>NC_000006.12:73898261-76398261 GCF_000001405.40 Homo sapiens | reverse complement strand
CAAATTTTCTGGCAAAGGAAAGGTAATAAATCAAAAGTCCATCCAACTCATTTGTTTAAACCTTGTCTTTTGTTTCCAGTATATTGTGAAAATATTCATCCTCTAGGACTTCCAGAGAAAAAGAGAGTACTGTCTGTCCTCATCCCACATCCCTCCCTTCTTTCGTAATCCAGGTGGCAGTTCAATTGGCCCACAATTCCAAATGGATTATATAGCTGTCATATTACTCCCAAGAAAACAGAACATTAAAAGAAAAAACAATAAATTGCAAAATAAACTATTTTATATTTAGAATCAAAGACTACATAGGAAATTTCTGACTCCCCTACACTAATAACAACTCCAGAAACTCTAGACCAAATGATAGGGTATCAAAAGCAGCAATGGAAATATCTTTCAGCTGTGTAATTTTGTTAAGCCACTATAAACTTTTAGGTGTACCTAAGAACACTCATTTTCAAAGATAGCATGTTAAGACAAACATATACATAAACAAATAAGCATCTCTTTTGAAGGTGAAAAAATAGGCCCTTCAAAAGCATTATAGAGCTTATTGTTCATTCAACTAATCAAAGTTCAGGAATGATGCATCTGTATTTACAACTTTCCCACTCAATGCCCTCTCAACTCAGCTTCTCCAACTGTAATATTGGGACAAGGATAATCTGTTAATTCATAACATCTGTTGTCCTTTAGCAGAAGGAAACTTTTGAATCATCCTTCCCCAGTCACTTGAATTCCAATCAGCTCAGAACCAAATACTGTTTTGGCTGTGATTCCATCTTTGAGCCTGAAAATTAACCTCGAGCACAAACACATCAAGAATACACATATTCTCGGTAACCTGACCACACATTTGATTTTTATAGTAGAGAAAGGTCAGTTCAAATTTTAGACAAATAGTCAGGCATAAGCATTTGGACAAATAACCCTCTGTCTGAGGGGATAGCTTTAGGTATCAAGTTTACTCACTGGTATTACAGTTTCATGACAAGTTTTTATGGTGCCACTGATCTGGATTAACAAATACCAAAAATTCAAGCCAAACTCACATTGAACTCACATTGAAAGAGTTATTTTCTTTCTTTCTCTCTCTCTTTCTTTCTCTTTCTCTCTGTCTCTCTCTGTGTCCCTCTCTCCCTTCCTCCCTCCTTCCCTCCCTCTCCGTCCTTACAAGAGATAGTTTGCTGTAACAGAAAATGTTATGTAATGTATGGGCACTAGGCTGCTATCCCAGAATGATCCCATTCTTCTCTTCATCTAAAATTTTGTTGCAAATACAGAAATGTATATCCGTATTTTGATTTCCTATTTTCTCCCCAACCTTTTTCTTAACAACACACTGTTGTTAACTATAGTCACCCTACTCTGCTATTGAACATTAGAACTTATTCCTTCTAATTTTATGTTTGTAGCCATTAACCAACCTCTCTTCATTCCCGCTCCACACCTACACACACACACACCCCCACACCCTTCCCAGCCTCCTGTAATTATCATTCTATTCTCTACTTCCAGGAAATCAACTTTTTTTTTCATTCCCACATATGAATGAGACCATGCAAAATTTGTCTTTCTATACCTTATTTAACTTAAAATAATGACCTCCAGTTCCATCCCTGTTGCTGCAACAGACGTGATTCATCACTTTTTATGGCTAAATAGTATTCCATTGTGTATATATACTACATTTTCTTTCCCCTTTCATTGATTACAGATACTTCAGTTGATTCCATACCTTGGCTATTGTCAAGAATGTTTCAATGAACATGACAGTGTAAATATCTCTTCGACATACTGACTTTCTTTCCTTTGGATAAATACCCAGAATTGGGACTGATGATCATATGATGGTTCTATTTTTTTGTTTGTTGAAAAATCTCCAAAGTGTTTTCCATAATAGCTGTACTAATTTACATTCTACCAACAGTGTATAAGAGTGTGCTTTTCTCCATATCCTCACAAGCATTTGTTACTTTTTGTCTTTTCGATAGTAGCCATTCTAACTGAGGTAAGATGATATCTCATTGTGGTTTTGATTTGCATTTTTTCTGGTGATTAGTATGTTGAGCATTTTTTTTACTATACCTGTTGCCCACTTGTCTTCTTTTGAGAAATGTCTGCTCATGTTTTTTTCCACTTTTTAATGAATATTTTTCTTTTTTTGTATCTCTCTTTGCTGATGATATAATCATATCTAGAAAAAATAAGGCTCTACCAAAAAACTCCTAGATTTGATCAATAATATCCATAAATTTGCAAAATACAAAATCAACATACAAAAATCAGTAGTGTTTCTATACATCAGTAATGAACTACCTGGAAAAAAATCAAGAAGACAATTCCATTTACAATAGCTACAAAAAAAATACCTAGGAATAAATTTAACCAAGGAGGTGAAAGACCTCTACCAGGAAAGCAAACCACTAAACACTGATGAAAGAAACTGAAGAGGACACAAACAAATGGAAAGACATCCAATTCCCAAAAATTGGAAGAATATTGTTAAAATGAGCTTTATACTACCCAAAATGATTTAGATGCAATGCAATTCCTATCAAAATACCAATTGCATATTTCATAGAAATAGAAAAAAAATCCTAAAATTTATATAGAAAGAAAAAGTAAAAGAAAGTCAAAGCAATCCTGAGCAAAAAGAACAAAGCTGGGAGCAATACACTACCTGACTTCAAAATATATTCCAAGGCTATTGTAACCAAAAGAGCATGGTATTAGTGTAAAAATAAACACATAGACAAATAGAACACAATAGAGAACCCAGAAATAAATCTACATGTTTACAGCTGATTTCTGACAGAGGTGCCAAGAACATACATTGGGGAGAGGACAGCCTCTTCATTAAATGGTACTGGGAAAACTGGATAACCACATGCAGAAGAATGAAACTAGATCCCTATCTCTCTCACTATGCACAAAATCAACTCAAAATGAATGAAAGACTTAATCAGAAGACCTGAAGCTATAAAACTACTGGAAAAAACATAGGGGAAACACTCTAGGACATTGATCTAGGCAAAGAATTGGTGGCTGAGACCCCAAAAGCACAGGTAACTAAAACAAAGATAGACAAATGGGACTATATTAAAATCATATGCCTTATTGATCTCAAGAGGTAGATATCAGGAGACATTTATAGAAAACATATTCTATAAAATACAGGAAAAAAATAAATCCATTGCAGTCCTCCAAAAATGTGGAAAGCAGTTTGCCTTACCAAGGCACTGGCTCTGGTTTCCAAGAACAAATCCAATTTAGCTCAATCTCTGGTGGCAAGTCGTCATGTAACTAAGCACATTTTGTCAAAATTGGCCATTCTACCTCAAGAGAGATTTAGGATTGAGCTAGTATAAACATTTTTAAATTGTCACATTCTCACTAATAATAGAAAAGATGTAACATGGCAAACTGCACTATTCCAAAAAGACTTTATTAAACTATAATTTTTCCTTATTTTCTTACTTACATTGAATATTCCCATTGCCAAAACATCATTATTTGTTCTGATTACTACCAATAAAAGTTAATATTCACATTTAACTCCACAGTGTCACATTTCTAAAATTCAACACTAATATAGTATCTTTTACCTAAAGATTCTTTCCTAAAGTATTTGAAAACTTCTGAGGCCTGAGAGAAAAACAAGCAGAAACCAAATCACTTTATTTTGGCAAGTTGATTTCCTTCACATTGGTGCCACTTGACAAATTTCTTGACTCTGACATTTCCAAATGTTCTAAACATAATATATAGAAATAAAATATGGAACACTCATCTATTTCTTAATCAGAGAATAAAGTAGACCATGACATTTACTACAAAGGCATTATATAGTCAATAGAATAAAAGTAAAAATAAATTTTTGAACAAGGATGACAGACACATAACATTAAGTGCATTATCTGTAGTCATTAAATGTTAGAAAAAACACTGTATATGTCATTCTATCATAATAAGGACTAATGCAAAAAGAAAAGAAACATGTTGTAATAACATATTCTCAACTCTTGCTCACAAAGTCCTTTCTTTGATAAAACAGTTCCATCACTGAAAGAACACAGCACATAATGCATCTCTAAATAAGTATTCTTAGATTTACCTCTTAAGACTGTACATGTAAAAGTATCATAAGAGTATTAAAAAAAAGAAAGGAAACACGTTTTCATAGCATGTTATCAACTCTTAAAAAAAAAAAACAGAAAAAGGAAAAACAGAAATAAGACTGCTGACACAGTTCTTGCCAATCATGTCTGAGGATCCTAGCACCATGACTTTCCGCACTATCAACAACCTCTTGGAATATGTGACTTTATAATATACATGTAACAACAATAGTAGTAATAATGTAAAAATAATAATGCATTAGCATTCATTCAATTCTGTTGATGTGGTAGGCTCTATGTTTATCACTCTGCAATCAATTTATAAACATAATCCTAATCACAATCCCATAAGACTGGTGCTTTTATTTTTTATTATTATTTGACTGATGACACTGAGGTTTAGAGAGAGAACTTGCACAGACTCAAACCGAGGTCTCTCCAATTCCAAACCTTGAGCTCCTATTGGATTTAAAAATATTAAGGAATTATCATGTAAGGAATTTTGGTGTGTATATGAAGAGAATTTTAAATTAATTATTTAAAAAAATTAAACAGTTAAAACTTGTAAAAGTTTTTTCTAAAAAGTTTAAAAATTTTGTGCCATTTTATCAAAATGTACACTTTTTAAATTTTCTTCTATTGCCTTCATAGTCTATATATCATGTTTATTTAACCAAGCAATGCTACTCTTTTTCAGTCAGCAAAAACTTGGCTTTGCTACTTTAGTAGAAAGGTTTCACATAAATGGTTAGGGTATGAGAGGTTTTTTTTTTTCGTTTTTTTGGTTTTTTTTGACAGAGTCTTGCTCTGTCGCCCAGGCTAGAGTGCAGTGGTGTGATGTCGGATCACTGCAGCCTCTGCCTTCCAGGTTCAAGCAATTCTCCTGCCTCAGCCTCCCGAGTAACTGGAACTACAGGTGCACACCACCATGCCCGGCTAATTTTTGTATTTTTAGTAGAGACTGGGTTTCACCATGTTGGCCAGGATGGTGTTGATCTCCTGACATTGTAATCCACTCTCCTCGGCCTCCCGGTTTTTTTTTTTTTTTTTTTAAATAACATTAATTTGATTCTTAAGGTTGCCTCTTGTAGCACAATACATACAAAAGCATATAAGATATATATGCATAACCCTACATTCCGAGGATATCTCCTCATGCACTTACAGGCAAATAAAACGAGATAATGTGAAAAACAAAGTGAACAAAGACTAATAAAGAACCATGTCTAACCTTTGTCCCTGGTAATGTTTCCTAGATTTAAAACCCACCATCTTTATCAGAGACTAGGATTGCAACCCCTGCCTTTTTAGGTTTTCCATTTGCTTGGTGGATCTTCCTCCATTCCTTTATTTTGAGCCTATGTGTGTCTCTGCATGTGAGATGGGTTTCCTGAATACAGCACACTGATGGGTCTTGACTCTTTATCCAATTTGCCAGTCTGTGTCTTTTAATTGGAGCATTTAGCCCATTTACATTTAAGGTTAATATTGTTATGTGTGAATTTGATCCTGCCATTATGATGTTAGCTGGTTATTTTGCTCATTAGTTGATTCAGTTTCTTCCTAGCCTTGATGGTCTTTACAATTTGGCATGTTTTTGCAGTGGCTGGTAGCAGTTGTTCCTTTCCATGTTTAGTGCTTCCTTCAGCAGCTCTTTTAGGGCAGGCCTGGTGGTGACAAAATCTCTCAGCATTTGCTTGTCTGTAAAGTATTTTATTTCTCCTTCACTTATGAAGCTTAGTTTGGCTGGATATGAAATTCTGGGTTGAAAATTCTTTTCTTTAAGAATGTTGAATATTGGCCCCCACTCTCTTCTGGCCTGTAGAGTTTCTGCAGAGAGATCCACTGTTAGTCTGATGGGCTTCCCTTTGTGGGTAACCCGACCTTTCTCTCTGGCTGCCCTTAACATTGTTTCCTTCATTTCAACTTTGGTGAATCTGACAATTATGTGTCTTGGAGTTGCTCTTCTCGAGGAGTATCTTTGTGGCATTCTCTGTATTTCCTGCATTTGAATGTTGGCCTGCCTTGCTAGATTAGGGAAGTTCTCCTGGATAATGTCCTGCAGAGTGTTTTCCAACTTGGTTCCATTCTCCCCGTCACTTTCAGGTACGCCAATCAGACATAGATTTGGTCTTTTCACATAGTCCCATATTTCTTGCAGGCTTTGTTTCTTTTTATTCTTTTTTCTCTAAACTTCTCTTCTCACTTCATTTCATTCATTTGATCTTCCATCACTGATACCCTTTCTTCCAGTTGATCAGATCAGCTACTGAGGCTTGTGCATTCATCATGTAGTTCTCATGCAGTGGTTTTCAGCTCCATCAGGTCCTTTAAGGACTTCTCTGCATTGGTTATTCTAGTTAGCCATTTGTCTAATCTTTTTTCAAGGTTTTTAACTTCTTTGCCATGGGTTCGAACTTCCTTCTTTAGCTTGGAGAAGTTTGATCATCTGAAGCCTTCCTCTCTCAACTCGTCAAAGTCATTCTCTGTCCAGCTTTGTTCCGTTGCTGGTGAGGAGCTGCGTTCCTTTGGAAGAGAGACGTGCTCTGCTTTTTTAGAATTTTCAGCTTTTCTACTCTGTTTTTTCTCCATCTTTGTAGTTTTATATACCTTTGGTCTTTGATGATGGTGACGTACAGATGGGGTTTTGGCGTGGATGTCCTTTCTGTTTGTTAGTTTTCCTTCTAACAGTCAGGACCCTCAGCTGCAGGTCTGTTGGAGTTTGCTGGAGGTCCACTCCAGACCGTTTGCCTGGGTATCAGCAGTGGAGGATGCAGAACAGCGGATATTGGTGAACAGCAAATGTTGCTGCCCGATCGTTCCTCTGGAAGTTTTGTCTCAGAGGGGTACGCAGCCGTGTGAGGTGTCAGTCTGCCCCTACTTGGGGGTGCCTCCCAGTTAGGCTACTTGGGGGTCAGGGACCCACTTGAGGGGGCAGACTCTCAGTTCTCAGATCTCAAACTCCATGTTGGGAGAACCACTACTCACTTCAAAGCTGTCAGACAGGGACATTTAAGTCTACAGAGGTTTCTGCTGCCTTTTGTTCGGCCATGCCCTGCCCCAGAGGTGAAGTCTACAGAGGCAGGCAGGCCTCCTTGAGCTGTGGTGGGCTCCACCCAGTTCCAGCTTCTGGGCCACTTTGTTTACCTACTCAAGCCTGGGCCATGGCGGGCGCCCCTCCCCCAGCCTCACTGCTGCCTTGCAGTTTGATCTCAGACTGCTGTGTTAGCAATGAGCTAGGCTCTGTGGGTGTAGGACCCTCAGAGCCAGGCACGGGATATAATCTCTTGGTGTGCCATTTGCTAAGACCGTCAGAAAAGCGCAATATTAGGGTGGGAATGACCCGATTTTCCAGGTGCCATCTGTCACCCCTTTCCTTGGCTAGAAAAGGGAATTCCCTGACCCCTTGTGCTTCCCAGGTGAGGCGATGCCTCGCCCTCCTTTGGCTCATGGTCGGTGTGATGCACCCACTGTCCAACAGTCCCCAGCAAGATGAACCCAGTACCTCAGTTGGAAATGCAGAAATCATCCATCTTCTATGTCGCTCACGCTGGGAGCTGTAGACTGGAGCTGTTCCTATTTGGCCATCTTGGAACCTGAATCAAAACCCGCCATCTTTGTGCCATTTTGTGGTCAGTAGTGTGGACACCAAGTGCAGAGAAGGAACACACTGGATACATTTGATGATTATTGTCTTTTATGAGGCTCCAATTCTCATCTCTATTGGAATACTCACTATTTTTTCTCAGTAACAACAGAATAAGAATGGTTGAATATAGCTCTAAATACATCTGAAATAAATTGTTTTGTCCCTCTTATGAGCAAAGGAAAACTAAAATGGAAAATTCCATTAAGCTAGAATTGGCTGATTGTTTTGTCCATAGAGCTCTTAATAGCTTAAAGGAAATACTACAAAATTATTCAAAGTTACACGTTTAGCATTAAGGAGTTAATGTAATTTAAAACCATTAGGAAACTGTAAATTGCAAAACTATATGTATATAAGGCAGCATTTTTAGGGTGATATTTTTGCAATAATACAATACTTTTTTAACCTCAATTTTAAATATGCCAGAAATGTTGTTTTATAAAAGATGTTGAGGCTGGGCACGGTGGCTCACGCCTCTAATCCCAGCACTTTGGGAGGCCAAGGTGGGCGAATCACGAGGTTGGGAAATTGAGACCATCCTGGCTAACATGGTGAAACCCCGCCTCTACTAAAAACACAAAAAATTAGCCAGGCGTGGTGGCAGGTGCCTGTAGTCCCAGCTTCTCAGGAGGCTGAGGCAGGAGAAGAGCATGAACCCGGGAAGCGGAGCTTGCAGTGAGCCGAGATCGCACCACTGCACTCCAGCCTGGGCGACAGAGCGAGACTCCGTCTCAAAAAAATAAATAAATAAATAAGATGTTGAGTAAAAGTCACTAGAATTAGATGACAATGGAATGAAAAAGGAAAAAGAGAAGCTGCTTTGGGCTACACTGTGTAAAATAATTTTCTCCCACTTTCCTTCTGTATTAAGGTAATTATCTGTTTGTTCATTTAGAACATATCACTATCATAATAGAGCATTAGAAGAGTGATCATACATGCTGTTTTCCTTGGAATGATTCTAATTTATATGAATTATGGTGCAAAAAATTAAAAATAACCCCCTCACCTGATATGGAAGATACATTTACTACAACGGCATTATATGAGTCCCTTGGGTATCACCAATTCAAGGCCTAATCGATTGTTAATTCCCTATGCCTCCAAAATTTCTCTTTTATTACTTCCGCCCCTTTATCTCTATCTCTTATAGTTTAGTTGAGCTCTTCTTAAACTATTTAAGGTAAAAGACCAGTTTTATTTTTTCCAATCTACTGTAGATGGAACTTTTAGAAACATAAGTTACTAGAAAAAATGAAATGAGACAAAAGACAAGCCTCAATCTTTTTGTTCTTAGATTAAAAATATAAAATTATTTTGTCAACTTGTTATAAAATATTCTAAATGCTTACTATCAATTTCTATAGTTACCTCTTCTCAGTCTGATAATAGTTGATAGAATTACACTTGTCCACAGACCTCATGTAGAGAAGCACTGGCCTAGTCTGTTTCCTTAGATTTACCTTCCAATTAACTAATCCCTTCCAGATATGTATCAAATATACTTTGAACCTATCCATTTAATTTCATTGGTTGCATTTTTTAATTTTAGAATTTCTATGTAGTACTTTATTCATTTATGCTCTTGCTCATGAATCAATGTCTTTATTTCTCTGAATGTGACATGATTAACTCAAAGGCTTTAATATGTTTCCAATGCTTATTCAGCCTCATCTGGTTCATATTTTAGACACCATCTTCAGCAGTAGTTGTTTTCCCTGAAGTCCCTGTCTTCCTTAGGCTATGGACACTATCTACAAAGAATGACTCTAATATTCCTGCAAGTCATCCATCTCCAAAGTTTGTGCACATCTCTAACAGAGTTCTCTCTTTGTTTCTGGTGCCTGGGTATTTTTCTTTCATGGTTTTATATGCTCACCTTTTTTTTTTCATTGTTCCTGGTTTGTTGTTTCAACATCATTTCATTCTTCCATATTGTAGAATATGTCTTAATGCCTTACATTATTGTTCATATGAAATTTTAATTTATAATTATCAATGCCCAGAATAAAGACATCTACAGAAAACTATCATAATATTGTGGGAAAAGGCTGGGATAAATGGTTGAAGAGAACTTTCCATGTGCTATACAAACGTCTGGTAAATGGTGAAAGTTCCCAGGTCACAGTACATGTGATTGATTTTATAGAAATATCTATTCCAAAGTAAACCTTATCCCCAAATAATAAATCTTTGACAATTCCAAAATAATAGGCATAACATTTAAGCCATTGTTTATTAATATATTTATTATAAACATGAAATTGGGTAAGGGCGGAGGACAGGTAGATTTTTAGAGGTATTCGAGTGGCTGTTTGTAAGGTTTGACAGACAAATTTGTTCCCAGAAAATAAATAGCACATAGGGTGATCATTGGGTAGGAAATGCATCATCAAATTTTTCCTTGTCCCTAATTGGATTACATCATACTAAAAAGCTCCTGCACAGCAAAGGAAACAAGGTAAAGAGACAACCTACAGAAAATATTTACAAACTGTACATCTGAGAAGGGGTGAATATCTAAAATACATAAGGAACTAAAAGAACTCAGAAGCAAGAAAATAACGGACATTTCTCAAAAGACATACAAATGTCCAAAAGGCAAATTTAAAAAGGCTCAAAATCACTAAACATGAGGCAAATGCAAATTAAAACCACAATGAGAAATCAGCTCACACCTGTAAAAATTGATATTATAAGAAAAGACAAAACATAATTGTTGCCGAATGCCTACACACTGTTGGTGGGAAGGTAAATTAGTACAACCATTATGGAAAATAGTGTGGAGTTTCCTCAAAAATCTAAAAATAGAACTACCATATGATCCAGCAATCCCACTATGGCATACAAATCCAAAGGGAATGAAATTATTGTGTTGAAGAGATAGCTGCACTGTCATGTTCATTCCAGCATTGTCCACAGTAGCCAAAATATGAAATCAACCTAAGTGTCTACTAGTGAATTAATGGATAAAGAAAATGTGGCATATATATGCAATGGAATACTATTCAGTCATTTTAAAAAAGAATGAAATCCTGTCATTTGTGAAAACATGGATGGACCTGGAGGACATTATGTTAAGTGAAAAAAGTCAGGCACAGAAAGACAAATACTAAATCATCTTACTCATATGTGGAATCTAAAAATGTTGATCTCACAAAAATAGAGTAAAACACTGGTTATCGGGGTAAGGTTAATAGGGATGAGGGTTTGCGGAGAAGTTGGTCAAAGGATACAAAAGTTCAGTTATATTAAAAAATAAGTTCAAGAGATCTATTGTACAACATGCTTGTTAATAATGTTAACTGTAGTTGATAATTTATCATATTCTTGAAAATTGCAAAGAGAGTGGATATAACATGCTCTTATGACAACAATTATAACTATGTGAGGTAATGAATATGTTAGTTAGCTACATTTAGTCATCCCACAATGTATCTACTTCAAAACATTATGGTACATACACACAATTTTATCTGTCAATTTTTAAAATAAAAAACAACTTGTTCTTAAAAACCAGGTAGTATCCATTTATTGTCAATTTTCTGTTTGATCAAAATAGAGTAGCTCTTTATTCTAACATCGGGAAGACATGTTTTTGTGCTGCCACATCTTCAGTTAATGTATTGGTCCTTTTTTAATAAGTGATGAAAAACATTCTGATTAAATGTTGAAATTCATTTTTCTTTATCTTTTTTTTTTTTTTGAGACAGATTCTCCCTCTGTCACCTAGGTTGGAGTGCAGTGGCATGATCTGGGTTCATGGCAACCTCTGCCTCCTGGGTTCAAGCGATTTTTTAAAACCTCCATTTAAATACCATCTAACCCACAGGGAAATTCTCTTAACTTATGATCCTTTTCTATGACTTCAGTGAAACTTCTAAAGTGGCCTAGACTCCCTTAGAACGTGTTCACTTTTCCCCTGGTTTTAGCTGGCAGTGGAAAGAGAACACTCTTAAGAATATGAAGGCTTGAGTTTTAGGTCCAACTGTGCTTCTAATGAACTGTATAACTTTGGAGAAGTCACTCTACCTTCTGGAAATGAGTTTTCACATTTGTAGGAAGAAAAGTTTGGACTAAGTTTTTTGTTCCTTTTATATTTCTAAGATTTTGTTTTCAAGGACATTTAGCTACTTATTTTTCATATTTTATTTTCACATGATGCTAATTATATTTTTTGATTAGGTGGTCAATATACAACCTACATACTTTTGGATTGTTCTGTTTTAAATACATATAAATAGATTTTGTCTACTCACTCCATCCTTGCAGTGGCTCTGCCACTTTAATGCAGATAGCAAGGTTTGTTCAATGTGGCAGAGAAAGTTACAATTTTGCTGATTTAAATGAACCATAATTCAGGTTCTCAAACTTTCTGTTTATGTCAGTGTTCATTTCATATAATAGAAACTCTAAAATACACTGCCTTCTATAAGATAGAAGTTCATTTCTATATTCACATAAAAACAAGTCCACAATTTTGCAGTCAAGCTATACCAGTTCCAAGTGGAAACTGGTTCTTCAGGTTCCTCCTATTTTGGGCCTCTACCATCCTCTAATCTTGAAGACCAAAGAAAAATATTCATTCCTCTAATTAGTCTATCTGCCGTCTGAAAGAGAAGCATTTTTATTTAAATAAATACAATGGCTTCCTATAAACTGGTACTTAACTCTGGAGACTTGGAAGGATTTAGGAAAACATTTTTTGACAAGGAAATTTCAGAGGCAATGTGTCATATTTTATATTACCTCATATCAGGAGACACATAATGTCAGGTTATTTCTTACTAGTGACACTACAACACTAAGGGAGACCATTTAGTTAAATTAGTAACAACTAGATCTCTCTATTATAATGATACTTTGATTCTTACAATGAATAAGTGACCTGAATGCTACTACTTAGGCACCCTGCTGATATATTCTGTTCCCCTATAACCTTTCACCTAATGATTATAGCATCCATTGATAGTTCTTGGCTAAATAGTTAGTACACTGAGGGTCACAGCATGACAGTTGTCTAATTCTTTCATTTATTCTTCGTTTATTAACTAGCTTTCTTTTATAAAGATAGACTCATCTCACACAATAAGATATTCCAGGGTGTCAAAGAAAAGTTTCACTGAATAGAGTTATATAGGCAAGGAAAACTTATAGGACTATTTCAATAGAGCGGACATTGAACTCAACTCTGGAAAAAAAAAAGTGGGAGGAGTTTTAAGCCCTGGGGTGAGGCAACACAAAGAACTGGAAGATGTTAGGGAGAAGGTTGGCCAATGTGATTGGTTATCTGTGTTTGCTAAGTGTTGCTTGTCAAAGGTAGGCTCCTACCCTCCCACAGAAACTGGGAGATTGGAAAGCTATCTTTCTTGATTATTACATTTCAATGGTTGACCTCCAAGTCCCTGAGGATAACACTTCTGTATTGTAAAACTGACAAGAAGCTGGAAGAAGATTTATATATCAAAGAGGAAGAGTAAAAAATTACAATAGAAAGTTTTCTCCAAGTCAATGTTCTAAAAAAAAAAGTAGGTCACAGACCTAAACGCAGGAAGAAACCCTCTAAAATTTAGTCGAGGGAAACATTGAGGCAGTCTTGATGAAAGCTTGTCTTGTACTTTCCCATAACCCAACATACATCATGTTCATCTTAAAGGTCATTTCTTGGTCCAAAATAGTTGCTAGAGTTCAATTATCATGATCACTTGCCAGGCAGCAGGAAGGAGAAAGGTGAAATAAAAAACAACATAGGCCAGCTATCTGTTTTTCCCTTAAGGATCCTTAAAACCATCCAACAACTTCTCTTAGCATGTAATTGGTCACCCCAGCTACAAGGAAGACTGAGAAATATGATATTTTAGCTGAGCACATTCCTGCCTGGAAAAGTCAGCAATCTGTTAGTATTTTTAATGATGAAAATGGCTATTGAGTAAAAAACCACAAGTCTCAAACATACTGGTAAACATAAATGTTATACATTATGGAAATAGAAGCACTGGAAACTCTGAAGAAGTTCAATAAATTATTTTTCCTCAGATCAGCTACATATTGTATTTTGTTTTATTAGGAGTATATCTCAAGCCCAATGATTCACATCTGCTTTCAGCAAATCAACCTAAGAAGGTACAGAAGGATAATATTCTTTTCTATTCAATGACCTAAAGAAAGACAAAGTGTAGAAAATATTTTGAACATTGTGGTTTATAGGACATTTTCGTCTGGTTTAAGAACTTGTTGCTTTAGAGATGGAGAAATAAAACTTAAAAATCTGTAAGAAAGAACTTTCAATTAATGACCCTCAGATTGTATCTATCTTGACGTGAATCAAATCAGAACTCAAAGTTCCTGATTAATCCTGTCTGCCTAATCCTCCAATTATGTAAGGTGGTTCCAACAAATATCAGGAGCATCAGTGAAAACCACAGCTCTTCTCATTCATTACAACATATACTGGAAGAGTATTTCAAACCAGGAAGAAATGTTCCTAATTAGACAGGGTGATATTCCAATTGAAATTACAATTCTAGGCTTTAACTTGATACAGTTGCTTCTGGTTTAAAAATAGACTATGAATAATCTTTCATACTTTCTACATAATCTACATAAACATCCTGAATAAAATAAAACTTAAGCACTCACACTTGAGTTCATAATCATGATCCAAACACATTTGTTTTAATGATTATGTTTCTCTAGGTATATTCTTAATTTTTCCCTAGTAGTATGACTAGCATACTATAGACATAGTACATATTGACCATGTGGACTAAAAACATAGTTTATATTAAACGCTTTATTTCTAAAACACTGAGCCTACAATTTGTAAATAAAAACATATTTAGAGAGAAGGCAGAGCAAGATGGCAAAATAGAAGGCTCCACCAATTGTCCCCTCACTGCAAGGACACCAAGAAAACAATTATCTACACAGAAAAAAATACCTTCCTAAGAACCAAAAATCAGGTGAGCACTCATATTACCTGGTTTTAACTTCGTATCACTGAAGGAAGCACTAAAGAGATTTTTTAAAGTCCTGAAACACTGCCTCCACTCCCTATCCCCACTGGCAATGGCAGCATGGTGTTGAAAGCGTCTCTAGGAACTAGGGGAGGGAAAACACAGCAGTTGTGAGGCATTGAACTTAGTGCTGTCCTGTTACAGCAGAAAGGAAAATGCAACCAAACTCAGCTGATGCCAGCCCACAGAGAGAGCCCTAGCCAGAGGGGAATCACCAATCCTAGTGGTCCTAACTTGAGTGCCTGTAAACATCACCGTGGTGGTCTACAGTGCTCTGTGTCTCCAAATAAATTTGAAAGACAGTCTAGGCCATAAGGACTGCAACTCTTAGATGAGTCCTAGGGCCAGAGACAGTGGACTCAGGGGGCACACGATATACTGAGACACCAGCTGGGGCAGCCAAAAGAGTGCAGGCATCATCTCTCCCCTAACCCCAGCCCGCACAGCTCATGGCTCCAAAAGAGTCCCTGTCTTTCCACTTAAGAATAGGAGAGGGGAGAGTGGGTAAGATATTGTCTTGCATCTTGGTTACCAGTTCAGCCACAGCAAGAAAGGGCACCAGTCAGTTATAAGGCCTTTGTTCTGGGCCTAGATCTCAGATAACATTTCTAGACACACTATGAGCCAGAAGGAAACCTGCTGCCTTAAAGGAAAGGACACAGTCCTGGCAGCATTCATCACCTGCTAACTGAGGAGCCTTTGGGCCCTGAATAACCAGCAACAATACACAGGTACTATGTCCAGAACCTTTGGTGAGCCTCTGACACTTGCTGATTTCAGGTGAGACTCAGCATATTATCAGCTGTGGTGGCTATGGGGCAAAACTCCTTCTGCTTGAGAAAAGCAGAGGGAAAAGTAAAGGGGACTTTGTCTTGCACCTCAGGTACCAGCATGGTGACAGGGGGTAGAATATAAAGTGGGTTCTTGGGGACCCCAATTCTAGGACTTGACTCTTAAATGGCATTTCTGGATATGCCCTGGGCCAGAGGGGAGCATACTGCCCTGAAATGTGAGTCCCAGGCCAGGCAGTATTCACCACAGGCTGACTTAAGAGCCCTTGGGCCTTTAGGGAGCAATAGCTAGTAGTCTGGCAGTACTCCTCATGGCCTGGGGTGGTGGTGACTACAGGGAGAGAAGCCTCTGCCTTTGGAAAGAGGAGGAAAGAGTGGGAAGGACGGTGTTTTGTTTGAGTGCCACCTCAGCCACAATAAAATAGAACACCAAGTAGACTTCTAAGGTTTTTTACTCTAGTCTCTAATGCTCAGACAGCACCTCTGGACCCACCTGGGATCTGAGGGACCTTGCCACTCTGAAGGGAAGGACATAGGTCTGGCTGACTTTGTCACCTGCTGATTGTAAAGCACCAGGGGCTTGAGTGAACATAGGCAGTAGCCAGGAATGATTACACCAGGCTTTGGGTGAGACCCAAATGCTGTGCTGGCTTCAGATTTGACCCAGCACAGTCAGAGTGGTGGTGGCCACAGGGGTGCTTGTGTCACTCCACCTCCAACTGTAGGTGGCTCAGGACAGAGAGACACTCTGTTTGGGAGGAAATAGGAAAGAAAACAAGAGTCTCTGCCTGGTAATCCAAAGAATTCTTTCAGATCTGGTCCAAGAACATCAAGGCAGTACCCCTATGGGTCTGGAAAAACCAGTGTTACTGGCTTGGGGCGCCCCCTAAAGCAGATACAGGTTAGATCACAACACCCAAGTACTTCCAAATATCCCAAGAAGGATGGCTACAAATAAGCCCAGACAGTGAAGACTACAGTAAATACGTAACTCTTCAATGTCTAGACACTGAAGAATATCTACAAGGATCAACACCATCCAAGAAAACATAACTTCACCAAAAGAACTAAGTAAACTTAGTTCAGGGACCAATCCTGAAAAAACAGATATGTGACCTTTCAGACAGAAAATTCAAAATAGTTGTGTTGAGGATACTCAAAGAAATTAAACGTAACACAGAGAAAGAATTCAGAATTATATCACATAAATTTAACAAAGATACTAAAATAATTAGAAAGAATCAGGCAGAAATTCTGGAGCTGAAAAATGCAATTAGCATAATGAAGAAAGCATCAGAGTCCTTTAATAGCAGAATGCATCAAGCAGAAGAAAGAATTAGTGAGCCTGAAGATGGGCTATTTGAACATACACAGACAGAGGAGACAAAAGAAAAGGAATAAAAAACAAGGAAGCATGCCTACAGAATCTAGGAAATAGACTCAAAAGGGCAAATCTAAGAGTTATTGGCCTTAAACAAGAGGTAGAGAAAGAGAAGGTCTAAAGTTTATTCAAAGGGATAATAAAAGAGAACTTCCCAAACCTAGAGAAAGATATTAATATCCAAGTACAAGAAGGTTATAGAACACCAAGGAAGACTATCTCAAGGCATTTAATATCAAACACCCAAAGATCAAGCATAAAGAAAGGATCCTAAAAGTAGCAAGAGAAAAGAAATAAATAACAGATATTGGAACTCTGATACATTTGGTGGCAGACTTTTCAGTGGAAACCTTACAGGCCATGAGAGAGTGGCAGGACATTTTTAAAGTGCTGAAGGAAAAAAAAAAACTTTAATCTAGAATAGTGTATCCAGTGAAAATATCCAACAAACATGAAGGAGAAATACTTTCCCTGACAAACAAGAGCTGAGGGATTTCATCAATACAAGAATTGTCCTACAAAAAATGCAGGACAATTAAAGGGAGTATTTCAATCAGAAAGAAAAGGACATTAAAGAGTGGTAAATACACAGAAAAACACAGAATATTATAACAATGTAACTGTGGTGTGTAAACTACTCTTATCCTAAGTAGAAAGACTAAACAATGAACCAAACAAAAATAATAACTACAACAATCTTTCAAGACATAGTACAATAAGATATAAGTAGAAACAAAAAAACATTTAAAAGCAGGCTGACCAAGTAAAGACATAGTTTTTATTAGTTTTCTTTTTGCTTGTTTGTTTATACAAATAGTTGTTAAGTTGTTATCAGGTTAAAATAATGGGTTGTATAGCATTTGCAAGCTTCATGGTAACCTCAAACCAAAAAACACACAATGGACACACAAAAAATAAAAAGCAAGAAACTATATCATATCACCAGAGAAAATCACCTTCACTAGAAGAAGACAAGAAAGAACCAAACAAGGAAGAGAAAACCAGAAAACAATAATAAAATGGCAGGAGTAAGTCCTTACTTATCAATAATAACATTAAATGTAAATAGACTAAACTATCCAATCAAAAGACATAGACTGGCTGAATAAATGAAAAAATAAGAACCATTTATCTGTTGCCCAGAAAAAACACACTTCACCTATAAAGATACACAAAGACTGAAAATAAAGGGATAAAAAAAGATGTTCCATGTGAATAAAAATCAAAAAAGAGCAGGAATTGCTAAGCGTATATCAGGTAAAATAGACATCAAGACAGAAACTCTAAGAAAAGAGAAAGAATGCCACTATATAATGATAAAGGTATCAATTCAGCTAGAGGACATAATTTTAATATGTATGCACCCAAACTGGAGCACACAGCTATATAAAGTAAATATTATTAAAGCTAACTAGAAAGATGGGCCCCAACACAATAGCTGAAGATTTCAACAGCCTACTTTCAGCATTGGACAGATATTCCAGACGCCAAACAAGGTATCCAGGTTCTCTCATCAAAATTGACCAGAAGGCTGGTGTGACCCATGGAGAGAAGGAAGAACAGTGTGGTGTGGCAGCCCACCTGAAAGCCACAAGGGGAAGGGGAGCTCCCTAGCCCCAGCCAAGGGAGGCAGTGAGTGAGCACACTACCCAGTGGGGAAACTGTGCTTTTTACATGGAACTGTACAACCCATGGACTGGAAGATCCCACTTGTGAACCCACATCACCAGGACCTAGTATCCCAAACGTGGAACGCACAGATTCTTGCAGCCTCTCAGCTGGAATCTGCCTAAGCCCACCAAACTGCTGGAGGAGGGGTGACCAGAGCCAGCCACCACTGCCTGCTGTCTAAGCCCTTCGAGCTGCTTGGGGGAGGGGCAGCAGCCAGCACTGGGACTCTCAACTGCCTAACATTCTAAGCTCCCTGGGCAGGAAAGGGCAGCACCCATTTCTGCAGCTTCAGGTTGCACTTTTCCCCTGCTGGAGCCAGGGAGGCTGGATGGCTTGGTCCCAAGATTTGTTCCTACAGCCCATGACACCAGCTGTGGCAGTCTGCCACCAGAGTGCCTCCTCAGGTCTAACCCTGATTCATCCTTTCTCAGTGAGTGGGGCTTCCTCACAGGATCTCCAATAATTCCAGCCAGAGGTTCAGGGACAGAATTCAGATTTCCCTTGGCCAGTGCCCCTAGGGGAAGGGGTGGCCACAGTCTCTGCAGACCAGCAGACTTAGCCTCTCCTCCTGGTAGTTCTGAGGAATCCGGGCAGCCCAGATGAGTGGGTTTTCCCCCAGCGAAACATGCCCTCTCCATCAAGGGACAAAGTGCTTCGTTAAACAGGTCCTGCTCCCTGTGCCACCCAACTGGGTGAGACACTCCAACAAGGGTTGTCAGATACCCTATACAGGAGCAATCCTACTGGCATCAGGCTGGTGCCCATCAAGGTCAGAAGTCACAGAAAAGGTGCTGGCACCCATTTTTACTGCTCTCCAGCCTCTTGAATGATGTCTCCAGGCACAGAAGCAAATCAGATGAACAGGACCTGAAGTGAACCCCCAGCAAACTGCAGCAGCCCTGCAGAAGAGGGACCTGACTATTGAAACAAAAACAAGCAAGTGGAAAGTGGTAACAATGCATCAACAACAACAACAACAAAAGTCCCTCACAAAAACCCCATCAAGGGTAAGCAGCCTCAAAGACCAAAACTAGACAAACTCATGAAGATGAGGAAGAATCCACGAAAAAAGTGCTGAAAACCCAGAAGCCTGGAGTGCCTCCTCTCCTCCAAATGATTGCAGCATCCCTGCATCAAGGGCGCAGAACTGCACAGAGGATCAGATAGATGAATTGACAGAAGTAGGCTTCAGAAGATGAGTAATAAAAAACTACGATGAGCTAAAGTAGAATGTTCTAACCCAATGCAGAGAAGCTAAGAACTTCGATAAAAGGTTCGAGGAATTGCTAACTAGAATAACCAGTTTAGAGAGGAACATCAATGACCTGATGGAGCTGAAAAACATAGTACAAGAACTTCATGAAGCATACACAAGTATCAACAGCTGAATCGACCAAGTGAAATAAAGGATATCAGTGTTTGAAGATCACCTTACTGAAATGAGAAATGCAGACAAGAATAAAGAAAAAAGAATGAAAAGGAATGAACAAAGCCTCTAAGAAATATGGGACTTCATAAAAAGATCTAACCTATGATTGATTGGAGTACCAATAGGAGATGGGAAGAATGGAAACAAGCTGGAAAACACACTCCAGGATATTATCCAGGAGAACTTCCCCAACATAGAAAGACAGGCCAACATACAAATTCAGGAAATACAGACAACACCATTAAGATACTCCACAAGAAGATCAACCCCAAGATACATAATCATCAGATTCTCCAAAGTCAAAATGAAGGAAGAACTGTTAAGGGCAGCCAGAGAGAAAGACCAGGTCACATACAAAGCCCATCAGACTAACGGCAGACCTCTCAGCAGAAACTCAGAAGGGATTGGGGGCCAATATTCAACATTCTTAAAGAGAAGAATTTTCAACCCGAATTTCATATCCAGCCAAACTAAGCTTCATAAGCGAAGAAAAAATAAAATCCTGTTTAGACAAGCAAATGCTGAGGGATTTTGTTACCACTAGGCCTGCCCTACAAGAGCTCCTGAAAGAAGCACTAAATATGGAAAGGATAAGCTTGTACCAGCCACTGCAAAAACACACCAAAATATAAAGACCAATGATATTATGGAGAAACTGCATCAACTAGTATGCAAAATAACCAAATAGCATTATGATGACAGGATCAAATTCACACATAACAATACTAACCTTCCATATAAATGGGTTAAATGCCCCAATTAAAATACACAGACTGGCAAATTGGATAAGGAGTCAAGACCCATTGGTGTGTTGTAGTCAGGAGACCCATCATACATGCAAAGACACATATAGGCTCAAAATAAAGAGGTAGAGGAAAACTTACCAAGCAAATGGAAAGCAAAAAAAAGCAGGGGTTCAGATTTTAAATCAACAAAGATCAAAAAGGACAAAGAAGGGCATTACATAATGGTAAAGGGAAGAATTCAACGAGATTAGCTAACTATTGTGAGTATATATGCAACCAATACTGGAGCACTCGAATTCATGAAACAAGTTCTCAGAGACCTACAAAGAGACTTAGACTCCCACACAGTGATAGTGGAAGACTTTAACTCCCCATTGTCGGTATTAGACAGATCAATGAGACAGAAAATTAACAAGGATATTCAGGACTTGAACTCAGCTATGGATCAAGTAGACCTAGTAGATGTCTTTGGAACTCTCTACCCCAAATCAATAGAATATATATTTTTTCTCAGTGCCACATGGCACTTATTCTACAATCAACCACATAGTTGGAAGTAAAACTCCTCAGCAAATGAAAAAGAACTGAGATTATGACAGTCTCTCAGACCACACTGCAATCAAATTAGAAGTCAGGATTAAGAATCTCACCTAAAACCACACAATTTCATGGAAATAGAACAACCTGCTCCTGAATGACTCATAGGTAAATAATGAAATTAACGCATAAATCAAGAAGTTCTTTGAAACCAATGAGAACAAAGAGACAACATACCAGAATCTCTAAACACAGCTAAAGCAGTGTTAAGAGGGAAATTTATAGCACTAAACGCCCACATCAGAAAGCTGGAAAGATCTAAAATTGACACCCTAACATCACAATTAAAAGAGCTAGAGAGGCAAGAGAAATTGAATCCAAAAGCTAGCAGAAGATAAGAAATAACTAAGATCAGAGCAGAATTGAAGGAGAGACACGAAAAACCCTCCAAAAAATCAACAAATCCAGGAGCTGTTTAAAAAAAATAATAATAACAAAATAGACCACTAGCTAGACTAATAAGAGAGAGGAGAATCAAATAGACACAATAAAATGATAAAGGGGATATCACCACTGATCCCACAGAAATACCAAGCACCATCAGAGAATACTAAACACCTCTATGCAAATAAACTAGAAAATCTAGAAGAAATGGATAAATTGCTGAATGTGTACACCCTACCAAGACTAAACCAGAGAGAAGTTGAATCCCTGGAGAGACCAATAACAAGTTCTGAAATTGAAGAAGTAATTAATAGTCTACCAATCATAAAAAACCCAGGACCAGATGGATTCACAGCTGAATTCTATCAGAAATACAAACAGGAGATGGTACCATACCTTCTGAAACTATTCCAAATAATTGAAAAGGAGGGACTCCTCTCTAACTCATTTTATGAAGCCAGCATCATCCTGATACCAAAACCAGAAAGACACACAACAAAAAGGGAAAACTTCAGGCCAGTATCCCTGATGAACATCAGTGCAAAAATCCTCAATAAAATACTGGCAAACCGAATACAGCAGCACATCAAAAAACTTATCCACCATGATCAAGTCAGCTTCATCCCTGGTATGCAAGGCTGATTCAACATATGCAAATCAATAAACATAATCCACCACATAAACAGAACCAAAGGAAAAAACCACATGATTATCTCCATAGATGCAGAAAAGGCCTTTGATAAAATTCAACATCGCTTCATTAAAAACTCTCAGAAACTAGATATTGATGGAACTCTCAATAAACTAGATATTGATATTCATAAGTAAGAGCTATTTATGAAAACCCACAGCCAATATCATACGCTTGGAAAACTAGTAAAAGATGGGCTGGAGCCAAGATGGCTGAATAGGAACAGCTCCAGTCTACAGCTCCCAGCGTGAGCGATGCAGAAGATGGGTGACTTCTGCATTTCCAACTGAGGTACCTAGTTCATCTCACTGGGGAGTGCCAGGCAGTGGGTGCAGGACAGTGGGTGCAGCACATCATGCATGAGCTGAAGCAGGGAGAGGCATCACCTCACCCGGGAACTGCAAGGGGTCAGGGAATTCCCTTTCCTAGTCAAAGAAAGGGGTGACAGATGGCACCTGGAAAATCGGGACACTCCCACCCTAACACTGCACTTTTCCAATGGGCTTAACAAATGGCACACCAGGAGATTATATCCCACACATGGCTGGGAGGGTCCTATGCCCACAGAGCCTCGCTCATTGCTAGCACAGCAGTCTGAGATCAAACTGCAGGCTGAGATCAAACTGCAAGGCAGCAGCGAGGCTGGGGGAAGGGCGCCCACCATTGCCGAGGCTTCAGTAGGTAAACAAAGTGGCTGGGAAGCTCGAACTGGGTGGAGCCCACCACAGCTCAAGGAGGCCTTCCTGCCTCTGTAGGCTCCACCTCTGGGGGCAGGGCACAGACAAACAAAAGGCAGCAGTAACCTCTGCAGACTTAAATGTCCCTGTCTGACAGCTTTGAAGAGAGTAGCAGTTCTCCCAGCACACAGCTTGAGATCTGAGAATGGACAGGCTGCCTGCTCAAGTGGGTCTCTGACCCCCGAGTAGCCTAACTGGGAGGCACCCCCCAGTAGGGGCAGACTGACACCTCACATGGCCGAGTACTCATCTGACACAAAACTTCCAGAGGAACAATCAGGCAGCAGGATTTGTGGTTCACCAATATCCGCTGTTCTGCAGCCTCCACTGCTGATACCCAGGCAATCAGGGTCTGGAGTGGACCTCCAGCAAACTCCAACAGACCTGCAGCTGAGGGTCCTGACTGTTACAAGGAAAACCAACAAACAGAAAGGACATCCACAACAAAACCCCATCTGTACGTCACCATCATCAAAGACCAAAGGTAGATAAAACCACAAAGATGGGGAAAAAAGAGAGCAGAAAAACCAGAAACTCTAAATATCAGAGAGCCTCTCCTCCTCCAAAGGAACGAAGCTCCTCACCAACAACAGAACAAAGCTGGATGGAGAATGACTTTGATGAGTTGAGAAAAGAAGGCTTCAGAAGATCAAACTACTCTGAGCTAAAGGAGGAAGTTTGAACCAATGGCAAAGAAGTTAAAAACCTTGAAAAAAATTAGACGAATGGCTAACTAGAATAACCAATGCAGAGAAGTCCTTAAAGGAACTGATGGAACGGAAAACCACAGCATGAGAACTATGTGACAGATGCAAAAGCCTTAGCTGATGCGATCAACTGGAAGAAAGGGTATCAGCAATGGAAGATGAAATAAATGAAATGAAGTGAGAAGAGAAGTTTAGAGAAAAAAGAATAAAAAGAAACGAACAAAGCCTCCAAGAAATATGGGACTATGTGAAAAGACCAAATCTATGTCTGATTGGTGTACCTGAAAGTGACGGGGAGAATGGAATCAAGTTGGAAAACACTCTGCAGGATATTATCCAGGAGAACTTCCCCAATATAGCAAGGCAGGCCAACATTCAAATTCAGGAAATACAAAGAACACCACAAAGATACTCCTTGAGAAGAGCATCTCCAAGACACAAAACTGTCAGATTCACCAAAGTTGAAATGAAGGAAAAAAATGTTAAGGGCAGCCAGAGAGAAAGGTCGGGTTACCCACAAAGGGAAGCCCATCAGACTAACAGCTGATCTTTTGGCAGAAACTCTACAAGCCAGAAGAGAGTGGGGGTCAATATTCAACATTCTTAAAGAAAAGAATTTTCAACCCAGAATTTCATATCCAGCCAAACTAAGCTTCATAAGTGAAGGAGAAATAAAATCCTTTACAGACAAGCAAATGCTGAGAGATTTTGTCACCACCAGGCCTGCCCTAAAAGAGCTCCTGAAGGAGGCACTAAACATGGAAAGGAACAACCGGTACCAGACACTGCAAAAACATGCCACATTGTAAAGATCATCGAGGATAGGAAGAAACTGCATCAATTAATGAGCAAAATAACCAGCTAAAATCATAATGACAGGATCAAATTCACACATAACAATATTAACCTTAAATGTAAATGGGATAAGTGCTCCAATTAAAAGACACAGACTGGCAAATTGGATAAAGAGTCAAGACCCATCAATGTGCTGTATTCAGGAAACCCATCTCACATGCAGAGACACACATAGGCTCAAAATAAAGGGATGGGGAAGATCTACCAACCAAATGGAAAACAAAAAATGGTAGGGGTTGCAATCCTAGTCTCGGATAAAACAGACTTTAAACCAACAAAGATCAAAAGAGACAAAGAAGGCCATTACATAATGGTAAAGGGATCAATTCAACAAGAAGACCTAACTATCCTAAATATATATGCACCCAATACAGGAGCACACAGATTCATAAAGCAAGTCCTTAGTGACCTACAAAGAGACTTAGACTCCCACACAATAATAATGAGAGACTTTTACACCCCACTGTCAACATTAGACAGGTCAACGAGACAGGAAGTCAAAAAGGATATCCAGGAATTGAACTCAGCTCTGCACCAAGCGGACCTAATAGACATCTACAGAATTCTCCACCCCAAATCAACAGAATATACATTCTGTTCAGCACCACACCACACCTATTCCAAAATTGACCACATAGTTGGAACTAAGGCACTCCTCAGCAAATGTAAAAGAACAGAAATTATAACAAACTATCTCTCAGACCACAGTGCAATCAAACTAGAACTCAGGGTTAAGAAACTCACTTAAAACCGCTCAACTACATGGAAACTGAACAACCTGCTCCTGAATGACTACTGGGTACATGACAAAATGAAGGCAGAAATAAAGTTGTTCTTTGAAACCAATGAGAACAAAGACACAACATAACAGAATCTCTGGGACACATTCAAAGCAGTGTGTAGAGGGAAATTTATAGCACTAAATGCCCACAAGAGAAAGCAGGAAAGATCTAAAATTGACACCCTAACATCACAATTAAAAGAACTAGAGAAGCAAGAGCAAACACATTCAAAAGCTAGCAGAAGGCAAGAAATAAATAAGATCAGAGCCGAACTGAAGGAAATAGAGACACAAAAAACCCTTCAAAAAATCAATGAATCCAGGAGCTGGTTTTTTGAGAAGATCACCAAAATTGATAGACCGCTAGCAAGACTAATAAAGAAGAAAAGAGAGAAGAATCAAATAGATGCAATAAAAAATGACAGAGGGGATATCGTCACCGATCCCAAAGAAATACAAACTACCATCAGAGAATACTATAAACACCTCTATGCAAATAAAGTAGAAAATCTAGAAGAAATGGATAAATTCCTCAACACATACACCCTCCCAAGACTAAACCAGGAAGAAGTTGAATCTCTGAATAGACCAATCACAGGCTCTGAAATTGAGGCAATAATTAATAGCTTACCAACCAAAAAAAAAGTCCAGGACCAGATGGATTCACAGCCGAATTCTACCAGAGGTACAAGGAGGAGCTGTTACCATTCCTTCTGAAACTATTCCAATCAATAGAAAAAGAGGGAATCCTCCCTAACTCATTTTATGAGGCCAGCATCATCCTGATACCAAAGCCTGGTAGAGACACAACAAAAAAAGAGAATTTTAGACCAATATCCTTGATGAACATTGATGCAAAAATCCTCAATAAAATACTGGCAAACCGAATCCAGCAGCACATCAAAAAGCTTATCCACCATGATCAAGTGGACTTCATCCCTGGGATGCAAGGCTGGTTCAACATACGAAAATCAATAAACGTAATCCACCATATAAACAGAACCAAAGACAAAAACCACATGATTATCTCAATAGATGCAGAAAAGGCCTTTGACAAAATTCAACAACCTTCATGCTAAAAACTCTCAATAAATTAGTTATTGATGGGACATATCTCAAAATAATAAGAGCTATCTATGACAAACCCACAGCCAATATCATACTGAATGGACAAAAACTGGAAGCATTCCCCTTGAAAACTGGCACAAGACAGGGATGCCCTCTCTTACCACTCCTAT
This sequence comes from Homo sapiens, assembly GCF_000001405.40. Classification (NCBI taxonomy): domain Eukaryota; kingdom Metazoa; phylum Chordata; class Mammalia; order Primates; family Hominidae; genus Homo; species Homo sapiens. The sequence continues at coordinate 76,371,467 of NC_000006.12, read as the reverse complement.
TCAACATAGTGTTGGAATTTCTGGCCAGGGCAATCAGGCAGGAGATGGAAATAAAGGGCATTCAATTAGGAAAAGAGGAAGTCAAATTGTCCCTGTTTGCAGATGACATGATTGTATATATAGAAAACCCCATCGTCTCAGCCCAAAATCTCCTTAAGCTGATAAGCGACTTCAGCAAAGTCTCAGGATACAAAATCAATGTGCAAAACTCACAAGCATTCTTCTACACCAATAACAGACAAACAGAGGGTCAAATCATGAGTGAACTCCCATTCACAATTGCTTCAAAGAGAATAAAATACCTAGGAATCCTACTTACAAGGGACATGAAGGACCTCTTCAAGGAGAACTACAAACCACTGCTCAATGAAATAAAAGAGAATACAAACAAATGGAAGAACATTGCATGCTCATGGGTAGGAAGAATCAATATCATGAAAATGGCCATACTGCCCAAGGTAATTTATAGATTCAATGCCATCCCCATCAAGCCACAAATGACTTTCTTCACAGAATTGGAAAAAACTACTTTAAAGTTCATATGGAACCAAAAAAGAGCCTACATTGCAAAGTCAATCCTAAGTCAAAAGAACAAAGCTGGAGGCATCACGCTACCTGACTTCAAACCATACTACAAAGCTACAGTAACCAAAACAGCATGGTACTTGTACCAAAACAAAGATATAGACCAATGGAACAGAACAGAGCCCTCAGAAATAATGCTGCATATCTACGACTATCAGATCTTTGACAAACCTGACAAAAACAAGAAATGGGGAAAGGATTCCCTATTTAATAAATGGTGCTGGGAAAACTAGCTAGCCATATGTAGAAAGCTGAAACTGGATCCCTTCCTTACACCTTATATAAAAATTAATTCAAGATGGACTAAAGACTTACATGTTAGACCTAAAACAATAAAAACCCTAGAAGAAAGCCTAGGCAATACCATTCAGGACATAAGCATGGGTAAGGACTTCAAGTCTAAAACACCAAAAGCAATGGCAACAAAAGCCAAAATTGACAAATGGGATCTAATTAAATTAAAGAGCTTCTGCACAGCAAAAGAAACTACCATCAGAGTGAACAGGCAACCTGCAGAATGGGAGAAAATTTTTGCAACCTACTCATCTGACAAAGGGCTAATATCCAAAATCTACAAAGAACTCAAACAAATTTACAAGAAAACAAACAACCCCATCAAAAAGTGGGCAAAGGATATGAACAGACACTTCTCAAAAGAAGATATTTCTGCAGCCAAAAAACACATGAAAAAATGCTCATCATCACTGGCCATCAGAGAAATGCAAATCAAAACCACGAGATTCAATCTCACACCAGTTAGAATGGCGATCATTAAAAAGTCAGAAAACAACAGGTGCTGGAGAGGATGTGGAGAAATAGGAACACTTTTACACTGTTGGAGGGACTGTAAACTAATTCAACCATTGTGGAAGTTGGTGTGGCAATTCCTGAGGGATCTAGAACTAGAAATACCATTTGACCCAGCCATCCCATTACTAGGTATACACCCAAAGGACTATAAATTATGCTGCTATAAGGACACATGCACTTGTATGTTTATTGCGGCACTATTCACAATAGCAAAGACTTGGAACCAAGCCAAATGTCCAAAAATGATAGACTGGATTAAGAAAATGTGGCACATATACACCATGGAATACTATGCAGCCATAAAAAAGGATGAGTTCATGTCCTTTGTAGGGACATAGATGAAGCTGGAAACCATGATTCTCAGCAAACTATCGCAAGGACAGAAAATCAAACACCACATGTTCTCACTTATAGGTGGGAATTGTACAATGAGAACACCTGGACACAGGAAGGGGAACATCACACACCGGGGACTGTTATGGGGTGGGGGGAGGGGGAAGGGATAACATTAGGAGGTATACCTAATGCTAAATGATGAGTTAGTGGGTGCAGCACACCAACCTGGCACATGTATACATACGTAACAAGCCTGCACTTTGTGCACATGTACCCTAAAACTTAAAGTATAATAATAATAAAATTTTTAAAAAAAGATAACTAGTAAAAGACAAGGATGCCCTCTCTCACCACTCCTATTTAACATAGTATTGGAAACTCTGGCCAGAGCAAACCGGCAACAAAAAGAAATAAAGTGTATTCAAATAGAAAGAGAGGAAGCCAAGTTGTCTCTGTTTGCAGATGACATGATTTTATATTTAGAAAATCCCATCATGTAAGCCCAAAAACTTCTTGAATTGATAAGTAACTTCAGCAAAGTCTCAGGATACAAAATCAATGTACAAAAATCACAAGCATTCCTTCACACCAACATTAGACAAGCAGGCAGTGAAATCATGAATGAGCTCTCATTCACTATTGCTACAAAGAGAATAAAATACCTAGGAATACAATTTACAAGCAATGTGAAGGACCTGTTCAAGGAGAACTACAAATCACTGCTCAAGGAAATAGGAGAGGACACAAGCAAATGGGAAAACATTCCATGCTCATAGATAGGAAGAATCAATATTGTAAAAATGGCCATGTTACTCAAAGTAATTTTTAGATTTGATGCTATTCCCATCAAACTACAATTGACATTTTTCACAGAAGTACAAAAAATCTATTTTAAATCTCATATGGAATCAAAGAAGACCCCATATAGCCAGGACAATCCTAAGCAAAAAGAACAAAGCTGGAAGCATCACGCTACCTGACTTCAAACTGTACTACAAGACTACAGTAACCAAAACAGCATGGTACTGGTACCAAAACAGACATATAGACCAATGCAGCAGAACAGAGACCTCAGAAATAACGCCACACATCTACAACCATCTGATCTTTGACAAACCTGACACAAACAAGGAACAGGGAAAGGATCTCTTATTCAGTAAATGGTGCGAGGAAAACTGGTTAGCCATACACAAAAAAACTGAAACTAGACCCCTTCCTTACACCTTATACAAAAATTAAGTCAGGATGGATAAAAGAATTAAATGTAAAAACCAAAAAACCCTAGAAGAAAACGTAGGCAATACCATTCAGGACATAAGCATGGCAAAGACTTCATGACAAAAATGCCAAAAGCAATTTCAACAAAAGCCAAAATTGACAAATAAGATCAAATTAAACTAAAGAGCGTCTGCACAGCAAAAGAAACTGTCATCAGAGTCAACAGGCAACCTATAGAATGGGAGAAAATTTTTGCAATCTACCCATCTGACAAAGGTCTAATATCCAGAATTTACAAGGAACTTAAACAAGCTTACAAGAAAAAAAAACCTTCAATAAATGGGTGAAGAATATAAACAGACACTACTCAAAAGAAGACATTTACGTGGCCAAGAAACATATGAAAAACAGCTCAACATCACTGATCATCAGAGAAAAGAAAATCAAAACCACAATGAGATACCATCTCATGCCAGTCAGAATGGTGATTATTACAAAGTCAGGAAGCAATAGATGCTGGTGAGGCTGTGGAGAAATAGAAACACTTTTACACTGTTGGTGGGAGTGTAAAATAGTTCAACCATTGTGGAAGACTGTATCGTGGTTCCTCAAGGACTAGAAACAGAAATACCACTTGACCCACCAATCTCATTACTGGGTATATACCCAAAGTGATATAAATCATTCTGCTATAAAGACACATGCACACATATGTTTATTGCAACACTATTTACAATAGCAAAGACAAGGAACCAACCCAAATGCTCATCAATGACAGACTGGATAAAGAACATATACATACACCACGGAACATATACACCAGGGAATACTATGCTGTCATAAAAAGGAATGAGATCAAGTCCTCTGCAGGGACATGGATGAAGCTGGAAGCCATCATGCTTAGCAAACTAACACAGGAACAGAAAACTAAACACCACATGTTCTCACTCATAAGTGGGAGTTGAACATTCAGAACTCATGGACACAGAGAGGGGAACAACACACACCAGGGCCTGTTGGGTGGTGGAGGATGAGGGGAGGGAACTTAGACGATGGCTCAATAGGTACAGCAAACCACCATGGGACACATATACCTATGTAACAAACCTGTATGTTCTGCACATATATCCCTTTTTCGTTTTTAGAAGAAATAAAGAAAAAAAAAATCAACAAAAAAGTCAGAGTGAATCTGCACTATGGGCCAAATGGATTTAATAAATATTTACAGAACATTTCATCCAAGAGCTGCAGAATACACATTCTTTTCTCAGCACATGGATCATTCAGAAGGATCGACTATATGTTAGGTCACAAAACAAGTCTCAAAATGTTTTTTGACTTTTTTAAAAAATGAAATAATATCATGCAGCTTCTCTGACCACAATGGAATAAAACTAGAAATTAATAACAAGAGTATTTTGGAAACCATACAAATACATGGAAATTGAACAATATGCTTTTAAATGACCTGTGGGCCAATGAGGAAATTAAGATGGAAACTGAAAAACTCTCTGAAACAAATGATAATGAAGAAAACAATGTATTAGTCCGTTCTCACGGTGCTAATAAAAACATACCTGAGACCGGGTAATTTGTAAAGGAAAGAGATTTAATTGACTCACAGTTCAGCCTGGCTGGGGAGGCCTCAAAATCATTGTGGAAGGTGAAGGAAGAGCAAAGTCATGTCTTACATGGCGGCAGGCAAGAGAGGATTTGCAGGGGAACTCCCCTTTATAAAATCATTAGATCTTGTGAGACTTGTTCACTATCACGAGACCTGCCCCACCATTATTCAATTCCCTCCCACCAAATCCCTACCATGACATATGAGGATTACTACAATTCAAGGTGAGATTTGGGTGGGGATGCAGAGCCAACCCATATCACACAACATACCAAAACCTATGGGACAGATCAAAATCAGTACTTAGAGGGAAGTTTACAGCTATAAATGTCTACATCAAAAAAGGGAAAAACTTCAAATGAATAATCTAACAATGCTTTTTAAGGAACTGGAAAAGCAAGAGAAAGCCAAATCCAAAATTAGTGCATGGAAAGAAATAATAAAAATTGAAGCAGAAATAAAGGAAATTCAAATGAAAAAATACAAAAGATCAATGAAACAAAGAGTTGGTTTCATGAAAACTTAAACAAAATTCACAAACCTTTAGCCTGACTAAGAAAAGAGAAGATACAAATAAATAAAGTCAGAAATGAAAAAGAAGACATTACAAATGATACTACAGAAATTCAAAGGGTCATCAGTGGCTACTATGAGCAATATTATGCTAATAAATTAGAAAATCTAGAAGAAATGGACAAATTCCTAGACACATACAGCCTACCAAAATTAAACCAGGAAGAAATCCAAAACCTGAGCAGACCAATAAAAAGTAATGAGATCAAAGCCCTAATAAAAACTCTTCGAGTAAAGAAAAGTCTAGAACCTGATGGGTTCGCTGCTGAATTCTACCAACCATTTAAAGAAGAACTAATACCAATTGTACTCAAACCATTCCAAAAAACACAGGATATTTCCTAACTCATTCTACAAGGCCAGTATTACTATGATACCACAACCAGACAAAGATGAATCAAAAAAATAAAGAAAACTACAGACCAATATCTTTCATGATTATTGGTGCAAAAATCCTCAACAAAATCCTAGCATATTGAATTCAACAAAACATTAGAAAGATCCTTCATCATAACCAAGTGGGATTTATCCCTGTGATTCAATGATGGTTCTACATACACAAATCAATCAATGTGATATATCTTATCAACAGGATGAAGGATGAAAAACATATTAGCATTTCCATTAATGCTGAAAAAGCATTTGATTAAATTCAACATCCCTTCCTGATAAAAACCCTCAATAAACTGGAGATAGAAGGAACACACCTCAACATGATAAAATCTATATATGACAGAACCAAAACTAGTATCACACTAAATGGGGGAAAATTGAAAGACTTTCCTCTAAGATCCAGAACGTGACAAGGATGTCCATTCTAACAACTGTTATTTAAAATCGTACTGGAAGTCCCAGCTGGAGCAATCATACACGAGAAAGAAATAAAGGGCATCCTAATTGGAAAAGAAGAAGTCAAATTATCCTTGTTTGCAGATGATATGATTTTATACTTGGAAAAACCTAAAGACTCCACAAGAAAACTATGAGAATTGATAAACAAATCTAGTAAAGTTGAAGGATACAAAATCAATATATGAAAATCAGTAACATTTCTGTATGTCAACAGTTAACAATGTGAAAAAAAATTAAAAAGTAATCCCATTTACAATAGCCACACATAAGATTAAATACTTAGGAATTAACCAAAGAAGTGAAACGTCTCTATAATGAAAATTATAAAATGTTAATGAAAGAAATCGAAGAGGACACAACAAATGGAAAAATATTTTATGTTCATGGTTGGAAGAACAAATATTGTTAAAATGTCCATTTTACCCAAAGCAATCTACAGATTCAATGCCAGCCCTATCAAAATACCAATGACATTCTTCACAGAAATAGAAAACACAAGCCTAAAATTTATATGGAACCACTAAAGACTCAGAATAGCCAAATCTGTCTCAAGCAAAAATAACAAAACTGGAGGAATCACATTTCCTGACTTCAAATTATACTACAGAGTTATAGTAACCCAAACAGCATGGTACTGGCATGAAAACAGACACATAGACCAATGGAACAGAATAAAAAAAAACAAAAACAAAAACAAATCCATATAACTACAGTGAACTCATTTTCAACAAAGGTGCCAAGAACATACACTGGGGGGTGGGGTAGGGGTGGAAGAGAAACAGTCTCTTCAATAAATGGCGCTGGGAAAACTGGATATCCATATGCAGAAGAGTGAAACTATACCTGTATCCCTCACCATATATAAAAATAAAATCAAAATGGATTAAGAACTTAAATCTAAGCCCTCAAACAATAAAACTACAAGAAAACATTGCAGATTATCACCAAAACATTGGCCTGGGCAAGAATTTCTTGAGCAATACCCCAACAAGCACAGGCAACCAAAGAAAAAAAGGACAAATGGGATCACATCAAGTTAAAAATCTTCTGCACAGCAAAGGAAACAATCAACAAAGTGAAGAGACAACTCACAGAATGGGAGAAACTATTTGCAAACTACTCAACTGACAAGGGATTAAGAACCAGCATATATAAGAAGCTCAAACAACTCTAGAAAAAAAATCTAATAATCCACTCAAAAAGTAGGCATTTCTCAAAAGACATACAAATGGCAAAAACATGTATATTCATTGCAGCATCATTCACAATAGCAAAGATATGGAATCAACCTAAATGCCCATCAATCGTAGACTGGATAAAGAAAATGTGGTAGATATACACCATGGATACTATGCAGCCATAAAAAACTGAGATCATGTCCTTTGCAGGAACGTGATTGGAACTGGAGGCCATTGTCCTTAGCAAACTAATGCAGAAACAGAAAACCAAATACCACACGTTCTCACTTATAAGTGGGATTTAAATGATGAGAACACATGGACACATAAAGAGGAACAACACACCAGGGGGCCTATTGGAGGGTGGAGGATGGGAAGAGGGAGAGAATCAGAAAAAATAACTAATGGGTACTAGATTTAATACTTGAATGATGAAATAATCTGTACAATACACCCCCATGACACAAGTTTACCTATATGACAAACTTGCACATGTACCCCTGAACTTAAAGTAAAAGTTAAATAAAAAAATGGTGTTTGACATCATTGATCATTAGAGAAATGTAAAACTACAAGACATCATCTCACCCCAATCAAAGTGGCTTATATTCAAAACAGGCAATAACAAATGCTGGCAACGATGTGGAAGAAAGAAAACTCTTGTACACTGTTGGTGGGAATGTAAATTAGTGTACCATTACTATGGAAAACAGTTTGGAGGTTCCTCAGAAAACTGAAAATTGAGCTAACATATGATCCAGCAATCCCACTCCTGCATATATACCCAAAAGAAAGGAAATCAGTACATCAAAAAGATACCTTCATGCCTGTGTTTGTTGCAGCACTGTTTACAATAGCCAAGATTTGGAAGCAACCTAAGTGTCCATCAACAGATGAATGGATAAAGAAAATGTGGTACTTATATACAATGGAGTACTATTTAGCCATAAAAAGGATGAGATCCAGTCGTTTTCAATAACATGGATGGAACTGGAGATCACTGTGTTAAGTGAAATAAGCAAGGCACAGAAAGACAAACATTGCATGTTCTTAGATCTGTGGGATCTAAATTTCAAAACAATTGACCTCATGGACACAGAGAGTAGAAGGATGGTTACTAGAGGATGAGAAGGATAGTGGGATTGTGGGGAGGTGAGGATGGTTAATGGGTTAAAAGAAAAATAGTTAAGAAAGAATGAATAAGATCTACTATTTGATAGCACAGTAGGGTGACTATAGTCAGTAATAACTTAATTGTATATTTTTAAATAAAGAGTATAACTGGGTTGTTTGTAACTCAAAGCTTAAATTCTTGAGAAGATGGATACCTCATTCTCCATGATGGCCTTATTTCACATTGCATGTCTGTATCAAAACATCTCATGTATCCTATAAATATCTACTATGTACACACAAAACTGAAAACTAAAAGTACGATAAAAATATATCATAAAAATATAATCTAAAAATATAATAAAAATAATATATAATAAAAAATAAAAATGTGGTTATATTTTCTTGCCAAAAATAAACATATTTAAATGTATCTAAATAAACACTCCATATGTTAATTTTTTTATCTTCAACCAAATATTTCAGTTTAATTCTTTTTTAAGTGCATGGATCAAAGAATATGCTGATCATACTTAATTATTAAAAGACAAGCTTTTTAAATTGATACATATGGTGCCCTTTCTCAAAATTTATAGTACATTGTAGTTAAATAAAATATTCATTAAATCCATATTAAATTCCTATTAATGAGTTAGAGTTGAGGATAAAAAACTATATATAATATGCAATGTCTGTCTATATAACCCAGTGGGATACATAGATGTATATACAATAATTACATTTGATAGTAAATTAATCTGATAGCTTAACTTACCATTTATATAGAGAAAGTTATATGATACTAGAATACAAAGCCATTCCTTCCTGGGCAGTGAGGAATGAGGGGCCAGGGAAGATTCATGAAAGTGGTTACAAGCCAAAGCAGGACTTTAAATGAAGCCTCAAATTGATGTCTTAAAAAAAAAAAAAAAAAAGAAAAAAAAGAAAACTTCTGGTGGCAACATGGAAAATGATCAGGTATTGAGTACAGACTACAAATGAGAGTACAATTGAAAGGTTTCTGCAATAGAACAGGTATAAAAGTTAAGACTAGAAACAAAAAGTCCTTTAAGAATCTACAAACTATTATAAAAATAAGAAAATAGAATAGATAACAAAAACATATAAAATTAAATAATTTCAGTAGGAAATTACTTAGCTATTTGAGTACCTGAAACATCTCTGCATGAGGAACAATAACCATCTGGGCAAGTGGGAGCAGGTTTCAGAGCAACATAGAAGAGTCGTAAGAAACTTTAACTTAGAACTAGAAAAACTTGGATTGGAATTTCACACAGGCCACTCACTAGGTATGTTATCTAACTTCCTAAGAAGGAATTTCCTCACCTAGAATGTAGAATAGATGATACTTCATAAGACTGATCATTAAATGAGACAATGTCTGAAACACAGTAAGCATGTAATAAATGTTAACTATTATTACATCATAGTCTAGATATGAAACAGCCTGTTTGGTAGAAATGTTATCTAATACATTATCTAATACATATAGGATTTTTATACCTGAAGCCAAGAATGACCCAAAGTTTTCATCCTGTGTTTGTCTTAACATACTTAGTTTTTGAAATTAAACTGAAGAGTATAAAGAAGCACTGTGCTGTAGCTAAATGCAAGCAAATTAGTCATTTTATTGCAGCCTTCCAAAACAAACAATTTAGAAAGCTTATATATGTCAGTCGTCTTAAAATGAGCAATGAATACTTCTTTCTATTTTACATTACAATTCATTAAAATAGAAATTTTCATTCTGTTTTTATTTTTTTATTTTTTGAGACGGAGTTTCACTCTTGTTGCCCAGGCTGGAGTGCAATGGCACGATCTTGTCTCACCACAACCTCCGCCTCCCCGATTCAAGTGACTCTCCTGCCTCAGCCTCCCGAGTAGCTGGGATTAGAGGCATGCGCCACCATGTTGGGCTAATTTTGTATTTTTAGTACAGATGGGGTTTCTCCATGTTGGTCAGGCTGGTCTCAAACTCCCGACCTCAGGTGATCCTTTCGCCTTGGCCTCCCAAAGTGCCAAAGTGCTGGGATTACAGGCGTGAGCCACCGCACCCGGCCCATTCTGTTCTTTTTAAAATGTACTTTCATTTAAAATGGAAAATATTCCATTCCTTTACAATGAACATGCTAAAATATGTCCTTTAATAATTCCTCCTCTTAAAGGTTTCACCCCCACTGATGTGGAGAGCCATCCTACCATACCATGTCACACTATTCTTATGGAGCAATTTTCTACAATAATGAACAACAACAATTGCCAAGCATAAGAGCCAAGACGACAACCAGTACTTCTCAATCTGCAGATAAATCTTGAAACTTTTGAAAAAGTACTTTTTCTTTGAAAATTAAAAGGTTTCTTTTAAGCACTAAGATCAATAATGATACCTCAACTTTCAAAACTTCTTGAACCAACTAGATCTAATGAGAGATAGGTCAGAGTTCCCATTAGACTGGGCGATTTCAAATCATGCCACTGTGAATTCTGCGAATTGAGCCATTACATTTGATTATTTTCAGCTGAATTTTGAAAATAAATGGGCATAAAATTATAGTCCCACTTTGTTTCCCTGAATGACAAACAGGAAGATCACTTGCTTTCATGTATTAACCAGACAGATTACATCAACAACTATCAACGGTAGTACCCACTGGATCACAGACAAGGAGTTCTCACATCTGGTCGGAAGAAGGGAAAACAGTGGTACTTTCTTGAACAGTGATCCTGCTCAGCAGGTGCCACTCAAGATTCACTCTCCTTCCTCCTCATGGATGCTGTTCCTTCACACATATACATGACTTTCTCATCTTTACCCTAGAGCTAACAATGACGATTTTATTGGGAATTCTCAGGAAAGAAACATCTGCCATTTGTTAAGTGCCTTCTTTTTTTGATAGACATTGGTGTTTCATATACAATATTTCATTTAAAGGCAAACACTTCATTGTACAGATGAGGAAATTGGGCCTCATTATGACAAACCAAGAATTCCAACCTAGTTCTAAGGCCACAGTCTGTGCTCTCTGGCACTGTCCACCCTACGGCACTGGATGCATAAGGATATTGAGACCCCTATCAACTACGTATAAGAATAGAATGCTTCTTTTTTACTATAGTTTAATGGAATTGGTCATATTCAGTGTTCTAGTTCTAGCTTGCCAGGTTATAAATTTAATGTGAAGTAAACATTTCCATTCTCTCCCATATTGGGCTTAAAAATATAAAACTGTGATGACCCTTTATTACTACAGCATTTCCAGAAGCATGTATGAAATTGATGGATTTTAGGCACTTTTGTAAAAAAGAGATGATGCTTTGTCCAAGTCAGAATTTATCTAAATTCTTTCCAGATGAATATACCAAGGGGTAATATATATTATCAACCGACATGCATTTTCCTGGAAATCCGCTTGGCAATAATTCTGCATTTATTTCCTTGTAACAATGCCTTTAAAAGCCCAGAAGTGGTAGAGCCTAAATAATTTTAAAAGGTAGATAATGGAGGAAAATATATAATGCACTTCAAGCAAATGTATAGGTTTGAATCTGTCAGCAAAATAATCCAACAAATGTAATACTATGTGAGAACACTAAATACTTAGGTTTTATTTGTACAAGGTGAACTGAAGTCTATGCATGAATAATCTCATATTATACTTTCTTTATAAACTTTGGAAGTCTCTTGTTTCTTGTGACTCTCATGTAATGAAAACCAATGAAAATCACCTGCATTCATCTAGGGCTCAAAAAACAAAGAATAGTTGGTTAACTGCTTATAGCAAATAGAGCTTCAGTGAAGAACGGTCCTTTGATATACATGGTTCAGTTGACCAGTTCACAACAACTTGTACAAGATTATAGGTTAAAAAGGAAACTGCAAACTAAAGCAGAGCTGAAATTCACTAAAGCTTACTAGCACATGATACAATTATAGTTTATAACCAAATTTTATAACTGATAGAAATGTTATTAAATAAAAATGAATATACTTTATGCTACTCTATAGTGTTATATATATAGTGTAGATAAAGGTTTATGTTTTATAAAGTGCTTTCAAATATACTATCTCATTTGACCCTACAATAGTCTATATGGCAGACATCATTATGATAACACAACTACCATTTCTTCCACAGTAAGGGAAATAAAACTCACAGAGGCCCCTTTACTCAACCAGGTTTGCAGAGCTAGAGCTAGTAGTAGTGAAGCCAGTATTCACCTGACACAAGTATAATAGATACTTAAAGGACATTTGTTACAGCTACCTGAACCACATATTCCACTTCTACACACCAAGCACTATGTTGTTAGAGAGTTCTCAGGATTTTTACTGCCCCCGTACACTTGGGAGATGCCACCTGCTCCCATCAGTAACAGTGGCTCAACTCCACCGGGGGTGATAAATCAGAATGTTAGAGAAAGGTAACATAATTTAAACACAAACTCCTTCACCTGGTTCTGATCATCCCTCATTAGGGGTCTTTTCCCACACTCCCAGTGACAATTGCTGATTTTTTAAATTATTTATTTATTTATTTATTTTTGAGATGGACTCTCAGCCTGTCACCCAGGCTGGAGTGCAGTGGCACAACCTCAGCTCACTACAACCTCTGCCCCCTGGGTTCAAGCAATTCTCCTACCTCAGCCTCCCTAGTAGCTGGGATTCCAGGCGTGCACTACCACACCTGGCTAATTTTTGTATTTTTAGTAGAGATGGGATTTTGCCTTGTTGGCCAGGCTGGTCTCAAACTCCTGACCTCAAGTGATCCACCCGCTTTGGCCTCCCAAAGTGCTGGGATTACAGGCATGAGCCACCCAATTGCTGATTTTTAAAAAAGCTTTAATGTGTGCAATGAGGAGTATTATTAATAATAGTGTATTGTATTTAGCATTTTTGCCAAATGCGTGAGATTACAGCTATTCTTGCCACAGAGAGATAATGGGTAACTAAGTGAGGTAATAGATATGTTAATCTGTTCCACTATAGTAACCATTTTACTCTCTATATGTATCTTATACCATGTTATATGTATTAAGTATGCACAACAAAATTTTTTAATTATACTTTTATAAAGTCTCAAAGAGTTCTTCTCAACATTCCACACTAGAATTGTCAGAAGAGATTATAAAATTCTGATGCCCAAGTTCCACTCCAGACAAATTTAATTAGAATCTCTATGATAGGACTCAGACATCAGCTTTTTTTAAAAAAAAAAAACGAAAAGACAAAAAGCCCCACATAAATCAAATATTCATGATGTTGAGACAAGTTGCCTTAAAACATCCACAAAAATGGACAGAATCAGGGATGTAAAAGATGAAAATATCAATGTCTATGAGGGTGTTCATTGTAGCACTATTTATATTGAAAAATAGAATGGTGGCACAATAGAAATATAAATTTAGATAAACAGTATTCATCTTTTTAATAGAATATAATGCATCATTTAAAACAATGATTCTAGAAGGGACTACAAATATGAAAAACGGTAAAATATATAAAGCTAAATAAAAAACAATCGCAAGATTGTATGTTCTCCAAAATTGTGTAAATTATACCTACGAAAGTGCTGGAAGTAGATAATCAGTAAAACCATGGTTTTACATCAGTCTGTGAGTGATGTGTTTTATTTTCTCTATTATCTATAATTGATATTAAATTTAGTTATAACTAAAATGTAGTAATGCATGTTTGTGGAACAATAAAAAGTGATTCTGATAAAATTTTTAATACATAAAATCCAAGATAGCAGGTGTATTATGGTAGTCCCTCTGTAATGGATGTGCTGGGCTAGATGTTATGGAACTGAGACCCTACATGTAACTGTGAGTACATGCCCAAAACCCACACATTTCCCCCCACAGGAAATCCAGGAAGGGAGTTAGAAAGTAAATATAATGAGAATTATACCCTGGTAAGCTTCATTCTGCTTCCTGCTTGGAATCTAGTAGAATCATACAGCAGGTGAGGGCAAAAGAGCACATAAATAAGGCTTTGCACTGGGGACCCACAAGCTACAGAGACCAGCCTGTCAGTATCTGATAACATTGGTCTTTGATGCATTTGAAAAAAGCAAGCCCTGTGGTTTCCCAAAGCTAAAGAAGCCTACTTGGGAATGGTTTTTCTATCTTCTCAGGTGCTCCAGTGAGCTAGGCAGCTAAAGGCGCTCTTTAGAGTTTGTGACACCAGCATGGGATTAGGAATTGAGTCATCTGCATGGAGTAGTTAGAACTTGTGGTGAAATTGGTACATTCCAAAAGACAGGAGTTAGATGCATGGGCTAGGAAGGAGGGCTTCCAGCAAGAGCGAGACTATAAACAAGGAGGCAAAAGTGAGAGTTTGGCACAAGGAAAACGAGGACATCAAAATGAAGTGAGTTGGGAGATGTACTGAGGAAGATAAAAGAGGATAGAAGAGAAAAGACAGAAGTGTGGACTTGAGGGCCAAACAAAAACCAACCTGGACTATTCTGGATCAGCATGAATTCATGAGTACATACTAATGGGCTGATGAAGGCAGCATTGTAAAAATTAACTTGGTTAGGTTATGTATGATGAATCTGAGCGTTTCACACAAAGCCAATATTCAATCAATGTTTTTTGAATTGGTTGATGGAAGCCATGTCTTAATACACTGGCTATCTGAGGACATAAAAAAGGTCCTGCGTAGGCAGAGCTTTGTGGTTTATTTGCTCCATGACAGCAAATATGAATCTCAAATATGGCCAAATATTTCCCTCAGTCTCAAAAGGACCCCAATAAGAATGTTCTGACCAGGAAATTATGGGTTGTCTTCTTAGCCCCTGCTTTCTAAACAAGGACACTGAGGGCTGCCTTCTAAATACAGCTAAAAATAAGGTAAATTCTGGTGTGGCCTCCACCTTGTGATGGAAATGTTTCAATATAGTTAAACAAAGACTTTTCCTAGCCTCAGGTTGCAACAGCATTACAATTAATAACTGTGATTTGATTATATAGACTACTCAAATCTGTTGAAAACTAAAAAGTATCTAGTGTTATGCTCTTCTAAGACAAAATGTACTAATTACAATAAACCAAAATAGAATACAAGTGTAATACAGTAATTTATATGATTTAAATCAAATCAAGTTTCTAAAGGTTCTTTACAGATTGCCTGCATGGCTATTTCTGCAAACATGGCCCAGAGAAAGAACAATGTCTGGTCTCTTGTTGATTAGGTGGCAATCTGGCCAAAGGAAAGACTTCAGAAGATATTTTTAATTTTTAAGAAAAAGACCGATTCTTACTTTTTCTCTCACAATCCCACCACTAAAAACATCTCTGCAGCTACCACAGTGGAAAGACGAGAGCAGGTCATGAAATCCTCCAGCAGCAGAAGGCACAGGAGAGAGTTTCTGACTGACTGGCTCTGTAACTTTGGACAGCATCAGAAACAGAGCAATCAGAAACCTGCAAGGCTGAATGTAAGCAGCCACAGCCTAATGCTTTGCAGGCTGCAGCAGGTCCCAACCAGGCATGGAAGCAGGCAGCTGGAAAAGGAAGGTTCCCTGGGGTGAAGGGAAAAGGAAGCGGGAAGACAACATAATATGAAAATAAATAAACACATTTTGAAATGAATCAAGAATGGGTCCCTTTATGGTTAACAGCAGGTTTTAGCCTTTCATGCTGGGAAATATAAATTTCCCTTGCTTCTGGGGAGATCTTCTTTTCCTATGGCCAAGGGCATGTGTGTCTGAATACATGGAGAAAAAAGGCCCCATCTTCTCCCTGGTTCAGGCCATCTGGACAAGTGCTGCTCTAAGTGTAGCATAATAGGAAGCTGCCTGGGCTATTCAGATGGCAACAGAAATTAAGAATAGAAGTGAAGAGTTCAAGAGACATTATGAAGGGAAAAAGGAAGATAACATGTTAGATAATGGGAGTATTGGAAAGCAATAATTTCATGAAGACACATACATGATCAAGCACAGCCTTGTAGAGTCTGTGCAGCACTCACACTGACAACTAACCTGAAGAATGATCAGGTTTGCGAGTATACCATGGAAATCCACACACAGACCAAAAGCCTGAGAGCCAAAAGTTGGCAGGTGTTAGCCAGTTTTATTAAAATTATCTATGGGGGGAAAAATCACCATCACAAAAATTAGCTCCTCTTTGGATAACTACTTACTGTCCTTTCTGTCATGTGAGGGGCCTAACATTTAGACCAAGTTTGAAATGCAAAACACACCATGCTCTTAAGTGGGCATTGTGGGAAAATGATCGCAACAACTATGACAAACCATCTGCAAAAGCATTTTGGAACCTTTAAAATTTGCTATAAACATTACTACCATCATTATTGTCCTTGGCGCTTGGTGATAATATAAAATATGCTGACTTCTGGCAAACATGTCCGAAAATGAAAACCAGTTTTGAACATCGTAGGGTAATTGCAGCCTCTGAGAAACAGAAATAAAAGATGAAATTTGCGTCATCTGTACATAGCAAAAAGGGCCAGTATTTATCTTTTTTATCCAAGGCTTGGGATCCAAGTGAACATTTGAGTCAGTTTCACACCCAGCCTTGTGAGTTTCTGATTGCTCTGTTTCACAATGGCCTGAAGTGAAAATCACGGCATTATCTGCATTAAGGTGACTCCTGTTCCCCATCTACTGTGTATCCAGAGCTCAGTGTGGCTGTCAAACCCCGTTCCAGCTCCCTGTAAGCAGGGCTGTTTGTAAATATAAAGAGCAAAGAATGAATCAGATAACTTCATCAGAGAACTATAAATATTGGTTTAATAAGACTAATATATTTGCATTTTTTATTTCAAGTGGTAAAATACTTTAGAATGTTTTTTGTTTTCATTTTTGTTGTTGTTGTTGTTGTTCAAATGCATCCAAGACTCTGTTCACAGATTCCTTGAGTTCACAAATAGGGACAAATTAGTTTCTGGAACAATTTGTTGGCATGTTTTTTACTGGAATTCAACCTGAGACTCATGTTTACAGCTTCATACTCCCCTGACAGCTGAAAATATTGTGTGTGTGTATGTGTGTGTGTGTGTTCATAAATGATATATTAGAGAAGAGCAGTGAGATGCTAGAAAAGGCAGACTGCTGAGATAGTTTCAAAATCTATTTCACAGGCACCAAAAGCTTATTGAAGGTCTTGTTTTCCCTTCCTCTGGCTAAGGTTTTCTATAAGACGTAAAATAATAAAACTCCTGAGCTGAGTTGAAGAATATACAGAGAGGATTTTTCAGAGGAGAGGATAAGTAAATTGGGCATTTAAATGTCCAGAGCAGCACAAACTCTTTGAGATGACACAGAACATAGATGGCATTGCTATTTATCAGTTGTGTCTGAGTTGATATTTTGGCTCTCATCATAATGATACAGGCATTTACCAACCACCAGAAGACAGGAAAGTAATATATCTAAGGAATTTTTTTGCAATAAAACACTCAACATTTATACTTCTAATGAGCAGTTTATTCTCAATAGTCCTCTGTGAGATAGGTATTAGTAGTCCTATTTAAGCCATGATGAAATTGAGGTACAAAAAAATGAACTTGTCAAAGATCTTAAATAAGATCGATAAGATTTAAACCAGAATCTTTTCTCAAAAACTATGGTTATTTCATTATGCTACATTGCCTAAAAATAAACATTTTAAATGTTAACATCAAATGAACCTCAAAAAACACAGAAATAAGTCTAGTGACTTATTTGCTAAATTATACTTTTTTAAGTTTTGAAATTTTTAGTGCTTTTGCAAGGAATAGTTTTCACTACATCCACTCCAAAGGCTAAGAGCACCGAAAATTCATGTGTACAAGGTGAGTTATTGTGATAAATTGTGTCACTATTCTATCTTGTTGTGCCTAAATAATCCTCCCAAGGGATTGCCCAAAGATCTTGGCACATTCTCACTAACAGACTCTCCTGTAGGATAACACTGCAACACCAGGAAACCACAGGGAGGGCAAAGATGGAAAACTAGTCAGCTTCAGTCCAGACTTAAGAAAGGACAACCTAGCCTGAAACCCACCTTTGTGGGGACCTTTTGTATTTGTAAAGGTATAGATGACATTTGCCAAAATGGGTAACTTCTTTGAGTTACTGACTCAATTGCTAAATGAAAAGAGGTATGTTCCATTAACGTAATCACTGCCAAATACTAACTGCTACCATCGCTTCTGCAGTTCCTGATAGTACCTTTAAAAGCTGCCAAGGAAAGCCAAGAGATAATGCTGCTCTCATATATCCAGTGAAAGGAATATTTGCAGGGAACTTCTGAAAACAAAAGAAAAATATGCTCATTTTAGAAAATTTAGAAAATGCTGTAAAGTATCAAGTATAAAGTAATTCATCAAAGGATCTATTTTGATCTATTTCCTTGCCATTATCCATGAACTTACTTTGGTGTACTTCCCTAAAATCTTTATTCTTTGAATACCCTTTCTTTAATTAGAATTATTCAGAATATATTATGGTTTGATTTTAGTTAATATTCCATTGTGGAGATTTTAACAGTTTATTAAATATTAAATGTCTGTGATATTACCTCCTGCTCATTAACATAACTCAGTCATTCCCTTGTTAGTCATTGTTTTCAATGTTCACTATTGCAAATAGAGTGATAATGAGCATGTTTTATATAAATCTTTGTTACATCTCTGATTATTTTCTTAGAATAGCTTCTGAGAGTCAGAGAAGTGAAATTAATGCGTCAAAGATGTAATTTAAATGGCTTGATACATATTGATGAACTGCTTTCCTGAAAAGTTGTACCAAGTTATATTTATGAATTTTCATTTCTAGTCACCCTCATCAAATTTGGAGACTTTTAAAGTTAAGTTTTTCTAAGAGTAACACAGACCTGTAACACATCAGTTTCTACATTGAGTATTCATTAGCTTCACGAATGAAAGAGTCATCAAAGTGCATGCCACCACTTAACTGAAAGGCAGGTTCTGTCACTGTGCAATATTTTCTAGCACATTTCCTACCGTAGTATAGGTATTTAATAAATATTTGTTAAATTCAATGAATGTCAAAGTTGACCTTAGATGTACCAGCCAATGTGTTTTACAGAGGACTTCAACCTAAATATTTATCTCATTATATAATCTCAATTACCCAGTGGGAGTTTTATAGATGAGAAAACTGAGGTTCACTGATACTCCAGGAGTTGCTTACAGTCATGATTAGTAAATGATGACATTGAACACTGAACTCCCAATTCATTCAATGGGTTCTCTATGCCGCAGCATAATATCATGAGGTAAAGGGATTCACATATGTTGTAAATGCTCAGAGCTCCACACCAATAAAATGAAAGTCTCAACAATCATCAAATACACTATGATTTCTAGAAAGCACCTCTGGATAATAACTCACTTGCTTCACCAAATATGACATCTACTTTCAAAGAAATCTAACTTATTTAACAGGCTTAGATTTAAATGTGTAAGCAGTACAAAGGAGTATTAAACCTAGATATAGTTCTCAATTCTTCTTGGAGATAGCAATGGTTATTGTTAGGTTAGTAAAATAATAAAAATAATAGTTATCATTTAGTGAGGCCCTATGATGTGCCAAATAATACTGACAGCCACTATGCTAATTATTATTCTCATTTCACATACAAAGGTGAGTTACCAATCCCATGTTTTACACCAGCAGTTCTGATACTCTAGGGGGCACCAGTATCACCTGGAGAGCTGGTTGGAAAGTAGATTGCAGAGCTCTGCCCTGTGTATTACTGATTTAGGAACTCTGGAATGGGGCCTGAGAATGTGCAAGACTCTTAAGTTCCCTAGTGATAGTGCAGATCCAGACATTCCCCACTTTGAGACTTTGTTTATTCCCCCAATAAATGGTAGAGGTAGGAACTGAATCCAGATATTCCTGACTTTAAATTTCAGGCTATTTGCATTATCCCAAGTGGATTTTAATGTAAAGACTGAATTTAAATGGTCTGAATCTTATTTCACACTTAATTTGGTCTTTAAGGCTTGTTCATAAACTTATAAAAGCAGGTCTAAGAAATTTACTTGGAATTCTAAAAAACAGGGACTGAAACAGAATTAATCGAGTTTACGACAATTAAGTTAGTCATCAGTGGCTCACTTTACCTTTCCTATTTCACAGAACAATGTTATTAAAGCGAAAAGTGACCTTAGACGTCATTGCATTGAACTTTTATTTTATAGGTGACCAATTTGAAGACCAGAAAGTGGAAGTTCCTAAGATGCTTCCATCTTCCCTACTGGACAAATATCCGTGTTTCAAGAAAGCTTAACCCCTTTCTTCCACCACACTATAGAGTCTACCACTTTCTTCTCTGTGTTGTGATTGCTTATCTTGTGATAAGTGCAACAGTAGAAGTCTTTCTCTGACTTACATTACCCCCCATATTTTACCTTATTGGTTTACAATTTTGTCTCCTCTTCTATATTAGACACATCTGAAAGCAAGTATTACATTTATGAAACATTTGCATTCAGTTAGAAAGTGCTTGTTGAACTGAGTGGAATTTTATTTTATTCTTTGTTCTTTCTTCACCACTGTATCCATTTCACCGACTCAATGGAGGAACTCAGTTTCCATACTGAGCTATAAGCAACCAACTTAACTGTTTTCAGCTACCTCTTAAAGGTTTTCTTTTTTCTCACTGTGCTAATCATTTTGAACTTGAAGAACCTCTATGCTTACTCCTGAAATGTAATTATTAGTAAATATCTTTGCTTTGCTTACTCCTGAAAGTAATCATCAGCAATTTTTTCCTCTATTTTAGTATATTTAGCTATTTTAAAGTCAATATTATTTTTAGGATGATTGTTCTCCATAATATTTAAGGGATCAAAAGATATTTTACATATGTTAAATATGTATGTATGTGTGTGGTTATAGAGATATATATACATTTTATGAAAATCTTCCACACCACTTCTCTTTCAAATATGTCCAACTCCCATTTTTTTAGATAATTAAAATATCAGTCCATTTTATTATGGACAAAATATAAATTGTTTTGAGAAAGTACAGTGGCAGAGTAGACTACAGACACAACCTGAAATTCTTATAATAATGGTCTTTTATTTCTTAGTCTAATTCAAAAGAAATGTGACTTTTAAATCACACAGACTAGACAAAGAGAATTCGCCCAACTACTGCAGTGAAGCCAGCAGAAAAGAAAATCCTGCAGATGCTTTTCTTTGAATTAATGCAAAAGCTGACATTAAAGACCAGCAAGAATGTAGGAGTGGTTGAATCACAGGCCTCTTACATTGCTGACATCTCCTTCTTTGTAATATAGGGTCATACAATAGTCTAAAACCCCTTTCTCAAAATATGTGTCAACCAGAGAAGCCTTTATGACCCACATACTCATCACTGTCCTGGTGTTGATATTGAAACATACAATGCCATTCCTGAGAGAAGGGGTGCAATTCAATAATAATAATAACATAATAATAATGATAATAACAGCAACCCTTTAATGGGTGCTTCTTGCATGATAAACACTTTGCAAATATTTTCTAAATCTAGCCTTGGGAAAAAATCCTAAAAAGTAGACACATGCACATCAAAGTTACAGACTCAAAAAGAAGCTCAGAGAGGGGAGCTTATCTATGTGAGGTCACAGAACTAGAGTGTGAGTCTGGACTCTTGGATTCTAAACCATACTATTTATTTAAATTGTTAACTACTCCTTTAGAAGTACAAATAAACATCTGTATTTCAATGGGAAGCAGTACATGTTTTTAAGAATGATATTTTAAAGAAATCACTCTGACAGAGATCGAAGAAGAGTTGTTCTATTTTCCATCCAGTAGGAAACTCAAAGCATTTCTGGGCATATCATACACCTAAAAATTAATCTAACAAATGGAAATTGTCTGTAGTATATACTACATGACAAAGATGCCATTCTGAGAGACACCCCCCACCCCCGCCCTCAGAAAAACCTGAGAAGCAGACATATTAGCATTGAGAATTCTCTCTCTTCCCTTGCTAGCCCTATCTTTCCAACGCAAAAGATGTCTGAATGAAACTTGCAACAAAATCTCAATTTCAAATATAGTTTTGATTTTTCTCAATTAAATATTGATGTCACAGATAACAGCTCTTTGGTGACCAAAGTCTATCTCCCGAATTATTTTTTGTTCAACACCAAACTGCACCATGAAAATCTTTCTTGATTTGGAAATATTAGACCTCTTCTGGGTTCTTCAAGTTCAGAATGAAAACAGCTAAGTTGCTTGCTTATAGCTCAGTCTGGAAACTAAATTCTACAGTGAAAAAAATGCCTGAGTTCATGGTTGTGTTCAGTTACAATGAGACAGAAAATGATATACAACATTGATATTAATTACTGTCAAATGAGGATAGTAGCGTACACCATAAATGTTTAGAGCTGTAAGAAACCATGAAGACAGCAATGATTTATCCCAAACCCCTCTTTCATGGCTCCCAGGAAGAAGGAGAAAAAAATGAAAAAGACTTGTCTGACTTTGGAGCTATAGGGAATGGGTTCAAGTTCTGGTTATGCCATTTAGAAGCTGCTTGACCTTGAAATACCTAACTGACCTGAGCCTCTATTGTTTCATCTATAAAGTAGAAATAATAATTTCTACATTACAGGGTTGTTTGAAGGATTGGAGATATGTTATTTAAAATACCCAGTCTATTATAGATAATCAAAAGACCAAGAAATTTTGATTCAGAGAGTTTATGGCTTATACAATATTGCACAATGGTGCTTAGTGGCAGAGCAGAAACCAGAGCCCAAAGCGCCCCACACAGACAGGTGCTTTTAATAAAACCTCCTGTGAAATAGATGTAGGCTCTGCCTTCCCTCATTAGCGATGGTTAGGATTAGTTTGTTTCATTTAGTCCTTGTTGTTATAGTCAGTTCTCATGCTGCTGATAAAGACATACCTGAGACTGGGTAATTTATAAAGGAAAGAGGTTTAATAAACTCGCAGTTCCACAAGGCTGAGATCTCACAATCACAGTGGAAGGTGAAGGAAGAACAAAGGCACATCCTACGTGGAGGCAGGCAACAAAACTTGTTCAGGGGAACTCCCATTTATAAAACCATCAGATCTCATGAAACTTATTTACTACCACGAGAACAGTATGGGGGGAACTACCCCCATGATTCAATTATCTCCACCTGGCCCCACCCTTGGCACGTGGGGATTATTACAATTCAAGATGAGATTTGGGTGGGGACACAGTCAAACCATATCACTTGTTATTTGTAGCTTTTTGTTAATGTTTTCATTTGTTTGTTGTTTTGCTATTTCTAAGCTAAAAGACAAATGAAAGTAGAAGAGAGTGATAAATGTCCCTTGCAGTTACTGTACATGCTTGTCTGAAATGAAAGCCCTGGCTACTCCAAAGAGAGAAATACACAGGGTCAGAACCAATGGATGGACAGCTCCAGGACACAGTGAATGCCTTGTATGCTGAAAGATGTGAGAATCCCATAGCAATGCACTTGGACATGCATTCTGTGCAAAGTGCCTCTTCTTCTGGTCAAAAAAGAAATGACAGTGTAGAGTCAACCTCCTGTTAACTTAATGTGCCAAAAACCATCTTATAACTGAAAATAGGATTAAGAACTCTCAGAGAAACTTCAGCCAGGAGGACTAGGCTAATCAGTAGCCTGGTAGTCCATAGGCACACAAAACCAATGTAATTACCTTGACTCAGGCATCCTGGGTTTTTGTACATACATATATATGTATATATTACAGAAGTTACAGAGATTTTAAAAACAATAGAGGTAATTACATCTGTGGATGTCCATCCTATCTGACAATCAAGATTGGGGCAACCATTCCAAAACTGTTCTTCTGCTTTAGTTTTAGTTTTTTAATTATTATTTAATATTGACTAGATACAAAAGAATATTTAGAAAATGCATGTGAATTATGAAGGAAAGTTATGCAAATGTGTGTGTACTCACTACCTAATTTAAGCAAAAGGATGCCCCGTCTCCATTTTTGGAGGGCCTTCTCAAGTCCCTTCAATTCCTTCCTGCTCACAGTGAAGAACAATCTTCTGAATGCATCATTCTTTTGCTCTTCTTCAAAGTTTTGCCACATATGCTTTATATACCTAAGATAGTATTGTTTAGTTTTACATGGTTTTTGAATGTTATATAGTGTCACACAAAATTTTTAAATAAATTGCTTTTTTCCTCACATATGCTCCTGAGAGTCATTTTTGTACTTAATAGCTAAAATTCTCTATTATTCACAATTCTCTAGTGTTCTAGAATGTTAATGTACCATGATTTACTTACTCATTTTACTAATGAGCTTCTGAATGGCTTCAACTATCTATTCTGAACATTCTTGGCCATGTCTCCAGAAGCACATGCAAGAGTCATTCAAGTCTCTTCCATAGTCTCTCACATGAGATTTGCCTTCAGAATCCACATCACTCCACATGCTCATCAACACTTAAAATTACAAGCCCCTGTAAAATGGGATCTTCCTTGATTTAATTTGCATTTCCATAATTGCTAATGAGATTGAGCACATTTTTATGTTTGTCATGCATTTTTCTTTTGTCAAATATTTATGCATGTCTGTTATCCATTTTTCTTCTGAGTTTTCTTTTTGTTATTAAATTTATTGAGTTGAATTAGAATTCTTTGTTGGTTTTGTATATTGCAAATATTTCCTTCCCTATTGTGGTTTGTGTTTCTTCTTGTTTTAAAACAAGTGTTGATAAACAGATTTTTAACGTAGTGAAATTCATCTATTATTCCCTTTGAGATTTGTACTTTTTGGGTCCTGTTTAAGAAACTTTTCTCTACCCTGCAGTTATAAATATATTCTCCCATGTTATCTTGTAAAATTTTATAGTTTTGCCTTTCACATAGGTGTTTAAACTTTCATATGGTTTCTAATTGCTTCCACACAATTTTTTAAAGTCCTTATTTCTCCACTTAGCTGCTGTACTAGATTCAAGCAAAATTACATTTCCACATAAGTATGCTTCTTTTGGGGGACCATTGTAATCAATTCCATCAGTCATCTTCTCTGTCTCTGCACCAGGACCACACACTGTCTAATTTTCTATGAGTTTTGTCTTACCTGAGACAAGTGCTGCCATCTTTATACTTCTTCAGGGGTGTTTTGGCCCTTTGAGGACTTTTTCACATACATACACATATATATTATGGAAATATATATATAAATAAACTTTCAAATTTATTAGTATGAGGTTACTCATATTATTCTATTGTTTTTAAAATCTCTGTAACTTCTGTAATATACACATATATATGTATGTACATATATATGTTACCATAATATATACATATACATATATATTATGGAAATGCAAATATATATATGTATGCAATATATTTTATATATATATATATATATCAGCTCAAATTCCACCACAGCACCTGTTGATATTTTTATTGGAACTACATTAACGTTATAGATCAATTTACAATGATGCTATAGATTCACCTATAGATCAATTAGCCTTTCAATATTGAGTCTTTGTATGTCATTTATTTAAATTTGGTATGAGGTCTAGTAGTAGAGTTTTACTATTTTTTCCATGACGTTCTTGCTTATACTTTGTTATATTTATTCCAAAGTATTTTACATTCTAATGCTCTTTTAAGTGGTATCATTTAAAATTACTTTTGAATGAAATTTTCTACCCACAGTGTATAAAAATACAAATTGATTTTTTTAGAACTACCATATGATTCAGCAATCCCACTTCTGGGTGTATATCCAAAGGAAATGAAATCAGTATGTCAAAGAGACATCTGCACTCCCATGTTCACTGCACCATCATTTACAATGGCCAAGATATGTAATCAACTTTAATGTCCATCAACAGATAAATGAAGAAAATATAGTGTTATACACAATGCAATACTATTCAGCCTTAAATAAGAAGGAAATCCTATCATTTGTGAAAATATGGATGAATCTGAAGGAAACTATGTTAAACTATCCCATTTATATGTGGAATATATTAAATTTTAAAAAGCTGAACTCATAGAAGCAGAGAGTAGAACAGTGGTTACCAGAGGTTGAGGACTGGGAAGAATAGGGAAAGGATAGTCAAAGGATACAAAGCCTCAGACAGGAATAAGTTCAATAGATCTACTGTACAACACGGTGACTATAGTTGGTAACAACATATTGTGTTCTTGAAAATTGCTAAGAGGGTAGATTTTAAGTGTTCTCACCAAAAGAAAAGTATGGGAGGCAATGGATATGTTAATTAGCATAATTTAGCCATTCCACAATACAGACATATTTAAAAACAACATGTTATACATGATAAATATATACAATTTTGTTTGTCAGTAAACGTATTAGTCTGTTTTACACTGCTGATAAAGACATAGCCAAGACTGGGAAGAAAAAGAGGTTTAATGGACTTACAGCTCCACATGGCTGGGGAGGCCTAACAATCATGGCAGAAGGCAAGGAGAAGCAAGTCATGTCTTACATGGATGGTGGCAGGCAAAGAAAGAGAGGTTGTGCAGGGAAAATTCCATTTTTTAAAACCATCAGATCTCATGAGACTTATTCACCATCACAAGAGCATCATGAGAAAGACCCACCCCCATGATTCAATTACCTCCCACCAGGTCCTTCCCACAACATGTGGTAATTCAAGATGAGATTTGGGTGGGGACACAGCCAAACCATATCAGTAAATAAATATACAATTGATTTTTATATCTAGATAAACTCTTATAATCTTAATAACTTGTGGGTAGATTTGTTTTGTTTTTCCATGATCATGCCATCTCTGAATAGTTTTGTTTCTTTCTCAATCTTAATCCCTTAATTACTTCTGCCTTACCAAATTGACTTGGACTTCCAGTATAATATTAAATGTAAGTGGTGATAGCTGACATTTTTGTTTTATTCCTAATCATAAAAAGAATACTTTCAATGTTTTAACAAGAAGTATGTTTACCATAGTTTTTCTATAGGTATATTTTCTTGAATTCAGGAAGTACATTATATTGCTAGTGTCCTAAGAGTTTATCATAAATGTATATTGAATTTTGATAACTTCTTTTCCTGCCTTTACTGAGATCACAAGATTCTTCTTCTCCCTTAATCTGCTAATATGGTGAATTAAATTACTTCATAATTTCAAACTAAATCTGCAACGCTGGAACACCCTCCAATTAATCATGTATTATCTTTTTATGATAATCACTTTGCTAATATATTATTTTAAGATTTCTGTAATTATGCTCATAAATGAGATTGGCCTGTAATTTTCCTTCCTTGAACAGTCCTAGACTAGGTTTCACATATAAAAGGAGTTGAACACATTCCTTGTCTATATTATACAAGATTCACAACATTGAAATCATTTGTTTTCTCAGTGCTAACAGAACACATAGATAAGAACTCTCTGGTTCTGATATTTTCATTGAGGGAATATTTTTGAATTGTTCTTTCAATTTCTGTTGTAGCTATATGACAATTAAGGGTTGCTGGGGTTTTTTTAGTCATTTTTGTTAGATATATTTTTTCTCAGAAATTTGTCCTCTCATCAAAACTTTCAAATTTATTAGTATGAAGTTATTCATATTATTCTATTGTTTTTAAATCTCTGTAACTTCTATAATTGTCTCTTTTATTCATAGTGTTTACTTGTGTCTTCACTCTTTTTTTATGATCAACCTTGACAGAGGTTTTTCGATTTTATTAGGTCATTCCAAGTGAATCTTTTGGCTTTGTCAATCTACTCTATTATATGTTTGCCTTCTATTATATTCTTTATATCATTTCCTTCTTCCCAGTACTTTCTTCTTGTTTACATCATTATACTTTTTCATCTTAAGTAAGCAGCCTAGGTCATTAGCTTTGAGGCTTTTCTTTCACAATACAAATAATTAAGTATCATTTTACCTAAATCCCCCAAATTAAAGGCAACGTAGTTTATTATTTCTCAGTTCAAGATATTTTCTTATAATTACTTAACTTGTGAATTACTTAGGAATATGTTTCTAAATTTATGAAAATATGGGATTTTTTTAGTTGTATCTGTGGGAAATTCAGGGCACCTGTCAGCCGTTGGTAATGGATCTTCACCTTACATCACTCTCCCCAACTAGGACCATAAATTCCTTATGACTGCACTTTACTCAATTTCCAACTATAGTCCAGTGACCTCATTGCTGTGGAAAGAAGCATTGCTTTGAACACTACATTCCTTAACTGGGCCAGGCAACTTTCAGAGAGTCACATGTCCTCTCTCAGCAATTTCACCTCTTCCCACAGCTCAACAGCTGCCAACAATGTGCTCCAACCATCCTTCAAACTAACCACCAGAAAACACAGGACCACCCAATACCAAAAATGTTGATCCTTGCTACTGTTTAGCAAACATTATCTTGCCTCACTTATCAGATCATTCCCCTTGGAAAAAAAGACCACCTCAGATGTCATCCAGGTTCTGCAAGGATACCTAAACATGCATCACAGGAAACAGCTGTGTGGGCTGTCCTATTTTTCTGGCTCCTAATTGTTTCTCTTTTATTCTTATTTTCCATGCCTACCCTAGTGCTTTATTTGGATCCCAAACTATCTTGAGTGCCAAGCCCACACAGGCTGGGACAAGCTTTACTTTTATCATTAACTGGAAACATAAAGAAAATCTACACTGAAGGAAAACTTTTCAAATTCAACTTTCTTATTCAAATATACTTATCTTTTAAAATTAACATCTAATTGTATATTTTTACCTTGTAAAACATGATGTTTTGAAGTACATATACATTTTGGAATGGTTAAATCTAGCAACTAATAAATGCATTACTTCACAGGATTATCATTTTTGTGGTGAGAACACTTAATAGACACTCAGCATTTTTCAAGGATACAATATATCATTATTAACTATAGTCAGCTTGTTGTACAATAGACCTCTTGAATTTATTCCTCCTATCTAGCTGTAATTATGTATCCTTTGACCAACCTCTCCCCAATTTATCATCCCCCATCAAGTTGAACTTGTGTCAAGCAATTGGAGGAACATGAGGTTTTATAATAAAGTTTGTCAGAGTGAGTTGTGGAAGTGGCTGAATTGAGGGCAAAGAGTTGAATATTCCTGATTTGAAATGCTTGGGACCAGAAATATATTGGACTTTAGATTTTTCTAGATTTTGGAACAGTTCCATATACATAATGAAATTTCTTGAGGATGGAACCCAACTCTAAACATGAAATTTATTTATGTTTCATATATACCTTATATGCATAGACTGAAGTTAGCCTTATACAATATTTTTAATAATTTTGTACACCAAAGTTTTGACTGCAGTTTGACTGTAATCCATCACATGAGCTCAGGTGTGGAATTTTCCACTTGTAGTGTCATTCATGCTCAAAAAGTTTCAGATTTTGGAATATTTCAGATTTTGGATTCTCTAATTAAGAATGCTCAACCTGTATTATGAGTGGTAAATGACTAGTTCAGTGCGCAGAGGGCTGTGTAAGGATGCTCTGCTCTTTTAAAAAATAAAAATTCTATATATTTAAGGTGTACAACATGCTATTTAGTATAGTGAAATAATTACTAAGTCAAGAGAGTTAACATATGCAGCATCTCACATAATTAATTTTTTGGTTTTTGCTTTTTCTGTTTGCTTGTTTTGTGGTGAAGGTACCCGATATCTACTCTTTTAGCAAATTTCCAAATTTTCAATAAAACATTATTAACTATTATCATCATTCTATATATTAGATCTCTAGGCTTATTCTTCCTATGTGGTTGCAAATTTGTACCCTTTGATCATCTTTGATCGTCTTTCTGTTTCTCTCAACCTTCAGCCCCTTGTAACCACCATTCTACTTTCTACTTCTATGTTAATTGTTTTCTATTTCATATATAAATGAGATCATGCAGTATTTGCCTTACTGTCTCTGGCTTATTTCACTTAGCACAATGTTTTCCAGGTTTATCCATGTTGTCACAAATGACTGGATTTCCTTTCTAAGTCTGGATAACATTTCGTTGTGTTTCTACACCACATTGTCTTTATCTGCTTATCCATAGATGAGCACTTAAGTTGATTCCAATATCTTAGCTATTGTGAATAATGCTGTAATGAACATGACAGTGCAAAGATCCTTTTGAGGTACTGATTTCATTTCTTTTGGGTAGAAACCCAGAAGAGAGATTGCTGGGTCACATACTAGTTCTATTGTAATTTTTTTGAGGAAACTTCATACTGTTTTTCCATAATGGCTGTACCAGTGTATATACCCACCAACAGCATACAAAGGTTGTCTTTTCTCCAAACCCTGCCAACACTTTTTTATCTTTTTGATAATGGCCATTTTAGCAGGTGTGAAGCAGCATTTCATTGTGGCTTTAATTTGCATTTCCGTCTTGATTAGTAATGTTGAGAATTTTTTCATCTACCTTCTGACCATTTGTATGTCTTCTTTTGAGAAATGTCTGTTCAGATATTTTGCCCATTTTTTGATCAGGTTATTTTCTTGCTATTGAGTTGTTTGAAATCCTTATGTATTGTGGATATTAACCCCTTATCAGATGTATGGTTTACAAATATTTTCTTCCATTCTGTAGGTTGTCTTTTCACTCTGTTAATTGATTCCTTTGCTTTACAGAAACTTTTAAATACAATGTAACTTCATTTGTCTATTTTTTGTTGTTGCCTGTGCTTTTGGGGTCATATTAAAAAAATCATCATTAGACCAATGTCATAGATCCTGTTCTCCATGTTTTCTTCTAGTGTTTTTATAATTTCTGTTCTTACATTTAAGTCTTTAACCCATTTTGAGTTTCCTTTTGTATATGGTATAATTGTCCAATTTCATTCTATTGCATGTGCAAATCCAGTTTTCCCGACATCATTTATTGAAACAACTATCCTTTCCCCATTGTGTTCTTTTGGTGACCCTATCAAAAATTAGTTGACTGTATATGCATGTGTTTATTTTCTGTGCTCTCTATTCTGCTTCATTGTCCCATATGTCTGTTTTTATGCCAACACCATACTATTTTGACTACTACAGCTTGTAAGGTAATGATGCTTTCAACTTTGTTCTTCTTTCTCAAGTTGCTTTGTGTATTTGGTGCCTATTTTGATTCCATACAAATTCTAAGGTGTTTATTTCTTTGAAAAAAGCCATTAAATTTTTGAGAAGGATTGCATTGAATATGTAGATCACTTTGGGTAGTATGGACATTCTAACAATATTAATTTTTTAATCCATGAATGGGAAGTATTTTTCCACTTATTTGTATCTTCTTCAGTTTTTTTCATCTATGTTTTATAGTTTTCAATGTACAGGTCTTTTACCTCCTTGGTTAAACCTATCCCTAAGTATTTTATTCTTTTTGATGTGGTCTAAATGGGATTTTTAAAAATTTCCTTTTCCAATAGATTGTCACTGATGTAAAGAAACAACTGATTTGTCTATGTTGATTTTATATCCTGCAACTTTACTGAATTTGATATTAGTTCTAACAGTTTTTTAATGAAGTTTTTAGAGCAAATTCTTTGAATTATCTTTTTTACTCAATTATATACATGTTATTATAAGTTGAATATATAGCAGTTAAAGAATGAAATGGATATGAAATTCATCCTTTGAAATGTGTTATGTGGCCCACTTGCTTGCTCAGAAAGAATATGTCTTCTACAGTTTGAAGCTGATAAATTACATTGTTAAAACACGCTATTATCATTGATATGCTTGTCTACAAATTTTATCAGTCATTAAAATGTGTGTGTTTAAATCTCTGACAGTGCTACTGTTTTGTTAATTTTATTTGTATTTGGTCAGTTCTGGCTTTATATAGTTTCCAAGCTGTATATTAGGTGCTTAGAAGTCTAGATTATTATAGCTTCTTGCTTAATTGAGATTTTATCATTATAAAATTGATTTTTATCCTCAGTAATATTTCTTAAAGTCTGTTTTGACTAATAATACTATAGCAATTTCAGCTTTATTTTCGTATTTTTCCTATACATGACTTCATATTCTTTGATTTTCAAACTATTCTATATCCTAACATTCCAGATAGGTCATTTGCAAGTTCTATGAAACCGGATTTAGGTTTATTGGTCTGATACCCTTTTGCTTTTAAGAGGAGCACTTAAACCACTTAATTTTATCATTGTTATTAATGTGTTATACTATTAACTTTGGTACTTATTTTTTAATCATTTTTCTTCCATATTTTTGTTGCTCTTTTTTCTTTCTGCATTGATTTTGGGGGGAGACTTAGAGAAAAATGGCGGATAGGAGGCAAAACTAACTTGCAGGTCCCATTCGGATGGACAGAGCAGCATATGGAGACTCACGCTGTAAACTTTTGCTCCAAGAACTACTTCAGGAACATACCAGAAAAGCCAAGAGAATCCACAGACCCTTTGAAGGAGGTAGAATGGCACCTCAAGCTCCATAGGACAGCCAAGGAACTATGTCAGCTTGTTCTCAGCTGGGAGGAGTGTAGCCTGGGGCAAGTACTCAGCCCTGGTCACCAACTCTCTGGAATTAAACTCAGTACTGTTGGGGGAGCTCAGTGGGAGTGAGACCTGTCTTTCAGGCTGCCAGCTGCATGGGAGCTGGGTGAGGCCTGTGGCTCCTGGCTTTCCCCCACGTCCCTGGCAACCTGTGTGATGCAGCAGAGGCAGCCAAAATACCCCTGAGAACATAACTCTGTTGGTCTGGGAACCACACTCTCATCCCCCACAGCAGCTGCAGCAAGTCCCGCCCGTGGAGAGTCTGAGCTTAGACATACCCAGCCCTGCCTTCACCTGATGGTCTTTCTCTACCTGCCCTGGTAGCCAAAGACAAAGGTCAAAAACTCTTGGGAGTTCTACGGCCCTGCCCATAGAGAACCAGAGAACCTCCACCTGAGAAACCAGAACACTTATCCAAAGAAGACCCTGGGGGGCAAGCTTGTATCCTCCCTACACTACTGCAGCTGATGCACTCTTGAACTCGCCACCTCCTGGCTGGAGGCCAACCAACAAAAAACCAGCACACTTAACAAAAATACTACCAAGGACTCTCGTAAGGCCTGCTTCACTCCCCTGCTACCTCCACTGGAGCAGTTGCTGGTATCCACTGCTGAGAGACCTGAAGATGGATCTCATCACAGGACTCTGCAGACACTCCCCAGTACCAGCCCAGAACCCAGTAGCTCCACTGGGTAGCTAGATTCAGAAGAAAAATAATCACTACAGTTTGGCTCTCAGGAAGCCCCATTCCTAGGGGAAGAGGGAGAGCACCACATCAAAGGAGCATCCCGAGGAACAAAAAAAACCTGAACAGCAGCTCTTGAGTCTCAGATATTCCCTCTGACATAGTCTACCCAAATAAGAAGGAACCAGAAAAACAAAACTGGTAATATGACAAAACAAGGTTCTTTAACATCCCCAAAAGCTCGCACTAGCTCACCAGCAATGGATCCAAACCAAGAAAAAATCTCTGAGTTGCCAGAAAAAGAATTCAGAGGGTGGATTATTAAGCCAATCAAGGAGGCACCAGAGAAAGGTGAAGTTCAATTTAAAAAAATAAAATAAAAAAGGATATGAATGGAAATATCTCCAGTGAAATAGATAGATGGAATAAATTAAAAAACAATCACAACTTCTGGAAATCAAGGACACATTTAGAGAAATGCAAAATAAACAGAATAGTGTCAGCAATAGAATGGAACAAGTAGAAGAAAGAATTTCAGAATTCAAAGACAAGACTTTCAAATTAACCCAATCTGACAAAAACAAAGAAAAAACAATTTTTTTTAAATGAACAGGCCGGGTGCGGTGGCTCATGCCTGTAATCCCAGCACTTTGGGAGGCTGAGGCAGGTGGATCACGAGGTCAGGAGATTGAGACCATCCTGTCTAACATGGTGAAACCCCGTCTCTACTAAAAATACAAAAAAATTCACCAGGTGTGGTGGCGGGCACCTGTATTCCCAGCTACTTGGGAGACTGAGGCAGGAGAATGGTGTGAACCTGGGAGGCAGAGCTTGCAGTGAGCCAAGATAGTGCCACTGCAGTCCAATCTGGGTGAAAGAGCGAGATCCCGTCTCAAAAAAAAAAAAAAAAAAAAAAAATGAACAAAGCCTCCAAGAATTTTGGGATTATATTAAGCCACCAAACCTAAGAATAACTGGGTGTTCCCAAGAAAGAAGTAAAATCTAGAAGTTTGGAAAATTTATTTGAGGAAATAATCAAGGAAAATTTGTCTGGCCTTGTTAGAGATCTAGACATCCAAATACAAGAAGCTCAAAGAATACCTGGGAAATTCATCATGAAAAGATCATCTCCTAGGCACATAGTCATCGGGTTATCTAAAGTCAAGATGAAGGAATCTTAAGAACTGTAAGGCAAGAGCATCAGGTAACCTATAAAGGAAAACCTATCAGATTAACAGCAGACTTCTTAGCAGAAACTTACAAGCTAGAAAGGATTTGGGTCCTATCTTTAGCCTCCTTAAATAAAGCAATTATCAGCCAAGAACTTTGTATCCAGCAAAACTAAGTTTCAAAAATGAAGGAAAGATACAGTCTTTTCCAGACAAACAAATGCTGAGAGAATTCACCACCACCAAGCCAGCACTATAAGAATGGCTAAAAGGAGATCTAAACCTTGAAACAAATCCTCAAAATACACCAAAACAAGACCTCCTTAAAGCATAAGTCTCACAGGACCTATAAAACAATTACACAATAAAAAAGGTATTCAGGCAACAAATAGCATGATGAAAAAACAGTGACTCACATCTTAATACTAACATTAAATGTAAATGGCCGAAATGCTCCACTTAAAAGATACAGAATGGCAGAAAGAATAAAAACTTACCAACCAAGTATCTGCCCTCTTCAAGAGACTCCCCTGACACATAGGACTCACTCACATAAACTTAATGTAAAAGGGTGGAAAAAGATATTGCATGCAAATAGACACCAAAGATGAATAGGAGTAGCTATTCTTACATCAGACAAAACAAACTTTAAAGCAGCAGTTAAAAAAGACAAAGAGGGACTTTATATAATGATAAAAGGCCTTGTCCAGCAGGAAAATATCACAATTCTAAATATATATGCTCCTACCACTGGAGTGCCCAAACTTATAAAACAATTACTGCTAGACCTAAGAAATGAGACAGAAAGCAACACAGTAACAGTGGGGGACTTTTAATATTTCACTGACAGCACTAGACAGGTCATCAAGAAAGAAAGTCAACAAAGAAACAAGGGACTAAAACTATACCCTAGAACAAATGGATTTAACAGATATTTACAGAAGATTCTACCCAACAATCACGGAATATACATTCTATTCACCAGTGCATGGAACTTTCTCCAAGATAGACAATATGATAGGCCACAAAACAAGTCTCCACAAATTTAAGAAAATTGAAATTATTTGAAGTACTCTCTCAGACCACAGTGAACTCAAATTGAAAGTCAACTCCAAAAGAAACCCTCAAAATCATGCAAATACATGGAAATTAAATAAGTTGCTTCTGAATGATCATTGTGTCAACAATTAGATTAAGATGAAAATTTAAAAATTCTTTGAACCGAACAATAACAGTGACACAACCTATCAAAATCTCTGGGATACAGCAAAACCTGTGCTAAGAAGAAAGTTCATAGCATTAAATGTCTACCTCAAAAAGTCTGAAAGAGCACAAATAAACAAACTAAGGTCACACCTCAAGGAACTAGAGAAACAAGAACAAGCCAAGCCAAAACCCAGTAGAAGAAAAGAAATAACCAACATCAGAGCAGAACTGAACAAAATGGAAACAAACAAAAAGATAAATGAAACAAAAAGCTGGTTCTTTGAAAAGATAAATAAAATTGATAGACCTTTAGCAAGATTGACCAAGTAAAAAAGAGAGCAGATCCAAAAAGCTCAATTAGAAACAAAATGGGAGATATTACAACTGATACGACAGAGATATGAAAGATCATTTAAGGCTATTATGAACACCTTTACATGCATAAACTAGAAAACCTAGAGGATATGGATAAATTTCTGGAATTATACAATCCTCCTAGATTAAACCAGGAAGAAATAGAAACTCTGAACAGACCAATAACAAGCAGCAAGATTGAAATGGTAATTAAAGTTACCAAAAAAAAAATTCCGGGACCAGAAGGATTCACAGCTGAATTCTATCAGATATTAAAAGAAGAATTGGTAGCAATCCTGTTGACACTGTTCCTAACAATAGAGTAAGAGGGAATCCCCCCCTAAATCATTCTATGAAGCCAGTATCACCCTAATACCAAAACCAGGAAATGACATAACGAAGAAAGAAAACTACAGATCAATATCCCTGATGAACACAGATGCAAAGATTCTCAACAAAATACTAGCTAACCAAATTCAACAGCATATCAAAAAGATAATCCACCATGATCAAGTGGATTCCATACCAGGGATGCAGGGATGGTTTAACAAAGGTAAGTCAATAAATGTGATACACCACATAAACAGAATTAAAAACAAAAATCAAATGATTATAATCAATAGATGCAGAAAAAATATCTAGTGAAATTCAGCATTGCTTTGTGATTAAAACACTCAGCAAAATCAACATACAGGTGATATACCTTAAGGTAATAAAAGTTATCTATGACAAACCCACAGCCAACATTATACTGAATGGGGAAAGGTTGAAAGCATTCCACCTGAGAACTGGAACGAGACAAGGATGTTCACTTTCACCCTTCTATTCAACATAGCACTGGAATTCCTAGCTAGAGCAATCAGACAAGAAAAAGAAATTAAGCACATCCAAATCAGTAAAGACAAACTCAAAATGTTGCTGTTTGCTGATGACATGATTGTATACCTAGAAAACCCTAAAGACTCATCCAAAAAGTTTCTAGAACTGATAAATAAATTCAGCAAAGTTTTAGGATACAAAATTAATGTACACAAGTCAGTAACCCTGCTATATGCCAACAGTGACCAAGCTGAGAATCAAATCAAGAACTCAATCCCTTTCACAATAGCTACAAAAATAAAATATTTAGAAATATACCTAACTAAGGATGTGAAAGACCTGTACAAAGAAAACTACAAAACACTGCTGAAAGAAATCATAGATGACACAAACAAATGAAAACACATCCCATGCTCATGGATGGGTAGAATCAGTATTGTGAAAATGACCATACTGATAAAAGCAATCTACACATTCAATGCAATTCCCATCAAAATACCAACATCATTCTTCACAAACTAGAAAAAACAATCCTAAAATTCATATGAAACTAAAAAAGAGCCCACATAGCCAAAGCAAGACCAAATAAAAGGAATAAATCTGAAGACATCTCATTACTCGACTTCAAACTATACTATAAGTCCATAGTCACCAATACACCAATACAGTATAAAAATAGGCACATAGTCCAATGGAACAGAATAAAGAACCCAGAAATCAAGCCAAATACATACAGCCAACTGAGCTTTGACAAAGCAAACAGAAACATAAAGGGGGAAAAGACACCCTATTCAACAAAATGTACTGGAATAATTGGCAAGACACATGTAGAAGAATGAAACTGGATCCTTATACAAAAAAACTCACCTTATACAAAAAAAAAAAAAACTCACCTTATACAAAAATCAACTCAAGATGGATCAAAGGCTTAAACCTAAGACCTGAAACCATAAAAATTCTAGAAGGTAACATGGGAAAAACCCTTCTAGACATTGGCTTAGGCAAAGACTTCATGAAGAACCCAAAAGCAAATGCAACAAAAAGAAGATAAATAGGTGTGACTTAATTAAACTAAAAACCTTCAGCAAAAGAAACAATCAGCAGAGAAAACAGACAACCCACTAAGTGGGAGTAAATAGTCACAAGGTATGCATCTGACAAAGGACGAATATCCAGAATCAAAAAGGAACTCAAACAAATCAGCAAGCAAGAAACAAACAATCCCAACAAAAAGTGGGATAAGGACATGAATAGAAATTTCTCAAAAGAACATATATAAATGCCCAAAAAATATATGAAAATAATGCCCAACATCATCAGGGAAATACATATCAAAGCCACAATGTTATATCACCTTACTCCTGCAAGAATGGCCATAATCAAAAAATCAAAAAAATAATAGATTTTGGTGTGGATGTGGTGAAAAGGAACACTTCTGCATTGCTGGTGAGAATGTAAACTAGAATAACCACTATGGAAAATAATGCAAAGATCCCTTAAAGAACTAAAAGAACTACCATTTGATCCAGCAATCCCACTACTGGGTATCTATCCAGAGGTAAATAAGTGATCCAGCAATCCTACTACTGGGTATCTACCCAGAGATAAATAAGTCATATGAAAAAGAAACTTGCACACACATGTTTATAGCAGCACAATTCACAATTCACAATTGCAAAAATATGGAACCAGCCCAAATGCCTGTCAATCAATGAGTGGATAAAGAAAATGTGGTATATATATACCATGGAGTACTACTCAGCCATAAAAAGGAACAAAATAATGGTATTTGCAGCAACCTAGATAAAATTGGAGACCATTATTCTAAGTGAAGTAACTCAAATGGAAAATCAAACATCATATGTTCTCACTCATAAGTGGGAGCTAAGACATAGGAAAGACACAATAGGCTTTGGGGACTAGGGTAAAATGGTGGGGTGGGTGACGGATAAAAGAATACACATTGGGTACTGAGTACACTACTTGGGTGATGGGTACACCAAAATCTCAGAAATCATCACAGGTGAATTTATTCATGTAACCAAACACCACCTGTTCCTCAATAGCTATTGAAATTTACAAATTTTTTTTAAAAATTTAAAAAAAATTATAAAAACATTTTTAAAGAAATTTAATAAAGTATCAAGGTCATAAACAAAGACAAACTGAAGAAACTGTTATAGCTTAAATGACACTACAGAGATATGACAACTAATTGCAAAGCATGATCCTAGATTGAATTCTGGTCTGGAAAAAATATATTAATGTAATGTATATTGTATATTATGTTATGAAAAATATAATGTATATAAATATATATTATAAGATATATTAATATATTATTGTGATAAATGAAAAAAGAAATAAATCGATTTTTTATCTTTTTTATTCCTCTAGTAAGGATATTTTATATATATACTCTAGCTCTCTTTTTTGTGCATCTGGTTACCTAGAAACCTAGATATTATATGAAACTTATCAAAGCACGAAACATATTTAACTGTTTACCTTCTCCCAAACTATACAAGTACTTTAGAATTAACCCCAGTCATCCAACTCAGACTTATTATTGTATGTTTTAGTTCTGTTTTTTTAAATCCCAGAAGATTGTTGCTTTTATACAGTCAATGTTTATTTTGATTTTAATACCTGTTTTTCTCATTCCTTCTTTCACCTCAGTTCCTCCAACTAGGATAATGTCTTTTCCACTGGAAGTGACTCTCTGTTGGTTGTAAATGCCCCAATTCTTTTTTATCTGAAACTGTCTTTATTTCACCTTGTTATTGACAATTTTTTTATTGTGTACCAAATTTGCAATTGTCACAGTATTTTCTCTCAGCTCATTTAAGATATTATTCCATTTCTACTATTATTGTTGTGAAGAAAGCCACTGTCAGTCTACTTGTCACTCAGTTTAAAGTAATTGTTTTGTCTCTGGCTGTTCTTAAGCCCTTTTCTTTGATTATTAAAATATTCTACAGTTAAAAAATATTTTATAGTTTTATTACATATGTCCAGATACACATCTATTTTGCTTGGTATTTCAGGCACATTCTGAGTTTGTGGATTCATATCTTTCATTTATTTGAGAAAACTCTTGATTATTAGCTCTTGGGATTTTCCTCTGCTATATATGACCTCCCTCTTTCTTCTACATGATTAAATATGTTTAGACCTTTTCATTTTATATTCCATGAGTCTTCTCTTTCAAATTTGCTACCTCTTTGTCTTTCAGTACACATTTTAATATCTTCAAATGTGTCTTTTATTCTACTAATTCTTATTTTAAATGTATCTAATCTGCTGTCAAAATTACCTATTGAATTTTTAATTTCAACTAATTTTAATTCTAGGAGTTCTCCTTAATTTTTAAATGTTTGACCATTTTTAACATACTTTTGTCATCATTTATATCTTTAAACATACTAAGCATCTAATTTATATACTATGTGTCTGATAATGCCAACATGCCAATCCTTTGAAGATTTTCTTGTTTCTGCTTTCTTTCTTGTGGCATCATGTCAGGCCTCATGATTTTCAATGAAGAGGTCACAATTTCTTGAAATTTCCTCTGTGGAGAATTTCTGAGGCCTGTGCTGAAAGTAGATTTTTCTAGAGATGATCTGCATTTACTTCTGCCAGTACCTGGGGATACTAGCTCAGAATCCTGTTAAACTAAATGAGTAATTTTATTGTTTTCCAGACCACCTGGGTGGTATGAATACAGGCTATAAACCAGTTCAAAGCTGTCAGTTATGAATTCACAGGAAGATTCTTTCCCTGTACTTAGTACCAAGGTTCAAATCCAGTAATTTTCCATGAAGACCCTTAGGGATGGGTGGGAAAAGCATGTTTATTTCACCCTTACGCTGAAGGTGTATTGTTCTGGTTTTCCAACTTTATACAGAGGGAGATATTGTTCACTATTATTAGTGGTCCCTAATCTTTGCCACTTGTCACTTCTGTACCTGTGAGACTTGTTAAATGAAGTGTAGCCTAAAGCTGCATTCTTACATATTTAAGTTTGGCCTAAAAGTTTTTCTGTACATCGTGAACTATAACAAGTGGAGGTTTAAACTGACTGTAGCCTACACCTGTGCCAATCACTGAGTTTTGGTCAGATGTAGCCAACTGTTTGAATCGTGTTCAAATAAGGCAAATGCCAAGCTGTAACCAATCCAGCTGTTTCTGTACCTCACTTCCATTTTCTGCATGTCACTTTCCTTTTGCTGTCCATAAATCTTCCACCAAGTGGCAGCGCTGGAGTCTCTCTGAATCTGCCGTGTTTCTGGGGAATGCCTGATTCACAAATCATTCATTGCTCAAGTAAACTCCTTTAAATTTAATTTGGCTGCAGTTTTTAACAGACTGAAAATAAGATCCAATTCATTGGGTTTGGTAAATGCTCTCAAAATAAAATCTGGCTTCAGTGTTGCACTTACCTTTCCCATATCCTATTTTTGGTCTTGAAATCAATCTTGAGACATTATTCTTTACTAACTTTCCAGCTTATCAGCTCATTTGAAAAGATTTCTTCTCTATATTTTCCAGGGATTATTTTTTAGACTTTTTTAAAGTGGTAGTGTTGTTGTAAGATATCCAACCCACAATTCTAATATATATATATATTTCACATACACATATATATTCACATATATATACAGTCATATATACACACACAGATATATATATTCACATACACTCCCATGTAAATACACTGAACCTGCTAAACATGCTTCATGCGAAAGCTAAGTAACTAGACAATTTTCTAGACTGGAAGACTGGCAGGTGGAAGACAGGGTTAACGAGGATAAGAATGAGAAAAAGCAAGTGAAACCACACAATGCACAATAGATTCGCATTTTATTCAAGGTTATGATTCTTCATTCAGTCCAAGAACCACACAAATGTAAAATGCCATTGATAGTGCTTCTTTGGTAAACTCACACACTCCTGGGGACTTGCACATTGGTTGGAATCATGAGCTGACTACATACACATATGCAAACTGAAGTCAGTGAATCTGTTGTTTTTCCATAGAAAGAGTTTTGCTCTATTATATTCATACCTCAATTTAACATGAGAAAAGCTTTGCTACTCTAATATACTGATAATTATTTGGCTTTCAACCACAACCAGGACTAGGAAAGTACCGAGGAGGAGAAATGTAAAAGCCCCTTAAATGTCTAAACAGACACCTCAGCCCCTTACAAATGATAGAAATTTTTAGTAAAAAAACTGCTCTGTGTTTAAAAGTTATTCTCTCTTGTTTCCAGCAAATCACCATAGTCAGAGAAACATACATGATTCTTCACAATTATTACTAATGATTTTACATCCAACTGGTAGGAAAAAGAAAATGCAAATCCAATTTCAACCTAATTCAGAACTGACTAGTTTAGAATTTGTAATACAATTTTAAAATCTCTTTAGAATTCTTAGAAACCAAACAACCAGAATTCCAACAAATAAAATTATTTTCCTATGCTCTCCACAAAAAGGAAAGAAACAAAGGAAAGAAAATGAATTTCCTTTAACTTGTAGGAGACCCTGAAGCCCAATTTTTCATGCAATCTATAACTACAGTACTTTACAATATAGCTTCATTTTCAAAAAGAACATTTTGAGGGTCTACAAGTCCCACCATTTCCCAAGATTGCGTTATATCCAGCTTCTATCCATGCAAGGCTTAGTGGAAAGATTGTAGGCTGTAGAGATAAGTTGTGAAGGTAATAATAGACACTGTCTCTGCCACTGTAATGGTACTTAACATTGTGGTCACCATGTTAGTTCTTTAGTAGTGGAAACTATGAGAAAACTAAGGCTTAACGTGATTAATAAGTAAGTGGCAGAGCTAGGGCCTCAACACAGATTTCTTCAACTAAAAACAGGTATTTTTTTTTAGCTGTTTTAGAACTACCTCCCTAATGTATATACAGAGAAACAATAAACATTAATTTTTTGCTAATTTACCCTTACCTGTTATCAAGGACTAAGAAAGTACAATCACATTCAGAAGTTTTGCGAGCATTATTAACTATAATTGTAAGGGCTAAAGAAAGAAGAAACACAAAAAGTGGCTCAACAGTCAAAGACAGGTTTATTTGGGAGAATAAACCTGAGAGGGCTTTCTGGCTGATTCAGATCAGGAGCATTCTCTCTTACAGACTAAGGGTATTTAAGGGGTTAGGGAGGGAGAGCTTATCGCAGGTTCGGATTATTTCTGGGTGGATGAGAATTTTATTGCAGGGTTGAAATGTTTCTGGTCAGAGGTGTCATTTACAGTTTGTGGTCATGCTGACATTAGCCATTAGGCTGATGTTTTTTGGGCTGGATTTAGGCAGTTTTTAATCAAGGGGAACTTAAAATGGCGGTGTTTGTCCAAGATGGTGATGCTCTTGCTCTGTCAAGAAGAGTTTGAAAAATTAGATTTTCATGATTTCATACTTGAAACTTAGCTGACGAATTCCCCACTCATTTAATCACTATCTATAGAGTTTTTTTCATGGCTAATGCCTTTCTTGTGTTCACTAATGCTTTAAATACTATTGAGAAAGAAAAAAAACAATGGTATGAGAAGTTGCATTATTCTTAACCTCATCCTGAATTTAGTAAAGTTAACTACTTTCTCGTTTTTTCTTTCAGGATGTCAGCATCAAATTTGAAAGATATTAGAAAAAAGACACAGAGGCATGATTAAAGAAACAACTGATTTACTGGAAGTTTCTAGAGATTCTTATTGAGATTTCTTACTTCATTTTTGATGATGGATGACACTTGACAGTTTGCTCTAGGAGTTTTCTTATGTTGATGATCAAAATGAGAAATCAGGGCAGCAGGAAAAGGGTTTATTGAGGCAGTAAAATCTTATTTAAAATATTTATTTCAGAGGTACTTATCACATTAGCATCTAGGTCCCCAGACTGATGTCAGAATGTTTTTAAAGATGAGCTTTTCTCTCCTTGGGAATCATATGAGATTTGAGAGACAATTTTAAAAGAGCAGAAAACACCTGTATTTTAGAAGATACTACTCAGACATTTTATAAGAGAATAAAAACAGTATGAGGAAATATTTAAAGCGTAGATCCACATACTTAAGTACCAGGTGGTAATTATAAAAACACTCATATGCATAATTTAATTCTCACCATAATCTTGTGTGTTAGGTATCATAAAAAGCATCTTAACAAATTTAAAAACATAAAGCAAAAAGAAGTTATGTGAATTTGCTCAGGGTCATAGCTAACAAGTGGAACAACCCAACTTTTTCCAACTATGAGTCCACATTGTGTCTCTCTCCATGAAACACAATGCCCGAGGGTCTCGATGAGTTAACGTTAGGCTTCCCTATTCATATCCTTCAAACTTAGTTTGCAAAACAAGAGGGCAATGTGACACAGTGGAGAAAAGTTTGATTGTTTCGGACAGACTGGTTGCAAGCTGGTTTCAACAATTACTTTACCTCTCTCAGACATAATTTCTTTATCTACTTTTAAAAAGATAGTAACACCTATTTTATAATGCTATTGTGAAAATTAAACCTACACCGTTATGGTTAAATTAATAGAATAAAACAAAGATATTTTTCATGTTTTGGAGTTTCTATTAAGGCTTCAGGAAAATCAATAGCAATATTTTTATTTTTCTGACTACAACTAA
This sequence comes from Homo sapiens, assembly GCF_000001405.40. Classification (NCBI taxonomy): domain Eukaryota; kingdom Metazoa; phylum Chordata; class Mammalia; order Primates; family Hominidae; genus Homo; species Homo sapiens. The sequence goes on along the minus strand of NC_000006.12, from coordinate 76,326,762 downwards.
AAAATGTGTCACTCCATTTCTTGTAGCAATATTGGGTGTAAATTAATACTGGCTTTCATAAAGATTTGAGATGCTTGAGAACAGAAGAAGGCCATTAATGGCCTAAAAATTACATTGTTGGAAGTTTTAAATTACAGACTTAATTACTTCAATAAAAATAGAACTATTCATTTTTTAAATGTCCTTATTATAATCAACTTTGCTTATGCAAATGCAACTATGCTGCATTTTACTAAGTTAGTCAATTCGTTGAAACATTTAAATATATTGGCATTAAGTTGTTCACAATAGTCTCATCAGTTTCATGTCTGTAGGCGCTGTAGAAATGTGTTCTCTTGCATTTCTGATATTGGTTATTTGTGCATGCTTTAATTCTTCTGATTAGTCTCACCAAGAGCTTATTGATTATTGTTGATGCTTTCTATTGCTTATATGTTTTCTATTTCCATAACTTCTTTCTAAATCTGATTTCCTTCCTTCTATTCTCTTTGGGTTTAATATTATGTCCTAATTTTTGCCATGATTATTGTGTTCATTGATTTTTTTCAGTTTTTTCACTTACAGTATGTGCAATTAAGGTTATAAATTTTCCTCTAAGTACAGCTCTGCTTGTATCCCATAGTTTTTGATAATTACTATTTTTATTATAAAGTATTTTCTAGTTTTCTTTTTTTTCTTTGACCCATCAGCCATGTATCTCTTTATTTCAAAGCATATGGTGATATTCCAGTTGTCTTTTTGCAATTCGTTTCTAAGATAATTACATTATGATAAAGCATATTCTGTATGCCTTCAATCCTTTCAACTACATTGAGAGCTACTTTCTGGCCCAATATATAATCAATTTCTGTAAATGTTCCACATGCCCTTGAAAAGAATATTTGGGAGAAGCATTATTGTAAATATGTTCATTAGGTCAAGATTGCTAATGGTTTGTTCAGCTTTTCTCTGTCTAATCACTGTGCCCCCAGTCTATGAAGCAATCAAAAGCTCCACTCTCAGCCTCCTGTCAAAGTCAGTAAATGTCCCCCAACCAAGGTTAATCCGAACCTGTGATAAGCTCTCCCTCCCTAACCCCTTAAACACAAGTCTCACTGCCCAGAGCCCCCTGCTCTCCTCCATCCTGGCCCCATAATTATTTTGGCACCCTGATAATTTCCAGCAGACTTTTTGTGTGTCCAGATTTTCTAACAAAACTCAGTGGGATATTTTATTTGAAATACTGGTCTGCCCTAACCAAGAATGTAGCCTATTTGTTCTCTCTCCTTCCATAGAATGTGAGTCTATAGGAACAATGACTGTGTCACCATTGTATCTCTAGTACTCAGAAGAATGTATACAGCAGGTGTTTAATAAATATTTGTTGAATGAATTATTAAATATAAACTTCCACTCCAGCAGTATAAATACTTCTTCTTGGCTCAGCAACTTTGTGAACACATATTTTCATGAAATAAAGCTCTTTAGAGTCCAAACTCCTTGGCTGGCTACCGCAGCTCTTTCAGTGCTACATCTAGAATAATTGGATAGTTACCCTTTCTAATCATGTCTATGAAAGCCCCAGGGTTACTTAATTCATTGACCATTATAAAATGCTTTATCATCTTCAAATTTAAGGTTAGAAAGTATCAAGTTATATGCTTAATTAAAATAGCTTTAATTCCATGTAGGCTTAAGATTAATGTTGCTGCACAAAAAGTAGAAACATTAGGGACTCTCCCTGTGAGAAAACATTAACTATTATGTTTGGGGTTGGCAAGTCTTTTGTCTGATAAACTCTAGGGAGGTGAAGACATTTGAAACATCTATTTATTCCTGGTTATTTCTCAGAGAATTTAAAATGATTTTTCCAAGCAAGACAGCTCTTCCCTTAATTTAAAACACAGTTCAGGTATTATGATATCAATATGAGGGAACAAAGAGAGATGGCGTAAATTTATCCAAGGTCAAAAAAGGTAGTAACTAATTTTCAAATTCATGGCCCCATATCTTGACTAAGTTCTGGGCCAGCGTATAAATGGTGGAGTTTTAAATAGTTAGGGAGGCATCTGAAAGAGCTAATAAAAATTATATGAGTCTCCTTTCTGATTAACAAGTGAAATAAAGATTTGTAGGTAAGTAGGCATCAACGTCCTAAGAAATCTCTTAGATAATCTCAAGGTTTTTTCATCAAACCCTTTTTCAAACCCTTCTCTTCAATTTCTTTTTTTCTCCAGAAGTTAGAACTACAGGTTAAATGGTGGGGGACATTCACTCTCTCCCTCATGGGTAGTAGCCCCACTGCTACCCAGCAACATGTAGGCCATGGAATCCTCCCTCTCTGCTAGTGACTAGTGGCTTCAGAAATACCTAAATTTGGATATCTATAGTTCAGTATTTAAACATGACAAGACATGTAACATATGCAAAAAATTACAAACTTCTCTGGCTTTAATTAGATTATAAAATGGTAAATGTCCAGCCACCTTAGATGAGCAGATAAAAGAGGGGAAGCAGCCAGCCAAAAAGAGCAGCCTTCAAGTAACCTAGGTCCCCAGAGCTAGATGTCATGCAGACTGCCCAGGTCAGAAGGTTAACTTTAAGAGGCTGATATACCTATTCATCATGAACCTCCTGGATCTAACCTGATCCCTGGCATACAGTAGGCATATTATAATTGCAAGTGAGAATCAAGTCTGTTGGATTTAATCCAAAACAGAATTCATGAAAAGTATATTGATGCCCTAGTGATGACCAAAGAAGACCAATGTGCTTTGTTATTACAGTAGTTCCTCCTTATCTTCCACTTTCTGGGATTTAAGTTACCTGAGGTCAACCATGGTCCTAAAATATTAAATGAAAAATCGCAGAAATAAACAATAAATGAAATTTTAAATCACGGACCATTCTGAGTAGCATGTTGAAATCTCATGCCATCCCTTTTCATTCCACTCAGGCTGTTAATCATCCTTTTGTCCATTATATCCACATTGTACACAAAATCTGCCCATCAGTCACTAAGTAGTTGCCTCTGTTATCATATCAACTGTCATGGTATCATGGTGCTTATGTTCAAGTAACCCATATGTTACTTAATAATGGCCCCAAAACACAAGAGTAGTGACGCTGACATACTGTTGTATTTGTTTCCTTCTACTATTAGTTATTGTTGTTAATATCTTCCTGTGCATAACTTATACATTAAACTTTATCATATGTATTTGTAGAAAAAACTCTGTAGATATAGGGTTTGGTACTCTCCATGGTTTCAGTACTCACTGAGTCTCTCAGAACACATCTCCTGTGGATTATGAGGAGACTACTGTATTGTTATTGTGAACTCAAAAATGTTATATATCTGATAATTTTCAACTCATTCCCATAATTAATGCTTTTTAATTTAAAATGCTATCATATATTCTGTGATCATATCTGTTCTATATTTTATTTAAACAAACATTTCATTGAACTATAACATCAGACAGAAAAGTATGCCAAACTGAACAGTTTGATCTGTCCTCAAAATAAATACAATCATGTAATGCCAACCAGATCCAGAAATAAAGCATTACTAACACCCCCAGGAGTCCTCCTCCAGTCACTATCCCTTCTTCTATCCCTAATCCTTCTTATTTTTGCCTGTGTTTGAACTTTCCATGACTGAATTCATGCAATATGTTTCATCTGGCTTCATTCATTCAGCATTATGTCTGTGAGATCTACTCATGTTAAATGTAGCAATAATCCTTCATTTTCATTGCTATCTAATATTCAGTTGTCTAAAGAGGAAACAATTTCTTTATGTATTCTAACTAGTGGATAATTTGGTTGTTTGCAGACTTTGGCTTTTAGAAATTTTTATTTGGCTTCTGCAATAGTCTTTTGATGCACATATGTACACAATTATTTTGGGCATGTAACTAGGAATGGAATTACTGCATCAAAGAGTGTGCATAAGTTTAAGTTTTAGTAGATACTGCCAAACCATTTTTGCAAAGTGGAAATTTACAGCTTGTACTTCGCCTAACAGGGTTAGATTGTCCTAGTTGCTCCACATTCTTACCAACATGTGACAGTTGACATCTCAACAGCATTTTCTTAATTTCAGCCATTCTATTAGGTGTTCTGTGGGAATTTACTGGAGATTTGTTTTGCTTTTTTTTTTTGCTAATTAATGAAGTATAACATAGTTCCTGATATTTACTTTCCATATATATATTTTTAGTGAAATTTTCTATTCAAGTAAATTAATTATAGGGAGAGCCTTTTGGTTAGCATTCACATGGGATGCAATAGTTCTCATACTCTGGGCCCATGCTGAGAGGTTCATCTAACAACACTCTTCCCAAAGCATCCTCATTCAAGTTCCTCACCATCTAATCAAACTGTCACACTCTACAAACTGAGATAGATCTATGTCTCTAAGTATCTCTCCTTCCAGAAAATATAGACGAAGTTTGCATTTCTACCTACTAGGATGACTGCCTTCCTCTGCTGTCCTGAAGACCACGCCTAAGGGGACTGCAATGCCTGACCACTACACTTTGGGCTGATCCATCTCAGTCAACCTGACCATGCAGCCAAAGCTGTGGGATAACAGGAGAAGGCACTAAGTGTGAGTCAACTATATGAGAATTATCTTATTTGTGACTTCAAGACCTGCTCAGACCTAAGCCCATATTTCCCTTACCATCTGAGAAGCGAGTTTTACTTTGGTATGCTCCAAATGTATAGCTTGATATATCAATTAATTGGCAGCTTTTGTTTCATTATCACCCAATAAATTATAATGTTTCTTGTCTCTCCCAGGGTCTAGTAGCAAGGCAAGAGCTCTTTCTCAAAAGAAAGCGAATTGTTTGCTAAAGAGTATAATTTTGCTTTAAAGTTCTAGAGATTATTACTATTATTTTCTGATTGGAGCTTAGCACAAAAGAATCTATGTAGAATTCTGATTTGTCTAGACACTTCAGAAGTCATTGGGTCATAAGGGCCAACCAATCAGCCAAAGATCCAAATAAATGATCAAGAAAAAGCACTACTGCCATTGGTCTGGACAATATACGCAACATCTTATACCTTTGACAAAACTGACAAAGGGCACTACCACAAAAATTGCTGCCAGTTTTGTCTCTAGGTAATAGATTTAGTTAGAGTTGCTACCATTACCACCCACAACCAGAGTGGATTCCATACAAATTCTGCTCGTTCACGTCAATAGCTTTTGACCCAAAGTTCTGCAGTAGGTGTGCTGATTAACAGTGCCTATGCCCTACTTGCAAGGGAGACTTAGAAAGTAAATACCTAGCTTTTTTTCCATATGTTCATAGGAAGTGGGTTTAAATTCTGGCCAGTCAAAATGAATGCAAAAAGTTCACCTTCTTAGGCATTCAATAAATGTTTGTTGATCTGAATTAAACTGACCCACTCCTTCTTTCAAATCATGACAAAATGTAAGGAAATGTGAGTCAAGATTTCACGCTGTTCCCACAACACAGGGACACCTGGGACTAAGACCCTGGACTTACTCCTTGCAACACTGCTTTCCAGAATGTAGTGAGTTAAGATAAATAATAACAGTGTGCCATTTTATAACAAATAAATTGCACCTCGTTAAGAAAATGAATTTTCATCTCTTTGAACATATGGCTGAATTTTCCATTACAAAAATCTTGAGATTCTGTATCAGGACTATTTATGTTGTAAAAAATCAAAAACACAAATCAAAAGAGCTTGTTAAAATAGTCTGTAATCAGAAGTAGTTCTTAGTTCAGGCAGTGGCTGATCATACAGTTTAAAAAATGTTGCTCAAAACTCAACTTCTATTTCTCTGCATTGCCTTCTGTGGTATCTGTTTCATCTACAGGGGCTACGGAATGCCCATGGACCCCTCCCAGCAACACACACACACACACACACACACACACACACACACACACACACACACACACACAGTACCTGTAGTGAGATAGCCAAATGGATGCCATAGTTATAAACCTGAGAGACTCACATTTATCTTTCAGTAACTGTTATAGAAGGAAGTGGAAGCTTCTCCTTTCCAGAAACTTTAGTTCATCCCATCTTAGTGCCTTTGATTGGTTTATGTGTTCATTTCAAACCTATATAACTGGAAAGATGGGATGAGCTGCTTGATATAAGATGACCAGAATTCAACCCTGAAGGTAAGAATGGGTAAATCCTATCCCAAAAATATATGACTAAGAATGGAAGGGAATGATTCTACAAAAGGAAACAGGTTGGAAAAGTAGGCTACTGTTGGTAGAATAGCAGGGAAATAGGTATGATAAGGCACACCACAAAGCCCATTTTGAATTGGTTTGAATTTTTTGTATAAATGCAGCCACCCTCCTTTTTTAATGGTTAAGAGCTATGCAGTCCATTAAAGACTACCAACTTCTATGGTATTTTAAAAGGTTATTTTTCAGGGATAGCATTCATTCATATTTCCTAAAATTATAATGCTTCTCAAATTTTTATGTTTAACATTATATGTCAATCCAAAACCTCAGATATAAGCATTTCTAGTTGACCTTGCACTGATGATATTAAAAATTGCTGTTGGGGATACCAAGGAGTATCATATATAGATTCACAAACTTTACCTGTTTCCCCATATGTCATGCCCTTTAACTGTTCCTTAGATCAGAATTCCTCAAGATGTTTTCAGTCTCAAGAATGATTTGCAAATTTTTTTGTGAAAATCATATTTCCAGTTCAAACACTCTAAATTGAGAGCGCTGAAAATCATGATCACTTGAGTAACTCCTAGCCCTACAAATATTTTGAACTTGGGATTTACATGTCCCAATAAGCAATGTCGAGCTCTTGCATTATATTTATTTGTTTCTTTAGGCAATCCCATGAATCATGAAAATCAATCCCTGACCTGTCACAGCAGCATAAGAAGACCAACCACACTTCTACAATACAATCATAATTCATGAAAAATTGATAGAATGCTAAAATGTTTTTTTTAAAAATGAAATCTTTAAATCTAACAATACTGGCTGACACTGAATTACAGTAGCTATGCTCACTGTCTCTGGCACCCAACTGAGTAACTGGAATAATGCATTTTTATCTACCAGTGACAATCTTCACATAGGAATCACGCTGCAGGGAAGGGAAGGAGACAGGTAAGTCACTTGGTTCAGAAACAAGAAGCCTGACATTTGGCTTCCTCTGTACCTGGCCATTGAAAGAAAACCAAAAACCAGCAAGCAGCCAGCTTTTATTCCAGTATTCCAGAGGCAAGATACACTCAGAGGTCACATATCCACTTTCAGGCAGGAGAGACATATTTGCCTTTGTGGACGTCCCCCCTGGAAGCACAGTTAGAAGCTACAGGCTTTCTACACTGCCCATCTTACTCAGCAAACCAGAGATGAGAGAGTGCCAGGAAAGCATTTTCTATTCACTTTTCCCATCCTGTCATTTGCCATGACCTCAGGGATAGAGTACATGGCATTTGTCAAAGCAGCCAAGACAACCTGTCTGGGGAACTTTTATTCAGGTTGCTTTCTAATTTGAGATGGCAGCAATTTTAGGAATAATTCTGGTAAGTGTAGAGGAGGAAAAAAGAGCATAGGCTGCTCTGCCTTTGTAGCTGTATCACTTTTGATGATGCTGAAAAATGTTAAAGAGAATTGATACTTTGAAGTCAAACCATACCTGTATAATTGTATTGCCCTTTGAGAAGTAAACTTCTTTTACACAGTAGCAAAATAGACCAAAGTATTTCATTTAGATGCCTTTACTTTTATCTATCCAGTTCTTTTCAACCAAATTATTCTTTATTTTTACATTATTACTCACAGTTAAAACACAGAAGAAAATGTATCATTCCTTCACCCTGCCAACACCACAATCACATTTATTACTGTATACATTCTAGACATTTACTGTGTGTATACAGAATTTACATCCTAATCATAGTGTAAATCACAGTAATCTTAGTGTAAATAACTTCTATTCTCCCTTATTTTACAGAACATAATTTAATAAATATTTTCATAATTTGCTGCTTGTACTTAATCATTTTATATTACTACATTGAATTGAACAATATGTTATTAAACAATTCTTCTGTTATTAGAGATGATGTAAGTTGTTCCACATTATCTTATAAATAATGCTGCAATTAACATTTTGGGGCAGGGAGATTTGGGGGAGGAAGAAACCCACCTTTTTTAAATTATAAAATCAACATATGTTCATTGCGTAAAAGTTGGAAAATTGTCTGTAGTCCCACCACCCAGAAGTAACTATTCTCCCTGTAGTAATGTCTTTCTAGCTTTTTTCTCCATATATTTAAAGATTTTTAATGTAATAACACTATATATTATACTTTCTATCCTTTAGCAAATAATGTGCATTTCTGTATGTAATTAAATATAACATCTGATGTGGCTGAGCCTCATAGTCACACCTGTGTCTGAGTCCAATTTCAATCATTTTCTAGATATGTGGCTTTTAGGTGTTGTGCAATATTTCTCAGGCATTAGGTTGTTATGAGGACTAAATTTAAAATTGTATTATAAACGCATGAAGTGGTACATAGTAAATATTCACTAAATACAATCATTAATATTAATATTATACATGCTTTAATGGCTACATATAATTTTTTGCATAGAAAATATAATTAACTCATTCCTAATTATTAAATATTTCCAGTTTTTCACTATCATAAAGAAAAAGACCATAGGCCAGGCACAGTGGCTCATGCCTGTAATCCTAGCACTTTGGAAGGTCAAAACAGGCAGATTTGAGCCCAGGAGTTCAAGACAAGCCTGGGCAACATGGAGAAACACCATCTCTACCAAAAATACAAAATTAGTGAGGTGTTTTGGCACACACCTGTTGTTCCATCTACCTATGAGGCTGAGGTGGGAGGATCACCTGAGCCTAGGGGTGTTAAGAATGTAGTGAGCCATGATTGAGCCACTGCACTCCCACCTGGGCGACAGAAAGGCAGGAAAGGAAAAGGAAAAAGAAGGGAAAGAGGGGAAGGAGAAAAGAAAGGAGAAAGGAATAAAGGAAAGAAAAAGATCATAAACATCCTCATGTATGTCTCTATTTCCTAAGCATAAATCCATAAGATTGTAACAGCTCTGTGAAAGGATATAACTGTTTTTGGATTTCTAATGCATGTGACAAAAAAAAGTCCAGGAAGCTTACACCAATTTATACTCCCAAACAAAACCCACATCCCCTCCCATTTGTTTGCAAAAACAACTGCTTGATATAAGAAAACAAAGAAATATACCAGCCAAGTTTTCGCAGGTTTCTGCACAATTGGGGATTGAACTGACATAATTTGATAAATGCAAGGAATGACGTACTTCTCCAATTTGAATCTCTGTATGCTATTACTGTTACTAAACTGTGTTTGCAAATAAACTGTATTAGAGGAAGGCCTTCAAATCACAGCACCGAAAGTATCAAACTAGGACTCTTAAAAAGTAATAAAGCGTATTCCAATTACATTACTTTAAAAGTTTATTAGTAATATTTTATAAGAGGAAATGCTTAAGTACACTGTAAACTAAGACTCAAGAGCGTTAACAGATTATTTCTGAAATGTTGTTGTTGATATTAGTCACAACATGTCTTACATTTGAAGAATAATGTATTGTAATTTACTAATTTAAGACATTATATTGCATTATATAGCTCCTAACATATTCACGTATCACTGGACAGTTATTTGACACATTTTCCACAAGTGCATAATAACCAACAGCTTAACAAATTTACAAATATCTCATTATACAAAAGCTCTAGTATATCTACTTTATGAGTTCAATTTCTTACATTTTTGAATATCAATTATTGGGTCTCAGTCCTATCAAAAGCTTACAGTATAAGGCCAGGTGTGGTGGCTCACGCCTGTAATCCCAGCACTTTGGGAGGCTGAGGCGGGCAGATCATGAGGTCAGGAGTTTGAGACCAGCCTACCCAATATAGTGAAACACCATCTCTACCAAAAAATGCAAAAATCAGCCAGTCATGGTGGCACATGCCTGTAATTCCAGCTACTTGGGAGGTTGAGGCAGGAGAATTGCTGGAACCCAGGAGGCGGAAGTTGCAGTGAGCTGAGATAGCAACACTAAACTCCAGCCTGGGCAACAGAGTGAGACTCTGTCTCAAAAAAAAAAAAGCTTACAGTATAAAAGAAATTGCTGTGGACTGTCTGAGTTCACCCTGAAAATATCTATGTTAAAGCCTAACTTCCTAATATGATTATACTTAAAGGTGGGGCCTTTGGGAGGTCATGAGGGTGGAACCCTCATGAATGAAATTAGTGCACTTATAGGAAATGGAGAGACTAGAGCTTTCTTTCCTCTCAGCCATATGTTAATACGACAAGAAGATGGTTTCTGTAAACCAGGATGCAAGCCTTCACCAGACACTGGATCTGTCACTACCTTGACTTTGACTCCCAGCCTTTAGAACTGTGAGAAATAAATGTTTGTTGTTTAAGCCACCGAGTCTATGGTATTTTTGTTATAATAGCATGAACTAAAAAATATTTTAGTATCTTTTATCAAGAGATTCCTTCACAAAAATTTTTAAAAAGGAATCTTGAGATCAATTAGCTGACTGAAATTATTCAAATTGCCCCAAATTAAGATTATTTCTTGATTTTGTAAACATTGGGTTGAAACTCATCAGAAAGTCCCTGAATGTTCAAAAGGCTTCTGATCTCTAGGCACTTGTATGAGTCTACAAATTGTCAGACCAAAATACCTTCTGAATATCTGAGGTGAAAATCCTTCTAATAACTAATGGCTAATGATATTTTTTAAAAAAAGCACTTGTCTTAGCAAAACATGCAATAATTTTAAGTAAATTAGAAAAGGAAAATTCCATAAAGATTTTAAACTTTTCTAACTGGAAAGATACTATTTCAATAGTTTAAGCTAACAAGGTAATGACATCACCTTGCAACCCTGGATTCTCAGAGAAGGCAGCCACCTTGTAGATGTGTATCATCCATTGCAAAAATCAATCATAAGAAAGAGTATAGTGGAGTTAGCAAAAAACCTATCATCACTTTAGAAAAGACTTACTAATACTGTGCCAGTAGAATCATCTTTCCATAAAACAAAGCAAATATCTCCACATCTTTTTCTTTTTTTTCTTTTTTTTGAGATGGTGTCTCACTCTTGTTGCCCAGGCTGGAGTGCAGTGGCATGATCTCAGCTCACTGCAACCTCCGCCTCCCAGGTTCAAGCAATTCTCCTGCCTTGGTCTCCCGAGTAGCTAGAATTACAGGCACGTGCCACCCTGCCCGACTAAGTGTTATGTTTTTAGTAGAGACGGGGTTTTGCCATGTTGGCCAGTCTGGTCTACAACTCCTGACCTCAGGTGATCTGCCTCAACCTCCCAAAGTGCTGGAATTACAGGCATGAGCCACAGTGCCCAGCCTCTACATTTTATGTTTATAAGGCATTTTTCCAAGGTAAATTTCATACCGTCTGATGTAACACTACATTATCTTCATTTGTCATTAACTAAAGTACAATTCGCTATCATGGTAGTTTTAATTGTGTTACGTTTCCTAGTTCTCAGATTGCTTTCATATCTGTGACACTACTAGGGTATAAAATGATAATGTAAATAACTCTGTTATCTACTAATTTTGTTATATTGAATAAATTTCCCAATCTCTCTGGACCTTAGTTTTCTCATTTGCAAAATAGGAATAAAAACATGTTTCTTGTAGTATTGTAGAGTTTTTAAAAGATCCGGATCAAATCTATAGCACCAGTATCCAGCACCTAATACATTGCACAGTAAATCATAGCTATCGTAATTAATTTCAGTGTTGCATAATTGATATTGACCATTAGATTATTAATAGAACATATTTAATTTTTTTTTCTAACAGAGATCAGATGCACCAAGCAACTGATGAGAATGTTGGCTTAAAAAAATAGTGCCATTGTTAAATAGCACTTTATGCAGTTCAGATTTTTTTTTAAATCTGTTTGAAGCTAAGTCAGTTCTAGACATGCATGCACAGCAAGTAGCAGCAAAAATCTAAGGAACATGCTGTTTCTGAGTTACCTAAGTGGCAATTCTATAATAGTCAGTTTCATACCAACAGCAGGTAATAGTCCAAGTCAGACTGGGGTTCAAGACCATTGATACTCAGTGGACCTTCACCCCGCACTGTAGATGATGCTGTTTGAAAGCTGACCTTGTTGGCAACAGCAGAGTTTCACCAAAGCTTGCCATCTACTGTGCTCTTTGTACTACACAGTCACTAAACACAAGCCTTCTGAACTCAACAAAATGAAATGTAAAGTTTAAAAAATCAGAACCAAATAATGTATGCAAAAGTCGATGGCAAATACTGACCAGCCGTCTAATGAACACAGGCCCCACAAAAAGCAGCAACACACTTAAAAGCCTCTAACACTCTGAAGTATTATTTTAGATATTAAAATAAAATTTCTCTCCTACTAGGTGCTCACAAAAGCTGTAATTTGAGACAGAATTCTCCAATTCAATTTTAACTCATTTTTCTACCTTTTTTCTCTTTCATCTGACTTGTTCTATAAACCATGTTCATAATACACTTACCAAAACATTTGTTAACTTATCAATTAAAATTCAGCGATTTTCCATAGTTTACAGGACAAAATCCCAAATTCCCAGTCTGACCCCTACTTATCGCTACAATCTTATGTCCTACCCACTTTTGCCTGAACTTACCCTATATTTAAACTTGACTGCTTATTGTGTATCAAATACCCCCTTTATCCTCCTCCTCCTTTGCATTGCTTAAATGTATTTTATGCTCTTCCATTATTGTTTAAATACCCTCCTTTCCCTCAAGACTCAATCCAAGGCTCTTCTTTAACATCAAGAGGTGCAAAAATCAAACCTCGGAGCATGATTGCTAATAGAAGTTAGTAGATTCAGAAATAATTGAGTGTTGTAGGAATATGGGACTAGTAATATCATTTGATTTTTCTACAGAAGTCAGAAATCTGGTTTTTTATAGGAAAGCTCTTCATAAATGATTTAAAATATTTTAACATGTAATGAGATAACACTGACAAATTAACCGGTACGCTTTGCATTCGTGGTAATTTCTGATGGAGCAGCTTCACTCTACTCATCATCCCATCACCACTCCTGTCCACTACCATTCAGGTGTGGACATCTAGGAACAGGTGCTCCTCTCACACCTACCACCACCTTTCACATTCTATAAGCACCAATTTATGGAGGAAGAAAACAAAACCCAAAGTGATTGAGATCAAATATCCACTAATCAGAAAGATAAGAGCTCAAAATTGAAATTACATTTGGTTACAGAAAGATTATATTTACTGCTCAGTTGAGTTTGTGGTCTGAGGATGTACCTACCTACACGTGTGTGGTCTGACCAGCACAGCGTGATCTTCTCCAACAGTCCTACTGATCCATGACTTCTTCTTCCAAATGCTGAGAGTTTCTTGTTGTGAGCAGTTACCAAAACAATTTGTGTTTCTGTGGGGACTTCTTCATCAACAAGACTGTTTCTCCAGTTTCTTCTATTTTGTTCTACCATCCAGATTTCATAACAAAAACACCGAAAGCAATTGCAACAGACGCAAAAATTGACAAATGAGATCTAATTAAACTAATAAGCTTCTGCACAGCGAAAGAAACTATCATCAGAGTGAACAGACAACCTACAGAATGGGAGGACATTTTGCAATCTACCCATCTGACAAAGGTCGAATATCAAGAGTCTACACGGAACTTAAATTTACAAGAGAAAACAAACCACCCCATTAAAAAGTGGGCAAAGGATATGAGCAGACACTTCTCAAAGAAAGAACATACATGAGGCCAACATATTATAATAAGCAAGCTCAACATGATTTATCATTATAGAAATGCAAATCAACACTACAATGACACTCCATCTCACACCAGTCAGAATGGCGATTCTTAAAAAGTCAAAAAACAACAGATGCTGGTACAGTGGTGGAATTCCTAAAAAAGGAATGCTTCAACACTGTTGGTGGAAGTGTAAATTAGTTCAACCATTGTGGAAGACAGTGTGGTGACTCCTCAAAGACCTAGAGGCAGAAATACCATTTGACCCAGCAATCCCATTACTGAGTATATACCCAAAGGAATATAAATTATTCCATCATAAAGATACTTGGTTACATATATTCATTGCAGTACTAGTCACAATAGCTGAGACATGGAATCAACCTAAATGCCCATCAGTGATAGACTGGATAAAGAAAATGTGGTACATATACACCATGGAATACTATGCATCCATAAAAAATAATGAGATTATGTCCTTTGCAGGAGCATGGATGGAATTGGAAGGGATTATCCTCAACAAACTAATGCAGGAACAGAAAACCAAACACCACATGTTCTCACTTAGAAGTGGGAGCTGAATGATGAGAACACATGGACACATGAAGGACAACAACACACACTGGGGCCTGTCGGAGAGTAGATTCAGGGGAGGGAGAACATCAACCAGAATAGCTAATGGATGCTGGGCTTAATGCCTAGGTGATGAGATAATCTGTGCAGCAAACCATCATGGCACACATTTACCTATATAACAAACCTGCACATCCTGCACATGAACCTTAAACTTAAAAGTCAAAGAAAAATGAAAACTTGTTTCTTCTTTCGCACTGTATTTTGTGCTTCATTAACCAACCTCTCTCTATCTCTCCCCAACTACACACTCTTCCCAGCTTCTGATATCTGCAATTCTATTCTCTACCTTCGTGAGATCATCTTTTCTAGCTCCCACATGTGAGTAAGAACATATATTTGTTTTTCTGTGCCAGTCTTATTTTACTTAACATAATTACCTCCAGTTCTATTCATCTTACTGCAAATGATATTATTTCATTCTTTTTATGGCCAAATAGTAATCTACTGTGTGTGTATGTGTGTGTGTATATATATACACATATATATATTTCTATATGAATATTTCTATATGAAGTAGGAGTTATTATCCCCATTTATAGGTGAAGAAGCTGAGGTTCAGTGTCATGGTAAAGGTCACTCAATTACATAAGGCAGAATCATCATTATTGTTCATATTTTTTCTAAACTAAATTCATCTACTGAGACTGCAGTTACAAAATCTCCATACTTGCTGCTGATTAACCCACAAAATTAACTTGTAAGTTTACACCTATGACAAAGTCAAAGTAATACAAAGTTATAAAGCAAGGGACTAAAGGAAGTGGAGATAAGGCAAAGGTAGTGGAAGAGATGGGGAGTATAGTTAACTATGTGAAAAAAGATATGCATCAGGAAGTCAGCTGGGGGCTACCAAAATCTTTATTTAAAACTAAAAAGGATAATTTCAAAAAGAAAAAGGAAAAATATATATCCAATCTTACCCAGAAATAGAGATATGAAAAATGTCCAAAATAAAACATAGCAAATCAAATTCCCCAGTAATATTAAGTGATGCAATCACAAGCAAGATTCTATTAAAGTAATAGAGGAGGTGAAAAACTATATTGTGATATCAATATATTTGAGAAGAGAAGCAGCATATATTAAATTCAATAACCAGATATAATGTTTTTAAACTCAGCAAACTAGGAACAGAAAGTAACATATTAGATTTCAATAAACTTACCCTACCATATTAGTTATCTATTCTTGCATAATACATTACTCCAAAATTAATTGACTTAAAACAAACATTTATTATCTTAGTTTCCATGGGCTAGGAATCTAGGAATGGCCTAGCTGGGTCATTCCAGCTTAGGGTCTCTCATGAAATTGCAATCAAGTATGTCAGTGGAAGCTACAATCTTCTGAAGACTTAACTCAGGACGAAAGACCTACTTCCAAGATGGTCCACTCACATGGCTGTTGGCTGGAAGCTTCAGTTTCTTACCACATGGGCCCCTCCATAAGGCTCCTCATGACATGATAGCCAACTTCATCCAGAGCAAGCAAAGCAAGGGAAAAGTCACAATGCCATTTATGGCGTGCCCTCATAAGTGACATACCATCAGTTCTACTACATTCTATTGACCACACAAACAAACTCTGGCACAAATTGGGAAGGGACTACACAAGGGGATAAATACAAGGGCATAGAGATTATTGGGGGTCAGTTGGAGGCTGGCTGCCACACCTATCTAAAATTTACAGTGAAAGTCACCCTCTGCTCTTCAATATGGCACTAAAGAGCCTACCCAACATCATAATACAAGGAAAATAAATTAGAAATAAGGACTGAAATTTATAAAATTAGCATTATATGCAAATAAAATGACTATAAATATAGAGTACTGCATGATATTCATGAGAACAAATTCTGAGGCCAGCCCAAATAAGTTCAAATCCTGATTTTGCTTTTTAGTGTATGAACTTGGGCAAGTTACTTTACTTTTCTGTGCAGCAGTTTCTTTATCTGTAAAATAAGGTGTTAGTAATACGTTCTCATAGTGTTTTTCTGAGAAATAAAGGCGTTAATACATATAATGTGCCTAGAACTGAGCCTGGTATGCAAAAAGTGACCAATATTGTTACTCTTATTTTCAATTATGAAAAAAATTCCAAGAATCCAGGAAAGTTGTTAGGATAAGACAACAGAGAAAATTAATATTTCTAAAGCTAGCAAAGTTCAATTCAAAAAATTTTTAAAATAAAGATCCCATTCTAAATAAAAATCAGAATATAAAATAGTTAACTATAAATCAAAGAATGTATGTCAATTTCTTCACAGCTAAAATCATTAAAGAACAGGAAATAATGCTTAAATCAATGGAGAGTTATGCCATGTTAATGGCTAGGAAGACTATAAAGATGTCAATTCTATCCAAATTAATTTACAAATGCAATGTAATAAAAATTTCAACAGGTTCCATCTTCATTTATTAAACATTTAATTGAGATCCTCCAGTATCACAGACATTCCTCTGAGTACTGAGGATAGTGAATAGACTAGATATATTCCTAACCCATGAAGCTACCCTCTAAAGAAGTGCATCTTGGTCCAAGTTATTTTGGTTGAAAGTAATAAATCCACTCAAACCAGATTAAGAGGCAGGTAGAGTGGGGAAGGGGAGTGAATTATTACAAGAATGTAGAAATATCTTGAAAAACCCAAGAGCCAGAACTGTAGTGAAAGCATACAAGAACCAACACTATACTGAGAGACCTAGGCATTCTCAGTAGCCATGATGAGTCTCTCCATCTCTCCTTCTCCAATGAAGAGTCTCTTTCATCCATTTATTCATTCATGCAATTAACTTTCCTGAGCATCTCTTAGGTGTCATGAGAAGTTCTCACCATTTCAAGATAGTTGCCTCTGGTCTCATGGAGCTTACATTCTAGTGAATAAAGACTGGTAATAAACAAATTTAAGAAAAATAAAACATCAGATTGTGATAAATGCTATAATTGAGAATTACTTTAAATTGATTTTTCATCAAAATTTAAATATATATGACAGAGGACATCAAACAATATAAAGAGATGTAATAAAATTGTAGACGATATTTACAGTGTATATATTAAAGAATACACGAGAAACATTTTCAAATTACTAAGAAAATATAAACAGGAAATAGGTGGCCAAAAGATATGTCTAGGCAATTCATAGAAGATGAAACACTTGTGGCAAATAAGGATGAATAGATTCTCAGCTTCATGAGTAATCAAGAAAATTATGATTTAAAACAAGACATACATATGCAACCAGAATGTTGGTTAAAAAATAAAGCTGATGAGTACTTTCAGAAACAGAAACTTTCATACTGATACTAGTACAAATTTATACAGCTATTTTGGAAAATCAGTTGGCAATGTGTAGCAAAATTGAAAATGCACCTATACATAATCTAGTAGAACATAACTTTCAGAAGATATGTCTAAGAACACATGTACCAAGAAATTTAATAAACATTTTTGGTTAGCAAATAATTGGAAATAAAATGCATGGGAAGAGACTAATATTAAAACATAATATAGTCATACAGTGACATATATACAAATAAAGAGAATCAAGTAAATCCATGCAAATAAAACTGAAGAAAAGCAAATTGATGAATAGTTGAATTAAAAACAAAACAAACACCTAGTTGTGGGATGATAAGAATGGAGTGATTTCATTCACTTAAATTAAGAAATATACACAGAGATACTATGTATTGTTTTGGGTGCATTTACTTATATTTACATAATAGGGTAAAAATGCCAAATGACAAGTATAGAACACATTTGCCTAAGAATGCCGTGATTCTTGAAGGAGTCCAGCTGATGTAGAACTGCAATTTAGACAGGTGGGGAGGGACGTGGGAGGACTGCCACGTGTGAAAGGCGTAGAACTGAGACTGAGACTTACAGGAGCATAGGGTTATTTGTTCCATGGGCCACTAATATGTCTGAACAGAGGGAAGGTGAGAACAGAGGGAAATGGGATTGGAAAGGAAGATATGTGGAATGATTGTAGGAGTCTTTGGCCAGGCCAAGCACTCTCACCTTACCTTACAGACAATGGGGGATCATCGACATTTTTCAGCTAGCACTGACATAATACAAGTCATTTTAAAGAGATTGATATGAAAACTGGGGGAAAAGGGTAGATTAAAAATTTTTTAAAGGTAATTGTCATTTAAAAGTTAGTGCAGCAGCCCAGATACCAAGTAATAATGGTTCTGAATTCAAATGCTTATAATCAGAATGGAAAGGGCCAGAAGAATGCATTATCATAAAGACTTTGTGATAAAACTTGGTAACTGAGAAGAAAAGGGTGTTGCTACAGACTGAGTGTTCATGTCCCGCTCTACCACTAAATTCATACATTGAAGATCTTACCCCAATGTGATGGTATTTGGAGATGGGACATTTGGGAGATAGTTAGGGTTAGATAAGGTCATGAGGGGCATAATGGGATTTAGTGCCCTTATAAGGAGAGTCACGAGATCTCTCTCTCTCTCTCTCTCTCCACCACCCCCAGCAGCCATAAAGAAAAAGTCATGTGAACACACAGTGTAGTAGCAGCTACCTACAAGCTAAGAAAAGAGGCCTCAGAATGAAACCTACATTGCCAGAATCTTGATCTTAGACTTCCCAGCCTGCATAACTGTGAGAAATACATTTCTGTTGTTTAAGCCACACAGTCTATGGTATTTTGTTATGGCAAGCAGAGCTGGCTATGACAGATGGGGTCAAAGATAAAACTCTAATTTTCAATCTGGATTCCCATGAAAGTAATAATAACTCTGTATATAGGAAGATAAGGAGGGAATCTAGTTTGGGGAGAGACCAATCTAAATCTACATAATTTAGGTCAACTAACTGTTCCTATGATATGCAAATTAAATTGGTCTACATGTCTTGTGTGTAATAAAAATTATTGAGTATAAAATGAAAAAGGGATGAGTATATCTCCATAGAATGATCACGCCATGATTTTACACTTTAGAAAATAAGATTAGTAAAACTGTAAGAATATAAGAAATCATTCAGAACTCTGCTAGTAGTTTATGTTTGAGTATGTGTTTCTATTTATTCTTCTCTAATGATGTTGGTAATGAGACTGTCAAACACTTTTACTGCTGGGATTTACAGTATTATGTACAAATTGCTGAGATATTTTTATTATGACATGCCAGCCTCATATAATAAAGAGGAAACCACTTAATGACCAGTCAAACCAAGGAGGTTTTTTCATTGTAAACTTAAAATGATAAAACAATCATAAGAGATTTTTTCTTAAGTAATCAGCCATGTGTTGTTCTGATGCCACTCCAAATCTTCAAGATTATTTTTTTTTCTCCCACTAGATTCATATTGTGTGGGGTGGTTCTTGATTAGTGGAAGGTTACCCGACAGCAGTCCACGTAAAAATTTGTCTTCTAGTATCAACATGACCAAACCTGTGCATGAGCTTCAGTAATTTCAAATTTAGAATTAAGTATTTGGAATAAATAACTTTCTCTTAATGGCTTTCACAGGTGTTTTATCAAAACCAACATCATTTTCTTCATTCAGTCTGATGAGGATATTTGTAGTAATAAGTTGAAACAAGCTTCGGTAGAATCTTTTGTTACTCAAAAAAAGGTCAAACACTAAAAACTAGTGTTAACACAATCAACAGTAGGCTGAAATAGTTTTTTTTTTTTTTAGAAGTTAAAAAGGAAAGTATAAAAAAAACAAAAGAGCCAAACCAGAGATTTCATGCTACATTCAGTGGAATATAATTCAACATAATTCAATGGAAAACCTGCTATGTAACTAGACTGCAATAATCCAAAACAGCCCCAGGTAATTAAAACTTTCAGTAGTTCAAGAGTGCTGTTTTAATTTAGGTACCTCCAGAGGCTGACTGAGACTATGCAAATGTTTATTTGGAAGGTGATTCCAAGAGCCACTGGTGAAGTGAAATAAATACCTAAGAATGGTGGGAGAGTTTGTTGCAATATGGATTGCTACGTCCCACCATCAGAGTTTGAGTCAGTAGGTCTGAGTTAGCTCTGAAAATATGCATTCCTAGGAAGTTCCCAGGTGATGCTGATGCTAGTAAAAGGGACCAGAGTTTGAGAATAACTACTTTAAAACAATCTGGGCATCAACTCCTTTTCTGATGCCCTGTATTTCTCTCTGTATTTCATTCTGGTAACACCTTTTATTTCTCTCTATCTTAGCATACTTACCACTCTGCATTGTAATATTTTCTTTACTGCTCTGTCTCCATGAATAGATTCTGAGATTCTTGAGGACAAGGAAACTGCCTTTCATGTCTATTATTCAGTGACTGGCATAAATTATATACTGTATATACTGTATATTGGACAAGGAAAAGAAAGTCACAGGAAAAAGAGAAGGAAGCAGAAAAGAGTGGGGAAGGAGAGGGAAAGAGAGGTAGTGAGAATAGAAACCATGCTAATGACTTTAAATCCTTGATAGCTCAGTGTCTTATTTGAGTTCTCCAGGAAGTGGAGGTTGGGTCAGAGATTGAATGCATCTAGATTTAAGAAGGGTAGGGATGCCCACATTGGACAGAGCAGGTGACACAGGGAAAGCAAACAATAAAGGAAGCATTATTAAGGCAGCAAGCATAGTACACGACTCAAGTGGGTGATGGGGGAAGTTCTAGAAGACAGTGTACAACGCAGGCCTCCCAGCAAAGGGTTGAGGAAGCTGGAGTATATTTGCCCCCACATCCATCAGTCATTGAGTAGGGGCTGCCCTCAGGAGTACTTTAATTTTTAGGTACTTCCACCCTGCTGTGCAAAGGTCCTAGATGTTGAAAGTAGGCTGGCATGGTTGAAAATGGTAAGGGGATCCCAAGGGAGATGGATGAAGCACTGACGGTATCTGCTATACTCAGTGACCAAAGAGAAATTTTCCTTAAGTTATGTCCAAGAGAAAGAAAGAAGCTGGGTTAGAATATGAAAACTTGGTGCATGGATTAACAGATTCTTAAGCTTTTCTGTTAGAAAAAATTTATTTTACAAGGTAAGAATAAGTCCAAAGAAAATTTATGAAGAGACACTATCATGAAAGGATTACACCAATATCAAGCTTCCTGTCACCTTGAAGGAAATAATAATGTAAAACAAAAGAGAAAGCATAGTTTTATAGCCCACAGAGGGGTCTGGAGAGGCAGGGAGGTTCTTCCTGATTTCCTGTGGTCCTTAGCAAGGAACTATTAAGTAAAATAAAAGTAACATCCTGCAGCATCCTCTTTCAATAAAAAGCTAATCAAGGTGATTGCGAAGTAATCTATGAAAGTATTCTCCTGGCTCTTATTAAGTCCTTATAAATTCTTTACATAAGCCATGAGTATGTCGCATTTGGTAAAGGAATATTTTTTGCTAACTTAAAAGCACTGTTTTCAATGTTACATAAATTCAGAAATAATACACAAACAATTGCACTTTTTTCATTTTTAACTATTTTCAATCATTTCTCAGCTCAGTTAATATAATCACCTTCACAAAGAATTTAACATATCATTCATTAAGCATTCTGTAAACACATTCATGAGCAAGGTATAAGGTTAAGATTTATGTGTGGCACAAAGAAGAAAATACAGTGCCTGCTTTCAAGAATTTACAACCTAGTAAAGAAGATATGATGGATGTGTACAAAAATTAAGATTGCTAAGTGACATCATAGAAAATAGTCTATAGAAAGTCAGAGAGGTGAAAGTTTACTTCATGTTATGGAAGATAAGATCTCGTGGGTCAGATGGCATTTGAAAAAAGCCCAAAAGCACTTGCAGAATTTGGAAACGCAAAGGAGAGAATAGCATTCCATGGATATAAGACAGGAGAAAGAGAAGGTAGCAAAATAACTTGGATGATTCACAAATATGAAAATAGAGTTCAATTTGACTGCTGCATGGAGCATATACACAGGAAAGAAAATCAGAGTCAGAAGCAGGTTTGTAAAAGACAATGAAAGTTCTAGAACTGTATTGTCATAACAGTAGCCATTAGCCGCACATGGCTGTTGAGCATTTGTAGATAAAAACATGTTTCATGGTTATATACCCAAATGAATATAAATCATTCTACCACAAAGATACATGCATGTGTATGTTCATCACAGCACTATTCACAATATCAAAGACATGGAGTCAACCTAGATGCTCACCAACACTAGACAAGATAAAGAAAATGTACATATACACCATGGAATACTATGTAGCCATAAAGAAGAATGAAATCATATCTTTTGAAGAAACATGAATGGAGCCGGAGCCATTATCCTAAGCAAATTAACAAGGGAACAAAAAACTGAATATGACATGTTCTCACCTATAAGTGAGAACTAAACCTTGAGTTACACATGGACACAAAGAAAGGACTAATAAACACTGGAGCCTACTTGAGTGTGGAGGGAGGAGGGAAGGGGAGGATTGAAAAATTACCTATTGGATATTAGGCTGACTCCATGGGTGACAAATTGTTTTGTATACTAAACCCCCACACAATCTACCCATGTAACAAACCTGCACATGTACCCCTTGAACCTAAAATAAAAGTTGGAAAGAAAAAGTGAAATAAAAGAATCAGTATGAAATATGTTATTATTATTTTAAGATGATAAATTTTACAACTTAGATAAGATGCACAAATGCCCTGAAAAACATAATTTACCAAAACTATCAAAAGATGAAATGGAAAAATCTGAATAGCTCTATATCTATTTTTAAAAGTTAGGTCAGCCAGAGAGAAAGGGTGGCTTACCCACAAAGGGAAGCCCATCAGACTAACAGTGGATCTCTCTGCAGAAACCTTGCAAGCCAGAAGAGAGTGAGGGCCAATATTCAACATTCTTAAAGAAAAGAATTTTCAACCCAGAATTTCATATCCAGCCAAACTAAGCTTCATAAGTGAAGGAGAAATAAAATCCTTTACAGACAAGCAAATGCTGAGAGATTTTGTCACCACCAGGCCTGCTTACAAGAGCTCCTGAAGGAAGCACTAAACATGGAAAGGAACAACCAGTACCAGCCACTGCAAAAACAAGCCAATTTGTAAAGACCAGTGACACTTAGATGCAGTCAATTGGCAAGCCAAATCCAGCAGCACATAAAGATTATCCACCATGATCAAGTCCGCTTCATCCCTGGGATGCAAGCATGGTTCAACATATGCAAATCAATAAACGTAATCCATTACATAAAAGAACAAATGACAAGAAACTGCATCAACTAACAGGCAAAATAACAAGCTAGCATTATAGTGGCAGGATCAAATTCACACATAACAATATCAACCTTAAATGTAAATTGGCCAAATGTCTAAATTAAAAGACACAGGCTGGCAAATTGGATAAAGACTCAATATCCATTGGTGTGCTGTATTCAGGAGACCCATCTCACCTGCAAAGACAGACGTCGGCTCAAAGTAAAGGAAAGGAGGAATATTTACCAAGCAACTGGAAAGCAAAAAAGAACAGGGTTTGCAATCCCAGTCTCTGATAAAACAGACTTGAAACCAACAAAATCAAAAGAGACAAAGAAGGGCATTATATAATGGTAAACAGATCAATGCAACAAGAAGAGCTAACTCTCCTAAATATATACACACCAGATACAGGAGCACTCAGATTCAAGCAAGTTTTTAGAGACCTACAAAGAGACTTAGACTCTTACATAATAGTGTAAGAGACTTTAACACCCCACTGTCAATATTAGACACATCAATGAGACAGAAAATTAACAAGGATATTCAGGACTTGAACTCAGCTATGGAACCAAGTGGATCTAGTAGACATCTACAGAACTCTCCACCCCAAATCAACAGAATATACATTCTTCTCAGCACCATGTCGCACTTATTCTAAAATTGACCACATAATCGGAAGTAAAATACTCCTCAGCAAATGCAAAAGAACAGAAATCATAACAAACAGTCTCTCAGACCACAGTGAAATCAAACTAGAACTCAGGACTAAGAAACTCACTCAATACCCCACAACTACATGGAAATGGAACAACCTGCTCCTGAATGACTACTAGGTAAATAACAAAATTAAGGCAGAAATAAATAAGTTCTTTGAAACCAATGAGAACAAAGACACAATGTACCAGAATCTCTGGGACACAGCTAAAGCAGTGTTTAGAGGGAAATTTATAGCACTGAATGCCCACAAGAGACAGCAAGAAAGATCTAAAATTGACACCCTCACATCACAATTAAAAGAACTAGAGAAGCAAGAGCAAACAAATTCAAAAGCTAGCAGAGGACAAGAAATAACTAAGATCAGAGCAGAGCTGAAGGAGATAGAGACATAAAAAACCCTTCAAAAAAAAAAATCAATGAATACAGGAGCTGGTTTTCTGAAAAGGTCAACAAAATAGACTACTAGCCAGACTAATGAAGAAAAGAGAGAAGAATTAAATAGATGCAATAAAAAATGATAAAAGGGATATCACCACTGATCCCACAGAAATACAAACTACCATCAGAGAATACTATAAATACCTCTATACAAATAAACAATAAAATCTAGACAAAATTGGCAAATTCCTGGATACATATATCCTCCCAAGTCTAAACCAGGAAGAATTCAAATCCCTGAACAGACCAATAACAAATTCTGAAATTGAGGCAGTAATTAATAGCCTACCAACAAAAATAAGTCCAGGACCAGACGGATTCACAGCCGAATTCTACTAGAGGTACAAAGAGTAGCTGCTACCATTCCTCTGAAACTATTCCAAACAATAGAAAAAGAGGGAATCCTCCCTAACTCATTTTATGAGGCCAGCATCATCCTGATACAAAAACCTGGCAGACACACAACAAAAATAAAATTTCAGGCCAATATCCCTGATGAAAATGGATGCAAAAATCCTCAATAAAATACCAGCAAACCAAATCCAGTAGCACATCAAAAAACTTATCCACCAAAATCAAGTCAGCTTCATCCCTGGGATGCAAGGCTGGTTTAACATATACAAATAAATAAACTTAATCCATCACATAAACAGAACCAATGACAGAAACCACATGATTATCTCAATAGATCCAAAAAAAAAAGGCCTTCAATAAAATTCTACACCCCTTCATGCTAAAAACTGTCAACAGACTAGGTTATATGGAACATATCTCAAAATAATAAGAGCTATTTATGATAAATTCACAGCCAATATCACACTGAATGGGCAAAAAGTGGAAGAATTCTTTTTGAAAACTGGCACAAGACAGGGATGCCCTCTCTCACCACTCCTACTCAACATAGTATTGGAAGATCTGGCCAGGGCAATCAGGCAAGAGAAAGAAATAAGGCATATTCAAATAGAAAGAGAGGAAGTCAAATTGTCTCTGTTTGCAGATGACATGATTGTATATTTAGAAAATCCCATCGTCTCAGCCCAAAATCTCCTTAAGCTTTGATAAGCAACTTTGGCAAAGTCTCAGGATACAAAATCAATGTGCAAAAATCACAAGCATTCTTACGCACCAATAACAGACAAACAGAGAGCCAAATCATGAGTGAACTCCCATTCACAATTGCTATGAAAAGAATACCTAGGAATACAATTTACAAGGCATGTGAAAGACCTCTTCAAGGAGAACTACAAACCACTGTTCAAGGAAATAAGAGAAGATACAAGCAAATGGGAAAATATTTCATGCTCATGGATATGAAGAATCAATATTGTGAAAATGGCGAGAGTGCCCAAAGCAATTTATAGATTCAATGCTATCCCCATCAAGTTACCATTGACTTTCTTCACAAAATTAGAAAAAAACTACTATAAATTTCATATGGAACCAAAGAAGAGCCTGCATAGCCAAAATAATTCTAAGCAAAAAGAACAAAGTTGGAGGCATCATGCTACCTGACTTCAAACTATACTACAAGGCTACAGTAACAAAAACAGCATGGTACTGTTCGCAAAATATATAGACCAATGGAAGAGAACAGAGGCCTCAGAAATAACACCCACAATCTACAACCATCTGATCTTTGACAAGCCTGACAAAAACAAGCAATGAGGAAAGAATTCCCTATTTAATAAATGGCGTTAGGAAAACTGGCTAGCCATATGCAGAAAACTGAAACTGGACTGCTTTCTTACACCTTAAGCAAAAATTAACTCAAGATGGATTAAAGACTTAAACGTAAGACCTAAAGCCCTAGAAGAAAACCCAGGCAATAACATTCAGGACATAGAAATGGCCAAAGACTTCATGACTGAAACACCAAAAGTAATGGCAACAATAGCCAAAATTGGCAAATGGGGTCTTATTAAACTAAAGAGATTCTGCACAGCAAAAAGAAACTATAAACAGAGTGAACAGACAACCTAAAGAACAGGAGAAAATTTTTGTAATCTATTTACCTGACAAAGGGCTACTATCCAGAATCTACAAAGAACTTAAACAAATTTACGAGAAAAAAAAACAAAACTCCCCATCAAAAAGTGGGCAAAGAATATGAGCAGACACTTTTCAAAAGAAGACATTTATGTGGCCAACAAACATATGTAAAAAAAGCTCATCATCACTGGTCATTAGAGAAATGCGAATCAAAACTACAATGAGATACCATCTCACACAGTTGTATGGCAATCACTAAAAAGTCAGAAAACACGTGGAGCCAAGATGGCTGAATAGGAACAGCTCCAGTCTACAGCTCACAGCCTGAGCGATGCAGAAGATGGGTGATTTCTGCATTTCCAACTGAGGTACTGGGTGCATCTCACTGGGGAGTGTCAGAAAGTGGGTGGACAGTGGGTGCAGCACATCCAGCATGAGCCACAGCAGGGCAAGGCATCGCCTCACCCAAGAAGCACAAGGGGTCAGGGAATTCCCTTTCCTAGTCAAAGAAAGGGGTGACAGATGGCACCTGGAAAATTGAGTCACTCCCACCCTAGTACTACACTTTTCCATGGTCTTAGCAAACGGCACACCAGGAGATTATATCCTGCACCTGGCTCAGATGGTCCTATGCCCACAGAGCCTCGCTCATTGCTAGCACAGCAGTCTGAGATCAAACTGCAAGGCAGCAGTGAGGCTGGGGGAGGGGTGCCTGCCATTGCCCAGGCTTGAGTAGGTAAACAAAGCCACCTGGAAGCTCGAACTGGGTGGAGCCCACCACAGCTCAAGGAGGCCTGCCTGACTCTGTAGACTCCACCTCTGGGGGCAGGGCACAGCCAAACAAAAGGCAGCAGAATCCTCTCCAGACTTAAATGTCCCTCTCTGACAGCTTTGAAGAGAGTAGTGGTTCTCCCAGCACGCAGCTGGAGATCTGAGAATGGACAGACTGCCTCCTCAAGTTGGTCCCTGACCCCTGAGTAACCTAACTGGGAGGCACCCCCCAGTAGGGACAGACTGACACCTCACATGGCCGGGTACTCCTCTGAGACAAAACTTCCAGAGGAACAATCAGGCAGCAACATTTGCTGCTCACCAATATCCGCTGTTCTGCAGCCTCCGCTGCTGATACCCAGCCAAACAGGGTCTAGAGTGGACCTCTAGCAAACTCCAACAGACCTGCAGCTGAGGGTCCTGACTGTTAGAAGGAAAACAAACAAACAGAAAGGACATCCACACCAAAACCCCATCTGTACGTCACCATCATCAAAGACCAAAGGTAGGTAAAACCACAAAGACAGGGAAAAAACAGAGCAGAAAATCTGGATACTCTGAAAATCAGAGCACGTCTCCTCCTGCAAAGGATCGCTGCTCCTCACCAGCAATGGAACAAAGCAGGATGGAGAATGACTTTGATGAGTTGAGAGAAGAAGTCTTCTGACAATCAAACTTATCCGAGCTAAAGGAGGAAGTTCGAGCCCAACACAAAGAAGTTAAAAAACTGAAAAAAAAATTAGATGAATTGCTAACTAGAATAACCAATGCAGAGAAGTCCTTAAAGGACCTGATGGAGCTGAAAACCAAGGCATGAGAACTACATGATGAATGCACAAGCCTCAGTAGCTGATTAGATCAACTGGAAGAAAGGGTATCAGTGATGGAAGATCAAATGAATGAAATGAAGTGAGAAGAGAAGTTTAGAGAAAAAAAAGAATAAAAAGAAATGAACAAAGCCTGCAAGAAATCTGGGACTATGTGAAAAGACCAAATCTATGTCTGATTGGTGTACCTGAAAGTGACAGGGAGAATGGAACCAAGTTGGAAAACACTCTGCAGGATATTATCCAGAACTTCCCAAACCTAGCAAGGCAGGCCAACATTCAAAAGCAGGAAATACAGAGAATGCCACAAAGATACTCCTCCAGAAGAGCAACTCCAAGACACATAATTGTCAGATTCACCAAAGTTGAAATGAAGGAAAAAAATGTTAAGGGCAGCCAGCGAGAAAGGTCGGGTTACCCACAAGGGGAAACCCATCAGCCTAACAGCTGATCTCTCGGCAGAAACTCTACAAGTCAGAAGAGAGTGAGGGCCAATATTCAACATTCTTAAAGAAAAGAATTTTCAACCCAGTATTTCATAACCAGCCAAACTAAGCTGCATAAGTGAAGGAGAAATAAAATCCTTTACAGACAAGCAAATGCTGAGAGATTTTGTCACCACCAGACCTGCCCTAAAAGAGCTCCTGAAGGAGGCACTAAACATGGAAAGGAACAACCAGTACCAGCCACTGCAAAAACATGCCAAATTGTAAAGACCATCAAGTCTAGGAAGAAACTGAATCAACTAATGAGCAAAATAACCAGCTAGCATCATAATGGCAGGATCAAATTCACACATGAAACATTAACCTTAAATGTAAATGGGCTAAATGCTCCAATTAAAAGACACAGACTGGCAAATTGGATAAAGAGTCAAGACCCATCAGTGTGCTGTATTCAGGAAACCCATCTCATGTGCAGAGACACACATGGACTCAAAATAAAGAGATGAAGGAAGATCTACCAAGCAAATGGAAAACAAAAAATGGCAGGGGTTGCAATCCTAGTCTCTGATAAAACAGAGTTTAAAGCAACAAAGATCAAGAGACAAAGAAGGCTATTACATAATGGTAAAGGGATCAATTCAACAAGAAGAGCTAACTATCCTAAATATATATGCACCCAACACAGGAGCACCCAGATTCATAAAGCAAGTCCTTAGAGACCTAGAAAGAGACTTAGACTCCCACACAATAATAATGGGAGACTTTAACACCCCACTGTCAACATTAGACAGATCAACAAGACAGAAAGTTAAAAAGGATACCCAGGAATTGAACTCAGCTCTGCACCAAGCAGACCTAATAGACATCTACAGAACTCTCCACCCCAAAATCAACAGAATATACATTCTTCTCAGCACCACACCACACTTATTCCAAAATTGACCACATAGTCAGAAGTAGAGCACTCCTCAGCATATGTAAAAGAACAGAAATTATAACAAACTGTCTCTCAGACCACAGTGCAATCAAACTAGAATTCAGGATTAAGAAACTCACTCAAAACCACTCAACTACATGGAAACTGAACAACCTGCTCCTGAATGAATACTGGGTAGAGAACGAAATGAAAGCAGAAACAAAGATGTTCTTTGAAACCAATGAGAACAAAGACACAACATAACAGAATCTCTGGGACACATTTAAAGCAGTGTGTAGAGGGAAATTTATAGCACTAAATGCCCACAAGAGAAACAAGGAAAGATCTAAAATAGAAACCCTAACATCACAATTGAAAGAACTAGAGAAGCAAGAGCAAACACATTCAAAAGCTAGCAGAAGACAAGAAATAAATAAGATCAGAGCAGAACTGAAGGAAATAGCGACATAAAAAACTCTTCAAAACATCAATGAATCCAGGAGCTGGTTTTGTGAAAAGATCAACAAAACTGATAGACCACTAGCAAGACTAATAAAGAAGAAAAGAGAGAAGAATCAAATAGATGCAATAAAAAATGACAAAGGGGATATCACAACCGATCCCACAGAAATACAAACTACCATCAGAGAATACTATAAACACCTCTACACAAATAAACCAGAAAATCTAGAAGAAATGGATAAATTCCTCGACACATACACCCTCCCAAGACTAAACCAGGAAGAAGTTGAATTTCTGAATAGACCAATAACAAGCTCTGAAATTGAGGCAATAATTAATTGCTTACCAACGAAAAAAGTCCATAACCAGATAGATTCACAGCCGAATTCTACCAGAGGTACAAGGAGGAGCTGGTACCATTCCTTCTGAAACTATTCCAATCAATAGAAAAAGAGGGAATCCTCCCTAACTCATTTTATGAGGCCAGCATCATCCTAATACCAAAGACTGGCAGAGACACAACAAAAAAAGAATTTTAGACCCAATATCCCTGATGAACATCGATGCAAAAATCCTCAATAAAATACTGGCAAACTGAATCCAGCAGCACATCAGAAAGCTTATCCATCATGATCAAGGGGGCTTCATCCCTTGGTTGAAAGGCTGGTTCAACACACACAAATCAATAAACGTAATGCAGCATGTAAACAGAACCAACGACAAAAACCATAGGATTATCTCAATAGATGCGGAAAAGGCCTTTGACAAAATTCAACAACCTTAATGCTAAAAACTCTCAATAAATTAGGTATCGATGGGACGTATCTCAAAATAATAAGAGCTATCTATGACAAACCCACAGCCAATATCATACTCAATGGACAAAAACTGGAAGCATTCCCTTTGAAAACTGGTACAAGACAGGGATGCCCTCTCTCACCACTCCTATTCAACATAGTGTTGGAAGTTCTGGCCAGGGCAATCAGGCAGGAGAAGCAAATAAAGGGTATTCAATTAGGAAAAGAGGAAGTCAAATTGTCCCTGTTTGCAGATGACATGATTGTATATCTAGAAAACCCTATCATCTCAGCCCAAAATCTCCTTAAACTGATAGGCAAATTTGGCAAAGTCTCAGGATACAAAATCAGTGTACAAAAATCACAAGCATTCCTACACACCAATAACAGACAAACAGAGCGCCAAATCATGAGTGAACTGCCATTCACAATTACTTCAAAAAGAATAAAATACCTGGGAATCTACCTTACAAGGGACATGAAGGACCTCTTCAAGGAGAACTACAAACCAGTGCTCAATGAAATAAAAGAGGATACAAACAAATGGAAGAACATTCCATGCTCATGGGTAGGAAGAATCAATATTGTGAAAATGGCCATACTGCCCATGGTAATTTATAGATTCAATGCCATCCCCATCAAGCTACCAATGACTTTCTTCACAGAATTGGTAAAAACTAGTTTAAAGTTTGTATGGAACCAAAAAACAGCCCGCATCACCAAGTCAATCCTAAGCCAAAAGAACAAAGCTGGAGGCATCACACTACCTGACTTCAAACCATACTACAAGGCTACAGTAACCAAAACAGCATGGTACTGGTACCAAATCAGAGATATAGACCAATGGAACAGAACAGAGCCTTTAGAAATAATGCTGCATATCTACAACTATCTGATCTTTGACAAACCTGATGAAAACAAGCAATGGGGAAAGGATTCCCTATTTAATAAATGGTGCTGGGAAAACTGGCTAGCCATATGTAGAAAGCTGAAACTGGATCCCTTCCTTACACCTTATACAAAAATTAATTCGAGATGGATTAAAGACTTAAATGTTAGACCCAAAACCATAAAAACCCTACAAGAAAACCTAGGCAATACCATTCAGGACATAGGCATGCACAAGGACTTCATGTTTAAAACACCAAAAGCAATGGCAACAAAAGCCAAAATTGACAAATGGGATCTAATTAAACTAAAGAGCTTCTGCACAGCAAAAGAAACTACCATCAGAGTGAACAGGCAACCTACACAATGTGAGAAAATTTTTGCAATCTACTCATCTGACAAAGGGCTAATATCCAGAATCTACAATGAACTCTAACAAATTTACAAGAAAAAAAAAAACAACCCCATCAAAAAGTGGGCGAAGGATATGAACAGACACTTCTCAAAAGAAGACATTTATGCAGCCAAAAGACACATGGAAAAATGCTCATCATCACTGGCCATCAGAGAAATGCAAATCAAAACCACCTTGAGATACCATCTCACACCAGTTAGAATGGCGATCATTAAAAAGTCAGGAAAAAACAGGTGCTGGAGAGGATGTGGAGAAATAGGAACACTTTTCCACTGTTGGTGGGACCATAAACTAGTTCAACCATTGTGGAAATCAGTGTGGCAATTCTTCAGGGATCTAGAACTAGAAATATCATTTGACCCAGCAATCCCATTACTGGGTATATATCCAAAGGATTATAAATCATGCTGCTATAAAGACACATGCACACGTATGTTTCTTGCAGCACTATTCACAATGGCAAAGACTGGGAACCAAGCCATATGTCCAACAATGATAGACTGGATTAAGAGAATGTGGCACATATACACCATGGAATACTATGCAGCCATGAAAAAGGATGAGTTCATGTCCTTTGCAGGGACATGGATGAAGCTGGAAACCATCATTCTCAGCAATCTATTGCAAGGACAAAAAACCAAACACTGCATGTTCTCATTCATAGGTGGGAATTGAACAATGAGAACACATGGACACAGGAAGGGGAACATCACACACTGGGGCCTGTTGTGGGGTAGGGGTAGGGGGGAGGGATAGCATTAGGAGATATACCTAATATTAAATGACAAGTTAATGGGTGCAGCACACCAACATGGCACATGCATACATATGTAACTAACCTGCACGTTGTGCACATGTACCCTAAAACTTAAAGTATAATTTAAAAAAAAAGTCAGGAAACAATAAATGCCAGAGAGGATGTGGAGAAATAGAAATGCTTTTACACTGTTGGTGGGAGTGCAAAATTAATTCAACCATTGTGGAAGACAGCATGGCAATTCCTCAAGGATCTAGAACTAGAAATACCATTTGACCCAGCAATCCCATTACTGGGTATATACCCAAAGATTATAAATCATTCTACTATAAAAACATATGCACACATACGTTTATTGTGGCACTGTTCATGATAGCAAAGACTTGGAACCAACCCAAATGTCCATCAATGATAGACTAGATTAAGAGGATGTGGCACATATACACCATGGAATACTAGGCAGCCATAAAAAAGCATGAGTTCGTTTCCTTTGCAGGGACATGGATGAAACTGGAAACCATCATTCTCTGCAAATTAACACAAGAACAGAACACCAAACACCACATGTTCTCACTCATAAGTGGGAGTCGAACAATGAGAAAACATGGACACAGGGAAGGGAACATCATACACCGGGGCCTGCCAGCGGGTGAGAGGCTAGGGGAGAGGTAGCATTAGGAGAATTACCTAATGTAGATGATGGGTTGATGGGTGCAGCAAACCACCATGGCATGTGTATAGCTATGTAACAAACCTGCACGTTCTGCACATGTACACTAGAACTTAAAGAATAAAAAGACAAAAAAAAAAAAATCCCAGGTCAAAAAAGAATTGGTTGAAAAACAAAGCCACAAACAAAACTTCAGGCCTGATGGTTGATTGTATCTATTAAGAAAGCAAGCATACAAATCCCAGATGAAAAGAGAAGTGAGAATAGAGGAGGGAACGCTTCCTAACTTTCACAAAAATCTTAACAAAGTATTAGCAGATTGAATTCAGCAATAGTTTGGTTATTTACTATTGGGTTAAAAAAACATAAAAAATATCATATGAATTAAGGAATATCTTAAAAGAATCTATATAAATATATATAATTTTCAAAGAAAATGTAAAATCACCAGGTAGGATTTACCCCAGAAAATAAAAGTTATAATGTAAAGTGAGAAATACTAGACTATTATGTCTAGGGATATTCATTTGGTGGATAAAAATGTAAAAATAAAAATGTGAAAAAAGTGGCTTCTGTAAAGGCAGTATAATAATCAATATGACAGGAAGGAGGGAGTTGTGTTTAGGATGGGGCACATAGTGGGCTTCTGAAATGATACAATTTTATTTCTGTTTTTTTACTTAGTACAGTTTGCCCAATTATAATTTATTAAGCCATACATTTAATTTGTGGGTTTTCATTTTCTGCATTTCACTTCAGAATTATAATTTTTAAAAAATAAAACACCATTTATAATAAAGTAAAAATAAAATACTTAGAAATATATAAGAAGTCTACATTGAAAACTACATATATTTAGATATAGAAAATGAAACCAAAAAATGTTTCAATGATTTAGTAGAAAAAAATGTAAAATATCTAATATTTTATACTGACATTTTGAAATGATATTTTTAATATATTGGTTTAAATAAAATATAGTACTTGCATTTTACTTTTTAAAAATGGCTATTACAAATTTTTTTATGTTCAATTTCTTATTGAATTGACAAAACTATAATTTTTCAGGCTATGTGATGTTTTGATATATGTATGCATTGTAAATGATTGAATCAAGCTAATTAATGTAGACATCACCTTACATACTTGTGTGCATGTCGTGAGAATATTTAAAATCTACTCTTAATAATTTTTAAACACACATTATTATTGACTGTAATCACCATGCTGTACTATAAATCCCCAGAAACTATTCCTCCTGTCTAACTAAAACTTTATACCCTCTGACCATTATCTCTCCATTTCTCACTCCACCCAACCTCTGATAACCACCATTCTACTCTCTAATTCTATGAGTTTGACTTTTTTAGATTCCACATGTAAGTAAGATCATGCAGTGTTTGTCTTTCTGGTTTACTTCACTTAGCATTATATCCTCCAAGTTGCAGCTTGCATTGTGTTCTATTACACAATGCTATTCTAAAACCAAGAGCTAAAATGTTCATACTTTTTTCTGTAAGCAGTTAGAGGCTTTAAGACAAAACGCAAAAGACTGAATGACATGATTAGAAATCTGTTTCAATATGATGATTCTTTATTTAAAAAAGGAGGGACTAGGGGCAGAAAGAAGAAAAAAAGAAAAGAATAGATGATTTCATGAAGCAAGTAGAAGTTGGGTACACAGAGAAGGAGACAGATGTAAATGATGTTGGGAAGATAGAATTGGCAGGGCAGGGCAGCAGATCAGAAGTTATGTGTATTAGAGGCAGGAAAGGGTAGATGTCAAGCACAATGTCAAATTACTGGATATAATAATTGCAATAAATGTGCTGGTATTAACAGAAGCAGCAAAATGGAATAGGTTTAAAGATGAAAAGATGCATTCAGCTCGGGAGATATGAGTTTTAGGTATCCATGAGACATAGGTAGAATAGCCAAGTAGACAGAAAAGAGTGAGAACTTGAGAGACTTCCAAAAACCATAAAGAAGACAAAAATCACAAATGACTTTTTAATTACATTATTTTTACTCAAAGAATGGAGCCTTCTTGCTCCTCTTAGATATGGAGGCCACAGCTCCATGTACTACCAAAAACATTATAACACATTGTCAAATGTCGTCAGGCAATGGTATCTGTAAAAGGAAGTTCAAGCTATGAAAAAGCATAATATAAGAAAAAACTCCTCTTTCATTCAGCAGTTATTTTTATTGAGCTGCACTAAAGATCAGGCACCGCATAGCATGCTGGAGAAATGCAGGTGAATAAGGCATCACTCTGACATGGGAGCATTCAGTCACAGTTTTTTCTCAGGTGAGATAAAATGTTAAGGAATGATGAAGTTGGTATGAAAATGTGTCAAATCTTTACAATGTAAAGATTACAACCTCTAATAGAAACAATACTTGAGGCAGAATGGAACAGATACTGTCTGAGTTTCAAGAATGTTACAGTGAGTTTCCACTGTGTGACTGCTTTTAGTATGATACTAGACTTAAGGCTTTTCAGCATTCTGTATCATTGAGCTTCTATTGTTTTTAATGTCGATGTCCAAGAATTGTTTCTTTCCAATAGAGAGTCTGTTTTGTGTTTCATGTGTGAAGTCATGTGTCTAATTTTAAAATACTATATCATTCCTATATTCAAAGATACCTATAGGAGCCGCTTACAGCAGAGAAGACTACACATTTTGGACTAGAAAATATCATATCCATTTACTAGTGAGACAAATGAAAACACCACATCGAATTCTCAACGCATTAACTGGAATCGTATCATGGTTCAGATGCAATTGCATGGAGGTTGGCCAGTGGCACTCTAACAACCATAAACATAACATTTTGATATATTTAGGGTCAAGGGAAACAAGGACATTGAAGTCTTGATGGATCATTGTCTTCTCATGAAGTCTAACCCCTGTGTTAAAGGAATAGAGAACACAAACATTTTTCAAAAGAGGGATAGCAGAAAGTGTCCACAGTTTAAGAAATTGAATGGTTATAAACAGAAACTGTAATCATGTCTGACAGGGTTTGGAAGCACTGCACAATATTAAGCTTGAGCTCTGTCATTTCCACTGACCAAGGACAACCACACAGCTTTTTCAGATCTCTATTGGTGGTTCTGGCAAAACACAATGTAAAATTCTTTACCCAAAAAAAAAGGCACAAGTCTGAAAAAGTGTAAGCATGATGATTTCTTACTATTGGTAAATTATGCAGTCACTTTAACTCACTTTTCTTCCAAAATCTGGACAGAGAAGATAGACATGTATCCAACATCCTTCTTTGTCAGAATTCTGACAATATGTTCCAGCATATAACTATGCCATTGGAGAGAGAGTTGATAGCCAATCTTTAAGCTTGTAATTAACCCTAAAGAAGAAAATACAACTGAATGAATGTTTTAATAACAGAATAATAAATGATGATACAGTGACATATCAGACAAAGGAGTTCTTTCTCAGAGGAAAATTATTACTGCAATTTCCATTTTAATTGGAGCTGAACTATTATTTAGTAAAACTGTGTAGATTCTTAAAGACTATTAATTCAGATCTTCTAAGGTGTCAGTGAAATACGCTACAGCTTTTTTTCCTCTTCATTTCTTCAGAAACCCTGACAGTAGAAAGAGTGTAGAAAAATGACATTTTATGTGACTCTTATTTATAGAAAATCAAGGTATTGATCTTATCCTCATTCCACATTTCAATAATAGCACGGTTAATGCCCCTTTCCCACTGTGACTTTTTTTTTAAGTTTAATGTCTGTACAATTAGAAAGCCATCTTGTTACAATAAATGCAAGACATTAATTTAAGAAGAGATAAAAATGTCTATATCCTGTGCTTCTTAAATACCAGCTAGGAGAAAGTCTCACTAGAAATAAAGATAATTTTAAAATTTTGATACAAAAATAGCTCTTTGGGGTGGGAAAGATAGCTAACCTTTACTTAATTCTTACTAAATTCCATTACAATGAGGTGTTGTGCATAGATAATACCATTTAATTCTCACTCTGCCTTATGAGATTCTAAAACAGGAATGCTGTAGATTTTCATGGCTAGAAATGTAGAGACCTAAGCAAACTCTAGTCCTCTGACCCCATGCTGTTCACTTTCCTACCCCACCATTGCACCCGCCTCCCCTTCCAGGTTGCTGACCCTCTGCCTTCTGAAATTTGCTTGACTGGTTGCTATAGCATAGACCACTATCACCCTGACACCTCTGCAGAGGAGAGAACACAAACACAATGGGCAATAATAAACATGTACCTTTGTGATTCATGTGGAGAGAAAAGTACACTTTAAATGTGTTCCTCTTGTATTTGTTACACTAAGCTAAAAAGGAACATTTTGATGATTTTTCTTCTTTGCCGTGGTTAATAATTGTTCTTATTTAGAAATCATCAAAATATAGTAGGAATGTAGCAGAAACACTTTGCAAAGATAGCAGGGTGAACCAAGTGCTGCAGTTCATTGCAAAGTTAGTGGAGCCAAAAAGGAATATAGTTACTTGTTAAAATTAAAAGTGTTGTTTAAAAAAACAAAGCTGAATTAAAAGTATTATTTACAAGCAATAGAAATCAAGCTGAGTGAGTTTAAGCCAGAAAGGTACTGGAAGGATGCTAAAGATTGTTGGCCAATAAAAGAACAAATAGAACAAAATGAACTTGGGAAGATCACAATAAAAAAATCTGATTCCTGGTGTTCGTTTTAAAAATATGCCAATGATGGCTGTCAGTACATGAAAAGATGCTCAACATCGCTATTCAATGGGAAAGGCAACTCAAAACCACAAAGAAATACCACTTCCCACCCCTTGAGATGGTATTGCCGCCCCCCCACCAAAAAAAAAGAAAAAAATAAGTGTTGGTAAGGATGTGAAGAACTTGGAATCCTTGTGCATTGTTTGTGAGAATGAAAAATGATGCAGCCACTGTGGAAAACAGTATGGCAGTTTCTTAAAAAATTAAACCTAGAATTACCATATGACCCAACAATTCTATTTCTGGGTATATACTCCAAAGAATTAAAAGCAGTGTCTTGAAGGGATATTTGTACAACAGTGTTCGTAGCAGCATTACTCACAATAGCCAAAATGTGAAAACAACCCTAATGTCCATCAACAGATGAATAAACAAAATGTAATATATACTTAACAATGGAATATTATTCAGTCATAAAAAGTAATGAAATTATGACACATGCTACAACATTGATGAACCTTAAAAACATTATACTAATTGAAATAAGCTAGATTAAAAGGGATAAATGCTGCATGACTTTTATATGGTACTTCGTTTGCATGCGGTACTTAGAGTAGTTAAATTCACAGAGTCAGAAAGTAGGATAGTGGTTGCTGGGAGCTGGTGGGAGAGCGGAATGGGGACTTACTGTTTCATGGGTACAGAGTTTCAGTTTGGGAGGATGAAGAAGTTCTGAAGATGAATGGTGATGATTGCATAGCAAACAATATGAATGTGCCTACTGCCACTGAACTATATACCCAGAAATGGTTAAAATGGTAAAGAGGTTTATGTTAGGTACTGCAATAACAAAAAAAGAAAATGAGAACAGAGAAAACATTACAGAATCTATTCTTCACGGGGTTATCAGTTACTGCAAGAGCAATTTCAGCAGGGAGGAAAGCCAAGTTCTGAAGGCATGGGATCCAGCAAAGGGTGCAAGGAAAGGGAAAGCAGTAGACAACACTGTTCATAAAAGACCTCGGTTATTGTAAAGAACTCTGGACTCTGCATTAATCATTTTATTTTAAACTTCAATGCAACCATGTAAGTGCATTTTTATGCAAAAAATATAATATTTGAAAAACAATATATTAGATCATTGGACTTAGTCTTGAACACTTGGATACAGACTCAGACTCACTCTTTAACCAGCCATAGAACCTGGAGGCTCAATTTGTCTATCTGCAAAATTAAGGTAATAGTTGTGCTCACAGAGAAAATGTAAAGATCAAATAAAATGATATACATGAACCTGCTGTAAACTAAGAAGTGCTATAGAATATAAGGTACCCTAATTATAAGGATAAATTAAAAAAATTAGAGAGTTGAGGGAGGTGGTGAATCAATATGGCCAAATAGAACCCTCAAGCAATCATTGCCTTGCAGGAACACCAAATTGAACTATCCACAGGGGAAGTTGGGGGAGAAGCACCTTCATAAGAGCCAAAAATCAGGTGTGCACAATCACAGTACCAGGTTTTAACAAATAACAAAGAAAGAGGCATTGAAGAGGGTAGGAAGGACACTCTTTCATCGCTTATGCCACCTCTCCTCCAACCCCAGGCAGGACAGCATGAAAAATCTGTGTGCTTGCAGGAGAGAGAGTGAAGCAAGTGTGGTACACACAGTGGAACACTACACTGGGCAGAATTCCACCATTGATCACAGAGGGAGTATTTAGACCAGCCTGGGGCCAAAGGGGAATCTTCCACCTCAGCTAGAAGAACACAAGACCTGGCCAGCTTCACCAGCAGCTATAAGGTAGCCTAGAGCCCTAAATAATTTTGAATGGCAGTCCGGTCAGAAGGACTGCAGTCCTTGGAAAGCCCGAGTGCTGTGCTGTTCTTGGAGGTAGTGAGGTTGAAGTGTGGCCCACTGCAACACCAGCTGTGGCAGCCATGGCAGTGCCTATGTCA
Organism: Homo sapiens; assembly: GCF_000001405.40. Taxonomy (NCBI): domain Eukaryota; kingdom Metazoa; phylum Chordata; class Mammalia; order Primates; family Hominidae; genus Homo; species Homo sapiens. The sequence continues at coordinate 76,286,341 of NC_000006.12, read as the reverse complement.
CCACTCCCACAACTTCAAGCAGTGCAGCATGGGGAAAAACTCCTTTTGCTTAAAGGAAGGAAGTATATATAGAAGGTTTTGTCTTGAAAATTGGATAACAGCTCAGCCACTGTATAATAAAGCACCAGACAAGTTCCTGAAGCCTCTGATTTCAGGCCTTTGCTCCTGAACAGCATCTCTAGATTCACCCCCGGGCCAGAAGGGAATCTACTGCCCTGGTAGGACAGACCCATTCCCAGCAGGGTTCACTACCTGTTGACCATAGTGCTAAAAGGGCTGTAGTGGCCACAGGTTTAGGTCACAATATTCAATCCCATTTGAATTCTTGGAAACTTCTTTCAAGAAGGATGGGTACAAATAAGCACAGACTGCAAGGTTTGGAATAAATACTTAACTCTTCAATGCCCAGACATTAACAAACTTCCACAAGCATCAACCACATCCAGGAAAACAGTGCCTCACCAAATGGACTGAATAAGGCACCAGTGACCAATCCTGGAGTGATAAAGAAATATGACCTCTCAAATAGAGAATTCAAAATAGCTGTCTTAAGGAAGCTCAGTGAACTTTAAGATAAACACGAAGATAGAATTCAGAATTCTACCAGAGAAATTTAACAAAGAAATTGAAATAATAAAATAAAGCAGAAATTTGGAGCTGAAAAATTGAATTGACAAACTAAAAAATGTATCAGAATCTCTCAGCAAAATTGATCAAGCAGAAGAAAGAATAAAGTGAGTTCAAAGGCAGGATATATAAAAATACACACAGAAGAAAAAAAAGAACAAAGTAAACCTACAATATATAAAAAATAGCCTCCAAAGGACAAAATTAAAAGTTATTTGCTTAAAGAGAATGTAGATAACAATATTGGGGTACATATTTTATTCAAAAAATAACAACTTTCCAAGTATTTCTTTCCAAGCCTAAAGAAAAATATGACTATCCAAGTACAAGAAGATTAAAGAACATCAAGAAGATTCAAACCAAGTAAGATGATATCTCAGGCACATAATAAACTCTCAAAGGTTAAGGACAAAGAAAGGGTTCTAAAAGAAACAAGAGAAAATAAGCAAATAACATATAAAGGAGTTCCGATATGTCTGGCAATAAACTTCTCTGTGGAAATCTTACTGGCCAGATTGAGAGTGAGAGTGCATATGCAAAAGTTCTGAAGAAACAAATGCCAACCTAGAATATTATATCCAGCAAATTATTCTTCAAACATGAAGGAAAAATAAAGACTTTCCCACACAAAGAAAAGCTGAGGGATTTCATCAGCACCAGACTTGTCTTATAAAAAAATTCTAAAAGAATTTCTTTAGTCTGAAAGAAAAGGAGGTTAATGAACAGCCAGAAATCATCTGAAGGCATAAAACTTGCTGATAGTAGTAAATACACTGACAAATACAGAGTAATCTAACAATGTAATTGCAGTGTGTAAACCACTCATATCTTTAGTAGGAAGACTAAAAGACAAATCTATCAAAATAATAAACTACAGGTTTTTAAGAGATACACAGTATGAAAAGACATATATGGAGATTTAAAAAATCAAAAAGCAGGGGGAATGAATTAAATTGTAAAGTATTTTATTTTCCCTTTGCTTGTCTTTTTTTCTTTTCTTTATTATCAGAGTTAGGTTGTCATCAGTTTATTTTAAAGTGATTTTTAAGATGTTGCTTGTAAGCCTCATGGTAACCATAAAACAGAAACCTATAACAGATACACAAAATATAAAACCAAGAAATTAAAACATAATACCAGAGAAAATCACTTTTACACAAAGGAAAACAGAAATGAAGAAAGAAAAAAGAACTAACAAAGCAATAAGAAAATATATAACAAAATAGGAGTAGTATCTCCATGTCTATCAACAACAACATTGAATGTAAATATACAAAATACTTCAGCCAAAGGACACAGAATGGCTGAATAGAATTTTTTTTAACTGGCATAAAAATAGGTGTATAGACCAATGAAGCAGAATAAAGAACCTGGAAATAAACTAATGCATTTACAGTCAAGTCATTTTTGACAAAGGCATCAAGAACTAAATGCTGCCTAAAACAAAGTCACTTTACTTATAAAGACACAAAGGATAAAAGTAAAGGTATGGAAAAAGACATCCCCTGCAAATGTAAACAAAAAAGAGCAGGAGTAGCTATACTTATATCAGATAAAACAGATTTAAAGACAAAAACTGTAAAAAGACACAAAGGGAGTCATTATATAATGATAAAGGAGTCAATCCAAAAAGAGGATATGACAATTGTAGCTATATATATATACACACACCCAACACCAGAGTACCCAGATATATAAAACAAATATTAGAGGTAAAGGTAGAGATAGACAAGAATACAATAATAGTCGGTGACTTCAGCACCCAACTTTTAGCATTGGGCAGATAATCTAGACATAAAATCAACAAAGAAACATAAAACTTAATCTGCAATTTGAACTAACAGACATCTAAAGAATATTCCATGCAATCCGCTGCAGAATACACATTCATCTTCTCAGCACAGAGAACATTTTTAAGGATAAAGTATATGTTAGGCCATAAAACAAGTCTCAAAATGTCAAAAAAATTAAAATTGTATTAAGTATCTTTTCTGACAACAATGGAATAGAACTAGAAATCAGTAGCAAGATGAGCATCTGAAATTATACAAACACATGGAAATTAAACAAAATGCTTCTGAACAATCATTGGGTCAATAAAGAAATTAAGAAATAAATATAAAATATAAATATAATAAATCCTTAAAATGAATGAAAATGCAAATTACAACATACTAAACCTATGGGATATAGTAAAAGCAATACTAATAGGGAATTATGTAGCAAGAAATGCCAACATAAAAAAACGTTTTAAATCTTTAAATAGAGAGCACTTGGGGGAAGGGGCAACTGTGGGTGCAACTTCAGCAGACTTAAACACCACTGCCTGCCAGCTCTGAAGAGAGCAGCAGATCTCCCAGGACAGTGTTCAAGCTCTGCTAAGTGTCAGACTGTCTCCTCAAGTGGGTCCCTGACCCACGTATCTCCTGACTGGGAGACACCTCCCAGTAGGAGCTGACAGACACCTCATACAGAAGAGCTCTGGCTAGCATCTGGTGGGTGACCCTCTGAGACGAAGCTTCCAGAGGAAGAAACAGGCAGCAATCTTTGCTGTTCTGCAGCCTCTGCTGGTAATACCCAGGCAAACAGAGTCTGGAGTGGACCTCCAGCAAACTCCAACAGACCTGCCACAAAGGGGCCTGATGGTTAGAAGGAAGCTAACAAACAGAAAGGAATACCATCAACAGCAACAAAAAAGATGTCCACTCAGAGGCCCCATCCGAAGATCACCAACATCAAAGACCAAAAGTAGACAAATCCACAAAGAAGGGGAGAAACCAGCACAAAAAGGCTGAAAATTCCAAAAACCAGAACACCTCTTCTCCTCCAAAGGATCACAACTCCTCACCAGTAAGGGAACAAAAGTGGATGGAGAGTTAGTTTGACAAACTGACAGAAGTAGGATTCAGAAGGTGGGTAATAAAAAACTCCTCCAAGCTAAAGGAGCATGTTCTAACCCAATGCAAGGAAGCTAAGAACCTTGAAAAAAGGTTAGACAAATTGCTAACTGGCATAACCAGTTTTGAGAAGAACAGAAATGACCTGATGAAGCAGAAAAACACAGCACGATAACTTCGTGAAGCATACACAAGTATCAATAGCCGAATCAATCAAGTGGAAGAATGGATATCAGAGATTGAAGACTGACTTAATGAAATAAATGGAGAAGATAAGATTAGACAAAAGGAACATAAAAGAATGAACAAAGCCTCCAAGAAATATGGGACTGTGAAAAAGTTCAAATCTACATTTGATTGGTGATGGAGAGAATGGAACCAAGTTGGAAAACCCTCTTCAAGATATTATCTAGGAGAACTTCTCCAACCTAGCAAGAGTACCCAACATTCAAATTCAGGAAATACAGAAACATCACAAAGATATTTGTCGAGAAGGGCAACCACAAGACACATAATCGTCACATTCACCAAGGTTGAAATGAAGGAAAAAATGTTAAGGGCAGCCAGAGAGAAAGGTTGTAATCCATCACATAAACAGAACCAATGAAAAAAACCACATGATTGTCTCAATAGATGCAGAAAAGGCCTTCAAACAAAACTCAACAGCCCTTCATGCTAAAAACTCTCAATAACTAGGTATTGATGGAACATCTCTGAAAATAAGAAGAGCTATTTATGACAAACCCACAGCCAGTATCATACTGAATGGGCAAAAACTGGAAGCATTCCCTTTGAAAACTTATACAAGACAAGGATGCCCTCTCTCACCACTCCTATTCAACATAGTATTGGAAGTTCTGGACAGGGCAATCAGACAAGAGAAAGAAATAAAGGGGATTCAAAATAGGAAGAGAGGAAGTCAAATTGTCTCTGTTTGCAGATGACATTATTGTGTATTTAGAAAACCCTATAGTCTCACCCAAAATCTCCTTAAGCTAATAAGCAACTTCAGCAAAGTCTCAGTATACAAAATCAATGTGCAAAATAACAAGCATTCCTATACACCAATAACAGAAAAACAGAGTGCCAAATGAGTAAACTCCCATTCATGATTGCTTTAAAGGAATAAAATACCCAGGAATATAACTTACAAGGGATGTGAAGGACCTCTTCAAAGAGAACTACAAACCTCTGCTCAAGGCAATAAGAGAAAACAGAAATAAATGGAAAACATTTTATGCTCATGGATAGGAAACATCAATATCATGAAAATGGCCATACTGCCCAAAGCAATTTACAGATTCAATGCTATCCCCATCAAGCTACCATTGACTTTCTTCACAGAATTAGAAAAAATTAGTTTAAATTTCATATGGAACCAAAAAAGAGCCCATATAGAAAAGACAATCCTAAGCAAAAAGAATGAAGCTGGAGGCTTCACACTACCTGACTTCAAACTATACCACAAGGCTATAGTAACCAAAACAGCATTGTACTAGTACCAACACAGATACATAGACCAGTGGAACAGAACAGAGGCCTCAGAAATAACACCACACTTTTACAACCATCTGATCTTTGACAAACCTGACAAAAACAAGCAATGTGGAAAGGATTCCTTATTTAATAAATGGTGCTGGGAAAACTGGCTAGCCATATGTGGAAAACTGAAACTGGACCCCTTCCTTACACCTTATACAAAAATTAACTCAAGATGAATTAAAGACTTAAATGTAAGATCTAAAACCATAAAAACCTTAGAGAAAAACCTGCAATACTACTCAGGACATAGGCATAGGCAAAGACTTCATGACTGAAACACCAAAAGCAATGGCAACAATAGCCAAAATTGACAAATGGGGTCTAATTAAAGAGCTTCTGCACAGCAAAAGAAATTACCTTCAGAGTGAACAGGCAACCTCAGAAAGGGAGAAAATTTTTGCAATCTATTCATCTGACTAAGGGCTAATATTCAGAATCTACAAAGAACTTAAATAAGTTTACAAGAAAAAAAGAAAAAACATCAAAAAGTGGGCAAAGGGTATGAACAGACACTTCTCAAAAGAAGACATTTATGTGGCCAACAAACATATGAAAAAAGCTCATCATCACTGGTCATTAGAGAAAGGCAAATCAAAACCACAATGAGATACCATCTCAAGCCAGTTAGAATGGCAATCATTAAAAAGTCAGGAAACAACAGAGGCTGGAGAGGATGTGGAGAAGTAGGAACACTTTTACACTGTTGGCAGGACTGTAAATTAGTTCAACCATTGTAGAAGACAGTATGGTGATTCCTCTAGGATCTAGAACTAGAAATACCATTTGACTCAGCAATCCCATTACTGAGTATATAGTATAAAGAAACATGCAAACATATGTTTATTGTGGCGTTATTCACAATAGCAAAGACTTGAAACCAACCCAAATGCCTATCAGTGATAGACTGGATAAGGAAAATGTGGTATATATACACCATGGAATACTATGCAGCCATAAAAAGGATGAGTTCATGTCCTTTGCAGGGACATGAATGAAGCTGGAAACCATCATTCTCAGCAAATTAACACAAGAACAGAAAACCAAGCACTCCATGTTCTCATTCATAAGTGGAAGTTGACCAATGAGAACCCATGGACACAGGGAGGGGACCATCACACACCAAGACCTGTCAAAGGGGTGGGGGGTGTGCTAGGGGAGGGATAGCATTAGGAGAAATACCTAATGTAGATGACGGATTGATTGGTGCAGCAAACCACCATGGCATATGTATACCTATGTAACAAACCTGCACATTCTACACATGTACCCCAGAACTTAAAGTATAATTTAAAAAATGAAATAAAATAAAGAGTCCATTTAAAAATATATATTTAAATAAAGAACCTGCTAAAGTATCTTAAAGAAATAGAAAAGCAGGAGCCAATCAAACCCAAAATCAGTAGAAAAAATACATAATAAAGATTAGCACAGAAATAAATGAAATTAAGACTTCAAAAAAACAATTCAAAAAGCAACAAAACAAACATGGGTTTAAAAAAAATTAACAAATCTTTAGGCAGGTTAATTAAGAAAAAAAGAGATTACACAAATAAACAAAACACCGTGACCCAGTGGAATTTATTTAGGAATGTAAGAATGGTTCAACATATGCAAATCAATAAAGGTGATACATCACATTTACAGACTTTAGGACAAAAACTTTATAATCATTTCAACATATGCCAGAAATCTCTTCATTATAAAAATTTCTAACAAACTGCATATAGAAGGAACATACCTCAACACAAAAAAGGCCATAAATGACAAACCAACAGGGAGAACCATCTGAATGTAGAAAACGTGAAAGTGTTTCCTCTAAGATCTGGAACATCGCAAGGATGCCCACCTGTATCACTTTTATTCAATATAGTACTAGAAATCCTAGCCAAGAGAGTCATACAAGAGAAAGAAATAAAGGACATCCAAGTTAGAAATGAAGAAGTCAAATTATCCTTGTTTCCAGATGATATGATCTTATATTTGAAAAAACTTGAAGATTCCACCAAAAACTATTAGAACTGAAATTTTAAAATTTGGTAAAGTTGCTGGATACTAGATTAACATGCAACAATCAGTGGCATTTCTATATGCCAACAGTGAACAATCTGAAAAAAAAATTTTAAAAATTCCATTTACAATAACCAAAAATACGTAAGTACCTAGGAATTAATCAAAAAGGTGAAAGATCCCTACAATGAAAACTATAAAACATTAATGAAAGAAATTAAAAAGAACAAAAAAGGAAAGATTTTATGTGTGTGAATTGGAAGAATCAATTTTGTTAAAATATTCAAGCTAAAGAAATCTACAGATTCAATGCAATCCCCCCCAAAAAAAGACATTCATCACAGAAATAGAAAAATTAGTCTTAACATTTATATAAAACCCCTGAAGACCCAGAATAGTTGAAGCAATTCTGAGCAAAAAGAACAAAACTGGAGAATCACATCCTCTGCCTACAAATTCTATTACAAACCTGTAGTAACTAAAACATCATGAGTGTCATGAAAATAGAGACATAGACCAATGAAATGGAATAAAAGACCCAGAAATAAATCCATGTTTTTAAAGTCAACTCATTTTTGACAAAAGACACCAAGAACACACATTGAGGAAAGGATAGTCTCTTCAATAAATGGTGCCGGGGAAACTGGATATTCACATGCAGAAGAAAGAAGCTAGACCCCATTTCTTACCATATAGAGAAATCAAATCAAATAAAATGTATTAAAAACTTAATTCTAAGACCTGACACTATGAAACTACTAGAAGAAAACATTGGATAAATGCTCCAGGACATTGGTCTGAGCAAAGTTTTTTTTTTTTTTACTAATACCCCAAAAGCACAGGCAACTAAAGCAAAAATGGACAAATGGAATTGTATCAAGTGAAAAAGATTTCACACAGAAAAGGAAACAATTAACAAAGTGAAGAGACAACCCACAAAATAGGAGAACGTATATGAAAACTACCCATCCAAAAAGGGATTAATAGCAAAAATACATGCAAAGCTCAAACTAAAAAGCAAAAAATCAAATAATATGATTAAGAAATGAAAAGATCTGAAAACTCAGTTCTCAAAAGATGACATACAAATGGCCAACAAGTATATGAAAAAATGCTCAACATCATTATTAGAGAAATTCAAATCAAAACCACATTGAAATAACATCTCACCCCAGTTAAAATGGCTTTTTTCAAAAAGACAGGCAATATTGGATGCTGAAGAAGATGTGGAGAAAGAGGAACTCTCGTACACTATTGGTGGGAATGTAAATTAGTACAACCACTATGGAAAATAATAAGAGGTTCCTTTTAAAAAAATCTTAAATTAGCACTACCATGCAATCCAGCAATCCCAATGCTGGGTAAACACACAAAAGGAAGGAAATCAACATATCAAACAGATATCTGTGTATCTATGTTTATTGCAGCACTATTCACAATGGCCAAGTTGTGGAATCAACCTAAGTCTCCATCAACAACAAAAAAATTGGGTTTTTTTTAATGTGGTACATATGTACAATGGAATATAATTCCACCACAAAAATTAATATCTTGTCATTTGCAATAACATGGATGGAACCAGAGGGCACTATGTTAAGTGAAATAAATCAGGCACAGAGAGACAAATATTATATGTTCTCACTCATATGTGGAAGGCAAAAATATTAAACTTACGGAGCTAGAGAGTAGAATGATGGTTACCAGAGATTGTGAAGGGTAGAGAGGAGGGGGAGATGAAGAGAGGTTGGTTAATGGGTAAAAGAAATACAATTAGATAAAAGAAATGAGATCTAGTATTTGGTAACACAATAGGGTAACTAGAGATAATAATTTATTCTTTATTTGAAAATAACTAAAAGAGTGGACTCGGAATGTTCCTAACACAAAGCAATGATAAATAGGATCTATAACATAAAAATTGAAAGATTAGAAAGAAATAATAAATGCCCAAGGTGATGTATATCCCAATTACCTTGATTTGGTCATTATACGTTGTATGTGTTATATGTTATATGCATCAAAATATCAGGTATACCCATAAATATCTACAACCATTATGTATCCATAAAAATTAAACATTTTTTTAAAAAGAAGAAAATTGAAAAATTTTTAAATATTACAGATGAGTTTTGAATTGTTTTAAAGATAGAGTTAAGTTTAAATAGCTTTAGAATTTGTGGTTAAAGAATAAAATATAGCCAGGCGTGGTGGCTCACACCTGCAATCCCAGTACTTCGGGAGGCTGAGGTGCATGGATCACTTGAGGGCAGGGGTTCGAGGCCAGCCTGGCCAACATGGCAAAACCCCATCTCTACTAAAAATACAAAAATTAGCCAGGAGTGGTGGTGCTCACCTTGTAATCCCAGCTACTCGGGAGGCTGAGGCATTAGGATCGCTTGAACCCAGGAGGCAGGGGTTGCAGTGAGCCAAGATCGTGCCACTGCACTCCAGCCTGGGCAACAGAGTAAGACTCGGTCTTAAAAATAAAAACAAAAGAATAAAACATAAATATTACAAATTCTAACACTGCAAAAATAAGTCTGACTAATAAAAATTGGGAAGTGAGGGGAAAGGGCACAGGGAGGACTCCTAAACATGTAAATTGATTCATATTTAACAGTCTGAAGGCAATTTTTTAAAAAAAGTAAAATGCACGTTGGAGCACCTGCTTGCATGATTGCAGCCTGAGTTCCTCCATCCTTCTTGTACAGAGATCTGGGTGCAGGGAGGCCCTCTCTGCTTCATACCCAGGCAGATCTGCAGGCATTTGGAGCACCCAGTCACCTGGGTCAGTAGCCTGAGCTGCCATACTTCCTGTGCAGACACCTTGATGCAGCTGGACCCTCTCTACTCCATGCCCAGGCAGATTCTCAGGCAGTCAGAGTACCTACTCACCCAGATCAGTATCCTGAGCCACCCGGCCTTTCTGTACAGTGATTGTGGTGAAGTGGGACCCTCTAAAATCCATACGTAGACAGATGTCCAGGAGTCTGGGGTACCCACTCACTTGGATTAGTTATTTAGGATGCTCCCTAACTGCATGCACCAAATGTGAGGTTGAAGTTTCCCAGCTCCATGTCTAGGCACACTTCTGGGTACTTGGTGACCACCAACTGGATTTTTCCTTGGCACTGGTCTTTGTGCCTGCCATTGAGGAACCTGTAGGCAGACCTGCTTAGTCCAGCTCCACCCATCTTGGCCACCACCACCCCCATCACTGGAGCTGAACAGGGAGCTCAGATCACTGTGCACTCTACAGATCAACCCATTGCCTGAGGCAATAGATGGCTTCACCGAGAAAACAAGCATCAAGTGTATACCCTACTTCATTGGCCACAGCCAAGCTCTTACCCATAAGCACCATCTACTGGTTTATAGGTGGAACCACACAGCACAATATAGGCTACAGGAGCAAAGCCAAAAGACTACCCAGTATTCAGTATTCTCTACAGTTACACTCCCTATGGAGGAGGGGAAAGGGAAAGGAAAAAAATCAGCAATATTAAAGGGAATGAAAGGACAAAAAATTTCTACAGACATGAAAATAATTACAAAAATTAGAAGTGCCAGCATCTCCAGGTGAGATGACACCAGCATAAGAATTCTGAAACCATAAGAAATCCAAATGTAGTGATACCATCAAAGTATCACTCTAGCTCTCCAGCAATGCTCCTATCCAAAATAAAAACTTGGAAATGATAAAGAATTCAAAGCATGGGTTGCAAGGAAGCTCAACAAGATCCAAAACAAGATTAAAAATGAACACAAACAAGCTTCTAAAGCAATCCAGAAAATGAAAGAAGAGAAAAATATTTTTAAAAGAAATCAATCAGAGCTTCTGGAATTGAAAAACTCACTTAAGAAACATTAAAAATCCAATTGAGAGCTTTATCAATGGATTGGACCAAGCAGAAGAATTTCAGAGCTTAAAGACTGATCTTTCAAACTATCCCAGTAAGACCAAAAGAATTTTTAAATGTGAACAGTCTTTGAGAAATATTATGTAAAGTGAACAAACCTACAAATTATTGGCCTTCTGGAGAGAGAAGGAGGGAATGTTTTTTTAAAAAGCTGGAAAACATATTTGAGGAAATAATTCAAGGAAATTTCCTTAATCTTGCTAGAGAGGTAGACATCCAGATATAAGAAACCCAGAGAATACCTGCAGAATACTATACAAAATGAACATCACCAAGACATATAGTCAATAGACTGTGTAAAGTAACACTAAAGAACAAATCTTAAAAGCAGCTAGAGAAAAAGATCAGATCATGAACAAAGGGAACCCCATTAGGCTAAGAGCAAATTCTTAGCAGAAACATTACAAGAAAGGAAAACAGAAGAAAACAGCTCAGCCACAATGTGGTAAAGCAACAAGCAGGAGTTCCCAATTCAGGCCTATGCTCCTGGCACAGTGTTTCTAGACCAGTCCTGGGCCAGAGAGGAGACCATTGCCCTGAAGGGTGAGTCTCAGGCCAGGCAGCATTCAAGATGAGCTGACTGAAGAGCCCCTGGATATTAAGTGAACATTCATGATGGACTGGAAGAATCCCCTGTGGGCCATTGCAGGTGGGTGGCCATAGTAAAGGGCTACGCTGCCTGAGGAAAGGGGAGGGAAGAACAAGAAGGACTTCGCCTTATGATTTGAGTGCCAGCTTGCTGCAGGAGAACAAAACATCAGGTAAATTCTAAGGTTTTTAATTTCAATTCCTGGCTCCCAGACAGCATCTCTGGACGTACCTGGGACCTGGAAGAACATGCTGCCTGAAGGCAAGGACGTTTACTATTCACAGAGCCCTACAGCATTGAGAGAACATTGGGGGTAGCCAGGTAGTGGTTACAGAAGGCCTTGGATGAGACCCAGTGCTGTGCTGGATTCAGGTATGACCCAGTGCAGTCCCAGTCGTGGTAGCCATAGGGGTGTTTGTGCCACTACACCCCCAGTTTCAGGCAGCTCAAATAGAGACAATCAGTTTGCTTGGCAGAAAGTATGGGAAAATAACAAGAGTTTCCTCCTGGTAATCCAGAGACTTCTTCTGGACATTATCCAAGACCATGAAGGTGGTATCTCTATGAGTCTGCAAAAAACACAGCATTATTGGGCATGGGGCTCAAGTCCCTTTAAATACCTAAAAAGGCTCCTCAAGAAGAATCGGTACAAACAAGCCCAGACTGCAAAGACTATCATAAATACATAATTTTATAATGCTCAGACATTGATGAATATCTACAAGCATCAAGACCATCTAGAAAAAAACAACCTCACCAAATAAACTAAATAAGGCACCAAGGACCAATCCTGGAGAAACAGAGATATGTGACCTTTCAGACAGAGAATTCGAAATAGCTTTTTGAAGAAATTCAAGATGATGCAGAAAAAATTTAGAATTCTATCAGAAAAAATTAAAGAGATTGAAATAATAAGAATCGACCAAAAATTCTAGTTGAAAAAATACAATTAAGAATTGTATTTTATACATAATAAAGAATGCACCAAAGTCTCTTAATAGCAGAATTGATCAAGCAAAAGAAAGAATTAATGAGCTTGAAGGCAGGCTATTTGAAAATACATAGAGGAGATTTAAAAAAAAAAGAATAAAGCACACTTACAAGATCTAGAAACTAGCCTCAAAAGAGCAAATCTAAGAGTTATTGGCCTTAAAGAGGAGTTAGAGAAGAAGTTTGAGGTAGGAAGTTTATTCAAAGGGATATAACAGAGAACTTTCCAAACCTAGAGAACGATATCTATACCCAAGTACAAGAAGCTTATTGTCTAATGAACAAAGGGAAAAGACCCAAATAAACAAAATCATAGATTTAAAAGGAGATATTAGAACTGAGGTTGCAGAAATTCAAAGGATCATTTGTGGCTACTATGAGCGACTGTATGCCAATAAATTGAAAAATCTACAGGAAATGGGTAAATTCCTAGACACATACAACCTACCAAGATTGAACGATGAAGAAATCCAAAACATGAACAAATAAATAACAGGTAATAAGATCAAAGCTATAATAGAAAATCTCCCAGCAATGAAAAGCCCAAAACCTGATGATTTCACTGCTGAATTATACCAAATATTTAAGAAAGAACTATTACCAATCCTACTCAAACTACTCCAAAAACTAGAGGAGAATAGAACACTTCCAAACTCATTCTACAAGGCCACAGTTAATCTAATACCAAAACCAAAGACATGATTTTTAAAAAACTACAAACAAATATCTCTGATGAATATTATTGCAAACATCCTCAACAAACTACTAACAAACCAAATTCAGCAACACATTAAAATAATAATTCATCATGGCCAAGTGAGATTTATTCCTGGAATGCCAAGATAGTTCAACATATGCAAATCAATCAATATGATACATCATATCAATAGAATGAAAGATAAAAACCACATGATCATTTCAATTGCTGCAGAAAAAGCATTTAATAAAGTTCAACAATGCTTCACCATAAAAACCCTCAAAACACTGTGTATAGAAGGAACATATCTCAACACAATAAAAGCAACTTATGCCAGACCCACAGATAGTATCATACTGAATGAGGAAAAACTGAAAGTCTTTCCTCTAAGACCTGGAACACAGTACGGATGCCCACTTTTACCCAAGTTCATTCATCATAGTACTGGAAGTCCTAGCTAGAGCAATCAGACAAGAAATATATAAAGGACATCCAAATTAGAAAGGAAGAAGTCAAATTATCCTTGTTTGCAGATTATATGATCTTATATTTGGAAAAATCTAAAGACTCCCCCAAAAAACTATTAGAACTGATGAAGAAATTCAGTAAAGTTTCAGAATACAAGATCAATATACAAAAATCAGCAGCATTTCTATATGCCAACAGTAAACAATCTGAAAACCAAAAAAGTAATCCCATTTACAGTAGCCACACATAAAATTGAAAACCTAGGATTAACTTAACCAAAGAAGTGAAAAATCACTACAATGAAAACTGTTAAAAAAAAAAAACACTGACAAAATAAATTGAAAAGGACACATGCCAAAAAAAGAAAGAAAGAAAAAAGAAAGAGAAAGGAAGAGAAAGAAAGAGAAAGAAAGAGAAAGGAAAGAAAGAAAGAAAGAAAGAAAAAGAAAGAAAGAAAGAAAGAAAGAGAGAAAGAGAGAAAGGGAAAGAAAGAAAGAGAAAGAAAGAAAAAGAAAGAAAGAGAAAGAAAAAAGAAAGAAAGAAAGAAAGAAAGAAAGAAAGAAAGAAAGAAAGAAAGAAAGAAAGAAAGAAAGAAAAAGAAAGAAAGAAAGAAAGAAATTCCATGTTCACAGGTGTGGAAGAATCAGTATTGTTAAATTGTCTATACTACCCCAAACAATCTAGAGATTCAATGCAATCACTATCAAAATACCAACACAACTCACTGAGATGACATTCTTTCCAAAACAGAAAAAAACACTCTAAAATTTATATGGAACCACAAAAGACCTAGAATAGCCACAGCTATCCTGAGCTAAAAGAACAAAATTAGAGAAATAACATTACCTAACTTCGAATTATACTACAGAGCTATCAAAACCAAAACAGCGTGGTACTGGCATAAAAACAGTGACATAGACCAATGGAACAGAATAGACAACCCAGAAACAAATCCGCACACCTACAGTGAACTCATTTTTGACAAGGTACAAAGAACATACACTAGAGAAAAGATAGTCTCAATAAATGGTGCTGGAAAAACTGGATATACATATGTAGAAGAATAAAACTAGACCCCTATTTCTCACCATATACAAAAATCAAAATGGATTAAATACTTAAATCTAAGACCTCAAACTATTAACTACCAGAAGAAAATACTGGAGAAATTCTCCAAAACATGGGTCTGAGCAAAAATCTCTTGAGTAATACAAGCACAAGCAACAAGAAGAGGCAAACAACCACATCAAATGAAAATTCTTGTCCACAGCAAAGGATGCCATCAACAAAGTGAAGAGACAACCCACAGAATAGGAGAAAATATTTGCAAACTATCCATCTGACAAGGGATTAATAACCAGATTATATAAGGAGCTCAAAAAACTCTGTAAAAAAAAGTCTAATAATCCACTTTAAAAACCCATATTCTGTGGGTTTTCTTCCAGAATTTTTACAGTTTCGGGTCTTAGATTTGACCCTCTAATCCATCTTAAGTTAGCTTTTGTGTACGGAGAGAGAAATGGATTGTTTCATTCTTCTACATATGGCCATCCGATTTTCCCAGAACCACTTACTGAATAGGCAATCCTTTCCCCAGTTTATGTTTTTGTATGTTTTTTCAAAGATCAGTTGGCTGTAAGTTTTGGCTTTATTTCTGAGTTCTCTATCCTGTTCCATTGGTGTATGTATCTACTATTATACCAGTACCATGCTACTTTGTTTACTATAGCTTTGTAGTATAATTTGAAGTAATGTGATGTCTCCAAATTTGTTTTTTTTGATTAGAATTGCTATGGTTATTCAGGCTCCTTTTTGGTTCCATATGAATTTTATAATTGTTTTTTCTAACTCTGTGAACAATGACATTAATATTTTGATTGGAATTATATAGAATCCATAGATTGCTTTGGGCAGGATGGTAATTTTCATGATTTTGATTCTTTTAACCCATGAATGTGGAATATTTTTTCATTTGTTTGGGGCATCTCTGATTTCTTTCATCAGTGTTTCATAGTTCTCCTCATAGAGATCTTTCACATTCTTGGTTAAGGATAATCCTAAGTGTATTACATTTTTGTAGGTATTGTAAAAGGTTTGAGTTCTTGATTTGATTCTCAGCTTGGCCATTGTTGGTTTTTAGCAGTGCTACTGATTTGCATGCATTGATTTTATAATCTGAGAGTTTACTGAATTCATTTATCAAATCTAGGACTCTTTTGGAGGAGTCTTTATGGTTTTCTAAATATAAGATCATATCACTGGCAAACAGATAATTTGACTTTTTTTCCAATTTGAATGCCCTTTCTTTCTTTCTCTTGCCTAAATGCTCTGGCTAGAACTTCCATTTTTACAATAAAATCCATCAAATATTTTAAAAAGAGAGACTGACTTAATTCTCCCTTGAAAATAAGTGAAGAGATTTCCCTCTCTTCCTTTTTCTTAGAGCATTTACCTCAGAAAACTATTAATTGTTAGCACTTTCTCTTCTCTCTGGAATGTATTTAAATCCTTTTGAAGATTAAAATTGGCATTTAATCAGTTTTATGAGCCATGAAGTTATTTCTCAAGGACTGGGAGCCATCTCTGTGAAATGTAAACATCAAAAAGAATAGGCCCCTATTTCCCAGTTTCTGTGGAAGAGTGGGAATTAACTTCAGTGGATACCTTGCTCAAAGTGGCAAAACTACCTCTTGGCATAAAATTAAGAGAAGCTTATTTTTCCTTTAGATAAAGCCAATTATCTAACACAGATGGTCACGCTAATTACTAGGTGAATTTAGAATGAACTCTATGTGACAAATGGTACAATCAAGTCCTCTTAGAGACTAGTTACTGTTTATCATGAGAACATGTATGGAATGTATAGAATGGATTATAGTTTGGTTATATGTAAGGGTGACATTTCTTTCTGTCTTTGTAATCTCTTAACATATTGCCTGTGATATGAATCACATGCTGGTTTAAAGCTTATTCAATAATAAAATTGTTTTTCTATAGTACTTTAGTGGACAGGTTTTCTGATATGGGAGATTTTATTTTTAATTATATTTCCCCAACATCTTTTTTTTTAATCTGCTAGTAACAACCCAGTGCTCAGCTTCAGACTTGATCTCTAGAGTAGAAATTTTGATAGGAGAATCTAATGGTTGACCTGAATGAAATCAGGTATCTCTCCACCCTTACCATATGTCCCTATGCAAGGGAATAGGGTAGGGAGGGATGCAGGGTCAAGTAATGTAAATGTAACTAGGAAACAGGGAGGGAAGGTTCTCAAAGAAGGAGGGCTGCTCATGTACAACCACTCTCCCACACACACACTTCAAAGTACAAAAGGCAACTTTTAGCAGATAGGCAGACAACTGGGATTTTTCACATTTGTACATTATTCTATTTAAATTTGATTACATTGACTAAACATGTGCACATCAATTCACATTTCAATAACACTGAATTATTGAAATTATTTGAACCATTTCCATGAATCTCTCATGTCCCAGGATACTTGGGGTGATATCCTAAAAAAAACATTTCATTATTCTCATAAATACAGATGTTTAATTAAAAGATTTTGATGTTACAAATGCTACTGTATTTTTCTAACCTCTTTATTTTTTGTCCTCAAAAATATTAAGCCAAATGGATACATTTCCTTAGTGCTTTTAAGTAATTAGCAAAACAAAATACTCTCTGAAGAATGGAAATGTAGTTTTCCTACTTCTTTCCCTCAGTCATGAAAGACAAGCAGATGGTCTCTTATCAGTGTAAACAGCTATCAGAATGGCAATGGTGGCCAGATGAAAGAATAAACTTAGAAATGAAAGGGCAGAAATAGATGAGTTTAAAAAAAGAAGAAACATCTGCTTTTGAATTAACAAAAAGAACACAGCAGTTAAGGTCTAACAATGGATATTTTGTGTTTGGCAAATAGCGTAACTATATAAACTACTTAAGAGCCGTTCATAGACGTATTGTATTCCCAGGTATTTCATACTGACCCAATTGTCTCAGAAACAAAACATTTTATTGGATGAGGCAAGTCAGTGAGGAACCATTCAGCCATGTCTTTATCATGGATTCTGTGGTTGAGGTCTCTAGAGATAACTGTCAAGTTTGGCAAAAAAGTAAGTGAAACTACAAAAGGAGTAAGACTTGTAAAACATTCTCTCAAATTCAAGAGTAGAAATAAAACATGACAAAGTATAGGAGAAGAAAAAAAATTTAGATAGTTATATTTTGGCAGTCTTTACACAGGTATTAGTTGATAGATGATAACCTATTCTGGATTTAATAATTTCCTTTTGAAACTAATTGTGCTTTCACTTCAGCTGCCTATTTCTGGGAAGGTAAAATTAAGAGAAATAAAATCTCATTATTATATCACTGTACAGAAGTTTTTCTACAAAACAATGCCTTTTTTTAAAAAGGAGTAAAACGTTTAATTGTATTAACATTGAGAAATTCTCCCCCCTACATACAAATCAGGAGTTAAATTTAAAATAAGTTACTTAAAATTAAATTTCAATTATAATAATTGGAGGGCACATAGCTTTATCAAGCCCAACAACAGGGTCATGCGACTTAACTCTCAATATTGTTGGCCCTAGCAGAGTTGTTACTGTGTAGGAGTTAACTACCTACTGTGTTAGTCCATTTTCATGCTGCTGATACAGACATATCCAAGATGAGGCAATTTACAAAAGAAAGTGGTGTAATGGACTTACAGTTCCACATGCCTGGGGAAGCCTCACAATTATGGTGAAAGGCAAGGAGGAGCAAGTCACATCTTACATGGATGGCAGCAGGCAAAGAGAGAGAGCTTGTGTAGGGAAACTCCCATTTTTAAAAGCATCAGATCTCGTGAAATTTATTCACTATCATGAGACCAGCATGGGAAAAGCCCACCCCCATGATTCAATTATCTCCCACCACATGTGGGGATTATGGAAGCTACAAGATGCAAAACTAAACCATATTACCTATCTTAGAGCTCACTGTCTGGGTTTGGAGCCCATCTCTGATGCTGCCTGTCACTTAATCTCCAAGTACCTCACTATCCTCATTTGGGAAACAGAGGTGATGATAATGAAGGATCTATCTCACATCTTTGTTGTAAAAATTTAACAAATAACATATATAAAATATTTGTAACAGTGTTTGACCCATAGAAAGTGATATAAAAGTATATTTTCTAGTCACTACAAGTTTTGAAATCTGCAAGTAATGTTAGCAGATAGAGCATACAGTACCTGTTTTTATTAACCACTGATACCAGGCACATGTCACTTTGCTTTATTTGCTTTATCTGCAAACATCCATGCCAATTGTTCTCCCACAGAGCAGTATCACATCTGCCAGCAGCCCCTCTATCTTACCAGGCTGCTTCATTTGTTAGGCCTGGGGTCTGTGTTGCTTCTGATAGCATTTGGCAGCTTCTTTAAATATTGTGCAGCTACACATGAATGAATACATAAATTTGTTACAATGGCATAACAATGTGAGTAAACCCAGTAAAATTAAGTAATTACATACAGCAAATAAAGTCACTGCTGCTAAAATGAGCTACATATGCCAAAAAGGAGGAAAATTGCAGCAGAAATTCTTATAGAAATTACATTATTCAACATTAAAATTCCTTTTTAAAATGTACACTATGTATAAAATATTAATATTTTTCTAATGCTTTATCTATTAGGCACTGATCACTTAGATTCAAAGGGGTGTTAAAAATTATTTTTGTTACTGTTTTGGTCAATTTTTTTCTATTCTCAGTAAGTGCAAATGTCCTTAAAACTTTCTAATAAGAAATCATCAGGACATAATGAAGATAATTTAATGACACAATGGATGACAACAACCTTGTTCTTTTCAGAAACAAGCCAAAAAAGTTAGTTGGTAGAAACACACCCAATAAACGTTAGGGATGAGTCTGTTCACTGCTGCATCTTCATTGCCTAGGATAGTGCCTAGCATAGAGCAGGCATTTAATAGTTGTCTGAATCTTTAATGAATGAAATAATTATTTACCTCTAAATATATTATCAAATAGAAGGTTCTGGATTTTGTGTAAAGGGTAGATAGACAATCTGAAAAGTGGCTCTCAACTAACAGAGGAACCACCCACATATGGGTATTTGGAAATATGATGAGAGGTTGGCTTGTTAATAACTGTGGGTGCTATGGACAGTCTGTAGGTGGAGTCCATTGTAGAAAGGCTAAACTTTCTACACTGTGGAGGAACGTGAGGATATCTATTACAGGACAGTCCAGCATGATAAAGAATTTTTTCAGAATATATAAACAGCAGTCCACTGAGAATTACTGGAAGGAGAAGTAAGGTGGAGGTGGGATTAAAAAACAAAAAGTAGTAAATCAGAGCAAGAATATCAGAAAAGTAGGGGGCAAGACATAAATATCTTATAGTTATTAGGAGGTCTCCACTATTAGAGAGGAGGAAACTTTAGAAAACTCAGCTGGCTCAGACACAGCAGACTAACTAAAATTTAAAAATGCCAAAATTGTTTAAAAAGGAATGAAATCATGTCCTTTACAGCAATGTGGATAGAGCTGGAGGCCATAATCCTAAATGAATTAACACAGGAACAGAAAACCAAATACCATGTGTTCTCACTTATAAGTGGGAGCTGAACATTGAGCACATATAGACATAAACATGGGAACAACAGACACTGTGGACCACCAGAGGTGGGAGAGAGAGAGGCAGTCCTGGGTTGAAAAACTACCTATTGAGTGCTTACTACCTGGGTACAATATACCCATGTAACAAACCTGCACATCTGCCCCCAGTATCTAAAATAAAAGTTGAAATTTTTTTAAAAGAATAAAAACAATGAAAATTCATAAAGACACCTAAGTCAGCGATTTTGTGCAAGTCACAAAAGTGACAGCAAACATCAACTTTTTATAGTAAAACATATAAAATAATTATAAAGTAGGATGCACATATACCTTTAAGAAATTCAAAGCAATTCCATGTGTGTGGCATACATCTGGTGCATGTTCCTGGAGCTCCCTTTCCACACTCCCATACACCCTTCACCAACCTCCCCTCACCATTTGTGGGTAGTATTTAGTGGAAACTACCTCAGGCCCTGAGTAGTGAGCAGTTCATCAGAAATGAGGAGTTCTAAGGAAGAAACACTGTGGCAGGAGTACCAGAATGGGAAAAAAGGCAAAAGACATCTAAAGGAAGGTGAAGATGTGCAGGCAGTCCACCAAAGGCAAGCTTCAAGCACAATGCACACAAAGTACACAAGGCGACAACGTTAAAACCCTATTTTACTTATTAAATATTTATTATTTCTGTGCATCAAGCATTGTGCTAAGCCCTAGGAATGGAGGTGAACAAGAGGTAAGACCTAGCCTTCATGAAGTTTATAGTCTGTCAGGAGGAGTAGACATTAAACAAACCATAATTGAAACTCACAAGATTCCTACAGAAAGAATACCAAGGGGATCTATTTTAGATTGAAGTGTGAGGAAGGACTTCTCTAAAGTTATATCTTCCAGAATTCTAAAAGATGAGTAGGAATTAGGTAGTCTCTGCAGAAATGTATTCATTGGGGAGGGAGCTCAGTCTGTACCAGGGCCCAAGGGCCCAAGGCAGGACAGGGTCTGGCACATTCCTGGAACTGTAATGAGGGTAGTGTGGCTATCTTGGTGAGCTGGGGGGACAGACATGAGATAAGGTTACTCTGGCTACAATATGTAGAAGAATTGCAAGAAAATGGGCAGACAGACTGTTATAAAAGCTACTGCAATAGTCCAGGTAAGAAATGATGGTGGCTTGGTCAGAAGTGACAGCAACAGAAATAAGAAATATGGATAGATACTAAGTATAAAGTGAAAGGAACTGGTAATACATTGGACGTAGGGAGTGAGGAAGAAGTGTCAAGGATGACTCACTGGCATGAGCAACTGCAAGGCTGCCAGAGGCTGACATGCTCCTAAGTGGGTAGAGTGGGGGAGGAAGAGTTTCAGGAGAGGATAATTAAGGATTCTTTTGGATGTGTTCTTCATAGTGCCTGAGAGCCATCCTAAGAGATGTTTGATATTCAAATCTCTAACTCAGTAGTGAACTCTGAATCAGAATGTGAATTTGGGAGTTCTGGCACATACAGAGAATATATAAAGATATTGCATTGAATACGATTATTTAGGAAAAGTTTGTTTTCCTAGATAAAAGTTTGTTTTGTTCATGGAGAACACACTACTAAATTTTCTAAAGTCAAGTAAATATGATCCCATGAGAGAATAATTTCTAGTATTTTTTCATTTTGTTTTATTCAGTAATTATTTTCCCGGTATGTATTCTAATAGATTAAAGTTAAAAGTTTTTTGAAAAAGACTTTGTATTATGGCTCTGTGCACTTCGCATGTAGATGAAAGATTCTGAGTATGTGGCTGTATTTGTTTTTTGTTCGTGTGCTTTCCATATTATTCATGAGTTCAGACAAATGGTAACATACTTAACAGTATGTTCATATGAGAAATATTTCCAACTTAGTTACACATTTATGTTTCATGATTTAAATCCTGCTGTCCCCATCATCACCTACACATGAAACCTGAACCCTAGGCTATGTAATCTTCCAGCTCCACTCTTGCCACACCCACCTAACAAGACATAGTTCAGCAGCAAGCGCTTTTACTATTTTCCATCTCTATGCCTTGGCCCACACTTTTTCTGTGCCTAGGTGATGCAGCCCTCTCCTTTTCCCCAAATGTCAAATGTCCACATTCAGAACACTCTTCTGTTCTTCCTAGAAGTCTCCATGATCCCTTATTAGGTCACCCCTTCCTCTTTGCTTACTTGTTGGTCTTCCAGTGAACTCCTTAAAAAATTAGGGACTATGTCAAATTCATCTGAGTCTGTAACTGCTGGCATAAGGCCTACCACAGTGTATTAGTCAGTTTTTGCACGGCTATAAAGAAATACCCCAAACTGGGTAATTTATAAACGAAAGAGGTTGAACTGACTCAACAGTTCCACATGGCTGGGGAAGCCTCAGGAAACTTACAATCATGGTATAAAGCAAAGGGGAAGCAAGCGCCTTCTTCACATGGCAGCAGGAGGGAGAAGAGTGAGGAGCAAAGCAGAAAAAGCCCCTTATAAAACCATCAAATCTCATAGGAACTCACTATCACAAGTACAGAATGGGGGAACTGCCCACATGATCCAATCACCTCTCACTGGGCTCCTCCCTCAACAGGTGGGATTATGGGGATTATAATTCAGGATGAGATGTGAGTGGAAACACAGAGCCACATCATATCCTTTCACTCCTTGCCCCTCCCAAATCTCACATCTTTTTGACATTTCAAAACCAATCATGCCTTCTCAAAAGTCCCCCAAAGTCTTAACTCATTTCAGCATTAACTCAAATGTCCACAGTCCAAAGCCTCATCTGAGACAAGGCAAGTCCCTTCCACCTATGGAAAAAGTCAAAGACAAGTTAGTTCCTTCCAAGATACAATTTGGGTACAGGCAACGGGTAAATACACCCATTCCAAATGACAGAAATTGGTGAAAATAAAGAGGCCACAAGCCCCATGCAAATCTGCAATCTAGTTGGGCAATTATTAAATCTTAAAGCTCCAAAATGATCTCCTTTGACTCCATGTCTCACACCCAGGGCATGCTGATGCAAGGGGTGAGCTCCCATGGCCTTGGGAAGCTCCTTCACATGCTGGCATTGAGTGCCTATAGCTTTTCCAGGCACATAGTGCAAGCTGAAAGTGGATTTACCATTCTGGGGTCTGAAGGATGGTGACCTTCTTCTCACAGATCCACTAGGCAGTGTCCCAGTGGGGACTCTGTGTGGGGGCCCCAACTCCAAATTTCCCTTCCACACTGTCCTAACAGAGGTTCTCCATGAGGGCTCCATCCCTGCAGCAAACTTCTGCCTGGATGTCTAGACATTTCCATATATCCTCTTAAATCTAGGCAGAGGTTCCCAAACCTCAATTCTTGACTCTGTACACCCACAAGCCCAACATCACATGGAAGCCACCAAGGCTTGGGGCTTGCACCCTCTGAAGCAATGGCCTGAGCTGTACCTTGGCCCCTTGTAGCCATGAATGGACCTGAAACAGCTGGGATGCAGGGTGCCATGTTCTGAGGTTGCACACAGCAGCAGGACCCTGGGCCCAACCCACAAAACCGTTTGTTCCTCCTAGGCCTCTGGGCCTATGATGGGAAGGGCTGCCACCAAGATCTCCGAAATGCCTGGACACCTTTTCCCCACTGTCTTGGTGATTAACATTTGGCTCCTCATTAATTATGCAAATTTTTGCAGCAGGCTTGAATTTCTCCCCAGAAAATGGGTTTTTCTTTTCTATCACATCATCAGGCTGCAAATTTTCAAAAACTTTTATGCTCTGCTTCCCTTTTAAACATAAGTTCCAATTTCAGATCATCTCTCTCAAGTTCAAAGTTCCACAGATCTCTAGGGCAGGGACAAAATGCCACCAATATCTTTGCTAAAGCATAGCAAGAGTGATCTTTGCTCCAGTTCCCAACAAGTTCCTCATTTCCATCTGAGACTACCTCAGCCTGGACTTTATTGTCCATATCACTATCAGCATTTTGGTCATAGCCATTCCACAAGTCTCTAGGAAGTTCAAACTTTCCCACATTTCCTGTTTATTTCTGAGCTTTCCAAATTGTTCCAACTTCTGCCCATTACCCAGTTCCAAAGTCACTTCTACATTTTTAGATATCTTTATAGCAGTACCCCACTCTCTGTGGTACCAATTTACTGTATTTTTCTGTTTTTGCACTGCTATAAAGAAATACCCATGACTGGATAATTTATAAACAAAGGAGGTTTAATTGACTCACCATTCCACATGTCTGGGGAGGCCTCAGGAAACTTACAATCATGGCAGAAGGCAAAAGGAAAGCAGACACCTTCTTCACAAGGTGGCAGGAGGGAGAAGAGTGAGGAGTGGAGGGGGAAGAGCTCTTTATAAAACAATCAGAGCTCATGAGAACTCACTATCATGAGAACATCATGGGGGAAATTGCCCCATGATCCAGTCACCTCCCACTGGGTTCCTCCCTCGACATGTGGGGATTATGGGGACTACAATTAGAGATGAGATCTGAGTGGGGATGCAGAGCCAAACCATATCTTACATGAAGAAACATAAATGTCTGTTGAATTGAATTATATTTAGCAATCCTAATGTAGTGTATAATATGGCAAAATTGGCTGTTTTGTTAAGAATTTAAAAATTGCCTCATACAGTCTGAGTCATGGGGAAAAATTTAACTACTGTATCCCAGAAATACAATTACTCAATTTTCAAGACACTAGTCATTTTTGTAAGTGCTATTGGGCTTAAAAAACACAGGTTGTCCACCACCCATGGGTGAGTCCATGTTGCAGTTCCAACTACTCAGTGAGACCCAAGTAACCTGTAGACTTTTGATAATGCTGCTCATGGTACCATTTAAATAAAGCAGAAGATGATACATCATTGCTGCATCCTTCAGAGAGGACAAACACTGTGTCCTCATATGGCAGAAGGGCAGAAGAGCAAAAGGGCCTATGCTAGTTATCTCCGCCCCTTTTAAAGGTCACACCTCTTAATACCATCACATTGGTGTTTAAGTTTCAAAACTTGAATTTGGGGGACATGTAGACCATAGAATATATTTATGTCATAAAATTTAGATTTGGAAGAAATGACTCTTTATAACTCAAAAAGAACTGTGGAGTCTTATGGAGTATGTATTGTTGTGTACATCTACATAGCTCACACTTACATAACACTGTGCAGCCTCAGAACATGGCACCCTGCATCCCAGCTGCTTCAGGTCCAGTCGTGGCTAAAAGGGGCCAAGGTACAACTCAGGCCATTGCTTCAGAGGGTGCAAAAAGTTTCTTATTAAGAAGTTTACACTTTTTAATAGCAAAAACATGAAATCTACCTAAATGCCTGTCAATGGAAGACTGGATATAGAAAATGTGGTACATATTCACCATGGAATAGTATGCAGCCATAAGAAAGAATGAGATCATGTCCTTTACGGCAACACGAATGGAGGTGGAGGCCATCATCCTAAGCAAACTACCACAGGAACTACCACAGGAACCACAGAAAACCAAATATCACGTGTTCTTACTTATAAGTGGGAGTTAAGCAATGAGAACACACAAATACTAGGAGGGGATCAACAGACACTGGGGCCTACTTGAGGGTGGAGTATAGGAGGAGGGAGAAGATAAACAAAATACCTATTGGGTACTATGCTTATTACGTGAGTGATGAAATTTTCTGTACACCAAACCCCTGTGACGTGCAGTTTATCTATATAACAAACCTGTACATGTAACCCTGAACCTAAAATAAAAGTTAAAAAATAAAGTTCATGCTTTTAAAGTGCTCAATGCTTTAATACAGGATCTTATAATAGCACAAAATGGCTTTCTCAGAATTTAAAAGTCTGCATTACAAAATCAATCTAATTCTGATCACTCAATACACACAAAAATAACTAAATGAATAAAAATAAGAATAAAAGCAAAGAAATCTACTATAAAAAGTTTAACTGACCAAAGCAAAAGATATTTTCTACTGTGTCTCTCTTAACTTATTCTGCTAATTTCATACAACAGCATTCAGGCTTAATAGGGTTTTCCGTGAAAACTGAGAGTCTGATAAGAAATATTTCTTGTGTTAGTACTGAACTGGAGGTTTGGCCTTCCTTGAGTCGGTTAACTTCCTGCTCTATCAGTTTCTTCATCTGTTTAATGGAAATAATAACTATTTGCCATAAAGTCACACTGCGTGGGTTCAGTGAGAAGATATTTAGTTGACCTTCAGTAGATGGTCATGGAATATAAATCATCATTCTTAATCACCTATATAGTGTATGGTTAAGGACATGAAGTCTGGAATCAGACCACTTGCTATGTGACCACGGGGAAAATTAATCTCTCAGTTCCTCCATCAGCTACATAATTTGCAGAGCCTACTACAAAATGAAAATTCAGAGCTTCTTGTTCAAAATTATTAAAAATTTCAAGAAAGTGACAGCGAGCATTAAACCAAATGCAGTGCCTCTCAGACGTCCTAAAGTTGCACAGGTTACTGGTGCATTAAGCAGGTCCTGACTTCAGTCTTCTGCCCTGGGGATAACAACAGTATTTGCCTTATAAGGTTAGCATGGGGATTAAATAAGGCAATATATGTAAGCCATTAGAATAGTGCCTGGCACATAGTGTTACATAAGTGTGAGCTATATAGATGTACACAACAATACATACTCCTTAAGACTCTACAGTCCTTTTTGAGTTACAGAGAGTCATTTCTTCCAAATCTAAATTTTATGGCATAAATATATTCTATGGTTTAAATGTCTCCCAAAATTCAAGTTTTGAAACTTTATCACCAATGTGATGGTATTAAGAGGTGTGACCTTTATAAGGGGCAGAGATAACTAGCATAGGCCCTTTTGCTCTTCTGCTCTTCTGCCATATGAGGACACATTGTTCTCTCTGAAGGATGCAGCAATGAGGCACCATTTTGGAGGCAGAAACCAGGCCCTCACCAGATACTGAGCCTGTTGGCATTTGATCTTAGGCTTCCAAGCCTCTAGAAAATGAGAAATAAATTTCTGTTCTTATAAATTACCCAGCCTCAGGTACTGTTATTGCAGAACATGGACTAGAACAGTGTAACAAAAAGGATGCACAAAAAGTCCTCATGTTTTGCATATATTCACCTTTCATTGAAATCTTCTGCTAGTGCAACTAAACACCCTTCCATTTCTGTGTCATTCTCCTGAGATAAATCAAAAGAAGAAAAAGGTGTAAATGTAGGATCCGTATTTCAGCTTTTCTTCTGGAACTTACAGAGATAATGAATTTCCCTAAAATATGCTAGTCAAACCTTGGTCTTTGAAATAGTTACATAATGCAATCCATCAAGAAAAGATCTTTGAGAAATGAGTAGTGGAACTCAACTCAGACCCAACTAAAAGGAATTTTTCTGTGTATGTCAAACTTGGAGAAGAGGAATCAAAGGAGTGAAAATCTGCAATATTGGAATATAACCCCTAAGGCCAATTTTGTACCACCTGGACTTCCTTCTTTTACTTCGTGGAATTACAAGTACTCAAACCCAGAAAAAGAATATTAGAACTCATTATGTCTAAGTTGACTTTTTAAAGTACTTTTGTCTGGATTTGACATTTAATTACATTAGAGAAATATTAGGACTGAAACAGAAAAGCCAGTTTGCTTTAAAAAAATGTGACCAGAGTTATTAATGAAAGTCCTCAATTTCTTTAAAAGCAGAAAATGCTTTTAACTACTCTATCAATGGATTTTTGAAAAGTAACAGCATCTCTTCCTGATTTTATATGATAAATAGTATAGACAGTTCTACTTTCCCATTTTCTTCATATCCTGAAAAGAAAAATAATGCCACAAATATAGTAGCAATCATCATTATTAAAGTAATAGTGATTTTCTTCCAAGAAGTTTAAAATACTTGTGAAACATTACTTTATAATAAAAAAGGCAAATGGACTATTAGACTAGTAGAATTACTATCACTATTTTGATAATGTAATAGCACAAATCCAAAATTTTTTAAAAGTTGAGAAAATTAAACATCTGAGAAATATAGAAAGACCCAGGCATTTCTCTTATTTTGACCTCTGAACTTCATTTTCTCTATAAAAATACCCAATTGATGGTGTTTTTATAGCTCATAATGTACGTTACACCAGCATAAGTTTAAGACAACATAACAATTTAGAAAATAGGTGTTCAAAAGGGAAATGTCACATTACTCAATGTTCGTGACTCACGAATGGAAGAGCTATTTCCATATCAGTATCCATGATGAGCCTCATATAAGTTCTCATGCAAATTAGATTTTTGGGGAATAAACATTTAGACAATAGAGCAATGTTATAGTCTGTTCTTAGTACATTACTATAGATCTTCTTTTAACAAAAAGTAAAGCTTTATTTCTTAAACCAGTTAGTAGGTACACAGCAGTTAGTTGTTTACTTCTCTAAATTATGGTTTGTCACACTTGAGTACATATCCCACAGACTCTATAAAGCAACCACACAATAGAAACTACAAAGCAACCAGGTAACGACTTCACAATAGGTTCAAAACCTTACATATCAATATGAACCTTCAGTGTAAATGATATAAATACCCCACTTAAAAGGCACCAAGTGGCAATTTGGATAAAAAAGCAAGACCCATCCATCTGCTGTCTACAAGAGACCCATCTCACACATAATGACATTCATAGGCTCAAAGAAAAGGATTGGAGAAAGATCTACCACATAAACTAAAAAGCAAAAAAGAATAGGGATGGCTATTCTATCATATAAAATAGACATTAAACCAACAACAGTAAAAAAGGACAAAGAAGGGCATTACATAATGATAAAGGGTTCAATTCAACAAGACTTAACTATCCTAAATATATACATGCTCAAAATTAGAACACATATATTCATAAAACAAGAATTTCTAGACATATGAAAAGATTTTGACTGCCACACAATAGTAGTGGGAGACTTCAACAGTCCCTCTGAGAGCATTAGAAAGATCAAGGCAGAACATTGATAAAGAAATTCTGGACTTAATGCAACACTTGACCAATTGGACTCAATACACATGTACAGAATACTCCAGCCATCAACCACAGAATGTACTTTTCTCATGTGCACATGGAACATATCCCCAAGATTGACCATATGCTTGGCCATAAAGCAAGTCTCAATAAATTTTAAAAAGTCAAACCATACCGTACATACTTTCAGATCCTGGTTGAATAGAAACAGAAATTAATAGTAAGAAGATCTCTCAAACCACACAATTACAAGGAAATTAGACAACTTGCTCATATATGATTTTTGGGTAAACAATGAAGGCACAAATGAAAAATTCCTTGAAATAAATGAAAATAGAGTCATAACATACCAAAATCTGGAATGCAGCAAAAACAGTGTTAAGAGGAAAGTTTATAGCACTAAATGCCTACCTCAAAAAGTTAGAGAGATCTCAAATTAATGCACTAACATCACACCTAGAGGAACTAGGAGAACAAGAACAACCAACCAAAGCCAGCATAAGAAAAGAAATAACTAAAATCCGAGTGGAACTGAAAGAAATTGAGACTCAAAAATTCATACAAGGAATCAATGAAACCAAAAGTTGGTTATTTGAAAGGATAAACAAGATCAACAGACTACTAACTAGATAAACAAAGAAAAAAGAGAAGATCCAAACAAGCACAATCAGAAACAACAAAGGTGACATTATAACTGATCCCACAGAAATACAAAAGATCTTCATATTATGATGAAGACCTCAATGCACACAAGTAGAA
This sequence comes from Homo sapiens, assembly GCF_000001405.40. Taxonomy (NCBI): domain Eukaryota; kingdom Metazoa; phylum Chordata; class Mammalia; order Primates; family Hominidae; genus Homo; species Homo sapiens. The sequence continues at coordinate 76,256,212 of NC_000006.12, read as the reverse complement.
AATCTAGAGGAAATTAAAACACTCCTGGAAACACACAACCTCTCAAGATTGAATCAGGAAAAAGAAGTGAAACCTTAAACAGACCAATATCAAGTTCCAAAAATGAATCAATTTAAAAAAAAACCTACCAACCAAAAAAAGCCCTGGACCAGATGAATTCACAGCTAAATTCTACCAGATATACAAAGAAGAGCTAGTACAAATTCTAATGAAACTATTCCAAACAATTCAGGAAGAAGGATTCCTCCCTAACTCATTCCATGAAGCCAGCATCACTCCAACACCAAAACTGAGCAAAAACAGAACAAAAAAGAAAATGACAGGCCAATACCCCTGATGAACATTGACAGAAAAATCCTCAACAAAATACTAGCAAACTCAATCTAGCAGCACATGAAAGAGTTAATTCATAATGATCATGTAGACTTAATTCCTGGGATGCAAAGTTGGTTCAACATATGTGTCAATAAATTTGATTCATCACATAAACAGAATTAAAAACAAAACCATAAGATCCATCTAAGACACAGAAAAATATTTCAATAAAATTCAACATCCCTTCATGATGAAAACACTCAAGAAATTAGGCATTGAAGGAACATACCTCAAAATAATGAGCCATCTATGACAAACCCACAGCCGACATCATACTAAACGGTCAAAAGCTTGAGAACTGGAACAAGACAAAGATGAACACTCTCTCCACTTCTATTCAACATAGTAGTGGAAGTACTAACCAGAGCAATCAGTCAAGAGAAAGAAATAAAAGGCATCCAAATAGTAAAATAATAAGTCATAATATCTCTCTTCATCAATGATATGATTCTATACCTAGAAAAGTCTAACGATTATACCAAAAAGGCTCCTGAAACTCATAAACAACTTCAGTAAAGTTTCAGTGTACAAAAATCAATGTAGAAAAATTAGTAGCATTTCTGTTCAACAACAGTGTTGAAGACGAGAGCCAAATCAAGAATGCATTCCCATTTACAATAGCCACACACAAAAAAATAAAATATCTAGGAAGACATCTCACCAAGGAGGTGAAAGGTCACTACAAGGATAACTATAAAACACTGCTGAAAGAATTCAGAGATGATACAAACAAAGGGAAAAACATTCCATGTTCATGGATTAGATTAATATCATTAAGTGGCCATACTGCTCAAAGCAATCTGCAGATTGAACACTATGCCTATCAAACTACCAATGCCATTCTTCACAGAATTAGAAAAATACTATTCTAAAATTCAAATGGAACCAATAAAAAGCCCCAATAGACAAAGCAGTTCTAAACATAAAGAACAAAGTCAGAGGCATCACAATACCTGACTCAAACTATACTATAAGGCTGCAGCCATAAAAAAGAATGAGATTATGTCCTTTGCAGGGACATGGATGCAGATGGAAGCCATCATCCACAGCAAACTAACACAGGAACAGAAAACCAAACACCTCATGTTCTCACTCATATGTGGGAGTTGAGGCATGAGAACGCATGGACACATGGAGGGGAACAACACACACCAGGGCCTCTTGTGGGGTGGAGGGCAAGGGAAGGAAACTTAAGAGGACAGGTCAATAGGCACAGCAAAACACCATGGCACACATATACCTATGTAACAAACCTGCACATTCTGCACATGTATCCCGGAATTTAAAGTAAAATAAAATAAAATAAAATAATAAAATAAAAACTATGCTATAAGGCAACAGTAACCAAAACAGCATGATACTGATATAACACATAGACCAATGGGACAGAATGAGACCCCAGAAATAAAGCCACACACCTACAGCCATCTGATCTTGAACAAAGTCGACAAAAATAAGCAATGAGGAAAGTACTCCCTATTTAATAAATAGTGCTGGGATAGCTGGCTAGTCATATGCAAAAGAATTAAACTGGACCCCTTTCTCTCACCATATACAAATATTAACTTAAGATAGATTAAAGATTTAAATGTAAACCCTCAAACTATAAGACTTTTAGAAGAAGACCTAGGAAACACCATTTTGAACATTGACCTTAGGAAAGAATTTGTGACAATGTCACCAAAAGCAAGTACAACGAAAGCAAAAATTGACAAATGAGGCCCAATTAAACTAAAGAGTTTCTGCACAGCAAAATAAACTATCAAAAGAGTAAACAGACAACCTACAGAAGGAGAGAAAATATTCTCAAAACTACACATTCAACAAAGGTCTAATATACAGCATCGATAAAGAATTTAAACAATTGAACAAGCAAAACCAAATAACCTCATTTAAAAGTGGGCAAAATAAATGAACAGATATTTCTCAAAAGAAGACATATACATGGCTGACAAACATACAAAAAATGCTTCATTTTACTAATCAGAGAAATGCAAATCAAACCACAATGGCATACCTCCTTACACCAGTCAGAATGGCTATTATTAAAAAGTCAAAAAAACAACAGATGCTGGTGAGGACATGGAGAAAAGGGAACACTTAGACACAGTTAATGGGAGTGTAAATTAGTTTGGCCACCACAGAAAGCAGTTTGTAGATTTCTCAAAGAACTTAGAACTACCATTTGACCCAGCAATCCCATTAGTGGGTATATATCCAAAAGAAAACAAATCATTCTACCAAAAAGACACACGCATTTGCATGTTCATGGCAGCACTATTCACAATAGCAAAGACTTGGAATCAAGCTTGGTGCCCATAAACAAATTCTACTCTTAGCAATTGTCAAGAAAAAAGCACATTGTTATCAATTATAGTCACCATGATGTACAATAAATCTCTTGTACTCCTTCCTCTTAACTGAAATTTTGCATCTTTTGACCAACCTTTACCCCTCTCTCTCAAGGCCTGGTAACCACCATTCCATTCTCTACTTTTGAGTTCAACATTTTTACATTCCATATATAAGTGAGATACTGTAGTATTCTTCTGTACCTGAATTAGTTCACCTAACGTAATGTTGAAGTTCTTCCATGGTGTCAGAAATGACAGAATTTTCTTCTTTTCTTAAAGCCGATTAGTAGCATGTTTTTAAGGCTGAGCGATATTGTGTGTGTGTGTGTGTGTGTGTGTGTGTGTGTGTGTAAAATTTTTAATCCTTTCATCCAATGATGATTTCACATCTTTGATTTCACATCTTTGCTATTGTGAATCATATTGCAATTAATATGAGATAACTCTCGACAAACTGATTTAATTTATAAAGGATAGGTCATTGGAATGTAGTTCTACCAGAGAGCGCTTTTGGAATAAGGCACAATTATATATAATCTCTGTTCCCACCACATAGTTACTGTGTGAGTGAAAACTAACTACTTTAACTTTTCAAACTCAGTTTTCTTGACTGTAAAACTATCATAATAACAGCAGCTACTTCACAGCGTTGCTGTAAGGAGTTAAAAAAAAATCTATGTAAAGTATTCAATATATATGAACTACTATAGCTCTCATCACTTATGCAGAATACAGTATATTAGAATATAGTGTCTAATATAACTTTGGATATGAGTCAATCTAGCTTAACCTCAAAAATCAACATTGTCAGAGTTTCTGACCAATATTACCAGAACAGTCATTTTTGAACGGGCTCTAAAGAATCCACTCGGGAGTTCTGGCGAGTTACCTGGAGTAAGTGAGGAATGGGATGGTGGTTTGTAGGGAGGAGTGATGGTCAGGGGACATAAGAATTGGGAAATAAACTTGACACAAGCCACCTCTCAGGTCCATGACAGCATCACAACATCATGTGAAAACACCTTTGATTCCTCACTTTCTATCACACCTACATCAAATCTATCAGCTAATTGTCCATGCTGCCTTCAAAGCATATCTAAAATTTGGCCACGTCAGACCACATCTAATTCCATCACTCTAGTCTACATCACCATCATTTTTTCCTGCTCTCTCTTGCACTCCCAGTTCTCCCTCACACTGTGTTCCACACCGTATCCATCCTGATCCTGTTGAAACCTATACCAGATTTTGTCGTTCCTGTAATCAAGACATTTCAATGGCCTCCCAACTAATGTAGAGTAAAATCCAAAAATCTTTTCTATAAGGTCATCCAGTATCTCTCAAATATCATTCCCTCCTACACTCCTCCTCACTCCTGCTGCCCCAGCAACAATGACCTCCTTGCTGTTCCTCGAACACATCAAGCATGCTTCTACCTCATGGTCGTGGCACTTGTGATGCCCACTGTCTGTACCTCTCTTCTCTGTAACATCCACGTGGATGTCATGAATTTCTTCAGAATGCCTTCAGCTTCTCTTCATGTGACACTTTGCCGTAGATGTTGTCCCTGGCCCTCCTGCGTAAATGAGACCCTACCAGTACTACTTTCTATCTCACCCTGCTTTCTTTTTCACAGTTCCTATCACTAACCCTAGGCAAATCTTGAGATGGGGTCTTGCTCTGTCACCCAGGCTGGAGTGCAGTGGTACAATCTTGGCCCACTGCAACCGCCACCTCCCGGGTTCAAGCGATTCTCCCACATCAGCCTCCTGAGTAGCTGGAACTACAGGAGGGCACCACATCTGGCTATTTTTTTTTGTAAAGACAGGGCTTCACCATGTTAGCCAGGCTGGTCTCAAACTCCTGACCTCACGTGATCCTCCTGCCTCGGCCTCCCAAAGTGCTGGGATTATAGCTGTGAACCACCATGCCCAGCCGATTAAAAATATTTTTAAAAAATTATGTCTGTACTGAACATGTACAGACTTTTTCTTGTAATTATTTCCTAAATAACACAGTATAACTACTTACATAGTATTTAACTCATATTAGGTATTATAAGCAATCTAGAGTTGATTAAAAGTATACAGGAGGATATGCATAGGTTATATGCAAACACTATTCCATTTATATCAGGAACTTGCACATCTGCAGATTTTGGTATCTAAGGGAGCTCCTGGAATCAATCCACCATGGATACCAATGTATAACTATAATTGACTTAGAGATCGAAGGAGAAAGTGGTATCCTGGATGACTCTTAGGATCTTGGCTTGTGGGAATGGGCAGATATTGGTGCAATTTCACTGAGATTAGAAATCTGAGAAAAAACTGGAACAGAGGTGTATTAGTTCTCTATTGCTTCAATATCAAATTACTCCAAAATTTAGCAGCTTAAAACAATAAGCATACAGTTATCATCTCACAGATTTTCTGAGGGTTAGAAATATGGGAGCAGATTAGCTGCATGGTTTTGGTCAAGTGTCCCTTACAAGGTTGCAACCAAACTGCCACCCAGTGCTGCAGTTATCTCAAGGTTCTATTGTAACTGAAGAATACATTTCCAAGCTCACTAATGTGATTTTTGGCAGGTCTCACTTCCACATTAGCTATTGACTTGGGGCTTCAGTTTCTTGCAACATATGCTCCTCCCTAGGACTGCTCATGACACAGCAGTTTGCTTACCCTCAGACAAGAAGTCCAAAAGAGAGAACACGAGCAAGAGAAAATATTCAAGATGGAAGCTGCAGAACATTTAAACTAATATTAGGAGTGGCATACCATTACCTCTGTCATATGGTATTATGTGACCAACCCCAGTATAATATGTGTGGTGGGGAGAAGATACACAAGTGGGTGAACACCAAGAAATAAAAATTATTCAAGGCCAGCTTGGAGGCTGTTATCCACAGAGGGCATATGGTGAGTTTAGCAAAGGATGGGTTGATTTTGAGGGGCTTTTGAGATATTTAAGGGGAAATGTCAAAGAGTCAGTGGTGAGGGCAGTTCAAGCAAATGAGGACAGGCTGGGGAACCAAGAAAACATCCTAACTTAAGTGTGTTTTAATAATAATCACAACTCATTACTCAAATTTATTAGCCCAAAATCTTACCAATAAATGAGTAAAGTTGATCTACCTTCATTTTATTTTATACTACTAGTCATGTTCTGATGTATGACTTTTAAAAAATGCATACACTTATTAAAATTTAGGGACATCTACTTAATAACAACTAATATTAAACCATGTAATTAAATGATCTATTAATTTAGTCTATTAATAACATTTTACCTCACATTATTGAAGAATATTAAGAGTAAAATCAGAAAAAATAAAATCCATCTGCCATGTAGTGCGTATTTTATTGTGAAGTTTTAGATCATCAGGCAAGAACAAGCCAACATTCCCCTATCTGAACCAAATCTTCTGTATTGTCTTATATTTTAGAGGAAAAAAAAGATAATATTTCCAAATATGCCCTAGATGTAACCTTTCCCCACCTTCTCTGGGATCTTGCTCATGAATGATCTCTTCTCCCCTCATTGGACATTTGCCCTTAGCTTATAAACATGTGCATATTCATTCTTCTTAAGCAATAACCTTTCCTTTCATTTCTTAACTATTTTTCTCATAAACTATAATCTTATTGTCTTCTTTTCTCTGCCAAAAAGAATATACACTGTTAACTTCCTATACATTTTTCTCCTTTTACTAAAATCCAACATGTATTCTTATCTACTCCGCGAAAACTACTCTGACAAGGCCAGCAATGATCTTCTAGCCATCAAATATGTTCATTGCCTTTTGCTCATTTCACCTTTTTATACAGCCTTCAACTGTGTCAACAGTTTTCTTGTATCAAAACTCTTACTTCTGGTTCACTAGAGGCTCTTCTGCTCCCATCCCCACCCGTCTTCTGTGTCTCCTGGCACCAATCTAAATATACAGTCTATAGATTTCTTCTCTTCTTTCAATGCTTTCTCCTTCGTCAGTCTCATCTAGACCCACGACTTCAAATACTCCCTTGATGTTGACAAGTTCTATATATCTATTTACAGCTCTTACTTATCTCTCAAGGTCAGCCCCACAATTTTAACTGAACTCAATATATTTCTTCTTTCAAGGGGACACCATCCCCGAGTCCCTACAGTGAAAACATTTTCACACACTTAACACTTCACTTTCCCTGGTTTGCCAACATGTAATCAATATTCATTCTGCCTTCATAAGAACTATCACATCCATTTCCTCTTGCTTTATTCTTATCACCACTATCTTACTTTACTTTAGGGCCTCCTGATTTCCCATCCTCATGTGCCATTGCTGCAGTCTCCAAATTGCCTCCCTGCTTCTATTTTTCTCCGTCTACATTCTGTTTTATACAAAGCCAGGATCTTCTAAAACATCCCTTGAAAGCCTTCAATAACTTCCCATTACAAAATAAAGTCTAAACTTTTTATTCAGACATTCAATTTCTTTATTTCATTAACTGACCTGTATTTAGATGCCACACTGTTTAACAACCTCATAAAAAAGCCCCAGCCTTCTTGAATCAGTTTCTGCTTTTGAGGGAACTCAGTGCATTTTAGGTTTACTATCAATAACGTAGTTGTTTGGCTTTTGATTAGTAATCAGATATTTCATCTTAGCTGAGTTCAAATACAAGCACCACCCAAAAACTGTCACCAAGTTTCACTTTTTGAAGAATGAAAAATGGCTTTCAATAAAAGATCTTCCATCACATTATTTAAGTATTCTTTATCTGTGAAAGGACTGGCTTTCCTCATTCAGTCAAATGCAAAGCCATGTGCTCTGGCTTTGTGTAGTTGAAAGGGTAATAATTCAACCATGTCATGTAACTAATGTGAAATCCATCCTATTTTTCTAGTTTTCTAATGAAAAATAAAATCTTTTATATTTATTTATGTCAATTGACAAACAAAAAGTGTATATATTTGGGTACAACATGATGTTTTGAAACATGTATACATTGTGGAATGGCATGTGATAAGGAGGCTTAAAATCTACTCTTAGCAATTTTCAAGAGTATGATGTTATTATTATAACAACTATGGTCTCTATATTGTATAATAGATCTCTTGAACTTATTCCTCCTATCTCACTGATTGTATCCTTTGACTAACATCGCCCCAACCCTAACCCACCCCCAGCCGCTGGTTACCACCGTTTTACTCTCTGCTTCTCTGTCAACTTTTTAAGACTCCATATATAAGTGAAATCATGTAGTACTTGTCTTTCTGTGCCTGGTTTATTTCTCTTCGTGTAATGCCAGTATGTAGGAATGTGCCATAAGACATACTTTTGTGCTCACAAAAGACAATTACCTATTAACAAAATATTGCTTATTTGATTAATTATACTTTATGATTGAATCTATGAATTTAAAGAAAATCATTGAAAATTAAAGTTACCAATTATTTTCATGAGTTAGAAATCCACTAAAATTATGTAAAACAATGCTACAGAATGTTGGCTAATTCCATCAAAGTCAATATTAAATACCATCCTAAAATTTAAACACATTTTAAACAGTGTAAAACTTCAGAAGATTTTACAAGAAAACAAATCACTGCAACCAAAATGCTCACCCTTTTTTGCCTGATATGAGACTAAAACAGAGAAAGGTGAATGAATTAATTGATCATCCCACCGACTATTTTCTCACACTCCACGTGCTAATTCTTTCAGGCTTTTCAGGGTATTATCAGCTCCCCCAGAAATGTCTCATTCTCCACATTCCTGAGTCTTGACTTGAGTCTGGCAGCAGGGGCCCAGAGCTGCTTTTCTTAATGAAGTTGCTTCTCAATATTGTCCACCTGAGCATGAAAGAAACATACTTTCCCTACATAGCACCCAAAAGTCTTTGACCCCATTTCTTAATTAACACTAAACAATTTTTGTTGACTTTCTAATATGGGTAAAGCTTACATATCACATGTAACAAGTTGAACTGAAAATAATCATTTTAACATAAAACACTTTGACAAGCATTGGTGGGTCATACAGTGAAAGCCTGTCGAGAAAATACTGGACACAGTATCAGAAGACACAATGTGAACTCCAACAGTGCCACCTTTCAGCTAAGCAACTCTTAGCTTGGTGCATTTGACCTTCAATTTCCTTAGCTGCAAAACCAAATAATTCTCTCCGGTGATACTTTACATGTAAGTAAAAAGTAAGACAATATACGTAACCATCTTTTTGTGAAACTTTAAAGCAATACATAAATATGAGGCATGCCTCTTATGAGTCTTCAGGAAAATCTCTCCTTAGCAAAACCAGGTCCTTTAGGTCACATTTCTGTTCCTGCTTCCTATTTGGGACAAAGTTCACACCTCAGGGAAACTGACGTTTCTCAGGTTGAAAGACATCTGATTCCAAGTGTCTCTGTATGCAACTAAAAACTACACTTTGATTGACTAACAGCTACCTAACTTTGAAGAAAACTGAGCTAAAATGGGACTTAGGTAATATTAAGGTGAGCCTGAGAAATATTTAATCGAGAAGTACTGCTAGGTTTTAGCTTGAAGATACAGAAATATGATATAAAAAATAAATATATTTCTCACAAAACCCCTGCAGAAGTTGCATTTATTGAGGTCAGAAGACACAATCCAAAATCTGTGGGTTACTTAAGGACCAGCTATCTGCCAAGAGAGGAAGAAAAAAAACCTCAACATCTTTCTTTCCAGATCATCTCTTCTCTTGCATAGCAACAACTTTTGTCAACTTTTATGGCCTTCTGAGAACAGAAAGTCAATGGTACATTTCCTTTTTTCAGATAAATAATATACTTCAATATATATTCTTCTCATATCAAATGACATACAGTGATGGTGGCTGACTTCTCAGGCTAGATATATAACTTGTTTGTGTTTATATATCAATCACAAATACAAAACATAACACATACATATATTTAGTTATTGAATACAGGATTATGACAGAAAGCATTAGTTGTCAATAATGGCCCAATTGAAAGAAGGGACTCACGACAATTACAGAAGACATTAGAAGCAAGGCTAGCTTCTCCCTAAATGTTATGAAATCTCTGTCCAACTCATCAAACATGGCTCCTTCAGTACCTCTTAACTGTCTTCTGATTATAGCAATTTTCATACACATATGAGAGTACTATCTCCAGTAATATTTTAACTGTTTACATTTATATGTAAATAATTAAATAACTCTGAAACTTAAAATGCCAACTGTCTAGTAGTAGCTTTTACAGATTGTGATAGTCCAAGTGCAAACTTTACATGATGATAAAAAGATAGATGTATGGATAGGTGATAATGAAGCAGCCAGAATTAAAGAGCTTATATATCTGTTCATGTTTATATGTCTATACATATTCCTATTGGGGTGGAAGGTAATTTTTAAATTACACTACTTTAGACAAGCTTCTAGTCTCTTATATGTGAGGTCAGCTATGAGATGAAACAACCATTTTCTCTCTGAACCAAAAAAAAATATATCAAACAACAGACAAGACCTTTACAAAATGATTCTTCTTACACTGCAAAACTTGTGTCTTTTTAAAAATCTTAGGTAAAAATGATTTCCAAAATTGGTTTTGGGCCCTAAAATTGTTTATGTTTATGTTCCTTACTTTAAAGTTCCTTTCTGATGTCTTTGTCTCTATGACCGGTTCCCAGAAAAATCTACTCTGTCTACTTTCTGAAGAAAATTCTACCTCCTTCAAGATGTTCTGCTTTCAAAATTATTTGATTGGGAAATAGCAATAACAGTGAGATCTATCTATACAGAATTTGCATTTAAGTTCATCACATAATATTTATGTTTTATGCAATCCTTGAAATCAAGGAAATAAATATAATCTCAGTTTTACGATGAAAGAAGGAAAGCATATGTACAATTTAAACAAAGTCAAATATAACATATAGCTAATAGACTACTTGCAAAAGAGTCTGACACACATAAAATGAGGAATCACAGGTCCTTGTTCCACTCTTCACTACAGCTGAACAAAACAAGCATTCTGGATTTCAGTTTCCTCCCGGTGACACTAATATTTGACCTGCCTGCCACAGAGGCCATGATGAGAATCAAATGAGATGACGTATTTTAAAACACCATAGTGCTTTAATTGCTTTATTATTACTCTTTAGGCAAAGACCATTATAAATTATTTTGGATTTTCAGGAAAACAGAAGCTTCCAGCCTTTACTATCAAATCCTGGAACTAGATATTTTTGGCAGCTTAAATGTATTTACTATCTGACAGAAATACCAAACTGAAGACATGGGCATAAAAGGTCTTGCTAAATTGGTCTTGCTAGAATTGGTTAAGTAAATGCTTAAGATTATGTAAGTTTTAAGACATTGGTGAGGATAGTGGGAGGACTGTAGGGAGTTGTGGACACAACTAAACCAAACTTAATAGAGTAGAAGAAGCACTAAGCAGAGTTGAGAGAGCTGGCTGAGGGTCCTAACCACCAACTTACTCTCTTTATAACTTTACATTTTAGTCATAACTCTATGGCCTTGAATTCCCTAAGCAATTGACTCAAAATTCACTTTCCTCTCCTTAAAAGAAAATGTCTTTGAATAAGAATTAAGTCTTCTGGCAACCCACTTCCCTCTCTCTGGCATTATGTATTCTGAGCAACCATTAATAGGAAAGTAAGTTAGGGCAATTATTATAAGCCTAAGTTTTTCTCCCTAAAATATTATTTTCACTTTGTCATTCTGCTGCTTAAAACTTCCAGTATTCTCACTGACCTTAAGATGAAATCCAGGAGGCTTAGGTGTCCTTATAAGGATCGTCACAATACAGCTTCAACTATCCAGTCCACATCCTCTCTTAACGCCCCAACAGTACCAGTACTGGTTAGTATTTATTTCCATTCCCTCCCCAGCCCCATGTACAATCCCTTCTCTCTATCTGATCAAATTCTAAGCATCCTTATAGTTCACTATAAAGATCTTCTGGTTCTTGAAGACTTCTTTAGCTTTCCAAACCAACCTCATTTACCAATACTTGAATTATAGCTGTTTCTTAGCCCATTTTCATACTGTTAGAAAGAACTGCCCAAGGCTGGGTAATTTAAAAAGGAAAAAGGTTTAATTGACTCAGTTCAGCATGACTGGGGAAGCCTCAGGAAACTTACAGTCATGGCGGAAGGCGAAGAGGAAACAAGGCACCTTCTTCACAAGGTGTCAAGAAGAAGTACCGACCAAAGCAGGAGGAGCCCCTTATAAACTATCAGATCTGTGAGAACTTAGTCACTATCATAAGAAAAGCCTGGAGTAAACTGCACCCATGATTCAATTACCTCCACCTGGTCCCTCCCTTGATTACAATTCAAGATGAGATTTGGGTGAGTACACAAAGCCTAACAATGTCAACTCCATCCTTCGGTTTTTGTTTTTTTTTTTTTTTGCTACTATCTGATTGTTTCATGAATATATGCCTAGGTTTTACATATAAATTACAAGCACCTGATGAAGGGATTAACTTGAAAGTACAGACAACCTTCAGAGTCATTGTAGGAAAAAGCAACAAAAGACAGAGGTAAACATAAGTATTAGTACTATCATCCTCACAGACCCTCGAAATTTCCAAAGTATTATTCTATTAGGGTGGATGACAATTTAGTTCTATTTTCTATGGAAGACATGGGATTGAGTTTCCATCTTCCAAGGCTATTTGTCTTCAGTTTAGTCTGTGCTTTCCTGAAAACGCAATAAGCAGCAGAACAGAAAGACCAAATGGTCCCTCCCATTAAAACTGTCACCAAAGCATATACACACACATCCACATTATTAAAAACAAAATAGGAGATTTGAGACTATTATAGTTTAATTTATACCAAGTGTAGGTGTGGGTAACATTTCTGAACATCTTTAGCTATTTGTCATTCATTTATTCCACTTGAACAATCTTCATCTATTGAAAGTCAGAGAGAAATGAGGTAAAAAAAAAAAAATAGAAAGTTTCACCAAATTTTAACTCTTCCTTGCAACCAATTCACAATCTTAGAGTTCTTCAGATTTAGAGGATTTTGAATTAGCTACTTCCAAATTCAGACCTTTGAATAATTAATATATGCAAAGCTTGATCGTGTTTTTCAATTGGGCTTCTTAATTGTTTTGAAGAAAATGCCAACCTGGCCAACATGGTGAAAACCCGTCTCTACTAAAAATACAAAGATTAGCCGGGCATGGTGGCACATGCCTGTAATCCCAGCTACTCGGGAGGCTGAGGCAGAAGAATTGCTTGAACCTGGGAGGTAGAGGTTGCAGTGAGCCGAGATCGTGCCACTGCACTCTAGCCTGGGTGACAGAGGCTCCATCTAAAAAAAAAAAAAAGAGAGAGACAGAAAATTATTATTGAATGAAATAGAATTAAAACTCAAGTTATAAATACTCTGTGTTTATGTCTAGCTTATCACTTAACTAAGGCATTTTATATCATGGAGATTTTACATTTTTCCACAATTTAGTGTATTTTAATTCCTACCTGTTGGAACAGATCACAGGTCAACTAGAACTCTGGTGAGAAGCGCTAGAGAGGCTAAACTTTAAAGTATTGGAAAATAATGACAAGAACTTATAAAAATATCCCATGTTGATGCCACGTTGACATATTAGAAAAGAACATTGAGATAAAAGTAGAAATTCCAAGGCAAATACAAATTCGTAAATTAGAGAACTAAGCTAAAATATATGATGGAATGCCAAAGAAATCTGTGCAAAACTAACCTGGGAGGAATATTGTATTCAAAATTGCCTATTTGTCACAAGTTGAGGTTTCTAAAAATTGTAAAAGTAGGCTCGACTTTATTCAAACTGATGATAACTACCCCACTAGGAAGGTTCTCTGAGGGCTTTCAGCTGAGATTGCTCCACCCCGGTGCTCCAATTTCAGCTGAGACAAATAGATACCTATACAAGTTTCCTCACCTGGCTCCCTCCTCCACCTGACCCTAGATTGCCTCTTCACCTCAGGTTCTTACACTCATGCTTATTTAGATTTGCTATCAGCTCCAGCTGATAGCTTTTCTTTCCAGTTGGGCTTCTCCAAGTCTGCTTTAGTGACCTGCTGTATTAGTCTGTTCTCACATTGCTATAAAGAAATATCTGAGACTGGGCAATGTATTAAGAAAAAAAAAAGGTTTAATTGGCTCACAGTTCCACCGGCTGTACAGGAAGTATGGCTGGAGAGCCCTCAGGGAGCTTTTACTCGTGGCAAAAGGCAAAGCTGGAACAGGCATTTTCATATGGCCCTGGCAGGAGGAAAAGAGAGAAGGGGGAGGTGCTACACACTTTTAAACAACCAGATCTTTTTTTTTCTTTCTTTCTTTTTTTTTATTATACTTTAAGTTTTAGGGTACATGTGCACAACGTGCAGTTTTGTTACATATGTATACATGTGCTGTGTTGGTTTGCTGCACCCATCAACTCATCATTTACATTAGGTATTTCTCCTAATGCTATCCCTCCCCCCTCCCTCCACCCCACAACAGGCCCCGGTGTTATGTTCCCCACCTTGTGTCCAAGTGTTCTCACTGTTCAATTCCTACCTATGAGTGAGAACATGTGGTGTTTGGTTTTCTGTCCTTGCGATAGTTTGCTGAGAATGATGGTTTCCAGCTTCATCCATGTCGCTACAAAGGACATGAACTCATCCTTTTTTATGGCTGCATAGTATTCCATGGTGCATATGTGCCACATTTTCCTAATCCAATCTATCATTGATGGACATTTGGGTTGGTTCCAAGTCTTTGCTATTGTGAATAGTGCTGCAATAAACATACGTGTGCATGTGTCTTTATAGTAGCATGATTTATAATCCTTTGTGTATATACCCAGTAATGGGATGGCTGGGTCAAATGGTATTTCTAGTTCTAGATCCTTGAGGAATTGCCACACTGTTAAATGACCAGATCCTGTGAGAACTCACTAACCATCATGATAACAGCACCAAAGGGATGGTTCTAAGCCATTCATGAACGATCCATGAACATGATTCAATTACCTTCCACTAGACCTCACCTCCAACATTTATGATTACAATTCGACATGAGATTTGGGTGGAGCCACAGATCCAAACCATATTACCTGCCTATTCTTTATCTGCCTGTGTTTAGCCTCTTTCATTTCAGTATGAATATCCCAAAGGAGACACATCCTGCTACCTGCCTCGTGTTATGGCAATCACCTAGCTTTACCCTCATGAAAATTGCTATTATAAAAGAATGATGTCACTAGGATGCTTTATAAAATAAAGGAACTCTTGCATTGTGTAACATTATATCACACATTTTGAAGACTTTTTAATTATTGCCAATGGCAAAATGTCCCAAAAAGTGATACAATATCATTTCCTTAAGAACAAATATTCTTGTTTCAATCCAGCCCTCAAGACCTCTCTTTTACTCATGTGTTCCCTCCAAGATATGATCTCACTTTGTTTGACTTGGCGTTATGAATGGGACCCACTAGCTTACTGTAGCAATCCAATTTTATCTTATAATATGTTTTGTAAATGGCAATTGGCCTTCTGTTTTCATTTTCTTACCATGATCATGGTATTTTGATATTGTGTAAGTTGAGTATACCTTCACAATTTCCCTCCCCCTCACCCAGGGGAAATGAATGAAATGTTCATTTGCAAAGTAGTTAACCTCATAATAAAGTTTTAAGAAATAACAGAATATATCATTATCTAATATTATATAAAATGTAATCTGAAGAAATTTTACTTTTGTGTTGCCCAATTGAAAACTAAATTTGCCTCTATTCTATGAACACTTTAGATAATGTACACAAAAACAGAGTCACACCTCCTTGTCTTTCCTGTTTCTTTCTTCAACCAGGAAATTCCTCCACTTCACGTCCATATTAAATCTTGTGTATTATTCAAACTTCAGCAAAAGTATTCTGTCCCAAAGGAAGCCTTCTTAATACCACAAAACCTTCCCGGTCTCCCACTGACAGTCTTCATTCTTTCATATTTGCCTCATGATTAAGCCCAACCTCACAATCTAGACCTCCCCCCAATAAAAACCTGTTCTGCCACTCATTACCTTAGAACTCTGTCATATAGCTGATGACAATTCAATCAAATCAGATATTTTATCTAAAAGAGAGTCAGTCAATCACTAACAGGCATTATAGTTGTGATGCTGACAGAATGAGCCCAACAGCAGCCTTCATTGCTTTAAACAAATGGATTCATGACAGGAATTTTTAGACACAATGACAGATGCAGAAGGGAATATTTTAGGGTAAATGATGACTTTGTAACTCCTTAAATGGGCCATCCATAGATGGTATCAGTGCTAACACTATCTTTCCAAAAACTTGTAGCCAACAAAACCCAGACTCTGAAATTCAAATCTTAACAGGAATTAAAATAAACAAAGAATTCAGGAAAACTATTCAAGCTCTTACAGATCTTCTGATGGACTTTTTCACTTGTAACTACTGTTTATTTGTCCTTAGAAAGAATATAGGTCTTACAATACTTTACCTTATTGGATCAACCTAGGATTAATGTTATGAGTGAGGTGCTTTTTAAAATGTTATATTATCCCCATAACTATTAAGATAGCTCTTTCTTCATTTCCATTATACTTGGACATAATTTGGATACATCTCCTTCCACATAGTGCCTCCTGAAATAAGATGGATTCCTGTCTATTTCAGTTAGTTTCATATAGATAAAAAGTGTGTGTTGTCTGCATTTAAATTCTCCAGCTATAGGCATTCCTTCTACAAAAACACATAATTGGCAAAAGGCAAACCAGGTGACATTTCGAAAAAAAATAGGAAATGGCCACCCTACCCATTTTTGTAGACATTTGTCAGATTGAAAGAAAATACTTTGCACTATGTTTAATCTTATTGACCATTTGTATGTCTTATTTGGAGAAATATCTAGCCAAGTCCTTTGCCTATTTTTTAATCAGGTTGCCAGTGTTCAGGGTTCTTGTTTTTGTTTTCTCTAAGTCTTTGTTTTTGTTTTGGTTTTTTTTTTCTTTTTCTTTTTTTCTATTGAGTTGTATGAGTTCCTATATATTTTGGAAATTAACACTTTATCAGATGTGTGGTTTACAAATATTTTCTCCCATTCTGTAGATTGCTTTTTCACTCAGTTGACTGTTTCCTTTGCTGTGTAGGAGTTTTTAGTTTCATGTCGTTCCACTTGTCTGTTTTCGTTTTTGTTGGCTGTGCTTTTGGTGCCATATTTAGGAAACTATTGCCAAGACCAATATCAAGGAGATTTCTACCATGTCTTCTTCTAACAATTTTACAGTTTCAGGTCTTATGTTTCAGTCTTTTATCCATTTTGAGTTGATTTTTTTGGACAGGACTCATCTGGTGTGAGACAAGGGTCCAATTTCATTCTTTTGCATGTGTATGTCTAGTTTTCCCAACACTATTTGTTAAAGAGACCATCTTTCCCTCATTGCATATTCTTGGCACCCTTATTGAAAACCAGTTAACTGTGTGTGTTTATCTCTTGGCTCTTTATTCTGTGCCATTGGTGTATATGTCTGTCTTTATACCAGTACCATATTGTTTTACTTACTGTTACTTTGCAATATATTTTAAAATAGGGAAGTGAGGCCTTCAGCTTTGTTCTTCTTCCTCAGAATTGTTTTGGCTGTTCAAGGTCCCTTGTGGCTCCATCTGAATTTGAAGATTTTTTTTTCTGTTAAAAAAATGTTATTGGGATTTTGATGGGGATTGCATTGAGTCTATAGATTGCTTTAGGTCATATGCACATTTTAGCAGTACTAAGTCTTCCTATACACAAACCAGGGAAGGCTTTTCATTTACTTCTATTCTATCTTCTTTAATTTGTTTCATCAAATTTTTGTAATTTTCAGTGTGCAATCTTTCACCTCCTTAGTTTAGTTTATTCTTAAGTTTGGGGGGTTTTTCTTTTCTTAATTCCTTCTTTTCTTAATTTCCTTGTCTTAATTTTCCTTTTCTTAATTTCCTTATTTTTGTATGCTAATCTTTATCCTGCAACTGTACTTATTAATTTTTTTTGAGACGGAGTCTTGCTATGTCGCCCAGGCTGGAGTGCAGTGGCATGACCTTGGCTCACCGCAAGCTCTGCCTTCCAGGTTCACGCCATTATCCTGCCTCAGCCTCCCGAGTAGCTGGGACTACAGGCGCCCACCACCACGCCTGACTCATTTTTTTGTATTTTTAGTAGAGACCAGGTTTCACCGTGTTAGCCAGGATGGTCTCAATCTCCTGACCTTGTGATCTACCCACCTCGGCCTCCCAAAGTGCTGGGATTACAGGCGTGAGCCACCTCGCCTAGCAAGGGCTTTCTACATATAAGATTATGTCATCTGCAAACAGAAAGAATATAATTTGTTCCTTCCAAATTCGGATGCCTTTTGTTTCCCCGTAATTGCTCTGGTTAGGACTTCTAGTGCTATGTTGACTAGAAGTGGTGAAAGTGGGCATGTTTGTCTTCTTTCTTATCTTAGAGGAAAAGTTTTTATTTTTTCACCATTGAATGTGATGTTAGCTATGGGATTTTCACATACGGCCTCAATTATGTTAATGTAATTTCCTTCTATTCCTGGTTTATTGAGAATTTTTATCATTTCAAGAGTGTTGAATTTTGTCAAATCCTTTTTCTGCATCTATTAAGATAAACATATGATTTTTATTCTTCATTCTATTAATCTGATGTATTACATTAATTTATTTTTTTATGTCAACCAATCCTTGCATCCCTTGCACGCATTTATGTTCATCCAGGATTTTGGCCTATAGTTTTCTTTTCTTGTGGTATTTTTGTCTGGCTTTCATAACAGGATAGTGCTGGCCTTGTAAAATGAATTGGAAGTATTTCTTCCTATTCAATCTTTTTGAAGAGTTTGAGGATTGGCATTAATTCTTGGCATGTTTGGTAGAATTTACTAGTGAAGTCAGCTAGTCTGGGCTTTTCTTTTTTGGGAGGGTTTTCATTACTGATTCCATCTTCTTATTAGTAATAGGCCTGTTCAGATTTTCTATTTCTTCAAGATTTAGTCTTGGTAAATTGTATATGTCTAGGAATTTATCCCTTTCTTCTAGGTTATCCAATTTATTGGTATATAATTGTTCATAATAGTCTCTTATGATCTTTTTTATTTCTGTGGCGTTAGTTGTAATGTCTCCTTTTTTATTTCTGACTTTATTTACCTGAGTCTTGTCTTGTTTTATTAGTTAGTCTAGCTAAAGGTTTGTCAACCTTGTTTATATTTTCAAAAACTAAACTCAATTTTTTTTATTTTTTCTATTGTTTTTCTGTACTCTATTTCATTTGTTTCTACTCTGATCTTTATTCTTTCCTTCTGCCAACTTTAGGCTTAGTTTTTCTTCTTCTAGTTCCTTTAAGTGGAACACTAATTTATATATTTGAGATCTTTCTTTTTTGATGTAGGAGCAACTTTCATTGCTATAAGTTCTCCCTTAGTACTAGTTTTGCCGCATCCCGCAAGTTTTGGTATGTTGTGTTTTCATTTTTTTGTCTCCAGGTATTTCTTAATTTCTCTTTTGATTTCTTCTTTGCATTTTTTCCTTATCTGCTTCTAAGCAATTCACATATGTGTAGTTTAATGCCTAATACAGATCACTTGAAAATTAATCTCCTATTATCTAAAATTCAATTATCTAAGACATAATTCTAAAACCTATTACAATGTTGAGTTCCACTGACTGAAAACTTGAGAGCTGGAGGATACTAGAGATCCAATTTTCTGCTTTCTTACACTTAGCAAAATTTTTTAAAAGAACAGAATATAAGCTCTTCTGTTCTTTAGATATATTCTTTCTTGTTCTCAATAGATTTTATTCTGTTATCTCTGAATAACAATGATAAAACCTGTTTTTCCTACTTTATTTCTCCTATAAAGTTTTTGTTGCTCTACCATCTATGGACAATGCGTGAGATAGTAGAGGAAGGAAACCTTATACCTGAGGTAGTAGGAAGGAAAAGAGGTTAAGGCATGAATTATCTCCTTAAACTGCACTCATATGAGGTATTTATTTTAAGTGCATAAAGTAGGTTTCAGACTATGAAAGCCATTAATATATTAAGTGCGTTTAATTCAACCTTGTTTATATAATTTTACATATCAAGATGTTGAAATCTACTTTTAGAATTTTGATAACTTAATAAAACAGTTTCTTTATACTTCCTACTGCTCATATTTTAATATTCGGTTATTAACTAAATGGTGAACAAAGCCATTTAGAAAGTTTTCATAGCTCTGATATTTTGTAAAATAAAAGCTTTGGTATTCTCCTTGCTCTACCTTCCTATGTTTTAAGTAGGATTTTCTAGGTATCTTCAAAATAACCCTACTTTTTTCTTTTCTTAAACATAATGTCCAGAGTGTTAAAAATTCATTTCCAAAATCACTTTTTACATCACAAAAAGAAAAATCTTTTCTAAAATCTATTTGATTAAAGATTTTTGCCTCCCGTCAACTGTTGGTACCATATACAACATAACTTTAGTTTGGATGCACATTCACTTAGCTCTCTCAAAGGTTGTAAGGGACCATTTTCCCCTTGAGAGACTGAATGTATTTGAAAGAGAAAAACATCAAAAGTAAGTGTGTATGGGGCAATAGTGATTTTGCCAAACTTTAACCACCTCTTCTTTCATGATGGCTAGCAAACCCTACCAGAAATGAGCCCCATAATTATTAAGATAGCAGCTTTTTTTGTTTGTTTCCTTTATTTTTTCTCCCTTTAATGATTTGCTTTATTTTTTTCAACTTTTATTTTAGAATCAGGGGAAACATGTGCCAGTTTGTTACAAAGGTATATTGTGTGATGCTGAGAACTGCAGTACAAATGAACCCATCATTCAGGTAGTGAGCGTAGTACCCAATATGCAGCTTTTCAAACCCTCCCTCCCTCATGTATTCCCCAGTTGTCTATTGTTCTTTTCTTCATGTCCCTATGTACCCAGTGTTTAGCTCCTGCTGATAAGGGAGAACATGAGGTATTTGGTTTTCTGTTTCTGCACTAGTTCACTTAGAATAATGGTTTCCAGTGGCATCCATACTGCTGCAAAGGACACGACATTCTTTTTTATGGCTGTGTGGTATTCCATAGTATATATGTATACCATATTTTCTTTATCCAGTCCACTGTTGATGGGCATCTGAATTTATTCCAAGCCTTTGCTATTGTGAATAACACTGCAATTAGCATATGGGTGCTGTATTTTTTCTTTTTGTAGAACAACCTATTTTTCTTTCAGTATATATGCAGTAATGAGAATGCTGGGTCAAATGGTAGTTCAACTCTTAGTTCTTTGAAAAATCTCCAAATTGCTAGAAAATATCCAAAATGAAGTACTGGCCTTCATTTCCTTCATACCTGGACGTAATTTGGATCTATTCCTTCCCACACAGTTTCCAGTCATGTTCCAATTTATTATTCCAATTAAGTTGACAACTATATGACTATTGGTGATGAGGAAGGTATAAACATTTAATTCTTATGATCAGATTAAAGTAAAAATAAACACATATCTGGGAGGGAAGCCATTGGATAAATTATCAATTTTATATTATTTTTCAAGTATACATTAAAACAAGCTAAATATTTCAAAATGTGAAAAGATGGGAGATTTGGGCCTGGCATGTGACAAGGTTAAAATAAACATTTGTTGAAAGCATAAATTAAATATAAACCAACATAGTCACAGAAGAGATCCCCAAATAACACAAAACCAAAAAAAGATGTCAGGGACAGCACATTTTCTCTCTCCAACCTACTAACTTCAGTGACCAAATCTCCTTTCCTTCAATGCCTTATTTTTCTACGCTCCCTTACAGCTTATTTTTGCTAGTTGTCTGTACTTATTGTTGCTAACTCACTACCTCTCATCTATTTTATAACTTTTTTTTTTACTGTGAGGCAGTTTCCCTGTATATCCCAAACTAAGCTAAGGTGGCCACGGTAGAGGAGCAATGGTACCAGGGCAGATGTAGGCAGAGAGAGGGCCTGGGATACTACAAATATACCTGGAGTTTCTTTCTGCCTCCATGCAGTGACCCAAAGAATCTCCTAGTGAGCTAGTCACCACAGATGGAGTGGCCCTGCAGCTGGCGATGTAAGCTTCCCCAGCTGGGGGCTGCCTTAGTCTGTTTGTGCTGCTAAAAGAAAATACCTGATGCTGGGTCACTTATTAAAAACAAATTTATTTTCTCACCATCCCGGAGGCTGGGAAGTCCAAGATCAAGTTGCCAGCAGGTTCAGTTGTCTAATTACGGCTGTATCCTCTGGAGGGGAGACAGGTTGTGTTCTTACTTGGCATAATGTAGAAGGGCAAACCAGCTGGGTGCATGGCTGCATGAGGCCTTTTTATAGGCTTAATCCCATTAATAAGGAGAGAAGCCCTCCTGACCTAATCACCTCATGAAGGTCCTGTTCCACCTCTTAATATTATCACATTGGCAACATCTGAATTTTGGAAAAGACATATTCAAACATTGGAGGGGCCACATAGGAGTCACAGCAAGATCGCAGGCAACTCAGAGGGAAAACCAGTGGGAAGGAATCACTGTGTACTGACAAGGCTAAGAGAACAAACCCCAGATGACAGCATTAACATTGCAGGAGCAACATGGTGACAGCAGATACAGCAACACAGAGGAAGCTACGCATATGCCAAGCAAGAGGGGATCCTCAGTGGAGGGCAGCAAGGCACTGAGGACAGCAAATGGACCAGAGGCTCCTCCCCTAATGCCATGGAGTTAAATAAGAACAATGTGACCTGTTGAGTAAAGGCACCCTGTATCCAGAATCAGAAGGAAAATTAGGGAGAGAGAAACCCTGAAAGCTTGAGTATTTATTTACTCAAAAAAGTCTGAGGTAATTTGGATAGGACTGAGGAAAGTGGAAGAACTGTTACCTTTAAAGAGAAAGATTAATCACAGGGACCACACAAGACAGGGCTCAGGGGTAAGGTGAATTCACTCACAGAGAATAAAGGACATTATATGTGTGCAAGCCTGAGTCATGACTACAAGTATTAAACCCAAAATCGAGAGACTAGAACCTGAAGAATTCCGTATTTCACACCTTCCTCTGCCACATGAAGCCCCACAGAGGCTGAGCAGTAAAAGCTCAAGTGACCAACAGAAATATCCCCTCCAGAAATGACAAACTGATGCTATACAATTCTCTAATTTTAGAGAAGGAAAATAGGGATGCAGGAAAAATTAATGATTAGCTTAATTAAATGCTATGGTTCTATGTATTCAACCTATCAGCCACAGAAATAAAAATCTAAATTTGTTTTTCCAGCTACCACCAATATATGGGGAGAATGGGAAGCAGACATTAAGTCCTGAGGCCATGAAAGTTCAAGAAAAGAATACAGTTAAATCTTCAGTCGGACCATAATTAAAATTAGTTTTGAACCTGAGTTTCATATTTATTTTATTAAATAATGAGCTCTCTCCCAGATAAGTGAGTTCTAATCATTCAAGAGGAATTTATTGAGAATGTAATTCTGATCAATTCACTGTATTCCAATTAAGTATTTACTGAGAATTAGCTGGGTGGCAGCCATTGTGCTAAATGGTGGGAGTAGAGCAGTGAGCTAGACCAACAGAGTCAATACCCTCAGGCCTGAAGTGGGAGAGTGAGCTACATCAATACAGTCACTACCCCCCATGGGTAACTAATAAAACTGAAAATATAGAAGAGATAAATTGTCACAGTAAAAAGGTATAGTATATCTATCATTGTACTTGATTTGATTAGGGAATTTGAGATTTCTGAAATTTCTTGATTGGTTACTTCTATCTTTTAAGGATTTAGAAAATGAATAAATGAGAAAAAATTAGAGTACATGGGTCACTGATGAAAATAAATTTGGATTTTAAATCATTAATGGGCCTTCAAAATGTAATAGTCATAGCAAGACCTATTTTATCTCACCAACTGTCTTCTGCGTTATACACAAATCAGCCTACAGATACACTCTACATGAGAGGTTCTTAAACACATGGTCTTAAGACCCTTTTAAACTCTTAAAAATTGAATACCCCAAAGAGCTTTGTGTTCACGTGGATTTCATTTATTGATTTTTACTGTAGTAGAAAGTAAAACTGTCTATGGCCATACTACCCTAAACATGCCCAATCTCATCCAGAAAGTAAAACTGAGAAGTTTAAAAATACTTACTACTTTAATATTTGTTATGTAATATTGTTACTATTAATATTATAACATAAATTATTGTCAAATGTTTATTAATTTTAAAATAACAATAAATACAGAAATCTCTATATTGTCTAAAACAAAAAAGTGAGAACAGCATTTGATTTCTGTTTTTCAGAACTTTATTATCTGACTTAACAGAAGTCAGCTGAAGTCTCATATCTGCTTCACCATTCAACATGTTGTGATATAGTATTTTTGTTGAAGTCAATGGAGAAAATCCAGCCTTGCAGAGCTATGTAAATGGAAAAGGAAAAATCTTATAAACTTCCTGAGAGGAGCTTGTGGACTCCCAGGAGTCCTCAAACCACACTTTGGAAACCACTGCTGTGCACATTCCCTCGGCTTTGGATTTAGGTGTTTAACCTGTCTCTTCAAAGGAATCCCAACTTTCCTTGACCAGGAAAGAGCAGTCTTGAATCCTCAATAAAGGGAGAGGCCAGCCTCAACCATACTGGGGCTGTTATCTCTAGCTTGAAGAAAAATTCTAAAATGGTGGTTAGTAGAGTGTATTAGTCTGTTTTCATACTGCTAATAAAGACATACCCGAGACTGAGTAATTTATAAAGGAGAGAGGTTTGATGGACTCACTGTTTCACATAGCTGGGGAGGCCTCACAATCATGGCAGAAGACAAAGGAAGAGCAAAGGGACTTCTTATATGGTGTCAAGCAAGAGAGAATGAGAGACAAGTGAAAGGGGAAATCCCTTCTAAAACCATCAGAACTTGTGAAAATTATTCACTACCTTAAGAACAGTATGGGGGAAAACACCCCCATGATTCAATTATCTCCTGCACGATCCCTCCCACAACACATGGGAATTATGAGAGCTACAATTCAAGATGAGATTTGGGTGGGGGCACAGCCAAACCATATCATAGAGGATACTTAAACTATTCTAAAGCAAGAAAAAAAAGCACTGAAGGATGAGCAATAAAATCAAATAAAGGGAAATCAGGATAGAAGAATTAAAAAAGCATAAAATTAAATACGGGTAGAGACAGTTGAACAAATATGGTAGTCAAAGGTAAAAGGGAATGAGAGATAGTAGTAAGTGAACGTCTGTCACATGCCCCAAATTTTCTAAATACCTCTTCCACCTTTGGAAATGTTTGTGAATTCTTCCTCCCAAACATAAAAATGCAAACACTATTTTATTCATCTTTTCTTATTGCTTAAGTGATGACAGATAACTTAAATCCCACCATTAGATGCACTTGTGAAAGACTTTAATTTAGAACTGAAGTACACGGAGAGATGGTAACAGCATCTAGCTAGGTGGATAACAGCTGTGTTGTGCTGTCCTGGAGTCCCCAGGTATTGCAACAGCTCCTGATTCAGCAGCTTAGTGGTCATGAAAGGCATCACATGCTTCTGGAGCTGACAGCTGGTGTGGTAGTGGAAACTTCCTGGTCTTTGCAGAGGTAGCAGATGGTTCTGTCAGTCTCGGAAATTCAACCTGTATCAGTTAGGTTCCCAATAGGAAAACAGTTGATACACTCAGAAAGGTTTAGTTGTGGAGAATTTATTAGAAAAACTATTGCAGAAATATGGAAAAATTTCAGGGAAATGAAAATGGCTGGTTAAGCAGCCAGGGACTAACCACCCTTAGGTCTGAAAGGACAAGAAAGGTAATAGAATTCCTGGATCCCAGGGAAAGCTGAGGCCAGAAAGAGACCACCTGACAGAAAATATAGGCTTAAAGGAATCCAGCCATTGCCAGAACCACAGGCAAGGAATAAACACTTAATCTCTTTCTGAATTCTGATTCTTTTAATTATGCTTCCTATTGGATGAACCCAACTGGAAGCCAAGGTTCTAAGAGCCCAGCTCATGAAGTCTATGAAAGTCTATGTCCTGGGGCACATCAGGGCAAAGAAGAATTGGGCAGTAGTGAGCAGGTAGATAGCAGTGGAAAATAACCATCACACAGCCTATCGTCTGTTTATTCATGCTGAGCTCTCTATGTCCCTTAATAAATCTATTTAAGGCCAGTTTCGGTGGCTCACAGCTGTAATCCCAGCACTATGGGAGGCTGAGGTGGGCAGATCACAAGGTCAAGAGATCAAGACCATCCTGGCCAATATGGTGAAATCCCGTCTCTACTAAAAATACAAAAAAAATTAGCTGGGTGTGGTGGCCACTTGGGAGGCTGAGGCAGGAGAATTGCTTGAACCTGGGAGGCAGAGGTTGCAGTGAGCCAAGATCGCACCACTGCACTCAAACTGTGAGTCCAAACTGTGTTATTTCCCCATTTCCTAAGACTACAGTTGGAAGGGACCCCCACAATGGTTCTCTGAACTATATATAGGAACTGTTTGGTTGGAAGGGCCAGGAGAAGCCCTGGTTGCTCCTCCCTCACATTTTACTAGAGTACTGATCAAAAGCAATACCATGTCCTTGCGGGAATCAATAGCACTCCAACGTCAAGTAGAGATCATAAGTATAAAGCCACCGTCAAATACTTGAAAGATGTAGTAATAGTGAACTTATCATATCCCTGATTAACTTGTCTGTGTAGTTCAAAAGACAGATGGGTTTTGGAGAAAAGCAAATTTTGTTTGGTAATTAATATTAACTGCCTCAATTTTACCTACTTTCTCAGAGATGGTGGGTGCTTTTACTAAAACAAGTCCATCTAACCCCTGGAACAAGGTATATAACTACTGATCTAGCTATCCTTTCTTTTCTTTTTGCAATAAACAGAAAATACAGAGTAGATTTGCTTTTACTTGGCATGGCTATATATGCTCTTAATCTCTATGCCATAATTTATCCTTAGGCCCTTTGGTCCCTCACCATCCCCGAGGACACAAATATGTTCAACTATCCTCCTGGCAGGACCTGGTGGATAGGAAAAAAAAAAGTTACTTTGTTTGCCCTGGGAAAATGTGTTTATAGAGAATAAGACAAAAATTCCACAAAATCAAAGAACTTCTGTGCTCACTGACATTTTTGGAGGCCCAGTCCTATGAAGTGTATCAATATGTCTTCTCCATAGTAAAATAAAAGAAGCCAAATTTGTATCTCCTACCAGTAGGATAGGGTACTTGTTAGGCCTCTTTAGATTTTAAAAAGAGCATGTAAGCTATGTGGATATTACTAAGTAAGCTGTAAGATTTCTCAGATTTTGAGAGCAAAAGATAACTTTCTAGTGGGTTTTTCCTTCTAAAGAAGTCTTTCTGCCACTTTCTTTCCAAGCCCTGATAAATACAATACTGCATATAATGTCTGTGGCAGGTCAAGATGTTGTATGAATCCTGAGCTGAACCCTGGTACAAGAATCACATAAGAGGCCCTCTTCAGCAAGCAACTATCTTTCTTTAAATTATTCTTTTAAGAAATAGTCTTGAGATCGTTACTAGCTCCTGTAGATACAACTTGAGACCCCTTCACAAATTTGGTATTGTCTGATCCAACAACCTATAAAGTTAGGGAAAGTCAGTAGCACTCCAGCATCAAGTAGAAGTTATAGTCAAAGAATCGTCACTGGGACTCCCTATGAAGAGTTATCTGGGAAGAAATATTCAAGCCTGGTTAGAGAATATTCTTCCAGGCATGCTGGTTTCAGAAGGAAGGGGACTGCTACAATATTGAAGCCTTACTCAGGATGGAAAAAGAAGAATGTGACATATTTGAATATGTAACAGAAATTGGGGGGATTGTGTGTCCTGCTAAATTCTACTTGCTTCTGGCCCAAATTCCTTCTTGTACAAATCTAAAACTAATATAGCCCTCTTTGGGGCATGACACTTGGAAAAACTTTCTCATATTCACAGATTTGTCCCCATGTCATGACAAACAAATGTATTCACAAAAAGCTTTTACTATTTGAGAACAAAATAATAGGTCACAATAACTTTGGAAGAAAAGATTGATTAAACTAGATAATTCTCACTTGTAGTTTCTAAAGACAAAATTTTTAAAGTAATTTAATGTTATTAAAATATAAAGACAATATTATTCTTCTAGGAGCTGCAAATACAAGAAATCCCCTTAAGCAGAAACCCACTTTTGTTGATAAAAGTCTTTATCTTGGAGTAAGAATCTGTGCAAAGCCTGACTATCTGCTAATGTGAAGATTTTGGACACAAAAAGAAATTTGTGGTGTCTGGAGAAGGAGAAAAAAGAAAAGAGAGAAAATGACAGAAGAGACAAAGTAGAAGTCAAAGGGTTGGTGAGGGGCTATCTTAGTCTATTTGCACTAATATAACAAAATACCTGAGACTGGGTCATGTATAAAGAGCAGAAAATTATTTTCTCACACTTCTGGAGGTTGAGAAATCCAAGATTAAGACGCCAGCAGGTTCAGTTGTCTGGTAAGGGCTGCATCCATTGGAGAGGAAGAATGCTGTGGCATCAAGCCTTTTTATAAGAGCATCTTATCCTACTAATGAGGGAAGAGGCTTCGTGGCGTAATTACCTCTTACAGGTCCCTCCTCTTAGTATCATATGGCAAACCCTGCCTTTTGGAAAGATCACACTCAAACTATAGCAAGGCTTATTTTTGAAAATAAGTAAACATTTATATCAATTCAAAACATAATAAATCAGGCCACATATAACAATAAAGATTTCATAGATGGAGAAGACAGACCATAACAGGTAAAACTTGGGATGTTTCTGATGTTTTGAAAGACCTGTGGCTTCCACAAGCCATGGTGTTATTAGTTCAAGTCAAGTTTATATATCTTGAGGGTGGGAGGCCTGAACTGAAAATTAGCTTATAAAAAATTTATAAATAATAAATGTTAAGCCAAAATATTGCAAAGGAAAACTAAATCTTGTAAAAGATCATTCTTTTAACCTCATCCTTAACATTTAATGACTGGAGAGATGAAGAGTTTTCCTGTTTCAGTTCCCACATTCTAAGGCATCCTATCTCTAGGATATATGTGTCATGGTCCCAGTTCTCCTTCTCTAGAAATTCTAAGTGCTTTGCATTGACCCTTCCAGAATTCATCTTCCCTCAACCTCATACTTTTGTTGTCAGCCACTGGTTTAGAGAAAGAGGTTGAGGATAGTCAAAATAATTGTATCCATTCCCATGGCATCATCACATTTTTTCTGTTATCTCCTTTTCTAGACATCTTCAGCCATCTCTCTTTCTAGCATTCCAGTCACAAATATTTGGCTGAAATTTAGGCAAGGCTTAATGCCCCACTGCTTACACAAATGGAGAACTTGGAGGCTGGGGCTCACAGACACCCTTGGATAACCAACTACAAGACCAGAAATGAAGGGAAACACTGAGTGTAGAGGACCCCAGTGTGAGAAATGACAAATAATGAAAGAATGAAGCCTTCTAGGAAGCTATCTAGAAGAGAATCACAGAAGGGGGCTAAAGGGTAATAGACACAGTACTATTCACATTTCATAGAGAGCTAAGTCCGGTTGTAATTAGGATTCTGTTTTTAAAGATATCTTCAACCTTATGGCTTCCTTGGTATTTGCTTTTTTGAATTAACCAGTATTTTTCTTTCTCTTTAAGATACTAGCAGTAACATTCCTGTAAAGATAAAATAATATTTGGGAGTTAATTTTGAAGGAAAAGAAAAAGCTGCATGTTAAGTTTCATGGTGGCTCTCAAAACCAAAAACCCAGGTGGATCATAGTGCTGGCTTAAAATGAAAGCTACATCAGTCAAATCCTTTGGGAACTGTGTAAAAAGAAAAGAAAAAAGGCAGAAATAAAGGTGATGAAAAGCCAATTAAGGAAATACATTCACCCTGAGATTTTAATGGGCAGGAAACCTTGTGATCTTTGCTTTTGATGACATGTGCTGTTAAAGAGCACCCGTAGATTCGTAAATATGGCAGTGGCCAAACAATTAATGAATCAGAATCCAAGCACCTAGCTCTGCCACTTGGAGCTTACAGTGAGTTATATAACTATAGCAAGCTTCAGTTTCCTCATTCAAAAAATAAAAATATAGAACCAAATGTTGTCCCATTAATTCACACATGTACAATGTTTCTCTGCTAGAAGGTCCTTTCCAGTGGGCAATGCTGGCATTTGCAGTAAGAACCATATGGATTGCCATATAGTCTCTTGTATATTGCTTCACTTCTCTGAACACTAATTCATCCTCTCTGTAACTGAGATTTCCCGATCTTCTTCATAGAGTTGTTCAGAAATATCAGTGCTTATCACAGTAACTAGAATCTGGTAGGTACTCAGTAAATGTTAGTTCTCTTCCCTAGATTTGATCATTGGCCTTGAAAACATTTTAATAAATGACTTAAGTGAGTTTGCACTGGCGCCTGCCGCCTTCCTTAGAGGCCTGAGCAAATGATGAATTTTTTTTTTTTTTTTGCCTTGTGAATTACTACATCTCAGTTTAAATCGGCAACATATTAGTTAAAACAACTCATCTCACCTTAAAATTCTTCTACAGTTTGAAGTTCAGGACTAGGATATTGCATTATAATCCATACACAGTCTTGAATTTAATGACAAAAAAGAAAGAAAATCTATAGACCAAAGAATAATACTGAAGAAAAAAATAATATTTGAAAAGGGTTTAATAATAGACTTCTAGTTTCTTTCTCTGTTTTTCTTTCCTGTCACTTAACTAAAGCTATATCTGCAAGAGTCACAGATATCCAGACTCCCAAAAATCAAATTAAAAATACCCCAGAATCTTTGCTTTCTTTTTATACTTGAATGCCTCTCACTTCTATTTGCAGAGATGCTGCCTTTCTTTCCTGTGGCAGAGCCTTTTGCTTCAAAGGAAGCTCATTTACGCTATTAGCAACCCCACTAAATCAATAATTCTCTCCCTCACTCTTTTGCAATGTTTTGTTTCTTCAATTCACACTGAGACCTGCACGAAGTTGTGGAAACTGCTCTTTCCCAGGGAGATTAACATGAATTCATCTTGAAGTCCTAACTGTGTTCTGGCTATTTAATGCTGTACATTTATAACCTTTGTCTTCCTTCTTTAAGCTGCAGTTTCTTTGTGTTATCACAGAGATAGGAAAACTGACACAGGAAATGCATAACACATGTTAGACTCCAAGACCTCTCTCCATATGGGCTCAGTTCTGATTTCCTCTGTTTCCTATATGGCACTGAGACAAATGCCTGGACACAGGGTTTTTTCTTCCTAAAGACTCACCCAGAAGTTCTGCTATTAATCATCAATCCGTTCCTCAAAATAACTTGGCATAGCTAAACCTAGCAAAGTAAGGAAGATCTGACATATGGTGAAGTTCTCCAACAGCAATTGTGGGATTACAAGATAACAGCCACAAATCTGTGTGCATGGCTATTTTACATAGCTCAAGACTTCTTGAGGGGGAGTAAATACCCAAACACTGCTGATGACACCCACTTCCAAATTTCCAGCCAGTGCTCTGCATAATGTAGGTGTTTAATCCAGGTTCGTGGATGATGATTAAAATAATTCATGATTCTGTCCTGCATGAAGAGCATAGACTAAGCTTTCTTCTCTAACAGTAATTCAAATCCATGATCCTACATTTCCCACTAAGCCAGCCTAGGAAGAAACCACAGTGAGAAAGTGAATTCTAGGGCTTAACAAAAACTGAGGTTTTTAAAATTCTCTTTCTATAATATTTAAGGGAATGTAATCAAACCACCAAATATAAAAGGAATTAATTGTGTAATCTACCATTACCACTAAAAAGAAAGAGGCAAGAAGAAAATTCGACTACAATAAAAGGTACAATTATTTCAATTTCATCTCTTTTCAAAATGAACATTCTTTCACATCAGACATCTGCAATTTAGTACAAATTTGCTCCCTAAAATAGTATCAATTACAAAACTTTAACCTAAAAATGATGAAATAACATTTGCAAGTTATTTAATGGTATTTATAAATTTAAGAATGATAAAGTTATCTGATTGGTAATGTTGTGTCTTTATTGTTAATCCAGTTATTATCAAGAACATTATGGACATAGATGATGATAGATAGATAGATAGATAGATAGATAGATAGATAGATAGACAGATAGATAGATAGATGATAGATAGATAATGTCTGTGTATAGAGAGTCTAGGTGTGTAGATAAATTGCTTCTTTCCCAGAACCATAAATACCCAAAAAGAAATCTTTTTTATATAATCATGCCTTTGCCTTTTGAATTTCTGTGAGTGCCTATAATCATGTAAGGTCCAAAAAGGTAATCAATTGACCTTATCATTGTGTTGATCCTTCCAGTTTGTGCCCAAGTATTTGTAATCACTTTAACATCCCATTAAGGAAATTGTCATTAATTCCTCCCATGGACCTTAAATTTAGAGAGGAAGATCAAATTTGCTTCTCAAATTGAGACCCATTATGGTCCAGTAAGCCTGTCTCTCACAGGCAGGATGGAGGCAAAAAGTTTTTGATAGCAGACGGGCATAGCCTCACCAGAGTGGTCATCAAGAAATCTGTAACTAGGATCAGCATAATAGAATGTCTACTGTGGAGTGCAGGAGTTCCTTTCTGCAAGAGCTGATTGTTAAATATTTAAGAATTACAGCTTATCTCAGGTATGATGGAATTATTTACGCCTTAAAAACAGGCAAATGCTACAAGTCTGGGCTTTTGTTGTTGTCACTGTTTTTGTGATCATTGAAACAGACAGTTTATCAGCACACCAATGCATGTAGTACAGCACAGAGTCAGCAATCCATATAAGAGCATTCTAATTTAGAAGCCAGCACTGCAA
Source organism: Homo sapiens (assembly GCF_000001405.40). Classification (NCBI taxonomy): domain Eukaryota; kingdom Metazoa; phylum Chordata; class Mammalia; order Primates; family Hominidae; genus Homo; species Homo sapiens. Next base: position 76,223,539 of record NC_000006.12, on the reverse strand, counting down.
TTCCTTCAAAGAAATGGCACCACACTATGTAGCTGGGGCCTTTTATCGCAGACTGCCTAGGCTATTCATGTTACTCCACCCAAAATACTTTATTAACCATTATATAGCTAAGTTTACAACTGATTCTTTAAGGTTCATTAGACAGTAAACAATAAAATGTACATTTTTATAGGGGTTACAATAAGCATCTGTGTAATAATCTCAAAGTCTACTTCAAAATTTTTAATACTTGAGTTATAATTCATCTGTGTTTATTTCCTAGAACGAAAGTATTTTTAATTAAAATAAAAATGATTAATGATATTTTACCTTTACTACACAGACTCAATAAGCCTATCAAAAGAGTAATCATTAGTACTACTGTTGAGTACCTACTATGTGCAAGATAATTTTTATCACATTCCACCACAATGAGTAAGAAATTATTATCCCCATTTTATAGCAGCAAAACTAAGGTTTCAGGACTTTAACTTATCTAAAGTTTCACAACAAGTAGAGTCCAAGTTGGGATTAGAACTCTGACTCCAAAGCTCATTCTTTTAGCCACTATATTTTATTGCATTTTGTGCATGCATGGTTCTTATATACTCAGGCACACACAAATGTTTCTTTTCACCAGCTTAAAATCTTCATAACTGTTTGCTGAGCTAACCATAGAATTATTGACATGTCCATAGGTCATTTATATTGATGGCCTTTGAGAGTTTTTGCTAAACCGAGTTGTTCATTTTAGTGCACCCATCAACTAAATATTTGGTGTCACAATTGCCACAATATTAAACATGTGCAAACTCCTTCATTATATAGTTATATCACAGTTCAAAAATTTCCCTGCCTTTCACAGCAGCCATACTCTGCAATGAAATTTCAATTGGTGCCAATGGTTCTATATACTAAATATGTTTCTTTTAAAGTAAGCATTTCCATTGATCCAAAACAAAATAAAAAGCATCTAAACTCATAATTTCCTGTTAGTTTTTATATCTAAAAATTGAATCCTATTATTTAAATTAATCTGATCCAACAATTTATATATCACTTTTGTCCTCATCTCTATCAGTAAGGTGAAATTCTACACATTTAGAATGAAGAGTGTTCTTGGAAATAACGCCAAGAGATAGCTGACAGATTTCCACAACAGCAATCGACAGGAAAATATCAATTACTTTCTGAAGCTGACAAATCTAATAGTCCCTGCTATGTTGAGAAATGTCTTATAAATGTTGGAGAAGGAAGAGCTTAAACCTTGGGAAGTCACTGAAAGTACAACCTTATAATCATCACATTTTGAGAAGAGAAATGTCATGGGATTTCAGGGACATTATTAATGCTGTGGGCAGACTTACTATTGGTTCACAAATATTCATTAGCCCTTCTCCTAAATCCTGAGTTCTCTTGAAATTGGAAAACCCTTACCCTGCCCATTTATTTTCAAGTAATCCCAAAAGAAAAATTTTATTGGATGAATTTTGAGGATGAATAAGAGAGTTTAGATGGTTATCAGCATACAACTTGTTTTACCCAGGTGAGTGCATCACTTTGTTTACAAATTTCAACTGTAATGGCAAAAATGAAAAAGAAAAATGACAAAAGAAAAACAGGGCAGTTTGCACCAGTTAAATCATGAAATGGGCTGAAATGATTAAATGGATTTTAAAGGATGTTGCTTCAACAGCCATATCATACAATACTTGGAAATGGCTAGTGGTTATAGAAATCGTAGGTATATGAAAATGAATGGGGGAGGAATTTTATGAAGGGTGCATTTTAATGGAAGTGTGATGTTAGCTTTAGCTCTTTAGTTCAAAGCCACTCTTTCACTTTCAAGAATAACAATTTGACTCAACTTCACTTTCATTTTCAGTGAGAAGTATTTCATTATCTCACATTTGTAAAAAAAAAAAAAATTATATTGAAAACTCAATTACTTTGCTCAATTGGGATTACCTCCCTAGATGTAATGGTGCATTACCATAAGACCATGGACTCAAATCAGAAGCTTCTCAGAGATTATAAGAAAATATATTTATTTCATTAATACAGAGGTGAATCTGAAACCATGTAATATCCACTTAAATTAGCTCTGCATTTCTCCCAATAGCAACATATATTTCTAGTGTTCATTGATTTCCCACAAGAAATTATACATGCATCTTGTTGAAGAACAGTCTGATTTTTTAATTTTTTTCATTATAACAACTCAAGAGTTTACACTAGATTTATTTTCAGGGTCCCTTCCAGGGCTATATTTCAATGACCGTATGTTTATATTATATGCATTTCCATATTTATACTGAATTCACCCACAAGAATGCTGTGTACACTCAAGTGTCTTATACACTTTTGCTATTTTTCTTCTAATATTTTCCTGATTTTATGTGATAACAATATTCCACTTTGTTCTTTTTCTAACGAGTTTGACAATGAATCTTATGCTAATGACACCTGTTCTTAAATAATTACTCTCATAAACAGTGGCCCACTCTTCCTGCTCAACAAATGCACTGCTGCATCTGTGAAATCACATTCGTTGTCATGACAACAGAGGTGGCCAAAAAGGAAAAGAGGCAAAGCTTTTGTATAACATCAAGTAGAAACAGCATGTAATTTCTTAAAGTTGTTATTCAAATTAGATTTCATGATCCATTTCAAGAAAAAAGAAAGAAGTGTGTAACTTTTCCGATTTCTTTTCTCTCATAGGTTAATTGCTCCAGAAAAACATCTCTGTACAAGATAAAATAATTTATCAAATTCAATTTTATAAGCTTCATTGGCATATGTAGCATAGCCTGACAGTGAATATAAAACAGAAGTGATGTAACACTGGATGTGAGTGTTTAGTAAAAAGGAGACTAATCCAAATTATTCTCTGATAACCAGAACCTAGTTTTACCCACTTCGTTCAAATTTATGAGGTAGCAAGAAGAAAGGATTTTATGTAGATGTGTTTTGCTATCTGTCAGCACATAATGTCCTCAAAATTAGATCCCAGCACGGCTTCCAGTATGTGTGGGTAAAACCAAAATGATTGACATGGAGATCTCACTGGGCTCACAGACAAGGACCCTTCACTGTGCAGTTGAAGTAGCTTTTCTTACAGTTGACTTTTCTCCACTCTGCCTCATAGATCCCAAAGGATTCTGAAGCCTTTGATAAGTAAATAGAGTCAAGGCCAGAATCTAAATAAAAATGACAAAATCCCTCTGTGGAAATGTGGACTGACAAAAGTGAATAAATATAAAATAAAAATAAAAGGGCCTGGGGGTTGTCACTGATCTCTGCTGAAGAGGCAGAGATGATAAGCCAGGGGGAAACGAAGTATAGAAATCAGGAGAAGGAGCAGTTAAGAACTGTGAGAGAAGTGTTTGACACTCTTGAAGTCAGTTCTGTAACGAATAAACAGAACAGCATGTATCAAACTGAGTAACGGAATTTGGGATAAATACAGCAAGTAAAGAAAACTACATAGGTTACACAACTCAGGGTCTTACCAGAATATAAGTAATTTTTACTCACACACTAACAATGCCAAAGTACCAAGGCCAAAGTTATGAGTTATTACAATCAGTGACTTTTCTTGCTCTGAGAATAGTAAAAACACAAGTCAGTTATTATCTGGGCACTACTGGTTACTCTTGCAGAGCTTTGGTCCCTTGTGGTTAACTAACTTTTATCTCCGTGGATATCCTGAATTGTCTGGGGTTTTTTTCAGTAGACTCTTTTCTAGAGCAGTTTTAGGTTTAAAGCAAAATTGAGCACAAAGTACGGAGATTTCCCACATATCCCCAGCTCCTACATACACACAGCCTTCTCCACTATAAACAACCCCACCCAGGTGGTACATGTGCTACAATCAATGGACCTACATTGACACATCATTGTCACACAGAGCCCATAGTTTACATTAGATTCACTGTTGGCGTGGTACATGCCATGGGTTTAGACAAATGTGTGACATGTATCTACCATTACAGCATCATGCACAGTAGTTTCACTGCCCGTAAAATCCTCTGTGCTCTAAGTACTCATCACTCCTCCCTCAACCCCTGTCAACCATGGATATTTTTATTATCTCCATAGTTTTACCTTCTACTGAATGTCATATTTTAGGATCATATGGTAGGTATCCTTTTCAGATTGGCTTCTTTCACTTAGAACTATGCATTTCAATTTCCTTCATGTCTTTTCATGGCCTGATACTCATTTTTTACATCCATTGTCTGAATGTACCAGAGCTTACTGACCCATTCATCTACTGAAGGATATCTTGGTTGCTTCAAATTTTGGGCAATTATGAATAAGGCCACTATAAACATCTGTGTGCGGGTTTTTGTGTGGACATAAGTTTTCAACTTTTTCAGACAGATACCAAGAAGCATGATTGCTGGATCTCGTATGGTAAGAATATGTTTAGTTTTGTAAAAGATTGCCAAACTGTCTTCCAACGTGCCTGTACCATTTTGCATTCCAGTCAGCAATGAATGGACTTTCTGTTGCTCAATATCCTTCCCAGCATTTGGTGTTGTCAGTATTCTGGATTTTGACCATTTTAATAGGCATATAGTAGTATATCATTGTTGTTTTAATTTGCATTTCCCTGATGACATTTGATGTGGAGCATCTTTTCATATGCACTTTTTTTTTTTTTTTTGAGGCACAGTCTCTCTCTGTCACCAAGGCTGGAGTGCAGTGGGACCTTGGCTCACTGCAGCCTCTGCCTCTCAGGTTTAAGTAATTCTCGTGCCTCAGCCTCCCAAGTAGCTGGGACTACAGGGATGCACCACCATGCTCAGCTAATTTTTGTATTTTTAGTAGAGACAAGGTTTGGCCATGTTGGCCAGGCTGGTCTCTAAATCCTGACCTCAAGTGATCTGCCTGCCTTGGTCTCCCAAAGTGCTGGGATTACAGGCCTGAGCCACCACGCCCAGCCTCATATGCTTATTTGCCATCTGTGTATCTCCTTTGGCTTCCTGTGGTTTGTGTGTGTGTGTGTGTGTGCGCGCGCGTGCTCGCGCTAAATGTTTACCAAAAGATTGCACCCAAGGTCCATCCTGAGACCAAACAAGCTAGATAGAAATCTATAACTTTGCAGCAATAAAGCGCCTCTAAGAGCAAACCCATCCCAGGAAAGAGAAGCTTACCCAGGCACAAAGATCCCTGGTCACCAGAAAAGGGGGTAGATTCTGAGGATAACCTGGAGTCCACCACTCCAACTGGTCTCCAGGCTCCTGCGGACTCCTATCTGCACTGTCAAGCTCCTAAACATCCCTACCCAAGTGGTACATTTGTTACAATCAATGGACCTACTAGGCTTATCTCTGAAAATACGGAGATGAGAGAGAGGAGTATACTTACTGAACTATTGAAACTTAAAATCTGACACAGAAGCTAGGTACTACACAGTGTGCTACAAGTGAGATCAATGTGTGAGGGACTGCAGGGAGCTGTAAGAGTATTCAACAGGAAGGCTGCTATGGTTTGAATATTGGTTTCCCTCCAAAATTTATTTGTTGCAATCTAATATTCAATGTGATAGTATTAAGAGCTGAGGCCTTTGGGAAGGGTCTTGGGAAGTCATTGGGGCTCCATCCTCATAAATGGAATTAGTGTCCTTATAAAAGTTTCTTGAAGGAGGTCCCTGGCTCCTTAAGCCATGTGAAGAAACAGCAACAAAGTGTCACCTTTGAAGTAGAGAGCAAATTCTCACCAGACACTGAATCTGCTGGTACCTTGATCCTGGAAGTACCAGCCTCCAGAGCTATGAGTAACACATTTCTGTTGTTTGCAAATTACCTAGTCTATGTCATTTTGCTATAGCAACCCAAAGGGACTAAGACAGAGACCTAACCTAAGGAAGTCAAAGGAAGCGTTTCTGGAGAAGAGACGATGAAATTGAGATTTAGACAGGCAGGGTCCAGAGGTGAAGGGTGGAGAGATTAAATTGTGCAAAGCCCTGGAGGATCAGCTCCAGGAAGACCAAAGTAGGGGTCAGAGCACTGTATTATGTGGCTCTTATATCTTGTTTTAAGGAATTGGGCCTGTAACCTGGGGGTAATACAAAGCCATTAAAAAGTTTTAATCGAGGAGATAAAGGGACAAAAGTCATAAATTAAAATTGAAACAGCTGGCCGGACGCAATGGCTCACGCCTGTAATCCCAGCACTTTGGGAGGCCAAGGTGGGCGGATCACGAGGTCAGGAGATTGAGACCATCCTGGCTAACACAGTGAAACCCCATCTCCACTAAAAAATACAAAAAAAAAAAAAATTAGCCGGGCGTGGTGGCAGGCTCCTGTAGTCCCAGCTACTTGGGAGGCTGAGGCAAGAGAATGGCGTGAACCCAGGAGGTGGAGCTTGCAGTGAGCCGAGATCATGCCATTGCACTCCAGCCTGGGCGACAGAGTGAGACTCCGTCTCAAAAAAAAAGAAAAAAAAATTGAAACAGCTGTTTCAATTTTATGTTTCAAGGTAAACCTTGAAAAATACTTCCGCATAAGCAAGGTAGTTGGACAACTCTCTAGAACATAAAGGGAGGAGAGGGCTGTCTTTTTCCAAAGCCCATGCAGCTTTGGCTCCTGGAGGGCTCAGCACATCACTGCAGCAGGAGAGGGTAGGGTGCAGCAGGAGGTACTGCTGATGATAAGAACAAAGAGGGGTCACACTCTGTGAAGGTGTACAGCTAAGCTGTCAGCCCTAATCCTCTACATCCAGCATTTGTGAATATTGTACCTTTGCTGTAAACCTGAGGGCAACATGGAGTTACATTACAGCAGTGAGTAAAACAACATTGAATAGTAGACATCTCTTCTCTTAAAGTCCTCTAGTGCCCCCAATCTCCCCAAAAATCTCACTGGCTCAAGCTTCCTGCCTACTAGAATATTAACTCCAATAGGGCAAGGATTTTTATTATGCATCAGTGAATCTCCAGTACCTAGAACCGTGCCTACCCCATTTTAATAATTCAATAAATATTTGTGGGCTAAAGCAATGAGCCTACAGAGTCTTCTCACATCTCCCACTGCCCCCCACCCGCCCCCTGGTTTTTCTCTTCCCTTCCAGAAGCTCCATTTTCTCAGTTTATTATGCAGAACAATTTACATCCCACCTCCCACTCTTTTCTAGAGCTGCCTTTTTATACCCAAAGATTCATTAAAATGCTCTGGCAAAGGCCCTTCATGCCTCACCCTTTGTAGCAGGGAGGAGCCAGCAGACACCTGGGTTTCAGCCTTCATTTCCCCTAAAGTCACTGTAAAGAGAGAGTGTAGAATTAAAATAACCTGCTTTTTATGCAACTAGTCACAGGTTATAGAAATAAAACTCATCTCTTTAAAGTAGCTAGAATCATCTGTGTGGAAATAAGAAAAACTATGCTTCCTAATTTCACCAACATGAAACAATATTAATAAAAATACCTAACTTGCTTTCTTGAAAATTCATCAAAAACTATGCTATTTTTTTCATCAAGTTTTTTTTTAAATCAACTGCCTACTCCTATTGTATAAAACAGCAAGATTTCATGATTAGACGTTGTCCAGGAAGTCTCCTTTTTCCTATGAAAATATATGCTTATTCTAGAAAACTGTATCTAAATACATGTAAATACACACAAGCACATCTACAGATATACATATATATGAGCATGAAGACATACTTGCATATATATACATGAAAAAATTAAATTGATCTTTTCTCAAGTCCCTTTTTATGCATTTTTCTACATATAGTTGCAATGGTACTATATACACAATACTGTGTCCTGATGCCTTAAGATTCTTGCACACTAGGAATCTACTAAGTAAAAAACATTTCAACCACATTATGATTATGATACAAATAATGTGTGCTAGAAAGTGCAGAGAACAACAAAAAAACAAAGCACTGAGACAGTTTTCGAAAAAGGTTTGACTTTGACCTGAAGGAAAAGGGAAGGTCATTTGGGGAGCAAGAAAATTGGGGCAGCAGAGGTGGTTCTCCAAAGTAGAACAGGCAGTCACCTGAGTGAAGCAAAAGATAAATCTGCGAGAAGGAAAAGAGGCACATGGGAAGATATGTTGGAGACATGATTTGGACTGCTCTAAAGGAGCTAAGTCAAGGCATACTGATGGTCAGCCTGGTGTGGATGCTATAGAAATCTCACTTAAGAAATAAACTCAGAAAAGATTCTATTGATCCTCATACAACACTGTTAATTGTAGTTTTACTTTCATATATATAATCTTAATACATATATGAATACACACACGTTTAATAATAATGCCACATAATAACATTTCAGTCAAGAGACCACATATATGTAGTCCTATAAGATTATAATAGCATATTTTTACCATGCCTTTTCTGTGTTTAGGTATATAAATAGTTACTATTGTGTTACAACTGCCTACAGCATTCAATACAGTAACATACTGCACAGGTTTGTAGCCTAGGAGTAATAGGCTCTACCATATAGCCTAGGTATGTGATAGGATAAGCCAGCTAGGTTTGTGTAAGTACACTCTATGATGTTCATACAATAAAAAATCACCTAACAACACATTTTTCCGAATGTATCCCTGTTGGTAAGTGATGCATGACTGTATATACCTTGCTATACGTTCCAAGACATAAACCTTTTTCTGTCTAAAGAAATGACATGTTGCAACTTAATTTAGAAAAGTTATTATTTTAACATAATCAGACTAAGCCTCTTTTCAAGTAATGTGGCTGAGTTTGGTCTATTTTTGCAATGTAACTCTTCGCTGCCAAAAAGTCCCTGCAATGTTGTAATTAGTATTTATGCAATAACTTCTAGACATATCATGTTAAAACGTTAAGAACATATGTAAAGTCCTTCTTTTGTACCATAATTTAACTTCAAGGAAGTTTTTAAAACAGTAGATACATAATTTTCTGTCACGTTTCCTGAAATTCTGTCCAGAACAGTTTGTTTTCTGACTGTAATTTAGCAAAAGGCAAGTTAAAATGAACGCTGGGAAAGATTAAATTTATTCTGTTTTGAATGTACACTGTAAGACCTCAGTCCAGATTTTTTTTTTTTTTTTTTTTTTTGAGATGGAGTCTGACTCTGTCACCCAGGCTGGAGTGCAGTGGCACGATCTCGGGTCACTGCAACTACCACCTCCCGGGTTCAAGCAATTCTATGCCTCAGCCTCCCGAGTTGCTGGTATTACAGGCACCTGCCACCATACCTGGCTAGTTTTTGTGTTTTTAGTAGAGATGGGGTTTTACCATGTTGGCCAGGCTGGTCCCAAACTCCTGACCTCAGGTGATCCCCCTGCCTCAGCCTCCCAAAGTGCTGAGATTACAAGTGTGAGCCACCACGCCCAGTCCTAAGATTTTGTAAAAATTACACCAAGCCTATAGTTCACCAATAAAAGGAAGAAAATGGAAGGAGTAAGAGGAGGTACCGAGTGCTAGAGTTTACTTTTTTTCTCTTTAGTATTCATCTATTATACAAGGCCCATTCATGTTATAGGGTCTTGATACTTCTGGTCAAAGATACAAGGTTTAAAGAAAAAAATCCACACTTAAATATTCATATAATGTAATTAGACTTCCTCAATATTTTTAAATTATCTCAGAAAGGATTTATTGCATTTTTATTCCACTTTATTTAACATTAACCAAACTATTTTGGGTTTAGACAATGTTGTTCTACAAATCATCCATATTAGACAGGAAAAGCTCCAAGTTGGTGACAGGTAAGCAAAAGCACTTTACAAACTATTGCCCATTGATTCTTCCCATTTGTAAATGTAATACAGATCTTAATACTATTTTTTCTATATATGAAAACTGAGTTCCCCAATACTGAGAATTAGCTCATACAAAGTTACAAACTATAAAACTATACTGCAGTGAGCTTTCTGTCACTCTTCTGGATCTGCCATTCTAAATAGCACATCCAAATGACTTCGTTTGTCATCCAGGTGCCAATGTTTGTGTTAAGATGTGTCAACTGTAATCATAACAGCTAAAATTACACAACTCTTCAAAAACAATTTTTCCCTTTGGTTATTCCACTGGCCATTGGGTCTCCTTGTTTCACCCATAAAGATAAATCTGCATTATATTTAGAGTCAAGTAAATGGAACAAGATTGTTTAAGAAAGCGATTTTTAAAAAATAGGTGAGCAGACAGTTTCTTCATTCATGAAGTTTAACAAGAAGATAGAAGTGAATTACGGTCTGGGAACTCTGACTTAGAGGAGCCTCAGTGAATATTGTCTTCATTCTCCATTTCACTACTTCCAGTGTGATGAGGTACAGACCTCCTTTAAAACAAAACATATCCATCATGTTACTCACATGTTCCACACAAAGTACACAGCAAAGAGCATAAAAACGGACTGGAAGATTATATTCAAAAATTTTCAAAAATAACAAAAGTGGCAAAGTATATTTCTGAGTGGTGGGATTGTCAGTAATTTTTATTTTCTTTAAGTTTTCTGTATTTTTTTTTCAAAATGTCTCCAGTGATCATATATTATTGTTATAAAATACATTTTGCTATTAAAGCTTGCTATAAAACTGTATCCTATTCATGTTTTTTATTTTTTATTTTTTATCTTTTATTGTTTTTCTTATACTTTAAGTTCTAGGATAAATATGCAGAACGTGCAGGTCTGTTACATAGGTATACGTGTGCCATGGTGGTTTGCTGCACCAGTCAACCCATCATCTACATTAGGTATTTCTCCTAATGCTATGCCTCCCCTAGCCCCCCATCCCCTGACAGGCCCCAGTGTGTGATGTTACCCTCCCTGTGTCCATGTGTTCTCATTGTTCAACTCCCACTTATGAGTGAGAACATGCAGTGTTTGGTTTTCTGTTCTTGTGTTAGTTTGCTGAGAATGATGGTTTCCAGATTCATCCATGTCCCTGAAAAGGACATGAACTCATCCTTTTTTATGGCTGCATAGTATTCCATGGTATATATGTGCCACACTTTCTCTGTCCAGTCTATCATTGATTGGCATTTGGGTTGGTTCCAAGTCTTTGCTATTGTCAACAGTGCTGCAATAAACATATATGTGTGCGTGTCTTTATAGTAGAATGATTTATAATCCTTTGGGTATATACCCAGTAATGGGATTGATGGGTCAAATGGTATTTCTGGTTCTAGATCCTTCAGGAATTGCCACACTGTCTTCCACAATGGTTGAACTAATTTACACTCCCGCCAACCTCCCACCAACAGTGTAAGAGCATTCCTATTTCTCCACATCCTCTCCAGCATCTCTTGTTTCCTGACTTTTTAATGATCGCCATTCTAACTGGCATGAGATGGTATCTCATTGTGGTTTTGATTTGCGTTTCTCTAATGACCAGTGATCATGAGCTTTTCTTCATATGTTTGTTGGCTGCATAAATGTCTTCTTTTGAGAAGTGTCTGTTCATATCCTGTGTCCACTTTTTGATGAGGTTGTTGTTTTTTTCTTGTAAATTTGTTTAAATTCCTTGTAGATACTGGATATTAGCCCTTTGTCAGATGAATAGATTGCAGAAATTTTCTCCCATTCTGTAGGTTGCCTGTTCACTCTGATTATAGTTTCTTTTTCTGTGCAGAAGCTCTTTAGTGTAATTAGATCCCACTTGTCAATTTTGGCTTTGGTTGCCATTGCTTTTGGTGTTTTAGTCATGAAGTCTTTGCCCATGCCTATGTCCTGAATGGTATTGCCTAGGTTTTCTTCCTGGATTTGTATGGTTTTAGTTCTTACATTTAAGTCTTTAATCCATCTTGAGTTAATTTTTGTATAAGGTGTAAGGGAGGCGTCCAATTTCAGTTTTCTGCATATTGGTAGCCAATTTTCCCAACACCATTTATTAAATAGGGAATCCTTTCCGCATTGCTTGTTTTTGTCATGTTTGTCAAAGATCAGATGATTGTAGATGTGTGCTGTTATTTCTGAGGCCTCTGTTTTGTTCCATTGGTCTATATATTTGTTTTGGTACCAGTACTATGCTGTTTTGGTTACTGTAGCCTTGTAGCATAGTTCGAAGTCAGGTAGCATGATGCCTCCAGCTTTGTTCTTTTTGCTTAGGATTGTCTTGGTAATGCAGGCTCTGTTTTGGTTCCATATGAAATTTAAAGAAGTTTTTTCTAATTATGTGAAGAAAGTCAATGGTAGCTTGATGGGAATAGCACTGAATCTATAAATTGCTTTGGGCAACATGGCCATTTTCACAATATTGATTCTTCCTATCCATGAGCATAGAATGTTTTTCTATTTTTTTGTGTGTCCTCTCTTATTTCCTTGAGCAGTGGTTTGTAGTTCTCCTTGAAGAGATCCTTCACATCCCTTGTAAGTTGGATTCCTAGTTATTTTATTCTCTTTGTAGTAATTGTGAGTGGGAGTTCACTCACGATTTGGCTCTCTGTTTGTCTATTATTGGTGTATAGGAGTGTTTGTGATTTTTGCACATTGATTTTTTATCCTGAGACTTTGCTGAAGCTGCTTATCAGCTTAAGGAGATTTGGGGCTGAGACAATGGGGTTTTCTAAATATACAATCATGTCATCTGCAAACAGAGACAATTTGACTTCCTCTCTTCCTATTTGAATCCCCTGTGTTTCTTTCTCTTGTCTGATTGCCCTGGCCAGAACTTCCAATACTATGTTGAATAGGAGTGGTGAAAGAGGGCATCCTTGTCTTGTGCCGGTTTTCAGAGAGAATGCTTCTAGATTTTTCCCATTCAGTATGATATTGACTGTGGGTTTGTCATAAATGGCTCTTATTATTTTGAGATACATTCCATCAATACCTAGTTTATTGAGAGTTTTTAGCATGAAGGGGTGTTGAATTTTATTGAAGGCCTTTTTCTGTATCTATTGACATGATTATGTGGTTTTTGTCATTGGTTCTGTTTATGTGATGGATTATGTTTATTGATTTGTGTATGTTGAACCAGGCTTGCATATCAGGGATGAAGCCGACTTGATCATGGTGGATAAGCTTTTTGATGTGCTGCTGGATTCAGTTTGCCAGTATTATATTGAGGATTTTTGTATTGATGATCATCAGAGATATTGGCCCGAAATTTTATTTTTTTGTTGTGTCTCTGCCAGATTTTGGTATCAGAATGATGCTGGCCTCATAAAATGAGTTAGGGAGGAGTCCCTCTTTTTCTATTGTTTGGAATAGTTTCAGAAGGAATGGTATCAGTTCTTAACTGATAAATAATAACTGTTTGAGGTGTACTACATGATTTTATATACATATATATCCATTGTATACTGATTACCACCGTCAAATTAATTAACATATTTATCATCATCATGGTTACCATTTTTTGCATCTACATGTATGTGGTGAGGACACTTAAAATCTACTCTCATCAAATTTCTAATAAACAATATAGTACTTTTAACTATAGTCACCATGCTGTATGCTACATCCCCATAACTTATTATCTTATAACTGAAAGTTTGTACCCTTTGACCAACATATCCCACTCCCCCAGCCCCTGGTAAGCATTGTCCTACTCTCTGCTTCTATGCGTTCAACTTTTTTAGATTCTATACACAAGTGAGCTCATATATTATTATTTTTCTGTGTCTGGTTCATTTGACTTAGCAAAATGTTCTCCAGGTTCATCCATGTTGTCACAAGTAACAGGATTTTCTTTTATATAGCCAAATAATACATATATTATATATATATGTATTATGTATATATATGTATAACATTTTCATTATCCATTTATGTTAATAGGCATGTAGGTTGTTTCCATTCTTTGCTATTGTGAATAATGTTGCAATGAATATCAGAATATAGCTATCTCTTTGACATAGTGATTTCATTTCCTTTGACTGTATACCTAGTAGTGAGATTTCTAGGCCACATAGTAGTTCTAGTTTTAATTTCTTGAGGAGACTTCATAATGTTTTCCATAATGGCTGTACCCATTTACATTCCCACAAACAGTGCACAAAATTTCCCTTTTTCTCTACATCCTCGTTAACATTTATCATCTCCTTGCTATTTCTTTTGTTTGTATTCTGACTATACAAAAGCTATGAGTCATTTTAAGAATTATATGTGAGATCTTTTTAACAGATATAGATGTATTATTTCTCTGACAAAGTATTGCTTAAATATCAGCTGTGTCGCTGAGAGGGACCAAAAGTGATGTGACTACTAAATGTAATGAGGTAATCTGGATGGGATTTAGGAACAGAAGAAGGAAACCATGTGACAATTAAACAAATTTGAATAAAGTGTGGACTTCAGTTAATAATAATGTATGAATAATGGTTCACTAATTGTGAAAAATGTACCATATGTTAATAATAGAGGAAACTGGGTGTGAGGTATATGGGAATATTTCGTACACCTTTGCAATTATTCTGTAAACCTAAAACTTTTCTATCATAAAAAGCTACTTTTAAACAAACAAACAAACAAACAAAAAATATCCACTGTGTCATCAGAATCTTGCCCCAGGAGATAATGAAGACTTCAGCTGATGAAAGTATGCAAACATTTCTTCACAGCTTTAGTGGTTACCATAATTAATTATCAATGACACTAGGTTATAAAACTAATATTTTCTTTTTTTTTTTTTTAAAGCAGAGTCTCACTCCATCATCCAGGCTGAAGTGCAGTGGTGTGATCTCAGCTCACTGCAATCTCCACCTTCTGGACTCAAGCGATCCTCCCACCTCAGCCTCCCAAGTAGCTGGGACTGCAGGCACGCACCACCATGCCCAGCTAATTTTTTTATTAACTAATACTTTCTTAAAAGAATGAAGTGTCAACAAGAAACTATTACTACTTATATTACTACATGATCATTAATAATTAAATATTTTATAAAAAGTGTTATAAAATCTATTGTAAACTCATTAATTGTCCCAGATTTCCATAAATCAATAAAGTCGGTTTGCCATTTTTATCAAATAGTTCCCAGACTATTTGTCTGGGACTATATACTGTAGGCATATCTTTCCATCAAGAAGGTCAATGCAGAAAAACATTACAAGAGGCAACAAGGTAATGTTACAAACTGAAAGAGCTAGTCTTATCAGTAAAGGTTAGTCTTCATGTTTTTATTTATATGGGTTAATAATAATGCTACCTTTGTTCACAGTGTCTCTTCAATACAAAGCAGAGAAGAGGTAAGTTTGTTTGTTTGCTTGCTTTTCATTTGTTTTGCTTTAATTTTATATCACATGAAATGAGGTTGAAGTAAGTCTCATTGCCTTCACCTGATGACAGCTGCTGTGTAGCATCAATTAAGCAGTATGCTTAGTTCAAAGGAAAAGTTTACCTTTCTCTTAACAGTTGCTTTTTAAACTCTGATTACATCTGGTGCCAGGCAACATATTTTGTACCCGTGTAGGCTTTTCCAACTTTAAGGGGCCCTTTTTCAAGGGCCTAATGACAGACTGTCTATAAGCAACCTGGTTGCCTACTGCACAGTGCTGACTCGAATTCTCGACATGCTGCCTGAGACTCAGCAGGACAGAAAGGGAAGGCAAAGAAATTAGCACAGAAATGAAAAACTTGAAGAAATGTCAAAAATGAGACAACTGAGTTACATTTTGCAGGAGATTAAGCCACAAATAGAAAAGCTTTGAGAATCATGCACAAAAAATTCAGGACAACTATTATCTGTAAATATCTTGTGCCCTTTCCCACCCGAACTACTATACCAAAACAGACATAGCAGATACATCACAGGTGGAAAAATTCCCAAAGGGTCACTCAATAACTTATGTTAAAGGAATGACACCATCACAACTGGATTAAAGAATGCCCAAAACCCAGAACTGGTGAGATACTGACCGTCAGGGGTATGAATCTCTCCCACTACTAGATAGCTGAGAGCAGAGTCTCTTGAACCCAACTCTCTCAGTCAATCTAAGCTCTATCATGTACTGATCATATGACCTCACATAAGTTATCTAGTCTTTCTGAGCTTCTGTTTCCCCACATGTAAAATGAAAACAATATTTTTATCTCTCTCATAGATTCTTGTGAACATTAAATATATCCACAGTATGGTGCCCAGTAAATAGTAAATATTCATTAGACACAGTATGAATGGGTACAGAAATGTAACTTATTTTATATTTTTGTTAAAATCCATTTAAATCTATCTTTTTCAGGTACCTGTTTAACCAATAAAGTTCAAATTCTCTTTCAGGTCTGTTTCTCCTCAACAACCCTTTCATAATTTCATAACTGCCTCTATATGTCAGAGGCAAAGTAGTTTTCTTTCTCGTTCTTCATAGGTTCTTCTTATGGCATAATTCCTCAAATTCTATCCATCTTTTATAGCGCATCCTGAATGGAATTTTCTTCATAAATCTTCTGACTATACCGGTCAACTTTCCCCCTTCACTTTCCTCAACTCTTGTAAGACCTAGGTAATCTGAATATCACTTGATTCCACTATCTCAGATTGTTACATATTTTTAAATCCAAAACATCTAAATGTTAAAACACATAAAAATTAAAATTAAATAAATTTGAGATTATATCAAAGGTAAAGATTGTATCTTGGTTTATATTAGACACAATAAATAGAGCATTCAAATATATTCTCATTTCCTCAAGTTCCATGGGTATAAAATATTGTAAAATTAGCTCTCATTTAGTCAATGCATTTTGTATGCCATGCTATAGACTAAGGGCTTTTCATATCTTATCTCATTTAAACCCCACAGGTTTAGTGGAAGGAAAAAAGAGGTAGATTAAGCAAGGAAAAAAGGAAAGAGGAGGATCCTTTGTGGAGCCATATGTTACGGTCTTGTGAACATTATTCATTAAATTATCCTAACAATCTTTGATGGAAATACTAAATTCTCCACTTTACAGATAAGAAAACTAAAACTGACATTAAGTAGATTTAAATAACTGATGCAAGGTCATCTAACTAGCAAATGACAAGAGCAAAGTTCAAATCCAATGATTTCTAACTTTACTGCCTGTGGACAAAATTCCATACGGCCAGAGACCAATCATCAAACCCTGATTCATTCTCTGGCTTGTGACCCACAGAAAGTAAGCTTGACCTGCCAGATCTCATTTGCCTTAATGGAAAGGAATCACTAAAACCAAACGCTAACACTTATTGAAGAAGTACCATGTTCAGGCATTGTGCTAAGTAGTTTATGGGAATTATTCCATTTCTTTCTCATGATAAATCGGTAATGTATTTATAATTATCCCTGTTTTACAGATAAGGAAAAAGAATCAAAGAAAGGAATGAAACTTTTCAAGACTACACAGCTAATGTGGTTGTGCTGGAATTCAGACCCCACTTTTCTCTCCTACCTATATGTGCTACACTGTCTGCAGGGATTGAAAAGACCTATCAAAAAATACTCCACCTGGTGTTGTGAGTGTTAAGTAAAACAACATATGTGAAAATGCCTTGAGCACAAATGTCAACTTTGTTTATAGAATTTCAAGTAATATCAACTATACTGTACTAGAGGACAAAACCAGGCTTCAGGCTGGGCGTGGTGCACATGCCTGTAATCCCAACACTTTGGGAGGTAGAGGCAGGTGGATCACCTGAGGTCAGGAGTTCGAGACTGGCCTGGCCAACATGGTGAAACCCCCATCTCTACTAAAAATACAAAAAAAAATTTTTCTGGGCATGGTGGCAAGTGCCTGTAATCCCAACTACTTGGGAGGCTGAGGCAGGAGAATCACTTGAACCCAGGAAGGGAAGGTTGCAGTGAGCCGAGATCACACCATTACACTCCAGCCTGGGTGACAAGGGCGAGACTCCATCTAAAAAAGAAAATCCAGGCTTCAAAAAATTATCAATTAGCTGAAAGGATTAGTCAAGTTAGCAAGATCAAATTTCATAAGCTAACAGCAAGACCATACAACTAAGTTTTAAAAATCAAATGTACCAGTTCTGAGGGGAGCAGACATGGTTAGCAGCTGGTTCATAAAAAGATTTCAATAAATTTCAAGTTCCAACATGAGATGATATTGTAATGTAGCTCCATTCAAAAAAGCTCAAAGTCATCTTGGGCTGTATTGATAGAAATTCAGTGTACAAACAAGATGGACCATAGTGGGACTGACTTTGCACTACTCAGATCATATCCAGAGTACTGGGAATTCCCTGAATTTAGAGAAATGATGACAGAAGTGAGCAGACTACTGGACAGAACTCAGAAAACTGCCACATTGAACACTGATGCTATGACTGTGTATCAGAAAATTCACCTAGTGGTCATGAAATACTTGAAAGATTTATATTCTGATGACTATTAAAGCACGGTAAGAATCATGGTTGTAAAATATAGGGAAAAATGTTTTGGATCAGTATGAAGGAAAATTTAAAATAATTAAAGATGTTAAAAATTGTATGAACTTTCTTAGGAATGTGAGTGCTCCCTGTCACTGCAGGTGCTCAAGCAGAAGGTCAGCCACCACTTGTCAGAAATATCATGTATGACATCAAGGCAGGAGACAGGGGCTGGAACTCTGTGGACTTGAGTTCTTTTCTGGCTTTTAAATTCTATGTGTGAATAGGAAGGGGGAGAATATTTTAAATCTGACAGAAAGTACAAATTGCCCCTGTTTAGATTAGTTTATACAGCACATTAATAGCATAGTGCCATACTCAGAAGTGGCTTAATGGTCTCTAAATAAAGAAAAATGTTTCTGATACATCAAAATAATCTATGTTGTCTAAAAATTCAAAATACAGTTTAAATCCATTCTGTAAGACTAAACAGTTTTATAGTTATTACAGACTATGAGTTAATTTACCATCTTGTGTGACAACTAAACAGTGGCTTTCTATTCCTGTTCCTCTACTTTTCTGTTTTCATGATGGAGCTCACAACAAGATTTAAAACAGTTATCTATTGCCAGCCCAGACAATTTTTCTGGGCTCCATGTCTATATCATACTGCTCAATATTTCCATGTAGATGCCCAACAGGTTACCTTTAAAAATTATTTCTATGACTGAGTTCTTAAGGGCCAACTCTCAACCACAGTCAATCTAGTCTTCCTCTAGTTTTCCTACATTTAGTAAACTGCACTGCCTTCTTCAAACTTGCTTATCCCATACACCTTGGAGCCATCCATGAAAGTTACTTTTCCTATGTCCCATATCCTACCTGTAACCTAGGACTGATGATTCAAAAAAAAAAAAAGTTTCTCCATCCATTCTCTTTATGACTTCTGCTCACACTCCAATCCATTCTAACCCCACTTACTCCTGAACTACTGCAAACCCTCAATACTAGTTTGCCCTGCCCTAGCTTTTGTATCTTAATTGTGTTGTTTCCTATTTTAATAGCTTTTCTTTTGGTTATCTTGTATTTGTATATGGGCAATGGAATTATTCTCAAACAATATAACTTTCTTTATACTTTTTGATATTTATGCTTCTTTTTTCCACCTCTTGATTATTGAAATACAGTGTTGAATACTATCTGTGACAGAAGAATTTTTGGTGATCTCTTAATGTCTAGAGGTAGAGGAGCAGGCTTTCATGCATGGAAAGAAATTCTCTCTCTGTTATTTTCTATATTTTGATTAATATTTAATTTATTAAAATTATACTTTTTAAAGTATAGCTTTACAGAGTAAACAGACAATGCACAGAGTGGGAGAAAATCTTCACAATCTATACATCTGAAAAAGGACTAATATCCAGAATCTACAATGAACTCAAACAAATCAGTAAGAAAAAAACAAACAATCCCTTCAAAAAGGAGGCTAAGAACATGAATAGAAAATTCTCAAAAGAAGATATACAAATGGTGAATAAACATATAAAAAATGCTCAACATCATTAATGATCAGGGAAATGCTAATCAAAACCACAATGCAATACCACCTTATTCCTGCAAGAATGGCCATAATCAAAAAATCAAAAAACAGTAAGTGTTGATGTGGATGTGGTGAACAGGGAACACTTCTACACTGCTGGTGGGAATTTAAACTAGTACAGCCATGATGGAAAACAGTGTGGAGATTCCTTAAAGAACCAAAAGTAGAACTACCATTTGATCCACAAATCCCACTACTGGGTGTCTACCCAGAGGAAAAGAAGTCACTATTCGAAAAAGATACTTGCACACGCATGTTTATAGCAGCACAATTCACAATTGCAAAATCATAGAACCAACCCAAATTCCCATAAATCAACGAGTGGATAAAGAAACTGTGGTGTGTCTGTGTGTATATATATATATATATATATATATATACACACAGACATATATATATATACACACAGACACACACATATATACACACATATACATATGTATACACACATATATACACATATACATATATATACATATATATACACATATATATATATAATGGAATACTACACAGCCATAAAAAGGAATGAATTAACAGCATTTGCAGTAACCTGGCTGAGATTGGAGACTATTATTCTAAGTGATGTAACTCAGGAATGGAAAACCAAATATCATATTTTCTCAGTGATATATGTAAGCTAAGCTATTAGGATGCAAAGGCATTAGAATGATACAATAGACTTTGAGGACTTGAGGGGAATAAAGAAAGGCGGCAAGGGATAAAAGACGACAAATATGGTGCAGTTTATACATGGATGATGGGTGCACCAAAATCTTACAAATCACCACTAAAGAACTTACATGTATAACCAAATACCACCTCTACCCCAAAAACTTATGGAAAAATAAAATTAAAATTGAAAAATAAATAAATAAAAGATAGCTTTACTTAACATCATACATCAATTAAAAATTTTTATTTTATTTCTGAACTTTTGACTAAAAATGAAACCTTGCTTTCACTTGAAACTGAAAATTAGTCAATATTATCTTTGAATATTGTATAATAACTCAAAAGTTTAATAGGTTAAATCCTTTTAAAACACTTAATACCACTTACATACATAATTAGTCAAATTCCCTTAGACAATTCAAATCACACTTACTCACCCAATATACCTACCTATCTGACATATGCTAAACACAAGAAGGCAGACTTACAAATTGAACAAATAATTTTTTCCTAGAACTTCACCCTTCTAAGTCAGACATCATTTTTATAAAATAATTTTTTTATTTTTTATTATACTTTAAGTTCTGGGGTACATGTGCAGAACATGCAGGTTTGTTACATAGGTATACACATGCCATGGTGGTTTGCAGCACCCATCAACCCGTCATCTCCATTAGGTATTCCTCCTAATCCTATTCCTCCCCTAGTCCCCCACCCACCAGCAGGGCCCAGTGTGTGATATTCCCCTCCCTGTGTCCATGTGTTCTCATTGTTCAACTCCCACTTATGAGTGAAAACATATGGTGTTTGATTTTCTGTTCTTGTGTTTGTTTGCTGAGAATGATGGTTACCACCTTCATCCATGTCCCTGCAAAGAACATGAACTCGTCCTTTTTTATGGCTGCATAGTATTCCGTGGTGTATATGCACCACATTCTCTTTATCCAGTCTATCATTGGTGGGCATTTTGGTTGGTTCCAAGTCTTTGCTATTGGGAACACTGCCACAATAAACATACGTGTGCACGTGTCTTTATAGTAGAATGATTGATAATCCTTTGGGTATATACCCAGTAGTGGGATTGCTGGGTCAAATGGTATTTCTGGTTCTAGAAACTTGAGGAATTGCCATACTGTCTTCCACAATGGTTGAACTAATTTACACTCCCACCAACAGTGTAAAAGTGTTCCTATTTCTCCACACCCTCTCCAGCATCTGTTGCTTTCTGACTTTTTAATGATTGCCGTTCTAACCAGCATGAGATGGTATCCCACTGTGGTTTGATTTGCTTTAATGACCAGTGATGATGAGCTTTTTTTCATATGTTTGTTGGCCACATAAATGCCTTCTTTTGAGACATGTCTGTTCATATCCTTTGTCCACTTTTTGATGGGGTTGTTTGTTTTTTCATGTAAATTTGTTTAAGTTCTTTGTAGATTCTGGAAATTAGCCCTTTGTCAGATGGATAATTTGCAAAAATTTTATCCCATTCTGTAGGTTGCTGGTTCACTCTGATTATGGTTTCTTTTCTGTGCAGAAGCTCTTTAGTATAATTAGATCCCATTTGTCCATTTTGGCTTTTGTTGCCATTGCTTTTGGTGTTTTAGTCATGAAGTCTTTGACCATACCTATGTGCTGAATGGTATTGCCTAGGTTTTCTTCTAGGTTTTTTATGGTTTTAGGTCTTATATTTA
This sequence comes from Homo sapiens, assembly GCF_000001405.40. Lineage (NCBI taxonomy): Eukaryota > Metazoa > Chordata > Mammalia > Primates > Hominidae > Homo > Homo sapiens. Next base: position 76,201,353 of record NC_000006.12, on the reverse strand, counting down.
AGTCTTTAATCCTTCTTGAGTTAATTTTTGTGTAAGGTTTAACGAAGGGGTCCAAATTCAGTGTTCTGCATATGACTAGCCAGTTTTCCCAACACCATTTATTAAATAGGGAATCATTTCCGCATTGCCTGTTTTTGTCATGTTTGTCAAAGATCAGATGGTTTTAGATGTGTGGTGTTATTTCTGAGGGCTCTGTTCTGTTCCATTGGTCTATATATCTGTTTTGTTACCAGTACCACGCTGTTTTGGTTACTGTAGCCTTGTACTATAGTTTGAAGTCAGATAGCATGATGCCTCCAGCTTTGTTCTTTTTGCTTAGGATTGTCTTGGCCATGCAGGCTCTTTTTGGGTTCCATATGAAATTTAAAATAGTTTTTCCTAATTCTGTGAAGAAATTCAATGGTAGCTTGATGGGGATAGCATTGAATCTATACATTACTTTGGGCAATATGGCCATTTTCATGACACTGATTCTTCCTATCTATGAGCGTGGAATGCTTTTCCATTTTTTTGTGTCCTCTCTTATTTCCTTGAGCAGTGGTTTGTAGTTCTCCTTGAAGAGGCCCTTCACATCCCTTGTAAATTGCATTCCTAGGTATTTTATTCTCCTTTTAGCAATTGTGAGTGGGAGTTCACTCATGATTTGGCTCTCTATTATTGGTGTATAGGAATGCTTGTGATTTTATCACATTGATTTTATATCCTGAGACTTTGCTGAAGTTCCTTATCAGCTCAAGGAGATTTGGGGCTGAGATAATGGGGCTTTCTAAATATACAATCATGTCATCTGCAAACAGAGACAATTTGACTTCCTCTCTTTTTATTTGAATACCTTTATTTCTTTCTCTTGCCAGATTGCCCTGACCAGAACTTCCAATACTATGTTGAATAGGAGTGGTGAGACATCATTTTAATAGATCAAATTTTATTTCATATTTCTAAAGTCTTAAAAACAAAAATATAATCTTTTGGGTTAAAATGTGAAAACGTACATCTACATTTCCTCTCTCCTGAAACCACATTAAAGAAAAAATTTCAATAAAGAATAATCCTACAAATATACTGCAGAGCACAACAATAGAATTTTGAAAGCAGAAAAGGCTTAGCCAAGAAGGATCATCTCAAACCAGTAACAGTGAAAGCCAAGAAGCTGTGCAATTTACAGCACAGAATTTCTAAAATGTTTAGGAACAGGCAATACCAGGTACTTTTGGTATAGTTTGGTGGTCTGAGATAAAATAAGAAAAATTTTGTTTTAAAGGCGTATGTACAATCTCAAATCTCCTGTTTCCCTCAACACACCCACCCCCATCCTGACAGAAAGTTTACTTTTAGAGAGAGAAAAAAGAGAATTTCTGGACTAGAAGATACTGTAAACAGTTGGGGTCATATTTATCACGTCTGCACAATGGGAAATAACAGACTATACTTACTAATATGAATTGGTAATCACCAACAGCCTTCTCCCATTAGCTGTCAGAAATTTGACAGCCAAACCTGTACCCTTTAGGCAAGTGACTAGAAGGCTTTTTCCTGGAAATCTGACCAGCCCAAGAGGGTACAGGAAAAGGCAAGGGGGTTGGGGTTTCTTTAAGAAATGGTCTCATTGCCGGGGCCAGAACTTCCAATACTATGTTGAATAGAAGTGGTGAGAGAGCAAGGCATTTTTGTCTTGTGCAGGTTTTCAAGGAGAATGCTTCCAGCTTTTGCCCATTCACTATGATATTGGCTGTGGGCTTGTCATAAATGGCTCTTATTTGAGGTATGTTCCATCAACACCTAGTTTATTGAGAGTTTTTAACATGAAGTTGAATTTTATCGAAGGCCTTTTCTGTGTCTATTGAGATAATCACATAGGTTTTTCTCTTTAGTTCTGTTTATGTGATGAATTACATTTATTGATTTGCATATGTTGAACCAGCCTTGCATCTTGGTGATGAAGCTGACTTGATCGTGGTGAATAAGCTTTTTGATGTGCTGCTGGATTCGGTTTGCCAGTATTTTATTGAGGATTTTTGCATGGATGTTCATCAGAGATATTGGCCTGAAGTTTTGTTTTTTTGTTGTATCTCTGCCAGGTTTTGGTATCAGGATGATGCTGGCCTCATAAAATGAGTTAGGGAGTAGTCTCTCCTTTTCAATTATTTGGAATTGTTTTAGTAAAAATGGTACCAGCTCTTCTTTGTACCTTTGAGTACAACTGTAAATCTGTCTGGTCCTAGGCTTTTTTTGGTTGGTAGGCTATTAATTACTGCCTCAATTTTAGAACATTTTATTGGTCTATTCTCCTATTCAATTTCTTCTTAGTTGAGTCTTGGGAAGATGTATGTGTCCACTTGCTCTTTGAATATTTGACAATAACTCAAAACTCTCTTAAGTTTAATTCGATTCCATTTGTCCTCCCATTCTTAACCATGAGCAGGCAGCCAAGAATCATCAGAAATTTGAGGAAAACTTGTAACCTGGAAGATTTTAAAAATAGTATACAATGACAATAAAAGGTCTGATATTCACCATTCCCCAAGTGCCAATTAAATTGAAATATGGTAATCTGGCTAAAATTGACTTTTTTTTTGAGGCAGGGTCTTGCTCTTATCACCCACGCTGGAGTGCAGTGGCCCTATCATACCTCACACACCCTTAAACTCCTGGGTTCAAGCAATCCTCAGCCTCCCAGTGATCTTTGTTATAGGCAGCCTGATGAATTTCTATGGCCTGGAAGATTGATTAAACATTGTCTTTCATTCTTAATAAATTTCTGCAGTCCAAAAAAAGTATACAAAAAAAGAAAAAAATTGAAAACATTGTCCCTGTTTGCAGATGACACGATTGGATATCTAGAAAACCCCATTGTCTCAGCCCAAAATCTCCTTAAGCTGATAAGCAACTTCAGCAAAGTCTCAGGATACAAAATCGATGTAAAAAATCACAAGCATTCTTATACACCAATAACAGACAAACAGACAGCCAAATCATGAGTGAACTCCCATTCACAATTGCTTCAAAGAGAATAAAATACCTGGGAATCCAGCTGACAAGGGATGTGAAGGACCTCTTCAAGGAGAACTACAAACTACTGCGCAATGAAACAAAAGAGGATACAAAGAAATGGAAGAACATTCCATGCCCATGCGTGGGAAGAATCAATATCGTGAAAATGGCCATACTGCCCAAGGTAATTTACAGATTCACTGCCATCCCCATCAAGCTACCAATGACTTTCTTCACAGAATTGGAAAAAACTACTTTAAAGTTCATATCGAACCAAAAAAGAGCCCACATCACCAAGTCAATCCTAAGCCAAAAGAACAAAGCTGGAGGCATCACACTACCTGACTTCAAACCATACTACAAGGCTACAGTAACCAAAACAGCATGGTACTGGTACCAAAACAGAGATATAGATCAATGGAACAAAACAGAGCCCTCAGAAATAATGCCGCATATCTGCAACTATCTGATCTTTGACAAACCTGAAAAAAACAAGCAATGGGGAAAGGATTCCCTATTTAATAAATGGTGCTGGGAAAACTGGCTAGCCATATGTAGAAAGCTGAAACTTGATCCCTTCCTTACACCTTATACAAAAATTAATTCAAGATGGATTAAAGACCTAAAAGTTAGACCTAAAATGATAAAAACCCTAGAAGAAAACCTAGGTGTTATCATCAGGACATAGGCATAGGCAAGGACTTCATGTCTAAAACACCAAAAGCAATGGCAACAAAAGCCAAAATTGACAAATGGGATCTAATTCAACTAAAGAGCTTCTGCACAGCAACAGAAACTACCATCAGAGTGAACAGGCAACCTACAAAATGGGAGAAAATTTTTGCAACCTACTCATCTGACAAAGGGCTAATATCCAGAATCTACAATGAACTCAAACAAATTTACAAGAAAAAAACAAACAACCCCATCAAAAAGTGGGCGAAGGATATGAACAGACACTTCTCAAAAGAAGACATTTATGCATCCAAAAAACACATGAAAACATGCTCACTATCACTGGCCATCAGAGAAATGCAAATCAAAACCACAATGACATACCATCTCACACCAGTTAGAATGGCAATCATTAAAAAGTCAGGAAACAACAGGTGCTGGAGAGGATGTGGAGAAATAGGAACATTTTTACACTGTTGGTGGGACTGTAAACTAGTTCAACCATTGTGGAAGTCAGTGTGGCAATTCCTCAAGGATCTAGAACTAGAAATACCATTTGACCCAGCCATCTCATTACTGGGTATATACCCAAAGGACTATAAATCATGCTGCTATAAAGACACATGCACACGTATGTTTATTGCAGCTCTATTCACAATAGCAAAGACTTGGAACCAACCCAAATGTCCAACAACGATAGACTGGATTAAGAAAATGTGGCACATATACACCATGGAATACTATGCAGCCATAAAAAATGATGAGTTCATGTCCTTTGTAGGGACATGGATGAAATTGGAAATCATCATTCTCAGTAAACCATTGCAAAAAAAAAAGACAAACACCGCATATTCTCACTCATAGGTGGGAATTGAACAATGAGAACACATGGACACAGGAAGGGGAACATCACACTCTGGGGACTGTTGTGGGGTGGGGGGAGGGGGGAGGGATAGCATTAGGAGATATACCTAATGCTAAATGACGAGTTAATGGGTGCAGCACACCAGCATGGCACATGTATACATATGTAACTAACCTGTACATTGTGCACATGTACCCTAAAACTTAAAGTATAATAATAAAATAAAATAAAACTGAGAAAATGCAATTACCACTCTCAAAAAAAACCGAAAAATAAATAAATAAATAAATAAATAATTCAATAAAATTATGAATATGAGGAAAACCTTCAGTTAAACAAGATAGATTTCATGCTTCCAAATAAAACTTTAAGAAATACAAAAAAAAACATGGAGGGAGAATAAACTTCAAAAATATCGTTTCCATCTCCTTGAAGAGATGTGAGGAGACATTAATGCCATAAAACTGTAGAAAATGCAATAAAACAGCCCTTAGAAATTCAATTCATACAGCAGAAATTTTTAAATGTCAATGAAAGACTGAAAATTCTTCTAGATATATCTCTATGATATGTGATTCAATTACTATACTATACTACATCTAGATAATATATGTTCAAAAAGGAGAGAAGAGAAATGGAAGAAAATCATATAAGAAATGCTAAAGGAAAGTTTAACATAAAGAAAAAATGTGAGTTTCCAGATTAAAAAATTACACCAAATGCCCAACTTAATGATTTTAAACAGCAATTCTGGATGCTTGAAGTAGTGAAGCAATGACTTTCAAATTATGAAAGGAAATCACTCTATGACCAGCCAAACTATTAGCTAATTTTGATGATATTTGTTAATGTTTCAGACATAAAATATATTTTAAAATGTACCTTATAGATAGCCATAAAGATAATTGGAATATAAAGAGAGAACCCAGAAATAAAACTTCGTATATATGGTTAATGGTTATTTACAAAAGTGCCAGGAACAGTCAGTGGAGAAAGGACAGTCTTCAACAAATGGTATTGGAAAAAACTGGCTTTCCACAATGCAAAAGAATGAAGTTGGGCCATTACCTTAAAAAATATTTAAAAAGTAACTAAAAATGTATCAAAGACCAAAATGTATGACCTAAAATTCTAAAACTCTTAAGAGAAAACATGGGAGGAAAACTTCATGACATTGAATTTGACAATGAATTCTTGAACATGACACCAAAAGCACAGGCAACAAAAGTAAACATACAAAAATAAAATGCATAGAATTTTAAAACTTCTGTTCATCAAAGACATGATCACCAGAGTGAAAAGGCAAACTATAGAATTAAAACAATGCCTGCAAATTATATATCTGATAAGGGTTAATATCCAGAATAAAGAACTTCTCAATGATAATGAAAACTTGATTCAGCAAGAGACTGAAATAGATATTTTTCTAAAGAAGAGATACAAATCAGAACAAGCACAGGAAAAAATGCTCAGCATCACTAACCGTGAAAAAATGCAAATCAAAACCATAATGAGATAACACCTCAAATCCATTTGGATGGCTGCTATCAAAAAGCAAACAGATAAACAAAATAAGTGCTGTGATGATATGAAGAAATTAGAAACCTTATACACTGTTGGTAGGAAGGTAAATGGTTCAGCTGCTATTAAAAAAACAGTATGAAGATTCCTCAAAAAATTAAAAATAGGACTACCATATGATCCAGCAATTCCACTTCTGTGTATATACCCAAAATAATTAAAAGTGGGATCTTGGAAATATATTTTTATATCTATGCCCATAAGCTGTACTAATTGCAGTAGCCAAAAGGTAGGAGCAACACAAATGTCCATTGACGAATGGATAAACTACATGTGGTATGTACATACGATGGACTCTTATGCAGCCTTTAAAAAGAAGAAAATTCTGACATGCTATAACATGGATGAAACTTGAGGACATTATGCTAAGGGAAATAATCCAGTCACCAAAAAAATCAAAGACTGTATGATTCCACAGATATGAAATACCTAGTGTAGTCAATTCATGGAGACAACAAGTGAAAGGATGGTTTCCGGGGGATGGGAGATAGGGAAACGAGGAGTTGTTTAAAGAACACAAAGTTTTAGTATTGCAAGTTGAAAAGAATTCTAGAGATTGGCTGCACAACAATAAGAATGAACTTACTATTGAGCTGTACATTTAAAAATGGTTAAGATGGTAAAATGTCATTTATATATATTACCACAATTTAATTAAAAAAATAAAATAAAATGTACCCATTATTCAGTATTTCTTTAAAAAGTATGAAATTCTTAAAAGGTAATAGAATAACTCTATTAAATTGCTCTTCCTCTTCGCTTCCATGGGAATCAGCCAAGGAGTCAAGGAGGAGGGAGGAATGAAGAGGCCCTGAGAAGGCATCCAATTTGTATCCTGCACCTGAACGGAAAAAATGACATTGTTAGGACAGGGGCTAAAATTTTTGTCTGTTTGTTCGTTTGTTTGTTTTCTGTTATCCTAGTTATTTCTTTTATTATTATTATTATACTTTAAGTTTTAGGGTACATGTGCACAATGTGCAGGTTAGTTACATATGTATACATGTGCCATGCTGGTGTGCTGCACCCATTAACTCATCATTTAGCATTAGGTATATCTCCTAATGCTATCCCTCCCCCCTCCCCCCACCCCACAACAGTCCCCAGAGTGTGATGTTCCCCTTCCTGTGTCCATGTGTTCTTATTGTTCAATTCCCATCTATGAGTGTGAACATGCAGTGTTTGGGTTTTTTTTCTTGTGATAGTATACTGAGAATGATGATTTCCAATTTCATCCATGTCCCTACAAAGGACATGAACTCATCATTTTTTACAGCTGCATAGTATTCCATGGTGTATATGTGCCACATTTTCTTAATCCAGTCTATCATTGTTGGACATTTGGGTTGGTTCCAAGTCTTTGCCATTGTGAATAGTGCCGCAATAAACATACATGTGCATGTGTCTTTATAGCAGCATGATTTATAGTCCTTTGGGTATATACCCAGTAATGGGATGGCTGGGTCAAATGGTATTTCTAGTTCTAGATCCTTGAGGAATTGCCACACTGACTTCCACAATGGTTGAACTAGTTTACAGTCCCACCAACAGTGTAAAAGTGTTCCTATTTCTCCACATCCTCTCCAGCACCTGTTGTTTCCTGACTTTTTAATGATTGCCATTCTAACTGGTGTGAGATGGTATCTCATTGTGGTTTTGATTTGCATTTCTCTGATGGCCAGTGATGATGAGCATTTTTTCATGTGTTTTTTGGCTGCATAAATGTCTTCTTTTGAGAAGTGTCTGTTCATATCTTTTGCCCACTTTTTGATGGGGTTGTTTTTTTTTTTCTTGTAAATTTGTTTGAGTTCATTGTAGATTCTGGATATTAGCCCTTTGTCAGATGAGTAGGTTGCAAAAATTTTCTCCCATTTTGTAGGTTGCCTGTTCACTCTGATGGTAGTTTCTTTTGCTGTGCAGAAGCTTTTTAATTTAATTAGATCCCATTTGTCAATTTTGGCTTTCATTGCCACTGCTTTTGGTGTTTTAGACATGAAGTCCTTGCCTATGCCTATGTCCTGAATGGTATCGCCTAGGTTTTCCTCTAGGGTTTTTATGGTTTTAGGCCTAACATGTAAGTCTTTAATCCATCTTGAATTAATTTTTGTATAAGGTGTAAGGAAGGGATCCAGTTTCAGCTTTCTACATATGGCTAGCCAGTTTTCCCAGCACCATTTATTAAATAGGGAATCCTTTCCCCATTGCTTGTTTTTCTCAGGTTTGTCAAAGATCAGATAGTTGTAGATATGCGGCGTTATTTCTGAGGGCTCTGTTTTGTTCCATTGATCTATATCTCTGTTTTGGTACCAGTACCATGCTGTTTTGGTTACTGTAACCTTGTAGTATAGTTTGAAGTCAGGTAGCATGATGCCTCCAGCTTTGTTCCTTTGACTTAGGATTGACTTGGTAATGCGGGCTCTTTTTTGGTTCCATATGAACTTTAAAGTAGTTTTTTCCAATTCTGTGAAGAAAGTCATTGGTAGCTTGATGGGGATGGCATTGAATCTGTAAATTACCTTGGGCAGTATGGCCATTTTCACGATATTGATTCTTCCAACCCATGAGCATGGAATGTTCTTCCATTTCTTTGTATCCTCTTTTATTTCATCGAGCCATGGTTTGTAGTTCTCCTTGAAGAGGTCTTTCATGTCCCTTGTAAGTTGGATTCCTAGGTATTTTATTCTCTTTGAAGCAACTGTGAGTGGGAGTTCACCCATGATTTGGCTCTCTGTTTGTCTGTTATTGGTGTATAAGAATGCTTGTGATTTTTGTACATTGATTTTGTATCCTGAGACTTTGCTGAAGTTGCTTATCAGCTTAAGGAGATTTTGGGCTGAGACAATGGGGTTTTCTAGATATACAATCATGTTATCTGCAAACAGGGACAATTTGACTTCCTCTTTTCCTAATTGAATACCCTTTATTTCTTTCTCCTGCCTGATTGCCCTGGCCAGAACTTCCAACACTATGTTGAATAGGAGTGGTGAGAGAGGGCATCCCTGTCTTGTGCCAGTTTTCAAAGGGAATGCTTCCAGGATCATGTTTTCTAAGTTTTTAATATTCATAATATTCTTTGAAACTTTTTTATTGGAAAGGCTCAACAGTTAAAAGGAACAAACTATTAAGCAGACTTGCAGCATTTCCATGGCCTTACTAAACTTCATCATGCAGATTTGCCCTTTTCTTAAGCCATACTCAGACTTCTGCAGTTGAAAAGAAAATGCCAAAATTTGCCCTAAGTAGTGAAAATTATTTTCTGTCATTGAAATGGTATCTTTCTCAAAAATAATACTGTTCAATTTGAAACATCACCATAGCTCTTCCAAAACCAAGAATATAACATTCAAAATGCCTTATTTGACCTACTTTGGTACATGATAATTAGGTTATCACAGACAATACAGACCTTAATAAATAATAAACTAACTGCATAAAATGAACCAATTAGTTTTCAAAATTCTCAGTTTTTTTTTAAATAGATTCACTGACATCTCTTTTTATTATCACTTATGTTGGACAACAGATATGTCTGGTGACAAATTACAACATCACAAGAGTCATTTCAGGTAAATTGATCTAAAATATAATTATTTTGGCTTTCTAAACAATTTAATATTGGTTTCTTTGAAACTTATGAAGTTGACTTATTTATGTGTTAAACATAAAAAGTCACAGGGCTTGCTTGTCCCCTTATGGGGACAACCAATATATGCCATACACAGTGCCCAAGAGGTTCCCATTGGCATTGAACTCCAGTTGCCCACAATGGCAGTCTGCCCATTGATGCACTTACTAGCTTCTTTTTCTTTGGTACTAGTCAGGATTCTCCAGATAAACAAAATCAATTGGATGGATGGATGCATGAATGGAGAGAGAGACAGAGAGAGAGAGACATAAATATAGACAGACAGAGAGATAAAGGAAGAGAGAAAAGAGAAAGATTTATTATAGGAATTTGCTCACAGGATTATGGAGGCCAAGAAATCCCACCCTTTGCCATCCGCAAGCTGGAGAACCAGGAAGGCTAGTTGTATTAATGTGCTTTCATGCTGCTATGAAGAAATACCCAAGGCTGGGTAATTTATAAAGGAAAGAGGTTTAACTGACTCACAGTTCAGCATGGCTGGGGAGGCCTCAGGAAACTTACACTCATGGCAAAAGAGAAAACAAACATATCCTTCTTTACAATGTGGCAGGTAGGAGAATGAGAGAATAGCCAAGCAAAGGGGGAAACCCCTTATAAAATTATCAGATCTTGTGAGAACTCATTCACTATCACAACAACAGTATGAAGAAAACTGCCCCCATGATTCAATTATCCCCACCTGATCCCACCCTTGACATGTGGGGTTATTACAATTCAAGATGAGGTTTAGGTGGGGACACAGCCAAATCATATTATTCCACCCTTGGCCCCTTTCAAATCTCATGTCCTCACATTTCAAAACACAATAATGTCTTTCCAACAGTCCCCCAAAGTCTTATTTCAGCATTAACTCAAAAGTCCACCGTCCAAAGTCTCATCTGAAACAAGGCCAGCCCCTTCTGCCTATGAACCTATAAAATCAAAAGCAAGTTAGTTACTTCCAAGATACAATAGGGGTACAGACATTGGGTAAATACATCCATTCCAAATGGGAGAAATTGGCCAAAACAAATGGGTTACAGTCCTTGACAGATTGGATAATGCCACCCAGGTTAGTGAAGGCAATCTTCTTTATTCCATCTATTTATCCAAATATTAATCTCTTTTAAAAATACCCTCACAGACGTACTCAGAAACAATGTTTTACCAGCTATCTTGGCATCACTTAGCCCAGGCAATTTGACACATAAAATTAACCACCACACCTTCCTAACAATGTTCTCTGGGATCGCCTTCCAAATAAAACTACCTACACTCAAATTCTTGTCTCAGGGTCTAATCTAAAGGAACTATCCTTATGTCAATACTTCCTTATTTTCCCTTCCATTCTCATGCCAAATGAAGAAAAGTTGAACCCCCTCGTTGATAGCTGTAACTATGTTTAAGTTAAATTTAAGTTATAATTATGGTATGATTTATGAAAAAGAGTTTTGATTAATCTCCATAAGTACTATAAATTTATGAGTATAATATTAGAGAATTATATTATTATTAGATCTCTGATAGTTTTAGCTAAACTTTGCAATCATGTTATTAACTTTCTTTTTATTCTTTTTTTATTAATTTTTATTTTTATTTTAAGTTCCAGGGTACATGTGCAGGATGTGCAGGTTTGTTACTTAGGTAAATGTGTGCCATGGTAATTTGCTGCACCTATCAACCCACCACCTAGGTATTAAGCCCAGAATGCACTAGCTGTTTTTCCTAATGCTCTCCCAACTCCACCCCACCCCCCACAAAAAACCCAGTGTGTGTTGTTTCCATCCCTGTGTCCACGTGATCTCATTGTTCAGCTCCCAATTATAAGTAAGAACATGTTGTGTTTGGTTTTCTGTTCCTGCATTAGTTTGCTGAGGATAATGGATAATGGCTTCCAGGTACTTCTATGTCCCTGCAAAAGATATGATCTTGTTTCTTTCTATGGCTGCATACGATTCCATGATATATATCACATTTTCTTTATTCAGTCTATCATTGACGGGCATTTGGGTTGATTCCCTGTCTTTGTTATTGTGAATAGTGTTGCAATGAACATACGCATGCATGTATCTTTGTAATAGAATTATTTATATTCCCTTGGGTATATATCCAATAATTGGGTTGTTGGGTCAAATGGTACTTCTGGTTCTAGGTCTTTTGAGGAATCACACCATCTTCCACAATGGTTGAACTAATTTACATTCCCAACGACAGGGTAAAAGTCTTCCTATTTCTTCACAACCTCGCCAGCATCTGTTGTTTCTTGACTTTTTAATAATTGCCATTCTGACTAGCATGAGATGGTATCCCACTGTGGTTTTAATTTGCATTTCTCTAATAATCAGTGATATTAAGCTTTTTAAAACATGTTTGTTGGCCATGTTATTATAGTTAGACATGAGCTTTCAGATTTCGTATGTACACAAAAATACTACTTTACTTTTTTTTTTTTTTTGAGATGGAGTCTCACCCTGTCACCTAGGCTGGCGTGCAGTGGCACAATCTCAGCTCACTGCAACCTCTACCTCATGGGTTCAAGCAATTCTCTTGTGTCAGTCTCCCATGTAGCTGGGATTACAGGTGTTCGCCACCACGCCCAGCTAATTTTTTTATTTTTAGTAGAGATGGGGCTTCGCCATATGGTCCAGGCTGATCTTGAGTACCTGACTTCAAGTGATCTGCCTGTCTCGGCCTCTCAAAGTGCTGGGATTATAGGCATGAGCCACCACACCTGGCCTACTTTACCTTTCCTAGCATGAAATATTTTTCAAAGTATTTACTTATTCATATGTTTTATCATGATAAACATGATGGTCAGTGATCTGCATACTCATTTCATCTATTCTGAAATTTCAAGGATAGGCTCCATAAAATTAATAGCATTTTTTTCTATTGCCAACTAACTGGGCATTATAGAATTATAAATAGACTCATAAATATTAAATAAAATTTAACTAAATTTTTCAAAGTAACTTAAAGATTTCAGTTTTATTTAAATAATCTTGACTAGGACATGTGAGAATCCATCTGTACTCTTGTTCTGGGCCTCATAGATGTCAGGAGGCTCCTGAGGAATAATAAAGACCACTTAGATCCTCAGGAACAGGATGCCTCCTCCACCTTCACAGAGCCATCATGACCACAAAATCTCTGTCATTTTTGTTTTTAGTTTTTTGTTTGTTTTTTTTTTTCTTTTAGAGTCAGGGTCTCACTCCATTGTCCCAGCTGAAATGCAGTGGTATGATCATAGCTTACTGTAACCTTGAACTCCTGGGCTCAAGCAATCCTCCCACCTCAGCCTCTGGGTGGCTGGGACTCTAGGTGTGCATCACCATGCCCAGCATACTTTTTAGAGATGGGGTCTTGCTATGTTGCTCAGGCTGGTCTTGAACTCCTGGCCTTAAGCAATTCTCCTGCCTTAGCCTCCCTAAGTGCTGGGATTACAAGTATAAATCACTGTGCCCAGCCTCTCTGTCATTTTACTCTGGACTCTTGATTTTTTTTCCCACACAATTGGTATAATTTTGAAAAATGAGAGTTACTCCTCATTAAATATCCAAAGGCATCCAGTGAGTTAAATTGTCTCTTCTCACCACTCACACTGGGGGAATTATTCTCTGGAAAACTTTACGAGCAAACTCAGAGCACCAGCAAGAGCTTCTCAATAAATCCTAGGGGAACTGATATTTGCCCCTTGTTAAATTTCTAGAAGAATGAGAAGAAAGAGACCTGGTATTTGGAGAGAAGCCAAATACCAGTACATTCTTACCGTTAACTTATTTCCCAGGTGAGTTATGCTTAATAAAATAATCTTTTAAAAAATGTATATTAGCATTCTTTGGGAGAGAAGAATAAAAATTCAAAGAGTTAAAAATTTTCCTTTTATGAAGGGCCCCAACACTGCAGAGTAATTACACTTCAAAGTGCCGAGGAAGCAGAAGAGACCACAAGTCCAGAACAAGCCTACTCTATTAGCCAGCAGTCATCCAGAATTTCTCCTTGCTCTCTTCCATCAAGGCATCAGTATGCAGATCTAGGCTGCCATCTCAAGTCCTAAGTTAGTCACCTATAATGCCAAAGTGGACTTGGAAAGCAGACTGACTGCAAGGAGAACTTGAATGTCAACATGAGGTCATAAGGAAAATCTTTTCAATCCTTTAAGACAAGAGCACACATCTAGCCTAGGTTAGTTTAAAAATGTAATTTTTATGCCCATAAACTTGGCAATTAGCAGCCACAGGCATAATTTAAAAACAATAACTGAAATAGACCAAACATGACTTTTTTGCTATAATGTTGTAGCTAATAATATTGTGACTGGGAAGAGAGAAACCCTAGCTAATTGGAGCAGAAGAGAAGCTGACCACAGAAAGCTAGACCTGTACAAACTGTGCCTTCTCAGGCCCCTTCCTAAGTGCATGACCATTATTTTTCCAACTTTGCTTTTTATTTTCTTCCTATAAAATGTATCAGCAGAAATCTTAGTCAATGAATCTTTTATTAAATTAATAGAATAAAAAATTAAAATTAAAATTAAAAATGAGTGAACAGGCAACCTACAGAATGAGAGAAAATTTTTGCTATCTATCCATCTGACAAAGGGCTAATATCCAGAATCTACAAAGAACTTAAACAAATTTACAAGAAAAAAACAAATAACCCCATCAAAAAGTGGGCAAAGGATATGAACAAACACTTCTCAAAAGAAGACATCTATGCAGCCAACAGACATATGAAAAAAATGCTCATCATCACTGGTCATTAGAGAAATGCAAATCTAAACCACAATGAGATACCATCTCACGCCAGTTGGAATGGCGATCATCAAAAAGTCAGGAAACAACAGATACTGGAGAGGATGTGGAGAAATAGGAAGGCTTTTACACTGTTGGTGGGAGTGTAAATTACTTCAACCATTGTGGAAGACAGTGTGGCGATTCCTCAGGGATCTAGAACTAGAAATACCATTTGACCCAGCAATCTCATTACTGGGTATATACCCAAAGGATTGTAAATCATGCTGCTATAAAGACACATGCACATATATGTTTATTGCAGCACTACTCACAATAGCAAAGTCTAGGATCCAACCCAAATGCCCATCAATAATCGACTGGTAAAGAAAATGTGACACATATACACCATGGAATACTATGCAGCCATAAAAAGGATGAGTTCATGTCCTTTGCAGGGATGTGGATGAAGCTGGAAACCATCATTCTCAGCAAAATATCACAAGGACAGAAAACCAAACACCACATGTTCTCACTTATAAGTGGGAATTGAACAATGAGAACACATGGACACAGGGAGGGGAACATCACATACCAGGGCCTGTCGTGGGGTGGGGGGCTGGGGAGGGATAGCATTAGGAGAAATACCTAATGTAAATGACGAGTTGATGGGTGCAGCAAACCAACATGGCACGTGTATACTTTCGTAACAAGCCTGCACATTCTGCACATGTACACCAGAACTTAAAAGTATAATAAAATATATATATATACATATATATATATGTTGACACAGTATATAGCTGAAATGTGACTGTGATATTAAAATTAATGTTAATTTATGATTTTTGTAAGTATAAGAGATAAAAAGAAAACTAGAAAAAAAGAAAAAAAATTAATTTTAAGTGTTGCAAGGTAAATCTTTCTCATCTCAGTTTCACATAGCAAAGAACCATGACAGTAACTAACCCCCTTCCTCTGTGCTATTCTTGAGGTCTTGTGGCAAAAGAGGCAAAAATATCATTAGTATTATTTAAATGATGGCTTATGATTTATTAAAATATTCATTAAAGAAATTGATGCCCTAAAAATTGTTTTAAATGAGATATCCAAAGTATGGATGATGCAAGTCTATTTATTGCCTTTCAGTGCATATATATACACTACAAATGATATTTACCTAGAGTAAGACACCAAGCATATATTGAACTTTAATTTCTCCAACCTAATGTATGGCAGCTAGAAATTAAAACAAATATTAATGATGCAGTATGACAATGGAGACAAATATGCTTCTATTACTTTTCTTATACCACACCCCCAAGTCTTGCCTGATAGCATCTTTAGAGTCAGGGTCTCACTCCATTGTCCCAGCTGAAGTGCAGTGGTATGATCATAGCTTACTGTAGCTTTAAACTCCTGGGCTCAAGCAATCCTCCCACCTCAGCCTCTGGGCAGCTGGGAGTATAGGCATATACCACCATGCCCAGCCAATTTTCTTTATTTTCTCGGGAAAGCCTGCCCTGACCCCAAGTCTGCAAGAGTTATAAAAACCTGCACCTCCCACATGACTGTTTCTTTCTCAGTGGATCACAAGTTATTGTTTACCTTCTGAAAACCCTACTTGCCAGCACACTCTGAGAAGTCAGAGACCATGTCAGTCTCCTTGTCTCTACTATCTCCAACATCTCCCAAAGTGCCTGTCACCCAGTAGGTATTGCCCAAATATTTGTTAAGCAAAAATGTCCTTAGTCACATTTAATTATTGACCTTTGATTACCTACCTTATAATCTTTGTTGAATCATATGTTTTTGCTTATCAGGCCATCATATACACATTTTCCAAATGTGTATATATGGTATTCTATTGGAATAGAATACTACATATAGTATTCTACTGGAATAGTATAGAGTAGTATTCCAATAGTATCCTACTGGAATACTATTTAGCCTTTACAAACAAGGAAATCCTGTCATTTGTGACAACATGGATGAACCTGGAGGATATTATATTAAGTGAATAAGTTAGACACAGAAAGCCAAATACCACATGATCTCACTCGTGTGGAAAAGTTGATTGCACAGAAGTAGAGAGAAGAATGATGGTTACCCGGTGCTGGAGCAGTGTTTTTGACAGGAGCATGGGAAGATATTAGTCAAAGGATACAAAATTTCATTTAGATAGGAGGAATAATTTGAGGAGGAATAATTTGAAGGAATAATTTGAACATGGTGACTATAGTTAATAATAACATATTACATTCTGGAAAAATGCTAGGAGAGTAGATTTTAAGAGTTCTCACCACAAAAATGACAACCATGTGAAGTAAAGCAAATGTTAATCTTGATGTAGCCATTCCACAATTATATATATATATTTCAAAATATCATGTTGTACACAATAAATATATATAATATTATGTCGATTTTAAAATAATACAAAAAAATCTTTAAAAGACACATCACAAATGATAAGGTAGCTAAATCTGCTGTCAAAAAAAGTGTAACTGTTTGTTGTCATTAGAAAAATGCAAATCGAAACCACAATGAGATACCATCTCACACCAATCAGAATGACTATTATGAAAAAGTCAAAAAATAACAGATACTGGCAAAGTTTCAGAGAAAAGGAGACCAGAGGAATAAAAATCATTCTACCGTAAAGACACATGCAAACAAATGTTCATTGCAACACTGTTCACAATAGCAAAGACATGTAATCAACCTAAAAGCCTATCAATGACAGACTGGATGAAGAAAATGTGTTACATATATACCATGGAATATTATATAGCCATAAAAAAGAACAAGATCATGTCTTTGGCAGGAATAAGTGGGAGCTAAATGATAAGAACTTATGTACACAAAGAAGGAAACAACAGACACTGGGGTTTACTTGAGGGAAGACAGTGGGAGGAGGGAGAAGAGCAGAAATGATAACTATTGGGCACTGAGCTTAATACCTGAATGATGTAATAATATGTACCATAAGCCCCAATGACACAAGCTTATCTGTGTAACAAACCTTCACATGTACCCCCCTGCAAACCTAAAATAAATTTTTTTTAAAAAAGTGTAACTGACCCTCTACCTTCTTGGACCCCTATTTTTTCATTGCCCCAATTCAAACCCCTTACAAATCTAGTAGCTTATAACTCTTTGATATTCAGTTCAGATCAATTAGCTTCCATAGGGTCACTCTTAAAAGAAGGCCAATTCCGGCCCTCTAGTTCCTCACTGATCATTGAAATGTAATATGACATTGACAATGATTTTTAGAAAGATGAAAAAATACAGACAAACAGCAGAGCTGGAGAGCCAGAAGTGATTACATTTGTCTGCAGAGGCCAGGATGGCTTCTGAAAAGAAGTAACACTTAAGCTGTGTTTTTATTTAAGTAAAAATTGTATTGACATTTTACCTACATATATCAGCTTTGTTTTGAAATGCATTGAACAGGAAAAGAAGGGAGAAATGGCATAGCATCCAGAAAGAGGAGAGTATTGGAAAACATTGCAGTACATAACAGGTTGCTGTGCTGGGCCATTTAAGTAGTTTAGGATCACTGGACCATAAAGCATGAGAGAGAGTGTAGCAAGAGATGAGCCCAGGGAAGCAGCCAGGGCTTCAGATACCGTGCTAAGATGCTGCTACTTACGTGTAAGCAGAAAAGTAAAACAATTATGCAGTATTTATCCTCTTAGAAAGAACATTCTAGCTGAGGTGTGAAGAATGGATCTGAGTTTGGTGACAAGAGAGGCAAGGGGACCAATTAAGAGGCCACTGCAGATGACCAGGCAGCGCTGATTACCAAGACATTTCATGGCTCTCTCTAATCAGTAACAATAGTTAAAACGTACTATTGTTGATATTCCATGCTGATCTAGGCCAAACTGCAACTGCTAACCCTAGAGAAATGTAGAAATGGACTCGTTCCAAAAAAGGGGAATAAAACTTTTTTTTTCTCTGATAGAAGCCGTTTTCTTCTTAGAGATAGTATTTGAAATTACCTTTAAGATGTCATCCTATAGTATTAATTTTCTGCTGTTTAAGGTAAGCTTGATACCCCCTCCATCTCTAACACCTCATACTTACAGCATCACTACGGTATATGGAACCAAATAAGATTGTTTCAGTTAAAGTCTTTGAATCAAAAAGATCAGAAACTTGCTCAATCACTGGAGACAATTCAACAAGGACTGACATAAAAAGGTAAACTCAGTTAGGTTAGGAATAAATTACCTTGTGCTATGTGAGAAAAAGAACCATATTTTGGAAAAACAGTTGCTTGTACATAACATTTGTTAGTTAGGATGATGGTAAATGAATATACACTGTATATTATTTATCAGAATTCTCATATCTTCACTCTTTTAAAATTCAACTGAGAATGTACATGTGTTATATAAAATTTTTCATAATTTGGATTTAATTTGTTTCAAAAATTTTGATTACTTGTATTGGAGTTGCAGCCTAAAAGTCAACTACCCTAATTTTCAATTAATCAAAAATTATTACAAATTACAGGTCACATATTATGTAACATGGTGACCATACACAGTTCATTAACCATGTATTGTATTCTGGAAAAATGCTTAAAAAGAAACGGTAGCTTTACAGAGTTCTCACCACAAAAATGACAGCTATGTGAGGTAAGACATATGTTAATTAGCTCGATTAAGCTATTCCACAATGCATATACAGATTTCAAAACACCATGTTGTATATAATAAATATACACAATTTTATAAATAAAATGTTTTCTGACATTAAAAAAATAAAGAACTCTTATCCACAGTGCTAGGAACTATAAAGTCTCTCTCCCTTTTTTTTTTTTTTTTTTTGGTTTTGGTCTTTTAAACATTTTATTTTTATGTAGAACTCAACAGATTCCAGCTTAATTTTTCACATTGCTTTGGCCATGGAAAGATCAACCTTCTACTAGCCTCTGGACAGACTCCACTCATTTTTCACTAAGGTAGCTCCACCGTTGTTCTTTTTTTTTATTTTTTTATTTTTAATTTTTTTAGATTCAGAGGGTACAAGTGCAGGTTTGTTACATGGGTATATTGCGTGATACTAAGGTTTGGGGTATGATTGATCTCATCACCCAGGTACTGAGCATAGCACCCAATAGTTAGTTTTTGAATACTTGCCCTCCTCTCACCCTCCCCACTCTAGTAGTCGCCAGTGTCTATTGTTGCCATTTTTGTATTTACCTCCCACTCATAAATCAGAACATACAGTATTTGGTTTTCTATTCCTATGTTAATTCACTTAGGATGATAACCTCCAGCTGCAACCAAGTTGCTGCAGATGACATAATTTTATTTGTTATGGCTGCATAGTATTCCATAGCGTATATATACTATATTTTCTTGATCCAATATATTGTTGATGGACACCTAGATTTATTACGTGTCTTTGATATTGTGAACAGTGCTGCAATGAACAGGCAAGCACATGTGTCCTTTTAGTAGAATGATTTATTTTCCTTTGGATGTACACTCAGTAATGGGATTGCTGGGTCAAATGATACTTCTGCTTCAAGTTCTTTGATAAATCTCCAAAGTGCTTTTCTACAGTGGCTGAACTAATTTACATTCCCACCAACAGTACATAAGCATTCCTTTTCTCCACGGCCTTGACAGCATCTGTTGTTTTTTGATGTTTTCATGATAGACATTCTGAGTGATGTGAGATGATATCTCATTGTAGTTTTGATTTGCATTTCTTTGATGATTAATGATGTGGAGCATTTTTTCATATGTTTGTTGGCAACAGGTATGTCCTCTTTTAAGAAATATCTCTAATATAAATCATTCTATTATACAGACACATGCATGTGTATGTTCATTGCAACACTATTCACAATAGCAAATACATGGAATCAACCTAAATGCCCATCACTGGATAAAGAAAATGTGGTACAGATACACCATGGAATACCAAGAACAAGATCATGGCCTTTGCAAGGACATAGATAGAGCTGGAGGTCATTATTCTTAGCAAACTAGCACAGGAACAGAAAACCAAATATCACGTGTTCTCACTTACAAGTGGAAGCTAAATAATGAGAACCCATGGACACATCGGGGGAACAATACACACTGGGGCTTTTGGAGGGTGGAGGGTGAAGGATGGGAGGAGGGAGAGGATCAGAAAATGTAACTAATGGGTAGTAGGCTTAATACCTGGGTGATAAAATAATCTTTACAATAAAGCCCCATGACACAAGTTTACCTACATAACAAACCTGCACTTGTACCCCTGAACTCAAAATAAAAAGTCATAACAAAAGTGTTGGTTCATGCTTTTTGTTCACTTTCTAACAAGGTTATTTGTTTTTTGTTTGTTGAATTGTTTTTAAGTTCCTTGTAGATTCTGGATATTAGGCCTTTGTTGGATGCATAGTTTGTGAGTATTTTCTCTCATTCCATAGGTTGTCTGGTTATTCTCTTGATCATGTCTTTTGTTCTGCAGAAGTTCTTCAGGTTAATTAGGTCTCATTTGTCTATTTTTGTTTCTATTGCATATGCTTTTGAGGATTGAGTTAATTTTTGTATATGATGAAAAGTAGAAGGTCCAGTTTCATCCTTCTGCATATGGCTAGTCAGTTATCCCAGCACCAATAAGCACTACTTATTGAATAGGGAATCTTTTCCCCAATGCTTATTTTTGTTGACTTTGTCAAAGATTAAATGGTTGTAGGTGTGTGGTTTTACTTCTGGGTTTTCCATTCTGTTCCATTGGCCCATAGTAACGGTACAAAAACAGACACATAGGCCACATGCAGCACTATTCACAATATCAAAAACATGTAATAAATCTAGGTTTTCATCAACAATTGATTGGATAAAGAAAATGTGGTCTATCTGCCTGTTTTATATCAATACTATGCTGTTTTGGTTACTGTAGCCTTGTAGTATAGTAGTCAAGTAGTGTGATGCTTCCAGCTTTGTTCTTTTTATGCTTAATATTGCTTTTGCTATGCGGGCACCTTTTTGGTTCCATATAAATTTTAGAATAGTTTTTTTTTCTAGTTCTGTTACAAATGACATTGGTAGCTTGATATAAATAGCATTGAATCTGTGGATTGATTTGAGGAGTATGGCCATTTTAACAATATTGGTTCTACTAATTCATGAGTATGAAATGTTTTTCCGTTTGTTCATGTCATTTCTGATTACTTTCAGCAGTGTTTTCTAGTTCTCTTTACAGAATTCTTTCACCTCCTTGGTTAGATGCAGTCCTAGGTATTTTTGTGTCTATTTTAAATAAGATTGCACCCTTGATTTGGCTCTCAGCATGAATGTTATTGGTGTATAGAAATGCTACTGATTCTTATATGCTGATTCTGTGTCCTGAAACTTTGCTGAAATTGTTTATCAGTTCCAGAGCCTTTTGGCATAGTCTTTGGGGTTCTCTAAGTAGAACTATATTATCAGTGAAGACAGACAATTGAACTTATTTTCCTGTTCACGTTTTTTTTTATTTCTTCTTCTTGCCTGATTGCTCTAGCTAAGATTTCCAGTACTATTTTGTTTTTTGTTGTTGTTGTTTATTTCTATAGGTTTTTGGGGAACAGGTGGTGTTTGATTACATGAATAAGTTCTCTAGTGATGATTTCTGAGATTCTGGTGCACCCATCACCTGAACAGTACTATTTTGAATAGGAATGGTGAGAGTGGACCTCCTTGTCTTGTTCCTATTCTTAGGGAGAATGTTTCCAGATTTTGCCAATTCAGTGTGGTGTTGGCGAGGGTTTGTCATAGAGGGCTCTTATTATTTTGAGGTATGTTCTTTCAATTTCCAGTCTCTTGAGGTTTTTATCATGAAAGAATGTTGGCTTTTATTGAAAGCTTTTTCTGTGTCTACTAAGATGATCATATGATTTTATTTTTAATGCTGGTTTATATGGTGAATCACATTTGTTGATTTGCATATGCTGAACCAACTTTCCCTCCCAGGAATAAAGCCTACTTGATCACAGTGAATGATATAGTTTGGATCCATGTTCCCTCTCAAATGTTTTGTTGAAATAAAATCCCCAATGCTGGAGGTGGGACCTGGTGGGAGGTGATTAGATCATGGTGATGGTTTCTAATGGTTTAGCACCAACTCCCTAGTGTTGTTCTTGTGATAGAGTTTTTATGAGATCTGGTTGTTTAAAGTGTGTAGCCCCTCCCCCCCTCTCTCTTCCTCCTGCTCTGGCCATGTAGGATGTGACTGCTTCCCCTTTACCTTCTGCCATGATTGTAGGTTTCCTGAGGCTTCCGCAGAAGTCAAACAGATGCAGCCATGCTTCCTGCATAGCCTGCAGAATCATGAGCCAATTAAATCTCTTTACTTTATAAATTACTCAGTCTCAGGTATTTATTTGCAGCAATGCAAAAATGGACTAATACAGTTAATTAGCTTTTAGCTTTTTGATGCACTGCTGGATTTGGTTTCCTAGTATTTTGCTAAGGATTTTTGTGTCTATATTTATCAGAGATGTTAGTCTGTTCTTTTTCTTTTTTTGTTGTGTCTTTGACAAGTTTGAGTATCAGGGTAATGCTAGCTTCGTAGAATAAGTTAGGGAGGAGTCCCTACTCCTCAATTGTTTTTTGAATAATTTCAGTAGAATTGGTACCAGCTCTTCTTTGTACATCTGTTAGAATTCGGCTGTGAATCCATCTCATCCAGGGCTTTTTTGAATTCTGCTGTGAATCCATGTGATCCAGGGCTTTTTTGATTGGTAGCTTTTTTTATTACTGATTCAATTTCAGAAGTCAATATTGGTCTGTTCAGGGTTTCAATTTCTTCTTGATTCAATCTTGGGAGGTTATGTGCTTCCAGAAATTTATTCATTTTCTCTAGAATTTCTAGTTTGTGTGCATTTAGGTATTCATAATAGTCTGTGAGGATCTTCTGTATTTCTCTGCGATCAGTTGTAATGTCCCCTTTGTCATTTCTTATGTGTTCATTTGAATTTTTTCTCTACTTTTCCTTGCTAATCTAGCTACCTGTCTATCGATCTTGTTTATCCTTTCAAATAGCCAAATGTTGGTGTTATTGATTCTGTATATGAACTTTTGGGTCTCAATTTTGTTCAGTTCTGCCTTGATATTAGTTATTTCTTTTCTTCTGCTAGCTTTGTGATTATTTTTAATTTTCTAGTTCCTCTAGGTGTGATGTCACATCATTAATTTGAGATCTTTCTAACTTTTTGAGATAGGCATATAGCACTATAAGCTTTCCTCATAAAACCGCCTTTGCATATGAACAGACACTTCTCAAAAGAAGACATTTATGCAGCCAACAGACACATGACAAAATGCTCTTCATCACTGATCATCAGATAAATGCAAATCAGAACCACAATGAGATACCATCTCACTCCAGTTAGAATGGAAATCATTAAAAAGTCAGGAAACAACAGATGCTGGAGAGCATGTGGAGAAATAGGAATGCTTTTACGCTGTTGGTGGGAGTGTAAATTAGTTCAACCATTGTGGAAGACAGTGTGGTGATTACTCAAGGATCTAGAACTAGAAATACCATTTGATCCGGTGATCCCATTGCTGGGTATATACCCAAGGGATTATAAATCATGCTACTATAAGGACACATATACACGTGTGTCTATTGCAGCACTATTCACAATAGTAAAGACTTGGAACCACCCCAAATGTCCATCGATGATAGACTGGATTAAGAAAATGTGACACATGTAGACCATGGAATACTATACAGCCATAAAAAGAATGAGTTCATGTCCTTTGCGGGACGTGGATGAAGCTGGAAACTGTCATCCTCAGCAAACTATCACAAGGACAGAAAACTAAACACCACATGTTCTCACTCATAGGTGTGTATTGAACAATGAGAACACTTGGACACAGGGCGGGGAACATCACACACCAGGGCCTGTCAGGAGGTGGGGGCCTGGGGGAGGGATAGCATTAGGAAAAATATCTAATGTAAATGACGAGTTGATGGGTGCAGCAAACCAACATAGCACATGTATACCTATGTAAAAAACCTACACGTTATGCACATGTACCCTAAAACTTAAAGTATAATTTAAAAAAACTGCCTTTGCTGCATTGCAGAGATTTTGTTACATTGTGCTTCCATTTTCATTTCTTTAAAACAAATTTTTGAGGTATGCTTTAATTTTGTTGTTTACCCAAAAGTCATTCAGGAGCAAGTTGTTTAATTTCTGTATAATTGTGTGTTTTTAAGAGATCTTCTTGGTATTGGTTTATATTTTTATTCCACTGTAGTCAAAGGGTATGGTTGGTATGATATAGTTTTTTTAGAATTTATTGAGACTTGCTTTATGGTTGAGCATGTGGTTCATCTTAGAGTATGTTCTGTGTGCAGATGAGAAGAATGTATATTGTGAGGTTGATGGGTGTAGCATTCTGTAGATATCTGTTAGGTCCAATTGGTCAAATGTCAAATTTAAGTGCAGAATTTCTTTGCTAATTTTCTGCTGCAATCATATATGTAATGCTTTCAGAGGGATGCTGAGGTCTTCCACTATTACTGTGTGGCCGTCTAAGTCTTTTTGTTGCTCTAGAAGTACTTGCTTTATGAATCTTAGTGTTCCAATGTTGGAGTGTATATGCATTTAGAATAGTTAAGACTTCTTGTTAAATTGAACCCTTTATCATTATGTAATTCCCTTTCTCTGTCCTTTTTCTCTGTTGTTGGTTTAATGTCCATTTTATCTGACATAATAGTGACCTCTGCTTTTTTTGTTGTTTCCAATTTGAGTGATGGATCTTTCTCCACCTCTTTATTTTGACCATATGGGTGTCATTAAATGTGAGATGGATCACTTGAATCAAGACCCAGACAAATGGGTCTTAATTTTTATTCAATTTGCAAATCTGTGCCATTTAAGTGGGATATTTAGGGCATTTATTTTCAAGGTTAATATTGATATGTAAGGTTCTGAACCTATCATGAAGTTGTTAGCTGGTTGTTTTGTAGTTTCTATTTGTGGCTATTTTATAGGGTCACTGGACTATTTACTTAAGTGTGTTCTTGTGGTGGCAGGTATTATTCTTTTGTTTCCATATTTAGAATGTATTTAAGGATCTCTTGTAAGACTGGTCACTGGTAACAAATTCCTTTAGCACTGGCTTGTCTGGAAAAGACTTTATTTCTACTTCACTAATGAAGCTTATCTTGGTGGGATACGAAATCCTTGGTGGAAATTTCTTTTCTTTAAGAATACTGAAAATAGGCCCCCAATCTCTCCTGGCTTGTAAGGTTTCTGCTGAGAAGCCCACTATTAGCCTGATGGGGTAATAGCCCTTTGTAGATGAGTTGACCTTTTTCTCAAACTCCTTTAATATTTTTTCTTTAGCATTGACTTTGAACCATCTGACAACTATATACCTTGGTAGTGTTTGTTTTGTATAGTATCTTTCCAGAGTTCTCTGGATTTCTTGTATCTGGATATCTACATCAGAGCTTTAGTATCTCAAAGAGCAATAAGAGTTCTTGGAGAACTTGTAATCTGTTTGGCAAAACAAGGAAGGAAAACATAAGAGTCTATCAATGTTTCTTTAATCTAAACCAAAAATGAGTTAAGAAACAACACATGATAGACTACAACACAGTAATGTAAATTTTTGCATGGGTGACTTAGAAAAAAATTGCATTTGGAGGAGAATGAGAAAAACAGGGATGGAGTGATTGATTCATAAGAGTTGGCATATAATGGTAAACTCTGATTTGTCCTTTTGATGTTTAAAAGGCATATTCAATGCTTTTTTAAAAACCTACAAATAATATTCTAATTTCAAATTTCTGCCTAAAGGACCAGTAGCTATTTGAAACTTAATATTTTTGGCTCACAAGTAATGAGTGCCCTCTCTGAGACTGACTGATTCCTCTCTAGAGGCAGTCTGGGTTGTAAGCCTTCAACTAAATCCTTTCATCTTGGTCACATAGGGCCTTGGGCTATGCTCACGGTCTGTTCATGTGGTGCTTCATCTGCCCACTTCCTCTTTCCATCTGCCTTCTTTTGGTTCTCCATAAAGCAATTATAATATTATACTTGGAGAAAAGCACTGATTGATCTAAATATAACAATTCTAAATCCCTAGAGCCACAAACAGTTTTTGTTAAAGTAATACAAGTAAATGTCCCTTAAAAAATTTCAACCCAAAGGTATTGCATGCCTAACAAAACCCTTTTCTATCTCTGGTTGATGGATCACATCAATTAAGCAATGCTGCACAAATAGAGGAACTGCGCATCAACTGCTATAGAATAGTAAAACTATGTCCTTGTCTTGAGTCATTTTCCATGGTTTCTACCACCACTTGTTAACCCATATTTAAACTTTGATAATGCCACAGTATGCTATTTTCATCTTATTTGTTCTACAAATTTTACAATTGTATAATAGTTGTTTGGTTATGGCTTCTCTTTACTACTTTCTTTTATTCTTTCACTCTCCAATAAGTAACGTCTCTCATGACAATTTTATATTAATCCTCATAGACACATCACAATAAAAAGTCACTCAGGTCTCTATAATTGACATACCATTGGGTAACGAAAGGTTGTATACATATTATTATCACTTCTTCTGAAAGTTTCAATGCAGCTATCAATGTCCCTGAATAGAACAAACTGTTATAGCACCTTTATGTTCTCCAAATATATTAAGGTACTTTCCCCAAGGTGTCCCATATTTCCAAATCAATATCCACAGATTAGAGGAATTAGTCTATTCAGGCACTAAATCAGGGGTTTTACGTACATTATCTATTTTAATCTCTGTAATAACCCTGAAACATAGCTATTATTATTTCTGTGTTAACAACTAGAAAATGGAGGCTCAAGAAGCTTATGTTTCTCTCCCTCAAGGTCTCAACGCAAAAATTTAGTTGGTTCTTGGCTGAAGTCTTTCTTCCCCAAGAACATGTCCTTCCTACTGTTTTCCACAATCTTCTCTTCTTCCTGCATGTTGACAATGTATCATTATATTGGCATTCAACATATCAATAAATTCTAAACTTTCCTTGATATTCCAGAATTTTTTTCAGAAAAATTTACTTTAAAAACGCAGGTAATTGGTCAAGTCTAAGAGAATATGATGGATAATAAAAGAACTCAAAATTAATATATCTGAGAGTTTATGAAAATTCATTTATTTTAGTCTATTTAACTTTTGATTTCTTTGGAATTTATGGAAGCCAGACCGCAAATCATTTAGGGAGATAGTATTACACAATCAGCTATATCCACGTCTACAACCACCCTCAGCCACTTCTCACTTCTGTACTCATGAGCAAACAGCTGAACCACTCAAAGCCTATTTTCTAGGCTGAAAATAGGCTAATATTGCCTTAGGATTACATAAAAATTACAGTCTGGGGCACAGTAAATACTCAATAAAAGAATCTCTGCTATGATGATGATAATTATCATCATTCAAACAGTATGGAAATGCATCTTTCTAAAGTACAAATTTAGTCATTTTACTCACCGACCTAAATGTTCCAAGGTGAAGTTCTAATTTCTTGGTGTGGCATGTAGGACTTATCACGGCCTAACCACTGCTCTCTGAGCAGGTCCATCTCTCAGCCTTCTGCACTCTGTGCTCTTTGTACCAATTGTTGGGCAAGTCCACAAGTTTTCTCTTAACTCCTGTGCATTCTGCCCAGAATCCACGCATCCTTCAAGTCAGGCACTAACTCCTCCAATACGGTTATCTAAGCCCATGCTCCACCTATACATTCCTCAGTCCAGATGTATACCCTCCTCCTTCTCGCATTATACCATGTGCAGGCCTCTAGCACAGCAGTGATCAGTTATCCTCTGGAGTTGCAATCACTGATTATTTGATGATCTCCCACTTAAAAGTTCAATATTAAATGATTAAAAAGTGTACTTTTAATTATATAGGAAATCTCCCCCTGGAATTAAACTAATTTCACCTGTTTTTGTCTCACTTCGGCTACTAAACTCTAGACCACAAATACATTTAAAGTGCTAATATTAAATTTATTCTTTAAAAAACAAATTGAGACATTGTAAGTTACCAAGAAAAAATAATTTTATCTTGAATGTTATGAAAAATGCCTTCACTATTTTGTTTCAATAGTTAAGTAGAAAAATGTCTAAAATTTTTTCATCAGAATCAAAAATGAGCATGGAATACCAAAATAACTTTAATTAAATACAATTTTTTTGAAATCTGTTTTAGTCTCTATAGCACTCATTCATTTTTCATTAACAGTGGATAAAGATACACTGTTCTGCATAAAAATAGTTGCTGACAATTTCTAAACACACAATTTATTGTAAAGTAATGGCTAAGCATAGAGATGGTACAATATTGGGCTCTGAGTTTTTGTTCCTTAAGAGAGTCTTTTAATGTCCACTAACAGGTGAAGTTAAAATTTTTAGAATATCTGAGGGAATGGCTTACATACCACAGAGAGAGCTGTCATCGGTTGCTTCATTCAATCACTACTATCAATTTCAAAACAAAATCACCAAAGTTTGGACAGTGAAAGGTACAAGAATTGATCAGTTAAGTCAGTCATATAACTTGAGTGGGAAGAAAATGATACATCTCTTAATTTTAGGATTCTCTCTTAAAATACCCCAGGAACGTTTTCTGCTAAGAGCAGAACAGACCCTGAGTGAAATGCTTTCCTCTTGTGACAAGGGATTTCTATTTATCCTATTGAGTTTTCCCAGAAAGTCTCCGATCCACCAAGGAAAAAAATGTATTTCTTTTTATATTGAAAGTAAAAATTAACTACAAAAGCAGACAATCATATCTTAAAAACCATTTAACTGGTTAAATGTATGTGAGTATCATATTTATTTTTATATGTTTTAGTGTATTGATATTACCGAGATTACAGAGCAGATTACATGTGTGTTTTGGGGGAGGGGTTTTTTGGGGGGGGGTTGTTTACTATTTTTAACTTTTAGGTTCAAGGGTACATGTGCAGGTTTCTTACAGAAGTAAATTGCATGTCATGGGGGTTTGGTATACAGATTATTTTGTCACCCAGGAAATAAGCATACTACTTGACAGTTAGTTTTTCAATCCTCCCTCTTCTGACCCTCCACCCTCAAGTAGGCCCCCATGTCTGTTGTTTCCTTCTTTGTTTCCATGTGTACTCAGTGTTTAGTTCCCACTTATAAGGGAGAACATGTGGTATTTGGTTTTCCGTTTCTGTCTTAATTTGCTTAGGAAAATGGCCTCCAGCTCCATTCACAAGGCTGCAAAGGATATGATCTCATTTTTATGGCTAAATAGTATTCCATGGTGTAGGCCAGGCATGGTGGCTCACACCTGTAATCCCAGCACTTTGGGAGGCCAAGGCGGGCAGATCACCTGAGGTCAGGAGTTCAAGACCAGCCTGGCCAACATGGCAAAACACCATCTCTAAAAAAAAAAAAAAAAAAAAAAAAAGTACTCCATGGTGTGTATATACCACATTTTCTTTATCCAGTCCATCACTGAGAGGCATCTAGGTTGATTCCCTGTCTTTGCTATTGTGAGTAGTGCTGCAAGGAACATACATGTGCGTGTGTCTTTATGGTAAAACAAATTATAATCCTTCAGGTAAACACCCAGTAATGAGATTATTCGGTCAAATGGTAATTCTGTTTTCAGTTCTTTGAGGAATTGTCACACTGCTTTCCACAATGGCTGGACTAATTTATACTCCCATCAGCAGTGTATAAGCATTCCCTTTTCTCCTCAACCATGCCATCATCTGTTATTTTTTGAGTTTTTAATAATATCCATTCTGATGGATGTGAGATGGTATCTCATTGTGGTTTTGATTTGCATTTCTCTAATGATTAGTAATGTGAAGCATTTTTTCATACACTTATTGGCCATGCATATGTCTGCTATTGAAAAGTGTCTGTTCATGTATTTGCCCACTTTTTAATGGGATTGTTTGTTTTTTGCTTGTTGAATTAACTTCTTTATAGACTCTGAATATTAAACCTTTGTCAGATGCATAGTTTGTAGATAATTTTTCCCATTCTATGGGCTGTCTGTTCGCTCTATTGATAGTTTCTTTTGTAGTACAGAAGGTCTTTAGTTTAACTAGGTTCCAATTGTCAATTTTTGTTTTTGTTGCAATTGCTTTTGGTGTCTTCATCATGAAATTTTTGATGGGGTCTATGTCTAGAATGGAATTTCTTAGATTATCTTCCAGAGTTTTTGTAGTTTTAGGATTTACATTTAAGTCTCTAATCTACCTTGAGTTGATTTTTATATATAGTGTAAGGAAGGGGTCCAATTTCAATCTTCTGCATATGGCTAGCCAGTTATCACAGTACCATTTATTGAGTAGACAGTCCTTGCCTCATTGCTTGTTATTGTCAGGTTTGTCAAAGATCAGATGGTTTTAGGTGTGCAGCATTATTTCTGGGCTCTCTATTCTGTTCCAATGGTATATGTGCCTGGTTTTGTACCACTATCCTGTTTTGGTTACTATAGCTTTACAGTATAGTTTGAAGGCAGGTAACACGATGCCTCCAGCTTTGTTCTTTTTGCTCCGAATTGCTTTGGCTATTGGGGCTCCTTTTTGGTTCCATATGAATTTTTAAATAGTTTTTTCTAATTCTATGAAGAATGTCATTGGTAGTTTGATAGGAATAGCATTGAATCTGTAGATTGCTTTGGGCAGCATGGCCATTTTAATGATATTGATTCTTCCTATCCATGAGCATAGAATGTTTCTCCATTTGTTTGTGTCATCTCTGATTTCTTTGAGCAGTGTTGTAATTCTCATTGTGGAGATCTTTCATCTCTCAGGTTGTCTGTATTCTTAGGTATTTTTGTGGCTATTGTGAATGGTATTGCATTCTTGATTTGACTCTTAGCTTAGATGTTGTAGGTGTATGGAAATGCTACTGATTTTTACTAATTAATTTTGTATCCAGAAACTGCTGACATTGTTTACTAGATATATAGGAACTTTGGGGCCTAGACTGTGGGGTTTTCTAGGTATAGAATTATCATCCACAAAGAAAGACAGTTTGACTTCCTCTCTGCTATCTGAATGCCTTTTATTTCCTTGTCTTCTCTGACTGCTCTGGCTAGTCAAACCAGGTCTTCTAGTACCATGCTGAGTAGGAATGGCAAGCACGAGTATCCTTGTTTTGTTCCAGTTCTCAAGAGAAATGCTTCTAGCTTTTGCTTATTCAGTATGATGTTGGCTATGAGTTTGTCATAGATGGCTTTTATTATTTTGAGGTATGTTTTTTTTTCAATGCCTAGTTTCTTGAGGGTTTTTATCATGAAGAGATGTTGAATTTTATGGAAAACCTTTTCTGTGCCTTTTGCAATGATCATGTAGTTTTTGTTTTTAGTTCTGTTAAGGTGATAAATCACATTCATTGATTTGAGTATGTTGAAACAACCTTACTTCCCAGAAATAAAGCTTACTTGATTATGGTAGGTTAGTTTTTCGACATGCTACTGGATTCTGTTTGCTAATATTTTGTTGAAGATTTTTGCATTCCTGTTCATCAAGGAAATTGGCCTGAAGTTTTTCTTTTTTGTTGTGTCTCTGCCAAGTGTTGGTATCAGGATGATGTTGGCCTCTTATAATGAGTTAGGGAGGAATCCTTTCTCCTGTGTTTTGGAATAGTTATAGTAGTAACAGTATCCACTCTTTATATATCTAGTAGAATTTGGCTATGAATCCATTTGGTCCTGAACTCTTTGGGTTGGTAAGATTTTATTACTGATTCAATTTTAGAACTTGTTATTGGTCTGTTCAGGGATTCAATTTCTTCCTGGTTCAATCTTGGAAAGTTGTATGTTTCCAGGAAGTTTTATGTTTCATCTCTTCTAGGTTTTCTAGTTTGTGTGTATAGCGGTGTTCATAGTCATCTCTGCGGGATTTTTGTATTTCTGTGGGGTCAGTGGTAATGTCCCCTTTGTCATTTCTGATTGTGTTTATTTGCATCTTCTCTCTTTTTTTCTGTATTAGTCTAGCTAGCCGTCTATCAATCTTACTCATTCTTTCAAAAAACCAACTCCAGGATTCATTGATCTTTTGTATGGTTTTTCACATCTCGATTTCCTTCAGCTCTAATTTTTATCATTTCTTGTCTTCTGCTAGCTTTGGGGTTGGTTTGCTCTTGTTTCTCTAGTTCCTTTAGGTGTGATATTAGGTTTTTAATGTGATATCTTTCTAACTTTTTGATGTGGGTGTTTAGGGCTATAAACTTCCCTTTTAAAACTACTTTAGCTGTGTCCCAGAGATTCTGGTATGTTGTATCTGTGTTCTCATTAGTTTCAAAATTTTTTTTTATTTCTGCATTAATTCTGTTTACCCAGTTATTCAGGAGCAGGTTGTTTAATTTCCACACAATAATATAGCTTTAAGTGATTTTCTTAGTGTTGATTTCTATTTTTATTGTGCTGTGGTCCAAGAGTGTGGTCGGTATGCTTTCAGTTTTGTTTTATTTTTAATTTGCTGAGGATTGTTTTATGGCTGATTGTGTGGTCAATTTTAGAGTATGTGCCTCGTGAAGATGAGAAAAATATATATTTTATTGGTTTTGGGTGGAAATTTATGTACATATCTATTGGGCCCATTTGATCAAATGTCATGTTTAGGTCCTACATATCTTTGTTAGTTTTCTGCCTCAATGATGTGTCTAGTACTGTCGGTGAGGTGTTGTTGTCTCCTACTAAGAACTTGCTTAGTAGATGCTAAGCACCTGGGTGCTTAAACCTGGGTGCTTCTACATTGGGGGCACGTACATTTAGGATAGTTAGGTCTTGTTGAATTGAACCCTTACCATTACATAGTGTCCTTCTTTGTCTTTTTTGATCTTTGTTGGTTTAAAGACTGTTTGGTCTAAATTAGGATTGCAACCCCTGATTTTTTCTGTTTTCCATTTGCTGGGTAGATTTTTC
Source organism: Homo sapiens (assembly GCF_000001405.40). Taxonomy (NCBI): domain Eukaryota; kingdom Metazoa; phylum Chordata; class Mammalia; order Primates; family Hominidae; genus Homo; species Homo sapiens. Next base: position 76,167,955 of record NC_000006.12, on the reverse strand, counting down.
TCCATTCCTGTATTTTGAGCCTATGAATGTCATTACATGTGAGATAGGTCTCTTGAAGACATTGTGTCTTGCTTCTTTATCCAGTTTGCCACTCTGTGCCTTTTAATTGGGGTGGTTTGGCTCATATACATTCAAGGTTAGTATTGATACATGTGGATTTGATCCTGTCATAGTATCCTTAACGGATTATTACACTGACTTGTTTGTATCACTGCTTTATATTGGCACTAGTTCTAGGTGTGGTGGCTCATGCCTGTAATCCCAGCACTTCCGGAGGCCAAGGAGGGAGGATTGCTTGAGCCCAGGAGTTCAAGAGCAGCATGGGCAATATAGTGAGACCCTGTCTCTACAAACTTTTTTTAACTAGCCAGGCATGATGGTGTGTATCTGTAGTTTTAACTACTTAAGAGGCTGAGGTGGGAGGATGACTTGAGCCCAGGAGGTCAAGGCTGCAGTAAGCCATGTTTGCACCACTGCTCTCCAGCATGGCCAACAAAGTGAGACCTTGCCTAATTCCTATCCATATTCTGAATTCTATTTCTGTCATTTCAGCCTGATTAAGAATTCTTGCTGGGGAACTAGTATAGTCATTTGGAGGAAAAAAGTACTCTGGCTTTTTGAGTTGACAGAGTTCTTGTTCTGCTTCTTTCTCATCTGTGTGAGTTGATGTTCCTTCAAGTGTGGTTACATTGAGTATAGTCAGCAGACTTCTGAATGTTTTCAGAGGGCCGTGGCTTTGTGCAGGGTCTTTACTTGTAGCTGATTTTTTGTCCTTGGTGTTACAAGGGGGGTATATTAGCAAAGTATTTTTGGTGTTGAAGTTTGGACTGTGATCCAGTAGATGGCACTTAAGCATCATAGCCAGTAGGTAGGCTCCTGCTCAGCCATGTGACTCCTCTGTATTTCCTCACATTTGCATCTGTGCTCCCTCTCAGTGCTCTGAGAGTGTGGGCTCCTCTCTCACTCAAATGCTAGCTACAGATCTCAGCTTGGCACTCCCAGGCTGCACACCACAGCCTTGGGGTGAGTTCAGACTTCATGCTCCCTCCTCAGCTTGGAGGCAGCAGGAGAAAGGATCTTGGCAGTGGCTGTGGCAGAGGGCCTTTCACTTGTCTCTTAGGTCTCCACCCCTGAGAAATGCAGAGCCTCTACCAATTGATGTGATCAGTCCAGATTGAGGCAGCTGCCTTGTGGGCCCAAGGTGGATGACAAGCAGCGGGTTTGGGAGGTGGGGAGCTCCCAAGGGAGACAGGCCAGCCTCTTCTCCTTAGGGCACCTGCTTTCTGGATATGTGGGTAAAGCCCTCAGGCTCTTTGTTCCTTCCCTAGTCTGGCCGCAGTGGCAGTAGCAGAGGTGCCTGCAGTGACCTCTGTGAGCTCCACCCCAGGGAAACACAGAGCACTACTAGTGGGAGTGCTTAGCCCCAGACAGAGCAGCTGTTCTGTGGTCTGGAGCCAGCGGGCCCTGCCTGGTAAAGAGTTAGGGGTAGGGGCTCCTCTCTGTATGTTGGCTGCAGCGGGCTGCAGGTGCCAGCATATTGACTAGATCCTTTGTTCTTTCTCCAGCCCGAGGGCAGTAAGAGAGGTACCACTGCAGCTGCAATGGCAGAGGGGCTGTGGCTGGTCTCTAGGATTTCCTTCCCAGAGAAACGCAGAGGCGCCACCCACTGAAGTCCTCAGGCAGGGCAGGATGGTTGTGCTGGGGACCCAGGTCAAGAGACCCTGCCTAGTGAGGAGTAAAAGGGGCAGGCACCCAAGTGGAAAACATTCTGTCCGCTTTTCTGTAAGGCAACTGAGCTGTTCCGGATACCCACTTTCCTCCTTAATCTCTCCTCTCCCTCCGAAGCTTGAGGGCAAGAGGAGTGAGGGCAACGGAGCAGCAAACATTGCTGCCCTCTGGGGAGCTCTGTCCCAGGGAAAGGCAGAGCTACCACCAGCCGGAGAGCCCAGGCAGGGGTTGCTGGGGTCCCAGGTCGGGAGGCCCTGCCCAGTAAGAAGTAGCTGGGGCAGGGACCCTCATGGAAAACAGTCTGGTCGCTTTTGGGTGAGGCAGCTTCACTGTGCTGGAGACTTGCTTTAGTCCTTAATCTCTTCACTCCTTCCGGAGCCTGAGGTGAGCAAGACCGACGGCTACGGAGCAGCGTAACTAGTGGGCCCATCTGCTACTTCCGGGAGCCCCATCCCAGGGAAGTGCAGGGTTGCCACTCGCCTAGAGCTCAGGCGTGGCTGGGGTAGCATGCTAAGGCTCCAGGCCAATGGGCCTTGTCTGGTGAGGCGCGGTGGAGACCAGGCTGCGGATGTGGCCCCTTTCCTAGGGGCATGCGAGGGAATCTGGCCTTCCACGTGTGCCTGGGGACCCCAGGCACCTAGGACTCCGCACGTGCCTGACCAGAAGCTCTGCCCAGACTCCACATAGCTCCCCATGTCAGGCTGAAGGCCCCATTCGTGGTTGGGGGCTGGAGGGGCATCTCCTGAGCCCAAGGTTGCAGAGGTCCATGGGTCCCCAGTGTGGGTCCCCAGGACTCTCACTCACTGTTTCCAGTGGTGGGAACTTCCCCTGGCTCCACTCCCTCCCGGGTTAGGGGTTGTCCTGTCTGGCTATTCTCTGTTCTCTGTGGGTCGTGTTGCTTCCTTCATGAATCCCAACGTGTCCACCCGGATGATCTGGCCACGCTTTTCTCCATGAGAACGTGCACACTGGCAGCTTCTAGTCAGCCATCTTCTCTCAATCTAAAATACGTATTTTGATATCTTATAATTTAGAAGAGTCACACATGACCTGTGAAATGAGTCTTCAATTTAAAATAAAATAGCTATATATTTTGGGGCTGATCTTTTTAACATATTGGAAGCCAGCATCTAAGTGACCTCACTCTTCTTAAAATAAATCTGTATTTCTTCCTCTGTGTGACTATATCGTCTGTTAGATGTAAATACACTGATTAGTTCATCATCTCTAAGGCAAAATGAGGCTCATCTTTATAGCATACATTGAATATCCACTTTAATGTCTTTGTTACAATTACTGAATTAAACTTAATATTGTTTTATATTGTGAAAATTTCCCCAACCTGAGCTTTAACAAATCTTTCCAGAAAAAAAAAACAAATAGCTCGAGCAACTCAAGAAAATTTATGACAATGATGATATTGATTTTTTAAAAATCTGCCAATGCATCCATTTCTCTTCATCTCCACCAACACCTCTCTAATTCTAACACCTCTCTAATTCTGATAGCTTACATGGACTCTTGAAATTAAGCTTCTGCATGGCCAACTACCACATCCTCTGGCCTCCTCCAATAGTTTTCACACTGTAGCCCAATTGACCTTTTCACCATGCAAAACTGGTGACACACACACACCCTTTCCAGTCCTATCTCCTTAAACATCTCAGCAGTTTTCCATCACTCTGTGAATAAAAACCAAAATCCTTAACATAATCTGTTAAGCTTTATCTAACACTTGCCTTCCCTCACTGTCCATGTTCCAGCCACATTGGCCTTCTTGCAGTCTTTCTCATTTCTCTTTGCTCTCTCCCAGCACTAATTCAAACGTTTATGCAACTGTCACCTTGGCTTAGATGCCTAGGCTCTGTGACTAATGGAGATGGAGGAAGGAGGGGAAGAGCAGGATCTTAATGTCTATACTGGATATGAGAAGCCACCACTGTGGACTGGGAGAAATCACATGGTTGTTGTGAGCTGGACAGGGAATTCTAAAGGTAGGTACTAGACTATGCTAGTTTTAAAAAAATATGTTCTCCCCTGGTATCATCTATGATGGCTTAAGGTTTAAAAGTCCGAATGGAATCTAAAGCACGTTAACCTACCATGCCGCATGTACATCTTTGACTCAACATGACCATAGCAGGGCATTGTCAGAAAATGGGAAAATATGTCAGAGTCATGTGGAGCCCATAAAACAATAGAAAGGGTGAATGGTTCAAACTAAACTTTGAGCTGTTGAGAATACTAAAGTATTTCCTAGAAGGATACATGGCAAATTTCAAAGCATGTTCCATGGTCAAGAGTGAACCATTTTTCAACACAGACCCAACTCTAGAAAGAATGAACTCATGAGACTCCATAATCGTGGTCAATGGGAGGACAGATAGCTCAAGAACGGAGAGTAGTCAGAAGGCAAAGAGTGTTTTTAAGCACTTGCTTATGAATTGAGGCTTTTGATTTACAATGAGTGATAAAATGAACTTTGTGGGTCCAAACTATGTTTTTTAATAAAATAGATGAGACTAGAATAGAAAAATAAATGAGTGCATTGTACATCATAATGATGAAAATATTACCTCATCAACTTACTTTTGTTACATGAATATATTACATACATTATATAAGAGATCACAATGCAAAATGTGATTTTGAGCTGATTCATAATTAAAAAGATGTTTGGAAAAAATGCTGTTTTAGAAAACAAAGAGCAAAGGCCATTAGTAATTAATAGCGGGCATTTAACAAAATGCTTTCTTACAAACACCCCATATAGAGACAAAATATTTAAAGTAAATTGTGAGTAATTACATACGCAGAACTGATCACTTTTCTACTACTTCCACAAAAGGTTTCTGTTATGGGATAAACTGTGTCCCCACAAAATTCAAATGTTGAAGTTCTAACCTAACCCTATTACCTCAGAATATGACTATATTTGAGCATAAGGCTTTTATAAAGATAATTAAGGTAATTCAGGTTAATTGAGTTGGGCCCTAACCAAACAAATATGACTGGTGCCCTCATAGATTTAGGAAATTAACCATCCAATAGGCCTGGGAGCAATGATAGAACAAAAAAGGAGAGAAAGTGATTTCTCATTCTCTCTCTCACGGAGCTAGGATATTCTCCTCCTGCCCTTAGGCATTAGAACTCCACATTCTCTGACTTTGTGACTCTGGAATTTATACCAGCAGCCCCCTACATTCTCTGGCCTTCAGCTTCAGACAGAATTACACCATCAGCTTCCCTGGTTCTGAGGCTTTCTGGCATGAACTAAGCTACTCTACCAGCATCCTAGGGTCTCCTGCTTGCAAGTGGCCTGTCATGGGGTAATATGGTTTGGATTTGTGTCCCTGCCCAAATCTCATGTTGAACTGGAGGAGAGACATGGTGGGAAGTGATTAGATCATGGGACGGACTTCCCCTTGCTGTTCTCATGAGAGTGAGTTCTCATGAAATCTGATGACTTTAAAGCACGTGGCACTTCCCCCTTCTCTCTCTCTCTCTCTCTCTGTCTTTCTCTCTCTCTCTCTCCTGCTCCACCATGATAAGATGTGCTTGCTTCCACTTTGCCTTCTGCTATGATAGTAAGTTTCTTGCGACCTCCCAGCCATGCTTCCTATACAGCCTATGGAACTGTGAGTCAATTAAACCTCTTTTCTTCATAAATTACCCAGTCTCAGGTAGTTCTTTACAGTTGTGTGAGAATGAACTAATATATGGGGCTTCTTAGCCTCTGTAATCACAAATCCTGTATTTGAAGCTGGATTAGTTTTTCTGCTGACTCCATTGACTTCACAGTCTTTCCACTGCAGTAGAATTGAAAAAAAAACAGTGGCTTTGTGGATGCTATGTACAAGAATGAGGTGAACTGGCAGTTGCAAGGATGAATAGTTTCAAAAAGATCAAGCTTTACGTGTTGGTATTTGTAAGATTGGCAAATAAAGTTTATAAAACCAATACCTTATGAAGTGAATGGCTTGAATGGCTCAAAACTAGAAGGTAATGTATTAGGAACTAGTAAGAATTCCCAAAAGGCTTAATTAACATAGGCTTAGTTAGCTAAATGGACAATGGTTTCAACAAGCCAAAGATTACCTTACCACCATTATCAGCAAGCCAAAAAGGAATCTCATTTTGAAGTAGTTACTGGTTTTTGTAAATATCCCTGTAAACTCAAACCCACTTCCTTAGCCATCCATATGGCTAAGTCTTTACATAGCTGGCTCTGTGTCATCACAGATTCATCCTGTCCTTTTCATGGTCATTAGAGATAAATGTCAGAGACCAAAAAAAATGATGCAGCAAACCCACTCAGAATCAAGAGTTCCTGTTAAGTTTCATTAGTTCTCTTTCTCCAATTCAATAATTCTTATCATGTTAAAAATGGCAGAAGCTTTTTTGGTTTTATTCTTACTCGGTTTTACTGTCATTTATATAGGTCTATCCAAAAAAGGAAATTCTTAGTCTTATCAAGTCATTAGCCCTAGAAGGCCTTAAACATTAGCCCTAGAAGGGATATTAAAGAAGAGTCCAATGATGGCCTTATTTGACAGATGGGGGAAACTGAGCCCCAGAGATGTATATTCTAGCACAACCATGAATCAGTTGATGGTAGAACTCAGAAAAGACCTGAGCTTTTGAACTCCCCAAACTATAAAAATCTAAGCTTTTCCCATAATATCACATAGTTTGAAAATCACATGTAAACTTTTTGCAGTTTAAAAGTCTCTGCAATGTGATATTACTATGACACATACTGACAGAGAAAGTTTAATCTTAGCTGAGATGTTGCTATTCAAGGCATTTAGAAACTCATTTGTCTATGGCTTGGTTGATTTGGACTTTTTTCTCATGATTCCAAGGTTCACTGACTTGCCTTCTGTGACCTGTCACTTCTCTGTGTTCCCTGGCCACAAGTCATCCCTTACCAGTTCATTTTGCTGCATGCCGCTATCCACCATGGGAACCAAGAAGAAGGATGGTAATAGATTACCATGTCCACTGCAAAACTACTGAAAGTTTCTGTTGATAAATTAGGGCCATCATCTTTAGGTAAGTATACCAAAGGACTCATGGGGTAAGGTCTGTGTTTATCCTAATATAGGTTATAAAATATAAAGTAGTGACTTGCGTATAAGATAAATACAAATGTAGTAAATGAAAGAGAAGCAACATTACTGTCATATTAGTGCTAACATTTTCCTTATTTTCCTTTTCTTTATTTCTTTGCAATGTGTTTTGGGAAACAATTTTTCTCATGATAATAATCTAAATACATGCATATATTCTGAGATACTCTATTTGGATGACTCTGAGTGGATTTAGTTTCGACTTAGTGAGAAGGTGTATCTTGCCACTTCCCCACCTAAAGCCTTCCAATGACTTCTTAATAAATTTAGGCTGAAATCCAAATTTCTTATCACGAGCTAGCTACAAAGCCTACACAATCTTGCTTTCGCCTACTTCTCTGGTCCAAAGTTCTCTCATCATTACTCTGTAGTCACCCTGGCCATCTTGTTGGGCCTTGGTTACACCAAGCTTGCTTCCACTTCGGAGCATTTACATTTGATACTCCCTCTGCCTTGAAGATCTTCCCCATGACTAACTCATTGACATTAAGGTCTCTATTAAAAGGCTACTTCACTTCTGAAAAAGAAAAAAAAGCCATCTTTGGCCATCTTATCTAGCACCTGCTCTATGAGTCATTATCTACCCTGCTCTATGTCCTAACTAGACTCATCCTTCTCTGAGAGTGTATTGTATGTTTCTTGCCTGCCTCCCCTTCTAAAATGTAAGCCCCACACAGACAGGGATTTTCTTGTTTACTGTTGTATTCTCAGGTTTAGAACAATGTCAGAAAGAAAGTGCTTGATAAATATTTGGAAATAAAGAAAGAGAAAAAGAGGAAATTAGGACACAGATACACACAGAGGGAAGACCATGTGAAAATACAGAGAAGACAGCCATCTACAAGTCAAGGAAAGAAGCCTCAGAAGAAATCAACCCTTCTGACATCTTGACCATGGACTTAGAAGCCTTCACAGTTGTGAGAAATAAATTTGTTTTTTAAGCCACTCAGTCTGCATTACTTTGTTACAGCAGCCCTGGGCTCTAATATAACCTAGTCTCTAATATGAGGAAGTGGAAACTTAGTTCAGTATGGCACATGTTGGAAACTGCATGGAACATAAGAAAAATACAGAACATCTTGACAGTACAAAAAGAAAAAGAATCAGAAACAGATTGGAATAAACTGGCTAAAAGTGGGGAGTTTTTTGTTTGTTTTATTTTGTTTTAGTTGGTGTATTGTCTAACATTTCTTTGGGACAGAAGACTTGGAATTACTCTGCAGTGGAAAAGTTATTATTCAATTAACTACATAAAAGCAGCTCTCATCCAACAGTGAGAATTTAGGTATTGTCCAAAAGGCTCTTCTATTTCCCCATAACTTTCCCAGTAAAAAATATCCCCAAATATAGCCACAGATAGAGAGCTAAAATGAAGATTCTTCCTGACTCTTGCAGTCAGAACTCAGATAAGCTGTCAGAATAGACAAACTGGGCACTGAGCCTTGGTTACAGAGCACTGCATATTCAGACATTTTCTATTTATGTATGCTACATAAGCTACACATGCACAAGACACAAGAAAATTTGCTTACCTGCTCTTCACAGCTCAGAAAATTCATGCCATCAGCCACAGAAAGCCAGGAAAATAAATAATACGCCTGTCTGTTTTATCACCATCATTTCAGATGTCACACTGAATCATCCACACATCCAAAAGTTACATTTTGAAATGTTTATAGAATTTTATGCACTTCCCAAAACATTTCTTATTATCAGATTGCCTTTATATTCCTTCTGACCATTATATAAATGAACAGGTTATGGCTTTGCAGAAGTGATTTGAATTCTAACTTATAAGGCCAATAAGGCATCTTAGATTTTCATATAAATTAGAAAAACTGCTTCTGCTGTCCTCTTTCTAGCCAAGACTTTTTTAAAAGCTGTGTTCTACACTTTCAACCTGTTTAGAAATCAAACTATTTTCTTATGTTCCTATTTTGCAGATATTTTTGTGTATCTACGTGAAGCAAAAATGACTTTAAATTTTGAGTCTCCAAACAAAATTTTACAAAGATTTTCTCTACAGCTCTTGACCTGCAAAAACACACTTCCTGTGCATTGTGAGACAAATTCACATTTCTCAGCCATCTGTCTCCAGCCAGGAGTGGTCCAGCTTTTGACACCATCAGATATTCAACAAGAATAATCAGAACAACTGCTGACTTCATTTTCTTTTCTTTCTTTTTTTTTTTTTGATGGAATTTCAAAAAAAATTGTGAACTCCCATTCACAATTGCTATGAGAGAATAAAATACCTAGGAATACAACTTACAGGAGATGTGAAGGACCTCTTCAAGGAGAACTACAAACCACTGCCCAAGGAAATAAGAGAGGACACAAACAAATGGAACAACATTCCATGCTCATGGATAGGAAGAATCAATATTGTGAAAATGGCCATACTGCCCAAAGTAATTTATAGGTTCAATGCTATACCCATCAAGCTACCATTGACTTTCTTCATATAATTAGAAAAAAACTACTTTAAATTTCACATGGAACCAAAAAAGAGCCCATATAGCCAGGACAATCCTAAGCAAAAAGAACAAAACTAGAGGCATCACGCTACCTGACTTCAAACTATACTACAAGGCTAGAGTAACCAAAACAGCATGGTACTGGTACCTATCGGGGAACCAGCCTCCAGTATTTCAAGGTAGGTTCTTTCTATTTTCCCTAAGTGTTGGCTGGTCTGAGAAATAAAGAGAAAGAGTACAAAGAGAGGAATTTTACAGCTGGGCCTCCAGGGGTGACATCACATATCAGTAGGTCCGTGATGTCCTGTGAGCCGCAAAACCAGCAAGTTTCTATTAGGGATTTTAAAAGGGGAGGGGGTGTATGAAGAGGGAGTAGGTCACAAAGATCACATGCTTCAAAGGGCAATAAAGATCACAAGGCAAAGGCAAAATTAGAATTACTGATGACGGTCTATGTCCCACTGTGCACATATCATCTTGATAAACAACTTAACAGAAAACAGGGTTTGAGAGCAGAGAACCAATCTGACCTCAATTTCACCAGAGTGGGGTTTTTTCCCCACTCTAGTGAGCCTGAGGGTACTGCAGGAGACCAGGGCATATTTCAGTCGTTATCTTAACTGCTAAGACAGACACTCCCAGAGCGGCTGTTTATAGACCTCCCCCCAGGAATGCAATTCTTTTCCTAGGGTCTTAATATTTAATATTCCTTGCTAGGAGAAGAATTTAGCAGTATCTCTCCTACTTTCACGTCTGTTTATAGGCTCTCTGCAAGAAGAAAAATATGGCTGTATTCTGCCCGACCCCGCAGGCAGTCAGACCTCATGGTTGTCTTCCCTTGTTCCCTGAAAATTGCTGTTATTCTGTTCTTTTTCAAGGTGCACTAATTTCCTGTTGTTCAAACACATGTTTTACAATTAGTTTGTACAATAGTGGTCCTGAGGTGATGTACATTCTCAGCTTACGAAGATAACAGGATTAAGAGATTAAAGTAAAGACAGGCATAAGAAATTATAAGAGTATTATTAAGGAACTGATAAATGTCCATGAAATCTTCATGTGGTGTATAGATACAGATATAGATATAGATATAGATATAGATATAGATATAGATATAGATATATGATGGAATACTACTCAGCCATAAAAAGGAATGAAATAATGGCATTCACAGCAACCTGGATGGAGCTGGAGACCATTATTCTAAGTGAAGTAACTCAAGAATGGAAAAGGAAACATTGTATGTTCTCACATAAGTCAGAGCTAAGCTATGAGGATGCAAAGGCATTAGAATGATATAATGGACAAAGGTGACTTGGGGGGAAGGTTGGGAGTGGGGTGAGGAATAAAATACTACACATGGGTATAGTGTACACTGCTCAGGTGATGGGTGCACCAAATTCTCAGAAATCACCCCTAAAGAACTTAACCATGTAACTAAACACCACCTGTTCCCCAGAACCTATTGAAATAATAATAATAATAATTTTAAAAAAGAAAAAAAGAGGGAGAGAGAAAAACCTTTCTGCCTGTATTTAATACTCAAAGTGAGGGAAAAATTTATGTAACTACATGCTAAATGTATAAACACCAAGCATTACTTAGCTTGTTCACCTTCAAAAATTCACCTCTTAAGAAAGTCAGCAAGTTTCTATTTTTGCTGCAAATTATCCATCAGCAAAGTGTTGAAACATTCACTGGACACATATCTGCACTGGGGCTATGTGTCATAAAGAGATTAGTGGTTCCTAACAGATGGTCCAGACTTCAAACAGCTTAGTTGCTTTACTTTTTGTTTCCCTTGTAGCATTGCTGAGATAAATGGTCTACATGATTATTCATGGCTTGGAGAATACTCTTGTTCAATAAGGTTTGTAGGTGAAGCAGTGAGGCCAGTTCTTTATCAATCTTTCATGTGCAGTCAATTTCTCTTCATCAAAAGTTTATTTTATACTGTTATATGCAAATTTGTAACCTCTGTTAAACAGCTTCTATTTCAAAACCTTGGGTGAGAAAATTCAAAGCATGTATAGTGACTGCAGAGAAGTAGCAAGAAAATTAATTGTTAATTCTATTCTCTTGAAATCTCTGTAAAGATGTCAGTGGACACTGGAAAAGAAAGATAATCAAATTTCATTATACTGCTGAAGGATGGAAACCAAGTAACCAAGCACAATAGATGACAAGTATTACTTTCATCATCTTTATTTACAGTTGAAGCAAGTCCAAAATTTTTAAATGACCATGAGTAATTTAATAGCCACTTAGAAAAATTATAGCAAAATGCAGAATAGACACACTCCACTTCTTAATTTCCTTATATAGAAGCTCACCACCAATAACAGTTTTCATTATAAATATAATTTTCTCATTTAAAATTTGGATTGAAGACCCACAGTCTGAATGAACTTTTGGTGTTGCCACTTATTTATACAAATGCAACTGAAAATTATAACTTCGTTTTTAAATGTTTGTTGCTTTCATAGACTGGATGCTGTTGACAAATAATTACCATTATTCACAATGCAATGCAAGTTAATTGACCACATTTTTTTAAAAGATTAAGCTAGGTTGTGCTCTATATTATTTGAGAACAACAAATTATGGGCAGATATTCTGACAAAAGAAAATTTGACTTCACTACTCTTTTGTTTTTTTCCTTCTTAATTAGTTAATTAATTAATGCAAGTTTTTGCCATTGTTTCTGAGAGCATCTCACTCTATCACCCAGGCTGGAGTGCAGTGGCACCAATCATGGCTCACTGTAGCTTCAACCTCCTGGGCTCAAGTGATCCTCCAACTTCAGTTTCCCAAGTAGCTAGGACTACAGGCATGTGCCACCATGCCTAGCTAATTTGTTAATTTACTTTTTTCAGAGACAGGGGCTCCCTCTGTTGCCCAGACTGGTCTCAAACTCCTGGCCTCAAAAAATCCTCCCACCTCAGTATACCAAAATGCTGAGATTACAGTGTGAGCCACCACACGAGGCTGATGCCAGTTTTGAAAGTCCTTTTCGCTACTGTTTTTGGTTTGTGCTTCTGGAGCTAAGACTAAATGTTTGATTCCCATAAGTTTGATTCCCATAAGATTAAAAGTTTGATTCCCATAAACATCACCTTAAGTAAATGCTTATATCTGATATAGAGATAGTACGTAAACAAAAGTGCTTACTTAGAAAATGCTGTTGCTTTTTGTAGAATTTCCTAAGGAATATTGTTATAATTGAGCTTGGCGGAAAAAAGAAAAATATATATATTATAGAGTATTCAGACATAGAATATTTTGCTCTTAGATTCTCATTTTATTTCTGACAAGAAAGCTGTCGAGTCAATAATAGACTTCACTTCTCTGAACTACCACAAGAAATAAATGTGATAATCAACTACTTCTAATAGATCAACTGCAGGGAAGATAAAACAATGAGGAAATCTGCTTCTGATTGATAGATGGGAAACACTATCACAGTATAGAACCTAGGCACAAGGTTGGTCTTATTTGATTGACATTTTCTTCCTGTTCAGATGATGGCCTGTGAACTGACCCAATCCTCACAACCGTCTATGACCAGTAGCTTGGGCAGAGGCTCCTCACAGCCCAGTTGTGATTAAGAGGAGCCACATCTGCTCCCAGCTACATGCCATAAACTGTGGGAGTGTCCTGTCTTGAAACAGGAGAGAAATTCACTAACAGCACTTATTTCTTTATCTTCTTTACCCTATAAATGGGGGGTTTTGCCCAGCTCACCATTTCAAAAATATATAAGTGTCAGAGAATTTATTTTGACAGCTACTTGTAGGTGGTTTTGGAAATAAAAAAAAAGACTTTCCCCCTTTATCATCACTCTGATTCGTTTAGAGGCCTTCTAGAACCATCTTCAAGGGAAATGAATTTTTAAATGAGAATAAAGTCAAAATCCAGCATTGCTACTAGGGAAACAACTCATAGCAAGTGTCCCACTTATATTCTCATGGTTAATTGGATTGTTGATTGAATTAAATTACTTAATCCCCATAGAGTACTTAAATAAATAAGTGCATAATAAATGTGAGCTGTTAGCATTAACAACAGTGGTTAACATTTCAGTCACATATTAAAAGATACTCTCAAGCTTAGCATTCGATCAAATTTTCAGTTATCTTTAGAGGTAACTCATACTTTCCATATTTTGCAGATTTTTTTAAAAAAGTCTTGCCAGGTTAAGTAACATAAATTACGTACAACCACACACACACTTTAAATTGTTTCATTTATCATCTTTAGGATAAAGTTTAGTCCCTTTAGCATGGCATAAAGGCAATTCACAATCTAACTCCCTCAACTTTCCCAGGGACACTACTCTTGTCGTGGCTTTACACATGCCTTTCACCACATCACACCCTTTTCTTCCAATGTACCATACCCCATGTCTTTGCATAGGTGGTTTCTTCATAAAACACCTTTCCTCTAGTCTAACTCTTGTCCACTTGATAGACTCCTACACATTTTTCCAGACTCAGTTTAAGCATCCCATCTCCTAAAAGAAACTGTCCCTGATTGTTCCTTCCTCACCTTCTCCAAAGACAGGTTGCCTCCTTCTGTGCTCACTCCATAAATTTATATCACATAGCATTAAACTTATTCCTCCATTGAGATGCTGAGTGAGCACCAATAACAATTTCTCATTCATCTCTTTATTCCCAGCATTTTATACAATGTCTGACATACGATATGAACTCTGTATACATTGGTAAAATGAAAGAAAAAATAAAAGAATGAATAAATGAAAAACTGTACACAGATGATGAGCAGCAGGCAAGAAACTAAACCCAAAATTTCTGAATCCAAGTTCGTTACTTAACAGACTTTTTTTTTTTTAATTTTTTTGAGACGGAGTCTCGCTCTGTCCCCAGGCTGGAGTGCAGTGGGGTGATCTCGGCTCACTGCAAGCTCCGCCTCCCGGGTTCACGCCATTCTCCTGCCTCAGCCTCCTGAGCACCTGGGACTACAGGCGCCCGCCACCACGCCCGGCTAATTTTTTGTATTTTTAGTAGAGACGGGGTTTCACCGTGTTAGCCAGGATGGTCTCTATCTCCTGACCTCGTGATCCGCCTGCCTCTGCCTCCCAAAGTGCTAGGATTACAGGCTTGAGCCACCGCGCCCAGCCACCCACTACTATTTTCTAAGTTCGCTAAAAAGCAGTAGAGACAGATGGTTGAAGAAGGCATGATTCATACCCTGCAAGACAAATATACACACACACTGTCAGGCCTCAAGAAAGTCAATTATTATAAAGCTATTAGACACATTATTTGAAATACTGTCTTCCTAGCTCAATACAATTGCTCAAAGTTCTCCACACACAGGAGCCAGCCATTGTCTTTCTGGCTTAAGCATTTAGCTGCACAACTGGTGATAGTATCTTAAAGTTTTCTTCACCTTAGCTAAACTATTAAATAGGCAAAGATACACAAAAGAAAATTACTGTTTTTACAGAATACATGTTTGGCGATCGTAATTTCCAAACTTTTTTAATTCTTTAAAACTTGATTAGGCAAGCAAAAGTCTCAGTATTACCCTAGATCTAAATTTTTATAGTGCTGTTTAGATGACTATCACCTATTAAAACTTTATATGAAGTCACAGAAGTACTCGTGTTTTCTAACAATACTCTTTATGTCATCAGTCCAATTCAGTAATTCTTTGGAGTTTCTTCAGAAGGAAAAACAAACGTTTTACTTGATTACAGTCATTACAGTCATCCCTCAGTATCTATGGGAGGATTGGTTCTAGAACCCACATGGATACCAAAATCCATGGATGCTCATCTGTTATATAAAATGGTGTAGTATTTGCATACAGCCTATGCACATCCTCCCTAGATAACTTATAATACCTAATACAGTGTAAATGCTACCTTAATAGTTGTTACAATGTATTGTTTAGGAAATAACAAATCTGTACATGTTCAGTACAGAGGTAACTATCCTTTTCTTTCAATATTCTCAATACAAGTTTGGTTGAATCCACTGATGCAGAATCTGTGGATACGGAGGTCTGATTGTACTGAATTAAATATAAAGTATTAGAACTAAAAGCTATTACATATTATGTAAAGAAAGCAAAATAGAACTCACAGTTCCTCCTATTGTTCAAGGTCAGTTTCAAAATTGGGATTGATCCTCACAGAAGCTTCATGCTGAGTTTTCGAAGCATGATTTTGTTAGATGGGATCCTTTATGAAAATCTTTGCATGTTCATAAGGAAGAGGCCTGCTTGGAGTGATGTGAGTGATGCCAGCAGGCCCATCAGGTTAACAACACTTTCATGTGGGCCAGGCATGACAGTGCTTTCCCCAGGGTTTGAAGTATTCACCACTGTCATTTACCTATTAAACACAGGAACATAACACTTGGAAAGAAGCCTGTTGCATGTATTTGGGTTAATTGAAGAGAGCTCTCTGGTGTTCTACTATTTAAAAGAGCATAAAAAGTTTGGAGAAATGCAAGAAAAGGGATCAGTAAGAAAGATGATTTAAAAAGAAGGCAATCTCAATTTTAAGACCTGCCTTACTACAAGAAAAAAAAAAGGAAAGAAAATGCAACCTTTCTCAATCTTCTGTTTTAAGTGCCTCTGGAAATAGAGAATAAATCTTCCATTTCAGTTTATTTTTATAGATTCTTTCCCTAGTTATAATAAAAGTGTTTTTCTACTTGGCCTACACTACATCTTAAGAATATTGCATTCTTAAATATGCTGCCTTAAATTATTTTTATGCTCATTTTAGGAATTCATGTCAAGCCAGGAGCCATGTCTAATTTTAATGAACATTAATTAAGTGCCTGCTATGGTCAAGACACTGTGTGTTAAGGGGTGTGGAAAATACAAAGATGAACTTATACAAGAGTGAGATTGAGAAGAAAGGGGCAGATAAAGAGGAAACATTGAATGTGGGGTTGGATATGTGATTAAGATAATACTAATTTCAGTGGCTTAACCCAATAGAAATTTATTTATTACTATTACAAGTCTAACGCATGTCTAAAAAAGATGTCCTCCATGTGATGATTCAGAAATCTAGGCACTTTTTCATCTTATGACTCCACCATCCCTTAGGGTCCAGAGAGAAAAGAACAGATAGAGAAAGCAAACTCATTCCTCAATTATGTTGGGACAAAAGCAACAGACATCACTTCCATTTATCTTACATTAACAAGAACCAGTCATACAAGGGGTTCTACCTTGGATGGAAGAGGGGCTGAGAAATGTAGTCTTGGCCTGGGCAGCAACCTCTTGCTAAAACTAGGAGCAGGAGTCTTTAGTGGATGGTATCCATCCCTGCCAGCCGTCCCTGCCTCAGAAGAGATGTGGCATCAATGGTTTAAATTTCAACAAAGATGCTAAATTTTTAAAATTCTAGTTGAAAAACTGGTTAAAAATAGGGCCCTAATCACATTGCCAAGACAATCCTAAGTCAAAAGAACAAAACTGGAGACATCACGCTACCTGACTTCAAACTATACTACAAGGCTATAGTAACCAAAACAGCATGGTACTGGTACCAAAACAAGAGATGTAGACCAATGGAACAGAATAGAGCCCTCCGAAATAATACCACACATCTACAAGCATCTGATCTTTGACAAACCTGACAAAAACAAGAAATGGGGAAAGGATTCCTTATTTAATAAATGGTGCTGGGAAAACTGGCTAGCCATATGTAGAAAGCTGAAACTGGATCCCTTCCTTACACCTTACACAAAAATTAATTCAAGATGGATTAAATACTTAAATGTTAGACCTAAAACCATAAAAATCCTTTAAGAAAACCTGGGCAATACCATTCAGGACATAGGCATGGGCAAAAACTTCATGTCTAAAACACCAAAAGCAATGGCAACAAAAGCCAAAATTGACAAATGGGATCTAATTATACTAAAGAACTTTTGCACAGCAAAAGAAGCTACCATCACAGTGAACAGGCAACCTACAGAATGGGAGAAAATTTTTGCAATCTACTCATCTGACAAAGGGCTAATATCCAGAATCTACAAAGAATTTAAACAAATTTACAAGAAAAAAAATCAAACAACCCCATCAAAAAGTGGGCGAAGGATATGAACAGACACTTCTCAAAAGAAGACATTTATGCAGCCAACAGACACATGAAAAAATGCTCATGATCACTGGCCATCAGAGAAATGCAAATCAAAACCACAATGAGATACCATCTCACACCAGTTAGAATGGCGATAATTAAAAAGTCAGGAAACAACAGGTGCAGGAGAAGATGTGGAGAAATAGGAACATTTTTACACCGTTGGTAGGACTGTGAACTAGTTTAACCATTGTGGAAGACAGTGTGGCGATTCCTCAAGGATCTAGAACTAGAAACACCATTTGACCCAGCCATCCCATTACTGGGTATATAACCAAAGGATTATAAATCATGCTGCTACAAAGGCACACGCACATGTATGTTTATTGTGGCACTAGTCACAATAGCAAAGACTTGGAACCAACCCAAATGTCCATCAATGATAGACTGGATTAAGAAAATGTGGCACATATACACCATGGAATACTATGGAGCCATAAAAAGGGATGAGTTCATGTCCTTTGTAGGAACATGGATGAAGCTGGAAACCATCATTCTGAGCAAACTATCACAAGGACAGAAAACCACACACTGCCTGTTCTCACTCATAGGTGGAATTGAACAATGAGATCACTTGGATACAGGGTGGGGAACATCACACACCGGGGCCTGTTGTGGGGTGGGGGGAGGGGGGAGGGATAGCATTAGGAGATATACCTAATGTAAATGATGAGTTAATGGGTGCAGCACAACAACATGGCACATGTATACATATGTAACAAACCTGCATATTGTGCACATGTACCCTAGAACTTAAAGTATAATAAAAAATATATATATATATATATATGACCTTAAGTCTGAGGACAGGGTAGTAGGTTAGAGCTGTGTCCTCAGTGGGCACTTAAACAATTTTTCTGGATTATGCATGCATTTTTAAAGAACCAAACATTTCATAAATAATCGAGACAAATGTTGCTGAAAATACATCTGTCATATATGTAAGTGTCTGCCACTAAACAGTGTTTAGAGCAGGATGACTTATAACAAGATATTAACATAGTCATATTCCGGTACTAGAGTTAGAATATTTTATTCTTTTCTTTTTATGCTTGTGTATTTTTAAATGTATATACAATGAACACACCAGATTCTTTTTTTTTAATTATTATACTTTAAGTTCTAGGGTACATATGCACAACGTGCAGGTTTGTTACATAGGTATACATGTGCCATGGTGGTTAGATGCACCCATCAACTCGTCATTTACATCAGGTATTTCTCCTAATGCTATCCCTCCCCCAGCTCCCTACCCTCAACAGGCCCCAGTGTGTGATGTTCCCCTCCCTGTCTCATGTGTTCTCATTGTTCAACTCCCACTTATGAGTGAGAACATGCAGTGTTTGGTTTTCTCTCCATGTGATATTTTGCTGAGAATGATGGTTTCCAGCTTCATCCACGTCCCTGCAAAGGACATGAACTCATCCTTTTTTATGGCTGCATAGTATTCCATGGTGTATATGTGCCATATTTTCTTTATCCAGTCTATTATTGATGGACATTTGGGTTGGTTCCAAGTCTTTGCTATTGTGAATAGTGCCACAGTGAATATACGTGTGCAAGTGTCTTTATAGTACCATGATTTATAATCCTTTGGGTATATACCCAGTAATGGGATGGCTGGGTCAAATGGTATTTCTAGTTCTAGATCCTTGAGGAATCGCCACACTGTCTTCCACAATGGTTTAACTAATTTACACTCTCAACAGTGTAAAAGCATTCCTATTTCTCCACATCCTCTCCAGCATCTGTTTTTTCCTGATTTTTTAATAATCACCATTCTAACTGGCATGAGATGGTATCTCATTACGGTTTTGATTTGCATTTCCCTGATGACCAGTGATGATGAGCATTTTTTCATATGTCTGTTGGCTGCATAAATATCTTCTTTTGAGAAGTGTCTGTTCATATCCTTTGCCCACATTTGATGGGGTTGTTCTGTTCCATTGGTCTATCTCTCTGTTTTGGTACCAGTACCATGCTGTTTTAGTTACTGTAGCCTTGTAGTATAGTTTGAAGTCAGGTAGCATGATACCTCCAGCTTTGTTCTTTTTGCTTAGGATTGTCCTGGCTATATGGGCTTTTTTTTTTTTTTTTTTGGTTCCATATGAATTTTAAAGTAGTTTTTTCCAATTCTGTAAAGAAAGTCATTGGTAGCTTGATGGGGATAACATTGAATCTATAAATTACTTTGGGCAGTATGGCCATTTTCATGATATTGACTCTTCCTATCCATGAACATGTTCTTCCATTTGTTTGTGTCCTATTTTATTTCATTGAGAAATGGTTTGTAGTTCTCTTTGAAGAGGTCCTTCACACCTCTTGTAAGTTGGATTCTTAGATATTTTATTCTCTTTGTAGTAGTTGTGAATGGGAATGAACTCATGATTTGGCTCTCTGTTTGTCTGTTCGTGGTGTATAGGAATGCTTGTGATTTTTGTACATTGATTTTGTATCCTGAGACTTTGCTAAAGTTGCTTATCAGCTTAAGGAGATTTTGGGTTTAGATGATGGGGTTTTCTAAATATACAGTCATGACATTTGCAAACACAGACAATTTGACTTCCTCATTTCTTAATTGAATATCTTTATTTGTTTCTCTTGCCTGATTGCCCTGGCCAGAACTTCCAATACTATGTTGTGTAGGAGTGGTGAGAGAGGGCATCCTTGTCTTGTGCCAGTTTTCTAAGGGAATGCTTCCAGTTTTTGCCCATTCAGTATGATACTGGCTGTGAGCACACTACATTTTTAATGATGAATAAATTACAAATGTTCTTAAAGGTTAACACAAATCAATGTTTTGACATTTTACGATTTGAAGAGATGGCTTTCACTTCTTTTTCTTGAAACCATACAAGTTGATTCATTTGTTTTGTCTGTTAGATTACAAGAGTAAATTGGTTCTATGTTAACCTATTCTATATCGTTTGTTCAAATTCTCTGCTAGTTCTCCCTTAGATCCATCTTACAGCTCTCCCCCAGGTACACTAGTCACTGCCCACTCCAATTACGTAGAATAATAACAATAATAATAATGACAGGCATTTACAATATGTCAGACACTAAGTTGATCACTTTACATGTGACATCTCATTTAGTACCCCCTATTTCATGAAATAAGTGCTATTATTACCTTTTACACATAAGAAAACTCAGGCTTGAAGAAGTATGCTATTTACCCGAACTCTCAGTTGGTCAGTAGCTAAAGTGAATATGAACCTAGGCAGAGCCCATGCATTCAAACACTATACTACTCTCCCTCCCGAAAAATTGTGTTATCTGATAATAATTTATCCATGCAAAATAGTTTATAGTATTCAGGGCACCTTTATCAATAATGTTGCTTTGGACTTTTGCAATGGCATGGAAAGTATCACCATCATTTTCCAGGTAACTGAGAGTTAAATGCTGAAGATTCCAAAGCTAGTAGAATGTTGCTTCAATGTGGATCCAGCCAGAGAAACAGCAACCACACTCATTACTTCAATTTAAGGTGATTTAATGCAAGGAATTGGTTACTAAAGTGTTGAAAGGGCTAATGGAGAAGAAAGAAGAAGGTAATCAGTAATGACAGAAACAACTCCCATCCCTAGGGTTTGAGGAACACAAGAAAAAGTGGTGCTTTCCAGAGTCAATGAACACTGCAGCACTAAGCAGAAATATGGGAGCCAAGTGCCTCCTGACAGGAAACCTGGAGCCAGCCATTTTGCTAAAGCTTCTGGACTAGTTTATTTCTCTTCAAGAGCCCACAGTCACTTGCTATTGCTCCTGTAGCTGTTGAAGCCAGAAGAAGGAATAAACAAAAACAGAAACAGCTTATCTATTCCTCCCACCTTATGATCTTATACAAGCTCTCCCACTGGCTGAGTCAAAGGTTTCCAGGAAATATGGCTTTCAAACTTCCATATATGCAATACAAAGGAGATTTAGAGGTCAAGCACCAAACTGACAGCCAACAGACCTGACACAATGGCAGAAACAGAACTGAACTCAGGACTTCTGAATTAGAGTCAATTATTTTCATTCAATATGTATTTATGCAACTACTCTGAGGCAGGCATTATAATAGCTGTTTGTTAGGGGTTACCATTATGAAACAGGTGTACCCGAACATCTCCTTTTGGAGCTTCAAGTGTAGTAGAAGTGAATAACGGAACTCTTTCCATTATATTCCATCCTCTGGACAAAGATGAGAGCACCATTATGGCTGAAAGAGTTTGTTGGATCTTGCTGTGTCAACTTGATTAAACTGGGAACTGCATTTCCCAGTCTTCCCTTCTTTGTATATTTCTGAGTTAGAGTTTGCCAAAGAGGAATTTGCACAAGGTTGGAAGGCAGACATGAAATGGAGCTATTACTTTCAGAAGTCTTTGTGGTAAGACACTATTATGGGCATACACAGAAGTGTCTGCTAGATCTCAACTCTTTTCCCCTCAACCAGCTTGTCTTCCCAGTCATTGGTTCTGCTGGCCACCTAACATTTGGCTGCATGGAGGAAGTAATTATACAGAGGCAGATGCTTCCTATGGACCATTCTGTGAGCTGTTCCTTCACAGTCTCATTTCAGCAGCCAGACATGCTTTGCTTTGCAGATTTCCCTGCAAATTCTAATTTGTCCACTCATGCTAGTACACCAGGAAGACTGGTTAGTGACTCCTCTGACTGTCTCTTGCAAAACTTCACTTCCCAGCCCCCCAATAGTTACCTGCAGTCTAGTCCCTACTTAAAAATCCCTCATCTCAAAAATTCAAAATGGCCCTACTATCCTGACTAATAAAGGTACCATAGTCTCTTTGGTGTTTCCAAAAATAAGCAGACTTATAGAATCCTAGAAAGAACTGCTACATGCTATACTAAATCATTTCTTAGGCACATTTCATGGTGATTTCTCACATGTCTAAGACATATTCAGCTCTCAGCATATTCCTATCCAAATCATTAGCATAGTACTCTGATCTGGCTACAAAATGCAATCCTAGTTGCACCTCTGACAGTAAATTAATGAATAATTCAGCAAAATGCTCTAGCAGGTCTCCAAGGAGCTATGAATGGATGACCAAAAAAATATAAGACGATTTGAAATGTTTCTCTTTCTACAAAACAAGTTTATTTTCTTCACTGCTCATGTTAGTTGAATTTTTCTCCTTTTCCTGGTATAATGCTTAATTCCCTGTACTAAAACGCTAACATGACAAGTCTTCTCAACTTGCTTGCAGGTAATTAATTGTCTTATTGACCATGTATTAGAAACAGAGAATATTAACTACCTTTTTTTGTGCTGTCATGATAATTACCAGAACAGAGTTGGCAAAATCCAGCTCATCAATAAAAATCAGTAGTTGTCTTCTTGATCAACAAAAAAAAATAAATAAATAAATAAATAAGGGCTTTGGAAAGATAATCAGGTATTCTTTTCCATGAGTCACTAAACCATTAAGTGTAATTTTCCTCTATGGTTTCAGAGTTGTAATAGAAAATGTCACCATCCAAACTATTTGAAGTGCTGACCAATGAGGGTGAGGCTAATAGAAAGACTTTTGACAACAGCAGAGGGAAATTTCTGAAGTCCCCCAGCAGCTTATCCTCATTCAATACATTTAGTTAATAGTATATAGTGAATATATCAACAAAAAATACAAACCTAGGATGGAAGGACTAGAAGCTCTGAGGGATTTGGATAGCCAGAAGCAAGGATTCAAGTCAGAGTTCCAGAGATGCAAATACAAACCAAAGAGGTGGTGGTGTTCTAGAAACCCTATACAACACTGGGCATGCAAGACACTATTTTGGGATTTATCTAGACAGAATGAGGTGAGAAGGGGGGAAGAGAGGGTAAGAGATGCCACTCATGTTAGCAGAGCAGTTTGGTTCAGAGGCCTTGGTGCAGGATAGTTCAGAGAGGAATGCAATCGGGAACAGAAAGCAACAGTCACAGAAGAAGGAACAATAGCAGCAGAAAGATGCTTCAAGAGGCTCTAAGGACCAGTTTGTAAAGGAAGTCAGAAAAGGAAAAATATTGCAGAAGACACAAGTACCTGAAAGCACATACCCAGAAGCAATAATCACACATGCTCTGCAGACTTTGAGGTCTAACTGGAGAGATTTTTGCAGGAGCAGGGGACTTGAAAGTATCACAGTAGCAGATAAAGATGGGGCACAGATTTGTATTTAAATTCCACCAAAACATTTTGAGACACTTCATAATAAAAATAAAGATTGTAAACTCCTTAACTATTTAAGACACAAAGAATATCTTATTCCATTTTCTAACTGCTAACCACCCCTAGGCATAGCACTGTGCCTGGAACATAGCAGGACCTCAAAAAGTATTTGTTGAAACAATGAGTAATATACAACATAAAAAAATATGAAATTCAACATTTGGACTAGTAACATATAAGCAAAAATCTCAGATCAAAAAATGGAGAAAGGTAAAAAGAAATAAAATAATTATGAAGAACTTAACTAAGGAAATATCAAAACTTGGCTAAAATTTAAATATCCTGGAAGTCAAACTAAATAATTTATTAAAATAAGTTTAATAACAGCATGGTTTCACTGAAGGATGGATGAACAGCTAGTTCCCAAGAAGGCTTTGTCTTGAGGGTGGTTCCAAGATGGCTGAATAGGAACAGCTCCAGTCTACAGCTCCCGTCTACAGCTCCCAGCATGAGCGTCACAGAAGATGGGTGATTTCTGCATTTCCAGCTGAGGTACTTCATCTCACTGGGGCTCGTTGGATAGTGGTGGCAGAACAGTGGGTGCAGCCCACCAAGCGTGAGCCAAAGCAGGGTGAGGCATCGCCTCACCTGGTAAGTGCAAGGGGTCAGGGAATTCCCTTTCCTAGCCAAGGGAAAGGGTGACAGATGGCACCTGGAAAATTGGGTCACTCCCACCCTAATACTGCACTTTGCCAGTGGTCTTAGCAAACATCACACCAGGAGATTATATCCCGTGCCTGGCTCAGAGGGTCCCACGCCCATGGAGCATCACTCATTGCTAGCACAGCAGTCTGAGATCCATCTGCAAGGTGGCAGCATGGCTGGGGGAGGGGTGCCTGCCATTGCTGAGGCTTGAGTAGGTAAACAAAGAGGCCCAGAAGCTCGAACTGGGTGGAGCCCACCGCAGCTCAAGGAGGCCTGCCTGCCTCTGTAGACTCCACCTCTGGGGGCAGGGCATAGCCAAACAAAAGGCAGCAGAAACCTCTGCAGACTTAAATGTCCCTGTCTGACAGCTTTGAAGAGAGTAGTGGTTCTCCCAGCACAGAGTTTGAGATCTGAGAATGGATGGACTGCCTCCTCAAGTGGGTCCCTGACCTCCAAGTAGCCTAACTGGGAGGCACCCCCCAGTAGGGACAGAATGACACCTCACACGGCCAAGTATCCCTCTGAGAAAAAACTTCCAGAGGAACAATCAGGCAGCAGCATTGGCTGTTCAGCAATATTCGTTGTTCTGCAGCCTCCACTGCTGATACCCGGGCAAACAGCGTCTGGAGTGGACCTCCAACAAACTCCAACAGACCTGCAGCTGAGGATCCTGACTGTTAGAAGGAAAACTAACAAACAGAATGGACATCCACAGCAAAACCCCATTTGCACATCACCATCATCAAAGACCACAGGTAGAAAAAAACCACAAAGATGGGGGAAAAACAGAGCATAAAAGCTGAAAATTCTAAAAATCAGAGCACCTCTCCCACTCCAAAGGAACACAGTGCCTTGCCAGCAATGGAACAAAGCTGGACAGAGAATGACTTTGACGACTTGAGAGAAGGCTTCAGATGATCATACTTATCCGAGCTAAAGGAGGAAGTTCGAGCCCAGCACAAAGAAGTTAAAAACCTTGAAAAAAGATTAGACAAATGTCTAACTAGAATAACCAATGTAGAGAAGTCCTTAAATGACCTGATGGAGCTGAAAACCATGGCATGAACTATGTGACGAATGCGCAAGCTTCAGTAGCCGATTTCATCAACTGGAAGAAAGAGTATCAGTGATTGATGATCAAATGAATGAAATGAAGTGAGAAGAGTAGTTTAGAGAAAAAAGAGTAAAAAGAAATGAACAAAGCCTCCAAGAAATATGGGACTATGTGAAAAGACCAAATCTACATCTGATTGATGTACCTGAAAGGGATGGGTAGAATAGAACCAAGTTGGAAAACACTCTGCAGGATATTATCCAGGAGAACTTCCCCAACCTAGCAAGGCAGGCCAACATTCAAATGCAGGAAATACAGAGAATGCCACAAAGATATTCCTCGAGAAGAGCAACTCCAAGACACATAATTGTCAGATTCACCAAAGTTGAAATGAGGGAAAAAACGTTAAGGTCAGCCAGAGAGAAAGGTCGGGTTACCCACAAAGGGAAACCCATCAGACTAACAGCAGATCTCTTGGCAGAAACTCTACAAGCCAGAAGAGAGTGGAGCCAATATTCAACATTCTTAAAGAAAAGAATTTTCAACCCAGAATTTCATATCCAGCCAAACTAAGCTTCATAAGTGAAGGAGAAATAAAATCCTTTACAGACAAGCAAATGCTGAGAGATTTTGTCACCATCAGGCCTGCCATACAAGAGCTCCTGAAGGAAGTACTAAACATGGAAAGGAACAACCAGTACCAGCCAGAGCAAAAACATGACAAATTGTAAAGACCATCAAGGCCAGGAAGAAACTACACCAACGAATGGGCAAAATAACCACCTAATATCATAATGACAGGATCCAATTCACACGTAACAATATTAACCTTAAATGTAAATGGGCTAAATGCTCCAATTAAAAGGCACAGACTGGCAAATTGGATAAAGAGTCAAGACCCAGCAGTGTGCTGTATTCAGGAGACTCATCTCACATGCAGAGACACACATACGCTCAAAATAAAGGGATGAAGGAAGATCTACCAAGCAAATGGAAAACAGAAAAAGGCAGGGGTTGCAATCCTAGTCCCTGATAAAACAGACTTTAAACCAACAAAGATCAAAAGAGACAAAGAAAGCCATTACATAATGGTAAAGGGATCAATTCAACATGAAGAGCTAACTATCCTAAATATATATGCACCCAATACAGGAGCACCAAGATTCATAAAGCAAGTCCTTAGAGATATACAAAGAGACGTAGACTCCCACACAATAATACTGGGAGACTTTAACACCCCACTGTCAACATTAGACAGATCAATGAGACAGAAAGTTAACAAGGATATCCAGGAATTGAACTCAGCTCTGCACCAAGTGGACCTAATAGACATCTACAGAAATCTCCATCCCAAATCACATAGTTGGAAGTAAAGCACACCTCAGCAAATGTAAAAGAACAGAAATTATAACAAACTGTCTCTCAGACCACAATGCAATCAAACTAGAACTCAGGATTAAGAAACTCACTCAAAACCACGCAACTACATGGAAACAGAACAACCTGCTCCTGAATGACTACTGGGTACATAATGAAATGAAGGCAGAAATAAAGATGTTCTTTGAAACCAGCAAGAGCAAAGACACAACATACCAGAATCTCTGGGACACATTTAAAGCAGTGTGTGGAGGGAAATTTATAGCACTAAATGCCCACAAGAGAAAGCAGGAAACAACTAAAATTGACAACCTCACATCACAATTAAAAGAACTAGAGAAGCAAGAGCAAACACATTCAAAAGCTAGCAGAAGGCAAGAAATAACTAACATCAGAGCAGAACTGAAGGAGATAGAGACACAAAAAACCCTTCAAAAAATCAATGAATCCAGGAGCTGCGGTTTTGAAAAGAGCAACAAAATTGACAGACAGCTAGCAAGACTAAAAAAGAAGAAAAGACAGAAGAATAGACGCGATAAAAAATGATAAAGGGGATATCACCACCAATCCCACAGAAATACAAACTACCATCAGAGAAAACTATAAATACCTCTATGCAAATAAACTGGAAAATCTAGAAGAAATGGATAAATTTCTGGACACATAAACCCTCTCAAGACTAAATTAGGAAGAAGTTGAATGCCTGAATAGACCAATAACAGGCTCTGAAATTGAGGCAATAAATAATAGCCTACCAACCAAAAAAAGTCCAGGACCAGATGGATTCACAGCCGAATTCTA
Source organism: Homo sapiens (assembly GCF_000001405.40). Lineage (NCBI taxonomy): Eukaryota > Metazoa > Chordata > Mammalia > Primates > Hominidae > Homo > Homo sapiens. The sequence goes on along the minus strand of NC_000006.12, from coordinate 76,140,386 downwards.
CCAGAGGTACAAGGAGGAACTGGTACCATTCCTTCTGAAACTATTCCAATCAATAGAAAAAGAGGGAATCCTCACTAACTCATTTTGTGAGGCTAGCATCATCCTGATACCAAAGCCTGGAAAAGACACAACAAAAAAAGAGAATTTTAGGCCAATATTCCGGATAAACATTGATGCAAAAATCCTCAATAAAATACTGGCAAACTGAATCCAGCAGCTCATCAAAAAGCTTATCCACCATGATCAAGTGGGCTTCATCCCTGGGATGCAAGGCTGGTTCAATATATGCAAATCAATAAACATAAGCCAGCATATAAACAGAACCAAAGACAAAAACCACATGATTATCTCAATAGATGTAGAAGAGGCCTTTGACAAAATTCAACAACCTTCATGCTAAAAACTCTCAATAAATTAGGTATTGATGGGATGTATCTCAAAATAATAAGAGCTACTTATGACAAACCCATGGCCTATATCATACTCAATGGGCAAAAACTGGAAGCATTCCCTTTGAAAACTGGCACAAGACAGAGATGCCCTCTCTCACCACTCCTATTCAACATAGTGTTGGAAGTTCTGGCCAGGGCAATCAGGCAGGAGAAAGAAATAAAGGGTATTCAATTAGGAAAAGAGGAAGTCAAATTGTCCCTGTTTGCAGATGACATGATTGTATATCTAGAAAACCCCATCGTCTCAGCCCAAAATCTCCTTAAGCTGATAAGCAACTTCAGCAAAGTCTCAGGATATAAAATCAATGTGCAAAAATCACAAGCATTCTTATACACCAATAACAGACCAACAGAGAACCAAATCATGAGTGAACTCCCATTCACAATTGCTTCAAAGAGAAGAAAATACCTAGGAATCCAACTTACGAGGGACGTGAAGGAACTCTTCAAGGAGAACTACAAACCATAGCTCAATAAAATAAAGAGGACACAAACAAATGGAAGAACATTCCATGCTCATGGATAGGAAGAATCAATATTGTGAAAATGTTGCCAAGACAATCCTAAGCCAAAAGAACAAAGCTGGAGACATCACGCTACCTGAGTTCAAACTATACTACAAGGCTACAGTAACCAAAACAGCATGGTACTGATACCAAAACAGAGATATAGACCAATGGAACAGAGCAGAGACCTCAGAAATAATACCACACATCTACAAGCATCTGATCTTTGACAAACCAGACAAAAACAAGAAATGGGGAAAGGATTCCCTATTTAATAAATGGTGCTGGGAAAACTGGCTAGCCATATGTAGAAAGCTGAAACTGGATCCCTTCCTTACACCTCATTCAAAAATTAATTCAAGATGGATTAAAGACTTAAATGTTAGACCCAAAACCATAGAAACCCTAGAACAAAACCTAGGCAATACCATTCAGGATATAGACATGGGCAAGGACTTCATGTCTAAAACACCAAAAGCAATGGTAACAAAAACCAAAATTGATGAACAGGATCTAATTAAACTCAGGAGCTTCTGCACAGCAAAAGAAACTATCATCAGAGTGAACAGGCAACCTACAGAATGGGAGAAAATTTTTGCAATCTACTCATCTGACAAAGGGCTAATATCCAGAATCTACAAAGAACTCAAACAAATTTACAAGAAAAAAACAAGCAACCACATCAAAAAGTGGGCGAAGGGTGAAGGATATAAACAGACACTTCTCAAAAGAAGACATTTATGCACCCAACAGACACATGAAAAAATGCTCATCATCACTAGCCATCAGAGAAATGCAAATCAAAACCACATTGAGATACCATCTCACACCAGTTAGAATGGCGATCATTAAAAAGTCAGGAAACAACAGGTGCTGGAGAGGATGTGGAGAAATAGGAACACTTTTACACTGTTGGTGGGACTGTAAACTAGTTCAACCATTGTGGAAGACAGTGTGGCGATTCCTCGAGGATCTAGAACTAGAAATACCATTTGACTGAGCCATCCCATTACTGAGTATATACCCAAAGGATTATAAATCACGCTGCTATAAAGGTACATGCACGTGTATGTTTATTGCGGCATTATTCACAATAGCAAAGACTTGGAACCAATCGAAATGTCCATCAATGATAGACTGGATTAACAAAATTTGGCACAAATACTACATGGAATACTATGCAGCCATAAAGAAGGATGAGTTCATGTCCTTTGTAGGGACATGGATGAAGCTGGCAACCATCATTCTCAGCAAGCTATCGCAAGGACAAAAAAACAAACACCGCACGTTCTCACTCATAGGTGGGAATTGAACAATGAGAACACTTGGACACAGGATGGGGAACATCACACACCGGGGCCTGTTGTGAGGTAGGGGAAGGGGGGAGGGAAAGCATTAGGAGATATACCTAATGTAAATGATGAGTTAATGGGTGCAGCACACCAACATGGCACATGTATACATATGTAACAAACCTGCACATTGTGCACATGTACCCTAGAACTTAAAGTATAATAAAAAATAAAAAAAGTTAAAAAAAAAAAGAAAAGAAGGCTTTTTCTTAAGGATATTTATGTAGGAGACTATGAGTTGTGTAGTGGACACATTCTCAAAAGCTATTTAACAAAAAATCACCACAACAAACCTCCACAAACGGTTTTTTTTTAAATTTCAGATCTTTGTGAAAGCTGAGGATAGAAGGTTAAATTTTTATCCTTTAAAAGAAATTCAAATGAAGGGCAAGACATGGTGATATGATCTAAGTATGCTGCATTCTGATGATTTGGCTTTAATGCATAAAGTTCCAAGAAGTTTACAAGATGACTGCTTAACTTGTCCCTTACTATCCCTCCTAAGGATCAGTTATCCCAGCTAAGCTGTCAAAAAAAGTTGGTATTAGATGATGATTAGAACTGTAGCAACTAATGATTCCTGAAGAGTCAGCATTCTATGATATTGATTGAAAGAACATTCATTGCTTGGCTTTGGACAGCTGGAGTAGACCGAACAAAGACGTTGCTTTACAAGGGCCATTGCTGGGTCTGATGTACAGTCTTAATTCATTGCAGATCTAAAAGAAAGTAGGATTCAAGTGGGTTGAATCCAACCCACAAGTTGGATTCAAGCCTTTTTCCAAGCTCCAGTGCTGATCAAATGTCTCACAGTGTATTTAACTGAATATCACTCTCTAAAATATGGATAAAATGGCAGTGGCCTAGAAGATTTTGAAAACGGAAGTTACCACTTTTACAATTGTGGAACTTTGACCTACCCAAACAAAAACAATTTTGAACCGCATTGAATCCAGTCTCACAAGATACTAATCAAATGGACTCCCAATTTATCAAATAAAATCTCCTGTTGCATAATATTATAAAATATAATATAAAATGTAACCTTCCTCTATGTGAAAGCATCTGCCTAAAATGTTGATTTTGGTTTTAAAACAATTAATATTTAGATGTTCTTCCTGAAAAGGCTAAGCTAATTCCTGAAATTGCTAGTGTAATATGAAACGCAGTTCATGTTATCAGCATAGGAAACACTTGGAATCCTATTTGCAGGATGTTTTTGCACATTTTATCTAAGATTGTTCAGGAACAAGTTTAGAAGAATGGGGCAAGATACAGCACTGTTTTACTGTATTTAAAGTGAGAGTTTTCCTTAGCAGAGGTAATTCCTACCTGGTTTGACCCTGGAACTACTTTTGCTCAAGAGTCTCTGAAAAAAAATCTGAAAAATCTTAATACATAGAGAGATCACATAATTCAATCCATAAAAAATTTTTGTCTATGAAATCAAATGTCAATAAAAACTCAGCAAAAGCTATTAAAAGTATATTTATTCTTATTGAGGTGAAGCAGAACACTAAAACTATGATGAGTTATGGAACTGTTGTTAAAACTAAATCATCCCTGTTGCTCTGGCAAGAAGACAAATTATAAAAATCAACAACATCCTCAGAAAAAGTTGTTGTGAACATCTGAGAAGCTGAGAAGCTGTTCAGAATCCTCATGTACATTTAATGTTGGAGGTGGGTGATTAGCATGTTTTAAGACAAGAAAGACCATTCTTTGTGTTCTGTTTGTAGAGTCTATACTGAAGACATAAATTGTAATAGAATAACTGATATTGAAAGAATTTGAACTCATGGTAAGAAAAATGTTTCAAAATCTCTTACATAAAATGCTGTTTCCTGGATACGTTGGCCTTTTTGTTAGCCAACTGGAGCTGAACATCAGATTCATCTGTAGAGCTTTTCAAACTACATTGACCTGGGCATCATCTCCAGAAAGGGTCTGGATCCTCGGCCTTTGCTTAGGAGAGCATAATCCATCAATAAGGATCAACTCCTAGGAAATAAAAAATAAGCTTCTATCATGTGTGAGTTTATACATTTGGAAGTTATTGGTGAAGCAGCTAGCACTATTAACCTATCCACATGGCTAGAAGAATATATGTGTAGAAGGAAAATCAGAGTACTATTTTAGGAACTCTCGGACCTGCAGGCTTCCCATCCTTCCTCAGGAGTCTGACACATCAGCTATTAATCCAGAGAGATGGTCCTCTAGGATGAACAAGCTGCTAGGAAGCGTTCTTACATGCTTTTCCCTAGATAACAGGGCCATAAAGCCATCAGCAATACATACACCCCTACACTTCACCACATTCAGCTCATTTCATACTTTTTCCTTTGGCTCATGCTTGAGTATATAGTCTAATCAGATTGAACAGAGCTACCTTAATATTTGGCTTATTCTCAGCATACATGTGATCCAGTTTCAACAATGCAGAACAACCTTTCTAGTCACCTAGCACTCACTACTTCCTTACCACAACTTTATTAGAAACCCCTATTATTTCTTCTAGGAACCACATCATAAAATCCCAAGAACCAAATTTGATGTTCTCTCTCTCTCTCACTCACTCCTTTCTGATAGCAGTCTGCTTAGTTTTTTAGCAGGTAAAAAATAAAGAAGTACCACATAAAAAGCAGCCATAGCAAAGGATAGAGTATTCCTCGGACTGTAGGGCTTAGCTGACAGAGCCAAAGGCATCCACTGTCTCTGAGCTTCCTGAACCTCCCACCACAGCATTCTAATTCTGCATGCTGTCAAACCCAAAGGGCTTAATACTGAGGGATGATTTATTGGGATGAAAGGAGAAGCCATCACTTTCAACCAGTGATATAGAGTGTCAAATATAACGAACAATTAATAATAGGTAAGACTGATACCCTTGAGTCATTGACTTCATTGTCTGATGGCAAAATCATGGAGAAGAAACATAAGATATTGAAAAAAAGGTAATTTATTCTTTAAAATTTAGGTGACTTGTAAGGAGAGCATGTTTACTCCCCTGGGAAGGGAAGGGGGAAATTTCAGGTGAGCACCAGTGTGTTTACTTGCCTTGCCAAATTTCAAGATAAAATTCTTTTTTTGTTATTTCCAGAAACATTCTGAGCTGACAGAATCAGGGAATATGCAGCTGTTTGCCTTTTGTAAGTTAAAGTTGAATGTGCCTACAGTTTCTGATTTGCCAACTCTGACAGGGCTTGACAAGCTTGGTGAATAGAGTGCACCTGACCAATTTCTCGAGCTGGGAGAATTTATAGACTCTCTCAGCTAACATAGCCAAGGCTTCTGGGAGAAGTTATCAAGCTCCCCAGGCTGAGAGTATACTAACATTGATAAGAATGAAACGGGATGTGCATGGGGCTAAACACTGGGCTCTGGGATAAAATGAAAACTTGAAAGGGGATCACATTTAGGTAAAAAAAAAAAAAAAAAGAGTAGTGTGGCAAAGAGGGAATTCAATTTGGTGAGATTCTCAATTGTGGGGAGAGGAGGGTGTCTACACATTAGAACTCAAATGAACAACACAAGTAAGTTCAAGCAGAAAAGAAGTTGGAAAATTATGACTGTGGAAAGGTTATTAGTATAAATGATTATACATTTGCCCATTGTGTATATGTTTTGTTTGTATGTGCATGTTTTGCTTAACCAAAGAACCTGTTCAATTTTTCTGCAGGTAAACAAAGGAGGTTGTCAGAAAAACTTTTTTTTACTAGTTGTGATAATCAGAGGATTTTTCTTTCAATAAAAGGCTGCATTTATCTGGAGTGAGGGAGTAAATTAGGTTTCCTGATTTCAAGACATCGTGGATCCCAGAACAGGATGTAAAGCCTCCGGTGCTGAAACTGCAGAGAGGGAATATGCCAGCCCTAATCAGCTTCTCTTTATTAATTTATGTTTCCTAGGATATACCAACCTAGGGGAAAGGGAGAGGAAGGAAGAGCAATAGGCAAATCACAATTTCCCTCCCTCCCTCCCTCCAGACCTAACCTGTAAACATTCATTCCTCCTCAAATTATCAACAAACATTTCTGAACATCCCAGTGGCGTCAATCGGGCATTTCATGGCAGAGGATGGGCATCGTCTCAGCTGTTCCTGGCATTCTCTATTTCCTCTTGCTGCCTGTTCCTCAGGCCTGGTATTGCAGGCACCTCTGGTGCTCTGCTCACTCCTGTCAGTGTCCTTAACACCCATGCAGGTGCTGTCCATCCCTGTGCTGACAGTGTGAATCTGCTAACTGTGCTGTGTCACAGGGGTGCCATCTGCCATCCCTGCAGAGACACAGATGCTGTCTGCTGTCACTGTAAAAGCTATTGGTGTCAATGCAGCTGATATTTGATTTATAGTTCCTTTAGTTTTCACTCAAGTTTAATTGGATGTCTCTTACCCCCCAGAGCCCAGTCCAATAGAGGCTGCATCAGAATACAACATGAATGATAACATTTTGAATTCTCAAAAGTCCCTTCTCTTTTAAGACACTGGTCCACACACTCCTTTCACCAAAGTTAAAACATGTCTTGATGTTTTCTTTCCTTGGATTGAGCACTTCCAAAGAGGTTTCTCCTCCCTGTAGTGGCTAAGGTAGGCCTCTCTTTATCCTATGGTGAATGAGGTAGGCCTGTCTCCAGTCTTCTAGACATGCCCTACCTTGTCTGAATCCAAAGCACTGCTAGTTTACTAAAATTCACTCATTTATTCATTCAACAAATAGTGTTATTGAACACCTATTTACCAGGGATTCTGCTAGATGCTAGGGATGCAATGGTTTTTATAAACATTAATATTATTCATGCCTTCATGACGCTTTCATTATACTAGGGAAAATAATAATAAAATAAATGAGACTAAGTTTATATAACTGGAAGAGAGCTGACTCTATCAAAACATGAGGAAATGTTTGAATCTATGCTTTGAGGAAATGAAAATCAATTTGCTCAAGTTCATTCTGGAAGTAGGTCAACATAATAAAAGGTTCCAATGATTATGACCTTCTCAACAAGAGTTTTGGAGAAATGTTCAAAACTACCTGGATAATCTCCAGCATCAGTCCTAGGGAACTGAATTATAGATCTCCCCTAGGTAAAGTTTCACAATTACTTCCTTCTCTGTCTGTGATCAGGAGCACTCAGTATAATTGGCCACAGTCAGCAGTCATGAATTTCAGAATGCAAATCACCCATGAGGGTTCTGAAGTATCCTGGAAATAAGATAACAGCATTGTTCCAATTCATTCAGAACCATCTTTGAGGTTAGTCTCACAGCTCCCCTTCGGAATTAATTTGACCACTGGCTCTCCTAAGTTTCCTGAATAGAAAAGGCCCCAAGACAAGGGTATCTAAATCTGCCTATAAAGCCACTGCAATTTCCTCTTTCACTGCCACCATCTACATAGTCATCACTACTTTTGTGCTGAGCTCTGGGGCAGGTGGCCTTTGGGAGATGGAAGGTGGAGAGCAAAGGCCCAGGGAGCACTTCCTAACACAGAGCCAATGGTGGAGAGATAGGAGAGAATCCTCCTCACTCCCCAGCCAATGAGGTGCCAGGAATCTGAAAAATAATAAATATTTTTAGAAGGAATAAAAAATAGTCCCAGGCCACGTTAGGACAGAGCAGTTCATTAGCTGCCACTCAGGTGCAGACAAGCACAAAACCATTTGCAATATCTCAAGCACAGATGCCACAGTGCAGGGCCCAGGGCTAGTGAAAGACCCATGGGCACAAAGGTAGCGATGATGACCACGTGGTTGGCAAAGGTGGTAGGTATAAAAATGGAATTGCAGTAGAAGCAGCATTTTGTTGTCATAAAACTTCCCCCCTTATCCTTCCAAGATCACTCAAACCTTTTGGATAACAGATCATCCAAGTCCCTGGCCTCCATTCCTGAATCTCAACTGTCTTCTTAACTGACGGCTACTAGCCTCATGCCCTGGGTGTTCCTCCCTGCAGTCTGCTCTCCCCAAACCCTGATCTCAATGTCCAAATATTGCCACAGCAATTGCCATTGGACAAGTCTGGATTATGCGTCAGGGTATCTTCTTATTATCCCCAGACATTATCCCTCAATTGGAGCAGATTCCTTCTGTCAAAACACTTTAATATCTCAATATCTACAGCTGATTTCCTACAGAAGCCTCTAGCACACTGGTGTGGAGCCCAGAAAGACAATCCACATTATTGCTCCTCCACAATTATCTATTTTGCTTCATTATGTAAAAGGTTGAACTTACTATTAGAATTTCAAAGCTGCAATCGACCTCTGCCTTCTAGACTTTATGATCTCTCACACTCACCTGTGGAATTTAAACCTTAACACATGCTATGTGCTATGTGCTACTGGGAGAATTAGGTCAAAGGGTACTAATTTTCAATAGGGTAGAATGAAGAAGTTGTGGAAATCTAATGTATAGCATGGTGACTATAGCTATTAGGTTGGTGCAAAAACAATGAAAAGTAATGGCTAAAACTGCAATTGCTTTTGCACCAACCTAAGGCTAATACTGTGTTGTATACTTCAAATTTGCTGAGAGTAGATCTTAAATGTACTTACCACAAAAAAAAGTAATTTTGTGAGATGATGGATAGGTTAATTAGCTTGATTGGGGTAATGATTTCACAATATACACTTATATCAAAACACCATATCATATATGGTAAATATATACAAGTTTTATTTTTCAATTATAACTGAATAGTGAAGAGGGAACAAAAGAGAAAGAAAAAGAGAATAAACTTTTCTAAGAGGTAAATGAATGAATGAATAATGCATAGATAAATAAACAAAATGTTCACATTATGTCATGGTTCACTAGTTCAAAGTTATGGATTTAGAAACTCAATAAAATAAACATATTTAATGTTTGCATTGATTTGGAGCCATTAGTCATGAGAAGGAGATATTCTACTAATAAGGAAAGAACTGGTCAAATATCCTTAGGCCTGAGGGAGAGTCAACTGCATGGTATGCAACCTGTGCAGTCTCACAGGGTCTTGCACTTGAAAAGGCCTCACACTTGGTTTAATGCTTTGCTATCATGACCTTGAAATTCCCAATAATTTTTGAACAGGGGTCCTGAATTTTTATTCTGCACTGGGCCCTGCAAATTAAGTAGCTAGTCCTGCATGAATGGGTTAAGATTATGCAGTCCACATATTAGTGGAGTCTTAATTCAGAAGAATTGGCAGGAAGCTTCCAAATAAAACTCAAATAAAATTACAGAAAAGAAAATACAAATCAATTAACATCAACTATTGACTTAGCCTAAGGGATTCAAAAGTAAAAGAAAAATCAGCCATCCAACCTATCTCACAATCAGGGCAAAATTCCTCTTTGGTATAAGCTCTTCAATCTGCTCTTACTTTATACTTTTAATCCCTTATATAAGGAAAGTCTCAGAATTTCCACAAGGAAAGATTAGGGTAATCAGAGGGAATATCATGGAAGAGTTAGGGCTTGACAACCTCTTTGTTTACATGGGTAAATGTGGCATTTATATGGAGACTATGTCTACATGGAGAATAAAGGAGGTTTTTCCAAATAAGAGACACAGAGTTGGTATAGCATATGCTAAGGCTAGGTGCAGTATAGGGTGTATATGGAACAGCAGTGAAAATGTAGTTGGATAGGGATTGAAGGAAAGAGGCAGATTCAGAGGGAACTAACAAAGAGGTCCAAAACTGGGTAATAGAGAAGCAAGATAGACTCCTGAGCAAGACAATAAAGTAACAAGTGTGGTTTTCTCTGAAGCCTTACTTGACAAATATTTGCCTCTTGATCTGGGGTGAGGAAATATGAAATAAAGACAGCCAATAGAGAGAATGTTACAATCATCTGCAATGATGCCAGTAAGCACTGGAATTAAAGGAAGAAAGTAAGAGGTGATTTTTTTTCTAATGGTCTCCAGAATTTTTGGTGATCAATGGGGAATCCAGATTAAAAAGAGAAAAGTTGAGGACTTAGTGCAAACCCTTGGACAGGGTTTATATTCAGCACCAGGGAAAATTATCGAAACCGGGAGACATACAGGAAGAAAGGTAAGAGAGACAGAGACAGAGAAAAATGAAGAGAGGGAAATACTTTAAAACATTTTATACGGGGAGGTGTTTCTAAGATATTCAATAAGGAGAAAAAATAACTAGGTAGAGGACCCCTGGATTTGGCAACAAGCAATTTAATATTGTTTAAGGTTTAATATTGCACTTTTCAAAAAGTGAAACATTGATAAACTTTTATTTTGTACTTTTACACATAAGTCCCTGAGATAACGCTCCTGAGAACATGACCATGCATTCTGCTTGCCATCATACCCCAGCACCTAGTACAATGTGACGAGAAATCAACCCTTCATAATCAACAGAACCTCATATTATGTCTTCTAAAAGGGAAAGATCTCAACTAACAAGACGATATCATGTCTCACTTCTCTTGACACATGGTATAACCCCTTTACAGATCCTAAATATGATATTGGACAAATGCAGTGACCTTTTTTTTCAATATTGCCATCAAGTGTTTTCAAAGAGCATTTTCAAAGGATGGTAACATAATAACAAAATTCACTTTAACCTCCCCTGCTGAGCATCTTGATGTATCCCTGAGTGTCCTGAAGGTTCCTTCTCCCCTGCTGACCACAGAGCAAATCTTGGAGGTGGTTTTAACTATCCTCAAGTATCATAGACAGCCTATCATTTTTTCATATTAAGGAGCTATTAAGTATTTGAGGTGATATATGTGTTTGCTTTGTGTGATGGTCCCCAAATGATGAGCTCCCTCCTCCTCCCTGCAATGCAGCTGTGTAAACAGGGAAGTCTTGTTGGTGAATTTTGTGGCATCTATTTTCTACAACAAATGCTAGGAATATAAAAGGCACTCCAAAAAATTTGATGAATGGAAGAATAGCGATGCATCCTCTATATTATGACTTCTAGATAGTCGTCCATCCCCACATTATGACATTGACTTTGCTTGGTTTGAAGCATTAAAAATAAATAGGTCTTTATTTGTCCATTATACCTCAATAAAGCTGGAAAAGAATTAAAATCAGAAATGGTTGATGGTCAGAGTACAAAGTCTCAATTAGATGGAATACATTGTTGTTGTCATTGTTTTACTTTGAGATATATTGTACATTGTGGTGAATGTAGTAAATCGCTCATTTCAAAATTGCTATGACTGTACATTTCAAATGTTCTCACCAAAAAAAAAGTATTTGAGGTGACAGATGTGTTTGCTTGATTTAATTATTCCATATTGTATTGATAATTCATAACATCACTTTGTTCCCCATTGATATCTATAATTATAATTTGTCCATTTATAATTAAAAATAAAAATTGAAAAAAAAAGAAACGAGTCAGTCTGGAGGGAGCTCATCAGTTGGAGACCATCACACGAAGCAAACAGATTCTTTGGGCTACAAATATTCTGATTCCTAAAATCAGAATAACGAAAAGACAAAGCAAGAAGACAATACAAAAGCTAACATATGTGCTCCTGTTAATAAAGAAAAAGTAACAGCATCCCGTACAAACACACTTTTTAGGCCGGGAGCAGTGGCTCACACCTGTAATCCCAGCACTTTGGGAGGCCGAGGCCGGTGGACCACCTGAGGTCAGGAGTTCAATACCAGCCTGGCCAACATGGTGAAACCCCGTCTCTACTAAAAATACAAAATTAGTCAGGCATAGTGGTGGGTGCCTGTTATCCCAACTACTCAGGAGGCTGAGGCAGGAGAATCTCTTGAACCCAGGAGGCGGAGGTTGCAGTGAGCCGAGATAGCGCCACTGCAGTCCAGCCTGTACAACAGAGCAAAACTCCATCTCAAAAAAAAAAAAAAAAAGTGAGGGCAGGGGAATACCTACATGGGAATGCTCCTCACCATCCCTAGGTGGGACCAGTTGGGATTCCAAAGCAAGAGACACTAACTGCCAGGGCGATCAGTGCAAAGCATTTATTAGGGAAGCTTAGGATTGCTGCAGCAATCATTGTGACAATGAAAGAAAAAAGGTGTTTTACCTATAGGGATGTCCACAGTGTGTGGGGGGCAGAGTATAAAGTTTATGAGAATTTAAGGAATTTGGCTTAGGGCTGGGGCCCATTTCTTTCAGTGTTTTGGGCAACAACATAGATACCTTTATCAGTGCTAGGAATGTTCAAGGTCCTAGTTTGGGTTCAAGCCTGCTGGGAAAAACCTGCAGCTGGCAGGTCACAGAGCAGTCTATGCAGTCTCTGATTCTCAGTCAGGACATAGAAAGAAAGGGGGAAGAATTAGGGGACCCTACAGTATGAGAATGAGTGAAATTATTAGAAAGAAGCAATGATTATTAAACGGAAAAAATACTACAGGCAAGCAAAAATCTTCAGAGGAAATAACCAAAGAAACTGGAATAAAATGGTCACCCAGAAAATGGCTACATATTTCTGATGTTTTACTTCCAAGATATCACTACCAAAAATGTTCATAGCTAAAAAGGCTCCTAAACAATATATCTGGAGCCATTGTGAATATTGCTAATATCAACAAAATAGTACATAGTCATTGGAGTACATGTCATGCATAAGTAAATAAGAATATCACAGGCAGAAAAACATACAGGTGCAAAACACAAAGGACCAAGGACATCTCTCTAAGATGCTATGATGGGGGAAAACATCCATAAACTATGCGCAGATATAGAGGTGAAGGCAATTAACTGCACGTAGACAAGGATGTGATTTAAATTATGCTAGTGTCATGCTAGACAAACCAATAAAAGATCTTAATCGCTGCAACAAAAGCCCAAGGTTAATAGTGACAAACTCCACCAATAGCAGCACAGCAATAATACAAGAAAAGATGACTTTGGACAGAAGCCGTATAGGGGCTATTCTCTGCACCTGGAAAAGTTCAATAGAACTGCATGAAAGAAATCAGATACAAATCTGTCCAAAAAAGAGAGGAAAAAACTCTTAGATAGACAGATGGTATTTTTTAAATTATAATGAAACCAGCTTCAGAGAAATCTTTGACATGTAAGTGAGGCAAGAAAACAAGCACTATTAGCAAAATGGGCCCCAGAGTCCAAGTACAATGCAATGAATGCAAAATGTACAGTAGATGTAAAGGGACCCACTAACAGCCCCAATCCACCAAAAAGCATGGTCTCTCAGAGTTGCCAAGAAAAATAAGAAAGGTTCTCATTAACTTTCTGCTTCCAAGTGACCTCTTCAAGTGCAGAAGTTTCCCTGGAAAACTCATGACCAGGAAATCAATCTCAATGGACAAAGAGAATTTGCCCTCTGCCTAGTTATCCTCAACTTTGGAGCCAGGTTGGAAAAAGGGGGAGAAAAGGTGGCATGAAAACTGCCTTTAACTCTTTAACCATTGTTATGTAAAGAGGAAAATAATATACTAACATTACAACCATCAAAAAATGCACAGATATGACAGAGGCTAGGGAACATGCTGTGTCCCTGTTTAAGTCTAAGAAAGAGATTTTTTCATAAGGTATGTAAGCTGAACTCTGGGGACTTTGGTACTTTCACCAAGAACATTCCTCTTCTAATGAAACTCTGTACTCTCTGTATCCATTGTGTGTGTGGGATGGGGGGTGGCACAGGGAAGAGGGAGAGAGAGAAGCAGCAGAGAGAACATTAGGAGAGACAGTTTGCTCCTAAACATGTGCCCTTTGGCCAAGGTGACATCATTCCTTTCACATCCAAATCAGCCAGTACCTATCACCTTGCCCACAGTAAGCTTGGTTAACAGAAGTCTGTGCTGGGGTCCTCAGTCTGAATAGACATAGCTAAACCAATTAGCTGGGAAAGACAGAACAAAAGGCAGTCTTTCTGCAGATACCTCTTTCAATACCCTTCTGATGTTTCCTATAGTAGTAAGGGGGTGGGGTCAAGTCTGAACAACTTTCTTCCCTCTGAGTTTGTTGCTAATTCTATTTGACTAACCTCCACATCATTAATAAGTATTATAATTCAGTCATTCTCAACAAACTCTACGTGCCCTGACACTGCACCCTTTCTTCCAGGTCTGCCCTCTCTTCCAGACCTGCCCTCTCTTCCTCTGCCTTCCTTCGTCTTCCTTCTTAACACATCCTAGTTCTTTCTGCTGTCAACTGAAAAAGTACAAATGTATACATTTAACAAGAGACTTTATGTGATACAAAGAGTTACAGCCTGCAGGGTGGCCATCCTGACAGACTGGGAAATGTAGCCTCCAGTAGAGCCCAGAAGCAGGCACTTCAAGGGAGTGGAGGGTGAAATAGGGATTTACATTGAATGGGTTGGCCAAGGATACATATTCAACAGGTTATAGGAAGAGCTATGAATATTGATGAAGAAGACACATGTGCATGCATGAAAAGCAAACTTGCATGCTACATGCATCCTATGTTCACTGTGAAGTGGAGACTTAACTTTTAAATGTACTACAGTTAAGCTCCATATGTCAAAATGTGAAGCAGGGACACAAAGGCATTCAAATGCACAGATTCTGTAAACTGGCCAGAACCAGCCCATAGTCAGTGTTCTCTTATCAGAAGAAAGTTACTGAAATCAGTCTCTTGTTCAATCAAAGATGTGGTTATGACAGGTGGAGCACGAGGATCCGTTTGTTGGCATCTGGTGGTGGATGAGCCATCCTTATTTTAATATTGCTTGTCTCTGCCCAGTGCTTGTCTAGCTGCTAGAGTAAATGAAAAACCTTGTGACAGTCAGAAAACAGCTTATTCTTTAAGTGTCAGAGTGCCTGATTTATCCTTGCCTGGCATGGTCTTGCATCCTGTTTATAAGTTGGTATCTTATCGCTACAAATATTTCATTCTGTCAGTCTTACGATCTCTATTTTAACATTAATGCTGGTCAGTTGTTGTGTCTAAATTGCAAAAGAGAGGCCGGATAATGAGCTGTGCCTGACTTCCAGACCCGTTATGGCTGGGAACTTAATATTTTAAGGTTTCTCTAGGGTCCACCTGGCCAACAGGGCTCCACTGAGTTGGTTGGAGAGCTTAGAATTTTATTTTTAGTTATAATTTCCTTGCTTCTCTCTATCCCACTTTCTTTCTGCCCATCATTTTTTTCTAGTACTTCCTCCTCCTTCTCTCCACCTTTCTATCTTCCTCAGTTTGGGCTCCCTTTGCCAAGCTCCTTCCTTTATCACTTCCTATTTAACTCTTCCCACTCTTTTCTTTCCAGCCACCATATTGAATCTCTGAAACTTGCTGACATTGAGATTCAAGATTTTTTAGTGTAGTAGAAACTCTAATTTATCACAATTGGGAGAAAAAGGGGCACTTTCACTTAATGAAATTTTGAGGAAGAAAATGTTTCTTCCACGACAAAAAATCAGGCTTCAACAATGAGAACACATGGACATAGGGAAGGGGACATCACACACTGGGGCCTCTTGGGGGTGAGGGGCATGGGTGGGGAGAGCATCAGGACAAATACCTAATGCATGTGGGGCTTAAAACCTAGATGACGGGTTGATAGATGCAGCAAACCACCATGGCACATGTATACCTATGTAACAAACTTGCACGTTCTGCACATGTATCCCATAATTTAAAGTAAAATTAAAAAAAAGAAGAAAAAATCAGGCTTCAAAACACTCTAGGAAAAAGCAGTGAAACCACTGTTGCAGAAGGCAAGCTGTGAAGGTGTTTTAACTGATAGCATTATTTACAATTAGTACAGCCATTGTATGAGTACAAATGTTTCAGCTGAAGGCCTTCACTCTTAATCAGCATAACATTTTCCTTGTTTACTCTATTAATTTACTTAGCAAACTCTTTTTCATGGAAGCAGGTTAAACAAAGATTCTGAGTAACAAAGCTCTAGGTCTCAGCAGATGGCCCATAGGAACAGCCTTGTTGGTCTAGTCAAAACAAATTTTGCACAGCAAACACTTGCTCTGTTCCACGGCCTTGTCACAATCACATTCCATGTCAGAATCATTCTCTGTGGAGGAAAAAAACTTTAATTGGTGACTGTTTGGTGTTTGCCTTGTAAGCAGTCAGAGTTGGCCTTGGGTATACATATGGAAATAGTCTAAGTTTGCCAGCTAAGTCCTGCCCTCTTGTTTTCTTATCCTTCTCCCTTCTTCTATGCTACTGGAGATCTTGGTCTCACAAACAAGTAGTTCATTTTCCTGCCCCCCATGGAAATGCCTCCTTCTACCAATGATCAGTCGCCATTCCACTGGAAAATTTACATCACTAATAACACTATTCAAAAGAAAAGACACCCAGCATTGTGCCATGTATATAGTTGGGATTAAATACATATTTGTGGCTGGGCAAAGTGGCTCACACCTGTAATCTCAGCACTTTGGGAGGGCGAGGCAAGTGGATCACTTGAGGTCAGGAGTTCAAGACCAGCCTGGCCAACATGGTGAAACCCCATCTCTACTAAAAATACAAATATTAGCTGGGCATGGTGGCATGTGCCTGTAATCCCAGCTACTCTGGAGGCTGAGGCAGGAGAATCACTTGAACCTGGGAGGCTAAGGTTGCAGTGAGCTGAAATTGCACCACTGCACTTCAGCTTGAGCAACAGAGCAAAACTCTGTCTCAGAATAAGTGAATAAATACACACAAACATACATACATATTTGTTGAATAAACTAAAAAAGTAATGTCATATCAAGAACCCTTTTATTATTTTACCAATCAACTCTATTTTTTGTGAGATTTAACCTGTCTAAAAAATGCTGAATTTTAAAGAATAATATCTTTTTCTGGATCAAAGACACACACAACTTTGAATCTGATGAACATGAGATCTCAAGATACTTACCTTCCTGATAGCCCTTTCTATGAAATCTACCCTTCACCCACAACCCAGCCTGCTCCCCATTTTGAGAGAGTGCACTGCCACACCTCCTGCTGAGAGGCTGTCTTTGGAACTGCTGACTACTACACAACTCAGAAACTTCACTGGGCAAAGTGGATTGAATTAGAACACCTTATCCAAGCTGAAAGAATCAATGCTTTTTCCAGAGAAACTGGGAATAGAACCAAGGGACTCCAGTCATTTGGAATCTAAGGGCTTATATATTTATGTGGACCTAAAGGCTGAGACGGGACCAGTTTGGGAGTGACCATGGTATCTCCCCATTGAAAAAACTGGCCTAAAATAAGATGATCACTTAAAACTATTGGTTCTTTCACTGAAGGCAGAGGCAACAATATTTTAGCATCACAATTCAGAGAAAATTCTTATCACAACTGAATGACAGAATCCATAAACAGAGCCAAACTGAGTCTTAAGACAAGAAATGCCCTTCCAAAAATGTAATCTTACACCTTTTCTAGGAGAGAAGAGTTGCACATGTATTTCAAGCCAATCCAATTCCTGAACGTCACACATTTCACTAATGAAAAGTCATTTCTAATGCACTTCATGCTAATTTTAAACGATCTAAAGCCAATCTGAGATAAACATGGCTTAAACTTGTGGTAACTGTCTTCAGAATGTAGATTTCTCCTTATTTCAAATGCTAAGAAGCAAGTATATATTGCCAATTACCACCTCCCCAAGAGGAGCACCTGACTGGATATTTCAAATCTTAACTAATGATCCTTCAGGTACAGATCAACTATGTATATACAGATGTATGTATACATATACATACCTATATATGTATGTGTGTATATATGTGTGTATCTACATATATGTATATGTATACATATATACATACCATCTTCACTAAAGTGTTTTAATATAATTTACAGATATTATAATAGGCACGTGCTAGCAGTGCCCAAGTACCCAGTCTGCAGAAAGAAGGATGGAACTAATGCAGGCAGAAGCAGAAGGAGGACATGGGGGACTCCAGAAAGACAACTCTCAAGATAGCTGCAATTTGGTGATTTCCCTCATACTGGCTTCAATTCTTTTTAAGACCTAGTTGTACTTTCTACTTTGAGGTTATACAAGATACCCCTATATTATAATATTAAATTTCTTCTTTACCTTTAACTCACTTGAATATATTCTGGTACTTGCCTCTAAACAATCCTAGGCTAAGAGATTAATGCTATTGTTACAGAGTTAATATAATATAAATACAAACAAAAATAAAGAAACTGGACATTTTAGTTAGCTTCCCAGCCTCATTACAGGGAAAGGTATGATTTTCATCAGGCATACTAAAATACAGAAAGTTCAAGGACCACACTTACCATCTTACAGACTCCTAGGGACCTCTAGTTCAGAATCACCAAACAGGTATGAATGCTCAACTGCTTTTCTCTAAGCCTTTCTCAATGTGTGTTCGTTTCAAAAGAGGATACTTTTTAAACTCAACAAGCCTTTGTTGGGTACTTAATATGTGCAGATAACTGACTTAATTGCAGTCTAGACTTTGAAACATTGGCCAGTATCAGACAGACGCAGACGAAGGGAAATGGTCATTCAGACAAGGCTGGCATCTGACCCAGACTTGTAAAGGACACTGCAGAGGATCAAAGGATGAACCAATGAGGACTTCAGTAAGACCAGGACAAAGAGGATTGTTGGAGCTGTTTCTAAATAATAGTGCTGCTGAATTCTTGTGCACAAGAGAGTGGAGTAAATCTGTTTCCGTAATTAAGTTAACTTTTCAGTAAGATATATATGGTTTGCTATATAATGTGAATTCTGTCAATTTATACAAAAATATCTGTTCAGGCCGGGCGTTGTAGCTCACGCCTGTAATCCCAGCACTTCGGGAGGCAAAGGCGGGCGGATCACAAGGTCAGGAGTTCAAGACCAGCCTGGCCAACATAGTGAAACCCTGTCTCTACTAAAAATGCAAAAGTTAGCCAGGTGTAGTGGCACGTACCTGTAGTCCCAGCTACTTGGGAGGCTAAGGCAGGAGAATCGCTTGAACCCGGGAGGCAGAGGTTCCAGTGAGCCGAGACCATGCCATTACACTTCACCCTGGGTGACAGAGTAAGACTCTGTCTCAAAAAAAAAAAAAAGTCTATTCAAAGCACCCTCTTTCACCCTAGCCCCTGCTGTAAAGTGTCAAAATGAATATTTGAACCAGGTATATCCTAATTAACAATAGTAATTAAGATTCTGTGGTCTTGAAGGGGCAAATCAGGCAATTCCCATTATCCAATTCTTCTTGTTAAGGCCTCCTGGCTAGATGTGTTACACTGCTTTTGTGAAAGCAGCCATTTCAGTCCTTTGTGTAGTAGTACAGATGCCCAAATGTTTGTTCTGCTTTCTTTGTTAACCTCGAGACTCTTCCACAATTTTATTCTCTATTCTTCAAAAGTCCTGTTCATGTGGGAACTCATCAGCCCAGATTCCCTCTTGCTTTCCAGCAGGACCCTTTGGAGGACTATGGTATCCTTTCTCACCAGCAGGTCAAGGCTACCTGGCCCACCACACTAGTGTCCTCCAGATCAGTATCATGGAAAACAAGGGCTATGATTCTCCTTTCTCCTCTTGAAGGCTTTGGCCTTCTTATACACAGTGATCTAACTTCTAACCATTAAAGAGCTCTGCTTAGAGGAGGTCTTGGGGGAATACTTCTTACCCCTCTCCTAGGACAATGGGGATCTATTTGCCATTTATTTGCATAACTAAGAAGCCATCCAAATCACTCTCCATTCCAAAGGTCTTATTAAGGTGACTGTGGCCTAAACCTCTGGAAGGCACTTCATTCACTCACTCAAATATATCTTGAGTCCCTACAGAGGCTAGTATGCATTTCAAATGTTTACTTCACACCCTACCACCCACTCAGCTCACCTAGTCTCTAAAAGGCACTGATTTGCATATTCATTTTCCCTTTGAATTTGACATCACCATGTATTTTCTGCCAATACACTTGATTTTCTTTCCTTTGTGCTCAGTGAATTATGCTTCAAAAGAAAAGCAATCAAAGGCAGTGGTTAAGAGAATAGACTCCGTATCACCACTTCCTCAGTTTTTTCCAGCCCTGGCACTTATTAGTGTGAATTTGGGTAAATTATGCACCTCTGGGTCCCTCGTTTTCTCATTTATAAGATGGGAAAAGTAATAGCTCCCATTGACCTCCTGCAGCTGTTGTGAGGATTGAAGAAGTGGATTTGTTAAGGCGCTTCTTAGAAACACAGAAGAGTTCCTGGCATATTACATAACCACTACATAAGTGTCAGCTATTATTATGCAAACTCCACTGTTAACATGTTTCACTTCTCAGTTGTCCCTCACTGGTCCCTTAGTCTTGACCTTCCCCAGTGGCCTAAGCCTGTGGGGCTCAAAACCATCATACTCAACACCCTCTTTATTAATAATTTCCCTCTTTAAATAAAATCCATAGGTGACAAAACCTACCTATGTACAGAATTGCAAAATAATTTATATAATGCCTTAACTATAATAAGTGAAATATATTACAAATTGTTAAACAAAAAAAAAGGTATTTCACAACATAAATAATTGGGCAGGCTACAAACTTTAAAGTTTTGGAGGCCTGGATAAAAAAGCATGACGAAGTAATCAGCCCTGTAAAGGCAATAGCCAAAAACACACTAATGCAGGCATATTGTGTTGGTAACTCAAGCACTATGAGTGGCAATGCTGCTAATTGGTTTTCTGTAATAGAAAATGTCAAGCCAAACAGAGTTCCATCTTTCCTCAACTTACTCACTAGTTGTATTGGTAGAAAATTCAGGGTATAGTAAAAACGTAAAAAAATTTCTTGGTGATTATATGTAAAACAGAATTGAGTTCCAGTCTCAGATAATGATAAAGAATATTACACCTATATGAATTTGAGGGTAACAGCCAAAAGCAGTACAATATGGGGGACAATTCTTCAGTGGGTCCATTAACTCCTCCATGTCTCTCTCAGTCATTTGATAACTAAAATAATCAAAAAAATTTCCAAAATAGCTTTTGGGGATGATATTATCTCACTAAGAACCACTGGTTTCTTGAATGTGGGGTTGGGGAGAGGGAAGATATGTGTTGGGACACAGAAGGGATGATGCCAACAGTATTAGTTCAATAATTGAAAGAGATCTAGTGGCAGGACTGTCCTCAAAATTGAACAGTCAAAATATCCTTCAGCAAGTATCTATTGCATTTATAATGAAAATATTAAGAAATAAAGGATCATTCTCAAAATCAAGTATGATCAGCAAAACCCAGATTCTGGGAAAATGTCTGAATACAAAAGTATCTTCATGGGGGGCAGTTCCAAGATGGCCGAATAGGAACAGCTCCAGTCTACAGCTCCCAGCATAAGCGACGCAGAAGACAGGTGATTTCTGCATTTCCAACTGAGGTACCGGGTTCATCTCACTGGGGCTTGTCAGACAGTGGGTGCGGGACAGTGGATGCAGCCCATCAAGCATGAGCTGAAGCAGGGCAAGACATCACCTCACCCAGGAAGCAGAAGGGGTCAGGGAATTCCCTTTCCTAGCCAAAGGAAGCAGTGATGGACAGCACCTGGAAAATCGGGTCACTCCCACCCTAATACTGCACTTTGCCAGTGGTCTTAGCAAACATCACACCAGGAGATTATATCCCGTGCCTGGCTCAGAGGGTCCCACGCCCATGGAGCATCACTCATTGCTAGCACAGCAGTCTGAGATCCATCTGCAAGGCAGCAGCAAGGCTGGTGGAGGGGCGCCCACCATTGCTGAGGCTTGAGTAGGTAAACAAACTGGCCAGAAAGCTAGAACTGGGTGGAGCCCACCGCAGCTCAAGGAGGCCTGCCTGCCTCTGTAGACTCCACCTCTGGGGGCAGGGCATAGCTGAACAAAAGGCAGCAGAAACATCTGCAGACTTAAATGTCCCTGTCTGACAGCTTTGAAGAGAGCAGTGGTTCTCCCAGCACAGAGTTTGAGATCTGAGAATGGACAGTCTGCCCCCTCAAGTGAGTCCCTAACCCCCAAGTAGCCTAACTGGGAGGCACCCTCCAGTAGGGGCAGACTGACAGCTCACACGCCCGGGTACCCCTGTGAGATGAAGCGTCCAGGGGAACGATCCAGCAGCAACAATTGCTGTTCAGCAATATTCGCTGTTCTGCAGCCTCTGCTGCTGATACTCGGGCAAACAGGGTCTGGAGTGGACCTCCAGCAAACTCCAACAGACCTGCAGCTGAGGGTCCTGACTGTTAGAAGGAAAACTAACAAACAGAAAGGATATCCACACCAAAACCATCTGTACGTCACCATCATCAAAGACCAAAGGTACATAAAACCACAAAGATAGGGAAAAAACAGAGCAGAAAAGCTGAAAATTCTAAAAATCAGAGCACCTCTCCCACTCCAAAGGAAAGCAGCTCCTCGCCAGCAACGGAACAAAGATGTATGGAGAATGACTTCGACAAGTTGAGAGAAGAAGGCTTCAGACGATCAAACTTCTACAAGCTAAAGGAGGAAGTTTGAACCCATCCAAAAGAAGCTAAAAACCTTGAAAAAAGATGAGATGAATGGCTAACTAGAATAACCAATGTAGAGAAGTCCTTAAATGACCTGATGAAGCTGAAAACCAAGGCACGAGAACTACATGATGCATGCACAAGCTTCAGTAGCCAATTTCATCAAGTGGAAGAACTGGAAGAAAGGGTATCAGTGATTGAAGATCAAATGAATGAAATGAAGCAAGAAGAGAAGTTTAGAGAAAAAAGAGTAAAAGGAAATGAACAAAGCCTCCAAGAAATCTGGGATTATGTGAAAAGACCAAATCTACATCAGATTGGTGTACCTGAAAGTGACGGGAAGAATGGAACCAAGTTGGAAAACATTCTGCAGGATATTATCCAGGAGAACTTCCCCAGCCTAGCAAGGCAGGCCAACATTCAAATGCAGGAAATACAGAGAATGCCACAAAGATACTCCTCAAGAAGAGCAACTCCTAGACACATAATTGTCAGATTCACCAAAGTTGAAATGAGGGAAAAAATGTTAAGGGCAGCCAGAGAGAAAAGTCGGGTTACCCACAAAGGGAAGCCCATCAGACTAACAGCTGATCTCTTGGCAGAAACTCTACAAGCCAGAAGAGAGTGGGGGCCAATATTCAACATTCTTAAAGAAAAGAATTTTCAACCCAGAATTTCATATCCAGCCAAACTAAGCTTCATAAGTGAAGGAGAAATAAAATCCTTTACAGACAAGCAAATGCTGAGAGGTTTTGTCACCACCAGACCTGCCCTACAAGAGCACTTGAAGGAAGCATTATACATGGGAAAGAACAACCGGTACCAGTCACTGCAAAAACATGACAAATTGTAAAGACCATCGATGCTAGGAAGAAACTGAGTCAATTAACAGGCAAAATAACCACCTAACATCATAATGACAGGATCAAATTCACACATAACAATATTAACCTTAAATGTAAATGGACTAAATACTCCAATTAAAAGACACAGACTGGCAAATTGGATAAAGAGTCAAGACCCAGCAGTGTGCTATATTCAGGAAACCCATCTCATGTGCAGACACACATAGGCTCAAATAAAGGGATGGAGGAAGATCTACCAAGCAAATGGAAAACAAAAAAAGGCAGGGGTTGCAATCCTAGTCTCGGATAAAACAGACTTTAAACCAACAAAGATCAAAAGAGACAAAGAAGGCCATTACATAATGGTAAAGGGATCAATTCAACAAGAAGAGCTAACTATCCTAAATATACATGCACCCAATACAGGAGCACCCAGATTCATAAAGCAAGTCCTTAGTGACCTACAAAGAGACTTAGACTCCCACACAATAATAATGGGAGACTTTAAAACCCCACTGTCAACATTAGACAGATCAATGAGACAGAAAGTTAACAAGGATATCCAGGAATTGAACTCAGCTCTGCACCAAGTGGACCTAATAGACATCTACAGAACCCTCCACCCCAAATCTTCTCAGCACCACATCACACTTATTCCAAAATTGACCATATAGTTGGAAGTAAAGCATTCCTCAGCAAATGTAAAAGAAGAGAAATTATAACAAACTGTCTCTCAGACCACAGTGCAATCAAACTAGAACTCAGGATTAAGAAACTCACTCAAAACCACTCAACTACATGGAAACAGAACAACCTGCTCCTGAATGACTACTGGGTACATAATGAAATGAAGGCAGAAATAAAGATGTTCTTTGAAACCAACGAGAATAAAGACACAACATACGAGAATCTCTGGGACACATTCAAAGCAGTGTGTAGAAGGAAATTTATAGCACTAAATGCCCACAAAAGAAAGCAGGAAAGACCTAAAATTGACACCCTCACATCAAAATTAAAAGAACTAGAGAAGCAAGAGCAAACACATTCAAAAGCTAGCAGAAGGCAAGAAATAACTAAGATCAGAGCAAAACTGAAGGAGATAGAGACACAAAAAACCCTTCAAAAAATCAGTGAATCCAGGAGCTGGTTTTTTGAAAAGATCAACAAAATTGATAGACCACTAGCAAGATTAATAAAGAAGAAAAGAGAGAAGAATCAAATAGACACAATAAAAAATGATAAAGGGAATATCACCACTGATCCCACAGAAATACAAACTACCATCAGAGAATACTATAAACACCTCTACGCAAATAAACTAGAAAATCTAGAAGAAATGGATAAATTCCTCGACATATTCAGCCTCCCAAGACTAAACCAGCAAGAAGTTGAATCCCTGAGTAGACCAATAACAGGCTCTGAAATTGAGGCAATATGTAATAGCCTACCAACCAAAAAAAGTCCAGGACCAGACCAATTCACAGCCGAATTCTACCAGAGGTACTAGGAGGAGCTGGTACCATTCCTTCTGAAACTATTCCAATCAATAGAAAAAGAGGGAATCCTCCCTAACTCATTTTATGAGGCCAGCATTATCCTGATACCAAAGCCTGACAGAGACACAACAAAAAAAACAGAATTTTAGACCAATATCCCTGATGAACATTGATGCAAAAATCCTCAATAAAATACTGGCAAACTGAATCCAGCAGCACATCAAAAAGCTTATCCACCATGATCAAGTGGGCTTCATCCCTGGGATGCAAGGCTGGTTCAATATACACAAATCAATAAACGTAATCCAGCATATAAACTGAACCAAAGACAAAAACCACATGATTATCTCAATAGATGCAGAAAAGGCCTTTGACAAAATTCAACAACCCTTCATGCTAAAAAACTGTCAATAAAATAAGTATTGCTGGGACGTATCTCAAAACAATAAGAGCTATTTATGACACACCCATAGCCAATATCATACTGAATGGGCAAAAACAGGAAGCATTCCCTTTGAAAACTGGCACAAGACAGGGATGCCCTCTCTCACCACTCCTATTCAACATAGTGTTGGAAGTTCTGGCCAGGGCAATCAGGCAGGAGAAAGAAATAAAGGGTATTCAATTAGGAAAAGAGGAAGTCAAATTGTCCCTGTTTGCAGATGACATGATTGTATATTTAGAAAACCCCATCGTCTCAGCCCAAAATCTCCTTAAGCTGATAAGCAACTTCAGCAAAGTCTCAGGATACAAAATCAATGTGCAAAAATCACAAGCATTCTTTTACACCAATAGCAGACAAACAGAGAGCCAAATCATGAGTGAATTCCCATTCACAATTGCTTCAAAGAGAATAAAATACCTAGGAATCCAACTTACAAGGGATGTGAAGGACCTCTTCAAGGAGAGCTACAAACCACTGCTGAACAAAATAAAAGAGGATACAAACAAATGGAAGAACATTCCATGCTTATGGATAGGAAAATCAATATTGTAAAAATGGCCGTACTGCCCAAGGTAATTTATAGATTCAATGTCATCCCCATCAAGCTACCAATGACTTTCTTCACAGAATTGGAAAAAACTACTTTAAAGTTCATACGGAACTAAAAAAGAGCCCACATTTCCAAGACTATCCTAAGCCAAAAGAACAAAACTGGAGACATCACTGTATCTGAGTTCAAACTATACTACAATGCTACAGTAACCAAAACAGCATGGTACTGGTACCAAAATGGAGATATAGACCAATGGAACAGAACAGAGCCCTCAGAAATAATACCACACATCTGCAACCATCTGATCTTTGACAAACCTGACAAAAATAGGAAATGCGGAAAGGTGCTGGAGAGGATGTGGAGAAATAGGAACACTTTTACACTGTTAGTGGGACTGTAACTAGTTCAACCATTGTGGAAGACAGTGTGGCAATTCCTCAAGGATCTAGAACTAGAAATACCATTTGACCCAGCCATCCCATTATTGGGTATATACC
Organism: Homo sapiens; assembly: GCF_000001405.40. Lineage (NCBI taxonomy): Eukaryota > Metazoa > Chordata > Mammalia > Primates > Hominidae > Homo > Homo sapiens. Next base: position 76,113,879 of record NC_000006.12, on the reverse strand, counting down.
CAAAGGATTATAAATCATGCTGCTATAAAGACACATGCACATGTATGTTTATTGTGGCACTATTCACAATAGCAAGACTTGGAACCAACCCAAATGTCCATCAATGATAGACTGGATTAAGAAAATGTGGCACATATACACCATGGAATACTATGCAGCCATAGAAAAGGATGTGTTCATGTCCTTTCTAGGGACATGAATGAAGCTGGTAACTATCATTCTCAGCAAACTATCACAAGGACAAAAAAACCAAACAGCACATGTTCTCACTCATAGGTGGGAATTAAACAATAAGAACACTTGGACACAGGATGGAGAACATCACACACTGGGGCCTGACATAGGGTGAGGGGATGGGTGAGAGATAGCATTAGGAGATATACCTAATGTAAATGAAGAGTTAATGGGTGCAGCACACCAACATGGCGCATGTATACATAGGTAACAAACCTGCACGTTATGCACAAGTACCCTAGAACTTGAAGTATATATTTTTTAAAAAATCTTCACATATCAAATTGTAAGAAAAAGAGAGAGGAGATGAGGAGAGAGATTATAGATTAAAAGAGATGTAGATGATATATTATTCAGTTGGAATGAGTGGCTCTTATAAATAAGAACACTATTTATTTGGTGATACTAAATAATTGTTAATTTTTTGTAATATTAGATTTCTGGTTTTTTAAAATAAGCCCATATCTCCTAGAAATACAAATGACAATATTTATAGATGAAAACATATAGGATTTTCTTGAAAATTGTATGGGGTTGGGGAAATCAAGTTGGAGATATAGCTGAAACCAGATTGGCCATGAGTTCCATTTTATTTCTGGCTATGTTTTACATATTCCACAGTATTTAAATGAAAAGAAAATTATTAAGATGTGGCTGTAGAGAAAGAAGAACTAAGAAGGATCACAGTTCGATGACATTCTAATTAATGCTATACTTTATAGGGGGGAAAACTATAGAAGAGTAAAAAGAATCATCCACAATTTCATCACAGCATCAGTTCTATTGTGATTTGGGGAATTTAGCAATAATCGACACAGATTGCTAGAAAGATATATGAGTACCTTGGCAATTACATTTGTATAAATCTGGCCACCCAGCAGCTTACTCCCTTTGAATGGCATTCTTAGCCTAGGACCATCTTATTTCCTTGGTTTTGCCATTAACAGAGAATTCCGTCACCCAGTTCCTAGTTTATCTGAATCCTGGCTGCAGAATGTTATCTTCCTCTAGTGTACATTTCATGCAAGGTATTAGGGGTGTGTAAGAGTGAGACTTCAAGAACAGGTGGTATAACTGTGTTTGTGCCACTTGCTATTTAATATTTATAAACACATATAATCTGGTGTCAGACTTGCTTACCCTATAACTCATCTACTGGATATGAAGGTGGAATTGAGAGAGACTTACAGCCCTCACCTATATCCAAATAATAATAGGTCTTCCATCTACCAGTAAAAATCTACTCATTGTCCACTGCCAACTTGGCTTAGATAATTCTGTAACAGATGTGTTCTTGACATTTCCAATTAAATATAAAATGTTTTTTCCTGCAGAATCCACAAATTCCTTACGTATTTTAACATACATGCAGTTACATACATACATACCAGAGTCTGCAAACTACTGCTTAGAGGTCAAATATGGCTTGCCGCCTGTTTTTGTACAGCCAGTGAGCTAAAATTGTTTCTACAGTTTTAAATAGTCGAAAAATTAAAAGAATATTTTGTGACATGTGAAAATTATATAAAATTTTAATTGCATAAGTAAATATATTGGAATACAGTTATACTCATTTGTTCATGCACTGTCTATGGCTGCTTTCACACTGCAATATGAGATGGACACTGTATGATATTCAAAGCCCAAAATACTTACTATCTGGCCCTTCACAGAAAAAGTTGGTCACCCCTGGTGTATATCATAGGTGTTCTTAAACCTATAAAAAACAAATACCATCATATTATCAACTGATATCTAAGTTCCAAATAGCTAACTTAAGAAATATCAGAATTATGGGCCATCTGTAAGTTGGGAAAAGACTTTAAGAGGGATCTAGTACTTTCATTTTTAAAGTAAGATAAATGTTTATCACTCATGCATAAAATTTAATAACCTTTGCTAGCCTTTGGATTGAGGCCAGGGCACAGCATCTGACTAAACACACCATAAACAAGGAATAGAAATGCCTTGCTCATAAGCAAAAGACAAAAATTAAAAATTAATGGGGAGGAGCCAAGATGGCCGAATAGGAACAGCTCCAGTCTACAGCTCCCAGCGTGAGCGACGCAGAAGATGGGTGATTTCTGCATTTCCATCTGAGGTACCGGGTTCATCGCACTAGGGAGTGCCAGACAGTGGGCGCAGGTCAGTGGGTGCGTGCACCATGCGCGAGCCGAAGCAGGGCCAGGCATTGCCTCACTTGGGAAGCACAAGGGGTCAGGGAGTTCCCTTTCTGAGTCAAAGAAAGGGGTGATGGACGGCACCTGGAAAATCGGGTCACTCCCACCCCAATACTGCGCTTTTCCGACGGGCTTAAAAAATGGCGCACCACGAGATTATAACCCGCACCTGGCTCGGAGGGTCCTACACCCACGGAGTCTCACTGATTGCTAGCACAGCAGTCTGAGATCAAACTGCAAGGCGGCATCGAAGCTGGGGGAGGGGCTCCCGCCATTGCCCAGGCTTGATTAGGTAAACAAAGCAGCTGGGAAGCTCGAACTGGGTGGAGCCCACAACATCTCAAGGAGGCCTGCCTGTCTCTGTGGGCTCCACCTCTGGGGGCAGGGCACAGACAAACAAAAAGACAGCAGTAACCTCTGCAGACTTAAATGTCCCTGTCGACAGCTTTGAAGAGAGCAGTGGTTCTCCCAGCATGCAGCTGGAGATCTGAGAACAGGCAGACTGCCTCCTCAAGTGGGTCCCTGACCTCTGACCCCTGAGCAGCCTAACTGGGAGGCACCCCCCAGCAGAGGCACACTGACATCTCACACGGCAGGGTATTCCAACAGACCTGCAGCTGAGGGTCCTCTCTGTTAGAAGGAAAACTAACAAACAGAAAGGACATCCACACCAAAAACCCATCTGTACATCACCATCATCAAAGACCAAAAGTAGATAAAACCACAAAGATGGGGAAAAAACAGAACTGAAAAACTGGAAACTCTAAAAAGCAGAGCGCCTCTCCGCCTCCAAAGGAATGCAGTTCCTCACCAGCAACGGAACAAAGCTGGATGGAGAATGACTTTGAAGAGCTGAGAGAAGAAGGCTTCACACCATCCAATTACTCTGAGCTACGGGAGGACATTCAAACCAAAGGCAAAGAAGTTGAAAACTTTGAAAAAAATTTAGAAGAATGTATAACCAGAATAACCAATACAGATAAGTGCTTAAAGGAGCTGATGGAGCTGAAAACCAAGGCTCGAGAACTACGTGAAGAATGCAGAAGCCTCAGGAGCCAATGCGATCAACTGGAAGAAAGGGTATCAACGATGGAAGATGAAATGAATGAAATGAAGTGAGAAGGGAAGTTTAGAGAAAAAAGAATAAAAAGAAATGAGCAAAGCCTCCAAGAAGTATGGGACTATGTGAAAAGACCAAATCTACGTCTGATTGGTGTACCTGAAAGTGATGGGGAGAAAGGAACCAAGTTGGAAAACACTCTGCAAGATATTATCCAGGAGAACTTCCCCAATCTAGCAAGGCAGGCCAACGTTCAGATTCAGGAGATACAGAGAACGCCACAAAGATACTCCTCGAGAAGAGCAACTCCAAGACACATAATTGTCAGATTCACCAAAGTTGAAATGAAGGAAAAAATGTTAAGGGCAGCCAGAGAGAAAGGTCGGGTTACCCTCAAAGGGAAGCCCATCAGACTAACAGTGGATCTCTCGGCAGAAACCCTACAAGCCAGAAGAGAGTGGGGGCCAATATTCAACAATCTTAAAGAAAAGAATTTTCAACCCAGAATTTCATATCTAGCCAAACTAAGCTTCATAACTGAAGGAGAAATAAAATCCTTTACAGACAAGCAAATGCTGAGAGATTTTGTCACCACCAGGCCTGCCTTACAAGAGCTCCTGAAGGAAGCACTAAACATGGAAAGGAACAACCGATACCAGCCGCTGCAAAATCATGCCAAAATGTAAAGACCATCGAGACTAGGAAGAAACTGCATCAACTAACAAGCAAAATAACCAGCTAACATCATAATGACAGGATCAAATTAACACATAACAATATTAACCTTAAATGTAAATGGACTAAATGCTCCAATTAAAAGACACAGACTGGCAAATTGGATAAAGAGTCAAGACCCATCAGTGTGCTGTATTCAGGAAACCCATCTCATGTGCAGAGACACACATAGGCTCAAAATAAAAGGATGGAGGAAGATCTACCAAGCAAATGGAAAACAAAAAAAGGCAGGGGTTGCAATCCTAGTCTCTGATAAAACAGACTTTAAACCAACAAAGATCAAAAGAGACAAAGAAGGCCATTACATAATGGTAAAGGGATCAATTCAACAAGAAGAGCTAACTATCCTAAATATATATGCACCCAATACAGGAGCACCAAGATTCATAAAGCAAGTCCTGAGTGACCTACAAAGAGACTTAGACTCCCACACATTAATAATGGGAGACTTTAACACCCCACTGTCAACATTAGACAGATCAATGAGACAGAAAGTCAACAAGGATACCCAGGAATTGAACTCAGCTCTGCACCAAGCAGACCTAATAGACATCTACAGAACTCTCCACCCCAAATCAACAGAATATACATTTTTTTCAGCACCACACCACACCTATTCCAAAATTGACCACATACTTGGAAGTAAAGCTCTCCTCAGCAAATGTAAAAGAACAGAAATTATAACAAACTATCTCTCAGACCACAGTGCAATGAAACTAGAACTCAGGATTAAGAATCTCACTCAAAACCGCTCAACTACATGGAAACTGAACAACCTCCTCCTGAATGACTACTGGGTACATAACGAAATGAAGGCAGAAATAAAGATGTTCTTTGAAACCAATGAGAAGAAAGACACAACATACCAGAATCTCTGGGACACATTCAAAGCAGTGTGTAGAGGGAAATTTATAGCACTAAATGCCCACAAGAGAAAGCAGGAAAGATCCAAAATTGACACCTCCACATCAAAATTAAAAGAACTAGAAAAGCAAGAGCGAACACATTCAAAAGCTAGCAGAAGGCAAGAAAGAACTAAAATCAGAGCAGAACTGAAGGAAATAGAGACACAAAAAACCCTTCAAAAAATTAATGAATCCAGGAGCTGGTTTTTTGAAAGGATCAACAAAATTGATAGACCGCTAGCAAGACTAATAAAGAAAAAAAGAGAGAAGAATCAAATAGATGCAATAAAAAATGATAAAGGGGATATCACCACCGATCCCACAGAAATACAAACTACCATCAGAGAATACTACAAACAACTCTACACAAATAAACTAGAAATTCTAGAAGAAATGGATAAATTCCTCGACACATACACTATCCCAAGACTAAACCAGGAAGAAGTTGAATCTCTGAATAGACCAATAACAGGAGCTGAAATTGTGGCAATAATCAATAGCTTACCAACCAAAAAGAGTCCAGGACCAGATGGATTCACAGCCGAATTCTACCAGAGGTACAAGGAGGAACTGGTACCATTCCTTCTGAAACTATTCCAATCAATAGAAAAAGAAGGAATCCTCCCTAACTCATTTTATGAGGCCAGCATCATTCTGATACCAAAGCCAGGCAGAGACACAACAAAAAAAGAGAATTTTAGACCAATATCCTTGATGAACATTGATGCAAAAATCCTCAATAAAATACTGGCAAACCAAATCCAGCAGCACATCAAAAAGCTTATCCACCATGATCAAGTGGGCTTCATCCCTGGGATGCAAGGCTGGTTCAATATATGCAAATCAGTAAATGTAATCCAGCATATAAACAGAACCAAAGACAAAAACCACATGATTATCTCAATAGATGCAGAAAAAGCTTTTGACAAAATTCAACAACTCTTCATGCTAAAAACTGTCAATAAATTAGGTATTGATGGGACGTATTTCAAAATAATAAGAGCTATCTATGACAAACCCACAGCCAATATCATACTGAATGGGCAAAAACTGAAGCATTCCCTTTGAAAACTGGCACAAGACAGAGATGCCCTCTCTCACCACTCCTATTCAACATAGTGTTGGAAGTTCTGGCCAGGACAATTAGGCAGGAGAAGGAAATGGGCATTCAATTAGGAAAAGAGGAAGTCAAATTGTCCCTGTTTGCAGATGACATGATTGTATATCTAGAAAACCCCATTGTCTCAGCCCAAAATCTCCTTAAGCTGATAAGCAACTTCAGCAAAATCTCAGGATACAAAATCAATGTACAAAAATCACAAGCATTCTTATACACCAACAACAGACAAACAGAGAGCCAAATCATGAGTGAACTCCCATTCACAATTGCTTCAAAGAGAATAAAATACCTAGGAATCCAACTGACAAGGGATGTGAAGGACCTCTTCAAGGAGAACTACAAACCACTGCTCAAGGAAATAAAAGAGGATACAAACAAATGGAAGAACATTCCATGCTCATGGGTAGGAAGAATCAATATCGTGAAAATGGCCATACTGCCCAAAGTAATTTACAAATTCAATGCCATCCCCATCAAGCTACCAATGACTTTCTTCACAGAATTGGAAAAAAACAGCTTTAAAGTTCATATGAAACCAAAAAAGAGCCCGCATCGCCAAGTCAATCCTAAGCCAAAAGAACAAAGCTGGAGGCATCACACTACCTGACTTCAAACGATACTACAAGGCTACAGTAACCAAAACATCATGGTACTGTTACCAAAACAGAGATATAGATCAATGGAACAGAACAGAGCCCTCAGAAATAATGCCGCATATCTACAACTATCTGACCTTTGACAAACCTGAAAAAAACAAGCAATGGGGAAAGGATTCCCTATTTAATAAATGGTGCTGGGAAAACTGGATAGCCATATGGAGAAAGCTGAAACTGGATCCCTTCCTTACACCTTATACAAAAATCAATTCAAGATGGTTTGAAGACTTAAACGTTAGACCTAAAACCATAAAAACCCTAGAAGAAAACCTAGGCATTACCATTCAGGACATAGGCATGGGCAAGGACTTCATGTCTAAAACACCAAAAGCAATGGCAACAAAAGACAAAATTGACAAATGGGATCTAATTAAACTAAAGAGCTTCTGCACAGCAAAAAAAACTACCATCAGAGTGAACAGGAAACGTACAAAATGGGAGAAAATTTTCGCAACCTACTCATCTGACAAAGGGCTAATATCCAGCATCTACAATGAACTCAAACAAATTTACAAGAAAAAAACAAACAACCCCATCAAAAAGTGGGCAAAGGATATGAACAAACACTTCCAAAAGAAGACATTTATGCAGCTGAAAAACACATGAAAAAATGCTCATCATCACTGGCCATCAGAGAAATGCAAATCAAAACCACAATGAGATACCATCTCACACCAGTTAGAATGGCAATCATTAAAAAGTCAGGAAACAACAGGTGCTGGAGAGGATATGGAGAAATACGAACACTTTTACACTGTTGGTGGGACTGTAAACTAGTTCAACCATTGTGGAAGTCAGTGTGGCGATTCCTCAGGGATCTAGAACTAGAAATACCATTTGACCCAGCAATCCCATTACTGGGTATATACCCAAAGGACTATAAATCATGCTGCTGTAAAGACACATGCACACGTATGTTTATTGCAGCATTATTCACAATAGCAAAGACTTGGAACCAACCCAAATGTCCATCAATGATAGACTGGATTAAGAAAATGTGGCACATATACACCATGGAATACTATGCAGCCATAAAAAATGATGAGTTCATGTTCTTTGTAGGGACATGGATGAAATTGGAAATCATCATTCTCAGTAAACTATCACAAGAACAAAAAACCAAACACCGCATATTCTCACTCATAGGTGGGAATTGAACAATGTGATCACATGGACACAGGAAGGGGAATATCACACTCTGCGGACTGTTGTGGGTTGGGGGGAGGGGGGAGGGAAAGCATTGGGAGATATACCTAATGCTAGATGATGAGTTAGTGGGTGCAGCGCACCAGCATGGCACATGTATACATATGTAACTAACCTGCACAATGTGCACATGTACCCTAAAACTTAAAGTATAATAAAAAAAAAGAGAGAGAGACAAAGAGAGAAAAAAAAAATTAAAAATTAAAAAATTGAAAACCTCGAATAAGGTTGTCACTACCATGCTGCCTCAATTTGAAATCCATTTCTATCTTTTTCTCTCTTTTTTAATCCTACAGATATATAAAAATGTTTTGTATTTAGCATCTGTGTATATTTCATGGTTTTTAATATACCTGAAAGTTGAATGCATTAAGAGGATAATTATAGCATGTTGAGTTCACAGTAATAAACCAATGATAAATTTTTGATGAAGTTTTTGGGGCAAGAGCAGCCAGTTTAAGTGTGCATGCCACTGCCTCCTGTCTAAGTCATTCTGGACTGATTTCTCAACAAATAGGCCAAGAACTGCCAGAGCAGTTACTTTAAAACAAGAGAAGCAGGTACATTTTAATATACTAACCTACAGATTTATCTGGATTCTGTGTCTCTTCTATTTAACCTCAATAAGAGTCTCTCCAAGTTAAACAACCTGTCAAAACAGTAGCTGAGGAAGAAGTTTCCAGCTCATTAGAGCTGTGCTCATCATGATCTTATCTCCTGGAAAAATGAAAAGTTAAGCAGGGCAATTCAGATTCACATTTTAAAAATCCAGACAGGGACATTTTTAAATTTATCTATTTATTCTTCATCGGCAAAGGCCACGTTGAGCATTTTTGGACCACTCTGAAATAGTGTTGTTAAAAGTGTATGTATTCCCACATGAAAACATCTCTTCATTTTCAAGATACAGCAATCTATATTTATGAGACACTCACAACCAATGAAGAAGAAATTCAGTATGTAATATTAACATATGGAAATATCTGTGGATAAACTCAGACTGGAAGAAAAACCAAGGCTATTTGCTGATGTGATTTTCAAACGCATGCTTAAGGAATTATGAAAGAATTTAGTCAAAGCTTTTATTTAACCTTACACAGGGCCATGATGCTACATGCTTAATAAAAACTAAATGCTGAATGTATTACTGAGTAATATTATAGATTCCAGTAGGGGTGTGGCAGGCACACCGCTATGTGTTCTAAACTATCAGTGAGTGATTCATCCTTTGTTTCCTGGGGGAAATGAGGAGACCATGCAACCCTGGGGAAACTAGCCTTGACAGTCTTCTCAGCTCTACTCTTTCTATGTACTCAGAATGAGCATCAGGAGGCCATCTTGCCTTTACTTGGAACCCATGGGGACAGCCAGCAAGTCTCTCAGTCTCCCTTGGTAGTCCTGGTACAAGCCACTCTGCATGGCAATTCTGCATGGATCTGCATTTTTAAAACTATTCACTCCCTAACTCTTAAGACATGACTAGAATTCTGTCCTTGTTTTGCCTGATGTTTCTAATGGCCTCCTCTGATAGGAAGAAGAAAAACAGTGTTAAGAGTGTAGCTCTAAGATCCACAATGTTCAATCCAGACCCTGGCTCCCTAGCTTACCAGCTATGCGACCTGAGCTAGTCGCTTGTTTCCTGATCTGAACATGGAGAAAACTATAATTATCTGCATCAAGGGGCTGTCGTGAGGATAAATCAATAGTTCTCAATCCAACACACTCTCTGTTACAAATATTTATTCACTTCCTCTTAAACATCTTGAAATGAAATTCATATATAATGCTACCAACCAAGACACTTTAATGTAATAACTGTAATATAAAGAAGAAATGAAAAGTAATTTATAGAAAAATAATGTGTGTTTCAATAAGTAAATGCTTAGACATGATTATTCTAGAAAATTCAATAATGGCTACCTGAACACTCAAGTGTGCCCCAGTGTCTATTGTTCCCTTCCTTGTGTCCTAGTATCCTCAATGTTTAGCTTCCACTTGAAAGTGAAGAAGTGGTATTTGATTTTCTGTCCCTGCATTAAGTCACTTTGAATAATGGCCTAAAGTTCCATCCACGTGGCTGCAAAGGGCATGATTTCATTTTTTAGAGTGAAACTATTCCATGTTGTATATATACCACATTTCTTCATCAAGCTCACCACTGATGGGCGTCTAAGTTGATTCCTTGTCTTTGCTATTGTGCATAGTGCTATGATTAACATATAGGTGCATGTGTGTCTTTATTATTATTATTATTATACTTTAAGTTCTGAGATACGTGTGCAGAACATGCAGGTTTGTTACATAGGTATGTACATGTCATGGTGGTTTTGCTGCACCCATCAACTGGTCATCTATATGAAGTACTTCTCCTAATGCTATCCTTCCCCTAGCCCCCCACCCCCTGACAGGCTCCAGAGTGTGATATTCCCCACATTGTGTCCATGTGGTCTCATTGTTCAAATCCCACTTGTGAGTGGGAAGAGGCGGTGTTTGGTTTTCTGCTCCTGTGTTAGTTTGCTGAGAATGATGGTTTCCAGTTTCATCCATGTCCCTGCAAAGGACATGAACTCATCCTTTTTTATGGCTGCATAGTATTGTGTGGTGAATATGTGCCACATTTTCTTTATCCAGTCTATCATTGGTGGGCATTTGGATTGGTTCCAAGTATTTGCTATTGTAAATAGTGCTACAATAAACATACACGTGCATGTGTCTTTATGATAGAATGATTTATAATCCTTTGGGTATATACCCAGTAATGGGATTGCTGGGTCAAATGATATTTCTGGTCCAGATCCTTAAGGAATCACCACACTGTCTTCCACAATGGTTGAACAAATTTACACTCCCACCAACAGTGTAAAAGCATTCCTATTTCTCCACATCCTCTCTGGCATCTGTTGTTTCCTGACTTTTTAATGATTGCCATTGTAACTGCTGTAAGGTGGTATCTCATTGTGGTTTTGATTTGCATTTCTCTAATGACCTATGATGATGAGCATTTTTTCATATGTTGGTTGGCCACATAAATGTCTTTTTTTGAGAAGTGTCCATTCATTTCCTTTTTCCACTTTTTGATGAGGTTGTTTTTTTTTTTCTTGTAAATTTGTCTGAGTTCCTTGTAGATTCCGGATACTAGCCCTTTGTCAGATGGATAGATTGCAAGAATTTTCTCCCATTCTGTAGGTTGCAAGTTCACTCTGATAGTTTCTTTTACTGTGCAGAAGCTCTTAGTTTAATTAGATCCCATTTGCCAATTTTGGCTTTTGTTGCCATTGCTTTTGGCATTTTAGTCATGAAGCCTTTGGCCATACCTATGTCCTGAATGGTATTGCCTAGGTTTTCTTCTAGGGCTTTTATGGCTTTAGGTCTTAGTTTAAGTCTCTAATCCATCTTGAGTTGATTTTTGTATTAGGTGTAAGGAAGGGGTCCAGTTTCAGCTTTCTGCATATGGCTAGATAGTTTTCCCAACACCGTTTATTAAATAGGGAATCCTTTCCCCATTACTTGTTTTTGTCAGGTTTATCAAAGATCAGATTGTTGTAGATGTGTGGTGTTATTTCTGAGGTTTCAATTCTGTTCCATTGGTCTGTATATCTGCTTTGGCACCAGTACCATGATGTTTTGGTTACTCTAGCCTTGTATAGTTTGAAGTCAGGTAATGTGATGCCACCAGCTTTGTTCTTTTTGCTTAGGATTATCTTGGCTATACGGGCTCTTTTTTGCTCCCATATGAAATTTAAAGTAGTTTTTCCTGATTCTGTGAAGAAAGTCAATGGTAGCTTGATTGGGGATAGCACTGAATCTATAAATTACTTTGGGCAGGATGGCCATTTTCACAATATTAATTCTTCCTACCCATGAGCATGGGATGTTTTCCCATTGATTGTGTCCTCTCTTACTTCCTTGAGCAATGGTTTGTACCTCTCTTTGAAGAGGTCCTTCACATCCCTTATAAGTTGGATTCCTAGGTATTTTATTCTCTTTGTAGTAATTGTAAGTGGGAGTTCACTCATGATTTGGCTCTCTATCATTGGTTATAGGAATGCTTGTGATATTTGCACATTGATTTTGTATCCTGAGACTTAGCTGAAGTTGCTTATCAGCTAAAGGAGATTTTGGGCTGAGACCATGGGATTTTCTAAATATACAATCACATCATCTGCAAACAGAGACGATTTGACTTCCTCTCTTTCTATTTGAATGCCCTTTATTTCTTTCTCTTGCCTGATTGCCCTGGCCAGAACTTCCAACACTATGTTGAATGGGAGTGATGAGAGGAGGCATCCTTGTCTTGTGCCAGTTTTCAAAGGTAATGCTTCCAGCTTTTCCCCATTCAGTATGATATAGGCTGTGGGTTTGTCATAAATAGCTCTTATTATTTTGAGATACGTTCCATCGATACCTAGTTTATTGAGAGTTTTTAGCATGAAGGGCTGTTGAATTTTGTCAAAGGCCTTTTCTGCATCTATTGAGATAATCATGTGGTTTTTGTCTTTGGTTCTGTTTATGTGATGGATTACATTTTTCGATTTGCATATGTTGAACCAGCCTTGCATCCCAGGGATGAAGCTGACTTGATCATGATGGATAAGTTTTTTGATGCGCTGCTGGATTAGATTTGCCAGTATTTTATTGAGGACTATTGCATCAATGTTCATCAGGGATATTGGCCTGAAATTTTCTTTTTTTTTTTTGTTGTGTCTCTGCCAGGTTTTGGTATCAGGGTGATGCTGGCCTCATAAAATGAGTTAGGGAGGAGTCCTTCTTTTTCTACTGTTTGGAATAGTTTCAGAAGGAATGGTACCAGCTCCTCTTTGTACCTCTGGTAGAATTTGGTTGTGAATCCCTCTGTTCCTGGGCTTTTTTTTTTTTTTTTTTTGGTTGGTTGGTAGGTTATTAATTACTGCCTCAATTTCAGAACTTGTTATTGGTCTATTCAGGGATTTGACTTCTTCCTGGTTTAATCATGGGAGGGTGTATGTGTCCAGGAATGTATCCATTTCTTCTAGATTTTCTAGTTCACTTGCATAGAGGTGTTTATAGTATTCTCTGATGGTAGTTTGATTTTTGTGGGATCAGTGGAAATATCCCCTTTATAATTTTTTATTGTGTCTATTTGATTCTTCTCTCTTTTCTTCTTGATTAGTCTGGCTAGCATTCTATTTTGTTAATCTTAAAAAAAAAAACTAGCTCGTAGATTCATTGATTTTCTGAAGAGTTTTTGTGTCTCTCTTTTCAGTTCTGCAGTGATCTTAGTTATTTCTTGTCTTCTGCTAGTTTTTGAATTTGTTTGCTCTTGCTTCTCTAGTTTTTTTAATTGTGATATTAAGGTTCAATTTTAGATATTTCCCACTTTCTCCTGTGGACATTTAGTGCTATGATTTTCCCTCTAAACAGTGCTTTAGCTGTGTCCCAGAGATTCTGCTATATTGTCTCTTTGTTCTCATTGGTTTCAAAGAACTTATTTATTCTGCCTTCATTTTGTTATTTACCCAGTCATTCAGAGCAGGTTGTTCAGTTTCCATGTAGTTGTGCTGTTTTGAGTGAATTTCTTAATCTTGAGTTCTAATTTGATTGCACTGTGGTCTGAGAGACAGTTTCTTCTTATTTCTATTATTTTGCATTTGCTGAGGAGTGTTTTACTTCCGATTATGTGGTCAATTTTAGAATAAGTGTGATGTGGTGTTGAGAAGAATGTATCTTCTGTTGATTTGGGGTGGAGAGTTCTATAGATGTCTATTAGGTCCTCCTGGTCCAGAGCTGTGTTCAAGTCCTGAATATCCTTGTTAATATTCTGTCTCGTTGATCTGTCTAATATTGACAGTGGGGTGTTAAAGTCTCCCACTATTATTGTGTGGGAGTCTTAAGTCTCTTTGTAGGTCTCTAAAAACTTGCTTTATGAATCTGGGTGCTCCTGTATTCAGTGCATATATATTTAAGATAGCTCTTTTTGTTGCATTGATCCCTTTACCATTATGTAATGCCCTTCTTTTTCTTTTTTGATCTTTGTCGGTTTAAAGTTTGTTTTATCAGAGACTAGGATTGCAACCCCTGCTTGGTTTTGCTTTCCATTTAGCCCATTTACATTTAAGGTTAATATTGGTATGTGTGAATTTGATCCTGTAATTATGATGCTAGCTGGTTATTTTGCCCATTAGTTGATGCAGCTTCTTCATAGTGTCGATGGTCTTTGGAATTTGGTACGTTTTTGCAGTGGCTGGTACCAGTTGCTCCTTTTGATGATTAGCTCTTGTAAGGCAGGCCTGGGGGTGACAAAATCTCTTGGCATTTGCTTGTCTGTAAGGGATTTTATTTCTCCTTCACTTGTGAAGCTTAGTTTGGCTGGATATGAAATTCTGGGTTGAAAATTCTTTTCTTTAAGAATGTTGAATGTTGGGCCCCACTCTCTTCTGGCATGTAGGGTTTCTGCAGAGAGATCAGCTGTTAGTCTGATGGGCTCCCTTTTGTGGGTAACCCAACCTTTCTATCTGGCTGCTCTTAATATTTTTTCCTTCATTTCAACCTTGGTGAATCTGATGATTATGTGTCTTGGGGTTGCTCTTTTCAAAGAGTATCTTTGTGGTGTTCTCTGTATTTCCTGAATTTGAATGTTGGCCTGTCTTGCTAGGTTGGGGTAGTTCTCCTGGATAATATTCTGAAGAGTATTTTCCAACTTGGTTCCATTCTCCCCGTCACTTTCACATACACCAATCAAACATAGGTTTGGTCTTTTCACATAGTCCCATATTTCTTATAGGCTTTGTTCATTCCTTTTCATTCTTTTTCTGTAATCTTGTCTTTATGCTTTATTTCATTAAGTTGATCTTCAATCCATGCTATCCTTTATTCTGCTTGATCGATTCAGCTATTGATACTTGTGTATTCTTCATGAAGTTCTCGTGCTGTGTTTTTCAGCTCCATCAGGTCATTTATGTTCTTCTCCAAACTGGTTATTCTAGTTAGAAATTCCTCTAACCTTGTTTCAAGGTTCTTAACTTCCTTGCATTGGGTTAGAACATGCTTCTTTAGCTCAAAGGAGTTTGTTATTATCCACCTTCTGAAGCCTACTTCTGTCAATTCATCAAACTCTTTCTCCATGTAGTTTTGTTCCCTTGCAGAGAGGAGTTGTGATCCTTTGGAAGAGAAGAGACATTCTGTTCTTTGGAATTTTCAGTCTTTTCATGCTGGTTTTTCCTCATCTTCATGGATTTATGTACCTTTTGTCTTTGATGGTGACCTTCAAATGGGGTTTCTGTGTGGACATCCTTTTTGTTGATGTTGATGCTATTCCTTTCTGTTTGTTAATTTTACTTCTACCAGTCAGGCCCCTCTGCTGCAGGTCTGCTGGAGTCTGCTGGAGGTCCACTGCAGACCCTGTTTGCCTGGGTATCACCAGCGAAGGCTGCAGAACAGCAAAAATTGCTGCCTGTTCCTTCCTCTGGAAGCTTCATCCCAGAGAGGCACCCACAAGATGCCAGCCAGAGCTCTCCTGTAAGAGATGTCTGTCGACTCCTGCTAGGAGGTGTCTCCCAGTCAGGAGGCACTGGGGTCAGGGACCCACTTGAGGAGGCAGTCGGTCCCTTAACAGAGTTCGAGTGCTGTGCTAGGAGATCTGCTGCTCTTTTCAGAGCCAGCAGGCAGGAATGTTTGATTCTGCTGAAGCTGCACCCACAGCCATCCCTTTCCCAGGTGCTCTGTCCCAGGGAGATGGGAATTTTATCTATAAGCCCCTGACTGGGGTTGCTGCCTTTCTTTCAGAACTGCCCTTCCCAGAGACTAGGAATCTAGAGAGGCTGTCTTGCTACAGTGGCTTTACTGAGCTGCAGTGGGCTCTGCCCAGTTCAAACTTCCTGGTGGCTTTGTTTACACTGTAAGGGGAAAACCACCTACTTAAGCCTCAGTAATGGCAGATGCACCTCCCCCTAACAAGCTCAAGCATCCCAGGTAGACTTCAGACTGCTGTACTGGCAGCGAGAATTTCAAGCCAGTGGATCTGAGCTTGCTGGTCTCCATGGGGGTGGGATTCACTGAGCTAGACCACTTTGATCCCTGGCTTCAACCCCCTTTCCAGGGGAGTAAATGGTTCTATCTTGCTGGCATTCCAGGTGCCACTGGGGTATGAATAAAAACTCTTGCAGCTAGCTCAGTGTCTGCCCAAATGGCCTCCCAGTTTTGTGCTTGAAATCCAGGGCCCTGGTGGCATAGGCACCCAAGGGAATCTCTTGGTCTGTGAGTTGAGAAGACCATGGGAAAAGCATAGTATCTGGCCCAGAGTGCACCGTTCCTCTGCATGTGTCTTTATGGTAAAACAATTTATATTCTTTTTGTTATATACCCAGTAATGGGATTGTTAGGTCAAATGATACTTCCATTTTAAGTTATTTGAACAATCTCAAAACTGCTTTCAACAGTGGCTGAACTAATTTACATTCCCACCCACAGTATATAAGCATTCCACTTTCTCCACAACTTCACCAACATCTGTTATTTTTAAAATTTTTAGTAATAGCCATTCTGATTACCATGAGATGCTATCTCATTGTGGTTTTGATTTGCATTTCTCTGATGATTTGTAATGTGGAGCATTTTTTCATATGTTTGTTGGCCACATGTATGTCTTTTTTAAAAAAGTGTCTGTTCATGTCCTTCGCCCATTTTAAAACAAGGTTGTTTGTTTTTTGCTTGTTGATTCAAGTTCATTATAGATTCTGGATACTAGACCTTTGTTGGTTGCATAGTTTGCAAATATTTTCTCCTATTCTGTAGGTTCCCTGTTTACTGTATTGATTGTTTCTTTTTCTGTGCAGTTTTTTATTTTAAGTAAGCCCCACTTGTCAATTTTTGTTTTGTTGCATTTGCTTTTAGAGTCTTCATTACAAAATCTTTGCCAAGGCTGATATTGAGGATGGTATTTTCTAGGTTTTCTCCTGGAATTTTTATAGTTTTAGGTTTTTCCACTTAAGTCTTTCATTTGTCTTGACTTCTGTATATAGTACAAAGGAATAAGTCCAGTTTCAATCTTCTGCATATGGCTAGCCAGTTATCCTAGCATCATTTATTGAATAAGGAGTCTTTTCCCCATTGCTTGTTATTGTCAGCTTTGTTGAAGATCAGATGGTTATAGGTGTGTGGCTTTACTTCTGGTTTCTGTATTCTGTTCCATTTGTCTATGTGTCTGTTTTTGTATTAGTACCATGCTGTTTTGGCCACTGTAGCCTTGTAGTATAGTTTGAAGTCAGCTAATGTGATGCCTCTGGTTTTGTTCTTTTTCTTAGGATTGTTTTGGCTATTTGGGCTCTTTTTTGGTTCCATATGAATTTTAGAAATTTTTTTTCAAATTCTGTGAATAGTGTAATTGGTAGTTAGATAGAAATAGTATTGAATCTGTAAGTTGCTTTGGGAAGTATAGCCATTTTAATGATACTGATTTTTCCAATTCATTAGCATAAAATGTTTTTTCATTTGTTTGTGTCAGCTCTGATTTCTTTTAGCAGCATTTTGTAGTTCTGTTTGTAGACATCTTTCACCTCCCTGGTTAGCTGTATTCTTAGGTATTTTATTCTTTTTGTGGCTACTATAAATGGGGTTTTGTTCTTTATTTGGCTCTCATTGGCAGCACTGGTGTATTAAAATACTACTGATTTTTCAACATTGATTTTGTATTCAAAAACTTTGCTAAAGTTGTTTATCCAATATAGGAACCTTTGGGAGAAGACTATGGGGTTTTCTAGGTACAAGATCATATCATCTGTGAAGAGAAATAGTTTTACTTCCTCTCTTTCTATTTGGATGTCTTTTATTTCTTTCTCTTGCTGATTGCTCTTGTTAGCACTTCCAAAACTATGTTGAATAGGAGTGGCAAGAGTGGGAATCCTTGTCTTGTTCCAGTTGTCAAAAGAAATAAATGCTTCCAGCTTTTGCCTATTCAGTATGATGTTGGTTGTGGGTTTGTCATAGATGGCTCATATCATTTTGAGGTATAGTCCCTTAATGCCCAGTTTCTTCAGGGTTTTTAATGTGAAGAGATGTTAAATTTCACTGAAAGCCTTTGCTGTGTCTATTGAGATTATCTTCTTTTTTTTTTTTAGCTCTGTTTATGTGATGAATCACATTTGTTGATTTGCATATGTTAAACCAACCTCATATCCCAGGAATAAAGCCTATTTGATCATCGTAGTTTAACTTTTTGATGTGCTGCCAGGTTTGGTTTGCTAGTACTTTGTTGATAATTTTTGCATCTATGTTCATCAGGGATATTTGCTGTCATTTTCTTTTTTTGTTTTGTCACTTCCAGGTTTTAGTATCAGAATGATGCTGGCTTCATAGAATGAGTTAGGGAGGAGTCCTTTCTCTTCAATTTTTTGGAATAGTTTTAGTAGGATTGGTACCAGCTCTTCTTTATATGTCTAATAGAATTTAACTGTGAATCTGTCTGGTTGATGGGCTTTGTCTGTTTGAAAAATTACTATTACTGATTAAATTTGGGAGCTCATTATTGGTCTGTTTAGGGTTTTGATTTCTTCCTGGTTCGATCTTGGAAGACTGTATGTTTCCAGGAATTTATTCATAATCTTCTAGGTTTTCTAGTTTGTGTGCATAGACGTGTTTGTAATAGATGGGTTTTCTTTTTTGTATTTCTGTGGGGTTGGGGGTAGTGTTCCTTTTGTCATTTCTGATTGGGTTTATATTGATCTTCTCTTTTTTTCCTTTATCAGTCCATCCAGCAGCCTATTAATTTTAGTTAGTCTTTCACAGAACTAACTTTTGGTTTCATTGATTTTCTTGTATGGTTTTTCTCATCTCCATTTCATTCAGTTCAGCTCTGATTTTGGTTATTTCTTGTCTTCTGCTAGCTGTAGGATTGCTTTGCTCTTGTTTTTCTATTTCCTCTAGGTATGTTAATTTGAGCTCTTTCCAACTTTTTGATGTGGGTGTTTAGCACTATAAACGTTCCTCTTAATACTGCTTTAGCCATGACTCAGAGATTCTGGTATGTTGTATCTTTGTTTTCATTAGTTTCAAAGAATCTCTTACTTTCTGCCTGTATTAGGCAATTTTCATGCCGATGATAAAGACATACCCAAGACTGGGCAATTTACAAAAAAAGAGGTTTAATTGGACTTACAGTTCCATGTGGCTGGGGAAGTCTCACAATCATGGCAAAAGGCAAGGAGGACCAAGTGCCATCTTATATGGATTGCAGCAGGCAAAGAGAGAATGAGGAAGATGCAAAAGTGGAAATCCTGATAAAACCATCAGATCTCATGAGACTTATTCACTACTATGAGAGCAGTATGGGGAGGAAACCGCCCCCATGATTCAATTATCTCCCACAAGGTCCCTCCCACAACACATAGGAATTATGGGGGTAAAATTCATGATGAGATTTAGGTAGGGACAGAGATCCAAACCATATCACTATCTTAATCTCATTGTTTACCCAAATGTCATTCAGGAGCAGATCATTTGACTTCTTTGTAATTATATGGCTTTGAGAGATCTTCTTGGTATTGGTTTCCATTTTTATTGTGCTGCAATCTAAGAGTGTGGTGGCTATGATTTTGGTTTTTTGCATTTGATGAGAGTCGTTTTATGGCTGACTGTGTGGTCAATTTTAGTGTATGTGCCATGTGCAGATGAGAAGAATGTATATTCTCCTGTTGAGTGGACAGTTCTGTAGATTTCTGTTAGGCCTATTTGCTCAAGTGTCAAGTTTAGATCTTAAATATCTTTGTGACTTTTTTACCTTATGATCTGTCTAATACTTTCAGTGGGGTACCGAAGGCTTTCACTGTTATTGTTGTTCATCTAAGTCTCTTTGTAGTTCTCTAAGAACTTGTTTTATGAGTCTGGGTGCTCCAGTGTTGGGAATATATATTTAGGATAATGAAGGCTTCTTGTTGAATTGAACCTTTATCATTAAGTAATATCCTTATTTGTTCTTTTTTATCCTTGTTGGTTTAAAGTCTGTTTCATCTGAAATAAAAATAGCAAGTCCTGCTTTTTTCTGTTTTCCATTTGCTTGATAAATCTTTCTCTATCCTTTTACTTTGAGCCTAAAGCTTTCATTGCTTGTGAGATGGGTCTCTCTTGTAGACAGCATATGTTTGGGTCTTGCTTCTTTGTCCAACTTGCCACTCTGAGACTTTTAAGTGGGGGCTTTTAGCCCATTTACATTCAAGGTTAATATTGATACATGTGAATTAGATCCTATCATCATGTTGTTAGCTGGTTGCTATATAGACTTGATTGTGTAGTTGCTTTATACTGTCAATGGTCTACGTGCCTAAGTGTGTTTTTGTGGTGTCTGGTAATGGTCTTTCATTTTCATGTTTAGCATTCCCTTAAGGACCTCATGTAAGGCAGGTCAGGCCCGATGGTAACAAATTCCCTTAGCATTTGCTTGCCTGAAAGAATTTTATCCTCCTTTGATTATGACATTTAGATGGTTGAATATAAAATTTTTGTTTTTAATTTCTTTTCTTTAAGTATACTAATTATAGGCCTCCAATCTCTTCTGGCTTGTAGGATTTCTGCTGAAAGCTCTACTGTTAGCCTGATGAGGTTCCCTTTGCTGGTGACCTTCCCTTCTGTCTAGCTGCCTTTAATATTTTTTCTTTATTGCAGACCTTGGAGAATCTGATAACTATGTGCTTCAGGGATTGTTGCATTGTATAATATCTTGTAGGGGTTTTCTAAATTCTCTGAATTTTAATGTCAACCTCTCTGGCAAGATTGGGGAAAATTTCATGGACTATATCTTCAAATATGTTTTCCACATTGCTTGCTCTCTCTTACTCTTTCAGGGATGCCAGTGAGTCATAGGTTTTGTCTCTATGTAAAAATATGGAACTCTTTATGAGTTTCCATGTCATTCTTATACAAGGGCCATTTTAATCCACCCCGTATCATTCCAATTTTATTATATGTATTGCCAAAGTAAGCACCACTTATAACTGTTTTTGCAAACTGTTTACATTTCCATAAAGTGTCTTCCACCATGCTCAACAACTTTCCTCTACAGTACATTCTCACACCTGATTGGATGCTGGCAAAATAGAAATTGTTCTGTGGGAGCTTTGCCATAGGTTAGAGCAGAATATGAGGATCAGTGCACACTTTGGACTACACGTCTTAAAGAGATGATGTTTCTCTCACGATTGGTAAATAGGAAAGCAAAGAGCAAGCTCTCCTGCATTATTTATCAAATGACAGGAAGAGCAGTTAAAAAGGTATAAGGACCAAAGAGAATATTCACCTTGGCCCTCTGAAGGTTCACTGAAAAATGAGCTCACAAAAATTAGATTTATGGGAGAAAAGGCATACGAATTTATTTAACATGTATACATGGGAGCCTTCAGAATAAAGACCCAACCCCTCCAGTGGGGTACAGAAACTTATATATCACCTCAAGGTTACAGAAAGATGGGGGCATGAGCACTTCAATAACTGCTCAGAGGAGCTCTAAATCTTGAAGCAAATCCTTGAAATATACCAAAATAGAACTTCCTTAAAGCATAAATCTCACAGGATCTACAAAACAATAACACAATTAAAAAAAGATATTCAGGCAACAACTAGCACAATGAATAGAATAGTACCTCACATCTCAATGCTAACATTGAATGTAAGTGGCTTAATGGTCCTCTTAAATGATACAGCATGGAAGAATGGATAAGAATTCACCAACCAAGTATCTGCTGTCTTCAAGAGATTCACCTAACACATAAGGACTCACACAAACTTAAGGTAAAGAGGTGGAAAAGATATACCATGTGAATGGACGCCAAAAGCGAGTGGGAGTAACTATTCTTATATCAGACAAAACAGACTTTAAAGCAACAAGAGTTAAAAAAGACAAAGAGAAACATTATATAATGGCAAAAGGACTAGTCCAACAGGAAAATATCTGTCCTAAATATATATGCACCTAACAAACACTGGAGCTCCCAAATTTATAAAAACAATTGCTACTAGACCTAAGAAATGAGATACATAGCAACACAATAATACTGGGGACTTCAGTACTCCACTAGCACTAGACAGGTCATCAAGAGAGAAAGTCAACAAAGAAACAATGTACATAAACTACACCCTAGAACAAATGGTCTTAACAGATATTTACAGAACATTCTACCCAACAACTGCAGAATATACATTCTATTATTCTGCATATGAAACATTCTCCAAGATAGACCATATGACAGGACACAAAACAAGTCTCAATAAATCTAAGAAAATTGAAATTATATGAACTCTCTCAGATCACGGTGGAATAAAATTAGAAATCAACTCCAAAAGGAAGCCTTATAACCATGCAAATACATGAAAATTAAATAACTTCTCCTGAATGATCATTAAGTCAACAATGAAATCAAGATGGAAATTTAAAAATCTTTGAACTGAATGACAGTAGTGACACAACCTATCAAAACCTCGGGGATACAGCAAAAGTGGTGCTAAGAAGAAAGTTCATAGCATTGAATGCCTACTTCAAAAAGTTTGAAAGAACACAAACAGACAATCTAAGGTCACACATCAAGGTATAACAGAAGCAAGAACAAACCAAACCCAAACTCAACAAAAGGAAAGAAATAATAAAGATCAGAGCAGAACTAAATGAAATTGAAACAAAATGAAAATACAAAAGATAAGTGAAACAAAAAGCTGTTTCTTTGAAAAGATAAACAAAATTGATAGACCACTGGCAAAGTTAACCAAGAAAAAAAGGAGAGAATATCCAAATAAGCTCAATTAGGAATGAAACAAGAGATATTGCAACCGATACCACAGAAATACAAAAATTTATTCAAGGCCACTATGAACGCCTTTACGTACACAAACTAGAAAACTTAGAAAATATGGTCAAATTTTTGAAAATGTACAACCCTCCTAGATTAAACCAGGAAGAAATAGAAACTCTGAACAGACCAATAATAAGTGGCAAGATTGAAATGGTAATTAAAAAGTTACCAAAAAAAAAAAAAACTCCAAGACCAGATAGATTCATGTCTGAATTTTATCAGACATTCAAGGAAGAATTGGTACCAATCCCATTGACACTATTCCAAAGAATAGATAATAAGGAAATTTTCCCTAAATCATTCTATGAAGCCAGTATCACCTTTATTCCAAAACCAGGAAAGGACATAACAAAAAAAGAAAACTACAGACCAATATCCCTGATAAACATAGAGGCAAAAATCCTCAGCAAAATACTAGCTAACCGAATCCAACAGCATATCAGAAAGATAATCCAACATGAGCAAGTGGGTTCATACCAGGGATGCAGGGATGTTTAATATATGCAAGTCAATAAATATGACACACCACATAAACAGAATTAGAAACAAAAATCACATAATAATCCCAACAGATGCAGAAAAAGGGTTTGACAAATCTAGGATCCCTTTATAATTAAAACCCTTAGCAAAATTGGCATAGAAGTGACATACCTTAAGGTAATAAAAGCCATCTATGACAAACCCATAGCTAACATTATACTGAATGGAGGAAACATGAAAGCATTCTGCCTGAATATTGGAACAAGACAAGGATGCCCACTTTCACCACTTTCTATTCAACATAGTACTGGAAGTCCTAGTCAGAGCAATCAGACAAAAGAAAAAAATAAAGGGCATCTGAATCAGTAAGGAGGAAGTCAAACAGTCATTCACCAATGATATAATCATATGCCTAGAAATCATGTAATCATCACTAATGATCAGGGAAATGAAAATCAAAAACCACAAAAACCCTAAAGACTCATCCAAAAAGCTCCTAGATCTGACAAATGAAAATTTAGTAAAATTTCAGGATACAAAATCTACGTACACAGACAAGTAGCACTGCTATACATCAACAGCAACCAAGCTGAGAATCAAATCAAGAACTCAATCCCTTTCACAACAGCTGCAAAAAAGAAAAAAACCTTAGGAATATTTCTAGCCAAGGAGATGAAAGACCTCTAGACAGAAAACTGCAAAACACTGCTAAAGAAATTATAGATGACACAAAGAAATGGAAACACATTCCATGTCCATGGATGAGTAGAATCAATTTGGTGAAAATGACCATACTGCCAAACACAATGTACAAATTCAATGTAATTCCCATTAAAATACCACCATCGTTCTTCACAGAACTAGACAAAACAATCCTAAAATTAACATAGAACCAAAAAAGAGCCCACACAGCCAAAGCAACACTAAGCAAAAAGAACAAATCCAAAGGCATCACATTACCCAACTTCAAACTATACTATAAGGCTGCAGTTAACAAAACAGCAAATTCAATGTAATTCCCATCAAAATACCACCATCATTCTTCACAGAACTAGACAAAACAATCCTAAAATTAACATAAAACCAAAAAAGAGCCCACATAGCCAAAGCAAGACTAAGCAAAAAGAACAAATCCAAAGGCATCACATTACCCAAATTCAAACTATACTATAAGGCTGCAGTCACCAAAACAGCATGGTACTGGTATTAAAATAGACATGTAGACCAATGGAACAGAAGAGAGAACCCAGAAAGAAAGCCAATTACTTAACAGCGAATTGATCTTCGACAAAGCAAACAAAAACCAAAAGCGGGGAAAGGACACCCTATTCAACAAATAGTCCTGGGATAAATGGCAAGCCCAATGTAGAAGACTGAAACTGGATCCTCATCTCTCACCTTACACAAAAATCAACTCAAGGAGGATCAAAGACTTAAATCTAAGACTTGAACCCATAAAAACCCTAGAAGATAACATCAGAAAAACTCTTTTGGACATTGGCTCTAGGCAAAGACTTTATGACCAAGAACCCAAAGGCAAATGCAACAGAAACACAAAGATAAATAAACGGGACTTAATTAAACTAAAAAGCTTTTGCACAACAGAAGAAATAATCAGCAGACGAAACAGACAACCCACAAAGTGGGAGAAAATATTTGCAAACTATGCATCCAACAAAGGCCTAATAGTCAGAATCTACAAGGAACTCAAACAAATCAGCAAGCAAAAAACAAACAATCCCACCAAAAAGTGGCATAAGGACATGAGTAGACAATTCTCAAAAGAAGATATACAAATGGCCAACAAACATATGAAAATATGCTCAACATCACTAATGATCAGGGAAATGCAAATCAAAACCACAATGCAACACCATCTTTCTCCTGCAAGAATGGCCATAATCAAAAAAAAAAACAAAAAATAATAGATGTTTGTGTGGATGTGGTGAAAAGGGAACACTTTCACACTGCTGGTGGGAATGTAAACTAGTACAATGACTATGGAAAACAGAATGGAAATTCCTTAATGAACTAAAAGTAGATCTATCATTTGCTCCAGCAATCCCACCACTGGGTATCTACCCAGAGAAGTCATTATATGAAAAACATGCTTGCACATGCATGTTTATAGCAGCATGATTTGCAATTGCAAAAATATGGAACCATCCCAAGTGCTCATCAGCTGACTGGGTTAAAAAATGTGTTATATATATACACCATGGAATAATACTCAGCCATAAAAAGGAAAGAAATAACGGCATTCACAGCAACCTGGATGGAATTGGAGGACATTATTCTAAGTGAAGTAATTCAGGAATAGAAAAATAAATATTGGATGTTCTCACTCATAAGTGGGAGCCAAGCTGTGAGGACACAAAGGCATAAGAATGATACATAGAGTTTGGGGACTTGGGGGAAAGGGTGGGAGGAAGGTGAGAGATAAAAGACTACACATTGGGTACAGTGTACACTTCTCAGGTATACCAAAATCACAGAAATCACCACTAAAGAACTTATCCATATAACCAAATACCACCTATTTCCCCAAAAAACCAATTGAAATAAAAAATAAAAATAAAGAAATGAAGAAACAAAATAAAGAAAAAATGAAGAAGAAAATAAAAATAAAGAAATGAAGAAACAAAAAAAAAGAAAGAATGGGGGCTTGGACTCTGACAAAATAGGTTATGGGAAGGGCAAGAAGGGGAAGTCTCTCAAGAGGAAACAAATGATTACTAGGAGAATTCAATGGGCTTGAAGAACACACAATGGTCTAGGACAATGTTTGGCCCACAGAGCAGACAATGGTTCGTCTAGGTTTGTTGATAGACTAGTCTTCCTTCCTGCAATATGGGTTTAGTTCATGAAAAGTCAGGCAAGGGACCAGAAGTAATTGTTTACTACTTTAATGGATCCAGACTTTTGCCAGATAAGGGAACTTCAGAGGATCCTATGCTTTGTTGGAGACAGAGTGGGTGAAGAGATGGATGTAGTAAGACAGACCCTGAGACTCTTTTTTTTAGTTCAGCATTTACAAAGTGTCATATTTTGGGGTATTAGTTTTGACCCCTACAAAGGTATAAAACTCAGGATTTTTATAGGCCAGAGACACTTCCTGATGAGTCTGGTTTCCTGATCTAAAAGTCCTAATGGGGAACTGATCATGGAGAATTATTCTGCAAGGAACTCAAAAAATGTATATATAACATGCTAGATTTGAATTGGGGTTTTAAGAGCTTCGGAGTCCTCTCTCTTCTCATGTATGTTCAGCATGCATCAAATAAAGCAATTAAATGAGTTAACCCAAGGCCGAAGACTAGTCTGACTGATATCTAAAGACTTTGGAGGCCTATTTTAAGCAGGAAAAATGGTGCTTGGGCAGAGAAGTGCTTGACAGCCTGCAGAGGAGGGGGAAAGCAGAAACCCATCAGAGTCTTATGATTAAGGCCAAGCATTCAATGTTGCTTAAAAAAAATTGGGGCTTTGGTGATATTATTCTCCCTATATATCTGTTCTCACTTCCTAAATAACCTTATCCAATCCCAAGCTTCAAAAATGACATCTAAATCTGTGGCCCTGGCCTGCAGTCAACCTCAGACTTGTCTATCCAACTGCCTGTACAACAACACAACTTGGTTGTCTAATGGGAATCGCAAAACATAACTATCTTCTGCCTGAAGATGTGATACCCTGCAAAGCATAATAAATATTTGTTGGATGAAGGAACAAGCCAATGTTAGATAGTAATAGCCAGAGAAAACAATGTGCAGCCTGAGCGGTATTCAAGGAGTCTTTGAAAAAAGAGGAAGACCTCTGCATCTGCAGAAACCAGGAGGAGCTAATATTGCTTAGGAAAGCCTGACTCCTGGATGGGACACCTTGGCCAGGGTCCAGGTACATATGGGCCTAACGAAAGCAGAAGTATCTAAAACTGCTTAAGTCTGAATCTGTGATGATACATCTGACCTTACCTTGGCTTCAGAATCCCAGTGAATAATGCATCCAGGATGTAGGATTATGAGTATATAGGCATTACCTGTGGTGCAGAGGTAACTCAGGGGTAAGATATCCATTCATTCTTTTGTCAGACCAGAACCAGGACTGCTTTGTAAGAGAAGCCCTGACTTTTCTTTTTCTGGAGGCAGCTTTTTTTAATCAGGTGTATATCCTCATTAGGTGCTTCACTTTTCATAAAAGAAAGTTAACCTATTCCCAAGTCAGCCAATAGTTGTTGCACATGGGTTGTTTTTATTCAATAACACAAATATCTGTACTCTCCTTACCTGTCAAGAAGTATAACCAGATTTTCTTCTGCCCAATGCCCATGATATGATCATTTGTGAAAATGACACACAGGGTTGCCTGAAGAATTTTCCAACCATCCTTCTTAGAAAGAAGTCATTCTTACAAGACTCTGCTAAGCCAGATCACTGAAGAACCAGGCCATATGATTGTTTCATTTCATATCAGCAATTACTCACCTGCCCTTGGGCATTATATCTTTAACATTTATTGGAAAACGTTATGAGGAAGAGCTCTAAGGTACTCCACATCTTATTAGCTATGCAAATATTGATGATAAAGACTATGTTGTGACAACCCATTGAAGAAGTCTCTCTGGACTCAGCTCCAAAAACATTCCAGTCTCCCCTGATCTACTGTCTTGTTTTCTTATGGACAGCATGAGTCATGTAACTGATCATAGTTTCCTTTTGGAGGGTCTGTTGTAATGTTTAGAAATGAATTTTTCAACCACTCTACATGAGTTTGGGGTATTAACTTTATTCCAGGTTAATCTGCCCTTATCTTAATTTTGTTAATCTTTTATCTTTTCACTTATTTGTATAAACAGTAAATACAAAACTTACCTATATATATTTTTTATTTGAAAATTATTTCATATCTAAAATAATGATTTATATTTCATTCATCCAAATGCTACTTGTAAACAATTATTTGTTAATTTACCAAGGCCAGATGTCAACTATAATAATTTATTTTGTTAGACCTGAGACCTACATCCTTTCTTCCTTTCAATTCATAGATAATAGTGTTTTCATTTAACAAATAACTGGATTTCATAAGTCTTAGGCTATTAAGTGGCTTATTTTATTCACTAAATATTTGTTGAACCCCAACTCTGTGTTAGGCAGTGTTCTGAGTATTAATGTATACAAAATAAACAAGGTTACTACTTTTATGTAGCATATATTCTGTGGGATGGAGTTAGGGGTAAATTAATAATAAACAAGCAAATGCATAAACAGGATAATTTCCAATCAGAGGCCAAACTTTTAAAACAATACACTGGGTTGTGTGGTGATAATTGGAGAGTGGTTTCAGACTGGGTTGTCAAGGAAGTCCTCTTTGGAGGTGACAGATGATGAGGAGAGAGTCACATAAATATCTTTAAGAGACAAGAGCTCTGGACAGAAAGAAAAATAAGTAGGATGTCCCTAATGTGAGGAATAGTTTGATGTATTGAAAAAAGTAAAAAAAAAAAAAAAAACATAATTAGCGAAAGAGAAAGTGGTGTAAGATAAGTCAGGATGTTGACAGAGGCCATATTAGATAGAGATAAGCAGTGTGTAAAGAATTCAAAGTTATGTGGAAGAAGTCACTGTATGGCCACTTTAAATTGCATAATGGGAAAATAACTTTCTAAAGAGGTGACATCTAAACTGAGACTACAGAGATGCTGAGCTGGTGGAAAAATCTTCAGGCTACTGAAGAGTCAAGCAAGAAAAGGACAGAGAAGTGGCCACTGGATTTGACAAGTTCAGGTTGTTCATGATCCTGCCAATCAAACGATATTCAATGGATTGTTAAGAAAAGAAGCCTGATTAGAATAAGTTAAAGAGAAATAAAATATATGCCATATTTACGGATTAAGAAGACTCAAAAAATATTTCAATTCTGTCTAATTTTGTCCACAAATTAACAAAATTTAGTGAAAATGTCTTCAGGGTTTTCATGATCTTGACATAATATTCTTAAAATGAATATGGAAATACAAAGTACTAGAAATTTCTACAAATACTTTGAAGAAAGTACTGGGAGATATGGTATATCAGATATCAAAAATTATTATAAAACTACAGTAAATAAGAGAATTATACAAGTGAAGTCTTAAACCCATGAAACAACATAGAGATCCAGGAAACACATATTTTTGTGTATATAAATATACAAAATATATATTTGTGCATATAAAATACACATGGCTTTACAAAGCAGTGGAGAAATGGTGGGCTACTCATTCATAATGCTAAGACAAATGGACAAAAGATATGAACAGGTGATTTGAAAGAAAGAAAAACTCATGGCCAATAAACATATGAAAATCTGTTCTATATGCCTAGATATCAGAGTGATATGGTTTGGCTGTGTCCCCACCCAAATCTCATATTGAATTGTAGTTCCCATAATCCCCACGTGTCATGAGAGGGACCTGGTGGGAAGTGGTTGGATCATGGTTGTGGGGGGAGGTGAGGGTGGTTTCCTTCATGCTGTCCTCATGATAATGAGTGAGTTTTCATGAGATCTGATGGTTTTATAAGCATCTGGCATTTCCCTGCTGGCACTTCTCTCTCCTGCTGCCTTGTGAAGAAGAAAGTGTTTGCTTCCCATTCCACCATGATTATAAGTTTCCTGAGGCCTCCCCAGCCATATGGAACTGTGAATCAATTAAACCTCTTTTCCTTATGAATACTTAGTCTCAGGTATTTCTTCAAAGCAGCATGAGAACAGAGTAATATAGCAAATTGGTACCAGGAGTTGGGTACTGCTATAGGAATACCTGAAAATGTGGAAGCAACTTTGGAACTGGGTAACATGAAGAGGTTGGAACAGTTTGGAGGGCTCAGAAGAAGACCAGAAGTTGTGGGAAAGTTTGGGACTTCCCAGAGACTTTTAAATGTCTTTGACCAAAATGCTGATAGTGATATGAACAATGAAGTCCAGGCTGAGGTGGTCTCAAATGAAGATGAGAAACATTTTAGAAACTGGAGTAAAGGTCACATTTGCTATGTTTTAGTAAAGAGACTGGAGGTTTTTTGCCCTTGCCCTAGAGATCTGTGGAAATTTGAACTTGAGAGAAATGATTTAGGGTATGTAGCAGAAAAAATTTCTAAGCAGCAAAGCATTCAAGAGAGGACACAGCATAAAATTTGGGAAAATTTGCAGCCTGGAAAATGCAGTAAAAAAGAAAAACCAATTTTCTGGGGAGAAACTCAAGCCAGCTGCAGAAATTTGCATAAGTAACCAAGAGTCAAATGTTAATCACCAAGAAAATGGGGAAAATGTCTCCAGGGAATGTCAGAGATCCTCATGGCAGCCTCTCCCATGACATACCTGGAGGCCTA
Organism: Homo sapiens; assembly: GCF_000001405.40. Taxonomy (NCBI): domain Eukaryota; kingdom Metazoa; phylum Chordata; class Mammalia; order Primates; family Hominidae; genus Homo; species Homo sapiens. The sequence continues at coordinate 76,083,132 of NC_000006.12, read as the reverse complement.
GGAGGGAAAAATGTTTTCCTGGGCTAGGTCCAGGACCCCCTCCCCTGCTCTGTGCAGCCTCAGAACTTGGTGCCCTGAGTCCCAGCTGCTCCAGCCATGGCTAAAAGTGGCCAAGGTAAAGCTTGGGCCACTGCTTCAGAGGGTACAAGCCCCTAGGCTTGGCAGCTTCCACAAGGTGTTGGTCCTGTGGCTGCACAGAAAGCAAGAACTGAGGTTTGGGAACCTCCACCTAGATTTCAGAGGTTGTATGGAAACGCCTGAATGTCCAAGAAGAGGTGTGCTGCGGGGTAGAGCCCTCACGGAGAACCTCTGCTAGAGCAGTGCAGAAGGGAAATGTGGGGTTCAAGCCCCCATATGGAGTCCCCACTGGGGCACTGCCTAGTGGAGCTGTGAGAAGAGGGCCACCATCTTCCAGGCCCCAGAATGGTAAATCCAATGATTTACCCGTAGTCCTGTAGTCCTAGAAAAGCCAGAGGCACTCAATGCCAGCCCATGAAAGCAGCCAGAAGGGGGGTTGTACCCTGCAAAGTCATAGGGGCAGAGCTCCCCAAGGCTATGGGGGCCCACCTCTTTCATCAGCATGACTTGGATGTGAAACATGCAATCAAAGATCACTTTGGCACCTTAAGGTTTAATGACTGCCCTATTGGATTTCGAACTTGCATGGGGCATGTATCCACTTTGTTTTGGCCAATTTCTCCCATTTGAAATGGGTGTGTTTACCTAATGCCTCTACCCCCATTGTATCTCAGAAATAACTAACTTGTTTTCGAGTTTACAAGTTCATAGGTGGAAAGGACTTGCCTGGTCTTAGATGAGACTTTGGACTTGGACTTTTGGGTTAATGCTGAAATGACCTAAGACTTTGGGGGACCATTGGAAAGGCATGATTGTGTTTTCAAATGTGAGTACATAAGATTTGGGGGTGGAATAATATGGTTTGGCCATGTCCCCATCCACATCTCACCTTGAATTATAATTCCCATAGTCCTCACATGTCATGGGAGAGACCCAGTGGGAAGTGATTGGATCTTGGGGTCAGGTTCTTCCATGTTGTTCTCATGACACTGAGTGAGTTCTCACAAGATCTGATGGTTTTGAAAGCATTTGGCATTTCCCCTACTGGTGCTTCTCTCTCTTGCTGCCTTGTGAAAAAGGAAGTGTTTTCTTCTCTTTCCACCATGACTGTAAGTTTCCTAAGGCCTGCCTACCCACATGAAACTGTGAGTCAATTAAACCTCTTTTCGCCTGGCGTGGTGGCTCACACCTGTAATCCCAGCACTTTGGGAGATCGAGGTGGGTGGATCATGAGGTCAGGAGTTCAAGACCAGCCTGGCCAGTATGGTGAAACCCTGTCTCTACTAAAAATACAAAAATTAGCCGGGCATGGTGGTGGGCACCTGTAGTCCCAGCTACTCAAGAGGCTAAGGCAGGAAAATTGCTTAAACCCAGGAAGCAGAGGTTGCAGTGAGCTGAGATCGTACCACTGCACTCTAGCCTGGGTGACAGAGTGAGCCTCCATCTAAAAAAATAAAAATAAAAATAAATTAAACCTCTTTTCTTTATAAATTACCCAGTCTTGGGTATTTCTTCATAGCAGCATGAGAACAGACTAATACGTAGGAAATACAAATTAAAATTATAATGAGACACCATTTTAAACTCTTCAGTTTGGCAAAATTAAAAAGTCTGACAATTCAAGTTGGCATGAATGTGGAAAAATAGGAACTTCTCATTTATCATTGGTAAAAATGGAAATTTGTATAATACCCATCAACAGAGAATAAACTTGACAGCAGTTATTTAATGAAATATTAAACAAAATTGAAATGAATAAATTAATATAAATAAATCTCAAGAACATAATGTGGAATAAAGAAGTTGTAAAATGACATGTACAATATATTATTTATTTAACATTTGAAAACTCATAAAAATAATACAAATATATATTTGTGCATTAGTGTATATAAACATGCATAGACATGATAAACACCAAATCCAGGTTAATAGTTGATGGTTAAGAGTTAACAGTTGATGATGGAAGATGAGGAAAGCTGAAGGACTATCCATCTGATTACAACTATTTTTGTATTTAAAATTTTTTTATAATTTCAAATTTACATTAAATTCAGGGGATAAATGTTCAGGTTTCTCACATAAGTATACTGCATGATGCTGAGGTTTGGGTTAGGAATGATTCCATCACCAAAATAGTGAGCAAAATACCCAGAAGTTAGTTTTGCAGCCCTTGGCCCCCTCTCACACTCTCCCCTTTAGTAATCCCCAGTGTCTATGGTTGCCATCTCTATGCCCATAAGTATCCAATGTTATAGCTCCCTTTATAAGGGAGAACATACAGTATTTGGTTTTCTGTTCCTACATTAATTCGCTTGAGATAATGGTCTCTAGCTGCATCCATGTTCCTGCAAAGGACATAACTTCATTCTTCATATGGCTGCATAGTATTCCATGGTATATATATACCATATTTTCTTTATCCGGTCCACCACTAATGGGCACTTAGGGTGATTTCATGTCTTTGCTGTTTTAAATAATGCTGTGATGAACTTTCAAGTGCATGTATCTTTTTGGTAGAATGATTTATTTTCTTTTGGATATAAATCCCAGCAATGGGATTGCTGGATCAAATAGTAGTTCTGTTTTAAGGTCTTTGAGAAACTCCAAACTGATTTCCACAGTGGCTGAACTAATTTGCATCCCCATCAACAGTGTGTAAGTGTCACCATTTCTCCACAGCCTTGCCAGCATTGTTGTTTTTGACTTTTCACTAATAGTCATTCTGACTGGTATGAAATGATATCCCATTGTGGTTTTGATTTGCACTTCTCTGATGATTAGTGATGTGAAGCATTTTTTCATATGTTTCTTGGTTGTTCGTATGTCTTCTTTTGAGAAGCGTCTGTTCATTTCTTTTGCCCACTTTTTAATGGAGTATTCTGTTCCAGTCTATATGTCTGATTTTGTATTGGTACCATGCTGTTTTGGTTACTATCTTTATAGTTTGAAGTCAGGTAATATGATGCCTCTTGCTTTGTTCTTTTTACTTAGCATGGCTTTGGCTATTAGGGCTGTCTTAGGGTTCCATATGAATCGAAAAACTAGAATAGTTTTTCTAGTTCTGTGAAAAATGACATTGATATTTTGATAGAAATAACATTGAATCTGCACAGTGCTTTGGACAGTATGGCCATTTTAATGATATTGGTTTCTCTCATCCATGAGCATGGAATATTGTTCCATTTGTTTGTCATCTTTGACTTCTTTAAGCTGCGTTTTGTAGTTCTCTTTGTAGAGATATTTCTCCTCCTTGGTTAGATGTATTCCTAGATATTTCATTTTTGTGTGTGTGGCTATTGTAAATGAGAATGCATTCTTGATTTGGTACTCACCTTGAATGTTTTGGGGGTATAGAAATACTAGATTTTTGTACAATGATTTTGTATCCTGAAACTTTACTGACGTTGTTTATCCATCCCAGGAGCATTCTGGCAGAGTCTAGGGTTTTCTTGGTATAGAATCACATCATCAGTGAAGAGAGACAAGTTGCTTTCTTTTCCTATTTTGATGTCTTTCATTTCTTCCTCTTTCTTGATTGCTCTTGCTAGGACTTCCTGACTATACCTATTTTCTCAGTAAAACTAGAGGGCAGATAGGTGAAGTCTGGGAAGGTAATAATCAGGATGGTAGTATTAAGAAGAAGGTGAAGAATGGTTTTTTTGTAAACTGGGAAGTTAATTTATAGAGAAAACTCACAAAGTTATGTGTTAAATTGATCTAGGCCAATTTAGGTAAATACAGACAGGTTGTTTAGTACGTTATATGGGCCCTAATAGTTGGAAGTGGTTTAGAGATAGCTGCTCTCCTACAACCTTATTACCAGGTTTCAGTAAAAGAAAGAATCAAACAACAATCTTCCACACATGCAAACTATTGTTAAATTAGCACATATTAGTAAGTAGTCCTCAAGTAGACCATACTGCCTGTTCTGTAAGTTCAATGAAATCCCACTTTGGTTTCAAAAAAAAAATTGAAGTCCTTCCAACCATGCCTTACGTGAGCTTTCTTTGGTACAAATGCAAGACAGTCTAGAGGCAAATTTAAGTGACCTCATTTTCATCATCCTCCAAAGATATGACTAGGCAACAGGACTCTTGAAGGAACAAGCTTCCAACTTCATCCTAAAAATGAAGAGTGATGCAATAGACTAGTGTCAGAACAGGAAATCTTTCTAAAATATTTTAACCAATTCACAAATTTTAACTATTGCTAATCTCACTTAGTACATGCCCATTTCCATGATCTAATTAACAAGCCACTAATTTCACCAATTAATGCCCAACTCTATCCTTCATTATGCTAGTATTTAAAACTGTGGTGTTAATCAGAATTAAAAGTCATTGAAGATTGTAGTAGCATGTTTGGAGTGTGGCTTCTTTGCTGAATTTCTATTTGAGACTTGAGGTCATGCATTTCACTCATTTTGACTGTAGTTAATAAGTGTAGGGTTCTAACTTGTGATCAGGGACTGTGCTTAAATCACTTATTAGCTATGAGACAGTAAGAACTTCCTTAGCCTCCCATAGCTTTAATGTCCTCATATGCAACATGACAATAGTAATCACCTAATATGGTTAATATAGAAATTAAAGACATCTGAAGGGCTTAAAACTCAAAAAATATTTGTTATTATGATTAAAGTGGTTTGGCTAGCATTTTTTGTGTGGCATCACTTTGAAAGGTGCTGAGCTGGTAACCCCATTTCATCATCTTTATATGCATTGTATCACTTTTAGATTGTATGCCCCTGCAGAGCATATGTCTATGTGTTTCATGCTCTAACACTTTTTTGAGTCCTACGACGTGAAGCAATTCAGGAACTTCTTTTTAAGCAAGTGCTTGTTAAGCAGACAAAATCTTGCACTAGCAGATCTCGAACTCGATCTCCATCTCTCTCTCTCTTTCTCCCTTAGCTGTGCTACACACTTCCACCATGCCTCTTGCTCTACCTCTAAACAATACTTTAAAAAAAAAAAAAAAAAAAACTTGTTTTTTTTCCTGACTAGCTTATTAAACTAATTCTCTCTCATCTTTTGCTGTTTGACTATATAAAGAGAAGTCTCACTCACTGTCTCTTTTTCACCATCCAATTAATCTGTAATGTACTGCAGGCTGACTTCCTTCCCCACTAAGCTACTGAAATGGCCTCTCAAAGGTCACAGATTCCTCCTTATCACAGTTTTAACAGAGTTTCCTCAGCACTAATCTTCTTGATTTTCTTTTCAGCCCTCGACTCTGCTAACTATTCACTCTTCCTTGCCGTGTGCCTAAGTGCTCAGACAATAAACACTGGAGGAATGCAAACCACAAAGATATTTCAGCAGCATCATTTAAACTGGGTTTTAATGTCTCTCAATTCAAGTCACTCTGCTCTTAGAATGTGCAACATTTATCATGACTTCTTCAACCACATATAGAAGGGAATATATGTAACTTGCTGAGACCAAACGTGGATTCTCTTAGCAGTTGTGGCTAATTATTTTTGAAAAATCTGCATGTCAAAATACACGCAGATTGACACATTTAAGATTTTAAAAAATGTTACCTGCTTGTGTGCTTTTCTAGTGTGTGGCTTATGATTATGTTTACCAACAGACTAAATCAGTTTATTCTGTATTTGCTGTATTTATTACCAAGAACTTGGAGAGGGGCAAGGAAGCAAGACAGGAAAGAACCCTATGTTAGGAGCCCTTGGAGGAAGGCTGACCTGCTTTTTCTCCACAAGAGGATGGGGTCATTCAACCCTTCCCACACTGGGATTAATTAAAGAGGCCTCTGAGAAGATAATGAATGTGGATAAGGATGCAGGACCTCTGTACCTGGGCTGCTATCAATCTCATCCTCACTAAAACTGTCATCTTGAGGCTCTATGGTTGCCTCCCTTCATTCTTGCTCTAGTGCAGTCAGCTTTTGGTAGGTTCCATCCCTTCCTTCTCCCTCATTATGTCTGAGAAATCGCTTTTTGTTTAATCCTGTAGTTTTTAGCTGACAGCCAAAGTGAGATGGATCCAGAGGGTAAACTCAAGGGATGGAAGCCTACCTTAGATGACATCCCAATTAATGTTACCCTTGTGTTTCTGTGTAGTATATCCCTAATTTCTAAGTTACGAATAATAATGAAGGGAAAACTCTCTGAGCTACAGATAGTGAATCTTCTATTAACAAGAAAGGCATTTCTTCAAAACATCCAGAAATACAGGTGAGGACATTAGGGTTTTTTCATAACTAATAGAACCTATTCCTTCCAGATTACAGATTTCATACATATGGTAGTGCCTAACTGCTCCTCCTAGTAGTGATTACTTCTATGAGAAGTTCAGCTACTCCTGACTAATTACACATTTTAATGGTGATAGAAATGTTTCAAGAGTCCCCTGTGCCTGCCTGGATTGGAGAGACAAATAAACAGCCAATAATGTGAGCAAAGAGAAACCTAGAAACAGTAAGAGGACATTAGTCCTACTACCAAAGAAAAGACTACACCATTCCAGAGACAGAAACTTTCTAGATTCCTAGGTAGTCACCTTACCTAAGTTTAAGTCAGTAGATGTAATGTGAAGGAAAAGATCAATGTAAACAGTGAACTTTTGATAGGACCCTGCCTTTTCAATGGCTTCTCTTCTGTTCAGTGTCATTAACTTGTCCAGTGAGTATCAGTTACTTTCTCAGCATGTTTTCCCTGTAGAGAGAACATAGTGAGGAGCAGTAGAAAGAACATAGGCTTTGAAAGTAGAGAGATCTTGGGTGGAAAACCTGCTTCAGTTTTATTAGTTGCATAGTTGAATAATGTACTCACCATCTCTAACTCTCAGTTTTCTCATCTGTGAGATGTAAATAAAAATAGTACTTGAGAGCTGGGTGCAGTGGCTCACACTTGTAATCCCAACACTTTGGGAGGCCAAGACAGGAGCATCACTTGAATCCAGGAGTTTGAGGCCACTTTGGGCAACAGAGTGAGACCCCATTTCTACAAAAAAATAAAAAATCTCTAATAAAATTTAATTAAAAAATAGTACTTACCTCATGAGGGTGCTGAGAAAATGTCATACTATGCATATAAAGCACTTAATTGAGAGTTTTATATTTAATAGGAACTCAAAAAATTATGTCTATTTTGATTAACAAAAGGAATCATTTCTTTGTGATATTAACTTATTCATTTTGGTAAACATGATATGGTTTTGCTCTGTGCCTCCACCCAAATCTCATCTTAAATTGTATTCCCCACATTTCAGGGGAGGGACCCAGTGGGAAGTGATCGGATCATGGGGGCAGTTTCCCCCATGCTGTTCTCATGATAGCGAGTGAGTTCTCACAAGATCTGATGGTTTAAAAGTCTGGCATTGCCCCAGTTCCTCTCTCTCTCCTGCCGCCATAAGAAGACAGGTCTTTCTTCCCCTTCCACCATGATTGTAAGTTGTCTGCAACCCCTGAGTCATGCTTTCTGTTAAGCCTGCCTGTTAGTCAAACTTTTTTTCTTCATAAATTACCCAATCTCAGGTAGTTCTTTATAGCAGTGTGAAAATTTACTAATATAAAACTTATTATTTATATCTACTGATTTCAGATGAAGGAATATATCTGCAAAGATACACTGCCTTTTCCACTCTACCTTGTACATTTTAAATGCACCACTGAAATTCTGCCAGAAAATACAGGGGAAAGCCTATCTCTTTAAGAATATACAATTATAGTTGACAGTCAACCACCTTGAAGAAGCAATTCTGGATTAATTAACAGTGACCCAAAATTAAACACAACAGTAATTAGAGAACAACTTGATGGTCCCAGAAAGCATGGTCTTGGGAATAATGAATGCTTATCATTCTTGTTTGCTATCTAAGTGGGAGTTATCAACATTAGTTACCCAGATTTTTCATCAAAAGTAGGAAAAATGCATAAGGTACTGCCATCAAGAGAAACTTTTAAATATTTGTTATTTTAAAACAAATTAAATACTTTTATATTCATATCTATGATAGAGGATACCTTCTTGAACACAAATTAGTCTATCCTATATTTTTCTTTAAGCAACACATTTCATTAAGAAAACTATTAAGAGGAAATTGTTTTCGGAAATTGAAATTGTTGGTTTCTTTCCTAGAGAAAGAAGAAATGTTTCATAACAGGGTTAGAAATGTAAGTATAACATAGAACTATATAGCAAACCAAGAGAGAAGTATTTCTTCAACTAATATGAATGTATTTTAGAAATACTTATGTATAAGTATGTATCTAGTCTATTGCATTCTAATATCATTTTTTCTACATATAATTAGGGAAAAATAGATTCATCTTCCACCTAGTTCATTTCTCATTTTCAAATACATTGTTATAAGCAGGCTTATATACCGATTGATGGTAGTTTTCTTTAAATATTACCAAAATAATCTGTAGTTGAAGGTAAGAGCTAAAAATCCATTCCCTTTGACCACCTCTGAATACCCCAAGAAAATAATATTTAAGGAATTTTTTTAAGTATAAAGCCACAACAAACCACGAGAAAGAAGACAACAGTAATAAAGTTTTAGAATTTCTACAGCTGACATTTTCAATATCTAAATGAATGTTGTTTTCAACCCAGAATTCTATATCCAGCCAAACTATCAAACAAGTATGAGGGCAGATGGAAACCATTTTCAAACATGTAAGATTTTAAATTTACCTACCACAAACTTTCAGTAATGTACTAGAGCAGTTGCTCCGCTAAAACAAGAGATTAAGTTAAGAAAGAAGACAATACAGGATCCAGAAATCACAAGATCCAACACAAGAAAGAGGTTGAAGGAATCCTCAGGATGACTGTGAAGGGCAATCCCCAGATGACTGCTATGAACAATGACAAGAAATTAAATAATACAGACTGGAGAGGGTTAGAAAGCCCTGGGAAAGACAGACTATTTGAAGTGTTTATGTGAAGAGATTTACATATCCAGGGGAATATTTGGGGATAATTTATTATTTTGTATTTAGAAACTAAAAAAAGTTTTTTTTAATGAGACTATGCAAAAAGTATCATAGAAGGATAGTGGTGAAGAGTATAGGCTCTTGGCCAGGTGCGTGGCTCACACCTATAATTCCACCACTTTGAGAGGCCAAGGCTGCTGGATCACTTGAGCCCAGAAGTTCGAGACCAGCCTGGGCAACATGGTGAAACCTCATCTTTACAAAAAATACAAAAAATTATCCAGGTGTGGTGGCATCTGCCTACAGTCCCAGATACTCAGGAGGCTAAGGTGGGAGGATCACCTGACCCCATGGAAGTTGAGGCTGAAATGAGCCAATGAGCCAAGACCACGCCATTGCACTCCAACCTGGGTGACAGAGTGAGACCCCCATCTCAAAAAAAAAAAAAAAAAAAAAAAAGGGTGTAGGCTTTTGAACCAGACTCTTTAGGTTTAAATCCTAGCTCTGCCACATATACTTTATTCTCCTCAAATTTAAAAGAGATAGTATTAACAGTGTTTATATTGTCATATTGAGGAATCTATGGATAATCTATGGACATCTCTAAGAACAATGTCTATCCACAACACAAGAGCTCCATATACAGTAGTAGTTGCAGTGTGTTTCATGACTCAGCAATATGTAGCATGTATAGTCAAAATAATATAAAATCAAATATTCAAAAACTGAAATTACAATAATACTGATGAAGAAAGATGGAAAGATGTTTACAATGAGTAGAAAGGGTATGTGTGGAAGTGAAGTTATTCTCAATATCTATTATTTGATAATACCTAAAAGTGAAAACCTCCAAAATAGTAATAGAGGCATGTTATTTAGAAGTGCAAATGAGACTACTAGAAGAATTAGGTTGATGAAGTAAAAATGGCTCCCCTTTGAAAGAAGGCATGGGTAGAAGAAAGGCACAATTTTTTCTTACAAACTTTGTAGAAAAAAAGTATTTGACCCCTTAAACACAGTGCATACAGATTTTAAACATTAAAACCAGACTTAAATCAAAAAAGCCACCTGTATGTAATTCCAAATCAAAAGCAATTTATAAAGCAGAACATAGAAGAGAATGGAGACAGTTTCGCTATCTGTGGAGACTAATACATATTGGATAACCATATACTTTCAGGGACAGAAATTAAGCTCTTTTAATGGATGTTTCTTGTACATGTCATTTTAGAAAACATCTGACCCTAACTGTCAGCCTTATTCTCTGTTTGGCAGAACTTCCCCTGGCTCTCTGTGTCACTGTAACAGGTGAATAACTAAGAAAAAACTGTGTCTGTAGACACTTGTTTATAATGGCATTCAGGGTCCTGGAGCTAGGCTGACAGATGCTCCTCCAGAAGGTTAATGAGATAAAGGTTCCTCCAGCTGGCCCTTAAGCAGAGATTACACCTGAGGGAAAGACAAGCAGATTATTCCAGAAACAGACACTGCTACATGTTCTTCATAAATTAACACCCTCATAAAGGTAAACCAAGAAGGTTATCCTCAATCATCTGGTATCAATATATAATTATTTTTCACATTTCTGTTACTTTTTAATGAGATTTGAGGTTGTTCTGTGATTGTTATCAGAATTACCAATGCACAAAAGCCAGAATGTATTTGGAAACTAGAAGAGCTATTTTTGTTTTTTGGATTTTTCTCCAAGTTCAAGGAACCAAAGGTAAGTTACTTAAATGTTTACTTTTAAATTGCTTATCTATAAAATCTACCGATAGAAGTGAATATTTAGAACCAACAAGGCTACCAATTGATCTCACGGGCTAGTATATAGTAGGCCTTGAATAAATATTGCTTGATTGATTGAATAATTAACTATCAGAAATGATTTTCACTTGATTTAATATTTACTACATGGTCTTAAGTGCAGTGAAGATTAACAAAATAGGAGAGATGAATGCATCCTATTTGCTGTTCTAAAACATTCATTGAAAATTCTTATTATTAATGTAAATAATATTAGTAGATCTGTGAAACTAACTCCATTTATCCACCGAAATTCAACAAATAAAACCTAAAGATAAAAGTAATGTTTTAAGTCATTTATGGTCAGACAAAAAAAAGTAAGTATTTCTTACCTTCTCACAATGAAATCATGAGTTGCTTTCCCTTAGAAAATAGCAAACATTCTTCATCTTCAGGGTTCATGATGACAACCACTTCAAAATTTGGTTGTTTTTGAAGTTGTACGCATAAAAGAACTAGGCAATGTATGTTCTTATGGCAAATCTGCATCTGAATATGAAATTAAAATAAGCCACAAACAGGATGTTTTAAGAAAAATAATGTGTGTTTTAAAAAAGAAACACACATGTTGGAGAAAGTTTGACTTTTTTATATAAGGATAAGCCTACCTATCATAATATACTCAATCTTTTTAAGACATTTGAAGTCAATAAGGTTAAGAATTTCTTTAAGAATGACATAGCTTCATGATGATAAACATTTTAACTAAAGTATTGGTTTGGAATATCCATGAAAAAGTAAAATTAATAGTCATTGCATGTGTAAGTCACAAAATAACTGTGATTCCATCAGTCATGTTATATGAAACTTCTCAGTGATTGCATTTGGAGGGAGAAAAAAATTTCTGGAAAAGATTTCTTCATGTTTTCACAATAGTGAAAGAAGCAAAATTTATTTACTTTTTCATTAAATTATCAATTATATATAAATATTTACATTTATAAAATCATTTTAATTAGAAATAAATAATGAGATTTTGGTATATTCTGAACTGAATCTGATGAAGTAAACCAATTTGACTATTTCGTAGACTTGATCAAGCAATTCAGCTGTGTTAAATTTTTTGTTACATTAATTCTGTTAATTTAACGATTTTTTCTATTTTCATATATTGCATATCAGCTATTATACACAATTCCAAATATATAATTATATATAATTTTTATATATAACAATTATATGTCATATAATTATAATTCTAATGTATTACATATACATATAATTTAATATATGTAATATATTATACATATAGGAATTGAAATGAAATAAGCTTATCAAGAAAACTGCCATTTGTTATATGCTTACTTCTAGGAAACAATGTCCAGTAATTGCATAATAAAAAATCCTAACATGTTACTTGTTTTTTTTAAATATAGATTTAGGGAGTACAAGTGCAGTTTTGTTACACCCATATATTGCACACTGGTGAAATCTGGGCTTTAGTGTAACCATCACCTGAATAGGGTACATTGTACTCATTGGGTAATTTTTCATCCCTCATTCCCCTTCCACTCTCTCATCTTTTTGAATGCCCAGTGTCTATTGTTCCACTCTCTATGTCTTTCTTGTGTATACATTATTTAGCTCCCACTTATAAATGAGACCACGTGATATTTGACTTTCTGTTTCTTAGTTATTTCACTTAAGAGAGCAGCCTCCAGTTCCATCCAGGTTGCTACAAAAGACATTATTTCATTCATTTTTTTGGCTGAGTAGCATTCCATTAATATATAACGATATTTTCTTTATTCATTCATTAGTTAACGTTCACTAGGGTTGATTCCCTATCTTTGCTATTGGTAATAGTGCTGCAATAAATATTCAAATGCAAGTATCTTTCTGATATAATGATTTATTTTCCTTTGGGTAGATACCCAGCAGTGGGATTGCTGGATCAAAGGGTAGTTCTATTTTTGGTTCTTAGGTAAATCTCCATATTGTTTTCCATAGAGGTCGTACTAATTTCCATTTCTGCCAACAGTGCATAAGCATTTACTGTTCTCCACATCTGTTATTTTCTGACTTTTGAAAAATAGCCGTTCTGACTTATGTGAGATAGTATCTCAATGTGGTTTTAATTTGCATTCCTCTGAGATTAGTGACATTGAGCTTTCTTTCATATGTTTGTTGGCCATTTGTATGTCTCCTTTTGCAAAATATCTGTTCATGTTCTTTGTTAATTTTTTAAAATAATTTTACCTTCTATTTTAAATACAGGGCATACATGTGCAGGTTAGTTACATAGGTATATTGCATGATGCTGAGTTTTGGGGTACAATTGACCCCATCATGCAGGTACTTAGCACAGTACTGAAGAGGAAGACTTTCAACCCTTGTCTCCTTCTTGCCCTCTTCCCTCTAGTAGTCCCAAATGTCTATGGTTGCCATCTTTATGTCCATGGGGACCCAGTGTTTAGCTCCCACTTATAAGTGAGAACATGCAGTATTGGGTTTTCTGTTCCTGCATTAATTTACTTAGGATAGCGGTCTCCAGCTTTATTCATGTTGTTGCAAAAGACATGATTTCATTTTTGGTTTGTTTTATGGCTGCAAAGTATTTTATGGTGTATATATACCACATTTTTTTTTTTTTGATCAACCAATGATGGGCACCTAGGTTGATTCCATGTCTTTGCTGTTGTGAATAGTGCTGTGATGAACTTGCAAGTGTATGTGTCTTTTTGGTAGAATGATTTATTTTCTTTTGGATATAAACCCAGTAATGGGATTGCTGGGTCAAATGGTAGTTCTGTTTTTAGTTATTTGAGAAGTCTTCTTTGACCACTTCTTGAGGAAGTTATTTAGTATTTTCTGTTGAGTTGTTTGTGTTCCTTATAGATTCTGGATATTAGCCCTTTGTTAGGTACATAATTTGCCAATATTTTCTTCCATTTTGTGTGATATCTATTTACTCCGTTGAATATTTCTTTTACTGTGCACAGGCATTTTACTTTAATTAAGTCCCATTTGTCTGTTTTTGGTTTTGTTACATTTGCTTTTGAGTTCTCAGTAACTAATTCTTTGTGTAGGCTAATGTCCAGAAGAGTTTTTCCTAGGTTTCCATTTATAATGTTTAGAGTTTTAAGGTCTCATGTTTAAGTCTTTTATCTCTATTGGGCTAATTTTTATATACAGTGAGGGATATTGGTCCAGTTTAATTCTTCTCCATATGGCTATCCAATTTTCCCAGTACCATTTATTGAATAGTGTCTTCTTTCCCCAGTGTATATTTTTGTCGACTATGTCAAAGATGAACTGGTTGTAGGTATGTGGGTTCTCTACTCTGTTCCATTCTATATATATCTTTTTATATCAGTACCATGCTGTTTTGATTATTATAGCCTTGTAGTATAATATAAATGTGATGCCTCTAGCTTTGTTCTTTTGTTGTTTTTTCTATATGAGCTCTTTTTTGGTTCCATATGAATATTAGTATTGTTTTTTCTAATTCTGTGAAAAATAGCATTGATATTTTGATAGGATTGCATTGAATTCGGGGATTGTTTTAAGAAGTATGGCCATTTCCTGGTGCGTTGGCTCACGCTTGTAATCCCAGCACTTTGGGAGGCTGAGGTGGGCGGATCTCTTGAGGTCAGAAGTTCAAGACCAGCCTGGCCAACATGGTGAAACCCCACCTATACTAAAAATATAAAAATTAGCCAGGCATGGTGATGGGTGCCTATAATCCCAGGTACTTGGGAGGCTGAGGCAGGAAAATCACTTGAACTCAACAGGGGTGGAAATTGCGGTAAGCTGAGATCATGCCACTGCACTCCAGCCTGGGTAACAGGGAAAGACTCTGTCTCCAAAAAAAAAAAAAAAAAAAAAGTATGGACATTTTAAAAATATTGATTCTTCCAAGCCATTACCATCAAATGATTTTCCATTTGTTTGTGTCACCTCTGAGTTCTTTCAGCAGTGTTCTGTAACTCTCCTTGTAGATCATTATTGGTGTGTAGAAATGCTACTGATATTATGGGCTGATTTTGTATCCCAAACCTTTACTGAGTTCATCTGTCAAATCTAGGAGTCTTTTGGAGGAGTCTTTAGGATTTTCTACGTATAAGATCATATCATCAGCAGCAAACAGATAATTCGACTCCTTCTTTTCCAATTTGGAATACTTTATTTCTTTCTTTTGCCTGATTACTCTGGCTAGGACTTCCAGCACTATGTTGAATAGGAGTGGTTAAAGTGGGCATCCTTGTCTTCTTCCAGTTCTTAGGGGTATGCTTTCAAATATTCCCCCATTCGGTACGATGTTAGCTGTGGGTTTGTCATACACGGCTTTAATTATTTTGAGGTATGTTCCTTCTATGTCTAGTTTCTTGATGGCTTTTATTGTGAAGTGATGCTATATTTAATCAAATGCTTTTTCTGTGTCTAAAGAGATGATCTTATAGTTTTTGTTTTTAATCCTGTTTATGTTGTGAATCACATTTATTGATTTGTATATGCTGAACCGTCTTTGCATCCCTGGAATAAAGCTCATCTGATTATGGTTATTGTCTTTTTCTTGTGCTGTTGGATTCGATTTGTTACTATTTTGTTGAGGATTTTTGCATCTATGTTAATCAGGGATATTGGTCTTTAGTTTTCTTTTTTTGTTGCGTCCTTGCCTGGCTTTGGTATCAGGGTGACACTGGCTTCATAGAATGAGCTAAGAAGGATTCCCTCCTCCTTGATTTTTTGAAATAGTTTCAGTAAGATTGGTACCCATTCTTTTTTGTATGTCTGGTAGAAATCAGCTGTAAATCTACCTGGTCCTGGGCTCTTATTTCTTAGGAGATTTTTTTATTACTGATTCAACCTCACTATTCATTATTGTTCTATTCAGGATTTCTATTTCTTCCTGGTTCAACCTTGAGAAGTTGTATGTCTCCAGGAATCTATCCATTTCCTCTCGGTTTTCAAGTTTGTGAGGGTAGAGATGCTCACAGAAGTTTCTGATGATCTTTTGTATTTCTGTGGTATCAGTAGTAATGTTGTCTTTTTCATTTGTGATTGTGCTTATATGAATTTTCTTGCTTTTTTCTTGGTTAATCTAGCTGGCAGTCTTTCAATATTCTTTAGCTTTTTGAAGAAACAACTTTTCATTTCATTGATGCTTTTTATTTTTTTTTTAGTCTCCATTTCATTTAGTTCTCCTTTGATGTTTGTTATTTATTTACTTCTACCTTTGGGTGTGATTTGTTTTTGTTTTTCTAGTTCCTTGATGTGTGACATTAGGTTGTTAATTTGTGATCTTTCTATCTTTTCATGTAAGCATAAAACACTATAAACTTCTCTCTTAGCACTGCTTTGGCTGTATCCCAGAGGTATGTTGTGTCTCTATTTTCGTAAGTTTCAATTTTTTTTAATTTCCGTGTTAATTTTGTCATTGACCCACAGATCACTCAGGAGTAGGTTATTTCTTTCCATGTACTTACATTGTTTTGAGTTCCTCTTGGGATTGATTTCTAGTTTTATTCCACTATGCTCTGAGAAGATACTTGATATAATTTCAATTTATTTAAATTTATTGATTCTTGTTTTGTGGTCTGACATACGGTTTTTCTTGGAAAATGTTCCATGCACTAATGAGAAGAATGTATATTCTGCAGTTGTTAAGTAGAATGTTCCATAAATGTCTGTTAGGTCCATTTGGTCTACAATACAATTTAAGTCCACTGTTTCTTTGTTGATTTTCTGTGTCAATGAGCTGTCTAGTGTTGCCAGTGGAATGTTAAAGGCCCCCAATATTATTGTATTGCTGCCTCTTTTGTTAGGTCTAGTAGAATTTGTTTTATGAATCTGGTTTTGAGTGCATATGTAGTTAGAAATGTTATATTTTCTTGTTAAATTGATCCCGTTATCATTATATAATGACCTGCTTTGTCTCTTTTTACTGCTGTTGATTTAGTGTCTGTTTTATTTTGTGTAACTATAGCTACTCCTTCCCACTTTTGGTTTCTGTTTACATAGAATTTTTTTTCTACCCCTTTAGCTTCAGTCTATGAGTGTTTTACCAAGTTTTTTATAAGCAGCACATCATTGGACCTTGTTTTTTAATCCATTTCACCAATTTTTATAGTTTTAAGTGGAGCATTTAATTCACTTACATTCAAGGTTAATATTAATATGTGGAGTTTTCTTTCTGTTATACTGTTAACTGTTACCTAATTGCTTTGTAGTCTCAGTTGTGTACTTTTATAACACCTGTATTGTATTTATGTTTGTTTTTATGATGGCAAATATTGTTTTTTCATTTCCATATTTAAAATTCCCTTGAGCATTTCTCATAGGGGTGGTCTAGAGGTGACAAATTTTCTTAGCATTTGCTTGTCTGGGAAAGACTTTATTTCCCCTTCATTTATGAAACTTAGTTTTTCAGGGTACAAAATTTATTGTTGACAGTTTTTCTTTATGCAGTCTGAAAATAGGACCTCAGTCTCTTCTGTTTTTAAGGTTTCTGCTGAGAAGTCTGCTGCTAATACTATGAGATTTCACTTATAGGTGATTAGAGGCTTTTCTCTTGCTGATTTTAGGATTTTTTTCTTCACACTGATTTTGGATAATCTGATGACTATATATCTCTGTGAAGTTCATTTTGCAATGGATGTTTCTGGAGTTCTCTGAGCCTCTTATAACTGGATGTCTAAATTTCTAGTAAAATTAGGGAAGTTTTCCTGAATTTCCTAAATTATATTTTCCAATCCTTTTACTTCTTATTTTCCCTCAGAAATACCTATTACATATAGGTTTGGATGTTTTACATAATCCCCCACTTCATGAAGGCTTTGTCCTTTTTAAAATTTTTTTATTCTTGTCTGACTGGGTTAATTCAAAAATCTGCCTTCAAGCTCTGATATTCTTTCTTTCACTTGGTCTAGTCTATTGTTAAAACTTTTTACAGCATTTTGTAATTCCTTCAATGAATTTTTTATTTGCAGACATCCTATCAGGTTTTTTATTTTAAATATTTATCTCTTTAGTAAATTTCTTCTTGAATTGTTTTTCTGATTTCTTTGTATTTGTTTTCAACTTTCTCTTAGAGCTCATTAAGCTTCTTTAAAATTAATATTTTGACTTCTTTATCTGGTATTTCAAAGATTTCATTTTGGTTAAGATCCATTGTGGGAGAGCTAGTGTAATCTTTTGGGGATCCTGTAACCCTCTGTTTTTTCACCAGAGTTTCACAGAGTTTCTTCTTATCTGCATAAACTACCTCTTCTTTCATTTTTGAATTTATTTGCATTTGGACAGGATTTTTTCCCCTTCAGGATGTAACTATAATGTATGTTGTATATACATTATAGTTACATCCTGAAGGGAGAAAAATAGTCTTTTGGCTTTGGTTCTGGGTGCTTTCACTGGCAATGACTCTATATGAGTTCCTTAGTTGTAGGTAGCCTTTGTACTAGGCATGTGAGCAAGTTCATTGTCTCCTATGGTGCCAATATGGCAGAGGTCTCAGGAAGCCAGCACTGTGCACTTGTGCCAGCAGATTGTGTATTAGGTTGTGCAGTTCCATCTCCAGGCCAGCAGGTAGTACTTACTTACTGGTAAGAGCCAGCTGAAGCAGAAGCTGATAGGTATATGCTTGATCTTTGTTTACCAGGAGAGGTTCTCCATTGTTCCAGGCAATGGGCTGATCTATGGAATGCACAGTGGCCTGAGCTCCCTCAGCACCTAAGTGAGAGACAATGCTGTGTGGAGTTGGACTGCCAAGCCCACCCTTGGATACCCCAATGGCAGGCACAAACAAGCCCTAAGAGGGGTGGCAAGGGAAGCTCCCGGTGAAATGTGCTGAGGTCTCCCCAGTGAGGAGAGGGAGCTACCTCAGCTCCATGGCTTGGGCAGGCAGAAACACAGTCTTCTTCCCTGTCATATTCCTGGCCCAGCTCTCAGGACACTCAGATTGTACAGACACCACTGCCTATCTCCAAGCTCCAATTTAGCCAATGGCCATTAAAAAAAAAAAAAAAAGAAAAAAAAATGGTTGCCCCATGGCTCTCCACTAAAATGTCTGTGGTGCAGAACCTCCTCCCTCAGCCCTGTTCTATGCAACAGGAACACTGCCACTCCATGACAGAAGGGGAGACACCTTACCTTTCCTGCAAGCCCCAGCCTGGTAGGCACATAGCCAGCAGGGATGCAGTAATTCCCAATAGCCCTAGAATGGCTGTCCTCCATTCTACCCCTAGAATGGCTGTCCTTTATTCTAGCAAGATTACACATGCCGTAACCTTCAGGAAGAGCAGCCTGTATCCACAACTGTATCCACAACAGTGGGTGGGGTAGGGAGATGAGTAGTCCCCCTCTCCATTCCTGTGCCTCAGCACTGAGGCTGCCTGACTGCTGGGGTGGACCATACTCTTCCCCATAGGGCTGAACACAACACCCACATCTCCTCTAGAAGCAGTGCAGTTACTCTCAGTCCATAAGCGGGAAGCTCTTGAGCACCAGAAAGCACACACTCTGGGTTCCTTTGTGCAAAGGGGTGCTCCCTTGGTGCACTGCACTCTTTTCCTTTAGGAGCAGCACTCCCTGAGGGCTGGAACAAGAGGAATACTGCAGCTCTCTTGGAGTCACCCAGCCCTATGTGGCTGCTGCAATTTTAGCAGATGCTGGGGAATGCCTGTGAGGAATTGGCAATGTGGAAACACAAGGGCTGAGATTTCCTGGGCAGAACTCAGTCATTCAATGGATGCAGCCCAAGAATCGTGCCTGCCACTGCAGTTTGGGTAGAGAAGGAGGACAAGCAACCCTGTACATGCTGGTATACTAGTGCAATGCCCTCAAGAAGTCACCAAATCACTGCCACACCAGTGTTTGGGTTCATGAGGACAGAGGAGCTCTCTGACATTTCAGATACCAAGGATCTGCCACCAGGGCAAGGAGAAACAAAAACACTCCCGCTAATCCTTTTCATGAAATACCAAGCCCCTCTGGGTTTCATCTCTGACAACCTCTTGCTTCCTTCTTTTCCTGTGCCCTAGTTTCTTCTGGTGAGTTCTCCTCTAGGCTCCAGCACTTTCCTCTTGAAATTCTGTGTAAAATCATTCAACTGTAACTTTGAGTCTTCTTTCTTTTTCTTTCTTATTTTATTTTAATTTAATTTATTTCATTTTATTTATTTTATTTTATTTTTTTGAGATGGAGTCTCACTTTATCACCCAGGCTGGAATGCAGTGGCACCGTCTCAGCTCACTACAACCTCTGCCTCCTGTGTTCCAGCGATTCGCCTGCCTCAGCCTCCCAAGTAGCTGTGACTACAGGTGCCTGCCACCATGCCTGGCTAATTTTTGTATTTTCAGTAGAGGCAGGGTTTCACTATATTGGCCAGGCTGGTCTCGAACTCCTGACCTCAAATAATCCACTCACCTCGGCCTCCTAAAGTGCTGGGATTACAGGCGTGAGCCACCCCAAGTCTTCTTTCTAAGGAGAACTGGCATCCATTCTCTCCAGTTAGCCATACTAGGGGAAAAAAAAAAAAAAAAACCTAACTTGCTACTCATTTAGGGCTTTTTATTTCATAAGTATCTTAGATGTGTTAGATCTGTGAATATATGTTAATCTTCAATTATTGAGGTCTATATTAATTAAAGTTTTACCTCAGCCAACTGGTTTCTTATTTGTAACCAATTAACCACCATGAGTGTATTTACATAGAAAAGTGTTTGGGGAGAGAAAAGAAAGGTTCAATTCAACACAACTAGCTGGTAAGCATAACGATTGGGTGTTTAGCTAAATTCAACGTTTCATTTTAAAAGATGAGTAGTTTTGAAAAAATAGGAGATGAAAATTACCAATAGTAGTTCCATCCAAACACAACCTATGCCAGCACTACTTTTTCTAGGTATGTGTATTTAATTTTTACATAATTGCAGTTCTACCACACACAAATTTTATATCAGCCTTTTTGTAGTTTTATTATGTCATATAAATGTTCTACATTGCCATCTAATTTTGACAAGCATCATTTTATTGGCTGCATAATGTTTCTTTCAGTAAATGTGTCAAGATTTGCTTTATCTAAATATTCAACAAAAGAAAACTAATTGTTACTAATTATTTTGTTATGGCAAATAACATTGCAATAAAGAGCTTTGCACATAAGCCTCAGTATTTAAGACTCAGCATAAATTCACTGAAGTAAAATTATTGAGTCAAAGCAATGTAAACAGCTTTATGGTATTTGATTCATATTGCCAAATTGTTTCTCAAAAGTTTTCCTATGCCCTTAGATGACTTTTTACCAATTTGATTCTACAGAATGCTTACCATATACCCAATACTGTGCTAGATACAGAATATACAATGATTTAAAGACATGCCAATATTTCAAAAGGCTTCTTTTAAGTTTTGCAGATTCTGAATGTAGTTTTTCACAGATACATAAAGGTGAGATAGCTTTGATTTCAAAATATTCATTAAATAAAATTGTTTTAGCACAAAAAAAGACAGTTGAAGAGCTCAAAGAACAATTACTTCAAAAAGACACCAAGGCTCCTTTCTTTGAGGTTCATAATGGAAATACCAGTTGCATCTGATATGTGCATCACTGCTTTTATGTTCTTACTTTTCCATTTCACCTAAATAATTTCATTTAATTGCTTGTGACATTCAATGTATAAGAGAAAGAGAAAAAAGAAAATTTACCCTTGCCAAGTCCTAAAATGGAAATAATGTTTATCTTAGTATGTGTCTTTTACATTACATTTGGTTATACTAAATGAAACCTTTAACTAAGTTATTATTAGTTCACCAAGATAGGATAATTATTTTAGTAGCTGTGAGATGTCAGGGAATTTGCATTTTAAGACACTCCACTTCTTGCCAATCCTTTACTATTGGTGTATGCTCTCATTTCATGAAATTACACAAAAGGTATTTTGCTTCATTGTGGCTTCATTAACAGAGAACATACCTGAGATAGCTGCCTAATGGTAGGCACATTAACTGTACAGCCCCTATACTTTGTTCATCTGTGCTAGTCTCAAGTCAGTGTCATTCAAAGGTCCCAGACAGACTTTCTTGTTCAACTGTGTCTAAGAGGATGTCCTTAAAGTTGAAACTATGTAAATTAAAGATACTTCATGTACAAATGAACAATCTGTGGCAGCACACCTGAAACCATTTATTAGATTATATATTTGCTTTAGTAATAAAAAACACTTGCTGCCTTGTGGCCCCTTTAGGCTTGTGTCACTAAGGGACTATTGCATGTGAGAGCTAATTAAACAGGGCTGAAATGACCTACTACTTTCTTAGCCGTTTCTGTTTAATCATGAGAATGCAACCACCTTGAACATCAGCTGTATTTGCATACTAATTATGTCTGGAAATTCAGATTCTCTATACCTTTGGTGCCACTATCATTTTCATATATTTTATTGTTTTAAAATAATTCATCTGAAGCAAGAAAGTTTATTTTTCACAGTAGTCTCTAGGCTTATATTTTAATTGAGAATACATGTTGTAATGACCATACTAAAAGTCCTGACCTCCTCACTATATTATAAAGTATCACACTCAGGGGTAAGTGAGGTCTCCATCCACACCGCCCCTTCTTGCTTAAGGGTAGAAAAGACCTCTGCAGTCGTGGGGAAGGAACTTGTGGTACCAAGCCTTAGAAAAACACAAAGCAATTTGCTGAAAGAAAAGAACCCTGACCAAAATGTGAGTTTTAATCTTCCACAGTGGACAGTTTTCAGCAACCACTGGACCTAAGTTCTCTGTCTAAGAAGATCATTTCATCCAAGGCTAGGATTTCAGCCTCACAAAACAAGAGCACCAAGGCAGATGAAACCTGTAATAAAGGAGGAGGGTGCACTCTGCTTTGAGTCCAACGCAACTTCCAAGCTTATCTCACAATGAGTTGATGAGGTTGATTGGCACAGCCCTGGTAATGAGAATTCATATATGGAAATGCTGCTGTCAAGCTCTGAACTAGCAGCAGAATGTGCCGCTGTAATTATTTACGGAGAATATTCTCCCTCTATTGCTCCTCTCTTCCAGCCATAGGGAATGTAAGAAGAATATGAAAGAGCTAAGGAACAGCAATGCTGCCTCGAAGCATATGGTTGTATTCAGTCAATAAATATTTTCCCATTTACATTCACTCATTCTTGAGGAAACAATGTCTTTCTGTGTGCCTTTGTAAAGTCATCTTAATTCATTCCGACTTCATTTTCTTCATTCAGCCATCTTAATTCTCTTCACCATAGCCAGCATCTATTTTCATAATTGCCCCCAGGAAAAGAGTTAAGGAAAACTAAACCAAAAGAAATTTTGTGGAGAAAAGTCAGAACCTCAAAATTAGTGAAAAGTTTCTGCTTCAGAAATATTTTAACTACATGAAGAAAATAACACATGTAGAACTAATTTGTCTGTCTTAAGCTTCCTGCTGCATTTATAAACAAGTAAATGATACATTTAATTAAGTTGAACTATGAAATACTATGACACTATTATTAACCCATTGTACCCAGATCAGTTTAGACCTGATCAAAACACTTTGCGGACAGTAATTATGTTAACAATCATTTAGATTAACATATCTTTTTAAATAAAAGTTCAAACTAATTTGCGTTCATTTATGGTTGGAAACCTAAGGCAGAGAGTGCCAAGTAATATTTCTGAAATCATTTGAGGTGAGAGGGTTAGAACCAAAGTTGGGATGTGACCTGTATCCAGTTGTATCTTACATCTACTTAATCTATTAATAATAATCAGTCCACTATAATATGATGAGAGGACTTAGTGTGGTTTTTACTATTAACTCAAAAGCCAACTTTCCTCTGCTAACACTACCAGATGACTGCTGGTTCTGGGCCATTTCTAACATCTGTTTTCATAACTGATCTCAGAATAGCTGGTCAGATCCTTCAGCTCTGTGCTAGAAATGGAGGAACCTATCTTAGGGTTTCTATTTTTCACTTAAAAAAAAAAGGTGTAACGTCTTGAACTCAAAGAACTGGAGTTGTTTATTGATAGTGTCATTTTAAATGCCCATGACCAAACTCTAAGTTTAGTAGTAAGTAGCTTATTTAGCAGTGTGTTATGTATCTAAAGGCAGGACATTGCTTAATGGGTGTAACTTGACACAATGGGAAAATCTCTTCAAAACCACCCCCCTCAAAAATATCACTCCCTCCACCCCACTATCAAAACACTGAAATTTCACCTCCAGATTTGCAGTCTTTTCAGCCTCTGGAGATATAAGATTCTGAAACACCCCCTTTTCAATAATTTCCCTGCCTTCTTTCTATTGGATCTGATCCTGTTATCAAAACATCAGTCCCTCAGCCTCTGCCATTTTGTCCGATTCTTCAGGCTATTCCAGGCCTCAATAGGCTCACATAAATCCTAAGTCCTATATAGTTTGCCACTGAACCACTCTCAACAGTCTTCTTGATGGTACAATAGAAATCTTGCTCTTTGACCTCTGTCCCATTGGCTTTGTTAATCTCACTCTAGGAAAACTTAGCTTTTGCTTTTTCTACTCTCATTCCTGAGCCTACAAGTTTTATTAGAGAAACTCAAACGGAGTGTTGCCACAAAACAAGTTCCTGCACTATAAAGTTAGCTAGGCCCTACAAGCTATTCCATAGTCATATTTATATCTGATTCCCTAAACTAGTCCCCTAGCCAGATTTCCAAAACTTCCCTCTACCGTTGAGCCTGCAGCATGATTTCCCTTCATTCACAGAAGCAGTGATAACAATGTAGTTAAGAGCAGAAGCTGTAAGGCTTGCACAGAACTTCATTCTGCACAGAACAGCTCTGCCACTTACTAATTTTGTTACGTTGGCAAATTGTTCAATCTCAAATATTACTCCCTTTTATGGTTTTCTTGCCTATAAAATAAAAATAATAATAGCCAAGTCTGCCTTGAAGAGCTAAAGTTTTTAACGAGGTATCTGCTACAAAGATGCTCAATAAGTGCTAACTCCTAAGATGGCTATAGCAACTACCACTGTTACTATTATCACCTCCTTCTACTTACTGAGAAAATAGAAGTCATTTGACTTCATTTGAAGTATCTTCTCTCTACTTCAAAGTTTCTCTGAGTTTATCCAAACACTCACTCTCTTTGTTTCAGAGAGAGTAAAATGAATTCATGTCTTTGCTAATGTTATTTCTATCTACCTATGACTTTAACTCCATTTACAATCAATTTCCATGAGACCTTCCCAAAATGAAAAGGCAGCCTATGGATTGGGAGAAAATATTTGCAAACCATGTATCTTGTAAAGGGTTAATGTCCAAAATATGCTAGGGACTCACAAAATTCACTGGCAAAGAAACCAAACCAAATCAAACAATGAAAAAAACCACAACCCTATTTTATTTTATTATTTTATTTTATTTTATTTTATTTTTACTGAAGCACACCTTTATTTAGAAAAAGATAGAAACAATCTAAATGATTATTAAAGTTTATAACATGCAGCTATTTAAAGTAAAAGTTTTCAAAGACTAGTAGTGACTTGGAAAGATGACACAATGTTATATTAAAAATTTTACAAACAATATGATCTCAATTTTGAAACATATAGGTACATAAATGTCCTTAATTTAGCCCAGCTCATTATAATGTCATTAACATAACATTAGCATTGTGGTTTTAGCCACCCCCCCACCTATGGGTTTCACTTAAGCACTCATGAGTAATAACCCAGATGGAGTCCTTCTGGTCAACCCCAGGCATGTGCAAATGCAATACCCTTAAGAGGGAATTTTACCCCTCCCATTTGGACAAAACCCACAGAAGACTCCTTTGTCTTTCTTTTAAATTTGTTATGAAATAGCATATTAGGCTGTCTAGCCGGGGTGCTTATACTCTGTCTTTGGTATGCAATTTAAGCCCCACTTTGAGGAAGCACTACATGACTACTATATAATCACACCTCACAAGCAGATTTGAATCTCTTCCCCACTGCACATCCCAACCTCTGGTGCACAAGCACCCCGGTCCCCACTGCTACATGCCTCATCACATTGCATATGGGTTGTGCAGGTCTGGTACTTGGATTCTTTTTCCAACTTTTATTTTAAGTTCAGAGGCACATGTGCAGGATATTCAGGTTTGTTGTATAGGTAAACATGTGGCATGGTGGTTTGCTGCATAGATCATCCCATCACCTAGGTAGTAAGCCCAGCATTCATTAGCTATTTTTCTTGATGCTCTCCCTCCTCCCACCTTCCAACAGCCCCCCATGTGTGTTGTTCCCCGACATGTATCCATGTGTTCTCATCATTTAGCACCCACTTATAAATGAGAACATGTGGTATTTGGTTTTCTGTTGCTGAATTAGTTTGCTGAGGATAATGGATTCTAGCTCTATCCATGTCCCTGCAAAGGACATGATTTTGTTCCTTTTTATGGCTGCATAATATTCCATGGTGTATATGTACCACATTTTCTTTATCCAGTCTATATCATTGATAGGCATTTACATTGATTCTATGTCTTTGTTATAACACAACCCAATTTTTAAATGGGCAAAGGACCCAAGTAGTTAATTTTCCAAATAAGACATAAAAATGGCCAACAGCTATGAAAAGGTGCTCTAATCATCACGGGAATGTGAATCAAAACCACAATGAGCTATTACCTCACACTTGTTAGGATGGCAATTATCAAAGACAACAGATAAGTGTTGGCAAGGTTGTGGAGAAAAGGGAACCTTTGAACATTGTTGGTGGAAATATAAATTACTACGGCTATTTTGGAAAACAGTATGGAAGTTCTTCAAAAAATTAAAAATAGAATTACCATACTATCCAGTAATTCCTTTGCTGGGTGCATGCCCAAAAAATGAAATAAGCACCCCATAGATATCTGTGCTTCCATGCTGATTACAGCATTATTCACAAGAGCCAAGACATGGGAACAACTCAAATATCCATCGACTATTTTCACATTTCCATCATTAAGTATAATGCTTATTTTAGCTTTTTTTGCTTGTTTGTTTTCTTCTTGTAAAGAAGTAACAACTTCTTTTTCAAGTAAAGAAATTTTCAAGTAAAGAAAATTTCTAATTCTAATTTGTTGAGTTTTTAATCATGAATAAACATAGAAATTTATTGTTTCTTCTATGTGTATTGAGATTGCCAAATAGTTTTTCTCCTTTGATTCATTAATGTGATAAATTGCCTTAATCAATATTCAAATATTAAGCCAACCCTACATTCCTGAGATAAATCAAACTGGGTCATACATTGCATATACATTGCTGGATTCTATATGCTACTATTTTTTTTTCTAATTGTTACACTCATATTCATAAGCAAGCTCGGACCATAAATTTTTTCTCATACTCGTTTTGTCAAGTTTTATAAGAGTCGTAGGAAAATGGAATTACATTTTGCTTGAATGTTTGATAGTACCCACTGTTAAAGCCAGATAAAGATATTCATAGAAAGATATTTGACTACTCAATTTTTTAAGGTTATGATAATATTTAATTATCCTACCTCTTTTTGAGTTATAGTAAGTTACACGTTTCTACAAATTTATGCATTTCATATCAAACTTCAAATTTATGGATAAAACATTATTCATTATATCGTCTTGTTAACTTTTTTATGTTTATAGAACATTTTGTAGAAAGTCTGTAGAAAGCATAATGTTCTTCTTTCTCAATTCTGATATTAGTTAATTTTGTCTTCTTTATTGGATCAATCTCATCTGTTTGTTTACCTGTTTTTGTTATCAGTATTTTCCAAAAAAGTTTGACTTTTATATTTCTTTTTTTCATTTATATTTATGATCTCTTTCACATTTTATTACTCTCTGTTATCTTTGTTTTTTCTAATTTTCTTTGGTTTTATTTTGTTTTCTTACACCACTCTTTTAAGATGGATGCATAGGTCATTAATACTTAGCTTTTCCTTTTTCTAAAATAAACATTTTGATGATATCATTTTACCATTAGGAACTGCTTTAATTTCATTCCACAAGTTTTATTACATAGTAATTTTATCATTTCAGAAAAATACTCTCTAATAACGATAATTATTTCTTCTTTGACATATGGGTTATTTTGAATAATTTTTTTCAAATACATAAAGATTTTCCATTTGTTTTTCACACTAATTTCTAGCTTACTTCTCTATTAGTCTGAGAACATGATGCATATGTTATCAGTCCTTTTCAATGTATTCAGATTTGAATTTTAGTACAGTATATATCCAATGTTTGTTTATTTTCCCTCTGCTTGAAAAGAAGGCATATTTTATAGCTTGTAGATATGATGCCTCATACATGTCCATTAGGTCAGGCTTGAGCATGTTTTTCAAATCTTCCCTACCCTTACTGAATTTATTTGTTCATTCCATCAATTAAGAGAGATATCTTAAAATGTACCTACTATTATCCTGGATTTTATTTTCTGTATTGTCTATCAACCTTTGTATTATATATTTATATATTATTAAGTGCATAGAATTTTAACTTTCTATGACTTTTAAACTGTTATCATTGTGACCTGTCTGTCTTTGCCTTTGTAATGTCTTCTGCCTAATAATGAACTTTGTCCACTGGTTTGCTGGAACTGGCTTGTACTAACAAGAGCCAATTGGCCACATCTTTTCCAAACTCAGTGTTCAGTTATGTCACATTGGTGGCTTGAAATCAGTCATGAAAGAGTATTAACACACAGAAAGCAGCAGATGAGACAAATCTCACCCATCTCCCAGAGCTGGTTATTAATATTTACCAGCAACGCTCTGACTTCATTTGATTTTAATATATCAGCTTTCTTTTGATTAGTGTTCTTCTATTATAACTTTTTTCCATTCTTCTCATTTTAACCTCTGTGTCTTTTGATTTAAATATGCCTCTTAAAACAGCAAATCATGGGAACCTTTTTAAATGTAGTCTGACAATCACTGTCTTTTAACAGGTGCGTTTCGTCCATATGCATCTACTATGTCCCAAATATTCCATGGGACATACTTTTACTGAAAATTTATCTGAAATTTAAATTTGACTTGGTCCTATATTTTTATTTGCTAAATCAGGCAATCCAATTCCTACCAGGCCTAGCACTAAACCTCAGAATGGAGTGGCACTAGATCATAATAACAGGTAACAATGTGCCAGGCTCTCTGCAAAACAGTAACATCTATTTTCTCATTTAATTTTCAAAATACAACTACATAATAAGCAAGCACTAATCAAAAACTATAGTGTTGGAAATATTATTATCTACTTTTCAAGTTACAAACCAGAGCAAATAGAAATTAATTATTTGCCCAAATTGAGGAAGTGGCAGAGTGCTCTTCCTATGCTTCAGTCTCCAAGTACCCAAAATGAAGTTTACCTTACTTTTCTGCAGGAACTGATAGGTCCTTATCCATCCAAAAGTTAACAGGCAAAGATATACAGCTGTTTCTGTTTGATCTGCTCCAATTCTGCTCTGCTTGAGTAGTTAGAATATCATTCTTTTTTTGTAATATATGCAACAATCTATATATATGCAATTGTCTTTACTGAGAATTCCCAACATACTCCAAGATTAAGTTTACATGATAGCAATAAAACCAAAGAGTAGTGTGTGGTTTGTAAAATTATAATCATGGACAGCACAAACTTCCAGAAAACAGAGATGCTGGGCTAAATTAGAGCCGACTCTGATATAAGTACTTCAGATATGATAGGAATCGGATGATACAAATTTTGTCCCCAAATATGTAGCACTCTTAGCAATCACAGGAAGAAAGATACCTTGTGTTTCAGCACCTCAGTACAGCTGGAACCAGAAGTAAAGTGGATATTTGGCACAAATCATTATGTCTCATAAGTAAATCCACATTCCTTTCCCCTAATATTTCCTCAGTACACCTCAGCTTCTGAAGTTAGCTTCCTCCTGAATTTTTTGGAATTTGTTTTATAAGCTCTTAGTGGGTCTCTGAATTCTTGTTACTTGTTGTCCCCATCCACCTCCAAGTCAGCTTCAAATATCATGGGCTGAATCTTCCTCCGGCTCATGCATTACCTGGCACTTTCTGGCATAACCCCTTGGTTTCCAAACTTTGTGTCAACCTAGGCTATAACAGTGCTCTGGAAAGCATAGTGTTGCTCACATTTGTGAGGTACAATCACAATCTCAGATTTACTTGTACAATTCCATGCAGATTCTCTTATGGTAACCTGTGTACTTATTTAAACTCCACATTCTGAAACTTATGGAGATGGTTTCCAAAAAGTACACATAATTAAGAATTGGGAGGCAGAGCAGTAAAAAAGGTTAGTGGAACTTCAGTTAATGTAAAGATGAGATGATTAGGAGTGGCTTAATCAGCCTGAACCTATACATGTGAGGAGATGGCAGCAGGATGATGGAGGGGTATGGAAAAGTCCAGCTGCAGGAGAAAGGACTGGTTTATTTGTGTCAGCCCCTGAAAACTAGGCAGCCATGTATGAAATCTTCACCAAGCTGGTTGACAATCTTAGTGTAACTGTTCTTACCTCAGTTTCACATTCTGTTTACTCCAACTTCACCTCAGCATTAATCCAACTCTATTCACCATTTTTTTCAAAGTGATAATGCATTTTACAACTAATCACAGCTTATAAAAATATCCTACTCTCATATTTTCTAAGATTGACTCATCTGTAGAGAAAGGATTTGTTGATTTTGTTTATGTATTCAGGTGGTCCTCAACATTTTAAATGTTTGCTAAAATTGCCAAAGTAAATTTAGTACTCCATGAAGAAGCAATGTGTTGATCCTATGGTTTCTCACAACCCCTGGCACAGTACTGCATACCTTGAGGGCGCCTGTACCACTATTTGAGAGGCAAAGGCATTCCCCCATTACTAGAAGTATAGTTCTCAACTTGCAGGAACAGCACCTCTGCAGGTGGCAGCTAAATGTTAATGTACGTCATTCGAGAGGCTGCATTATCAAGTGATTTCATGCCTTAAATGGAGGCAGTGTGTACTATCTTTTCTTGCAATGTGTTTCTCTCCTTTCCCAGGACACAGAAACTAGTCAGCTTTGAGAAAGAACACTCCTCCTCTTCTCAATATGCCCTGCCCTCTCACCCTACTAAGACGGATGATGAGTTTGCACACATTTCTGTTCTGGGTACAGTTGAAAACATGGCCCTGCTAGACTCCTACCTCTTCACTCCCTGACATTTACCAGACTTAAACAGCTGGCAATTCCACCTGTTCAGAGGGTCATCCCCTCTGGGCACGAAAGAGGCAACTTCCTTTTCCACCTCTCCCTTCAACTTCAGTTCTGTTCCTACCCACTCACTACACTGCATAGGCCCTCAGCAAGAAGTGCCTATGTTTGTAACTCAGCATGCCACCAATAGATTTAGTTCTTCCTTTTCTTTCTTTTTTTTTTTCTTGTGTGTGTGCAATGAGGTAGGGCTCAGTACATATGTACACGTATGGAATAGAAGGTAGGCACTAGCAACCTCTTATTTCTTGTAAGGGTTTGCCAAGGTCCTAACCATTTCCTTCTGACATAGCAAGTCTGATGGTTAAACCTGATTTTTGCAAGAAGAGAAAAAATAATGCAACCACTCTAATTATTTGAGATAAGAGACTGCTGATTTTTATCCTCAGCAGGGATTACTGCTGCTGAACAAATGCCAGTTTGGGAGGTAAAAAAGACAGTGATGGCATCCAATTTTCAAAAGCTACAGAGAGGGAAATGGTATAACATCCACCCCATGCATTATTGATAATCAGCATGCATGCTGATTGTGAAAGTCTGTTTACTTTCTAATTCATTAAAAGAAATAACTACAAGTTTCCTTACTTTCTATGATCTTCTTTTGCATCATTTATTCCAACAACTTTTGCCTCTAAGGCCACAGATTGGGGCTGGCATTGTATAAGTTTGTTGAGAACTACCTGTAGGAGGGCAAGTGGGACAGCAAGTTGTAGAAGCTTCTCTGTTCTCCATTTTATTGCCTAGAAAACAGTATGCTTAAAATCCATGCAGTCTTCTGGGATAGACTGAACAAGGTATTCAGAAAACCTGCATAATTTGTTGATACATATTCAGGTATGTTAAGCACGATTTGTATTTAATTGCTTTTGCTCTTTGGGAAAAATTTCTCAGGTGTGTAATTGAGAATCTACTAATGTAGTGGGAGGACCAGGGCATAATGAATCTCAAACAAGAGAAACATTTGCAGAAACACCATAGTCCCTCACTTTTTTTAGTAAGGTTAGAAAAATTTGGGAAAGATTAAATTGTGTTTTTTTTTTAACTTCCAGTCATTGAATTGGTGCTGAAATGTTACCTACTTACTCTCTATAGAGTTCTGTTCCTCAAATTATGATTTTTGTTCTGTAGAAATTACAGTGAATTTTGTCTCTGGTCGTGCTAATTTATTCATTAAGACATTGAGACCTTTTCCCCTAGGAAGACATAATGGGTTTGCTAAGTGCTTATACCAATGGCTGTTGCTTTCATAGCAATGCTACCATGAAAGCCTGATTCTCTTATCCCTGATGTCTACTATTGCCACTGTATGTGTACAGTAAGCCTCTGTATGCCTACAAGGTTAAATAGCTAAAAAAAATTTCCTCTAGAAGAGTTTGGTGAGGAATGGTCCAAACAGGTTGGTAAGTATCCACTTGAATATGTAGCCAAGAAAGAGAATGACTTGTGGGCAAAGCTGAGCCTGAAATAGAAACTTTGTAAGCAGCCTATGTCTAGAAGCCAACTTTGGTACTGGAAGGAAAAAAATAATAAGCTCTTCAGTGATATGACAAGGAGATGATGTGGCCTATGTCTTCAGGGATGCCAGTCAACATTGTGGTCACATGGCCATCAGCCTTCAACCTAGAGTGAAAATGGTACTTTGACCAAAGGGCTGGCTTTCACAGTAGCTAATAAACATGCTTAGGTGATCCAAACCTAATTTTTTTTTTGAAGGAGTCTCACTCTGTCACCCAGGCTGGAGTGCAGTGTCACGATCTCTGCTCACTGCAACCTCCGCCTCCCAGGTTCAAGCGATTCTCATGCCTCAGCCTCCCAAGTAGCTGGGATTACAGGGGTGCGCCACTGTGTCTGGCTAATTTTTTTTATATTTTTAGTAGAGATGGGTTTTCACCATGTTGGCCAGGCTAGTCTCGAACTCCCGGCCTTAAGTGATCCACCCACCTCAGCCTCCCAAAGTGCTGGGATTTCAGGCGTGAGCCACTGTGCCCGGCCCAAACCTAATTTTTAAACTATAAACGAAGAGTCAAAAGCCCAGTATTTCAGAACTGCCACTCACATCCTTGGGCAGATTTGACTGTTTTTTAGGATAAAGTAATGTTTGAAAGTGTTTAAATTCAGTGGTTGTTCCTTTAATTTCCCTGTCTATATATTCGGAAATTTCCAAAATTATCATAGTTACACTGGGTTGCAGAATCTAGGTCAGCTCCAGGATAGAGTGGCTAAATTTTAAAAGGAAAATAAATAAATAAATAACACCAACCTCCCCAACTTAAGCCTTCGGTGCCAACCATTTTCCTTAGTCTGCTAGAAGTTTCCCTGCCCACCAATATCTTGTCCTCCTTTATGCCCCCCTAAATACTTTCTACCTGCCAGGTCTTTCATAAGACCCTCCCAGCTCAAGGGAGCCCATCCTACTGTGCTAGATCTCTGCCTTTTCCCAAATTGTCTGTTTTGTTACAAAACCACCACCCTCACCACCACCCCTATCAACAAATGTCAATATCCAAATTCACAGAAGCGATCAGTGGAGTTTTAGTTTACTGTCACTTTCTGTATATTGTGTGTTAGATAGTCACACCTTCTGGTGAAGTGTCATATCCACACATTGAATACACCAGGCTCTATAAGCACATCACAAATACTAAAATATAAAGAGAATGAAAGAGAGAGAGACAGAGAGAGAGAGAATAAAGGTAGGGGGCAGGTATTGGTATCTATGCATGTGGTATCAGAGGAAATCTTCACTCACTAGGACCTTGCTTTTGTCTTGGAAAAGGAGGGAAAGACAAATCTTTTTTTATTTTAACTTTTAGGTCCAGGGGTAAATTTGCAGGTTCATTATATAGGAAAACAGTGTCATGGAGGTTTGTTGTATAGATTATTTCATCACCCAGCTATTAAGTCTAGTATCCTATAGTTATTTTTTCTGATCCTCTCCCTCCAACCACCCTCCACTCTCTGATAGGCCCCAGCATGTGTTGTTCCCCTCTGTGTATCCATGTGTTCTCATCATATAGTTTCCACTTATAACACGTAGTATTTGGTTTTCTGTTCCTGCATTGCTTTGCTAAGGATAATGGCCTCCAGCTTCACCCATGTCCCTGCAAAGGACATGAATTCATTCCTTTTTATGGCTGTATAGTAGTCCATGGTATATAAGTACCACATTTTCTTTATCCAGTCTATCACTGATGGGCATTTAGGTTGATTCCATGTCTTTGCTATTGTGAACAATACTACAGTGAACATACGCATGCATGTGCCTTTATAACAGAATGCTTTATATTCCTTTGGGTATATGCAGTAATGGGACTGCTGGGTCAAATGGTCAAATGGTATTTCTGTCCTTAGGTCTTTGAGGAATTGCCACACCAAAAAGCCAGATCTTTTTAAATAGTTTTGCGTCAGTGTAAACAGAAAAATGAGCTAGTATCTGGAGGAAACATGCTATAGAGAGAGGATTTTTTTAATAGAGGTAAAATAATAGCGTGTTTGTGTGCTTCTAGAAATAATCCAATAGCAAAAGGGAAAATGATGTAGGAAAGTGAGAGAAGAGTTTCTGGAAGAATGTTCTTGAAAGGTGAAAAAGGATGGGACCTGCTGCCTAAGTGGAGAGTTGGTCTTAAGTAGGAGCACAGACCAATCATCAAATAGTCACAGGAGGCAAAGCATAGACTATGATCACAGACGCAGCCAGTGATCAGTGAGCAGATGCTGTGCTGGATGCTTGGGAAGTTCTCTTCTGGCTCCTCTTGTTTTCAGTAAAATGTGAAGCAAACTCATCAGCTAAGAGAAAGAATCAGCAAGAAGGTACCAGAAATCTGAGAAAAGTGTGTAGCTCCCCAGGACAGTACAAAACTGAGTCAGACTAGAGAAATATAGTGTGATTTTACTTAAGGACCAGAAATTTAAAGTGTGTTCTAATGCTTGTTTTTCTCCAGCCATGATCAGCTATACAAAGATTCAGGTAAGGGGTAGGCAGTGGGTTGAATTTAACCATGATTATGGCTTTGCCTGTCAAGTACAATAATTGAGGGGCAAGGGAGTTGCCATCCTCAAGAGCCAGGTAATAATGATAGTCTTCCTCATTGATCTCCACATATTTAATTGGTCCCATTGATTATTTACTTATGGAAAGATTGAAAGTGTCTGGGAATGCAGATTGTACTAAAATATACTTTATATATAAACCATCTCTTTTCTGGTCTTTTGGTGTTTATTTAGAAAAGAATTTTTATTTGCCTTTTCACTTAGGATATTATCTTTAATAAGATGACTGTGTCCTAAGCCTCTGATATTAGATACTTAAAAAGAGGACAGAAATTTCAAAGAGGAGTTGCAATAATGGATGCGGGCAAGACATGAAGCATTTTTTCATAGTCTAATGGTTTTTAAAACAAATCTAATTCATATATATATTCTAAAAATCCCATTAATATTTCCACACACATTTTTCATTAATTCACTTAATTAATATGTATTGCATCTCTGTCATGTACAAAACATTGTACTAGGCAAGCACCAAGGTGAACTGGAGAGGGGAGGGCAAGATTACAATACAGATCCCAAAGGTATTTGCAGTCTAAAGGGAGAAACTCATATATTTACAACAAATTAGTATTCAAGACAGGACAAAGGAAGCACTACAACACAAGTTTCATGGCATTTGTTTATCTCATTTACAGCTATGTCCCATAGTGGACCTGAAACAGTAGTCGCTTAGTGAATACAGGTGAATCAGTGAATGCCATAGAGATATGAACCACCCTGGAGGAACAGGAGGGAGCAATGAATGAATTCTGAATGTGGGATCTGAGAAAGCATAGTGGAGAATGTAACATTTCACTGGCTCTTAAAAGAAAAGTAGGAAAACAACAGAGAAGGAAGAGAAGGGCCCTCCCATATGAAAGACAAACACAAGATGAGCACTGCAGTGTGGAAGCAGGAAGACTTCAGGGCATAGACATAGTTCTGTCTGAGGACTGAGGAATAGCACAGTGAAAGGGTATGTTAGAAAAGAAGAGTGGTAGGGCAGAGTGGGAATAAGAGCTAAGCTATGCTGGTAACAAAAACACTCTATCTAACCCATGACATATTAAGAAAACTTGTGAGGTGCATTTTTCCCACAAACCAGTTCTAAATATGTCTAATTTTACACTGTGTGATTTCATGCTATTGCTGATATTTTATTTTATAATTTTTGTAGGTACAGGTTTTCACTGATTTATAAAATGTTATTCTACTGACTAATGAAAATTTTGAATAAAGCTTTAGAGATCTTACTAAAAGAAAAGGGGGGTAAGGAAAGGAAGAGTGATACCAGCAAGTGAAATGTCTCGATTATCTGATAAAGGAGTTCTTATTGAGCGTTTACACTGTGTCTTACACTGTTTTAGCTGCTGCCCATGTTATAACTCATTTAATATCACAGAAACCCTGTAAGGGAGGTATTATTATTCCCCATTTTATAGGTGAAGAAACTCAGGATGTACTTGGATGTCAAGTACACCCACATTATACAACTAGTGACAGCTCCAGGCCCTGTGTACCATTGGTTCTATGAAAACATTTTGAATAGTTGAGTGACATTATATGATTTGTGCTGCTACTACCTTTTTCTTTCATAAGTAATGAACATATTTAAGTTAAATTCAGAAAGTAAGCACCATGTGTATTACAGCTGTTCCTCATCTGTACTTAGAAGTTCTGAATATTCAAATGTATTACTTTCCATTTCTATCTTTTCTTTATTCAATGATATGACTATTTCCAAAACCTATTGGCTTAAAGGTTGTTTTCCTAGTGTTTAATCTATAATTTAAAATAGTACAATTATATTTTTTTCTTAATTCATAATTTATTTAATTAAACTGTTCTAATATTATTTTACTCCAATACGCTTTTTAGAACTACCTAAAGTAGGGAAAATATAAGGAAGTGTTTCTGGAAGTAGCTGTAGCTTGGTGTTTGCTATACCAGAGGGCAGAAATAGGACTGATATATGGAAGTTATCAGAAAGTAATTTTCAACTTAAAGTAAAGGTGGTTATTTTTTTTTTTCTGAAATCACTTTGCCCTTCTCTTTGTAACTTTGAATTTTATTCAGAAACAGTTGTTGATGGCAGCCAATTCATCATCAAGTAGGTTACACTCATTTTGTCATCATCTTAGAGATTTCCTGCCTCAAAAAAATTTCCAGTCTTTTATTAAATATACTCTATTTTGTAGCAAGTCTTCCAACTATCAATTCATTCTCATTAAATTTTCACCTCCTCTTTTCAAATACTTATATAAACCAAAAATATCAAACTCATAAAAGTGACCCAAAGAATCTTTAAAAGTTCAGTTCAGTAACAACATTACAATTTATGCAGGACTGGAGAACAGCATCTGATCTGGTCTAATTGCCTTACTCAAGGGTGCTTTCATTAGCTCCAACAACTATCAGCTCTTTTTATTTCACTGAAATCTGTAACAAACAGACTTTGTCACTGTGGCCTGTCATCCTTGGACTCAAGTGATCCTAAGTTCCTGATCTCTCACCTCATCTCTAGTGAGGATGGGGCAGAGGCATAGACAAAAGATTCTAATCCCAGCTCAAGCTGTAGCATCATCACAGGGGGGTTCTCTGTGGTTGGTTTTGTGTCACAGAAACAGAGTAGTCAAGGTATCTAATATTTGTGTTATACCAAAAAAAAAAAAAAAAAAAGATGGAGGTTGTTTGTTCAGCCAAGAGAACCTAAAGTAGGAAAAATATGAGGAAGTGTTTATGGAAGTAGTTGTAGCTTGGTGTTCGCTGCACCAGACGACAGAAATAGGACTGATGTGAAAGTTATCAGAAAGTAATTTTCAACCCAAAGGAAGGAATTTGTTAAGTGGAGATACTCAAAAGTGGAACATGGTACATCCTAGAGGAAAGAAACAACCATTTGTAGAACATTTGTCTTGGGTCTTCTCCAGCAGGAGATATTTAAAACTGGGTGACCTTATAATTTATTTCCCAAACAGGGACACATTTGAGAATGAAAGAATAACAGCTATAAACTGGGGTATCCCAGGCAAATGGGTTCACATTACCCTAATTCACCCTTGTAGACCCCCAGCTGTGTGTACTTGCTGACATGTGGAGAATAGGGAAATACTGACCCTAGTAGGGGAAAGGGAAAAGTGGGAGCTCATGGACGTGCTGAGAAACAGGGCAAATCTGTGACCTTCTCGCCCCTGCTTCTGCACCTACCCCGATAGGATAAAACGTAAAGACCCATATCAAATAGGATCCCTGTCAGTGAACCTGGATATTAACAAACTGTTAGGATCCAAAGGGATCCACCTGGGAAAAATTCCAGGACAGCATCATTGTTCCCAGAGCCAGGGTAGAGTAGATACTCTTCCCAAGTCAAGTTACCTACCCTGATAGGATGAAACCTAAAGACTCATATCAAATAGGATCTCTGTCAGCGAGCCTGGATATGCGCAAAGTGTTAGGATCCAAAAGGATCCACCTGGAAAAAAATTCCAGGACAGCAACATTGTTCCCAGAGCCAGGGTAGAGTAGATACTCTTCCCAAGCCAAGTTACTCATAGAGTTCTACAGGGCATAACATTAGGCAGTAAGAACAGGACCAGCCCCAAAGGAACAAAGACTGTGGTGATGACAAGGTACGGAACAGGACCAGGCCGATAGCAGGACCCCACACATTACAGGCAGGCACAGTGAGAAGAATGGAGAAGGGCAGGCATGTAGGGGCACAGTCTCCCTAAATATGGTCTGTGTTACACTGCCTAGACCTAGAAGTACCCAATGAGGCAGCTTTTTCTTCCATTCTAAATGGCAATTCAAATATAACAAAAACTTACTTTTTACTATGACAAGTTTATTGCAATCTATAAACTGCTTGAAAGGATTATTAAAATTAATATTCCTAAACAAAAATTCACATTTTACTAACTGTAATGGGTACTAACAGCTGTGTGCTCGGCTCCTATCCCTCTCTTGCACTTTGCCCCTAGATTGAATGGGCACCTTTCACTTTGCCATGCAGCCATTTTGACTCACGAAAAACTGGTTCCAACTCCATGGTTAGAATGAGCCACTTCAAGTAATCCCAGTTCCCTGCCTTGTAATTATTCAGATCAAGCCGATAGCACTGGCATATGCCTTGCAACTGGTCTTGCTCCAGGCACATGGCTTAAGTCAGCCAAACCTAAGGGAAAGGCTATTTTTCAACATGAATGAGAGTCAAGGTGGTGATCCAGTTGCTGCTGGCCATCATCAGGGGAATTTGATGGAAGCCTGCCCGAGGATGACATCACCACATGAAGGGACAGAACCAGACAAGTCAGAGCCAGACCTCCATTTCCACCAGGCATTCCCTGCCTCTGGCTTTCCTTTGGAGGTGACAACTTTCTTACTGTGTAAGCCAGTTTGAGATGCACCCATCTTGATTCTTTATCTGGAAGCATGTTAGTAGATCTATAAAATAGTGATTCCCAAACCTGCCTGCATGTTGAAATTACCCAAGGATTTTCAAAATTTGCTGATGCCCGTATTCTACACAGAGATTATGATTTATGGGTCTAGTGTGTCGCTGGGTGAGCCAATTAATCTATAAATTTCCTCCCTTCCTGGAGATTCTTTCCTAAGAATGTACCTCTGCCCAAGAGGAACACAGGGCACTCTGAGACTTCTCAAAGTGACAGGAATATGTGTTCCCAGGCGGACTTTCTCCACCCTCTACAATATTGAGGGACTTTTATGCTTTACAGCAAGATTTAAATTGCTCTTCAGCTATCCTGCTTGGATTCCCCTTTTATCACATTTCAGAAGATATGGGTTTGAGAGCCTTCCCTAGTAAAATGGGATTATAAATCTCTATAAGCCCCATGTTTGGAGTCTCAAGAGGCCATAGTAAGAGGTCCCAACTGTTCATCGGTAATTTTTTTTTTAATGGTAGAATGGATAAAAGGAAAGAGATGGAGTAGAAGAGGAAGAATTGAGATCTGACTACACTGTTAACACTCTCTGCCACTCTCTCTTTCCTTCTCTCTCTCTTTCTCCCAAGCCCAACATCAAAAACTAGGTCTTTCTTTCACATTTATATGTAACTTAGATCTTACTACACTGTTAACACACACTGCCACTCTGAGCCTCAGTACCCTAAATGCTGATGAACTGAGAAAAATGATATGTTTCATCGATGTAGTAAAGCTTTTGTGAGGATATGAGGTAATACATATAAAAATTCAAAATTAAAAAGTGTTTGATGAATCTAAGTTATTATGAGAGGTCCAGAAAGTTAAAAATGCAGTCTAGACCTAACCCTAATAGATACCAGCCATGCCAGCAGGATGAAATGGCTTAGAAGAGAGTTACATTCTCTGCCAGCCTCCCCCTTGTTGGGAAGGGTGAAGCCTCCCCCTTTATCCTTCCTCTCACCATCCTTCATGAAACGGCAAAGCTTGTACTATAAATGCAACTATAAGATACATCCTTGCTCCAATCCACTCTCAGCCAGATTGCCATGCTCTGAGCCCTGCCCATATAGAATTCCTAGGGCTACCACTAATAGGCAGGAAGGTTATTTTGTTGCATTGTTCCGCTAGGTTTTTAGAAGCACTCCACTTCCTCAACAGTACACCTCTGGGCACCACAATGCTATATCGTTCCCTGCTTGAATTATATTATCTATCATAAGAGACATCTCTTGAGAGGCTTGAGTGCTAAGTGGGGAGTGATTTTTAGAAAGATGTGTGGGAAATGGTTTCAATATTTGGCAGTTCCTAAAGGCAAGATGATTTGAGACATTGGCTTTTTAAAAATACGCTTGATCGGCTCATTATACTATTCTCTTATTTCTGAAAATGCCTTGTCATTTGGAATATTACGTTTAGCAGTTGCACCACGGTAGAAATTTCATAAACTAAAGGATTATAATTTTCAGTTTATTTCAGTCATTTATCCATATATGTCACATATAACACATAAATGTATATATTCACCAGGATATCAATCTTTCTTTTACAGATATCTCCATTAACATATACCATTCTGAAACTAAAGACATAGACAATCCCCCAAGAAATGAAACAACTGAAAGTACTGAAAAAATGTACAAAATGTCAACTATGAGACGAATATTCGATTTGGCAAAGCATCGAACAAAAAGATCCGCATTTTTCCCAACGGGGGTTAAAGTCTGTCCACAGGAATCCATGAAACAGATTTTAGACAGTCTTCAAGCTTATTATAGATTGAGAGGTAAGGAAAGAGATGAAACCGTTTAGCCTTGTGTTATTTCCATCCCTTCCCTTTCATTCATCCATAGGTTGTCTTTAGCCTAAAACTTCCAGTTCTGTCATTTAGCCACAAGAATTATAAAAATCAACCTAGTGATAATCTGATAGTAATGAATAATAAACATTCAAAACTATGGTAGATATCAGCTCTTATGGTTTAAAATAATATCTTGTGCAGCATAGAACCAATAGGGCATTTAGAAATCACCAGAAAACCTTGGCATCCAGATTTTACCCCTTTATTTTTTATTTTTGCCAATGCTCAATATTCCATTTTAATGTTGTTCATATGGGTAAGAAGTACAGGATGATTGCAATGTCAGGAATCTAAGCAAATTGATTCATGACTTAAGATTTCATTTTTCAAAAGCAACATTACAATCCAGATCCTCTTATAAGTTTGTGTATTGATGATCCAGCAGAAACTTTTAAAGTTTGGAAACCTAGAGGCACATTGAAGTGCAGAGGAGAAACAAATAAAGAGTGGTTACCAAGATATAATGCAAGAGTGTTAGCAGAATTTACAACACAATTACAGTGGTTTCCAGCAGAGTCACAGTCCACTTTTTACCCCAAGACTGCTTCACAGGATTCTGATGGCATTGCCAGAAACCATTAAGGAGTTAATCACAGCACAGCCATCAGTGACTATCTTTTCACTAACTTCCTATGGATGACAAAATTCTCATGGCTTCTTTTTTAAAAGAAAAAAAAACAAATCTTTGGTAGCTACTATTAAAATTCCCCAGGTGGCTCCAAATAATGCAAAATATCTTGTCTCTCTGAGTCTTAAATTCAATTTATCTTACATGCGAAAGTTGAGAGTTTTACTGATTTCTATCTTGATCACACTAGATGTTTGCTTCCATTGCAAAAAGCAGAGCCACCCTGCTTTATTTAAAGCCCATCTACTGGAGCAAGCTTGTTCAATTCCAGCCTGTGATGTGTTGTACACTATGACAACTGAGTACCCATTTCACAATACCAACATCCAGAAAACTTCTTGGATGTCTATTTTTGTTAGATGTGCCCAAGTTAAATTAATCTGAAGAGTTATTATTGGGTTTTGGAAGCATAATTAACTAACAGTTTCAAAAATATCAAGTCTTATATTCCTTATGTGTCTCATTTTCTGTGGAAGTAAAAAGATATTCACTTTCTGAAAGAAGCCACACCCATAGAAAAGTGAAAACTACTGGATCACAGTCTGAAAGAGGACTCTCACTGTAGAAAATCAAGGGCACTATATTACTATTCTAAGGTCCTAGAAGGGCATCTCCACAGAGCAGGTACTAGCCAATGCTTGTTGGTGGACACAGAATGCAAAGAGCCCATTGGGAAAATAGAGAAAAGACAGTGACATGAGTAAATTACTAATTTCGAGTGTGCCTACACATTGATCAGATAATGACCCTGGTAAATTCCATATCGTTTGCTCAGGGATGGACGTACATACAGTATTTGCATCACACTGAATATGAATGCAACTATTCCTATTTTCACATAACTTCTAATTCTTTACAACATTCACAAATAGGATTCACTGGAAGTATTTGGAATACCCTATTTATTGCTGCAACAAAATTTTTAGCTCTGAATTTTTATTCTCAGCTCTTTATTCTTGATTAGGTTGCCTCTTTCATTCTTGTTTCCCTGGATGAAACAAACCATTGTTTTTCTCCCCACAGCAATGACAGTCCATTATCTTTATGGCTGCCCCTAGGTAATATGAAATTTTACTATTCATCAGCATGGGTTTCTTAAGTCGAACAAATTGGTTCACAAAGAAACAAGAAATAAGACCCAGCTACAAAGCGGTTTTCCTCTGACAGAGAGACCCACTTACTGTTCTTGTTGCTACTTTTACAAAATTATCCATTGACATCTTTCAAACTTAGGAGAGAAAGCACTCATATTCCCAAATCAAATGGAACATTGAATTATTTCATTTCCCAGGGCTTAAAAGCAACGCAGTGAAATGTTCTGAGCTTTGTGGTAGAATCATAAATGTGCTTATCTCAAAGCCCAAATGCAAAAGAGGCAAGTGTGTTTCTGCTAATCTACAGGCTGAACTCTGTGCCCCAGCCAAATTTCCTGCTATACAGATGCCTCCCTTCAGATCCCCGTCACCTCACCTGTGTCTCTCCCTCTATTTCCCTCCCTCTCTGCCTCCCATACCCAACATCAAAAGCTAGGCCTTGGCCAGGTGGGTGGCTCTCACTTGTAATCCCAGCACTTTGTGAGACCGAGGTAGGCAGATCACCTGAGGTCAGGAGTTCAAGACCAGCCTGGCCAATATGGTGAAACCCTGTCTCTACTAAAAATACAAAAATTAGCTGGGCATGGTGGCGCACGCCTGTAATCCCAGCAACTCAGGAGGCTGAGGCAGGAGAATCGCTCAAACCCAGGAGGCGGAGGTTGCAGTGAGCCAAGATCACGTCACTGCACTCCATCCTGGGCAACATAGTGAGACTCCGTCCCAAAAAAAAAAAAAAAAACAGCTAGATCTTTCTTTCACATTTAAGTGTGCCTTAGAGAAGGTTAAAGATGGATAGGGTCCTAGTTCTTTCTACTCCATGTTGTCTGCAGATCAACAGCATCACCACCACCTGGAAACTTGTTAGAAATGCAGAATCATACATCCCACCCCAGACCTACTGTCAGAATCTGCATTTTAACAAGTTCCCCAGGTAAAATTCATTTGTACTTTAAAGTTCTAGAAGCACTAATCTAGAGAACATCTAGCCAACACTCCCGTTGTACGGATAAGAAAACTGAGATCTGATGAAGTAAAATGGCATGTTCAGGGGAACAGCTGGCAGCAGAACGGGGGTAGAACTCAGTGTCCTGATTCCCATTTCAGTGTGTTATTTCACCCTCTAATGTGTGCACAACCCTGTACTGTGCATTTTCACATACCATTGGTCTAACAATACTAATTGCGAATAACTGTCTGCAGGCCAGGACTTCCAATTACAGACTGCCATGCCTGGCCTCCAGGGTATGTGCTCCCTGGGGTTCTTCCTGCATCATCAAATGACTTAGGATATGACCTTTGACAGAGAAGCTGATGTTCTGTGATCAGATTTCAGGCATTGGCCGGCAACTGTGGGAAGACTGG
Source organism: Homo sapiens (assembly GCF_000001405.40). Classification (NCBI taxonomy): domain Eukaryota; kingdom Metazoa; phylum Chordata; class Mammalia; order Primates; family Hominidae; genus Homo; species Homo sapiens. The sequence continues at coordinate 76,038,733 of NC_000006.12, read as the reverse complement.
GGTGGGAGTGAGGCCAAGGTGCTGGATTTCTCTAGAATCACTGTGGCAGTCCCTCCCAGCAGGTTCAAAGGAGGATAGTACAGAACAGGTAAATCAAAGGTTTACAAAAATCCAATTTTGAGAAGTTTTCAGGTCCCTCCCAGCCCTGAGGTCCTTTGATGCCTCAATTTTCAAGGGTTTTTTTGATACTTCCCCAGTAAGGATGGGGGACTATCCTGGTGGGTAAGTGGGCTGGTGATTCCAATCATGGAAAGAGTCTATGCCTCCTGGCTTGTGAGAAGCTTCCAAGAGAAAAATAACATCAGAGGAGCCACAAAAAAAGAAAGCCTGCCCCTCAGAAAGAGTCTGAGATTTCATCCTTAACATTATGATTCCCATAAACTACAATGTCACAGGGAGATAATTTTTCAAGCAACTTCAGACATTATGCTCTAGAAAGAAGATTCTTTCAGGGCCCTTATGGAAGGTTTTGAGTAGTTCTGTGTCCTGTGGTAGGAGAAAGAACATCAGGGAAAGGAGCAGAACTAGGAAGATGCACACAACAAAAATAGTACCTCTTATTTGACTGCTCAACCTCAGTCCCCGCAGCCATATGACAGGGACTGCCTGCAGAAATCTCTGCATAACTGATGATGCATCCTCAGGCTACATAGCACCCAGGAAAATGAACTTCTGTATACATCTGTCTGCATCAGTTATGATGCCTGCCAGTCTGAGTTTGGGCTCAACTGGGAGCAGCTAGGCTCAACGAAGAACACAATTAGTTCAAGACTTAAATTGGAATGAAATAAAAGCAAGTCTTAATCGGAGACCAAAAGCAACACACTCAAGGTTGTGCCTAACTTGTAAACAGAAGAGATTGTCACATAATATCTTCCCCGATGTTTCACACACAGATATTGTCCATGAAAGTCACCAACACTTAGATATTGTCCATGAAAGTCACCAAAGACAGTGCTAGTTTATTTTATGTATTGTTGTATCTCTGACACTTATACTGGTTTTGAATTGAAGTAGCCACAAAATAACATCCCCAGAGAGAGTGTGGAATATGTAAGAAAGAAGGCTAGCAAAGGCAGCTGGTTTGCTTAGACTGGACATACAACTGTTAGGGTCTGGACAAATCTGAAAACATCCAAGTGTTGTTTCCTTCTTGTATATTATGTAGACTATTGACCAGAGATGAAGGGTCAGAGACGGCTTGCTGGTTTGTATCAGAAAAGGCATTAAAACTTCTTGATCCTTGCCTGGCAGTAGACAGTTCACAAAAATGAATTCTGCAAGGTGAGGTATTCCATTGCTTCCCACGTGTTGACACCCTGTTATTTCCCCCAGTGTGAGAAACCAGATGGCACATTTGAGGTGGTCAGGACTGCACCCTCTCCTGTCTTTGTGGGTTACTCATTAAAAGATCAATTACCTTGAAGGTTCTGGTCAGGTTGCTGCTGGTAAATGACCTGAGCTTCTGTTGATCTGGAATTTTCTTCTTAAAACAGAAAGCTAAGAGAAATCCAGACATGGAATAAGTGGGGAGGAAGGAATAACATATAGGCATAAGAGTCTCCAGATTGGTCTCGTCTCACCCTATTCCTCCCCACGGTCCTTTTTCTCAGCACAGCAGTGTTTCTTTAAGTGTTTCTTCAGTAAGTCAGATGGTGTCAGCCTCTGCCCTAAAGGCTCCAATTGTTTCCATTGCTCTAGAGTTAAAAATCAACATATTACAAATGCTTATAGGGAGGCTTCCAACATTTTTTGCTCTCTTAATCCCCTAAAACAATTTTTAGCTATATAATCCCCTCGCATGCTTTTCCATTGACATCTAGTTTTTTGTCAAGTTTAAATTAATAAATAGGATGTAATTTTTGGTGAGTTGTAAATATTGATATTTAAAATAAAACTAGAATTGGATCTTTCTCATGTATCTAGTAGAATCTACCATAGCCACTCAATATTTACCATCAAATTCTTTTAACAGATACGTGAGCAAATTCTTCTTAACAGTAGGAAATGTCACATGGTTACTTTTTCTCCACACATTCACATTTCCATTCTACTTTTCTCCTCAGAGTCTCATTTTAATGTAATTTATGTTTATCCTTGAAAATTTGTTATTGATTGCTCTAAAATACTTTTTTGTAACAAAAATATGAACATAAATTAAAATTACGTTGTTTCTTGTGACTATAAGATTTATATGTAAAAAGAAATTTCTTCTGGATTCAGTTGCATTTATCATTTTAAATATATAATCAATTAAAACTAAACACATATAGTTTTAGTTTTTATTGATGGATGGATATAGAGTGAGATTCAAGTTTTGTGGGTGTTAATGTTTGTAAATACAAAATTGCAAATGCAATATTCTAAACAGGGCTTTGGAAGAAATCAGTGTTAAAAAAGGATCTGTAGCTTATGCTTCCTTAGCTTCTGCCTCTGGATCAAAGTGATTGCTTTGGTTTTGCTCCTCTAATTGTTCATATACAATTAGTCGTTATTTATATTGTGCATTGCTAAAATGAGACAAAGTTTAACATCAATTTTATCCCTATTATTTTACTTAGTTTCAGTTAGGTGTTGAGAAAACTTTAACATCAATTTTATCCCTATTATTTTACTTAGTTTCAGTTAGGTGTTGAGAAAACTTCTTTACATAAATAAGTAGATGGGAACAGATGGAGTTTTGTTACAGCACTGTTCTTATTCTTTAAATTCCTTTGTCATTATATGCCAATAATCACATCATGATCTGTCATCATTATTTTTAATGATCTATCAATCAGCTGTCAACCTATTAGGACTCCTTTTAATTTGTTGAAAGCAAAGAATCATAAATCACCTAGACTGCCAAAATGTGTGTTGTCCCTCAACTCAGTTCACTCCCTTTCTCAAACTCAGTATTGTTACTGCAAATTGCTCCTTGGTGTGATAACCTAGAGGCACCGTGCCACAATAAGAATAGGGATGGATGAATGGGGAAAGGATTGTGATCAAAAGGGAAGTACTAACAAAGAGGTGTGTCTTTAGAGAGACCAATTTTAGGAAAGCCTGCACAGGAAAATGGACACCTGGAAATTGATTCTCTTTAAATATTGTGTGCCTGCTCATCACTTGGAAAGTCTTCAAGGACAGCCAGGGGACCTGCACTCCAGTTTGGAGACTGCTGGTCTGCAAAACCCTACACAATCTGTGTTCACCTTGCCACATTTTTCTTTTTTTTTTTTTTTTTTTTTTTTTGAGACGGAGTTTTGCTCTTGTTGCCCAGGCTGGAGTGCAATGGCGCGATCTCGGCTCACCGCAACCTCCGCCTCCCAGGTTCAAGCAATTCTCCTGCCTCAGCCCCCCAAGTAGCTGGGACTACAGGCATGCACCAACACGCCCAGCTAATTTTGTATTTTTAGTAGAGACGAGCTTTCTCCATGTTGAGGCTGGTCTTGAACTCCTGACCTCAGGTGATCCGCCCACCTCAGCCTCCCAAAGTGCTGGGATTACAGGCATTAGCCACCACGCCTGGCCCTCGCCACATCTTTCTATCTTCATCCTCTATTACTCTCAACCTTGCTCTGGCCACAGTGACATCCTCCCTGCTCCTTCAGTGCCCCTAGCACTCCACAAACTGGGAGACTTTACTTTTCCCAAATGGCTCAAAAGTCACCTTTATAGTGAGGTCTTCCTCAACCACTCTATTTTAAACTGCAGTTTTGCACACACACACACACGCACACACACACACACACGCACATAATATTCCCTATTTTCTTGCTTTCCTTTTTCTCCATAGCATATAGTAAGTACTCAATAAATATTTGTTAAATGAATTAACTTTTAGAGACTGTAAATTAGTGTGTCGACATAAGCCATGAAATAATTTTCCATGTTATTAGACTTTGCTTGGGATTGGGTACGGGGACCCTCTTAGGGCATGGCCATTAATGACTCTGTATTACAGTGTGTCAGGAAGCAGTATGGGAAGCATATCGGATCTTTCTGGATCGCATCCCTGACACAGGGGAATATCAGGACTGGGTCAGCATCTGCCAGCAGGAGACCTTCTGCCTCTTTGACATTGGAAAAAACTTCAGCAATTCCCAGGAGCACCTGGATCTTCTCCAGCAGGTGAGCCTAAACACCACATGGTTATTTGGAACACTGCACGAACAGTTCCCAGGCTCCAGCCCCTAGGCCTTTTGAATTGGTTTCCACAACGTAAGGGTTAATTGAAGAAGTGCTTGGAGGTATCTGATTAGGCCAATAGAAATTTTATTCTTGCAAAATAATATGGTACAGTCAGGTTGAAGTGTAGGTTAAGGGAGAAGGGAATGAAAATTGACTTTAACTCTTCGGTTGGCATTATCTCCTGGTAAAATTACATTTTATCTTTATCTTTTTGCAGAGAATAAAACAGAGAAGTTTCCCTGACAGGCAAGTACCCAAAATAGAGTGTGTGTGTGTGTGCTTTTGAATTTAAAAAGATCATATAATGGAGTGAAACTAAGCTATTCTACCTGTAGGATTTTATGTCAGCCACTAAGAGCTGTGTAGATTATTCTGACAGACAATTCCTGCATATAATGTACTGAAGATAAATCAGTACATAAAACAAAAATAAATAGACCTTATAGATTTAGATAGACATTTGCATTGTTTGCACATAAAATGAATTTATTGCTATGTGATATGTATCTAATGTGCACCTTCACTTATAAGAAATAGAGAAATTAAACTAGTTTGATTTTTAGAATTTATGGTAAACTATTAGTTACATCAAGAAAATATTTAATACAATCAAAGAACAACTTGAATTTTGAACTCTCATTTGGTATTCTGTGAAGTGTTAATAACTCTGAAACTAAATTACTAAAGCTCTAAGTTATATCCTCAACAAGAACTGAATATCAAATAAGAAAATCAAAAAACAAAATAAAGAGAAAAGGAAAACTTCATTAGATTAAATGATTAAAGAAGAGAGATGTTGTCAAACTCTAAACTCACAAATTACATACATCTTATGACATTTAGAAGTCTAAATCTGAAGATAATACTACAAAGAGAGACGCAAATTTGGCCATATGAATTACTGACAATACTTTACAATGCCTTACACATTTATCCCTTTGTTTCTATTCCCTTTGCCACTAACCTAGTCTAGGACCTTATTAATATACTCTGTGAAAAATGTCTAATCTGATCTCCCTGACAGATTTCCTTGCTTCTAACCTCTTCTCCTCAACTTGCACAACTGCTGTTAGATTTATGTCTGAAATATTCCTTTTATTACATTGAGTCTTGTTCAATGGCTTTCAAAAGATTCCTACATCTTCCTCTTGCCATTCTGAATATCCACTCCCAACCTTTTCCAGCCCACCTCCGTGTCTGTGTGCAGGAGGCTGAGTGGTAAGAACTGCATCAGTGGCATCCCTTGCCTCTGGCTTCTGGTTATGGCCAGCCAGTGAGGAGGAAGAAATCAGAGAGAGAAGAGAATGCTGGCAGAAAATTTACACACACACCTGCAGAGTCTTTAAGGCCTATTGGCCTTCTTCAGCTTCAGCTCAGTTCCTGCCTGACTGTTCTTTCCACAGGGCCTTCTCTGTGTCTGGCTCCTGGTCTCCTCTCACCCCTTCTGGCCCCAAGGATATTTTTAGCACCCCACTGTTACTGAACCTCTGGGGTACTACACTCTCCCTTGTGGTTGCTCTTATACTCTTCACACAACTTCATAAATAATCCCTTTAGTGAACTTTGCACAAGTTACCCTACTATGAGAGAGTCATCTGTTTCTTGCTAGAACTTTCACTGAGGCAGAAGCCAAACTAACTAATCCAGACCTTTCACCTCCTGACCTTTCCAACTTGGCCCCCATTATTATTATCCATGATTCCGCGGCTGCCACCATGCCTCTTCCTCACTGCATATCGACCACACCCTACTCACTCGGATTCTGACCCTAGCCTTTCCCTCTTGCTTGGAAGAATCTGCCTTTTCCACTCCATCTATCCAAATTCTACTCTCTTTGAAGCTCCAGGTGGAATCCCACCTCACCAGGATGTCTTAACAGACTATTTGAGTTTGCAGCAATCTCTTCCTGCTTTGAACTTTGTACTCTGTTTGGTACTTGTATTTTTATTGAACAGTCTCTTGCTTTCTCCAGTTTTCCTGTAGGAGTATAAACTCCTCAAGGTCAGGAACTGTTTCATACTTTCCCACCTACTATACAGAACTGAGCAAAATCCTCATATATTTTGTTAATCAATTATGTCTATCAAGCCACTCTTTTATAGATTTTAAAAAGATATTGCCAGGAGAAATAATGTGACTAAGGAAAATCTTAGTACTAGAGTATTACCTTTGCTCACAAAACACAGACATATTGATTCTTCTCATTTAAATATAGGATAATACTTTACTGATTCTTCCATTTTCAAAAAAATACAAAGAAAGCAACGCAGGGTCCATCCATAAGAAAAAAAAATCAACAGAATGTACCAAACCTTGACAGACAACCATTAAAAATTATAAGAAACAATTACCCAAGCCAGAAAGAAAAGGAAATAGAAGCATTTCATCTACTCCTGTGCCTGCCAGCATTTCTGGAGAGAAAGAAAGGAACATGAAACAAATATTTTACATTAGCTATGTTTACCAATTTGTTTTCAAAAAAGAAAGAAAAGAAATTATCTTTTACTTTAAACCTTTCCAAGAAGACAAAACAAAATTTTCTCACCTGACTAACCCGTAAGTCTGCCAGTTTCAAATGACTTTGAAATAAAAGCCAGTGGAAGAACTGAGTAGCTCAGCTTCCCAAATTACAGATCCTCGGTGATGGTATAGATTGCCAGTTTAGTGGCAGAATGACATCTTTTAGTAAAGGACAAGAAAACGTCATCCCACAGAGTCCTGCACAAAATGGACTGTTGACTTGTAACTAATGCAATAGCCAGGATTTTACTAACTATTCTTCTTGGTTACTTTTTTTTACAGCAAGACAGGGAAGGAGATGAAAGTGATATTAACAAGAAGGAGATCTTACTATAAACAAAGATCTGTAAAGTAAAAAACAAACTGTCTAGGCTATAAGTGCTATAATATTTGATATAACGAGAGTTGTTAAATATGGTCTACATAAAAACCATTTATTAAGTACATAGTATAATACCAGAAAAAAATAACAAGAATAGCTAATTTCAAATTCCACTATAGCAGCAAAATTTTTATCTGGCCTGTGTGGACCACTGTAGTCATCTGTGTTTACAACTAACATCTGTTCTGATTGGCCAGAGCCTGTGGCAGGCTGATTAATAATATTTTGTATATTACACATTAACAATATGGCAGAATTGGGTGTGGCAGAAATATGTACATGATACTATTGGCTATGACTAATTCTAGATAACTGTACTGTAAAACAACAGAACACCTAGCCATTACCCTTGGCCTTCCCATCATCATGAGCCACAGAAAATTAGATCAAATATAATGGTCAACTGCTACTATATTATACTAACACAGACACAATGCTTTGGGACCTACTTGCTTATAGTAACAAACCTTTCAGTGAGTTTTAGAAGATATTACTACCACTGTTGCAGGACTTTTCCTTAGTTCAGCTAAAATTGGGGTCCTTGTCCGTCCCACAGCCATGAAAATTTAGGCTTGCAGATGGTTTGAAGGCTGAGTAAGGCAGGGTTTTATTGGGTGGAAAGGAAGAAAAGGGGGAAGCAGGGACACTCACCTAACTAGACTGCTTGCCACCCACAGCTTGAATCCCAGGTTCCGCACCAAACGAGGATGGGCCAGGCTCCTCCTCGCTGCAAATGTCATGAACTTCCAGAGGCTCTACCCCAGTGGACAGGCTGGATGGAGTTTTTCCAGGGACCCCCTCCCCACTTGGCTGTCTCATTCCCCACTCTAAAGAAGTACATCTAACAGTTGTTGGATTAAGAATAAAGACAAAGACCAATCTTAACTGCTTCCTGCTGACAGGGGCTGCTGATTTGGGGAAAAGCAGTCAGAGCTTCCTCAGAGGCCTATTTAAGGATTCCCAGCAGAAGGGGCCATTGTCCGAGGCTCTGGTTGCATGACTGTTTGGAGTCTGATGGCCCTTTTTGCCAGCATGTTGGGCTTCTGGGTTCCTTTCCCCTGAGCCCAATCCTAAGACAACCAGTTTAAGGCTTGGGAAATTAACTCTTTCCAGTTTGGAGGATGCATCTCAGGGGAGCGTATTACCTATCCGTGAAGAGAGAACAGAGGAGGAGAAAGGAGAAAAAGGCATTTTTTAAAGGATTCCCAGGGGTTCAGGATGCATTTGAAAGGGGTACAGACTGAAGATGAATGGCTACCCATCTAGAAAGAGGGGAGCAAGCATCTCTGGTTTCCTTCTCTTCCTAACATATGCCCAAGATACATGAGAGAGAGAATGAAAAGCATCCTCTTTCCCTCCTCCATCCTTGCATCCCCGAATCCCAGTGACCTTGTCAGGTCCCACCATGAGTGCCAAAGCAGCTTACACCCATCAAGCAGGGAGGGCCTTAGAGAATAAGAATGATCTGCTCTCCCTTATGTCTCTATCCCTGCTACTGTCAGTAGCCTTGGAATTCCCTAGACCTCATTTATACCATAGATATTAACATGCCCTTTATCCATGAAACAGGAAGCTTGGGGTTGGCTTAATCGACAGGAATCAGCCATGCTCACCTGCACTGTGCCTTTTAACCTCCGTTGTAATTTGCCTCTGGATACCTCAGATCCAGTTTTCCTTCCTAGGGCTTTTACCTAAAGCTTGGAATTGAGTTTGGGACAAAAATATGTCTCGGGGGGTTACATGGACTCCTTATCAAAAGCCAAATGCTAAGGTGAAACTGTGGAAGTGAGTCCTCCAACAAGGGAGAGAAAAGGATGTCTTGTGACACACCAAGATAACTGGTAGCTATAGTTATGCTTGCTAGAATTTAGGTGCATGGTGCTTGGCTTTGGTTAGTTCCCTTGGTCTTTACTTCCCCAAAAATGAAACCTCCAGGTGATGGGCACCCTATTTATTCCCTATTTATTCCATCACCTGGCAGGATTTGCAGGATAATTGCTCAGAACCAGAATATTGATCCAGATTTCTACATTACCCATCCCTCTTGTTCTTTCTGAGCTGCAGCCAGAGATTGCTGGTTGGTTCACAGGAACAAGCAGGGTTAGTCTAAAATATAGGCAAAATCTTAAAAACAACTAATGAGTTTAGAATTTAATGACAAATGTATGATAAGTTTTGAAACATAATTTCCCTCTCTCCAGTCCTCATTTTTGTTAAAAACAAAATCATAATAGGACTGAGTTGTTTGCAAATAGACTTTGGTTTTAAACTTGGCCTAATTATTTGCATAAAGTGCAGCAAGAATAATTATTTCTACATAAGCCTTTTGGATTGGCTTTGATGGAAGTCTGTTCCACGAGGACTCTCAGGTGAGACCTTTTAATGCTGATCCCAGCTCTGGGTTTGTATCCTCAAATGCCTGTGAGTTGGGTGATCCCCTCCTCTTAAGGTCCAAAGATAAACTTGGAGCTCCTGGACCTGTTAGAAAGTGACATTCTTTACTGACCATAGGTCAAGAACCCTGTACAGGGACTGCATAGACAAGGGTATTAGGCCAGTTTCCCCACTGAGTTTTATTAGTTCTGTAAGTTGAGATTGACTCCTTAAAGGGAAGCATACACTTTCAGTCAAACCCTTGATAAAATACCCAATTTTTCCAATTGTGTCTTGTTGCAAAAGAAAAATGGATTCTTATTGCACTGATGCAAACAACTATATTGCCGTAAGTTAAGAATACTCACAGATAGTTTCCAAATTCGAAAGGAACCAGGCAGAGAGAAACAAGCATGCTCCAAATTTTCACCCCAGGAGTATACCTTACTTAACTTTTTTTTTTTCTTGAGACGGAGTCTCGCTCTGTCACCCAGGCTGGAGTGCAGTGGCACGATCTTGGCTCACTGCAAGTTCTGCCTCCCAGGTTCAAGCCTCAGCCTCCTGAGTAGCTGGGACTACAGGCACCCACCACCATGCCTGGCTGATTTTTTCTATTTTTTAGTAGAGACGGGGTTTCATCATGTTAGCCAGGATGATCTCAATCTCCTGACCTTGTGATCCACCCGCCTCGGCCTCCCAAAGTGCTGGGATTACAGGCGTGAGCCACCGTGTCCGGCCCTTACTTGTTAAAGGCTATAAATAGTTCAAAATAAGTTTCCTTGACTCTGAAAAATAAAACAAGGATCAGCAGTATTCCAAGAAAAAGTCAAAAGTTGCTTCAGCTTTCTGAGTTCTGTCCATTTAATTAACTCTTGTTTGGTTTGATATTCGTGAGCATTTCAGCTCCTCATGAGTCCTGTACATTTTCCTTTATTCCAATGTTACAATCTCCAAAGTTAACAGAATCATGTATTTGCGAGCACCTGTTAAAGTCCTGCAGCTTATTATAAACTATCTTTTGAAAAGGATGAAAACAAGACAGCAATTGTCTGTGAATAGCAAAACGTCCAGTGTAGTTACAGTTAGGAACACAATTGACAAATTTGGTTATCTCCATGGTTTACAATAACTTAACAACATTAATTATGATTGATAGCATACATTTAGATATTAGAATTTTTGAAATCCCATAGAATTTTGGAACATAGATTAGCATTATTTACCAAGATATGAACTAAAGAAGAGTGAACATGATTTTGACAATCCCAGGTACCTAAATATGTTGAATAATCCTGCTTACCTCTTTTCTGGACATTCTAGGGGCTCTCTGGACTATCCAAAAAGCCAGGTGTCAGGAAGGACAATTTTGAAACTGAAGTTTGATTTTGAGAAGCCTTTTAAATATGTCTAAAGCACTTGATATTATGAAACATAATTCCAGATAGCCATAAATTATTTATTGTGCCAAAATGATGACTCCAAAATCTTAAAGAAGCAAAAACCTTTTATAACCCTTTACAAATTTTGCCAAAGAGCAGATTAGTGCCTGAAGAAAATTTTGTTATGGTTTTATCTCAATGCTCAATTTACGGAAAAAACCATATAATACCTTTTTTTGAATAGTCAATATGTTCACACAAAGAACCTCTTCTGCAAGAGTAATTTCCACAATTCTTCCAGCACTTCTTTGAACCTTCAGCTTTTTTCTATATAATTTAATACAATCCTTTAACCCTAGGCCAAAGTTTACATTTCCATGCCTTCTTATAACCTTTTACTATAAAAACACATTTTACTATTCTTACACCCCTTACATGTAAATCTAATTTCAGTAGTTTCAATTACATGGTATAATGTTAACTCCTAACAATTTTTAACTTTAAGGTAAAACCTGGTAAGTTACTTTAATTGTGTGCTGACTGCAGCCGAGGTTTGCCTTTTTAGTTAAGGGTGTAATTAATTTCATATGTCCCCAGGCCTTACCTATTGTGAAGCCAACAAGACAGACAGTTCTCAAAACCCAAAAAGCAGTTTATAACCTCAAAACACTTAGCAAACCTTGCATCTGACCTGCATAGTTTAGTTCACCTATTTACATTTTAATGACACCTTCATTTTACCAATAATCTTTAAGGCTGTTTTTATTTCTTAAAGAGTAAAGTCACATGCACTGCAAGGTACTACAGCTTTTAACTTCCCTTAAAAAAATTAGATCCAAGTGCTTGTCTTTCTTTAGGCCAAATTAATTACAGCTCTTTGACAGACGTTACACACAGTACACACACAGAGAGGCAGAAGAAAACCTAGTCACTGAATGGGGCTATTTAAGAGACAGATTTAGAAAAACATGCAGATATTGAACCAGAAAGGGCTCATTCCATAAGGCAAAGTCTTGCCACTGGAGTTACAAGCCATGCCCTCAGGATGTATAACAAAATGGAGGCTTGATTTAACAACCAAAACTTTGCAGAGAACACAGTGATAGTTGTTGGGGGTGGGGGTCTGGCCTGCTAAAGGGGAAAAAGAACTTTAAAGGTTAACTGCAGACAGGGTGGAGAAGAGAAAAGAAAAAAAAACATTTAAAAATGCCTGGGGAAGAACCTCTTACTCTTATGCAAGTTCCTCCACCAGGGAGAAAAGTTTAATTACTGTCCGATGGAGCTGAACCCTTTGTCCAGGGAAGCAGAAGGCTGCTGTGGTGATGCATAGCTGGGAACAAGCCAGCCAGCTGTGTGGGACCCTTGGACCATACGTCCCAGCCCCAGCAGGGAGGGGAGAGCAGCGGGGAGCTGCTGCTCACTGCTCCTTTTTTGACCCTGAGAATGGAAGGAAAGGGCCATGAAAAGGCCCAGGAGCAATGGGGTATGGGGGCATGGTTTCCCCCACCCTGAGAAGTCCAAGGATGAAAAGGCTTAGAAGCAACAGCGAGAGGATTTGAGTCCCCATTTCACTCACCACTTCTCGAGCCCCACGTTGGGCGCCAAAAAATGTTGCAGGACTTATCCTTAGTTCAGCTAAAGACAAGGTCCTTGTCTGTCCCACAGCCATGACAATTTAGGCTTGCAGATGGTTTGAAGGGTGAGTAAAGCAGGGTTTTATTGGGTGAAAAGGAAGAAAAGGGGAAAATAGGGACTCTTGCTAGCGCAGAGTCCCTGCTAGAGTGCTTCCCGCACAGAGTCCCTGCTAGAGTGCTTCCCGCATGCAGCTTGAATCCCAGGTTCCACACAGGAAGAGGAGGGGCCAGGCTCCTCCCCACTGCAAACTGCACAAACTTCCCAAGGCTCCATCCCTGAGGGCAGGCCAGTTGGAGTTTTTGGGGGGACCTCCTCCCACCTGGCTCTCTCACCACTACTCCTTTCTAAGTAAAGCTTGTTAGAATGGGCCAATATTATACACAAATAGCTCTACCACCATGACCTTGGATCTGCTCCTAGAATCTCTTCCACATCATCATTCCATGGCACTGAGAACCTACCCCCAACTTCCTGGCTAGTTACCATTACAGACAGTGGCTGTGCCCAGAATACAGATTTAGTAAATTTATATTACCCAGAAATCTATCTCTTTCCCATTACTGTAACCACAAGAGTTACTTTATTAGATAAGCTTAATGACTCTGGATATGCAGGCTTGAGGGTCTGAGATTTTAGCAAGAATATTTCAGTCACAGATCATGTCATCAATTATCTCTGATGTCAAGAACACAGTGTAAGTGGAATGGAACTACAACATTAGACCCCAAAGACCAGCTTTGCCTACCACAGAACCCCAGGACCACAAAAAAAAGGATGCTTACGGAAAACACTGGAGTCAAACATAACCATTTTGGAGAGTTTTTTGCATTTTTCCTCAATGAGAATATATTCAAATATTACTTCTGTAGTTTAAAAATAGGTCAATCTAGTTTTAAAGTATGCTTTTCCTATAACTTTTAGGTTTACTCAGTATAAGAAATTTAAATGTATGTTCTCTACTGTCATCAAGTTCTCTTTCACCACCTCTTCCTTCTTTTCTATTGTACTAATAGAAAAGATGAAATATCTGCAGAGAAGACATTGGGAGAGCCTGGTGAAACCATTGTCATTTCAACAGGTAAGCTTAGATCTAATTTCTTTGCTTCTCAACTTTCATTCAAATCATCATGATAGCATGTTATTTATAAAACAATTCCTAATTAAAGATAATGTTTATAATGTACTTTCTCAAAACTAGCTTATATTTCTAACTTTATAACATAATTTAAATTTATTGCATACAACTTGGAAAATACAGAAAAGAATAAAGGTAAAACCAAACCATTCAATATCTTACAGTTTGGAAACAACCATCATGAACATTTACTGCCTATTTTCTGCCTTCTTTCTTCTATTATATACACATATTACTGAGACCATATTTACTTAGAGTTTGTATCATTTTTTCCACTTAACCTGATGTAAAGGATATTTTATAGTTCACTAAAATTTCTTCAAAGTTATCATTTTAATGACTTGCAACATTCTGTTGCATCCATATGGATGTCATCAACTTAACCATTGCATCATTGTATCTGACATTACAAATAGTGTTTTAATTAAGATATTTAAACATAAATCTTTGTCAAATCACTAATTTCTCAAAATAGATTACTAAGTCAAACACTATGGATTTTAAGGCTTTTAATAAATTTTGCCAAATTTTTTTTCCAGAAATTTTGTTACAATTTAAATATCCCACTGGCAGAAAAGACAAGAACCTGTCTCATTGCAGCACTTATCAATATTGAATATTACTATTTATTCTAGAGTTTGCCAAAAGGCAGAGGAAAATCATTTCTCCTGTGTTTATTAGATGTTTGAAATTTCTCTTTCATGTATATTTCTATTGCAGTCTTCCCATTTTCACATAAAAGAATACTTTTAAATATACACAATAAAACTATTCTCTGGGCAATGTGTTCCCCAGTTCATTTGATTTTTGGTAATGTGAATAATGTTTTAAGAAATTAATTTTTCATGACTTAAAATGTAGAAATTGAGAAAATAGATATTTGTAAATAAATGATATTACTTTCCCATTTCTTCCTTTACTGACATTCAGAGAAAGCCGGCTGTGCCTATATTTCAATTTTCTCCTAAGTTCAGCTAATTTATCATTTCTGGACTGACTTGTAGCTAATAATAGGACAAGCCTAGTTGAATTTTAATTATAAAATGACAGTAAAATGCATTTTTAACAATAAAAAGAAGAGCTACATAGTTAATTCCCCCATATAAACAGCTCAAATTTGACCTGTGACACCTAATATCAAGTCTTATTCAAAAAGGTATTATTTAGAGGAGGAGCATATAAACATGTAAAAAGACGTTTTGTACTGACTTCATTTTAATATGGGAAAACAAAATTAATAAGAGAATTGAAATTTGTATTTCTACTTTAAACTTGAAGGTAATGTACTTTAGCTGATAGAAACTTTTGTAATAACAAGATTAGATTTAGTAAGTTAGAGTAAGTTAATATGACCCCTTTCTTATAAATTATTTTTCATTTTTTTAAATAAAAACTTTGAGGGATCAGTGGACAATTCATATATTATAATATAATATGATATATCATCACCATATATTTAAGTTCTAGCAACAAATGTTTTAGAATTATTTCCCCAGTACTTCTGGACACCTCCAGTTGAAGTATACACACAGAACAGTTAAGATTAGATTTTGATTGGGAAATGTTACTAGGTGCCTAGGTGTGAAGGAAGAGTGAGAAATCTCCAAAAGAGGCTGAATGTGCTCGAAGACAAACCCAGGCTACCTAATAATTGTTTTTAGGTGTAAGTATGTGAATAATTTATCTTTTCAAGGCAATAAAATGGAAGGATAGCCAAATAAAAATTTGTTCTTCTAGGGTACCAGCTAAGTACTTTTTTATTGTAACAAAAATTGTAGCATAAACCGATTATTCATAGAATTACAAAGTTTGAAGGTGCCTTACATTGGTAATAGTCTGATGAAGTCCAGAGCACAGAACACCTCCATCCCAATTGCTCACAGCAGGATTCTTCAATGAGGGCAGAAGGGGAAGATGCCAGGGACCACATCCTTTGAGGTTCTGATATGCCACAGGGTATGTACTTTATTAGCCAAAAAACTGCCTTGCCTAGATGATTCTGATACCCACTCTCACGCCCCCACTAGGAAGCACAATTCCACACCCAGGGCAATTACTTCACAGAGCCTCACAGTGACAAGTAACCACTTGTGACCGCAGATTCCCAGGTACCACATACTCTTCAGGGAGTAAGGAAAGATTGAATCATTTTTCAGTATATCTTGTTTTCTAAAACACAAGAATAAACTAAGGCATTCTATGTTTTTGCCTAATTAAGGTTGAAATGGAAAGTTGTTTCTGGCTAAATATAAACCAATTAACTATAACACTATTTTCTCTGAGCATTTTTTTAAATAATAATTTATTACAAAATAGAAATGCATTTGTATTATAATAACGCTTTTTTCTTTGCTTGAATAGAACCCAGACTTGCACTCTATGAAGATCTTTAAAAATATCAAAACATTTGCCACATATTTGAAATGGTTTATGGTGATCTGTTCTAAAAGAAGTGAAATTCATAGCATCTTAAATGTTCTTTCATCTCTTGGATTTTCTGATTAAAATCTTATTCCTCAATGATTGCTTAAGCAATCTACATTTTAAAGACTTGGGCAGTATTCTAAGAAAACCCTCAGAAGAGCAAATTCAAGGTAAACATCTGCCTATGTGTCCTTTATATAGTGTCATTAAGAAAAAATTAATCAGGTCTCATCTGGCAAAAGCATTTAAGTATAACACATACAGGGAAGCACCAAATTTGGGTCCTTAAGAGAAAGAATGAAGAATTTAGGACAGAGTATGAGTCATATTTTTTCAAGAACATATTTACGTGATCTTAAAAAGATGAGTTCAGAAGGCACCTAATATCTGTAAATTCCAGAATGACAGAAAAAGCATATTGAATTTTGACCTCGTTCTAATTTAAACTCCTCCATTCTCATTTTTGTGTCTTTAATTTTTAAAATTTTCACAGATGTTGCCAACGTCTCACTTGGGCCTTTCCCTCTCACTCCTGATGACACCCTCCTCAATGAAATTCTCGATAATACACTCAACGACACCAAGATGCCTACAACAGTAAGAAGTTCCTAGAGTTGATCTAGCTCTTCATGTGCCTGTTTTTGTTCTTTAGCAAAACAGGAAAAGAGAATGGATAAACCATCCTTTAAATAATATTAGTGCTGTATTTTTGTGACTCTGGTTAAGAGTCAGTGACTTTGTTCTATTCTTTATTCTCACTTCTTCCTAGGTACTGAGGGGGGAAGCATAGATTAAGACCTAGAATAAAAGGGGAGGAGTTACAAGAAACAATTTAATTATAAGCTGTGGAGTGCTGGGGCTCTTTTTCCCCAGCACCTAACAAAACCTTATATATATATATAACAAAACCATATATATATATATATATATATATGCTCTCCAAGTGTTAGAATGAATGAATCAATCAATCAATCATGAAGCTCTTTCACCACTGAAGTATAATTCCACATTGACAACAAGAGTGAAGGTTTTGTTCTCAGTTATGTCCGGGATGAATAGGTCAAATAGATATCAAAATGATCAAAATCCTGTGTGTAAAACTAGGGAAAAATAAACACAGTGTTCTAAGGCAAAGAGGAGCACTGGCCACCACTCTGAGTGTGAAGGTATGTGGGATGAGAGGATGGTTACAGAATTTAATTGTGGAAGAAGGGAAACACTGTCCTCATTGTCGACAAATTGTCGAACTCTGTAAAATATTTGAAGAGATTTATTCTGAGCCAAATATGAGTGACCATGGTCCATGATACAGCCCTCAGGAAGTACTGAGAGCATGTGTCCAAGGTTGTCAGGGTGAAGCTTGGTTTCATACGTTTTAGGGAGGCATGAGACATCAATTAAATACATTTCAGAAGTACATTGGTTTGGTACAGAAAGGCGAGACAATTTGAAGTGGGGAGGGCTTCCAGGCTATAGGTAAATTTAAACATTTTCTGGTTGACAATTGGTTCAGTTTGTCTAAAGACCTGGGATCAATAGAAAGGAAATGTTCCGGTTAAGATAAAAGGTTGTGTAGACCAAGGTTCTTTTGAAGTTTCATAGTGGCTGCCCTTAGAGACAATAGATGACAAGTGTTCCCTATTCAGACCTTTAAAATGTGCTAGACTCTCAGTTATTCTCTTCAGGATTTGGAGGGCCTGAAAGAAAATGATCTAGCTATGTTAATAGAGATTCTTTACAGATGCAAATTTTTACCCACAAAGGATGACTTTGCATGGCCATTTCAAAATATGGCAAAGAGACATGTTTTGGAGTAAAAACAAGTTGATTTTCTTCTTTGTCACATAATGTTATGCCAGAGTCAGATTGGAAAGTAAGTCACACTATATATATAGGGTTAAATAAAACCCATCTGATGAGAATTTATGGTTTGTAGGGCATGACTCCCCAAACCCCTTAGATAGGAATTTGGGCAAGATAAGAAAAACTCAGAGCTTAGTCCTCACTCATTAGCCATGTGTGTAGAGCTTTGGCTGCACAAAGTAGGCAGTAGGCCCCAAAGGAGGCAGTAGTATAAGGAGTGGCAGACTAGAACCTGGCATCTCACACTGCCACTACCACCAGACCTACCACCCCTGGGGCCTGAGAGGTGACTCCTCTAACCCTTTCCCCTTCATTACAACCTCTCTCCAAGGCACAGGTCAAAGCTTCAGGGCAAAGGCACAAAGTTCAGCCTCACCAGCTCTACAAGATAAATCAGAGATTAGACCTTGCTGGCCATCCTATCTGCCCATTAGGCCACATGGTTCCAGTTTTGGTTGAACTGCTGGCATGAATAAAGAATGAAAATATTGTATTTCGGCCAGGCATGGTGGCTCATGCCTGTAATCCCAGCACCTTGGGAGACCAACATAGGAGGATCACTTGAGCCCAGGAGCTCAAGATCAGCCTAGGCGAGACTGGGAGACCCCATCTTCACAAAAAATTTAAAAATTACCTGGGCATGGTGGTCCATGCCTGTAGTCCCAGCTACTTGAGAGGCTGAGGAGGGAGGATTGCTTGAGCCCGGGAGGTTGAGGCTGCAGTGAGTTGTGATCGCCATTGCACTCCAGCCTGGGTGACAGAGTGAGACTCTGTGTCAAAAAAATAAATAAATAAAAGAAATAAATAAAATATTGTATTTTTCTGAAAAATGTTCTTCCCTCAACAGTGAAAAGTACTGTTGGAAAAAATTGTTGACCATAATTCAGTATATATTCACTATAAAATTTCTAAGACAACTCATCTCTCATCTCTTTTCTCACAACCCCTCTGTCCCATCTTCTTCAAAAGCTAATATAAGTTCTTCTCTCTGGTTAAATATCCCCAGAATATTTCATTTCACAGTCATTTAAATGTTCCATGAAACTTCCAATTTGCCTAACAAAATGGAATACTTCTAAAGAATACTGCATGTCAGACTTTTCAGTGTCCCATTGATCCTAGCACCATGCTACACCCATACAGATGCTCAATGTGTGTTTTTTTGAATGAATGAAAGTCTTTTAAACAAACATCAGAAGTCTTTTAAATGTGAATCCACATCCTCCTTGTGTCCTACTAAAGTTAGAGAGAGGCTGTAGTATTGTCCATGCCCATGGTGGAGGGGAGTTTGTGACAAGAAATGAGGAGGAAATACATATGCTACCATTTATCCAGTTGAGCTCTGTCCCTCAGGGCAATTTCCATTAACTGTTCTCTTCTTTCAGCTTCTGTAACTCTGATTTCACTATAAGAGACCATGTACGTAACCAGAGATATTCAATTTTCCGCAGAGATAATTTTACTTTTTTAAGAAAACTAATGGGCCTTAGTATCTTCTGGGTATCCAAGGTTGAAAACTCTGTCAAACCCAAGTTTGAAACTGAGCTCTGGGCTTGCTCTGTGTCCTGGAAGCCCATATGAATTCAGAGCAATGAGAAACCCCTGCTGGTTTCCAGACCAACAGGCAAGAAGGATGACCTCTTGGCCCTTAGTGATGGAGACCAAGTCCAGATCCTCAGAACCATGCCTCCGTTCTTAGCCACCTGCTTCCAAAGGTGGCCCAAATACATCATTCCTTCTGAGAGAAATTTCAAACTTTCTCTTGGCTTGATAGTATTTTCTAACTAGTTTCAATGTGAAATTTAAGCACAAATTTTCTCATTAAACCAGTCTAGGCTCTTCTCTAAGTTCTAGTTAAAAGGATTTTGATTGCAAAACACTTAAGCCTTCATAATCCACTTCTTGAGACAGTATCAACATATATTATCTAAAATAACCATTTATTTGTGGTTTAGGTTAACAGAAGTCCTTTTTTTTTTTTTTAAACTCAGGAAAGAGAAACAGAATTCGCTGTGTTGGAGGAGCAGAGGGTGGAGCTCAGCGTCTCTCTGGTAAACCAGAAGTTCAAGGCAGAGCTCGCTGACTCCCAGTCCCCATATTACCAGGAGCTAGCAGGAAAGTCCCAACTTCAGGTGAGTAGACCCGGCCCATACAACCACACCTCAAGCTGTGACTGAGAGGTGGGAGCCGATAGGACATAAACCCTTACGGCGAACAGTTCCAGCTTCTCCTGGCATTCATGTTTAACCATTTAAAAGAAAACCAAAATTACAATGGGCCCTAACATGTTAGAACAAATGGATCTCCAGGAAAGTTTTTCATTCCAGCCTTTCTATTCTCAAAACTTGCAGTGGTCCCCACCTGCCCCCTCTATCCACAGTTTCGGTTACCCTGTCAACCATAGTCCAAAAATATTAAATTGAAAATTCCAGAAATAAACAATTCATTAAGAAGGTCAATAGTAGCCTAACATATGTCACAACTTCTATACCATTTACCTTACTTCGTCTCATCACATAGGCATTATATTGAGAGAGAGAGACCACATTCACATAACTTTTCTTGTAGTGTATTGTTACAATTGTTCTATTTCATTATTAGTTATTGTTGTAAATCCTTTGCTGTGCCTAATTTATAAATTAAACTTTATCATAGGTATGTGTGTATGGAAAAAAAATGTAGTATATATGGGATTAGGTACTCTCCACAATTTCAGGCATCCATAGGGTCTTGGAATATACCCTCCACCAAGGATAAAAAGGGACCACTGTGTTTACATTTATCTTTCTTCAAAAATTAGTAGGTTTTGCCAACCGCGGTGGCTCATGCCTGTAATCCTAGCACTTTGGGAGGCTGAGGCGGGTGGATCAGGAATTCGATACCAGCCTGGCCAACATGGCAAAATCCCGTCTCTACTAAAAATACAAAAATTAGCTGGGTGTGGTGGTGGGCGCCTGTAATCCCAGCTACTCGGGAGGCTGAGGCAGGAGAACCGCTTGAACCCGGGGGGCAGAGGTGGCAGTGAGCCAAGATCGTGCCACTTCACTCCAGCCTGGGTGAAAGAGTGAAACTCTGTCTCAAAAGATAAGTAAACAAATGTAAAATAAATAAATAAATAAAAATTAGTAGGTTTTAAAATCTCATTGAACTGAAAGACATTATGCAGCTGCTCTATGCCTAGATGACCATTATGGTGATGGTTTCACTGGTATATACTTATAGACAAATTCATCAAGATGTATATATTAAATATGTACAGCTTTTGATATGTCAATTATACCTCAATAAAGTAGATTTAAATAAAACAAAATGACTATGTAGGCACCAAGTAGAGAAGATGCTGGGTTAAAGTATAAATTATTAATTCATAATACTTTGTCTTTATATAATATTTCTATTTTTACAGTTTGATGCAATTTAAAGACACAATATTTTTCATGGGTGATAAGAGGAAGGCAATTATATTGTCCATGTCATCAATTAATAAACTGAGGAGCTTTCCCAAGATGTCTCTTCCATCTCTGACCTTTGTTATATCTGTCTGTCTCTAATTAAATTCAAATCTCTTCAATTCCCTGCAGGATAAATCCAGCTACTATGCTGAGTGTGGCATCTATATACCATAATAAGATCTCTGCCTTTTTTTTTTTTTTTGAGCCTCACCATATACCAGTTCCTTATCATCCCCCTCCTTTTCACTCTAGTTTCCAGGAATGCAAACTATTTCCAATTTGTCCCCCCATTTAGCCTTTACATGTGCTGTCTGCTCTGTCTAGAATGCCCTTCTCCAAGTCTTGTTTTACATACTTCAACATGGAAAGTTCCCTCTATCCATTCTGCATCCAGTGTCTCTCCTGGGCTCACTCATTGCTTTCACAACACCCTTTCTTGAGACTGCTTGCTTATGTGTCTATGGCCTTTGCTATCTCTACTCCTTCCTCTTCATTCACCCCACTCATCACCACCAGGCTATGAGCTTCTCCTAGAGAACAGGAGCTGTTCTTTTAATCTCTGATGCCTAACCTTCTAATACAGAGTTTGGGATGCAGTTAACTACTCAGTAATTGTTTGTATAAATGCAACTGAAAATAGAAGCATCCATGAGATTACGTAACCAAGAACTACAATGTGGACAACAGGAGTGCACACGAATCTTACTCAGCATGGCCAGGGAACAAACAGGCCCCCTTCTCATACTTGGAGAATTCAATACGTACCTCTTCTCACCCTGAGAGGAGATGAATAAGTGAAACATTCTTAACCTCCAGCCTCTCTCTGCATCAGCATTCAGCCAATAAAATGTAAAGAATTATTTCTATAAATGTCAAAGTAAAAGAATCAGCATGGGGCATTTATGAACCAGAAAACTACTCAGACATGGATTATTAGACCAAATGAATTAAAGAATAGTTTGTTAACATTTCCATTTGTTCTTTGGAACATTCTTTTTGGCAATTCCTTAGTATAGTCAGAGTATCTTCAAAGTAGGATAATTGGCCATAGACTTTTTGATGATCTATTGTCAATTTTCTAAACACTTACAACAATCTGATGTAGAATAATGCAAATATATTGGGATTTTTAAAAAATCAGAGTTCTAGTCCTGTTTTTGCCAAAAATTAGCTCTGAGAAATTGGAGATCCCTGGCCTAACTTCCTTGCTTAGAAATTGTAGAAGATGACCTCAGAGTTCCTTTCCAAGTCTAAACTGCTGTGTATAGACATAATAGCTAACACTTTTCTTAATGCTTTATATGTACTAACTCATTTAATTTTTCATGCAATTCTGTAAGTGAGTAATATTATTTCCTCTTTTTGTAAGAGGTAACTGAGGAAAGGAGATTAATATGTCCAACGGTGCCACTTTTATTGTCTGGCAAAGCCAAGATTCCAACCCAGGCAGCCTGGCACCAGAACTCTTGCTCTTAACCACCATGTCATGCCTCCTATTTTTCCCAGATAAATGTTTGTGGGAAGGGACTATTGTATCATCATCAAATGGGCATGTCTTTTGTCTTTTTCTTTCTTTTTTTTTTTTTTTTTTTTTTTTGAGACAGAGTTTAACTCTTGTTGCCCAGGCTGGAGTGCAATGGTGCCATCTCAGCTCACTGCAACCTCCGCCTCCTAGGTTCAAGCGATTCTCCTGCCTCAGCCTCCCAAGTAGTTGAAATTACAGGCAGGCACCACCAAGGCTGGCTAATTTTGTATTTTTAGTAGAGACAGGAGTTCACCGTGTTGATCAAGCTGGTCTCGAACTCCTGACCTCAGGTGATCCACCCTCCTCGGACTCCCAAAGTGCTGGGATTACAGGCGTGAGCTACCGCACCCAGCCAAATGGGCATGTCTTGCTAGCCTCTGAAAAACTTATAAGCCAAAGAAGAGTACATCCTGCCCAATCTTGTTCCAGAGACCCCTGGCGTCAGTGCTGCTGGTTCCATTTGCACAGTCGTCACTGATTTCTCTAAGATTGAACCCCTCTGCTTACAACATCTGTTCCCTCCCCAGGCTCCCTAGCAGGGCCCCAACCACCTCACAGCCTGCCATCAGATAACTAATCAGCCCCACCACAGCCCAATGCCTGCATTAGCACATTCAGGCCTAATCAGGAATTAATGGACAGTGCTTCGCAGTAATTTAATTTCCACAATAAACCTAATGAGCAATTTAATACAAATGTCAAAAGGAATCATTTAGTTGTTGTCTGAATGCTTTCTCCTGTGCAAACCTTCATGAAAACTCAACACAGCTGCCTTTTTATAGCCCAGTTAACATACATTCCAGCAGAATCAGGGAGGCCCCTGTGCATTTAGTATTATTAATAAGGTTAACTGGGCACTTAATTAGCAATTTAGTGGTTAGTGCTCCATGACTAGAAGGTCCCCAGAAGATTATTTAGCAGAATTAACTGAGGCTTTTGTCATATCCTCCCTAGATGCCTTCCTCACACTCCTAAACAAAGCTGACTCTTAATCAATCCCAGATAGGTTCACAAAGAGGGCATGGACATAAACAATAAATCCCTTCCACCCAAGCCAATGCCATGGAGCCCTCCTGGAGAGGAGGAGGGCTCTCCCCCGCAGTGCTCCCTGTTGCTGATGCTGCAGCTGCAGGCATCTACAATGCCAGTCCCAGGGTCGATTGACTGTTTTCATGTATATAACAGCATCTCTGGTATCCTGGAGAAGAAAAATGGATGATTCAGGATCTGAATCTGCTGCTCCAGAAACTGCAGCTCATGTTTAAATGTTAAATCCCTGGAGCTGTTACTGAAATAGCATGGCAAATTCCCTGTGGCCCCAAAGCTGTTTGTCCTAGGAAGCCACAGCAGATGTGAAGCATGTACACAGACCTTCCTGCCTGCCCTCAGAATAAAGACTAGCTTTGCAGAACCCAACCTCCTAGATTTCTGTTGAGCCCATGGCAGGGTGTGGGTGGAGACACAGAAACTCGCTCCCCAGGCCTTCTGCCCCTGACCTCTACAGGGACCCTCATCCTGTCCTTCCTCCCTCTGAGTTTCAAAAATGACTAACTAAAGACTTGCTCTGCTCTTTCCAGGCTCCATGCCGTGTGCTCACTTGGGGGAGTAAGAGAAAAATGGGCTCTCAGGAGCTGGCAATCCAGCAGGAGAAGTAGAGAATAAGAAAGTAAATAATACAAATCACTAACTGCCCAGCTGTGTACCAGGCACTTGTTACTTATTAGTTGTCATTGTTATTCCTTTTTGGGTAAGGAGACCAAGATTCAGAGAGATTAAGCAATAAACTCAGGATCTTGCAGCTAGAAAGTAGCAGAACCAATATTTAAACCCCATCCCGTACAAAGAGCTCCGGATCACCCAAAAGCTGAGCTACCTTCATCACTGTGATTCCTCTTATGTTCAGGGAATGAAACTGCTTTTAATATTGTCACAAAAAATATGTATATAATTAGAAGGTAAATCAGTCTGCTGGGGGAAAAAATTTGTAATGCAGTCTAAAGCCCAGTGTAAGTGATTTGGGGATTATCTGTGTATCACTGCTCTAGTCCTTCACACGAACAATGTAAAGTTGGCAGTAATTTTTGATGTGGTGACAACACAGTGGAATGGTAGTGAATTTAGAGAATGAAGAGATGCACTCAACTGAATTAAACAAAATGTGCTGGGTCCCTACTATGTGTATGACAATCTGCTAGATGGAATGAGGGAGGTAAAGAAAAATGAATAAACAGGACATGGCCAAGGAGCATGATCTCGGTGAGGGAAACTGACATGTACCTCACAGACTTTTATGGGGTATACTGCAATAAACTCTAGAGTAGTAGAGAGAAGAAATAATTGAACCTGACTTTGGGGCTCTACAAATGCTTTTCAGTACAGAAGATGTCTGAGCTGGCTTTGAAAATGGGTGCAGTGTGGGGAGGAGGGAAAGTTAATAAGCAGAAGGTGGAAAAATTGAAGAGAAAATAATTCATAGGAACTTGAAGACATAGAAGTGTATATTGTATGTGGGAAGGAACAGGGGTCAGTTTAGTGTCAGTAAAGGACAAGATATTGGCCAAGGGGATAATGATGGCAGGAAGTGAATGGTAAGGTACCTGGGGGTGGGGTGCAGATTCTGGAGGGTCTTAAATGCCATTCTAAACAGTTGGATCTTGTTCAATGGGTCCAGCAATGAACTGTTAGTACAGATTCTTAGTAAAAAGATTAACTTCAGAATAAATGTAGTCAAGGAGATACCTTCTCCTTCCTCCTCTCCCAACACACCCAGAAAACCATTTCTTCTCTGCCCACTCACACACATAAACCCATTTCAGCAGTGCAGGAGTAGGGATAGGGAGGGTATGCCAGACCTGTGAATGAGAACATGGTGAAAACAAAAGACCTTGTGGAATTCAAACCAACCAGAGTCGGTGGCTGCATGTGGGGGGTGGGAGGGAAGGTATCTAGGGATGCTGCGCTTTCTAGAATGGAAGACAGTCGGGGTTCATGACCCTGTCTGAGGCAGAGAGGCTGAGGACAAAGGCAGACTTGGGAAGAAGAGAATGGCTCTGGTTTGGGCAGATTCATTTAGTGGCAAATGTTGGGATATTTATGTGGAGAACTCAAGGCTGCGTATCACTGATCAATTAAGCCATGGGAGAAAATGATATCCCCCGGGGACAAGGATAGGAGAGAGGGGACAGGGAAGAGAGGAAAGGGATGGGTGTCTGCTCACCTGTTCAGTTTCACCTTTCACCCTGCTCTCTCTCCCAAGCTTCACTACTCAACCACTATCCCTTCCTCAGTCTCTCTTGCCTCCCAGTCTCCAACAGGAAAGCTGGATGGGGCAGTACTTGTCCATGTGACGGTGTCCCCAGAGCCTAGCACAGCATCTACAGTCGAGCTTCCAGAAGAAAAGAGAGAGTGACTGAGTGAAGCAGGAGGCTGAAGATGGAAACTCGAAGGCTCCTTATGTTTAAGTAGAAAGTAAATACAGAAATAGGGTGGAGCAATGAAGATGGAGAGAGTGGTCAGAGAGGTGGAAGAAGAACCAGGAAAGAGCAGGGACACTGTAGAGGGGGAACAGAAATTGCCACTGGATTTAGAGAGAGCTGGAGAGACAGTGGCCTGGAGAGAATGGCCAGGCTGTAGTAGCTTAAGGATTAGTTAGTACAGCAATTATAAAATATTATAACAGGCCTCATTAGTAAGGTCAAATTAATTAAGAAAATTTATTGTGAAGTCCATATGAATCTAAGAGTAAATCTAATCTATTAGATTAGAATCTATTTCTACCACTTTAAGTACAGCAGCCATTTTGAATGTAATCATCCCTTTCACATTATAGATAATTTCCAAACCATATCATTAATTCAGAAAATATCATAGCTAAAATATTATAGCTAACTCTAGTTATAATTATAGTCAGAAAATATTACCCTATGTGTATAAGTAAAACTCCTGTAGACAAAAAAGTTTTCATGTCCTTTGTAGGGACATGGATGAAATTGGAAACCATCATTCTCAGTAAACTATCGCAAGAACAAAAAACCAAACACCGCATATTCTCACTCATAGGTGGGAATTGAACAATGAGATCACATGGACACAGGAAGGGGAATATCACACTCTGGGGACTGTGGTGGGGAGGGGGGAGGGGGGAGGGATAGCATTGGGAGATATACCTAATGCTAGATGACGAGTTAGTGGGTGCAGCGCACCAGCATGGCACATGTATACATATGTAACTAACCTGCACAATGTGCACATGTACCCTAAAACTTAAAGTGTAATTAAAAAAATAAATAAATAAAATAAAATAAAATAAAAAAGTTTCCTTCAAATACCACCTTAAAGCTATTTTATATTTTATTTAAAGTAACCGTAAGAGCAGATCAGAACTATCCAGTTACAGCTTTTAAATAAATAGCAAAACACTTTCCTCTGGGTTTTGGAAATCACTAGGAACAAAGAGTTTGGCCTCCTTAGTTGTTTCAATTTTTCTTTTTCATCTGATCAATTTGGAGAGTTTTTTTAAAAGAAAAAATAATCATTTTCCATTTTCAGCTGTTCCCCTAACTCATCAAAAGTGTTCAGGTTTTTCAGTTAGGCAAGAACTGACCCAGCAGAACCAAAGAGTATTTTACAAATTTCTTTCTCTCTGCAGATGCAAAAGATATTTAAGAAACTTCCAGGATTCAAAAAAATCCATGTGTTAGGATTTAGGTAAGTAAGAGAATCAAACTCTTCTCAATTTTTAAATTACTTTCTTCCTATCCTTTTGTAAAAACAATGCCATAAGGATTATAAGGTCCTTTTTCCCCAGTTGTTTAGCTCTGCCAAATCCTGGAAACGGAGTACGTTTCAGATAAAGGAACTGTCTAATTAGAACATGACTCTAGGTGATTCTTAAGGGGTAACACAGGAGCTGTATTCCTTCCTTCTTCTGGGAATCAGAAATAGTGCTCTCTATAGAGAGCTCATCTGCTGTCTTTGGTCATGTGGTTATGAATGAGCTTCTTAGGAAAATACCTCAGTAGAGACAGATGAAAAAAGGTAGACATTAATTGCCTACCTTTTTAACCAGGTGTCTGATTGCCTGGTTTCCTATGGGATGCTAAATAACATCACTATTTAAACAAACCATGCTTCCCAAGAGAGACAAGTGAACAATAAAAAGTCATAGCTATCCAGGTAGGAGAGTTGGGAAAATGGGGTGGAAAGGAATAGGAGCATAAGCAAGACATTCTAAAATATACCTTTTATGTCATTTTGACATCTGATTCATAGTAATCTATTACCACTCAAAAATTACTAAATTAAAATTTTAAATAAAAAAATAAGATCATAAGATAGTGCCACACTAAAGAGGGTTTAACCATATTCCCACATCTTTGGCACAAGGAGGGCTGTATCCTTCAGCATCCCAACACTCTCATGTGGGTTCATGATTGGGGGAAATAATTTTTAAATCTTTTTTTGTAAGTTCTCATTTTTCAAAACGTCTACAGATGAACTCATAATATGCTATTTTTAAAATGTGCCACAGGGTAAATATCAGCCCTGGTATGAACAGAATGAGATTTCTTGCCCCAAACGAGCTTTGTAAACCAGGGAGCGTGGGCTCCCCCAGAAGTGTTTCTGGCTCCTTCACTGCCTACTGTCTGAAAGCAAGAAGATGTACAGAGCAAGGGCTCCACAGGCCCAGAAAAAGAAATAGCTTTGCAGGGAGCTCTCATGGTTTATTTCTTTCAAAGCTATCAGGCCCCTCTGATTTGTATAACTCCAGAGAAAGGAAATACTGAAAAGTGAAAGTTATAAAAGATGAAACCCTTAATATCTACCAAAGCAGACTCATTTTTCTTTATTTCAAGATGCTGCTCGGTAGTATTTTCTGTGAAATCAGATGGATTAGAGAAAAATAAAAGTTGATAGAAAAATATTCTGCATAAATGCAAAGGTTTTCTGAATAAACCACTGCAGTGGAAGAACAAATTTTTAATTTAAAGCTGAAGGAAATGATGGGAACAGTTGTTTTGGTGAATATTAAAATGTTCATTATCCACCTCCCTTCAATAAATGAAAAACAAAGGTTTAAAAAATCTGTTTTAGAAGTAAACCAAAATGTTAGATGATGAAATTTTACAAGGTAAATATTTTAAAGATATATCTCTTGACACTGAATTTTTACCAAGTGCTTATCTTTGTAAGGATTTATTATTATTTCTGCCAAAGATGCCTACAAAGTAAGTTTGATCACATTTTCCCAGTGATTTCCATGATGACATGAAGATTTAGTCCACCATAAAATATTTTGGCCCTTGAATACAATAAATAATGTGCTCATGACAGTGGCAAAATTGTAACCATTAATAATGATGCTCAGAATATTATAAAGTAAACATGTTATTAAGGAAATTGCTTTTTTGTGGGCCAGATCCCTGAAGAAGACCAAAAACCCTGTGAGTCTCCTGGTACTGACTGTCCTCCAGCTCATTTGTATAAAGGTTGATTTACAATTTAACAAGTACTTTTTTATCAGTGACTTCATTGAATTCAACGTGACTGGGAAGTAGTTAGGACATGTATCATTAACACAATTATGAAGATGAACAATGAAAGGGCCACTTTAAATATTGCTTTATCTCTCAGCAAAGGTGGAAAACTATTAACAATCATGCAGTCTTGTTGGAGGGTATACTCCTTCAAATACTTGTGCACAAATGTTCAAAGCCTCTTTATTCTTAATAGCCAAGACCTGGAAATAACCCAAGTGTCTATCAACAGGGCAACAAATTGTCATATATTCTTGCCATAAACAACTTCTCAACAAAGAAATGAACTATTGGAATACACAACAACATGGGTGCATCTCAAAATAACTTCGTTGAGTGAAAGAAGCCAAACAAAAGTACATCATGATTTTATTTATAATAGACTCTAGAAAATGCAAACTGATTTATAGTAACAGGAAACAGATCAGCAGTTGCTTAGGAAGGTGAGGCACATAGGGATAGAAGGGGAAGGATCGCACAGTAGGATGAGTAAAGCTTTGCGATTGATGAATATGCTCACTATCTTGATTGTGGTAATGGTTTGACAGGTGTATGGCATCAAAATTCTTGGATCGTATACCATAAATATGTCCCATTTGTTTATCACAATGATACCTCAACAAAACAATTATTTAAAAATTAAAAGGACTAGGGTCTTGACCCAGGAAGCCTGGCCTCTTTACAGAACCTCATGGATTACAAACTATTGCTGAAAACAAGCAAGAGGGAGGATGAGTGTCTGGTTGGTAGAGAAGGAAGTCTCACCCATACAGCAGCACTAGTTAGATTCTTCCTTGCCTCCGCAGAAGGAGGGTTGTGGCATGCCTGTAGCATGTACATTTCAGTCATATGATATCTGGGGATGAAAGTTACATTAGTTAATATAGTCCAGGCAGAAAGGGCAACAACCCCAATCCCATCACATGTGTAGAGTGTCTTTGGCAGCAACTACCATTTGAAATGTAAAAGGAGAAAGCTGGACATAGCTACTAAACTGAATTCATACATGTGTCCAAAGGAGTGCAAAATGTGTTCATCAGTTTGGTGACTAAATGGTCTTTTTTCATGCACAAGCAGGTGGTAGCATGGAAAAATGAGCCAGGCTTGAGGTCAGGAAGGCCAGGATTTCAACCCTGCAATTCCCATTTGACACTTCCTTCTATGTGCCTGTTCCCTTTTCTGTGAAGCTGGGATTACATTGCTGAAAAGATTAAATGAGAATGCATGTAAATTGTTTAGTACAGACCACTCACCCAGTAAACAGGTGGTGGTTTTTCTTGCAAGCTGTCCCATGGTGAATTGGATCAATCCCTCAAAGCTTACTGATAGCAACAATTCAAAACATAATCTGTCAAGAAAACACCAGTTCCACGGTTTTGCCTCAGATAAATTATCTTCAGGAATAAACTAATCATTTAATGCCAGTAAGAGCTGAGAAATCCATTTACAAAATACTTTTTTAAAATGTTCTGGCACCAGTACCCCCCAAAATGTAAAACATGTAGGATAGATTTCCAGCCTTTTTAGATGGAATATGAAGAAATTAAGGAATGTAAGAAGAAGACCAAAAGTGCAGATAATCTTTGAACTAAGGCTCAAATCCTAATCAGAAACATATAATGATGTTTACTTCTTAGATTCATATCTCTCTCAAAGTTTCCATTCAAATTCTGATGGCAGTTTATATGAATCTTTCAAAGCTCTGAACAAACAAAAGAGACAATGGAAAGAAATATTTTTTTCTTTTGTATATAAAATAATTCATTGAATGTCTCAATAAATGTCATTAAATTTTTTTCTCTTTTTCATGTTTCCATTGTGCATGATGAAATGAAGACCAAAGAAAGAAAAAGATGGGTAATTTGGACTTTAAGTTTTGAAATATAGTACATTCCCGTCTCCCCCAAATTTATATACTGATTTTGCACAAATAATTTTTACATATAATGTCTTGGATAAGCCCATTACTTTTTGATGGTTTCTTATTTAAATGGAAGTAATTGAACAATTGTCCAGTAGTTAAAAAAAAAAAAATTCTCTTATCAAAGTCACTATGTGGGATACAGGTAAATATTTCCTTGGTCAGCTGAACAGGATTTTATCATACTCAAGGTATAGTTAGAAAAACATAAAAACACTATCTGTGCTGCAAGCATAATTTATTTCTTAAATGCCATTTGTAATGGGCAGTTGTCTATCTGAAAGCACACACATACATGGAATCAACCTAAGTCTGGAATAAAGCAGAGAAACTAATTTGCTCCTTTCCAAGGTCAATGTGAACTGAGAAAAGGGCCCACTATACCTTGGAGAGCTCAGTAATAAGAATCAACTTTGGCTCTGTAATTGACTAGTGAAATAACAAACGATAGACTCTAAATGATTGTGTCATCTGAAAAACCACCAAGAATACACGTGATCAGTTTCTGTGGCCTTTAAAACACTTCTACATCACTCTGTCTAGATTTATGACATGAACTAAAGGTAAAACCTAATTCCTGAGGACAGAGACATAGAGAATCCTGTTTCATTTTTGCATGCAAAAAAGCTTTGAGTTAATGAATAGGATAATAAATACAGTTACCTATGTCCTGCTTATTTTTCTCTTTTCTCACACCTTCCTTCTAAGATGTTATTTTAAAAGCAGCTTGAGGGAAAAGAGTATTATGTATCATTTAAAGTTGTATTTTTTTAATTAAAAAATACTTATTTTAAAAAAGTAGAAAAGAAATAGCCTTAAGAACTGAACCTTTGACTTGGTTACAACACATATGTATATATATATATACACATACACACACACACACGTATATATACCCATATGTATATAGGTGTATATATATGTGTGTATATATACACCTATATACATATGTATATACACACATACCCATATATGGGTATATGGATGGGTAATTTGGACTTTTTTTACATATATATACTATATATATATATTTTACATATATGTGTATATGCATAATAGTATATATATATTGTGTGCATATATATAATATACATATATATATATACTATTGTCCTACTGCTATATCTTACATTGCTATTTCATAGACCTTCCTAAAGGAGGCTATTTGTAGAAGAAAGGATAATTCATCCTTCTTCCTGATTGGCACGGCATGACTTATAAGATCACAAAAAATAGTGGTCAATACCAGCAACTTTTTTGACAAAAAGCACTTTTTCAAAAAGACCTAGGTGGGCACAGTGGCTCAGGCCTGTAACCTCAGCACTTTGGGAGGCCACAGCAGGCAGATCGCTTGAGCCATGAGTTTGAAACCAGTCTGGGCAACACAGCAAGACTCTGTCTCTACAAAAAAATTTAAAATTAGCCCACTTCCTTCCTGTGTTCCCAGCTATGCTGGGGGATAAGGCAGAAGGATCACCTGGGCCCCAGGACTTCAAGGCTACAGTGAGCCATGACCATGCCAATGCACTCCAGCCTGGGTAACAGAGTGAGACCCTGTCGCAAAAAAAAAATAAAAGAAAGAAAGAAAAAAAAAAACCTAAAGTAAAAATCTATGGTCACTTGATTCAGTTAGTAATCCTTCTTTGAGGTGGACTGACCTCCCTCCTGCCATTCTATTTTAGAACTAAAAGATATATTTATTCTTTTTTCATATTTTAAGTTTCTGATAAATGTTGAAATGTTTTAAAGTGGGATATTCTCTCCGAGCCCATCAGGAAAGAGGTGGAAGCTATCCTGAAGCTTTGTAGCAATCTAGTGATTCTCTTTGCAAGGCATGTAACAATGGCTTTGGGTGGGGAATGTGTCCTCTGCTATCTACAGCTCAAGCTCCACAGAGATGCAACTTACGGCCATCTTTAAGAGACACAGTGCAGAAGCAAAAAGCCCTGCAAGTGACCTCCTGTCTTTTGATTCCAACAAAATTGAAAGTGAGGAAGTCTATCATGGAACCATGGAGGAGGACAAGCAACCAGAAATCTATCTCACAGCTACAGACCTCAAAAGGCTGATCAGCAAAGCACTAGAGGAAGAACAATCTTTGGATGTGGGGACAATTCAGTTCACTGATGGTCAGTTAATGATTGCTTAGTTCTGAGTTTATTCTCATTTTGGCAGAGACTAAGAATGTGAATGTCTCATGGAAACTGTCATTTTAACTTGGGTCTTCTAAAGTCGATCATTACTGTGACAGGAATACATATGGTATCATTTCTAGCTTTTCTCACTCCTTCCTGTGTCTCATTTGATGAGTCTTTGGTACCCACTTCTTACCAAGGATAGTTCTAGGAGAATCCAAAGGTTTCAGTTCAGTCCAAGTCAACTGCGGAGAACGAAGGCAGAGAAAAGAACCCACAGACAGTTCTGTTACCCTGGCACAATCAAAACATATTCTCTCATGTAGTCAATTGGTCAGGTCTCAGCGAGAAACAGATGGCACATTCAAATTAGTATAATTTGAGGAGAGTTTAATAAAGGGACCATTTGTAAAGGTTTGTCTGTACACAAAGGATTAGGAGAGTTCCCTGAGGCTAGAAGCAGCAAGCCTCATTACTATCTCCAGACTTGAAGTGTTGCCTAATGTTGTATGCCATGCCAAAGACAGAGCCCAAGGAACCATTGATATAGTCCATATTATTCAACCTTCTGGGGCAGAAAGTAGCAGGGAGGGGAGGGGAGAGTGGATCTAGAGAAGTCAACAAGATCATCAGGCACACTTAGGATCCTCAGAGGGCAGTCCTCAGTAGGTTCAGTAAATGGCAAAGTAGATGGACACTGGAAATGCCATTTTAGTACAACATGGCATGAAACTGTCATTTTCTGCCAGTTCTGTTTTCTGCCTAAGATAGGCACTCTTAACACTAGAAAACTTCATAAAGGTCTCTTGAGACAAGACGAAGGGCCAGGGAAATTCATAGGCAAGAAAAGGTCAACTTCACAAGTGTCTCAGAGACAACCTGATACTCGGGGCTTGTCCCTTTTGAGCCCTCTGTGTCATTCTGAGAATCAGGCTTTAGGTTGAAAGTTTGCCACAAATGATCCTTGGTTCCAGTATTTATTCTAGTCATTTTGTTTCTTATCAGTTTAGTCATATTTTTATCCCTAATGGTTTAGATAATTAGCCAGCCTGCTTGGTCCAAATCTATAGAATAAAACTGAGCACCCTAAAAATCCACCCTAATAACTATTCTTATCACATAAACATGCAAGATGCACCCTTTGCAACTGTCCTTCAATATATCATTCAGATTAATGACCTTTTTTCTATGCCTCTGGTTTCCTAATGATTTGTTGTACTACTCCTTAAGGATTGGTTATTCCGCATATTTCAACCTGGACTGTTTTATTGTCCCAACCACAAAAGAAAAAGGAAAGATACATTCAAATCTTGTGATTTTTTACCCATAGAAATTGCTGGATCACTGCCAGCCTTTGGTCCTGACACCCAATCAGAGCTGCCCACATCTTTTGCTGTTATAACAGAGGTAAGTTTGTTGTCCTTTTGTTCTTTAACTAGGAACAAAGTCTCAAAACCTTCCACCAAAGAACAAATCAGCTTAAGAAATGAACAGAGCAAAATCCCCTTTGCAATGCTAATTAAATTCTTTTCTGTTTTTTACAAGCAGCACTTGCTTAACCCACTTTCAGTATCCGTATTAATAAAATATAATACAACTTGCATTTTAAATATCTCAAAGTTCAAAGTTTCCTTCAATTTAGTTAGATTTTTGTTTCATTTAGAATCAGGATGGGCTCTGTTTTTAATAAAACAAACAAATTTTCATGAACTGAAAAGAATAATTAAAGCAGAACATATTATTTGACTTTCAGAAATATATATAAACATGATCATACTTTATAAATTTGTTTTTATGACTTAAAGATTTACCTATGTATTTATTTATGGGGGTTTGATAAATACAAATTAATGTCTTTAAAAGTAAATAATAAATTCAGTAATAATTTTTGTATTTAATTTAAACCTATGTTTATTTAATTTATGCCAGAAGTTGTCACTGGGGTGTTCATAAATAGAAGTGCTGACTAAGCTTTATTCCCTCCTAAAATGAAATAATTCATAACATGATTGACATAAATCAAAGTATCTTAGCTGTTAGTTAAGTCTATTCAGGCAGATTCAGTTATCCGAGAAGCAATAGATCTTATTTTACCACTGTATCAATGGATGTTATCCTTTTAGAACATATTTCTATATCAGAACCTTCCTCCATAGTAGATTCAAGTCAACAACAAAATAGTTTGCCTAAATTTAAATGAAAATTTTGAAATATGGGTATAGCCCTTCTCATATACATACAAACATCCTTTCTCAACATCTGTCTTGCAAAATTCATTCTTCAGGATGCTACTTTGAGTCCAGAACTTCCTCCTGTTGAACCCCAGCTTGAGACAGTGGACGGAGCAGAGCATGGTCTACCTGGTAAGTTTCCCCTCACAAAGTCTATGTTAGATGACAACATATGCTTTGAGGAATCCCATTATGATACTGCCTCAAAGACCAGTGACAAAGCCATCCCGAACCCAGGAAAAGGTTCACTGCCACCAGCATTTCCAACAGAAAAGCAGTCCATTGAACTAACCTTTCTGCAGAGGAGGACATCCACAGCATCCTTCCTTCAGCTCTAGTTCCCAGTCCTACAGCCAGCACCGGCAGCCCTTTTCTAATGGAACTGGTCAAGGAGGCTGAAAGCAAAACAGCACCAACTGCTGCTCACCCAGAACAACAATCTCCTCTGGGCTTGGAAACTGAGAGTCCATGAGGACAAGGTAGGTCCTAAGGCCCAAGTCCATGACAAGCAGCCATGTCAACCGTGGACTGGGCCTTTACAATCACTATATGTATTCCTGTGCCTTTTACATGCTGACTATGGATACAGGCTGTTCTGCTACATGTGTTTCTTTAGTGTAAATTAGCACATGTGTAAGTAAAAAAGAATATCAGTAAACACTGAAGTCTTAGTGATTCACTTTTGAATCTCCAAGAAGGTTAATTTTGAGGCAATAGTATCAAACTTTTTCACAGTTAAAGAGAAATATTTAGCAACATATGAAGACATTAGGGAAGAAAACAACTAAAAATCTTGCAGAGAGCCTTTTTTAGTGCAAAAAATAGCTGATTTAGTGGCTCCAAGAACCCCTATTCTTTCCACTCTATAGAGCCCTGTGGTAAAACTACAAGTAAAAAACACAAGCCCCAGGATACTAGGCTGATAAGAATGTACTGTGATTATAAGTACAAATGCCATTGGAGATTTGCAATGACTGGTATATTTAATAAGATTACTATTGTTTTAGTTAGAGGTCTCTACATTCTACAAGTTTTGAGTGGACTATCTTAACTGTATTTTCCTCATAAACACTGTGCAATTAGTATGCCATTTTACAGAATGCAAGGTATTTCAGGAATACATATATGGTATGATAGCAGAATTAATTATACAAATTGGATTTCATTTACATGATTATCAGTGAATAAATGTTAACTTCTTGACATGGTTATTTATTGCTGCATTACAACCATCCCTAAAGTTAGTGGCCTAAAACAATAATCATTTATTTTGCCAATAAATCTGTAATTTTGGCAGGGATCAGCAGGGACAGCTTTTCTCTGCTCCATGTTGTGTCAGCTGGAATATCTCAACTGGTGTTGAAGATCCATTTCCAAAACGGTTCACTCACTGGCTGGCAAATCAGTGCTCACCCAAAGCTGTTGGCTGGGGGCCTCATTTCTTCTCTACACAGGTCTCTCCACAGGGTTGCTTGGGTTTCACCACAGCATGGTAGCTGAGTTCAGAGTGTCAGTATTCTAATATCTTAAGGGCCTAAAAACAGCATCATTTCCTCACATTCCAATTGCTAGGCAGCTGCAGAGCCCATCTAGATTCAAAGGGAGGGGACATAGAGCTTCTCTCTTGATGGGAGAAGTATGGAAGAATTTATGCCATTTATAATTAACCACAATCCATATCAACCACTATTTTGACATCCAAATTATTTTAAGAGTTGTTTGGACAAAACAAAACAAAACTTTTCATGAAATGATTGATCTTAAGCACTCACTGAATACTTTTCTTTCATTCTATCATAAAACTTTCTTATAAGATTAGCATTTCAGGTAGATTAATAAAAATAATAGTATATCTATGATGAAAGCATTATCTTATTTCCAAATTGCCTTACTGTTTCCATTTTATTTATACATTCCTTTTACTCATGAATATACCATAGAACACTAAAGCTGGAAGAAATCTTAGAGATAATTTGGTTAAGCTTCTGTGTTTCACAAATGAGAAAGCCAAGGCTAGAAATGTGAAGTGCCGTGTTCAAGGTCATATCATAGCTTGCGGCACAGCCAGGATCGTTATTCAAGTTTTCTACATCTATTATACTATGTTTGGCTTAAGTAGCTCCATCCTTTGCAAAAAGCATAACCTCAAACTTGCTTTGCCCTCAAACCACAGCCTCTTCTCTCTCTATTTCACTACTCTGTCAATTTTTCTAAATTGTCTAGGCTTCTGAGTCTCTATTATGTCACCTCCTAATCACCACAGGGTTTCACCTCTAACCCATAAAGCAGGGATGTAACTTTCACAAAAGTCACAGATGACTTCCTAATTGATCAATTTAGCAGTCTCATTTCCATCCTCTTTTCATTTGACATTTCTGGCACGTGACTCTTGTTAACCACCCCGCTCTTGAAACTCCTACATCTGGGCTTCCACAAAGTGACTCCTTCTTGGTTCTTCTCATATACCCTACCTACTACTCCTCCATATCCTGCAGTGTGGCTTATCATTAAATTTTTTTAATTTTGCTTATTAAAATCCTACATCATTTTAAAAAAGATTTATAGCGATTTACAGACATGGATCCATACAAAAAGATTTTGTTTTAAAGAATGGAAAGAAAAATGGAAGAGAAAATAAAACAAAGATTACTCCTTTAGTGAAATGGAAGTGTTTGGGAACTAGATTGAGGTGGTGATCACACAACATTGTGAATGTGCCAAATGCCACTGAATCATTTACCTTAAAATAGTTAATTTTATGTGTTATAAGTTTCACATCAATAAATTTATTAAAATAAGATAACTCTGTAGGAAAAATCATATACAAAATAAACATCATAGAGTTCAGTAGGTTTGCTTTAGATGCTTCATGATTTGACTCTGAGCTTCTTAACAGGCTGTGTAAAGAGGAAAATACAATTAGTCACCTAATATAGATCTGCATGCTTACAGCATGGTAATTGCTTAGGAGAAAAATTTATCTGCTGAATTCTCATAAGGAGGACAGTCTCGGTTATAGTACCATGTCCTGTCCACATGAACCTTCCTGCTGTGTAAAACCAGTGTCAAGTGTTTCCTTTAAGGCCCTCCCTGGACATGTGCAATGAATGCCAAAGCCAAGTTCATTACAGAAGTTCCAGGAGGGGCTAGGTGCTGACAGTCTGCCTTAATTCAAGAATTGATTTTGCATTATTTAGAGGAATAGCTGTGCTGTCTAACCTTCAGTCAATGCTCTATAAGTAGAAATTATATCTCATATTTGAGCTTGTGATTTGTATTGAGCAAGAAGAGTTATATTTGCTGACCTGGACCTAGAGTGCAAATATTCCACATTGACAAGAGCAGATCCATATGCTTTCATAATCAGCCCAAATGGGAGTAGAAATGACATATCTTAATGAAAAATGGAAACCCTAACTGGGAAACATTCGTGATAAAAAGACAGTTATACATGGAAAACGGAAAACAGAAAACAAACAAACAAAAAAAAAGTGCAGGGGCACTCTGGACAAGAGCAAGCCTTCCCTCCCTCATAAAACAGTTCTGGCCTTTTCCCATGTACAGGTAAAATGAAAATTAGGGCTCCAAAATCCTGCACCACAGTATTACTGAGATAATTTTAGCCTGGAAAATTTTTAAGGTTAGTGTCACCAAACACCCACCAGGCCATTAAAATCTCTGTAAAGCACTCAAAGAAATCTTTCAGCTTCAGCAGTTTAACTTAGTAGTTAATTCTGAGATAAAGTTCTTGCAAAATATGCATCTAGGACACTAAAAGAATTGGTATGTTGTATAGAATTGTGGGGTCTTCTATTGTTACTGTTTTTTTGTAGTAGCTGATCCCAAGCCATTCTTTTTTGTAGAGCCAGTTATCTGTTAAGATCACTCCTATCGGCCGGGCGCAGTGGCTCATGCCTGTAATCCCAGCACTTTGGGAGGCCGAGGCAGGCAGATCCCTTGAGGTCAGGAGTTCGAGACCAGCCTGGCCAACATGGTGAAACCCTGTCTCTACTAAAAATACAAAAATAAGTCAGGAGTAGTACTGCATGCCTGTAATCTCAGCTATTCAGGAGGCTGAGGCAAGAGAATTGCTTGAACCTGGGAGGCAGAGGTTGCAGTGAGCCAAGATCGCTCCACTACACTCCAGTCTGGGTGACAGAGCAAGACTCCATCTCAAAAAGATCACTCCTATTTCATAAAAATGAGTCATCCACATATAGGAGAAACTTGATATTCTGTCCTCCACACAACATGTATCCAACTTGTTCAAAAATAGTATTAATTCACAGGGTAAAAATTTTTTGTGGTTTGGTTTGGTTTAGACGTGTAGGCGGCAATACATTTCTCTTTTAGTTGATTAGAATGATCATCTGGTCTATCAGGAGAGAAGTTCTTTAGTGTCCTCCCTCCCAAATTGCAGACTTTTTCACTTGCAACATATTCCATTTAAGACAGAAACCAGGTCTCTTAATAAATTGCAGTATTTTAAGTGAAGAAGCAAACTTTAAGCAGAGCTACTGTACTATTGGACATTGCTTTGTCTTTTATTGCCCATCTAGGTAATATGTTAAAATTAGCACATTTCCAACTTTTCTTTGTCTCATCTCAGCCTTTGACTCCATCAGAAGGAATCCGTGACATGAGCTAAACTGAATGATCTCAATGTAAAACCAAGCTGCTAATGTTCCATGTGGTCAGGGACAGCCGTCTGTCTCTATTCATTCCTATATTGGCAGTGTCCAGCCAGATGCTATATTAAAAATTAATACATGTTAAAGGAATTACAGCAGTGAATGAATGAATTTGTATTACAATATCTCCATGAAAGTCAGACTTTATTGGAATAATCTAGTTCCCTTTTTAATCTGTCTAGTAAAAAGCTTAGAGCCAAATCAATGTTCTAGAAGCAGTATTTGGCCATCAGTTCTGGTCACACCACTCACCATTGCCAA
Organism: Homo sapiens; assembly: GCF_000001405.40. Classification (NCBI taxonomy): domain Eukaryota; kingdom Metazoa; phylum Chordata; class Mammalia; order Primates; family Hominidae; genus Homo; species Homo sapiens. The sequence continues at coordinate 75,998,097 of NC_000006.12, read as the reverse complement.
AATTTGTCATTCATTGTCACGTTCTTGTGCCTTTACACAGTTATTTTTTCTTGTGCCTGTAATAGTCTTCCATTCTTGCAGCTTGATGACCTCCAACTCATATTTTAGTTTCAGCTAACATGCTACTTTCTCTGTGAAGTTTTCCCCAACGGCTCCCTGAAAAGGATTTATAATTACCATCTGTTCCCTGATTCCACAGCAAAAAGTCATCTAGACTGCCATCAAACATTTCAATTCAATACAGAATTGAAAGTATTGCTATGCATGTCTGGAATCCCTCCAAGACTGAATTCCTGAAGTAAAAAGATATGTTCTTATTCCTTTTTTTAAAATTCCTGTGCTAAGCACAGTGGCTGGCATATAATTGCAGTTTCATAACTATTTGTCACTGCTGTCGACCTTGTTGGGCCTATCAGTACTATCATCTCAGACAGTAAATGCCTGGAGGATATGTGCCCTCCCTGTGCTGGTACCCACGCAGCTCCTCAGACAGCCTCACGTGTAAGGCAATGTCCCTTATTGGTAAATACTTTCATCAAAATAAGAGTGCTGAAGAAATTTAATCAGCTCCACCTCATGTGATGTACCCACTACCACATTGATTAAACGTAGGTATGCAGGGAAAGAAATTTGCAGTTAGCCTCTCTCCCAGCCCAAAAATGTACACTTCCTAACTCAATCAGGAAGGCTTGGCAAAGATGTTATTTAAATTGCTCCACTTTAGGATGAAAGGGTAAAAGTAAGACTTGAAAGAGTTTTAAGAACAACTCAGCCGAACTGAGTTTAGGCAACAGTGGTCAATATTTTTGCCTGTTCTTTCTTACCAGGGAGCAAGGTTTTCCTAACAGAAGTTTATTGCTTATAAAAATTATTCAGAGAGGTCTACAAGAAAAATGTCATCTAAAGAAAAGAAAGAATGGCCATTCAACTAAGACTTCCAATTTCACCTCATCCCTAGATACAATCTTTATGATGCCCAGGAAAAGATGAAAAGTGAATCAAAGTTCTTTCAACTCTCAAATTTGGTACTTCTAGATTTAGCCTAGAAATGTCAGGTGACTTAATATGTCCTTCAGAATTTCAGTTTGGGAAATTCAGTACCCTCCCTCAAATTTTGGCAATTCCCAAGAAAATTTTTCTGACTTTCTGCCCTCTAGTGAAGAGATATTATTCCATCTGCCTTTTTGAATCTGTTCCCGTCTTTCACTCCCTCTTCATTCTGGAGGTGAACAGTCTAGATTTCCATAATTATTCCTCATCACCATTCAGAGATGATATTTCTATGAGTAGATCAACTTTATTGTGGGTTGAGGTGATAAGGACAGGAGGAAGCCATAGTGCAGCACCACCCAGTCACCAACCTCAAGTTATTACATAGCTGTCCTGTCTTGACATGTCAGTCACATCCTTTGCTGGAAAGTTCTCCCTAGCCAGTGCTATCTTGGTCATTCCCTGTTGCATCATGATGTTAAGCCCTCATTCCCTCAAAGCCCTCCTCATGACCACCCTTTTTCCAGGCTGCTCCCAACTCCTTTCCCAAGTTACAGTCCAGTTTTTATGAAGAGTAGTGATCTGTTTAATCTCTTTCCAACATTATACTGAACAGAGATCACCTGTTTCTAAGATAAATCCTGCCTCTTATGCGGGGATAAAAGCAGTTAACGGTGGTTGTAGTTAGAAATTGCATCTTTCTCTTCCTTCCATGCTGATACTCCTTCACATGAATACAGGTACATATTCAGATAATAGTGTGTACCAAGCAGTTTTCAGTAACTCTTGGTGACTTTATCTCACCTTGAAGCCATTGTTTCTCCTTTTTCTTTCTCAGGAGAGTTCTCTCCCTCACCTCCCTTATATCATGTAAGTCCATTCTCTGGCTTTGCCCCATATGCCACTAGTGCACGTTGATTTCCCCAGGGGTCCCATGTAGATTCTCTGCACATCTTTAGATGGGAAACCGTTCCATCACAGGTGAATTCCAGGGGCACTGTAGGCCACAGATTCAAGCAAACTCTTTATGTTCCAGGACACCACAGAGTAAAAAGGACTTCAATGAATTACCTTAATTACCAGTGGCTCTCTGGGATGCTGTGATCATTCATTTATTCATTCAACAAATATTTATGTGGTGCTTATTAGGCACAGGGGATAAGTTGGTGAACAAGGCAGATATACTTTATGCCTGTCATGATTTGGGTTCCCCCAAAACAGACCCCGAAACAAGGATTCAATTACAAGGAGTTTATTTCAGGGATGATACCAGTAAATTCAGTAAGGCAATGGAGAAGTGAAGTGCAGAAAAGAAGGAAACCAATACAACCAATTACCCCGTGACCACTGAAGCTCGTCAGTGATGTGCTAGTAAATGCTTAACAGCCAATCTAAAAACAATGTGGAATATATATGCATAGAGAAGTTTATTATAAAATTTTGCTGATACAGAGGATATGTAACACAATTTACAAATAATAAAATACACAGTATTCCTTATTATAAATTCTATGTAGCCAATTGACTCTCTTAAGGAAACAATGTTTAAACTGAGATCTGAACGACAAGAAGGCAAAAAATAAAAACTGAGGAGGGGTGGTGAAGGGTATTTTCAGCAGAGGGGAGTAGCTGAAGCTGGCAGTGGTGTGGCACATTGAAGGAAAGTGAAGAAAGCCATCGTAGCTAGAGCACAGGAATTTGGAGAGAAAATGGTGAAGCTCTAGAAGCATAGAGCTTTATAAGCCCTGCAAAGAATCACTAAAAGGTTTTAAGAAAAACAATGACACCTCAAATTTAGGTTTAAATAGATCCTTCTGACTATATTGTGGAGAACTGGCTGGAGGTCAGCAAATGCAAGCAATCAATTAGAAGAGTCTTAACGGTAATTCAGTCTAGAAATGTTGATAGCTAGGACATTGGTGATGGAAGGAGAGATGAATAGAAGTGAATTGATTTTATTGGTATTTAAAAATTAAAACCAACATAAATTCTGAATCCATGAATGGATTCAGCAAGAAAGGCTGGCCTGATTGATGAATAATGTCTGTACAGGCTCATTAACAGAAAGTGGTAATATATGTGTCTGCAGTTTCTGTACCAGGTCAGTGAACTGGTTTTAGCCGTGCCTCTCAGGTGTTCAAATATTGCCCTCCTCTTACCTCTTTTTAGTCAGTGGTTAGTGAGCACATCCTAGGAGATGCTAGCCTTTGCTAGTTCTCAGGTCTTTGACAGGGTCAGTTTTTTGCTTCCATCCTTTTTTGTTAGCTCACATCCATACAAAGGAAAAGACTGGTAAGTATCTAATATGGTTTATATGGTTTTGCTGTATCCCCACCCAAATCTCATATTGAATTGTGGCTCCCACAATTCCCATGTGTCATGGGAGGGACCCACCCAGAGGTAATTGAATCATGGGGGTGGGTCTTTCCCGTGCTGTTCTGTGATAGTGAATAAATCTCACAAACTCTGATGGTTTTATAAAAAGGAGTTCCCCTGCCCAAGCTCTCTCTCTATGCCTGCTGTCATCCATGTAAGACGTGACATGCTCCTCCTTGCCTTCTGCCATGATGGAACTGTGAGTCCATTAAACCTCTTTCCTTTATAAATTACCCAGCCTCAGATATGTCTTTATGAGCAGTATGAGAACAGACTAATACAGTATCCATTATGAGCAGTACTTTTCATTGAACTATCCAGTATTTTACAGAAAAAAGCAGAGGTTGATAAACACAGGAAATAGATAAATAGGTAAATGGAATGATTCTAGGGATTCAAGATTTCTATCTCAGACCTTCTTTAGGAAACTGTCACCCAGATTACTTTAAATCTATTGAGCTAGAGGCAGCTATGCATGCTTTGTCCTCCTACACATCCTGATTTAGAGGTTTCATTCCAACGGCCCAGTGACTTTTGTTTTGTTTTGTTTCCCAATTTCAGTTTTGGGTGTTTGGCATATTTTTCACTTTGGATTTAGCATCTGTATTCTACCCCTTCTTGTTTCTTCAAGTGGACCCTAACACACTGCAGGAGTGGTATTTGTATCCTGCTAACTCTAGCTGAAGTGCTAGCACCTCACCAGTGCCAGAAAACCAGCACACAGCAGCTCAGGCCAGGAGGAGAGGCTTGCACCATGCCACAGAGCTCTGCAGCCCCTCACAGACTACCTGGAAGCTGGCTTGGTTCTGTTTCCTTTCACACTTGCTGGCACTGAAACAGTTAGGACAAACCTATTGAGCGCTATTCTCTGATCATCCCTCAGTAGTAAACAGCTCTAATGACAAGGAGAACAGCCCTGCTTGAATAAACTTTTAAATGCTTTTCAAAATTAAGCCACTGTGACTATTTTAACAAAAATCTTAAATCTTAAAAATATATCACTCAGTTATCATGTGTGGAAAATTGAGAACGTTTTTTGAGAAAGGTTACTGTAAGACTTAAGGAAGAAAGACCTAAATCCCCACTGTGATGGTATTTGGAAGGTAATTAGGTCAAAGGTAAGAGCCTTTGGGATGTAATTAGGTCATGAGGGCCGAGCCCTTATAAGAAGAGACAAAAGAGGGATGATTTCTCTCTCCCTTTCTCTCTCTCTCTTTCTTTCTCTCTCTCTCCCTTTCTCTCCCTTTCTCTCTCTCTTTCTCTCTCTCCTTTTCCGCCATGTGGGGATACAACTAGAGGACAGCTGCCTACAAACTAAGAAGAGTGACCTCACTAGACACTGGTTTTTCTGGTGCCTTGATCTTGGACTTCATGGCCTCCTGAGTTGTGAGAAATAAATATCCATTGTTTGAGTCATTGATCTATGGTATTCTGTTACGACAGCTGTCAAAGATGTAATCCCAATTTAAATACCAATGCCCCGTTACATATGTCTGTGATGTTTCCGAGGCCTAAATTTGGGGGTAAATTGAAATTTCATATTAAGAACTATTAACAACTAATAGTTGTTAATAACTAATTAACAACACCAGAATTTCCACATTCACTATTCTTTGTTCAACAAGCACAAAGTCTGGCTCTGAAAAGGAAGATTAAGTTCACAAGAGACCTCAGTACACTTCCCATCTATTTCCTTTATTCAAGACCTACACATATGAAATAGTGAACAATGTAAGATGTTATGTATAAAATATAAATACTACTTTAACTTTACATAGACTAAACAGAGGTACATAATTATTTTAGTTCAGAAGAGGAGAAAAACAGTGAGAAGCAGAGATATCAAAGAAAGCACTCATGGAGCTTTGCTTGGGTTGAGAAGGGTATAAAGGACTTTCGTGAAGAGAAAGGAGATGACCCTCCAAGTATAATAAGTTTCATAAGCAAAGCTGCAGAGACTGGAGTGAGTTTCAGGGAAGAATGCTGAGAAATAAGTAGGGGAAGGATATATATCAAGCAGGGCCTTAAAAGTCAGAAAAAGGAGTTTGTTCTGGGCTTTCAGAAAATGAAGGTGGTAATGAAAATGGGGCTTAGGGAAAGTTTGTCTGCCTACAGCTTGGTAGGTGAAAAGTAGGAAAGTGGAGGATTTTGTTCTGTATTTGGTGTGAAGCTTTGGGGGCATGGATACAAAGGAAGGAAGGAAGATGATACAAGAGATATTTTATTTAAAAAGTAAAATAAACCAGGGACTACTTTGGATAATGGTGGATGGAGAAGGATAGGTCAAAGAGTCTGGATCACCATGAAATGAAACACCCCCATGGTCATCTATGTTATACACAAGACACCAAATTTCTTTTCATGCTGGAGTTGAACACCTGCTGTTGAATTTCATGCTGGAATGGAACACAATGAGAAAGAGAGAGAGGGAGAGAGAGATTTATTTAAGGAGCTGGCTCATATTATTGTGGAGGCTGGCAAGTTCAAAATCTGAAAGTTCAAAGCCTGCAGGTGGCAGGCTGGAAAACCAGGGAAAGTTGCACTTTGATGCAGTTCTTGTTGCAGTCGATGGTCCGAAGGCCATCTGCTGGCAGAATTCCCTTTTCCTCTGCAGACATCAGTCTTTTTCCTATTGAGGCCTTTAGCTAATTGGATGAGGCCCACTCACACTATGTAGGGTAATCTGCTTTACTCAGAGTCCACTGATTTAAATGTTAATCTCATCTTTTAAAATACCTTCACAGAAACATATACAATAATATCTGGGTACTGTGCCCTAGCCAAGTTGACACATCAAATTAATCATCACAGTATGTCTTGAATGAGCTCAGCACAGTCGGAAAAAAACAAGGTGCCTTATACGTTATGTCAGTACCATATATGCAAAGACAGAACTGGAACAGACAAAATCAAGTCACAATTCAACAATCTGTCTGGTGCAAAGAGAAAGCAGGTTTGCCTGACAGGATGCACTTAATTATAATATAAAAGAATGTGTTTGTCATTGATGGTAATAGGTGTCCATTCTTGAGGAACTGGAAGGAGCTCGTAGCAGAAGAAGAGAGGACAGGAAATATGCACTCAATAATGGAAAGAGAATAGAGAGAAGGTTGTTCAGAAGGGGGCTGGCATAGGTTAGGTGGTCAAAGTGGCATCTAACCAGTTCCACAATTTTCCATTCTCCCATTAATCACTTCTCAAGTGATCGAGACATGGTGTTTTCATAGCTGCAAGGGTTTCTGTATCATGTTCCCTTATCTGGACTCAAATGAGGTAACATCACAGTTAGGGTGAGAAGTCAAGTGTGTCTGCCTCTTTTGCCTTTTTTTTTTTTTATTTCCAAGGCAGAGTCTTGCTCTGTCACCCAGGCTGGAATGCAGTGGTGCAATCTTGGCTCACTGCAACCTCCGCCTCCCGGGTTCAAGCGATTCTCTTGCCTCAGCCTCCTGAGTAGCTGGGACTGCAGGAGTGTGCCACCATGCCCAACTAAATTTTTGTATTTCTAGTAGAGATGGGGTTTCACTGTGTTACCAGGATAGTCTCAATCTCCTGACCTCATGATCTGCCCACCTCGGCCTCCCAAAGTCCTGGGATTATAGGCGTGAACCACCGTGTCCATTTTTACAGAAAGTGAGAAGCATCCTTCATGCAAATGGTTTGAGGCCAGAGAATAACCAACCACAGACAAAGCCACCTGTGAGACTATGAGGAAGAAATGTCACCTTGGGTTCCATTGTAGGGAATTGCATTAGTACAGGTATACAATGTGATCAGCATTTTAATCAGAGAAGTAGTTCTTGCTTTGAGGGAAAGTGACATCTTCGAAGTCCTAAGGTAGAAATAAAAAGAATATCTGTAATGGATTGGGGGGCATGGATAGAAACTCCTGTGAATAATCTCCTTCAGTTTTTACATTTTAAGAAAGTGAAACAGCATTTGTGAAGGTGTCAGTAGATTGCAAGTTGCATGCAGTTGTCAGTTTACAGGAGGGGAGTCTACACAGGCAACTAAGCAACCTTCTGGAATTGTTATGCACTTCTGCTCAAAGTGACGGGTCACATCATCCATCTGACCTTAAATATGTAAAAGGCAGGAAAATGAGATTGTGTATGTGTGTGTGTGTGTGTGTGTGTGTGTGTGTGTAGAGGTGGGGTCTCCTAATGTTGCTCAGGCTGTTCCCAAACTCCTGGGCTCAAGCAATCCTCCTGCCTCAGCCTCCCAAAATGTGGGGATTATAGACATGAACCACCATGCCTGGCCTGGGAAAATGAGAGTTTCATCTTTAAATAGGTCCCATCAATCTCAGAGGGAATTTAACATTTTGACTATTGAGTAAACCAAAAGATAAGAGGATTTTCAGCTTCTTCTTCTATTTTTCTTCCACGGCAATGAATGAGATAGAAAAATAACTCTTCATTGCTAGTTGGCCCGTTCTCTGTATTGTCAGGTTAAGTAAAATCCTTGCCAAATAATGTGTTTTAGCAGGAGCTTTATGCAATTTGAAATGCTGGAACAAGTGCTAATCCACAGAATTGTAATAATATGCTTACTAAATATCATCTAAAGTCAGCATTTCCAAAACTCGCCATACTTCATTGATAGGGATGAAACAAATGAAAGCACTTTCAGAGAAGTAAATGAATACATCTATTTGTTTTTGTAAGTTTGTTTATTTGCTTTGAATGACCATATGTTTATTGGTTTTTGGTTTATTTCATAAATCGTATATATTTAAGGTAACAACATAATGCATTAATATACATATATATAGTAAACTTATTACTACAGTCAAGCTAATTAACATTCTATCTCTTCACATAGTTACCTGTTTTGGGTGTGTGCTAAGAATACAAGATCTACATATAATTATTTTATTTTATTTTATTATTGAGACCAAGTCTCGCTATGGCACCCAGGCTGGAGTACAGTGGAGCGATCTCAGCTCACTGCAGCCTCCACCTCATGGGTTCAAGAGATTCTCCTGCCTGAGCCTCCTTAGTAGCTGGGATTACAGGCACACGCCACCACACCCAGCTCATTTTTGTATTTTTAGCAGAGACAGGGTTTCACCATGTTGGCCAGGCTGGTCTCAAACTCCTGGCCTCAAGTGATCTGCCCACCTCAGTCTCCCAAAGGGCTGGGATTACAGGTGTGAGCCACCATACCCGGCCAAGATGTGCATATGCTTAGAGTTTAAGAAAATATACTCTTTAGATCCTCAAACCAATCTTCATTCTATGGGATAGCAAGTTTGCCATTGATTTAAGGGCTTTTCATGAGAGTTTGCAATAATTTTGTCAGACTTTATATCTGGGACATTCTTGAATGATCTTTCAGTAAATTTCTTCAACTTGGAAAGCCAGAGTATCTCAAGGGAAGCAAATTATGTGCCTCCCTTTTTGTTTTAAGCATCTTATGTGTGTTAAATTTAAATAGATTTAGTTGTACATGATGCTGTACAGTATTCGAGAAACAAAAATTAGCCAGGCACAGTGGCACATGCCTGTAATTACTACTCGGGGGGCTGAGGCAGGAGGATCGCTTGAGCCCAGGAGTTGGAGAATGCAGTGAGCTATGATCATGCCATTGCACTCCAGCCTGGGCAACAGTGTGAGACCTTGTTTCTAAAAAGGAAAAACAAAATGCCAGAAATGTTACAGCTGAGAGAACTGGCAGTGGTAAGGAGGAAGAAGACCAGAGGAAGGAAAAGTGAGATAGAACAAAACTGAAATCGCTAAAAGGGCCTTTTAATGGTGGGAAACATTTATTTCAATCATTGGATGTGAAGGGCAACAGAAGAGGGTTGAACAAGGCTTAAGACCTTGGAGGTAGACCAGTAGTGAGGGGTACTGAGCAAGACATCCATAAAAGACACAAACATCAATGCTGGGGACACAGTGGCTTCCTGGAAAGGAAACTGGAACTGCAACTTGGGCATTTCCCTGGGAGAAGCGATTTAAAAGAGTAATGTTTCATGAAGAACCTGAGGTGGGAAAGAGGACCTGCTAGTTCAGGGAAAGGAGGCAAGCAGAACTAGTTAAAGGAAGCAGGTTCATCTTTTAAGTTGGACAAAGCCAGACTGCTATTGTGCTGTGTACCTGTAATCTGCTATCTTTCTTATAAGTTTCACTCATGATTTCCACATTGCTCCAAGGGGCTGAATATTTTCAGTGGTATCCCATAGAAATAAGAGTGAGAACACCAAAGGGCTAATATCTAGAATCTACAAAAAACTTAAACAAATTTACAAGAAAAAATCAAACAACCCCATCAAAAAGTAGGCAAACGATATGAACAGACACTTCTCAGGAGAAGACATTTATGCAGCCAACAGACACATGAAAAAATGCTCATCATCACTGGCCATCAGAGAAATGCAAATCAAAGCAACAATGAGATATCATCTCACACCAGTTAGAATGGCGATCATTAAGAAGTCAGAAAACAACAGGTGCTGGAGAGGATGTGGAGAAATAGGAATGCTTTTACACTGTTGGTGGGACTATAAACTAGTTCAACCATTGTGGAAGACAGTGTGGTGATTCCTCAAGGATCTAGAACTAGAAATACCATTTGACCCAGCCATCCCATTAGTAGGTATATACCCAAAGGATTATAAATCATGCTGCTATAAAGACACATGCACACATATGTTTATCGTGGCACTATTCACAATAGCAAAGACTTGCAACCAATCCAAATGTCCATCAATGATAGACTGGATTAAGAAAATGTGGCACGTATACACCATGGAATACTATGCAGCCATAAAAAAGGATGAGTTTGGCCAGGTGCGGTGGCTCACGCCTGTAATCCCAGCACTTTGGGAGGCCGAGGTGGGTGGATCACGAGGTCAGGAGATCGAAACCATCCTGGCTAATATGGTGAAACCCTTTCTCTAGTAAAATTACAAAAAAAAATTAGTCGGGCCTTGTGGTGGGCGCCTGCAGTCCCGGCTACTCGGGAGGCTGAGGCAGGAGAATGGCGTGAACCCGGGAGGCGGAGTTTGCAGTGAGCGGAGATCGCACCACTGCACTCCAGCCTGGGTAACAGAGTGAGACCCTGTCTCAAAAAAAAAAAAAAAGTGATGAGTTCATGTCCTTTGTAGGGACATGGATAAAGCTAGAAACCATCATTCTGAGCAAACTATCGCCAAGGACAGAAAACCAAACACCGCATGTTCTCACTCATCGGTGGGAATTGAACAATGAGAACACCTAGACACAGGGTGGGGAACATCACACACCGGAGCCTGTGGTGGGGTGGGGGCAGGGGGGAGGGGGAGGGACAGCATTAGTAGATATACCTAATGTAAATGACGAGTTAAGGGGTGCAGCACACCACCATGGCACATATATACATATGTAACAAACCTGCGCGTTGTGCACATGTACCCTAGAACTTAAAGTATAATTAAAAAAAAAAAAAAAGACTGTGTGTCAGACTGAAGTTCAACGATCCTTCCCATCTTCCTGGGCAATGACAGAGGATAAAAAGTCGTAGGAGGCCTTGGCTGAATTTCAGCTCAGGTCAATCTTTTCACTGAACACCCCTCCCAGTGAGGTTTTTTCTTTCTTAGGCAAAGAGGAATTTAGGCCTCGCCAAGGAAACACAGGAAACTAGTACTGCAATACCTAGGCCTTAACTGCCCTATTCAATATGGAAAATGGAACCTGCTGCTTGGCATGACTCAACTGTGAGTGCCCTTCATTCTAGGCTAAAAACAAAAGAAAAAACTGATTGTGAGAAAAGTTTCCTGAGATGTAATTATAAGTTAAAAGTCTCATTTATGGTGCAATTTGATATATTGTTTCATTATATATGAAAGGTACAAAATTCTCCTGTTTCATTAGAATCATCTGAGATTTTGTTGGTTTGACTGCCTGTTTTATTTGTTTTCTTTTTGCTTTTAAGTTTGCAGCCTTCACATACAAACTAATGTATTTCTCATTTCATTTCTCCCCTAGGGAGTCTCATTTTTTTTTTCCTCATTGTTAACATATTCTGCTTTCTCCTATGCAGGCTGGGCAAGAGATCCAATTTGACACTTTATGCAGTTTATGGTAATATTCCAGTAATGATATATTTCAGCCTTCATTATTGATAACCACTTTGCTTGATAAGGACAAGTTATATTACCAGCATCATTCTCCTATACGGCCATTTTCCCAATTTCAAATTTTTCTCACAAATTCATGCTCAGCAATAAAGTATCTTTCTGCAGATCCCCTTCTAGATCTGAGCCTTCAGTGTCCTCCATCAATTCAAAACCAATTTGCCCATGATTTGATGTATCTGTTTTTCTCCCCTCAATCTTTATTATAATAGTTATTAAGACCTTCAGTCCATAGTGGGATTTTTTTTTCAATTCTTAGAATACTTTTTCATGAATTCCTATGCAGACTTGCCTGACTCTCTTTCTTCTTCCTCTTCACCTAATCTCAACACACCTTGTGTGTAACGTGCACCACCCAAGTAGGGCTGGGATTAGAGTGAAGCAAGTAAGGCACTAGTGTCAGGTGCAAAATTTAAAAGGAGCCAAAACCTCAGGACTCAAGATAATATGTAAATGTAATATTTTTAAAAATTAAAGTACCAAAGTACCAAAAAAAACCCATGGTACATGGTTCATCATTTACCATGATGAACACATGTCAAAATTGTAAATAAGGATAGGCTGTTGTTTGTTTTATTGCACTATTTTGTGACAGGAGCAGTCATTTCCAATCTGCCCATGGTTCCTGGCCTGTGAGGCTCTTTCATCCCTCTTCAGGTGGGTTTATAAGGGTTGACATGGGCACCAACAGATCAGGCAATGTGAGACTTCATATATTGTTATGTTTTCTTTTATTAATGCATTAGCACTTTTATTAACTTTTTCTTTTTGGTTCAAAATATGAGAGAATATTTTGATAAGTGCATATAGAGGTGCACAGTTTCCCTTTTGCCTCAGAATTCAGTATGGCTCAGCACAAACCGAAGGAAGTCTCACTAAAACCAGGTCCTATAAAGGAACTGCTCTCCAAGCTTTGTCCAGCCTGGAGCCAGATAATGGAATAGTAGGATTGAAATAGTCCATAAAACAACATAAGCAATAGATACAGAGTATTTATGAGGATGACAAAAGGATTTGTTTTAAGTCACTAAAGCATTCTCTTAGATGAGAAATTTATTAATTTTTTTCATGTATTGATTGAAATATAAATACTTTTTAGCAGAATTCTGCAATTGGCTTCTATTTTTTTTCTTCTCTAATGACTCAGCCAATCTGTTTAAAGTTATGATCTCTGATCTGGTCCCACCTGGAAAATGCTGGCTACCTGTGTGTATTCCCTAGCCAGACAGTTCTGCCTTTCTCTGCCTCTTTAACCATACAAATGTGGTGTCTGGGACACCCTTGTTCTCTGCCTACTGCATCCTCTCTGCCAGGGGCAGCATTTTAAAGTCCCTTTTTGGTGGGAAGGTTCCCTTCCTTAGTTGATCCATATCATTCAGAATCTAACCAGAAAAACAAAACCACTTCAGACATTAGGTTGCCATATTCCAGACCAAAATCACAAATATCAGGAATTTCAAATGGCTCAAACTATTGTTTACAAAAAAAGAAATTTATCTTTATTTGTTTATATTTAAATGACAAAAATTGTATATATTTATTGTGTGCAACATTGTGTTAGGCTGTTCTTGCATTACTATAAAGAAATACCTGAAGCTGGGTTATTTATAAAGAAAAGAGATTAAATTGGCTTGCCGTTCTGCAGGCTGTACAAACATGGCACCAACATTGGCTTGGCTTCTGGTGAGGGTCTAGGGAAGCTTGTAATCATGGTGGAAGATGAGGTGGGAGCAAGCATGTCACATGGCAAGAGTGGGAGCAAGGGTAGGGGAAGTTGCCATGCTCTTTTAAACAACTAGATCTCACATGAACTACCAGAGCAAGAACTCAATCCTAGCCAAGGGGATGGCACTAAGCCATTCGTGAAGGATCTGTCCCCATGATCCAAACACCTTCTCCAGACCCCAACTCCAACACTGGGGATTCACATTTCAACATAAGATTTGGAGGGGATAAATATCCAAACTATATCAAAAATGATATTTTGAAATATGTACACATTCTGTAATACCAAAATCAAGCTAATTAACATATGCATTATTTTGCATACTTATCATTTATTTGCAGTAAGAACACTCTCTACTTGTAAGAATTCAACTTTTTAAAAATTCCTCATACAGTGTAAGTCAGATCATATGGTATTTGTCTTTCTGTGCCCGGCTTATTTCCCTTAACATAATGTCCTTCAAGTTCATCCATGTTGTTACAAATGGTAGCATTTTCTTCTTTTTTAAGACTGAATAGCTTTTCATTGTGTGGACAATTTTGTTTATCCATTCATTTGTTTTAATGGACACTTAGCTTGATTCCATATCTTGGCTTTTATTAATAATGCTACAAAGAACATGGGAGTGCAAATATCTTTTCAACATATTGATTGTATTTGCTTTGTATATATACCCACTAGTGGGATTGCTGAATAACATAGTAGTTCTATTTTTAATTTTTTGTGGAACTTCTGTACTGCTTTACTTAATGGTTACACTAATTTACATTCCTAAGAACAATGTGCAAATGTTCCCCTTTCTCCGCATCTCACCAGCACTTTTTACCCTTTGTCTTTTTGATAATAGCCATTCTAAGAGGTATGAGGTAATATCTCGTTGTGGTTTTAATTTGCATTTCCCTGCTGATTAATGACGTTGAGCAGTTCTTCATATACCTGTTGGCCATTTGGGTGTCTTCTTTTGAGCAATATCTGTTTGTGTGCTTTGCCATTTTTTAGTCAGGTTATTTGCTTTTTTGCCATTGAGTTTTTTCAGTTTCTTATATATTTTAAATATTAATTGCCTTTCAGATATATGGTTTAAAATATTTTCTCCCATTTCTTAGGTTTATCTTCACTCTGTTTCCTTTGCTGTGCTGAAGGTTTTTAGTTTATGTAATCCTGTTTGTCTATTTTCACTTTTGCTGCCTGTGCTTTTAGAGTTGTATCCAAAAAAATCATTGCCCAGACCATTTTCATGGAGATTTTCTCCCTTGTGTTCTTCTGGTAGATTTAGAGTTTCAGGTTTTACATTTAAGTCTTTAATCCATTTTGAGTTGATTTTTGTATATGGTGTGAGATGAGGGTCTAATTTCATTCTTCTGCAGATGGATAGCCAGTTGTCCCAAACCATTTATTGAAGAGACTGTCCTTTCCCCATTCTGTGTTCTTGGCAACCTTGTCAAAAATCAATTGGCCTTAAATGTGTGCATTTTATTTCTGGGCTCTCTATTCTATTCCACTGGTCTGTATGTCTGTTTTTATGCCAGTACCATGCTATTTTGATTACTATAGCACAAATACACAGGTCATTGTACTTCAAAACTGTCCCTTTATTAGCTGCACTTAATTAAAAGAGAAGGCTCTCTCCCTCTGTATTAATTCTAAAGTTGCTATAGGATTGCTTATTCATTATATTGCTTAGTATTTTATTGAAATTGATAGATTTGGGTGCACCAGGGATATATCTCCTTGTGCACCCAAATCTATCAGTTTCAATAAAGTACTAAACTGCATAATCATTTGAGATAGTTCCCATTTAGTGCTGACATCTTCTGGATGTAGTTATCCATTTTAGCTGCACTTGAATTGCAGCAATTTCACTCTATCTTTTTACACTAACTCTTACCCATTTTCTTGTTTTCCTCTGCCCCAGGGACATTCTCTAGATGAAGGGATGACTGACTAAATGGATGGAGGGATGGATGATAGCAGATGAATGGATGTTAATGATAATGATTATGTCACTAGATTTTAAAGATGAGGGTGTTCCTCACCCTTTCTTTTGGTGACAGTAGAAACTATATAAAGTGCTATGGTTAATGCAGAATCATAGCTACAAAATGTGAACCTCCTCAATGTAACATTTTCTCTTCAAACCATAGTTAAAATGTTACATTAAAAGTAAAAAGAGGTGATTTGCTCAGAAAAATAGTCATTATTTGGGCATTCTTTGTTGCAGGTGAGGAGAGTTGTTTGAATATATATATACACACACATATATATATACACACACATATATATATACACACACATATATATATCTATATATATCTATATAGATATATAGATAGATAGATAGATAGATATACACATTTTTTTTTTAAGATAGAGTCTCGCTCTGTCACCCAGGCACGATCTCAGCTCACTGCAACCTCCGCCTCCCGGGTCAAGCAATTCTCCTACCTCAGCCTCCTGAGTAGCTGGGATTACAGACATGTGCCACCATGCCTGGCTAATTTTTGCACTTTTAGTAGAGACAGAGTTTCACTATGCTGGCCAGGCTGGTCTCGAACTCCTGACCTTGTGATCCACCCACCTTGGCCTCCCAAAGTGGAATACATTTTCTTTATTCAGATGGTAAATAACAGTCTGTTGCCTGAATTATTCAGATTTTCTTCTTAACGTTCACATGACCTCAGCATTCAGGCTTTGCAGAATGCTATAAATTCTTCCCCCACCACCACCTTCATCCTACAATATATCCTATAAAGCTGAATTTTTAATGGCTTAATGTTAATATATGATTAGGCTATGATTTCTTCAAATACAGTTTGTTTTCCTTAATCCTGAAAATTTCTCAAAATCTTCTGTAAAATAAAAGTGGAAGAAATATCATATTTTAAATAGAATTGTCTGTTCCAAGGGCCTGAAATTAATCAGGCATGTAATGCACTAAAGGCAGCTCAAGTACCTTTTGTAAATCACTTGAGGATGAGTAATACTTAGAAATTTGGGTTTGAAATAGCTCCTTCTGGAACTACTAAAGTGTCCCCCAAAAAGTTGATGCTTCTAAACTATCTTTTAAAAACAGACATTTAGAATTAGTCTCTTGCATTCTTTCCTTCTTTGCACTCAACAATTCCCTCTAGCTGATAGAATGTGATGTGCTGTAGCAACATCTTCAAAACATGTATTTACAGAACCAACTTACAGAATGCTTTGACGCAGGAAGTGATTATTTGAAGTGGCTGAAATACAAATGTCTTCTATGACTGTAACTTGGCAAAAGCACTAAAAACTATCTTACCAGTTCTCTTTTTATGAGGGATTTATATTCCATTAACATCTAAGCAAAGAAAGATGTTGACTAGCTTAGACTGACAACACCTGGAAATTCAAACATGATTTTTCACATGTATTTGCTTTTTAACAAGTTCTTCAGCTATACAGCAGAAAAAGTCATTTATTTTTCCCAAATGACACTCCTTGATGTAAAATGCATTTTAAATGTCAAATGGAAGAACGCCTCTAAAGGAACTTCAATGTGATCACATTATGGATTTTTTACTCATCGGAGTTCAAAGCTACTGACTAAAGTTGAATTTTCTTCCCTTTAATTAAATTAACTCTAAAGCAGCATTTCCTCTTTATGGACTTTACTAGATTTTGGTATTAAGCATAGAATGTTTGTGTGGTTCTTCTTGACTTAAGACTTTACCAGCAGACTATCTATAATGAAAAGACACCTGTGGATCATTAGGATGTAAGAGGCTTGAGGGCAGAAGAAAAATGCTGTAGTATATCCTCCACAGGGGCAGATCAGGACCAGGGCTGCATCGCAGTGCTTCATCACTAAATTTCCCCATGACAAATTGTGGAACCTTTCCTCTACCAGTGTTCTCAAACTCTTCCATGAATCAGAATCCCCCAGAGGGCTTCTTAAAACACTGACTTCTGGGCCTTACCTTCAGTCTTACTGACTTAGTAGGTCTGGAGTCAGGACAAATTTGCATTTCCAACACACAGGGTTCTCTAGAGGGACAGAACTAATAGGATATATGCATATATGAAAGGGAGTTTATTAAGGAGAATTGGCTCACATGATCGCAAATTGAAGTCCCACAATAGGCCATCTGCAAGTTGAGGAGCAAGGAAGACAGCCCGAGTTCCAAAACCTCAAAAGTAGGGAAGCCAACAGTTCAGCCTTCAGTCTGTGGCCAAAGGCCTGAGAGCCCAAGTCCAAGAGTCCAAAAGCTGAAGAACTTGGAGTCTGATGTTTAAGGGCAGAAAGCACCCAGCACAGGAGACAGATGAAGGCTAGAAGCCTCAGCAAGTCAGCTTCTCCCACCTTCTTCTGCCTGCTTTATCCTAGCCACGCTGGCAGTTTTTGGATGGTGCCCACCCAGATTGAGTGTGGGTCTGCCTTTCCCAGCCCACTGACTCAAATGTTAATCTCCTTTGGCAACACCCTCACAGATACACCCAGGAACGATGCTTTGCATCCTTCAATCCAGTCAAGTTGACAATGTTAACTATCACACCTGTATATTATTAATATCCTACTGTCTTCCATGTGTTTGCACACGCCATTTTCCTTTCCTGATATACCTTTAAACCTCATGTTTAAGTCTTTTCAGAAAAATGTTTCATAAAGTTTAATTTACAGTAAATCAGGATGGATTATCTTTTATATATACCTAATGTATACTGCCCTCTATTTCATATTCATAAATCCAATTTCTCCTTCAAATTTTCACATTTTGTGGCACATCTTTTTAAATATCCACCATTCCGTAAGTGTGTGATCATGTCCGAAACGATCCTGCTTGAAGCATATTAGGCATAGTTGATCAGACCTACTCTTCAGGTGGTACCCGAGTAGCTAATCCCCCAATACAATACAGTGTGGAATCAGATTTTCATTTCTCATCCTTTTTTCAATCTGCTTTTTCTTATTTCAAATACTTTGACTCTTCAGTCTTTCAATTTCTCCATTTGCCTTATTAATTTCAGCATTAGCCTCACAAAGGCCTGTGGTTTAACAGGGTGAGTGGCTCTTCTGAGACAAAGTTCATTGTTAATAAATACAGTTACTCTTTTGTTGTGAAATTTTATGAGGAATATAAACAATGCTTTTGCTAAATTGGCAGAATTGCTATCATTAAAATATCCCTGATGTAATTTTCCTTAACTCAAAACTTCTACAGTCTGTGTTTTCATTGCAAAAATGAATATCTGGACTCCTTGCTTGGCGTTTACTAAAATATCAGCTTCTGGACTCTCCCTAACCAAACTGGGGTGAGAAGGAGATTGTTAGTAGACCTGCCTTTCTCAGCACTTCAAGACAGTTATACCACTTGGGAAATGAGATAACAGTGGTTTTGAGATCCATTATTGACAATAGAAGACTGTCCTTTCTTTCATATAATGTGTTAGGAAATCCACATGCCCCTGATCAGCAGGGCCATTGTCCTGTGCAACAAGTGGCATTAATTCACAAAGGTTCAGCACTGCCACTTCATTGGATGTCCCCTCTCCACACCCCTTTTCCATCCACCTCTACACAACATATATTGGCTGTAGCACCTTGCCAAGCTACCAACTGTCTTTTGAGACTATGAGTATATTGCTCCAATGTCAGCCTTATTGAGGACCTCATCACTGATACTATATTAAGAGTTTATTAATCTTGGTGGGGTGCAGTGGCTCACGCCTGTAATCCCAGCACTTTGGGAGGCTGAAGTGGGCAGATTCCTTGAGCCCAGGAGTTTGAGACCAGCCTGGGCAACAGGGTGAAACCCTGTCTGTACAAAAAGTAGAAAAAAAAAATAGGTAGGTATGGTGGCACACACCTGTAGTCACACCTACCTGGGAGGCTGGGGTGGGAGAATTACCTGAGCCCGAGGAGGTGGAGGCTTCAGTGAGTCATGTTCATGTCACCGCATTCCAGCCTAGGCAACAGACAGAGACCTTGTCCTCCCCACCCCCCAAAAAAGTGTTTATCTTTCTATGCCACAGTTTGTCTATCTGCAGACCGGGGATAATAATACCTTATAAATTGGCTGTGACATTTAGGTATAATGTACACCAAACGTGCTCAATAAATTGGAGTTGTTGCAGTATTTTTAACTACTGTAATCACCTGAGGAAGGGAATATATTTATCTTATTTATTGTTATTGCCCCAGTGACTTGCAAGTACATGGAAAATAGTAGATATTCAATAATTTTTGTTTAACAAATATAAGAATCCATACCCAAATGAATGAATGAAGCCTTGGCAAAGAGGAAAACAACAGCTTTTGGCTCTTTTGTGGAAATAAAAGGGGTATGTTAAGGAAACTGAACTTTAGTACTGAACCTGCCATAGTTAGTTTTGAGTAGGAGTTTTCATTTTTCTGAGCTTTAGATGCTTCATCTGCAAATGGGCTAACAATGCCTACCTTGCCTTTCTCAGAGGGGCATTAATAGATACAAATGAAATAAAGAGCATATAGAAAAGAAAACAATAGCAAAATACGTCAACAACAAAAGAGTGTGCTGGAACTTATTAAAAGCAAAGATAGAGAAAACACAAAAATGCATGATCTTGGGTACAAAGATGCTCTAGTGCAGCAAAGGTGCAGCGTGAAATGGAGCCAAACATACAACACACAAAGCAGAAGAGGGAGAACCAAGACAAAAAGCCAAAGAAAGGTTTTCGAGTATTAAGTAATTGACATTGAATCAAATAATGGGAAAAGTTTTGGTTTATTGTGGGAAATATAAATTTGTATATAATGTAAATATTTATAATATTTACTAAAACCTTTGGGGATCATAATGGATACCATAGCTCCCCCTATAATCCCAGCTACCCTGAAAGCTAAGGCGGGAGGACTGCTTGAGTACAGGAGTTGGAGACTGCAGTGAGCTATGATTGTGTCACTGACTGCACTTCAGTCTGGGCAACAAAGCAAGACCCCATCTCTAAGAAATAATAATAATGGATAAAATATATGGAAGCACTTTTTAAGGTATAAAATTTTATTATTTTTCAAAGAGTGAAATTACTTGGTGTTTTGTAGCTAAGGTATCACATTTAATGAGTGTACCATGAAGTCACTTCAGATAATTTAGAGTTCCTGCTTAGAAAAGACTCTCCAAGTCTGCCCATCCATAAACCACTCTGAGAAAATGGAAAATAATAACACTTCAAAGTTTGTTGTTAGCACTGATAGGTCTTTAGTCCACCTCGAGTTCTTTATGAAATGAAATGAGGTTTAAATAAATAAAATGTATGCTTGTTTTTTGGGGGTTTTTTTTTGTTTTTTTTTTTTTTGAGGCAGAGTTTCACTCTTGTTGCCCAGGCTGGAGTGCAATGGTGCAATCTTGGCTCACCACAACTTCTGCCTCCTGGGTTCAAGCGATTCTCCTGCCTCAGCCTCCCGAGTAGCTGGGATTACAGGTGTGCACCACCAGGCCCGGCTAATTTTGTATTTTTAGTAGAAACGGGGTTTCTCCATATCAGTCAGGCTGGTTGCGAACTCCCAATCTCAATTGATCTGCCCGCCTCAGCCTCCTAAAGTGCTGGGATTACAGGCGTGAGCCACCGCGCCTGGCGGCTTAAGTCTTTAGCAGCAATCTTAATCTGCCAAGTTCCTAGCAATTAGAAAGACTGTAAGAAAAGATTAATTAAAGCAATTTATAGTCTTCTCATTTATATAATTGGATCTTTCGATCATGCTTTAAACTTAAAAAACTACATTATTGATATTATCACAGATGTCCTAGCTATTATTTATTGTATGTTTTATATCTTAAAGTAACAGCTGTCCTTCAATATACAAAGAAATTTTTTTAAATACCACTTCCTCAAATTTACCGGTATTCAATCATGACTACACATTAGAATCACCTAGAAGGTTTTTCAAACACACCCATTCAAGGCCCTCTCCTGAGGTCCTACTTTAATTGATGACATTCTGAAACTCCTCAGGATTCTTTTTTTTTTTTTTTTAAGACGGAATCTTACTGTCTGCCAGACTGGAGTGCAGTGGCACAATCTCAGTTCACTGCAAGCTCCTCCTTCTGGGTTCATGCCATTCTCATGCCTCAGCCTCCTGAGTAGCTGGGATTGCAGGTGCCTGCCACCACGCCCGGCTAGTTCTTTGTATTTTTTAGTAGAGACGAGGTTTCACCGTGTTGGCCAGGATGGTCTTGATCTCCTGACCTTGTGATCCGCCCGCCTCAGCCTCCCAAAGTGCTGGGATTACAGGCATGAGACACCGCACCTGGCCAAGGATTCTAATATTCACTCAGGACAAAGAATCTCTCAGCCTTTTGCTGGTTTTGTTTTTTCATTTTTGAAACAAGAGTCTCGCTCTGTCGCCCAGGCTGGAGTGCAGTGGCACAATGTCAGCTCACTGCAACCTCCGCTTCTGGGTTCAAATGATTCTTCTGCCTCAGCCTCCCAAGTAGCTGGGATTACAGGCATGCGCCACCACATCTGGCTAATTGTTGTATTTTTGGTAGAGACGTGGTTTCACCATTTTGCTCAGGCTGGTCTTAAACTCCTAAGCTCAAAGTGGCCTGCCTTGGTCTCCCAAAGTGCTGGGATTACAGGTGTGAGCCACCGTGCCCAGCCTCTCTCAGCCTTTTGATTCACGGTCTCCAAATACCTCAACTGAATTCCATTAACTACCTTTGGCAAATGTTAAGAAATAACTTTTAAGGGGTAAAATAATGACCCTCATTTAAATGTAAAATGAACACATATTGAAGATTTTATTTACCTCATTAGTTAATGAGGAAACCAATAAGATGTTATCATTGGTTCCAAAAATAATCCAAAGAACAGACCAAACATAACCCAGGAACCAGCACAATATAGCCCTGAAAACCAAATCCAACCTACCGTTTGTACAGCCCGCAAGCTAGGCATGCTTTTTACTTTTCTCAGTGGTTCCAAAAAATCAAAAGTATTATAATATTTTTTGACATATGAAAATTATATTTAATTCCATTTCAGTGCTCATAAATGAACTTTTATTGGAATGTAGCCATGCCCATTCACTTACGTATAGCCTATGGCTACTTCAGAGCTACAGCAGCATAGTTGAGTAGTTGCAATAGAGAGCACATGGTCTATACAGCCTAAAATATTTATCGTTTGGCCCTTGTCAGAAAAAGTTTGCCAACTTCTGATATAAGCAATCAGGAATGGTGATACAAATTTGCAAATTCATGCAAAACTGGTTAAAATCCACCCAGCAATAAAATGTAATGTTGAAATTGTCTCTTTCACAGAAGGAAAATCGATGGCATCTCCATTAGACAAAATTCACTTGCATTGAATTATTTGCATTACCATTAGCTTTTTATAGTTTGTGGAGTTGTAAAATAGCTCAGTGAGAGACAACAAAAAGCACAGAATTGTCTAAAATTAGATAACTGCCAAAGGTATGCTAGGTGATACTCAACATTCCATTGGAAAGACACCTAGTAATCTTTTAAACCCATTTCATAATCTTTCACAATTTTTTCCGGAGACAAACTAAACTACATTAATTTTTTCAGGACATCAGAGATATGTCCTGATCAGAACTGACTTTGTTCCAGGTATGTCTGGGACATGACCGGACCCCATATCTGCTTTATAACACATCTTCTCTGCCTGCTCTAGAAGCCTGGCACATGCCAGTGACTGAGCACCACTGACTGATCCTTCACTGTGAGCTTCTCATTCACAGACCAAACACAAATCATTACTGGGTATGTTGCAAAGTACTCTGTGTAAGGGGCTACCAAGATGTAGACCCAGGCTCTGCCTTCAGGGAGCATATATGTTCCTGGCACAGGCACATCCAAGTCAACAGATACATCCATTTTAGTTCTGATTCACTTGTGATTTTATAACTTCCTACTTTCCCAAAAGAAAATCATTCTTCTTCTAAAAGCCTACTTATACTGCATTTCTTTCACTTACTGATAGAAAAACAACACTGCATAAAAACCAAGCCTCTGAATGTTCTCTAAAATTTATCTTTGACTTTTAAATCAACCTTTATTTTCATTTAAACTGTTGAATATTTGTTGCAATTAAGAAAATCCCGGCCAGGTGTGGTGGCTCATGCCTGCAGTCCCAGCACTTTAGGAGGCCAAGGCAGGCAGATCACCAGAGGTCAGGAGTTTGAGACCAGCCTGGCCAACATGGTGAAACCCCATCTCTACTAAAAATATAAAAATTAGCCAGGCATGGTTGCAGGCACCCCATCTCTACCAAAAATGTAAAAATTAGCCAGGCATGGTTGCAGATTGTAATCCCAGCTACTCGGGAGGCTGAGGTAGGAGAATCGCTTGAACCTGGGAGGCAGAGGTTGCAGTGAGCCAAGATCACGCCATTGCATTCCAGCCTGGGCGAAACTTCATCTCAAAAAAAAAAAAAGAAAAGAAAAAGAAAGAAAGAAAGAAGAAAGAAGGAAGGAAGGAAGGAAGGAAGCAAGGAAGGAAGGAAGGAAGGAAGGAAAGAAAGAAAAGAAAGAAAGAAAGAAAGAAAGAAAGAAAGAAAGAAAGAAAGAAAGAAAGAAAGAAAGAAAGGGAAAGAAAGAGGGAAAGAAAGAAAAGAAAAGAAAGAGAAAGAAAGAAGAGAGAGAAAGAAAGAGAGAGAAAGAAAGAAAGAAAGTCCTCATTAAAAATACCTTCAGTGTTTTTGTAATATTCTTATGAAAGCCTTTTATAGAGTAAAAAATTTTCCAAATTTGCACTAAAATGTTTGCATTATCTTAAAAACAGCTCTTGTTGCTTTGATCTTTGCAGTTCACAGTCAAAATTATTTAAGGTCATTCTCTGAAGGGACTATCTTGAAGCCAGGCTGCATCTCTAACATTCACATGTTTGATTTCTACAAATGATCACAGCTTGTGGTTCTTCAAAATACAGATAACTGCACTTGATAATTTTTGCTTTTTTAATATATTTGGCTTTGCTCCTCACCACATTCCTAAAGCAGACATGGCAGATCTTATCAGCCTCATTTCACAAATGCAGATCCATCAGCTAATGAGAGTTGTTAGGTCTCCCTTTTATGCCTCCCAAAGTACCCTATGTGTCCTCTTTAGCAGCACTTGGCATGCTTTCAATTAAATAACATAATGCTCCAAGACTCAAAGTTCCCTGAAGACAAAGGCTAAGTCTGTTGTGTTCACCACCCTAGCCTCAGTAGTGTAGTGAAGTAAATTCTGGAGTCTGATTGTGTGCCCTGATTTGTGTTCAAACCCCAGCCCAACAACTTATAACCTTGGGCAATTTACTTAACCTTTCTCTGTGCCTCAGTTTTCCATCTATGAAATGATAATAGTACTTATTCATAGGGTTCTTGTGAAGATTGGGTTAATATGTACAATGCTTAGAATTATGCCTAGCATGTACCAAGTACTCAAAAAATGAGAGCTGTTTTTATCATCTAGTAAAATTCCTGACACAAAGTCAACAGGCAATAAATATTTGTTAAATGAATGAATGAATGAGCAAAGTAAAAGCAGAATTGAATCAAACATTCAAATAGTCTAAATCCAATGCCATTTTCCTCTCCTTCTACTCTTGGATATACAGAAAGATCAGTTTTGGGCGGGGGGGAAAGTAGGATTGCAGCCAGGCACAGTGGCTCATGCCTGTAATCCGGACACTTTGGGAGGCCGAAGTGGAAGGATCACTTGAGGCCAGGAGTTTGAGACCAGCCTGGGCAACAGAGTGAGAACCCGTCTTTACAAAAATAATTTTAAAATTAGCCAGGCATGATAGTATGTCCCCGTAATTCCAGCCACTCTAGAGACTGAGTCAGAAGGATCACTCGAGCTCGAGCTCAGGAGGCCGAGGCTGCATTGAGCCATGATTGTACTACTGCATTCCAGCCTGGGTGAAAGAATGAGACCCTGTCTCAAAAAAGAAAAGAGCAGGATTCCAGCAAGCCATTAAACACTGATTCCACTGATTCTCTATAAAAAATGATCATTAGATTAGTGAAAAATTTCTCTTCTCCAGGTTTACTGTTCCAGTCCTTGACTTTAAGCCTCAATACCAATAAGATAGCCATAAATGCAACTCTAGCAATTGACTTAAATTACTATTTTATGCTGGTACATAGTAGATGTTCAATAAATGTTTGAAAATTGATTGATTTAAAGAATGACTGAAGAATGGATATGTAGATATAATTTGGTAAAGTTCGAGTATAAAACAGAAGTGTAAAAAACAAAATGTATCAGACAAGGAAGGACAGTTTTATTCAGACTATTAAAATTGGGAGACTGTTCATTAATTAGGCATGTCTCAAAGAAATGGACTGCATTTTATAGAGGCAGGTAAACAAGGGAGTTACCCACAAGTCTTACGGAGGTCATGAGAAAGAGTGGACAGCAGGTCTTATTAAGTCATATGAAGAAGGGTGCTTCTTTGTAATTAGCCCTTCCTTCCCAGAACAAAAAAAAGGGGAGAGAGGATTTCAGAAAACAAAAGGGTTGGGATGGGTTATGGGTGGGTGGGCGTGGGTGTTCTTGGTAGCTATTTTCTGATAAAGCTCAGGTAAAGTTCAACATTGTCAGGAACAATTCTTGATAGAAGTGATACTTCTTTACAGAATGTACGTATCTTGCATGTTGGTTGGGAGGGAACGGGGCTGGGCACTTTTTGGTTCCTACAGTAATGGGTGGACACTGCTAATATATAGTGGGAAGAGTAATTCTATAATATGCAGGACAGTACTGCACAACAAAGAATTCATCTGCTTGCAACAAGATTTATATATATAAGTGGACATTCTTGTATGTGAAGATAAAAACTACAACTTTTCAAGCCTAGACTAACTCTTGTTAAAGTAAAACTTTATTAAAAGGTAAAATTACAGCTGTCATGCAATTATAAGATGAATACGTGCCAAAGGTCATGTTTAATAAACTAATTAATGAGGAACCAAGTAAGATATTACAACCAGTTCAAAGGAGAATTCAAACACACAATCAGCAAAAAGAAATGAGGGAATAAATATACAAGTAGATACAAAGCTGGTCAGTATCCACAAGGAAATAATCAATTACATTCCACCTGATGAAAATCCTTTGCATTTCTATGAACAAGAATAATTTGCACTACTGTAAATATTCTACCACTAAGAGGTTGCAAAGACAATATAGAAGGCAGAGGTCCCTATGAATCAGTTAGCCTGGAAGGTGCACTAGATAAGACACTGAAGTTTTTCACATTTTTTCCTGACACTCCTTTTTGCACTTACATGTGATTTGTAAAGTATATTTCTCAAAATTTATATAAACCTGAATTTTCTAGGAATGCAATGGATGTGTAAATTAAGGGGAGGTTAAATTTTGTTTTGAACTACTAAGAGTTAACTGTCATTTCAGAAAATCACTTCTCTTATGAAAGTAGAGATGATTTTTTTTTATTATTATTATACTTTAAGTTTTAGGGTACATGTGCACAATGTGCAGGTTAGTTACGTATGTATACATGTGCCATGCTGGTGCGCTGCACCCACTAACTCGTCATCTAGCATTAGGTATATCTCCCAGTGCGATCCCTCCCCCCTCCCCCGACCCCACAACAGGCCCTGGTGTGTGATGTTCCCCTTCCTGTGTCCATGTATTCTCATTGTTCAATTCCCACCTATGAGTGAGAACATGCGGTGTTTGGTTTTTTGTCCGTGCGATAGTTTGCTGAGAATGATGGTTTCCAGCTTCATCCATGTCCCTACCAAGGATATGAACTCATCATTTTTTATGGCTGCATAGTATTCCATGGTGTATATGTGCCACATTTTCTTAATCCAGTCTATCATTGTTGGACATTTGGGTTGGTTCCAAGTCTTTGCTATTGTGAATAGTGCCGCAATAAACATACATGTGCATGTGTCTTTATAGCAGCATGATTTATAATCCTTTGGGTATGTACCTAGTAATGGGATTGCTGGGTCAAATGGTATTTCTAGTTCTAGATCCCTGAGGAATCGCCACACTGACTTCCACAATGGTTGAACTAGTTTACATATGAAGTTATTAATAGATAGAAGAATGTGTCGATTATTTTGCTTTGCAAATCAGAGCTGGAAAAACACAACCTTTTCAATAGTATTGGAATAAATAATTCAGATGCTATCCAGAATTGAACTTTGATCATACTATTAAAAATTACATTATTGCATGTCAAATCCATATTACAATTACTTCATTTGTCCCAAAATTTTCTTCTCCAGAGAAGGCAATTACGAATTTTAAGGCCACCAGGAAACCAGGAAGTGACATGAATGGGCTCTTTTCCAAATGCATACTCACACTTTCCTCATATAAGGGCTGATTATAAACTGAAAGCAATTAGTGATTATGTTTTTCAAAATGAAGACAGAAAGTAACAAGGTATGATTGGGACTGAGCTCTTTAGTTTTTATATTATATGAGATAATGTTTAAGTCTAATAAGATTTCACAGATTCAGCACGTTTGTTTAGTGAGGGAAAGTGTAATAAATTAGACTGGAAAAATGGCCTTTAGTGCTTTAAGAAGGGAAATGCAGCATATTAAAAAAAAAAAAGAAGTTTGAATTTCATTTTAATGATGACCACTGCTCAAGGCAACACCCATCTTTGTAGCCTTGGGCTGCCTCTCTTAATTACGCATTTTAATCACTTAGAAAAGGCATAATTTAAAAATACTTCAAGGACTCCAAAAATTAACATCAAGTAGGAAGTGCAGAGAGTTTATAAAGTGGCTTGGGGCAAATGGAGAATTTTTTTAAAATATCCTTTGTACAGTGTCTAGAACATAAAGGTGCCAAATAAATAATAGTTTATTATCCTATCCTTCTATCCCATCCTCAATTCTGCCTCCCAAGATTCTAAAAGTGGATTTTAAGACTGTAACCTCATAGAAACATCTAACTAAAATAGGAAGAAAACACAATGAAGTTTCCCAGGGCTTAGGAATTAAATTTATTACCAGTTTTAGTTTTACTCCAGATGTTTTTTAATGTTATTATTAATAATAGAAAGATAGTGGTAAAATATTTTTCTTCTATAGTGGTTCTGCCTAAGACCTTTTCTTAGAATATAGATACGTTTGAAATTTCATATTTTTTCCAAGTAACCAAGAAGCTTTTGTGCTGTTTGTTTGTTTGTTTGTTTGTTTGTTTGTTTTTTGAGATGGAGTCTCTGTCACCCAGGCTGGAGTACTGTGGCGTGATCTTAGTTCACTGCAGCCTCTGTCTCATGGGTTCCAGCAATTCTCCTGCCTCAACCTCCTGAGCAGCTGGGACTACAGGCATTCACCCAGCTAATTTTGTATTTTTAGTAGAGATGGGGTTTCACCACGTTGGCCAGGCTGGTCTCAAACTCCTCACTTCAAGTGATCCTCCCACCTCAGCCTCTCAAAGTGCTAGGATTACAGGCATGAGCCACCATGTCCAGCCTCACAGAACTATTTTTAATTAACAAATAAAAATTATATATATCACATACATGATATTTTGAAATATGTACACATATTTCAATTTTTGAAAGGCTCATTTGGGCTAATAATGTATGAATTATCTCACATACTTGCCATTTTTTGTGGTGAGGGCATTCAAATTCCCCTCTCTTAGCAATTTTTAAAATACAATACGTTGCTATTAACTATAGTCATCATGTTATACACGTGATCTCTTGAACTTATTCCTCCTATCTAACTGAAATTTTATATCCTTTGACCCACATCTTTCCAAACCACAGCCCCTCCCCCTGGCCCCTGGTAATCACCAGTTTACTATCTACTTGTATGAGTTTGACTTTTGTAGATTCCACATATAAGTGAGATCATGCAGTATTTGTCTTTCTATGCCTGGCTTATTCACTGAACAGGTTCATTCATGTTGTCAAAAATAACAGAATTTTCTTCTTTTTTAAGCATTCTGTTATGTATATATACCACATTTTCTTTAGTCATTCATCGATGAACACTTGATTTGATTTCATATCACAGACTAGGTAATTTATAAAGAAAATAAATGTATTGCTTGCAGTTCTGGAGGCTGGAAAGTCCAAGGTCGAGGGTCCTGCATCTGGTTGAGGGCCTTTGGGCTGCATCATCTCATAGTGGAAGGCAGAAGAGCAAGAGAGGGTGACAGCAAGAAAGCAATAAATAATGCTGCAATAAACTTGGGAGTGTCAAAGTTTACAAAAAATCTAAAAATAACATCTATGAAGAAAACTTAATATGTTGAGAGGCTAAATAATAAGCCTTTTTTAAGTTAGTGTTATTTTCCCTAAAAGTGAAAAATAGTAAATGATGGAGAAAGTAAAAAAAAAAGGCTAAAATTTTGCTACTCAGAAATAATAAAATAATATCTATCATTTTAGATATCTTACAATCTAAAAAGAAAGAGGTATTTAGCATTTTAAAAGATAAAAGGATAGATAGAAGTATCTTCACAAAAGTAGAATTTTTCTACATTGCTATTCTAATAAAATTTACTAAATTTAATTTCACTTGACTTTAACAGAATAAAAAAGGAACTGAAATAACACCAAAGAAATTGCTGAATTGCAGATAAGTATTTTCTTATATCATAAGGTATTTATTGTTAAAAGATCTCTAGCAATTAAGAAAAACCACCTAAAATATTAATTTCATGTAATTATGATTTACACTACACATTTTAACAGTAGATAGAATTTTTTATGTAATGCTATGAAAGATAAAATTATCAGAACACTGGTAGTCTACCCATCTTCACTCCTCCACACTCCAAGTTTTGGTAATTAGGTTTGTATTTTACCATTGTCAAGGTTTACAAATTTAGAATTGCTTCTACAACAACTCCCACAGCTTCTTGGACAGATTTTCATATTTAAATAGATTTAGGTCTCACCCTCAAACCTTCTATCCCACAGCGTCTCCATTCCTGAGTTCTGTTTGATTTATCTTTTGGTTGGCTGGAATATACCAGCAGGCAATTGTTTCAAAAAGGGTTCATGGGTTCCATAGCTCCTGAGGGCTCAACTACTTATTGCCTGTAACTTCCAAATGTGAAGGACAATGTGGCTAAATATCAAATTCTTGAACCACTCTTTCTTTCACTTACAACTTTGCTCCCTTGTCTTCAGCTATGTGATCAGCTGCAATAAACATGACACTAGCATGATTTTTCTGGCAATTTCTGTATGGCTTCCTTTTTCTAACTAGATACCCACATGTTTTTTGTTTTGTTTTGTTTTCTTTAGCTTTCCTTTGTTTTAATCCTTGAGATTCAAGACTTTTCTTTCTTGAGGGGTGTCTTCGTTCATTTGGGCTTAGTTCATGAGGTATAACTAAATACCTCATACTGGGTGATTATACACAAGTTTATTTCTCACAGTTCTGAAGTCATGGGAGTACAAAATCAAGGAGCTGACATTGTGTCTGATGAGGTGTCTGTTGAGGACCCACGCCTCACAGACGGCACCTTTTTACTTTGTCCTCCTGTGTTGGAAGAGACTAGCTAGCTCTCTGGAGTCTCTTTTATAAGAATGCTAATCCTAATCATGCCCTTCTCACCCCCAACCCACCAAAGGCCCAACCTCTTAATCATAATCTTGGGGGTTAGGATTTCAACATATACATTTTGGGAAGATACAAACATTCAGACCATAGCAAGGGATAACTTGCCATGGATAATTCCATTTTGAATCATTTCTTGATATTGTTTGGGCCTCTAAATTCCATTTTTTTTTTATAAGAAGTCTTGCTCTTGTCACCCAGGCTGGAGTGCAATGGCACAATCTCGGCTCACTACAACCTCCACCTTCCGGTTCAAGTGATTCTCTTGCCTCAGCCTCCCAAGTAGCTGGGATTACAGGCATGCACCACCACACCCCGCTAATTTTTTGTATTTTTAGTAGAGATGGGTTTTCGCCATGTTGGCCAGGCTAGTCTCGAACTCCTGACCTCAGATGATCTGCCCACCTCGGCCTCACAAAGTGCTGGGATTACAAGCATGAGCCATCATGCCCGGCCTTGTTTGTTTTAATGTATCAGAAAAATTTTTCTCCTGTCATAGGTTTGAGGACTTTTCCTAATTCACTTGTTATGTTGTTGTCTTATTGAAGGACACAAATTACATAAATGTAGGCTTTCTTTTGTCTTTCTTCTACATTTTATCCTGTCCTCTATGATCAGTTTCTGAACTTTGTTCTTTTTCATATCATTTTTAATGATTTCTTAAAGCCTGTCAGTATTGACCTGGCTGTCTTCAGTCAAATTGTTTTATTCCATTCTATGTTACTGTCACAAAATACCACAGACTGGGTAATTTATAAAGAAAATAAATGTATTGCTTATAGTTCTGGAGGCTGGAAAGTCCAAGGTCGAGGGTCCTGCATCTGGTGAGGGCCTTTGGGCTGCATAATTTCATGATGGAAGGCAGAAGAGCAGGAGGGGGTGAGAGCAAGAAAGCGAGAGGGTCAAACTGCCTTTTATAACAACCCAATTGCATGATCATGGCATTAATTCATTCATGACATGGGAGTCCTCATGGCCTAATCATCTCTAAATACTGCCACAATAACAATTAAATTTCAACATGAGTCTTAGAGGGGACAT
Source organism: Homo sapiens (assembly GCF_000001405.40). Lineage (NCBI taxonomy): Eukaryota > Metazoa > Chordata > Mammalia > Primates > Hominidae > Homo > Homo sapiens. Next base: position 75,966,310 of record NC_000006.12, on the reverse strand, counting down.
TCAAATAACAGTACATATTTAGTCTATATTTTTAATAATGTTTTTTAATAAATAAAATAAGGACATCATTTAAAAATTCAAGTAGATTTCCACCCCCAGGAAGATGAAATGAATGTACTTTTCCTCCTAAGTGTATCTAAATACCCTGATATTATATACAAAACAAATATGAGAAGGCTCTGAAAGGTAAAGAGAAGAAGATGGACTAACTAGGAACCTTAGGGCCTAAAATATGACATGATAGTGAGTTTCCTGAGTTTTATTTTTGTCTCGTATATCCTAGACGGAACAAAGTAGTTGAATAAATAATGGCTCTGCAAAGGACACTGTTAAGAGGATGAGAAGAAAAGATACAGACTGGCGAAAATCTTTGCAAACATATATCTGGTAAAGAACAAGTGTGTGGCTGGGCGTGGTGGCTCATGCCTGTAATCCTAGCACTTTGGGAGGCCAAGGCGGGCAGATCACAAGGTCAGGAGATCGAGACCATCCTGGCTAACACGGTGAAACCCTGTCTCTACTAAAAATACAAAAAATTAGCTGGGCGTGATGGCAGGCGCCTGTAGTCCCGGCTACTCAGGAGGCTGAGGCAGGAGAATGGCGTGAACCCAGAGGCGGAGCTTGCAGTAAGCCAAGACCGGCCACACTGCACTCCAGCCTGAGCGACAGAGCGAGACTCCGTCTCAAAAAAAAAAAAAAAAAAAGAACAAGTATGTAGAAAATATAAACAATTCTCATAACAATTAAAAATTCCAGTAGAAAATGAGCAAAAGATAAGAATGGACATTTTACCAAATAGGGAGGGACATTTTACCTCATATACAGATGGTATATAAGCACATGAAAAGACGTTCAGATTTTTATTTATTAGGGAAGTCCAAATTAAAACCGCGATGAGATATCATTAACACTGATCAGAATAGCTAAAATTAAAAAAAAAAAAAAGTAACAACAAATGCTGGAAAATGCATTTGGATCTGTATCACTTATACATTGCTGGTGGTGGAAATGTAAAATAGTACAGCCTCTCTGTAAAATAGCTTGATAATTTCTCCAGAAATTTAACATACGGCTACCATGCAAGCTATTTCATTCTTGAGCATTTATTATAGAGAAAGAAAACATGCTCACATAAAAACCTGTGCATGCATATTTATAGCAGCTTTATGTTAAATAACCCAAAACTAGAAACAACCCAGATGTCCTTCAAGAGTAAATGGTTAAACCATCTGTGGTACATCTATATAATGTAATACTACTCAGCAATAAAAAGGAACAAATTATTGATACACACAATTTGGATGAATCTCCAGAGTTATACTGAGTAAGAAAAGCCAATCCCACTGTATTTTTCCATTTATATAACATCCTTGAAATGACAAAATTATAGAAATAAAAAACACATTAGTGGTTGCCAGATGTTAAGAAGGGTATGGGTGGGAGAGTAGAGGTGACTGTAAAAGGGCAACATGAAGGAATCCTTGTGATGATGGGAATTGTCTCTAGATTATCAATGTCAACATTGTTTGATATTATGCTATAGTTTTGCAGGATGTTATTAGGGGTAATGAGTATGCAAATTCTCTCTATATTATTTTTTCATTTTTCTCTCTCTCTTTTTTTTTTTTTTTTTTTGAGACTAGTCTCACTCTGTCACCCAGACTGGAGTGCAGTGGCGCCATCTCAGCTCAGTGCAACGTCTGCCTCCTGGGTTCAAGCAATTCTTATGCCTCAGCCTCCTGAGTAGCTGGGATTACAGGCGCCCGCCACCACACCTGGCTAATCTTTGTATTTTTAGAAGAGATGGGGTTTCATCATGTTAGCCAGTCTGGTCTTGAACTCCTGACCTCAAGATCTGCCTGCCCCTGCCTCCCAAAGTGCTGAGATTACAGGCGTGAGCCACTGTGCCCAGCCTATTTTTTCTTTATGGAGATAAAATTCACATAACATAAAATTCACCATTTTAATCATTGTATGTAGACAATTCAGTGGTTTCTAATATGTTTACAATGTTATGCACTGTCTAATTCCAGAAATCTTTCATCATCTCCAAAAGAACCCCCATAACCAGAAAGCAGCCACTTCCCGATTAGCCTTCTCTTCGTGCTTTTGCAGAACTTTGAAGGTCAGACAGAGATGAGAATTTAATGCCCAGAACTATATGCATTCTTAGGTCCTTACGGAGCATGCATACAGCCCTGGGCATTAAAGTGGCCCTCTAGATTCCCCAAAATATGTCAGAGCTTTTGAAAGTGCTTTTTCCCCAAAGCATCTCATTCCCCAGCCTTTCCTCCCAAGTTTTTGCTTAGTCTATTGTGTGCCCAGCTGTTATCCATTGCCTCACACAGTAGCAATTAGTGCATTTGCCTGGGTGTTTTTGACAAACTTTCCCCAGGTAACCATTTTAGCATCAGGAGAGTTCCTAGTTAGGAAAGATAAAGGCCAGCCTTTTGAGTTGGTATTCCAGGGAGTCAGGTTGAAACAAATAAGTAAAACTCTTTGTCAGTGAGGTCCATTCTGCTCCCTGGAGTACTGCTACTGGAAATGAGGGCTGTTATTTTCAAGGCTACCACTGAGCTGGGGAGTGGGGGATAACAGGGTAAGTTAAAAATGCCACAAAGTTCACTGTTCTTACTGAGATTTAGCTGTTGTTCTTAATTAAGCATTCCCTTGTTTGCTGCAAGCTTTTGTTTAGTTTCCAGAATTCTGAAAAAGTCAATTCCGACACTTTTCACCAGCTTTTTATTGAAAGGACAGACTTTTGGAGCGTCTAACTCTGCAATTTTCACAGATGTTACTCTCTGTATTATTTCTTATAACTGCGTTTGAATCTACAATTATCTCAAAATAAAAAGTTTAATTTTTTAAAGTCAAATCATATTAACAAAATCATGACAAATACAGCATTTTACTATCTCACACCTCTTTACTGTGCAGTAACACTCACCAAAAACAATGTCTTTTAACTCAGTCCCTTTTAACTCAGCTGTTTTGTCTGACATTTATTTTTCCCCATATTTTTAAATAATATGCATTTTTGACTCATCGTTTCATACATCATTTATTGACGTTCCATTATTGTAGGTAAAGAGTTAAGTTTCTTGCAATACCATCCCCTCTTTCTCTCTTCAATGTTCCCAATATAGTGATATTTTATTATTAAATTAGTATTCAGTATTTATAGTAAATATTCTCAGCCAATCAATCTGCTGTGTTTCCTTTCTGTTTTCCTGGAGTTAATGTTTTCTGTGATTTTTTTTTTTTTTCCTGGAGACAGAGAGTCACTCTGTAGGCTAGGCTGGAGTACAGTGGGGCAATCTTGGCTCACCGCAGCCTCCGCCTCCCAGGTTCAAGTGATTCTCCTGCCTCAGCCTCCCACGTAGCTGGGACTACAGGCACGTGCCACCACACCTGGCTAATTTTTGTATTTTTAGTAGAGTTGGGGTTTCACCATGTTGGCCGGGCTGGTCTCAAACTCCTGAATTCAGATGATCCACCTGCCTCAGCCTCCCATAGTGCTGGGGTTACAGGCATGAGCCACTGCATCAGGCTTATTTATTATTATTATTCACTTAGTTTTCTTTGTGCTTATTACTAATTCTTCTCAAACTTTCCATTGCAATTGTAATATACCACCTCTTTCTCTCTGGACAGCTACTCTCTAGGACTTTTGGACCGCTGTCTTCTGGGTCTTCCCTTTGCTACCTGTTTTGCTATCTTGGATTTTCCTTGGCCTTTCTCCCAGTTTGGATTCCTTGATCCCTTCTCCCTCTGGGTTTATTCTCCTGTTCTGTGGAACATTTCATCCAGTAGTTTTGTCAGGTTAAGAAATTTGGTACACACCTTTTATTTGTCAATTATGCCTTAATAAAGCTGGAAAATAAATTGTTGCTGGACATGATGGGTCATGTCTCCCAACACTTTGGGAGGCTGTGGCAGAAGGATCATTTGAGCCCAGGAGTTTGAGACCAGCCTGGGTAACATCGAGAGACCCCCATTTCTACATAAAAAAAAAATTTTTTTAATTGCTGGGTGTGGTGGTGCATGCACATGGTCCCAGCTACTCAAGAGAATGAGGAGGAAGGAGTGCTTGAGACAGGGAGTTTAAGGCTGCAGTGAGCCGTGATCATGCCACTGCACTCCAGCCTGGGTGACAAAGTAAGAACCTGTCTCAAAAAACAAAATGGCAAAGAAATCTTTTAAAAATTGGTACAATTGCAGAAGTCTTGGTGAAAGATGCATTCAATGTACCTGTCTCTTGAGATGAATCCAGTTTTTAACTGGTTGCATTTTACACCTGGGTAACTGTGTATTTCAAAGTCCCCTTTACCATTTCCTGGAGATTTCCCTTTCCCTGAACATTTTTCAGTATCCCATTTCTTTCTTTTTCTTGGTTTACAACCTCATTTTAGGTAAACACACGCTAAGAAAAGGTGCCTGGGAAAAAATTTTAAGACTGTGTGCTTGAAAATGTCTTTAGCCACCCTGACACTTGATTGATAGTATAGAATTCCACTGTGGCCATGCTGTTCTCCCAGCTAGCTGCTCCCTGAGCATGACAGGCATTCTTCTTCTTTTGGCCTTCTCACTTGCATTTGCTGCATGGCTAACTCATCTCCTTCAGGTCTATTCTCAAATATTATATTCTCAATGACAACTGTATAAAATTGGAAACCCTGTACTTCCATCCCCTTTTCTGCCTCATTTTATTTCCATAGCACTTATCACCACCTGGCGTACCATGTATTTTTCCTTGTATTGTTTTGGTTTTTGTTTTGTTTTTTGTCTTCCACCACTAGACAGTAAGCTCTTTGGGGCCAGAATTTTATCTTTGATCACTTATATATTTTAGCACCTGGAATAATGCCTGGCACATACTAGGCTATCAATGTCTATTTGTTGAATGAGTGGATAATTAACATTTTCTATCTCTATAATATTCCAAAAAGGAAGATAATAACTTTCTTGTTATTATAAATAAGAATGGATTTGTTTGATATAAAATTAAGAATTTGCTGGTCATGCCCCTTAAAGATATAAAGGAGTTGGATGGAATCTCTTCTTTTGAGAGTTTTTGACATGAATAAGCAACCACTTGATGCTTATGGTTCAGCATATATATGTGACCCTTTCTAGTAGCATTTAAAATAGCCTTTCATCTGTACTTGTTCCTCACACACTGTTCATCTTCTGCTTTGTCTTCTTCTGGCTACTAATGGGGCTTCTGGCATCTCCCACCCACATACCTCACTTTGGGCTTCAGATGGACCTGAGTTCATCTACTTTGGGTTGGACCATATCATTTGTGGCCTTGCCTTTGGACAGAACTCCAACCTGGAAAGTGACCACAATAGCTATATACTCTACATTTGGCAGCTGGACTTAGAAACAATGGACTGCCACATACACATACACGTAAACACACTCCATACCCTCACAGACCCACACACGCACTCTAGCATAACAGTTATTTTAAATCTTTTCATTTTGCATAGTTCAGAGTGAAATGAATGGCCTTGGCTTTTAGTGTTTGACTTTCCTATTGTAGTGCAAAAATACAATGTTGGACTGGTCTGTGTCACTACTATGTCTAATTTTTTCATATGAATTAGATGAAAACATGATTATTTAAAATACACTTACAAATAGTGATAAGGTTTGGATAATATTTTTCCAAAGGAATTGACTATAACCTTAGAAGCTTCAATCTCAAAACAAAAGAGAGTAGGAGTCTTTTAAAATCACATTTAAATAGGGTTGCTGGACTCAGCAAAGAAAAATACAAAATGTCCAGTTAAATTTAAATTTCAGATTAAAAATAATAATTTTTAGTAAACGTATGTTCCAATGAGCATCCTGTATTTTATCAAGCAACCCTATAATTAAATAGCAAATTGTTCCTTTAATGAATTAACTTGGTTAGGTTTATTGTGAATGTGAGGGATTAATATTAAGATGTCACAAAAAACATCTTTTTTTCGGCTGGCAAGATGGCCGAATAGGAACAGCTCTGGTCTGAAGCTCGCAGCAAGATCAATGCAGAAGGCAGGTGATTTCTGAATTTCCAACTGAGGTACCCAACTCATCTCACTGGGACTGGTTAGACAGTGGGTGCAGCCCACGGAGGGTGAGCTGAAGCAGGGTGGGGTGGGGCATCACCTCACCCAGGAAGCACAAGAAGTTGGGCAACTACCACCCCTAGCAAAGGGAAGCCATGAGAGACTGTGCCGTGAGGAACGGTGCATTCCAGCCAGATACTACGCTTTTCCCATGGTCTTCACAACCCACAGACCAGGAGATTTCCTCAGGTGCCTACACCACCAGGGCCCTGGGTTTCAAGCACAAAACTGGGCAGCCGTTTGAGCAGACACTGAGCTAGCTGCAAGAGTTTGTTTTTCATACCAAAGTGTTGCCTGGAACGCCAGCGAGAGGGAACTGTTCACTCCCCTGGAAAAGGGGCTGAAACCAGGGAACCAAGTGGTTTATCTCAGCAGATCCCACCCCCCATGGAGCCCAGCAAGCTAAGATCCACTGGCTTGAAATTCTCACTGCCAGCACAGCAGTCTGAAGTTGAACTGGGATGCTTGAGCTTGGTGAGGGGAAGGGAGTCCACCATTACTTAGGCATGAGTAGGCAGTTTTCCCCTCACAGCGGAAGCCACCAAGAAGTTCAAACTGGGCGGAGCACACTGCAGCTTGGCAAAGCTGCTGTAGCCAGATTGCCTCTCTGGATTCCTCCTCTCTGGGCAGGGCATCACTGAAAGAAAGGCAGCAGCCCCAGTCAGAGGCTTATAGATCAAACTCATATCTCCCTGGGACAGAGCACCTGGGGGAAGGGGGGGCTGTGGATGCAGCTTCAGCAGACTTAAACGTTTCTGCCTGCCGGCTCTGAAGAGAGCAGCAGATCTCCCAGTACAGCACTTGAGCTCTGATAAGGGACAGACTGCCTCTTCAAGTGGGTCCCTGAACCCTGTGTCTCCTGACTGGGAGACACCTCCCAGCAGGGGTCGACAGACACCTCATACAGGAGAGCTCTGGCTGGCATCTGGAAGGTGCCTCTCTGGGATGGAGCTTCCAAAGGAAGAAATAGGCAGCAATCTTTGCTGTTCTGGTGATACCCAGGAAAACAGGGTCTACAGTGGACCTCCCGCAAACTCCAGCAGACCTGCAGCAGAGGGGCCTGACTGTTAAAAGGAAAACTAACAAACAGAAATGAATAGCATTAACAACAACAAAAAGGACGTCCACACAAAAACCCCATCTGAATGTCACCAACATCGAAGACCAAAGGTAGATAAATCCACAAAGATGAGGAAAAACCAGTGCAAAAAAGGCTGAAAATTCCAAAAATCAGAATGCCTATTCTCTTCCAAAGGATCGCAACTTGTCATCACCAAGAAAACAAAACTGGACGGAGAATGAGTTTGACAAATTGACATAAGAAGGCTTCAGAAGGTGGATAATAACAAACTCCTCCAAGCTAAAGGAGCATGTTCTAACCCAATGCAAGGAAGCTAAAAACCTTGAAAAAAGGTTAGAGGAATTGCTAACTAGAATAACCAGTTTAGAGAAGAACATAAATGACCTGATGGAGCCGGAAAAAACAGCACGAGAACTTCGTGAGGCATACACATTAATGGGCGAATCGGTCAAGCGGAAGAAAGGATGTCAGAGGTTGAAGATCAACTCAATGAATAAAAGATTAGAGAAAAAAAAATGAAAAGGAACAAACAAAGCCTCCAAGAAATATGGGACTATGTGAAAAGACCAAACCTACATGTGATTGGTGTACCTGGAAGTGATGCAGGGGGCGAATGGAACCAAGTTGGAAAATGCTCTTCAGGATATTATCCAGGAGAACTTCACCAACCTAGCAAGACAGGTCAACATTTGAATTCAGAAAATATAGAGAACACCACAAAGATACTCCTCGAGAAAAGCAACCCCAAGACACATAATCATCAGATTCACCAAAGTTGAAATGAAGGGGAAAATGTTAAGGGCAGCCAGAGAGAAAGGTTGGGTTATGCACAAAGGGAAGCCCATCAGATTAACAGCAGGTCTCTGCAGAAAGCTACAAGCCAGAAGAGAGTGGGGACCAATATTCAACATTCTTAAAAGAATTTTCAACCCAGAATTTCATATCCAGCCAAACTAAGCTTCATAAGCGAAGAAGAAATAAAATCCTTTACAGACAAGCAAATATTGAGAGATTTTGTCACCACCAGGCCTCCTGAAGAAAGCAATAAATATGAAAAGGAACAACTGGTAACAGCCGCTGCAAAAACATACCAAATTGTAAAGACCATAGACACTACGAAGAAACTCCATCAACAAACGGGCAAAATAACCAGCTAACATCATAATGACAGGATCAAATTCACACATACCAATATTAACCTTAAATGTAAACAGGCTAAATGCCCCAATTAAAAGACACAGACTGACAAATTGGATAAAGATTCAAGACCCATTGGTGTGCTGTATTCAGGAGACCCATTTCACATGCAAAGACACACATAGGCTCAAAATAAAGGGATAGGGGAATATTTATGAAGCAAATGGAAAGCAAAAACAAAGCAGAGGTTGCAATTCTAGTCTCTGATAAAACAGACTTTAAACCAACAAATATCAAAAGCCAAAGCAGGGCATTACATAATGGCAAAGAGATCAATGCAATAAGGAGAGCTAACTATCCTAAATATATATGCACCCAACATAGGAGCAACCAGATTTATAGAGCAGGTTCTTAGGGCCTGCAAAGAGACTTAGACTCCCACACAATAATAATGGGAGACTTTAACACCCCACTATCTATATTAGACAGATCAACAAGACAAAACTAACAAGGCTATTCAGGACTTGAACTCAGCTCTGGGTCAAGCGGACCTAATAGACATCTACAGAACTCTCCACCCCAAGTCAACAGAATATACATTCTTCTCAGCACCACATAGCACTTATTCTAAAACTGACCACATAATTGGAAATAAAACACTCCTTAGCAAATGCAAAAGAACAGAAATCATAACAAACAGCCTCTCAGACCACAATGCAATCAACTTAGAACTCAGGATTAAGAAACTCACTCAACGGCTGGGCACAGTGGCTCATGCCTGTAATCCCAGCACTTTGGGAAGCCGAGGCGAGTGGATCACGAGGTCAGGAGTTCAAGACCAGTCAGGCCAAGATGGTGAAACCCCATCTCTACTAAAAATACAAAAATTTGCCAGGCATGGTGTCCAGCTCCTGTAATCTCAGCTACTCAGGAGGCTGAGGCAGGAGAATTGCTTAAACCCGGGAGGCAGAAGTTGCAGTGAGCTGAGATCATGCCACTGCACTCCAGCTTGGGTGACAGAGCAAGACTCCATCTCAAAAAATAAAAAAGAAAAAAAGAAACTCACTCAAAATGATACAACTACCTGGAAACTGCACAACCTGCTCCTTGAATGACTACTGGGTAAATAACAAAATTAAGGCAGAAATAAATAAGTTCTTTGAAACCAATGAGAACAAAGACACAATGTACCAGAATCTCTGGGACACAGGTAAAGCAGTGTTTCCAGGGAAATTTATACCACTAAATGCCCACCAAAGAAAGTGAGAAAGATCTAAAATTGACACCCTAACATCACAATTAAAACAATTAGAGAAGCAAGAGCAAACAAATTCAAAAGCTAGCAGAAAACAAGAAATAACTAAAATGAGAGCAGAAGTGAAGAAGATAGAGACATGAAAAGCACTTCAAAAAATCAATGAATACAGGAGCTTGTTTTTTGAAAAGATTAACAAAATAGACCGCTAACCAGACTACTAAAGAAGAAAAGAGAGAAGCATCAAATAGACAGAGTAAAAAATGCTAAAGGGGATATCATCACTGATCCCACAGAAATACAGACTACCATCAGAGCATACTATAAACACCTCTACGCAAGTAAAGTAGAAAATCTAGACAAAATGGATAAATTCCTGGACACATACACCCTCCCAAGACTAAACCAGGAAGAAGTTGAATCCTTGAATAGACCAATAACAAGTTCTGAAATTGAGGCAGTAATTAATAACCTACCAACAAGAAAAGCCCAGGACTGGATGGATTCACAACCAAATTCTACCAGAGGTACAAAGAGGAACTGGTACCATTCCTTCTGAAACTATTCCAAACAATAGAAAAAGAGGGCATCCTCCCTAATTCATTTTATGAGGCTAGCATCATCCTGATATCAAAACCTGGCAGAGACACAACAAAAAAAAATTTCAGGCCAATATCCCTGATGAACATTGATGCAAAAATCCTCAATAAAATCCGGACAAACTGAATCCAGCAGCACATCAAAAAGCTCATCCACCACGATCAAGTCAGCTCCATCCCTGGGATGCAAGGCTGGTTCAACATACGCAAATCAATAAACGTATCCCATCACATAAACAGAACCAATGACAAAAGCTACATGATTATCCCAATAGATGCAGAAAATGCCTTCAATAAAATTCAACAGCCCTTCATGCTAAAAACTTTCAATAAATTAGGTGTTAATGGAACCTATCTCAAAATAATAAGAGCTATTAATGACAAACCCACAGCCAATATCACACTGAATGGGCAAAAGATGGAAGCATTCCCTTTGAAAACTGGCACAAGATGAGGATGCCCTCTCTCACCATTCCTATTCAACATAGTGTTGGAAGTTCTGGCCAGGGCAATCAGGCAAGAGAAAAAAATAAAGGGTATTCAAATAGGAAGAGAGGAAGTCGAATTGTCTCTGTTTGCAGATAACATGATTATATATTTAGAAAACCCCATCATCCCAGCCCAAAATCTCCTTAAGCTGATAAGTCTCAGAATACAAAATCAATGTGCAAAAATCACAAGTATTTCTACACACCAATAATAGACAAACAGAGAGCCAAAGCATGAGTGAACTCCCATTCACAACTGCTACAAAGAGAATAAAATACCTAGGAATACAATTTACAAAGGATGTGGAGGACCTCTTCAAGGTGAACTATAAACCACTGCTCAAGGAAATAAGAGAGGATACAAACAAACGGAAAAACATTCCATTCTCATGGATAGGAAGAATCAAGATCTTGAAAATGTCCATACTGCCCAAAGTAATTTATAGATTAAATGCTATCCCCATAAAGCTACTGTTGACTTTCTTCACAGAATTAGAAAAAAACACTTTAAATTTCATATGGGACCAAAAAAGAGCCTGTATGGCTAAGATAATTCTAAGCAAAAAGAACAAAGCTGGAAGCATCATGCTACCTGACTTCAAACTATACTACAAGCCTACAGTAACAAAAACAGGATGGTACTGGTACCAGAACAGATACATAGACCAATGGAACAGAACAGAGGCCTCAGAAATAATGCCACACATCTACAATCATCTGATCTTTGACAAACTTGACAAAAGCAAGCAATGGGAAAATGATTCCCTATTTAATAAATGCTGTTGGGAAAACTGGCTAGCCATATGCAGAAGACTGAAACTGGACCCCTTTTTATACCTTATACAAAAATTAACTCACGATGGATTAAAGACTTAAATGTAAGAACTAAAACCTTAAAAACCCTAGAAGAAAACCTAGGCAATACCATTCAGGACATAGGCATGGGCAAAGACTTCGTGACTAATTCACCCAAAGCAATCGCAACAAAAGCCAAAATTGACAAATGGGATCTAATTAAACTAAGGAGCTTCTGCACAGCAAAAGAAACTATCATCAGAGTGAACAGGCAACCTATAGAATGGGAAAAAATTTTGGCAATCTATCCATCTAACAAAGGACTAATATCAAGAATCTACAAGAAACTTAAACAAATTTACAAGGAAAAAACAAACAACCCCATCAAAAAGTGGGCAAAGGATGTGAACAGACACTTCTGAAAAGGAGACATTTATGCGGCCAACAAACATATGAAAAAAAGCTCATCATCACTGGTCATTAGAGAAATGCAAATCAAAACCACAATGAGATACCATCTCACACCAGTTAGAATGACGATCATTAAAAAGTCAGAAAACAACAGATGCTGCAGAGGATGTGGAGAAATAGGAACACTTTTACACTATTGGTGGGAGTGTAAATCAGTTCAACCATTGTGGAAGACAGTTTGGCGATTCCTCAAGGATCTAGAATCAGAAATACCATTTTTCCCAGCAATCCCATTACTGGGTATATACCCAAAGGATTATAAATTATTCTACTATAAAGACATGTGCACAGGTATATTTATTGTGGCAATGTTCACAATAGCAAAGACTTGGAACCAACTCAAATGCCCATCAATGATAGACTGGATAAATAAAATGTAGCACATATATACCATGGAATACTATGCAGCCATAACAAAGGATGAGTTCATGTCCTTTGCAGGGTCATGGATGAAGCTAGAAACCATCATTCTTAGCAAACTAACACAAGAACAGAAAACCAAACACCGCATGTTCTCACTCATAAGTAGGAGATGAACAATGAGAACACATGGACACAGGGAGGGGAACATCACACACTGGGGCTTGTCATGGGGTGGGGGATTAGGGGAGGAATAGCATTAGCAGAAATACCTATTGTAGATGACTGGTTGATGGGTGCAGCAAACCACCATGGCACAGTTATACCTATGTAACAAACCTGCACGTTCTGCACATGTATCCCAGAACTTAAAGTATAATAAAAATATAAATAAATAATAAAAAGGGAAAAAAAGGATGAGTTCATGTCATTTGCTGGGACATGGATGAAGCTGGAAGCCATCATTCTCAGCAAACTAACACAGGAACAGCAACCCAAACACCACATGTTCTCACTCATAAGTGGGAGTTGAACAATGAGAACACATGGAGGGGAACATCACACACCTGTCGCACAGTAGGGGAGGGATAGGGGAGGTATAACATTAGGGGAAATAGCTAATATAGATGATGTGTTGATGAATGCAGCAAACCACCATGGCACATGTATACCTGTGTAACACACCTACATGTTCTGCACATGTATCCTCGAACTTAAAGTATAAAATTTAAAAAGATGTCACAAAGGGAAATGGCCAGAAATTTATTTTTGTTGATTGATGACATAATGTAGAAGCCTATTTTAAACAGGTTAAAGTCTACATAGTAAGAAAGGTGTGAGTAATGAAATGCTGGTGAAAGAGCAAAATGAAGACATCTATCATTGTGCTTCTTGCCAACTCTTATCACCCGCAGGAGCAGAGATCACATCATAAGAACACAGAATCAAATGCATTTCCCATGACACAAAAAAAGTCAAATCAAATCCTTTCAATTTATCATCCCAGATCTGTTTGTGGATATTTTAGTCAACTCAGACTTCCATAATGAAATATCATGGACTGGATGTCTTAAACAATAGAAATATATTTCTCACGGTTCTCATGACCAAGAAATGCCAGATCAAGGTGCTTGCAGATTTTATTCCTGACAAGGGCTCTCCTCCTGGTTTGGAGTTTGTTGCCTTCTTGCTATATTCTCACATGGCAGAAAGAGAGATCATCTCTCTTGAGTCTCTTCTTACAAGACCAGTAATTCCATTCATGAGGACTCCACCCTCATGACCTAATTACCTCCCAGAGACCCATGTCCAAATATCATCACATTGGGGATTAGAGCCCGAACATACAAGTTTTGCATGGACACAAACATTCAGCCCATAGCAATGGAGATTTTAATAAAACTTTAAGTGTATCTCCAGAGAGATCTTAGATATTAGGTAACATTATTTCTCACAATTGAGTGAATTATGAGTAGACACACGCAGGTACCCTCCCCAGGTGAGAGAAAAGAGGGTGCTTCTCTGAAATCTGGCATAACTCACCAACAGACAGGTTTTATTTTAAGAAAGTAATAAAACTAATATGATTCCAACTTTCAGAGCTGTTTATCACTTGGAGTTTCGGTTTTAGTAATTTCACCGTAGTAAATTAGCTGACTGAGAGTCCAGAGATTATATCTGCATCCAGACAGTCCATTTATCATGCTTAGCATTTGGATTTCAACAGAGCTTTCCTGCATATTTGCCAAAAGGCCACTGAAGAAATCACAAAAAGCTCCCTGTTTTGTTCACTTAATGCCTTAAATATCATCAGTGGCTCTGGATTTAGGTTTATTGGAATATTTTAATAATTCAACAATCTGTTTATCTGAAAGTTCCCACCACTTTCTCAGTTTAGAAATATTTATTTTCATTTTGTACCAAAAAAGGGGTAGGTTTTGATAGTTCAATGTGTACTTACCCAAGGTAGCAATGCAAAATGGTGGTAGAAATTGTCAGAGCGTAATAATGTAACTGTGGCAAAGGTTTTTTACTGTATTTTATTATTATTATTATTATTATTTTGAGACAGAGTCTCACTCTGTCACCCAGGCTGGAATGCAGTGGCATGATCTCGGCTCACTGCTATCTCTGCCTCCCAAGTTCAAGAGATTCTTGGGCCTCAGCCACCTGAGTAGCTGGAATTACAGGCGTGTACTACTACACCCAGCTAATTGAGAGGTTTTAAATATTAATAAACAGCAAGTTGTATGGTCAATGTAACATTCAAATTATATGTTCACCAATACCTTTATACTCCCAGTATCATTTTGCAAATTGACAAGCTATTCAATTAGATTACTCAATTTTGGAAAAGCATAATTTAAATTTCAAGTGGTAAAAATACCAAAACATCATTATTGTAACCAAAAAAATCCAATTGCATAAAATGCAGACTTGCATTATTGGAAAGTGAATAAAATTTCTGGGTCAAAACTGCACACCTAGTTGTCTGGGAGTTCTATACGGGGATGAGGGATCTAAATCTGTTCCAATGCCAGCTGCAGTTTGGCACCAATTGGTGACTTAGTCAGTTTGTACTACTTGGTTCCCAAGTGTATCGTGTCTGACTAGGCAGTAATTCCAGAAATTCTAGTTAACTGGTGCTCTTTTAGTCTCATATATCAAGAACTACTGGGCCTGAATAAAATGGGTACAGGGATCCACTCTTTGTCTCCCTAGGTTGGGACATAGTGCTGCCTGCCCTTTCTGTTCCAATTTCTCTTCTTTAAAAAAAAAAAAATGACTATTGAAATGATCTACGCAAATGCTATGTATTTTCTTAAGTTAAGCTTAATTTTGGATTTTCTTTTTTTCACTTTCTATTCTTTGGGGAATACTTGGACATAATGAAATTGTACTTCCTCCACAGACACTTCTTGGTCTCCACCTGCTATGGCCTCTACCTCCCTGTCAGAAGCTCCACCTTTCTTTATGGCATCAAGCATCTTCTCTCTGACTGATCAAGGCACCACAGATACAATGGCCACTGACCAGACAATGCTAGTACCAGGGCTCACCATCCCCACCAGTGATTATTCTGCAATCAGCCAACTGGCTCTGGGAATTTCACATCCACCTGCATCTTCAGATGACAGCCGATCAAGTGCAGGTGGCGAAGATATGGTCAGACACCTAGATGAAATGGATCTGTCTGACACTCCTGCCCCATCTGAGGTACCAGAGCTCAGCGAATATGTTTCTGTCCCAGATCATTTCTTGGAGGATACCACTCCTGTCTCAGCTTTACAGTATATCACCACTAGTTCTATGACCATTGCCCCCAAGGGCCGAGAGCTGGTAGTGTTCTTCAGTCTGCGTGTTGCTAACATGGCCTTCTCCAACGACCTGTTCAACAAGAGCTCTCTGGAGTACCGAGCTCTGGAGCAACAATTCACACAGCTGGTGAGTGGGCACTGCTCACAATTCCCAATTCTTTGTCTCTTCTTTCTTTGTTGTTATTTTATAATATAATTATTGGCTGTCTTGAGCAATTAGTGTTAGTAGAAACAAACCGCCAAGCCAGCTGTTGCTGAAGACATTCAACTAGAATTTTGAGATGAATTCAGATCCAACTGGGGAAGTGAGTTCTGTGATAGACAAATGGGAAGACACCGCCACCCAATCTGTAAGAACAAATTTGTTCTTAAACTCTTTTCATTATAATTCTCCCTAACTTAGTGAATCCAGGAATAATACATAACACTCAAGCACTGAACATGGAATCTAAAAATAGAGTGAACATTTTCTAAATTATATCAATCTCATGAAAGGGTACAAAGTTAGAATGGTCCAGCACAGATGAGGCTGAGAGTTCAGGAGTAAGGGTTCCTTTCTTAGTTCCCCTTAAGTTCTTGTAAACCTAAAAAATGACTAAGTGGTTTATCATTCCTGGTCCCTAACAAAGAAAGTGAAAAGATAATTATTATGACATATATCTTTGATAATAAGATACTCCCAAACTCACGTTTATTTTGTTTCTACATATACAATAAGAAATACATATACAATAAGAAATGTTGAACTATGTAATACCTCTATACATTCATGGTTAATTAAAATAAATTGTACATATCACACAGATGGCAGAATGTCTGACAATAAATAAAAAATTTTATACTTCATATAAGTTAAATTATTACACAAATTAAAATCCACATGAAACCCAATTTCTCAAGTGAACATTTGCTTTAAAGTAAGACTTTATCTGGGCTATCTCCCCACCCCACACCATTTATAATGAGGTGAGTAGATATTGGGAGAGTCTCAGGGAACAGAGTCCCTGTGAACCTGTTACAGAAAAGGGGTCCTAGTCCAGACCCCAAGAGAGGGTTCTTGGATCTCACGTAAGAAAGAATTCAGGGCAAGTCCACAGTGCAAAGTGAAAGCAAGTTTATTAAGAAAGTAAAGGAATAAAAGAATGGCTACTCCATAGACAGAGCAGCCCCGAGGGCTGCTGGTTGCCCATTTTTATGGTTATTTCTTGATGCTATGCTAAACAAAGGGTGGATTATTCATGCCTCCCCTTTTTAGACCATATAGGGTAACTTCCTGACATTGCCATGGCATTTGTAAACTGTCATGGTGCCGATGGGAATGTAGTAGTGAGGACGACCAGAGGTCACTCTCATGGCCATCTTGGTTTTGGTAGGATTTAGCCAGCTTCTTCACTGCAACTTCTTTTATCAGTAAGGTCTTTATGACCTGTGTCTTGTGCCGACTTCCTTTCTCATCCTGTGACTTAACTGTCTGGGAATGCAGCCCAGTAGGTTTCAGCCTCATTTTACCCAGCTCCTATTCAAGATGGAGTTGTGCTGGTTCACCTGCCTCTGACAAACTAACCATGGCATGTTAATTAGGGTTCATGCTAAGCTGCCATAATGAAGAGGTAAGAATATAGTGACTTTCATTCAGTACAAGTTTATTTCTCTTTCACTTGATGGGTAGGACAGCTTAGCTCTATGATGCCATTCAGGGACCCACACTTCTTCCATCCTATAGCTCTGCCAATACCAAGGGCATTTCCTCATTCACATGGTCAAAGCTGGGTCATTGGTACATCCCTGTTTCCACTTGTGAGAAGCAGAGAGGAAGCTGAGGGAAAGCAATTTTCTCCTAAGCAAAAGACACCAAAGTTGCCCACATCATATTAGTGGGAACTAGTCACATGGCCATCCTTGCCACAAGGGAGGCTGGAAAATGTGCTTTCTAGATCAGCAGCCTCTTTCTATGAGAAATAGGAAAATGGATTTGGGAGAAGCAGCACCTAGCTATCTGCACAGTAGGTGAAGACAGGGAATCTCTACCCCAGGCCAAAGCAATGCTAAGACACCAAGAATGAGGCTAGTCAAGTAAGTTCTGTCCTCATCAGGGGACAGTAACTTGAAAAGGGAAGTACCACGATTTGTTTAAAATTTCATTTTACTCACACAAAAACCTTGTGAGGGAAGTAACAGAATGTGGGACTGGGTCAGAGTCAAAATTGTGGTGGGGTGGGGACAGGGGCAAATAAAAAGGAGGTGTGGGTCACACCTAGGAGGTCGGCGCTTGCATCTCTATGCTTTCTGGGTTCACAGTACAATTCATGAATGAGGAGGCTCACTTTCAGAGCCAAGGACAAGGTGAACATCACTGAGTTTCAAACATTTCTGAAAAATGATCTCTAGGATGGCGTGGCTCACAGGAGGCAGATGTGGGAACCTGAAACACAATGCCATGGGGCATACTGTTGAGATTATGATAGTTTGGAAACGGCTCGCTGGGAGCCACTTTTTGTTCTTCCTCACAATTCAGATAAGGGCCCTGAGGTACAACACAGTGGTTACAGGGCTTGATAAAGGTCACATGGCTAGTTAGGGACAGTTCTAGGACTGGCACCCAAGTCTCCTAACTGCCAGTTTCCTGCTGTTTCCACTACACCACATTTGTGTTGGCCGGGAAATATTTACTGCGTAGAGAGACATGCTGATGTTTAAGTTGTTGTTTGTTTTAATAGGTCATTTCAAATTGGCTGCATCCAAATAGATGTCCCATTTACATAGACACAGGTCAGTCTGCTCCTGGGCTCAGTTTGGAACATATTTTTATTTACTTGGGTTTTTTTTTTTTTAATAACTGAACTTGGCATTCCTGCTTTGCTAATAGCATTGGCTCAGGTTTTTAAAAATCATCTGTTCTCACAATTCACCATGAAAAAAATCACAGCCATCCATCTCAATACACAGATAGAAAGGTGGAAATATGGGACTAATCACTGCAAATCAACCATTAAGTAGTGGCATTCTGGTCTCACATTAAATCCAAAAACAAAAATCAAAATAATAAAAAGGAACTAAAATATATGTCTCGGTTAATGAAAAGTGAGTGTAAGTGGAATTAGCAGCAGCTGAGCACTTAGAACACAGTTAAGAGGAAACCATCTTTTATTTTGCAGCTGGTTCCATATCTACGATCCAATCTTACAGGATTTAAGCAACTTGAAATACTTAACTTCAGAAACGGGAGTGTGATTGTGAATAGCAAAATGAAGTTTGCTAAGTCAGTGCCGTATAACCTCACCAAGGCTGTGCACGGGGTCTTGGAGGATTTTCGTTCTGCTGCAGCCCAACAACTCCATCTGGAAATAGACAGCTACTCTCTCAACATTGAACCAGGTAAAAGAATCCAACCCAGAAAGTGGTAGAGATGTTTTGTTCATTTTTTTAATTTCGTTCTGTTTTTAAGCACACGTTTCAATCTTTAGGCCACAAAAATCAAACTGAAATGATACCAGATGAAATAACCTTTTGGAAGCTATGGAGCACATCATTAGAAAGGTAGAGTCCAAAGACATGCAAGTTAACATTTTCCTGTATCAAAAAGCAATGAACAAGCACACCTCTTGTTGCACAATCTGAGAGCTTTAATTTTAAGTTTAATCAGAACAAAACTTTTGCTGTGTTTAAGAGTTTTTTTTAATGTAGCCCACAGCCAAGCTAATTTACATTCTGCTAGAAGTCAAAAGCACTTTCTCAGTGCTCTGCAACAACCTCGGGGCTTCCTACCTAAGCAATCTTTCAATCACAGTTCATTATCAGAATAGCTACTTCATCATGTAATTCAGGATCAGAGACAGCATTCTAAGGAAAGAAAAATAATCATTAGATAAAAATTCAAACTTGGAGAAAGTCACTTCGCCATCAACAAAAAAAAAGAAGAAAATAAATTTGCTTTTTGGTTGTATACTACAGATCAGCTTCCATGTGAAGATTAAAGCAAAGAGTTAGACAAGGAGAAAACTTTTAAAGACATGGGAGCTTAGCCCAAAGCCACACAAGAGAAAGCAAACATTTGCTCTGATAATAAAGCAAAGAGTGTGCACCATTGTAACCAGCTGTGACCAAATTGGGAACTGTTTTTACCATTAGTTTCAAAATTCTGTTTTCTAACCAATTGAAAGAAGTCCTTTATTCCCTGGGGTAAAAGTCAGGGAGGGCTCCTGATTTCTGCCAAAGCTACCTCCCAGTCAAATTCAAAACAAAGCTTCCTAATTGGCTATGAATTAGTGGAGTGAATCTTTAACACCCTCTCTGGCTCTCTGTGGACTAACAACGAAAGCAGAAGGAAGAGGCCATGGGCAAAATGCAAACCAAAAAGGCTCAGTGGGAGACATTTATATTTGATAGAGCAGTGCTTTGAGCAACTTTAAGCAAATTGCCTCCGTACCTTAGTAAACAGGATCCTTAAAAAGACAGACCGCCTGTAGGCATTGAGCCTGGGAGCACTTACTTCTAAACAGGAGCAGCTGAGTAAGCCCTGTGGCTCCCCTAAGAAATCAAACACCTCCTAAATGCCAGTAAGACACTGCCTCTTCCCCGGAAAACTACTTCAGAACTGAAAAGGAACCAGGGGTCTTTGCCAGTTAGGATCAGAAGGCTAATTTCTTCAGCCAATTGATTAAGCTAGCAGGACTTGGAAAGCATTGAAGAAGTCATAGCACAATCCCCTGTCTTCCTTCCTCCCTCAGGGAGCTGACAGCTTACTTAGGGACCCATCCACCAGCACAAGAAGGTCAACGTGAGGAGCCAAGTTGAGGCAAGGGATAACCCAGGTGTGCGGCTGTAGGGAGCAGCTTCTCAATGTAGATGCCACTTAAGTAGTGTCTTAGAAAGAGGGTGGGAAGCTGTGAGTGCACTGCCAGGGCTGTATAAGGGACACTGTTGATATTGGAAGCAAGCACAGCATAGTAATGGTCTTGGGGATCCCCAGCCCTAAATGTTGAATCTTGTGTGGTAACTGCAGCACTCAATTTCTGCAAATGGAAAATGGAGAAATTTTGGCCGGGTGTGGTGGCTCACACCCATAATCCCAGCACTTTGGGAGGCCAAGGCAGGTGGATCACTTGAGGTCAGGAGTTCGAAATCAGCCTGGCCAAAATGGCAAAACCCTGTCTCTACTAAAAATACAAAAATAAGCCTGGCATGGTGGTGGGCACCTGTAATCCCAGCTATTCGGGAGGCTGATGCAGGAGAATCGCTTGAACCCGGAAGGCAGAGGTTGCAGTGAGATAAAATTGCCCCCACTGCACTCCAGCCTGGGCAACAGAGAGACTCCTCTCAAAAAAAAAAAAGAAAAAAAAAAAAGAGAAGAAAAGAAAATGGAGATGGTAACATTATGAGAACTAACTGAAAGAATATTTACAATACTTAATATAGCACTTGACAAATTCTAGTTACTTAATAAACATTAGTAGTTACTATTGCAACATTGTCATAATTAACTTGACTATCAATTTGTGACCTGCTTAAGGTACCAGCAAAAACAGTAAAAAGTAGCGTGACAAGGTATTTGTGGAGGGGGTGGAACTGAAATTATTTTCACTGATTTCTTGTGAATAGTTCTGCTATGCAGCTTTTCTTCCAAGAAGCCAAAGGTGGTAAGCATGAGATGGTGCTAACGTCAGTTTCACTCCCAGCAGAGTCACATTTATGCTGAGCTACCTAAGAATACCTCCAGCCTACTCAGTGAACTATGGCATACATGCCCAATTCTTATTTTTAGTGGTGGAAAAAAGTAGGGGAAAGCCAGTGCCTGCTGGACAACCTGGGAAATTACTTGCTTGCTTTCCAGAGGTAGTTCAACCCTGAGCCTGCACCAACTCAAATACTTTTGAAGAAATTAACATGTAAAGCCAGGAGAAGCAGTGAATCTGAATGAAAGCTGTTGAATGTTGAATGACTACACATGGTAACTACAAGGGAGATACTTTGCAAAAGCCACTGAATGTTACACTAAGCACTTCGGTGAACTTATAGTTCATACTCTATTCCTTACCAGATACCTGGAGAGTGACAAAATCTAAATTTTATATACATTGAAAACTCATAAAATAATAACTCTATGCAAGAGGGCTGCCAAAAACTGGCTATGTTGCACCAGTTAGGACATAGTGATGCTTGTCTTAAGTGATGCTTAGAACATCATTAAGCATCAACCAAATGATGATGGTTCAATCAAAGTGTTTGAGGACAGCAGAATTAGTAAGTCAAATATGGATTTTATAAGTTAAAAATAATCAATGAACTGTATGGATTCATCTATGTAAATCCAAATGGGTAAATCCAATATCCAGCATGGTTCCTAATTATACTACGCTATGCATAGCTAGAAGCCACTGTGCTAAACCGCCCTCAAAGGTTTTCCTTCCAGTCAACAGTGAGGGGAAGGAGGAAGGTACCAGCAGGCAGGGAGGAGCAGGCAAGGAATAGAGGGGGGCACAGGGAATAGTCACTGACTCTGTGGGCTCCTTCATGCACAGCTGGGGATTCTGGTTTAGATATTTCACCAAAGGCGAAGGCTGGGTTCACCCATGTAATCAGGAAGTGGGCACTGGACTGATGATCAGGACATTGACCATCTTCTACATGCTTAATCCAAAACAGCATTCATCCACCACCATATAACATGCTAATGCATGAAAATCCATCCCTGCCCAAAGGAATTTGCACTGTAGTAGAAAAGGGACATCTTAGAACTATGCTGGGATCAAAACTACATCTTTTTCATTCCAAAAGACTTTTTAAGGACAAGTTTCTGTTGTGCCAGACTTCCTACAAATTCCTGTGGGCTTGGGCATCACTAAGGGATGGTCCCATAATGAAGAGGGCACTGAGTTTTCTTTAAGTCTCATTTGTCAAGCCTGAACAGAAGAGAGAATGTAGGAGTAGAAATAAATGAAAAGAACTCTAGTCCCTCCAGGCTGGTCAATGAGACAGCCTTTGGCCGGGGATAGCCAGAACTAAGCAGCCAGCTGCAGCCACTAAGGTCCAGGGCTGGGGAGATGGAATACCAGCTGTCTTTTTCTGTTTGTATTGCTATAAAGGAATACCTGAGGCTGGATAATTTGTAAAGAAAAGAGTTGGCTCATCTTTCCGCAGGCACCAGCATCTGCTTCTGGTGAGGGCCTGAGGCTGTTTCCACTCATGGCAAAAGGCAAAGGGGAGCCAGCATGTGCAGAAATCACACAGTAAGAGAGGAAGCAGAGGAGAGGGTGATGCCAGGCTCTTTTTAACAACCCAGTGCTGGTGGGAGCTCACAGAGTAAGAACTCACCCCTCCCTCCCAGGGAGGACATTAATCTACTCATATCATGAGGGATCTGCCCCTACGACACAAACACCTCCCATTAGGCCCACACTTCCAGCATTGGAGATCAGATTTTTAATATGAGATTCAGAGGGGACCACTAACCATGCAGGGCACACAGCAGTACGAGCTACCATTGGGGGGTGAGGCTGCTGAAGAGGAGGAGATAGCGACCCCAAAGCACGTGGTAGTCAGGTGCACAAACACAGATTCACAAACACCACCCTCACTCACACCTCCTTTTTCCATTCAAACCCTTGTTCCAATCCAGGGAGGAGACAGTACTAAAACCCAAAAATTCTCACCACCATTGCTTTTGAATAGAGTTAATTAACTTCTTAATTCTATGAATCTGCGTATCTTATAAAACTTTGTGAACATGAAATTTAAAATACTGTTCTAAAAAAAAGCCTGTACAGTTACAGAAAACTGTTTCTAGCATCAGTACTCCTATACAATTTTAGTCTGAGGAAATACATACAAAATTATTATAAGAGAAATGCATATCTAAATTTTAAAACACATTAACGGAAAATGTGCAGATGATTTTCAATCATTTTCTTCCTCTTTTTTAAATCTAGCAATATGACAGCTATTTTGCTCCTAGTTTTTCAGTGCGATTGGCTGATCCAAATTTTCTCCTTTTGGTGGGATATTTGCGTGTAAGCCATCATGGTGACTGACGGGTGAGCTGATTAAAATGTCCCTAGTACAACCAACCAGTGCAACCAGCAGATCGTGCTGTCTCTCAGGACCCTGGATCCGGAGTGAAGATAATTACTTCAGATTCCTAGAAAAGAAGGACTCAAATTCCAATTTACACAGCTCTTGGCTCTATTGCTGGTGTGGACTTTTCAGTTACAGAAGGCTTGGGCTGATACACAACAGTGCCCATCCTCCAGCATGTAGTAAGCGAGACCCAAGAGAAAATGATGCTCAAAATCCCTGATGATAACAGAAGGTCACTTAAGCAAATACAGGAACGGCCCTGATTCAGGTTTTGATCTTTCAAGTATTTACTTGAACTCAATGATGATGATCCAATCTGCTGAGAAAATTCTCCTTGAAAGAGAATTAAAAGGGAGAAATCTTTGACAAGAAAAAAAGGCAGCTGCTGGAAATTCTGTATATCAAGAATAAATACTTAGCTTTGTCTCTAGGAGAGAATCTCAAGAATCTATCCTTGGAAAATAGAGAAGGCATCCTATCATTTCAATGTTTTCCCAGCCAGGATAGTCAACTATAGCAAAACTGCATTACTGGATTTCTTACCCTTTCACCCTTCCCTGACCACCTTCGTAGTAGACATAGTTTAGAGGTAGTGGTCCGCAACACTGAAGGGTAAGAAGGTCCTCCCACCTCAGGTCCAGTGTCCCCCCAGCCTCCAGAAACACCAGCCCTACCCACTCCTGCCTCCCCTAACCCTTATCAAAGAATCACCCTCAAAATGTAAAAACCATAATTGTCATAAAGGAGATACTGAGCACATGTCAAAGTCCTATTTAATTTTGAAATAAGGGAATTGGTAGGATGACAAAGCTGGTTTAAAGAGAATATGAAAAATTGGAATTTTAGGTAGCCAGAGGACAAGAGAGAATGATGAAATGAGATTGGTAAATGTAAAACAGAAACTACAATCATTGCATCATCAATTTTCTCTACACTAATTTCTAATTTTATAGAGTTGTAAAACGTCTGGACCATAATCCATAGTAAATAGTGAGTCAAACAAAGTTATTGCTTTCCATGCATCAGCAAACTTTTTCTTTAAAAGCCAAACAGTAAATATTTTAGGCATTGAAAGCCAAAAGGCAAAAATTATGTAGGTACTTACATAACTAATTAAAAGTTAACCATTTAAAAATTTAAAAAGCATTCTTAGCTTGCCTGTTGTACAAAAGCAGGCAGCTGGTCAGATTGACCCACAGGTGGTCTCTGTTTACTGGATGGGATTGTTATATTCTAATATAACATTGAAGGTCACACAGTCAACTTTTCTCCTTATTTCCAAATATTGGATCATTTTTCTTAAACCATCAACAATTACTCAAGCCTGTTCCTCTCCCTGGCCTTTATCTTTGCTGTTACAGAAAAGTTAGATAAGTAAATGATAATGTAATCATGATTTGGGTACCTGTTCACTCATACATGCAGTGAACATTTATGGATTATCTGCCATGAGTCAGACACTATGATAGCCACAAGGACCAAAAGATGAATCGACCCCATCTCTGCCCCCAAGGAGCTAAATAACTAATGAGAAAAATGGAAGCATATACAAAAAGACATAATAGAGTCTGTTAAATACTGGAATCAGGATGTCAGCAGAAAGAAATCTTATGAAGTAATGAGGAGAGAGCAATTAATTCTACAGAGGTGAAGGGATATCATAGCAGGCATATACAGACAGTGATATTGAGCTGGGTCTTGGTGTATGATGGTGGTGGGCCCAGGAAGAGAAAGGGGGTGAGGGACTATTCCAGAAGATGCAAGAGGAAAATGCAGACATTTCTGGGAGTGCCAGGTTTCTTCAGTTACTCCACAGTGATGACAGCTTTATTTACAGAACAGGGAGTGAAGGGAGCGAAGATAGCTCAGATTGGAAGGAAGGGAAAGCCAGGCTGAGCCGGTTCACTTAAAGCCAGGCTGTCTAAAAATGCCCGTCAAATCTATTTGCTTCCACTTTTGGTGTCTTGTTTTTCTTTTTCTTTTGTTTCCTATGACTTATGGTCTTTTAAAATTAAACTTTAATAAAATTTTGGAAAGCTCAAAACGTTTTCCAACTAAGTGCTAGACAGTCCTTAAAGTGTTCTCAAGTAAAATAAAAATAAAACAGTTTATCATTCATACAATACTGCAAGTTTGGAAAAACTTAGGAAAAATATAAAATAGGTACAAAGGGTGGTGCGTATATTAATTTGTTTTTAATTTTAAATGCAATAAATAAGGCAAAAATTAATAAAATCCATTAAATATTTTTAAAAGACTCCAAAAATATTTGAAAGAAAACCAGTTCTAAGGAAATAGACAAGATAGATTGACTCTAGCCTATGAAGTAGGTGTCTGGAGGCCAAGGGAAAGCCAGGGCTGAAAGTATACATTTGGGAAACTTCAACTGAAGCCAGAGAACAGATTTTTTAAAATGGCCAGGGGCAATGTGTAGGATGGGAGGAAGAGCTGTGAATGGAACTCTGAATAACCCCAACAGTTAATGGGGAAATAGAAAAATTACAGTAAAGGGAGCCAAGAAATAGCAGTCAGTGAGGTGAGAGACAATGTTGCAGAAAGTCACAAAACAGAAGAGCAGAAGAGGGAGCTTCTTTAGCAGCTGTGAGTGAAAAGAGTAGAGGGCACTTAAGTGGACAGTTCAAAGGTCATCAGAATGCTTTACAAAAGCAAATGGAATAGCAAGGGCAGAGAGGCCAGACTTCAGTGAGGCTAGAATGAAATGGAAACGGACAACGTCAGCACAGGCTGTCTACCTCTTGTCTTACAACTTAGAGCAAGGCGCCCTCCAATGTTAGGCTCCTACCTTTCCACAGAGACAGGGAGAAAGTTGCTAAGTTCCTTGAGGTTTACATTTTAAAGGGATGGCGCCCAGGACCTGGAGCATAACATTCCAGAGTTGTAAAGGTGGCAAGAGGGTTTTTAAAAGGTTTACATCTCAAAGGAACATAGAATTTGCAATTACAAGTTCTTTTAACTAACTGCTGTAAGAAAAAGGAGGTTGTCAAATGTCCAACAATGATAGACTGGATTAAGAAAATGTGGCACATATACACCATGGAATACTATGCAGCCATAAAAAAGGATGATTTCATGTCCTTTGTAGGGACATGGATGAAGCTGGAAACCATCATTCTCAGCAAACTATTGCAAGGACAAAAAACCAAACACCACATATTCTCACTCATAGGTGGGAATTGAACAGTGAGAACACATGGACACAGGAAGGGGAACATCACACACCGGGGCCTGTTGTGGGGTGGGGGGGAGCAGGGAGGGATAGCATTAGGAGATATACCTAATGTTAAATGAAGAGTTAATGGGTGCAGCACACCAACATGGCACATGTATACATATGTAACAAACCTGCACGTTGTGCACATGTACCCTAAAACTTAAAGTATAATTTTAAAAAAAAGAAAAGAAAAGAAAAAGGAAGTTGAGAGCCTTGTGGAAGAAGTTTGTCTTAAGTTTAGTGAAGGCTGGGAGCGGTGGCTCACGCCTGTAATCCCAGCACTTTGGGAGGCTAAGGCAGGTGGATTGCTTGAGCCCAGGGGTTCAAGACCAGCCTGGGCAACATGATGAAACCCCTGTCTCTACACACACAAAGCAAAAGTTAGCTGGGTGTGATGGCACACGCCTGTAGTCCCAGTTACTCTCATCACTGCACTCCAGTCTAGGTGACAGAGTGAGACACTGTCTTGGGGAAAAAAAAAGTTTAGTGAAGCTGAGGGGAATATTAAGGCTGTCTTGGTCAGTATAGTATTTTTTTGTTTTGTTTTGTTTTGTTTTGTTTTGTTTTGTTTTGAGATGGAGCCTGGCTTGTCGTCCAGGCTGGAGTGCAATGGCGCGATCCCAGCTCACTGCAATCTCCGCCTCCCGGGTTCCAGTGATTCTCCTGTCTCAGCCTCCTAAGCAGTTGGTATCACAGGGGTGCACCACCATGCCTGGCTAATTTTTGTATTTTTAGTGGAGACGGGGTTTCACCATGTTGGCCAGGCTGGTCTCAAACTCATGGCCTCAAGTGATCCACCTGCCTTGGCCTCCAAAAGTGCTGGGATTACAGGCATGAGCCACCACATCTGGCCCAGAATAGTATTTGCTGTCTGTGCCCCAATTTTATTGTATTTACAGGCAATGCCCAGATAATTTATTTAGTATCATTTGCAAAATTTAAAACAAATTCCAATTAAGTCTTTCTCTTTTCTTTTGCTTAATGTCAGGGTAGAAAGCAGTTTGTGGTCACAATACTGGGAGAGAGATAACATTATTCCACAACCACTTTTGAACTAAGGAGAAGAGAGAATTTGAAAACTCTCATGGGATTTTTAGTTAATATCATTCCACATTCAGATCAGCATGTGAACTCCTGGATGCATCCTCTAAATGAGGATTAGCAATCCATTAGGCCAAATAACATCTGCAGAGGTGCAGGCATGTAGGAGAAGCAATGTGCTGTTATTACTGCACTAGGTGTGCCATTCCCCTTTTGAAAAACCCCTGGATAAATGAATCTGTGATATAAAAAGTATAAGCCAGTGTTAGAACTTTCTGTGATTTATCAACTGAAAAACCGAGTAAGTCACAGCTTGCTCAGTATTCTGCCAGCATCTCCAGCAACTAGAGTCGTCTTTCATTTAGGCTGCTGTGAAAATTCTTCAGAAGCATGTAGGGCTTTTATGCCAGTTAGTTGTGCAGGCTGAAGATTTCAAAAATGCAAAACCACATATAACTTATTCTCTCCTTGAATTCCTAAGAAGCCTCCTCAAAAATGGACAGCCCTCAAGGCCGGTAAATGGTAAACACTGAAATTAATTACAGTCTGACATCCAGGATGCATTTACAAAAATGTGGCTCAACGAGCTTGTTTTCCCTGGAAAAGGCATAATTTGTAAGACCTTCGACATCTCTGAAAAAGTGGTATATGTCACTCATCACAATAATGATAATAATAGTTACTATTAACTAATGTCAATAATAGTTACTATTGACACAAATTTTAATCTTAATAAATATGCAAGGTAGATATTATTTCCCCCCACTGTACAGCTGCAGAAATTGTGTTTCAGAGAAGAATAAGTAATTTGTCTTTTGCTGGTCAAACTATTACCAAACGCTGCAGATGGAATTCAAAGCCAGATTTGTGTGCCATCTTCAACTCTACCCTATAACTTCTTTACAAAAAGGAATCTTATAAGCCCTTCTAACTGGGTTATAGAGGCTGTTTATTTAGAAAAAGTGACAACACACTTCAGTTTTATTAATCCTAAATGAATTCTGTTAGTTTCTACACTTCGCCAAATGAAATTTCTTATCATATTTTGTCATAGTCTTAGAATGCAAAAAAAAAAAAAGTGTTTACTCTCAGAAACAAAAGTCCTGAGTGCCCAAGAGTCCCCTTTATATGCACTGCTAGGAGTGTCCCTTCCAGCTGGAGCAGTCATAGGAATTCTCCTTCCAGGTGATTCTCCTCAGCCTCTCCCCTCTTCATTTGCCCCATCATCTCCTACATCCCTGGCCCTGTCTCCTGGGGTCATGCTGCTGGCCCTTTGCCTCCTGGGACACGCAGCACTGCAGATTTTCTGTTTGACATTTGCCTTCACTAGAGGCCCCAACACTGGTTGGACTGCCAGACACACTTCACCTCTCTCCAGGGTTTCAATCTGTGCCCTCATTCCACACCCCAACCACTGCATGGAGCTTCCTTAAAAGGCTCCTGGAGCTGTTTGGCCAACCTGTTAACACAAAGCCCTCCACACAAGTCCGGGCTTAGCCCAGCTGCAGGGCCTCCTCCCAGCTCCCCCAGTGTCAGAATTCTCCCTCCACCCGCTGATCCTGGGACAATTGGCCACCACCCTAGTGCCAATCCATCCAGAACACCTCTGTTTGGCAGATAATAATAATGGCTGAAAGCTGAGACAATTCTTCAACCTCACATCCAGGGCAAGATGTGTGTGGGTATTCACACATCCACTCACACAAAAAAGGATTATTGAGAGTCAGCTGTGGTGGTGCTTCTTGAGAGTGGTGGAGAACTGAAATGAAACCTAAAGTCTATCACATTACTTGCCACTTTAAACCAGAAAGAACTCTTGTTAACTTAATTCCACAAATGTGTATTAAGCTCCAAACATGTGCATGGTGCTGTGCTATGTGCTATTTATCATTGAATATTCTCACTCTAATCTACCTTTCAGCAATAAGCCATAAGCCAAACATTTTATAACAATAAAATAAGCGATCAACAAAAACTTAAACATATATATTTTAAGATTTCTTTGAATCACTGAACTGCATCAGCATTTCTGGAGGTATCATGAGCCACCTCCGTTGGCTTTATGCCGTGGAACACGCAGAATGGGAGACGTATGTTTGAGTTGGAGGGACATTAGTGATCACTTGATTTAAACACTCCATTCTATGGAAGAGAAAAGTGAGAGCCAGAGATGCTAACCTATGTTCCCAAGACCACAGACAATTTCTAGAAGCCAGGCTTTCCCCGCTAGGGCACTGTCCTGAGGCTTCTTCACTGGTAGAACAGATGAGCAGGTCCACTCTCTCTGAAGGTACAAACATCTCACAACCTTCTCAGGACTTGGTGGAAGCTGTGAGGTCCCTGTGTAACATCTCAGATGAACCCTCAGTACAGGGACGTATTTATTCAAATTACTAAACTCGAAGCCCCAAGCGCTATGTAAAAGTGATGTTCACACATTGAGAAGAGAACTGTCAGACTACCAGGGCCTCATTAAGACTTCCTGGGCTCTAGGCCCTTTGCCTTCATGACTATTAGTAAAGAATATTAAAATTATACCTTAACTTCGTGAGCACAAAAATGAATATAATCCAGTACGGGTTGCATTAATTTTTTCTTCTGATTTTAAAGAAAACATTTTTGTGGGCTCCTAAAAGCATGGCGGGCCCCCAGGCTGTGCCTCCTGCAGATTGCTATTGATTGTGATGCGTAAGTTTGCCTTTCTCTGATGCCCCAGGCAAAGGAATGACCCCTTCACCTCCTCGCCACCAACAAAACCATGACCACAAAGCCTTGGTGGTAAGTGGGGAAGGGGAGGGCGAGGAGGCCCCACAGCTGCCCGCAGCAGCCAGCAGGAGCGAGCGAACGTGCGGCGGGGTCGACCCCCCAGCGCCGACGCAACCAAAAATCTGTCACTTTGTTCAGGCGTGAAGCTTTGTCACGCTGGGCGCCAGGGCGTGGCAGCGCGGGAAGCGTTTGGATTCCAGAGTCTTAGCTCTGCCTTTTTGAAATGGGAAAAGATGATCCAGGAGTTTTCACCACATTACCCCCGCCAGGCAGGCCCGATCTGCCGCTGTAATCACGGAGTAATAATGGCTCTATCAGCAGTCCCCTGGAGCTGCTCCTGCTACCGCGTGAATCCCTTGCAGACCTCGCTTCCCTCCACCAACGCGCAAGGCACAGTGGTTTTTAAAGTCAGAAATCAGCTGGGGTGCTTAAAATGTCATTCCCGAAGTCTACTCTTGCTTCTTTTGCTATTGAGCGCCATCTAGCGAGAACTAGGTTTCATCGCATTGGAAAAAACGTCCACGAAAGAGAGACCCAACGGGACCTCAGCCCAGCCAGCCCAGGTGAAGCCTGAATTTTATAGGCAAGCTGAGCTGAAACCTTGCCCTTGGACAGGATCCAATCAAAGGAGATGTATCACTTTCTGTCCAACACGTGAGTAAAATGGGACAGCGCAAAAGCAGGAGATGATATGATAAATGTTAGGGAGATAAGGCACTCAGCACACAGCCAGTAGGACATGCGGCAAGAGCAGGACAAGGTTGAGGGGCGGGACGGGAAGGGGGGTGTAGCGGAGGGCACGATCTTGAGTTGGAGAAAAAGGAGTGAGACCTTCTGAGGTCTGGCAGAGAGGGAAGGCCTATTTTCAGGCCTGACAAACATGAGTGCACTTGGGACCAGAAACAAGAGGCTTGAAAAAGAGGCAGTCTTGGACCAACAGGGACCTATGATCTCCATGAATTTATAAACTTTTTGATGAAAAGGACCATGATCTTTTTAACTTTGACTGTAAAATGCCTCAAGGTGTTCCCTGCAGGCAGGGGACATCATTTAAATGCTTTTTGATCACACGGTGGAGAGCTGGGAAACAAACTTCCTCAGTCACCAATTGGGATTGCTTTTCAGTACCTTTGAAATGCACACAGAAGACATTATGTAAGCAAATCCAGGGAAGAAACTGATACATCCGATGCCCTTACACTGGAAATCTCAGAATGATACAAATATTTCCAAGCCCTACATGGCAGCTCACTTATTTCAAGACATGTTCATTGCTGTCACATTTAAACAACAGGAAAAAACATTGGAGCCACTGTAGTGTCAGACTGTACTTTCTACAAGAAACATTCTGCCTCATGAAAGGGTGCAGCAGACAATGGATTTGAGCTTTTGTTTAGTTAAGGGAACCTTTATTCAAAGGAAAGCATTCATGGAAGTCTGATATGTCTGCCAGTGAGGATGGCAATGAAGATGTGGTGGGGTGGGGGGGCTCTCACTCTTTTTCCCTCATCCCTTATGAGCCCCTTGGAGTCCTGTGGTGTCTCCTGGAAACCCCATATTTGAAAACCTCTAGAATTATTTAAAAAGCCAAACATTGTAAACAGATATGAATGTTAATCTTGGATCATACTTACTAGCTAAAATGGGCTTCCGTTTTCTCACCGATGAAAATGATGTCGGCAATATCCATATGGATTTGAGAGGTGCTGTGAATATTATTGAAGACACATGTTGAAAGTGCCTGGCACTGTGCCAAACACATAATGGCCTTTGATAAGTGTGAGCTCCCTGTTTATGTAAATAACTGCCCTTTCCACTGAAGCTGGAGGTTCAGGGTCATGATCCCCAGGGTCACTCCAGGGACAGGGCCTGAAATGCAACGACATGTCTCTTCTGAATACAGCCAGAATCTACTGGGATGCTAGTAGACTAGGCCCGGACCTCTGGCCAGGCTGGACCTGGATCTTCCCACCAACTGCTAACGAGCAGCCACTGACACTGTTCAGCTTGCCGAGGTCAAGTGCCCTGGACTGTCTCTGTGGAGAGACTGTCAAATATGCTGTGTAGAAGAGCTATCCTCATGGCTTAAGAATAGAAAGCTAAGTCATTTTGCCAGCAAGCAATTATAGTAAGCCCAGTGAATGCCCCAAACCATATTATGTATTTATTAAATGTGGTACAGGATCATGGTGAAATCTCTCTATAGTACCAACAGTAAAAATAAATGGTTTGAAGGGAATTCAAACAAATCCAGGCAGTGAAGGCAATTATAGACCAATTTGTCTACACACCAATCATGAGGATTTCACTTCCTCAGACCCAAACACAATTTGATCATGACTTGAAAATATTCTTCTAGACAATGGCATCTACTTTTTTCTCCTGAATCTGCTATTGATCTCAAGTCTCTTTGCCCCCTTCTTTCCAAGCTTTCGACCACATTCAGAACAAAACATTTTCAGTTGTTGCAGCATAGCATATAGATTATTATTGATCAAATCAATAGCAAAGAGTAGGAAGTTCAAACTAATTTGTCTTGTACATGTGCTCTGGGATGTATTAAGAAAGAGACAAGAGACCAGGCGCGGTGGCTCACGCCTGTAATCCCAGCACTTTGGGAGGCCGAGGCAGGCAGATCACCTGAGGTCAGGAGTTCGAGACCAGCCTGGCCAACATGGTGAAACCCTGTTTCTACTAAAAATACAAAAATTAGCTGGGCATGGTGAAGGGCACCTGTAGGCCCAGCTACTCAAGAGGCTGAGGCAGGAGAATCGCTTGAACCTGGGAGGCGGAGGTTACAGTGAGTTGAGATGGCGCCACTGCACTCCAGCCTAGGGAATAAGAGCGAGACTCCATCTCAAAAAAAAAAGGAAGAAACAAATATTGGTATGGCCTACCCATGAATAAGTTCATTATTCTAAGGAAAAATGTCTTTGGGATATGGCAGATAAAGAAAATGATAACAACATAGGGAAAATTTTGCTTACAAAAGTTCTACTAGTTAAACTTTCATTCATCTATCATAGAGCCAATCTTTTCTATCCCTTCCATGGCTCTGTCTCCCCAGAATCAGCCCACATCCATTTTTCAGTCTTTGCCTAAAGCTTAAAGTTTTGGGTGTTCCTTGAAAAATTACATGAAAGTAAAGAGGGTCATCAAAATACCTAGGGAAAATATTTTTAAGGTAATAAGAGTGGAAGCAGTGTGAGTTGCTCTACAAATTACTGTTATAAATTCTCTCGTTTTGACTCTAATTCTAATTGCCTTCACCTGCCGTATTAGCAAAGAGGGCCAATATATTAGCAAAGTGGTCCAATAGCTCCCCCTTGGGGCTCTGCCCTTCCCTGGAACTTCTCACACATTCCACGAAGGGATGGCCGTGAGACCAGTCAGAGGACTGTATAGCATTATCTGTACGCATTTTCCCCTAAATTTCTTGGAAGAATGGCTTTACTGTTGCCTGTTCCCTAGCTCTTTGCACATAATAGTTATTTGGTTAAAGAATAATCTGAAAAGTAAATGGCTGATATGGTTGAACAGGAGACCTTCTGGGGCAGAAACA
This sequence comes from Homo sapiens, assembly GCF_000001405.40. NCBI lineage: Eukaryota > Metazoa > Chordata > Mammalia > Primates > Hominidae > Homo > Homo sapiens. Next base: position 75,932,014 of record NC_000006.12, on the reverse strand, counting down.
ACAGTGGTCTGATGACAAGAGGCCTGTTCTGGTTCTGCCATCAGCCCTTGAGGACTCCGGTCAGTTGCTTCTCTACTGAGAGCTCAATGTGCTCAGCTCTATAAGGATAAGGAAGGGCAAACAGGGGCCACTGGCCTTCCAGAGCTAAATATCTGAGATTCTCTTGATTTCTAATCCACTTCCCAAAGAATTGGAGACAACCCTATAGAATTAGGAATGGAGTAAAATAGAACAATTAATGACAAGAAAGAAGTGAGTCTAAATGTTAATAGGGAAGAAATAATTAATCCAAAAGAATGACTCTCTAACATTAGGGCCTTAGCAAGAGACCAAGAGAAATTTATATTTAAAATCAGGAAATCATCCTGAGTTCTCAAAACTGTTCACATAAATGATGACTTAATGCTTTATAAATGCTTACTTAAAAAAAAAAAACTAAGTAACAAAACATTCCTAATTCTCTAATGCAGTGGTTTTCAAAATGTGCTCCCCAGACCAGATGCATCAGCATCACCGGGAACTGCTTTAGAGCCAGAACTCAGTCCCCATTCCACGCTGCTTGCACAGGAACTCTGAGTGTGGGGCTCAGGAATCTGTTTTAACAAGGCCTCCAGACGATTCTGATGCACACTAAAGGTTGTAAATAATTACATTTGGAGCTAAACTAATATCACTTGTGTCTGTAAATTCATTTTTCAAAGATACAGAATGTGGTTCTTTTCCCTCCAGTCTGATATCACAACTGTGCAACCCACTCCAAAATGAGGTAATAGCAAATGTATTTGGTCTCTTGCCTTTGACTGCTGCCAGTTCCATTGCTTAGCTATTCATACATGCGTTAAAATCTGCCCCATTTCTTACAGCTGATCAAGCAGATCCCTGCAAGTTCCTGGCCTGCGGCGAATTTGCCCAATGTGTAAAGAACGAACGGACTGAGGAAGCGGAGTGTCGCTGCAAACCAGGATATGACAGCCAGGGGAGCCTGGACGGTCTGGAACCAGGCCTCTGTGGCCCTGGCACAAAGGAATGCGAGGTCCTCCAGGGAAAGGGAGCTCCATGCAGGTGGGTCAAGCATGCTAACGTCACAGACTCAAGAACTCATTACTTACACTTCTGAGAAACCCATCATTAGAGTAAATTCATATGGTCCTTTCAACCCATGGTTTTTAAACTTTAGTGAGTGTAGAAATCACCCAGAAAAGGGCCTGTTAAAACAACATGGCTGCACCCTACTATGCCCTGTTTCTGATTCAGTAGGTCTGGATGGGGCTCAGGTAGGGCTGATGCTGCTGGTCCTAGGACCCCACTTTGAGAACCCTGCTCTAGGCTTCCCGGCAAGGGTTCCTTAAGACCAATAGGGAAGGAAGAAAGAACCTGTATCAGTTTTAAAAGACTGAATACTTGGTCTACTACCTTAATTGGGGATGTATTTGTGCATAAAATTTGATTTTTCCTGTTAGCAAACATAATAGCTTTCATCATAAGAAAGCTGGGAAATATAGAAAATTACGAGAAAAAAAGATAAAAATCCTGTTAATTCAACACATTATCTTTTGGTGTTCCTGTTTATATAAAAATGAAAATCAGTTAATTCCACACATTAACAGTTATCTTTTGGTGTTCATGTTTATGTACAATTGATTTATAAGGAATTTTCTAAAGCACAATAGAAACAGACTTTCTCGTTTTATAGTCCTCTTTTTTTAACTTAGAATGTTTCCCCATGTCATGAAATATTTTTGTAGCATCATTTTTAGTGATTACATAACAGTCCATTCTCTAGATGTGTTATGATGTGTTTAATCATTCCTTCATTTCCAGACAGAAAGGGTAAGAGAAGCTTTTGAGAAGGAGGAAAAGGAGGCAAGATACAAAGGCCTCTCTATTCAGGAACCAGACTTTAGAGTGTTATGAAGGTGGCCTTATGAGCAGAAAGGGACCAGGAAAGTTTCTATATAATGCAACCTATATTACAGACAAAGGATGAACATCCACATGTATTAATAAAGACAAACATCCTAATTTTTTTTTCAAACACAAACTCATACATTCATTAATGAGGTAACTAATTTTCCACAAGGGTGCCAAGACAATTGAGTGGAGAAAGAATAGTCTTTTTCAACAAATGGTCCTGTGTGTGACAACCAGATATCCACGTGAAAAGAATGAATTTGGACCCCTAACACCACATACAAAAATTAACTCAAAATAGATCAAAGGCCTAAATGTCCAGCTAGGATTATGAAACCCTTTTTTTTTTAATTTACTTTAATTTTATTTTATTTCCCGTTTTTCTTTTTTTTAATTTTATTATTATTATACTTTAAGTTTTAGGGTACATGTGCACAACATGCAGGTTTGTTACATATGTATACATGTGCCATGCTGGTGTGCTGCACCCATTAACTCATCATTTAGCATTAGGTATATCTCCTAATGCTATCCCTCCCCCCTCCCCCCACCCCACAACAGTCCCCTGTGTGTGATGTTCCCCTTCCTGTGTCCATGTGTTCTCATTGTTCAATTCCCACCTATGAGAACATGCAGTGTTTGGTTTTTTGTCCTTGTGATAGTTTGCTGAGAATGACAAACATCCTAATATTAAAATGAGCAAAAAATACAGAGGTGCAATTCATAGAAGAAACCCACATGACCAGCAAAATACAGAAGATACTGGATCTCACTATCATCAGGGAAATCCAAAAACAATTAGGAGATATCATTTGAATTTGGCAAAAGGAGATTGATGATACTCAGTGTGGGAATATGGAGGAAAGCTAGATCCATCAAGCATTGCTGGTGGATGTACAAATTGGAAAAGCCTTTTTTCAAAAGAAATTTGTCATTATCTATAAAATTTTAAATTTGACTCAGGTACTCTACTTTTAGACAATTATTTCTACAAGAATAGTTGTACCTGTGCACCAAGATATGCTTACAAAAATGTTCACAGCATTACTGCTTTGAGTCATGAAACAATTGTATAGCCCATCAATAGGGAAATGGTTAGAGTACAGTACATTACTGTGAAACATGGCAGCTAAAGGCAATAATATATATAACTCTACTGGAGCTGCCATAGACGGAAAAATAACATATCATTAAATGAGAAAGCAAATTGCAGCATAAAAGATCCCGTACATGTAATAAATTAATAACAATACTGTAAGTATATTAGGTTCAACCATATGGCACTGCCATTTTGTCAGTCACAAATCATCAAATATTGGCAGTTTTGTATAGTTCGATCTAACATGTAAGTAAATTCATAATAAAAATGTGGAATAGATACACAACTATCACTCCAGTTAACAATGGAATGGAGTGAAATTGAGGTCCAGGATTTTTAATAATGAGAATCTGTTCATGTATCACTTGTGTACATTTTTTTTAGGCTAGTCAAGTACAGTAGTAAGAAGAGGGAAAGAAATAGCACAAGCATTTCCATCTGCAATTGACTGTAAACAATCAGTTGAGAGAATTCACTATGTTCAGACCAGCCAACATGTGTAATTTAAAAGAAGGGTTGGGCTGGGAGTCGTAATCCCAGCACTTCAGGAGGCCGAGGTGGGCAGATCACCTGAGGTCAGGAGTTGGAGACCAGCCTGGCCAACATGGTGAAACCCTGTCTCTACAAAAACACAAAAATTAGCCAGGCATGATGGCGCATGCCTGTAATCCCAGCTACTCTGGAGGCTGAGGCAGGAGAATCACTTGAACCCAGGAGGTGGAGGTTGCAGTGAGCCAAGATCACGCCATTGCACTCCAGCCTGGGCGACAGAGCAAGACTCCATCTCAAAAAAAAAAGAAAGAAAGAAAGAAAGGTTGAGGGGTGGGAAGAAAGGGCCAATGAACAGGCTGGATTAAAGTGAATAAGAAGAGGGTTGCATGCGGCTTTTGTGAACAGGAATGTATTCCGTTTTCATTTTAATCAGCCCTATTTGCTATTTCAGATGGCTGTACAATTCGTAATTTTAAACATTTCTCTTTCTTTAGTGAGAAAGATCACTTTAATTCTAGGTTGTCGTAAGTGAGATCAGTAAAGCAAGGCATAAGGTGATCTGGAAATAAACACCTCTCAAAAAGGTTGGTGGTGCTCTACTTCCTCCACCTGTGCCTGTCTCTGGGGCATAACATGGACTTGAGGGATTCAAATACATTGAAAAATTGACGCTCCTTAGACTAATGGAATGAAATGAACATTTTTGAGCACCATGTGCCAGGCACCCTGCTAGATGCTGGGCAATAGATGAGAGGAAGTGGGGAAGGAAGAAAGGGAGGGAGGGAGGGAGGGAGGGAAAGATGCTTAATTTCTTCAGGAAGAAGGGAGAAATGCCCTTATTACCCCAATTTTGCCCTTTTCAACTTCCTGAATATTCCTTTTTAAATGTTAAGTATTAACCCCTGATACCCTCAGCATGAGGACAAACCCGTTGCCCCTATGAGCTACTTCAGACAGACTCTCAGTGAAGAAACGGGACCACAGCAGTGCTCTGAGGGTCCCTTGTGCATCTCCGTGACCTGCTTCTCCTCCCATCAGTTATTTCTGTTCATCCCAAGATGCTATCATTTATGTGATGAAATTTATTTATATAAGGATTAGCTGACAAATTAAAACCCAATCAACCATAGATTAGACCCTGGTTACAATTAGAGGTTTTAAAGTTAGACCCAAATTTAAGTTAAGAGCTCTGCCCCCTACTAGGTATGACTTTAAGCCAGTTCCCCACCCCCTGCCCTTAAGCTTCAAATTTCTCATCTATCTAATGGGAATAACAGGAATAAATTCATGGTTTTTGGTAAGGAATAAATTAGATGCCCCTCAGTGTAAGCTACTCACTACTAGCATTATTGGAGCTGTTTCTGTCAACAAAGGGCAGCCCTGTAAGGAAAAACTAAGAATCCCTACCTGGCACTTAAACCTAAACTCAGAAGCAAATCCATGAGAACACCAAGTGCTGCAACTTTGAAAACAGCGTTCTCTAAAGAACTGTAAATTTAGCTGCGTTTTTGTTATTCTACCTGAAAGTGATGAGATAGGGAAATGATACTGAAGGCAGGTGCCCTCCTGAGAAGACTACCATTGACACACAAAGAGCAGTTTCCATTGCTTCAGTTACTTGTCATTGTTTCTCATTACATTTTCACCTTTATTTTTCCTTCTATTCTTTTCCTCCATCCAATATTTGTAACTATACTCCATATATTTTTACATTTCCCTCAAGTTTAGATGTTGTATACATAGATTCTGCCATGCTAGGAACTTACTTCAAACTTCCTTTTTTTGGTGTAATCAGTTAGGCTTTTATTACTCACAATTATCAGTATACATACACAAAAAATGCAAATCTAAATCTAACAGAGTAGATTCTGACTTTTCCTTCTCAGGCCTTAACATTCTCACTTTTGTCCTTTAATTTCATAGGCCTACTATGCTGTGACATTACTCATAATAATGAAAATTGTTTCTAAATATAGGGGACAGTTTCAGTAAATGATGGTACACAGTGACATTTATGAGGATGTTTTAATCATATCAAAGTGCTTGTTGTAACCGCAGCAAAGTCACAGGTTCACTCACATGCTACACCTCAAATGGAGAAAAGGAGGTCTAGTTTTTTTCCCTCTGGATAGTTGTTACCAACTCCCTTTGGAGCTCTTTCTCCACTGAATAGTGGGAAGGTTCGGTTACGGGGGAGGTTTGTAGGAGGAAGGGGTTGGAATTTTATATAGTCCAATTTAATGTAGTTCAAACTTCCACCTGATTAATAATTTGAGCAATCACTTTAGACAACTCAGTTCGCTTGGAACATACAGTGAGGTATGGCTCTCCTGGTCTTGACAGTTCTCCTGGAAGTTTTCTAGTTCCATATTCCCCTCACCTGTGATCTCTTAGTTCTGATCCCAGGCATCTGCCCCTTCCCTGGCATTCTCAAAGCCTCCAAATCTCCCAACCAGGACAAATAGGAACCGAAAATGCTGCCTTAGGTGGTGGGATGGGGAACAAGGAACTTGTTACTCAACTTCCTTTAAACAAATAAATAAATACAGGCCTGGCACAGTGGCTCACGCCTGTAATCCCAGCACTTTGGGAAGCCGAGGTGGGTGATCACCTGAGGTCAGGAGTTCGAGACCATCCTGGCCAACATGGTGAAACCCTGTCTCTACTAAAAATACAAAAATTAACTGGGCGTGGTGGCATGTGCCTGTAATCTCAGCTACTCCGGAGGCTGAGGCAGGAGAATCGCTTGAACCTGGGAGATGGAGGTTGCAGTGAGCCAAGATCATGCCACTGCACTCCAGCCTGGGTGACAGAGCGAGACTGTCTCAAAACAAACAAACAAATAAAAAACACAGATAGGGTCTCACTGTGTTGCCCAGGCTGGTCTCGAACTCCTTGGCTCAAGCAATCCTCCCACCTCAGCCTACCAAAGTGCTGGTATTATAGGTATGAGCCACCGCACCTGGCCTCAACCTCCTTAAACTATATTTTTCCTCCTCTCTCCTCTGCCTTCTTCCCATGAGCACTAGGACTGAAATTTTCTGTCCTTCTCCATTTCCCTGAAATTGTAATAAATTGATGTTGAGAGAAAGAAAAAAGTTGAATAAGGGAATATATATATATAGGAAGATAGCTCCTAAATATTATACCCATTTTATAATGCAAAGAGGAAAAACACAAAATGCAAAATGCATATACACTATCAACAGAAATTATGTATATAGAAAGGTCTAAAAATATTTATTTTATTTAAAAAAATTTAACTGACACACAATTGTACATATTTATGGGGTACAATGTGATATTTCAATACATGTATACATTGTGCAATGATCAAATCAGGGTAATTAGCATTCCCATCATCTCAAACATTTATCTTTTCTTTGTAGTAAAAACATTCAAAATCCTCTCTTCTAGCTATTTTGAAATATACAACTACAGTCATCCTACTGTGCAATAGGACACCAGAACTTATCCCACCTACCTAATTGTAACTTTGTACCCACTGACCAATCTCTCTCCATGATACCCTCCTCCCTCCCCTCCCCAGTCTCTGGTAACTACTGTTCTATTTTGTATTTCTATAAGATCAGCTTTTTAAATTCCACGAGTGAGAGCTTGCAGTATTTGTCTGTGTCTGGCTTATTTCACTTAATATAATGTCTTCCAGGTTCATCCATGTTGTGGCAAATAACAGGATTTCATCCTTTTTATGACTTAATAGTATTCTATTATATATATTATATATAATTATATGATATATTATATATTATATATTATATATAATTATATTATATATTATATATTATATATAATTATTTATATATAATATATAATATATAATTTATTATATATTATATATAATTAATTATATATAATATATAATTTATTATATATTATATATAATTAATTATATATAATATATAATTATATTAATTATATATAATATATAATTATATTAATTATATTATATAATTATATTATAATATATAATTATATTAATTATATTATATAATTATATTATATTATAATATATAATTATATTTATATTATATAATTATGTTATATTATATAATTATATTAATTATATATTATATATAATTATATATAATTTTTTATATATGTAATACATATATATCACAATTTATCCATTCATCCACTGATGAACAACAGGTTGACTCCAAATCTTGAGTATTATGAATAGTGCTGCAATATACATGGGAGTGCAGATATCTCTTTGATATACTGATTTCATTTTCTTTGGATAGATATCCAGTAGTGGGATTGCTCGATCATATGGTAGTCCTATTTTTAATTTCTTTAGGAACCTACAGATGGTTTTCCATAATGACTACTAATTTATATTCCCACCATCAGGGCATAAAGGTTCCCTTTTCTCCACATCCTCGATAACATTTGTTATCTTTTGGCTTTTTGATAATAGCCATTCTAACTGGAATAAGGTGACAGTTTATTGTGGTTTAAATTTTATTAACAATATGCCATTACAGAGTTGTTTTTCAGCAACCACAACTCAGAACTTGACTTGAGAAATAAATCTATGTTTTGTAATCCTTCCATCCTTCTGAGACCACTGCCTAAGAAATAGTAAGCCAACTAAAAGGCAAAAGTCAGGGGAAATGCTGAAAGCACACTTCTTCCAACTCAAACGGAAGACACCTGCAAAAATATGCTATCTATTTTCACTTGTCATGATGTTAAAACTAAAACAGTAGAAAGATGTAGTTACTATTAATGTTGATAAGCCCAAGAAACAAGATACTATGTTTTTGCTTTCTTTTGTAGGTTGCCAGATCACTCTGAAAATCAAGCATACAAAACTAGTGTTAAAAAGTTCCAAAATCAACAAAATAACAAGGTAAAATCATACTTTCTAAGTTGGTTGCAATTACTAAACTTGACTTTTGAAGGAAATTAAAAACATTTATGTCCCTCTTATTTTAAATAGAGATAAGCAAGATACTTTTTATTTTTAATTTACTGTTTTAAGGGGGTGACATTTTCTAGTGCAAGGATAGAGTCAGAAGGCTGGGATTAACCAAAATGTGTAGATAAAACAACAGAATAACAAAATCAATCCAAGTATTTTATAATATTTCCAATCTTTTCTTATAAAAATATACAGGTAATTTATCAAATGTATTTTAAGGTTGAAATCTTTACAGTAATAATTTATATTCCTGGCATTGAATAATTTTATATACTTTCAATTTCAAATAATAATCAGCTAAAGGAAAAATATGTAGAAAATATGAAGAAACATCATTTGTGAACAATGAGTAACTTCAAAAATTCGTAAAAGTTCATCTTCAGATGTTTTTCAGTGTCCAAGACATCTCTTAAAATATTCACTTAATCAACTTATTTTACTAAAATAATTTTATTTTACAAAGGAAAATAACTTGTCTATAAGCAATTTATATATAGTTGACATAGTTTTTTAAAATAACTTTGGGGGAAAAAACCTTGGACAATCTTTAGCCTAAAACTACCCATTTTCAAAAATTATAGTCTTTGATAGAAACAATTGGTGATAATCAGCCAATGTCTACTTTATCTAAAGTCTACAGTGCTGGATAAAAAAAAAATGCCTCAAAGTTTGCACCTACAAAAGTTATCATAGTTAATATATGATAAGGATACTGGGGAAATCACACCAAATGCTAATAATAATTTTATGTATCCAAGTGCACACTGGGAATGTGTGCCACTTTGGTTTCCTGAAACAAAGAAAATTGGAAAAACAGAAAAAGTTTAGACTAGGGCCATAAAATGACAATAGGACACAGGATCTGATATTGACAAAATGTCCAACTAAATCCCGAAGTACCAGATAGAATTATGGATCACATTTCAAATAAATAAAAGGAAGTGATAATTTTCACAGTAGGAAGTAAACTTGAAGAACTACATCTTAGTTCAAGGCCAGAACAAGTATCAATGCTGATTATTCCTGGCTATGTGGATTTCTGTGTTGACAGACATTCAGAGGACACATGGGTTCCCTGAGGAAGCATGCTATAATACACTAATGGTGTCTACTATGGTTGGATGGGAAAATGGTGACTCATTCACAGACTATCTGCCACTCCTGCTCTATGAGATGGGTCAGCCTGAGAATCTAAATAGGCTTAAGAGGGCATGGAGTACATTTCTAGTAGGTTATAAAGTTAAGAATATTTTGAGGCCATCTTCAACATTTCAAAGAAGATGTCATAAATGGCAAGCACATCCTCTTATCTACCAGTGGCAGTAATATTGGAATGAACCATTGGTTTGACCTTGGGTGGCATTTCTTAAGTTCTTAAAACTATTTCTCTTTCAGGTAATCAGTAAAAGAAATTCTGAATTACTGACCGTAGAATATGAAGAATTTAACCATCAAGATTGGGAAGGAAATTAAAAACTGAAAATGTACAATTATCATTTAGGCTATCTCAAGAGAGATGATTTGCCTTCTCAAGGAAAATGGAGACAGGCATATTCATGGGTCATCAAAATCCAGACATACAGTCAACACTGAGAATCAGCACACACCATATTTCAAATATAGAAGAGTCATGTACTTGGCAACCAGTAAATTCTGAAGAAAAAGACACTTACTTATTATTAAAACCCCAAATGCAATCAGCGAAACATATTTTTACTATTCTTGGATGATAGTCAAAATGATCATAAGCCAGGTTTGCTTCCACCTTCCCTGAAAATTTTACTCACAGATCATTTGCAACAAGCATAGCTTACTTATTGTTTAGGGACTGAACAATTTATTGGGAAGCAAACTCTTTATATGCTAGAAAGTACATTTAAAAGATGACTACTTACGCAGGGAGATGCAGGTCTCTCTAAACGCATGAATGTATGTAGTGTGTAGGCACTGTAGTGAGTGTATATATGCTCCACACTACGTCTGATAAACACAAACCTCAGTATTCAGTTATTAGGCACACTAGTTTTATACGCAACTACTGCTTACATAGTAGACTGTTTTGTTGCCAATAATCTTTGAATTGTTCTTTAAAAGAAACTGAGGTTCAGATACACATACCATGGAAAAATCTTACTTTTCTTGTTACTACACAAAGCTATTTTAAAGAAGATGCTATGTTGGGAGAAGGGCGAAGTTGTACTATATGACATAATCAATTCCTGTCTTCCACCACAGATGAACAATGTCTTCCTATAATAACTTCAGAATATTTCCTCACACCAACTTTAGTGTGTGTATACCTAGACTGGCATCAATGTAATCCAATTCAGTCCATTTTTTATGTGCTGCTTAATGAAAATGAATCTGTCTCTATCTCTTTCAAATGTTCTAATATCAGATATATTTGCTACAAACCTTAATTTCAATAAAGTAAAAGTGATATACTCATAGGTTTTTTAATGAGCCTTTGTTTTAGTAGATAGTCTTTAGATTTGTTTTATGTATTCAATAAATGATTTTAAGCATGAAAATTTTAATGCTGCCAAAAGACAACAAAATAGTAAACACAAAGAGCAACATATAACATTAAGCTTCAAAAATAAAAACAGGCTGGGCACAGTGGCTCACACCTGTAATCTCAGCACTTTGGGAGGCCAAGGCAGGTGGGTCACTTGAGGTCACAAGTTTGAGACCAGCCTGGGCAACATGGCAAAACCCCGTCTCTACTAAAAATACAAAAATTAGCTGGGTGTGGCAGCACGTGACTGCAGTCCCAGTTACTCAGGAGGCTGAGGCAGGAGAATCGCTTGAACCCAGGAGGTGGAGGTTGCAGTAAGCCAAGATCACGCCACTGCACTCCAGCCTGGGCAACAGAGTGAGACTGTGTCTCAAACACACACACACACATACACACACACACATAAAAACAAAATGTTCTTAATAATGGAGACAATTTTTTGGGAAGTGGTAGTGCCCCATGAGGGTTACAAACCCTCACAAACACCTAGCTTTCATCACCATTCCCATACCAATCCTGTCTTCCACCACAGATGAACAATGTCGTCCTATAATAACTTCAATGACTACTTCCTCACACTAACTTTGGTGTGTGCATACCAAAGTGAAGATCTATAATGTGAGACAAGGACTTCAAGGTGAAATATGATGACAAGGTGCCACAGAACAAAGAATGGTGGCAAGAGGTTACCTACCCACTTCCATATCCCTGGAACTTCACAAAGGAAAACAAATGATAGAAGCATGATAGGCTGACCAAAAGTACATGAAAACATTTCATCAGGAGAAACAAGGATCTATCACTATCACTCCTGTATAATGTAGTCCTCACCCCCTACATTCCCTATACTACTTGTGCTCTAACTAGTATAGGAAATGTAGTTTTCTATGGAGAAAGAGAAGGAGGTAAAAGCCCTATATTCTGTGGGGAGGGTCCCATTTTGTGGTAAGTGTCTCTCACTCCTTGGATCACCCCTCTTTTGGGTTGGTCTTTTCCAACCAGCCAGGGAAGAGCTGATGAGGTGAGATGGACAGAGTCTCCTTCCACTCTCAGAGGACCCAGCAGGATCATGGTAGGTTCTTGACACAGGGAATGGACCAGCTATATTCAAGGCCTTAGGGAGAAGGAGCCTTCTTTTGGTCCCCAGTTTTTACATCCTGTGTCTTCTCACAGATTAGTAACGGTCTGGAGAAAGGCAGCCAAAATTTGGTGTGTCTCTAATCTCTACAAAATGAGTAGCTGTCACTCACACAGAATCCTGCCTGTTTCCTGGATGGAGATCACATAGGAAATTTGGGGCCTATGTCCAAAGAAGTTTCAATCACCTTGAGTTCCTTGCTTCTTCCTGCAGCCACCTAACACAGTGCTTCCAGCCCTAGCGACTGGATCAAGCTTCAGGAGCCCAGAATTCGCCAACTTATTCCATCTGAAACACGGCAATAAGTGCAACATTTACAACCTGTTCATGACACCCTGTAATGGTATTAAAAGCACAAGATGCAAGTGGAAATTCTACACAGGGAGCATTTATTTATTTGTATTTCCAGTACATCAATTTTTAGAGAAAGCATTAGATATACACTTTTAATGAAATGAGGAAAAATTAATTGACAGTTTGACTAGATGAATTTTCATAAGTAAAAAGAAAACACCCAACTAATAAGCCTGTGATTTAAAGGTGAGATGCTACTTGGTACAAATTAGGATTGAATGTGTAGATATGGACATAAAGAGTGGAATAACCGACATTGGAGACTCCAGAAAGTGGGAGGCTGAGAAAAGGTTTAGGGATGAAAAATTACCTACTGGGCACAATGTATGCTTCTCTGGGTGTTAGGTACACTAAAAGCCCACATTTTACCACTATGCAATATACCCATGTAACAAAACTGCACTTGTACCCCCTAAATCTATTTTATTTTTTGAGATGGAATTTCGCTCTTGTTGCCCAGGATGGAGTGCAATGGCGCCATCTCGGCTCCCTGCAACCTCTGCCTCCCGCGTTCAAGTGATTCTCCTGCCTCAGCCTCCCAAGTAGCAGGGATTACAGGCACCCACTACCACGCCTGGCTAATGTTTTGTATTTTTAGTAGAGACAGGGTTTCACCATGTTGGCCAGGCTGGTCTCGAAGTCTTGACCTCGTGATCCACCCGCCTCGGCCTCCCAAAGTGCTGGGATTACAGGCGTGAGCCACCGCGCCCAGCCCTAAATCTATTTTTAAAAAAACAAATTTGTACTGAAGATTCTCCTTTTGAATGTGCATTAATTTTTCCTGATCATCTCTTGAAAAACTTCTGAGACAGCTAAGCTTGTTTCATATATTAGGTTAGCAATGGGGAAAGAATACAGTGATTTGAATTGAACTAAAGCGTACTCAGAGAAGTGCTCCCAGCAGAGTAGGTGCTACTTCTGCCAGTCTCTCCATCTTACCCTTCCATGAGGCTTATGTACAGAATGCCTATTTACTGCTGACCTTCTCCAGTATGGCAGTGCCATTCCTATGTGCTAAGAATGTATACACCGGGCATATCTTGATCCAAGTTTTAATAACCATACGTTCTGATCCTATAAATTACACATTATTCATTCTAAAATTTCGTAGAGATCTAGGAGTGCTCTGTGTCCTAAAATGTATCAGTGTTTCCAAACTGGGGGTGCAGAATCTTTAGGGGCACACAACCTGTCTCTTCCACTGTTGCTCTTCTCTTTCCTTATTGTTACAACTGTTTCCCCCCCTCTAACATGTCCTTATTCTCATGTTTAGATATCCTTTGCCCTCCCCTTCCATCCTTGTTAGTTTATCTTCTGGGAGAAATTTTAAAACTCTCAATACTTGTTATTATTGGTAATGATAAATAGGGAAAACCTGTCACACCTTCTGAAGTTGTGGAATGACAGAGAGGCAACCCTTTGTAAATCCACAGGTGCCACTAAAAAGTGTTTGTTTTGGTTCTTTTTGTTACATATGATTGCAGCAAAGGCTTTGATATATTTTTCAGTCTACAACTAAATTACTTGACCTCTCTGGATCTGTTACCTCTTCCATAAAAGGAGGCAGGTCTATCACTAACATCATATTAATTGGCTGACTGATTGATTCAATAAATATTTATTCTACTGATCCAAGTACTCTTAAGCTACTTCAGGTAAAAAAAAAAACCAATGATCTACATATTTGGATCGCTGAGAACCATAGTAATGACCTGTGAATGAAAATGTCTTTTAAAAAATATCCAATTAATAAAGCTCTACAAACAATACCATTATTCTTGCCTGTGGATTGCTATTCTCTAAGTGTTCACAACCACCACTGATTTTCCACTTAAGATGTTCTTTCCTTGGTTGCTTGCAAAACAAAATGGTTCACAAGAATGACCTATGAAAAGTCATTACAGAAGCAGAATGAGCATAACAATAGAATGCCTTTGTGTGGCCCTGTGCTCCTACATGCACTGTTTTGTTTCTTCCTCATATTTTCACAATCCTCTGAGAAGGTGCCATCTCCCCAACTTTACAACTAAGAAAACTCAATATTCTCTTAACATACGTGGATTAGAGTAACTTCCTTTTCTCAATTAGTTCCCATAACTCATAATACATATCTCAACTGTGTTACCACAATTAGGAATTATATTAAAATTGAATCAAATGTGAAAACATTCTGTCCTCTCATTTTAAATATTTTATGCATGCTGCCTTTGCAAAGCATATGCTATGGAAAGAACTGGTATTAAGAAAAGATTAGTTCTTTATATATAGTGGTTTAAACTTCTAATTTTAAATCTCAGTTAAAATGATTAAAATATGAGTGAATTTACTTTTGATTTCCACAGTTTTAACCTGGCATGCATGGGCTTGACTGTGAACATGGTAAAGCAGCTGCATGAACATCATTTAGGACACCACTCCTGCTGTTTCCTTTAAAAGGCTGACAGGGTCCTAAGTTTCTCCAGCAAAGGGGTGTCTGTGTGTATGTGCATCTACTGTACGTAGGTTACTGTAAATCTATCTGAATTAGGGCAGTTGCCCTGCTGGCCAAAATTAACTCAGGAAACTATTTTAAATAGATAAGTTCTAGGACAGCTGTGTGACATGATTAGAAACATTATGGCTTAAGATTAACTATAATTGTATTAACTATTAGAGTCAAAAACTAAGGACTTATAACAACCCTTTGCTGTGATACATTTCTTACAAATTTCTGAAACATTAGATTCTCTCATTTAAATATGTTTAACTCTTTAATTTTCCATCTAGTGCCTATTAATGTATCTAAAAGATACACAAAACTATTGTACTAAAGAGACATGTCATTAAAAAACAATTTGGCTACTAAATTTTGTTCAAGAACTTTACTCACTACTGGTTAGGAAAAAAGCTTATCATTCACTATCCTACACAAATAAAAACACCAGTTAAAGGCGAGAGATGGAAGAGAGAGAATAGGTCATTTACTTCAGTAGCTACACCTTCTGTCCCCAATCACAGGGACGAAATGACCCGAGGGTGGGTGAAGCTATGCAGTAATACAGCCTTCAAAAGATAATCACATTTGCATTCTCAATAGCACAGACACAACCATTTAATTTAACTTGACAATCATTTGAATGTATCATAATAAATAAATATTTCTCTACTAAGACATGAGAGAAGCAATTCTGAAGACAGTGTCTGTGGCTCACAAACACTAGTCAGCTGGGAAATACTTCCCTAACTGAGGTAATCTTTCTAGGGAAAAAAGAAATCACTGGAATTTCATTTCAAAGGTTAGGGTCTCTAAAAACTGGGGGAAAAAGCAGTACAGAGAATCATTTTACTTTATAATTTTATTCTAAAATACAACAAAACTCCTTAGAATTATGTCAGCATAACTCCTTGATGTATTTTTGTCTTTAAATTCCAAATGTGAAAGTCATAAATATTAGGCTTAAAGCTGCTGACATTTGAATCAATACTAACAGCACACAAAGAAAACATTTTAAAATTATCAGTTATGTAAAACAAGCACTTACTAAATACAAGGATTTCTGAATTACAAAGCTTATGAAACAGGTCTACAATTACCAAAACCTCAAAGGCCAAAAAAGACACTAGGAATTTCTTAAAAAGAAAGATGTTGGAAGCAGAACACTTACTAAATCAATGAAACAACTTGGACAAGATTCTGATACAAAAATCACTATTGAGATGAAGTTGAAAGAATATTTGAATTCAGTCCAGTTAAGCCACTATGCCACCTAAAACCTATTTCCTTTTCTAATTGAAACAAAACTTATCTCAAAACTTTTAGGCATTTAAACAATCTGAATTTCCTTTATTTTTCCACAGAATATAAAAAGAATATTCTGACAGCAACACACATTGTGCTAGCAAAGAAAAGCAAATCTGTGCTGGATACTATTAGTACCTCTTATCACAGAATACATCAAATACATTAAGGCTCTTTCTAGAATTCTAGAACTTCGAAGTGTTTCATTCAAACTAAGACACTGCAAAGGAGGAAAAAAATAGATTTTCCACCTTTAATGGAAATTTCCAAAAATGTCTGAAAATGTCTATAAAGTACACAGCTTTTCAGACCAAAACATTAGTGCCTTGATCATTTTAAGTGGTTTAGTTATTGTAAGAATGTAAGCTCATGTTTTATTACTCCAGTTATATGGTACTGTGCCATCCTTAAAAAGTATTTTGAATTTTGAAAAAAGTTCTCTTTTCCTAGAGAACAATTACGATGGATGTAAGGTAGTCTTCTGGCAAAGGATGAGAAACATCAGAATATGCCCATGTGTAATAGTTAGAGAATAATGAGAGTTTTGGGAATTACAGCGGGATACAGAAAAATAATGTTTAGGTCCAAAATTTGCTACCATAATTAACCTTAAACAAATTCACCAAAAGCCGTGATTAATAAAATCTGTTCACTTTATAGAAGTAACTCTAACATGATTATGGAATGGTTAAATCTGGGGGCACACACCCTACCTAAGTACCATGGCAAAGGCTCCCAGCTGTAAGGCTGGTGTGCAACATCTACTTTAACAGACTCTGCAGCATGGCTGTTGCATAGGTGGGCCGAGCCTGTCTGCTCTCAATCGCATTCTGAAGGTACTGGATGCCTCCACAGCGTTCCCAGATTTCTTCAAACTGTCTTGGCAAGATCTCAGCACCACGCTTCCGAGTCAGGCCAGTCTCCTCAAGATTCAGCTCACACATCTCCATGTCGTCCTTACCTGTATTCATGAGATATCAGAAAATTACCATCTCTCTCTTCAGGACCATTTCTTACCAGTTGTATGCCTGAAATACCTATTAATTCTCATAGATTTGAAAACTTCCTAAGACTTTTTCTCTAAGATGGAAATCTGCTTAATAAAATCACCAGAAACAATTAAAATTTGTCCCCCATCAAGGACCCTTTCAATATTAATAAACACTGCTATTGATCAAACAAGTTACCAGAGTTAATAAAAATGCTACATTTCCTCAAGCCACTACAAATCAATGGATATGATGAAACACAAATGGAAAGGTTTTTAGGATACAGACAAGTTTCTATGTGCTAAGAACATAATTTAATCCAAGCAATTTCACATTATAAATGAGTTAATCCTCACTGAACTGGAAATGTGATTTAACCGCAAGACTCCATCCCTCAACCCTGAAATGTAATAAATTATTATATTATACATTAGAATGTTTCATTCAGAGAGTTTATGATCTTTTTTGTTCTATAATTTGTTTTCCATGTGAATCATACACACCAGCCACAAGTAGGATGGGTGGCTTGTCAGGATGGAGTTCCATTTGCCGGGCAATCCATGGTCCATCAAAATGGGCATACCACCAGCCTTTTTTCTTACTCTGAGGGTCTTTGTACTGGTCGGCAGGGCGGATGAATGGGATGCGGAAGAAGCGTTGCTGTCGGTTCATTTCAATCTCCCGCTGCCTGGCAGGAATCTGAGCTGCTGGGTTTTGCTGAGCTATTACACAGAACAAGGAAAGTTATACCAGCAGCTCAAGGGAAAAGAAAAGAGCCTTTAATCCTAAAATATACCCCAATAATTTTTTAAAAAGAAGAAAGGTCCCTAATAGTAAATTTAAAACAAAATGAAAATATTTATT
Source organism: Homo sapiens (assembly GCF_000001405.40). NCBI lineage: Eukaryota > Metazoa > Chordata > Mammalia > Primates > Hominidae > Homo > Homo sapiens. Next base: position 75,913,920 of record NC_000006.12, on the reverse strand, counting down.
GCCTACAAATTAATAAAATTCAGAGTGTTACTTCTTAGAATTGTCTTTCCCTTAAGATGTTTCTTAGCATTGCCAACACAAACACACACATACCACTACCACCACCACTACCAGCAACAAACCCCTGTCAGATTCCCACAAATCACTGTAACAGTAACCTAAAATAAACTCACACGGCAGGAAAACAAACTACTATTATTTACTAGATTTATATTCTTCCTGTAAAGAGTTCAAATTTGTACAGTAACTTTTATTCAACTATTTATGATAGAACAAAATAAACAGTAATTTCAAAAATCTGAAGGATGTAGACATTTGTCAGTTTAATCACTATTTCCACAAAAAGTAGAAGCCATATAAAAATTTTTTCTTTTGCCAACAAATTTTAGGATTTAAAATGACCACAATGACATAGATATTAACAACATTTAGACAACCATATGACAAAAAAAACCTTATAACAGTAAGCATAAACTTTCCCTTAAAGATATTTACTTACTCTGAAATCAGATTTCTCTTAGAATAAAATCCAATGAAGTGCAAAGTATGTAACATTTGATTCTCCTTGCCAAAAGAAAAGAAAAATCCTTGCTTTTCTACTAGTACTGGGCATTTCATTCATATCAATCTTTCATTCCTAGCTCAATTTTCATTACTTAACAATTAGGTTTTTCTTTTATCTGCAAATGTAAACATTTCCCTGGGGCAATGACTTTACATCTTTAGCAGCATAATTTTGGTTAGCCTGTTTAATCTGTTTTATACTCACAGAACTTCAAAAGTGGAACAACCATTTACAGCAGCTCAGTTAAGAGTCTCACTATGAAAATCCAAGTGTGTCAAAGAAATATTGTAAAATGTACATATGATATAAAGCCAAGAAGAGCCACATGGCTTCTGTAAGAATTTGCAAATACTGAAAGGATGAAAATACTCTTACTCTACTTTTTACACCAAGAAATAGCAAAAGCTTTATAGCAGTTGAATTTATTTCTTTGCAAACCAGAGAAAGCAAAAAGCAGTTAGCAAAGCTATATATCCCTATGAAGGAACGAGAGGCCCGGTTTTGTTAGTAACTTTAAAAGCTGCATCACATATTAACAGACATCTGCTTATCTATTCTTTTGCTCCTGTTTTCCCAGAGCTACTTACAGTTCAGTGTTTCTACTTTTAAGTTTTCAAAACTCCCTACATTGTTGAAAATGTACTAATTCAAAACTAAGAATTTAAAAACCTTCCCTCCATCTAAAGTAGTGAATTAGAATTTAATGTCCAGTTTACAGGAAATTTACCATGATACTGATAGTCATTCATTAATTAACCTACTTTTTAATTTGAAGTAAGTCTCCTGTAAGTTAAGATACTGGATAAAATTCAGAAACTAAATAGAAAGTCTTTGATAGCTTTTCTTACTAACAGGAGAACTGAAATTTTGTTGGGGAAGACTAGAAACGAATACTTATCTGGAAAAACACAAAGACACAGACATTAAAAGCTTGAAACTAATATTCTAAATAACTTTCCTTCACATTCAATTGTGTAATCTTCAAATACAGCCTTATAAATTATAAGAAGCACTTCAAAACATCAGGTCCAACCAGTTGGCAAATGAATGTGACATTATATCCAAATCATTACTAATCAACTAATTCTACAAGAGATTTACTGTGCACTAAGGTGACTCAAAGCTTTTAAATTATCAAAGAATGTGTATCATAAGAGGCTATAAACGTAACAGAATAATCTCCTCTTCCTATTTAAGGAGGTATCATTATTAAACCTTTATACACTATCACATTATCTATAAAACTAAAATACCTTTGGCAGAAATGCAGACACCATCAGTGTTTGAAAATACAGTAACCAAAAACCAGCACCTAAAAGTTAGTCTTTATTCTAAAAGGTCAGCTGCTATGTTAAGAGTTTTGCTACAATAAGAATTGTACATACTCTCAGTTTAAAATGCTAGTCATTTTCTTAATGCAAGTAATTTGATAAAACATTAATTTCACTAGATTTTTTGTAATACATATACATATTGGAGTGATCCAAATAAAGCATCATCTCAAATTAAAATATATCTTAGTATGGATATAACAACTTTAACACACTACAATTCCACTGAAAATTGTAGCAAAACAACTTTTAATAGAAGTTAGTACTTTGTAAAGTATTTTAACCCATCTTCCAGTTAGCTCATGAGTTACCACCCATTGACTTACGTGAATTGTTCAAAAATGGTGCAAAATCTGTGAACAAATATTTTATGTTGAAGAAAAGATAAAAATGCCAAAACTGTTAAATGAGCATTTTTCTAATTTATAAAGCCTTCCAATCGAGGTGGTGACTGAAAAGTAAATATCCTATCCACAAGCCAAATATTCTCAGAATTACCTAAAAGCAGGTGCTGCTTTCTGATTTTTTTAAAAGGCTATTTTGACTCATTAGGCTTAGGAAATTCTGATTGAAGCACATATAAAGAGGACCAAAATTAAAAAATCATACTTCATTTGTGATTTTTGGAACACATATCCAAACAAAAACCTAATACAATGACTTAATAGACATTATAGTACCTTTCATACATTACTAGAATTTTCATAGAAAATAATGAGAATTCATCAAAAAATTATATACATTACAGGAGTAAAAACGTTACTACGTTTTGGTAACAGTATGTTTTGCTTTTTTTAAACTCTCTAAATCTTAAACTCATGCCATTTTTATTTTATAAACTATAAAATAAAACTACTTTCCAAAATCATTGTTTTAAACAATTAATTACTATAAATATTTACTAGGTGATTTGCCACTGACCAAAAAATTATTTCTAAAAAATCTCCCTCTGCAGTAAATGAGATGAAAGTATGCTCATCCAGGACTGTACCAGGAAGAGGGTCTGAGGCTCCTTATGCATTATTTTAAGAGTTTACCATTAGCTGTCAACCTATTACTCTTTAAGTCAACAATACGAAGCTACATTTTTGTTAATCATAAGTTGTCATCATTTTATTTTCTCAAATTAATGAATTGTTCCTTCTAAATATTAGACTACACAGCACTTCCTTTTAAAGGGTGTTTAGCTGCCACATTAGGAAATCATTTAAGTATAGAATTTTCTCAATTGAGCTTCTTGGTGCTCTTTAACCTTTGCTTTTAGCTATGCTCCTGTGTCAAGATGAATTTTGTATGAGGAAGAACATAAAGAGAAAGAGAAAAGCAAAAAAAAGTACTTTTCAGAGCAGAAGTTACATTTGATAAAATATATCCTGAAAATGACTCATAATCAAGTTCTCTGAAGGCTTAATATGTATGTGTGGGGTTGTGTTCACATAAATTCCTAAATTTGTCCATAAACCTTGATAGAACCCTTAGGAAGCTTTCCTAATCTACTCTTTTGTTTTCTTAAATAATATATTACAAACAGAAACAGTAGTTGAACCAGCAAGGTGAGCCACGTATTATTTGCAACTTTTTTGGGTAAAGCTAGATGAATAAGGTATCAAAGTTTGAGTCACAAATACAATAAATATGTGTACATTAATTTAAAATGTGTGTGCCAAATATTACAACATGAACCTCTTTTTAAGAAGTGTGATCACTCAGATGTATTAATTTTGAAATACAATATAATGAAAGTCTGTCAAGCTAAAGTTAGTAATTATAATATTTACAGCTAAAAAGAACAGCTCACTGTCATTTTTTGCAAAACAAAGGTAATCTGTGGTCAGAACTCACTACACAGACAGTGAACAGCTAATGTAATCATTTTGTTGTGTTCAATTAGAAGAGGAAAAATATGAAACTGGAGAAGAGAGCAGTGTCACAATATTTAGTGGGGCTTCCACCTGCCACTTCTTGGTTACAAGTGATCTCCCACTGCCCTTGCATAGTCCTGTATTCTGACTGACACCCCTGGAGCAATAACTGGCACTAATATTACCCCTATTAATAATAATATTGCCCTCACTCAATCTATTCTTTGCAACAACTTAGAAACACTAGAATTCCACTATTAAATTGACTTTATTTAAACACTGCTTTTATTTACTTGGAAGGTAGTGAGGAAAGCAAAATATAACCAAGAACTCATTTTTTAAGTCAATTTGGGTCCTGCATTGCTAAACTATACTATCAACTGTTGGGAATATACCGCTTAGGGGAAAAAAACACACAAAATATTGAATCTGCTGTCACCTTGATGTTAACCAGAATTAAGCGAATAAATTGTGCCAATTTGAACACAGTAAGTCCAATTATTGCTTTAAAGATTGAAATTACAACTCGCATATCACACGTATTCTCAGTTAATGTTAAAGCTCATGCATGCTTGTACTAGGTTACATCTCTTCTACTCTACTTTCCAATTTCAAGTATACACCTTGGCCTTTTGCATAACAAAGTAACAAAATCCATGTTCAGGATCCCAATCAAAAAATCAAATCTTGATCTAGGCAAAACACTAGTCTGAAGCAAGGTAATATTTCTCACTTTTATATATTTGCAGTATTGTAAAATAATGTTTGCAGTAAAATTATTTTTGAAACAAAGGAATTAGAGTGTAAATGGACAATGCATGAATCAATTCCTTTCTTTTTCCAGGCTATAACCCTATTCTGGGAGCAACAGAAAAGTACTTATACCTACAAATAAAAAAGATAACAATATTGGGTATTTCAGGGAACTATTTCTAAAAACTGAGCTACATTAAATTTTAAAAATTAGAAAAAGGGGTGGGAGCAGTAGCTCATGCCTATAATCCTAGCACTTTGGAAGGCCAAGGCAGGAGGATTGCTTGAGCCCAGCAGTTTGAGACCAGCCTGGATAAAATGGCAAGACCTCATCTCTATTTATTTAAAAAATAAAAATTATAGAAAATTTAAAAATAAAAACTAACCATCATCCTTTTTAGCAACTCATTTTCATATGTAAAATTCATTTCACATGTAAGGTAAAAGATGCATGGCAATCCTGACATTTTCACATTTAATCTTGTGAGTGTGTGCACGTGTTTGTGTGTGTGAAAATTATGCATGCACACCCTCTTCAGACAAGAAAATTCTTGTCTCAATTATAGTAAATTCAATATATCTTAACAAGTATGAGTTTAAAGACATACTCATAAAAATAACGCTATAAAAGATAGGCCATCAAGGCTGTATTAGGTTCAATGGCTCACAGTTCTAAAATAGGAGAAAATTTATATGGGACATTTTACCCATGTCTTAAGTACAGATACATGCATTTATATACATATATTTTAAAACGTTCAAAAGTACAGATTTCTCTTTACCATAATCAGTAACAGACTTTGGAGCACGTTGCTCTGTTTCAGTATTTCTCTTCTTGTTCTTAGATTTCCAAGCATGATACACTTTTAGTCTCCTATGAAATTCTTCTCTGCAAGCTGCCAGGAGCTCAATATCTATTGATTACATTGAGCAAAAAAAAAAAATTGACATGTTAATTTATTCGTCTAACATAATGATATAATTATTCTGTCGCATAAGGAGATTTTTTTATTTTTAAATTAATGGTACAAAATCAAAAGTAAGCTAATTATTCATAAGGATAAGCATTTTATAATATTATTGTTCAAATTCACAGATCATTTCTTTACACAGTGTTACTATCTTATATCATCTGCTCCACAGAAGAACTCTGAACTAAACAGGTCTTTTATATGAAGGAATTGCATCAGAAACATTAAGCAATTTGTCGAAGGCAACAAGTCTTGACAATAGAATAAAAAGTCACTGTGATAAAATACAAACTAGATTTACAAGCAAGACATTTTTTATAATTATGCAGATATACTCAATGGAGGAAAGTGTAGTGAGAAATTATGTACAATTATGATACTTTTGTTTCTAGTCATAGTTTTCTGAATTCATCGTTCCTACTCATAGTTTTCTGAACTCAAACACTGTGATTTAAATAAGAACATAACTATGTGGGATCCTCTGGATATAGTATTTTACTCTAATTGTTCTGTGGGAAGAAAAATAGCCTTAAAAAGAAAGCACTGCATTGCCATTTGTTACTGTGCATTCATGGACCAAAAGATTCAGATAATATAGGTATTATATGTACATACACACATACACACACACACACACACACACATACACACACACACCTCACCCTAATCTAGGTATTTATCACCTATCACTATGAACATTTTCTATTTTTGATCTTCTCCAAACACTTACCACAAGAAGTATTGATGGTATCACGTAGTTCTGCATATTTCCATTTACTAAGATCATATTTCTTAGTACCAGCAGCTGCTTTGGTGGCTAGTACAGCAGGACCTCTGTAATTATTACACATTTTTGCATGTTTAAACCAGAAACATGAAGAAAACATTGACTAAAGAGGCAAGAAAGCATGCATAAGTTTGAAAACCGGAAACAGCTACTAGAAAAACATAATTTTTGTTTCTTTGACAGATGAGATTAAGAATGGCATACTAAAAGATGGCCAAATAAATTAAAAATTTCCAGCATGCCACTCGATAGTCACATTAGATTTTAAATCCAAACTTTTGATTCTAATATTCTAGTTCCACAAACTTCCCCCAGACTTCAGTTTCAATGTTTTTACTAATATATATACGAACACTTAAAGTTGAAAAATATACTGACATATATTCCTCAAAATCAAGAAAGAAATCCTCAACACACTTGAAAGATCATTAAAAGCATATTAAAGTTTTGTTTATGAGCAATGAGGCTGCACAGTGCGATCACCTGGAGAGACTGCGGAAATCTACAGATGGCCAAACTCCATTCACACACAGTGGCTCAGAATATCCCTGGGCCTCTGGATGTTTACAGAGTACATAGGTAAGTAGCCAAACCTGCAACCCACTGCATTAGAGTCATTCAAGTCAGCTAAAAGAACGGATGGAATCTGGAAACTCTTACTTTGTAGGCTTCACTGCTATAAGAACACTTAGAAAAGTTCTATAAGCACACAAAAAACACACCCTCATAAGTAATAAGAAAACTAGTAAATTCAAGAGGTTTTAGCTCATGAGGTAAATAACAGAGATTTCAAAGGGCACAAGTGCTGTATCATGACTCATTTAGTAGCACATATGGGGAAAGAGGAAAGAAATAAAATCCAAAGCAGTCAATAAAATGAAATAAATTCAACTTTTTCAAAACAGTGCTACGCAGTGCTTTAAGGCCTGCTTTTTTGGTTTTGCGTTTTGTTTGTTTTTTGTTTTTTGTTTTTTTTGAGAAGGGGTCTGGCTCTTTCACCCAGGCTGGAGTGCAGTGGTACAATCTTGGCTCACTGCAACCTCCACCACCCGGGCTCAAGCAATTCTCCCACCTCAGCCTCCTAAATAGCTGGGACTACAGGCACCCACCAACAAGCCAGGCTAATTTTTATAATTTTTGTAGAGATGGGGTCTTGCCATGTTGCCCAGGCTGGTCTCGAACTCCTGAGCTCAAGTGATCTGCCCACCTCAGCCTCCCAAAGTGCTGGGATTACAGGCGTGAGCCACCACACCTGGCCTTTAAGACTTTTATGCATATAATTTGAGATCATTAATCAGAAAATATGGGAACAATTTCTTTTCTGTAATAATAAACTTATTTTTCAGCAAAAGATTACACTTGCAAATAGCAGACACTCAGAATAAGCTGCAAGACTTTAAGCTCAAGGTAACGAGAAGCGTTTAAATACATCACATTTCAAGACATGAAAAGAAGGTGGCACAAAATATTAAACTAACTAACTATTAAAGAACAAAAATATTGCTTCTTAGGTGTGACACAAGGAAATTCTCCATTATCCACCTACTACCTAAAATATACTTCCTCTTAAAGAGGATTGATCAAGATATAATACCTGAAAATAAACATGTATTTTCTCAGTCTTTTACATTTTGAAAGATAACAGCCATCCTGGCAAGCAGTGAAGACACATACTTAATTGAAAAATGATGTCTGAGAATATGTCACTTTCTTCCTGAAGTAAAGGAAATTATTCTTTCAATACTAAGCTTAACAATGAAATAAATAAGGTGCCCTTGCTTCTTTAAAAGGTCTCTGTATGCTTTCATTCTAGAAAATAAAAAATAGCATACTTCATCCTACATACTTAAAATTCTTTGACATAGTGATTCTTAGTTACATATAAGACTAGCTAAAGAATAATGTGGAGGCACGAGCCAAGATGGCCGAATAGGAACAGCTCTGATGTACAGCTCCCAGCGTGAGCGACGCAGAAGACGGGTGATTTCTGCATTTCCATCTGAGGTACCAGGTTCATCTCACTAGGGAGTGCCAGACAGTGGGCGCAGGTCAGTGGGTGCGCGCACCGTGTGCCAGCCAAAGCAGGGCGAGGCATTGCCTCACTCCAGAAGAGCAAGGGGTCAGGGAGTTCCCTTTCCTAGTCAAAGAAAGGGGTGACAGACGGCACCTGGAAAATTGGGTCACTTCCACCCGAATACTGCGCTTTTCCGACGGGCTTAAAAAAATGGCGCACCAGGAGATTATATCCCGCACATGGCTCGGAGGGTCCTACGCCCACGGAGTCTCTTGCTAGCACAGCAGTCTGAGATCAAACTGCAAGGCGGCAGTGAGGCTGGGGGAGGGGCGCCCGCCATTGCCCAGGCTTGCTTAGATAAACAAAGCAGCCGGGAAGCTCCAACTGGGAAGCATCACAGCTCAAGAAGGCCTGCCTGCCTCTGTAGGCTCCACCTCTGGGGGCAGGGCATAGACAAACAAAAAGACAGCAGTAACCTCTGCAGACTTAAATGTCCCTGTCTGACAGCCTTGAAGAGAGCAGTGGTTCTCCCAGGACGCAGCTGGAGATCTGAGAACAGGCAGACTGTCTCCTCAAGTGGGCCCCTGACCCCTGACCCCTAAGCAGCCTAACTGGGAGGCACCCCCAGCAGGGGCAGACTGACACCTCACACGGCCGGGTACTCCAACAGACCTGCAGCTGAGGGTCCTGTCTGTAGAAGGAAAACTAACAAACAGAAAGGACATCCACACCAAAAACCCATCTGCACATCACCATCATCAAAGACCAAAAGTAGACAAAACCACAAAGATGGGGAAGAAACAGAGCAGAAAAACTGGAAACTCTAAAAAGCAGAGCGCCTCTCCTCCTCCAAAGGAACACAGTTCCTCACCAGCCACGGAACAAAGCTGGACGGAGAATGACTTTGACGAGCTGAGAGAAGAAGGCTTCAGACGACCAAATTACTCCGAGCTACGGGAGGACATTCAAACCAAAGGCAAAGAAGTTGAAAACTTTGAAAAAAATTTAGAAGAACGTATAACTAGAATAACCAATACAGAGAAGTGCTTAAAGGAGCTGATAGAGCTGAAAATCAAGGCTCAAGAACTACGTGAAGAATGCAGAAGCCTCAGGAGCCGATGCGATCAACTGGAAGAAAGGGTATCAGCGATGGAAGATGAAATGAATGAAATGAAGCAAGAAGGGAAGTTTAGAGAAAAAAGAATAAAAAGAAACGAACAAAGACTCCAAGAAATATGGGACTATGTGAAAAGACCAAATCTATGTCTGACTGGTGTACCTGAAAGTGACGGGGAGAATGGAACCAAGTTGGAAAACACTCTGCAGGATATTATCCAGGAGAACTTACCCAATCTAGCAAGGCAGGCCAACATTCAGATTCAGGAAATACAGAGAACGCCACAAAGATACTCCTCGAGAAGAGCAACTCCAAGACACATAATTGTCAGATTCACCAAAGTTGAAATGAAGGAAAAAATGTTAAGGGCAGCCAGAGAGAAAGGTCGGGTTACCCTCAAAGGGAAGCCCATCAGACTAACAGTGGATCTCTTGGCAGAAACTCTACAAGCCAGAAGAGAGTTGGGGCCAATATTCAACATTCTTAAAGAAAAGAATTTTCAATCCAGAATTTCATATCCAGCCAAACTAAGCTTCATAAGTGAAGGAGAAATAAAATACTTCACAGACAAGCAAATGCTGAGAGATTTTGTCACCACCAGGCCTGCCCTAAAAGAGCTCCTGAAGGAAGCGCTAAACATGGAAAGGAACAACCGGTACCAGCCGCTGCAAAATCATGCCAAAATGTAAAGACCATCGAGACTAGGAAGAAACTGCATCAACTAACTAGCAAAATCACCAGCTAACATCATAATGACAGGATCAAATTCACAGATAACAATATTAACTTTAAATGTAAATGGAATAAATGCTCCAATTAAAAGACACAGACTGGCAAACTGGATAAAGAGTCAAGACCCATCAGTGTGCTGTATTCAGGAAACCCATCTCACGTGCAGAGACACACATAGGCTCAAAATAAAAGGATGGAGGAAGATCTATGAAGCAAATGGAAAACAAAAAAAAGGCAGGGGTTGCAATCCTAGTCTCTGATAAAACAGACTTTAAACCAACAAAGATCAAAAGAGACAAAGAAGGCCATTACATAATGGTAAAGGGATCAATTCAAAAAGAAGAGCTAACTATCCTAAATATATATGCACCCAATACAGGAGCACCCAGATTCATAAAGCAAGTCCTGAGTGACCTACAAAGAGACTTAGACTCCCACACATTAATAATGGGAGACTTTAACACCCCACTGTCCACATTAGACAGATCAACGAGACGGAAAGTCAACAAGGATACCCAGGAATTGAACTCAGCTCTGCACCAAGCGGACCTAATAGACATCTACAGAACTCTCCACCCCAAATCAACAGAATATACATTTTTTTCAGCACCACACCACACCTATTCCAAAATTGACCACATACTTGGAAGTAAGGCTCTCCTCAGCAAATGTAAAGGAAGAGAAATTATAACAAACTATCTCTCAGACCACAGTGCAATGAAACTAGAATTCAGGATTAAGAATCTCACTCAAAACCGCTCAACTACATGGAAACTGAACAACCTGCTCCTGAATGACTACTGGGTACATAACAAAATGAAGGCAGAAATAAAGATGTTCTTTGAAACCAACGAGAACAAAGACACAACATACCAGAATCTCTGGGACGCATTCAACGCAGTGTGTAGAGGGAAATTTATAGCACTAAATGCCCACAAGAGAAAGCAGGAAAGATCCAAAATTGACACCCTAACATCACAATTAAAAGAACTAGAAAAGCAAGAGCAAACACATTCAAAAGCTAGCAGAAGGCAAGAAATAACTAAAATCAGAGCAGAACTGAAGGAAATAGAGACACAAAAAACCCTTCAAAAAATTAATGAATCCAGGAGGTGGTTTTTTGAAAGGATCAACAAAATTGATAGACCGCTAGCAAGACTAATAAAGAAAAAAAGAGAGAAGAATCAAATAGACGCAATCAAAAATGATAAAGGGGATGTCACCACCGATCCCACAGAAATACAAACTACCATCAGAGAATACTACAAACAACTCTACGCAAATAAACTAGAAAATCTAGAAGAAATGGATAAATTCCTCAACACATACACTCTCCCAACACTAAACCAGGAAGAAGTTGAATCTCTGAATAGACCAATAACAGGATCTGAAATTGTGGCAATAATCAATAGCTTACCAACCAAAAAGAGTTCAGGACCAGATGGATTCACAGCCGAATTCTACCAGAGGTACAAGGAGGAACTGGTACCATTCCTTCTGAAACTATTCCAATCAATAGAAAAAGAGGGAATCCTCCCTAACTCATTTTATGAGACCAGCATTATCCTGATACCAAAGCCTAGCAGAGACACAACCAAAAAAGAGAATTTTAGACCAATATCCTTGAAGAACATTGATGCAAAAATCCTCAATAAAATACTGGCAAACCAAATCCAGCAGCACATCAAAAAGCTTATCCACCATGATCAAGTGGGCTTCATCCCTGGGATGCAAGGCTGGTCCAATATACACAAATCAATAAATGTAAGCCAGCATATAAACAGAACCAAAGACAAAAACCACATGATTATCTCAATAGATGCAGAAAAGGCTTTTGACAAAATTCAACAACCCTTCATGCTAAAAACTCTCAATAAATTAGGTATTGATGGGACGTATTTGAAAATAATAAGAGCTATCTATGACAAACCCACAGCCAATACCATACTGAATGGGCAAAAACTGGAAGCATTCCCTGTGAAAACCGGCACAAGACAGGGATGCCCTCTCTCACCACTCCTATTCAACATAGTGTTGGAAGTTCTGGCCAGGGCAATTAGGCAGAAGAAGGAAATAAAGGGTATTCAATTAGGAAAAGAGGAAGTCAAATTGTCCCTGTTTGCAGACGACATGATTGTATATCTAGAAAACCCCATTGTCTCAGCCCAAAATCTCCTTAAGCTGCTAAGCAACTTCAGCAAAGTCTCAGGATACAAAATCAATGTACAAAAATCACAAGCATTCTTATACACCAATAACAGACAAACAGAGAGCCAAATCACGAGTGAACTCCCATTCACAATTGCTTCAAAGAGAATAAAATACCTAGGAATCCAACTTACAAGGGATGTGAAGGACCTCTTCAAGGAGAACTACAAATCACTGCTCAAGGAAATAAAAGAGGATACAAACAAATGGAAGATCCATGGGTAGGAAGAATCAATATCGTGAAAATGGCCATATTGCCCAAGGTAATTTACAGATTCAATGCCATCCCCATCAAGCTACCAATGCCTTTCTTCACAGAATTGGAAAAAACTACTTTAAAGTTCATATGGAACCATAAAAGAGCCCGCATCGCCAAGTCAATCCTAAGCCAAAAGAACAAAGCTGGAGGCATCACACTACCTGACTTCAAACTATACTACAAGGCTACAGTAACCATAACAGCATGCTACTGGTACCAAAATAGAGATATAGATCAATGCAACAGAACAGAGCCCTCAGAAATAACGCCATATATCTACAACTATCTGATCTTTGACAAACCTGAGAAAAACAAGCAATGGGGAAAGGATTCCCTATTTAATAAATGGTGCTGGGAAAACTGGCTAGTCATATGTAGAAAGCTGAAACTGGATCCCTTCCTTACACCTTATACAAAAATCAATTCAAGATGGATTAAAGACTTAAACGTTAGACCTAAAACCATAAAAACCCTAGAAGAAAACCTAGGCATTACCATTCAGGACATAGGCATGGGCAAGGACTTCATGTCTAAAACACCAAAAGCAATGGCAACAAAAGCCAAAATTGACAAATGGGATCTAATTAAACTAAAGAGCTTCTGCACAGCAAAAGAAACTACCATCCTAGTGAACAGGCAACCCACAAAATGGGAGAAAATTTTCGCAACCTACTCATCTGACAAAGGGCTAATATCCAGAATCTACAATGAACTCAAACAAATTTACAAGAAAACAAACAACCCCATCAAAAAGTGGGCAAAGGACATGAACAGACACTTCTCAAAAGAAGACATTTATGCAGCCAAAAAAAACATGAAAAAATGCTCACCATCACTGGCCATCAGAGAAATGCAAATCAAAACCACAATGACATACCATCTCACATCAGTTAGAATGGCAATCATTAAAAAGTCAGGAAATAACAGGTGCTGGAGACGATGTGGAGAAATAGGAACACTTTTACACTGTTGGTGGGACTGTAAACTAGTTCAACCATTGTGGAAGTCAGTGTGGCAATTCCTCAGGGATCTAGAACTAGAAATACCATTTGACCCAGCCATCCCATTTCTGGGTATATACTCAAAGGACTGTAAATCATGCTGCTATAAAGACACATGCACACGTATGTTTATTGTGGCATTATTCACAATAGCAAAGACTTGGAACCAACCCAAATGTCCAACAATGATAGATTGGATTAAGAAAATGTGGCACATATACACCATGGAATACTATGCAGCCATAAAAAATGATGAGTTCATGTCCTTTGCAGGGACATGGATGACATTGGAAATCATCATTCTCAGTAAACTATCGCAAGAACAAAAAACCAAACACCACATATTCTCACTCATAGGTGGGAACTGAACAATGAGAACACATGGACACAGGAAGGGGAACATCACACTCTGGGGACTGTTGTAGGGTGGGGGGAGGGGGGAGGGATAGCATTGGGAGATATACCTAATGCTAGATGACGAGTTAGTGGGTGCAGCGCACCAGCATGGCACATGTATACATATGTAACTAACCTGCACATTGTGCACATGTACCCTAAAACTTAAAGTATAATAATAATTTTTTTAAAAAAATGTTCCAGAAGAAAAAAAAAAAAAAAGAATAATGTGTGGCCATTAGTCCTTCCCGTATTTTTATGATTAAAATCTGTTTTAGCTTTGTTGCAGAATCTATACTTTTCATAAGCGGTCTAAGTGGCAATTTTCCATGTAGCTTTTTGGTCTTAATTGCTTTGCTCAAAAATGGCCAGCTGTGTATCAGCAAGGTCTCTCATTTCCTTAACAATAAATTATGCTTTTATATTTATTCAAATATTATTTGTCTTTTCTACATCCCTAAACTACCAATCAATAAACAAAAAAAATCCTTTTATTTTTAAGCTGTTCTGGGAGTCTTTTCTAGGAGGGCAGCTGAAAATTATTAAGTTTTGTTTTTGTTGTTATCTTTTCTTTTGAAAGAAGAGGTAAATTGACATAATATACAGTTTTATAATTGTCAGAATGTATATAAGGTATTAGAATATATGTAAAATGTGTTTTGATACTTTTAAAAATTACATTAAATTCAAATGATTATTGCTTAAAATATGGTTTTAATATCCCTAACTTTTCATTCCTATTACCTCAAACAAAAGTACATCTACTAAAAAACATAGCATCCAAAGAAGTACATCAATGCAACACATTTAAATGTTTCCCCACCCCCATCTCTGGAGTTACTAAAATAGTAAAGGGGTAATTTGCTGATTATTCAGACTTGCTATAAAGACAATCATGTAAAGAATACAATAGTAGCAAACTGATTTTTAAGTGTTAATATATTAACACTTTTAATTATCTTTGTAACTTCAAAATTAAGAATTAACATGTTAGTGAATCATATCCATTTATAAAAGTAATGGACCAGATCCTGCTGGTGGCTCAATTTACACCAGTGGTTTTCAAACCATGTGCCACAGTGCAGAGCCCCTCAAGAGTCATGTTCTTCCTCTACCTCCTCTTCAACGACGCACAGTGGTGCCCAAATTAGGGGCAGCACCACCCCAGGGAGAGTTGCAAAATACTCATTTTGTCATGATGAGGGGAAGAAGTCCCCTACTGAGACTGAGTTGGTGGAGGCCAGAGATAAGCAGTAGAGTTCCACTGCCAAGGGAACTGTCCCATTCAAAATGCCAATGGTATCCCCATGACTTTGAAGGAATACTGGTTTTTAACTTTTTCTTTGTTGGGTGGGGTGAGGGAGAAGTGATATTTCTTGTACAGAAAGAAATATCACTTTACATAGAAAGACTAGGCTACTCATGTAACAGGTTCTGGTCCAAATAATCAAAAGTAATTTAAAAATATGATTTTGAGGTGAACACTTATTTCCCCCAATTACACTGCACTAACCTACTCAAAAATTCTGACATTTCTTTGGCCATTTGTTCCCTACAAGAAAAACGATAATACAATATGGTTACATAAAAGTCATACTACATAAATTAATTAAAAGATCTAAAAGTATAATTAAAATATATATTTTCAATATTATTTAACAACTGTTCATAACTGTTTTACTTTGTTAATGCCTAGAATATACTATTCAACAAATCTAGCCGTAACACACAGAAAAATTTTTGTTTAAATCCAGTTCAAGTTATTTGAATGTCTCTCCATTTTTGCAGTAGCAACTTTTAGATAAAATCTCAGGAAAGCTTTTATGGTATTCTTTTCCATATAGAATACAAATAACATGGTCTAAATCCATACAGGAAACTTGGCAAGATATAGATTCCATATGAGGATTTTTGCACCAGAGTTGCTTAGTAAATATTACTTAGATAAGGCACAATGGTGAAAACCACAAGCTGATGTATTTGACAGCGTCAGAGTTTTAAAAAGAATCTGATGTATTCAAAGCTCTAAAAATTCCAAATCAAAGCATGCTTTTAAGAAAAAGAATATCAAAATGGACTAATGAAAGATCTGAGGCATTCTGATTTTCCAGGGATAAACATTTGCCAAAGGCAAAAAACTTATTTTGCTTTTGTTACCCAGAAGAGTGTAACTTTTATCAAATTTTGTTTAATTCTTTAAAACAGAATGAAGTTTCATAGTGTTCATCAACACTTCTTTAACTTATTTCCCTATTTGCTCTTTTCCTTCGTAATTATTTTCTCATTCATTCTACTCATCAAACTCTAGTAACCTCAAACCCTTCCAAATCAGTAAAATCATAAGAAAAGAAGATGGGTGTATTTGCTTCCAGGTGCAATTTCCTGAATGCCTGCCAAGAGCTGGGACCCTGACTAAAGGAGTAGAACACTCCTGTATTCCTCTTTTCTCGTAATGAACACTGTCTACAATTATGTATGGATGGAGGTCTATGAAAGCACAGTCAGAGAACAAGATATCTTTCAAAGCTGACAGTGAAGGACAGCAAAAACAAAATATAACACAAATACAATCTAATAAAAATTATCTTTTGAGCAATACATTTATCAATCTCTCTTCAAGCTAGTAGTTTCTCAGAATCGTCTCACTTTTAAATGCAGCAGATTTTGATAAGTATGTTTAATTCTATTATCACTCCACCTCAAGGTTTTTGTCTCAGGATTCAAGAGCATCTGTTTTTACCATCTTTTTCTCCTAAAGCTTCCTCCATTTCTTTTCCCATGGTAGGTTTTAAGGGAGTCTATGGACTTTCAAATCTCATTACCACTGGGTCTGTTGATCACACAGGTGTTTTTCTGCATGCTCTGACACTACAATGGATGGCAATCTCTACTGATGCATTATCCTCCCTGACCCTGCATCAAGATACACCTGACCTAGACCAATACACTGCAACAAATTTGCCAGACAGAAATGGTTCCTGCACCCAGGTGCTTTCTTCCTTCTGATTTTACCAAACTATATGCAAATATAATTTCACCTTAGACACTGATTGCGGGCTTATTTAATTCAAGCTCAAATGGTAACTATAAAGCAGTTGTGGCAATGGAGGGCAAGAGTGCCCACTCAGAGATATTTTCAAAATTTGGGGCAGTATTGTGGTAACAACAATGTGTGAGTATACTCCTGGCATCTGCTGAGGTAAGGGGAAAGGAATGCCAAATGTCCTACCCAAGGAAGAACTACTCCATGCCCCATTTAACTTTAACATGTCTGTGAGACATACAGAGGTGAAAAACACATACAAACACATATTTTACATGTAAACAAAGTTATACATGTAAACATCGTATTTTTTGCATGCCTTTAATATTCACAGAATTTGTCTAGGGCTTACGCAAATACTGTGTAATTGAGAGAATATTGTACTTGGCTCTGTTCAGAACTTCACAAAGGATTGTTCACAATTTCATGGCATGTGAATGCCCAACACAACATTCCTATATCAATTTGTATTTGTAGATACAGCATTCGTGGTGATTCTATACGTAAGCAAAAACATCTGATCGCTTATCATGTCTTCTACTACAGTTATGCAGAAGCACTTTCATATTAAATAAACATTTTATTATAAATGACTATCCTTGTATTTCTCCTTTACATATATTGTTTGGAGAGTTGTTTACATAGGTTGCATCATTTATTAAAAAATTGTTATTGGGACTGGAGCCTGATAGAGTTGAGAATCCTCATCATAAATGTTAAGTTGGAGTCCTTAAAGCTGTTAAAATAAAGATTTTATATATATTCCAAAATCCTTATATGTAGTATACATAACATACATACAAAATATGTTTTATATTTTATATAAACAAAATGTATATTCCAAATGTTACCTGGATTCTTTGTGGGTAGATTTTCATATGAAAAAGATACATTAGCACCAAAGTTAGCACTACATATACAATTTCAGATGATGAATTATTTTAGATATAGCAGAATGAACTACCATATATACTGAAAATCAAATATTTTATTATTATTTATGCCTCCACACCTGCTTCTATAAAGAAGTAAGGTAAGGGGCAGTTTAAAAAAAATACATAAAACAGGCCGGGCACAGTGACTCACGCCTGTAATCCCAGCACTTTGGGAGGCCGAGGCGGGTGGATCACGAGGTCAAGAGATTGAGACCATCCTGGCCAACATGGTGAAACCCCGTCTCTACTAAAAATACAAAAATTAGCTGAGTGTGGTGGTGCGTGCCTGTAGTCCCAGCTACTTGGGAGGCTGAGGCAGGAGAGTCGCTTGAACCCGAGAGGCAGAGGTTATGGTGACCCCAGATGACACCACTGAACTCTGGCCTGGGCAACAAAAGCGAAACTCTGTCTCAAAAAAAAAAAAAAAATTCATATATATACATAAAACAAAATAGGTGTTACATTATAGTTTAAACAGACAATACAAAGAAGGAAACCAAATCATGAGCTACTGTGATTGAGCACCATACAAGAGCATTAAACTTTCCTAGACAAGAAAAATATGAAAAAGGTTATCTCATTACCTTTCAATAGAAGAAAATAATTTAAAATTTACTCCAATGAGAAAACTACTCCCAAAAAGTATCTACAACCTATTTTTAAAAAGGTAAAGGTAAGTGACATACGGTGTCATTTTGGGTCTTGTTCCATCATTTCTGTGAAAAGAATATATTTTAGTTAATATCGTAACCAATTGTGAACTGTGAAAATCTGGATTGTGCAAATTTGTGTTTCAATTACTTTACTCATTGATTTTAAAAACTCAATTATTTGTAATCAACATGAGATCACTCAGAATTTTAATATATTTTTAAGTATTCATTAAAAATGATTGGAAAATAAGGCATGCAGTGAAAATTAAAGAGCAAATACATTACATCTAGATTAGAAAATTCATATATTGTGAGGTTTGTTTTTAATAGAATCTGGATATTATTTTACAATTTTAGGTAATTTGAAACCATCTCTTTGCATCAAGAATCATATGTGTAATTGATTGAAATTATATTTCAGAACATATGACATACATAGAAAACAATTCTTACTTAGAAGTTACCGGATAGGAATCCAAGCTGGAAAAGTAACTTAAAATTGCTTATTGAAGCAGAATCTATCTATAATATATACATTTTTTAACACAGCATAGAACCCAACAACATCATGCTATAGATTAAGAACAGTTTACTTAGTTCTTACTCATAAATTTGTTAGAGAAAAAACTCAGTGCTAACAAAGGTAAAATAAACATTCAAAAACATTTAGCTATAGCCCATGGAGTAAGATTAAACTATCAAACATGTGATATCTGTATAGAACATCATTCATAATGAAGTGCTAATGCTTGTAGTTCACAGTATAAAATAACCACGACGACCAGAAGGGAAGGAGCTCATGAGGACCTGAGGGTCAGGGAAAGCTTCCTGGAGAGCTGACAGAAAGGATTTGAAGGGCATTCTTCATACCACCCCTAGGCCTGAACCACATAACTAAAACTAGCTCTTCTGCCTTTCAGGTCATAAGGGTTTGAATATCTCCTCATTACTTAATATGGTCCCATTACCTAGCTAATTCTGCTTAATTTAAATTACAGGTAACTTGTTTATGTTAAAGGTCCTAAACGATCCACTCTTCTCAACCTGGAAGACATGTACCTTTCTGAAGATGGGAAGGGGTCCACATATGAGACAGTATCTTGTATACAGTATATGGAATGGCACTGGATACAGCTTAACATTTCAAGTGCATAAATATAAAGCTTGATGATGAGTACCAACAATGACTCCATTAACAAGTCCCTTAGAAATTGACTTCTGCCATAATAAAATCAACTCTGTCAACTGCAGTACTTCCTCACAGACATCAGGGATAGCAGCTGTAAGAGTTTGGTTCGTTTAAGAGCCTGCCCTAGGCGGCTAGTCAGTTACACATAAAGACTCCCAATCATTCTGATGCAACACAGGTGGAAGGAACAGAACAGCAGCTGAGCTGAGTCTGCATTTATAAAAGCCCTATCTGGGCCAAAATATTTTAATTACAGTGAAATCTTAATAAAGAGCCCAAATATTGGACTCAAACCCAAGAGCTTAATAATTATAACATCTTTTGTTCATATAGCCATATTCAGTTCATTTACAATATAATGTACTTTCATATACAAGCAGTCCCAGAGCTCCCCAATACAATCACATACTATTTGGTGGGTGCAAAAGTTATTGCAGTTTTCCCAATGGCAAAAACCGCAATTATTTTCGCACCAACCTAATAGAAAAAGCATGAAGGCAACTCAATATGCCCTTTTCCTTCCCCGTCTTTTGTTTTTTTGCCAAATATTCCATTACATTGCAGTTTGATCCTTTCACAAGGAAACATCGCCATCTAGTGGTTGTACTCTATATTTTGTCATAAACTGCTTTTAAGCTCGGAAAAGCATGGTTACATGTGTCTATGTGCCTCTCAGTATATATACAACATATATATACCTACATACAAAGGAACCTTACAAATTAGTTTTGTTATTATAAATAATCAAAATAATTAATGCCTCTACATACTAAATTTTTTTAAACTGAATCTATTAAACCTTTCTGCAACTTTTAATAAGAGCTTCCACATTCCTATACACTCCACTATAGTGGAGTGCTTAGAGATAATTCAGAAACCCAAGAAGCCAAAATATTTCAATGAATTTAACCCTCCCTTCTTGTAAAGGGAAACTCATTTATTCTGAGGCATTGCAGAGTAGAGTTCTCATTTCAACTGACAGGATATTTAATACATTAAATTTTTTTGCATTAGAAAAATCTCAACTACAAATACATTACACTGCATTATATAACACAGTCACTTATTTCAATGCCAGTGTTTGATGACAGGTATTTAGAAATTAGGTGTCTACCTAATATACTATACTCTTAAACAATTTCAGGGTAAAGGTTGATATATTTTCTTAATAGAGTACTCATTAGTGAAATTTTAGTCTTATTTGTCAACAATTTAATAATATGATGAAAAATCAATTATCTCATTCACTTGAGTATGAAAGTCGATACAAATAATTTTAAAATTATTTTAGCTCAAATATATCAGGGCCTTCAGAATATTATTTTCTCCTATTCCCTTCTGCATGGAAATGAGAGGCAGAGAGGTAGAGAAAGCAAAGGAGAGAGCGCTATACCCCACCCAGGGGCCCCAGTACCTCCGCAGCGCCAGGTCGGCCTGGGCCTCATCACTGATGAGCTCGGCTTCACTCTGGGCAATCCTCAGGGCCAGCTCCCGGTCCCTGCGCTCCTGCTCCAGAACTGCTTGCTGTTGGGATTCCTCCTCCTTCTGTCGGGCCAGCTGTGCCTCCACTTCAGCCTGACAAGGGCAGAAAGCTATTTCACCAAGAGTTCTTCACTTGTTTACTTGATCACTCCCCTTATTACTTAAAATAAAGGGAAAGCATAACTGCCCCCATACAAGTTCTTTACTAAAGAATTGCTTAAGCACAGATCTCTTCAGTCTCTACTTTCTTCTCTATTATGATTAATGCTTCAAACACATCCCCATTTTGCCTCTTTCCCAAGACCAAGAGAAGGTAGAAGAACCACAGCTCCATAACTCTATGACTACAAATATTAGTGTCCCAAACATCACATGAGTATCTTAGGCATCCCATTAACACTAACACCTAGAGAGCAGATGTCAGGAATTTAAAGTTTTGGTTATGCTTAGGATATATTATGAAAGCCATGACAAACAGAAATTCAAATACATGAGCAATTTATTCTCAACATGGGACTTTTTAAAAACTAGGGGTGGAGAGAGACTCTTAATCCTAATTTATTAATTCCAGTATCTACAAAGTTATATGATATTTTAAAACTTAACATTTTAAGTGAATTTTCATTTGACTTTCCCCTAGGTATAAAAACAATTATTAATATTTATTGATCTACACAGTGTTCACAATGCTTTAACATGTATTAACTGTCAAATGCTTGCAACTATTATTTATCCACATTCTACAGAGAGACAACTGTGACCCATAGTTCCTCACTATAATGTGTACAATGTCACAATTTCTGTCAGTGACTGATCTTGGATTTGAACCCACTTCCCTAGCTCCAAAGTCCATTCCCATAACCACTTCAAAAACTGGCCTTTGGTCTCTAGGATAAACTAGTGACAGCTTATCTAGCAAATCAAGATCTCATTTTCACTTCTTTCATAGGTTCCATTTTATTTTATTTATTTTTTATTTTTTATTTTTTTTGAGATGGAGTCTCGCTCTGTTGCCCAGGCTGGAGTGCAGTGGTGTCATCTTGGCTCACTGCAAGCTCTGCCTCCTGGGTTCACATCATTCTCCTGCCTCAACCTCCCAATTAGCTGGGGCTACAGGTGCCCACCACCATGTCCGGCTAATTTGTTTTCGTATAAGTAGAGATGGGGTTTCACCATGTTAGCCAGGATGGTCTTGATCTCCTGACCTCGTGATCCGCCCGCCTCGGCCTCCCAAAGAGCTGGGATTACAGGCATGAGCCACCACACCCAGCCTGTAGGTTCCATTTTAATAGAAATTCAACCCAGTAAGTACATACTTGAATGCGTTTTTCATCATCTTCCCTTTTCTTTCTCTCTTCTTCTTCTTGTTTTCTCTTTGCTTCCATCTCAAGTTTCCTAATAAAAAATAGAAAACTCTTCAAAAATTTAACAGAAAATAAAGAATCCTTCAGAAGGCAATTTAACTATTATTTAATAATAAACAAAGGTAACAGATTGGGAATGCAAATTAACCTCCTGGCCACATACATCAACTTATTTTGAATAAAATAAAATTTAACTCTATTGACAATAATTCTTAAATAAAACAAATATAATTATATTCTATAACTTTTAACATCTCTAGATGAATGTGGTTACAAAGCCTGGCTGTAAGGTCCTGATTAAAGGTGCTTCCCTCTAGTCCCTCTCCAAGTCAACAACTCATCTGTTCTCTCTACCCTATCATGGCAATCTTTCAAAATGTTATCAGTTTTAAAACTGCAGAAAAGTAGAAGTGTCATTTATCTAGCTTAGAAAACAATAAACAAATCATAGTTTTAAAAAGAAGAAAATCCTCAGGTGTAAGAGGCTAACAAATTCAGATTATAGTTAAAATTATTTTATGGTATCACTATTATAAAATGACCTTATTCTCTCAATTTTCAAACTTATTACAAAATTAGTTCATTAAAATAAGAACACAGTTTTAAGAATTGTCAACCGAGCACGGTGGCTCACGCCTGTAATCCAAGCGCTTTGGGAGGCCGAGGCGGGTGGATCCCCTGTGGTCAGGAGTTTGAGACCAGCCTGGCCAACATAGTGAAACCCCGTCTCCACTACAAATACAAAAATTAGCCAGGCGTGGTGGTGCGCACCTGTAATCCCAGCTACTCAGGAGGCTGAGGCAGGAAAATCGATTGAACCCGAGAGGCAGAGTGCAGTAAGCCAAGATCGCGCCACTGCACTCCAGCCTGGGCAACAGAGCAAGACCCTGTCACAAAAACAAAACAAAACAAATAATTGTCATTAACCACTGTCAATACCAAGAATTCACTATTTCTTTAAGTCTCTTATTCAAAATAATATAAATGCCTCACATCCGCCTTTCCTCCTCTTCCTTTCTTCGACGTTTTTCGTCTTCTTCACGTCTTTTTCTTTCCTTTTCCATTTCTTCTTGAATACGCCTCAGCCTTTCTGCTTCCTCTTCCTGCTGTTTTTTTTTCTGTAATGCACTGAGGAGTTCCTCTGAGCTTTTAACCAGTGCATCATATTCTTTCTGGATTTGTTCCTGCGTCATCATAGTGGACTTTAAAAAATAAAATAAATAGGTACGTAAAAGCTTATTTCTTCTGTTGCACAACAATGTGAATATACTTAACAATACTGAATTATAAACTGAAAAATGGCTAAGATAAATTTTAATGTTTTTATTGTTTTTTACAATTTAAAATAAAAAACTACTCCAATATGCAAATACAGCAAAAACTAGGTAAGATGGTAAGCAATACGTCCGTTATCTTTACTATACTGTTTGTACATTAAATACTATTCAAAAAATGTTTTATGTTATCTCTGCACACAAGTATTACACATCAATTAGACAGGTAATCTGTGGATAAGGTAATATACTGCAGTTAAAAATTATTTCTAGGCCGGGTGCAGTGGCTCACACCTATAATCCCAGCCCTTTGGGAGGCCAAGGTGGACAGATCACCTGAGGTCAGGAGTTCGAGACCAGCCTGGCCAACATAGTGAAACCCTGTCTCTTATAAAAATAAAATACAAAAATTAGCTGGGCATGGTGGTACACACCTGTAGTCCCAGCTACTCGGGAGGCTGAGGCAGGAGAATTGCTTGAACCCGGGAGGCGGAGGTTACAGTGAACCGAGATCATGCCACTGCACTCCAGACTGGGCAACAGAGCAAGCCTCTTATCTCAAAAAGAATTATTTCTTAAGTAATGATCAGCTAATTTAGCAATAGTTTACTACTATTTTAGAATAATGTTCAAATAGTACCTAGAGAATATTTTAAAAATTACAAAATATATCCAAAATTATTGGATTTCTAAAATTAGCCTTCAAAAAATGTGGGTGGGTTAATTTTAATTTATAATGATACCACATAAACAAAGATGGCCCTTGACAGATTTATAAAATCAGCTGAGTCTATTTATAGCATTTTCATTTTCCTCCAGATCTTTTTTTTCCTTTCTACCTCCAAGATTGCCATTGTTTACATAAAATATCTGCAGAAAATATAAAACGCTCACTTTAAGATATTCATTATATCCCACATACTTGCACTGACCTATGAAACTGAGAAAAAGCATTAAAACTCTAAAATATAATGAGAAGATATGAAATGTAATTAATGAAATATGAAATATAATTAACAAGCATATAGAAAAGTCTTCAACTCCACTAGTAATCAAATAAATAAAAATCAAAACAAAATAAGGGATCCCATTTTTTTCCTACAAAATTGGAGAGGAAATTGCTATTTTCACAAAATTAATTACATTATCGTATCTATGAAGATAATGTATTAACATGGACAAGTATATAACAATGGTAGAGATAGAAATTGAAATGTATATTATGATAAGAACTGTAAAAATGTATGCATAAAAGAGAATGTAAGGTAAAGTAAAAACAAGTAAAATTATACTGTAAAAATAACAGTAACTAACTGAATTTGTTAATGTGGAGGTATTAAGAGGTTTTTGGTGGTTTCTCCAATTTTTTTTTTTTTTTAGCCAGGGGTCTCACTGTCACCCAGGCTGGAGTGCAGTGGTGCAATCTCTGTTCACTGCAACCTCCATCTCCTAGGCTCAAGCAATCCTCTAACCTCAGCTTCCTTGGGACCTCAGGCTCATACCACCATGCCCAAATAATTTTTTGTATTTTTGGTGGAGACAGGTTTTGGCCATGTTGATCAGGTTGGTCTCTAACTCCTGAGCTCAGGTGATCCCTGCGCCTGGGCCTCCCAAAGTGCTGGGATTACAGGTGTGAGCCATCACATCTGGCCTCCAAATTTTTTATAGTATTATATTACTTTTATCATTTATTTATTTATTTTTAGACGTAGTCTCACTCTGTCGCTGAGGCAGGAGTGCAGTGGCACAATCTTGGCTCACTGCAACCTCTGCCTCCTGGGTTCAAGCAATTCTCCTGCCTCAAGTAGCTGGAACTACAGGCGCGTGCGATCACACCTGGCTAACTTTGGTATTTTCAGTAGAGACGGCGATTCACTATGTTGGCTGGGCTGGTCTCAACCTCCTGACCTCAAATAATCCGCCCACCTCGGCCTCCCAAAGTGCTGGGATTACAGGCAGGAGCCACCATGCCCCACCACTTTTATTTTTATTTATTTATTTTTTTTGAGACGGAGTCTTGCTCTGTCACCCAGGCTGGAGTGCAGTGGCGCGATCTCGGCTCACTGCAAGCTCCGCCCCCCCGGTTCACTCCATTCTCCTGCCTCAGCCTCCCAAGTAGCTGGGGCTACAGGTGCCCCCCATCACGCCTGGCTAATTTTTTTTTTTTGTATTTTTAGTAGAGACAAGGTTTCACCATGTTAGCCAGGATGGTCTCAATCTCCTGACCTTGTGATCCGCCTGCCTCGGCCTCCCAAAGTGCTGGGATTACAGGCGTGACCCACCGTGCCCGGCCATTTTCTTTTTGCTCCAACTTTAGTTTTCTTTTTTCATTTTTTTTTTTTTTTGAGATGGAGTCTCACTCTGTCACCAGGCTGGAGTGCAGTGGCACAATCTTGGCTCACTGCAATCTCCGCCTCCCAGGTTCAAGCGATTCTCCTGCCTCAGCCTCCCAAGCAGCTGGAATTACAGGTGCACGCCACCACACCCAGCTAGTTTTGTATTTTTAGTAGAGACAGGGTTTCACCATGTTGGCCATGATGGTCTCGATCTCCTGACCTCATGATCCGTCCGCCTCAGCATCCCAAAGTGCTGGGATTACAGGCATGAGCCACCATGTATGGCCTCCAACTTTTATTTTAATTTCAGGGATGCACGTGCAGGATGTGCAGGTTTGTTACACAGGTAAACGTGTGCCATGGTGGGTTTGATGCACAGATCATCCCATCACCTAGGTATTAAGTTGCGAGGGATATCTTTCTTAGCAACAGAAGAAATGGCATAAAAATTGTCTTCTTTAACTTTTTGCTATGAAATTTTTCAAACATAAAGAGTAGAGGTAATAATGATGAGCATGTACTTGCCATCATTGAGTCTCAACACATTTTGTAATTTTGAAAAACTAAGGACGTTTTCTATACAATTTCAATACCAATAACAAAATATATTAAATTACATAAAAAGTCAAAGTCATTCGGGTTGAAATTACATACCTTAATTTTGGCCATCAAAGTATCAATAGAAATTTCCAGATTCTTGATCTGTTTATTCATCTCGGGTTTTCCATCTTTCAACACACTGACTACCTCATTAAATTTATCAAGTCGTTTTTTCAGTGTGCCCACCTTAACCAGACCATCAATGCTGTAAAAATAATACTTCATTAGAGCTTAATTTCATCCTTTAGTACTTTTGGCAGATTTTTCATTTATAAAATGCTAAACAGGGTATTTCACTTCTGTTTTCAATATTATCTACTATTCTCTTTTTCAGATCTCTTGTTGAAGGCTAAAAAAAATCAAATATGAGTGTGAATGACACTGATGCCTGTCAATGGGATTAAAGCCTTCTACAACTTTGAGAATTCAAATCACAGAGGAAATTAATCTAGTCTCTTTGAAAAGGTGTGATGGATCAATAGAGATATTCAGACTTCCAATTTTTAAAAGTGTAAATTAAAAATGAAAGATTCAAATAAGAAATACACTAATTTATAATGGGACAATGTAATTCCTACAGATAATCTTGAAAATTATGTAAACATATTAGTGAGATGTTTTTTAAAAAATGTCACCTTGACATTATCAAGAAACTCAAATAACTAAAATAATCAGAATAAAAGAGCTTCTCTCAACTACTTACTTCTTGTTTTATAGTCTTTACACATTTTTGTATGCCACTTCAAATCCTTTTATAGAATGAGGCAAGTAATAAGGTAATAAATGAATTAACTAACTTCAAATAAATATTACAAATAAAAGACTAATACATCATTTTACAAAGAACATGAGAAAACCTGAGTATCCAAACTGCTTTTTATTATGACTTTATTGTCATTTTGTATTACAGTAACTAGGTTTTGTAGAGTTCTTTTTAGGAACTATTCATCTTACCGAGGTTTGTGTCTCCTCTTGCAAAGCCACATTCGAATAGTTTTTTGCATTTTAATGCAGGCTTCAGCTCGATATTTTATTTTGTTTTTCACTATGTGTAAGAGTAAAATAAAATGATAGAAAATTATTCAGTTTAAATCTAACATATATTAAAAAAACTCATTTTCACAAAGTAATGCTCAAGAAACATGAAATCTTGACGACCATATTATTATATATCAGACATCAAAAACAAAGTTTTAACACCTTTTTTGTTTGTTTTTGTTTTGACAGTCTCAACCCAGGCTGGAGTGCAATGGCATGATCTTGGCTCATTGCAACCTCCACCTCCCAGGTTCAAGAGATTCTCGGCCGGGCGCGGTGGCTCACGCCTGTAATCCCAGCACTTCGGGAGGCCAAGGCGGGCGGATCGTAGGGTCGGGAGATTGAGACCATCCTGGCTAACACGGTGAAACCCCGTCTCTACTAAAAATACAAAAAATTAGCCAGGCATGGTGGCGGGCGCCTGTAATCCCAGCTATGGGAGGCTGAGGCAGGAGAATGGCGTGAACCCGGGAGGCGGAGCTTGCGGTGAGCTGAGATCGTGCCACTGCACTCCGGCCTGGGTGACACAGCAAGACTCCATCTCAAAAAAAAAAAAAAGAGATTCTCATGCCTCAGCCTCCTGAGTAGGTGAGGTGGGACTACAGGCACACACCATGCTGGGCTAATTTGTGTATTTTTATTCGAGCCAGGGTTTTGCCATGTCGGCCAGGCTGGTCTTGAATTCCTGACCTCAAGTGATCCTCCCACCTCAGCCTCCCAAAGTGCTAGGATTACAGGCGTGAGCCACCACGCCCAGCCAGTTTTAACATTTCTATAATTTCTTATTCTTCTTAAAAATAAAAAGATGTTGAAAGATGTAATTTTGCCTTTGCAAAAATTACAACCAAGGAAATTATGTAAAAGAGATCTGACCTAACCAACTCCATCTTGCTTCTAACCTCTAAGCTGTCCTTGTTCATTCCTGGGTGTAGGCCGAACTAATCTTGGGAAAGAACTTAGTTTATTAAAGTTTAACTTTGAAACAAACATGATAATAACCCTTTCCCAAAATAAACCCCCTTCTTGCCTGGGGAACCAGTCAGCCTTTGTAGGACTAACAAATTAGCTCCAAGATTAGAAATTACGGTTTAGGAGCCACACAGCCTCCAGCTGCATGAATCTGAACCTCCTCAAATTGCTCCCAGGTATAACATCACAGTTGTAACACCTAAAATCAGTGCTCCAGATATTTTGCAGACCTTCCAATGCACCAGCTGATGCCACCTAGATAGGTAATCCGGCCCAGCCAGTTCTGTGCTCCCACACAGGAACAGAAGCAAGCAAGAAAAACTCAATTTTGACCCCCTATGATTTCATCTCCAACCCAAGCCCCTACCTACCAAATTATCCTTAAAAATTCAGATCTCCGAGTTTTCAGAGAGACTGATTTGAGTAATCATAAAACTCCAGTGTCCCGTACAGCCGACTCTACATTAATTACTGTCTCTCTACTGCAATTCCTATCTTGATAAATCAGCTCTGTCTGGGTAGTGGGCAAGGAGAACCCACTGGGCAGTTACAATATCATGTATCTGGTTAGGCTTACATTTTAAATGCATTATTTCCTTAGTATGCTACACTGCTACCTCCCAAACTGTCTTAGGCAACATTTGTTCTATGAAATGTGAATAGGTATGTCCTGAAAAAAGGATTTACCTGTCAAATGAGTTTATGAAAAGCTGTACACTATACTTCTGTATGGAGGTTCACAATGAACATACTGAGTGAAGCCTCTGAGAATCCTACAGCAAAGAAATCTACTTAACTTCAGTTACTCACAATTTCCTAGGATGATCTGACCTTGAACTTTTTTTTCAGAGTTTCCTATTAACATTCTGCAAAGATCCCTGCCCGGTTACTGACTTCGGTACCACTGTAGAACACAGTCCACAAATGAATGGTGTAACAGATGAGTTTACTATAATGTGTTTCCTATCATAATGCAATGTGTAAAGCTGAACGTATTAAACTACAGTAATAAAGATGTTTCTGTATTTTATTTGGAAAATGATGGGGAAAAGATTCTGCTATCTTTTTTCTTTTTATATTAATAGTTCTCTTTTTATCTATATTCACAATTGTCTAACAAAATACCTCAAAAATAATCTTTGTTAGCATGATTCTTTTTCATTAGGCCAAAAGAATTTTCCTTTTCTACTGATAAGGAAAAATTCGCTGGATCCTTTTCATGTACCTAGCACTATTTCAGGTACTCTGATGAGTATAAGGGGCAACTGTAAATGTAATCAAGTTACTGATTCCTACACAGCTCCCAACAATTAAAGGTTTGCCACAGATCCTTAGGTAACCCCAAAATGTTCTGTCCCTCACTTTTGTCTTGGGCCAGCTATGTAGCTGCTATGACCTGGCCAAACCACACATAAAAGCAGCTTAGCCCAGTATGTCAAAGGGGTTTGAATTCCTAATCCCAAAAGCCATAATCCCAAATGTTGAAATCCCAAAAGATCAAAATTCCTAGATTAAAATCCCTAACATCAAAAATCCTAAAAATCCCAATCAGAGGAATCACAGAAGAATTCCAAAAAGAGCAATCTCATGAAGAAAATGAATATGAACATATTCTCCAAGAACCATGTCCTAAAAGAAAAAAAGCACCTATTATTCGTGGTACAAGACTTCAAAATATAGTTAATGACTGAGAAAGACAGCCAGCTCTATGGACTATCTCCATGCAACTGCCTATAATCTGTCCCTGTGATACACTTTTTTTTATGTCAAACTTCCTTTTTAGTTTTGGGTGTTTTTTTTTTCTTTGTTTTTATTTTCACTATCTTAAATTGTTAGCATTTTTTAATTATGTAGAAATTTTTGGAGAGTTCTAATTTACTGTATTCATTTTTTGCAAATTTAACTCCATGAAAATGCATTACCACAACATTTACTTTCTGGGTAAACATTGTGTATGTATATAAAAACACTGAAACTTAATCAATGAACAGATGTCCTTTATCATACATCTGCACTTGTAAAAGATAAAATTTCTCAAGATTTCAGTTCTCTGGGCAACTACAAATGCAGTGGTGACTCACTATGGTTTTTGACTGATCTCATCAAAAGACAGCTTGTTCATCATCACAGTATTTCAGATGACTGCAGTAACAAAGCTGGGTGCACAATTACCAACCACAATAATATGTGTTTATGCATTTCACCTTTCGCCCTATTCTTTATGAATACGGTTTGTCTGCTCCTGTTATACCCATGCAACTATTGTTAGTATATGTGTTTATAGTTTCAATAAACATATATGTTTATTGCCTATATATATGTTATTGCCTATTTTATTGTGAAAAGTGGCCTATGAAGAGTTCTGTCATGTTTTTATACGTTTCTCAAATCCCCTTTTTAAAATGTAAATAAATATCTTTTTTTATTATTTTTACAGAATCCTAGTTTTGGGACTTTCATCTTTTAAGATTTCAACATTTGGGATTATGGTGTTCAAGACAGTGTCTTTCAGGATTATGACAGACTTCCGTTCAAAAAACAGGATTTAAGAGGGGATGGTGGGGGAAGAGACTGAAACAAAAAACTGACACACCATTTTACATGATCTTGAAAGACATCAAATAATTTAGACTTCACCTTTTATGAAAGGAAAGTTATAAAAGGCTTCTAGTTTAGAGAGATATCTCTAAGAAACCAGGAAAACCAGTCTGGGAGCTAATGGAATTATTATGCAAAAGGTGGAAAAGGACTTCACTAAGGCACTGGCAAGAAAAAGAAAGGAATGTACAGTATTTGGAGAAGGAATCAACAGGATCTGGTGACTGACAATATTTCAGGGATAAGAAAGGAAAATCAATTACAATTAGAATTTTCGGGGTATGTGTATTGTAGATGCCATGCAGGCAGAAAGAAAAGTTCTGGTTTAAGTCTGAGAGATTAGGGGATGGTGAGGGGTGCGGGGACGAGAGATCAAGATAGTGAATTCTGTTTTGTTAGGACACTATGAAACTGACACTCTTATAACACATTTGAATAAAGAAAATAAATATCATACACTCAAAAAATAAAAAAAGAAAGAACATCTACAAATAGGAACCTGGGACCCAGTGTGAACAAGTCTCAGTCTCTGTTGCTCAGCATCACCTCTGAGACAGCTTTACAACACTCCACAAACCATCTTGAAACAATGAAAGATCCTATAGGTGTAAAGGAAAACACCTACATTTGATGACTGAGAGTGAGCACCACTGAACTTTCTTCCAGCGACTGCATGTGAGCCAGTGATTGACTCTTTTAACCAACTCTGCTAAGTGGTCAGGGTCAGACTTCATGATCTGATCAAATTCTGCAAACTAGGAAGTGAAATAATTTAGTATCAGTATTAAAATATAAATGCATTTGAACACATAAAGACATGATGTAAACAGAATTCAAATCCAAAATCTAACTGTCTGAAAATGGTCACATGTCAATTACATAGGCCTTGGCAGAGAATACAACAAACACAAACACACTTGGCCACGTTTTGCTTCCTTTCTTTCTTCAGGAGCTTTTTTGGAGGTAAGGAGGTTACTTAATGCTAGGTAGCATATTCAATAACAAAAGTGGGGGGGGGGGATGACTTTTAAATTACAGATGGCTAGCGAGAAGACTTTATTAAGAAAAGAATGAAAAAGGACTACTGTATCTCTGAATTGGCTCACCCACATTCTCAGATATCCTTATGGAGCTTTTGATAAGTGCATATTAGCTATATAATACCAGGTACCGCCAAAATTATTCTGTCTCTCCTAACTCCCATTACCCACCCCCAACCTTTTTTGCAGTGGCGCAATCTTGGTTCACTGCAGCCTCAACTTCCCAGGCTCAGGCAATCCTCCCCACCTCAGCCACCCAAGTAGCTGAGATTACAGGCACGCACCACCACACCCGGCTAATTTTTGTATTTTTTTGTAGAGATGAGGTTTTGCCATGTTGCCCAAGCTGGTCTCAAACTCCTGGAACCAAGCAATCCCACTGCTTCAGCCTCCCAAAGTGCTGGGATTATAGGCGTGAGCCACAGCGCCCAACCCCCATTTCCATTTTAAACAGAGATGAGAAATTTTTGCTACTAAGTGACAGACAACACAAATAAAACAGCTAGTAGGTTCTTAACTAATAAAATACATTATTTCCACTATATACCACAAAATTCCATAATGATTTCAATCCTTTACCAAATAACCCACTATAATATTAAGAATGTCAAAAACCCATCAACCAATATAACGGCTTCTTATAGTCAAAATTAAATTAAAGGTAACATAACGAGAGAAAAGATATTTAAATCTTTGTCTTAAGCTTTCAATAAATATTTCTAATTTTTCAGGAGTTTAAACAAGAAAAAGTGCTTTCTCTATGAGACTATTAGTTCTCAAATAATTATTAAAGCTCTAAGACAAGATTGTCCACGCTGTAGTCCATGGGCCACATGTGGCCCAGGACAGCTTTGAATGAGGCCCAACACAAACTCATAAACTTTCTTAAAACATTATGAGATTTTTATTGCAATTGTTTTGTTTATTTAGCTCATCAGCTATCATTAGTGTTGGTGTATTTTATGTGTGGCCCAGGACAACTGTTCTTCTTCCAATGTGGCTCAGGGAAGCCAAAAGACTGGACACCTGTGCTCTAAAATAAATGGGGAGTTTAGAATAAATATGTATGAGTAAAGCTAAACAAATTATGAACATTATATATAATTATCTTCCTCTCAACTTTTTTTTCTTTTCTGAGAAATGGTATGGAAAATAGCAATTCATGTTGTTAGTGACCATATAATTCAAGAATAATACAAATTATTAAATACTTTAAGATATTCACTAACCCCAACTATTTGTTTTCATGATGTTACAGTTTAAAGTAAAAAATGTATATTTACCTTGCCAGGTCTAAAAAATACTTTGGTTAACCCAAACTTGTAGTCATTTTCATTTAAGCCCAAAGCTTTAAACAAAGCCTGAAAAATAAAAGTTAAAAAGTTAAATGTCAATTATTAATAGAAAAGACAAGTTCATAGCTAAGAAATTTCAATTTGGGTGGCATTTATACCTTACAAAATAGTCTTGGATCCAATCTTGCAAGTTTATCTGGCATATACTTTTTGTACATGTTGTAGAGTTCATGAAATGAAGCTCGTGATGGGTAACCACCCTGCATCAAGTCCAAAACAGACACCATCCCTAGATTCACGAACAAGCACAAAGCACTGTCAATCACTGTTCGGAAGTCCAAAATAATTTGTGAATGATCATTTTTGTAAGATACTGTTTAGAAACGGGCAATTTATGAGAATTATCAGCAACTAAATATTATATAGGAAAATATTTATGCTCATTATGTCCCAACTTATCCACCACCTAAAACTACTATAGTCAAATTTCCTGTAAACCCAATAAGACTCTTTTCTAGAGGCAAATTATTGGTCTCTAGACAGATCAAGTCTAACTGGGTGCAGTGGCTCATGCCTATAATCCCAGTACTTTGGGAGGCCACGCCAGGCAAACTGCTTGAGCCTAGGAGTTCAAGACCAGCCTGGGCAACATGGCAAAACCCCATCTCTACAAAAAAAAAAAAAAAAAATAGAGAAATCAGCCAGGCATGCTAGTGCATGCCTGCAGTCTCAGCTACTCAGGGGGCTGAGACAGGAGGATCATCTGAGCCAAAGGAGGTGGAGGCTGCAGTGAGCCTTGCAGGACACTGTATTCCAGCCTGGGTGACAAAGTGAGACACTGTATCAAAACAAAACAAAACAAAACTAAGGAAAGATCAAGTCTAGTTTGTATCTTTTTTTCTGTTAGAAGACTCTGTGTCACAAACACAGTATATAAGGCAAAGCCCTGCATTAAACCACTTTCAAAGGCCTGAGGTGAATTTTAGAACAAAATTCCTGAAAGAAACTCCAAAAAGTAGATACATTCCCAAGTTATCATCAGTGCATAAGGCAAATGGAAAAGAAAGAAGAGCTCACTGTTTCACTATAAAGACTGCCTTTCACTCACTTCTCAAAGCAACTAGACTACTGGGATGATTAGTCTATTGGATAAATATCTATTTTCAGTATAACTCTAGTAAGTGGTTAATCTGAGTCTTGAGTCAATGTGAGCTTTTCAGGTCAGAAAAAGTGTGAGATAGGCAGGGAAAGGCTGAGCTATAAGTGATGCCAGGACTTTTATTTACAAGACCTAGATTTCAGTCTCTGGGACTATTCAAATCAACGGAGAAAGTAAGATTATTCAATAAATAGTATTATGACAAACGGCAAGCCATTTGGAAAACAAAAACAACACTAGATCCTTGTCTCACTTCTTACACCAAAATAAATTCCTGCTAGCCAAAAATTTAAATTAAAACAAACTCTAAGACTTTTTAAACCAGTGAATTTTTATTTTAAAGTAATCTCACAGGAAAGATGGCCTTTACAGACAGTCAGATTGAATTTTAACCCATTTGACTGGCAAAGGTATAAGATAACAACTAGTACTCAGAGCTGATGACAGTGTAGGAAAACACACAGATGCATTCTTAGCAGAAAAGTAAGCCAGTGTAACAATTTTGGATGGCAATTTGGAAATATCCCTTTGGCTCGGTAAATCTATTCTATGATTTTTCACACTTGTGGGCAAAGATATGCATGTGGACAATGTCCAGATGTCCTCTGGGTCACTGTTGGTAATAGAAAAAAAACCAGAAAAAAACTAAAATCTCAATTGATTATGTTACAACCATATGATGGGATATGACATATTTAAAAGAATAAAGCAGAGCTTAATCTAACCAGCATAAAAAATATACCCAAGACGTAGAGTTAAGTGGTCACCCCTAAGAGCTGAGATTTCTTGTTACTTATATTATTCTGTACTATTTAATTTCTGTTACTGTGAATTTTCAATATTAATTAATGAAACACATTAAAGAAATCATTCGTATGGGGAAAAAAAATCTCCAGAACTAGATTTAGCTCTAGGCTTTGCTTGGAGAAAGAAAAGTAAAGTTTGGTTAGTATCATCACAGTTTTTGCCCACTTGTATCAAATAAACAAGTACCTTTGGAAATGTATGCATCTAAGTCTCCTGGCTTGCCCTGTAGCTGCAAACTATAAACTGGCTCACAGTTCATTAAGAATTTCATGGTGCTTAACAAATTACCAAGCCTACAACTGCTTTCTCAGCACTTGCAGCTAGTTTACTCTTAAGATGTTTTGAAGCTTAAATTTTTTTTTTAACCACTAAGGCAAATACTCTGCCTTCTAAACATTTCCATGAACTGGCTTTTACTCTTGGAGTTTGATGAGTGGCTTCTCGGTGCAGAGCTGGCACCCCTCTTTGCTACAAGACAGGCAGCACAGCCCCAAGGTTACAGAAGAAGAAAACTTGCCTTCTTTCACCTTCCCCTACTTTGCCCTGGTATTTGCCAATCAGAAGATAGTAATTTTAGGCCGGGCATGGTGGCTCACGCCTGCAATCCCAGCACTTCAGGAGGCCGAGGCAAACAGATCATTTGAGCTCAGGAGTTCGACACCAGCCTGGCCAACATGGTGAAATTCAGTCTCTTCTAAAAATACAAGAATTAGCCGGGTGTGGTGGTGGGCGCCTGTAATCCCACCTACTGGGGAGGCTGAGGCAGGATAATCACTTGAACCCAGAAGGCAGAGGTTGCAGTCAGCCAAGATTGTACCACTGCACTCCAGCCTGGGCGACAGAGTGAGACTCTGTCTCAAAAAAAAAAAAGACGAGGCGCGGTGGCTCATGCCTGTAATCCCAGCACTTTGGGAGGCCGAGGCAGGCGGATCACCTGAGGTCAGGAGTTTGAGACCAGCCTCAACATGGAGAAAGCCCATCTCTACTAAAAATACAAAATTAGCCAGCATGGTGGTGCATGCCTATAATCCCAGCTACTTGGGAGGCTGAGGCAGGAGAATTGCTTGAACCTGGGAGGCGGAGCTTACGGTGGTGAGCCAAGAGCGCACCATTGCACTCCAGCCTAGGCAACAAGAGCGAAACTCCGTCTCAAAAAAAAAAATAGTAATTTTAGTAAAAGGTGACTTAAATTTATTAATTCTCTTTAAAATGAAAATGGAAAGTTAAAGTACAATTCAAATCTTAAATATCTTTATTTTAGAAAGCTTCGTAAATATTTTTATTTCTACAACTTATGGATTTTTGCATTTTCTCATCACCTAGCTACATGACTGGAACAAATTCTATATCATTATCATTATTACTATTATGATATCTATTATTGATACTTAAAAAAATCAAAGTATAATGAATTGGTATTATCTGTTAAAGTGCCAACATGTCTTAAGATGTTGAAATATACTGCTTATTGAAAGAGGAATCCTAGCTAAAGCATTCATCAGTAGCCTATACCCTCTCCACTAATCTGATAGCATATATAGCTAAATCTAAACAGGTGCAACTTGCCAGGACACTAGGTGTTCACTTAGGAAATAAAGAGGAATTCCAATGGGGAAAAAAATGGACTTGAATATTACAAAAATACATCTCTACTTTATGGAAGAATACAACAGACATGAATTACTTAATTTTCCAGTATTTGTTAGCATTAGTCACAAATAAATCTTCATATTTTCTACACTGTTCATTCCATTCAACAAATATTTACTGAGTCTAGTATATGCCAGGGAAATAGGAATGTATGTGTAAGCCAAAACAGATGCAGTTCCCACCCTCATGGGGCTTATGGAATAAAGGAGGGAAAAATAAAATAATTATACAAATATGTATAAAATTTGTAACTACAACTGTGAAATAAAGGCACTTGAGCTCAGCACCCCAAATTCAGGCTCCCCTCCATGTCAGGAATATCAAGAAAAGCTTTCATATGAAGTGATGACAGAGCTGAGATGTGAAAGATAAAGGAAAAAGTATAGCAAGAACATCCCAAACAGAGGAGGCAGCATGTGCACAGGTCCTGTGCTGGGAGGAAATATGCAGCATTTAGGGAATGAAAATGAAAGTCAGGGTGACTGAAGGAGAGAAGGGAGGGAGAGAGTGTAAACAAATGAAGCTAGGGACACACGGGCCAGGCTCTATGGGACCTCTTCACCCTAATACTCATCTGAAGCCATTAGAGCATTTTAAGCAGTAAAAGGACATGATGATTAGAGATGAGTTGTGGAGTGATAATTCTGGATGCATGTGAAAAACAGACTGAAGAGATAGGAGAATACTTAGGAAGCTACAGCAAAAATCCAGGTAAGAGATGGTGACAGCTTGGATTAGAGACTATCAGGACTCACTATTTAGAAGGTTACAATAGCAGAACTGGGGAGCCTACCTAAGGGAATACACATCTGTGCTGTTCAACTTGGCAGTCACTAGCCACATGCTCTACAGCGGGACTAGCCACATAAGACTACTTAAATTTAAATTTTTAAAAATTAAAATTAAGGCCAGGCATGGCAGCTCATGCCTATAATCCCATCACTTTGGAAGGCTGAGGGAGGAGGATCACTTGAGCCCAGGAGTTTGAGACCAGGAGACCAGCATGAGCAACACAGTGAGATCCTGTCTGTACAAAAAAAATTTTTTTTAATTAGCTGGGCGTGGTGGCACATGCCTCTAGTTCCAGCTACTTGAGAGGCTGAAGCAGAAGGATCACTTGAGCCTGGGAGGTTGAGGCTGCAGTGAGCCATGATTGTGCCACTGCACTCCAGCCTGGGTAACAGAATAAACCCTGCCCCTCCCAACCAAAAAAAAATTTTTAATTAAACAAAATTTAAAATTTAGTAACTCACTCATTCTTAGCCACATTTCAAGTACTTAGGAGTCAAATGTGTCTCATGGCTACTAAACTGACAGATATGGAAAATCTCCATCATCATGTAAAGGTCTTCTGGACAGTACTGACATAGAATGAGAAGAAAAAGAGGCCTAACTTAAATCCTGAAAAATGATAACATATGTCCAGGTAGAAGAAAATGAGCCTGCAGGGGAATCAGGAATGGTCAGAGAATTCAAAAGAAAAGCAGGGGCATACGCCATGTCAGGAACCAAGAAAAGGATATGTTAAAAGGGTTGGCCAGAGTCAAATGTGGCTATGAAGTCCACTAAAATAAGGACTGCAAAAGGGACATTTGCTTCAGAACAAGGCAATCACTGGTGACCTCATCAAGGTGGGAGCTAAATTATCCTGGAGTTAAAGAGTAAGTAGAATGCATGAAACTGAAAAAGCAACAATAACCTATTCTTGGAGAGAAAAGGAACTGGAGAAAAATAAGGAGGAAGAGGTAGCTGTAAGAGAAATGTGGCTTAGAGATGAGATTTCAGCATGTTTAAATGGTAATGGGAAAGATCCATCTGAAAGGGAATAGTATGACAAACATAAACAATGCTGAAGATCCATGAAAAACTAGGAAGAGATGGCTTTCAAAGAACTATAAGCCTCAACCAGGCAGAGAGGCAACCCCTACTTTCTCAACAAGAGGGAAGGTTAAGTGGTAGGCAGAAGTGCTTGATAGCAGACAAGAGAAGCTTTAGGATATTTAGTTAAGGAGGTAAGCCCATCTGACAGCAGAGGCGCAGAGATTTGAGGAAAGCAGGATGGGTCTGACCAGTCTCTGATGAGAAACAGAACATGCTGACCAGGAAAACTTGGCAGGACAGGTTTGAGAGCCCTTTAAAGATAATGACGATGAATTTAACTGGTGCCATCCTGTCTTGTCTACCAACCCTGTGCAGACAATAAGAAAGAACAGAATTAGATTTCTCAATAGCTATGGTTTTGTGAGAGAGGTCAAGGGTAGATCTAGATTTGTGAGGCGGGGGCTGAAGCTTATATAGTTGGGGAGAGGCCTTTAGCGAAGCAGAAAATTACATGCAGGGCTTTGGAAGGGGTTTATTTAAATGAAGGACCCTGAAGCTTAAGTAATCTTAGCTTCATAGTAAATCTACCTCTCAAAAGAGCAAAATAAGGAGTCAGAGAAGAAAGTTTAAGGAAGTGTCAGGAAGCTGAGTTGGATCAAAAGGTAAACAAGAAAGGAGAAGGCTGATACCTTGGGAAAAATTAGGGGTAGTGTTGGTGAGAAGGGAGGATGGGCAAGGCATAAAGCAAACAGAGCAAGCCTGGTGCCTGAGCAAGGTCAGACATGGCAGGGTGAGGGGTAGGAAGTGATAGTTTAAGCAAATGGATGAAGTGTCACAGATGCAGAGGGAATCGTGTTTCATTTTCTTTACAAGTCGTGGAGTGGGAAGAAAGGACAACAAAACCTACCTTCTGACCATCATGTGTGGAATGAGAAATGAACTACTGCTGGATTGAGAAAGCTGCCCACTTAAGGAAGATCCAGTTTTGCTGTTAGAGAGTTTTCATAAATGTTTAATGTGAAATTGTTTATTTCACAATAAACAACATCTCAATATTGCTCAAATAATTTGCCATCTATGCTTTTCTTTTCTTTTCTTTTCTAAAACAGATCTTGCTATGTTGCCCAGGCTGACTTTGAACTCAGGCTGAAACAGTCCTCTTGCCTCAGCCACCCAAGTAGCTGGGACTACAGGTGTACACCACCACATGTGGCTCTATACTTTTCTTATAATTAAAGAAAATATAAGATGAAAATTTTATTGCACTGTAAAATAATCAAGATAATGGTGAATTATTTGAAAATACTGAACCTATTAAATTGTATTTGAGCTATGACTACTAACACACACTGACAGAGATTATGAAAATACCTGAACACTGAAGCTGAGACAGAATTTGAGCACCTTCAAAGTGGTGGCTTGTCATCTTTAAGTTAGGTTTGATGCAACGAATAAAGCTTGCTCCCTAGGAAAATAAAGGTACTTTTTGTTACAATACATATAGCATTCTTAGTTTTCTGTTTCTATGAATACCTGCAACTTTCAAAGCATATTAACATTAACATATGAACCTGTAAAAGTAATTACTAAAGAACTCAAGGCTGGGAGCAGTGGCTCATGCCTGTAATCCAGCATTTTGGGAGGCTGAAATGAGCAGATCACCTGAGGTCAGGAGTTCAAGACCAGCTTGGCCAACATGGTGAAACCCCATCTCTACTAAAAATACAAAAATTAGCCAGGCATGGTGGTGGGCAATCCCAGCTACTTGGGAGGCTGAGGCAGGAGAACCACTTGAACCCAGGAGGTGGAGGTTGCAGTGAGCTGAGATCACGCCACTGCACTCCAGCCTGGGTGACAGAGTGAGACTCCGTCAAAAAAAAAAAAAACTCAAAATTTTACAAGCATACTTTTTCTGCTTTAAAGCTTACAATGACTTTTTGAATTACTAATTAATAATATTACAAAAATACTACATTTTAGATTTGAATGTCAAAAACTGTAAAAAGAGAAGTCTTTCACTGTAAAGTTTAACACATTTAATTGTTTAACATATTTAAACAACACACTTTGCAGGCTGATGTACATGTGATTTTTTTCTATATTTAAATGTATTTATGTATGCCATATTTCTATGATAAGGAAATTTCCCTATGACAAAAGGAGTAAATAAAATTATGCCCCTTAAGACTTAGGCCAAAGTGTAAAAGAAAACAAAACAATATTTTCAATCATTCTATTTCAAAAACATACAGTAGGTCCCTAAGCTGCACTGTTGTACATTTTAACATTTGTTTGTCAAACAATATTTTTTAAAGCTTAAAGGCATTCATTTGGAATCAATTATCAGATTATGCTGAATGAGGTAGAAAGAATACTGATTATGTATACAATGAAACGTATTGTTGAGTACTGAAGCTAATAGACATCCAAATAACTGTTTCTCTTCAAAGTAGTTACCTTGCAAATAATTATTTCAACAATGAAGCTCCCTACAAACACTTTTATTTATTTATTCATTTATTTTTATTTTTATTTTTATTTTTGAGAGAGAGTCTCATTCTGTCAACCAGGTTGGAGTGCAGTGGCGTGATCTTGGCTCACTGCAACCTCCGCCTCCTGGGTTCAAGTGATTCTTCTGCCTCAGCCTCCCAAGTAGCTAGGATTACAAGTGCGCCCCACCATGCCCAGCTAATTTTTGTATTTTTTTAGCAGAGACGAGGTTTCACCATATTGGGCAGGCTGGTCTCAAACTCCTGACCTCAGGTGATCCACCTGCCTCAGCCTTCCCAAAGTGCTGGGGATTACAAGCATAAGCCATGGCACCCGGCCCACAGACACTTCTAGAACACGTTTTAGAAATGCTTTTTTTTCTATAAATCACAAAGTAATCTCATAATTTTAGAGCAGCACCCTATCTAAGAAATAAAAATACTCTCTTCATCAGATTTGGTTTTTAAATATACATGGCCTTAAGAGATAGATATTTGCAGCCAAAGAGGATATTAAAAAGATTTTTAATGGTTCCAAAAATTAATCTAACAGTAAGTTAAGCAACAATAATACTGATATAATAAATGTCTAGCTATTCAAAATGACTATTTGAAAAAGAATACGCAAGTTCTAACTAGGTGCCGTGGCTCACGCCTGAAATGCCAGCACTTTGAGAGGCCAAGTCAGGCAGATCACTTGAGCCCAGGGGTTCAAGAACAGCCTGGGAAACATGGCGAAACCTCATATCTACAAAAAATACAAAAATTAGCCAGGAGTGGTGGTACATGCCTGTAGTCTCAGCTAGTTGGGAGGCTGAGGTGGGAGGACCACTTTAACCAGAGAGGCGGAGGTTGCAGCGAGTTGTGATTGCACCACTGCACTCCAGCCTGGGCGAGAGAGAATGAGACCTTGTCTCAAAAACAAAAACAAAATTTCAAGTTCTGTGGATTTGTGTAAAAAATAAGTCTTACTTTGGAATCATGCTTCATTTATATAAACCACATATAATTTCTTTCTATGATGTTTTTCTCATTTAAGAAAATGGGGTGAATTACTAAAATGTATAGTTAAAAAACAGGCTTCTAATAAATTTTGTCTCTATAGCAGGGCACAAAAATATTTTGTCCATTTTTTCCACATCAACATTGCCATGTCTGGAGAATGTTACTGTAAGAGTAATAAAATAAGATTGAATTTCATAACTAATCTTTAATCCTAAGAAAAATTCTCCACTATTACCACTTATTTTCACTTTCTTGAAACTGTAAGATAATCTTAATTTTTAAATAGTCAAGAATTCTATATATTTATAAAATAATCTGACTTCACATATATATTTGACCTTTCTTCAGAAAAAAAACTAATTTTTTAAAATAAGAGAATAAAGTTTAAAATGTATTTTTAATTAGTACAGGGTTACTATGCCTACTTGCATAATTACTAATAATAGTTTTAGATGACCCATAAAAACCTGTTTTCTTTTTAAGCATACTCACAGTACTTCGAAGTTTATCCAGAAGCAAATTTAACTGTGTCTGTGAAAGAAAGGAAATCAGTTTATTATTTCAAAAAGCCAAAGTACACAGTGTCATGAGTTAATATTAGCTCTCCAGTACTGGAATAAAATAACATGCAATAACATCCAAATACAACACATTCCAGTTTAACAACCTCCTGGTACACAAATTCTTTAACAGACAGCATCATGCAAAATGGCTAATGTAATGCAAGAACAATAACTTACACAGAAGTTGTATAATTAAAAGACTGAAAATTAGCAATATTAAAAACATACACACATATTTGCAGATGGAATGAATGAGGAAAAAATGTACAGGCAATGAAGGAAGTAAATGAAAATAGTGAGGATGCATTTAATAAGAGATCAATAGCACAGTCTTTGAATGTGGCAAACTGTAGTTTGTGTCACACACATTAGGAATGAAGACATGTTTAAAATATACACTAATAGTATATATTAGGATTGTTTTATGGAACACTTAGTGTAAACAAAATTGTCCTGCCTAGCTATAGAAATCCTCTGTAACTTTTTTTTTTTTCTTTTTTTGAGACGGAGTCTTGCTCTGTCGCCCAGGCTAGAGTGCAGTGGCATGATCTAGGCTCACTGCAAGCTCCACCTCCCGGGTTCACGCCATTCTCCTGCCTCAGCCTCCCGAGTAGCTGGGATTACAGGCGCCCACCACCACGCCCAGCAAATTTTTTTGTATTTTTAGTAGAGACAGGGTTTTACCATGTTAGCCAGGATGGTCTCGATCTCCTGACCTCGTGATCCACACGCCTCAGCCTCCCAAAGTGCTAGGATTACAGGCATGAGCCACCGCACCCTGCCTCTTTAACATTTTAAAACATTTTACATTTCAGTTATTTTTAAATGCTTGGACAATTTTCTCAAAAAAAATTGACAATGAACATTACAAGTTACTATGCT
This sequence comes from Homo sapiens, assembly GCF_000001405.40. Classification (NCBI taxonomy): domain Eukaryota; kingdom Metazoa; phylum Chordata; class Mammalia; order Primates; family Hominidae; genus Homo; species Homo sapiens. The sequence continues at coordinate 75,869,732 of NC_000006.12, read as the reverse complement.
TTCTTGTTTTTATAACATTGATTATGATGTGGTGTGGTTCAGTGTATTAAAATCATTTATTTGCCTTACTACTCTGCAAAATAAGTTAATTATGTAAAATTTTTCTATCTGGATTTTATACTGAGGTATTTATTAAACTACTTACAAAAGACTAATGTTAATTTTTAAACTAACATTGTATTAATCATAGCTATAATTAGTAAGTATAGTTTACTGAATGTCATCTATAAGTCAGGTACTGCTCAAAGCTTTTCACAGGAGTTATTATGTTTAATCTAATTAAGGATAGAACATGACAATCCAAGGAAATAAATAACTTGCCCGAGGTTACGGAGCTAATAATGGCAAAGTCATGATTCCAACATCGGCCTGACACCAAATTTCATTCTCCTGTGAGTGATACTATTACAGTATACATCACATATACTGAGAAGCTTAAGTTATTAAAATGGAATGGATTTGTCATTGAATTAAAGAAATACAGTTGTATCCCACTTATCTCACTGACAGAGTTCTGACAACCGTAATCAATCTGAACCACCATGCCTGAAAAGTATTAAAGTGACTAATTTGGAAAGAAAATAACTGTCGCAAAGTCCAGACTCCTTCATCCACAGACTAAGCACAGTATTCTCCAAAAAAAAAAAAAAAAAAAAAAAAAATGGAGATAAAGTCAAAAGAACAGAAGCATCAAAATAAACTCTTAGCAGCTGAGAAAAGAGGGAAGAAAGTCAACTATCAAAGAACAGCCAAGGACCATAAGGCTTAAGAGTAAAAAGCCTCAGGCAACTCATGCTTTATTTGTATTTTTATTTGAAAACATACAAATATTCTTATAATAGAATTATGTTTCCATCAAAAAGGATGACTTTTTCTAAAACACTAACAGTAAAGGGTTTATGTTTCAATAACCTGAAAAAGGCACTTTCCAATAGAAAATTTCTGGTTTCCAGGGATGCTGGATAACTGAAGTATTGCTGTAAATGATAGCCTGTTTTGTGTTTATTGCCTTATATACTTCAATTTTAATTTAATGAGCTATTCTACTATATTTAAAACTAGGAATCTATTCCTATTTCATTTCAAGGTATCTCAGAGAAAAACGTGAAATATTTTATTATTAGTATCATTCAGCTATCACTTTCAGTGGCTTAATGTAAAAAAATACATTGTATTAAATATAAGCAATTATAAGAAGTTTCAAGGCTCAACATAAAAGATTATGTAATCCAAAGAAAAACTGTAAGAATGTCTTTATTTATATTTTCTAAAATTTCAAGTATGCTCTTATCAGCAATACTACAATAATATTAGAGTAGGAAAATAGTGAATGACATCCATTTCATATAGGCAAATATACTATTTTTAAACCAATCTGCTATCAAATGTCGATTCAGAAATAGAAGAATACTCAAATAAAAAAAAGATTGTTCACTGAATCAGAAACTCATAATAATGAATATAACTTATAACAAAATTCAAGGCTTTTTATTCAGTTACCTAAAAATGTATTATGAGGTTTTTCCCTATATTTATGTTTAAGCTTAAAAAAAAACTAGCTCTTATAAATATTTTATCAATTTAGTTATTTAGAGCCCATTTCAATCCAAAATAAATTTGGGGAGGCTTATATTATCAGTACCATAACATTCAGACACTTAAATCTTTTTCCTAATTACATTATTTTAAATATTTAAAGTACATATAGTGAAAGGCAAATGTAGAGTTTTATTATAAATATAACAATAATACTCTGTAGAAATATATAAGAAATTAATTCTCTCGTATACATTTTTTGTTCTACATACTATAGTTTGTCATTCATTAAACTCATAACTTCACAAATTTTAACATTTTTTTTCTACACTCCTCAATAACTAGAACCAATTAGTAGTGTTCTAAGACAAACCCTGTGCCATTCCATGTCAGACCTTGAAGAATAAATTCCTGATCCAAAATTAATAAAACAAATGAAATATTCTTCCATGTTAAATAAGCAGTTTGAAGAGTTTGCCACACCTAAGTGCTTATCTTTAACAGAAGTTATTAAAAGCTTTAATCAAATTTTAGTGTAATATGCACACCCAAAATGCCATTGTGAGAGAAACACATTGAAAATGAATTACAAACTGAATCATTAACTTCAGATGGGCTCTTTTTAACATGGCAGCCACTTTATAAATAGGAGTCCATGAAGGCGATCATTTACCTGAAGCCCCTGGCTGTGCCTGCTTTCCTCTCTCAACTCAACTAGTCCTCTCTAGCCATCCCGAGCTGGACTACTCCAGCTAAAACAAAACCGCTGAATGAGGAAGGAAACAGAAAACACATGGGAAAGAGAAGGTTTGAAGGTCAACCAGACAGTATGCAGAAGCAAGAACATTAGGAGAGGCAATCAGATATGTTAAGAACCAAGAATGAACACATTCAGATAATTACAAGCATTTCTGTATGTTCAATTACTAGGCCTACATTATGATATTTTACATACAAATATCAACAATGCAGGGTCTGCTCTTGAACTTCACTGTGAGATTTCTGACAGTGATCTACATTATCCATTTTAGAATATAAAACAATAATTTCATTTTAAATATAGTAAAAAAAAAATTAAATAACACAAATACCTTAAACTTGTTTCCCACGCTGATGAAGCTAAGTTTTCCTGCTTTTTGTTTAGTATCTTTGTTGTTATTTGTGGATGATTCAAATAATTCCCGTATAAACTTATCTCTGGATTCACATATTAAGGATTCAAGAGACATATGTAAAGCATCATTATTTTTCTCCACAAACTGGGTCTGAAAAATAAATCAAACAGGAATGTTTCTGTCCATCTTGTGATAACATCACTTAACATGGCTCTGTCCAAAGGAACTTTCTGTGATGACAGAAATGTTCTGTATCTGCACTGTCCAACGCCGTCACCACTAGTCAGTGTGGACACTGGGCACCTGAAGTGTGGCTAGTGTACTGAGGAATTGAACTTGTAATTTTACTTAATTTAAATAACCACGTGAAATAATTAATAACCACGTGACTAGAAGCTATCATACTGTACAGTGCAGCTTCAACATGAAATGGTTTTCTCCTTGTAAAAGTTATACTCACTGTTTCATAGCACACTGCCCCCGCAAAATGCCTGATAATGAAGCCTTCGTCGTCTCTGATATTCCTATGAACTGCCAGCTTAGATTTTCTGGGAATCTGAAAAACAATACATATATGAGTTATTAAATGATCAAAAATATATTACATAATCATTCTTTACAAAACAACTGAGATGTAAAACACTTAAAATTATACAGGAAATTTTCACACTTTTCACAATTATACTGCTTTTATGTATTGAGTATGCCTTAAAGTATCAATAAAATCTAGCAAATATTTGGTATAATCTCTTAGGAAAGAAAATAGGTGTAAGACACACACACACACACACACACACACACACACAGAGACAGAGACAGAGACGGAGAGAAAGAGACCCAAAAAAAAACACAATTTAAAAGAACATGCTTGTAATAAAAAAATTTTTTTTTAAAAGCACATGCAAAACCCAGTTGGCATTTTACAGAGTTAACCACCTATTTCTAAAGCAGTGGTTCTCAACCTTGGTGCTCTATTAGAATTACCTGGATAACTTTTTAAAATCTATCTTTATCACGTCAGATGAGTAATGTGCCAACACATTAACAAGGCTGAGGGAGGAAGATCGCACACATGAGCATGAAAATCCAATCATCAGGCTTATGAACTACAAAAGGATCAACCTGGAGAACTTTTAAACATCCCAAAGCCCATACCATTTATATCAAATCATTTCCATGTGCAGCCAGTCAAAGAAACACCTGACATCAGCAAAGGGACTCTCCTACCGTTTCAAATAATATAGCCTAACATATTTACACAAGGAGCCTGAATCTATTTCAAGAAAACTAAATCATTTTAGGTTGTACCATTTAATCATAATATCTCACATGTATATCATAAAGTTTCTAAAATGTTTTCACTTACAAGATCACATCTGACCCTTGAAATAACCTAAGGGTAAGAAAAGTGATGTTGGGCTAGGTGTGGTGGCACACACCTATAATCCTAGCACTTCGGGAGGCTGAGGCAGGCGGAATGCTTGAGTTCAGGAGTTTGAGACCAGCCTGAGCAACATGGCAAAACCCCATCTCTATAAAAAATATGCAAAATTAGCCAGGCATGGTGGAGCAGGCCTGCAGTCCCAGCTACTCGAGAGGCTAAGGTGGGAGGATGGTTTGAGCCCGGGAGGCAGAGGTTGCAGTGAGCCAAGAAAGAACCACTGCACTCCAACCAGGGCAACAGAGCCAGACCCTGTCTCAAAAAAAAAAAAAAAAAAAAAAAAAAGACATCATTTAAAATTGAGAGTCTACCGCCATACCACTCTCAATGCGCCTAATCTCATCTGATCTCAAAAGCTAAGCAGGGTCAGGCCCAGTTAGTACTGGCCAGGCACGGTGGCTCATGCCTATAATTCCAGCACTTTGGGAGGCTGAAGCGGGTGGGTTGCTTGAGCTCAGGAGTTCAAGACTAGCCTGGGCAACACAGCAAAATTCTGTCTCTACAAAAAAAAAAAGAAAAAGAAAAATCAAAAAAATAAAATTGAGAAAACTGACTTGGGAACCTTAGAGGCTTGCTCAAGGTTAAAGAGGTAGCAGAACAGAGAGGCTGTTCCCTGTGGGAGGCAATACACCAGGACAAGTCAGAGTGCCGGCTCTGCAGCCAAAGTGCCTAGCCTGACTCCCAACCTACCATTTCTTTACATGCCATATTAGGCATGTCACTTAACCTCTCCTTGTATGTCTCATCTGTAGCATACACATCTAACAGGATTAAATAATTCAAGTAAAAACATTAGAATAGTGCCTGCCACATCTAAGTGTTCAATAAATGATTATTTTATTTATTTTCAAAAAATACAACAAAAGGAATAACCTATATAAAATAGGATTTACTGCTTTACTCTTGTTCTTGGTTGACAAAAGCAGCCAAGGTCCATTCTTGATGCTTCAGTTTACTGTCTTTTAAGTCACATGCCTCTGAGACACTCGTGACAATTCTGTTGACTAGCAATTAGTGCCCCTGGTAAGTCACCTGCTTATGACTCTAGGTGCCAACTCCTGGTAAAGGTAATCATGCATCCATAGGCTGGTCATAACAAAGACCAGCGAGCTATTAAGGAATAGGATTGGATATATATCTTCAATTTTAGCAGAAGTTTTGTTGAGGATACATATTGTTTTATTTCTATCTCCACTGAAGTAACAGAAATAGATTCCACATTACAAGAAATATATAGGGATACAGAAGAATTGCAAGTCAATGGAGCAGGTGGATGTGAGATTTTAGTCCCTAGTGAAGGTTAACACAATTACATGAGCTTTTCAGGTAAATCCAATTCACCTATTTACCACTGATTTTGTTAATGATGAATAGAAACAAAACTACTTGTTACCATTCACTTAAGTTTCTGGATTCATCAAAGCAATAATCATTATACTATGTTACAATCTCAAAATAATATACAGTTTGTTTGAGAGGCAATTTTGCCTATTAGTTCCCTAATTCCACTAGGCAACTCTAAACGGCTTTTCTTTTTCACTCTCCTGTTTGTTGTTGTTGTTGTTGTTGTTAATGATGTTGTCTATGAGATGAGGCAGCAACTATCTTTGTGGTCGAAACTGACATCCATTTGTGTGGCTAGCACATTGTCTGTGCTAGCCAGGCTCTTTCTGGGTACAAGGATGGAGCTGTGCTTTTATTACCTCAGGTAACAATGGCTGAATGAAAAGACAGGTTCAGAAGAGGTGAACACAGGAAACATCTCAATAGCCACACAGTCCACCCTCATGGAAAATGGCTCTAAAGACTCAAGCACAGCTCTGCGACCTAACAGCAGTTCAGAAACCAGGTCTTCTGAGCCGGGCACGGTGGCTCACACCTGTAATCCCAGCACTTTGGGAAGCCAAGGCAGGGAGATCATGAGGTCAAGAGATTGAGACTCTCCTGGCCAACCTGGTGAAACCCCGTCTCTACTAAAAATACAAAAATTAGCCGGGCGTGGTGGTGCATGCCTATAATCCCAGTTACTCAGGAGGCTGAGGTAGGAGAATCACTTGAAACCAAGATGCGGAGGTTGCAGTGAGCCGAGATCGCACCATTGCACTCCAGCCTGGGTGACAATAGCGAAACTCTGTCTCAAAAAAAAAAGAAAGGAAAACAGAAACCAGGTCTTCTGGCCTTTTAGAGTGCACCTCTCATTTGTTTCTACTGCTGTCTGTCTGCTTTTCTCTTTACTCTACCTAATCTCTCTATTGCTTCAGATTCAATTTCCCTCTCTGAGTGTATTTTCCACTCAAAACTCCTTAGGAAAGAGGGTCAAAATGAATTGGCTGATCATTATCTAATTTGTATTGCCTGCACCAGTCAAGAGTTCTAAGCCACAACCTTAACTGCTGGTCTTACAAATAAGCAGACAGATGGCTGCTTGCGACTCCGAGTGCCAACTCCTGGAATGTGATTAAGGTCACAAAACAAAGCAACTGATACCCACTTAGCTCAGAAGGGAGACCATGAAGACAGCAGGTAATTCTCATTGTACTTTTATTTTTTTGACACAGGATCTTGCTCTTTTGGCCAGGCTGGAGTGCAGTGGCATGCTAACAACTCACTGTAGCCTCGACTCCCAGGCTCAAGCTGTCCTCCCACCTCAGCTTCCCTAGTATCTCAGACTACAGGCACATTGTACGTATTAGACAGGTGAAATGTACTTTTCATCAGAGAAAAAGTCTCTTGACTACATAAAAATCATATATAAATATCCATCCATCTAAGGAAGATACTGTGCTGGATATAATATAGTTGCTCTATACACGCCATAATTTTTATTCTAATTATCTAGTAATATCTAATAGCTAATGCACCTTTTTAATAATGTCTCGTCCCACCATAGTCTCAATTTCAGAATGGCAAAACTCACAGTGAGTCGAAAATGATCCTTGTGCTTTTGGTGAACTGCAGATGTAAAGTGTTGATCACTTGGCTGGGGAAGGCGATTTTCTTCATCCAAAATATCCAGTATTCCCACTAATTTGGCTTCAATTAAATCTATTTCAAAAAATGAAAACACTCACAATAGTGTAAAAACATAACATTTTAAAGATATGTGAACAATTCACTAATCACAGATTTCAAGGACTGATCAGAAACAACATAGCATGTGATTCTATATGTGTTCTCTCAAAAGTTATAGAGAGCTGACGGATTTTTATTTCAAATCTGGCCGTTTATAAAAAAGTAACAGTATATATTTAATATAGGTTTTAGAAAAGCTACTACATAAAGAAAGCAAATGACTATAATAACCATTCCATTTGTAAACCAGGAGAAGAGGCTAAGGAATTGGAAATTCCTCCTTTTCGAAATGACAGCTATATTCAAAGTAAAGTAAAACTACAGAAACTTCTACATGCATAGCTTTTTAATAATACTTTTAGAAACTGATGTAAACGCTTTCAAACAAAATCTGTAACAACACATTTTTACGCTCTTTCCATTCGTTTGAAATTCCTTCCTGTCCAAAACTAACTATAAAATGTAAACTGCTTGAATACAGTATATAACAATGATTAAGTGGAACAAAGCTATAAGACATAGGAAGAGAAAGATTCTAACTACATTAGTGAGAAAATGATGCTTCTTGGGTAATTAGTGGTAGGGCAGGAGGGGCATGCTGAACTAAGCTACAAATGGGAGTATTTTGATAGATGTAGCATGAGGTGAAAGTGGGCTGAAAGACAAATGGAAGGGGAAGAGTTCCAGCCATATCAAACCACACAGTCAAAGACTCAGAGGTTAGAAAGGGTCCGTGTGTTAAGGAAATGTGGAGTGGACCAAGTGAAATGTGAAAGTGCTTTGAAAATTTATACTGATGTAAAGTAGTATTATTATTATACTATGTTTTTCAAATCCAGCACATCAGTTACTGACAGGATTATCAAACTGTTTTAAAAACAAGGTTTGCCCAACAGTTTATTTTAGAGATGGGGTGGGAAAGAAATGGAAGACTGAAAACTGGCTGTGCGGCTATAGGGAAAGGTTTCTTTACCACTAAAATGAAAGCAGAGCCTCTATTCTCTTGCTGCGCAGTGTTATCTGGCTGTGACACATGAAGCCAGCTCGCAACCAGTTAGAGGATGCTGTCAATGCACAGAATACAGCAGAAACAAGAGAATCACAGAAAAGCAGGGCAAACCCTGACAAACTTGCCTGGAGCCTGGCCTAACTATGGACTTCCTCAGGTGAATAAATGTCTTTACTGACTAGGCAATTAAGTTTCCCCCTTAACCAATTCACATGCTAACTATTTAAATAGGAAAACATCCTTCAAAATAAATAGAAGAGATTATAGAAAACTTCCAACAAAGATACCTTTGAAGTCTTGGTGGAAAAAATAACTTCCAGGCAGTAATACAGAAGTAACCTTCTCTCAAATACCAGTTTCAAGTCATATAACAAGTAATGTCAATTAAAAAGCACAGAAAAAGCACTAAACACATTCACTACATCTTCCTATATTTTTCAAAGGTGGAGTTAAAAAACACATACCTATACAGTCCTGATTATCCACATAATGCACTTCATTAACACCTAAACCTTCTTTTTGATAGAGTTCTTGTTCCTAAAAATGAAATAATCATAATCATAGATACAGCAATACTGAGCAATAGTGAATTTTGCACTGTTTCTGAACATAACATTTGCTAATTAGAATGCAAAGGTTTATACAAACTGGTATAGCCTTAAATGGTTTTCCAAAAACATAACAGATTTTTGAACACTTGCAGACAGGCACTAAAGGTAAGGAAATAGCAATTAACTGCAAATGGGCTCTAATACCAACACAGTGATATAATATATATGATACATCACTTGGGGAAAATAAGTGTAATTTAGAAGAACAATATATGATCAAATTTGAGTCCTCAAATATGTCTTGTGTCTTCTTAAAATTTTTAAAGGGATTTTATCATAGATGGATAAACTATGCAATGAACTTAAGTAAATATGTTTTAACATTGTTTCCTGAGTGTTTAAATATTTCCTCCCATGAGATACTAGAAAAGATTTCTGACATTCTAGAAGGCACTGTCCACTTAAACACAACTCAATTTGAAATTCACATTTATTTTAAAGTATATTAAAAAGGTGAACATAAATCAAAATACAGTCTCCTTTTTACAATATTTCTAGATAAAGTTTTTTGGTAGGTTGGTGTAGAAGGGAAGGATTAGCTTATGTTAAATTAGAGGCATGAAGGTAAAACTTCACATGGTAATAGAACTAATGTGACTGGATAAACGTTTTCAGAGAAATTATCTTACTGGTAAGTACTTGTTTTACCTGTTTGTTTATGCCAGAATTCATTTAACTACAGAATGTAAGTAAAATGTACAAAAGCTAGAATGTGCTGGGAAGCCCACAAAAACATAAACATAATTAAAATGTGGGAAAAGATAGAAAGGATGGAAATAGGAAATAAAATGATTGCACATTTCAGCCCAGATAAAGTAGAAGCAGCTGACAGTCCAAAAGGTGGCATGACAAGGAAAGTACTGCCCAGAGGCACTCCAGGACAATGGATGCATCAAATCTCCTGACTTGATGGCTTTGCTGCCAGACAGGGAAAGGTGAGCCAGCAGCAGAGTAGGCAGAAGCAGAGAGACCTGAAGAAGGGGAGCTACAGTCGGGCATGATGGCTCACGCCTGTAATCCCAGCACTGTTAGAGGCTGAGGCAGGCAGATCACCTGAGGTCAGAAGTTCAAGACCAGCCTGGTCAACATGGTGAAACCCCATCTCTACTAAAAATATAAAAATTAGCCGGCCATGGTGGCGCGTGCCTGTAGTCCCAGCTACTCAGGAGGCTGAGGCAGGAGAATCGCTTGAACCTGGGAGGCAGAGGTTGCAGTGAGCCGAGATCGCGCCACTGCATTCCAGCCTGAGCAAGACTTCGTCTCAAAAAAAAAAAAAAAAAAGAGTGGGAGATGCCAAAGGCAGGGATGCGGGTAGAAGGTTGTTTGGTGTGGTAGAAGTAGAGACAACAGGCCAGGCGCGGTGGCTCACGCCTGTAAGCCCAGAACTTTGGGAAGATGAGGCAGGCAGATTACTTGAGGCCAAGAGTTCGAGACTAGCCTAGCCAAAATTGTGAAACCCTGTCTCTACTAAAAATACAAAAATTTGTTGGGCATGGTAGCCCACGCCTGTTGTCCCAGCTACTGGGGAGGCTGAGGCAGGAGAATCGCTTGAACCCGGGAAACGGAGGCTGCAGTGAGCCGAGATCACACCACTGCACTCCAGCCTGAGCAACAGAATGAGACTCTATCTCAAAAAAAAAAAAGAAGTAGAGACAACAAAATCATAAAAAGAAACAGAGCTTCAAGTCCATTAAAAGTCACTACTAAAAACAGATGTTCACTTCTGAGGAAGCCCCTATTAAGGGTTTTTATCGGGTCCCTAAACTTCAGCTGAACCATTAACACTTCTGACGTGCCTGAGCCCCGGGGCCTCTGCTGGGCTTCCCAGATTCCCTGAGCCACCTTCCGTTATACACCATCCATCCACACCAATCAGGGTAACTGCAGCATATCTCTTCCTTAAAATTTAAAATAGCTTTATGCAGATCTTAAATTAAACTTATAATGGCAATTACCTCCTTCAGAATCCTTTCATTAAAAAATTGTTGAAGTTTTTCATTGCAATAGTTGATGCAAAATTGTTCAAAACTGTTATGCTCAAAGTACTCTGAAAATATAAAACCAGAACCAAGAGTCATTATGAGATCAACTTCATATAAATTTATCATAGGATAAAATGTAATTGTAATAATGGCTTAATTTAAAATTAGGTTAAATTTGTATATTATATATATTTGTTCTATACTTCCCAAATGTTCTCATTTCAAGACAAAACTTTATAGGCATTAAAAGTATTAAAAATACCCTGCTTCAGTTGACAAATAAGGTGTTTCTCAAATGAGATAAATGTTGTATACTAAAAGATATAAAATGTAAGCCACATGTTAACTATTTATTTATTTATTTTTGAGATAGGATCCCTGTCACACAGGCTGGAGTGCAGTGCTACAATCTTGGCTCACTGCAACCTCCGCCCCCGGGTTCAAGTGATTCTCATGCCTGAGCCTCCCAAGTAGCTGGAATTACAAACATGTGCCACCACACCCAGCTAATTTTTGTATTTTTAGTAGAGACAGGGTTTCACCATGTTACCCAGGCTGGTCTCGAACTCCTGGCCTCAAGTGATCTGCTGGCCTCAGCCTCCCAAAATGTTGGGATTACAGGCATGAGCCACCGCACCCGGCCAACAATTTTTTAAAGCACAGGTATTAAAGCAATCTAAATTAAGCACAAAAATTACTTAAAATACAAGTGCTTTAGAAGATTTTTTTCTGCATAATCTGTAAAATTACTTATCAAAAATGCTGTGGATACCAATTCATTTCTAAAATCAAGAGATTATATTGCATGATGTCTAAGATACACTCGGCTTTACAATTTTATAATCCTTTGTATGTGTTATGCTAAAACTGTTGTAGAAAAGGAAAAAAAATTAATAATAATAATAATTCTCTACCTTTGAACAAAAGGTAGAGAATTATAAAGTTTAAAATACGTATTACATCAAAAGCAAAACTCCATCCCTCCCCAAATGTAAACACTCATACATTTCTTTGGCAAAAACCACAAAGAAGACACTACTCCTTCACAGTCAGAAAGAATGCCCACATTGATAAAGCCCAATACAAAACCCATTAGATTTACATTTCAAGATTTTTATATTTTTGTCACTCAGAGCAAAGCAGCATTCACATGCTGGTGACCCATTTCATTTCTGGTTGAACAGCTCTACAGTTGTTTAACTACTTACCTTGATATCTTATTAATTTGATGGAAAATATAGCTACTTGCTGACAGCAACAGCAATGAATTTCTAAACATAGTAATGAGGTTGGCCTGTAAGTTAGGTCAACCTATCCCCAGCTCTACAAATTAGTAAATGGTTTTAGTGACTCTATTTATCTTTTTTTGTTATTTAATCAGTGAATGTATTATCTTTATTAGTAGCACACAAGGATTTACCTTTATTCAGTTGTATTCCTTTTAGAGTATAGAGATATCCTTAACTCTAGCAGTTTCAATCAATGTTTTAATTTTAGCATTAGTATCATCAAAACTAATCCCCACGAGTCTTTCCTCTTCTCTTTAAAGTATCAGCTCCCTATCTAGGTCATATTATGAAATGTGAGTGTGGACATATAATTACACATACATCAAGTAAAATGAGTTACAAAGGAGAAAAGATTTAAGAACAAATTCTAATGTGTGAAAAAATATGAAACAAATATATACTCACAAAAGAAACTCTACTTACCAAAACCAGCAATATCTAGGACTCCAATAAAATAGGATGATGTTTCAAAAGGAAAACACTGATTTACTCTGTTTACCACATGATCAAAAAGATGGCTATACACTGTCTTTGCCAGGGCATCACGAGCATTGTTTGCTTGCTCCACTTTCAGAGGTACCCTATAAAAGAAAACTATGCTAGTAAAAATTCTTTATAATAGTGCACTGTGAAAATGCCACAGAGTGCACCTAAACATACACACAGAGAAGAACAAAATAAAGAGTTACCAAAGGTCATGTGAGAATAGGCACAGATAAATGGGGCTAAGTAGAAAACTGCTACAAGAAAACTAATGGAATTACCTAAAATTAGATCAAAAGTCTATTATTGGGGTAAAAAAAATTAGGCTTAAAAAATCATTTTGACCTTAATTTACATCCTGAATACATACAAAATTATTCAAAGGAATAACCTCCCTTTTGGTTTTCCTTAAATGCAAAGGAAACAGTGTTTAATTCAGGATAACTTTAAAGTTTGGTAACTTCTTTACACTGTTTAGGATAAAATGTTTACATCTTAAAATTTGAACTGTCCCATTCTACTATTTAATATAACTGACTATATGGTATAATAGTATTAAATGTTGCAGGTACAGACACAGAGCCATTGTCCTCAAGAAAATGATAGTCTGATGAAGAGAGACTGGCACAGAAGAGAATTTCCAAACACCATGCTAAATACTATCATAAAGATAAGCATGGGGTACCAAGAGAGCACAAAAAAAAAAAAAAGAAAGTCAAATTTGGAAGTAGAATTATAAGTCATTCAGATCAGCCTGACATTTGATACTTAAGCCTCTCTAAACAGTGATTTCTCACTTATATTTTCTGCAATGGAACCCTTTCTTGAAGTTTCATGTGGACACGCTATATATAGAGTACATAAAAGAGCTGCTTTGGATTCTGGAATGGCATTGATTGAAAAAAGGAAACAACAACAAAAAACTGCTTTGGAACAAGGAGAAAATGGGAAAATGGAGGAAGCAATGCCTGAGAACCACCCACCTGCACATTTATGGGCTTTCCCTTGGGCCGCAGAGATATCTCTAAGGAACCAAGTAACTGTAGGCTGTAGGGTGGTACTCTACAAACTTCTTCCAGAGTTTTTCTTTATAACAAGAACAATTTTGAATTTGCTTAGCAAAGAATCAGGCTAAGCATACCTTGCTAAAATTTTCAAAAGAATAAGAGATAGCCAATTTTCTGAGAGGCTAAAAGCTTTTTCAAAAAATTCTTTGTTTAAATTTGTTGCAACTTTTTCGGAAATATGTCACTAGAGCTCACTGCCTATCTTATTAGTAAGAGATAAAGGGTCTTCTTCCCTCCACAAATGAAGATCCTGCAGTGCCTCAGAATGACAAGGCTGAATGTCAATTTTATTCTACAGTACCAAAACCAAAAATATATAAAATATAGGACATGGAGACAAAAGTATAAAAACATCCAGGTACAATCTAGAAGTTCTTGGTTACTGATTTTTAAAATCTTGGTTAAGCCCTTATTTCTCGTCATTTGTAATTTCTCCCAAATAAAGAATCCTAAACATAAGGAAAGTGTCATTTGCTAAGTATTTTGCTGAAGTGAGATCTGCTTAATAGATGTGTTTTAGTACACATTATTGGCATAAAAAAATTACTTTTAAAGTAAAATGATCTGTTGCCTAAAACTGTCATATATTGATTTATACCATCAGCTCATATTTTCATAGTTGTAGAAAAGTAAACCTCTCTCTTACCTTATGAATTCCAAATATCAGCAAGGAACAACTTTAAGAGCTATGTTAAACTCCATTTATTTATATGGTGGATTACTACACTGAGATGTAGAGAATTTTGATCTACCAAGCTCAGGTTTTAAACAGAATGTAACTTATGTTTTTCCTTGACAAACTGCAAGGCAAAATTTTTGCAGTGCAATTACTTAAGGAACTTACTTTATAACTGTTCCTTTGGTGCCCCCTGCTGTTGTTAGCATGACTCTTGTGGTCAAACTTACTCGAAGATCATCTTGGTCCAAACCCAGTAATTCAGCACAATATTCCAAAGACTGAGCAGATTTATTCTTCAGATTACAACCACCTAATAGAAATATATTTTCATTGAAATTAATAAGTATTATATAAACCAGATTTTCAAGACCCATTTCTTAGAATTATACTTCACTTACAAAAAACCATATAATAGGCAAGGCTTATTTGTAACTTTTAAATCTACCTCACTTTTTCACTATCCTTGTCAAACACCCGTACTGCTAAGATCAACAGAAGATCCTCCCTTGGGGAAGTCCATGGTATAATCCTTTAAGCACATCAATATTAAACTGTCACTGTTTCATTTTTTTTGACCCTATAAGCAAACTACACTGATAGATTATAATCCTTTTCAATATATTAACTCTTTAGAGAAATAGAGTATCTCATCATTAAAATTCATATGACTTCAAGAAATTTCAAGGAGTAATTTTAGTGCAAACGCTGTAAGGCACCTAAATAGATCAATTTGGATGTACATATCTGTCTATGGATGTGTTTATGCATATACGTAATAAGCATGTACTCATATTGCTTGGGGTCGAAGGGAGTGAAGAGACATTTACTATTACCTGTACAGGCTGAGTATCCCTTAACTGAAATGCTTGGGACCAAAAGTGTTTCAGATTTTAGATTTTTTCCAGTTTTGGAATAACTGCATATACATGATGAGCTGAATTCGAAACACAAAATTCATTTATGTTTCATATACACACTAATATACATGTATACCCCTGTCCAGTTCCTCCAACAGCTTGACTTTCTGTGCTAGAGATCAGTACAAATGCTTCCTCTTTTCCTTATTTACTGTTACCCTTAGGGGTATCTGCAAGCCTTTTTGACATTTTCAATATCTTTACACTGCAGAGCAGAGAATAGCAAAAAAAAAAAAAAAAAAAAAAAAAAAAAAAAGCAATGCAGTTAGGTCTTGACCCATGTGGGCATTTTGAGAAATCTGCCATTGGCACATCCAGCCTGCACGTGTGCCATTTTATTTTTTGTGTGCTTGCACAGGGGTATGTGAGGAAAAGATATATTGCAGCAGAAGGTGGCCAGGCAGGTCATTTTTGCCTTAGTACATCATATCTACAGATTTCTATTTATAAGGGCTGCTTTAAAAAGTACTATAAAGAAAGAAAGTGCTTTAGTCTCAGGGCTGATCAGGCTCTACAACTACTAGCTATGTGACCTTGAATAAGTTACTTATTCTCTTTGTGCACAGTTTCTTCGTCCATAAAACTGGGATAATTACTTTACCTACCTTACATGGTTGCTATTTAGATTAATGAGGTTATGTATGTGAAATGCTTGGAATAGTGTCTGGTACAGAGAAAGTACTAACGATTAACTATTCTTTATATTTATTTGCATTATAATAAAAAATAGCATTTTACAAATATTTTCAGATTAATATTAATAAACGATATATTCTAAGACTACCTAATTAAAAACTACAAAGAATGTGTGAAAATCATGACAATTTTATGACAAATTCATAAACTACTTAACATACCAATCTTAGAATATATATGAGAAAAAAATGTGAAAAATGAGACCTTACAATAATAAGATGTTGGGACAATTCACTGAGGAAAGAACAGCTTCTTCAATAAAGGTACTGGAACAACTGGATGTCCACATGCAAAAGAATGAAGCTGGACCCCTTCCTCAACCATAAACAAAAATTAACTCAAAATGGAATCAAAGACTTAAATGTAAGAGCTAAAGCTATTAAACTGTTAGAAAAAAACTAGGTATAAACCTTCATGATCACAAAGTAAATCTTCATGTCTTTGATATAATACCAAAATCACAAGCAATAAAAGAAAAAACAGATAAATTAGGCTTCACTGAAATAAAAATTTGAGTTTCAAAGAACACTATCAAATGAGTAAAAAGATAACATACAGAATGGGAGAAAAGATTTGCAAATTATATATCTGATAAAGGACTTGTACTTAGAATATATTTTCAAAACTCTTACAACTTGGTAATAAAAAGACAACCCAATTAATAAATGGGCAAAGAATCTCAACAGGCACTTCTCCAAAAAAGATATACAAATGGTCAGTAAGCACACAGAAAGATGCTCAGCATCTTGAGCCATCAGGAAAATGCAAATAAAAACCACAAAAAGATAACACGTCACACCCTGTACGATTGCTATAAGCATACACATAGTACTGGTGAGGATATGGAGAAACTGAAACCCTCATACGCTTCTGATGGGAATAGCTTTGTAAAGTGGAAAAGCTGCTTTGAAAAAGTCTGACAGTTCCTCAAAAGGTCAGAGTTTACCATGATGTGATTCAGCAGTTCCACTCCAAGGTATTTACTCAAGGGAAATGAAAACACATCCAAACACAAATTTGTACACAAACGTTCTCAGCAGCATTATTCATAATAGCCAAAAATGGAAACAACCCAAATGTCTAGAAACTGACAAATGGATAAACAATGTAGTATATCCATACAATGAAATATTATTCGGCAATAAAAATAAAATGAAGTACTGCTAAATGCTATAACATGGATTAACCTTGAAAACATTATGCTAAGTGAAAGAAGCCAATCACAAAAGACCACATATTGTATGATTCCATTTATATGAAATGTCCAGAATAAATTTATAGACAGGAAGTAGATTAGTGGTCACCTAGGGTTGAGAGAAGTGGGCAATGAGGAGTGACTGCTAATGGGTACAGGGTTTCTTTGTGGGGTGATGAAAATGTTCTAAATCTATGGTGATGGTTGCACAACTCTGAAAATACTGAAAACCACTGAAATATACACTTCAATTGAGTGAACTGTATGGTATATTAACTAGATCTCAATAAAGCTCCTACCAAAAAAAAAGAAAAAAGAGAGATACTTTGAGAATATTTTGAATGTTTCATTCTATGAAAATGTGCTTATTACTCGTGTAGGTTCTATACATATACATATTGCCTAAAATTATATAGCTCTCAAAAAATTGACCATCAAATAATTCATTTAAATATTTCTTCTTTTTTACTATATCGCAAAGTTTCTTACACACCTCCAAAAATTATGTAAGGCTAAGATAAAAAAAAAAAACAGGATTTTTAATAAGTCTTAAAAGGCAAAATACTATCATGTAAAGTTTTCATATCACTTCTTTCCAAAAAAGAACTTCTTCAAACATTTTTAAAGTTTCTTATAATAACATTTTATCTGTTATGTGGAATTTTAAAAACATAGGCAGTCCCAATGCAGTTTTCTGCATTTTCATCATGCAAAAACTTCTTTATGACAGTTAAGAGTCCTATAAGTGCTTATTGGAGAATAATCTTTCCAGTAGAATAATTATAAAAATACCAAATTTTTTTGGAGACAGGGTCTCACTCTCCCAAGCTGGAGTGCAGTGGTGCGATCATGGCTCACTGCAGCCTCGACCGCCAGGGCTCAATCATTCCACCTCAGCCTTCCAAGTAGCTGGGACTACAGGCATGCACCACCATGCCCAGCTAATTTATTTTGTGTGTGTGTGTGCGTTTGTGTGTGTGTTTTGGGGGTTTTTTTGTTTTTTTTTTATGGGGTCTCACTATGTCGCCCAGGCTGGTCTTGAATTCCTGAGCTCAAGTAACCCTCCCGCCTCAGCCTCCCAAAATGCTGGGATAACACGCAAGAACCACCATATCCTGCCAAAACCAACATTTTTTCAAATTGCTAAGACATGCCAAATTAAGCTCCCTAGGGAAAAAAGAAATCACTTCTAATTAGAAAGAAACCATTTGGATCTATAGGAAGAGTCATAGGAAGGATGAAGACAAATATAATAAAATCTTAGCTTTTAAAATAATTAATTGAATCACATATTAATCTTATTGATTCCCTGTCTCTTTCCAATCTTCCCTGATTTCTGTTCACTTTACCCTCAATAGAAGGAAGTTAGAGAAGAAAAATAAGAGATAACGCAAATAGCATTACCTTTTGGGCATTTCATACTCTTCAAATAACTTGATCATGCAACACTTATAATACTCTATACAACTGCATCTTCTACCACAGGGTAATAATAAGAGGTGTGAAGATGCCATTTATCACTTCTAACAACATTTCTAAAGTGTGTATTAATTATTGTAAAGACTTTTTTTTGTGTTAGAATCTCCCACATATGCTCCTTTGGTATAACAATGCTAGAGAGCAAATGAAATGTATGCTAACATTCATTACATTTTCAAAACAAATTTTCCAATCCTTCAAAAAAAAACAAAAAATTTTAATGCACATTAAGAACATATCTAATTTTGCTTGAATTTTTTTTTTTCATTTTAAATTGGGAGCAATCTGTATTTTAATTGTACTTACTCATTTAAAGCACTTATAATGATTACTATGTGCCAGACACAAGTACTCAAATCATTTACAAATATTTAACTCGCGTATTCCTCTTTACAACATGAGGTAGGTACTATTATCTTCAGTTTACAGTGAGGAAACTAAGACACGAAAAGGCTAAGTTCCCTGCCTAAGGTCATACAGACAGTATGTGGTAAAGCATCTGGATCAGGAGCACGTGCTCCCATCCACTATGTTATGTTGCATCTCACATTATTGATTTCACAGCATTACAGAACATTAGATCTGAAAATCATTAAGACATCTGTTTTAGTCTGTTCATTCATAGATGACAAATTTCAGTGGCCTGGGAGAAAGAAGGGACAATTATCACAAGCCTCTGTGTTAGTCAGACATGAGCAGAACCAGCTCTCACATCTACAACTTCATCAATAACCACATGCATCATTTCAACACAGGTTCCACTTCTGTAAAATGGAGATAATATCCCCTACCTCATTATATTTATGATATACAGATTACAATTACGATGTTTATGATGAAATGCAGAATAAGAAGAGTCTTGCATATAACACTTTTTTTAATCTTCTTTTTTTTCCTGTCTTCTTGTGCTCTTTCCCTATATGCACACTATTGCTAGTGAGAGGAGGTGCCCGCTGGCCTTCCTGGGTCGAGTAGGGGCTCAGGAAGCTGTGAAACTCACTCATTTCCTGTATCAGGACTTACTTTGGTCCTGGATGAATAATATTAAAGATATGTGCTTAAAATATTCCTAACACCAGGATTTGTGCATGTGTTTTCTTCCCCAAGAAAGCTATAACAGCAAAAATTTTGCCATAAGCTTCCCTATGTCCTCTCTCCCTCTCTCCCTTCCCCCTCCCCTGAAACTAAAAGAAATGTTAAATGCCCATTTTTCTGTGACCAGTGGGCCTTATCTATGCTCCTAATTCCAACTCCTTGTAAACATACTTTGTAAAGTCCCGTAAATTCCCGTCTCCTTTGCCAAGCCGCTGCAAGGTCATAAAGTAAATAAAACCTAAGTTGCAATTCCGGTTTTCCTCAAAATCTAAAACACATCACAAAATAATTTACTGCCTTTGTTTCTCGCTCTGGTAACATCTTCCCCCTGCACGTATTTCCCGCCTTGAAGAGTTTAAAAGGAAACTGCATAATCTAACTCTGGCTACCCACTCGGGACCCCTTCCACACTGTGAAAGCTTTGTACTGTCACTCTGCTCAATAAAGTCTATGGCTTTTTTTTCTCTTGGTCCCTGTCTCCATCACTCACTGCAGGCAGCCACCACACCAATTCTTTGGCATGGCTAAGGCAAGAACCTTTAGCATTACACTAGGTACTGGCTGTACTTTAAAAGTCCTTCTCATGGTTTATTTAATCTTGCAAGTGAGGAAACCAAAGCTCAGAGAGCCTCTGGGATCTAACACCAAAGCCCATTATTGACTACTACATTAAATGGTGCTGTAGGTTTTCCTTAACTCATCCTTGGTATAAGATCGTACAATAATGTCTTAATATAGGGGTTGACAATCTTTTTCTCTAAAGGGCCAGATAGTAAATATTTTAGGCTTTGCAGGACATATAGCCTCTGTTGCAACTACTCAACTCTGACACTAGCACAAAAGCTGGTATAGACCACACATAAATGAGTGGGTGTGGCATTGTTCCAATAAAATTTTACTTACAAAAACAGGCAGTGGGTCAAATTTGGGCTGTGGTTCATAGTTTGCCATTCCCTGTATTCGTAGATCAAATTTAGAATTATGCAAAGTCCTACTGTTCATGTACAGACTGAAACACTGGAGTTGAAAAGTTGCTTTTGCCATGTATTTAAATACTCTTTTCAATCTGCATAAGATTAAAATTTTCATTTATTTTCATTTCTCATTAATAAAGTACATGGGCTTTTATATATTAAATTGCCCTAATTAATTCACCCAATGATCCTGAAAATTTTCAAAAATGCCTTAATAGATGATAGAGAATTAATCTTCTCACCTATTGGAAAAGTGTAATATAACTGGAAAATTTAACTAAAAATTACCCTAAATTTATCAGGATAAAATAGTCAGTTATTTATACTTCAAAAATGAGAGGTTTATTCCTAAGCAATATCACTGATTTGTTCAAAACAGAGCTCAGAATGACTGATAATGAAACATTCTTCATTTGGGAGATTCAACATTTAACTCAGTATATTTTAGATATTTCTTAAAGTTTTTAAGCAAACTGCATATAAAGAGACAATTTTCATATGACAAATAAATAACAGAAATTCTATTTAATTTTTTTCCTCTTAAAAAAATAAAAAGCAAACCTGAAGTGCTGCCAGCTTCCTCAAAATCAATATTTCCAAGGTGCAGGACGCCAGCTACTACCCGGAAGAGATCAAGCTTTTCTTCATCATCCAAACCAATTTTTTTCATAGCCGTGCACATTCTAATAAAATCACCATGGTCATCTAGCAGAGGATCTTTCATAGAACCTGCCTTAAGGTACTACAAAACAAGAAGACACCAATTAACTGATCGTTACATTATTTAAGTACACTAAAACTACTACACCAGGTCAATTAATGCACTATATAACATGCAAAAATAAAATCTGTCAATGGGAAAATCTTTACTATTCTAACATTCAAAAACTAAATGACCATGAAAAGTATACACAGGATCTCTCTGTTCTATTTCACTATTTACTACATGTGAATCTACACTTATCCGTAAAAATTTCAATTAAAATAATGAAATTAGATGTTTTTCAATTAAATTACAATTTTCGCTCTAAAGTCTTATAATCCTAGCATATTAGAAAAAGACAAAAATTGAGTGAAAAAGGAGGGAATATCAATACTTGAATCAACATTACAGTTTTTTTAAATGAGGTAATGATAAATATATTCATTTAATTATTCCACAATGTATACATGTATCAAACATTACATTGTATTCCAATGTACTGTATAAATATACATTATTCTTGTTAATTAAAAAAAGAAAAAGTAAGTTAAAAGGTGCAATAAAAAATTTAAATGTGACAATCAGTATGACTCCTTTAGGTTAACTGCCACCAACTGCACCAATATTAAGTTGTAGTAAATAGGGGTCAGGCTGATACAATTTTCATGCCTTAGAATTCTTTTTTAAACCTTTTTATATGCATATATATATATGGTAAAGTATATTAGTAAGCATTATACTTACTCTAATAATTTACACAATGACTTAAAACATTTCAGAAAAAATGAGAAGAAAATTTGTTTTCTCTCCTAAAAGAACTTGCATCTAATGTGCTCATTTGTTAGACTCTATACCAACTCAGAAGAAAAAAAGAAGAAAGTCAGGACTGCAGAAACTAGAAGGAGAAACATAAAAGTTACTGGACACGAAAAGATTGTACTAGAAATTTTCCAGAACTTGAGAATATACAAGTTAAACATTAAATAACAGGATCATGATTAACTGATCATTAAAGATGCCTCCTGGAGATGGATATTTTTTCCTCCCAGTAAACAAATGATTCCCAGCTCAAGCTATAATTGTCTTTCCACAAAATTATTTAAAATGTTCAATTATGAATGTGTAACATTTCTGGAAAATATCTAAGACAATAAAATTCAATTTTATTCTTAAAAGAAGCAAAGGAAACAATCACATGCAGCCAAAACTGTTCAGCAGAAAACACACATCATGCAGAATTTTTAGTCTTGCAGTCAAAGAATTGCTTCATTTAAAAACTGTTTCTAATCAAAAGTTAATGAACATATTTGCTGTATGGCAGACTAAAAATACTGCATTTTTCTAAAAATTACACACAACCTAAAGACATTCAGATGGAATTGGGCAAAGGGTTTAATTAGTCAAAATGATCACCTCATCCTCCTGATAAAGAAGACATAAAAAGTAATTTAAACATATTAATCCATTATTTAACTGTACATATAAACGCACACTCAATGTGAATAAGATTTCTGAAAGAGTATACTGACTCTAGAATAAGAGGGCAATTTTCTTCTTTGGAGAGTACATGCTACTCTTTGGAGAGTAAACTCGTTTTCTTTCCTCTCTACTCCATTTTTTTCCATGGCAAATGATCAAATTTATATCTTTTTCCCCCCTTCAGAACTGCTGAAATGTCCCACTAGGAAAGGTCTCCATTATCTTAGTGAAAGGAATATAGCTACTATATTTTGATATCTCAGAAAAACATAGTCTTATCAAGACAAAGAAAGATACAATAATAAATATTAATGTTGCTTCTTAAAAGTACCAACCATGGCTATAGCAAAGTTTATAGTTTGTAATTCAGATTCTGTATCTATAATGATATATAAAATGCCAAATTAAACAAAAATTAACTGTAGGGTTGTCTGCTTAGAATTTTAAATAATGGAATATTTTATTTGCTTTCTATCCTTTTATATAAATATGCTAAAAATATAAATCATCTCATTCATTTTAAGAAGAGTAAAAAATATCGGGCTTACAAATGTAGAAGCATTAAAAACTGACTATTATAAAAACTTGTTCGATTACTCAATTTAAATATTTAATAAAATTAATAAAAGTAACATTAACCAGTATCTATCATTAATCCTTACTTTAGTATTTCATAACTTAAGCCCCTTGAGTACGTGTAACTTAATATCACTTATTAAACACTGCATATTAAAATTTATAAGGGTTGTAAATTTTTACATTAAGAACTTAATGTGTTAAAAATAATACTTAATGGTATAATTATATCTAATTATTCTTAGAAATATAATTTACTGAAACCAATATATAAATTTTTCATAATATATTACATAAATATGATGTTTTAAACAGAACTACAATAATATATAAGCTTTTTTTTTTTTTGAGACAGAGTCTCGTTCTGTCGCCCAGGCTGGAGTACAGTGGTGCGATCTCCACTTACAACAGCCTCTATCTCCTGGGTTCAAGCGATTCTCCTGCCTCAGCCTCCCAAGTAGCTGGGATTACAGGCACACACCACGACACCTGGCTAATTTTTGTAATTTTTTGGTAGAGACAGGGTCTCATCATGTTGGCCGAGCTGGTCTCAAACTCCTGAACTCAAATGATCCACCTGCCTCAGCCTCCCAAAGTGCTGGGATTACAAGCGTGACCCACTCCACCTGACCAGCTTTTTTTTGTTTGTTTTTAATTCTGTTGCCCAAGCTGGAGTACAATGGCATGATCGTGGCTCACTGCAGCCTCCACCTCCAGGGTTCAAGCAATCCTCCCACTTTAGCCTCCCAAGTAGCTAGAACTATAGGCATACACGACCTCACCCAGTGAATTTTTTTTATTTTTTGTAAAGATGGGGTTTCACTATGTTGCCCAGGCTGGTCTCAAACTCCTGGCTTCAAACGATCCTCCCGCCTTGGCCTCCCAAAGTGCTGGGATTACAGGTGTGAGCCACCACGCCTAGCCTATAAGCATTTCTTCCCAAGAACGCTTAATCTATTTACTGTCTACATCAAACCTCACGTCAGCCTTGAAATAGACAATAAATTGTAAAAGACATATACTTAAGCTCAAGTGGGTAATATAAGAGCAAGTTTCAAAAATGCTAGAAGAGAATGATTCTTAGGCAATTTAATACCTTCATGCTTGAAAACAGAATGAGAGGAGAGCAATGCAGTGATGCCCAACCAGAAGAACCAGAACCTGTCACTTCACTAGATAACAACAAGAGGTATAAAGTATTACACTGTGACAGAGACTTAGATGAATATTTAATTTTTTAAAGTATAAGCCTAAAAGTTAGAACTCTTACTTGGGCTCTAAAATAAAAATTATAACACATCTTTCAGCATGAGTTTTTTTTTAAGTTAAAGATTTTATGAACAATGGTCTACTATACCTCAGGACTTTTGCGGTTCTGTAAAATCTGTTTGTCAGTTTCTTTGTTAGCAAAGTATCTAGTGCAGCCTCGGTTTAAATACTATGACAAAACAAATTAAACATAATTAACATATATGATCCACAGGGAAATAATACAGGAGAAAACACAACTTACCAAATAGTGCCAACCATGAAGAATTTCTAAACACAACTTGAGTACTGTATAATCTCACCATTCAAATCAATACTTCTATATTTTATAAGCATTTTCTTCCTACTAATAAAACCAGGAATATTAAAAATCCTAATCTCTGAGCATAGATTAAATAAAATGATTAAAAATCAATGACATAAAAGTTTTCTACTTTTAAAGGGCAACAATTTTATATCTTTTCAGTATCAAAAATCTAAACATAGTGTATAAAATCATGAAAATCACCTTCCTACTAAATATGTAGAATCTCAAGTAAGAACCGATAGTATGGTTTAATTTTTCAAGTAATATTTTAAATTCTGAGAAGTTAAGAAATTCTATCCTTGATTTTCTTAATTTTTGATTTTTAGAGTCAGTTTTTTAAAACATGCTTTTCACATTTATTGAAAGCTAACAATGACTGTACATAAATTACACTACTTGCTTTATGCTTTATGGATCAAATAATTTAAAGTTTTCTTATTTCAGTGATTTACTTCACTTACCAAAGGCTTTCAAAAGCTAAATGCTTCCAAAATATAGAACAAGAGGAGTAGTTCAAAAAAAGAAAATCTACTGGTATCAACAAGAATCTACTGCTCCCATTTATTAGTCTCACAATTGAAGGCTTGCTTCATTTAAAAACTGTTTCTAATAAAAAGTGAATGAACATATTTGCTATACGGTAGACTAAAAGTACTGCATTTTTCTGAAAATTACACACAGCCTAAAGACATTTAGATGGAATTGGGCAAATCTGATCAGAAAGGATGTACACAGAGAACAGGATGGACAAGTTTTTTTAAACATCTCAGCTTCTCTTAAATCAGGTTGCTATGATTTTATTGTACCATGGCATGAATTCCCAAATTAAATACACCTCATCATACACATACCAAAAAAAATTTTATAAAAATTTGAATGATTTGGGGATAAATTAATATTTTAGACAATCAATGCCTCTATCTTTCCTTCTCCATTATAATTAAATGCTAAAATACAGTAAAAACAAGACAACTATATACATGGTTTTTTTTTTTCTTCCACCCTAGAATCTTTGGGAAAAAAATAAAAGAGAAGGGAGCAGGGACAATGTTGGTAAGCATTTTCAATGGACTGTTTCAAATAAGAGCTCTTTTACTTAGCAGAATAATAGTTTAAACATGTAGAGCCAAAATAAATATGTTCTTTGCTACCAAGCACTTTGTCTCCTCACTCCAATTGTTTTGTCAAATACTTTGCTTCTGGACAGTGGGGCCTAATATTACAACCTTGGATAGAAACGTGTCCTTTTAGTTTTTCTGTAACTAGAACACTATCCCGGCCATCTATTCTTTTTCTATCCAAGCCTTCTTTACATTCAAGGATCTATCCATGATTACAGCAATTGGCTCCAGAAACATGTGCAGAAATATTTGAAATGTCTAAATGCAAACATTTTTAAACCTTTTACTTTTTAAAGTATATGTGTGGTTAATAAAAATGTTTACAGACAGGTATACATCCACAATTCTTTACATACTAATTTTGATAGAGTAGTGACCAAAAAAATTCAACAATTTTACAAGTGTTCAACCTACTGCAGGTTTCCCCTTTGTTTTTAAAACCTGATCTCTCAATTATAACCAGAGGGCTAAACTACAGAAAAACCTGATGAAATCACTAACACACTTTCAAGTGACTTTAAGGCAGAATTATTTGGGGGAAGTGGATATAGTAGTGGGTGTGTTGTGCCTGCATATGAGAGGAATATTCAAGATGGCAGATGTATGCAACGCTGTTCCCCTACTCTTCCTCTTACCATCACAAGGACTCTCCTGTAAGAAAGGAAATCAGGCCTCCTGGTTCACACTGCAGAAACAGGAAATCCTCTGACCAGATATATTTCAATAGCTGCCCTTTCAGGATGCCTGCCATTGTACCAGGAAAGGCTGTACATTCTGAAACCCAAAAATACTATACTCCCAAGCCTCCAAGCAGGAAGAAATGCTAGATTAAGGCCAGAACAGTCACATCACTTTATTGTCAGCTAAGTATTGACAAAACCGTATCATCATTATTATATTTCATGTAATTCCTAGTAATTTATTCCTTTTTTAAAAACCATAGTAAAAAAGAAATGCTTCCTTTACTTTCATGGAAATGTGGGCAACTAGCTTCAAATTCCAATTAATTTGGAGAGCTCTAGAAAAGACTGGACATTTTAGAAGTATATAAAGAGATACATTTATAAAGTGTTTTAAGACAACAGACTTTTAAAATTTGCAAACACACATTAAAAGAAATTGAAGTAAAAGAAAAGCTGTCTGCAAACACACACGCACACACACAACCACAGAGCAGTAATTATGTGTGTTATGATTCTCAAATGGAGGCTTTCTGACCAAAAAAGACTATCAGAATCAGCTGGGGAACTCTATACAGACGACATTCCTTACTCACATTGCATTCCTTTGTATAAACTACATTCCCATACTCCATACAAGTACACTGTTTTCTAACCTGAGAATCTGAAAATTGTGTTAACCAAACCATCCCCAGTCACCGCTCCTAGAAACTCTACTCGCTTGTAATGCTCAGGTGTGTGTGTGTGTGTGTGTGCATGTGTGTGTGTGTGCGTTTCCCACCACATCTAAGTTGATCAAGAGCAGGGACTGTGTATTATTTATCTTTTTAATCCTGGCCCAATGCCTGGCACCCAATGGGCAAGCAATAAATATTTGTTGTTGAAGTAAATTAAGAAATTCAATCATGTGTCCTTTATTAATATTAATTTAGTGTTCAAACATTTTTACAGATAAGTCAAAGGTAACTTTAAAGCTAGTATTACAGAGCTATTATCAATTTCTAATTGAGTTTAAATTGACGTAGGGTTTAACATCTATCCTTTTATCTATTCCATTATGTGCCTCCTCATACAGTGTTATACTATAAACTCAGCAGTACACCTTAATAGAGATCTTCTCAGTACAGTGGTCATTCTAACATGTTATACTTGATCCAATGTAAGTTACATACACACAACAAGTAGATTTCAAAATTCACTAAAATAAGTATTAGGCTTGATGGCAATTATATTTTCAAAAATTATACAAAATTTTTTTTTCTTTGAGATAGGGTCTCGCTCTGTTACCCAGGCTGGAGTGCAGTGGCACAATCATGGCTCACTGCAGCCTCAACCTCCTGGGCTCAGGTGATCCTCCCACCTCAGCCTCCCGAGTAGCTGGAACTACAGGTGAGTGCCACCATGCTCAGCTAATTTTTTGTATTTTTTTTTTTTAGAGACAGGGTCTCGCTACATTGCCCAGGCTGCTCTCGAACTCCCAGGCTCAAGCAATCCATCCGCCTCAGCCTCCCAAAGTGTTGGGATTACAGGCATGAGCCACTGCACCTGGCTATATGAAATTTCTTTTCTTCTGACCTACCCGAAAATTATCTGGTGAACTCAAATGAAGTTTTTCTCTAATATCTTCAGAAGCACCAGCACACAACCTATAAAAGATATGATAATTTCTTTCCTCTTTGCCTTGAACACAGATCCTAGATTTCTCTAGGAGATAATGTGAAACAAATCCTCCAACAACTGAGCTCTAAAAAACAAAACACAGAGAAAATATATTTTTGCATTTAAAGTCTTAAAATATAATTAACCAATGTTAAATTATTTACCTTTTCTAATACCATTTGTCTATCAAAGAGGTTATAATATTCACCAAATAAAGGGGAAAAAACAAATAACTAAACGTAAGCACAGAGTATTTATAATGGTCATCCTTCATTTTAAACATCCCCATTTAAGTCTCTACCCAAATCCTGTTAAGTTTTGAGCCTCCTAAGAATCACAATTGACCTTGCACCGTACCTCAACACAGGTGCTAGAATATCTTACATGACTAGCTATACAGTAATACTCAATGCTGAAGTCAAATTCAGCATCTGGGTTTTAGATTGTGAAAGGAGCTTTTAGATGGTCATAGTGGACACATATATTCCTGCAACCATCTAAAGTAACAATGAAACTTAAAGGTATTTACCATTAAGTGCAAATACAGCACCAACTGACCCTTGCATTTTCACAAACACTCCCCAAAAATATCATTCCAAAGCTTACTCTCACTTACCTTTTCATTAAAATGTATTTCTACAAATTTCCCAAATCGACTGCTATTATTGTTGCGAACAGTCTTCGCATTTCCAAAGGCTTCTAGGAGTGGGTTAGCTATTGAGAAACAAAAAAATCCATCAAAAAATTAGCATGACGGAACATTACAAAATATGCATGGTATATCTCCATTTGTTAATATATATGTCTAGAAAAAAATGTTCTAAAAAATATTAACATGGGCGGGACACAGTGGCTCATGCCTGTAATCCCAGCACTTTGGGAGGCCGAGGCAGGTGGATCACGAGGTCAGGAGTTCGAGACCAACCTGGCCAAGATGATGAAACCCCGTCTCTACTAAAAAATACAAAAATTAGCCAGGCGTGGAGGTGCATGCCTGTAATCCCAGTTATTTGGGAGACTGAGGCAGGAGAATTACTTGAACCCGGGAGGCGGAGGTTGCGATGAGCCGAGGTCGCACCATTACACTCCAGCCTGGGCGACAAGAACAAGGCTCTGTCTCAAAAAAAAAAAAAAAAAAATTAACATGAAGGAATTCACATGTAATGCCAAATTCCACAAATATTTATTGATTACCCACTATGCTCAGGCACTATTCAAGTCCATGAGATAGGAAAATTTCTCAAATATATAACAAGAAAATATAAATGTTATAGGAAAGACTAAATTTTTAAGCCACTATGTTACAAAATTTATAACTAGACTTTAAAATTTTTTCCCTAAAAATTTTACTGTTTTATCTAGTATATCAGGCCCACAACAGTACTTAGATAAAACAGCAAACCTCTTGTGAGAAAATATAGGCAAGAGATGTATTATTTGACTTACTTTTCTAAAACATTTCACATATTAATAGTC
Organism: Homo sapiens; assembly: GCF_000001405.40. NCBI lineage: Eukaryota > Metazoa > Chordata > Mammalia > Primates > Hominidae > Homo > Homo sapiens. Next base: position 75,839,822 of record NC_000006.12, on the reverse strand, counting down.
TCCATATTTAACATTTTTACATGTATATCCAGTGAAATTTAACAAATTAAGAGTTTACAGAATTACCTAAGGCTCTCAGAATAATGGGTTTTAAAATCCTAGTGAACAAATATAATATTTTCACTGTTATTTTATAATCACCTATACACATATCATGACTGGATAAGAGTTACTAGATTCTACTCTTATACTCATCTAAATCTCAATTACAAACATACCAAATTAGTGTTAATCTTACACACATATTCTCCATCAACAAACTTAAAGTGCTTCATGATGTTCAGTGTTAAAATTTTTTTTATGAAGCATGTTCTTCCTATAATAAACATGAAGCTGGCCAGGCTTGGTGGCTCATGCCTGTAATCCCAGCACTCTGGGAGGCCGAGGCAGGCGGATCTCGAGGGCTGAAGATCGAGACCATCCTGGCTAACACGTTGAAACCCCGTCTCTACTAAAAATATAAAAAATTAGCCAGGCGTGGTGGCAGGTGCCTGTAGTCCCAGCTACATGGGAGGCTGAGGCAGGAGAATGGCGTGAACCCCGGAGGCAGAGCTTGCAGCGAGCCGAGATCGCGCCACTGCACTCCAGCCTGGGAGACAGCGATACTCCATCTCAAAAAAATAAATAAATAAAATAAAATAAATTAAAAAATAAACATGAAGTCATATTTCTTATGAAGCCTTTTCAAGCAGATTTCTCCTATTCTATCTAGAGTAGAATGCTTAACTAGTCTCTAAACTCTTTTAAAGATCATTCCCCAGCCATTTCACATGCCAAAATAAGAAAACATTAAAACTAAAAGAAATATTAACATATATCCCTCATGTTTCAGATGGGATAAAAAAACTGAAGCCAACATGGTCAGCCAGGCGCGGTGGCTCACACCTGTAATCCCAGCACTTTGGGAGGCCGAGGTGGGCGGATCATGGGGTCAGGAGTTTGAGATCAGCCTGACCAACATGGTGAAACCCCGTCTCTACTAAAAATACAAAAATTAGCCAGGCATGGTGGTGGGCACCTGTAATCCCAGCTACTCAGGAGCCTGAGGCAGGAGAATCACTTGAACCCGGGAGATGGAGGTTGAGGTGAGCCGAGATCTTGCCACTGCACGCCAGCATGGGTGAAAGAGTGAGACTCCAACTCAAAAAAAAACAAGAAGAAAAAAAAAAAAAAACCATGGTCAACTCACTCTTCAAAGTCCACATAACTGGCTGTGTTAACAAAAAGAGGACTCAATTACAGGTCTCCCCAACTCCCTTACTGATAATCTACTAGTTTTTGCTGAAGAATTTAATACAAGTAAAATATCCCAAAATAGGATAAGAACCTCTCCAACAGAAAATCATATTAATGCTACTAATAATATACTCATTCCAAAACCAGCAACTAAACTTCTATTAAGGATGGGATCAAAAGACGCTATACCCTTCTAGTTACATTTACTATTCTCCATTAAGAGGCTATTGAGCTGGGTGCAGTGGTTCACACCTGTAATACCAACACTTTGGGAGGCTGAGGCAGGCAGATCACCTGAGGTCAGGAGTTCAAGACCAGCCTGCCCAACATGGTGAAACCCCGACTCTACTAAAAAAATACAAAAATCAGCCAGGCGTGGTGGCACACACCCCTATAATCCCAGCTACTCGGTAGGATGAAGCAGCGCTATCACTTGAACTCGGGAGACAGAGGTTACAGTGAGCCAAGATCACACCACTGCACTCCAGACTCGGCGACAGAGTGAGACTCAGTCTCAAAAAAAAAAAAAAAAGAAGCTATAGAAGCACTTGGAATAACACTTTCCAACTTGTCTCCACTATAACACACTACATACTGTACAGCACATTACTGGGGAAGAAACTGGGTGTATATCCAATTATTAAGTGAGTGTGCACCTCAAGTGAGCAAATCAGAATACTAATTAGTCTTTTACTGAGGTAGCCCATAATTTGTTCTTTTTTATTAATTTATTCAGTTTTTAAGAACGACTCCCTCGCTAAAGTAAGGCACTTTACTGTGAATAAAGCATTACTTACAAGATAAGTACATATCTGGGTATGTTACAACACCACATAAAAACTGTAAATGAAACTAGGAAATTCTTTATATTAAAAAAAAACTTTACTGGTGCTCAACTTTAAAAATGTTTATTAGAGTTGTATTTAGATTGATCTACATGCAGATTTTACATCATTGTGAAAAATGCACATATCATTTGCTATGATCTAGCAAAATGCATGAACATACAAGGCCCCTAATAAGTTTTTGTTCAACCAACATTTTTCTTTAAGATGTCAAGAGCATGTGTATTGCACTCCTAGAGTCCCAGCTACTTACAAGGCTGAGGCAGGAGGATTGCTTGAGCCCAGGAGGTTGAGACCAGCCTGGGCAACATAGTGAGATGCTGTCTCTAATTTAAAAACAAAAAATGCCAAGAGAGTGTTAAAATATGCATTTACTACGGCATGTAGTTAAAATGCTTAGCTTTATATCCGAATTTCACAACTGATGAACTATATGAGCTTCAGCATATTTAAATATTATCATCTTTAAAGTAGGGATAAAATAGTTTCTAATTCATTCTGTGAAGATTTAAATTACATAACAGATTTTTAAACAAATGAGATAATGCCTAATACATCCCATATATGTTATTACCACCATTATTATTAAAAAATGCTTACTGAGTACATAGTGGGGGAAAGTAAGACAGGGAGAAGGAGAAAAAGTGTTCAGAGAAGCCTGTTTAAGACAGCTCAAAGAACTACAAGGAGCCCAATGTGATTAAAGCATAAGGAGTCAGAAGAAACATGACTCCAGGTGAGCTCAGAAGAGGCAGGAGCCAGACCACACAGAGCACTGTGGGTGATGTTATGAATCTAGGGCATGATGTTGAGAGCAATATGAAGCCATCAGATTATTTAAAGCAAAAGAAATTATTCCAGCTGGGCGCGGTGGCTCACCCCTATAATCCCAACATTCTGGGAGGCCAAGGCGGGTGGATCACTTGAGGTCAAGAGTTCAAGACCAGCCTGGCCAACATGGTGAAACCCCATCTCTACTAAAAATACAAAAATTAGCCAGATGTGGTGGTGGGCGCCTGTAATCCCAGCTACTCGGGAGGCTGAGGCAGGAGAATCACCTGAACCCAGGAGGCAGAGGTTGTAGTGAGCCAAGATCAAGCCACTGCACTCCAGCCTGGGTGACAGAGTGAGATTCCACCTCAAAAAAAAAAAAAGAAAAGAAAAAGAAAAAGAAATTATTCCAAATTCTATACAGAGACTGGATTAAGGAGAAGTAAGAATCTAAGTGAAGAGACAAAACAGGAGTCTATGATGCAGGAGGGCATCATGCAGGAGATTCAACATAATGGTAGTCTAGGCCAGCAGTCTCCAAACTGAGGTACAAGAAGACTTTCTAAGAAGGTATACAAGCATGGATAGCTTAAGGAAATCAATTTACACACTACGGCCTTCGTTAAAAAATGACTTCTCTAAAAAAGCACCTAATGCCAAATAACCCTTCTTCCTCTTTCCTTTACACAAAACAAGCTCCATAAAACAAACTGGAAGCTAAAGACATTCCTGTATTCTTTCATTCATTCAACAGATATTTATGCTCTGTATCAGTTACCATTCTAAGGGTTTGGAATATGAAACAAAAATCCCTGCCTTCTTAGTGTTTTCATGAGGTGCGGGTGGGGGCAGAAACAATTGATATTAGGTAAATAACAAGATGATATATGAGCAATGATTAGTAGGAGATAAGAGAGTCTTTTGCATCTCTGAGAGAAGAACATTCCAGACCACTAAAAGAAGTCTTGTAAATTAATTTCAGTACACGCGTAACAACTGAAAAATTAGCAATACCTTCAACAATTCTGTCATCAATATCTTGACCTGTTCCATAGGATTCAGTCAGGTATCTGTTTAAAATATAGGATAAAAAATGTTGATGACAATAATATGGTGTACAATAATTTATAATTATCTAGTACATATAAAACTGAAACCTAGATCATCATTATAACAAATGTGTAATTAAATGCAACTATTCTGTCATAGCTTTTTAAATTTATTTAAAATTCTATTTGGGGTCAGGTGTGGTGGCTCATGCCTGTAATCCCAGCATTTTGGGAGGCCAAGGAGGGTGGATTACCTGAGGTCAGGAGTTCGAGACCAGCCTGGCCAACATGGTGAAACCCCTTCTCTACTAAAATACAAAAAATTAGCCAGGCATGCTGGCATGCGCCTGTCATCCCAGCTACTCAGGAGGCTGGGGCAGGAGAATCGCTTGAACCTGGGAGGCCAAGGTTGCAGTGAACCAAAACTGCACCACTGCACTCCAGCCTGGGCGACAGAGTGAGACTCCGTTTCAAAAAAATATATATATATATTTGGTGGTACTATGCTCATTACCTCAATGATGAGATCATTCACACCCCAAACCTCTGTGTCACAAAATATACTCATAACAAACCTGCACATGTGTGGCCTGAATCTAAATGTTGAAATTATAAAAATGAAAAATAAATTCTATTTGTATTGCATTTAACATCTAATTGACATTGTTTTTTAAATTGTTTTGGGAATGTTCTGATTTTATCCAACTATTTGATTTTAAATATATCATATTCATAAACTATAGGAGATGTCAAAGCCTTTTGTGAGAGCCTATTAATTCAATCTTTGGCTACAGAAAATGAGGCAATCTGCCTCCGAACAACTGGGAAGTTATCACTATTCATGTTGTTTCACTGAAATATGAAACACAGAGAAATAACTATTTGCCTGGCACATTTCAAAATAAAGAGCAATCCTTAATTTAAAATGTAAGTTCATATTATAAGTTTATAACTCCTTAACTTTTTGTTCATTTTCATACATTAACCATAGACTCATATAGACTATTACATACAGGAAAGAAAGAAAAAGAAATTGAAACACTTAGAATCCAAGAATACTGGGAAGCATTCACTTAACCAGAATTGTGTGTATGTATATATACACATATATATAACAGCTGTTAACAAACTCTTCAATTGATTTTACATAAATAACTCTGAACAGCATACATATTTACATAATGAATAGCAAACTTTCATAGTACCACTATGCAGCAATCAACTAAGAACTATAATTCTGTGGGAGTAACACTGGTGAGTATGCTGCTCCTAGCAGTAGTTCAACCACTAGATCTAACCTCATGGGTATGTAAATTAAAAGAACTATACTACAATGAGTGTTATGATTCCTTCCATTTTTAAAATGCTATAATTCTAAACAAAGTGTAAGGCCAGGCATGGTGGCTCATGCCTGTAATCCCAGCACTTTAGGAGGTCAAAGTGGGAGCATCACTTGAGTCCAGGAGCTGGACACCAGCCTGGACAACATAGCATAACCCTGTCTCTACAAAAAAATAAAAAATTAGCCAGGATGGTGGCACATGCCTGTGGGTCCCAGTTACTTGGGAGGCTGAGGTAGGAGGATCACTTGGCCCCAGGAGGTCGAGGATGCAGTGAGCTATGATTGCACCACTGCCCTACAGCCTGGGTGACTGGGCAACAGAGCAAGACCCTGTTTTCAAAAAAAAACAAACCAAACCAAACAAACAAACAAACAAAAAAACACAATGCAGAGAGTTTAATTTAATGGCAGCAAAGAGAACACATTAGGAGGCAGACTATAGGGAAATAGAAATAAGGAGGCAAATTATCGTAAGCTTAAGGTAAAAAATGGTTTTAACCATGCTAACAACAGAAATATAGACAGAACGTAAATGTGAGATTCTTAAGGAATATTTCTAGATCACCCTTTGTCTAACCAGTACCAGTATCCTCCAAGATCCTCGTGTGAATAACATGTCAGAGCTGGCTTTCAGTAATCTATAGACTAGCTTCCATATAAGATGTCTGTATCTTAAAAAGGATAGAGCCCACCATTCCAAACTATGTCATGAAGTATGCAAAGGTATTAAAAGTCAACCTTTTCAAATTCTCAAAGAAATATTTGCACACCCATGTTCATAACAGCACTATTGACAATAGCCAAGAGGTGGAAGTAACCTAAATGTCCATTGACAAATGCATGGATAAACAAAATGTACCACAGATCTACAATAAAATAGTATTCAGCCTTAAAAAGGAAGGATGGGATCCAAAATACTAAAAAATAAAAATAAAAGGAAGGAAATTCTGACACATACTACAACATGGATGAATCTTAAGTTGAGTTAAATAAAATAGGCCAGTCACAGAAAGACAAATACTGTGTAATTTCACTTACATGAGAAATAGCTAAAGTAGTTAAATTCACAGAAAAACTGGAAAGTAGAATGGTGGTTGCTAGGTGAGTGGATAAATGGAGTTGTTGTTGCATGGGTCAAGTTTTAGTTTTCCAAGATGAAAGTTCTGGAGATGGTACAGATTGGCTGCACAACAACGTGAATATACTTAATGCTACTATGCTATACACTTAGAAATGGTTGACAACTTTTACTTAAGTATTTTTTTACCAGAAAAAAGTCAACCTGGTTGCCAAGCATGGTGGTTCATGCCTATAATCCCAGCATTTTGGGAGGCCAAGGCAGGAGGGTTGCTCAAGCCCAGCCCAGAAATTCGAAACCAGCCTAGGCAACACAGTAAGACTTCATCTCTACAAAAAAAGTAAAAGATTAGCAGGGCATGGTGGCATGTGCCTATAGTCCCAGCCATTCGGGAGAATGAGGTGGAACAGTGGCTTGAGCCCAGGAGGTCAAGGCTACAGTGAGCTGTGGTGGTGACACTGCATTCCACCCTGGGTGACACAGTAAGACCCTATCTCAAGGGGGGAAAAAAAAGATCAACCTACTCAAATACTTCAAGTTAGCTGAATACTCACCTTAGAACAAATTTTGTATTTTCTGTTTTGCCGGCTCCTGATTCTCCAGATACAATGATAGACTGACTCATCTTGAGCACCTTCATGTCTCGAAAAGCTTTATCAGCTAGGGTCAAAATAAGACATTAATGATGAGCAATATATTAAATATAAAGTTAATAATAGAAAGTTCACTTTAGGACCACTTACTCTTAAAGAAATCATAAATGTCTATTCAATGTTAATGAAATTTTAAAATAAAGTCATTCAAAAGTGTTCAAATCATTTTAAAAGTATTTACTTTAAATGTTCTATCTTATTATCCTAAAAGTTAAGTAATATGAAATCCAAATAAACAACTCTTAAGTTTCTGACAGAATGTCTTGATATTATGGGCTGTGGCTCATCTCTTCCTAATTCCAGAGCTGATCTGCAGAGGGATTAAAAAAATGGTCACTATGCATAACTAATGAAGTCCCCAGTGAAAAGCAAGAATTAATGAGCTTCCAATTAAGAAATCTAGCAACCAAAAATTCAGCTGGAAAAAAAAATACATAATGGCAACTTGGGTTTTTTTCTCTAATACAACTATTAAATTTAGAATTTGTCAACATTTTACAATTAGGCAAAATTAACAGCTTTAAATTTCCTAGATTATATCTGTGGGGTTTTTTCCTCTAATACAACTATTAAATTTACAATTTGTCAACATTTTACAACTAGGCAAAATTAACAGCTTTAAATTTCCTAGATTTGCCTCTGTTTACATATATATTTTTTAACTATCTTCATTAGACTCCAACAATTTAGGCTATAAACTGTATTAAATGTTAAGACTACACAGACAAGTTGAAAGCAATTTAATGCTGTTAAAGCAGTCTCAAATTAAGACAACTTTAATTCAAAACTAGGTCATCACAATTTGGCTCTATAAGACAACTATTTCTCACCTCAGACATGTGCCAAGAAGACTTCAGAAACGGCTTTTACTCTAAGGGGAGAATGCAAACCATATACAAGAGCGCACACATCCCTTTGTCCAATTTATCAGCAGCGCTTTTTTCTTTTTTTTTTTTTTTGAGACAGGGTATCTCTCTGTCACCCAGGTTGAAGTATAGTGGCATGACTTCACCTCACTGCAGCCTCGATCTCCTGAGCTCAAGCGATCTTCCCACCACTGCCTCCAGAGTAGCTGGGACTATAGGCAAGCACATGCCCGGCTAATTTTTTCATTTTTTTTATAGAGACAAGATTTTGCATGTTTGCCCAGGCTGGTCTTGACTTCCCAGGCTCAAGCGATCCGCCCTCCCCGAAGTGCTTGGATTACAGGCATAAGCCACCACACCCATCCTCCACACATTTTTAAAGAATCATTCCAAACACTTGTTTTTTCGCAGTAAAAAGCTAAAAATAAAAGCTAGTTTATTTACATTTTAAACATGTAACTTTTCTCCAGTGATGTTTGCTCGTATTCAGGTTCTAAGGGATGGGGCACCGTTTTGCAGGCTGCAACACAACGATGCCTGTCATAGCTTCTTCAAGCCAAAAGTAAATCTGCTGCTGCCCTGGTAGAGTAATTATGTCAGCCATATTCACTCTACCTAGTAGCAGACAACATACAGGTCAACCAAATCTGGAAGTGAACTCTGGTTAGGCCAAAACACAAGCATGAAGGGAAAGCCCAAAGAGAAACAGGATGCACTACGAACTAGTTCCAATACATGTCATTTAGCTGCTTTATGTCTGAATGCAAAGGGTTAGCTAACACCTCCGCATTTGGTGGGAAGAGGGGTAATTGCTCATTCTGATCTAAAACCTCCAACCTCTATGACTCAGAGCTGGAGGACTTCAAAATAAAAGAGGCTGAGAAAGGCAAAGAGACACTACTGTCTTCCCACATAGATTCTCCAGTGGTATGAAGCATATACTACTTTTAATCCTTTAATTTTATAAACCCCTGATGCAAGATGATGCCCAGAAGTCTGCTCTTACAGCTGAAATCTAGCCCAAGTAACACACTCATAAGGGATGAGCTGGGTAAGAGATGAAGGCCAGAACCTCAAAATTGTGAAGGAGGACAATTTTAAGATGGAGCTGATGGTATTAAAAAGTCTAAAAGTACCATTAGGTCAGCTTTTATTATATCCTGCTTTCACCTGGGCAGACATCTCTTAGAGGACACAGGCATTTAACACAGATAATGATGTATGGTAAGCCTGCCCCATTAGTTGACTACAAAAGTATTCTTCCTCACCCTGTGTAAAATACTTGCTCCTAACAATGTTGATATATCCAAGAGGTATACAGTTTCTCCAAAATATATATTCAATTTATGGTATCTTTTATTAATCCAAAAGAAAAATTGAGTAAATTTGTACAATATAAAGAAAGACAAGAATTAAAATACATTTAAAATCACTTACCAATTGCAAAGACATGAGGTGGTCTTGTCCCAAGAGATTTTCCTTGATATGACTTTATTGCTTCTGAAGAATATATTTTAGGTATGTCAAAGTATGGATTCACTGCAATCAGAATGTTGGCGACATATGTCTAAATACGAAAAGCATAAACATAAAATATTCCAATTACTATTTTCATTTAAAGATAAACAAAGCTCATAGAAAAAATAAAATACAAAAAATTTCAATTATCTATATAACTAAGACTCCCAAATCAGTCCTAAATATTCCCTGAGTATTCCCTGATCTTTATAGGGACCCATATTTCTCCAATTCTTAATAAATATTTGTATCTTACCAACCCATAGGCACCTTTAGTTCGGCATATCCAAACTCAAGATTATCTCTTCCCACCTACCTCTGCCTCAAAGAAAATATTATCCTTCCATGTGCTTCCTCAGGGACATGGCATCACCACCAAGTCACCACAGACAGAAATCTGAGTCTCTAGCTCTATCTCATTCAGCCTTCTCCTGTTGACTCTACTTATGAAATCTCCTACCGCTAAGTTTTAGTCATTTGTATTCCTTACCTACTGTATTCACCCTGCTACTAAGGAGTTTAATACAGCTCGTAGCACCTTCTGGGCCCATCCCTATCACTGAATGCCAAGGATTGATTTAGCTCTGTAGTGACCATTTGGTCCCAGATTTCTTCCAAACAATATATGTTAACCATTGCCTAGAACATTTATGGGTTAAATGTTTAATGAGCAACTTAAGCTTGCTTTTAATTTTGGAATTTAGCACATATTAGATACTCAACATGAGTCAGCTGATTGAGTAAATTTTGCCTCTAAATATATTTCTAATCAAGAATAGCCACATTTAAACTTAAATATGTTCTTTATTTAGTTGATTTTGAAAAAATCAGGGAGAAAAGTCTTAAAACTACATATAACTAGAAGATGGCAAGTATACTCTTTTGGAATAGAATAAATAAGTTCTATCTCCCAGCTGTCACTACTTGGACAGATGGCAGAGACTAAATGTAATTTAGTCAGAATTAAGTAAGTACAATTAGGCAAACTGATAGTGATATAATAGATTAAGACTGTCATTTGATCTAGTAAGTGTCAAAGAAGCCATGTGTTTTCTTCGTTCAAAAATAATGAACAGCCCCATCTTTATAACAGGAGAACTACAGTGGGGTAATTTATCTCCAGTCACCAAAGGACTACACAGTTAGGTGATACTGGAATAAAGTCTCATGCATGCCCAAAGAATAATTATAATTAAAACATACTAGGTTAAGTATCCATCTGAATGATTTGGTGTAAACCTTGACTATTTACACTGAAAGCATTTTCTTTCATTTTTGAATATTCTGGACTTTCAAGGTAGAGTACCTACGGTCTAATGAAATTCAGCAACTATTTAGGCTCTATGGTCAGCATTCCTGTGTTCTTAGTATTTCCTCAGATACTACCTCCTATTCTGATTTACATTTTTTTCCTCATTCAAATTTTTAATTTCAATATACATTCCTTATAGGCTGCCTTACATTGTCTTCCAAACAATGTGGAAAGTGAATCAAACATATCTACAGACATACCAGAAGTCAAAAATCAAAACCAAAAACCATTACAGTGCTTTTAAAAATACTCAAACTGGACATTTTTAAGTCCAAAAGATATTAAACGACACTCTGAATTCATTATTTCATCCCACAAATACTGATTAAGTGCTTTCTGTGTACCAGGCATGCTTTAACTCCTAGAGTTCGAGTTGTAAATTAGAAAAAAATCTTTGTCCTCACTAACCTCACACTCTATTCAAGAGGCTCAGATCAAGCATGATTTTCTGTTAGACAATTTCAAGCGTGACAAAATCAAAGAGTACCACATGAAATAATTATCTCCACAAAAACTTACACTACAGGTAAAATACTTACATAAATTCTGTCTTTACTATATCGAACTTTGATATTATGGAGCAGTGTGGCTTCATTTAAATACATTAGTGAACCTAAGACATAAAATTTATATGTCATTAGAGAATTGAAGAAAACAAATAAAATAAAGCAATACTATCTTAATCTGAATCACTTTGACTCATCCTAAAAATCAATTGTTAGGTTACATTTAACTCCATCTTTTTTAAAACCCTGGCTGATGTAAACCCTAGAAGCTGATTTAAAAGCGATTCAGTTTACATGTGTGTTACAGTGATATTTTTAAGTAATGAATTTTCAACTAAAAGAGTAAACCTAGTGAGTACTCATTAATGAAGGTTGATTAAAAAGCACAATTCAAGAGGGAAAAAAGTACTACAATAGATAGCTCTGATTTTAATATACTTCTGACACAACAAAGTGATGACACCAATCCAATCTGATACTCAGAATTTCACAGATAAAACACAAAAGATAAAATTTTAGAATGGGAACAGACCATCAAATCATTCAGGGAGTCCTTCACAACTGACATAATGAAGACTCCTAGAGAAATTATGTATGTCTTAACTGAGAATATGAAGCTAATTAATGGGAGAGTTTGAACAGATAAATCTTGTTTGTGTGACATCTGCTCTACTGAAGTGTCAGAACTGACTCCCAATCTATTCTCCAAGTCCTTCAATCTCCTGAGCTCCATTTCTATGCCTTGCTAGAGTAGACAAAAACCACTCCTCTTCTCAACCACCTTGTTTCTGTTATTAGCACCACCATTTTCTCTGTCACTGAAATTGTAAACCTTAGTCAACACTAAAATCATCTTCTCTCTCCCTCCTTATTCTAAACCAGTTTCCAAATCTTTATGCCATGTAAGAAAGTACAGCACAGTGCCAGCTCATGGCAGGTACTCAAAGCATAATCTGAATCTCTCAACCTATCTCCTTTCTTTCCATTTCTACTGCTCCAATACCAGTTTAGTTCTCATTACCTCTTTTGTGATCATGGTAGCCTCTTATTTACCTATTGCCTCAGTCTCTCTCCTCTCTAATCCAGACTTCTCAGCACATTAACTAAAGTAGAGCCCTCATCAAATCTCTCTCCCCATAAAATCATCACTGGGTCTCTATCAACATCCAAATTCATGTCTGATCAGAGCTCTTAATAAACCTACATTCATGACCTTTTCATATAATTTTCCACAATTCACCTTAATACTAACTCATAGACAGACTGAACTATTTATTAGATGCAGGTATCATTCATCTATCGGCTTCCATGTAGAATATCCTCTACATTTCTAGGTGTCAAAAACCTACCTACTCTTTAAGGTCAGTACAAAGGTTACCCTACAAATGACACTTACCCATTCTCACCACCACCACTACAACTACTATCTTTGCAATTTCTTTATGGTTCTTACCACACACTGCCAGTGTTATTATGATAATTTTACATATCTGGTTTTGTCTACTAAATCAGATCCTTGGGGGCAAGATGCTGCCTGATTCATTTGTTTGATCCCTCATTGAAACTGCTCATGTGCCTACACTGCATGTATGTCTAACATACTATTCAACACCTAACCAATGGTGTCAAACAAGAGCCTCTTGCCATAACTACCTCCACAGACTGCCCATCCATCTATAATCATTTAATGCAGCCAGTTCACTTTCACCTCACTGCTTTTTTTTTTCTTTTTTTGAGACAAAATCTCACTCTGTTGCCAAGGCTGGAGTGCAGTGGCACGATCTCAGCTCACTGTAACCTCCACCTCCTGGGTTCAAGCGATTCTCCTGCCTCAGTCACCTCACTGCTTTCTAGTGCCACTTAGGGCAGAATAAAAGAGAGTAAGAAGTGGGTAGAGGCTCCTAACAGCTGAATGGCAGCTTTCCTTTGAATTAAGGAAGGATATAGAGAGGGTTAGGCAGCAGAGGTATTAATATATCTGGTTTGGGTATGAGGTCACCTACCTTTCTATATCCCTAATCTTCCATCCTTGTCCCCTGGAGCCTGGTCTACACGTTCCTCTTTCTTTACCCAAAGCACTCTGTTGAACCACTCCCCATCTCTCTCACTTTCCTCTGAAATACCTGGTTGCATGATGTTGTCACTGCTTCCTCTAAGTAAAAACTCGTAATCCTACAGTACGCTTCCCCTGTGAACGCTAATCATATAAGCCTACACAGACATGGGAATTACTACTTGCTCTCCTATCTTTACTCCTTCCACACTCACCACCTACCTTTTCAGGGATGTGTGTTTATTAAACCAAATAAATTCCTAACTGATGAAGTATCTGCTGATGACAATAAGAATTTGGACAGGAGGGTATTCCTCTGAAATCATGCCACACAGGCCATTCCATTTTCAAGAAGACACAGAAAAAGAGAGAGGGAGAGGAAAATATTTGCAACCCTGTCTTGCCAGAATGTGAAATGCTAAGTCCCAACTGCCTACATCTCCCTAAAGGTATGACCTAGGTATGTCCACAAGGGCCTCACAAATAACTTCCTGCTCTACCAAATAATTCCTTCCTCCTGTCCTTTCCTAGTAGTCAGTCCTAGGATTACTTGGCTTGGCTATTTACATGCAACTCTTTATGTAAACTGTTTACCTTTTATGCCTAATTATTAACAGATTTAACTATACCCAAAAGAATATTAAAATTTTGAAACAATTTAACATAAGACATATAACAAAATATTTGAATAAACAATTAGTTTCTTTATAAACACTGTTTTAATAAATAAATATATAACATATACAAAAGTTTCTAATGAAGATTAGGTATGACTTCATTATTAAATTTAGATATCTGACTAGAGAGTTATCTGAGCATTTAAGATCCTGTTTAATCATTACAGCTCTGGCTCACTAAAAGAAAAAAAGAACCCACAAACAACTTCAACACAGAAGTCAATCAATTCTAAATATATGTTGTTGTAGAAGTCATTCCATTACAGAAAAAGAGACTGAGGCAACTTTTAGAATTCTTTCCAATTTTATTTATTTATTATTTAGAGACAGAGCTTCACTCTTGTCACCCAGGCTGTAGTGCAACAGCGTGATCTCGGCTCACTGCAATCTCCGCCTCCTGGGTTCAAGGGAGTCTCCTGCCTCGGCCTCCCAAGTAGTTGGGATTACCGGCGCCCACCACCATGCTCAACTAATTTTTGTACTTTTAGTAGAGACAGGGTTTCACCATGTTGGCCAGGCTGGTCTCAAAGTCCTGACCTCAGGTGATCCACCCATCTCAGCTTCCCAAAGTGCTGGGATTACAGGAGTGGGCCACTGCGCCCGGTTTCTTTCCAATTTTATACTCTATACTTTATTATTATCAACATCTAATAGACAATAATTCACGAAGAACATTATGTGCCATGAAAGTCATGGTAGCTCAAAATCAGCATGGAAAAATGCTATTATTTTCCTTTTAATTACTGACTTCACACGCCCAATTTTCCTATTCTTGTGACAATAAGCAACAGTCAAACAGCAAAATTAACATACTAATTTCTACATATAAAACCCTTCACATAGAAAACTCAGAGCTATAGCTCGGTGCAGTGGCTTACGCCTATAATCCCAGCACTTTGGGAGCCCAAGGCAGGCAGATCATCTGAGGTCAGGAGTTTGAGACCAACCTGGCCAACATAGTGAACCCAATCTCTACTAAAAATACAAAAATTAGCTGGACATGGTGGTGCACACGTGTAGTCACAGCTACTCAGAAGGCTGAAGCAGAAGAATTGCTGGAACCCGGGAGGCGAAGGTTGCAGTGAGCTGAGATCACACCACTGCACTCCAGTCTGGGTGACAGAGCGAGACTGTCTCAAAAAAAAAAAAAAAAATTTAGACCGAAAAGTAGGTAATAAGTGTTGCTACACTGTTAAGGCACTGTTAAGGCACTACTTCTGTTTCAGTAGAACCTTCAACACATACTTCAGAACACTCTCTACAGGCATCAATCATTTAATCTTCACATTACCATAATATAAAGAAGAAAAGAATTTTAGAAATATGCATGTGAGACCCTGTGTGTGTGTGCATGTGTGTGTGTGTGCAAGTGTATAACACAAAGCTACCACTATAGCTTTGTGTTACAGTGTGTCATTCAGCAGAGGACAGTGGTATGGTGGCATGCCTCAGATGAAAGTACTAAGTGACAGAACCACTGCAGCTGGAAACCCTACATTCTAAACTCAACAACCAAAGTTGTGTTAATAATGTGGTTTCAGAAAAGTGTCTTCAGTAGGGATGGGCTACTATCTTATGAGAATAGTTAACACCCACACATTAACACTGCTGCCATCTGGCATCACCAAGGAAACCACCTGCCAGAGGCAGCAAATACTGAGGTTGCAAAAATTTGTAAGTTAGACAAGCATAGCAAGACAAAGCAAATGGAGAGAGAATGTTTTAAAATATTAATTTAAGAAATGGATTAAAAACTATTCAAAACCATTTGTCACATTTAGAGACATACACATTAATAAATGAAAAGGATTGATTCCCAGTTCTGCACACCCTAGCAAGTTTTAACAGCACAAAAATTTGTATTTTAGATATGGTACAGTCTCATTCCTTATTATTTTATTCTGATTGCTATTCAAAAATGTATTATTTAATCAGACAAACTCTCCAGCAATTTTGGAAAGGAAGGGAATTCTACATTTTTTTCCTCAATCTCTTGCACCTAATAAAAACAGCTACCATTTATTAAGAGTCATTAGATGCTGTGCAAAGCACTTTATATCATCTCTAATCATACAACATACACATTACTTCCATTCTACAGATGAGAATTTCAGAAGAGAGACGAAATGCCCACGAGCAGACAGCCTCCTAACAACATAGAATCAGAATTTAGGCTTGCCTAACTCTACAGTTACAGTCCATGGCTCCCCATTACTCCCACTAGTCTATGCTGCCACCATTCTACATATGGGGGTTTTATAGTCTTACTCAAATGTGAATTCCAGAGAAAATCAATAATAACACATCTATTCCTTTCTCTTACCTTTTCTTCTCAAATGGAGAGTTTTTAGTATTAGGTACCTTGACAACTGTACATAATTGTTAACACTACCTTTTTTTGTTAAATGGAGAGTTGTTAGTGTCAAGTACCTTTAATGAAATCCATGACAAGTGTACATAATTGTTAACACTGCTGCCCCCAATATGAAATGATTACTGCTTAATCTTAAAAATGTAAGAATAAACATTGGCCTGTTCCATCGAGAAGAGCTTTTTTCATCAAACATGCAAAGATGTTATAAGTCAAATTAATGCTGTGTTTTAATATAATTGTTCTGAAATTAATTTTTCAATTAGTAATTATATAGAATTTTTTTAAATGCATGTTTGCTTCAAACGGTGATGTTAAATGACTCCTACTGACTCAACTTCCAAATTACTGAACCACATATACTACAATAAAAACCACCTGACTCTAAATAAGGTTCAATAACTTTCAAAACTGTTAACAAGAGACTTTTAGTTCAAGCCTTACAGTAATTACCATTCCCCACATTTATGCAACTCAAATAACACCAAAAGAACACTCAAGACTCTTTCACCAAAATGCAAATGTGAGACAACATGGAGGACTCGAGTTCCTTCATTCACATGAATATTCATGTCAAAAGACTAGATTGTTTCTGAACCCGCACAGTGTATCAGTTATATAACCACTAATTTATTTTTTTAAAAGAACAGTCTCCTTTTCTGTGCGGAGAGTTAATTTTTAACTTGGTACTTACAGTTATCTTCCACATCTTTTTTACTGTCCTCTTCTGCAGGAAACACTTGGTTTATGAGAGCCAAAAATGTCTAACAAGCAAAACAAATGCTCATTAAACTCAAGGCTTTTAAATAGTAAGAACAATAGAAGGGCTTAATTGGTTGCATACACTGTAATAGTGGCAACAATATGCTCTTTATTAAAATATAATACAGATAATACTATTTAACAAGTCATTAACCCCAAAACAGAACAATAACTTTACTCAAAAATATTATCTACTATTACTGTGGACATGAAATCAACAATAAAAATCAGTAAGTAAGTATCCTAGGCTCCAACACCTAAAGAAGGACAAAAAAAGAGGTATATTAATATTAAATTTACATACATATGCTATTTAACAAATTTTTTTAAATAAAATGTTAATGTGGTAGATACAGCAATTTCAGTGTTTTAAAAAAGGAAAAAGTAACCGGGCACAGTGGCTCATGCCTATAATCCCAACACTTTGGGAGGCCGAGGCGGGTGGATCATCCGAGGTCAGGAGTTTGAAACTAGCCTGGCCAACATGGTAGAACTCCGTCTCTACTAAAAATACAAAAATTAGCCAGGCGTGATGCAGCACCCCTGTAATCCCAGCTACTGGGGAGGCTGAGGCAGGAGAATCCCTTGAACCCAGGAGGTGGAGGATGCAGTGAGCCGAGATCATGCCATTGCACTCCACCCTGGAAGACAAGAGTGAAATTCCATCTCAAAAAAAAAAGACAGAAAAAAATTCCATCTCAAAAAAAAAAGACAGAAAAAAATAACATTCAATCAGATAACCAGAGGGTTATATTAATAGCTATTGTTTCAGTAAAATATATTTGACACAAACTCCTGTACAAAAATCTGTCAGAAATATAAAAAATACCAAAAAATATTTCGTCTGTAAAATTACAAGTATCCATGAATACTTATATTTATTTTATCACTTAAATGCTAGAGTAACACTGCAGAATTAAGATAACATCTCATAAGAGAGAACAAATGATCTCAAATGACATCCAAAGAGAATTAAATTTTAATCCATGCCATTCTCACAGTTATTTATAAGCTGATACAGTACTTCTCAAACAATGACAATTACTCTTGTGGCTGAAGTTTCTAATTGTATCAAAGAAAACTGCAGGGAAAAATGGTTCAATTATTTTAAAATAATATTTATAGGGGTGTGTGTGTGTGTGTTTGTGTGTGTGTGTGTAAAGCTACAACTATAATGAGTAAAATCCACGCTGCTGGGACTACCTCAATTCTAAGTCACACCCAATGTAGAAAACTGTTATGCCATAGAAACTCTGGAAGTTAATTACTTGGAACCCAGTACACATGTTGTTAATGTTATAAATGTGGAGAAGTTTGTAGGACAGGCCACAAAAGCAAAATTAACCCATCATGTGCATTAAGTATATTAATGGTAATATAAAACAAGCCACAATTTATAATAATGATTCTATAGGAAAATGCATTCAGAAATAACTGCTAATGTCATATATGTATGTGCCCAACTTTCACAGCCATGGCAAGAGGGTTACGGGCTCCCCAGACTTCAGGGTTTAGCTCTGCCTGGTAGGAGCCATGTCAAATTAAAAAGGTTCCAAGAAGTTAGATGATGAGGGGAGTGGGGATGAGGGGAGGCCAATGACAAAGAGTTGCTGGAATGAGAAAGTTAAGAGCAGGCTAAAAGGCCAGTAAGGAGTCCTGAAAGGTGTTTTCTCTCCCTCCTTCTTTATTCTTTAAATTATCACCACCCCATCTTCCTCTCTCCTTAAAATGTTTCATTAATTGTTTTCTCTTAGAAGAAGGAGGCTTTTTTCTGCTAAAAACATATCTTGATCACTCAGCATTAAACACCTACCACAAGTCAAATACAGAGCATCAAGCTCTAATGACAGAATAAAATAGCCCCTGCACTTGAGAAGATTACATAGTCTAGTAGGGAGGGAGAGACAAAGTAAACAATTATCTCCAACAAAGAGTAAAGGAAAGCTAAGAATTTATACCACTCCTCAAAGGAAAAAGTAGTCAACAGTCAATTCTACTGAATGGGGGGGAGGGAGAGATTGGGTATCTGTAGAAAAACTTCATAAACAAGGTGACCTCAATCAGAGTCTTAAAAGAAAAATAAGTAGTTTCTAAGCAAAAGGATATGGAGATTGGCCAGGTGCGGTGGCTCACACCTGTAGTCCCTGTACTTTGGGAGCCCCAGGCAGGTGGATCACCTGAGGTCAGGAGTTTGAGAAAAACCTGGCCAACATGATGAAACCCCATCTCTACTAAAAATACAACAAATTAGCCAGACATGGTGGTGGGCACCTGTAATCCCAGCTACTCGGGAGGCTGAGGCAGGAGAATCGCCCAAACCCGGGAGGCAGAGGTTGCAGTGAGCCAAGATTATGCCACTGCACTCCAGCCTGGGCGACAATAGCAAAACTCCAACTCAAAAATAAATAAATAAAATAAAGAGCAGGTATGGATAGTGGCACTCCAGGCAGGAGCAATGTTAGCAATGACACAAAGCACATAACATCACCTGGGGTATGGTAAGGACTTAATACTTGCAGAAGAGAAGGAGAAAGAGGCACACAAGAGTAAGAGTATGAAGGGGAGACTTGGTTGACACAACAGAAGACCAGCAAAGCAGACAGGGAAAAGAAAATGCAGACCCTTCTATGCCATAAATTTAGGGCTTCAGCCTACAAGGCTTCAGAGCGGCTTCTTACCACTGCTGCAAATACAGAATATGAAACCAATTTAGTGGATTAAAATAGCTTTCTTTTTTTTTGAGACAGGATCTCACTCTGTCACCCAGGCTAGAGTGCAGTGGCACAATCACAGCTCACTGCAGCCTTGACCTGCTGGCTTAAGTGCACTTCAGCCACCAGAGTAGCTAAAACAGGCATGTACCACCACACCCAGCTAATTTTTTAAATTTTTTGTAGAGATGAGGTCTCACTATGTCGCCCAGGCTAGTCTCAAATTCCTGAGCTCAAGCAATCCTCCCTCCTTGGACTCCCAAAGTTCTAGGATTACAGGCATGAGCCACTGCAGCTAGCCTAAAACAGCATTTTTAAAAGAATAAAAGTTATTAGAAATTATCAAAATGCATAGCATGTGCTAAGAATGTTTCTTTTGATCAACTGTTTCATTTATAAGTAAACACACACAAACACTACACACACAGTTGTTGAAATGTAAAATTTATTTCTTATAAATTCACACACATAAATACACATAGCTAATGCAATGTGAAATCTATTTTACTATGGGTCACAAACAAAAACCTTGAAAAGCCATTGCTATCAAGACATGTTCCTCACTCCCTCATCTACACTTCCACTGTACTTCCACTGCGCACACACTGCACAAAGGTGTGCATGACCAGTCCACCCCTTTATGTACTTAATTCCTTAATAATTATTTTGAAGCTGATTATCTCTAGGCAATGAATGAGCTAAGCAAAAGATTGCTTCTCTTAAGGATCTTTTTAACTGTCTGGTTATTACAGCAGTATGTTTATTAAGAACCTGATCAGAAAGTAGGGAGGAAAATTAAGATTAAAGGTAATCTCTGAGAACTTGTTAATCCTCAAAAAAAACTTTGTGGAAAAAACGTACACTTTAGTTCACAGAATTATCTACAGATCCATGAAATTTATATCACTCCCTAATGTAAACAGTTTTTATTGGTTCTACATATGTACCTGAATAAGAGTGTAAAGCATATTAAAATATTTAAAATATGAAAAAGTATATCCACTTAAATCAAGTTTCTTCTATAATTGAACTGAATTGTTTTGTCACCTGTGAATACAACAAAATATACATAACAACTATATATAAACACCTAGGAAATACACTCTCAATTTCATTTTGGTCTTCTGATTTACTGTGCTTATAAAATATGTTAAACAAAAATCAAAAGCCTTCAAATATGTAAAGTAACTGAGCTTTTTTTTTTAAACATGTACTGAATTTTAAGTACAAATAGGTACCTGCTAATAAGAGGAAAAACCAGAAACACTTTGTCTTTCCTGTCCTGAGGGTATCTTTAACTGGCCTCCTCTAACATGGCACATTATACATTATGCATTTCAGTCCCTGGGTTGTTTACAGTAACAGAATAGTTTTCTCTGTGAAAAGACCTCATGAGAGATCCACCTTGTTTTTCTAAGGTTCCCAGAAGGATGGTAGTCATATGGCATTAGTTAGCCATGTATCATAGAATATAAATTATTCATGAACATTTTCAGTCTAAAGTAAACAGAAATGACACCTACAAAATTTAATTTAGTCAGAAGAACTGTTTAACAGGCATACTTATTAAACTAAAAATTGTGGACATCTATCATGGGAATAAGATATTACTGTGCTAAGAGAGCTAAGAGTTGAAAAATAAACCAATTGTGGAACCAAAAGAATAAAAAGAGATTATTTCCTCTGGAAAACTTCCCCTCACTCTCTGAGAATGGAGTGAAGTTCCACAAAAACAGACTGTATCAGTCTCCATGAAGACTGAAACAGGTATTTACAATGATGCCTTCTCTGTAAACGAGTCACAACTCCTAGTCACTTTTCCCTCAGACTTTCATTTTGTAATGCTGTCTAGTTTATGTCTAAGCATGCAAAGAAATAAATACCATGTGTACAGAATTAAAGCATCTATTACAAAAATGATAGCAATAATTTTAAGTGAACAAAAAACTTTAAAAAAAGACTTTATAATAGAAGCTAAGGCAAAAAAGCAAAATCTGATATCTCCACATTCACTTTTCATATTTTTACTTTGTGACATGTCGATCACAGACACACTAATAACTTTAGTAATGTGGCACAAGAAATTAAAATGTCATTATTGTTTAGATTTTATCATACAGCTAGTTCTTAAGAATGAAAGGCTAAGAACTGGATGATCAAAGGGATGTGAAAAAAACAAAGAATGAAAGGCTCACTAAATTTCCATCTGATTTTATCATAGGGCACCATTTTTTCCCTAGGGCACATACCTCTGATTTAATCAAAGAAGTCAGGAGAAAACAGACTCACTTACCAGAAATATGCTTTCCCAAATATCTACCTCATTAAGAAGACAGACCTTACTCTTGTGAAAAAAAACACCTATTTTTGAAAGAAATCATATTTCAACATCTTTCTGAGAAACTCACCTTGCCTTTCTGATTCAAGGGTTCAATTGTTAAGCTGTCGGGGCCAATATCCACAATATTGCCCATCTGAAATCCATCTGTAGGGTGTGGCGCCCAAACGGGCTTTCCATCCTCCATTTTTGAAGGAGGATCCACGATCTCCTGTTTCCACTATCCACTGTCACCTGTTTCAAAGGAACAAATACAGCAACATGAATCAGTTTTGAAATATATATAAAACAAATAATGTATCTTTTTCAAAAGTTCACATGTAAGTCCCAACTAACAAACACATCTGCCCATGCCACATAAAATCCCCACCTCCTCCCTTGCCTCTTGCTGAACTCTGCCCCCTTTATCTACTTTTTTTTTTTTTTTTTTGAGACGGAATCTCACTCTCTCACCCAGGCTGGAGTGCGGTGGCACAATCCTGGCTCACTGCAAGCTCCGCCTCCCAGGATCACGCCATTCTCCTGCCTCAGCCTCCCGAGTAGCTGGGATTACAGGCATCTGCCACCACACCCAGCTAATTTTTTGTATTTTTAGTAGAGATGGGATTTCACCGTGTTAGCCAGGATGGTCTCGATCTCCTGACCTCGTGATCCGCCTGCCTCGGCCTCCCAAAGTGCTGGGATTACAGGCGTGAGCCACCGTGCCCGGCCCCCTTTATCTACTTTTAGATGAGGCCAAGCAGAGGTTGTTCCACCCTCAGGTACACCTGCTCTACTACTGCCTTCCTTCAGGTATGACTGCAGTAGAGTACAACCCTCTGACTAGAACAGAAGCAAACAATGATAGTTTTTACCAGTTGAGTGTAATTTATACCAGCACTCCTTTTTGCTCCCTAAAGTATTCTGCATTTGCACAATAAATTAAATAGTCATAGGAATAGATATTATTGTGGGGAGGTAGCTAAGAGTTGAAAAAAATAAATCAACTGTGGAAGTAAAAGGATAAAAAGAGAGATTATTATCTCTGGGAAACTTTCCCTCACTCTCTGAGAATGGACTGATGTGCTCCCGAAGCTCATCCTCACGGAACTACTCAGTATGCCATTTTTGTTGTTTTCTTATTTTCCACTGAGGTAAAACTGACATACAGTGAAATGTACAAATCTAAGTATACAAGTTGACGAATATGGACAAATGGATATAGCCATTTATGAAACACTCCAATCAAGGTCATGAGTGGTAGCTTACGCCTAGAATGCCAACACTTTGAGAGGCCGAGGCAGGAGGACTGCTTGAGGCTACAGTGAGCTATGACTGTATCACTGCAATCCATTCTGGGTGACAGAACAAGACCCTGTTTCTAAAACAAAACAGTTGTCTCATGACTCCTTTTGGTCAATAACCATTCCCCATGGGCATTCCTACTGTTCTGTTAGTTTCTGCCTATTCCTGAACTTCATATAAGTGACATCATACAGTATGTATTCTTTCATGTCTGTCTTCTTTCATTCAACAAACTGTTTTTGCTTTCAACATATTTAACCTTGTAGTGCGTACTAGTCCAATGAATGACTATACCACAGTTGTTCACCTATTGCTCTGTTGATGAATATTTGGATTGTTTACAGTTTTTGCCTAAGGTGAATTCTAACCTAATTTTTCCATTACCCCTGTATGGTTTCTTTCATACTTAGCATTCTGAGATTTAACATTCATATCTGTCTCTAAAGAGTAGCCAAAACAATCCGTGACATGCAAAATATTTTGTTTTAATGAGCCTGGATGCTATGAGACTAAAATGTAACAATGGATCATCTGGTAAATGATCCCAGATGTCATCTTGACAGGCACTTATTTTTTCACTACTTATCTATATTTAAAAAGAAAAGCTGATTCATGTGCCATAATCCTCCTTTTGTGTGGCATTCTCAAATGTGGATCCTCATGTGGATGCTCTCAGGTGTAGTTTCATGAAAGTCAAGGACGTTTGGCATACAGTTCATTCAAAAGCAGCTAACTATTGGCATGTTTGCAACTTGCTTGTTGGTTGATGTCGTCTATGCAGTGGCTACAAAGTGAGTTGCTTTCCCTATCCAGCAAACGCTATCAGGTTTATGTACAATTCCAAGTTGACAAATTAGATGAAGAGTCTTCATAGAAGTGAATCAATACCACTACTTCAGACTTATATTACCACACATACATCTATACTCTTTCCCTAATCATATCTAGTCCCATGGCTTTAAATACCATTTATGTATGAGTGATGCTCAAAGTTGTTGCTCTAGCCGAAACCTCCACTGAGTTCCCAGATGTTTACTTGTCTACTGGACACCTCTTCATGAATGTATCTAATAGGTGTAACATAATTATTATGTTATTATTGCCATGGTCTACCACTCCAGCTTGCTCTTCCTTAGTATCAGTGAAGGCACTAACAGCACTCCTTCAAATCAAACCCGAAATCATCCCCAATCCCTTGAGCTCCTTCCAAATTCATATCACTTCCTTAATGTTGTCAGCTTTACCTCCAATAGGGATCACAAATCCAACTCCTTCTCTGCATCTCCTCTACCGTCTTAGTTCAAATGAACATCATCTTTTACCAGGACTTCTGTAATTAACTCAGCTGCCTGCTTCTACTCGTGCCACTTCACACATATCACTGGTAATCCTACCAAAAGGTAAATCTAATCATTTCATTTCTGTTTCATCAGGACTTGGACTACTCCTCTCTGTGTCCCTAAGGCCCAGCACACAGTAAGCAACTCAATATTCACTGGTAAATGAATGAATTGTTCACACAGTTTTGGAAGAGTAAAAGCAGGTGTAGACTTAGAAGAATTGAAATATCTTTTTTTTTTTTTTTTGAGACTGGGTCTTTCTATCACCCAGGCCATAGTGCAGTGGCACAGTGATGCAATCATGGCTCACTGCAACCTTGACCTCCCACGTTCAAGACATTCTCCTATTTCAGCCTCCCAAGTAGCTGGGACCATCAGGTGCATGCAGGTAATTTTTGTAATTTTTATTTTTTTATATACAGGGTCTCACTGTGTTGCCCAGGCAGGTCTCGAACTCCTGGGCTCAAGCAATCAACCTGCCTCAACCATACAAAGTGCTGGGATTACAGGCGTGAGCCACTGTGCTCATCCTGAAATATCTTCAAATCCTACGCTCAGCCAGGAACGGTGGCTCACACTTGTAATCAAAACACTTTAGGGTAAGGAGACAGAGCAAGATGGCTTAATAGAAGGCTCCAGCAATCACTTCCCCTTCAGGAACACCAAATTGAACAACTATCCACCCAAAAAAAGCATCTTCATAAGAACAAAAAATCAGGTGAGCAATGTACCAGTTAAAACCAGTCCCTGGTTTTAACATCACATCAAAGAAAGAGGCACTGGAGAGGGGAGCAAAACCAGTCTTCAACTCTCAGCACCACCCTCTCTCTCCCCACCCCTTGGCAGCAGCAATGGTGGTATGGTGAGAGAATCTACAGGCTTGTGGGAGGGAGAGATCACAAACAGAGCATTTACAGAAGCCCTAGCCAGAGGCAAATAGTTCATCTCAGCAAGCCCCACTGCAGGCTAAATTGTTCTGGGGTCCTAAATAAACTTGAAAAGCAGTCTAGACCACAAGGACTGCATTTTCTGGGCAAGTCCTGGTGCTATGATAGGCTCAGAGCCACCGGGTTTGGGGAGCATGTGACCTAGTGAGAACACCAGCTGGGCGGCCAGGAGTGCAACTCACAGCTCTATTAAAGACTCCTTCCCTCCGTTTGAGAGGCGAAGAGGGAAGGGTAAAGGGGACTTTGTCTTGCAACCTGGATACCAACCAATTCAGTCCCAGTAGAATAGAGAACAGGGCAGGTCCTGAGGCCCCCATTCCAGGCCCTAGCTCCTGGGCATTTCTAAACACATCCTAGGCAGAAGATAACTCACTGATTTGGGGGGAAGAACCCAGTCCCAGCAGAATTCATCACCTGCTGACTAAAGAGCCCCTGGGGCCTGAACAGTCAGCAGTGGTAGCCAGGCAATACTCACCACGGGTCACAGGTGAGACTGAGAGCTATGCTGGCTTCAGGTATGACCCAGCACATTCCCAGCTGTGGTGGCCATGGGGAGAGACTGCCTCTGAATAAGGAAAGGAAAGGGAAGAGTAAGGGGGACTTTGTCTGGCAGCCTGGGTACCAGCTCAGCCAGAGTGGGTTAACGAGCACCAAGCGGGCTCCTGGGGTCCCTGATCCCCGGCCTTGACTCTTGGATGGCATTTCTGGATGTGCCCTGGGCCAAAGGGGAGCCCACTGTTCTAAAGCAGGAGATTCAGCACTGGCAGCATCCACCACGAACTGACTGGAGAACTCTTGGGCCTTGAGTGAACATCGGCAGTAGCCAGGCTGTACTTGCCATGGGCTTGGGATGGTGGTGGCCATGCAGAGAGACTCTTTGCTTGAGGAAAGAGGAGAAAAGAGTGGGAAGAACTTGATCTGTGGCTTGGGTGCCAGCTCAGCTTCAGAATACAGCAGCAGATAGATTTCTAAGGTTCTTGATTCCAGGCCCTGCCTCCCAGGTGGCATCAATCCAAAAGAAAAGGGCTTAATGAACAAGAAGAAATCATCTGAAGGTACAAAACTCACTGGTAATAGTAAGTACACAGAATATTCTAAAACTATAATTGTAAAACCATTTAATATAACTACTATGGAGAACAGTTTGCAGGTTCCTTAAAAAACTAAAAATATAATGACCATATGATCCAGCAATCCCACTGCTAGGAACTCAAGAGAAAGGAATCAGTATATTGAAGAGATAACTGCACTCCCATTTTTACTGCAGCACTATACTCAGTAGCCAAGATCTGGAAGCAACCCAAGTGCCCATGAACAGAAGAATGGATAAAGACAACATGGTGCATATATACAGTGGAGTATTATTCAGCCATGAAAAAGAAAGATCCTGTCATTTACAACAACATGGATGGAACTGGAGGTCATTACATTAAATGAAACACATCAGACAAAGAAAGGAAAACTTCACATGTTCTCACGTATCTGTGGGAGCTAAAAAAAAAACTGAAACAATTGAACTCATGAAGATAGGGAGTAGAATGATACCTGAGGCTGGGAAGGTAGTGGGGTGGGGAGTAGGGATGGTTAATGGGTACAAAAATATAGTTAGAATTAATAAAATCTAGTACTTGATAGCACAAGAGGGTGACTACAGTCAATAGTAACTTACTGTCATTTAAAAATAACTAAAATAGTATACTTGGATCGTTGTGGTACAAAGAAAGAATAAATCCTTGAGTTGCTGGGTACTTCATTTACCCCAATGTGATTATGGCACACTGTACGCCTGTATCAAAATATCTCATGTACCCCATAATATACACACCTACTATGTATCAACACACACAAAAAAAATTTAATTTTTAAAAAAAGCACTTTGAGAAGCCGAAGTGGGAGGATCACTTGATCCTAGGAGCTCAAGACCAGCCTGAACAACACAGCAAGACTCCACCTCTACAAAAATCAAAAATTTTAAACATTAGCCAGGAATGATGGCATAGCCCTGTAGTTCTGGCTACTCAGGAGGCTGAGGCAGGAGGATGACTTGAATCCAGGAGTTCAAAGTTGCAGTAAGCTATCATTGTGCCACTGCACTCCAGCCTGGGAGACAGAGTAAGACCTTGTCTCTGGAAAAACAAAAAACAAAAAACAGAAAAAAAAACCTAGGCTTGAAACTCAGCTCCACCACTTTCTAACAAGCTCTTAAGTAAGTTATTTAACCTCTTCGATTTTTATCTTTGTCCTTATCCATATGGTGGGATATCACTTACCTTTCAGAACTGCTGTGAGGATTAAGTGACATAAAACTGAGATCACTGTTCTACTGGCACCCAAAAGATACTAGGCATACCCCTCCCCCTTTCTCTTTTCCTTCCCCACTATATCCCTTGTTTGAAGCCACCAGTCAGTTTCAAGACAATAGTTGTGGTAATTTTAAATACAAACAGAAATTACAGAATAGACAGGAGGGATCATTTAGGAAAAATTACCTGAAATCACTGTGTGTAAAATTTGTGACAGTGAAAAAAAAGAAAAGAAAAATCACAGCAAAGCAAAACTCCCAAAGTCCAAAAAAGAATGGCAAATTAAACTTCGAACTACTTTCCTATTTTCAACTGTTAACTATGACTTCCCAGTTAAGGTAACAAATTTAAAGGCACACACACAGCTAACATTGCTCCTTCATCAAAGCCCTTTATCTACAGTACAGGGATTCTTTACAAACACATCAGCCCATGAGGATGGAGAGAAGCAAAAAGGAGAAAACAGAAGCATTTTCTAATTTGGAAAGCAAATGGTTGAGAGGCAACCAACAGCAACCACAAGAGAGCTGAATTTCAAGGCATGAATTCGAAAATATGAAAACCAACCCAAATTATACTACAGAATCCTCAAAAGATACAAGAAATTCAGTACAAGGTTCCAGAACAAGGGTGAAAAGAAATCTAAAATAAGGAAAACTAGGTGAAAGTTTTCTGAGAGAGATTTCCTCACACCAACCACACAAACTCCATATTGATGGAAAAACTGCCCCCCTACCCCAATCCCCACCACCCCCACCAAGAGAAGTCTAGAACCTGTTCTCTGGAGAAGACTCTGGAATGAGAAACACCAAAAACAATTATGGGTATGCCAAAAAAAAAACAAAACTGCTTAGGAGATAGGGTCTCACTTTTTCACCCAGGCTGGAGTGCAATGGCACAATCATAGGTCACTGCAGCCTCGAACTCCTGGGCTCAGGCAATCCTCCCACCTCAGCCTTCTGAGTAACCGGGATTACAGGCATAAGCCACTGCACCTGGCCAAGACTCTCTCCTTGACCAACCAACTTTAATTAGGCTCCTCTGAGGCCTCTCCTCAACTAGGCTAGGCCTCAACCTTGGCCTTAACTCCGTTCTATCTCTTGACAGGCCTGCACAGCCCAGTTTTAGCAAGAATCCTGCTAAATCAATTTAGATAGACTCCCCGACCCCTGATACTTGATCCAGTTCCCATCCCCCACCTTTCATGTCATAAACCAAAAATAAAATCCTAAGCCCCTAACCAACTGAATGGGGATCCCTCTTGGATGGGGGAAACCCAGAGGAACTTGAAAAACTGAATTCCCAGCCAAGACAGGAAGGGAGGTCAGACATGCCTCATTATACCCCCCTCCCTTTTGGAATTTAGGCACAACTGACAAATAATAACATTAAAATAGAGATCATAAGACTGACAAAACAGATTCTTTGCAGCAATAAGACACATTTCAACCTGACTCTGGTACAGCATCACATGCCAGATATCAGACCCTGAAGAGAATCAAATATTTTACTCCACAATATATTTCTTTGACATATTTTGAAATGGCCCTGCAAAGCTGTCTTTTGTGGAGGAAATTTGCATCTGTAGAGAATTTCATAGTAATTAATGCAGCCAGGCATTTCCAGGATGGATCTGGGCGAGATTACCTAAGTCTGACATCTTTTAAGGTCTGAAAAGAGACATTTACCATCATTCTCTCTGTAGCCTGCTACCTATGAAGCTTCTCTACATAACAAGAACCTCAACATCTATGGATCTTTTTTTTTTTTTTTTTTTGAGACAGAGTCTCACTTTGTTGCCCAAGCTGGAGGGCAATGGGGCAATCTGGGCTCACTGAAACCTCCGCCTCCAGGGTTCAAGCAATTCTCCTGCCTCAGCCTCTACAGGAGCTAGGACTACAGGCACCTGCCACAACGCCCAGCTAATTTTTGCTTTTTTTTTTGTTTTTTTTTTTTTTTTAGCAGAGACAAGGTTTCATCATGTTAGCCAGACTGGTCTTGAACTCCTGACCTCAAGTGATCCACCTGGCTCGGCCTCCCAAAGTGCTGGGATTACAAGCCTCAGCCAGCACGCCGGGCTGACATCCCCCTTATCTTACCTCGAGCATTTCTTTCTACTGACTTCCAGTCTTTAGACAAAGCTTAACTCTTTCAACGGCCAATCAGAAAATCTTTGAATCCACCTATGACCCATAAGCTCCCCATTCCACCACCCCCCCACTTCGAGATTTCCCAGTTTTCAGGCAGAGACAGAATCAATATATACCTTCCACGTATTATGTCTTCGCCTGTAATTCCTGCCTTCCTAAAATGTATAAAACCAAATTATAACCCAACCACCTCACACACACTTTCTCAGGACTTCTTGAGACTGTTCATCGGGCCATAGTCGTTCATATTGGCTCTGAATAAACCTCTTTAAATATTTTACAGTTTGCTTTTTCCATTAACACTCTAAGTCCTTGACCTGCCTTCAGCAAAAATCCTGTTAAGTCAGTATGGCAAGACTTTCCATGCCCTTGATGTCTCCATGAATAATTTTCCATCCACTGATCCACTCGCTCTGTTCCTTGGCTGTAAATCCTGTGAAAGGAAAAAAATCTCGGAACCCCAACATCACTAAGCCAAGGAAAAAGTCAAGCTGGGGACTATGTCAGGCAGGCCTGCCTCCCATTTTATTCCTAAACAAGATAGCTACAAACATTTTTTAAAAAGTTACATGCCTCCCTCACAATTTGCCCACATGGAAATTCCTTGTGGATGAAGGACAGCCAGAACTCAGTCATCTCGCTGAGGCTCATGTGAGACAAACGCATATCTCATTGCTTCTTCTGCCATATTGTTTCACTAAGCCAGACTAGGGCATAAGATTATTTCCTCTACCCTCCTCTCACCTGTAAATTGTGTATTCTGTGAAAGGCTAATCAGAGACTCAAAAGAATGCAATAGTTTGTCTCTTATCTACCTATGATTTGGAAGTCCCCTCCCCCTGCCTTGAGTTTACCCACCTTTCCAGATGAAACTAATGTACATCTTACAGAAATTAATTGATGTCTCATGTCTACCTAAAACATATAAAACCAAGTTGTGCCCTGACCACCTTGGGTACATGTCCTCAGAACCTCCTGTGGCTGAGTCACAGGTGCATCCTTAACCTTTCTAAATTGGTTTCAAAATAAACTTTCTAAATTGGTTGAGACCTGTCTTAGATATTCTGGGTTCACAATCCCCAGCTGTCTCTGCCATATTCAGGAGTTGAGGCCCATCTCTCCCACCTACTGCAATACCCCTTCATATGAACTGAAAGTACTGCTATGGACTGAATTTTGTTCCCCCCAAATTCATATGTTTAAGCCTTAACCCTCAATGTCTCTGTATTTGGAGACAGGGCTTTCAGGAGGTAATTAAGATTAAATGAGGTCAGAAGGGTAGGGTTCTAATCAGATAGGATTGGTGGCCATATAATAAGAGGAAGAGAGAGAAATAGATCTCTGTCCGAGTACATGCACCATGGAAAGGCCAAGGGAACACACAGAGAAAAGGCTGCCATCTATAAGCCAGGAAAAGTGCTCTTATCAGAACCCAACCACGGTGACACACTGACGTCAGATATCCAGGTTACAAAACTGTGAAAAAACTAAATTTCTGTGTCAGAATACAAACGTTTGTGGTATTTTATTACGGCAGCCTGAGCAGTCTACACTTCTAGCAGACTAATACCACCCCTACCACAAGAGTCCTTGAATAAAGTATTCCTTGCTGTTTTAACAAGTGTTAGAATAATTTTTCTTTAACAACATAATAATAGAAATGAAATATTCACTAGAAGCTATAGAAGATAAAGACGAGGCAACCTTTCAGAGTTAAGATAAAATGGAAGAGCGTCAGAGGCATGTGAACCAGAGCAACTCCATCTTGAATAGGAGGTGGGTAAAATAAGGCTAAAACCTACTGGTTTGTAGACATTTAAGGCATTCTAAGTCACAGGATGAGAGAGGAGGTCAGCAGAAGACACAGGTCATAAAGACCCTGCTGATAAAACGGGCTGCAGTAAAGAAGCTGGCTAAAACCCATCAAAACCAAGATGGCAACAAGAGAGATCTCTGGTAGTATAATCAAGAAATAAACATAAAAATGGGCAGCCAGCAGCCTTTGGGGCTGCTCTGTCTGTGGAGGAGCTATTCTTTATTCCTTTACTTTCTAAATAAACTTCCTTTCACTTTATGGACTCGTCTGAAATTCTTTCTTGTGTGAGATCCAAGAACCCTCTCTCTTGGGGTCTGGATCAGGACCCCTTTCCTGTAACAATAGAAAATAGGGGGAAAAGATAAAAAGGAAAATAAAATGTGAATATGAGACTAGTAAAAATAATCCAGCATCAAAATACCAGGAAAAAAAAATCCCTCCACATGCCCACTCCCCAAAGAGAGAGGAAGAAGGCTTTGAAATATCCAAAGAAAATATACCAGAACCAAAAGACATGATTTTCTAGAGTCTAGTCAAAATTTCCATGGAGTCCTCAACAGTGTACTAGAAAACAGACACACAGAGACACCACTGTCAAATTTCAGAACACCAGAAATAAATAAAATGTGCTACATATTTCCAGAGAGATTAGTGAGAAAAGAAGAAAAAAGAACAGGTCCTTCTAAGGATCATTAATCACAATGGCTTCAACAACACTCAAAGCAGTAAGTAAATAAAACAATGTTTTTAAAATTCTGGAGGAAAATTAATTCTAACCTAGAACTCTATACAGAGGCAAACTCCCAGTCCAGATTGGAACAATATGATCCAAGAGACAGCCACGCTGAGCACTGTCATCAAAGACAGTCACTGCCCAAATGACTGTGGCCCAGTTCAGTTTTTTATCTGTGCTGAGACCAGCTCTGTCAGGAGACCCTAACCCAGTGGCACTAGAGGAATTAAAGACACACACACACACAGAAATATAGAGGTGTGAAGTGGGAAATCAAGGGTCTCACAGCCTTCAGAGCTGAGAGCCCCGAACAGACATTTACCCACGTATTTATTAACAGCAAGCCAGTCATTAGCATTGTTTCTACAGACATTAGATTAACTAAAAGTATAGGATGGGCCTAAATAAAGGGGTGGGTCTGGCTAGTTATCTGCAGCAGGAACATGTCCTTAAGGCACAGCTCACTCATGCTATTGTTTGTGGCTTAAGAATGTCTTTAAGCAGTTTTCCGCCCTGGGCGGGCCAGGTGTTCCTTGCCCTCATTCCAGTAAACCCACAACCTTCCAGCATGGGCGTTATGGCCATCATGAACATGTCACAGTGCTGCAGAGATTTTGTTTATGGCCAGTTTTGGTGCCAGTTTATGGCCAGATTTTGGGGCGCTTGTTCCCAACAATCTGAACATGTCTTATTCTATGTGATAATGATGTACTTCTGCCTGGAAGAAGCCATGGACACTCACTTCCCCCTTCTATTAATTTTTTTTTTTTTTTTGAGACAGAGTCTTGCTCTGTTGCCCAGGCTGGAGTGCAGTGGCATGATCTCAGCTCACTGCAACCTCTGCCTCCCAGGTTCAAGCAATTCTCATGCCTCAGCCTCACAAATGGCTGGGAACTACAAGCATGTGCCACCACATCCAGCTAATTTTTTTGTATTTTTAGTAGAGAAGAGGTTTTGCCATGTTGCCCAGGCTTAAATTAAGTATTACTTTGTATCTAGTGCAAGGTTTTCACTAGAATAAACCTCTTTTTTTAATGTCTTCATTTAATTGTTTTTGGAATCCTAAATATTTAAATACAAATTATCCTTCATTAATGAAGTCTGATTTATTCACCCCACCAAAGATGACAAAATTCTTTCAGATATGTTAATATCTGTTCCCAGAAAAATCTTTCAGAAAATCCATGTGGTCAATATTCATTCTAACTAAACATGTTTGCATATGAAGAGTACTTAAAAAGATACTCACTCACTATAAGGGAAATTTTTAAGACAGTCTCAATTCCCAGTGCTATTGTACTAGAAGTCTTAAACACATTCTAACTTTCTAACTACATATACTTTGCACAAATACTAAAAGAAAAAAATAATAAGAATTATTGGGGTTAAGGAAATTTTAAATCTTGGAAATTCTTAGTTATTCTAAGAGAGATAATTCCCCATCATCAACTGAAAATTATCTTACTTTTAGTACTTAATTGACAATTGATAATGTATTTTTAATGCAAACACTATAGTAATGTGTAGAAGTAATCCACAGAAGCACCATGTAATCCACAGAAGGCAATCGTGGCTTTTCAAAGCTACTACACTAATTTTTCATTTCTTCTGTGTCAAAAGGTTAAAAGTATATCACCAGGAGGCTCCCTGGGGAGCAAACTTATTGCAGGCAAGAGTAACAAAAACATACACCACTATATTCTCTTTTATCTGCATCTCCAATGATAACTCCAATAACATCTATGTATTAAATACTACAGGCAGAATAGGCAGATTCATATCACAAAACATGAGCTGTTGCCTGCCATGTCACCATTATTTTCAAAAGTTACCCTTTTAGAAATATAGTTAGGTTAAGGCCGGGCACTGTGGCTCGCACCTGTAATCCCAACACTTTGGGAGGCCGAGGCAGGAGTTCGAGACCAGCCTGGCTAACACGGTGAAACCCCATTGCTCCTAAAAATACAAAAATTAGCCAGGCATTCTAGCTGCACCTGTAATCCCAGCTACTTGGGAGGCTGAGGCACGAGAATCACTTGAACCAACGAGGCAGAGGTTGCAGTGAGCTAAGATCATGCCACTGCACTCCAGCCTGGGTTGACAGAGTGAGACTCTGTCTCAAAAAAAAAAAAAAAAAAAATATATATATATATATATATGTGTGTGTGTATATATATATGTGTGTGTATATATGTGTATATATGTGTACATATGTGTATATATGTATATATGTGTATATATTATATATGTGTGTATATATGTATATATATGTGTGTGTGTGTATATATATATGCGCATATATATGTGTATATATATGTTAGGGTATTAGACATTAAGTACCAACTAAAAGTAATTTGGGTTTTGGCTGTAAGTGCTAGAATAAGACACCAAAAAGGAGAAAGCATATGGCAAACAGAATCCTTCCAAGACTGCCTTACGGAGTCATTTATTCTGTTAACTATTATTTATTTAGCCACCTACCATGTACCACATACTGCCAGGTGTTGGGGGTATAAAGGTGAGCAAAAAGAGACAAGGTATCTGGCCTCAGGGAGCCTTCTAGCTAATAGGAAAACAATCAGTTAGAATAGAAGAGTAAACAGAATTGGCAAAATCCCTGCCCTCAGGGATCTTAAATTCCAGTGGAGGGGAGTATGAAGGGGTGGGGTAGATCTATCAAGTTTGCCTTTAAAAAGATTACTCTTTCATCTGGCCAAGCCCTGGCCTTGCTGCTCAAAACAATGTTATGTGCACCTTTGGCATACAAGTTTTAAACCGGCAACTCCTCTCACCTCTATCAGTGTATCCTAAGGCTATTAGCTTCCCTGGTATCCAGATACTGTGAGAAAATGGGGCACAAGGTTAACAGTTGGCTGTGGCTAGTAAGTTTTGTGTGCACCTAGCACAATCTTTTATCAAGCATTTCGGTTCCCGAACCAAAGTTCAGGAATTGAATCATTCTCAAAAACATTTCAGCAGGGTTCCCTTTAGTCAGTAAATTACCTTGAAAAGGCCCAAGGCAGGAGGATTACTTGAGTCCAAGAGTTCAAAGCCACTCTGGGCAACATAGTGGGACCTTGTCTCCACCAAAAGCATGAACATTAGTCAGGCATGTCAGTACACACCTGCAGTCACAGCTACTTAAGAGGCTGAGGCGGAAGAATAGCTTCAGCTCAGGTGGCCAAGGCTGCAGTGAGCCATGATCGTGCCACTGTACTCCAGCCTGGGTGACAGAGCAAGATCCTGTGTCACAAATCAAAAACAAAAAACAAAAAGAAAAAGCCTCCCTAGAAAATATATCCAAGTTAATCTTCAGCTAGTTGTACAAAATTTGGGTTTTTTATTGCTATGATATAGTATTAATTGAACATAAGTACTGAACTTATTGTGAATATCTTGGTTTTATCAGCAATAAACTTTTATTAACAATGGAAAGAAAAGACCCATCACTAAGTCCAAACTCGGGACAAAGAAGAAAATATCTGAACATTAACAATATCTAAAAATTAACTACCACAATTTAATTAAGAAGTAATTTTGATTTTTTTTTCAATGAATATTTACTGAGCACCTGCTAAGTACCAGGCACTGCTTTAGGCTGAGATACTGATGACAAAATACGCAGATCAACTGTTTCTCAAAATAAGACAAATGTCCATTCCAGCTATGACACCCCTTCTGAAAGTCTAGTTGATTATGGCCCTGGTCCTGATGTATGACCTTTTCACAAAGTGACTTCCAAGTATAACCTAGGAAACTCCAATGTAGCAATCAATGCTTAAAGCTAAGTCTGCTATCACTTGATTCTTAAAACAGTGAACACCACCACTAACTTAACTGGTATAGTTAAGATTGATGTGCTAACAAAAAAAGGGGATAAAAAAAAAAGCAAGTATGTCATTAATAAGCTTACTATGAAATATTTTAAAATACGTGATTTGGAACTGATACCAGGAAAATTACTATAAATACAATACAATCTGAATTGTGAGAACTGATTATATGATTTTCTTACAGATTTTCAGAGAAGAAATCATAAACTATATTTCAAATATAAACACCTGCGTAAATTACCATCACAAGACAGATTTGGATTTAGACATAATTCATATAATATATGCAATCGTTATTACAATAATATGGACAAAAAGTAGACTTTTTCAGAAAAAGCCCTGTATTTTTAAGAGACTAAACATCCCAGTTTACCTAGTCAAAATTTCTTTCACAGATATTAAAGTATCAGAATATAATAGCAAGATATTCATCCCAGGTGATTTAAATATTCCATATGCTGTGACTAATCTTGTTTATTATCCAATGATACACCCAGAAGTTACCTAGTTCTGTAATTTGTGCTAGGTTTAAGAGATTTTTCCACCAGGTGCAGTGGCTCATGCCTGTAATCCCAGAACTTTGAGAGGCCAAGCTGGAGAGATTGCTTGAGCCCAAGAGTTCAAGACCAGCCTGGGCAACAAAGTGAGATCCCTGTCTCTACAAAAAATACAAAAACTAGCTGGGTGAAGTGGTGCATGCCTGTGGTCCCAGCTGGCGTGGTGGGAGGCTGAAGTGGAAGGATCACTTCAGCCTGGGATGTTGAGGCTAGTGAGTCATGATCATGCCACTACACTCCAGCCTGGGTGACAGAGCGAGACTCAGTCTCATTAAAAAAAAAAAAAAAAAAATTTTTTTTTTTGATACTGAGTCTCGCTCTGTCACCCAGACTAGAGTCCAGTGGCGCAGTCTCGGGTCACTGCAACCTTCACCTCCCGGGTTCAAGCAATTCTCCTGATTCAGCCTCCCAAGTAGCTGGGATTACAGGCACGCGCTACCACGCCCAGCTAATTTTTGTATTTTTAGTAGAGACAGGATTTCACCATGTTGGCCAGGCTGGACTGAAACTCCTGACCTCAGATGATCCGCCTACCTCGGCCTCCCAAAATGCTGGGATTACAGGCACGAGCCACCATGCCCAGCCAAAGAAATATTTTTAAAAGGTAAACATGCTTTTTACAGGGAGTTAATTTTGTCTTCCGCTTAGTATTGCATTTAAATGACTCCCTGAGAATCAGAGAGACAATCAAAAGAATTGGAAATTTTCACTGAAATTTTTCATTTCTTGAATCAATTATAAAATATATTATTCTTTCTTAATTGACATACAAATTATGCAATAAGTATATTCAGATATTCTATAAGATGAGAATCACATTTTTTTTTTTTTGAGATGAAGTCTTGCTCTGTCGCCCAGGCTGGAGTACAATGGCGTGATCTCAGCTCACTGCAACCTCCACCTTCCAGGTTCAAGTGATTCTCCTGCCTCAGCCTCCTGAGTAGCTGGGATTACAGGCGCCTGCCACCACACCCAGCTAATTTTTGTATTTTTAGTAGAGACGGGGTTTCACCAGGTTGGCCAGGCTGGTCTTGAGGTCATGACCTCAGGTGATCCACCCGCCTTGGCCTCCCAAAGTGCTGGGATTACAGGCATGAGCCACTGTGCCCAGCCCTCAAATTATTTTTTCAGATTTCCAAGGGCCACTTTAACTTTCAACTCCACTCCACAACATGCTTTGAAGACAGTATTCTACTAAACTATCTCTGAAAATGCAAATGCAAGTTTTCTCATAAAAAAAAAAATTAAGCTCTCACCACCACCTCTACATATCAAGCTGCATCTGTGCCCATACAGTCTTCCTTTCATTCTGTTACTAAGTCCAAATTATTCTTACTCCTATCTAAAACCAGTCGCTACTCACCCACCAGATCCTATTCCTTCTTAAGCCATGCAAGAACAACCACCCCTCCTCTCCTCTCCTCCCTCCTCCTCCTCTCCTCTCGTCCCTCTCTTTCCCTCCTCTCCCCGCTCTTCTCTTTCTCCCTCCTCTTTTCTGTGAAGCACCTTGTGAAGAAGGTGCTTGCTTCCCCTTCACTTTCTGCCATGATTGTAAATTTCCTGACACCTCCCCAGCCATACAAAACTGTGAGTCAATTAAACCTCTTTCCTTTATAAATGACCCAGTCTCAGGGAAGTTCTTTATAAAGTGTGAAAACAAAGTAATACATCTAGTCTTACGGCTTTAAACATTATCCATATGGCTAATCATGGCATCAATGTTATTAATATGCTAATAACGCCCCATGTGGCCAGGCACGGTGGCTCACACACCTGTAATGCCAGCACTTCAGAAGGCAGAGGCAGGTGGATAACTTGAGCTCAGGAGTTCAAGACCAGCCTGGCCAACATGGGGAAATCCCATCTCTACTAAAAATACAAAAATTAGCCGGGTGTGGTGGCATGCACCTGTAATTCCGGCTATTCAGGTGGCTGACACACGAGAACTGCTTGAACCTGGGGGATGGAGATTGTAGTGAGTCAAGATTGTGCCACTGCACTCCAGCCTGGGTAATGGAGTGAGACCCTGTCTCAAAAAAATAGTAATGCCCCATTTTCTATCTCCAACTTATACCTCTCTCCTAACTCCAGACATCTAGAGCACATAGCCTATTCAATATCACTACTTAGGAAATCAACAGCCATCTCAAACTTTTCATATCCTAAACTGACCTCCTAGCTCCCCGTTTAAATTTGTTTCGTTCATAGTGATCCTCTTCTTATTAAATGACAATTTCTTTTTCTTTTTTTGAGACAGGGTCTCACTCTGTCACCCAGGCTGGGTATTACTCCAGTAAGAAATCTGACACCTTAGCCTACTTCAGCTTAATCATAGCAAATATAAACCCTCCATCAGGCTTTGTGAAATACTGAAAATACATTAAGGACATCCACTTGTAACTGAAGGCCCTTGAGATGGAAGCCTCTGTACTTCTCGGCAGCTCCCAGGTCCTGTCTCCTCTTAATTGTGTTGGGAAACACACTGTATGGTGCTTCTGAGTGATTATGTTGACTCACTTACCTTTGTTCAGCCGCATACCAATTTTGAATTTTCTTTCGTGAAAGTAAGGGCTCACTCTTATTACGGGACTGTTTGGGGAGAGTAGAGTCTGGAGGGGGGTTGAACCATGAAGTGAAATTATTACAAATGCATTCTACAAACATTTATTGAATTCCCAATATGTGTCAGGCATAGCACCAGAAAAAAAATTAGTATTTTTCATCCTAAACAAAAAAGAAAAGCACATTCTTTCTAAATAAAAAACTAAACCACACATAGAAATAAGATCCTAGAAACTCCTAAAGTCTTAAAGTTACCACCACTGCCATTAAAAGAATTGGAATTAATTATTGGGGGAAGGGGAATAACTAAAGTGATAATATCCCAGGTACTCAAATGCCTGGGGGGAAGCAGGAAATACTCAGAGAAGCAGTGCTATGCTTCTATCCCAAAGCACTGTAACATGGGTAAAGTTAGTCTACACCTACCCTCTCCTTCTCATCTTTTCCCCATTTGAGAACACTAACTTAGGCTCAAAAAACAGGCAAAAATCAAGAAACAAGAGCCATCTTGTTTCATTTCATTCCTTGAAATGAAGGTTCAAACTCTAGGCTACACACAAACCCTACCTTGTAGTAAGTAAATTCAAAGGGAAAAAAAGAAAGTAAATATTTTCTTGCTTTACAAACAAGTCTATATATTTGCTTGCCTTATTGACTCGCTAGAGCTAATACTTTTTAAATATTAATTTTAACATTTCAAAAGTTGATGATGAATTACAAAAATGAGACTCTCTTGCCTACAAACATGTTTGTTCTTCCTTAACCTAGGTGTGTCACATAAATCAAGGACCAAAGTAAAATACTTTTTTTTTTTTTTTTTAGACAGAGTTTTGCTCTTGTCGTCCGGGGTGGAAGGCAATGGCAAGATCGCGAATCACTGCAACCTCCACCTCCTGGGTTCAAGCAATTCTCCTGCCTCAGCCTCCCTAGTAGCTGGGATTACAGGGGCCTGCCACCACACCTGGCTAGTTTTTGTATTTTTAGTAGAGATGGGGTTTCACCATGTTGGCCAGGCTGGTCTCGGAACTCCTGACCTCCGGTGATCCACCCGCCTTGGCCTCCCAAAGTGCTGGGATTACAGACATGAGCCACCGCGCCTGGTTTTCTGATTTCTTTCAGAAGTGTTTTGTGGTTCTCCTTGTAGAGGTCTTTCACCTCCTTGGTTAGCTATATTTTTAAGTATTTCGTTTTGTCTATGTGGCTGTTGTAAACGGGATTGTGTTCTTGATTTGACTTTCAGCTTGAACGTCACTGCTGTTTAGAAATACTACTTATTTTTGCACATTTATTTTGTGTCCTGAAACATTACTGAAGTCATTTATCAGTTCTTGGAGTCTTTGGGAGAAACTTCAGGGTTTTCCACATATAGAATGTATCATCAGCAAAGATAGACAGTTTGACTTCTTTTTTCCTATTTGAATACCTTTTATTTATTCTCTTGCCTGACTGCTCTGGCTAGGACTTCCAGAATAAGAGTGGTGTGAGTAAGCATTCTTGTCTTGCTCCTGTTCTCAAGGAGAATAGTTTCAGCTTTTGCCTGTTCAGTCCAATGTTGGCTATGGGTTTATCATAGACAACTCATTATTTTCAGTTATGTTCCTTTGATGCCTAGTCTGTTGAAGGTTTTTATTATGAAGGGATGCTGGATTTTACAGAAAGCTTTTTCTGCCTCTATTGAGATGATCCAATGATTTTTGCTTTTAATTTTGTCAATGTGGTGAATCACATTTATTGATTTGCATATGTTGAACCACCCTTACATCCCAGGAATAAAAGCCTATTAGATCACAGTATATTCACACTACCCGACTTCAAACTATACGGAAGGCTACAGTAACCAAAACAGCATGGTATTGGTACAAAAACAGACAGACCAATGGGACAGAATAGAGAACAGAGAAATAAAGCCCCACACCTACAACCATCTGATTTTTGACAAAGTCAACAAAAACAAGCAATAGGAAAAGGACTCTCTATTCAATAAATGGTGCTGGGATAACTGGCTAGCCATATGCAGAAGAATGAAACTGGACCCCTACCTTTCACCATATATAAAAATCAACTCAAGATGGATTATAAAGATTCAAATATAAGACCTCAAACTATAAAAATCTAGAAGAAAACCTAGGAAATACCTTTCTTGACACTGGCCTTGGCTAAGAATTTTTGGCTCCGTCCCCAAAAGCAACTGCAACAAAAACAAAAACTGACAAGTGGGACCTAATTAAATGGCTTTTAATAAAAAGTAAAAAAACAACAGAGGCTGGCAAGCCTGCAGAGAAAAGAGAATGCTTATATACTGTTGGTTGGAATGTAAATTAATTCAACCACTATGGAAAGCAGTTTGGAGATTTCTAAACTTAAAACAGAGTTACCAGCCAGGTACAGTGGCTCACACCTATAATCCCAGCATTTTGGAAAGCTGAGGCAGGCAGATCACTTGAGGTCAGGAGTTTGAGACCAGCCTGGCTAACATGGTGAAA
The DNA here is from genome assembly GCF_000001405.40 of Homo sapiens. Classification (NCBI taxonomy): domain Eukaryota; kingdom Metazoa; phylum Chordata; class Mammalia; order Primates; family Hominidae; genus Homo; species Homo sapiens. The sequence continues at coordinate 75,797,726 of NC_000006.12, read as the reverse complement.
CCTCGTCCCTACTAAAAATCCAAAAATTAGACAGGCGTGGTGGCAGGCACCTGTAATCCCAGCTACTCGGGTATCTAAGGCAGGAGAATGGCTTGAGCCCAGAAGGTGGAGGTTGCACTGAGCCAAGATCATGCCACTGCACTCCAACCTGGGCAACAGAGTGAGACTTAGTCTCAAAAAAAAATAAAAACTAAAAAAAAATACATATAACAGAGCTACCATCTGACCCAGCAATTACATGACTGGGTATATACCCAAAGGAAAATAAATCGTTCTACCAAAAAGACACATGCATTCTTTGAACATAATATGCCTGCTTAAAAATAAATACACACACTGGACGCAGTGGCTCACGCCTGTAATCCCAGCACTCTGGGAGGCCAAGGCGGGTGGATCACTTGAGGTCGGGAGTTCGAGATCAGCCTGACCAACATGAAGAAACCCCGTCTCTACTAAAAATACAAATGAAATTAGCCAAGCATGGTGGTGCATGCCTGTAATCCCGGCTACTCAGGAGGCTGACGCAGGAGAAGCGCTTGACCCCAGGAAGTGGAGGTTGAAGTGAGCCGACATTGTGCCACCGCTCTCCAGCCTGGGTGACAGAGCAAGACTCTGTCTCAAAAAAATAAAATTAAATAAATAAATAAATACACACACAGAAAAAGAAAAGACACATGCCCTTGTATGTTCATCACAGCACTATTCACAACAGACATGGAATCAACCTCGGTGTCCATAAACAATGGACTGGATAAAGAAAATATAGTACACATACACCATGGAATACTATGCAGCCATTAAAAAGAATGAAATAATGCCCTTTGCAGCAACATGGAGGCAGCTGGAGGCCATTATCCCAAGTGAAATTAACACAGGAACAGAAAACCAAATACAATATGTTCACACTTACAAGTGGGAACTAAACACTGAGTACACATGGACATAAAGATGGGAGCCAATGCCAGGTGTGGTGGCTCATGCCTGTAATTCCAGCACTCTGAGAGGCCAAGGCAAGAGGACTGCTTGAGTTCAGGAGTTCAAGACCAGCATGGGCAATATAGTGAGACTTCGTCTCAATTAAAAAAAAAAAAAAAAAAGATGGGAGTCATAGACATTGGGGACTACTAGAGGGGGCAGAGAAGGAGGGGGAAAGGGCTAAAAAACTACCTATTGGGTACTGTCCTCACCACCTGAGTGATGAAATCATCTATACCCTAAACCTCAGTAGCACACAGTATACCCATGTAACAAACCTGTACATGTACCCCTGTATCTAAAATAAAAGGTGAAATTATAATTTTCAAAAAAAAACTCAAAGATGTGAAATTAAAAGCTGAAATACTGGACATAAATGTTACTTAGTAAGACTGGAGGGTGTACTGAGAGGAAGAAGGGGGAAAAAAGTATGGTGGAAGACAAAGCCTGACAGATAAAGGCAGATCTATGCCAAGGTGTAAACAGCCTTAACTCTATTCTACAGACAACTGAGGGTCACCTAATTAGATATGCATATTAGAAAGGTCACTGACCATATTAGAAAGGTCTCTGGTAGAACAGAATGGTAGGCAATAATCTAATATGATGTGGGAAAAAAGCACCAAAAGCAGGGCACCAGATAATAGCAAATAATTAGTGAATTCATAAACAAGGAATTAAGTAATTTAATAACTGACTGGGTATTTCAAATAAAATTAAAAGAAAACTTCATACCTATGAGAGATTTAATTCTTTATGTATACAGATTGTTGAGTATCCATAGATCTTATGGGACTTTGTGTCATAAACCCATTAAAAAGCAAATTCAGTAGAGCAATCATCTTTTAATAATGCTATTACTCAGCAACTAGATTTTTCTGACTGTTCCAATCTGTTGGAATGTAAATACCCTCAAATCAGATCTATTCATCACTTGCCCTCCAATTTAACATTTTGCACAAATGTGCCGGATTAGTAAAATTAAAGAAATACAGTAATATAACAGATTCTCAAAACATGGATAAAAATACAAAGTTTATCCAAACAGTTGGCAAAGTTTAGGTGGGAGTCAGGTTTCTTTTAAAGTAGATTTCTATAAAATTCTGCTAAGTAGCCAATAAATCAAACATTATAATGGGAATGTCTCCCAGTGGAATAGTATGCCTGGATTTTTTAATTTTCAGACAAAGACTTGAGACAGACACAATTTATGCATTACTGAGATCCTCTATAAAACCTGATAAAACCATAATGGTTTTGTCAAGGCACTTAAAAAGTTACTCAAACAGTTAACTTTTCATAAACAAAAATAATCGATCATACTGATTATATGATCCAAAGCTCCATACACCTTCCCAGCTCATAAAGCATGGCAATATCTCAAAGGAATGTTATTTATGGGTTAAAAAGCTTCAGTTTCCCCGGAGTTAAAAGTAAGCAAACTTTTGGTTTTTTTTAAAGTAGATCTCACAATAAAAACCCTCTCCTCTACGGTGCTGCAGGCATTTTGCCTTGACTCCTAACCACCAACATAGGATGATTTCTTTTAAAGCTGCTGCCTTCCGCCTACACCAAAATTCATTCTCGAGTCTTTACACTAACAACTTTAAGTCCGTAGGCATTAAGGTCAGATAAATCTAAAGTTTCAGAGTAGTTCAAGTACTCAGTTACTATTTCATAATCTCAGTCATTCTCTGGAATTAATTACACAGTGATTATTCAACAATTAAAATTCAACTCAGCTACAATTTGGTCTCACTTCACAAGAATTACCATCCTGGAATAGAATCCATTAGAACTACTGAGAATTCTTCATGAAGGATGAATTTCTTTGCATTGAAGGCTTAAGCCTTTTTTTCTTCAGTTTAGTTGTTCACAATGAAGTAGTATTAATTACAATCTTCTCACAAGGTCCATTCAATATTAACAGTGATTCACAAAGACGCATTTTATATTAATTTTCTTATTAGGTGATAAAAGAGCACATTTTATTTTTTTTTTTATTTTTTTTATTTTTTTTGCTTATATAACCAACAACAGTGCCTCCCACCCCTCCTTCCCTTGTTTGGCTGCTCTCTGAAACTACTGCCAGCTATTATTCTGGGGCTTCCCTTCACTGCTCGCTCCTAGGTACGTATTTGAGTCCTTTCATGCTCAATAGGGTCTTTGTTCTACCTTCATACTTAAATTACTGATTGAACACACACATATAATTGAGTTCTGGGTTGAAAGTCATTTTTCTTCAAGATTTTGAGAACATATATTTTAGCATCCAGAACTGCTATGCCTTTTAGGTTCCTGATTATTCGTACCCCTTTTTATTTCACCCCTATTACTTGAAAGCTTGAAGGATCTTGCCTTAATCCTGGGTGCCCTAAACTTCCATGATAATATGGCTCTGTGTTGCTTGAATTCATTGTGCTACATACATTAAGAACATGTTTAGTCTGGAAGCACAAATCATACAATGAGGAATGTTCTGATATTCTTTCTATTTTTTAGATGTCTTCCTATTCAGTTCTTGCCTTCTGAGGTCTATAATTTAATGTTCTCCTTCTATAAGATTGCCACTCTTACTCTTGCCTCTTTTCTCTTCTATTACCTATATATTTATCCCTTTATTCCACCGTCTTGGGAATGTCCTCCACTTGACTTTCTAACCCTTCCACAGAAAATTTTATTTCTACAGTCACATTTTTACTTTCCCTCCATTGTCTCTGATTACTTCTGGCTGCTTTTCTCCTTCTATTGCTTTTTTCTTTCTCATGGAAAGGCTTTTCTCAACTTGTTTTCCATTCATATTTAGAAAGTCACTAAGTAGCTAACCAGCAGCTCGATGTAAGTACATGGAGACCTATGACTTCATTCTAGAGTAACTGGGCACATCTAACTTTTTGGTAGGGATGTTCCCAACTATGTAATTTTTTTTAATTCCTATACTATCATTCTAATGATGTTTCAGAAGAGAAAGAAGATATAAATGTACGTAGACATTCTCCATGTTTATCAAGAAGTCCAATGTTTAACAAGGAAACACATCTTTATAGAATAATTCACTGTTAATTATTTTCATCATTGCCTTGGGAATGTTTAATAAAGTTTATTAATCTGACAATTTTACATTTCTCATTTTAATTTTTTTTTCTTTTTTTTTGAGAAAGTGTCTGTCGCCCAGGCTGGAGGGTAGTGGTACGATCTTGGCTCACAGCAACCTCTGCCTCCCGGATTCAAGCAATTCTCCTGCCTCAGCCTCCCAAGTAGCTGGGATTACAGGCGCCCGCCACCATGTCTGGCTAATTTTTGTATTTTTAGTAGAAACAAGGTTTCACCATGTTGGCCAGGCTGATCTCAACTCCTGACCTCAGGTGATCCACCCGCCTTGGCCTCCTAAAGTGCTGGGATTACAAGCGTGAGCCACCACACTCAGCCCATTTTAATCATTTTTTAAGCCTCAATCCTTAGTAATATAATTGTCTTATATAAGAATTGTAACTTAATCTTTAAAAGTTTGCTGTAAAATGCATTTCAGGTAAGTGGATTATGTTGTCACTGACTTGTATTCTAACTTTCATTATAAAATTGGAAATATTTTCCCTAAGGGGAAACAGGACTAATCCCAGGGTACAGTAACATCTTTTGAGATCTCTGAAATTTTAAAATCATTATGCACAGTGACTCGTGCATATAATCCCAACACTTTGGGAGACTGAGGTGGGAGGATCACTTGGGGCCAGGAGTTCAAGACAAGCCTGGTCAACATGACGAGATCTTGTCTCTACAAAAAAATTAAAAAAAAAAAATTTAGCTGGGTATGGTGGTGTATACCTGTAATCCCAACCATTTGAGAGGCTAAGACAGGTGAATCACCTGAGCCCAGGAGTTCAAGGCTGCAGTGAGCTATGATCACACCACCACACATTGGCCTGGGCAACAGAGCGAGATCCTGTCTCTAAAGAAAATAAACAAAATAATTATGAAAAGAAACTAAGTTTCACAGAAATGTTCAAATATACACAATAATGAAAAAGCACAACAATGTAAAAATATAGGTACCCGAAACTATCAGAACTATTATTACTGCTGATCATTCCTCACATATTATACCCACCACCTAGTGGCAATCCCACAAAAAAAAAAGTAATTTTTCAATATTTGAAAATGTTATATTCTAAATGAAGAGTTCTACAGCTCGATACAAGCAGAGGTAGAAATAGGAAACGTCAAAGAAGCTCTACCACTCTAAATAAGCCAGAGAGAAAACACTGTTGTTATTTTTTGGCATAATGACAAAAATAAATGGGATCTTTAGTTTCCATGGCACAAATTCCCCTTTTTTCCCTTTGTAAAAAATAAGTATACAGTCCACCTTATATTCTTGAGAATAATTTAACAGCTTCTTTTGTTAACAAGATACTGATAACCCCTTCTCATCATCCAGGGTAACTAATTAATATCTATAAAGTGAAATCATTTAAAATGTGCTGGACTGGATCAAGCCATGAAATCCATCTTAATCTAAAACTTAAAAACTTAGAACCAAGTAGCAACAGTAATTATAACCGACTGATGAACCAATTTTTCGGCAGAACATCAGAATTTAACTGTTTTTATAATATGAACAATCCATAACCAGTGTTATTGTTTTCATTTCCAAAAACAAAAACAGGCAGGAAATTTAAGTGACTCATCCATAGCCACATAACAGAGCACTAGGACAAGGCTCCTCTTTGTCCATCAACTGGCTGTCAACTGAACTGTGCCAACCCCTCTACTTTCTTTAAAAAATCTGTTTCTATCAGAGCCCACTGTAGAAATATTTTGCCACAGAAAAATTCTGCGTTTTAATAAATATTACTTAACATCCAATTTTCTGTTCCAAAAAAATGATTCAAGTATGCACTGTAATATATATTGCTGAAAGCCAGTTTAAAATAGCTAGGATTAGTGTAGCTCAGAAGTAACCAATTTTAAATTGTTCAAGTTAAACAATTTTAAAACGTTCACAAATAAATAGTAACAATTTTAAACTGTTCATGCCAAATGCTTCTGCTTCACAAGTATTCAAACACATCCTTATGACATAAAATCAAGATATCTTTTTTCATTCTTAACATCAGTTGAAAAAAGTCAAAGTCTCCTTGATCGAGTACTTTTTACTAATGGAATAAACTTAAGACAAAAGGAATATAGCAGAATCTTTGTTTTATCATTTAAGTCTCGATTTTTTTAACCACTTGGAATAGCACATATTATTACATTTTTAGGATATACTATTATAATTTTAATAATTTTCAGATAATCAAGTTTCACAGCCTTACACTGGTTAGAAATCATTAAAATTTTATCCCAGCATTAAAAAGACAACAAACATTATACATATTGAAGTCATAATTCTTTAAAACATTAAATCTCACCTTAAAAATCAACAACTGAGCAACAGATCAAAATTAGAAATTCACAGGATTCCAAAACTTTCTAACTGCATCAATTATTCTTTACAATTAAAAATACAGCTATTAGGCCGGGCACGGTGGCTCACACCTTTAATCCCAGCACTTTGGGAGGCCAAGGTGGGTGGATCACGAGGTCAGGAGATCAAGACCATCCTGGCTAACACGGTGAAACCCCCATCTCTACTAAAAATACAAAAAACTAGCCAGGCGTGGTGGCAGGCGCCTGTAGTCCAGCTACTCGGGAGGTTGAGGCAGGAGAATGGCATGAACTCGGGAGGCGGAGCTTGCAGTGAGCCGACATTGACCCACTGCACTCCAGTCTGGGCCACACAGCAAGATTCCATCTCAAAAAATATCTCTATATACAGCTATTATATTACTATGAGGGAAAAAATAAATCTCACAATTAAAAATGTCATGACATCTGCATAATTACATCTGTTCTTCATTTATAATTTACTTATTATCACAAGAAAATGCCAGAAACTTATACACCAATTATCTCCTACAAAAATTAATGTGATCAAATGTTCAATCTAATCAGTAATCCAAAAAATATATACTAAAATGAGATGTTATCATTCTTTTGACATGGTCCGAAAAATGAGATACTATTTCTGGCCAGGCGCAAGTGGCTTACGCCTGTAATCCAAACACATTGGGAGGCCGAGGCAGGCGGATCACTCGAGGTCAGGAGTTCAAAACCAGCCTGGCCAACATGGTGAAACATCTCTACTAAAAATTTAAAAATAAGCCAGGGGTGATGGCACACACCTGTAATCCTAGCTACTCAGGAGGCAGAGGCAAGAGAATTGCTTGAACCCACGAGGCGGAGGTTGCAGTGAGTGAGCCGAGATCGTGCCACTGCACTCCAGCCTGGGTGACAGAGCAAGACTCCATCTCAAAAAGAAAAAAAAAAAAAAAGGAGAGAGATACTATTTCTGCCTACAGAATTAGAAAACAAATTTATTGTGATACTCTGCTAATGAAGATGGAATTTACACATTTAAGTATTGTAAACAATTTAAATTGGTATAGTAGTTTTGAAAAGCAACATGACTATATGCATATACATCAAGAGTCATAAGAAAGTTTAGACTTTTTGACCCAGTATTTTCACTTCCAGGCATCTATCCTTAAGAAAACAATCAAAAGTTTATTTATACAAGACTCAGAATCAACCTAAATGCCCATCTACAGGTAAATAGTATTCCGCCACAAAAAAGAATGAAATCCTGTCATTTGCAGGAACACAGATGGACCTAGAAGATAATATATTAAGTAAAATAAGCCAGGCACAGAAAGACAAACACTGTAAGAACTCACTCATACACGGAATCTAAAAAAATTGATTTCATAAAAGTAGAGAGTAGAATAGTGCTTACCAATGAAAGAGGGTGGAGGACAGGGGGAGGACCAGGAGAGGTTGTTCAATGGGTACAAAGTTATAGTTAGGAAGAATAAATTCTGGTGTTGTTACACAGTAGGGTGAATACAGCAAATAGTAATGTAGTGTTTATTTCAAGATAGCTAAAAGAGACTTTGAATGTTGTTACCACAAAGAAATGACACGTTTAAAGCAGTAAATATACTTTGATCATTATACTACATATACAAGCACTGAAACATCACATTGTACCCCATAAATATGTACAATTATGTGTCAATTATAAATAAAAATTAATTTTAAAAAAGCTTATATTCTCCGAAGCGGCAGTTAACAAAAAAAAAGAGGTGGAGAGGGAGGGGCAGGTGAAAAACAAAACAAAGAAAAAAACTTGGAAATAAATATTTAACAATAAAAGGTAATTAACTAAATTATAATACGGTATAATTCAGCATTCGAAGAGTGAACAACCACAGGTTTGATTACTCAATACGAATTACCATGAAAAGCTATGACATACAGTGAATAATATGTACATGAAACCTGTTATGAGGATTAAATGAAAGACCATGTATCTCCAATAGGCACTTTTTCACACATTAACACGTTTAAAATTGAGATGTATTTAGCATTTGATGATGTGTCATTACTTAATTGGCAGTGACTTTTTTCTTTCTTAGCAGTATATAAAATATTAATTGTGTACCTTAGAATTCATGATATTTTAGATTCAATGAAACCTGGTACTGTAATGAATTGAAGATCTAAATTTGAAAGGCAGAAAGTACTTTGAGGTTGGTAACCTGAAACTAGACATCTAAATAGCAAGTGAGTCTAGAGACCTCTCAGCATCTTCCTTCATTTCATCAGTAAAACCTACTTGCAGCATACTGAATAATGTTCATTTTTGGGTTTTGTGAAGAAGTTACATTGCATATGAAGGAATATCATGTTGCCTTTGCTTTTCAAAAAATTTGTTTAATAGCATGACAAACGCTTATTTCTTTCCTCAATTCCTTAATTCCACCTTAATTCCTTAATTCCCTTCTCCCACCTCCTTCCTCAGGTCCACACTCTCCAGCCTTCTCAACTGCTCCAAGTTCCTCCAAGTATTCCAGGTTTATCCCATCTCTACGCTTTAGCTCAAATGGCTTCTTCTGACAAAATCATTCTGGACCGGAGGCAGTGGTTCATGCCTGTAATCTTAACATTTTGGGAGTCCAAGGCAGGAGGACCACTTGAGGTCCAGAGTTCAAGACCAGCCTGGCCAACATGGTGAAACACCTTCTCTACCAAAAATACAAAAATTAGCTGGTATTACATTACATGAATCGGATATCCCCACCATCAGGGTGCTTCAGTTTAGTGGGGAGAACATAAGTAAATACAAGCAATATCGTTTTTTTCAGGATCTGCTGGAAGAGTGTGTGGGGGACACAGTGGGAATAAAGGTGAGAAAGACTGGTGGGAGGAGATTGGGCTGAGGCAGAAGAAGCTCAGGGAAAGATGATGCTAGAACGTGGTTCTGGAATGACTTTTTGTTTATTTTGAGATGAGTCTTGCTCAGTTGCCCAGGCTGGAGTGCAGTGGCACGATCTTGGCTCACTGCAACTTCCGCCTCCCAGGTTCAAGTGATTCTTATGCCTCAGCCTTCCAAGTAGCTGGGACCACAAGCACCCACCACCACACCTAGCTAATCTTTTGTGTTTTTTCACCATGTTGCCCAGGCTGGAAACTTTTGCACTGTTAATGTGCCAAATTCTAATGATTTTTTTAAAGTCACATTTGTTGAGGTATAATTTACATATAGTAAAATTCAACTTCTTAGGAGTACAGTTCAAGATACAGAATAGGCCGGGCATGGTGGCTCAAACTGTAATCCCACAAGTTTGGGAGGCCAAGGTAGGAGAATTACTTGAGCCCAGGAGTTCAATACAATCCTGGGCAACATAGTGAGACTCCTATCTCTACAAAAGACATAAAAATTAGCTGGGTATGGTGGTGCATACCTGTAGTCCCAGCTACTTGGGAAGCTGAAGTGGGAGGATCACTTGATCCCAGGAGGTTAAGGCTGCAGTGAGCCATGATTGTGCCACTGCACTCCAGCCTGGGCAACAGAGCAAGACTGTCTCAAAAAAAAAAAAAAATACATATATATATATATATATATATATATATATAGAGAGAGAGAGAGAGAGAGAGAGAGAGAGAGAGAGAGAGAGAGAGAGAGAGAGAATAGTTCCATTCCCCCATATATATATATATATGGAATAGTTCCATTCCCCCAAAAAGTTCCCTCATGCCCCCTTTGTAGTCAATTTCATTTGCCTTTCTTAGCTCCTGGCCACCACTTATCTGATTTCTGTTATTATGGAGATTACTTTTGCCTGTTCTAGAATTTCATATATATGGAATCATGTATTCCTGAGTTCTGGTGTCTTTCACTTAGCATAATGCTTGTGAGATTCATGCATGTTGTTGTGGCTGTCAGTAGTTGGGTTCTATTTACTGCTGAGTAGTTTTTCACTGCATGGGGTTATTTGCTTATCTGTTGATTTGCTGATGGATACTGGAATTGTTTCCAATTTGGGGTAACTATTAATAAAGCTGCTACAAATATTCACATGTGAGTCTTTGTGTAGACATTGCTCTTGGATAAATACCTGGGAGTAGGATTCCCAGCAGTATGGTAAGCAACATATGAGAGTTCCCATTGTTCGACATCCTTGCTAGCATTTAGTAGTATAAGTGTAAAAAATTTTAGCCTTTCTAGTGGGTGTGTAGTGCTATGTCATTGCATAGGCATCTTTACAAAATAAATGGCCTGAACTCCTCAAAAATTTTAAGGTCGTGAAACACAAAGAAAGGTAAATAACTATTCCAGATGACGTGAGACTAAAGCACTAACAAGTGAATGCAGCGCAGAATCTGGGACTTATCTTTGCTATGAATGACATGCTTCAGACATGTGAACTCCGAAAACAGTCTGCAGATTTTAAAGTATAGTAGTGATAACTGTTACCTATGGTCAGATGAGATAATGATTCTGCTATCAAGAAATACACACTGAAGTGTTTAGGGGTAAAGGGACAGCATGTCAACTTACAGTCAAAAAGTTCAGAAAAAAAGTTGTGCAAGACGTGTGTATATGTATGTATATGTACAGAGAAAGAGAAAATGATAAAGAAAATGTGGTAAGGTGTTCATCTGAGAAATCTGGGTAAAGGGTATGCAGGAATTCACTGTACAGTACAGCCCTTGCAGCCCTTCTGGAAATATGAAATTAAGAGCAAAATAAAAATGAAAAGAAAAAATATATAGGAATACTACAAAGAAACTATAAAACATTATTAAATTAACAAAGACCTAAATAAAGTAAGCAACACACTATGACCTTAGGTGAGAAGACTCAATGCTACTGAAAATGTCAGTTCTCTCCAACATGATCTCTAGGTTGAATGCAATCCCAATTAAAATTTCAACAGATTTTCTTCCAGGAACTTGACAAGCTTATTCTAAAACGTATGCAGAAATGCAAAGGCCAAGAATAGCCAAGACATTCTTCAAGAAGACCTAGACAGGAAGAAAAGATTTACTATAAAGCCACAATAAAACAGTGTGGTAATAGTGCATGAACAGACAGACCAAGGAAAAAGAGCAAAGATTTATATATATATAAATATATAGGCTGGGCACAGTAGTTCACACTTGTAATCCCAGCACTTTGGGAAGCCAAGGCGGGCAGATCACCTAAGTCAGGAGTTTGAGACCAGCCTGGCCAACATGGTGAAACCCTGTCTCTACTAAAAAACACACACACAAAAAAAATTTAGCTGGGCGTGGTGGCAGGTGCCTGTAATCCCAGCTACTCAGGAGGCTGAGGCAGGAGAATCACTTGAACCTGGGAGGCAGAGGTTGCAGTGAGCCAGGATCGCACCACTGCACTCCAGCCTGGGCAACAGAGCAAGACTCCATCTCAAAAAAAAATTGTTTTAATTTTAAAAATAAATATATAAATATTTACTTGATTTAATTTACAACAGAAGTAAGCAATGCAGATAATGGGGAAAGATGAACTTTTCAATAAATGCCACGGGGACAACTGGATATCCACTTGGGGGTAAAAAATAAAATTTGAGTCCTACTGCACATCATATACAAAAATTATACATAGGTGGGTCATACATCTATATGTGAAAAGCAAACAATAAAGCTTCTATAAGTTTGTATAGAAGATTACCTTCATGATCTTACAATAGGAAAAAAAAAAATTAACAGAACGCAAAAGCCAGGCAGTGGTAGCACGTGCCTATATTCCTAGCTCCACGGGACGATCGCTTGAGCCCAGGATTTCGAGGCTGCAGTCACGCCTGTGAATAGCCACTGCAGTCTGGTGTGGACAACACAGTAATACCCAGTCTCAAAAAAAAAAAAAAAAGAAAAGAAAAGACCAAAAAACAAAACAAAACAAAAAACTAGGATCCAAAACAACATTAATCACAAAGGAAAAGATGTATAAATTTGACAAATTAAGAACTTGTGTTCTTAATTACTACACTATACTACTTCCTCCAAAAGAATACATTTCAGGATAATTTCCAGCTATTCTTATGACTTTCTTTTTAAATAGGAGAAAGCTTGCTACTCTGTGCTTCCAAAGATTAGCCTGGGAAAAGCTACATATAAAACCAATGTAACTTGTACATTATACTAAATTCATTCCTCTGTTTGCCCAGCAATAGAACAGACAGCAATTAATATACATCCCTCTCTCTCCCTTTTCCTGAGTTGTAAGAGCCTGGCATACAGTTGATGCTCAATAAAATATCCCTTGAATAAATGACTAGATGAAAAAATGATAATTTACATTTACTTAATTAAAAACACTATATAAATCCATATTTGGAGAACAAATGAAAGTGTGCACTGAATACTAAAAGCATAAGGAATTATAAAGTAACTCCTTACATTATTACACTGCCCCCCACCAATTCCAAGGATTAACAAATTAAACCACAAATCACTTTTAGTTTCTCTATAACAAAGTTTCAAACTAAAGCTACACCCCGCAATCTTCAGCTGATACTTTATTCCTCAGCTCCACCCTCTTTTTTTTTTTTTTTTTTTTTTTTTTTGAGACGGAGTCTCACTCTGTTGCCCAGGCTGGAGTGCAGTGGTGCGACCTCGGCTCGCTGCAAGCTCCGCCTCCCGGGTTCACGCCATTCTCCTGCCTCAGCCTCCCAAGTAACTGGGACTACAGGCGCCCGCCACCACACCCAGCTAATTTTGTTTTTGTATTTTTAGTAGAGACGGGGTTTCACCATGTTAGCCAGGATGGTCTCGATCTCCTGACCTAGTGATCTGCCCACCTCGGCCTCCCAAAGTGCTGGGATTACAGGCATGAGCCACCGCGCCGGGCAAACTTCCCTTTCACTTTGCTCTTCTCCATACTGCCATATCCTATGGAAAGCTGGCTTTCCCCAGCCTGATTCTATTACACTCCTAATTCTGGCTTTCAACTTCACTTCCATTCTCTGTGTCCAATCCTATTTTTTTTTTCAAACTTCCCTCCCAATTCCAAGTCCCTCAAATAAAGTCTCCCCCATTCAGGATCTCTCTGGCTACTCATATAAAAAGTCATGGCTGGGCACGGTGGCTCACACCTGTAATCCCAGCACTTTGGGAGCCCAAGTCGGGCGGATCACGATGTCAGGAGATGGAGACCATCCTGGCTAACACGGTGAAACCCCGTCTCTACTAAAAATACAAAAAATTAGCCGGGCATGGTGGCATGCGCCTGTGATCCCAGCTACTCGGGAGGCTGAGGCAGGAGAATAACTTGAACCCGGGAAGCACAGGTTGTAGGGAGCGGAGATGGCGCCACCGCACTCCAGCCTGGGCAACAGAGCAAGACTCTGTCTCATAAATAAATAAATAATAAATAAAAATAAAAAAGTCCCTCCACCATGATCCCACTTAAGACAAACTCTGATAAACAAGAACTATACTCAAACTTCTTTCCTCATCCCATCAACCATAAGGCAGAAATCTGACCTCTTCCTAATACACAGCCTTTTTGCTCCCCTCACCTTAAAAAATTCACAAATAAAGGTCATGTAATTATGTTGTGGTCTAGATGATAAATTTCCAACTCTTTCATAATGCCTGCAAACACTAAATGATCATCAAAATGATAGGTGGATCCTAGGCATTAATAAAGGAACCTTGACTTTATTGTCAAAATAATCAATGTTATTGACCTTTTAGACACAGCCCGAGGCCCTTACTAATTATGGTATGTGTCAACATTACTGAGGTAAGTGGGATATTTTAAATGGCAAAAAAAAAAAAAAAAGAAGATATCAAATGTCATCTCAGAGATGGAAACTATCCCTTCTGGAAAATATGTCATTATTAAAATAAAGACCTCTACCCTGTGAGCCATCATCAAAATACCGGAAGAGAAAAAGGGAGAAATGCTGAAAGCACCACTTAACAAGTCTACTTCGACGTCCTAATTTCCACAAGTTGGGTTACCGGTTCAGTGAACCCAACCATGTGACCCAGGCAATATTTCCCATTCAAAATCAAAACAAGACCTTGTGCCTATAGGCTATTTCCCAAAGGATAGAAAAACTAAAACTTTAGGAGAAAACTAGAGGCACTCTGAGGAAAGACTAAAAATCTATCTGGGAGGCCAGGCTCAGTGGCTAATACCTGTAATCCCAGAATTTTGGGAGGGCAAGGGAAGAGGATCGCTTGAGCCCAGGAGTTCAAGACCAGCTTGGGCAACATAGCAAGACCCCATCTCTACAAAAAAAAATTAAAAATTAGCTGGGCATGGTGGCGCATGCCTGTAATCCCAGCTACTCCAGAGACTGAGGTGGTAGGATCACTTGAGCCTAGGAGATCAAGGCTGCAGTGAGCTGCGATCATGCCACTGCACTCCAGCCTGGGTGACAAAGCAAGACCCTGTCTTCTCAAAAAAAAAAAAAAAAAAAAGCTAACTAGCTAACTGAGGATTATCAAGGACTATCACTTGTTCTTTTGTGAAAAACTAAATTTGCAACAAGTAAATTTCAGAGAGGTCCATCCACAAAGACACTCAGAATCCTTGGCCAGACAGAGAGAATTTGTTTTCAGCTTAAGAGATAGTATGCACAGCAATAATAGATAAAGGGCAAGAAAACAAGGACACATAAACACAGGCTAAAAAGGGAAAAGAGAAAGAAGAGAAAGGAAACTTGAATCTAGAGATGGGATAACAGAGCAAGAATGAAAAGTGTAACAAGCAGAGCAACAAACTGGTTAAGAGAATGGTAAGACATTCAGCACTGAAAACTAAATGAATAGCAGGCAAGGAAGAAATTAGAGATCCGTAATAATCACCATATGAAATGACTCAAGTATAAACCTTTTTCTTTCCATTTTTCCTTTTAACCAGCTATAAAGAATGACAAAAAAAATACTTTCATGCTGTCCTGCCCCTTCCAAAAAAAAAGAATTAAAAAATTATGTGGAAGCAGCAGCAATAAGAATCTTGAATATAATAAGGGTAAGAGACAGTAAAAGACAGTGTAAGGTAAGAATTTATCTTGGTATAAGAAACCAAGATAAATCCACAAAATCTATGACAATATAAAACTATTTTAAACTGACACACATTAAGGTAATGTGTACAGTAATTGCATTTTGGTCTATCATTAAATTCAAACAAAATCCCCAGCACAAAGTCAGATTCAAAATGCAAAGGAAAATATGTTTTTTGAAATTTTCATTAAGCCAGAGAACTGAGCAACCCATCCCAAAGTCATCTCAATTTCCTGCCCATACTTTATATGACTCACCTCACTATAATATTTAGAGTAAGGTTACTCAGAATAATTAGTTTCACTCTGAACTCCAGCACCAGTCCTCATCTGTCCACACGTGGTTTAGGTGACACGCCACTCCCCCCATTCCTTTATCTTTTTTTTTTTTTTTTTTTTTTTTTTGAGATGGAGTCTTGCTCAGTCGCTCAGGCTGGAGTACAGTGGCGCGATCTCGGCTCACTGCAAGCTCCACCTCCCAGGTTCAAGTGATTCTCCTGCCTCAGCCGCCCGAATAACTGGGACTACAGGTACCTACCACACCCGGCTAATTTTTCTATTTTTAGTAGAGACAGGGTTTCACCATATTAGCCAGGCTGGTCTCTGAACTCCTGACCTCGTGATCCACCTGCCTCAGCCTCCCAATGTGCTGGGATTACAGGCATGAGCCACCCACGGAGCCCCCTTTGTCTTATCTTATCTTGAACAGAAACAGTTTCTCCAAATGACACTGGAGGAAACACATGCAACCTTGAAAACCTGGAAAGCTGAGTTATCCCCAGCAGAGATCAACGTGTCAACTCCATGCTGGAGATGGAGGAACTCAAAAAATATCCCTCTCACTGTTACAGAATGGGTCAAATTCTCCAAGGGTATCCTCTATACGTAGCATATCTGCTGTGCACAAAGGCCACTGAAGAGTCACCATTCCATGCACACAATTTGTACTCCTGCCAGAAAGACCTCTCCCCTATTCTTCCTGTATTGCATTTCTACTCTCTGCTTCAAAAATTAAGCAAATCTCTCCTCCTCCCCGAAGTCATTCACTCTAACCCTTCTCAGGATTAGGTACCCCTTTCTATGAACCTACTTTTAACTTTACATAGTGTTAGTCTCTCTCTGCTTTGTTTTCTACTTTATTCTCAAAATAATCAATTTTACTGACCTTTTAGATGCCCAAGGCCCAATTTTGTTATTAAATTTTAATCTCGGCTGGGCACGGTGGCTTATGCCTGTAATCCCAGCACTTTGGGAGGCTGAGGTGGGCGGATCACTTGAGGTCAGGAGTTTGAGACCGACCTGGCCAACATGGTGAAACCCTGTGTCTACTAAAAATACAAAAATTAGCCAGGTGTGGTGGTGTGCACCTATAGTCCCAGCTACTCTACTCGGGAGGCTGGGGCAGGAGAATCACTTGAACCTGGGAGGCGGAGGTTGCAGTGAGCCGAGATCAAGCCACTGCACTCTAGCCTGGGTGACAGAGCAAGACTCTATCTCAAAAAAAAAGAAAAAAAAAAAGTTTAATCTCTCCTTAGAGTTTAAGGTCCAGGATTACATACTGCTTATTCATAAGCAGCCAGTATCTAACATAGTATATCATATAGAGGGAATTATTAAATATTTGTTGATTGAAGGGATGAGTAGTAAATGCCCTCTTCAACCCAAATGGCTAAACATAGCTCTATGTTCAGTTAAAACCTGTAACAAAGTTTCAGAGAAGATTAAAGTTTCTGGAGGAACAGATGTATATCAGTATTAGTTTATCTTCACAAAACTTCAAATCCAGCATATACCTTATGTTGTCTCTATAAAGAACAAAAAAATTAATATCAAGTAACATTTTCACATCACATATTTATTTATTTTATTTTATTTATTTTTGAGATAGAGTCTCGCTCTGTCACCCAGGCTGGAGTGCTGTGGCACAATCTCGACTCACTGCAATCTCCGCCTCCTGGGTTACAGTGATTCTTCTGCCTCAGCCTCCCAAGTAGCTGGGATTACAGGTGTGCACCACCACACCCAGCTAATTTTTGTATTTTTTAGTAGAGACAGGGTTTTGCCATGTTGGCGAGGCCGGTCTTGAACTCCTGACCTCAGATGATCCGCCCCCCTCAGCCTCCCAAAATGCTGGGATTACAGGCATGAGCCACTGCGCCTGGCCACATCACATATTTAAAGTGTGCTGATTTAACAATGATCTTTGCCACTACCCAATTTTTTTTCCTAGACCTCCAGCCCCCATTACCCAATTATTTTGCAACAAGTAGATTTCAAAGAGGTCCATGAAGACAGTCAGAATCCAGAATCCTTGGCCAGACAGAGAGAATTTGTTTTCAGCTTAAGAGACAGTACATACAGCAGTAAGATATAGGGCAAGAAAATAAGGACACATAAAAACAGGCTTAAAAGGGAAAGAAGAAAAAGGAAACTTGAATCTAGAGATGGGATAACAGCAAGAATGAAAAGTGTAACAAGCTACAGCAACAAACTGGTTAAGAAAAAGGTAAGTCATTTAGCACTGTAAACTAAACGAATAGCAGGCAAGGGAGAAATGAGAGATCTGTAATAATTACCACATGAAATGACTAAAGCATAAAACCTTTTTCTTTCTACTTTTCTTTTTAAACAGCCATAGAAAAAGAATTTAAAAAAAGAAAACACTAAGGTTAATGAACACAATATATAGTTCCTAAAGTGAAAATGACATATTACAATAAAGTATCAAAAATGAAAGACAACTCAGTCAATTAAAACAGATATGCTGTCTCAAAATGCATTTTTTTAAAACAACAGTTTTTATTAAGAATTTTTTTTTTTTCAGATGGAATCTCACTCTGTCACCCAGGCTGGAGTGCAGTGGCACAATCTTGGCTCACTACAACTTCCACCTCCTGGGTTCAAGCAATTCTCCTGCCTCAGCCGCCCAAGTAGTTGGGACCACAGGCACTTGCCACCACGCCTGGCTAATTTTTGCATTTTTAATGGAGACTGGGTTTCACCATGTTGGCCAGGCTGTTCTCAAACTCCTGACCTCAGGTAATCTGACCACCTCGGCGTCCCAAAGTGCTAGGATTATAGGTGTGAGACACTGCACCCGGCCTCGTTTTTTATTAAGAATTTACACCAGGCACAGTGGCATGTGCCTGTAATCCCAGCACTTTGGGAGGCCAAGATGGAAGGATCACTTGAGGTCATGAGCTGGAGACCAGACTGAACAATGTAGCCAAACCCTATCTCTTTTTTTTTTTTTTTTTTTTTTTTTTGAGACAAAGTCTCACTCTGTCATCCAGCCTAGAATGCACTGGCGGGATCACGGTTCACTGCAGCCTCAACCTCCTGGGCTTAAGCAATCTTCCCATTTCGGCCTCCCAAGCAGCTAGGACTACAGGCATGCACCACCATACCCAGCTGATTTTTTTATTTGTTTTTTTGTAGAGATAGGATTTATGTTGCCCAGACTGGTCTGAACTCCTGGGCTCAAAGGATCCTCCTGTCTCAGCCTCTCAAAATACTGGGATTACAGGCGTGAGCCACTGCAGCTGGCCTCCATTTTTTTTTTAAGTATTTAAAAAAAGAAAAAAAAGAATTTCATTAGCAAACAAACTCAAATGGCAACAGAAGTAATTAGGAGAATAATTAGCTTATATTCTGGTTCACTTTCAATGCCTTTTTTTCTCTTCGGGAAATTAGAAAAAGGCAGAAAAAAAATTTTTTTTTTTTTTTGAGACGGAGTCTCGCTCTGTCACCCAGGCTGGAGTGCAGCGGCACTAACTGGGCTCAATGCAAGCTCCGCCTCCCGGGTTCAAGCCATTCTCCCGCCTCAGCCGCCTGAGTAGCTGGGACTACAGGCGCCCGCCATCACGCCCGGCTAATTTTTTTTGTATTTTTTAGTAGAGACGGGGTTTCACCATGTTAGCCAGGATGGTCTCAATCTCCTGACCTCATGATCCGCCTGCCTCGGCCTCCCAAAGTGCTGGGATTACAGGCGTGAGCCACTGTGCCCGGCCAGAAATTTTTTAGAACTATTTATTTTACTTATATTCACTAAGCCAATACAAGACATATATATAAACAAAATACCATAAAGCAATTAAACAAAACTGTTGACTTACTGCAAAATTCTTAAGAAACCATAAAATATAGAAGACAATATACTATATTCATTGGGTGTGATGATGTACGTCTGTAATCCAGCTACTCAGGAGGGTGTAACAGGATGATCACTCAAGCCCAGGAGTTTAAGATCAGCTTGGGCAATACAGCAAGACTCTGTTTCAATTTTTAAATTAAAAAAAAATACCATATTGTACAATATTTGTAAGGTGTCTTATACCTTGGCCATTATAAGTAATTAACAATCAAAATATCCATTTCTCTAAATCAGAATATAATATGGTGTCTTGATTCTATGCTGTATTAAACTGTTTTTTCAAGTTTGAAACTGTCTCCCACGGTCTTGGCCTTCAAATAATTTCATTCTGGAAACTGAAGAACAAAGAATACTTTTTTCTTTGTATTATAAGCTAAACTAAAATGAATTGGGGGCAGGGAATAAGTGTTTCTTCATATAAAATCACAAACTTGGCTGGGTGCAGTGGTTTATGCCTGTAATTCTAGCACTTTGGGAGGCCACAGGGGGCAGACAGATTGAGCCCAAAAGTTTGAGACCAGCCTGGGCAACACAGCGAAACCTTGTCTCCACAAAAAAAAATATATATATATAAATTAGCTGGGTGTGGTGGCGCATACCTGTAGTCCCAGCTACTGGGGAGACTGAGGTGCCAGGATCATCTGAGCCCAGGAAGTCAAAGTTGCAGTGAACTGAAATTGCGCCACTGCACTGTAGCCCAGGTGACACAGTGAGACCCTGTTTCAAAAAAAAAAGAAAGAAAAGAAAAAGAAAAAAAGAGAAAGAAATCACAAACTCAACTTTTTAAAAAAATCTTTTAAACCCAAAGTCTGTGTTTCAAACAGCCAGCCACATTTGTGTAAATAATTATGCCAGGAAACCATATTTTTATCACTTGATAAAGTGATCCATCTTTATCACTTGAGCTTGGGAGTACTAGGCCCTGAAGACACAAGCGTAAATTCTGATATGTACCCTTAAGAAAGATATTAATACATTTAACAATGAGATACTTTTCTCATCCATCACAGTTATGAAAATTAAAAACCTGCCACATTGAGTTGTTCTCACTTTGAGACTATAAACTGGTAAATCCTCTGAACCAGTATTTCTTAGTACACACCAAGGATATCTGCTAAAGCACTGTTAAGAGAGGAAAAACCACAAACCATCTGAATACCTATCGATTAAAAAAATGGTTTCGTAAACTATGCTGTATCTGGACAGAGAGTCATGCAATAATTTTTTAAAGTAAGGTGAATCTTTATCTTCCAACATGAGCTATTGTTACATAAAAAAATAGAATTGTAAAACATTTTATGGAGTACAAGATCTTTCATGTTAAAAAAACAAACAAATAAACAAAAAACACATACAAGGCCAGGCACAGTGGCTCAGACCTATAGTTTCAGCACTTTGGGAGGCCAAAGTGGGAGCATTGCTTGAGGCCAGGAATTTGAGACCAGCCTGGGAAACACAGCACTACCCCATCTCTACCAAAACACATACACACACACACACACACACACACACACACTGCACGTTTCTACAAGACTAAAAATGTAAGTAATAGTAAAAGACAGACATATACACACCAAAATGATAGTAGTGCTTAGTTTCTAAATAGGGAAGAGCAACCAGGTGGTGGCCTAGGGGAATGCCAACCGCTGTATTATTTTGATTTCTGGTTGGCAAAAGGATGCATTCACTTTTTAGCTGATTAACTTAAAATGAACACAATGTAAACAGATGTTATTCAAAAAGATTTATGGGGCTTTAACCCTTTCTAACCATTGCTGCTAATATTCTTTTTTAAAAAATAGTATTATAAGTTCCCTTGCTCATTAAGTCCTTGACTAGCCCAATCTTACCACCTCTGAGAAATTTTATGTTGATAGGATGGCCTAGAATTTATATTTGGAGAAAACAATATTTAAAAAGTGACAATATATTCACAGTGCACAGGATAAAATTATTTATTGAATAGACATTTATGGAGCATCTATTCTAACAGGGAAAAGTACTAGGCCCTGAAGACACAAGAATAAAATCAAGCGTTTACAACTTACAAAAGGAGAAAGACAAGTACACCACAATGTACAGCAATATTTATAGTACTGACATAAAGTAGTCCTAGAAATGGTGCTCGGGGGAGCAGTGAAGGACAAGGACCAGGACACAGGAACTCCATTTTGAATGGAGTATTAAAAGATGAGTAGGATAAAATCTTAAAGAAATGATACGCTACACATTCCATGAAAACAAAACGAAAAACACCAGTGTGCTCTGCCTATCAGGATTCAAGCTACCTTGTAAATATCACTAATTACTCATATTAGGAACAGATTGGTCAACTCCATTAAAAAGCCACTTTCCATCCCTGCATAATAGTAGCTCTATGGATTTGTGACTCAGACCATATTCCCTCAAACCAATGCATTACTAAACTTTAACTAGACATCAGAATTGTTAAACAATAACAAAATAAAATTGAACAACTGAATAAAGCTGAAGCCCTGAGCAGCCTAACTGGAAAAGGAGAAGACCCTTTTATAGGTCATATACACCTCCTGACCTGTATTTGGCAATCTGCTCCCCAACTGTCAACAGATAAGCAGCACAGCCCTCAAGGTTGGAGACTGATCTTTGGTAAAGCAGGCATCCACCCCAGATGCTGCTGTCTCCCGTACACAGGCCTCAGAGCCAAGGGAGGCCTGGAACCTGAGAAGTTTATTTCCAATTTGGACAGTTGCCAATGCATCTCATTTGAAGCATCCAGAGACAAGGGCCAGCCCAACCCCCCAGTGCCAGAAGCCAAGGCAGCATTATCTTCTGTATAAGTTCTTGACCCAGAGGTGACCTGCACAATTTCTTCTGTGCCTGCTATGGAAGAATTTGCTCAGCTCGGCTATTATGAAGACTCTAACCTTACCAGTGGCAACATGGCAACCACAAATCCCAAATCCCGGGAGGATTATACTTAATGGAGAGAACTCACTGTACTATTGGGACTACTGGCACTGCAAAAACGGCACCTTCTTTACAATGTATAAATGATAATATCAAAGGATAATCTTGTATACATAAAATAATTTCTCACCGGACGTGGTGGCTCACACCTGAAATCCCAACACTTTGGGAGGCTGAGGCGGGCAGATCACCTGAGGTCAGGAGTTCAACACCACCCTAGCCAACATGGTGAAACCCCATCTCTACTAAACATACAAAAATTAGCCAGGTGTGGTGGCATGTGCCTGCAATCCCAGCTACTCGGGAGGCTGAGGCAGGAGAATCGCTTGAACCTGGGAGACAAGAGGTTGCAGTGAGCCAAGATCGTGCCATTGCACTCCAGCCTGGGTGACAGAGTGAGACTCCGTCAAAAAAAAAAATAGTAATAATAATAATAATAATTTCTCAATAAACTCCCCCAGTTTTAAGCACCACTTCATAAAAGTGGGGGGAAGGGATTAAAATTAAAGCTAAGGGGAAGACTTCAATTCCTTGATTTTCCTCTTTAAGGAAAATCTCTAACAAATATACCATAAAATTTTAACTATTATTTAAGAAGCTACTTTTTTAAAGGTAAGAAGACAATTGTTACATGAAAAGTAAAAACACCCATGTTGCTTTAATGTATTTCAATATTTAAAGGTCTAAATGGTCACATAAAACATTAAATTGCATTCATTCTCTAATGGTAGCAAAAAAGATCCAATGGAAAGTAAATGAATATCAGCAATTTAGTGGTAGAAAGACAGAAATGCATGAAAAGAACATGTCAAAAGTAAAGATAACTTTATTCAAACTACTGGATTATGGGTCTATCAATTATTTAAATTTATACAGGGCTATAATTAATAAAAATCATTAATCCTATTTGGTACAAAAATGTTAACTATCATGCTGTTAAATTACATTCACCTAGAAAAATATATACCATTTTATTATGTAAAAATAAGTTCATTACATTTTATTATGTAAAAAAGCATTTATATTACCTGTTATATTTAACATCTCAAAAAACTATTTGCTTTGGACTATGAATGAACATTCATTTACATAATTCATCAAGCAATTATTAAGTGGGGCTATAGCAAGGTGTTACAGTAGTATCATTATGATAATTACTCTTCTTGATACAGCAGCATTAGTCAGAGAAACAACAACCATAAATTCCAGGTCTAGAAATGAAATTTCCCAGTCACCTTATAAAGATGAAAATGCATTTAATTTTTAAGGCCTTCTAAAAAACTAGTGATTATCTCTATGTAATAGAAATATCAAAGATTCTTATTCACTTCATTTTGGTTTTGTGGATTTTCCACAATGAACAAATAAGTTGATTTTGTAGTTTGGGAAGGGTGAATTTTTAAAGAGGCCTGATTAGTTCACAGAGGTATTCCGTCACCCATCCTAATGTTTTGCCACCATCTTACACTGCTCTTTCTCACATCTTTCCTCTCTAATATGGTTTCATAGCACCCACAGAACTTCTCCACTGAAGCATAACCATATGATAAAAGGTTGTTTAATGTCCATCTCCCTACTGCAACATAAGCTTGATGATGGTGGGACTGTGTCTGTACTGCTCACAAATCCATCTCTCAATCCTGGCATTGTGCCTCTACATAGCAGGCAAACAACTCTCAATGAATAAACTAACAAACTAGTCTAAAATCCCTCTGAATGCAGCTGAAGATCAAGCCTTCTACTGTTTTCACCAAAAAATACTGATTGATACATGATCACTACCTTCTGCATTTGAAACATGTCTGAATCACCTCATTAGTCTTATTTCTTTCAAGGTAATCAATTCCAGTTTCCTAAAATCTTCTCTAACTTGTGTGGCTGTCATTCCGAACCTTAGTTTCTCCACAATGGTTCAGCTGCAGAGTTGAGTGTTAAGTCAAACATTCCACTTTTTATTTACTACTGATCATAATTGGATACTCATTATTTTATATAAAATTTGGAGAAATTCAATCAAGTGTTAAAAATATCCTCACATGTAAACAGCCTGCCTACCAGAATATGAAAGTTCAAATTGGGAAGAATCTGTTTCATTCTCACCACTCATGTTTATCACTAGCATAGTATTTGCACCAACTATATTATTTCACTTCTAATGGATTCTATGTCACAATTATGACAATTACTTCATCTTTTTTTGACTATCAGAAACACATATAGATAAACCTATAGTCACTTTCCTACCTCACAGAATCAATTTAAACATTTCCTAAAAAGTCAAGTAAATACACTTAAAAATCCAATTATTTGAACAAGATAATTGAACAATATGCTTTAATAATAAGTATATTTACTAAAATTATAAAGATCACCAACACAGTTCAAATACTATCTCAAAACTTTAGCACTTCATTGAAGGGTCCAATATTATCTCCATCCTACAGAAAATCAAGATGACTTAATGCCTACCTGACAGAAAAATACAACACAATAGGTATAAAATTCCTCAACACTCTGCCTCTCCAACTGAAAACACATCGGTAACTTCATCCACCTATACCTGAAGGTGATCCAAAACTCTTTTCAGAGCTGACTTCTCCACATGTGTTCTTAGTCCCGTCTGTTCTCAACCCTTGTAGTATCTGGATGCTCAATACTGTCTGAACTGGTTTTAGTCATTTCCTCATCACTATTTCTTTTTGTCAGTAAGGTTAGTAAAACAATGATTCCTAATGTAAAATGTTTCCTTTATATTAAAACCTAACCAAGCACTCAAAATGGAGAGTTTTCTAATTGAACTACGAAGAAAGTTTATCTAAATTAGGCTATTCAGACTTACAAAATTATCTATGCGAATGAGAAGGCTTTAAACTGTGCGACGGGGGTGGGGGATAGTGTATGAGTGTGTATACTCACATCAATGATCAAATGGCCTACCTACATCTCCGAACATAGAATGTAAACAAAGCAATTTAGGTAAGACATGAAGAATCTTTGTGACAAACAGGAGACAAAAAGAGGTTACAGAAACTTCATCTCAGAAGCTCATTAAAATAAGGATAAAACAAGTGAGTGACCTGTTTAGAGTGGTTTAGATACGGTAGGCCAGAAACAGAAAAGTAGACTCAACAGTATTAGTTTCAACAGAATTAATTTCTACTTTCAAATTTTGTATCAAGTGTACCATTTTAATAATTTTAAATAATTCTTAAGTCTCTATCCCAGAGAGTGTTCTACTTTTTTAACTCCTCCACAAGATACCATACATTTTAAAAATTAGTACACAAAAACTAAATTTTTAAAACATTCTGGTTACCAAGAGTTTCCTCAACACCTGACAAGAAAGTTTTACTTACAAAGATTTAATTTTTAAAAAAGATAAGTAATTGAACTGCAGATTGGAACTACCTGGGGATCTTTGAAAAAGTACTGACAAATGCCACCCTCCAAGATATGGGACTTAATGGTTTAAGCTGTAGCACAGGTATCTCAACCCTAGAATTCTATTATTTGACTTCTCACAGTATCAAATGTGAATTCTATTGTTTTCCTGTAAATAATTATTCAGAAAGTCAACCTCAATCTCATTTATACTGCAAACAGGAGTAAGGGAAAGATTTCATCATACTGTCTTTTAAAATTTGGGAGGATTCTTAATTGTTTAGGATCTATCTTTGTGTAGCTGATTTTTTCTCTCTAAACTCTATTTAGAGAGAAATACATTTAGCATCTAATATCTAAATACAGTTACTGCAGTTTTGATGAGGAACAACTACAGATAAATGTACCTTGAGTTAAAATACATATTCACTCTTTTCCTTTTGTTTATTAATTAAACTCCTGGGAGCTATACACACAATTTAGTGGAGGCCACTAAAAAAAACCCTTTGAAGAATCCTTTTTATTAAGAAAATTTCTGGGCTGGATGCAGTGGCTGGCGCCTGTAGTTCCAGCACTTTGGGAGGCCAAGGCGGCCAGATCACTTGAGCTTAGGAGTTTGAGACAAGCCTGGACAACATGATGAAACCCTGTCTCTACAAAAAATACAAAAATTAGCCAGGCGCGGTGGCATGAGCCTCTAGTCCCAGCTACTTGGGGGCTGAGGCGGGAGGATCACTTGAGCCCAGGAGGTCGAGGCTGCAATGAACTGTGTTTGCATCACTGCACTCCAGCCTAAGCAACAAAGTGAGACCATCTCAGGGGGGAAAAAAAAAAAAAGAAAAAAAAAAGTGCTGTTATCTTATAGCTTACACATGTGTCTTGGGGTAAGCTATCAATACTATCCTCGTCAACAACATCAAAATATTTATACTGTTATCCATCAAGATTCAACTAAATTGCCAATGTGACATCAAATAATCAGGAAAGATAAATCAGTTAAAAGACATCTGGCTTTCAATTACACAAACAATGGTCATTGGAAAATGCCTATAAAACTAAATGAGGCCAAGGGCACTGGCTCACACCTGTAATCCCAGCACTTTGGGAGGCCATGGCTGGTGGATCACCTGAGGTCGGGAGTTCAAGACCAGACTATTTAACATGGCGAAGCCCCATGTCTACTAAAAATACGAAAATTAGCCAGGCATGGTGGTGCAAGCTTGTAATCCCGGCTACTCAGGAGGCTGAGGCAAAAGAATCGCTTCAACCCGGGAGGCGGAGGTTGCAATAAGCCAAGATCATGCCACTGCACTCCAGCCTGGGCAACAGAGTGAGACTCTGTCTCAAAACAAACAAACAAACCTAAAGGAGGTTAGTTTAGAAGTTTGAATACCACATACAGAGCAACAAATACTATATATAATAAACAACATGAGAACATTACTTCTGGCTGTTTTCAACTAGGTATCTCATTACGGAATTTCTCTTTGTATCTTTATAACAATCTCTCTGTGTTGGTCTGTTTTTACCTTGCTATGAAGGAATACCTGACACAGGATAACTTTTAAGAAAAGAGTTTCAATTGCTTCACAGTCCTGCAGGCTGTATAAGCAGGGCTGCAGCATCTGCTTCTGGAAAGGGCCTCATGAAGCTTACAATCATAGTGCAACGCAAAGGGAGAGTGGGTGGTGTTACATGGTGAGAGCAGAAGCAAGAAGACGAAGCAAGAGAAGCCCTAACAGAGAAATCTACTAGGGTAGTGAGGAAGGGAAATGTGGGGTCTGAGCCCCCACAGAGTCCCCACCAGGGCACCACCTACTGGAGCTGTGAGAAGGGGGCCACTGCCCTCCAGAAGTGAGAATGACAGAACCACTAGCAGTTTGCATCCTGAACCTGGAAAAGCCACAGGCACTCAACTCTATTCTTTTTTTTTTTCCTTTGAGACAGAGTCTCACCGTGTAGCCCAGGCCAGAGTGCAATGGCACGATCTCAGCTCACTGAAACCTCTGCCTCCCAGGTTCAAGCAATTCTCCTGCCTCAGCCTCCCAAGTAGCTGGGATTACAGGCATGTGCCACCATGCCCAGCTAATTTTTCGTATTTTTAGTAGAGACGGGTTTCACCGTGTTAGCCAGGATGGTCTCGATCTCCTGACCTCGTGATCCACCCACCTCGGCCTCCCAAAGTGCTGGGATTACAGGCATGAGCCACCACGCCCAGCCTACTCAATTCTATTCTTGAGAGCAGCAGAGGGAGTGGAGCTGCCCGAGACCTTGGGAGCCCACGACTTGCACCAGTGTGCCCTGGATGTGGAACACAGAGTCAAAGGGGATTATTTTAAAGCTTTAAGATTTAATGACTGCCCTGTTGGGTTTCAGGGACCTGTAACCCCTTTCTTTTAGCCAATTCCTCCCTTCTGGAATGGGAATGCTTACCCAAAGCCTGTACCCTCACTGTATCTTGGAAGTAAATAACTTGTTTTGATTTTACAGGCTCATGGGTGGAAGGAGATGAGTCTCAGATGAGACTTAGGACTTTGGTCTTGCTGGAATGAGTTAAGACTTTGAGGGACTTTTGGGAAGGGATGATTGTATTTTACGATGTGAAAAGAACATGAGATTTGGTGGAAAGATATGGTTTGGACATTTGCTCCCTCCAAATCTCATGCTGAAATGTGGCCTCCGATGTTAGAGATGGGACCTGATGGGAGGTGTTTCAGGCATGCAGGCAGATCCCTCATGAATGGCTTGGTGCCACCCCCACAAATGAGTGAGTGCTCGCTCTGAGTTCACAAGAAATCTGGTTGTTTAAAAGAGTGTGGCACTTCCCTCCTTTTTCTCTTGCTGCCACTCTCACCATGTGACAACAACCTCTCTCCCTTTGCCTTTCACTATGACAGTAAGCTTCCTGAGGCCCTCACCAGAAGCAGATGCTGGTACCATGCTTCTACATCCTACAGAACCCTGTGCCAATTAAACCTCTTTTCTTTATAAATTACTCAGTCTCAGGCATTCCTTTACAGCAACACAAAAACCAGACTAATACATTCTCTATGGCAAAATAGTTCATATATAGTTCATATATTTTACAGCAATAATTTGCTACTCCCTTTGCTTATTCCCAAACTCACTATCCCTTGAAGGTATTAAAATGAATTATTGGCCAGGCACAGTGGCTCATACCGGTAATCCCAGCACTTTGGGAGTCAGAGGCTGGTGGATCACTTAAGGTCAGGAGTTTGAGACCAACCTGGCCAACATGGTGAAACCCCATCTCTACTAAAAATACAAAAAATTAGCCAGCCATAGTGGCAGGCGCCTGTAGTCCCAGCTACTCGGGAGGCTGAGGCAGGAGAATCACATGAGCCCAGGAAGCGGAGGTTGCAGTGAGCCGAGATCACACCACTGCACTCCAGCCTGGGTGATAGAGCAAGACTCCATCTCATAAAATAAAATAAAATAAAATAAAATAAAATAAAATAAAATAAAATAAAATAAAATAAAATAAAATAAAATGAATTATTTACACTTGGAGGAAAACTCTTTTGTGAAATTTTTTAAAATCTTGTATTTAAATTCAGGTGCAAAATAGATCAGATTATTAACATCCAAATATTCTAAAACTACAGGTAAAAAAGTTATTTATGCATTCTGCAATAGATACACCCATAAAAACACTGAGAGGTGCTCACTTTGGCAGCACATATACTAAAATTGGAAGGACTCAAAGAAGATCACCATAGCTCCTGGGCAAATGCAAACTGGTAAAATGTTTCAGTTTCTTTTTTATTATTGCAGACACACTGGGCAGCTCTTCCAACATGTAATCCCAGCTACTTAGGAGGCTGAGGCAGGAGAATCACTTGATACCCGGAGTTAAGACCAACCTGGGCAACAAACCTTATTTCATTATTTTTAAAAATGGTGAAAGTGTTTTGGGAGGCAAAATATAATTTCTGTAGTAAATTCATTTTTTTTAAATGCAAGAAATTTCCACCAATTTAATTGCTTAAGAATAGAATTTGTGGCCAGGGGCAATGGCTCACACCTGAAGTCCCAGCACTTTGGGAGGCCAAGGCAAGCAGATGGCTTGAGCTCAGAAGTTAAGAGACCAGCCTGAGCAACATGGCAAAAGCCTGACTACAAAAATACAAAAATTAGCCGGGTGTGGTGGTGCGCACCTGTAGTCTCAGTTACTCAGAGGCTGGGGTGGGAGGATCGCTTAAGCCCGGAAGACAGAGACTGCAATGAGCTGAGATCATGCCACCACACTCCAGCCTGAGCAACAGTGAGACTCTGCCTCAAAAAAAAAAAAAAAAAAAGGAATTTGTAAATCATGTGTATTTATGAACCATATACTATTTATAACTATTATAGTTTCTCATTTACATCACTTTAAATGAAACATTAATTTTATATTCATTCTTATTATTTATTTATATGTATTATTATTCAGAATGTAAAAGCTTCAGTGTCTCACTTAAAGACAGGAATGCAACACTCAAGAATAAATTGAGGGCCAGGCATAGTGGCTCACGGCTGTAATCCCAACACTCTGGGAGGCCAAGATGGGCAGATCACTTGAGGCCAGGAGTTCGAGACCAGCCTAGTCAACATGGTAAAACTCGTCTCTACTAAAAATACAAAATATTAGCTGGGCGTGGTGGTGCACGCCTGTAATCTCATCTACTCAGGTGGCTGAGGCATGAGAATCACTTGAACCTGGGAGGCAGAGGTGGCAGTGAGCCAAGATTGTGCCACTGCACTCCAGCCTGGGCGACAGAGCAAGACTCCATCTCAAAAAAAAAAAAAGAATGAATTGAGGAAGATGACACAAAAAAATAAAAATACTGCAGCCAGCACAAATGTCTGTGAGGATGCTACAAACTGATCCAGCTCCTGTGGGTATGGGCCAAGAACTTTTTATTTCAAATTTTCAAATTATTGTGATGCCACTAATGATGTATAGAAGGTAAAATGAACAGCAAATTCAGAGGAGAACATAGGTAAGCCCAGAATCTAATCCAATATATGTGTACATATATTTAAAATATTTTTGCATTGCTTTAACACACACTGACTAAAAAGCATACAATAACACATAAATTGAAAGAAGACTGTCCTTTATTTGGAACTTTACCAAAAGGTGTTCATCATGCTGGAAAAATCACATTATAGAGCAATGCTAATAAAGATATTTGAGTCACCAATTACAATACTTGCATATTAGTCTAATTTACAGCTGCTGCATTCATGATTATTCTACATGTAGATGTTAGTAGCATCTGACTACTTTATTCTGCCTTGTAGTAAAGGACTGCCTGCACCTTCACAAACTGAAATAAACAATATATTAATGTAATTACTATAATTAATAATTTAATAACTTTCCTTTATGTTAGAATACTGTATTAATTTTTAAGTGTATATATCTGTATATGTATATATATAAAATATACACACACACACATATGTGTAGGTTACACTGTCTACTAGTTTTTTTCTTTTTTTCTTTTTTTTGAGACAGAGTCTAGTTCTTTTACCCACGCTGGAGCACAATGGTGTGGTCTCTGCTCACTGCAACCTCCACCTCCTGGGTTCAAGCGATTCTCCTGCCTCAGCCTCCCACGTAGCTGGGATTACAGGCACCCGCCACCCCGCCCAGCTAACTTTTGTATTCTTAGTAGAGACGGGGTTTCGCCATGTTGGCCAGGATAGTCTCGAACTCCTGGCCTCAAGTGATCTGCCCGCCTCGGCCTTCAAAAGTGCTGGGATTACAGGTGTGAGCCACCATGCCCAGCCTGCTTTTTTCTTTGAGACGGAGTCTCACTCTGTTGCCCAGGCTGAAGTTCAGTGGTGCAATTATATCACACTGCCATCTCAAACTCCCAGGCTCAAGCAATCCTCCCACTTCAGCCTCCAAAATAGCTGGAACTACAGGCACACACCTACCACGCCCAGCTAACCTTTTTTTTATTCTTAGTAGAGAGGTTTTGCTATGTTGTCCAGACTGGTCTTAAACTCCTGGGCTCAAATGATCCTCCCACCTCAACCTCCCAAAGTGTTGCATTACTGGCATAAATCACTGAGCCTAGCCTTTTCTTTTTTTTGAAGTTCTTGCTGTATCAGTGCAGTGGCATGATCATAGTTCACTGCAGCCTCAAACTCCTGAGTTCAAGCAATCCTCCCACCTCAGCCTCCTGAGTAGGTGGGACTAGATGCACATACCATCACTTCTGGTAATTTTTTTTTTAAGAGGTGAAACAAATAGATGAAACTTGATTCTAGAGCACTGGGTAAGAGTTCAGAAATTTCTTCCCTACAGAATTTTATTATATTATAGCACAAAAAGAAATGTTTATTTTTGGCCAGATGCAGTGGCTCATGCCTGTAATCCCAACACTTTGGGAGGCTGAGGCAGGCAGATCACTTGAGGTCAGGAATTCAAGACCAGTCTGGTCAACATGGTGAAACCCCATCTCTACTAAAAATACAAAAATTAGCCAGGCGTGGTAGTGTGCACCTGTAGTCCCAGCTACTTGGGAGGCTGAGGCTCGAGAATCGCTTGGACCCAGGGGGTGGAGGTTGCAGTGAGCTGAGATTGCACCACTGCACTCCAGCCTGGGTGACAGAGCAAGACTCTGTCTCAAAAAAAAAAAAAAAAAAAAAAAAGCTTTTTTTTTTAGTCATAGCCTTATATGTGAAATTACCTCTAAATTTTTTAACTGCACAATATTGACAGGAAAAATGAACTCCAAACTAAGAGACTTATGAATTAACTTTCAGTTCTGCCAGTGGTTAGCTATCTGACCTTCAAGTCTCTCTCTCTTTTTTTTTTTTGTTTGAGACGGAGTCTAGCTCTGTCGCCCAGGCTGGAGCGCAGTGGCATGATCTCGGCTCACTGCAAGCTCCACCTCCTGGATTCACGCCATTCTCCTGCCTCAGCCTCCCGAGTAGCTGGGACTACAGGTGCCTGCCACCACGCCCGGCTAATTTTTTGTATTTTTAGTAGAGACGGGGTTTTACCATGTTGGCTAGGCGGGTCTTGAACTCCTGGCCTCAAGTGATCTGCCTGCCTCAGCCTCTCAAAGTGCCTGGCCTGGATCAAATCATTTTTAAATTTCTAATACAGTGAATATCAATAGATATAATCCACATAAACAAAATACGCAGTCTTCAGTAATTTTTAAGTGTGTAAAAGAGTCCTGAGACCTGAGATCCACTGATCAAAAAAAACCTTACAAAGCCCCTCGCTAGGCAGTTTATACCCTCCAGTAATTCACAATCTAGGTAGAGTAGACAAGAATGAAAGAAGATACACATACATCACAGAACCTTTGATGTACATTATAATACCAGTGTAATTCCAAATAGTAAATTTGGGGTGGCTACTTTCAAAGATTTAATTCAAGCAGGTAGTGAAAGATGGGTAAGAATGACTAAAGAAAAGTGCACTCCAGACAAAGGGTTTGTTTGAACAAGACTAAGGAGAAAGGAGAATGGGGACACGTTTGGGGAAGAGGCCAACGGGGCTAGAGCGAAGGAGAATGGCACAGGTGTGATGAGTGCTATAGTGAAAAAGTGGGGCAAGATAGGTCAAAAAGGATTTTGAATCACACAGTAAGAATTTAGAGACCAGGCATGGTGGCCCGCATCCATAATCCCAGCACTTTGGGAAGCTGAGGTGGAGGATCACTTGAGCCCAGGAGTTTGAGGCTGCCATGATCTATAATGGTACGAATGCAGTCCAGCCAGGATGAGAGTGAGACTCTATCTCTAAAAAACAAAAAAAGAAATAGATGAAGAGGTTGGAAAAGAATAATGCTCTAAATGAGGCCACTGGATCTATTAATTAGTTACAGAGTAGTCACTGTTGAGTGTTTAGGGACACAGCACAAATTACAATGAATCTGGGATCAAGACCTCATTAGCATTATATTAACTACAGGAAATAAGTATTTTACCTGGTGTTACAGAAAAATATTTTTTTCAAAGACTAGTTTGTCTTTCAACTGTAAGTTTTTAAGTTATCTCTCTAAACTTTGTTATTTTCAGATAATTTATTTCAGAATCATAAAATACTGATTTTGGCACTTAAGTAGAACTCTAGCATTTACCTAATGAATTTTATAACAAAATAATATACTATTGTGTTACATATTGAACCTCAACCTACTGCCTAAAAGAATATTATTCTTACTGTAGATAAGCCTACAAAAGCACATTTTAGTGCAAATCCAACAAATGACATTTATTCAAGGAAAAAACTATTATTCAATCCTTTTTTATTAGTAATATGAAGCACAATATAAGATCAAATTTCATTTTGGCATGTTTATATCAAATATGTATTTAGCTAGAACTATGTTTATGCAAAAGTAATGTGTGAAAAATCCGTATTTTATTAATATAATCTAGGAAACAATCATTTGTTTTATACAAAGATTCTTCTCTTTACAAAAGAAATTATCACTGGGACCCTTTAAATAGGAAGCTTTCCCAGAATAATAAAAAAATTATGCCGGGCACAGTGGCTCACGCCTGTAATCCCAGCACTTTGGGAGGCCAAGGTGGGTGGATCATGAGGTCAGGAGTTCAAGACCAGCCTGGCCAAGATGGTGAAACCCCGTCTCTACTAAGAAAATACAAGAATTAACCAGGCGTGGCAGGTGCCTGTAATCCCAGCTACTCAGGAGGCTAAGGCAGGAGAATCGCTTGATCTCGGACGGTGGAGGTTGCAGTGAGCCGAGATCATGCCACTGCACTCCAGCCTGGGCAACAGAGTGAGACTCCGTCTCAAAAAAAAAAAAAAAAAATTACAGGTCAGATGCAGTGGCTCATGCCTATAATCTCAGCATTTTGGGAGGCCAAGGCAGGAGGATCACTTGAGACCAGGAGTTCAATACCAGCCTGGGCAACACAGTAAGACCCCTATCTCTACAAAAAAAAAATTAAATTACACTTAAATTCATTATTTACATAAAACTTTACAGGAATACATTTGCTTAAGGCACATACATTAAGTATGTAATTATAACAGGTATATAACTAAAACAGGTAGTTGTTAAGAGGTTTAAAAGACAAGAGCTGCAGACAATGGCTTAGATTTGGGTCTAGGAGGCCTCCCCTCTCTCATCCACTGGCAGCGGAGGCTGGAGCCCTGTGCAGAGCAGAAATCTGAGGGTGAGTCTGGCTCAGAAGGGAAGTGGGTATCACAGAACTGTCTTCCCTGGACTTGAGAGTGGGGCATAGATGCACGAATGTCACCATTTTACTACTGTTTGTGTAGGGAGATAAAAACAGAAAAGATTAACTCTTTGATTTTCAAAGCTCTGAGTGTTTAAAAGAGCACACAGAAAAAGCAAGCTTAGAATTCTAAGTGGAGCAAAGACTCTAGAGCCAGACCACCTGGAAGCATCTTTTGACTCTACTCCTTACTACATCTATCACCTTCTCAAGTTACTTAGACCTCAGCTCTCTCAGCTATAAAATAGAATAATAAGAATAGTCACCTCATAGGGTCAACGTGAGAATTAAATGAGAAAATAACTGCAAAACACTCAAAGTGACGGCATATAATTGGCCCTCAAGAATTGTTATAATTATGGCCGGGGGCACAGTGGCTCATGCCTGTAATCCCAGCACTATGGGAGGCCGAGGCAGGCGGATCATGAGGTCAGGATATCGAGACCATCCTGGCTAACATGGTGACACTCTGTCTCTACTAAAAATACAAACACAAAATTAGCTGGGCGTGGTGGCTGACGCCTGTAGTTCCAGCTACTCAGGAGGCTGAGGCAGGAGAATGGCGTGAACCTGGCAGGCGGGGCTTGTAGTGAGCCGAGATCACGCCACTGCACTCCAGCCTGGGCGACAGAGTGAGACTCTGTCTTAAAAAAAAAAAAAAAGAACTGTTACAATTATACTGTGCTAGGATGATTTTAGATCACTCATTCAATCCATCATTACAATATACTGCCACCCCGAACCCATCTGACATAAACCTTTCACTGTTCAATCATGCTGACCTACTCTGTTGTCCACATGTTCTGAAAATACTAACCTATATCAGTGTTATATACCAAATAGCAGAATCCTAGAAAACAGGACTAAAGTCCATGACATTCTGGGCCAGTTCCAGAAACACACCTTTAATAAATAATAGCCCTCTGTATACAGTTGCACATCTGGCAAAAAGGAAAAAAAAAATGTGTCTGTGTGTGTGTGTGTGTGTGTGTGTGTGTGTGTGTTCTAACAGCCCATTTTCTAACATACTAGCATCAGTATATGCAGCCACCAGGCTATCTCCATTTTTACTAATGACTTACTAAAATCACCAAATTGGTTTATAAATTCCTAACTTATCCTCACTTTCCTTCCAAAAAAAAGGCTTATTAGTAGAATGCATCCCTATAAAATATAAAATTAAATTCTGATTGAAATAAATATTTCCTGGTTGCTAAAACATCTGTCGTGACAGCTGGTCATATGGTCAAACTCATTCAATTTCCATCCTTCTTTTCCCTCCTCCCATACCTGAAAGAAAACCTTTAACATAAACCTCTTCAATTAGCCATTTGAATACATGATGACTAGTTTTTCACTTTACATTCACCTGTTTTCTCCATCATCTCAGTGGCCAATACAAGCCACAGTTTTGTTTGAAATATCAAACACAAGAATAATAAGTACATAAAGTATTTTCTTCGTTCTTCTCATCTTAAAGATCAACCAAGATGAACAAGAAGAGCAGAGAAACTAATACATTCTTCTTCAAAACACACACAGGTTCTTTGTTCTTCCCCCAGATACTAAGACCAAAAGGATAACAGACAGCAAATCATGCCCACAAACCAAAACACAGCTGGTTCATCTAATTTTAGAAAAAAAATAACAAGGAAGAAGAGAAAAGTTCTCTCTGGAATAACTCAATCCTCAAATCAAGGAAATTCAAAGAATACAACATGGAAAAACTAAGAGCCTCAAATATCTCCTGCGGGATACTGATTCCATCAGTGTCAAATCCAAATAAACAATATGTTTTTAGAAGATCCCACAAAAGTTTGAAAATCACTCCTTTAAAAAAAAAAAAGCCTACTTACAGAGAAAATGTCTAAATGGTTGGTTTCCAACCACAGGTGTTATTCAGTTGATTCCAAACCTGTTTCTCATTTTCACCATACTCTCTAAAAAAGACAAGCTGGGAAACATATTTGTTTTTTTTTTAACTCAGTTATAACATTTATATCCAGAGGTATACTTTATTTGTATGCTAAATTCTCTCAGCCAGATGTTTATTCATCTGCTCAACCCTGCACAATACGGCTTTTCCTTTTCTGGAGGTCATGAACAAGGCCCTCTCTAGCTGCTTCTTAATCTGAGTAAGATCTTGTACTTCTTTTTCCCTGGAATCCTCAAGAGAAGAAAGAAAATATAAGTCATAATCTAATTGTTTTGGGGGGAGTATTACTTATATCCCTAGAATCCTTCATACCATCTCTTTAAGAAGAGAAATCCTTTTCTTTAGTAACCCCTAAGGAATCTATCCAAAATAAAGAGCACAAACTTTTTGCCAGAACTAAGATTAACTAGGTAAAATTGGCATTAGCAAAATATCAGCAACTGCAAGATAACAGCAAACTGCAACAGATTTATACAGAAATTTAATGTGTCCTCAAAAGGACTTGGGAAGGACGAACAACTATTTCCCAATAGTCTTGCTTCTATGAACTATTACCATATCAACACTATGTTCTAGTGCTCTTGCTGTCAAAAAAAATTCCAGGTGAATACAAGTATAAATTCCAGAAAAGCGAAAGACTTATTGCCAAAATATTTTTAATTTAGTCACTAAAGATTTTTAATGAAAGAAACATGTATTCCATTAAACCAGGACTGCCTAGTGAAGAAAATTTCAGAAAACCTCAGCAAAGTATAACAGTATATTAACAAAAGTGCTTTGTGTTAACAGACCTAGATTATGTTTCTTGTTGGGTTATACGGATCATCAAAATTTCCTAAAATAATTGTTCAGTTAAATGAGAAAGTGATTAAACTATTTCTGAAAGCATGTATAAAACAATTAGTCCCAAGTATTTTGCAGATGTATCACAATGCTACAAGTTTTTTTTAAAATGTACCAAGGAAATGCTACAAATCCCCAAAGGTTCTAAATAATGTCCTAGTTAATCTCCATTTGCTCCTTCACATCCTCAATTCTTTCTCTGCTCTTGCACTGGGAGAATGAGCTTTAAAAAAAAAAAAAATCACCTGGGCTCCCCAGCTGGGTTCTAGTAAAGTAAGTCACCGGTGGAGACTCGGAGGAAGAGGGAAGAGAGATCAGGGAACCTCCCTTCACGCCCCTCCTGCTTCAAAACCGCAGCTCCCTCTAGCCCTCCTCTACAATGCCAGCTTTCTGCTCTGGTAATTTCTGGAGAACTAAGAATTTCTTACTGTTTCTAATCCCTGAGCGCTTTACCACACTTGTTTGTTCTCTAACCTCTGCAAATAGCCTCTTCATGTGAACCACCAGGGGTAAAATCTCCTTCCTTTTGGGGCTTTGCCTGATATGACTAACAATGCCAAGTCTGATTATTCAACAGCACATTATCTAAAGAAATCTAAGTTTTTGAAAGTTTTTAAGATCTATAGAAATGACCGGATCTATAGAAACGGCCGGGCGCTGTGGCTCACTCCTGTAATCCCAGCACTTTGGGAGACTGAGGCGGGTGGCTCAGCTGAGGTCAGGAGTTCGAGACCAGCCTGGCCAACATGGTGAAACCCCGTCTCCACTAAAAATATAAAAATTAGCCGGGCATGGTGGCACATGCCTGTGATCCCAGCTACTCAGGAGGCTGAGACATTAGAATCGCTTGAACCTGGGAGGGGGAGATTGCAGTGAGCTGAGATCATGCCACTGCACTCCAGCGTGGGCAACAGGGTGAGACTACATCTCAAAAAAAAAAAAAGATCTATACAAACATGTATTTATACATTTTTACTATTTGTATAATCGTTAAAAATTAACAATTTTAACTAATATTAACTAATCACCTCCGAATGAAGCTAGTTAAAAAGCTGAAACAGGCCAGGCGCGGTGGCTCACGCCTGTAATCCCAACACTCTGGGAGGCCGAGTCGGGCAGATCACGAGGTCAGGAGAGCAAGACCATCCTGGCTAACACAGTGAAACCCCATCTCTACTAAATAAGAAAAATTAGCTGGGCGTGGTGGCGGGAGCCTGTAGTCCCAGCTACTTGGGAGGCTGAGGCAGGAGAATGGCGTGAACCCAGGAGGCGGAGCTTGCAGTGAGCTGAGATGGCAACACTGCACTCCAGCCTGGGTGACAGAGCGAGACTCCATCTCAAACAAACAAACAAACAAAAAGCTGAAACAGTCATTACAATCTAATTTAGGTGCGAAATTTAACACTGCATTGTCTTCTCCATACAATGCTATAAGCCCCAAATAAGCTTTAAAAAAAAGTCAATGAAGAGATTCTGGTAACATATTTCACTTCCCTCTACCACATACTGCCTGGTTAACCCAAGCAAATTGTCGTTAATCTTGTTGAAGCCCTCCCTAACCAAAAGATAAAGAAAAAGTTTAAGCTAGTAGTTCTCTAATTCCAGTTTGCACATAAATCAAAAGGGAAGCTTGCCAACATAGTGAAACCCCGTGTCTACTAAAAATACAAAAATTGGCTGGGCATGGTGGCACGTGCCTGTAGTCCCAGCTACTCGGGAAGCTGAGGCAGGAGAATTGCTTGAACCTGGGAGGCAGAAGGTGTGGTGAGCCAAGATCGCGCTACTGCACTCCAGCCTGGGCAACAGAACGAGACTCCATCTCAAAAAAAAAAAAAAAAAAAAAAAGCCAACTTCAAGATTCCAACCAAATCACTAATATATTGCTCTTCTTGCTTTTCGATGAAAATTCCACATTAAACATGACAAAAAAAAACACAGTAACAACAATAATAATGAATGTACACTATGTGCTAGCCAGTGTGATCTGTGTTTTACATGTATTATTATCTAATTCAATCCTCATAAGAACCACACCAGGTAGGTAATATTGTTACTTCCATTTTATAGATGAGAAAACTGAAGCCTAGAGAAATGAAATAATTTGACCAAGTTAATGAGTGACAAAACCAGGATTGCCTCAGGTCTGCCTATCCTCTTACCCAGGAGCTGGACAAGAAAGCACTGTGCTTAAACGCAACTCTGGAACCCCAGGGCTGTCAGAGAGAGGATTAAGCCTGACGACCAAGTAGTTAGGCAAGTAATACCCTCCCATCTCCTTCCAACCCCAATTCCCACCCCTCACCCAACAAGCTATCCTGACTCCCCACACCCATCACTCCCACACCAAGGTCGCCCACCTCTGTGATGTGTCACACATCCTAGCAGAACATCAGAAGTCTGTCTCTATGTGTGTGTGTGTATATATATGTGTATACATATATATACACACACACACACAGACTTCTGATGTTCTATATGTATATGTATATATGTTCTATATGTATATGTGTGTGTATACATACACACACATATATTGTGTATATGTCTATATACATATATACACACACATATGTATGTATGTCTATATATGTATATGTATATATGTCTATATACATATATACACAATATATGTGTGTATATATGTGTGTATATACATACACACACACAACACACATAAGTACTCTTGTATATACATATATACACATATATACACAATACATATTGCGTATACATATATATACACACTATATATGTGTGTATACATATATACACATATATACACACTATATATGTGTGTATACATATATACACACTATATATGTGTGTATACATATATACACACTATATATGTGTGTATACATATATACACATATATACACACTATATATGGTGTGTATATATATGTGTATATATATATATATATACACACACAACACACATAAGTACTCTTTCCACATTAGTATCTACTACCTGCTTAGTACTAGCAGAGACCCAAATTCCAGCACCACCAAATAAGCTTGAGCAAATTTAACATCTCTGCCCCTCAGTTTCCTAATCTGTAAAATGAAGGTCATAACACCAGCACCACTGAGGTGACACAGTGATTGAGCTAATGTATACAAAAATACTCACTTGGCATAATATCTGACATGGTAGTAAAAGCTCAATAAACAATAGCTGCTATTGGCCAGGCACAGTGGCTCATGCCTGTAATCTCAGCAGTTTGGGAGGCGAAGGCGGGCAGATCACCTGAAGTCAGAAGTTCGAGACCAGCCTGGCCAACATGGTGAAACCCCACCTCTACTACAAATACAAAAATTAGCCAGGCATGGTCGTGAGCACCTGTAATCCCGGCTACTCAGGAGGCTGAGGCAGGGGAATCGCTTGAACCCGAGAGGCGGAAGTTGCAGTGAGCCAAGATTGCACCACTGCACTCCAGCCTGGGTGACAGAGCGAGACTCCGTCTCAAAAAAAAAGAAAAAACAATAGCTGCTATTAAAATTATACTTTGCTAACCTCTTCTCTTACAACACCAACATATCAGTCCTAGTCCCATTTGTTTTTTGCTTGCTTGTTGTTTTTTTTTTTTG
The DNA here is from genome assembly GCF_000001405.40 of Homo sapiens. Classification (NCBI taxonomy): domain Eukaryota; kingdom Metazoa; phylum Chordata; class Mammalia; order Primates; family Hominidae; genus Homo; species Homo sapiens. The sequence goes on along the minus strand of NC_000006.12, from coordinate 75,756,227 downwards.
AGACAGAATCTGGCTATGTTGCCTAGGCTGGCCTCAAACACCTGGGCTCAAGCATTCCTCCTGCCTCAGCCGCCTGAGTAGCTAGGACTACAGGTAAGCATCACCGTGTCCAATTCTAGTTCCCATTTATTTTCTCTCAGTTTTCTTTGCTAAAAGTGTGATAAATGATGGAACATACTTATATTTATCAAAGCAGGTTGGTAACAGCGCCATAACCCAATAGTCTGGGAGTCTTCGACAGATAGGTCAGAAATATTCCAGAGCAAGTAAGTCATGCAGTAGCCTTTAAATTGCACAATTTTGACAACTGCCTATTTCCCAACTTTAGGGTCAGCCCTGTTGATTACATCCTAGTATGAAGAGTCTATAATTAACTTAATTCAAAACAACAATAAAATGTCAGTACAGGGGCTTGGTCTTAATTTAATCACTGTATCCCTAGAACTTAGAATAGTGCCTGGTCCGTGGTAGACACTACAGTACGTTTTAAATAAATGAAGACATAAAGGAACCAACACAGACGCACACACAGTTCTTTAGTGAGTCTTTACAAAGACAGTTGTAACTATCGGATCACTACCAATGCACAAAGTAATAAAAGTTATTTTCAAAATTCCCCCAGAACATTTTTCTCCTTCCTTTTTTTAACTAATTGTTCTTTAAAAATTCTCCAACTAGAAAAGCTAATTACCAATTTCAGTCTAGCAATCTATTTAAAATGTTAAAGTAGTTCCATAATGATGCATCATGCTCATCTTCTATCTTCCATTAAAAAATAACCTGTAACAATTTAATAATCACCATTTTAGTGACCCTAATTTTTCAGAACTTCCTGAACCACCTGACTTGAAGCCATAATGTGAGGTTAAATACATAAGCAATAGGGGGAAAGTGGAGGACTTACTACTTTGGGACTACACAGAGATGATGCTTCTAAGTAGCCACATTGACCTTGAACAAGTTACTTAATTTTAAGTAATGTATTTATTTATTTAGAGACGGGATCTTGCTCTGTCACCCAGACTGGAGTGCAGTGGTGCAATCACAGCTCACTGCAGCCTTGACCTCTTGGGCTCAGGAGATCCTCCAACCTCAGCCTCCTACACAGCTAGCACTATAGGCGTGCACCACCACACCCAGCTAATTTTTGTATAATATTTTTTGTGAAAGGGTTTCACCATGTTGCCCAGGCTGTTCTCAAACTCCTGGGCTAAAGTGATCCTCCCAACCTCAGCCTCCCAAAGTGCTGGGATTACCGGCATGAGCCACCACATGCAGCCAGTATTTTTAATTTTTTGAGTCTCCATTTCCTTACCTGTAGAAAAGGAATAAATTTACTAAATCTACTTCATCAAGTTGTTTTAAGGACCAAATGCATACAAAAATATTTTAAAGCAATAAAATGCCATCCAAATATAAGTTATTAGCTTTTGACGTATATGTCTTTGGATTTCAAATGGATGGTTTCTATTTATTTTTTCATATCTCTGCAACTCTTCCTATTTCCTGGATCCAAAGATATGCCAGCACAGGGAGGAATCAGTTCACACTTGTCATATCTAAAACACAGTGGGCCCTCAGTAAATATCTGTTGAAAAAGATGTTCATCCACATAGATCAGAAATCAAAAAATTCTGCCACAGAAAATATATTACCTTGTAAAGGTTAGTCAGCGGCTTACTTTTTTTTTTTTTTTTTTTTTTTTTTTGAGACGGAGTCTCACTCAATCGTCCAGGCTGGACTGCAGTGGCCCAATCTCAGTGCACTGCAACTTCCACCTGCCAGGTTCAAGTGATTCTCATGCCTTGGCCTCCCAAGTAGCTGGGATTACAGGCACCCACCACCACACCCAGCTAATTTTTGTATTTTTAGTAGAGATGGGGTTTCACCACATTGCCCAGGCTGGTCTGAACTCCTGACCTCAGGTGATCCACCCACCTTGGCCTCCCAAAATGCTGTGATTACAGGTGTGAGCCACCACGCCCCAGCCAGGTTATTTTCAAATGAAATAACAAATGACCTAACATACTCAAAAGATGACTGTGTTTTTGTCAAGAGTTTCCTTTGTGCACATTACTCAGCATCATATTTACCCCATGTGAATATACACTGAAGGAATGTGCTTTGGTGTTTTGGTTTCACTTGAGACATGCCTTCTGTATAAAAAATTATTTCCTCTCTCTTTAGCACCAGCAAGATTTCTAAAGATGCCAGATTTCTTCTTTAGGTTTTACTTTTTATGCTTCAGTACTCACAGGGAAAACTTTTGGTGGACTTATGGTCATTTCTCAAACCATTATGTCATTCTTACACTAATCAATAAGAAAAATAAGCTAATTTTTGAAAACAGTAACTAGAAAGACGTTGCAAAATATTTAAAGATTCTAGTCCACTCAAATTTGTCAAATAAAATCAGAACCATTTTAAATGAAAAGATCCTGGTTCCTCTGAACATTATATAATGCCGGCAAGGCACGGTAGCTCATGCCTGTAATCCCAGTACTTTGGGAGCCCGAGGCAGCACACTATCTGAGCTCAGGAGTTCAAGACCAGCCTGGGCAACATGGCAAAACCCCTCTCCACCAGAAACACAAAAAAGTTAGCCAGGCATGGTGACATACACCTGTGGTCCCAGCTACTCCGGAGACTGAGGTGGGAGTGTCACTTGAGCCTGGGAGATGGAGGTTGCAGTAAGCCGAGATCATGCCACTGCATGTGGCATGAATGAGACTCTGTCTCCAAAAAACATATATATATATATATATATATATACACACACACACACATATATAGATCATAGATACATGCATATAGATATAATGCCTCCAAAAGAGAACTTAAGCTTATTTAACTCTACTTCTTGATGTGTGTGTCACAGATCTATTACCAATTTATATTAGTAATATTACTAATTTATATTAGGTGGTGGTTTTGTATTTACAGTTGAATATGAATATCCTTGAGATGCACAATTCCTAATAGTTCAAAGCAAATAATGAAAAAAATCCGTAATGGTAGCCACCCAACTCAGCCTTCCTACCTTGCTTCTGCTCATTTACCCAACTACATCCTACTGCTGAAATGCATGATTCCTAGTTTGTTACCAGAAAAAATGGGCTTATTTGCTCACTGTTGTCATTTATGTCTATTGCGGCTCAAGGGATATTCCACAGACCATAGAAAAGATTTGTACTAATAGTTTCTAAGTGACAATTTAATCATAATCTAAAAACGAGTCCCCCCTCTCAAGATTAGAGAATTAATTATGTAATATTTAAAGGATAGCTACTGCATAAATAATTATCTTTTTCATTAGAGGAAAATTTTAAAGTTCTATCCCAACCAGGAACATTACAATCTAATTCTAGTTCTCACAAACCTATCAAAGTTAAACACATACATATGTTTAACAGCATACATACATGCACAATACATATAATGTCCTAGAACTATACGAGAAATGAGAAAGCAGCAGCATCAGTGTTCAAGGCTGTCAACTTGAGAATGAAGACACAAACACAGGATTCTAAATTTGTTCCAGAACTACATTCACGGCCTATCATATCTACTCCTGGATGCTTTTGTCAAACCTTGAATTACATTCTTTGACATAATACCAGTTTTGCCGGTTTAAACAGTCCACCAAGTGAACTGAAACCAAGGCAAACTGTTCTGGTGGAAAAAACAGGGGCTTCGTGGTCAAATGACTCAGGTGTGAATCCAGACTTTGCCCTTCTGGAGCAAGCATTTAATTCTTTGAGACTAGACTCCCTCATCTGTAAAAGGACAAGACCATTAGCCTAGAAAATTATTTTGTAGATCAAGCCCCTCAATCTGTGATCTGTCCAATTATGGAAGATGCCTAATAAATGTGCAACAATCTTATACTAGTAAAGGGCCAGTTCACAAATTATTATGAAATATCTCATTATGGGTATCATAATTAAACTCTATGAAACTGCAATCCCAGCACTTTGGGAGGCCAAGGCAGGCAAATCACTTGAGCTCAGGAGTTTGAGACCAGCCTGGCCAACATGGTGAAACCCCATCTCTAATAATAATAAAAAATTGGCCAGGTGTGGTGGCGGGCACCTGTAATCTCAGCTACTCAGGAGGCTGAGGCAGGAGAATCACTTGAACCCAGGAGACGGAGGTTGCAGTGACCCAAGATCGTGCCACTGCACAGCCTGGATGACAGGGCAAGACTCCATCTCAGAGAAAAAAAAAAAAAAGAATAAATAAACTCTGAGATTTATTTAAGTTATAACACTTCCCAATATTTTTAGATATTTTAATATATAAAAATGAAACTACACAGAGGTTAGTAAACTCTTCTTAAAACTGGTATTTTACATGTCAAAAATGGAGTCTCAACTATCAACAGAAAGTTAAAATGGGTTTTTTTCAATGTTTGGATGTTTGCATTTGTTCAAGCCTCACATGGTCAAAGTCTTTAAAACTTTCTAAAGAAAGCTACATTTTGGAACCCAGATACAGCCCAGTTGTCTAAACAATGGGCTACATGATACACCACAGACTCCAGGCAAAGTCACAACAGGATGAGAACAGAGCCTTCAGCCTCTCTCAGATTTCCTGGCCACTGTTATTTTAAAACTTGACCACGTAAACATAAACAGGGAAAAATCCATTTCAGATAATCCCTACTGGTTATGATTTACGATCTTTTGTTTTTAATGCAATATTTAATTGCATTAATTTACATTAAATATTGTAATTGTTCATAACATTTTTCTTGCTCATGTTTCTAGGCACTAACCAAGAATATATATGTATATCATATATAGTTTTATATATTATACAGTTTTTAATCATGATCTTTCCTTAAATGTCATTCATACTTCTGTTACATTTACAATGGTTTCTGAAAACAAAAATGTAACTTACAAAGATGAGAGAATGATAAACAGCATGTCACACAAAAAATACAAAAATAATGGGCAAATGTACATAAGACTAAAATGACTTCTGTTTACCAAAGTGGATGCAATTCCTGCGTAACGTAAAATACTCAAAATGAGCTGTATATATAAAAGTCTGTGAGCTATTTTGAACGGCAGCATGGTTTCAAGCTCTGGCTATAGCCCACTTTGTAACATTTGTGGCGGTTTCTACAATTAAGGAAAAAAGGCACAAAGGTAATTTTTTCACTAAACATTCTCCAGTTTGAAAACCACAACCCAAGACATCTAGGAAGTTCAGTTAATTTGTACAGAAATGCTGTTTTGCCGCCAACCTTTGTACCATGACCACTACCAGTCCAAGTTCAAGATTCACGTTTTATGGTGTGAAGATAAGTTTCAGCTAAATCTTAAGAATGTTAATTTTCAGGCCAGGCGCGGGGGCTCAAGCCTGTAATCCTAGCACTTTGGGAGGCCGAGGCGAGTGGATCACCTGAGGTCAGGAGTTCGAGACCAGCCTGGCCAACATGGCGAATCCCCGTCTCTGCTAAAAATACAAAAATTAGCTGGGCAGTGGCGCGCCCTTACTGTAGTCCCAGCCACTCGGGCGGCTGAGGGAGGTCAATCGTTCGAACCTGGGAGGTGGAGGTTGCAGTGAGCTGACAGAGCGAGGCTCTGTCTCAAAAAAAAAAAAGTTAATTTTTAAAACTCTCAAGTTCTGACTTTATTTAGATAGACTGCATCTATACCACCAGAGCATTAAAAAAAAAAAAAAAATGAGGCTTATTTAGCCCGTACAGTTAAGTCTATTAAGTTAGGGCAGTGCTCCTCATTTCTCACTAATACTTGTAAATCAGGATTTAAGCATCCCTCCACCACATCACTTTATGCCAGGTAAGATGTAAAGAATATTTGGCCAGGCGCAGTGGCTCACGCCTGTAATCCCAGCACTTTGGGAGACCGAGGCGGATGGATCAAGAGGTCAGGATTTCAAGACCTGCCTGGCCAAGATGGTGAAACCCCGTCTCTACTAAAAATACAAAAAAATTAGCCAGGCGTGGTGGTGGGCGCTTGTAATCCCAGCTACTCGGGAGGCTGTGGCAGAGAATTGCTTGAACCCGCGAGGGGGAGGGTGCAGTGAGAGGAAATCGCACCACCGCACTCCAGCCTGGGCGACAGACCAAGGCTCCGTCTCAAAAAAAAAAAAAAAAGGTAATGAATTTTTTAAACTGTATGGAAATACTTTTAAACACGGATGTTCTAGCAATAACCCCATCAAATTGTGTCCTACTTAAAATTAAAATCCCAGAGTTTAAGCATTTTAATCGTTTTAGGGAGTTTTTGGAAATTAACAAAAAAAGTTCTTGTTCAGTAGCATATCCGTAAATTAACATACTCAAGGTACTGGACCACCTGGAGACTAAGAATAAGGCTTTAGAAAGTCTCGATCTGGTCTCCTACATGATTAGACTATTAATGGTATCATTTGATCTTCACATCTCAGAGCAAACTGCGCTCCCCCTGCACTGAATTTTAAGCGTGTTTACAAAAGAGAAAATAAAACTATCACGGAGTGTCCAAGTCCGAGTTAGGCACCTGAGTGCTCTGCTTCTACCTGGGAGCCAGGGAAGAAACACAAAGGGACCTTGGTGATGAGAACCCATGAAAGGAGACTGATTGTCTTTCGGTGGAAACGAGAACCACCGCCGGCCCCACTGCTGCCCAGGGCCCACCCATCCATCACCTGCTTCTCCCACCCGCGTCCTCGGGCAGTGAACAGAAGCGTCGGCCCCGGAGCTGCTCGAGGAGGCCCGGGAGCAAGGCCGGGCCAGGGAACGCGAGACCCCGGCGCCGACGCCCCGCAGTGGGTCTCTGGGACACTCACCGGTGCGGGAGCGAAGGCAGGTGCGCGGCGGCGGGGCTACCTGTACGGGTGAAGCTGGAGGGCGCGGTGAGAAGTGATGAGGGCCAGTGAAGAGGGCGACGACGCGGACGGGCACCAGGACAGGGCGGCGACAGCGGCCGGGCTGAGGCTGGCTTCCTGCTCGGACAGATCCCGAGTCGGTCTCCGCCCGCCGGCCGGCGCCCCGCCGAGTCCCCGGCACTGCGGCGTGCACGTCACGGCTACGGAGCGCCCGAAGGGGCGGGGGCGCCGGGGCCGCGGCAGGCCGTCGGGCGCGCGCTCCGGGAGGGAGGGCGCGCTCCGGGAGAGGGCGCGCGACCCCCGGGGTCGCCCCGCCCGCGGCGCAGAGCCTCTGGGGCGAGGGTAGGCGCCCTGCAGCGCAGAGAGGGGCTGCCCCTGGACAAGCCGGGAGTTCTTGTTCTTCCCATGGCGAAACGGCCTCTTTTGCCGCGGTAGTTGTTTCCAGTCCCGGCAAAGCAGGTCCTGTCCGGCTGGATACTGTGACTGTGCAGTCTACCAACAGCGAGAATCAGTTCAAGCAGGGAGAAAGTTGTTCGGAGAAGGGGCGAGGAGTCCGGGGCTCCGCGCGGGGGACCCAGGAACCAGGTGTCCGCGCTTGGGCGGCAGCGAGGCTGCGTGGCGGTTGCGGCAAGAACCACTGCTCACTCGGCCCCGGATCGGGCCGGCTTGGACTGGGCTGCCCTGCATAGGGGGGAACCTTCCCGCACAACTAAGTTGCCATTCGGTCTTTGGAGGAGGGGGCTTGGGATGGGAATTTCGCACCCCTTTGCCTCTTCCCGCTCCTACCCTCGCCGACGCATTTACTTTATTTAGAGCCCCTACCTTCTCAGTCGTTTAAATGTTACTGTTTTTATTAGTGACATACCTGTGAGTCACCTTTTAAAATATGAAGTACCTATGCAAATTTGAATTATATGGTAAAAACACATCACCTTTACAATGAAAACAGCTTCTTTTAAGGCAACGAAATAACAATTGACTATAATGCTAAATGTATCCGCTGAAAAAAGCCTACTTGCACATGAGAATTACACGTTTTTCTGCAACATTTATATGTAGCGACTTGGAAACTTCTGGAAATCTAGAAGATTCTGACGAGGAGACAAATTTCTGATACTTAAAGACTCCATGGTTCTGTGGGTGGAGAAATAAAAACTCTAAGTTCTGATAAGATGTTTTAGAATTCAACTAAAACAATAAAATATTAAGAGTAAAATAGGGAAGTAAGAAAGAGGAAGAGAAACAAAGAAAGGAAATAATTTACAGCAATCTCAGAAATTTAATTCCAAATTGCCAGAAGGTAAGTCTTAAGTATATAAAACTAAATTTCAAAACAAACTGAAAAAAAGAGGGAGAAGATGAAGATGGCTGTCTCAGTTCACACTGCTCTGACTCAATTTTGGATTTAATACTAAACTTCATTTGGCAAACCAATAGAAGTCAATACATTTTTTTAATTTTCTTAATTTTTTTGTTGTTGGTAAACACAGGGGCTTGCTATGTTGCCCAGGCTGGTCTTGAACTCTTGGCCTCAAGCAATCCCTGCCCGCCCCCCTCCCTTGGCCTCCCAAAGTGCTGGGATTACAAGTGTGAGTCACCACACCTAGATAAATCAATACATTTTAAAGATTTTTTTGTAGCTAATGACTTTCGTGATTGTTTTCTCTCCTTTGCCCCACACTTCCAATCCATTACTGAGTGCTTTTGCTTCTGGCTCTATAATATCTCTCTAATGTATCAAATTCCTCTTTATACCCACTACCACTATCTTGTTTCAGGCCACTATCATTTCAAATCTTGCATACTGCCTAAGTCACCTAACCAGTTTCCCAGGCCGCAGTTTTATCCCCTTCTAATCCAGTCTTTACAACGTCATCAGTTTGTCTTTTATGTACTCCACTATTTAAATTTCTGTAATGGCACTCTCTGACTCTTGATATAAAGTCCAAACCACTTAAAATGTCTTGTAAGATCCTTCTTGATTTAGCCACCAGTCACAAACTGGCTGTTTTTGTTTGCCTAACATAATGGGGATTTCCTTTTTTCCTCTTTTTTTTTTTTTTTTTTTTTTTTGAGAAAGAGTCTCCCTCTGTCTCCCAGGGTGGAGTGCACTGGTGTGATCTCGGCTCGCTGCAACCTCTGCTTCCTGGGTTCAAGCGATTCTCCTGCCTCAGCGTCCCAAGTAACTGGGACTATAGGTGTGCACTACCACGCCTGGCTGATTTTTATATTTTTAGTAGAGATTAGTTTTTGCCATGTTGGCCCGGCTGGTCTCGAACTCCTGACCTAAAGTGATCTGCCTGCCTCGGCCTCCCAAAGTGCTGGGATTACAGACGTGAGCCACCACGCCCAGCCCTTTTCTTTTTGAGACAGAGTCTTGCTCTATTGCCCAGGCTGGGGTGCAGTGGTGCAATCATAGTTCACTATAACCTCAACCTCCTAGGCTCAATGAATATTCCCACCTCAGCCTCCTGAGTAGCTAGGACTGTAGGCACATGCCACCATGCCAGGCAGTTTTTTTTTTTTTTTTTTTTATAGAGACAGGGGTCTTCTATATTGCCCAGGCTGATTATGAACTCCTGGACCCAAGCGATCCTCCTGCCTTGGCCTCCCAAAGCACTGGGATTACAGGTGTGAGCCACTGTGCCTGACCATGTTTTTTTCTTCTAATTAAATTTGAATTTGTTTTCATTGGTTATGAGGTCCCCAATTCATTGCGGTCCAAAACTCACAAAGCTGTCTGTTTTAAACCAGACTTCCTCGCACAATGTTACCTGCCTGTCTTTGGAATGACTTGCATCCAGTGTCCTAGCCCTGCTTACCTCTCCAATCTCATTTCTACCCACTGCCTTTCTCTATTTCTTGTCCTTTATATTCAGGTCATTCTGCAGTACTTTTGTGTCCCAGAACAGACGGCTATGCTATTTATTACATTGGAACATTGCCAAGCTAAATCCAATTAATCCTTCAGAACAAAGCCTATTTGTTCCCTCCAAGACGTTTTCCCTAAACCCCCTTGATGCAAATCCTAGGTGCTTTTTGGTGCTCTTTCCCATTTCTCACTTAACACCCATTGCAGATATCTCTTCAAACACACATTTCACTATTGCTACTTAAGTTTACTTATAAGTATCCTCCAACTGGACTGTAAAACTCCTTGAGGTCATAGTGAGGGACTTAATCTTTGTGTCCCTAATGCCAGGCAGAGTGGCTTTCACATGGTAGTCATTCATTAAGCAGTGCCTACCATTAGTATTACTATTGAATAAATGGGACAGATGGATGAACAACTGGCAAGAGAGTTGACACTTGTAAGAAACTGCATGCACTGGCAGGGCACAGTGGCTTATGCCTGTAATCCCAGCACTTTGGGATGCCAAGGTGGGCTGATCGCTTGAGTCCAGAGTTTGAGCATGGTGAAACCCCATCGCTACAAAAAATACAGAAAATTGGCTGGGCTTGTATTCCTAGCTACTCAGGAGGCTGAGGTGGGAGGATTCTTTGAGCCTGGGTTGGGGGGTTGAGGCTGCAGGGAACCATGATCGCACCACTGCACTCCAGCCTGGGTGACAGAGAGAGACCCTGTCTCAAAAAAGAAAAATTGCTTGTGCTGTAGTTAAGCATGGTGGATACAACTCATCTTATTTGTTGCAAAAACTCAACAAGTTATTCCGTATCTCTACAGTCATGCATCACATAACCATAGGGATACATTCCGAGAAATTCATCATTGGATGAGTTTGTCTTTGTGTGAACATCGTAGAATGTACTTACACAAACCTAGATAGTATAACTTACTCTCTGGGCTATATGGTATAGCCTGTTGCTCCTGGACTACAAACATGTACAGCTTATTACTGTAGTGAATACTGTAGAAAACTGTAACAATGGGAAGTATTTGTGTATCTAAACAGAAAAAATACAGTAAAAATATGGTATTGTAATCTATGGGACCACTGTATATGCCATGTTATTGATCAAGTGTCACTATTTGGCACATGACTAAGTTTTTCAGCTTTGCTGTCACTCATTGAATATTTGTAAGACCCTTCCCTGGATCTTCTTGTGCCATCCCAGAAATTTCTAACTGAGATCCACGGATCCTTTATCATAGATAGGAACTCCACAAATCCCCCTGAAATCATATGCAAAATTTTGTGGTTTCATTTCTCCTTTTTTGTGGGAATAGATAACACAGGCGTGTGAGGGTCTCTACACCTTCCCTGGCTGACATCCGCTTTGACAGCTTCAACTGCATCTATGTCACCAACTCCTTTTTTTTATATAGGCAAGCTTTATTGTATATGAACTTGATTTCACATGCAAAGTTAGAATTACAATTTCACCTAAAATTAACTCATTAAAATATATAAACATCACAGTATAGAAAGGTTATCCAAAACTCCAAAAGGTAGTGAAACTGGTAACAGATATTGCTACTCATTTTTGGGCAGATACAACAGTATTAATGAAACTGGTTCCCGGACAAGTATGTACCACTTGTTCCTGTACCTTAAGGAGGAGAGGATGTTATAACACAGGCATTATTGATGCAGCGATTCATGGATAATTGCTCCTTATTAACACTGCTAAAATTAGGTTCACATTTTTTACTTTGTGTGGGAGCTGATGACTCTTGTCCTTTTGTTTTTTGAGGGATATCTTTCAGTGGGTTGACATCAAACCCACTCATTTCAAAATGCATCACAGATGGAAATTTAAGCCTCTTCACAAAGCAAACCACTGTTAAGGTTTGGATAGGTAGTATCCAACTTTGGTGTATAAGTGATCTCCAAGAACATGGCAGCATCGTTTCTTTGGAACATAATTTTCTTGATCCCACAAGAAGTGACAGTATAAGAAAACTCAAAGTTAAATGACAACAGTGAGTTAAATGACAGGACAGTTATCTCCCAGGCGCATGTCCCCAATTCTAATTTCTGTGTTATCAAAGGGCCTTATTTTCATTCTAACAACCAATCATCAGAAACTATTGAAACTATTCAATAGTCAAACCAACTGTTGAAATTATTGCTGGATCGAGTCCAGAAGAATTCCAAAACAATAAAGAAAAGAGGAAGGACTTGCCTAAGAGCACAGAGGTCTTCATCGCTCCAGACTCCAAGACACAACACAGGGACCAGGAAATAGCTGTATGTCACCAACTTTTAAGTGAGGCAGGCTAAACACCCACAGGTCTATCACAGAAACTCATTATATTTTTCTTCCTCACTGCCTCAGATAATCCCCTTGCCACAGACCTATTATGACTATGTATAGTATTACCAGACACTGGTTTCTGGGTTTTAAGTCACCGAGGACTCCTTCCCTTCCTCGACTCTAGTTTTGGAGTCACCAAATCCAGTTCATTCTATATCATAAGGCATTTCCAAGTTGATGCCTTAACTCTTGTTATCCCTTAGTACAGACCATCATCTTATTTTATCCAAACTCTTGACATCGCCTCTGCTCCTTCTAGTTCAGTCTCTCTACCACTCCTAGAGAGTTACCCCTCTCCCCCAAATCTGATTATGTCACCCCCTTTACCAAGTTTTGATTTCTTTGGCCAAGAGTATTTGCTTGACCAAACTTTAGTTAGGCTTGTGAACCTTCTCCTAGGTCCATCTGTGTCCTTCCTTATGAAATCCAGTTTTATCAAGAACTTTGCCAAGTCAGTTTAGCAAGAACCCCCCATCCTCAATATCTGATCCCTTCCCTTAAAAAAAAATAATAAAAGAAAAAGAAAGAAACAGGGTCTTGCTCTGTTACTCTGGCTGGAGTGCAGTGGTGCCGTCATGCCTCAGTGCCGCCTTAACCTTCTGGGCTTAAGTGACCCTCCTGTGTCACCTCACCTTCCCCAGTCACTGGGACTACAGGTGCACGCCACCACACCTGGCTAATTTTATTATTTGTAGACATGAGGTCTCACTATGTTGCCCTGGCTGGTCTTGAACTCCTGGGCTCAAGTGATACTCCTACATCAGCCTCCCAAAGTGCTGGGATTACAGGCGTCAGCCACTGTGCCCAGCCATGTAGTTTTATAATTACATTTTTATATCTGTTTTTCTCTTCAATAACTCTCCAAAATACTGAGCTTTTAAATTTAAAAGAGGCTGGGCGCAGTGGCTCACACCTGTAATCCCAGCACTTTGGGAGGCTGAAGCAGATGGATCACCTGAGGTTAGGAGTTCAAGACCAGCCTGCCCAACATGGCGAAACCCCATCTCTACTAAAAATACAAAAAATTAGCCAGGCCTGGTGGCAGGTGCCTGTAATCTCAGCTACTTGGGAGGCTGAGGCAGGAGAATCGCTTGAACCCGGGAGGAGGAGGTTGCAGTGAGCCAAGATAGCACTACTGCACTCCAGCCTGGGAGACAAAAGAGGGAAATCCATCTCAAAAAAAAAACAAACAATAATTTTTTAAATGGTCTATTATTTTCTTTTTCTTTCTTTTCTTTTCTTTCTTTTCTTTTTTTTTTTTTTTTTTTTTTTTGAGACATGATCTCACTGTGTCACACAGGCTGTAGTGCAGTGGCACCGTCTCAACTCACTGCAGCTTCAACTTCTGGGCTCAGGTGATATCCCTACCTCAGCCTCCTGAGTAGCTGGGACTATGGACTTGTACTACCATGCCTGGCTAATTTATGTGTCTTTTGTAGAGACCAGAGTTTCGCCATGTTGCGCAGGCTGGTCTCAAACTCTTGGGCTTAAGCGATCTTCCTGCCTTGGCCTCCCAATGTGTTGGGACTATAGGTGTGAGCCACAGTGCTCAGCCTTTCCTATTATTTTCTTAGCACATTAGTTGGATTAGTTGGAGAATCCTTCATTCTGAGTCTTAGTGGAGGCAAAGCCCACCTCACACTTTGGAAACTGGTGCAGGCCAAAGTCCTTCTCTTCATGACCTGGCAGCTAGGGTATAGGCATGACATGAAACATAGGCTAAGCCAACTAGATGCTCTCACCTGAAATCTGCAGTTTGGACAGAGATGCAAAGATGACGTGATAGAGAGTGGTGATTCACAATGGTGCACGTGGTTGTAGCAGCCAGGGTCTGCAGCAGTGCCAACAGTGACATCCTAAAGGATGGCCCTATACCTTTTACAAACCTGGTTCTTCACTGTTCCCAGTGATTCTGTGAGCTACATCATATTCTTTCAATACATTCTCTTTCTGGATAAGTTAATCAGAGTTCATTTCTGTTGCCTTCAACCAACAACCCCAGTAGATTTGGAGAAGTTATATTATTATTCCCATTTTACGTAAAAGGAATGAGTAGGTGCTTAAGTGTTTATTTAATAAATAAGTAAGCGAGATATCTACAATTCAGCAGCTTTTAACAGTTTTGTTTTTCTCAGTTATTAACAAATCTGCGCTAATGTTTATCATCTGGAATGTATAGGGAATTAAGCAGGTTCCCTACACTATATCTTAACTCATACCCACACACCATCAACATCTGCATCTACCGTACATTATCATGAAAAAAACCCTAATGTTTAGTGTAGTAATTGTGAAAATCATAAATCTTTTTTTTTTTTTGAGATGGAGTCTCACTCTGTTGCCCAGTCTGGAGTGCAGTGGCACAATCTTGGCTCACTGCAAGCTCGGCCTCTGGGTTCCCACCATTCTCCTGCCTCAGCCTCCCGAGTAGCTGAGACCACAGGTGCCCGCCACCACACCTGGCTAATTTTTTGTATTTTTAATAGAGACGGGGTTTCACTGTATTAGCCAGGATGGTCTCAATCTCCTGACCTTGTGATCCACCCGCCTCAGCCTCCCAAAGTGCTGGGATTACAGGCGTGAGCCACCAAGCCCAGCAAATCTTTTCTTTTTTTTTTTTTTTTGAGATAGAGTCTCGCTCTGTCACCCAAGCTGGAGTGCAGTGGTGCAATCTCAGCTCACTGTAACCTCTAACTCCCGGGTTCAAGCTATTCCACCTCAGGCTCCCGAGTAGCTGGGATTACAGGTACATGCCATCACGCCTGGCTAATTTTTGTATTTTTTAGTAGAGATGGGGTCTTACCATGTTGCCCACGCTGGTCTCGAACTCCTGGCCTCAAGTGATCCACCCACCTCGGCCTCCCAAAGCGCTGGGATTACTGGCATGAGCCACTGTGCCTGTCCCATAAATCATTTCTTTAAAAAGACTGAATAATGTTTATTGTCCTGAATTTACTCTAAAAAGAAAGTAGGCTGGCCGGGCGTGGTGGCTCATGCCTGCAATCCCAGCACTTTGGGAGGCCAAGGTGGGCGGATCACTTGAGGTCAGGAGTTTGAGACCAGCCTGGCCAACATGATGAAACCCCATCTCTACTAAAAATACAACAATTAGCTGGACGTGGTGGTGGGCGCCTGTAATCCCAGCTACTCAGGAGGCTGAGGCAGGAGAATCATTTGAACCCAGGAGGTGGAGGTTGCAGTGAGCCGAGATCACGCCATTTCACTCCAGCCTGGGCAACAAGAACAAAACTCCATCTCAAAAAAAAAAAGAAAAAAGAAAGTAGGCTAATGTATTTTAGAAAGACTTTCAATATAAACGACTAAAATTAAAGCAGAAATGTGTTTTATCAATAGATAATTTTTAAACCTTTCTTAACCAGATTACCACACATCTCTTAACATTCCAGCTTCTGGAGATTTCACTATCATTTCTCTAATTTTAATTCCTAGCTGGGCCAAGTGGATGACTAATGGCTGTAATCCCAGCACTTAGGGACTCTTAGGATCACTTCAGCCCAGGAGTTCAAGACCAGTCTGGGCAACATAGAAAGACCCTATCTCTATAAAAAATAAAATATTAAAAAATAAATTTAAACAGCTAGTCTGTTTGAACTGTTCCAGCAGCATTATAATTCACAGTAAACTGAAAACAATAGCACATATAACTAAAGATTATCACCTCAAGTATCTTAATTGAAATGTCAAATATTTTAATAATAATATTTCATCTACTTTGTCCTATTTTAGCTCAAGTGTGGTAATTTGAAGAAAAGAGGAGAGTTGATCATTTTTTTTCAAACTGAGCCAAGTGTAACCTAAACAGGTTGTAGAAATGAAAAGAAAGCAAATGAGTGAAGGCCTGATATGGTTTGGCTGTTTCCCCACCCAAATCTCATTTTGAATTCCCACGTGGTGTGGGACGGACCAGGTGGGAGGTAACTGAATCAGAGAGGCAGGTCTTTCCCCTGCTGTTCTCATGACAGTGAATAAGTCTCGTAAGATCTGATGGTTTGGAAAAACAGGAGTCTCCCTGCACAAGCTCTCTCTTTGCCTTGCTGCCATTCATGTAGGAGGTGACTTGCTCCTCCTTGCCTTCTGCCATGATTGTGAGACTTCCCCAGCCATGTGAAACTGTAAGTCCAATTAAACCTCATCTTTTGTAAATTGCCCAGTCTTGGGTATGTCTTTATCAGCAGCGTGAATGGACTAATACAAAGCCATTCTAAAGGAGCAGAATTATGTTAGAATTTATTCTATTACTCAGTGAATAGTGTGAGGAGGAATGACAGCACTTGACACCAAGGTGAGGAGCCACCAAGGTGAGGAACCTGCATCCAGGCCTGTCTCTAGAGGACTGTGACCTGGATAAATCACATAATCTCTCTGAGATTCAGTTTACTCATCTATAAAATATGATAATGCCTCCTCCATAGGGTAATGATTAAATAACATAATGCAAAAATAAAAGCATTTTGCAAACTACCAAGAGGTCTACAAATAGCATACTATCAATGCCCATGTATAGAAAAAGTACACAAATAATAAATCATTTAAAAGAATACATTCATATCTAATCTTGTACTTGTTAAATGCTAGAAAATTTTGTATATGTATTTGAACAAGAAAAAAGTAGCTCTCTAAATATAAAACCGAGGCAGGAGGATCACTTGTGAGTAGGAATTTTAGACCAGCCTGGGTAACGTAGGAAGACTCCATCTCTACCAAAAAAAAAAAAAAAATTTAGCTGGGCACACATGTGGTATCAGCTACTTGGGAGGCTAAGGTGGGAGGGTCACTTGAGCCTGGGAGATTGAGGCCATAGTGAGCCATGATCATGGCACTTCCCTCCAGCCTGGGCCACAGAGCAAGACCCTGTCTCAAAAAAAAATAAAACCAGCCCAGAGCAGTGGCTCATGCCTATAATCCCAGCAATTAGGGAGGCCAAGGCAGGAGGATCACTTGAGCCCAGGTGTTTCAAACCAGCATGGGCAACAGAGGGAGACTCTGTCTCTACCAAAATAAAAAATTAAAAAAAAAAAAAAAAGGCCAGGCGGTGTTGATGCATGCCTGTAGTCCCAACTACTTGGGAGGGTAAGGTAGGAGAATCACTTGAGCCCAGGAGATTGAGGCTGCCGTGAGCCATGATCATACCACTGCACTCCAGCTTGGGTGACAGAGTGAGACCCTGTCTCAAATAAAAATAAATAAAATAAATACTAACATGTATTTGAAATTAGTTTTGTTTTAAATGCAGAGATTAATATGAGAAGTCAATTATAGAATTTCTTTGTTATATGCAGTTTTGATGAAATCTGAATGTTAAAAATGTATAGAACTGTATATAAGAAATATAACTTCTAAAATGTTTTCCTCCTTTAAAGATGTCTTCCTACTGTAGCGATACTACTCCCAGGAACAAAATAAGAAAAGTAGAATGGAGCCGGGCATGCTGGCTCACGCCTGTAATCCCACCACTTTGGGAGGCCAAGGCGGGTGGATCATTTGAGGTTAGGAGTTTGAGACCAGCCTGGCCAACGTGGTGAAACCCTGTCTTACTAAAAATACAAAAATTAGCCAGGCGTGGTGGTGGGCACCTGTGGTCCCAGCTACTCCGGAGGCTGAGGCAGGAGAATCGCATGAACCCGGGAGGCGGAGGTTGCAGTGAGCCAAGATTGCGCCATTGCACTCTAGTCTGGGTGACAGAGCGAGACTCCATCTCAAAAAAAAAAAAAAAAAAAGTGGAATGGGCGAGGTGGCTCACTTCTGTAATTCCAGCACTAGCCAGATATGGTGGCACACACCTGTAGTTCCAGTTACTCAGGAGGCTGAGACGAAACGATCACTTGAACCCAAAAGTTTGAGGCTGCAGTAAGCTATGATTATGCCACTGCACTCCAGTCTTGGTGACAGAGGGAGACTCTGTCTCAAAAAAGGAAAGTAGTTGAATACATATTATTGTTGTGTGTATATATACATATGTGTGTGTGTGTGTGTGTGTGTGTCTTTTTTTTGAGACAGTCTTGCTCTATGACCCAGGCTAGAGTGCAGTGGCAAGATCTCAGCTTACTGCAACCACCACCTCCTGGGTTCAAGCGATTCTTGTGCCTCAGCCTCTGGAGTAGCTGGGATTACAGCCATGCATCACCACGCCCAGCTATATTTTGTATTTTTAGTAGAGACAGAGTTTCACAGTGTTGGCCAGGCTGGTCTCAAACTCCTGACCTCAAGTGATCTGCCCACCTCAGCTACCCTAAGTGCTAGAATTACAGGCATTACTGTTGTATATTATGACTAAATAATAACAACTGAATAAATGGATATTATTTAATTTAAAAAATCAAATATCTGACTCAAGCTTTGAGAAGGTAGACAAAATAGCTTAAATTAAATTTGAAAGAAGGAAATCATAAATATATATTTGCTATAGATAGATCATCTGTATATATTAGGCATAAATACCAGGAAAAAAATGAAAAAAAATCTGGTGGCACAATTCTGAAAGGTAAATTTTCTACAGTCTACATATTTCTGAACATACAGTCCAGAACATACACCAAAAAAATTATGGTGTTTAAAATCTGTAAAATTGTGTTTTTATACATTAATCCTAAATAGGTCATAATTTAAGCATTTTCAATGATTGGTTGACCCTTATTTAGACATTAATATTATAAACATAATTCTATCCTCAGATTGAATTTAATGCCCACAGGAAATAATCTGTGCAATTCTCTATTTTAGCACACTTTTTATTCTATTGAATGTTATATGCCTATGATCTCACTGAGATTTTGTTTCTCTTTGCATATACAGAGCCAGCTGGGACATAAAAGGCATATACTCAGTAAATGTTTGTGGAATGGATTGAGCTGAATGAATTCTAGCTTTATTAGGTTCATACTCTTAACGGTGCAGGTCCTTCAGAAATGAACCTTTTTTTGTTTTTTTGGAGACAGAGTCTTGCTCTGTTGCCAGGCTGGAGTGCAGTGGCGTGATCTTGGCTCACTGCAAACTCCACCTCCTTGGTTCAAGCGATTCTCGTGCCTCAGCCTCCCAAGTAGCTGGGATTACAGGCATGCGCCACCACACCCAGCTAATTTTTGTATTTTTAGTAGAGACAGGGTTTCACCATGTTGGCCAGGATGGTCTTGATCTCCTGACCTCGTGATCTGCCTGCCTCGGCCTCCCAAAGTGCTGGGATTACAGGCGTGAGCCACTGCATCCGGCCAGAAATGAACATTATTTTTAGAACTTTTTAGAGCTTTGTTATAGAAGAGAGGGGGCTTTGCTCAATTCTCCATGGAGACATTAAATTTAAATAACTATTCCACAGGTGATTCAATCTTTATAAAGTATATATAATTTTTTTTTCTTTAAAATGAATTTTCATAGTACTTGTAAATTTTTTTCTCACCCATGGACTTGGGTCACAGTACTTATTTTTATTTTTATTTTTTTTTTTTTGAGGCAGGGTCTTGTTCTGTCTCCCATCTGGAGTGCAGTGGCCCAATCATGGCTCACTGTAGTATTCACCTACCAGGCTCAAGCGATCCTCTCATCTCAGCCTCCCAAGTAGCTGGGACTACAGGCGTACACCACCACACCTGGCTAATATTTTGTATTTTTTGTAGAAATGGGATTTTGCCATGTTGCCCAGGCTGGTCTCAAACTCCTGAGCTCAAGCATTCCACCCCGCTCAGACTCCCAGAGTGCTGGGATTACAGGCGTGCCTGGCCTAGAATTTGTAATTTTTAATTTCACCAATTATCCTTCAATTTTACACATGTAAAATATTCTATGATGTTGCTAGTTTACAAAAAATAAATTGTAACTTTTCTCAAGGTTATGAGTACAATATTCAAAGTTGATACTGTGTAAATAAAAAATTACTATGTATATAATATAAAAAGACAAGAAAATATTGGGGGTGGGGAGTACTATTTAAAGAAATTAGTGATACCTTGTATTCTCCTGAAAATGTTTGTTAAATAAATTAAAAGTTTGTTAGTGGTTGGTTTCCTAGTCTTAAAAATAGTAGTATCTTGAAATAGATCAAGGAAGTATTGAGTCATCACTGACCAGGAAGTTCCTAATTAAATATGTGTCAGAGTTAAATATTATCCTACAGTTAATAATAAACATAAGTTTGAAGTGAACAAAGCATGAAATGAATTCACAAAGTAATAACTTGAATTCATTCACTAAGGCTTTATTAAGATTTACCAAATTATTATTATATTAGTTAGCCTTTGCTATGTAGCCAACAAAGTCTCAGCAAAATCTCAATGCATTTACAAAAACCATTTGTTTCCTTCCTGGTAAGTAAGTATACAGGTCACCAGGGCAACTCCAGTAGTCTGCTAGTCAATTCAGTCTGTTTATGTGTCTCGTTCTGGGGTGTAAGATGAAGGTCCAGTGGCTACCTGAGGCATGTTCTCCTGTTTTCTTAGGTCAGAAACATGTGGTGCCTCTTAAAGCCTAGCATCAGAATTGGCATACTGTTACTTCTGTACACATTTGATTGTCAAAAAAAAAGTCAGATGGCCTATCTTAGATCAATGAGGCAGGATGAATAGTCTTATAATGAATGTGTGGGGAGCAAATATTTGCTGAATAATAAACTAAATATATATATTATATATTTATATGTAATATAAATATATAATATATAATATAAATATATATGTGTGTGTGTATATATATATATATATACATAGAGAGAGAGAGAGAGTACATTTCCCAACAATCTATAGGTCAAAGTGGTCTATTAAAAAGGATTGAGGCTGGGTGTGGTGGCTTATGCCTGTAAACCCAGCACTTTGGGAGGCTGAGGTGGGTGGATCACCTGAGGTCAGGAGTTCGAGACCAGCCTGGCCAACATGGCAAAACTCCATCCCTACTAAAAATACAAAAATTAGCTGGGGATGGTGATGCACACCTGTAGTCTTGGCTACTCGGGAGGCTGAGGCAGGAGAATTACTTGAACCCAGGAGGCAGAGGTTGCAGTGAGCTAAGATTGCACCACTGTACTGCACTCCAGCCTGGGCAACAGAGCAAAACTTCATCTCAAAAAAATAAAAATAAAAAAAGATTGAAGCCTGCTCAGTGATCCCAGCTACTTGGGAGGCTGAGGCAGGAGGATCACTTGAGTCCAGGAGTTTGAATTGAATCCAGTCTATGCAACATAGTGAAACCTCATTTGATATAGTTTGGACATTTATCACCATCCAGATCTCATGTTGGATTGTAATCCCCAATGCTATAGGTGGGGCCTGGTGGGAGGTGTTTGGGTCATGGGGGTGGATCCCTCGTGGCTTGTGCTTGGTGCTGTCTTTGTGACCATGAGTTTTCATGAGATCTGGTCATTTAAAAGTGTATGGCACCTTCTCCTTCCCTCCACCTCTCCTCCTTCCCCTCTCACACCCCTCTCCATCCCCATCTTTCATGCTCCTGCTTTCTCTGTGAATTGCCTGCTCCCACTTTGCCTTCTGCCATGATTGAAAACTCCCTGAGGCTTCACCAGAAACTGAACAGAGGCCAGCACCATGCTTCCTGTAAAGCCTGCAAAACTGTGAGCCAATTAAACCTCCTTTCTTTATAAATTATCCAGTCTCAGGTATTTCTTTTTTCTTTTTTGAGACGGAGTCTTGCTGTGTCACCCAGGCTGGAGGGTAGTGGTGTGATCTTGGCTTGCTGCAGCCTCTGCCTTCCAGGTTCAAGCGATTCTCCTTCCTCAGCCTCCCGAGTAGCTGGGACTACAGGTGCACACCACCACGCCCAGCTAATTTTTGTATTTGTAGTAGAGACAGGGTTTCACCATGTTGGCCAGGCTGGTCGAACTCCTGACCTCAGGTGATTCGCTCACCTCGGCCTCCCAAAGTTCTGCGATTACAGGCGTGAGCCACCACACCCAGCCCATTCTCACGTATTTCTTTATAGCAATGCAGGAACAGCCTAATACATCATCTCTAAAAAGAAGGGTGAGGATTTGGTAGATTAAGAAATGCATGTGGGAGGCTTTGGACATACTGGTAATTTTTTTTAACCTGGGTAATGAATTATACAGATGGGTTATCTTAGTAATAATACATTGAGCTGTACATTCATTCATGATCTGTGCACTTTTTCTCTACATGTAAACCTATAAAAGGGAAACTATTTCCCTATAACACTCACAGAATACTTCTGACACCAAATGTATGTAGTAATTCTCCAACTATTCCAACAACTGGGTATCCTACAATTTAATTCAATTCTGACACTGTCTACCTGGTGTCAGACCTCCCTGGTTAAGGGCTCAATCCCCAAGACTGCCACCATTTCAGATGACAGTCACAAGTCCCAGGTTGTCACCTGCACTTCTGACAGACCATCTATCATGATCCTCACCTCAGGTTTGATAATTTGCAAAAGTAGCTCACAGAACTCAGGGAAACATTTGTTTATGTTTACCAGTTTAGTTTAAAGGACACAACTCAGGAATGGTCAGACAGATGGAAGATATGCATAGGGCAAGGTATGTGTAAGAAGGGGCTCAGATCTTCTATGCTCTTGCCAGATATACCATCTTCCTGACATGTGAATTCACTCACCAACCCAGAAGTTCTGTGAACCCCATCATTTAGGATGTTTATGTAGACTTCATTATGTAAGCATGATTGATTAAGTCATTTGGCCTTTGATGATTAAGGTAACCTCCAGCATTTCTCCCCTACCTGGAGATCAGGGGTGGAGGCTGAAAGTTCCAACCCTCTAATGACATTGTTGGTTCCTCTGGCAGCCAGCCCTCCCATTCTAAGAGGCTTTACAAAAGTCACTTTATTAATATAAGCCAAAGAGTGGTTGAAAAAAGCTTGTTCTAATAAAAAAGACACTCTATATAAGTAGGTATTTTTTGGGCAGGGTGGGGTGGTAGGGTCTTGTTTTGTCACCCAGGCTAGAGTGCAGTGCTCTGATCACAGCTCACTGCAGCCTCAACCTCCTGGGCTCAAGCAATCCTCCTACCTCAGCCTCCTTAGTAGCTGGGACTACAGACACACACCACCAAGCCTGGCTACTTTCTGTATTTTTTGTTGATACGGAGTTTCACCATGTTGCCCAGGCTGGTCTCAAACTCCTGGGCTCCAGC
Organism: Homo sapiens; assembly: GCF_000001405.40. Classification (NCBI taxonomy): domain Eukaryota; kingdom Metazoa; phylum Chordata; class Mammalia; order Primates; family Hominidae; genus Homo; species Homo sapiens. The sequence continues at coordinate 75,733,036 of NC_000006.12, read as the reverse complement.
TATCCACTTGCCTCGGCCTTCCAAAGTGCTGGGATTACATGCATGAGCCACCATGCCTGGTTCTGTGTTACATTTTTTGAACTAAAAGTTGATAATTTAAAAAATACAAGGCCGGGTGTGGTGGGTCACACCTGTAATCCCAGCACTTTGGGAGGCCAACGGGGGTGGATCACCTGAGGTCAAAAGTTCGAGACTAGCCAGCCAACATGGTGAAACCCTTTCTCTACTAAAAATACAAAAATTAACCAGGTATGGTGGCGCACATGTAGTCCCAGCTACTCAGGAGGCTGAGGCAGGAGAATCGCTTGAACCTGGGAGGCAGAGGTTGCAGTGAGCTGAGATCGCACCACTGCACTCCAGCCTGGGCAACAAGAGTGAAACTCCGTCTCAAAAAAAAAAAAAAAAAATACTGCTGAGCATGTGGTGCATGCCTGTAGTCCCAGGTATTTAGGTATTTAGGAGGCTGAGGTGGGATGATCACTTGAGGCCAGGAGTTCCAGGGCAGCCTGGGCAACATAGGTAGTTGTTGTCTCTAAAATAAATAAATAAAATTTTAAAAATAACGTTCATAATTTATTCAAGAGGTATATACATCAATATATCCAAGTTGGCTCTAGAAAAAATTTTACTCTTGTGTATTTAAATCTTTTGAAGCATAAAATACTAAAACCTTAGTGTTATTATTCATATTGTGGATGATAATATCAAGTAGTGGACTTTAAGGAGCACCAGAAAAAGAATAAGATAGAAATTATCAGAACAAATCTCTTTAAAAAGGTAAAGAATTGTTTTCTGAAGCTTTTTAGTTGAGTGTTTGTGGGTGGAGGGAGCTGTATGGAGAACTGTATTTTATATAGGAATTTAATTGAAAATATATTTATCAATGATGTCCTGTTAACAAGTCTGACAAAGGATAAAAAAAAATCTGACAGCCATTGCCTATCCCAGAAAAGACAGAATCTTCAGTTCATAAATCTGGTCTTGTTCTGGGATTTTTAGGTTACTTGGCAATTTGAGGAAATTATGACCAGTGCTGTATCTAGACTAGAACAATTTCTCCCTAGGAGGTTTATGGTTATCCTATTTATAGCCAACTTTCTCAAGATTTAAGGATTAAAAATAACTGACTGGGCTGGGCATGGTGGCTCATGCCTGTAATCCCAGCATTTTGGGAGCCCAAGGTGGGTGGAACACTTGAGGTCAGGAGTTTAAGACCAGCCCGGCCAACATGGTGAAACCCTGTCTCTACTAAAAATTCAAAAATTAGCCCAGCATGGTGGCAGGTGCCTGTTATGCCAGCTACTCGGGAGGCTGAAGCAGGAGAATTGCTTGAGTTTGGGAGGCAGAGGTTGCAGTGAGCCAAGATCATGCCACTGTACTCCGGCCTGGGTGACAGAGCAAGACTCTGTCTCCAAATAATAATAGTAATAATGTTAATGATAATAACTGTTATAATAATCTGTGAATTAGCATCTCAAACCCTGCTAGTAACAGGCAGTAATTTTTTCAATTATTCTAATGAATAATTAGATTTCTGGCTCACTTCAGTACTCATTCATTATATTCCCTTTTCACCCTTTGTGTGTTGTAGGTGTGTCTTTTGCACATGGTCTTTCTCTGCCCCAGACTATTTCTTTAAACTCATCTCATTTTCATACTATCTTCCTCTGCAGATTCCATATTGATTTGTTTATAGTGACTTTGTCATACGTTTGGATATTTCTTTTTCTTTTTTTTGAGATGGAGTCTTGCTCTGTTGCCCAGGCTGGAGTGCAGTCGCACGATTTCGGCTCACTGCAGCCTCTGCCTCCCTGGTTCAAGTGATTCTCATGCTTCAGCCTCGCTGGGACCACAGGTGTGTGCCACCATGCCAAGCTAATTTCTTGTATTTTTAGTAGAGATGGGGTTTTGCTATGCTGGCCAGGTTGGTCTCGAACTCCTGGCCTCAAGTGATCCACCCACCTCTGCCTCCCAAAGTGCTAGGATTACAGGCGTGAGCCATTGCGCCCGGCCATGCTGATATTTCTTTTCCTGGCTTCCCTCAGGAATTTTTCCTTTGATCTAAGCTTTGAGGTTTTTTGTTTTTTTTTTTTTGTTTTGTTTTGTTTTTTTCAAGAGACAGGGGCTCACTGTGTCACCCAGGTTGAGGTGCAATGGTGCCATCATAGCTCACTACAATCTCAAACTCCTGGGCTCAAGCCATCCTCGTGCTTCAGTCTCCCAAAATGTTGGGATTACAGGCATAAGCCACAGCGCCTCGGCAAGCTTTGAGATGTTAAAATAAATTTAAGACACCACCACGAACACTACTGGCATTATATAAAATTGCATTATAGTAACAGAATACTAGAAAGGAATCAACATTTTACAGTATTTTGCCTTCCCTTCTGAGAACATGATTATCTGTTTCTTTCTGTTCTTTGTAAGTCTTGTGCTCATGGATGAGGCTGTGTAGTTCTCTCATTTGCCTTTTTTCTTAGTTTTATTCTAAGTATTTTAATAGTTGTTGGTTATTACGGTGAATTTTTCTTTCAATTCCTTTCCTACATTCTCATTGTTAGAATTAGTTTTTTATCTAGGCATAGCCCAATTATCTTATTTGTTCCAGGGGTATTAAAAAAAAGTTTTCTGAGCTTTCTAGTTTTATAACAATCTAATCAACAGAAATGTTCCTTTTATTTATTTTTCCAAAGGTTATACCAGTTATTTCATTTTTCTTATGTTAGAATATTTGCTGTATGTGAAAAATCAATATTGAATAGTATTGTCTATTTCTTGATATTTAAATAGTTTTTAGTGTTTTACTATTTAGTATATTATTTGTTACTTTTTTACATCTTTACTAGAATTTTTAGATTAAAGATATACTGGCTTTATAAATGATTTGGGATACCTTCACCGATTTGTATGCCCTAGAATAGTTCAAATTGCCTCAAATTTAGTGTTTTTAATTATTTTTATTTTATTTACTTATTTTTTAATTTTATTTTTGTTTTTGGAGACAGGGTCTTGCTCTGTTACCCAGGTGGAGTGCGGTGGTGTGCTGACGGCTCACCGTAGCCTTCATCCTGGCCTCAAGCCTAATCTCCTGGCCTCAAGAGATCCTCTCACCTCAGCCTACTGAGTAGCTGGGACCACAGGCCTGTGCCATCATACCAGCTAATTTAAAAAATATTTTGTAGAGCTGGGCTTGCCCAGGCTAGTCTCAAATTCCTGGGCTCAAGCAATCCTCGTGCTTTGGCCTCCCAGAGTGCTGGGAATACAGGTGTGAGCCACCACACCCAGCCCAAATTTAATTTAAAAATTCAAATCTAGCTGGACACAGTGGCCCAGCCTCTGGAATGACCCCACCTCTGGAAAAAAAAATTAAAAAAAAAAATTAAATGCAATAACTGATCTTGTGTAACCCTTTATTTGCCAGTATCTTCTAAGTGTACATAATCTAATCAAGTTGTTTACTTCTTGAGTTAGTTCTGATATTTTCTAACTTTCCAGAAATTTATGTATTTCTTTCAAGCTTTCAGATTGTAGTAATATAATTACATGATAAAGTCTTTTTTTCTTTTTTTCTTGCTCTGTTGCCCAGGCTACAGTGGCACCATCTCAGCTCACTGCAACCTCTACCTCCCAGGTTTGAGAGATTCTCCTGTCTCAGCCTCCCAAGTAGCTGGGACTACAGATGTGCACCACCATGCCCGGCTAATTTTTGTATTTGTAGTAGAGATGGGGTTTCACCATGTTGGTCAGGCTGGTCTCGAACTCCTGACCTCGGGTGATCCACCCACTTTGGCCTCCCAAAGTGCTGGGATTGCAGGCGTGAGCCACCTCGCCCGGCCATGTTAAAGTCTTTTTTAAGCCTTTCTGTATCTGTGATATGTCTCCTTTCTCCTATTTTCCTTTTTAAATTTTCTTTTTTTTTCTATCAGTCTCAAGAGTTTATCTAATTTATCTTTTCAAAAAAAAATCTAATTGTGACTTTATTTTTGGACAGAGTATGGTAGTGTAGTAGGAAGTTCCAATCATTAATGTTAACTTCTGTCTCAATTTCCTTTCCCAATTTATTTGAAAAAAAAAAGTATTCACTGTTCTGTTCCTAATTTTATTTTTGTATTTTAAAATATTTTGTAACTTAATGAACACACAAAACTTCATTGATAAGAACAATTTCATAAATTAATAAGTGTTAGGAAGTTGGGGGAGTGGTCAAGGTAATAGGAAGAGGGAAACAGCCAGTATTTTTGTACAGGTGCTGTTTCACAAATCACCAGATGTTCATAATTTTTTTTTTTTTTTTGAGATGAAGTCTCACTCTGTCGCCCAGACTGGAGAGCAGTAGTGCGATCTCAGCTCACTGCAACCTCTGCCTCTTGGGTTCAAGCGATTCTCCTGCCTCAGCCTCCTGAGCAGCTGGGATTACAGGTGCACACCACTGCACCGGCTAATTTTTTGTATTTTTAGTAGAGACGGGGTTTCACCATGTTGGCCAGGCTGGTCTTGACCTCCTGACCTCAGGTAATCCACCCACCTCGGCCTCCCAAAGTGCTAGGATTATAGGCGTGAGCCACCGGGCCCAGCCCTAATTTTTAACATGAAGTTTTAGTTTCTTTAATTTTTGTGTTTAATAATGAAGATGTTTAAACCTATACATTTCCTCTGAGTTCAGCTTTCACTATGTTCTACAGACAATCAATATAGAAATTTCAGGAATAAATTTCAGTAATATAATAATTTAATATATGACACACATGGGAATTCACTATAATGTGAAACAGGATTTTTAATAAGTAGTGCTGGCACAAATGACCATCTAGAAAATATAAAGTTTTAAATAGTATAGGCCAGGCAAGGTAGCTCACACTTGTAATCCCAGCACTATGGGAGGCTGAGGCAACCAGATTGCTTGAGCCCAGGAGTTAGAGACCAGCCTGGGCAATATGGTGAAACCCCATGTCTACAAAAATACAAAAATTAGCCAGATATGGTGGCACACGCCTGTAGTCCCAGCTACTCAGGAGGCTGAGGTGAGAGGATCGCTTGAGCCTGGGAAGTCAAGGCTGCAGTGAGCCAAGATTGGGCCACTGTACTCCAGCCTGGGCAATGGAGTGAGACCTTGCCTCAAAAACCAAACCAAACCAAACCGAACCGAACTGAACCGAACCAAACCAAACCTGTGTATGACAAGAGATATGGTTGTTATATTCTTTTTTTTTTTCTTTTTGAGACCGGGTCTCACTCTGTCGCCCAGGCTGGAGTGCAGTGGCCCAATCTTGGCTCATTGCAGTCTCGACCTCCCATGCTCAAGCGATCCTCCCACCTCAGCCTCCCGAGTGGCTGTGACTACAGGGACACACCAACACACTTGGCTAATTTTTAATTTTTTTGTAGAGATGAGATCTCACCACGTTGCTCAGGCCAGTCTTGAACTCCTGGGCCCAAGCAATCCTACTCCCTCAGCCTCTCAAAGTGCTGGGATTACAGGCATGAGCCACCACACGTGGCCATTTTTTTGTGTGTTTTTCAAAAGACAGGGTCTTGTGCTTTCACCAGGCTGGAGTGCAGTGGCATGATCATAGTTCACTGTAACCTCAAACTCCTGGGCTCAAGGGCTCCTCCCACCTCAGCCTCCTCAGTAGCTAGAACTGCAGGTGTGTGTCTCGCTATGTTGCCCAGGCTGGTCACAAACTTCTGGCCTTAAGCAATCCTTTTACCTTGGCCTCCCAAAGCACTGGGATTACAGGCATGAGCCACTGCACTCAGCCTCTGTAGTTTTATTACTTATATTTTAAAAGTTTTGCAAGAATTATGTGAGTAAATGTACTGTTCTGAGTCAAGAAGGAATGTCTTAACCAAGATTGAAAACTCAAAACATACATAAAAATAAAAACTTTGGTATGGAAAATATACCACAAAGTCTACAGACAATAAATTAGGAAAAAATACATTTGTAACACAGATGGCAATGTTATATGCAGAAAGCTTAAATATTAATTGGAAAAAAGACTAATCCAGTGGAGAATGGACAAATGATAGGCACAGCTAACACGGGAAAAAAAAAAGCCTCAAATTTAAACTAATGATGGGCCGGTCACGGTGGCTCATACCTGTAATCCCAGCACTTTGAGAGGCTGAGGCGGGTGGATCACTTGAGGTCAGGAGTTCCAGATTAACCTGGCCAATGTGGCGAAACACCGTTTCTACTAAAAATACAAAAATTAGCCTGGCGTGGTGGCATGTGCCTGTAATCCCAGCTACCTGGGAGGCTGGGGCAGGAGAATCCCTTGAACCCGGGAGGCGGAGGTTGCAGTGAGCACGAGATCATGCTACTGTGCTCCAGCCTGGGTGAGACAGTGAGACTTCATCTCAAAAAAAAAAAAAAAAAAATTAAACTAATGGTGAGGGAAATGCAAATCAAAGTAATAATGAAAGATAGCCTTATATGCAAAAGGCTTGCAAAATTAAAAGAGCTATAATACTTATTGTTGATTGGGATTCACGAGAAACTGTATTTTAATGGCTATAGAAAAGTTAGTCTTACATCCTTTTGGAAAAGAAGCTGGTAATAGCTACAAAAATTAAAAATACATATGACCTTTGATCCTACAATCCTTGGAAAACTATTCCAAAGAAATAAAACTACCAGCATATAGAGAATCAGAGAAATATTTTAGACAATGATAATTGCAAAAAACTGGAAACAAGTGAATGCCCATTAGTGTGGTAGTCACAAAATATTCCTCTCCTTTTGGAAATATGGTGAGAGTAAACTGATTTCTTCCTTCCGAAGTTAGGAGTGTCCACTGACTTTAGAGTGGTGCAGTGTGAATGGAAGTGATGTGACACTTTTGGGTAGAAGCTGGAAGAGTCAACGTGCTGCTCACCAGTTTCCCGTCCCACCCTCGAGTAGCTATGGAAGTTTGTATCAACCTAGAGCTTCATCAGTCTGGATAGGTGAGTAACTGATGAGCAGAGCTCCCCTATTTTCCTCTTTGGGGCATGCAGCATGACCAAAGAAAGGAAGCTTTCTGGGGAGGGTAAGTTCTGAGATTTTGGAATTGTTGCTGTTGCATAACAAGCCTATTGACACTGATAGAGCAAGGGAATAGATAAATAAATTGTGGTCCATCATAAAATAAACTTTAATTATACCAGATGGCATGGATTTCCACAAGATATGCTGAGACAAAAGAAAGATTCTGGAAAATGTTTTTTGTAATTATCCTAGTTTTTATAAGAAAAACCATTTAAAAATACACCTTTATACATGTATTACTATATATAGATGTATATAAGAGTATATGAATATAGGGAAAAATATGAAAGCATACAAAGTTAAAATAGGTTATAAAGGAAATTAAAATCCAGACTATAATAATTTAAAGAGCAAAGCTTTATGGTATGATCACATGACTCAAAGTTATTCACATTTAATTGTAATTACAAATAAAATACTGTTGGGTAGATATCATCAAAAAATTTCATACATGTTTCATTGAATGCTGATGCTTTGATGCTTGCTGCTTTCTTGGTCTTACCTGCATCAAGAGGTTTTCAAACACCTGGCTGAAAACACTACTAAGAAGCCATACATACATCCTTGTGGTCTTGCCTGAGACCTTGTTGGAAATGTAAATTTGAAGGCCCACTGGATACTCCCTGAATCGGAAACTCTGAGGACAGGGCCCAGTACTCTGCATTTTATCAAGCCTCCCAGGTGGTTCTTATGCAAACCCGTTTCCTTATTTGATGAAGTGTAGCTTTATTCCAGAGATTAAAATATGAGGAAACAATATCCGTCTTTTTTTTTTTTTTTTGAGACGGAGTCTTGCTGTGTTGCCCAGGCTGGAGTGCAGTGGCACGATCTTGGCTTACTGTAACCTCTGCCTCCCAGGTTTATGCTATTCTCCTGCCTCAGCCTCCCGAGTAGCTGGGACTACAGGCGCCTGCCACCACGCCTGGCTAATTTTTTGTGTTTTTAGTAGAGACGGGGTTTCACCGTGTTAGCCAGGATGGTCTCCATCTCCTGACCTCATGATCCGCCTGCCTCGGCCTCCCAGAGTGCTGGGATTACAGGCGTGAGCCACTGCGCCCGGCCAACAATGTCCGTCTTAGAAATAAGGTAATTTGTCCAGGTGCGGTGGCTCACGCCTGTAATCCCAGCACTTTGGGAGGCCGAGGTGGGCAGATTACAAAGTCAGGAGTTCGAGACCAGCCTGGCCAACATGGTGAAACCCCATCTCTGTTAGAAATACAAAAATCAGCTGGGCATGGTGTGTGCCTGTAATCCCAGCTACTCAGGAGACTGAGACAGAGAATCGCTTGAATCTGGGAGGCAGAGGCTGCAGTGAGCTGAGATCATGCCACTGCACTCCAGCCTTGGCGACAGAGCAAGACTCCATCTCAGAAAAAAAATAAAAAAGAAAGAAAGAAATAATTTATTAGACTATCATTTTAACACACCATCTTCTCTCTTCTTCCAGTTTGCAAATTTGTTCCTTATTTTCCATCTAAATTCCCAATGATCAAATCTGATTGGCCTGTTTTTGTTTTGCTTTTTATCTGCTAGGTCATATCACTAAACTAACCTTCTTTGAGATCAAGTATCTACCCTAAATCCAGTTAGCTGTGACAGGAGGAGAATGGGATGGGGGAGAGCAAGTGATACAAAACATAACTAGCTATGTTACAAGAACTTTGGACAGTTTCCCTAAGAAACATATTTGGAAATGTTGCCTGACTAGATCAAGTATAATAAACTGTTTTTACACTGATAAAATCTTTTCCTCTGGAGTGTTGATATTCCATGCTAATTTTATATTCTTTTTATCTTTATATTTTAAAAATTACAAAACTTTGGTGTTTTAGTGCTGTTTTTTTCTTTGGTGGTATCACATGCTTTATACACAATTTTGCTTTTAAAATAAATTTTCTTGCTGGACGCAGTGGCCCACACTTGTAATCTCAGCACTTTGGGAAGCTGAAGCAGGAGGATTGCTTGAGACCAGGAGTTCTAGGCTCCAGTGAGCTATGATGATGCCACTGCACTCCAGCTTGGCCAATAGAGCAAGACTGTCTCTTAAAAAAAAAAAATTAAAACCAATTTTCTATAAATGTCTTCAGTTAGACATTTTCTGTCCATTTTTCAGCTGTATATATTTAGCTAATTCCTTTCTTCATAAAGAAAAAAAACAAAAGTCCTGACTAAGACAAAACCAACTAACCAACCATTTCCTATTTTTTTTTTTTTTTTTTTTTTTTTTTTTGAGACAGGGTCTTGCTCTATTACCCAGACTGGAATGCAGTGGCTTGATCATAGCTCACTGCAGCCTTGAACTCCTGGGCTCAAGCAATCCTCCCATCTCAACCTCCCAAGTAGCTGGGATTTAAAAATTTTTTGTAGACATGTGGCCTTGTTATGTTGCACAGGCTGGTCTCAAATTCCTGGCCTCAAGCGGTCCTCCTGCCTTGACCCCCCACAGAGTGCTGGGATTACAGGTGTGTGCCACTGTGCCTGGCCTATTTCCTGTTGTTATTGCATGTTTCTAAAAGGAACATTTCAAATGAAATATCCAAATTATGTCTTACTATTTCAGCATTCCTATGATCACAGGCATAATTGTATCCGTTACCCTAACTATAGTACTTCATAATTAGTTTACTTATTATAGTAGAGGTTTACTCTCATTCTTGTCCCCAGTAATGCTTTCATTACCACTATGATCTTTCCAACATTCACATTTGATGTTATTCCTCTGCTTGAAATGCTTCAATGGCTTTTTAGGATAATAACCAAAATCAATCTTTTTTTGGGGGACGGTGTCTCGCTCTTGTCCCAGGCTGAAGTGCAGTGGCGTGATCTTGGCTCACTGCAGCCTCCGCCTCCTGGGTTCAAGCAATTCTCCTGCCTCAGCCTCCCAAGTAGCTGGGATTACAGGCGCCCGCCACAACGCCCAGCTAATTTTTTGTATTTTTAGTAAAGATGGGGTTTCACCATGTTGGCCAGGCTGGTGGTCTTGAACTCCTGATTTCAGGTGATCCACCCACCTCGGCATCCCAAAGTGCTGGGATTACAGGTGAGAGCCACTGTGCCCGGCCATGACCAAAATCTTGAACATAGCTTCAAAAGCCTCCATGATTAGGTCCCAGCCTACCTTTCTACTTCGTTCTGAACTTGTATTACATACTTTTATTTTTAAAATTATGAAAATGTTTACACATATTAAACAAATAACATAACAAACCCCTATACAACCAGTTTCAGTAATAAGCAAGATTATGCTACATTGCATCTCTTAAAAAAATAGGTACATCTTATTTATTTTCACTTTCTTTTACCTAGTACAGGTTAACCTAGCCTCTAGGTAAGGTTGCGAATTCAAAACCCAGCCTTGCTGGGGAAACTATTTCTTTGGATTTCTTTGTCCTGGAAATTGGGAGTCATAACAGTACATCTCTTATGTTGTTGTGAGGAATAAGTGAATTCATTGATTTAAAATGCTTAGACCAGTCAGGTGTGGTGGCTCATGCCTGTAATCCTAGCACTTTGGGAGGCCGAGCGGGTGATCACTTGAGGTTAGGAGTTCAAGACCAGCCTGGCCAACATGATGAAACCCGTCTCTATGAAAAATACAACAATTAGTTGGGCACTGGCCAGGTGCGGTGGCTCACGCCTGTAATCCCAGCACTTTGGGAGGCCGAGGTGGGCGGATCGCGAGGTCAGGAGATCGAGACCATCCTGAGTAACACGTGAAACCCTGTCTCTACTAAAAATACAAAAAAAGAATTAGCTGGGCCTGGTGGCGGGCGGCTGTAGTCCAAGCTACAGTCCAAGGGAGGCTGAGGCAGGAGAATGGCGTGAACCCGAGAGTCGGAGCTTGCAGTGAGCTGAGATCGCGCCACTGCACTCCAGCCTGGGGTGAGATTCTGTCTCAAAAAAAAAAAAAAAAAAAATTAGCTGGGCATGGTGGCACAGGCCTGTAATTCCAGCTACTCGGAGGCTGAGGCATGAGAATCGCTTGAACCCAGGAGGTGGAGATTGTAGTGAGCCGAGATCATGCCACTGCACTCCAGCCTGGGCAACAGAGTGATACTCCATCTCAAAAAAATAAAATAAGATAAAACATAAATAAAATGCTTAGACCAATGTTTGGCATCCTTAATAAATGAGACCATTATCATTTAGAACAAATTACACATCTTCGTACCTCAGAGCCTTTGCACAGCCTACAAGCACTATCCTGTCTTCCCCTTCCAGACTTTGTTTAGTAGTTCAGATGTTACACCTTTGGGGAAGACTTCCTTAACTTCCCCAGATTAAGCTATCTTATCTTAATATACTCTATGAACTTCTTAATACACTCTATGATACTTACTTGAAATTATTAATTCGTGTGGCTGATTAACATGTCTTTTCCATTACACTATAAGAAGGCTCCAGGAAGGAGGATGGTATCTGGCTGTTTTGTCACCAGCACCTAGTACAAAGTAGACACTCAAAACATTTATTCAAAAAATAAGAATTAATTTATTTTCATCTAACTTATTTTTTATCAAATCTTGTTACCATGTATAAAGCTAATTATGATTATTTAATAATATATTCTCTAACTGGTTCGAACAACTTTTCAGTTATTGAAGGGGTTAAAAACACTGGAAATTAATAACAATAATTTCTAGCTTATAGAATATTTAAACTTTTTTTACAGAGACAATTTTTTTAAAGACACGAAGGTCTTGCTTTGTGACTCAGGCTGGATTTGAACTCCTGGGCTCAAGTGATCCTCCCACCTCAGCCTCTCAAGTAGCTGGGGCTACAGATGTGCATCACCATGCTGAGCTCCAATACTTTCTTGCACAGATTTTCTTTTTTTTTGAGATGGAGTCTCGCCCTATCGCCCAGGCTGGAGTGCAGTGGCGTGATCTTGGCTCACTGCAAGCTCCACCTCCCGGGTTCATGCCATTCTCCTGCCTCAGCCTTCCGAGTAGCTGGGACTACAGGTGCCTGCCTCCACGCCCGGCTAATTTTTTGGATTTTTTAGTAAAGATGGGGTTTCACTGTGTTAGCCAGGATGGTCTCAATCTCCTGACCTCGTGATCAGTCTGCCTCAGCCTCCCAAAGTGCTGGGATTACAGGTGTGAGCCACCGCGCCCAGCCGGCGCACAGATTTCCTTAGAAGAAAAAAATGCTTCTAGGTAGAAAGTTTGCCTATTGCAGTTTAATTCTAAAATAAAAGATAACTGAGTGGAAGTTGGGGGTTTAATCTAGCAGTTAAGTAGTTCAGATATAAACAGAAGGAAAAGCCTCAAGATAACCTTTCAATACACTTTCATATTTTTACACAATTGCTACTTGTATATGAGGAATTTAGGGGATTTGATAACCTTACAAAAGATTAGTATCACTAAATTTGCTTTTTTTCTAGAATAACCCACTTGTATAAAAAGTATTTGTAATTTTTTCATAATGGTTATTTTCATCATGATTAAAGAAAAATTCTCATTAAACTTCATTTCCCTAAGACACTGGTCACATATTTTCAAGTTTCCAAATCATATATATACCCAACTATTAATAAAGTGTAAAAAAAAAAAAAAACCTCAAATCAATTTTAAAAGCATCTTCTATCAAAGGTCAGTTCACAAACACCCCCAATAGTTGAAACTATGTTTTCTGATGGGTAGCATTTATCATGAAGCATTTATCTCTCTACCAGGAGAGAGAGGATATGGCCAAATTCTACAGTAATGCTGTGTTCTGCACCTTAGCCTATTAAAGACTCCAAGAAGTCCTGTGAGGAGACCTGCTTAAACTGTTTTCTAAATTTAAATGACCACATAATCTATTCTATGAAAACAAAGTTATCAAACACACTTTGAGAATTCATGGTCTATCTGCATTCTACACATTAGCTTGTCCAGAATCCCATTAAAAATATTAAACAGGCTGGGCACAGTGGCTCATGCCTGTAGTCCCAGCACTATGGGAGGCTGAGGCAGTTGGATCACTTGAATCCAGGAGTTCGAGACCAGCCTGGGCAACATGATGAAACCCGGTCTCTACAAAAAAAAAAAAAAAAAAAAATACAAAACATTAGCCAGGTGTGGTGGCATACACCTGTAGTCCCAGCTACTCAGGAGGCTAAGGCAGGAACATTGCTTGAGCCCAGGAGTTTGAGGCTGCAGTGAGCCAAGATCGTGCCACTGTGCTTCAGCCTGGGTGATAGAGCAGGATTCGGTATAAAAAAAAATTATATATAACAAACTTGCTGTTAGCGGTCCCATGATCCCACGATATGATCCTGGTGACCCCTGCTTTAGGAGTTCATAAACCAGTCTTTTGATAATTCATCTTAGAGTCTTATCAAGAACTACTTTATAATTTGCAGAATCTACTTTTTCCCTTTGAAAATCAGGACATTTGCCAGTCTCTAACCTATGACTAGTTTAATATAGGTTGAGCATCTCAAATCTGAACATTTGAAACATTTTGAGCACCGATACGACACACAAAAGAAATGCTCCTTGGAGCATTTCAGATTTCAGATTTGGAATGCTCAACAGTATGAATACAAACACTCTAAAATACAAAAAAGTCTGAAACACCTCTGGTCTGAAGCATTTCAGATAAGAGATACTCCGCTTGTACTTTAATTTCTCAAGGCTTAGTAACAGCACGACCTCCTCAATCAAGTTCTCAATGGGAATTTGAGGCAAGCACTTAAAGCGTATCTTAAAGCACTGGTGAGAAGAAAATGCAGACAAGCCTCACTTACCTTTGGGACCAGCAACTAGAAAGCCACCAGAGACAAATACTTATCCTTTCAAATCAGTGGCTTGCCACAGGAGGTGTGCACCAGAACTAACTGGGAAATTCTTATAGTTTGTAAAGCTCCTTGGATGATTTTAATACACATTTAGATAAAAATCCTAGTTTTGTGACATGTGCCTGTAGTCCCAGCTACTCGGGAAGATGAAGTGGGAGAATGGCCTGAGCCAGGGAGGTGGAAGTTGCAGTGAACCAAGACCGTGCCACTGTACTCCAGCCTGGTTGATAGAGTGAGACCCTGTCTCAAAAAAGAAAAAAAAAAATCCTGATTTTGGGTACCATCCTTCTCACTGTAATCATGTCCACTAAGGACAATTTAACCATAATCATTTGTAATGAAGACAATAAAGACCGCTATGCTTTTAACTTTTATGAGTATTTTAGGCCACGAGTCGATGGCATCTTTCTCTAAGTACATTGTACTCTGGTTTCCTTAATGGTATTTTAGGAAACGCTAGCACTATTCCTTGATCTGGCTTCTAAGAATTAAGATGGTAGGGCTGGGCTACTTTCCCCCATAATCCACATTGCTTTCACTTAATCAACCAATTCTCCCTCTACAGGTAATAAGTTTTGGAATAGCAGTGTTCATAACCCATTTTCTTCTTCCTGAGTAGGAAATGACAAATGTACCAGAAATCCCTGTTGGAGTATTTTAGCACATTTCTTAGTAGATACAGTCTAGTTTTGCCTCTCTGCACTTGGTCTTCAACTATTTACTTACGTCCACTTGACTAGACAGCCTGTAGTTCACCTTAACAATAATCTCCCTCTCCTTTTGTCCTTACAGTTATCTAAAGAGCAGCCTTGTTATCTGTATCTCTTCTAGACAAACAGCACTACACTGAGTCTTAAGAGTTGTTTCTTCTGACCAAGGTATTCCCTTCCATTGTTATATTCCAGTCGCTTTGCTCCACCAAACTCTTGGTCATATTATATATTAAAATATGTTCTTTATTATTCCTGTTCAGTGAATTGTCTGAGATTTTAAGTACAATTTTTGATTTTGGGGGAATTAAAACTTATTCTTTTTACATTGTCTCACAGTTTTCAGAGATCATTTTTTTAAAGAAAAATTACTGCATTCATTTTGGTGGCTTAAAACAAGATGTAATTTAGAGAATCATTTTATGTTTTCAAATAAAACCTCCTACATTTAATTGACTAAAAGTTTAAGCACAAGTTACTACACAAAGAAAACCTTTTTTAGGGTTATGTGAACTTGAAATAATACCATTAAGTTTTCAGCTGTCTGAAGTAGCACAGCAACATTAACGGGAAGGGACTAAACACCACTTCTGCTCCTAAACCAACAAGAGCTGAGACATACAAATTTTATGGCAAGTAATCTAAAACTCTTCTAAAAATGATTAACTGTTATTCTATCCAACAAGAAAACCAATACAACAGATCTATCTAATTAGTTAAGACACCAGATACTTGTCATGCAGTTTCAGTGTCTAGTAACAAACCTCTATAAGTTCTGTTTTACAACTTCTAAGTACTAATAACACATTTTAAAAGGCTTGATCCCACTTTAAACTACATAGAATACACAATTATCAAGTGAATGTGCATATACACGAAAGATTCTCAAGTCTAGTTTTGAAGCTCAACCTGGCAGCCTCCGAAGATTTCAATATATATTGCAATGTCACTAGCATAACTTCCAAAAATAAAATTTCACATGGGGTGGGAAAAATGCCATCAAATAGCTGAGTATTCTACCTCTAGAAAGCTGACATACATTAATCTATATTTTTCATGTTAAAATCTGATTGACTTGAGTTGGTACAAGGGATAAATTATATTTTTATCTTATCAAACATTATCTAAGGGTGCAAAATGTAAGCATTACAAATTAATGCAAAAACAAGTAGGCATTTTAGAATAGTTTTTCAGTACCTTCAGATTCTGACAAAATATAGTTCATTAAAAAAATTATGTATGCCAATTTTGCTTATTGCTATTAGGTTTTAAAAAAAACAACTTCAATTTTTTATCCCAGTTTTATTATAGATTGAAAAGCATTTTGCCATGTTCAGTAAATAATAAAATTAAACTTGTTTTTCATATGAGCTAATTAAGATATCTGAGCTAACAGCTCTAAGTTATTACTATAAAGAGTTAATCAGAAATATAGTTCAAAGTAACAAACTACAGTTGATATCACTAATGGTGACCTTTCTTACATTTTAATATTTCTCTTACTGAGACTCTACTGTGTCTCAATAGATATTTTTTGGTTGTTGTTAATACTCCCATTCACCCTGAACCCACCCATGGGACTTTATTAAATTCAAGAAAATACCCTAAGATATTGACTGCAATGTCAGAGATGGCCAAATTAAAAATAAAATAATTGCTGATGATTAGGCTTTCTTTTTATTCTCAACTATTTTTGATATATGTGTATTTAAAAATTCAATATTTAACAAAAAATGACTAAAATATGTTTCAAGTCTCAAAGTTCATTTGAAAGAAGTATACACCATTTCATTTGAAAAATAATGAAGTTTCTGCAGATACATGCAAGATCCCTATATGTGCTATAAATCTGTCATGGAAACCATCAAATTTTAGTTATTTTAAAGGGGAATTCAAAGATTTTTGCTGTATTATGCAACTGGTTGAATACAGTACTTTTACATGTAAAAAATAATTTACACTGAAGAACTCAAGCAAAAAGTCTGATACTTTATCAAAATAATAAGAACAAAATGAGCAATGAAAAAATAGCAAAAGCTTTATAAAAAAATAGTAAATTCCTATTTAAATTCCTGTGTTTACACAGATTAAAAATGCTTATCAATTAACTATATGACACAGATTGTAGCATACTTTAAGCTGTAATAGAGAAAGGTAACACGGGATATTTGAAATTCAAGCTGCACTTACCAAAATAGTTTTAACCTGAGTCTTTGATGTCTTCAAAAATGCATTTGATGATAATATATGCAAGAATTTTTTTTTTAGTAGTATAAGGTTACTTTTTTTGAATTGCTCTTAATACTCTTTCCTCTTAAATATTTGTGTAAAATTACAAATATTTATTACATTTCTTGGGTTCACTGAACACAAGGCAGTATATGAATTGAAAGGCTGTTACTTTGTTCCTGTTACACAAGCATATAAAGATGCTTAGTTCAAAATATCTTAGATTTAATATTATTTTCACATTTTGACTTATTTTAGAACAAATATAAAGGGTCAAAATATTACCATAGATATTTGAATATTCCCATGAAATATGTCACACCCACTGAGGAATTAAACAAGTTCACTAAAGAATATCAAATTAATCATTTCCTCCTATAAATATTTTCTTTTTATTTGTGTTTAGAAGTTGCAATTTTAGGTACTATTAACAGAAAATACATAACAAAAGCTTCCTAACAAGTGAAAAAAATAATTATAAATGCTGGAAAAATTGGCCTCATTAACATATTTACAGACTTTTACTTAATACATACGCCTTTGGAAATTAATTATCTGACATTTATACAAGCATCAAAATTTCCAAATCACTGAGTAGTGAGCACTTCAGTTCTTTATTGTCTATACCCAAATTTGAAAGTCATTTAGTTTCTGAAAGTAGAAATGACAAGTAACAGAAATGGTCAATCTGAGATACTATTGACATATTGTTCTGTTCCTTCGCCTAAAGGTGCTTCTGTTGAGTAAGTGTCCTTATGCTTTCTTTTCTCTTTGCTCTGATCTTCCTGTAGCTTCAGAATTATGTTTCGGATTTCTTCTCTTTTTGTTCTCATTCTTGGTGGAGGAAACCAGTTTGCCAAATTCATAGGTAGTTCAAAACTGAGAATTGGATTCTGAAAATACAATTAAATGCGTATTAGAAAACTGTAATAAATAACCTTTCATTTCAATCACAGAAACATTCCGAAGTTAAAAATAAGAAAACCCAACAACGCATTCAATATGTATTTCTGTATTATCTATCACATGCCAAGTACTGTGTTAGGTATTGGAGATACAAGACACAGTTTCTATCATAGATCTTATAGTCTAGATCAGGGTTTGCCAGTGGACCAAATTCTGCCCACCACCTGTTTCTGTAATAAAGTTTTATTGGAACACAGCCACACTAACTCATTTACATATGGTCTGCAGATGCTTTCACTGGACCACAGCAGAACTAAGAGGCAATAGAGACTGCACAGTTGCAAAGCCTAATGTATTTACTACTTTATTAACAAGTTTGCCAGCTCCAGTTTAGAAAGACAGGTAATTCAACAATTAAAACAAGAAATATGGCAAGTATTATGACAGAAGTATAGAGTACTGTGAAAATACATATCTGGGGTTTTATGCAATTCCAAGAGGAAGTGATGTTTAGGCTAAGACCTGAAGAATGAATACATGTTAGACAGACAAGGTATAATAGAAGCAACAAAAAAGTATTCCAGGTTAGGAAATATGAATCAAGGCCTAGAGGCAAGAAAGAACATGAAACAATGGCATTCAGGTGGCTGGCTGTTGTATTAAAGCTAGAGTGAAAATGGTGGGAAAATGAGGCTAGAAGCTTAAATAGGGGGTCAGATCACATAGGTGCTTATCAATCATGTGAAAGATTTTGGTCTGTAAATCAACAGCCACAGGAAGCCACTATAAGATTTAAAGCAGGAAAGTAACAGGATTAGATTTATGTTTTTGGGAAACAACCATGAAAACCAGAAGGC
Source organism: Homo sapiens (assembly GCF_000001405.40). NCBI lineage: Eukaryota > Metazoa > Chordata > Mammalia > Primates > Hominidae > Homo > Homo sapiens. The sequence continues at coordinate 75,714,514 of NC_000006.12, read as the reverse complement.
AGGAGGCATAGGAATCTGTTAGAGATTGGTATAGCAGTTCAGAATAGCGACACTCGACGATAAACAAGTAAATCTATCTGACATTAAATGACACAATTCACAGAACCTAGTGGTCATCTACTGTATGGTGGATGAAGATAGGAGCCAAGATCAGAGTAAAGAATATCCAAGAGAGGTTATGTGTGGTACTGTACCTCTGAAGTCAAAGCAAGAGAGTGAGGAAGAAATGGTTGACACTGTCAAAGGGTGCTGGAAAGTCAAGAGCAATTTTAACATAAGGTTAAGGATAAAGCCAGATTTTAGAGATTTGAGAAGTAGAATCTGTAGAATTAGAGAGTGAATATAAACACTTCTTAAGAAATGTATCTATGAAGAGGAGAAAAGAGGCTAAAAGAGGCAGTGTGAATCATGGGAGAGATTTCTTAAGGTGGCAAGAGCTAGTAGAGAGGGCAGGTTGATTGTTCAGTGATAGAATGAGCTCAACAAGCCTTGGATTTGATGAACTGTAAATATACTATTTTTATGCCTTGAAGGTTCTTCCATTTAGAAGTTTTTGCTCCATGGAATAATTTTTGAAACAATAATTTTGAAACTCTTTAAAATATTTGCTTATTGTGTTTTTTACTAAGGTAAAGTCAAATGCACTATTTTATTATTTATTATAGCAGATCCAACAAATTGAAACCCACCTCAAAAAAGCTCTCTACATACTGCAATACATATACACCACAGTCACTGAAGTTGTTTTGCTGTGGTACTTTTGGATTAGAGCCCTTCATAACATCTTTGGAAAAACTTCTTTTGCTTCCTTTTTTAACTTCCCATTCCACTTCTAAATACCTGCAATAATTCATATATATTAAGAATACACACATATATAAATATACATAGTTCTTCATCCCCATCAGAATACGAAATAAAGTGTGAACTTACTCTCTTAAAATTTTGACAACATTTGACCGAGAAGGGCCTCGGAGTGAGTCCATAAGTAGGATACAAGGTCTGCAGGGTAAAAATGACCAAAAGTCGAATACTTCATAATATTACAAATGCATAAAAGGATTAAAAGTGGCATATTATAAACAATCAAATTTAAAACCTTCAAAATCCCCTTTGTATGACTCAGTACTACTGAGGGAAAAAAAATGAACCTTATAGACACATACGAACCTTATAATCTAATAATACTTAAATATCTATGGATATATTAAATATTGAATTATAGAATATTAACTTAACCATATCTTAGCTATATTTTATACTAAAATTCTGTAGTTGGTTTCTAAAAGTACTTCAAAATTAGTAAAAAGTCAAAACAATTCTGAAAAATTGAACATCCCCATATTCCAAAATCAACAAAAGGACCATGAAAAAGTATAAAGAAAATAATCCCCCCAACCTCGGCCCATTTTTTTCAGGCAGGGTCTCACTCTGTCACCATGTGAAGCAGCGTAATAACAGCTCACTGCAGCTTCAATGTCCTGAGCGCAGGTGATCCTCCCAACTCAGCCTCCTGAGGAGCTGTAACTACAGGCATATGTGACCACACTCAGCTAATTTTTGTATTTTTTTTTGTAGAGATGGGTTTTTCCATGTTGCCCAGGCTGGTATAGAACTCCTGGGCTCAAGCTATCTGCCCACCTCAGCCTTCCAAAGTGCTGGGATTATAGGCATGTGCTACTGCGCCCAACCAAAAATCTCATTTTTAACTAAAACTTATTGTAGATAACAAAACAGGTAATCATCACATGAAATAATTAGTTTAGAACTTTTTTTTTTCAAGATTCCACTTCAGAACACTCTGTAGAACACTCCATATAACTCTGTATATAAATATTGATGGCTGAAGATTCAACTTTCAGTATTTTAATTCTGTAAAGTTATGTTGTAAACTCAAGTAAGGAAGTCTAATGTAGAGCCCAAACTCCTCAAATGTTAAAAAAAATCTAGGTTATTTTTTAGCCACCACAGTTGGCTATTATTTTTTTTTTTTAACTTTTTCCAGAGATGGCGTCTCACTGTGTTGCACAAGCTGGTCTTGCACTCCTGGCCTCATGCGGTCCTCCTGCTTTGGTCTTCAGAAGTGCTAGCACAAAGTGTGACCCACTGTGTCTGGAAGTGATCTAGCTTCTTCCTGCTAAAATTTTATAAAGTTTGGAGCAGATTGTTTAACTACCCTAGGTCTCTATTTTTCTGTAGAATGATGCTGCATTTTCAAAGTCTCTTAATAGAGTTTCTGTCAACATTTTCTATAAAAAAAAGTCAAAGGAGATTAAACCTAGAAATAGGTAATACTTCACCTAAGAAGTTCAGCATCTCAGAAGAAACACGTACTTCTGAAAAGCAAAACTGACTCACCCTTATTTGGAGTTCTCAGTTGGAACATGTCTCTTACGTCTGCCTTGGGTTACTCCACAGCCTTCAAAGAGTAGCTAAGGAATCAGTGTAAACTCCAACCCCATGTTACTGTTTTGATATATAGTGATTTCTGCTCCAAAACATTGTAGGTAAAAAGGAATAGTGGTTCACTATCAAAACTTGTGGCCGGGCGCGATGGGTCACGCCTGTAATCCCAGCAATTTGGAAGGCTCAGAGGGGCGGATCACTTGAGGCCAGGAGTTTGAGATCAGTCTTGCCAACATGGCAAAACCCCATCTCTACTAAAAATTCAAAACTTAGCCAGGCATGGTGGCACGCACCTGTAGTCCCAGCTATTCCTGAGGCTGAGGCATGAGAATCGCTTGAACCTGGGAGGTGGAGGTTGTGGTGAGCTGGGATCGTGCCACTGCACTCCAGCCTGGGCGACAGAGCAAGACTCTGTCTCAAAAAATATACACATAAAAAATTTAAACAAAACAAAACATTTGTGTGTGGACATGTGCATGCAGAGGCTGGGGAAACTGGCAAATGGAGGACTGAAATGATTACCCATTCTTCCCATTTTAATCCCTAGATAGCATGCCTCAAGTTTCCTCACTGACTCTGACAGCATTTATGAGTTTTGCTTAAGTATTTATTTAAAAAAAAAACTGTCCTGTTATGTTTTATGAGCATACTTAAAAATTATGTAGTTTTCAAGATACACAGTTAATGCTTACTGTTTACAGATAGTAGGCTTTAAATGCCACTGTCCTATTTCTGAACTGCAGTTGTCATCAGCGAGGAATCCATCGTCACTGCTATCATCCTATAAAAGACAGCCTACTGTTAATACTGAAAATATATAATCTAAATAACTAATAACCTAACAAAATAGCACACTGGAGACAAAAATATTTGTAATGATTGTCAAAACTTTTTCTCTATTTAGGTGATTAGACACTAGAGATGTGGTATGTTACTTAATTCCAATTATCCAATGCTACAACACTGACATTTTAAGGAAAATAAACTACCAGAGGTTTATAACAAATTGTTACATCTATTTACTCAATCTAGAATAAATCTTTAAGACTGAATATATTATGACTGAATCTTCTCCCACCAAATATTACTGCTCTGATTTTAGTTTATTTTTACAAAAATTTAGTTTGTTGGCTAAGACAGCTATTTCACAATAGGATATAAAATAACATGTTATTTTACATGAATAATGTTTTCACATCAGAAATATTTAAAGGGTTTTTGGAAACACTGTTTTCCTTGAGAAACCCACTTATCCATCTCACTTGAGAGAAGCTAACTTAAGGACACTGAGTCCTTATTCTGTAGATTCTCTTGAATGTAAAATAAACAAGGCTTTTTTGGTCATTGTTGTTCTTTGAGAAAGCTTCTGGCAACTTTACGAATGGAATAATCAATAGTAGGAATAATAGTAATAATAAAGCAGTTACATTAGCTTGTTCACATCACAGGTAACTGCTATAACCAAAAGTACCTAAGTGCTCATTATAAATCATGAATGTAATTCCTATATATGTTGGATTGAAAAGCTATATTTAGTTGCCATACATTGTAAACCAAGAGATATCTTAAAATGCCTTTTGTTCACTGGAAGATTAAGCAAAAAGGAAAGATGGTGCAGTATAAAGCTATCTTCACTACTATACAACTCAGTATGTCCTAACAACTAATGAAAGGTCAGAGAATTAACAAAATGGTATGCTGTAGGATTCTTATAAACTTTTCTCAATATAAAATCCTCTTTTAACAGAAGCTAAAAAGTAAAGTATTTTCACAGATATACTTTATTCTTGCTGTTCATACTGTTTGTTAGGGCAAATGAGACTCCAAGGAAAAGTCAGAATTCATCTATATTAACTTTAATTAAATATTATCTGCTTCTGCCATGACACATATAAATCGAATCAGGCAGGAGAAAAAAAAATAACTGGAAAAGTGGGAAAACAATATAATATTTTTGGTACTCATGTACCATATAACTGAAGGTTTAAACATTTGCTTCTTGAATGTCAAGTCAGGTTAAAGGTTAAGTATGACCCATAAATGCTTTGAAAGAGGAAGGTGGGTATTGGTGGTGGTAGCTGAGTTAGGGTGAGTTAATCAGTATTACATTAAAGTTCAGTCCACACCACAGTAGCAGCAACAACAGCATGTATACATTTATCCTGGCAACTTCTGACTTGAAAGCTGAATTTGTTTTTTAAGATATGATCCAAATTCAGAAGCCATGATAAATTACTAGTTGAAGAAATTGCTTTACAAGACTTTATAAAGTCTTTTTCTTTTTCCTTTTTTCATTTTTTTTTAAGAGATGGAGTTTCCTTATGTTGCCCAGGCTGAACTCAAACTCCTAGGCTCAAGAGATCTTTCTGCCTTAGCCTCCCAAGTCACTGGGACTACAGGTGTGCACCACCATGTTCAGCAAGAAAAACTTTTAATTAGATAAAACATTAGAACTTTTTGCCAAGCATTAAGTTTTACCTGGTTATCCTGATCTTCTGAGAAGTCGACGAGTTCATCTTCAAGCATTTTACCAGCTTCAGGTGATTCATCGCTATAGTTTAGTCTGATTTTGCTTAAGCCATCTGTATCAATAAGAAACATTACATAATAAAAAAGGCCATGTCTATCACTCATAGTATATGAGGCTGAAATTAATGCTAGTAGTTAATTAATGATACAGTAGTCAAGAACACAAAATCTGCCTTAGTGTGTAATATCACAAACATAAAGTAAGTTATTTTAAAAACCTGGATTGACATGTCAATTACAGTTGTTTCCACTACCCAGATGCTAAAATTCATTAAAATTTAAAAACTAGTTATCAGCTATATGATTAAGTATACATATACTTAAATACATATACATATGTATATGTGTAAACAAATAAGTACTTTTGTGTTAGGCAAGTCAGGTATCTTTAGTAATGAAAGCTATGACAGTCTGAAAATAACCTATGTCCAATAACAGAAACAGCATGTCATAGAACATAAAAGAAAATGCAACTGCATAATTTTATAATTAAAATTTCGAAAACGTGGAAAATTATATAATTCAGGGCAAAAATGAACATTAACTACAAGTAAGTAATAGGTCTGTTTTTAGACAAATAATAAGCAACTATTTTGCTGAAAGAAGCTAATCACAACATGTTTCAAAGAAATGTAAGATTTACTACCATTTCAATTTTTTATTTTATTTATTTATTTTTATTTTTTGAGACGGGGTCTTGCTCTGTCGCCCAGGCTGGAGTGCAGTGGCACAATCTCGGCTCACTGCAACCTCTGCCTCCCAGGTTCGAGTGATTTCTCCTGCCTCAGCCTACTGAGTAGCTGGGATTACAGGTACATACCACCATGCCTGGCATTTTTGTATTTTTAGTAGAGATGGGGTTTTGCCATGTTGACCAGGCTGGTCTTGAACTCCTGTCCTCAAGTGATCCACCTGCCTCGGCCTCCCAAAGTGTTGGGATTACAGGCATGAGCCACCGTGCCTGGCCTCACTTATTTATTTTTTAAGAGACAGGATTTCTCTCACTCTTTTGCCCAGGTGGAGTCCAGTGATGCAATCAGAACTCGCTGTAACCTTGAACTCCTACGCTCAAGCCATCCTCCTGCTTTGGCCTCCCAGAGTGCTGGGATTACAGGTGCACACCACTATGCCCAGCTGATTTTTATTTATTTATTTTCCTCTCAAAAATTTGAAAAGCATGACTTTTAGTTATTGTAGACAGGATAAAATAAATTTTGGTATAAGTTAATAAAAAGGTGTTAAGATATTAATATAAACAAGATGGGATGAAAAGGAAGCAAAAAATCTGAAAAGATATATAATCCAGACTGGCTAACATGGTGAAACCCTGTCTCTACTAAAAATACAAAAACTAGCTGGGCATGGTGGCATGCACCTGTAATCCCAGCTACTTGAGAGGCTGAGAGACAGGAGAATTGCTTGAACCCAGGCAACAGAGGTTGCAGTAAGCCAAGACTGCGCCACTGTACTCCGACCTGGGTGATAGAGCAAGACTCTGTCTCAAAAAAGGAGAAGAGAAAAGATACATAAATCTAACTCTTGTGTTCAGAAGCACACTATTTAAAATAACCGATAAACCAATGAAGCACTATGGGGCCGGGCACAGTGGCCTAGCACCTGTAATCCTCTAGCACTTTGGGAGGCTGAGGCAGGAGGATCACCTGAGTTCAGAAGGATCACCTGGGCAACATAGTGAGACCCTGTCTCTACAAACAAAATAAAATAAAGAATCAGCCAGGTGTAGTGGTGGGCACCTGTGGTCCCAGTTACTCAGGAAGCTGAGGTGGGAGGATCACTTGAGCCTGGGAGGTTGAGACTGCGGTGAACTGTGATTGTATTGCTGTACTCTTAACTTCTATGAAAGTGAGACTGTCTCAAAAAAGAACAAAAATCCACCACCACAACAACAAAAAAGCACTATGGGCTGAGCGCAGTGGCTCACATCTGTAATCCCAACACTCTGGGAGGCTGAGATGGGAGGATTGCTTGAACACAGAAGTTTGAGACCAGCCTGGGCAACAAAGTGAGCCCGTCTCTACAGAAAATAAATTTTGCCGGGCAGGTGACACATGCCTATAGTCCCAGCTACTCAGGGGGTTGAGCTGGGAGGACTGCTTGAGTCCAGGAGGTAGCGGCTTCAGTGAGCTGTGATTGTGCCACTGCATTCCAGCCTGGGCAACAGAGTGAGACCCTGTCTCAAAAAAAAAAAAAAAAAAAAAAAAAAGAAGAAGAAGAAAGAAAAAAATAATGACCTCTTCAATTTATCTTTTCCAAAAATCTGTATTTTTAAGTCTGTTTAAAGCTAAAACACCTATATTTGAATAACATTTGTCCAAAATCTTCAGGTAATTCAGAATTAGTCAGTTATAATCAGGTTACTTCCAGCAGCAAATCATTATCTATGTAAACTGTGGTCATATAAATATCTATCTACCTTACACAAACTAAACCAGAAATGCCTTTCAAAAACAGGAGAAAAATAACCTAAATGATGCAGTCAATTCCCCCATAAACAAGTGATCTGGAGTAAATTGAGAGGTGATGACTTGATCAGTGGTTCTCTCAATCAGTGTCAGTTCCTGAGAACTTCTCATATAAGGAGACCATGTGAAGATGTTGAGTGTGATTCTAGAGTTTAAGCGTACACATTTTTCATGCACCATGGCAAGTCAACTATTTCATAAGGTGTCAAGTGAAAAAACAGCAAGTGAAAGTAGTGATTCCACACATTGTTATTTCCCTAGTTTTCTGTAAAAACCTAATTTCCACTTATTTACTACAGCCTGTTATCTGACATAAGTAGTCAACACTTGTTGACTCTATGTGAAATCACTGTATGTGATTTTTTGTGAAACATTTGTTTCAGAGGAAGAGATAGTTGATATGGTATACACATACTAAAAACAAAACAAAAATGTACAAACTATAATTCAAAAATGAGTAAATGGGATATACAAGTATTAAGAAGGCAAACTACATAAAACAAGTTATTTTTGGCTTTGGTCTCCATTAGGATTTTTGAGGCTATTTACTCAAATTTAACTGGCTTTTACTTGACCAGAAAATTAATTTGTAGGTGAGGGCACTAGAAATCTCTGGAGTTTGTGTATATGAAACCCTAGGCTTTTGTCCCATTGCTTTAAGTCAAGTACCTTAATTCATTTGAATTCACATTAAAGTATGTAACATTATTGGTCAAAAGGAGACTTTAAAAAGCCACACTGAAATGTAATTCACATACCATATACAGCCATTTAAAGCATACAGTCTAATGTTTTTTAGTATATGCACAGCCATCATCACAACCAATTTTTAAACCTTTTCATCATCTCAAAAAGAAACCCCATACCACTTAGCTATCACTCTCTTCCTACATTCCCACCCACCTCACCTGCCCACCCCCAAAAGCCCCGAGCAGCCACTAATCTACTCCAGATTTTCCTGCTCAGGAGATTTCTTACAAGAGCTCAACAGGTCGGGTGAGGTGGTGCGCACCCGTAATCCCAGCTACTAGGGAGGCTGAGGCAAGAGAAGACAATCTCTTGAACCCAGGAGGGGGAGGTTGCAGTGAGACAAGATTACGCCACTGCACTCCAGCCTGGGTGATTAAGAGAGACTCCATCTCAAAAAAAAAAAAAAAAAAAAAAAAAAAAAGGCTCAAAAATAGCTTTCTAACTCACTAAAATAATATAAGCTGGTATAAGTAACAGGAGTATGTTCCATATTCACAATTTTTGATAGGTTCTTTCTGAATTCACATAATTTATTCTATGTCCTATACCAATATTTTTCATCCAAATAAGATTCATTAGTTCCATGAGCAAGGTGTTAAAAAAAAAGAAGAAAAATGTATTAGATCTATTCACAGTTTAAGAAGTTTGCAAGGCACACACTATAGCATGTTATGGGTTTTTATGGAGAGGATTATTTTACTTGTAGGTTGGAGAGGAAATTATACAATTGACTTGATATCAAATTTAAGAATTTGAACAGAAACTAGTTTTTAATTAATTAATTAATTTATTTATTTATTTTTGAGATGGAGTCTCGCTCTGTTGCCCAGACTGAAGTGCAGTTGCGCGATCCCAGCTCACTGCAACCTCCGCCCCCAGGTTCAAGTGATTCTCCTGCCTCAGCCTCCTGAGTAGCTAGGATTACAGGCGGGCACCACCACACCCAGCTAATTTTTGTATTTTTAGTAGAGATGGGGTTTTACCACGTTGGTCAGGCTGGTCTCAAACTCCTGACCTACTGATCCACCCGCCTCAGCCTCCCAAAGTGCTGGGATTACAGGCGTGAGCCACCACACCTGGCCAAAACTAGATTTAACAGGTTCTACAACTACAGGACTGACTCAAGGACAAAAATCAAGTTATTAGAGCTGAAGAGAGATTTAAACAAACAAAGATTGGACCAGTGCTCCTCTTCCCACTGAAAACAGTGAAGGAGAGTGAGGAATGAAGAACCAAGCTTTAATTGGAATGTATAGGGAAAAGAAAGAGAGATCAGACTGTTACTGTGTCTATGTAGAAAGGGAAGACATAAGAAACTCCATTTTGGCCTGTACCCTGAACAATTGCTTTGCCCTGAGATGCTGTAACTTTGCCCCAACCACTTTGCCCTAACCTCTTTGCCCCAAACTTGAGCTCACAAAAACATGTGTTGTATGGAATCAAGGTTTAAGGGATCTAGGGCTGTGCAGGATGTGCTTTGTTAACAAAATGTTTACAAGCAGTATGCTCGGTAAAAGTCATCACCATTCTCTAGTCTCGATAAACCAGGGGCACAATGCGCTGCAGAAAGCCGCAGGGACCTCTGCCCTGGAAAGCTGGGTATTGTCCAAGGTTTCTCCCCATGTGATAGTCTGAAATATGGCCTCGTGGGACGGGAAGGACCTGACCGTCCCCCAGCCCAACACCCGTGAAGGGTCTGTGCTGAGAAGGATTAGTGAAAGAGGAAAGCCTCTTGCAGTTGAGATAGAGGAAGGCCACTGTCTCCTGCCTGCTCCTGGGAACTGAATGTCTCAGTATAAAACCCGATTGTACATTTGTTCAATTCTGAGATAGGAGAAAAACCGCCCTATGGCAGGAGGCGAGACATGTTGGCAGCAATGCTCCTTTGTTATTCTTTACTCCACTGAGATGTTTGGGTGGAGAGAAACATAAATCTGGCCTACGTGCACATCCAGGCATAGTACCTCCACTTGAACTTAATTGTGACACAGATTCCTTTGCTCACATGTTTTCTTGCTGATCTTCTCCCTATTATCACCTTGCTCTCCTACGGCATTCCTCTTGCTGAGATAGTGAAAATAGTAATCAACCAAAACAGAGAGAACTCAAAGACCGGTGACGGGGCAGGTCCTTGATATGCTGAGTGCCGTTCTCCTGGGCCCACTGTTCTTTCTCTATACTTTGTCTCTGTGTCTTATTTCTTTCTCAGTCTCTCGTCCCACCTGACGAGACATACCTACAGGTGTGGAAGGGCAGGCCACCCCTTCAGGACTGTTCACAACTATTTTGAAGAGAAAGCTTTAATTTCTGCCTTGGGTTATTTGATCTCAATTTACCAATGTGTAAATTGAGATCTAATTTGTCTTATACATCTAAGACTGCACAACTACTGTTAATGCTGAATACTGTAAATTTCCTATGAAATAAAAATAGATCCAAGTTCCAATAAATGGAAAATATAAACTTTGTACTGCAATTTCAAAATTGCACCCTAGGGGTGACAGAAGTGACAGACTACAAAAAGGGCACAATGGGATTTTTTTTTGAGTGATGGAAAGTTCTCAATTTTTTTGTTTTTTAATTTTGAGATGGAGTTTCACTCTGTCACCCAGGCTGGACTGCAGTGGTGCGATCTCCACTCACTGCAACTTCAGCACCCTGAGCTCAAGCGATCCTCCCTCCTCAACCTCCTAAGTAGCTGGGACCACCGATGGGCACCACCATATCTGGCTAAGTTTTTGTATTTTTGGTAGAGACAGGGCTTTACCATGTTGCCCAGGCTGGTTTCAAACTTCTGAGCTCAAGTGATCTGCCCATCTTGGCCTCTCAAAGTGCTAGGATTACAGTCGTGAGCCACTGTGCCCTGATCAGGTTCTCAATTTTGATTGCAGTAGTGATTACATGACTCTATGTATACATTTATCAAAGTTCAAGCTACACTCATTAAATGAGTGAATGCTATTATAATTATACCTCAGTATAAATTAAAAGTAAGTTGTGTTACTATATTGTTATAAGTAAATTCTTTAAAAATTTTCTATTTATTTTTTTTTGTTGGAGATTGGGTCTCGCTATGTTGCCCACGCTGGTCTCAAACTCCTGGCCTCAAGTGATCCTCCTGCCTTGGCCTCCCAAAGTGCTGGGATTATAAGCGTGAGCCACCACACCCAGTCATTAACCTGATTTTTTTTTAAAACAGGATCTTAATCCTGTTTATTAAAAAATCCAGATTATTCTGAATTTTTTCATTCTTTCAAAACATTTAGATACATACCTGTATGATGTGTGGAACTTAAACTTTCATTCTGTAGGCCATTCTCACTTTTAGTCCTATCAGCAACTTTCTGGGATGTAGATTCTCCTTTATTGAATTCTTCATTTTCACTCGCAGTATGATTTATTTTTTTCACACTGTATTTTACACTGCATATGTTTCTCTTATAACGAGGGTCACTTTCTTCCTGCCCAGGATTGGAATCAATTACAGCTATGCAATGTTTTTTGTTTAGCATCTTCTTAATTACAGGCTTGGCAGAAGAGTTTTGTGAACAACTCTCCATTTCACTGGCTGAAGAAGAAATACAACTGTCCTCTACAGTTGAACATTTCTGTATGACAGCATTTTCATGGTAATGAGGATTAGGTTCATACTTTGGTTTTTCCAAACCGGGGAAACAAACAACAGCCAAAAACCAGTGTGCACTGTAAAAAACAAATGAAATGACTAAATATGTTATTAGAAAAGTTTATTATATTTGGCAATACATATCAATTAAAATGTTTTTTTCTAAAGTTCTTGCCAATTAATTTATTAAAAATGCCTAATTCTGGCCGGGCGCAGTAGCTCACGCCAGTAATCCCAGCACTTTGGGAGGCTGAGGTGGGTGGATCACCTGAGGTCAGCAGTTCGAGACCAGCCTAGCCAACATGGCAAAACCCTGTCTCTACTAAAAATACAAAAATTAGCCAGGCGCAGTGGTGTGCACCCGTAATCCCAGCTACTCAGTAGGCTGAGGCAGGAGAATCACTTGAACCCAAGAGGCAGAGGTTGCAGTGAGCCGAGATTGTGCCACAGCATTCCAGCTTGGGGGTGACAAAGCAAGACTCCATCTCAAAAAAAAAAAAAAAGCCTATTTTTTTTTTAGTTCTCAAATTAATCTGCTTGTTTTATGTAATCACTGATTCAGTAACAGAACACAATGTCTATTCAAAAATAACACAGTTTGTATTAAAATTATGTAGCCTGTATTTACTTTTGCAAACAATCCCTGAACGCTTTCTTGTTTTTGGAATGAAAAATTCATTGCTTTTTCTGGCAAGTAATGTCACTTTGCAACTCGTCATTCCCCTTTGCCTTCTCTTTATGTAAAAAGATGGAAAGCTATCCATCTTAAAGATTAAACTGTCGGCCAGGTGCGGTGGCTCACGCCTGTAATCCTAGCACTTTGGGAGGCCGAGGCGGGTGGATTGCCTGAGTTCAGGAGTTCGAGAACAGCCTGGGCAACACAGTGAAACCCCGTCTCTACTAAAATACAGAAAATTAGCTGGGCGTGGTAGTGTGCGCCTGTAGTCCCAGCTACTTGGGAGGCTGAGGCAGGAGAATTGCTTGAACCCGGGAGGCGGAGGTTGCAGTGAGCTGAGATTGTGCCACTGCACTCCACCCTGGGCGACAGAGCGAGACTCCGTCTCCAAAAAAAAAAAAAAAAAAAAAAAGATTAAACTGTCTTCAGCAGTCTAATTAGGTCATATGATTTTTTCAACATTCTAAGAATTGCATATATAGTTTTGTTCTTTTTACTGTTACTGTGTGTTATTAAGATAGGAAAGGCTTAATATCAAAAATATGTATATAAGTAATGTTTTATCTCATGCTATATTGAAATTTAATACATTAAAAAGAAATAACATATCTAACCTAGTCCTTGCACAAAAATTTAAGTATTAGTAGAGAGTTCCAGCTATCAAGTAGGTGCTTATGATACAGCTGAATTCAGGTATCACTGTTCCCAACAGTAGAGTATAGGACACAAGCAAGAAGCTGTACAGTCCTGGCTAATATTCATTTTTTGCTAGACACAGGGCTGTGCTGGGATACAAGGAACAGGCTATAGATGTCAGGGAGCTTATTGGTCAAGCACAATAATATTTGTCCTATGGTAGGGTGTTCAATAAATATTTGCTGGATGAAAAACAAGTTATCTTGCCATGGATAAAAATTATTCCACTTTCTCATTTTTGTAGAATATTAGAGTACCCAAGTTAGTACTAAGAAACAGCACTATCTATCTCTTCATCAAACAGCATCCAGTAGAAATGGCTGTCATAGGCTGGCTGGCTTCATCTTCTGTATTGCGAAGTCCAGATGGATGAAAGCTTGCTTCTCTCCTGTTCTTCATTATTATTCCTTAGTACCCTATGGATTTAGATCAGGCTAACACACCAACCTCCTCATTTCATCACTTCTAACACATAGCTAATTTTATTTTATTTATAAAGTCACATCTCAACTTTAGACATGTTGCAATGTGAAAAAAATGTGTTTTAAAAATTGATGATGCCGGGCACGGTGGCTCACACCTGTAATCCCAACACTTTGGGAGGTTGAGGCAGGCATATCGCTTGAGCTCAGGAGTTGGAGACTGGCCTGGGCAACGTGGCAAAACCCCGTCTCTACCAAAAACACAAAATATTAGCTGGGTGTGATGGCACGTGCCTGTGGTCCAAGCTACTGGGGTTGGAGGCTGAGGTGGGAGGATAGCTTGAGCCTGGGAGGCGGAGATTGCAGTGAGCCGAGATGGTGCCACTGCACTCCAGTCTGGGCGACAGAGTGAGACCCCATCTCAAAATAAATAAAATAAAATTGATGAAATATAGTATAATACAGTGACTCTCAACCTACAGCTGTAATAAAGCCTATCACAGTTCTTAATATTTCTTAGCTATGCCAATGTGGCTAAGCTACAAATATCCTCACCTAAAAACTAGGAAAAATCCTTTTTGGCCTAAGAAGAGAAAGCTGAATCAGACAATTACTTCCAACAATTACTTCCATTAAGCCAGGGTTTTGCTTTTATGATTCCTTTTAATAACAGCTACGTTAACTTTAACAGCAAGAGAGAGGGTTACACAGACTTTTGGCCAGGCGCAGTGGCTCATGCCTGTAATCCTGGTGCTATGGGAGGCTGAGGTGGGGGAACTGCTTGAGGCCAGAAGTTTGAGACCAGTCTGGGCAACACAGCTAGACCCCATCTCCAAAAAAATTTTAAAAAATTAGCTGGGCCTGTGGCATGCGCCTGTAGTTCTAGCTACTCAGGAGGCTGAGGCAGGAGGATTGCTTAAGCCTAGGAGTTTGAAGCTTCAGTGAGCTATGATTGCACCACTGTACTCCAGCTTGGGCAACAGAATGAGACTCTGTCTCTAAAAAACAAAACAAAACAAAAGAAAATACCTAGGCAATTTCACTTAAGATAGATTAGATCCACACATCAAATTTGTGTTTCTGGAAATTACTATAACAATTTTTAATAAACAGCTTAGAAACTTCAGAAAAAAATTAGGGCCAGGTACAGTGGCACATGCCTGTAATCCCAGCACTTTGAGAGGCTACGGCAGGTGGACCGCTTCGGCTCTGGAGTTTGAGACCAGACTGGGCAGCATGGCAAAACCCCATCCTCTAAAAAAAAATACAAAAATTAGCTGGGCGTGGTAGCATGCACCTATAGTCCCAGCTACTCAGGAGGCTGAGGTCGGAGGATCACTTAAGCCTGGGAGGTTGAGGCTGCAGTAAGCCGACATCATGCTACTACATTCCAGCCTGAGTGACAGACAGAGACCCTATCTCGAGAAAAAAGAAAGAAAGAAAAGAAAAACAAAACTGGTACTACCAGAAAAAATAAAAACAAAACAGATGACAAATATATGGCAGCCAATCTAACATAATTAGTGTATAAGTATTTGTAGCTTTGTCTCTTCAAAAAAAAAAAAAAAAAAAAGCAAAAACAAAAACAAGCTCTCTTGATTTATAGGCTATTTTTTAATCTACAAATGGTAGAGCTCTCTTACAGAGTTCATTTTCTACCTCTCACTAAGATGACTGGAAGCACTGATAATAACTTCCATGCAGAGGTATAGTGACTAAGAGGGATGCGCCTCTATTCCTAAATCGTGTATAATCAAATAATATTTCTATTTAAAATTTTTATAACTCATTTCTGACAAATCGCTTTCCTCCCTTTCACCTAGTAAGCTGTTCACATGTTACTTTACAAGACAAATTAGTACCCAGTCAAGAAACCTTCTTTTCTGTCTTTTTTTTTCTTTTCCTTTTTTTTTTTTTGAGATGGAGTCTCACTCTGCTGCCCAGGCTGGAGTGCAGGGGCATGATCTTGGCTCACTGCAACCTCTGCCTCCCGGGTTCAGGCGATCCTCCTGCCTCAGCCTCCTGAGTAGCTGGGATTACAGGCACGCACCACCACGCCCAGCTAATTTTTGTATTTTCAGTAGAGACGAGGTTTCGCCATGTTCGCCAGGTTGGTCTTGAACCCCTGACCTCAAGTAATCCGCCCACCTCAGCCTCTCAAAGTGTTGGGATTACAGGCGTGAGCCACCACGCCCAGCCAAAACCTTATTTTGAAGAGAATGAAGAAATTAACTAGTTTTAAATGTTATTTTAAATTTTACTATGATAATATGAATTTAAAAATATATAGCTTTGCTAGGAGCAGTGGCTCATGTCTATAATCCCAGCTACTTGGGAGGCTGAGGTTGGGGGATGGCTTGAGGCCAAGAGTTCAAGACCAGCCTGAGCAACACAGTGAGACCCTCACCTCTACAAAAGTTAAAAAAAAAAAATTCAGAAGCTAGCTTGGCACAGCTAGGCTTATTAGACATAAACAATCTCATAGAATACCAACTCCAGGAAAGCATATTCTGCAACCATGATAGAATGAGACAAAGTAGGGCCATATCATAATTTGTCTAAGCAGAGAAAAACATAAGGTCACAGTTGGAAACCACAAAATAGCCAACATTCTTCTTCTTTATTAATGAGTGAATGCTACTTCTTTACCTAGGCAAACCACTACTTTAGACCCTCCCCCATATCACTCAAGGAAAGCCCAGATTCTGTCACAGGTTCTTTGAAACATCCTTTTATTGAGAGGCTCCAGAGTGGCCCATGGTGTGTGTCATTCCTTGATGCAAGTGATAAACCCAAGTTTTCCGACTACAAGTGTATTTCTGGTGTTCTTTGGATTGAGGGCATAGAAAAGCGAAAGAATAAAACACAAAAAACTTTTAAGTCTCCATTGTAAAATACTACTATCTAGTCATTGGGAGAGAATAATACAAATCTTTAAACACCTCCATTTACTCAGAAACTGCTTCAAGTAGTCCACATGGTTTTTAATTGAAAAATGGCATAAATCCAACCATCGTTTCTCCTTTCTGGCTAAAAACAGAAGTGTATTTTAAACTTAAGATTCCAATTCCTTTATGTGACCTAATCATCTTTTTGTATAAAATAATACTTTTCTATAGGTTACTTGCTAGACAATAAGCACCATATTTTTAAAAATGGTATTATTTGACATTAATGAATAAAATGAGATTAGAAAGGTATCTGGTCTATTGTCTCTAAAATTCAATATCTTACATGCTTCACTGTGAAACTGCATTAATTCTTGTAAAACAGGCAGTACAAATATGAATATACACAAGAGATTTCAGAAAGATGTTTTAAAATGAATTCTTCACCTCATACTCATTATTTAAAAATTGCCATCATTTACATGATTTAAAGATTTTCCTTTAAAGGAAATTCTTACTCACGCTTCATTAAGGGGTACAAAAATAAAATCCTTCTCAAAAATATCTACGTGCCGGGTCCATGTTTTTACTCTCCCATGCCGTTTTTGCTGTATTCTGTAAGAAAGAGATAAATTATAAGCTTCTGAAATATTTCTAGTGCTCCAGCTTATATGTAGTGATTTATAAATTAAGAAGATTCAGATGTAATAGCTCAAACAGTTGCATAAAATGGTTTGACAAACTGGGGAAAGAAAATAGAACTTGTTGGATGGAAACTAGGAAGGCATGGGACTACCCATTGTTGAATTTGGAGAAAGATATTTTACTCCTGTTACTCCATCTGAGGGGTGGAAGTTCTAGTGCTTATCTTGCCTAGACTTCTCTTTACTATTTTTATTACTGCAGAATTGGTCCTGGCAACTATATTGAGAGGTGTAGCCAAGCACGACTTAGGGTAACTGGGGAGAAGACAGTAGGAAAAGTGAGCATTATCTGATGGTAGATGAAGCAATATAGCCATGAGCACTGGTCAAAACCAATGACTGTTATCACCTCTAAGATGCAACATTAGGAATTGCTGAAATAAGAGAATATATTATTATTATTAATTATTTATTATGCATAGCAGCCATCAATTCAAGACATCTAACACTAGTTTTAAATTTTAAAAGTACCAATTCTTAAGTGTATCTTTTGATCAATTACCAGCAAATTATCAGAGCTAGATGCCATCACTATTGGAGAGGAATTATAAAGAAAAAGGTGGGGCATGGTGGCTCACACCTGAAATCCCAGTACTTTGGGGAGGCAGAGGTGAGCAGATTCCTTGAGCCCAGGAGTTTGAAACCAGCCTGGGAAACATGGTGAAACCCTGTCTCCACAAAAAATACAAAAATTAGCTGGGTGGAGTGGCGTGTGCCTTAGTCCCAGCTACTTGGGAGGCTGAGGTGGAAGGATCACTTGAGAGTGGGAGGTAGAGGTTGTGGTGAGACAAGATCACACCAATGCCCTCCAGCCTGGGTGACAGAGTGAGACCCTGTCTTGAAAAAAAGAAAACAAATCAGGCCTACTATGTACAATAGTATTTCCTTAATTTGTCTGAGAAGAATCACCCAAAGAGCTTATTAAGAGTATAGATTCACAGGTTCCTTTCTTAGATATTATGGATGAACATCTAGGATAAAACAGAGTAATCTGTAGTTAGTAAGTATCTAAGTAATTTTAAAAAAACCTACTAGTCACATTTGGGAAACACTATTCTAGATATTTGACCCAGAACATTTATAAATTCCAGGTATTCTGAAAGTATTAGAATATTATGAATTATATTAATTTTGTAAACTGATAAGAGAACTAAATGATATTGCCTCAATATAAATAAGTTGTTAAAAAAAATTCCAAAACTAGCACAAAGTTAGTTTAAGGAAGGTGAATATGAACCCATGAAGAATGAAAATGGAACTGATTTATTTAGTGTGTTCTCTTCCTGGCTGGAGAATTTAAAAAGTAAGCAAGAGAACTGCAGAGATTTGTGTTTTCTTTCAAGTACGTGATTTTTCACTTAGTTAAATGTGAGTGACTTACATCTGTTAAATATTTTCAGAGTTTGACTTACGACAGATTAGTTGTTTCATGATTTCTCCTCTCTCTCTGATTAAGGCGTTTATAGAAAAAAGAACTGAATATATGAATTCGGTCAGCGTCTTCCTTCTTCAGTTTTTCAAGCACCAAGTATCTATTTGATAGAAAATAATTCAAATATAATTAATGTAACAGTTCACTTTATTTATTTCTATTTTTTTGAGACAGAGTCTCACTCTGTTGCCCAGGCTGGAGTGCAGTGGAGCGATCTCAACTCACTGCAACCTCCACCTCCTGGGTTCAAGTGATTCTCCTGCTTCAGCCTCCCAAGTAGCTGGGATTACAGGCACACACCACCACGCCCAGCTAATTTTTCTATTTTAGTAGAGATAGGGTTTCCCCCATGTTGGTCAGGCTGGTCTCGAACTCCTGACCTCAAGTAATCCGCCCGCCTCAGCCTCCCAAAGTGCTGGGATTACAGGCGTGAGCCATGGCGCCCGGCCACAGTTCGCTTTGTATTAAAAACTCAGTAAATCTTTTTTCTTTAGAACCATCAATCTCTCTTCTTTAGAACCAAGGAAGTTATTAGCAAAGTTTGATAACTATCCGATTATCTTCAGGCAATGAAAATTGCTATTTGAAAATAAAATTATAACATAAAGATCTAATGTTTTAAAACAAGGACACATTCTATGCAGTTAGCTGAAATTGAGCCACTGCACTCCAGCCTGAGAAACAGAGTGAGACTCTGTCACACACACAAAAAACCAAAAACCTTGTTAGGCTGCACACGGTGGCTCATGCCTGTAATGTCAGCACTTTGGGAGGCTGAGGTGGGCAGATCACCTGAGGTTGGGAGCTCAAGACCAGCCTGGCCAATATGATGAAACCCTGTCTCTACTAAAAATACAAAAATTTAGCCGGGTGTGGTGGCGAGTGCCTGTAATCCCAGCTACTTGGGAGGCTGAGGTGGGAGAATCACTTGAACCTATGAGGCAGAGGTTGCAGTGAGCCAAAATCACACCACTACACTCCAGCCTGGGCATGACAGACCAAGACTTGGTCTCAAGAAAATAAAAATAAATTAAAAAAAACCAAGGGCACACTCTAAATCTAGAGTAGAGCATATGTCCCCACATTATTCATAATAGCCCAAAAGCATAAGAAAAATGCTAACCAACTGACAAATGGAAAAATAAAGTGTTACATTTATACAATGAAATATCTGAAATAGAAATGAAGTGATAATACATGATCATAGAAAATCCTTGAAAACATGCCAACTAAAAGAATCTACTCATAAAAACCACACATTTTATGGTTCTATTTGTACAAAATGTTCAGAATACAAAAAGCCAGAGATAGAGAAAAGACTGACAGTTGCATAGGCCTGGAGGAGGGATTGGAAGAAAACAGTGATTGCTAATGGGTACTAGGCTTCTTTATGGGGCAATGAAACACACTGAATTGTATACTTCAAATGGGTGAATTGTATGTTATATGTATTATATCTAAGTAAAGCTGTTA
This sequence comes from Homo sapiens, assembly GCF_000001405.40. Taxonomy (NCBI): domain Eukaryota; kingdom Metazoa; phylum Chordata; class Mammalia; order Primates; family Hominidae; genus Homo; species Homo sapiens. The sequence continues at coordinate 75,694,430 of NC_000006.12, read as the reverse complement.
TCATTATGTATTGTTTATTTCATTTTAAACAGTTCAGTTAATAAACCACGAAGATCCAGCAGCATAGTATTTTTTATGAAAATAGAAAATAAAGAGAAAGAACTTGTACAGTGGTGAGGTGGTAACAATGACTCTGTAAAGTGATCTTACATTGGTTCTAATTTTTTTTGAGATAAGAGTTTCACTCTTGTTGCCCAGGCAGGCTGGAGTGCAATGGCATGATCTCGGCTCACCACAACTTCCACCTCCCGGGTTCAAGCGATTCTCTTGCCTCAGCCTCCTGATTAGTTGGGATTATAGGCATGGACCACCATGCCAGGCTAATTTTGTATTTTTAGTAGAGACGGGGTTTCTCCATGTTGCTCAGGCTGGTCTTGAACTCTCGATCTCAGGTGATCCACCTGCCTCGGCCTCCTAAGGTGCTGGGATTACAGGCGTGAGCCACCGTGCCTGGCCTGGTTCTAAGTTTTTATTGCCTTAGTTATTTTTTTATACATCTATAGCAAAACAAGTAACAATAGTCGTTTATATCACAAAGGGAAATTATGATATATTAAATTTATTTATGATCCAAACTTTCTCATAGGACTTATGCAAGTTCAAGCTTATGGCCATATTAATATTATCAAAATGAGGACAGTCTGAAAGTCTTGTGAAATCTTACACAGAAAGAGCAAATGCTTAAAACATCTGGCCCCCTAGAGGGCACATTCTTGAGATCTGTTACTTTTATCACTAATATGCAATAATTCCAAAGCTCAAGTTTCAATGAAAATGACATAATTTAAGATTTCTTGCTTTCAGGCAACTCAGTGTGCCCCTACAGAAGATAATACAAGACAGTGAGTCAGATCAAGACACAGTTTATATTAATTGCTGAATTCTACAATAGTATCTTCAAAACACACTATGTAGATAAATAGCTATCAGTCCAGGGACTATACTGTAATGAGTGAACCATGAGACTTTTGCTGGCCCAAACTATAATGGCTACTTTGGTGTTTTTTTTTTTTTTTTTTTTAAATTTCAGACTGAGTATCACTCTGTCTCCCAGGCTGCAGTGCAGTGGTGCAATCTTGGCTCACTGCAATCTCCACCTCCAGGTTCAAGTGATTCTCCTGCCTCAGCCTCCTGAGTAGCTAGGACTGCAGGCACCCTCCACCACACCCAGCTAATTTCTGTATTTTTTTTTTAGTAGAGGCCAGGTTTCACCATGTTGGCCAGGTTGGTCTCGAACTCCATTCCTCAAATGATCCTCCCACCCTGGCCTCCCAAAATGCTGGGATTATAGGCGTGAGCCACTGTGCCTGGCCTACAATGGCTGTTTTATAAAACTTAACTGAATAAAGGGATATTCACCTTAAAAAAAGGAAATGTATTTGTGATATAAGACAACTGAGCTGGACATAGTGGCTCACTGCAGCCTCCGCCTCCTGGGCTGAAGCCATCCTCTTACCTCTTCCTCCAGAGTAGCTGGAACTACAGGCATACGCCACCATACCTGGCTAACTTTGTTTTTTTTTGGTGGGGGTAAACATGGGGTTTCGCCATGTTGTCCAGGCTGATCTCGAACTTCTGGGCTCAGGTGGTCTGCTTGCCTTGGCGTCCCAAGTGCTAGGATTACAGATTTTTTTTTTTTGGCGGGGGAAGGGAAGGAGGAAGAGCCACAGGGCCAGGTGTGAGGGAGGAGTGGGATGCGGGGAGGATGGGGGGCGAGGGATGTGGGGCTCAGGCACTAGCCTGGGAAGCCTCCAGGATTACAGGTTTGAGCCACCACACCCAGCCTGTGCTTTATTTATTTCTTTGAGATAAAGTCTCACTCTCTCGCCCAGGCTGGAGTGCAGTGGCATGGTCACAGCTCACTGCAACCTCAAACTCCTGGGCTCAAGTGATCCCTCACTTCACTCTCCTGAGTAGCTGGGACCACAGGCCTGCACTACCATGCCCAACTAATTTTTTTTTTGTATGTTTTTGTAGAGACAAGGGTCTTGCTATATTGCCCAATATGGTCTTGAACTCCTTGCCTGAAGCAATCCTCCAGCATCGGCCTCCCAAAGTACTGGGATTATAGGTGTGAGTCACTGCACCTGGCCTAATTTATGCTTTTAAAGTAACTAGTTTCGTTTTTCTGATATGCACCCATAAGATTTCTGTGACTACAGTTCTAGATTTTTTAAGTGTACATGTGTCACAACTATTAACTTTAAAATAATAATCATATCTCTCATTTTAGAATTAAAGGGAAAACCCAAGCTTACCACAAAAACTTATGGGAGGCCAGGCGCGGTGGCTCACGCCTGTAATCCCAGCACTTTGGGAGGCCGAGGCAGGCGGATCACCTGAGGTCGGGAGTTTGAGACCAGCCTGACCAACATGGAGAAACCCCATCTCTACTAAAAATACAAAACTAGCCGGGTGTGGTAGCACATGCCTGTAATCCCAGCTACTCAGGAGGCTGAGGCAGGAGAATAGCTTGAACCCGGGAGGCGGATGTTGCAGTAAGCCGAGATTGTGCCATTGCACTCCAGCCTGGACAACGAGAGTGAAACTCCATCTCAAAAAAAACCAAAAAACAATGGGAGGCCGAGGCGGGCGGATCACGAGGTCAGGAGATCGAGACCATCCTGGCTAACACGGTGAAACCCCGTCTCTACTAAAAATACAAAAAATTAGCCAGGCCTGGTGGCAGGCGCCTGTGGTCCCAGCTACTCGGGAGGCTGAGGCAGGAGAATGCCTCAGGGAGGCGGAGCTTGCAGTGAGCTGAGATCGCGCCACTGCACTCCAAACTGGGCAACAGAGCGAGGCTCCGTCTCAAAAAAAAAACAAAAAACAAAAACAAAAAACAAAAAACAAAACACAATAACAAAAAAAAGCCTTATGGGAATTTCTTCCATTTGGGTGCACCAATTTCTCTAAGTGCATACATCATTTAAATATTGAATGCTGGTGAAGCTGTTTAGTTGCTATTCCATAAAATGGAAAATCTAACATCATCAGAACTCCTTTAACTATAAGATGAAGTTAAACAGTGATTTTGGGCTGGGCACAGTGGTGGGAGGATCCCTTGAGAATAGCCTGGGCAACACAGGAAGACCCTATATCTCCAAGAAAATTTTAAAAATTAGCAGAGTGTGGTAGCTCGCACATGTAGTCCCAGCTACTTGAGAGGCTGAGGCAGGAGGATCACTTGAGCCAGGGAGGTCTGGGCTTCAGTGAGTCGTGATTGCGTCACTGCTCTCCAACCTGAACGACAAAGTAAGAATCTGTCTTTGAAAAAAAAAAAAAAATTTTAGCTGGGAATGGTAATCGCCTGTAATTCCAGCACTTTGGAGGCCAAGGTGGGAGGATCGCTTCAGCCCAGAAATTTGAGACCAGCCTGGGCACACAGGGAGATCCTGCCTCTATTAAAAAAAAAAAAAAAAAATTAGGCTGAGCACAGTGGCTCATGCCTGTAATCCCAGCACTTTGGGAAGCTGATGGGGGGCAGGGGGGATCACTTGAGGACAGAAGTTCAAGACCAGCGTGGCCAACAAGGTGAAATCCCATCTCTAATAAAAATACAAAACAATTAGCCAGGTGTGGTGGTGAGCGCCTGTAGTCCCAGCTACTCAGGAGGCTGAGGCAGGAGAATGGCATGAACCCGTGAGGCGGAGCTTGCAGTGAGCCGAGATTGCACCACTGCACTCCAGAGCCTGGGTGACAGAGCGAGACTCTCATCTCAAAAAAAAAAACAAAAAACAAAAAAACCAAAACAAACATATAAAATTTATCATGTTAACCATTCTGAGTGTAGAGTTCAGCAGTGTAAAGTATATGCACAGTGTTAAAAACAGATCTCCAGTAACTTTGTTTTGCAAAACTGAACATATGTCTATTAAACAACTCCTTTTCCCCTTCCCCTCAAATCCCAGTAAACATCAATTCTATTTTCTGTTTCTATGAATTTGACTACTTTAGATACCTCATATAACAGAAATCATACTTTTGTGACTGACTTACTGTGCTTGGCACAATGACCTCAAGGTTCATCTATGTTAAAGCAAGTAACAGTATTTCCTTCCTTTTTAAGGAAGGAAATGTATACATATTGCATTATATGTATACACCACATTTGGTTTATCCGTTCATCAATGGACAGCAGGATTGTTTCCACCACTCAGCTATTATGAATGCTGTTATGAACATGGGTGTGCAAATATGTCTTCAAGACTCTGCTTTCTGGTTGGGAGCAGTGGCTTATGCCTGTAATCCCAGAACTTTGGGAAGCCAAGGTAGGAGGACTGCTTGAGGGCAGGAGCTCAAGACCAGCCTGGCCAACAAAGTGAGACACCATCTGTATAAAAGTGAAAAAATTAGCAGGGTGTGACGGTGTGCACCTGTAGTCCCAGCTACTTAGGAAGCTGAGGCAGGACGATCACTTGAGCCCAGGAGGCTATCGTGAGCTGTGACTGTGATGCTGCACTCCATCATGGGTGACAGAATGAGACCCTAACTCAAAACAAAAAGACGCTGCTTTCAGTTCTTTTGGACATCCAGTCATGCAGTGCTTAAGAATGGGGTTATGTTCTGAGAAAGGCATCATGAGGTAATTTGAAGTTGTGCATCATCGAGTGTACTTATACAATCCGAGGTGGCATAGTGTCCTATACACCTAGGCTATATGGTATAACCTACTGCTTCTACACTATACACCTGTATAGTATGTTACCGTACTGAATACCATAGGCAACTGTGACACAATGGAAACTATTTGTGTGCCCAGAGAAAAGGTACAGTAAAAATACGTTATTATAATCTTATGGGCTCACTATCACATATGGTCCATAATTGACTGAAACGTTATGTGGCACGAGACTGTATACCCAGAAGTGGGATTGCTGGATCATATTGTAGTTCTATTTCAAATTTTTTGAGGAGCCTACGCACTGTTTTCCACAGTGGCAGCACCATTTTATAACAGTTTCAATTTCTCCACATCCTCATCAACACTTATTTTCTGTTTTTTTTTGTTTTTGTTTTAATAGTAGCCATCCTAATGGATGTGAGATGACACTGTGTTATATTGTTTTGATGCTGCATTTCTCTAATGATTACTGATGTTGAGCATCTTTCATATGCTTTTTGGCCACTTGTATGGATCACTTAAAAAAGAGATAACATCTTTTGACTTATCTATAAAGATTTTATTTTTTTCTTGGATATAGTGTCTTGCTCTGTCACCCAGGTTGGAGTACAGTGGTGTGTAATCATAGCTCACCGTAGCCTCAAACTCTTGTCATGGGCTCAAGTGATCCTCCCATCTCAGCCTCCTCAATAGCTAGGACTATAGGTGTGCACCACCATGCCCAGCTGAATTTTTTTCTTGAGACGGAGTTTCACTCTTGTTGCCCAGGCTGGAGTTCAATGGCATGATCTCGGCTCCCCGCAACCTCCACCTCCTGGGTTCAAGTGATTCTCCTGCCTCAGCCTCCCAAGTAGCTGGGATTACAGGCATGCACTACCACACCTGGCTAATTTTGTATTTTTAGTAGAGTTGGGGTTTCTCCATGTTGGTCAGGTTGGTTTCACCTCCTGACCTCAGATGATCCACCTGCCTCGGCTTCCCAAAGTGCTGGGATTATAGGCGTGAGCCACCACGCCTGGCTTGCCCAGCTAATTAAAATTTTCTTTTTTGTAGACACAGGGCTTCATTATATTGCACAGGCTGGGTCTCCAACTCTTGGCTTCAAGTGATCCTCCCACCTTGGCCTCCCAAAGCCCTGGGATTACAGGTATGAGCCACTGTGTCTGGTCAGCTATGAAGAACTTTGAAACACACCAAAAGGAAAAATGGTGTCCTTGAAATGGGGGCACAGTTTAAACTAAATAGAATATAATCCTGGACGGGGGGGTGGGGTGGCGGTTCCAAGATGGCCAAATAGGAATAGCTCCGGTCTGCAGCTCTCAGCATGACCGATGCAGAAGATGGGTGATTTCTGCGTTTCCAACTGAGGTAACTAGTTCATCTCATTGGGACTGGTTGGACAGGGGATGCAGCCCATGGAGGGTGAGCTGAAGCAGGGCGGGGCATCACCTCACCCAGGAAGTGCAACAGGTTGGGGGATTTCCCTTTCCTAGCCAAGGGAAGCCTTCACAGACTACCTGGAAAAATGGGACACTCCCGCCCAAATACTGTGCTTTTCCCAAGGTCTTAGCAACCAGCAGACAAGGTGATTCTCTCCCGTGCCTGGCTCGGCGGCTCCCACGCCCATGGAGCCTTGCTCACTGCTAGCACAGCGGTCTGAGATCCATCTGTGAGACAGGAGCCTGACTGGGGGAGGGGCATCCGCCATTGCTGAGGCTTGAGTAGGTAAACAAAGCGGCCAGGAAGCTCAAACTGGGTGGAGCCCACTGCAGCTCAACAAGGCCTACTGCCTCTAGACTCCACCACTGTGGGCAGGGCATAGCTGAAAAATAGGCAGCAGACAACTGCAGACTTAAACATCCCTGTCTGATAGCTCTGAAGAGAGCAGTGGTTCTCCCAGCACGGCATCTGAGCTCTGAGAACGGACAGAATGCCTCCTGAAGTGGGTCCCTGACCCCTGTGTAGCCTAACTGGGAGACACCTCCCAGTAGGGGCCGACAGACACCTCACATAGGCAGCTGCCCCTCTGGGACGAAGCTTCCAGAGGAAGGATCAGGCAGCAATATTTGCTGTTCTGCAGCCTCTGCTGGTCTGGAGTGGAACTCCAGCAAACTCCAAAAGACCTACAGCTGAGGGACCTGACTGTTAGAAGGAAAACAGAAAGGAATAGCATCAACAAACAGAAAGGAATAGCATCAACATCAACAAAAAGGTCATCTACACCAAAACCCCATCTGTCGGTCACCAACATCAAAGACCAAAGGTAGATAAAACCACAAAGATGGGGAGAAACCAGAGCAGAAAAGCTGAAAATTCTAAAAATCAGAGCACCTCTTCTTCTCCAAAGGATTGCAGCTTCTTGCCAGCAACGGAACAAAGCTGGACGGAGAATGACTTTGACGAGTTGACAGAAGCAGGCTTCAGGAGGTCAGTAATAACAAACTTCTCCGAGCTAAAGGAGGATGTTCGAACCCATCGCAAGGAAGCTAAACACCATGAAAAAAGATTAGATGAATAGCTAACTAGAATAAAGAGTGTAGAGAAGACCTTAAATGACCTGATGGAGCTGATAACCATTGCACAAGAACTTCACGACACATGCACAAGCTTCAATAGCCAATTCGATCAAGAGGAAGAAAGAGTATCAGTGATTGAAGGTCAAATTAATGAAATAAAGTGAGAAGACAAGGTTAGAGAAAAAAAAGTAAAAAGAAACAAACAAAGCCTCCAAGAAATATGGGACTATGTGAAAAGACCAAATCTACATTTGATTGGTGTACCTGAAAGTGACGGGGAGAATGGAACCAAGTTGGAAAACACTCTGCAGGATATTACCCAGGAGAACTTCCCCAGCCTAGCAAGGCAGGCCAATATTTAAATTCAGGAAATGCAGAGAACACCACAAAGATACTCCTTGAGAAGAGCAACTCCAAGCCACATAATTGTCAGATTCCCCAAGGTTGAAATGAAGGAAAAAGTGTTAAGGGCAGCCAGAGAGAAAGGTTGATTACCCACAAAGGGAAGCCCATCAGACTAACAGTGGATCTCTCGGCAGAAACCCTACAAGCCAGAAGAGAGTGGGGGCCAATATTCAACATTCTTAAAGGAAAGAATTTTCAACCCAGAATTTCGTATCTAGCCAAACTAAGCTTCATAAGTGAAGGAGAAATAAAATACTTTACAGACAAAGCAAATGCTGAGAGATTTTGTCACCACCAGGCCTGCCTTGCAAGAGCTCCTGAAAGAAGCACTAAACATGGAAAGAAACAACTGGTACCAGCCACTGCAAAAACAGGCCAAATTGTAAAGACCATCGATGCTATGAAGAAACTGCATCAATTAATGGGCAAAATAACCAGCGAACATCATAATGACAGGATCAAATTCACACATAACAATGTTAACTTTAAATGTAAATGGGCTAAATGCCCCAATTAAAAGACACAGACTGGCAAATTGGATAAAGAGTCAAGACCCATCAGTGTGCTGTATTCAGGAAACCCATCTCACATGCAGAGAGACACACAGGCTCAAAATAAAGGGATGGAGGAAGATCTACCAAGCAAATGGAAAACAAAAAAAGGCAGGGGTTGCAATCCTAGTCTCGGATAAAACAGACTTTAAACCAACAGAGATCAAAAGAGACAAAGAAGGCCATTACATAATGGTAAAGGGATCAATTCAATAAGAAGAACTAACTATCCTAAATATATATGCACCCAATACAGGAGCACCCAGATTCATAAAGCAAGTTCTGAGTGACCTACAAAGAGACTTAGACTCCCACACAATAATAATGGGAGACTTTAACACCCCACTGTCAACATTAGACAGATCAACGAGACAGAAAGTGAAGAAGGATACCCAGGAATTGAACTCAGCTCTGCAACAAGCAGACCTAATAGACATCTACAGAACTCTCCACCCCAAATCAACAGAATATACATTCTTCTCAGCACCACATCGCACTTATTCAAAAATTGACCACATAATTGGAAGTAAAGCACTCCTCAGCAAATGTAAAAGAATAGAAATCACAACAAACTGTCTCTCAGACCACAGTGTAATCAAATTAGAACTTAGGATTAAGAAACTCACTCAAAACTGCACAACTACATGGAAACTGAACAACTTGCTCCTGAATGACGGGTAAATAACGAAATGAAGACAGAAATAAAGATGTTCTTTGAAACCAGTGAGAACAAAGGCACAACGTACCAGAATCTCTTGGACACATTTAAATCACCTTAATTTAAAGCAGTGCGTAGAGGGAAATTAATAGCACTAAATGCCCACAAGAGAAAGCAGGAAAGATCTAAAATTGACACCCTAACATCACAATTTAAAAAACTAGAGAAGCAAGAGCAAACAAATTCAAAAGCTAGCAGAAGGCAAGAAATAACTAAGATCAAAGCAGAACTGAAGGAGATAGAGACAAAAAAAACCCTTCAAAAAAAATCAATGAATCCAGGAGCTGGTTTTTTGAAAAGATCAACAAAATTGACTGACTGCTAGCAAGACTAATAAAGAAGAATCAAATAGATGCCATAAAAAATGATAAAGGGGATATCACCACTGATCCCACAGAAGTACAAACTACCATCAGAGAATAAACACCTCTATGCAAATAATCTAGAAAATCTAGAAAAAATGGATAAATTCCTGGACACATACACCCTCCCAAGACTAAACCAGGAAGAAGTTGAATCTCTAAATAGACCAGTAACAGGCTCTGAAATTGAGGTAATAATTAATAGCCTACCAACCAAAAAAAGTCCAGGACCAGATGGATTCACAGCCTAATTCTACCAGAGGTACAAGGAGGAGCTGGTATCATTCCTTCTGAAACTATTTCAATCAACAGAAAAAGAGGAAATCCTCCCTAACTCATTTTATGAGGCCAGAATCATCCTGATACCAAAGCCTGGGAGACACACAACAAAAAAAGAGAATTTCAGATCAATATCCCTGATGAACATTGATGTGAAAATCCTCAATAAAACACTGGCAAACGAAGTCCAGCAGCACATCAAAAAGCTTATCCACCATGATCAAGTGGGCTTCATCCCTGGGATGCAAGGCTGGTTCAACATATGCAAATCAATAAACATAATCCATCGTATAAACAGAACCAATGACAAAAACCACATGATTATCTCAATAGATGCAGAAAAGGCCTTTGACAAAATTCAACATCCCTTCATGCTAAAAACTCTCAATAAACTAGGTATTGATGGAAAATATCTCAAAATAATAAGAGCTATTTATGACAAACCCACAGCCAATATCATCCTGAATGGGCAAAAACTGGAAGCATTCCATTTGAAAACCAGCACAAGACAAGGATGCCCTCTCTCACCACTCCTATTCAACATAGTGTTGGAAGTTCTGGCTAGGGCAATCAGGCAAGAGAAAGAAATAAAGCGTATTCAATTAGGAAATGGGGAAGTCAAACTGTCCCTGTTTGCAGATGACATGATTGTGTATTTAGAAAACCCCATCATCTCAGCCCAAAATCTCCTTATGCTGATAAGCAACTTCAGCAAAGTCTCAGGATACAAAATCAATGTGCAAAAATCACAAGCATTCCTATACACCATTAACAGATAAACAGAGAGCCAAATCATGAGTGAACTCCCATTCACAGTTGCTACAAAGAGAATAAAATACCTAGGAATCCAACTTACAAGGGATGTGAAGGACCTCTTCAAGGACAATTACAAACCACTGCTCAACGAAATAAAAGAGGACACAAACAAATGGAAGAATATTCCATTCTCATGGATAGGAAGAATCAATATCATGAAAATGGCCATACTGCCCAAAGTAATGTATAGATTCAATGTCATCCCCATCAAGCTACCAGTGACTTTCTTCACAGAATTAGAAAAAACTACTTTAAAGTTCATATGGAACCAAAAAAGAGCCCGCATTGCCAAGACAATCCTAAGCAAAAACAACAAAGCTAGAGGCATCACGCTACCTGACTTCAAACTATACTACAAAGCTACAGTAACCAAATCAGCATGGTACTGGTACCAAAACAGAGATATACACCAATGGAACAGAAAAGAGGCCTGAGAAATAATACCACACATCTACAACCATCTGATCTTTGACAAACCTGACAAAAACAAGAAACGGGGAAAGGATTCCCTATTTAATAAATGGTGCTGGGAAAACTGGCTAGCCATATGTAGAAAGCTGAAACTGGATCCCCTCCTTACACCTTATACAAAAACTAATTCAAGATGGATTAAAGACTTAAATGTTAGACCTAAAACCATAAAAACCCTAGAAGAAAACCTAGGCAATACCATTCAGGTCATAGGCATGGGCAAGGACTTCATGACTAAAACACCAAAAGCAATGGCAACAAAAGCCAAAATTGACAAATGGGATCTAATTAAACTAAAGAACTTCCGCATGGCAAAAGAAACTATCATCACAGGCAACCTACAGAATGGGACAAAATTTTTGCAATCTACCCATCTGACAAAGGGCTAATATCCAGAATCTACAATGAACTCAAACAAATTTACAAGAAAAAAAAACCCCATCAAAAAATGGGCAAAGGATATGAACAGACACTTCTCTAAAGAAGACATCTATACAGCGAACAGACACATGAAAAAATGCTCACCACCACTGGTCATCAGAGAAATGCAAATCAAAAACCACAATGAGATAACCATCTCATGCCAGTTAGAATGGCAATCTTTAAAAAGTCAGGAAACAACAGATGCTGGAGAGGATGTGGAGAAATAGGAATGCTTTTACACAGTTGGTGGGAGTGTAAATTAGTTTAACCATTGTGGAAGACAGTGTGGCGATTCCTCAAGGATCTAGAACTAGAATTACCATTTGACCCAGCAATCCCATTACCTGGTATATACCCAAAGGATTATAAATCATGCTACTATAAAGACACATGCACATGTATGTTTATTGCGGCACTATTCACAATAGCAAAGACTTGGAACCAACCCAAATGTCCATCAATGATAGACTGGATTAAGGAAATGTGGCACATATACACCATGGAATACTATGCAGCCATAAAAAAGGATGAGTTCATGTCCTTTGCAGGGACATGGATGAAGCTGGAAACTATCATTCTCAGCAAACTATCACAAGGACAGAAAACCAAACACAGCATGTTCTCACTCATAGGTGGCAACTGAACAATGAGATCACTTGGATACAGGGCGGGGAACATCACACACCAGGGCCTGTTGTGGGATGGAGGGCTGGGGGAGGGATAGCATTAGGAGAAATACCTAATATAAATGATGAGTTGATAGGTACAGCAAACCAACATGGCACATGTATACCTATGTATCAAACCTGCATGTTGTGCACATGTACCATAGATCTTAAAGTATAATTAAAAAAAAAAAAGAATATAATCCTGATGTTGAGTAGATCCTGCTGGTTGATGGTGTTGTCGAGTTCTTCTATATCCTTGTTGATTTTCTTTCTAGTTGTTCTATCAATTGTTGAGAGAGGGGTACTAACATCTCCAATTTTATTTGTGGATTTGTCTGTTTCTCCTTTCAGGTCTATCAGTTTTTGCTTCACACATTTTATAGTTCTGTTGTTTAGTACATAGGATTAGTATGTTTTCTTGGTGGATCATTCCTTTATCATTACATAACATCCTTCTTGATCCCTGGTAATTTTCTTTCCTCAGAAGTTTATTTGTCAGACTCTGCTTTCTTGTGTTTAATGTTTGTATGGTTTATCTTTTCCATCCTTTTTCTTTCAACCTATTTAATATCATTACTTTGACATTCCTTGTAGACAGTTCACTGATTCTTTCCTCTGTCTTTTCCATTCTGCTATTGAGCCCAGCCCCTGAAGTCATTATTTCAGTTTTGTATTTTGAGTTCTAAAATTTCCATTTGTTTCTTCCTTGTTTTTTATATTTTTGTTTTTTTGTAGAGATGAGGATTTTGCTATGTTGCCCAGGCTGGTCTCAAACTCCTGGCCTCAAGTGATCCTCCCACCTTGGCCTCCAAAATTGCTAGGATTACAGGCATGACCCATCCATTTGTTTCTTCTTTATATTGTTTTGAGTTTTCATTTGTTTCAAGAGTTGTCATCATGTTCATTAAAACATTTTTATGATGGATGCTGTATCAGTCCGTTCTCTCACTGCTCTAAAGAACTACCTGAAAATTAGCTGGGTGTGGTGGTGAGTACCTGTAATCCAAGCTACCTGGGAGGCTGAGGTGGAAGGACTGCTTGAATGTAGAAGGCAAAGGCTGCCGTGGGCCAAGATCGCGCCACTGCACTGTAGACTGGGTGAGAGAGCAAGACTCCATCTCCAAAAAAAAAAAAAGAAATACCTGAGACTGGGTAATTTATAAAGAAAAGAGGTTTAATTGACTCACAGATCCACAGGCTATACAGGAAGCGTAGCTGTGGAGGCCTCAGGAAACTTGGAATCATGAGGGAAGGTGAAGAGGAAGGACATACATCTTACATGGCCAGAGCAGGAGTAACAGAGAGCAAAGGGGGAGGTGCTACACACTTTTATAAACAACCAGAACTTGTGAGAACTTACTCAATGTAACAAGGATGGAAAGGGGGAAATCTGCCCCCAGAATCCAATCACCTCCCACAAGGCCCCTCTTCCAACATTGTGGATTACAAATGGACATGAGATTTGGGCGGGGACACAAACCTCAACTGTATCAGATGCTTTAAAATCTTTGTCAAATAATTCTGACATTTGTGTCTTCTTGGTGTTAATGTCTATTGATATTCTTTTCTCATTCAGTTTGAGATCTTCCTGATTCTGGGTAAGGCAAATGATTTTCATTTTGAAATCTGGACATTTTGAGTACTATGGTTTTTGTTTTTGCTGGCAACTATGTAGAGCAATATAATTCTTGTGTTTTAGCAGACTTCCTCTAGCACCACACTCCAGTGGGTAGTAGGGTGTTACCTCATTATTGTGAGGTGGGACTAAAAGTACATGTTCTCTACTAGACCTCCACTGATACCAGAGAGCTCCCTGTTACTGATGGATGGGGGTGGGACTCCTCCAATAGGCTTCCACTGATACCATCTCTAATGGAGTTCAGGGGTGCAAGTCCAGGCTGTATAGTTAACTTAATTACCTTGGGGTCATTGTGAACTCAAAATTATACTTAGTTAGCCCTTATCTGCCTTGATCTCTGCTATATTGTTAACACTGAGTATAATCTCCTTTAAAGCTCTCACTTCCCTTCAATTTCTCTTCTTACTTCTTCAACAGCTTTGGAAATTATTCATGGGAGCCTTTTTATTCCCGGTCTATCTCTTAAAATGTAATCTCCAGGATCTGTCCGTATACTCTTTTTCTCATTCTATATCCCTACATAAGCAATTTCATTCATTCTCACAATTAAACAACATCTTACCATCTCTGTTGGTCAGAACTCAACCAAACTCTAGCGCCATTTGCTCAACTGCTTATTGGCACTGTCCTTTTGTTATATCACAGACCTCTAAAAGGGAACTTATCCCCTCCTCACCCAAGCCTGTTCTCCTTCTGCATTCACTGCTTTAGTGCCAACATCATTTAGCAGGTCTTGTGAGCCAGAAAACTAGGAGCTACCTGGTACCCTTTCCTCTCCTCCTTAATATCCACTTAATTAGTCCTGGAGTACTACTAATTCTATATAGTAAACAATTCTACCTCATAAAATGTCTCATCATTTCAACTAAAATATCTTAAATAGGCTTCTTAAATCATCTTAATTAAATTTCCTTAAATCACCTCTCATCTAGACTTCCACGATGTCATGCCTATCAAAATGGTCTTAACAGAAATTCAATTATGATATCATTTCTCTGATCAAAACTTTGCTCTTTATAACAATGTGTTTTCCCACCAAACTGAGTTGCAACCACCAATAGGCTATAAAATCAATTCAGCAGATTCCAGCATCAATTTTTAAAAGTTTTGTTTTGTTTAATGAAACACAGTATAAGAAACTAGAAAATATTACAGAGAACTATGCATACTGATGCTAAGTTCTGTTTTATTTCATATACATGTCCATTTTATATCACAAACCAGTAAAAACATACAAATTGATAAATGTATAAACACATTGCACATAGGTGTATACATGTGTTATGTTGGGTCATAATGTATATTGGGTCATAATGTAAGCTCTTCCAGGAAAGCTTCCTGGTCCCTCATATCTCCCAACCTCCAAAGATAATGAAGCATTCTCTCATCTGCTAGGACTGTACCATGTTAATGCTTCTATCATTGCTTTAATTCTGTATTTGTGCTTCCTACAAGACCATAAACTTCTAACACTGTACTAGGCATTTTTCCTACTACTTGATATGTACGATCTCATTTAATTCTCACAACTCCTGTTTTCGGGGGTGGGTGTGGGGGTAGAGTTTTGCTTTGTTGACCAGGCTGGAGTGCAGTGGCGCCATCATGGCTCAGTGCAACTTCGAACTCATGGGCTCAGGTAATCTTCCTGTCTGAGCCTCCCAAGTGGCTGGGACTATAGGTATATGACTGGCTAATTTTTAAATTTTTTGTGGAGACAAGGTCTCACTTTGTTTCCCAGGCTGGTCGTGAACTCTTGGGCTCAAGCGATCCTCCCACCTTGACCTCCCAAAGTGTCAGGATTATAGACATAAGCCAGATATCTCCCTGGCCCAATTTTCACAACTTTTTAGATAGAATTCTCATTTTTAAAATGTGCAAAGACAGAAACAGAAAAAATAACTCCCCAAATGTCACACAGTAAGTGGCAGAGATGGAATTTAAAACTCAAAAAGCCTGACTCTGGAAAACAAAGACATAAGATATGACGGAATGTTAAAGATTTAATAAAAGATCAGTGGAAAATTAACTTACTTCAAATAAAAGTCTATAATAACATCATTTAAAAATTCTCCTTCATTTAGACAGTGCAGGTCCTCATTGGTAACAGAGATGCCTCCCTTAGCTGGAGGTGGTGGATATACTATCAACCTGTAACAAAATTAGAAGGCAAGCAAATAAACAAATCTATATATATATACACAACTGAAATGTAATAAAACAGAGAAAGACATTTAAGATCATTGCAAATATAAAGGAATTCTCTCACTTTTCTACTGGGCCAATGAAGATGGTGTGGTTTTCTCCAGTTTCTTCTTCTTCATCAAAAAACTGAAATTCTTGTTTGCTTCTAAGTTGTATTTTAGATTCAAATGATACCTGGTAAAGGAAATTAAATTAGCAATTTACAGTCAATTAGGAAAAGTTTCAATAAAAAGGGTAAGCACAAGGCAAGAATGCTTTTCAATGCAAAAGGATTAAAAATGTGGAACTAAAAAGTATGCATGATACTTAACAATTAAAAACAAGAAACAGGCAAAACTAGGGGCCACTTTCTTATTATCTGTAGCTTCTAGATAGTGATACTCTCCCAACTTATGTAACAGTAATTTTCCAGTATCTTACTTCTCTCTCTACTATCTACATGAAATTAAATAATGCTGGTAAAATTCAAATAACCTTTCAAAAAAACCAAAGTGGTTTTTGCCTCTTAGTTCAATGGCTAGGCAATCTATAAGATGTAGGGGCAGAGGCTCAGGGAACACAGTCTAATGAGTTTCAGCCCTCCATAAAGCTAAGTGAAACAGGGGTTCCTTGGAGGAAAGAACCTTCCTCTGAAGTTTGAGTCCATCCCAGTGGCATTATGCTGCTCTTTTCTTCCTCTGGCACTGTCTCCCATGCAAACTATGCAAAAGAAAAAGAACCATTTCCCTTTCTTCTTTTGTTCTTTTCTCAACCCACTTAACTATATTTACAGCTCTTCTCTGGGGAGTCCTTGCTCAACTATCACCAAGATTGCGCTGTGGATAGCCATATTTCCAAGTTTGTAGGCAGTGTGAGAGATCTGTTCCCAATAAATTAGGTCAGCAAAGCTAAGTTGCTGTAATAGGAAATAAACTTAGAGTTTTAAAATTATGTTTGTATTATTTACCATTATACTATGTGTTTAGTAGTATTGTGGCCTTTGCTTCAGGTGGCTTCAGAGTTACCTACCTATATGAATAGTTATTTTAGTACTAGATACATGTTTTGACAATAAAGATCAAATAGCATGTATTCTTCATCTCTCAAGTTTTCAACCATATATGCCTATATTACATACAAATGTACACCACGGACCACAATTTCTTCAAACGTAAGACACAGGGTAACCAATCCATTTGAATGTAGCAGTGTGTGCATATATATGTTGGAAGTAGGGTATAAAGAAAAAAGGATGACAGAGAAAATGATGATGAAAAGTAAAGATAAGGATAGAATGTGGAGGAACCAAAAATGCTTCTGAGACCTGTATCAAGTGGTATTTGGCACCTACCCACCACTGTTTTGACACAAGGTAGTTTACAAATCACACATAAAAGTAAGTAATTCTGAAATAAAATTAAAAAGATTTAACACTGAAATGAACAGTATTAAAATAAAACATATTTCCCTTTAAAACTACCCACAATTTAAGAATATTTTTAAATTAAAAAACATAATTACAGTTTTAATTTTGTTTTCCTTTTGCCCACAACTTCCTTTGATGCTCTCTTCATAGGTTCTTGTACAGGCAACAAGTCTGCCATTAGCTTCTTCAAAGGGAATTTTCGCAAAAAAATTGGAGATGTTATTCTTTATACCAATTTCATTAATGATACTTTCAAATACCATATTTGCCGGAGGATCAAGGCCATTTTGAAAAATTAAAATTATATATTGTTCTTCTAAATCTGAAAAGAAATAAATATAAGTCCAAAAAAAAACACAAAAGAAGTAAATAGATACTTTTAAAAGGAGTAATTATTAATTCTTTCCAGGAGGATAATCAGAAATCCCAGTATAAAGGTCCACAACAATGTCTGACATACAGTGGATACACAACAATCACTGGAAAGACCAGTATGTGTTACATGCCAATGTCACCTAAGTTATTGGAAGGAACCAGAATACATTACTCTAACAACAGTTCAAGAACAAATCTATTCACGTATGTAACTAATTTACTTCATCTAATAAATCTAAATCTATAGTCTTAAAGATATAATAGTTAACATTTTTGTCAAACACAAATAGAAAATTGCCATGTGAACTGGTAGTATCTCAAGAGAATCTAACTGCAAAACAGCTTTTCACTAATGTGCCAACTCTTGCAAATTTAGTGGTAGCTAACATTTTTTCATAATTAAGCTGAAGCAGCAATTACTGCTGAAATGTGTATATCTTCTAAGCAGTCAAGCCATGCTTTAAGTGTTAAAGGTGAAGGAAAAAAACCTGGAGAACCACATCTATGTATTATAAAGACTTAAGGCCCATTTTAGGAACTTAACAACTTCCTATTCAGGCCAAGTTTCAAGATTTCCAGATTTATATGGCTGATTTACATTTAATATTCCTATCAGTTAAAAAATTTTATTTTACTCAGATTACAGTGTTAGTTAAGAGTGCAGATCTTTTGGGTTTTAATCCACTTAGAAACTTTGTAAATGAGTAAGTCTGGGTTTTATCTTCAGCCCTTCCACTTTCTGTGAGTTTTTCCTCATCTGTAAAATGGAGAAAGTAATATCTATTTCACAAGGTGGCTGTGACAATTGTAGATAATATACACCTAAGGCATCTGTCAAAGTGCACTCACATTTTGCTATTTAACAGATATTGTAAATACAGTATCTATTATTATCTATTATAATCTGTTTTACACAACTTACTTGTTAATTTATTTACTCCTTTACAATCATTCCAAACTTTATCCTCCTTATTCATTTGCAGTTGGATGCTCAGCTTTTGATAAACTGCTGGAATTGCTTGAAGAAACACTACAGGTAATTTTCGGACATTACACCATTCACATTTAGTTAGATCAGAGGTATTTAATATAATCTCTACAGGATCATGGTCTGGTTCTGGAGGAAAACAAATGAAATGGAAAAATAATTCTTAAGAGGGTAATATCATGAATGGGGGAAATTGTGAGGAAATACAAGTTTAAGTAAATGTAAGCACATATTTATTATGCTCTATAAATCATTACTCTTGTGGGTAATAAAAAAAATCTTTATAACTGCCTTAAAGAAACTTTTTTATTTTTTCCAAATGAAAAGGGGTTTCTAAAAAGTTAGGTTCTGTGATATTTCTGAATGAAATTACACCAAGATATATGCCCTTTGATAAGAAGATATATGTAACAACTAACCATCTTAATAAATTCTATGAATATTATTTAATCTTTTATTCCTGTAAAGTGCTTTGGTGTAAAGAAAGCTTTGGTAAGTAAAAAGACATAAAATAGCTTACCGTCTAGCTGTATCTTGATAAAATCTAAACAAAACTAAAAAAAAAGATGAATTAGTATTGCTCTAGACTTACAAAGAAAGGCAGGCTTCACTTTTTTATTCAAATACTTAGAATGTTTCTTATATTACTCGTTTATCTCTTAAAATCCCACAGAGAAGTTGGTATAACATTATAATGAACACCTAAACATTGCTTATCTAAACCCACTAACTGTTAAACTGTTAACATTCTTGTCACATCCCTTCCATCAGTCTTTCTTTCCTCTTTTTTTTTTCTTTTTTTAACTTTTATTTTAGGTTCAGGGGTACATGTGCAGGTTTGTTATACAGGTAAATTGCATGTCATGGGGGTCTGACTTTCACTCAATGGTTTCCCATCACTGAAGGTCCTTGCCTGAATTACTTATTACTGGTGGTTACAACATGGTATTTTCTAACTAATTATTTCAATGTGGAAAAGACACATTAAGCCTATTATAGCCTGAATTAATTATTTTACAGAAGAGACATTCAAAAAAGGAGGCAAGTATTTTGAAATGTATTAAAAAACAAGATAAATGAATATATACAGGGATGAATAGATATATGGAAAGCAAATACAATAAAATGCTAATAGTAAAATTTAGCGGGGAGTTATATAAATGTTCACTGCAAAAGTCTTTCAACTTTTCAGTGTGAAGATTTTTATAATATAAAAAGAGAAAGCAAATATAAAATAAATTTAGCAATTACTACAATAATTAATTGCAAAGTCTAGAATGTCACTAAACATACTTTCTAAAGATTGCATCTGAAAGGAATGTGTTAACTGGTTTCTCTGGGAAATAACAAATTATTTGGGGACATTAAGCATGGGTACTGGCAGGGAACGGTGGCTTTTAACTGTTATCCCAGCATTTTGGGAGGATGGCTTGAGCCCAAGAGTTTAAGACCAGCATGGCCAACATGGTGAAACCCCATCTCTACTAAAAGTATAAAAAATTAGCCAGGCGTGGTAATGCATGCCTGTAATCCCAGCTACTCAGGAGGCTGAGGCAGGAGAATCGCTTGAACCCAGGAGGCAGAAGTTGCAATGAGCCAAGATTGTGCCACTGCACTCCAGCCTGGGCAAAAATAGTGAGACATCATCTCAAAAAAAGAAAAACTTACCTAGGTATAGATGGCATGTACCTATAGTCCCAACTACTCTGGGGCCTGAGGTGGAAGGATTGCTTGTGCCTAGGAGTTCAAGGTTACAGTTAGCTATGACTGCAGCACTGAACTCCAGCCTGAGCAACGAAGAGAGACCTTATCGTTTTTAAAAAAAAAAAAAAAAAAAAAAAAGGAGTAGCTTGCGAAACATTCTAGCATACGTGGATGTTGACATTATATGTTTTGGAAAAATGTTAGCTGATGCAAAAAGTGTCAATAATGATGACATAAAGCATTCACTCATTCATTTATTTATTTGAGAATGAGTCTCACTCTGTCACCCGAGCTGGAAGGCAGTGGCACAATCTTGGCTCACTGCAACCTCCACCTCCCGGGTTCAAGTGATTCTTCTGCCTCAGCCTCCCTAGTAGCTGGGGTTACGGGTGCACGCCACCACACCCCACTAATTTTTGTAGTCTTAGTAGAGATGGGGTTTTACCATGTTGACCAGGCTGGTCTGAAATTCCTGACTTCAAGTGATCCACCTGCCTCAGCCTCCCAAAGTGCTGGGATTACAGCCACCACACCTGGCTGACATAAAGCATTTAAATAAAATTGTTGCATAAGATAAAGGAATTGAAGGAAGTGATATCTAAGTATTTGTCATTTAGAAATATCTAAGTAAGTCACACATTAATATTATAAGTAGACACTGGGCTGGGCACAGTGGCTCACACCTGTAATCCCAGCACTTTGGGAGGCCAAGGCAGGTGGATCACCTGAGGTCAGGAGTTTGAGACCAGCCTGGCCAAGATGATGTAACACCATCTCTACTAAAAATACAAAAATTAGCCAGGCATGGTGGCAGGCACCTGTAATCTCAGCTACTCAAGAGGCTGAGGTAGGAGAATTGCCGGAACCCGTGAGGTGGAGGCTGCAGTGAGCCAAGATTGCGCCACTGCACTCCAGCCTGGGCTGACAACAGTGAGACTCGGTCTCAAAAAAAAAAAAAAAAAAAAGTAGACATTGGTCTATTTCATCTACATTGTGAAAGTTTCTAAATTTAAACTGAATGAAAACCTTGGTTTTATATCTTCTCATTTGAAAAATGAATTTGTGCATATGTGGTATTCCTAATAATATATGCCATTTTACTTCTTTAAAAAAGCACTTGCTTTTAAATAAAATGGACGCTTCTAAATAATGCCAATTGGCCGGGTGCAGTGGCTCACACTTATAATCCCAGCACTTTGGGAGGCCGAGATGGGCGGATCACAAGGTCAAGAGATCGAGACCATCCTGGCTAACACAGTGAAACCCCGTCTCTACTAAAAATACAAAAAATTAGCTGGACGTGGTGGCCGGTGCCTGTAGTCCCAGCTACTCGGGAGGCTGAGGCAGGAGAATGGCATGAACCCAGGAGGCGGAGCTTGCAGTGAGCCGAGATTGCGCCACTGCACTCCAGCCTGGGCAACAGAGTGAGACTCTGTCTCAAAACAAAAAATAAATAAATACATAAAAATAATAATGCCAATTATATCACTGAGCAAATTAAAATGATTAAATTATCTAATAATAAGCAAGTGTAGAATTTTATAAAACATTAAACATAGTAAAACATTTAAAACCTGTTTCTCAGATTAATCATAACTTGGCAGATAAATCATTTCACTACAAAATATAAGGAAGTTATGTTCAAGAAGAAAATATCAAATCATCTTTTTATTTACGCCATCTGAAGAAGATACAGATCCACTAATTATTCTTCAATGAAGAATGCCCTTTGCTAAAAATCTCATGCTACAAGTAAGGTTAATACCACACTGCAAATTTCTACATTATATTTTTTGGCTGGAATATTTCATTTAGCATTATAATTTTTTAAACTGACACATTTTATGTTACATATACTGCCTTTTATTTTTTTAACTAAATTTACAAAGTTTTTCTTCACTGTAGCAAATATAACCTATTAGAAAAAATTCATCCAAATTTTAATGTAGTTCTTCATAAACAGCTTTAAGACTAAATATGCAACTTTCTAATTAAATGTCTAAATCACCAGCAAAACCTTACTCATCACACTGAAGAGTTATAAATAACAGCATTAATGTGGGAGAAAGCCGTAAAAGTTACAGGGCACTCCTGAACATTTTTGAGGTGCTAAGTGACACACAGTGACATTTTTGTTAATTGACAGAAACCAGGAAAGACAGTCTGCAGTATGAGGGCTGTAACAAAACACAAATTTCATAAATCCCTAAAAACACTGACATATGTTACAATATTATTGGGCAATAAAGGGTAGACAATTTATATATAATTTGCTTCGAATCTCCAGGGTACTTCTGAAACTTTAGTTTTTAAATTGTGAGAAGCTTAGGGTTTTTGATGGAAAAGAAAAATTTGCCGGATTCTCATAGAGCTGTGCTCTGCTAAGAAATCAGGTTCACATTTCATTTTCTCCTATAAACAATTTTTTTTCTTTTGATCATATTGTATCCTAGAACCATGAACCTTTACCAGAAAAGAAACAGTTATTATTCATTACATTAAATAATAAAATACCTTACAACTTTCCTGCTGTGATATAATTCTTTCTTTTTTTCTGTTTTTTGAGACAGAGTCTTGATCTGTCATCCAGACTGGAGTGCAGTGGCGCCGTCTCGGCTCACTGCAACCTCTGCCTCCCAGGTTCAAGCAATTCTCCTGCCTCAGCCTCCCGAGCAGCTGGGACTACAGGCACATGCCACTGCCCCCGGCTAATTTTTCTATTTTTAGTAGAGATGGGGTTTTAGCATATTAGCCAGGCTGGTCTCAAACTCCTGACCTCGTGATCCAGCCGCCTTGGCCTCCCAAAGTGCTGGGATTACAGGCGTGAGACACCGCGCCCGGCAATAAGTTCTCTTAAAGACAAGTGCTTTATGTAAAAAGGACAATATCAGTTTGAAAGAAGAGATGGAAACAAATAGGGACATCAAGTTAAGGCATTATAAAACAAAGGCTTACAGAACACATACAGTGCTTTACAATTAATCTAGCAACAATGTTTAGAATACATTAGAGAAAAAAATAATGACTAAGAAGGCTAGTTAAGGAGATTATATTAAAATTTCAAATAGAAAATAAAAACTTGGATTGGTGGCAGAATAGTAAGTACACAGGTATGATGGGTAAGATAAAGTACACAAAGTCCTTTGGGCAGCCATTATAGTACAATAATCTATTTCTAGGAGTCTTGATGCTATAATACATTTTCCAGCAAACCCCAAAACTTCTGGAATCTTCATTCACTCACTACAGTTCTTTAATATATTCTTTTCATGCACTTAGCTGGGATGATACTAAAACTAACATATTGGAAGGTTTTCTAACTCATTGAAAGTTTCATGCACGAAGCTGGCATGATAATAAACAATAACATATTGGAAGGTTTTCTAACTCATTTTAATGGCAAGGAGCTACTATTTATATACTCTTAAAGCAATGTGAAATCTTGAACTAACTGATATTCTATTAAATATTTTAACTTATAAATTTTAAATATTATATATTAGCTTTAGCAACGGAATTTTTAATGTTATAATTGGTATAGTAAAGAGCTTAAGATGTACTTACAATTACAGGCTCTATTAACAGCCGGAAGAGTGTTCCTACTCGTATACTTCGACAGTTTAAAATGACACTGTCAAAGGAACTTTGGCAGCTTAAAGCTAAAGCATCTGGAGGTTCTTGAGAAAACACTTTACGACGTTTCAGAGGTGTGTTGATAATAGAATTGCCAAACTAAAAAGGAAAAGAAAATGTTCACTTAATAATTTACTAAAATAAGGCTGCAAGCTAAGTATAAACATATGCAAAGACCCAATATAAGAAATGTAAATATCACAACATAAAATGGATTTCCCTTCAACAGTGTTAGATAAAATTAAAATTCATGGTTTTTATATAACAGTAAATCCTTGTATCTTATTTAGCTATACTTTGGTTGTTATTTAAATTTGAGTAATAGTATGGCATTCAGGAATAGTACTCTGGGAATCAGACTGCCTGGATTCAAACAGCCACACCACCTTTTAAAGATGTGATCTTGGCCGGGAGCAGTGGCTCACACCTGTACTCCCAGCACTTTGGGAGGCCGAGATGGGCGGATCATCTGAGGTCAGGAGTTCGAGACTAGCCTGCCCAACACAGTGAAACCTCGTCTCTACTAAAAGTACAAAAAATTAGCTGGGTGTGGTGGCAGGTGCCTGTAATCCCGGCTACTCAGGAGGCTACTCAGGAGGCTGAGGCAGGAGAACTGCTTAAACCTGGGAGGTGGACGTTGCAGTGAGCTGAGAACGCACCACCGCACTCCAGCCTGGGCAACAAGATCGAAATTCCTTCTTAAAAAAAAAAAATCTGATCTTGTAAAACTTAATAACTTACGTAAGTTTTGGTTCCCTAAACTCTAAAATATGCAGAGTAAGAGTACCCACTCAACTGAGTTAATGCATAAAAAGCAGTTTAGCAGATTGCTTCATGCACAGTAAAATGCTGCTAGTTATAGTGGCAGTGATACTTGAATTAAATCAGTAATTCTTTAGAAAGCAAGCAATTTAGGAGAATTGTTATTTGCATTACAAAATAACCCTTCCTTATATATTTACATATTTTAAACTATTTTCATCTGTTAAATTATGATTCCAGTCACTTCCAAATAGAAATTTATCATAAACACTTCATATAGGTATGTAATTTTAATTACAAGTAATTATATTAGTATCTTTATTATCATCACAAGAATAAAACAATATCTTGACAGAAAATAAGGGAAAAGAATGTCCACCATTCCCATTATCCTTCTAAAGGTATTTCTACCATCTATGTCACAGGAAAAAAAAAATGTATTTTAAACAAAATATGATCATATGATTTTGTAAACTGCTTTTTCAGGCTTATTAACAGATTTATCATTAATATTTTCCATTATTATTATTTTTTGAGATGGAGTCTCGCTCTGTCGCACAGGCTGGAGTGCAGTGGCATGATCTCAGCTCACCGCAACCTCCACCTCCCTAGGGGGTTCAAGCAATTCTCCTGCGTCAGCCTCCCAAGTAGCTGGGATTATAGGCACACACCACCACGCCTGGCTAATTTTTTTGTATTTTTAGTAGAGACAGAGTTTCACCATGTTGGCCAGACTGGTCTCGAACTCCTGACCTCAGGCAATCTGCCCACCTCAGTCTCCGAAAGTGCTGGGATTACAGGTGTGAGCCACCGCATCCGGCCTATTTTCCCTTATTATTAAAGAAACCTGTTAGAGAGGTTTAAAAGTGTTTTGTTTTGTTTTTAGCTGTAGAGTTATATCTTCAAATGAGAGGTTATTTAGCTCACTAATAAAACAGGAAAGAGCTGCTCCAGCTGAATCTACAATAAAGGATTTAGTCTAGAATATGAATGGTCCACACCCTCCATGGAGCATCATCAAAGACAGTACACACTGAGGTACCCTTATGATTCAGTGTGCCAGTCTGAAAACCGCTCATCTGAAAATTCCATTACATGGAAATTCATCATTAATTTAACTGAACTCATATGCTGGACATCTAAGTTCTTTCCAATCTCTTGCGATAGCAAACTATTCTTCAAAGAGCATTTTTGCAGTCCAGCCAGTTGTGGTACACATTTAGAATTACTGCCAAACTGCCCTCAACAGTTACACCAACTTATACATTCAACATTCCACTTCTCCAAACACTGATCAAGATTGAGACAATATCATAGTTTTAAATTTTTCAGCAATCTGAAGTTCACAAAAGGTATTTTAATTTCATTTTCACTACTTGGATTACTATTTTTTTTGAATTCTATTCATTTCCTTTCCTTATTTCCCTATGGTTTGCCTCTATTTCTTTATTTTTTAAAAATTAAAAATATATAAAGGACCACTTTACACTTTGTCACATAGCTTACTATTTTTCCATTTGCATCTACCTATCAAATTGTGTTTAGAGTGTTTTGCTACACTGTTCTACTTTTCATTTAATCAAATATATTCATCTTTTCATTTACTACTTTTGCTCGTGCTACCATGTGGGAAAGGCATTCTGTAAGATTATATAAAAATATTAATCCAGCCGGGTGCAGCGGCTTGCACCTGTAATGCCAGCCTGGGTGACAGAGCAAGATCCCCCCTTTAAATAAGTAAGTAAATAAGTAAATCCATATATTTTTCTATTATCCTTATGATTGCTTTTGTTGTTTTTCATTTTTTAAGGTTCCCATCTTAATAACCAAGTATATATGTTCCCATATTTGTATCTGTACTCCTATGAACACTGACATGTATAAACACATACATATAGAATTTAACATACAAGTTTATTATTTTATAAAAACATTCATACTAAAGTAATATACACATATTTCCTTATTTTGGTACTCTCACATAACAGTACCATGCAGAACTCCTAAAAGTCACTGATATAAGTTCTAATTTTTATTTTCAATGGCTGCATCATATGGATATACCTTAACTTTTTCAGCCATATCCATATTAACAGGCAACGATTTTGTTTGCCAATAATCATGTTTGCATATAAAGCCTTACGTACTGGGGAAGATGGAGTCTAAGGAATTAATTATTTGGTCAAATAGTACACATTAAAAATTTTTTAATGGTCATTTTTACATTTCTTTCCCAAAAGATCATAGTAACTTTCTTTTCCATCAGCAAATTGGGAAAGTGTCCTTTCCCTTGGATTCTTGACAACAGCACATATTAATTGATTTTTTAACAATTTTTAAAGTCCATTGAATACAGTTATATTTCATTTTCCTTAATTTGCACTTTTCATGTGGTAGTTTACTACATGAATTTTCTTTTTGTCCATTCTTATCCTTTGTTCATTTTGTTTTTATCCTGTAATTTTTAAGAGTTCTCAGTCTATTACAGACATTAAAATACTATGTCATCTGCATTACAAATAGTTGTCCTAGATACACTGTCTATTGACATCGTTCATATTACCTTTTTCCATGTGAACTTTTTGAAATTTTTATAGTAAAATATAAAACATAATGAAACATAGTATTACAGTAAAATATATCTCTGTCAAAATGACTTCTCTCCTCTGCTAGATTTTATAAGAAATTTTTGTACATACTGACATTTTATTTTAAGGTTGATACTGTGTTTTCTTGTTGAATTTTTTATACTTCAAGCCTTAAGTTTAATTGAAACTTATTTTTGTATATGGCTTAATGTTCTTCCAAATAATCTCCCATGTGGTATTTAAGCCCCACTTAATAATCCATCATTTTTTCTTGGCACTACCAAACTGCCTTCTAAAAAAAATTTACACCCCAAAATGGAGGCATTAATCTGAACAAATGTCAACAAAAGTGAAAAGTACCTGGTCTTTCATTCTTGCTTTTCTTGGCAATGTAACTGTATTTAACTCTGAGTCTTCTGGAATGCTTCGTAGTTCACGCTCTGCTCTGCAAGTATTTTCATTTAGCGCTGCTTCTACTTTTCCAGTGGATGGTGCAGGGGAAGAACATGCTGAATCAGCAGGCTGAGGAGATATGCTTTCTCTTCTGTTAGTTCTGTCGTTGTCATCATCATCATCACTGGACAAAATGACTAAAAGTATTTTAATAATTTATAATTTATATTAAAACTATAGTTATAATTTTATATTTCATTTCTGTCCATTAAAAATGCAAATAAATTACCAAAGTGGAAAATATCCTAAATTTGCTTTGGACCTCCTCCAGATCTAAAATTAATAAAAATGAATGAAGATACAATCCACTCTATCTGATAAAAAGTTAAATCTGAAGAAAGCATTAAGACTTGGTATCTTTTAAAAAATATGATACAAATATAAAATTTGATTTTACAGTCCATCACCACTCACCCAAACAGCAATATCAGCAAGTTACAAGAAGAACAGTAGGTCTATTTCAGAGTCCCAAAAAATTTAAGGTGTAAAAAATAATTTGCATACAACTTGTTCACAAAATAGAATGCATTGTAAATATGTGTGAAACTCCATGTAGTCAAGTATATATATATAATATATATTTTATATATATCGTATATATATTTTATATATCATATTTTATATATATCATACTTATATATATCATATATACGTTTTATATATATCATATATACGTTTTATATATATATCATATATGTTTTATATATATCATATATACGTTTTATATATATCATATATACATTTTATATATATCATATATACGTTTTATATATATCATATATACGTTTTATATATCATATATATATAAAATATATATATATTTTGAGATGGAATCTCATTCTGTCACCCAGGCTGGAGTACAGTGCGCGATCTTGTCTCACTGCAACTCCGCCTCCTGGGTTCAAGTGATTCTCCTGCCTCAGCCTCCCCAGCACCTGGGATTACATGTGTGCACCACTACACCCAGCTAATTTTTGTATTTTTAGTAGAGATGGGGTTTCTCCATGTTGGCCAGGCTGGTCTCGAACTCCCGACCTCAGGTGATCCGCCTGCCTCAGCCTCCCAAAATGTTGGGATTACAGGCGTGAGCCACCGCACCTGGCTGTAGCCAAGTAATTTTATCTCACACAGGAAGCTACTAAAATCTTAACTGGTCCTTGGAAAAATCTGGACCAGTGCCTTATGTTCAATAAGTCTTGTTGAGTAAATGGACGTGAGCAAGAAAAGACACTATGATGGTAATTTGCTCTTATACCTTGTACTCATTACTGAATCGTAGCAAATCTATCTCTATATCTTAATTCCACAAAGCCACTCACATTGTATTTGAGTCAAATACAAACTCCTTGCTATGGTTTGTAAATTTACATAATCTGGCCCCTGCCTATTTATCCAATTTTCTCATAATATTCTGTTTTTGTCTCTTTATCCTCCAGGCACACTAGCCAGTATTTCTGTCCCTGAAACACCACAAGCTTGCTCCTGCCTGAATTCTACTTCCCTCAATATTATGCATTTTGGCCACCAAGTATTAGTTTAAATATCACTTTTTTTTTTTTTTTTGAGACGGAGTCTCACTCTGTCACCCAGGCTGGAGCGCAGTGGCGCGATCTTGGCTCACTGCAAGCTCCACCTCCTGGGTTGATGCCATTCTCCTGCCTCAGCCTCCCGAGTAGCTGGGACTACAGGCACCCACCACCATGCCCGGCTAATTTTTTATATTTTTAGTAGAGACGGGGTTTCACCGTGTTAACCAGGATGGTCTTGATCTCCTGACCTCGTGATCCGCCCGCCTCAGCCTCCCAAAGTGCTGGGATTACAGGCATGACCCAATGCGCCCAGCCTAAATATCACTTTGATAACCCAATAAAGTAAGCACACACACAGTCAAATTAACTGATTTAAATTTTCTGTTGTTCCTTGTTGCGGATGTTCACTTGTTTATCTGTTTCTCCCTGCTACACATAAACTATAAGAGAACAGGGACAGTGTCTTATTCACTGCTATATCCCCAGGCCTGAAACAGCCTGACACAGAAAAAGCATTCAAAAGTCATGCGTTGACTTTATTAGTATTTCAAACATAAATGCTTAATTTTTACTGAGTAATGTACATGTCCCAGAGAAGTATCATCTCAGTATTTCTCTACCTGTCTTTTTAATTTTACTGTCCAGTCTCAGGAACAAATATTGAGCATGGTTTCTCTTTCAACACTGGTCTTTTATTAGCAGAAAACCTAACAGGCCAGATTAGACGATCTAAACAGATTTACATATATAGCATTTGAGAGGTGGGGTTTTGCCACTTACTGGTTATTTGGCTCAATTTCTCTTCTCTGTAGAATTAGGGACAATAAGGGTATCTATTTCACAGAATCGTTGCAAGAACAAATGGTATGTAAAATGCTTAGCACAGTACCTGACATATATAGATGTATATATATATACATACAGACGTATGTGTGTACATGTATATAGATTTTTTAAAAAGGCCCATGAACTATATTTTTAATGAAAAACTACACAAGTATATATTAAAAGGAAAGCCTAGTGTTCTGTTTATAATTATTATTATTGTTTTTTTTTTTTAGCAACAGGGTCCTACTATATTGCCCTGGCTACACTTCAACTCCTGGACTCAAGCAATTCTCTCATCTCAGTCTCCTGAGTAGTTGGGACACCACTGTGCCCAATTTCTATTTTTTAGAAGAAATTATGTTCATTCTCCACAGTATACACTCTTATCTGTAGCTTGCATTATTCACTTAATTAAGGATCTTGGAAATTACACAGTTTATCAGATCTTTCACTCCTTTAGAGTATACACGCTGTATACTCTAGTCAACCAGTCCCCAATAATTTCTAATCTTTTGCTATTTATTATAAACAAGGACTGCATGCCATACACATACACATAAGAGTAAAAAGACAGGATATAGAGTTAGGAACAAATGTGGTAAGGATATTGTATGTCAAATATTTTATTGGGCTATGCATACTTTATGTTATTTTAGGCACCCCCCCCCCCACAAAAAAAAAAACCCACTATCAGCAGGAAATCTACCCATTTACAGATCAGAAAGATTAAATTAACCTGGCCGAAGTCAGAATGCTGGTTATAACTAGCACTTCATCTAAGACTAGGGTCAAGTTCTGTGGTTCTTTTTTTTGTTTTTTTTAACTATTTAAGATGGACAGGATGAGAACAAGATTAGTTTTAAGCTCACATTTATATTAAAAATATATATGGGGTTGGGGAGAGTGGTTGTAAAAATATATCTGAAAAATACTGGATTGATATAAGCAATATTAAAGGGAGTAAAATACTTACTTGGATCATTTAGGTCTGACAAACTTGTTTTCCTTTCTTTCAAGTTTGTGATTTTGGGTATTTTTGCCCCAGGTAAAATGACTTTTCCATTAGTCTGTAAATAAGTGTGTTTACTGTCATCACAATTCACAATAATATCAATTGGAACCTTTTCCACATTGTTGCCATAAAACTTCTTGGTTGTTAATCCTGTGTTTTGTGACTTCTGTCCTCCAGAATTCTGATGAATTGACGTTCTTAATAATGGTCCAGTAGACTCATTCAAAGTAATAGCTTGTCTGCAATTTCTTTGCAAATCCTTAGAAAAAAGAACACCACAACTTTGGCATTTGGTCTGATTTTCTTTTTCCTTTCCACATTTTGAACATTCACGGTGTTCATAAACTTTAAGTTCCAAAAGAACAAAAGAAATAAAAGATTTTGGCATTTTACTGCATCATTAAGGAATCCCCTCAAAGTCTCAAAATTAAGTCCCTCTCTTCCCCATCATTACCATCATGGCTACCATGAGAGCCTAAATAAGTAATGTTAGTCGGGATTTAATATCAAAATGCTGGAAGAAATTTTCAAGACTATCTAGTCTAGCAGTCAGCTATATATAAAATAATTCTGTCTCCAAGAATCTGAGGATATGATCAAGCTGAGTACTGACTGGCTCCATTACTTTAGTATCTATAATAAAGGTAAAGAGGGCAAATCTAAATGAAAAGAATTCCATGGAAAAGTGCTGTTTCCTCTCATAAAATTGATACTAAAACAGAAAAAACACATTCCTACTATTAAAATCCCCAATATTAAAATATGAACAGAAGTATGTTCTGAGCTATTACCATATGCCTTCCATCAGCTAAGAAACATTTATCTTGGAACTCTGTGAGAATTACGAACAAAATGCAGATACACTATGCTGAATAAGATAAAAAAAATTTTCATGATAAAAACTAGAGATTAACATTTTATTAACCTAACTCTCTAAAAACTAGAATCTCAATACTGCTCTGTTTTAGTAGAGAATACTGTAAATAAATTTTCATAAAAATTTTATGTTAAGTGTAGTTTCTTTTGGAAAACAAAAACTGACTAAACCTGGACATGGTGGCTCAGGTCTGTAAGCCCAACACATTGGGAGGCTGACGCAGTAGGACTCTTTAGGGCCAAGAGTTCAAGACCAGCCTGGGCAACATAGCGACATCCAATCTCTCCAAACAAAAAAAATTGAAGAGAAAAAAAAAACTGATTAAAATCTCATTCCCTGCTTTGGTCAGTAGAAGTGGAAGGCGTTTTACAAAATTAAATAATTCCAAATTACATATCACATACTATCTGCAAGACTCTACCCATAAATAACCAACTGCACTTAATAAGTCTGTCTTTGAGACTATGTCATTTTTACTAAATATCCTAAAGATGTTAATCCCATTAAATTCACAGATCTTGTTTTATTTATTTATTTATTTATTTATTTTGAGAAGGAGATTCACTCTTGTTGCCCAGGCTGGAGTGCAA
Source organism: Homo sapiens (assembly GCF_000001405.40). Taxonomy (NCBI): domain Eukaryota; kingdom Metazoa; phylum Chordata; class Mammalia; order Primates; family Hominidae; genus Homo; species Homo sapiens. Next base: position 75,662,012 of record NC_000006.12, on the reverse strand, counting down.
TGGCGCAATCTTGGCTCACTGCAACCTCTGCCTCCAGGGTTCAACAGATTCTCCCGCCTCGGCCTCCCAAGTAGCTGGGACTACAGGTGCCCACCACCATGCTCAGCTAATTTTTGTTTTTTTAGTAGAGACGGGATTTCACCATATTGGCCAGACTGGTTTCAAACTCCTGACCTCAGGTGATCCACCACCTGCCTCGGCCTGCCAAAGTGCTGGGATTACAGGCATGAGCCACTGTGCCCGGCCCACAGATCTTGTTTTCTTACAAGTGGTACATAGTGTAGAATTTCAGAGACTATACATGGAAAGAAAAAACCACTAACCTTGTCTAGGAATTAAAGTTTACATAGAGGCTGGCTACAATTCTTTATCTCCACTAAGAAGAAAGTAAGAACAATTGGCATAGGAATAGAGTAAAAGAAGGAAGACTTCTATTAAAAAACAATTATTGCTGTGTTTAATACCTAGGTGATGTGATGATCTGTGCAGCAACCACCACGGCACACGTTTACCTATGTAACAAACCTGCACATCCTGTACATGTACCCCTGAACTTTAAAAACAAACAAACAGAGGTTTTCAGTGGGCATGTCCAGTGGACAAAAGATGTTGTATTTAGGGAGGAGCTTTCCTCCTCCTTTACCTAGGCTAAGCAGTAGGTGATATCAGCATGGCCTGAGCCAAACTTAGGTTGGCATGGCAGGACATTATCACATAAAGAAAAACTAAGCTAACAGGTAAATACACCAGGGGTGATGGGAGTCAAGTTACTTACCTCTGGAGAAGGGAGTTACAAACATGCAACGTGGGAAAAATTAAATAAACTCAGTGTTGGACTGGAATTAGAGTTATCAGTGTGAACTTATGGATTCTAATATAGATTAAATATTAATACACACACATGTATTTCTTAGCTTTGTCCACTGAGAAGGCCGAGAAACAATAATACCCATGTGAATGAACATAACTAGTGCCCAAATATGTTCCCTCCACTTAAAGGAGAAGATATTTCCTTCTCCTTGTATGCATGGCTCCTCAGAGAAATGAATGACTCTAGGGCTGAGACAGAAATACAAAATAATGGCCAGGCGCGGTGGCTCACGCCTGTAATCCCAGCACTTTGGAAGGCTGAGGTGGGTGGACCACGTGAGGTCAGGAGTTCAAGACCAGCCTGGCCAACATGGTGAAACGCCATCTCTACTAAAATACAAAAATAAGCCGGGTATGGTGGCAGATGCCTGTAGTCCCAGATACTCAGGAGGCTGAGACAGAAGAACTGCTTGAACCGGGAGGTGGAGGCTACAGTGAGCCGAGATCGCTCCACTCAACTCCAGCCTGGGTGACAGAGCAAGACTCCATCTCGGGGAAAAAAAAAAAGAAATACAAGATAAGTTAAGACCATCTTGTTATACTAAAAAGCAGAGAAGTGAATGTCATGAATGTCTTCAAAGAATGATAGGGACATGTCAGAAAAAACAGAGGCCAGCTTGAAGGGACTCACATGGAATCTGGGACAATTGAAGCATCAAGGTAAGTCATGAAACATCATGAAAGTTACAGACTATAACCCTTTTAAGTAAAGTATTCATATGTACATGCTGATATAAATGAATATATAAATATGGAATAAGAAATACTTCTAGCTCATGTTAGAAATCTTATTAATGAATTAGTCAAATACCTATTAACTGACATTGCAGTGAAGAAATCTAGAACATCTTAACTAAGGTAAAATATCATTAATGTGAAAATCAACATCGTATGTCTCCTGATGTAATGCAGTAAGATTACAGCATCATTTCTGAAGCATTCTTGAAAACTACACACATCATTTACAAACATCAGACAAACCCAATTTGAGGCACAAAGTAAGTGTCCTATACTCCTCAACAAATGCCAAGATTATGAAAAAGATAAGACTGTGAAATTATTTCTATTGAAAGAGACTAAAGATTCGCAGCAATTCAATGCAGCACATGACCCTGAATTCAATTCTATAAGCATAAAGGACATTATTTAGCTGAAATTTGAATGGGACTTGTGGATTAAATGGTAATTTTAGATCAATGTTAACTTTGAGATTTTGACAGATGTATTCTGATTATAAAAAACCAAAAACACACATACTTAAATATTAAATGGTAAATGGGCATCATGCTTGCAACTTCAACTCAAATAGTACAAAAAAATACATATACACACGTTTATGGGTAGGCAGGAGGAAGGAGGGAAAAAGGCATAGAGAGTGAGGACAATAAAGCAAATGTGAACAACAAGGAATCTGGGAGATAAATATATAGATTTTCTTCTACTATTTTTTGTAACTTTTTGGCTTCTTAAAATTATTTGAAAAAAATTCTGGCAGAGAGCAATCATTTGAAGTATGTTGCAGGGAAGCACTGATAAATTCTTTACAGAAAAATAAATTCTATATTTTGAACAAGCATAAAAATGGTCTACTGAAGGCAGAAAAAGCTGCCTAAATAAGTTTTCCAAGTCTCTTCTGGTCCTATGATAAAAGATCACCTAGAATTTAATAAGTACTGAAACTAATATTAATCAAAACACAATCTGATTAGCAACAAAGAATAATTTCTCTACTTACCTCTAAATGGGTTAAACATTTTTTTGAAGCAGGAGATAGAGGAGGAGTAGGCTGATAGGTACTACAGTGTCGTTTCTGTTGTACTTTCCTCTTAATTTCAGGCTCCACTTGTGATTCGGACTCTTCTGTTTTCTTCATTATACGTTCTAAAGGAAGGAGAAAAAAATAAACTTTAAGTTTTAGTTAAAATAAGCTAGTGTTTCAGCAAAAAAATAATCAGAACATAAGACTAAACCAATAATTATATCCTGGATTACTCTTCTCTTATTTATTTTTCACTCCTCAGCAGGATCTCCACATATGGACCACTTCATCAAGTGTATCAATATCCTCTTCACTTTATTTTGTTCTACTAAGGTAACAGAAGCCCTTCCTGTGCCTAACCACTCACATACTCACAATTCCCCTTTTTTTTTTTTTTTTTTTTTTTTTTGGGGAGACAAGGTCTCATTCTGTCACCTAGGCCGGAGTTCAGTGGCATGCTCATAGCTCACTCTAATCTCAAACACCTTAGCTCAAGTGATCTTCTCACCTCAGCCTCCAAACTAGCTGTGACTACAGGTACGTGCCACCACACTCAGCTAATTTTTTTATTATTTGTAGAGACAGGGTCTCCCTATGTTGCCCAGGCTGGTTTCCTTCTTTTTTTCCAAGTCACTTACTCTAAGAGTAGTAATGAGAAAAATCTGAATTCAAACAGTACAATTGTTTGGGTAAACGAAACTAAACTAAGCCTGCCACAAGCTAATTTTCTAACTTTGGAACACGCAAGAGAATTTTTCTCGATATTTTTTATGTAAATTTAATAATTTTCATTACAAATATAATTATAATGTTTAAATGATTTGATGAACTCCAAAACAGGCCAATTTAAAATTTACCATAATCTGACTTTATCAGCAAAGGATTAAGTATCCAAGAGGCCAAACATGTTTCTAAAACATAAGTGAAGAATCTGTAAACCAAAATAACCTGCACAAACACAGCTTTGTTAAATACTTCTAGTTTCCTATATTTAATATTCTTTTATCATTTGGTTTTTAAAAATAAGATTATGTAGACATAAAAATCAATATTATATAATATTTAATTTGATATACAACACCATCTTAAGAAACCTATAATTATTCTTGCTTAGTGCAATCACAAAGTTTCACTAAGTGATCATCACCCTCTCATTGTTTGCACGTCTATTTTCCTAGACACCAAAGCTAGAAATTTAAATAATCGATGACTACTCCTTGTCCCTTCATCTTTACTTCTAAATAGCTCTTAAGTTCACTCTGTCTTCTCCAAACCCACTGCCACTACATTTCTGACGCTTAACTCTTGCCTAAACTGATGTCCTCTATCCCAATTTTGCTCCCCTTAAATCCTTCCCCACTACTGAAAAAGTGATCTAGTTAAAAATCATGACTTTGTCATTCTAATACTCTAATTAAATTCCATCTTTTGGCAAGCAGAAGTTCCTGTTTCAATCTTACTTCCACTTAAACTTTACCTCAAAAAGGTTCATTTCTTCATGTGTTCTCTCTTTTACCCTCACATATGCTGTTCTTTTCACAAGTGAAGCTCTGCCTATGTGGTGAATTCAAACTCTTCTTTGTTAAGAAGCTGCCTCTGCCCCACTCTAGGCACAATTAATCCCTAGAGTTTTCACAGCTCTCATTTTATTGTTATTTGTACTTCTGTTCCCCCATTGTATTGCCAGCTCTGGGAAGAGCAGAAATTACGTTTTAGTCATGTGTTTTCCCAGCATCTAGAAACTACACAAGGGCTTAATAAATGTTTCCTGGATTAATGAATTACATGAGAAACATAAAACTATATGACACATAAAAAAATGAAATTACAGGGGTCGGAGGAAGAGACATTGTCACTATGTCATCTCTGAAAATGGCATTACCTTTGTGACACAGAGATAATGATTCATACACAGATATAGAACAATTAAGGACTTAGCCTCTGGCCAGAGAGTAACTAAAAAGTGCTTTTTTTCTCCCGAGATCTAAAATCTGAGGTTACAGAGCAGCTGCTCCAGTCCAGAGCATCCAGGTATTATTTTTATGAAGGCTAAGTTACTTTGTTGAAGAGCTATGATGTGACACTATAAAAAGAAGGCAGACATTTTGGAATTCGGAAAATAAACACAGTTGTCTGAAACACACAACCAATTATTTGAAAAACTTAATTTACAGTAAAGCAGTCTTAAAACATAAGCCCCTACAAGCTTTTTTGGCCTTACTAAATTTGATAATGTACCCAAAGGAAAGCTTTTTCCTTATAAACATACTTCATTAATCTTTTTAAGCCACACAGTATCTTTGCACATTATTTTGCTCAAACATGTATCTAATTAGTTTTCTGCTGCATCCTGGAGACTGACATTTAAAAAAACAATATCATTTCATCCTGATTATGTAATCACACTCTTCTCTTCACCATACCTATAACATCATGTCTATGTCACATTTTCTCTACCATCATAACAAAGAGGGAAACAAATGTCCAAAGCTTTGATATAATTCAAAATTTTAATTGATAATAGGTAGAGAAAAATGACATTAAAATTCTGATCCCTACCTAAATCAAGGTTATTTATAAGGCTCTGAAAGAAAGAGAAAAAGGAAGGAATGACATAATTAAGAAAGTTAAGCTGAGACTTTTGAAACCAATGTCATGAGGAGAAATGGTAAATGATTGATAGTGTTATAGGAAACTAGATCTATAGAGAGTTAAGAAAAAAACACAAAAATGTTAGCCTCAGGGTTAAGAAATTCCATTAGGATTCCATTTTCTAGGGAAAGAAGAGAAAAACACTTGAGAAGATTTGGTAACTCAAGTAAAAATGAACTAGTCTAAAATTACAGCAGAAACATAAAATGGCAAAAAGCTTAAGATTGGACTGGTTCAAGGATGGCAAATACTTAGTAAGTGGCCTGTGGAAGTTTTACTAGCTAACTGATCACAGAAGTGATTTTTGCTAGGCTGATGTAGCCTCAAATCCTCAACAGATTACTCCAGAGAAGTACTTAAGACAAAAACCATGTGACATTATGCTGAATCCCTCTTACAGGGATGAGAAAGAGAATAAAGAGTATTTACCAAAGACCCTGCGGTAGGAACATGAAGATTAGGATACTCCCTACTAGATTTTGTAGCTCAATGTGTATTCTTTTTTTTTTTTTTTTTTTGAGACGGAGTCTTGCTCTGTCGCCCAGGCTGGAGTGCAGTGGCGCAATCTCGGCTCACTCAACCTCTGCCTCCCAGGTTCAAGCAATTCTCCTGCCTCTGCCTCCTGAGTAGCTGGGATTACAGGCATGCGTCACCATGCCTGGCTAGTTTTTGTATTTTTAGTAGAGACAGGGTTTCGCCACGTTGGCCAGGCTGGTCTCGAACTCCTGGCTTCAGGTGATCCACCCACCTCGGCCTAAGTGCTGGGATTACAGGCATGAACCACCACGCCCAGCCTAGCTCAATGTCTTTTTAAATACACTACACTATTTCCAGGTATGCACAAAAGGGGAGACTATGGAAGATATTACTGGGTAAGAGTGATCTATATACAGGTTCGATATAAATAGAAGACATTTAAAAAATCAAGTTAAAAAAAGATCCTTCATAAAAAGAATGTTCATAGCAGCTTTATTCTTAATAGACAAAAACTGGAAACAACCCAGGTGTTGTTTATCGATTATTTATATTATCGATTATCAGGAAAATCGATAAATAACTTGTTATACTCATACAATGCAATGTTAAAAAGAAACAAACTATTGATGCAAGCACCAGGATGGATGAGTCTCAAAATAAGATCCTGAATGAAAGAAGCCTCACATAAGAGTATATAGTGCATTACTCCATTTACATGAAGTCCTAGAACAGGTAAAATTAATCTATGCTAGGAAAAATCAGAACAATGGTTACATTTGAGGGGGAAGAGGTAGGGACTAACTGTGAAAGAACATGAGGGAACTTTCCTAAGGTGCTGATACCATTTCTACTATGTCTTCATGGGGATTTTGGTTAGAAAGGGATATGTAGTTTTCAAATTTTATATACTTAAGATTTATGTATTTCATTGTAGTAAATTTTATTTCAAAAGAAAGAATGTGAGGGTGATCTGGCTGCGACATCTGTCACCCCATTGATCGCCAGGGGTAACTGGGCTGATCTGGCTGGCTAGGTGGGTGTCCACTTCCTCCCTCATCGCTCCATGCGCATCCCTTCCAAAGCTGCACACTGGGTGAAAGAGGACGACCATCCCCAATAGAGGAGGACCGATCTTGGTTCAAGGGTATACAAGTAGCTGTGCTCCCCTGCTAGAACCTCCAAACAAGCCCTCAAAAGAAAATAAACTGTAAACAAATATTGAACTCTAGTTAATAATATGCCCACTGAAGTGTTTAGAAGTATACCAGGCGTCTACAATCGACTTTAAAATGCATCAAAAAATAAGATGAATTAACGTAGTAAGGGATGACTAGATGGACATGTCATAAAACAAGAACAGAAAAGTGTTAATTATATCTATCTACCACATAGATATACACATGTTCACTGTAGAAGTCTCAACTTTTCTGCATAAACATTTTCATAATAGAAGTTGTGGGAGAAGCAGGGTAAGGAAGAGGCTTAACTTTCTTATTTGAGATTTTAGTTGTGATACTACTAATACGCTGAAAAATAAGTACCCAGACGACAGTGATAGAATACAAACTGTTATCTTTATAATGATTATGTATTTGCTTTTACATTATTTTTTATAATTTTTCAAAAGAGAAAGACAAACTAGAAAAATGGTTTTCTCCATCATGTAGCTGCTACTGATTTTCAGTGTAAAATAAAACTAAAGTCATGTATCTATCACATTCTCATTATCTTCTTTAAAAATCACTTCTGGCTAAATACTATACTTTTGGCATACAGGATTTTGTAAAAACTCTTTAGCATGACAATCTACCTCTACCTACTTCTATGGCTTCAACTCTGGCTATCCTCTACCCATTCTCCAATCAAATACATTATTTGTTCAAATAAGATGAGACTCTTTCACCTGTTGTGCCTTTGCATTCCATCCTCATTAGGTGCAAAGCTTTTCCTCCTCGACTTGGTATGTCAAATTCCAGTGATTCAAAACTCAGCTTTACTTATGTTTTGCTTTGTTTTTGAGATAGGGTCTCACTCTGTAGCCCAGGCTGGAGTGCAGAGGCGTGATCACAGTGCCTCAACCTGTGCTCACTGCAGCCTTCACCTGACGGGCTCAAATGATCCCCTCACCTCTGCCTCTTGAGTAGCTGGGACTACAGGTGCTCATAACCACACCTGGCTAATTTTTTTTTATTTTATAGAGACAGGGTCTCACTATGCTGGCCAGTCTGGTCTTGAATGCCTGGGCTCAAGTGATCCTCCCACCCTGGCCTCCCAAAGTGCTGGGATTACAGGTGTGAGCCACCATGCTTGGCCTCATCTTTGTGTGTGAAGATTTAATTAAAACTCCAGAAAAGGGCAGTGACCACTCCTTTATGATACCACATTTTAAATTGGCTTTTACATACTACTTTCTGACTCTACAACAGTATGTTTACAAGTTTGTAGTCTATCTAGCCGTGGAGTTTCCCAAGAACAGACACTGTCATTTTATAGGGGCACAAGGCCAGCTTGAATTAATAATCATACCTAACTTTAAGATATCAGTGGAAAACTTACAAATATATTTGCAAAATAAACTAGTTAAAAAAAAAAAACACAACATTCCAAAAACATGAGAAAAAATGTTGAAATTGATTCCTAGAGCAATTTATTAAATACTTCAGTAGGCATTCCTGACATTCACCCAAACGCATTGAGGGAAAACAAGGTTAATTAATAAAATAATGCTGTTAAATAAAAATGATGTACATGTAAAAACATGTAAATAAATAAAAATAAATCTACAAGGACTTTTGGAAAATAAAGGTGAATATTTTTAAAATCCCAGGGTTGGAAAAGCTTTACTAAATACAATACTAAGGAAACCCAACTTTAACAACAGATTCAACTACAATGTACTATTTGACAACATTAGAAAAAAGTAAGGCCAGGCACAGTGGCTCATGCCTGTAATCCCGCCACTTTGGGAGGCCGAGGCGGGGGGATCACCTCAGGTTGGGAGTTCGAGACCAGACTGACCAACATGGAGAAACCCTGCCTCCTCTAAAAAATACAAAATTAGCCAGGCAGACTGGCCCAGGCCTGTAATCCCAGCTATTCGGGAGGGTGAGGCAGGAAAATCGCTTGAACCCGGGAGGTGGAGGTTGCGGTGAGCTGAGATTGCGCCATTGCACACCAGCTTGGGCAACAAGAGCGAAACTCCGTCAAAAAAGAAAAAAAAGAAAAGAAAAAAGTAACAGAAAAACCACAAAATGGAAAGATATATACATCAAAGATAACAAAGAGTTGCTAAATAAGTAAGAAACAGGCAAAGGACACATAAATAAATGGGCAGACATAAATAAAATAAATTCAAATGGCCATTAATCATGTAAGTAAGATATCTCACCAGTTATGAAGAAAATATAAGAAAAACATTTTGATCAGACTGGCAAAAACTAAAAGAATGATAATAATCTAATGTTGCTGAAAAGCAGGAGAAAATAGGCCAACTCAAATAATACTGTGTTGGGAGCTAACCATCTTTACACAAGGCATTTTTTTTCTTTTTCTTTTTTTTTTTTTTTTTTTTGAGATTTTTAGTAGAGATGGGATTTCACCATGTTGGCCAGACTGGTTTCAAACTCCTGACCTCAAGCGATCCACCTGCCTCGGCCTCCCAAAGTGCCAGGATTACAGGCGTGAGCCACCGCGCCTGGCCACACAAGGCATTTTGGCATTAACGTATCAAGTCTTAAAAATCTGTATATCATTTGTCCCCCAAATTTTATTTCTAGGGATCTGATGCAAAGAAATAGATCAAATATATAAAAAGCACGTACCAGTACAGTAATAATATTTTAAATGTCAAAACATTGAAAACAAATTATGCCACATAAACATAGTGGGCCACTGCACATTTATTTAAAAAAAAAGATTATAGAAACTTGGATATAAAAATTTGCAGCTGGGCGTGGTGGCTCATGCCTGTAATCCCAGCACTTTGGGAGGCTGAGGCAGGCGGATCACGAGGTCAAAAAAAAGTTGTAAGGAAGTCCTCCATAAATTTAAGAATCCATTTGATTCTTTTTATTTTTCTGAGATATGGTCTCACTCTGTTGCCCAGGTTGGAGGACAGTGGCGCGATTGTGGCTCACTGCAATCTTGACCTGCTGGGCTCAAGTGATCCTCCTGCCTCAGCCTCCCAAGCAGATGGGACTACAGGCACACGCCACTATACCCGGCTAATTTTTATATTTTTTTGGAGAGTTAGGGTTTCACCATGTTGCCCAGGCTGGTCTCAAACTCCTGGGCTCAAGCGATCCTCCTGCCTTGGCCTCCCCAAATGCTGGGATTACAGGTGTGAACTACCATAGCTGGTGCATTTGATTCTTAAACTTCCTTTAATTGTGTTTTCCATGCTGGTTCCATGTCTGTCATCTTTTAATGAGAGTGTAAAAACTAGATATCATAAAGTCAGAAAGCAAGTTACATACAGAACAGTACATACAGTATGAATATTATGTATCAATTTAAAAATGAGTATATGTGCATAGAAAAGATCTGGAGAGTTATATATTAAAATATTAACAACAGCTACCATGACTGGTTGAAAGTTAATATGTGGCCAGAGCAGTGGCCCAAACCTGTAATCCCAGCACTTTGGGAGGCTGAGGCGAGCAGATCGCTGGAGCCCAGAAGCCTGACAGCAAACTGGGCAACACGGTGAAACCTTATCTCTATAAAAAATACAAAAAATTAGCTGGATGTGGCAGCATGCGCCTGCAGTCCCAGCTACTTGGTGGAGGTGGGAGAATGATGTAAGACTAGGAGGTCGAGGCTGCAGTGAGCCATAATCATGTCACTGTACTCCAAGCCTGGGTAATAGAGCAAGACCCTGTCTCAAAAACGAACAAAAAGCAAAAGTTAACATGTGTTAAGCAGTGCTAAATTAGGTGATTGAGTTGTAATTACATAATGTAATTACATGAAGAATATAATTAAATGTACATTCAGGGACAATATATGTCTGTTCTCTCTAACAAGGATACAAAAAACAGGCTGAAAAAAAAGGGAGTTTAAGAAACAAATGAGAGAGTAGGTGGAGAGAAAAATGAGATCTTAACGGTTGTTATTCTGTATGTTTAGAAAAAATTTTTAAAGCAACTAAATAAAAAAGCAACAGGACTTGTGGTCTGACCAAAAATTACACTTAATGGTTTACAAACTTTAATTTTATAGTAAAGAACTGCTTATCATGCTGGTAAGTACTGATATGTGGCTATAACTTATAAAAAAATATACTAAGTGCCTCAAATTCAAAATAAAGAAGGCAAAGAGAACAATAAAGAAAATCACCTTGAGTGTTAACTATAGAAAGACCATGATATCGTTTAGGAGAAAATTATGCTAAGTGTTATGCAAGTAATTAGTGATCTTGTGGTTTGAAATCTCAATGTTTTAAAAGTTATCTCCAAAGGAAATCTTGAAATAAAATGCAATCTTCATATAACAATATATACAGTATTATTATAGCATTGCTATTTATCCTACACCCAAGCATACATGTACCTACCTAACACAAAAGAAGCTGAAAACAAAGTTTACAAGTTAAATACATCAACATTCCTCTCCTAAGGTTTACAAGTATTACTCATAAAACCCTCATTTATTAATAATGAGTCCACAGCTATAAATAATTAATAATCATCAATAAATATATCAGGAAGGTACAGATCTTCCCTACAGACGATTTCCAATCAATAAATGTAAAAGAAATGAAGAAAACAGAAAATCAACATTAGACAAACATTAAGCAGTAACTGATGCCAGCAAGACCCACCAATGGATGCTAAAATCAGTGGGTGAAAGTTTGAAGAAAAACAGGGTATTTGCACAGTTTCAGAGTATATCTCTTCTAAAATCTTTATTAAGCACCAAGGGAAAAACGGTAATTTTACAGTGAAAAAACCCAGCAGAGAGTATCTTAACCAAATGATCATGGTTAACACTACCAATCCTAAGACATATTCAACATCATGTAACCCCTAAAATGATGCACTGAGAATGCCACAACATCATTTCTGTGGAAGTCTTGCCCCAAATGCATAGCCTTAATCTAATCCTAAGACATCATCATCACCAAATTGAGAGGCATTATACAAAGCAACTGACTAGTCTTCAAAATCGTTAAGGAAACTAAGAGAACATGACAAATGCTATGTGGGATCACAGAATGAATCGTGGAACAGAAAAAGGATATTAGTGAAAAGCTAGTGAAATCTAAATAAGTTCTACAGCTTAGTTAAGAATCTTATACCAATTTCTTAGTTTTGCTAAGTGTACGAGGATTATAAAATACTAACATTAAGGGAAGCTGTGTGAAAAAATAAACGTATGTCTCTGTATTAAATTTGCAAATTTTCTCTAAGTCTAAAATTATTTCAAAATAATAGGTTAAGGGCCAGGCGCGGTGGCTGACGCGTGTAATCCCAGCACTTTGGGAGGCCGAGGTGGGTGGATCACGAGGTCAGGAGTTTGAGACCAGTCTGGCCAACATGGTGAAACTTCGTCTCTATTAACAATACAAAAATTAGCTGGGCTTGGTGGCAGGCGCCTGTAATCCCAGCTACTCGGGAGGCTGAGGCAGAGAATTATTTGAACCCGGGAGGCGGAGGTTGCAATGAGCTGAGATCACACCACTGCCTTCCAGCCTGGGCTACAGAGTGAGACCCCATCTCAAAAAACAACAACAACAAACAAACAAACAAAACCCAAGTTAAAAGAACAGTAAATAAGCATGCTCTTTTTTCTCTTAACTTGAATATGCTTATTTACTTAATGAATGCTGTTGAATAAACTTTAAAAATTATTGGTAACAAGCCTGGCTGATAGGCATCTAAAACCATTATTAGTGGGCCAAATCACTTAACATCTTTGAAATGCTTTTTTTTTCACTTTTGAGACCAAGTCTCACTCTGTCACCCAGGCTGGAGCGTAGTGATGCGATCTCGGCTCACTGCAACCTCTGCCTCCTGGGTTCAAGCGATTCTTGTGTCTCAGCCTTCCGAGTAGCTGGGATTATAGGTATGTGCCATCATGCCCAGCTAATTTTTGTATTTTTTTTTTTTCCAGTAGCGATGGGGTTTTGCCATGTTGGCCAGGCTGGTCTCGAATTCCTGACCTCAGGTGATTGCCTGCATCGACATCGTAAAGTGCTGGGATTATAGGTGTGAGCCACCATACCAGGCCAGAAATGCATTTGTTAAAATAAAAATAATACCTTTTGTACAGTTCTGAGGATTAGTAGTAACCTTCTTTGTGACAGAGCAAGAATATAGTAATGTACAGTGTTTAAGAGTGGGATTTGGCATCAAACAGACATGGGTTCCAATACCAGCTCTGTCATTTACTAGCCCTATGTCCTTGAGGAAGTTTTTTAGCTTATAGGGATCTTCAACAGAAAGCTAGGATAAAAGTAAATAATGAATGCAAAGCACTGGACTAAGCATATAGCAGAGTAAGAGCTCAATAAACATTTAAGGTATAACAGAATAAATGCTGAAGAGAGTAGTCACTATTACTAAACTTAATAAACTTAGTAAGCTTAACTATGCTTAGTATGTAAAGTATAATAATTCACATCTATAAAGACTGTTCATTATTAAGAAAGGATGAAATGTTTGGAATATTCTCTTTATGAAATAGAGAAATGTTCAATACATGCACAAAAGATTTTCACCCAAAGTAGAAAAAAAAATGTGGGTGTTTTTTAAAAGCACATTCTAAGCTATCAGAAAAACCTAGCTTTTAAAAATTATTCTATTTTGGAAGTAAGAGCCATCAGAGCTATTTAAACAAACAAAGGCCTCAGAAAAACAAGATGGACACACATTAAGAATCATTATTCCAGATAATGAAAACTGATTTTATGATGATATATTTTTTATAAATGTTATTTGCCCTTATTTTATTTTTTGGATTAATAACCAGTATATTGAAAAATATTTCAATATGAATATAAATACTTACTCACCATGATTTTCCAGTATCTACTATTAACACAGTTTTAGCAGGTGTGGTCTCTTTTTAATTGAGTGTTTCCCTAATGTATTCTAAATTTTAGAAGCAAAACCAGTAAGTGGAAACACAATTACATAATACATTATAACATAGTTCAATAAAACTCAATTTCAAAGCTATAGCTCAACTACAGTTACACTATTTGCAAATTTGTAACATAGCAAAAATGCTAAAATAATCAAAAGATTTCAAACTGTAATCACCTAACTGTGCAACTGTTCCAGGTATCAGGTTACCATTGAAGAAATTCTCAAATCAGTTACAAAAAAATGGTTTTCTACATATATATCTATTATACCTGGGAATATTCTAAAGCCAGCATCGTATCTCCATTGTACTTTTCATACAGCAATTTGAAATCCTTCACAGGTGTAACAAAACTGCACACTTACCAACACCTTGGAGCCGACTTAACCTTACAGGATTAATTTCAACTTTTTGGACATGAGGTGGGTATTCTTTCCTAAAAAAGAAATTTATGTAGTTTTATTCTAACAGGAAATACAGTTTTCAAAATGAAAAAGTTAATGGCATACTTACAATAAGCCTATTAAAAGCAAATCATAGCTTCTTTGCCATATAAAAAGTGATACTATAAAATAACAAAACTATACCAATAAATGAAACTCAATTTGTAAAATTTTACTGTATTTTTTAGTTGTTTAAAAACAAATTAATAAATAAAGGAATAAATGTTGAATGAGATTGTCTTGAGGACAATTCCAAAATCAGAACAAAAAACGTTACGTACAAGATCAGCAATCGTGGAACAAGTATTTAGTCTTGTAGTATGATTACATTATGTCAGGGGCTATAAAGTATGTTTGTTGTAAAGTATTAAATTCCTCTCTTAAACTTCAAATACACACAATATCAAGGATTTTAAACATAATCCTTAGTAACTAAGTACTATATCTAAATACTACATCCAAATACTGTATCTATTTAAACACAACACTAATTTTGGGGGAAAAAAGCAAAATTTGGGGGGAAAAAAAGCAAAAACCTTATAGCTAATTGTATAAAAGCGCATCACAGAAGGGGAACTACAAAAAGTGCAACAGACCAGGGAGCTACAATAGCTACTTTCCTACTCTAAATAAACCACATAAAAATAAAAGAGGCTATTTATTTGTAATTCTATTCACACTGGTGATCTAGTAATGTAAATCATAGCTTTCATTTCATTAAAATCATTTTACTCAAACAAAAGTTCCAAAGAAATTTTCTTGCAAGAATTTCAAATTCTTATATTACAAAAAGTCAAGGCACTTGAACTGAAAACAAAATATGAAAATAACAAAAGAAAAAGTAATATGGGTGGAGATAGTAGTGTACTTACTTTTTTTTTTTTTTTTGAGACGGAGTCTCGCTCTGTCGCCCAGGCTGGAGTGCAGTGGCATGACCTCGGCTCACTGCAAGCTCCGCCTCCCAGGTTCATGCCATTCTCCTGCCTCAGCCTCCCGAGTAGCTAGGACTACAGGCGCCCACCACCACGCCCAGCTAATTTTTTGTATTTTTAGTAGAGATGGGCTTTCACTGTGTTAGCCAGGATGGTCTTGATCTCCTGACCTCGTGATCTGCCTGTCTCAGCCTCCCAAAGTGCTGGGATTACAGGCGTGAGCCACCGCGCCCGGCTGACAGTAGTGTACTTATAATAGCAGTCAGAAAATAGCATCATGTGCCATGTGTGCTTTGTATTTATTAATTCCTTTAATCCTCACAATAAACTTATATAACATATTAATACTTTATACATGAAAAAATTGAAATGCAATAAGGTTAATCAACTTGTCCATGGTCACACAATTATTAAATAGCAATGCCAGAATCTGAATCCCAGCAAATTGCACCAATATCAAGCAGAGCAACATCTGGTAAAACTGGGCAATTTCCACACTGAAAAATTTGAAATTTGTGAAGATATGCATTATGAAAATGAGAATTTGCCTGAGATGTAGTAGTAACAGTCTTATAAGAAAGAAGGTAGGTTTTTAGTTCCTAACTTGGGATTAAAATAAAATGCATATTTTCAAATTCCATACACTTTCACACTAAAGAGAATATAATATAGTCTTATTTCCAAATCCAGGTTTACCTAGATTTAGTAAAAACAATTGACATAAATCATCTGAGACAGTAAATCATACATGCATGTATAGAGATTGATGAAACTGTTATATTAATGCAGTGCTCTTGCAATTTGAACTTGTGTACTGAGCCATCTTTGCTAATGAGGGACAACATGCTGAATACATCATATGATAGCTACAATCTTACCAAGTATTGTAACATTAAACTAATGTGTATACTTCCCTGTATTTCCAGAATTTATGGCCACTGTTTTCAATATTTGCTATATTTTTTCCTATAAAAGCAGGGCAAATTAAAGTTCTGTTTTTTAAAAATTATAATAAAGAAACAGAGTATCTTAAATACAAGAATATAAACATTTCAAGATAAAAATGTTTGATAAACTACCTAGCCATATATTATTTTCTCCAAAATTCAGTTTTAAAACCTTTTTGCTAGATGATCTAAAATGAAAATTTACATTAATTTCTTTCTTTCTTTGAGACAGAGTCTGGCTCTGTCACCAGGCTGGAGAACAGTAGCGTGCGCAATCTTGGCTCACTGCAACCTCTGCCTCCCGGGTTCAAGTGATTCCCATGCCTCAGCCTCCTGAGTAGCTGGGATTACACGTGTGCGCCACCATGCTGTGCTAATTTTTGTTATTTTTAGTAGAGATGGTGTTTCACCATGTCAGCCAGGCTGGCCTCGAACTCCTGGCCTCAAGTGATCTGCCTGCCTCGGCCTCCCAAAGTGCTGAGATTACAGGCATAAACCACCACACCTGGCCAGCATTTACATTAATTTCTTAATTTGAGGATTCCATTACTCTTGCAGGTATAAATTTCAAATTCCAAACTCATTGAAAATCAAGCCTAGGATTTAATCTCAAAGTGGCTATTTCTTTTCTACCCCTAACCAACCAGAGGCAGAGAAGCTCTACTGTCATCTGCTGTCTTCCTGTGTAGGTGGGTAGCATTTTTGCTTCTTAGGGTTTGCGTTTGTGTAGCTTCAGAGGTCCCATTTCATAAACCCAAGATTTTTACAAGCTGTTTAAAATGAACTAGAGAGCATTTATTTCTCTATCCTGAATTGTTTAAATAACATCAGAATGCTCTGTTCATTAAAAGTTCGATAAGCCTCAGTGGTGAAAGTCTATTTTTTGTAGTAAACTAAGTTTGAAATAATTTTAGATTTGCAGAAAAGTTACGAAGACAATTCAGAATACCCTTATATCTCTTACCCTAATGTCAACACCTTAATATTGCCATCACACGTCAAAAAAGAAACCAACACTGGTACACTATTACGAACTAAATTCTAGCCTTAGAAATTTACCGGCTGGGCAAGGTGGCTCATGCCTGTAATCCCAACACTTTGGGAGGCCAAGGCCGTCAGATCACTTGAGGCCAGGAGTTCGCGGCCAGACTGGCCAACATGGCGAAACACCGTCTCTACTAAAAATACAAAAATCAGCCAGGCATGGTGGTACATGCCTGTAATCCCAGCTACTCAGGAGGCTGAGGCACAAGAATTGCTTGAACCTGAGAGGCAGAGGTTGCAGTGAGCCAAGGTTGCACCATTGCCCTCTAGCCTAGGCGACAGAGCCAGACTGTCTCAAAGAAAAAGAAAACAAAAAAAAAAAAAAGAAAGAAAGAAATTTACCAGCTATTTACTAATACCCCATTTTTGTTCCAGGATCCAATCTAGGATACAATGCATTAAGTCATCATGTCTCCTTAGTCTCCTCTCTTGTGTTTTTCAGTATTTAGAGAGAACTCGTCAGGTATTTCATAGAGTGTCCCTCGGTCTAAGTTATAATCCAATTGTTATCAGTTTGGGCATTTGGGAGCCCTTTTAGTTGGCTCCCGTTTCCCTTTGATGTAACTACATCCTTTTGGTGTTTTTTTTTTCTTTTTTACTGTGATAAAACATACACAGTTTACAAGAATATGAAATGCTTTACTAATTCGTGTGTCATCCATGCTAATCATCTCTCTATTGTTCCAATTTTAGTACAGGTGCTTTTGAAGTGGGCACTCTTAATTTTTTGAACATTTTCTAGGTTTCTGATACCATACTCATTCTGTGTCTTACCTATCACAACCCCAGAATCAGCCATTTCTCCAAATTCCTTTTAGTGGAGAGTGGTATTTAGAAACCAGGATCTGGACACCATTTCTCTTTTTGTTATTGTTGTTTGCCTTGCTTTAATGATAGCTCTTTTTATTAATTTTTCCATTATTATAAAAGATGGCCAAATACATACATTTCTATGAAAATGAATCAAGTCTTATTTATTTTACAGTTAAAATTCATTATTCCTATTTAACTGATAAACCAGTTTAATTTTCAAGATGTATTAAAGTCTCCCACAATTGTATTCTATTGTTTTCATTTTTTTGAGATGGCGCCTTGCTGTCACCCAGGCTGGAGTGCAGTGGCACTATCTTGGCTTACTGCAACCTTCGCCTCCCAGGTTCAAGCAATTCTCATGTCTCAACCTCCCGAGTAGCTGGGATTACAGGCGCATGCCATCACACCCGGCTAATTTTTGTATTTTTAATAGAGGCGGGGTTTTACCATGTTGAATTTCTTGAATTTTAACTATTTTAGGGGAGGCTTTACATTTATTTGTTATGTTCCCATAAACTGTGCCTATTACAAAATGTGCTCCTTTATCCTGTCTACTGCTTTTAATCCTTAACTCCATCTCCCTTGTAATTAAAATTCCACTCATGCTTTCTTTTTGTTTGCATCTCTTGTGGCTTTAAACTTACTTTCACATTGTTATTTTAGTATGATGCTTGTAAACAATGTAGTATAGCTGGGTTTAATCAAATCAGCATGTCTTTTGTTAAATATACTGACTACAGTTATTATAACTACTGATAGGACTTGTTTTCATTTTACTCTATTACTTTTTATATTTCTATTTATGTTTATTATTTCATTTTGTTTCCTCTTTTCTCCTATTTTTATACAACACTGTTTGCACAACATACTCTTTTGCTTCCTTACTGAATTTAACAAATGAATATAGTTACCTTCCCTCTCAATGCTTATTACAGTTACCAAGATTCAAATGATTTCCTCAAGCAAATTATATTATATCCCTAATGGGATGAGACCTTCAAAATCTTTTTATTTTTCCACCTTAACCCTTCCAATCCCCACCTCCCCCACCAAAAAGATTGGTTTTACCTCTGTCTTTCTACCTCCCCAACTCCTAGACCTTGCTGAGATAGTTTTGAGTACTTACAGACTATTACTGATTTTCCTTTGTAACACACCTCCATTTAGAGAGGAACTTGCCCAGCCTTAACTGATTGCCACTGATTTAAACTTCTATTTATGCCAAATTATAAATCACATGCAAAAGACTGTGTTTAAAAATCTCAAATATTTATCAGGTAACAATACTTCCCTATCTCAAATGCTCTGAAAGCTTCTATCGCACTAATATAAAATCCAAATGCTTCAGATCACCTTACAAAAACCTTTTATGACGTAGGTCCCAGCCAGTCTCTCCAAACCCGTCTCATAACATTGTCTCCTTTCCTCTCTAAGCTCCAGCCTTAGTGGCCCCTTTTTTCTGTTCTTTGACATGCCAAACTCATTCCTGGATTAGTAACTTAGCACAACCTCTTCCCTATCTGGAAAAGCCATTCTTATGATCGTGGCACTGCCAATTCCCCATTTAGTCTTTAGTTAAATGTTAGCTTCATAGTAAAGAGTTTCCCTGAATATGCGATTTAAAGAAATCATACTGTCAGTCTATCACATCAACCCATTACACTTCTCTACATGGAAATTATTATTTCATGTTTTACTTGTTCAGTATTAGTCTTTGTCCCATAAGAATGTAAACTACAGGACTGCGGGGATCTTGTCTGCTTTGTTCATCACTGTATCCTTATGCAGGATGCACTGTATCCTGTAACAGCAGGTTCGATAAATACTTGGAATGAATAAAAGCGTATGCCTAAAAGGCAGCATGTAATCAAAAATATATTTACCATTTCAAACAATTGTAGAAACATTGCTGTCCATGTCATCACCAAGGATGGTAATGCTGTCAAAACTGAAGCACTGGCCACCATGCCCATGCAGAGCCATCACATAGCAATTCAAAATATTAATCCATCAGCTGATGTACAAATGTCAAAATTCAGGCATTTGAAAGGCACTATAGACTCGTTTTTTTTTTTAATTGATTCAACAGTTTGGTTGGAAATTAAAAATAGCTGGACTTTCCAGTTTGTTTACTGTCTTACTACCTACTCCAGGCCAATTATTTTATTTTTTTGTAGAGACAGGGCCTTCCTATGTTGCCAAGGCTAGTCTGGAACTCCTGGGCTCAAGAGATACTCCCGCTTTGCCCTCCCAAAGTACTAAGATTATAGGTGTGAGCCACCTTGCCCAGTCCAGCTACTCTTATGGATACCCACTTTAGAACAATTATGATCATTTTACTTTGAAATGTTCAAAGAAATGTGTGTGTTTTCTTAAACACTTTTCCATGCCATTTATACCATTCAAATATCCTCTAAAAGAACAACATGTGTCTGCCAGTGTTCTTACAAAGAGAACAAATAATGATAGAAGACTGATCACAAAATTCTCTTACAAACCTTTCAGTCAGAAGAGAATACACTTGATGTTTAAAGTTTTAACTCTAAGCTTAAGGTGTTTAATACATTTCCCTCTCCCTCCCCCAGTCTATTAAAGCATAAAAACAAGGGTATTATCACTAAAATATAATGATAAAGATTTTGATGATGTAACTGAAAGCAATTTTACTACTAAAGCACTGAAATATTCTATTTTAAAAGAAAGGAGTCACTTATTAGCATAAATATATATAACCATTATAGAAAAATGTACATTCAGAATGAGCCTCAAATACCACCTATATAAGCCAAATACCATGTTGTACTGTCAACAAGTTTCCTTTTATTATAGAGAGTAGAACTGTGGATACTGTAGGCTGGGAAGGGTAGGGGAGGAGAGGATGGAGGGAGGTGGGTTCACAAATACAAAATTACAGCTAGACAGGAAGAATGAGTTCTCACTTTCTGTGGCACTATAGGGTGAATATGGTTAACTATAATTTATTTTATGTTTTCAAAAAGCCAGAAAAAGGGACTTTGAATGCTGACAACACAAAGGAACAAAAAATGTTTGAGGTGATGGATATACTAATTACCCTGATCTGATCATACACATTGTATACCTGTATTGATATATTACTCTGTATCCTATAAATATGTACAATTATTACATGTCAACTAAAACTTTAAAATTAAAAAAAGCTTTAATTATAAACTCTAATTCAACCAATATTTTTCAAAACATATAAATAATTTTATATTTTACCACTATATCCATGCTCTAATTTCTTCAATATTAAGCTTACCTTTCTTTTCGGTCCAGACTGCTTAAAACATGAAAAAGAAAAAAAATATAAGAGGCAAGACCTCATTGTTGATATATCACTGTAGTTGCAGTAACTATAGTCATTAAGGCAAAATTATACTGTGATCAACTTGTTTTAAATACATTATATATATATAATATACTATGTTTTGAGTCATGTCTAAATTGTTTTTCGATTTCTGTCAATATACAAAATAAACAAACAGGAAGATGAATACACAAAAATATAAAAAAATCTTAAAAGGGCTTTAACTATCAAATACTTGAAGATATGTTAGAATACAATATTCCCTGCTATTCTCTAACGATCCTTTCCAAGACCCCCAATGGGTGCCTGAAACTGATGATAGTACCGAATCCAATATACCAAAATGAAGCATTGGTAAAAACATTTCATAAATAAAATGGGTGTCAACCACACTTTCTGATTACATTGCCAGAAGACGAGCAAATGTTTTTGTGAGCACATGGGTTTTTTGCTCTGTATACTACACCTGGTTTTATTATATGCCCGAGAGTGTTGCTACATAGCAGAAGAGTTAGCTTGTCCTTTCATGTTTAATGCCATGGTACCTCCTTTGTACTTTTATAAATAGTATGTACTTCCCTCACCTGGACATAATTCTCAATATCTGAAAAATTCAATAATGTTATCATAGCAAATTCAGAAACAACTTCAGTATCTACTAATAAGGGAATGGTTAAATCAAACCACAAATAAGGAGGAGACTACTGTTGTTACAGAAATAGTCTTCAAGAAACAATAGCATTTCCTAGAAGTTATAAAATTTTTACTGGTTCCAGACTGATCCTAATATCAGGTATGATTATTTCCTTTGGAGTAAGAAAAAAAATTTTTTAAGGCTGAAATTTTTGCACAAAAGTCTTAGATTAAATATGGTATATGATTTGGGACACAAGGAAAAGCCTATAATTTAAAATCTTGGCTTCTTATCACAAGTCCAATGTATAAAAGTTCCACCCTTCTCCATAGTTCATGAAAACTCCAAAAAGCTATTAACATCAATTACTCGAGAATGAAATTATATAAGCCCTCAATTTAGAATAAAATGAGATTCATGTCTAATATTATTTATCCTTATTATAAAAGGAATGAAATATTTGGAACTAACTGTAAGCAAAGCATAATTTACAAAATCCCCAAATTCCTATATCAATTCTTATACTCCTATCATGTGGAGTATGCAACTAAAATACCAATTTAATCCTAGCAAATGAAGAAAAAAAATATAGTAACTTGTTTTTACATGAACACATTAAAAATATACAAATTTAAAAAAAATTTTCAAAAGGAAAAGAATATTATAAATGTACATTAATATATCTGAAATTTTATCTTTGCTACTAAAAAACACATAGGTTAGATAAATGACAGAAAAACAAGGGAATATAATCACATCCCTATTAAAGAAGCGAAGCAAAATATAAACATAAAAGTTTAAATCTAGTCTGTCCTATCCTATGTATTTATTTCTTATATAGCTGCATTTCCAGAAAAAGCAAAATGAAAACCAACAGTTAGGCATTAATACCTAATGTAGCCACTTCCAATTCTATACTGCTGTGCCCAAAAAATAAGAACAGTTTAGTACTCTCTTGTTTTTGTTTTTGAGATGACAGGGTCTGGCTCTGTCACCCAGGCTGGAGTGCAGTGGCACAACCACAGCTCACTGTAGCCTTGATCTCCCTAGGCTCAGGTGATTCTCCCACCTTGAGCAGCTGGGACTACAAGTGTGCACCACTATGCCTGGCTAATGTTTGTATTTTTTATGGAGACAAGATTTCGCCATGTTGGTAAGGCTGGTCTCGAACTCCTGGGCTCAGGCTATCCTCCTATTTTGCCCTCCCAAAGTGCTGGGATTACAGGTCTAAGTCAACCATGTCCGGCCTCTGTTGTTTTTTATACTCACCTGTACAGAGGAAAGGAAATAGGTAGAAAAACAGAGGTAGAAGAAACGGGTTAGGTATAATACTTCCCAATAAGCCAAGGGAGTTAGGAAAAGGAAAACAGTTAAAAAAAAAAAAAAAAAAAAAAAAAAAATATATATATATATATATATATATATATATATACACACACACACACACACACACACACACACACACACTACACACACAAAGACACATCAATGCTCATTTTTCTTATCCTTGAGAAAAAATGCATTCATTATAATGTATCTGATTAACAAGTCATGGTATTCTTACAGGTACCTTCAATATGTGTTTTTATCAAGTCCTGCCCTAGAGTTGCTTTCATGTTAAAATAAAACATAAAACCGGGGAAAAGTCATTATTAGTAATGTAGGACTTTGTAAAAATGTCAACTTACATTCTTGTTGGACTATTTCATACAATATAGAAAAGAAAAATTACCTTCAATTAGTACTATAACTGTGGCCTTAAAATTAAAAAAAAAAAAAACAAAAGAAAAGGGAAAAAGACTAATAGATAAATTCTGGTATCAATGACCTCATTTACAACTTCAAAAATTCTCTCAAAATGGGACAGGTGTGGTGGCACAAGCCTGTAATCCCAGCACTTTGGGAGGCCAAGGTGGGTGGACTATTTGAGGTAAAGAGTTCGAGACCAGCCTGACCAACATAGTGACACCGCATCTCTACTAAAAACACACACACACAAATATTAGCTGGGCATGGTGGCACACGCCTGTAATTTCAGCCACTCAGGAGGCTGAGAATTGCTTAAACCTAGGAGGTGGAGGCTGCAGTGAGTGGAGATCACGCCACTGCACTCCAGCATGGGCAGTAGAAGAGCGAGACTCAGTCTCAAACAAACACAAAAAACCTCTCAAAATGGTGCTTTTCACTAATAATTAAATATTACTTATTCTAGGAGCCCATATTCCTATTTATGAATTATATATGCTTTCATAGACATCCATATCCCCCTAAGTTGCGGGGGAAGACTTAAAAGATAAAGATGATAAAAAGACTTCTAAGAACCTTATAAGAATTACAAGAATTTCTTATAAGGTTCTTATAAGTCTTTTTATCTATACTTAATAAAAAGTCAAAAAATGTGAAAGTGTAAGTAAAACATCAACCCATAAAATGTGTTGTTTCAACAAGTCAGATTGAAGTTAGGGGCAGGGATGGTATGAACTACAGACTTTTAAATTTCTGCATTTTTTTCCATACTTCTCTATCACTATTAGTGTATAAACAATCTATCTTTTAAATATGAATTTAACATTTGGAATAGCAGTTAAGAAAATAGATTGGAATCTTAATTATGACCCAAAGACTACCTAATCTAATGTGGTATTTTAACAAACTTCACCATTCTGTTTAGATAAAAAGGTGTAAAGCACTCGTTCCCATATTATTACTAAAGAACTACGAATTACTCAGATTTTAGCAGGACTGATTTACTTAAAAGACAAGATATACCACTCACCCCAAGAATACACTATGTATGAATTACCAGATGGATGGCTTTTGTTTTCATTTCAAATTATTATAAGACTTGAGACAGGTGCAGTGCTCAGGCCTGTAATTCCAGCACTTTACGGTGCTGAGGCAGGACTGCTTGAAGCTGGAGACCAGCCTAAGTAACAAAGTGAGACCACGTCTCTACAAAAAAAATTTTTTTAAAGTTAGCCTGGTGCGGTGGTGCATGCCTGCAGTCCTAGTTACTCAGGAGGCTGAAGTGGAAGGATTGCTTGAGACCAGAAGTTTGAGGCTGCAGTGAGCTATGACTGAGACACTACACTACAGCCTGGGCAACAGAGCAAAACCCTATCTCTATAATTAAAAAAAAAAAAAAAATTAAGACTTCAGAAAATAAGAAAATTTAGGAGAAGCTGTAAAAGCCAATGTGTTTACCCTCACCTGAAGTCTAACAATTGTGCTAAATCCCTGGAAGCAACAATCTTAGTTAAAGCCTTTCTTTGTGCCTTTGAAGACGTGATTCCTACTGCATGCAGTTTCTTCTTCTACCTGGTAAACTCAAAAACTCCTTTAATGTTTCCTTTATAAATTCTTGTTCCCTTCTCTGTAGTTTTTACTACACGTATTTTGTATAGCTCTACTGCTGCCCTAACCATGCATGTAATCATTTGTTTACTTGTCTTTCTGTACCCTAATCAATCTCTACTGCAATCAAACTTGAGCTTTACTGGTAGAGATTTTATCATATTCATCTTTATGCACCTCATCTATGCCTGGTATGTAGCATAAAATCATTCAATGTTTTTGAAGGAAGAAAACCGAAGAACTCTCAATGACTTGTCTTTGAACATCAAAATCTTTTTAGTGACAGTCATGCTGCAGTTGGAATAAGAAATGCTTATTCTTATACAGAATAAATAAAAGACAAATGTAAGTAGAATCTGTCCTGCTGACTTGATTATACAGTTTTCTTTGCTGCCCCTAATCATTAAGAATTTTTCAATTAGGATTATTTCTTAAATACAAATTAACTCAGGTTGTTGTTTTTAAAGAAACATTTTACCAGTATAAACTAGTTCATATGAACTGAATCTAATCTTTTATGTAAATGAGCAATAATACACATGCAAAATGTTATAGGTGTTGAGACCTAGAGTAAAACAAATCGCAACCCAATTTCCAGACTATTAACGGGTTGTTTTTTTTTAACATTACCAGTGAGGAAATGAGGAATGGAAAATAGGTCACTAGTAATTCCAAACTAACAGACAACTTCAAAAGCAAAAATAATGTAATAATTTTGGTTGTAAATGAATCACCTAAATTGATTATAAGGTTTAAGTTAGTATTTCAAACTTAGACTACATTATCAGAATATTAAGTCAGCTTTATCAGCAATGGTTTCTATTAGTATGATCAGGGCATAAGAATGTGTCTACTCTTTTTCTCTCCCCTAATTACTCTCCTTTTATTGTTTATTCTCATGTTTTTGCCATATGTAGGCCAGAGAGCTTGTATACTTTGCAGTAGAGTAAGCCAATTTTTGGTCTGCACAGTAATTTGTCCTTTTAAGTTTCTCAAGCATCTCAGGTGAACACTATTTGATACAATAATACATTTAAGGCAAAAACAAAAGGTTGGTTTATCATAAAGTATGAGGTTACTTAACATTTTTAAGTAAAAGATCTGATAGCCCATCTATGTAAACAGAAAAATATAGCAAGGTTCAGGACGTGTCTTCTAAATGACGAGCAGTCTAGATATTACATTTTTAAAAAATGAAGAACAGTATCTAAAATATATGCCAAATCTTAAAATGTTACTAGTTATAAGGAACTGTTTATAATGCAATAAACAAATTATTTATTTAACTCTTGTAGCCTAAGAATTTCAGTCAACTGAAAGGTCATGTAACATTCCAAAAATGGTTCCCTAAATGTTACTTTCATTATTTTGACTCAAGCAGTACTTTCAAGATCAATGAGAACTCCTAAATCTAACTACAACTACAAAATAACATTTTCTCCAACATTTAAAACTAATGTGACTTGTTTTGATGCTATGAACTCTTATAAGCCTTATAAAGAAAGTACGGTATTAACTGTAATTTTACTCTTCAGAGCTAAACTACCAACTGAAGATATCTCAGTCAAACACTTTCAGGTCAATATTGTAAATCAGTTTCAGTATCATCTTAGATTCTCTGGATTATAATGCAATACAACAGGTCTTAGTGAAAAATTCTCTATTTACAGAATCTGATTACTCAAAAGCAGATATAAAATAGTATAATTTCATGTCATGAATTATTTCAGAGATATATCTCTCTACAGACAGTGAAAACAGTAAGGTTTCACAAAGGAAAAAAATGGTTAAAAAAAGTGAAAACCTATTGAAGAAGATGCCATGTATATACTAACCAAAGACAATTAGAATTCTTACCTTTGGGCTGCTGTTTTTACTACTGGTATCTGTGCATGAGCATGATGAAAACGTCTACCATGAACTACAGTTCCAGAACATAATGACGTATTTTGCGTATTTTCACTGCAGATTCAAGAAACAAAAAATAACTTGAACACGGAAAAATTATATACACATTTATAAAAAAAATCTTTTAAAATCTGAACAAACACACAAAAACCTTTACCAACAACAACAAAAAATTTATGGATAAACCCAATTGTCTTTTGGGAGTTTTCCATTTCCTGAATTTGTCTTTCAAATGTTTCCAATCCAATTAAAGAAAAATTTAAAAATAGCAGATCACCTGAGGTCAGGAGATCGAGACCAGCCCAGCCAACATGCTGTAACCCCGTCTCTAATAACAAATATAAAAATTAGCTGGGCATGGTGGTGGGCACCTGTAATCCCAGCTACTCGGGAGGATGAAGCAGGAGAATCACTTGAACCCGGGAGGCGGAGGTTGAGAAAATTTAAAAAATAAAGCAGAATACTAAAATAAAAATCAGGAGTCCTAAATACTATTTCTGATTTTGCCACTGACTTGAAAGTTACTGAGCTTTTATGTACTTCATTTGTCTATGTATAAATTGAGACAGCAGAAATAAAAGTGACTTTCAACCCTATTTCTGAGTTGCTACTGATACCCAATCCTACCAATAATGGTGGTTCACTATTGTAAAAAGGAGGAATAAGAAATTTTTAAGTCCCCTATTGAGACAATCCTGATTAGTATTTCCTAAAGGAGACATGACCACACCACTCTATTGTGCTTCTTCAAATATTATGACTGAGATTCTACTAAATGTATGAAAGCAAAATCATGATATCCCACCCTAACAAAGTATTTCTTGCAATGTTTTATTCAGAAACAAGAGACACTGCAATCAATCCTACTCCTAAGATTCAAAGCAAAGAATCCACATACTGGGACCATGCTACCTCTTGGCCCTATAGACAAATTCAGAAGAAAAGGTACAGGTTGGGCCTATTAGCTTCTAAGTTTTTGGTGTCAAACTCTTCCTTTATCTTTTCTGTAGGAATGTGTGGTGAAGTGCCTATACCTCAATTTCTTATTGTTGCTCAACATGTTAAGTCCAATTGGGTTGCCTTTCAAAGTTTTAAAACTTTCAGACTTGTTTCGTCTTACATATGTCTTCAAGATGAATTCACCAGAGCTATTAGCAACAATTTCAGATCGACGATTTAACTGTAAAAAAAGATCCAGAAATATGAGTCAAAAATGCTATAATGTGACAATCTATCAACAACTATTTGAAAACCATTTAAAAGTAGTAAAAACATACAGCTATTGGGAATGATGGTGGATAGCATTGGCATGGATTTAAGAATAATTCAACTGCCTACTTTTTTTTTCCTAAAGACAATGCAAATTTGTAGGAACATGGAGGTTTATTGTATTACTTTCTTTTCATGTGAATCTTTCCAAAGATATTTGAGACAATTAGGGTAGAGGATCTTAGGATAGCTTTCTCCAGAGAGTAAAAAGTAAGCATTTCCCCTGCTTATCAGGCCTTGCTGCTATCTGGAGAACACTACAGCCAAATATGGCAATCGGCTGTCATTTCAACTTGTGCTTATGTATAAGAACTTTTGCCTTAGTATCAAAGTTTCTGTACAGGCAGAAATTGATACTTTATACTTCAATAGATGCAAATAATAATATAAACATATCAGTAACAATCACTTTAGAGAGATCACAGTATATAACAGGCAAAAGGAGCAAAATAAATTTGTAAAGATTCCTTTATCATACAATTATAAAATTACAGGACACAATTTCAGTTCCCAGAAAATTCAGAGACAACTGTTGAATTAAAATACAACATATAAATTATTTTAGCATCCTGGCACATCTACTCACCTCCTAATTGTTTTGATTTTCCATTATTTTATTTGTGCTAATTTGGTAATCTACATCAAATTACTGGGAGGAAATAAGGTGTAAATAAGTTTTTAAAATTTTATGGCTGATTATCTCACAGATTAGAGTACTCCCATTAATAAAATCATGATGATATATTCAGTCTGGAAGTCCCTAAAACTTTAAATCCACCGCCCTACCCCAGCCTAAGACAGTTTTCCAGGTAATGCAAGCACAGCATCAAGAGAACTACTGTGAATAGATGAATCCATTTGTTCGAAAAGAGATCAAATGACTAGAAAACCAATTACAAACATGGACCTTACTGATGTCAGACCTGCAACTATAAACATTATTTGCAAAGAAACATCAGTTTACAAAGGTTCAATAACACTGCATTTAATAATAACAAAATGTAGCTATTTCCAGAAAACTGCTAGTGTCATATACTATGTGAATTACATCATCTCATATAAATCTCATGACAATTCTAGAAAGTGGACAGTTATTGGCAAGCCTAGAGTTTGCTATTCTGACTGGTTAACACAGGACTTATCCAAAAATACTACATAGTAGTCCCCCTTTATCGATGGTTTTGCTTTCTGTGGTATCAGTTACTAACAGTCAATTGCGTTCCAAAAAAAATTTTAATTTAACCACTCCTCTATTAGTAGCTACTAAGGTTGTCTCTAAAGTTCTGCTATGGTATCACTTAAATTTTTCAGAGATTATGAATAATGCTCAGGCAAGGGAAGTACATACTAATTCATAAAAATGCACCAGGGCATAAAACATGAAAGGACAGCTTAACTCTGGTACTATGCAGCAATGCTGTCAGGCATATGATAAAGCCAGGTATTACTGTCCAGAGTGTTTAAGAACCCACACGCTCCCAGAAACAAAAACAAAAAATATCTGCCTGTGTCCTGGCAACACAATCAAAGTGTGGGTGACAGTCACTTGTTTATGGAATGGTTTCATCAATGCTTCATCCGAGGATATATATCCACTATTTTCTGGGGTCTCAGTCATTCACTGGGAGTCTTTAAGGGGGCCTCCGGATATCAATCTATGAAATACATTTATACAAAATAAACACTGATACAGGGATCAGCAAACTTTTTCTGCCAAGGGCTAAAAGTAAGTATTGTAGGCTTTCTTGATCATATAGTCTCTGTTGTATCTACTCAACTCTGTCCAAATATTCAAATCTGTTGTTGTAGCACAAAAGTGGCCATAGACAATTTATAAATAAGCATGGCTGTTTTCCAAGAAAACTTTACTTATGGACACAGATTTGAGTTTTATATTATGCTCACATGTCATGAAATAGAATTCATTTGATTCTTTCTTCCAAGCATTTAAAAACGTAAAAACCACTGTAGCTAACAGACAATAGACTTCAGGGTAGAGCCTTAATGTGACAACTCCTGTTTATAACATTAATCATTAAGTAACTAATAAGCATAGCAAGTTATTAGAATTTAAGTTCCACAAGAACAAAAAAAGTCTGTTTTGCTCCAACACTTAGAACACTGTGCTCAATATGTATTTGCTGCATCAATGAATAGTTCATTGAGAATACTAAATATGTGAAAATTATCAATGTTATCTTCCACCCAAAATTATCACATCATGTAATTTAAGTAAAGTACTGATATTCAGGAAGTTTAGCACCGAAGAATATCAGATAATAAGAGAACCTAATAGAAACCATTAAGTTAGAGACATATGTATGTTAAAAGCACTTAAATTCTGAAAAACAAAGAATTGAAACAGTAAAAAATTAGACACACTATCGAAAATACAACTTTGAAAGAGAACCAACAGCAGTTCTATAAATGATAAATGTCATTGAAATCTTTTAAAAGTAAAAAAAAAAAATCCAATGTATGGATTAAATAGCAGCTTAGAGCTAAAGATAAAAGTAAATTGGAAGATAGAGCTAAAGAAATTATTCAGAATACGGTACAGAGATATACTTCTTCATTCCATTAGCCATTTTTTTTCCTTTTTTGCTTTTAAACATAAAATATAGGTTACGGATTTTTTTTTTTAAATGATGGTTTTATGTCTATTAGGAGGTCTAGAAATAATAATGTAGAAAGGTAAAATCCACAGAGATAATGACTAAAATGTTTTCTTAACTAACAAAAGATATAAATCCCTTAAAAGAAGCACAGTGAAACTGCAGAAGCCCAAAGACAAAGAGAAGATTCTGTGAAAGAGAAGGGGAAAGATATGAAGACACTGTGAACTAAATTTAATAAAGGATTTCTCTTAATTCCACACTCATTTTCAAATGGAGAAACCAGTCTATAATAGTTTAAACCAATGATCCATATGGACCTGAGAAAAGAAAAATAGCTCAGAGCAGTCTGAGCTCTGTGAGATATGCAAAATTTATCAGGCCCAGAGAGACATAAGTAAGGGACTTCAGTCATAGCCCCTGATCCATGCCCAAAGGCAATTATTTAAAGGTGTTTTGTGCTTTTTCTTGCCGGTAGTTTCCTGACTAGCAGATAAATTACCTAAAATGTTGGCCGAGCAGCTCAAACCTGTAATCCCAGCACTTTGGGAGGTCGAGGCTGATGGATCACCTCAGGTTAGGAGTTTGAGACCAGCCTGACCAACATGGTGAAACCCCGTCTCTACTAAAAATACAAAAATTTGCCGGGTGTGGTGATGCATGCCTGTAATCTCAGCTACTCAGGAGGCTGAGGCAGGAGAATGGCTTGAACCCAGGAGGCAGAAGTTGCAGTGAGCTGAGATCATGCCACTGCACTCCAGCCTGGGTGGCAAGAGCGAGACTCCATCTCAAAAAAAAAAAAAAAAAAGTTATCACAAGTTGCACATTGTGGCCCTCATTCATTATCTTCATGTTCCAGGAATTTGTGATACAAAGAACAAAGTATGGCCAATCCATATCTATTGTTAGCTATTTTAATGTAAATTCTTGGTAAACAACTTAGGAATAGTCTCTTCTTTTTTCCTTAAAAAACTCACTCATATCTGCTGCTAATCAAAGCATACATGTGGGAGAACCTAAATCTATGCTCCCAGGTTGCAGTCCTCAAATGTGGCTCACATAAACTCACTATATTAATTTTTACTCTATTAACTTATTAACTATATTAATTTTGCCTCAGTTTCTTCCTTTAGCTTGACAGACCTATACATTACCTGTAAGCTATTCAAAATCCAAGTAGATATATGTATATATCCCTGGGACACACAAAGATCTTCTGAAGGATTATCAAGCATGGTAGCTTTAGTCATGGTAATCAACTTTTAAATCCTCAATCTGGCTGGGCATGGTGGCTCACACCTGTACTCCCAGCACTTTGGGAAGCCAAGGTGGGCGGATCACCTGAGGTCTGGAGTTCGAGACCAGCCTGGCCACCATGGTGAAACCTTGTCTCTGTTAAAAACACAAAAACTAGCCAGACATGGTGGCATACGCCTGTAGTCCCAGCTACTCAGGAGGCTGAGGCAAGAGAATTGCTTGAACCTGGGAAGGCGAAGGTTGCAGTGAGCCAAGATTGCGCCACTGCACTCCTGCCTGGGGGCCAGGAGACTCTGTCTCAAAAAAAATAAAAATAAAAAATAAAAAAAGGCTGTATTGGCAAAAGCATATAGAAATTAACAAGATTTCAGTTTTTCCAATTACTTCTGAGAGTATTTGGTTAAAACAAAACAAAACAAAGAAACCTAAAAGTAACAAGTATACTAGCTATTCAAATCTTGGTAAAGCTTTTTTAGTATATTTATCCAAAATCTGGAAGGCCAGTACCTAATGACTGGATTACAAATTATTTTTAATTTTTAAATGTTTGATTACTATGTCATTTTTGGCATTTAACTCAAAAGGAAAGAACTGTGGCCAGGCACAGTGGCTTATGCCTGTAATTCCAGCACTTTGGGAGGCCAAGGTGGGTGGATCACTTGAGGTCAGGAGTTCCAAGACCAGCCTGGTGGCCAACATGGCAAAACCACTAAAACTACTAAAAATACAAAAATTAGTCAGACGTGGTGGCAGGCACCTGTAGTCCCAGCTACTTGGGAGGCTGAGGCGGTAGGATCGCTTGAGCCTAGGAGGAAGAGGCTGCAGTGAGCCGAGATTGCCCCACTGCACTCCAGCCTGGTAGACAGAGTGAGATTCTGTCTCAAATAAAAAAAGAATTGTATGATAATACTATAGCAAAACTATTTCCATATTTATCTATTTAGAATGTAACCAGGATTTGTCAGCACTGGTATCTAACAAAAAAGTTTAAAAAGAAATTTCCCTCCATAAATATGTACAATTGTTATGTGTCAATTTTTAAGAAAGAGTAAAATTGTTCTGAAAGTTTCATTCAGGTAATACAGATTAATGAATAGATGAACTAAATGAATAAAAAGGGAAACCATCAGCCTCACCCATTTTAAAAGATAAATTTCCAATATTATTTTGCATAATAAATTTAATAATTATAAATATCTGTAATAATACTTTTTAGATCAAGTGTTCATTAATAATTATAATGACAACTCAGCTTTTAAAAAAATAAACTTTAGTAGCAGGAGTTCTACTTAATGTTAAGCTTCAGTGAAGTTTATCTTCAGTGAAGGATATCTCTATTAAAGTGTGATAGGATAATAAAAAGATTTTCAATTACATAAAAGTATATCATATTAAGATTCTATGGGAAAACTGAACAGAAGAAATATGAATTTAAGACGGAAAAGGCACAATATAAAATTTCTAACTGTTAAGAGATGGTCCATGTATACTTAAAATAGATGATACTATCATATCAGAATAATCTTTACAGTTCACTAAATAAATCAATGTGTCCTGTAGGTTTTACTTTAAAACATAAATATTTACATTTAAAAAATATGTAATAAAGCACATACTTTTACAAAAAATCATAAGAAATCTGAAAGCAGGCCAGGCGTGGTGGCTCACGCCTGTAATCTCAGCACTTCGGGAGGCCAAGGCGGGCAGATCACGAGGTCAGAGTT
This sequence comes from Homo sapiens, assembly GCF_000001405.40. Taxonomy (NCBI): domain Eukaryota; kingdom Metazoa; phylum Chordata; class Mammalia; order Primates; family Hominidae; genus Homo; species Homo sapiens. Next base: position 75,627,895 of record NC_000006.12, on the reverse strand, counting down.
CGAGACCAGCCTCACATGGTGAAACCCCGTCTCTTACTAAAAATATAAAAAATTAGCCGGGCGTGGTGGCACCATGCCTGTAATCCCAGTCACTCAGGAGACTGAGGCAGGAGAATCCCTTGAACCCAGGAGGTGGAGGTTGCAGTGAGCTGAGATCACACCACTGCCCTCTGGCCTGGGTGACAGAGCAAGACTGTCTCAAAAAAAAAGCAATCTGAAAGCTACATATGTGTACATGAAGACCAATGCCCTATATAAGTTAGTGACAGAAAACATCTTTTATTTTTTATTTTTATTTCTGGTAGAGTCTCATTTTGTTGCCCAGGCTGATCTCAAACTCCTGGCTTCGAACGATCCTCCCGCTTCATCCTACCAAGGTGCTGGGATTACAGGCAAAAGACACCGTGCCTGCTCACATCTTATTTTCATCTACCAAGTTCACTCCTTTTTTTCTACTTTTTTCTTGTCTATCTAAAAAACACCTAAAAAATAGCACTTCAGGAAATCCAGATGTCAAAATAAAAGCTAGGAAACCTGCAGTGGGAAAAACCTTAGAGTTTTTCAGCATGAATAACTTTATAAAGAAAAACTGAACAGTATTAAGAGAAAAACATCAAATTCAATAATTTCCTCAGGACAGGCACAGTGGCTCACGCCTGTAATCTCAGCACTTTGGGAGGCCAAGGTGGGTAGATCATCTGAGGTCAGGAGTTCAAGACCAGCCTGACCAACATGGTGAAACCCCAGCTCTACTAAAATACAAAAGTTAGCTGGTTTGTTGGTGTCCGTGTGTAATCCCAGCTACTCAGGAGGCTGAGGCAGGAGAATCACTTGAATCTGGGAGGCAGAAGTTGCAGTGAGCCGATATCGCACCATGCACTCCAACCTGGGCAACAGAGTGAGACTCAGTCTCAATAGATAAATAAATAAAATAAATTTCCTCAAATTATGATAAAATAGAGCTGTTGCAGAGGGAAAAAAAAACCCAGAAAGACGGAAAAAAAAGTAAATGTTAAAAGTTGTTTAAATTCTTACACTGTAAATACAGGAAATATGTGAAGGTGCTATGTTCAGATCAGCAAAAATTCAAGTATGACTACATATTTTGCAAGATTACAGGGAAATAGAGTCATACACTGCTAGTGGGAATGGCTAATGTTAACACCTTTAGATAGGGAATTTGGCAGTATCTAGCAAAACTACATGTGAATTTCACCTCTGAAATAGCAACTTCAATTCTAGGAATCTATCCCACAAATATACTACACAGATATGAAAAAAATATCTATGCACAAGGTTTTAGTGAAGTCTTATACGTAATAGCAAAAGACTGGGGGAAAAAAATCTCTATTCATCAGTAGGGACAAACTGAATATCTACAGTATATCCATCCAATGAAGTACTATATAACAATAAAAAGGATGATAAAGATTTGTAAATACTTTGCTGTAGAGTGATCTACATAACATACTGTCAAGTAAAAAAATCAAGGTGTCAACAGTGTGTATAGTTTTTCCAAGAAAAGTGGTATATGCTTACATATATATATATATATAAAAAGCTAAGCCACATAATTTTTAAAACAAGTCACTTATAGGGAAAAAAGAATAAAGGGAATCAAGACAAAATTAGATTTCTCTGAAAATTACTTCTTTTGAGATATGATGCTGAAACCATCCAAAAAATTTACATAATAAAAATTAAAATGAAAATAAAATGCAATTCCTCACTATAAAAAACAAAATTAAAAAACAACAACAACAACAACAAACCTAACTCTCTATTTAGTTGGTAGAATACCAAACAGAAATAAACAATTTCAAATTACTTAAAAATATACTAATTTAAATACACATTCCTAGTGGAACTATACATATACCTGCTAGTGTCATCAAAAACAAGGAAACAAAATAATTTGAAAATCATTTTATTAGTAATTATGTTGGTATTACTATTGTGAAACTATTTTATATATCTAATAAGACAAAGCAAATAAAAGTGGGTTTTTTTGTTTTGTTTTTTGTTTGGAGACTGAGTCTCGCTCTGTCACCCAGGCTGGAGTGCAGTGGCGCAATCTCAGCTCACTGCAACCTCTGCCTCCTGAGCTCAAGCAATTCTCCTTCCTCAGCCTCCCACGTAGCTGGGACTACAGGAGCCCACTACCATGCCTGGCTAATTTTTCTATTTTTAGTAGAGACGAGGTTTCAACATGTTGGCCAGGCTGGTCTCGAACTACTGACCTCAAGTGATCTGCCTGCTTTGGCCTCCCAAAGTGTTGGGATTACTGGCATAAGCCACTGTGCCCAGCCCCAAATAAGTTATTAAATTAACATCATTAGGAACAAAGACAGTAGACTCAAAAGCCTTTAAAAGAAAAATGATACATCTGATGACATAAGGAAATATATTTTCCCCATGGCAATAGCCACCATAAGCAAAGACAAAAGACTAGTGAAAAAACTGAGTTAAAATTTTAGTAATGGCCAGGCACGGTGGCTCACGTCTGTAATCCCAACACTTTCGGAGGCAGAGATGGGAGAATCACTTGAGGCCAGGAGTTCATGACCAGTCTAGCCAAAATGGTGAAACCCGGTCTCTAATAAAAATAAAAAAAAAATTAGCCAGGCATGGTGGTGTATGCCTGTAATCCCAACTACTCGTGTGGCTGAGGCATGAGAATTGTTTGAACCCGGGAGACAGAGGTGGCAGTAAGCTGAGATTGCGCCACTGCACTCTATTCTGGGCAAGAGCCAGACTCCGTCTGAAAAAAAAAAAAAAAAAAAGGACACACACACACGTATATATATTAGCAACTAGTATCACAGCAAAGGGCCAATTTCTCCAAAATACCTTATTTCATCAAACCTATAACATTATTATACAATACACCATTATTGTATGTACTACAGTGCAAAATTTTTTATTTTTTAGAGATGGAGTCTCACTATGTTGTCCAGGTAGTCTCAAACTCCTGGCCTAAAGCAATTCTCCCACCTTGATTTCCCAAAGTGCTAGGATTATAGGCGTGAGCCACTACACTTGGCCAAAAACATTTTTTTTAAATAATTAAAGCATATCATGCTATCTTAATAAGATGCATCTAGATTTCAAAGATGTTAAAATGTGAAAAAAAGTGTGTCTTAGACTAAATATAAAAATAATTCCTATGAATAATATTCTAAAGACCAGATAGAAAAATGGGCAAAGGATATTAACTGACAATTATTCTAAAAAAGAATGAGACTATACATATGAAATGATGTTCAACCTCACAAAAAATAAAATGGAAATTAAAACTACACTGAGATACTAGTTTTCATTTGCAAAGATCAAAGGTTGAAGACATTATGACGGATGTGTGGGGAAACAGATACGTTCAGATATCGATGGAACAAGTGTAAATCTGGTATGCCAAAATTAGAAATGGACCTGTCCTGATAAAGCAGTGCAACCTCTAGGAATTCATTCTACAGATACGCTTGTATGTGTGCAAAATAACCCATATAGAAGGCTAATTTACAGATTATTTTAGAAAAAAATTAAAAAGTTGACAACTCTGTAAATATCCATCAATAGGTGGAATTGGTTAATGGTATATAATACAATGGAATACTATGCACTCACTGAAAACAATGAGGTGCTTTTTATGAACTCTTACAGATGGTCTCCAAGATAATATATTAAGTTAAAGGAAGATCAGAAAAACCATGCACAGTATATTACCAATTGTGTAACATGGGAGGTGGAAATATTTCTCTTCTTTATAATGCATGAAACATTCCCAAAGTGATAAATAACAAACTGGGAACACCATTTGCCTCTGGAGTGGAGAAAGTGGGTAACTGGGGTTTATAATTTAAAAATATTAAATCTTTTGAGGTAACAATTTTTTTGTATATAATGTAAAAGAAGAAAATATTTTAAGCAACACTTGCCTTTTTTCCTTTTGAGGTTTCAGAATCCTCATCTTCATCCACACTGAGCAGATTTGTCCCACTACACAGAAAATAAGGGGAAAAAAACATAAGTAGCAATCACAATCCTTATATTAAATTCTGAGGTTTTATCCTCTATGTTCACCTAATTCAGGGAATCAGCAAACTTTTTCTGTAAAGGGCCAAACCACAGTCTTTGCAGGCCATATGGTCTCTGTAGCAGCTACTCATATGTTGTATGAAAACAGCCATAAACAATACATGTGGCTATGTTCCAATAAAAATTATTAACTGAATTAGGTGGCACGCAAGATTAGCCCATGGATCATAGTTTGTTGAACCCTACAATAAATGAACACATAATTCTGTTTATTTAGTTATGGATTTTATATATTCTCATTCATTTTTCCTTTTTGTCTTAGATTGAAAATTAAGGGTAGAAAGATAGAGAAACAAAGAAATGAACTGAAAGGAAAGAAAGCCTTAGCTAATGAAAAGAAAGTAATTCCAGTGGTATTACCATGGTAAAATAGTTATACTTCTACCACTCTTGAAAATATCAACCCTTCATTGAGAAATCACCGGCCTGAAATTCTAGAAGATTAAACTAATGTATCTATTAACAGGTTCATGTTAATAGATACATGTTCAAAAAGCTGATGTGCCTGAGACTCATGATGAACCAAATAGTACAATTCAGAAATGAAATGTACAGGACAGCTAGCACCGTAAAGACAGTTTTTAAAAAATGTATAACTACAGTAAATCTGCCATCAAAGAAAGTCAAATACAACGTTTTCGAAGACAACTCAGCTATTTATTGTAAAGTCCTAGATATTTACACAAAAATGTAAAATGTTGTATTACTGTTTATATACATCCAAACTTTTTTTTAATGATTAAAAAGTCTCTCGTAAACATTTTATAAACATGTTTAAAAAGTGGTATATTTTCTATGCAGCTTAATTTCAGATTTAATTCTAATTTTTCAAAACTATATGCATACTGAATAATTGTTTTATATTTTAAAGTAATCAGAAAAAGTATAAAAGAAATGAAAGAAAGAAAACCATAAAATACTGACTTTAAATGAGAGACTTACCAGTTCAAAGCTCTCCTTCAAATAAAACTTCAAATCAACATCTCATCGGTGAAGGCACATAAAGTGGTAATGATGAACGGAGCTGTTGCCCAGACAGAAGTGAAGCACCTACAATATTTAGCCAATATATTCTGAATGACTTCTTGTATAAAAATTTCTTTAACATATTTATAGTTTTGGTAGAACTTTGTGTGTATATTTGTGGATCTCTGAATTTGTTGTTTATTTTGGCCAGCAGAAAACCAGATCAATAAATCAAAAAACTAAAAACAATGTTTTTTTGTTTGTTTTTGTTTTGTTGAGACGGAGTCTTACTCTGTCGCCCAGGCTGGAGTGCAATGGCATGATCTGGGTTCACTGCAACCTCTACCTCCCGGGTTCAAGTGATTCTCCTGCCTCAGCCTCCTGAGTAGCTGGGATTACAGGTGTATGCCACCACATCCAGCTAATCTTTTGTATTTTTAGTAGAGATGAGGTCTCACCATGTTGGCCAAGCTGATCTTGAACTCCTGACCTCAAATGAACCACCTGCCTCGGCCTTCCAAAGTGTTGGGATTACAGGCATGAGCCACTGTGCCCGGCCAAAAAACTAGATGTTGAACTTTAAAAACAAATCTCATGACAAACAAAAAGTTCTATTAAAACTATCATTTAAAATTTTTACACAACAGTCATTCCAAGTAGATTAACAAAGTGTAATGAACACTTTGCTTAACTTCTGTCTGGGTAAACACCTGTGTTTATCATTTATAATGGTTCTGCTTTCTCTGGTGAGAATCTGACCTAAGATGGATGTGGTAGGGGTGGTGGTCACAACTGGGGAAGAAAGATACTGTAGTATTTAAACTTTCATACAAAATGCAAGGGTCTTATCTGGGTTCACTTACTCATGATAAATGGTGGATTTCCAAATTGCTGCCTGAACAGAATGCCTTTTTAAAAAACAAAAAACAATTTCCTTATTTTGAAGCCTTCCATTGTACAGTCAATTTTTAATTGTAAGGTTACATGTACTACAAGCATATATTTATACATTTCAAAAGATGGAGAAAATAACAGTAAAATTATTTATCAATAAGGAATTGCTTTTTCTTTCCTTAAAGCGACTGTGAAAGAGTTATATGTTTTCTTAAGAATACCATACTCCTAAAAATATTTCCATACAATAGAAATTGTTTTTCTAATGAGAAGTTTTATTCTTATAAAACATCTGAGGGAAAAAAAAATCCTTACTCTTTATCTGTATCTCCTTCACTTTCTTCTTCATGATCAAAGCTCCAATTATTTTTAAAACCTCCATCTCTCTTAGACTCTGATCTAGCCAAAGCTGAAATAAAAACAAACTGCAGTAAGTATTCATTAATAGAGCTATTCAATATAAAACAAATATGTGCATTTCCCAAGCTCTTTGATTATTCTAGATTTTGTTTTAATTTGGTTGCCTTTGTCTATTTTTTGTAAACATTTGATTTCCTCCAAAGAGAAAAAGAAGACATTAAAATCTGTTTTTACTAATTCATAATCATCCATACATGTGCTTGCTACACAAAGAAGCTCAGATTAGAAAGCTATAATAAAAACGGAGGGCACATGAATATGTATGAATATATATAAAATCAGCCCTAAATCTCATCTTTGATCACTGATTCTAGAAATAAGTACCTATAAATAGTTTGCTTGCCTTCTTCATGAGAACTATATCCAGACTGCTAGACTCTCCCTTAAACTCAACGATACCTGCCTTTTAACAGAAGAAAAACAAACAACGTTTTCGGTTTTGGCAATGTGGTTAAAACTTGACAACCTGAAAAACTCTAGATCAGAACACTAAATGTGCTCATTATGAATTTTAAAAAATTTTATAAGTGCATGGCTGAAACCCCTTGAAGCCATTAACAATTAGAAAGTGGGAACCCAGAGAGCTAAATGAAATTCCAAAGATGGCATTTCTCTCTTGGTACCCTATGACCAAAAACCTGATGTCCTAGAACCCAGGCTTTATTAGGTTAACCTCAAGGCCCCAGCAAAATGAGATGTCAGACTGAAAACCAGACAAGCTGAAGGGCAACGCTCTGACTTGGTGAACTAGGGAAAAACAAAACAGAACAAAAAACTCACTGAAGAGGCAGTGGGGATAATTCTGATGTCTTAAGCTTGGCTCTGGCTTTCTGAGTTGAACTAAAGACAAATAAAGTACATCCACCCCATGGTCAGTGCTATGGTCTGAATGTTCTCAAATTTATATGATGAAATCCTAACCCCAAGATACAGATGGTATTAAGAGGTGGGGCCTGTGTGAGCTGATTAGATCACGAGGGCACAGCTCTCACGAATGGGATTGGTGCCCTTATCAAAGAGGCCCAATGGAGCCTGTTTGCCCCTTCCATTCTGTGAGGAGACAGCCAGAAGGCACCATTTGTGAAAAAGTGGGACCTTACCAGATACTGAATCTGGACCTCTTGATCTAACTTCCCAGCTTCCAGAATTCTGAGAAATGTGAGGTTTAAAGGCCACTCAGTCTATGGACTTCAATACAGCAGCCCGAATGAACTAAGACAGGAAATCCCTAATCATAAGAGATGACAATTAACTAGGGTTTGTAGCCAGAATTTTCACAACTTACAAGGCCATGAAAAACCCATAATTAAAATATCCTCCCATGAAAAGATGCTCAGCATCACTAACCATTAAAAAATGCAAATCAAAACCATAATGAGATACTACTTCTCACCCATTAGGAAAGCTTATTTTCCTCTTTTTTTTTTTTTTTTTTTTTGAGGCAAGGTAGCCCAAGCTGGAGTGCAGTGGTGCCATCATGGCTCACTGCAGCCTTGACTTCTTGGGCCCAAATGATCTTCCCGCCTCAGCCTATGGAGTAGCTGGGATCACAGACACATGCCACCATGCTCAGGAAATTTTTAAATTTTTTTGTAGAGGTGAGGTCTTGCCATTTTGCCCAGGCTGGTCTCGAACTCCCAGCCTCAATCCATCCTCCCTGCCTCAGCCACTCAAAGTGCTGGGAATACAGGTGTGAGCCACCCTGCCTGGCTGCTATTATTTACTTTTAAAAATGGAAAGTAACAAGTATTGGCTAGGATGTGGGAGAAACTGGAACTCTTGTGCATTGCTAGTGGGAACGCAAAACAGTTCAGGCACTGTAGAAAATAATTTGGCAGTTCCTCAAAAAGTTAAACATAGAATTACCCTACGAGCTAGCAATTTCACTTCTAGGGAGACATCTAAAATAACAAAAGCATGTATTCAAACAGACACTTGTATGCCAATGTTCATAGCAGCATTATTCACAGTAAGCTAAATGGTGGAAACAACCCAAATTTCTATCAACAGATTAATAAACAAAATACAGTATGTGTGTACATATGTACACACACACACACACACACACACACACATAGACACAACGGAATGTTATTCAGCCTTAAAGGGATACGAATTGGATACAGGATACAAGACAGATGAACCTTGAAAACAGTTACTAAGTGAAATAAGCCAGATGCAAAAGGACAAATATTGTATGATTCCACATATATGAAGTACCCAGAATAGGTAAATTCATAGAGACAGAAAGTAGAATCAAGGTTACCAGAGGCTAAAGGAAGTAGAGAAATGGAGAATTACTGTTTAACAGGTACACAGTTCTTGTTTATGATGATTTAAAAGATCCAAAAATAAATATTGGTGGTGGCTGCACAACATTATAAATGTACTTAATACCAATGAACTGCATAAATATACACTTAAAAATGGTTAAACAGTAACTTATATGTTATGTATATTATACCACAATAAAAAACTGCTTTTAAAAGGAAAAAAAAAAAAGCCTGAAAGTGACTAACACAAGCAAACATAAATCCTCTCTAAAAAATATAAAACTTCAATGCAAGCCTGAAAAAAAAAAAGTTTCAGAAATATCATGAACAGGAGGAAATAAGTCTTAATGAGCAAACCATCAGTATACATGAAACTTCCTAACATGTATACTGGGATTGAAAACATAAGTAAATAAATAGTAGATGATGGAAACAAGGTTTCTCCCTGTCAAATAAAGAAGTTACAAATAAGCAAGAGAGGAAAGACAGAATGAACCCTATGGTGCTAGGTTAGAGTCAGACATACCAGCCTGAACTCACATTTATTTAATACATACACAGATGTACAGGTATGTTGTAACACGGGTTAGTATAGAGAGCTAGAGCTGCTTTCTTAGAGGGTCTAGAAGCAGTGACACCCCAGTAGCAACAAACACACCTACAACTAGATCTTGGTTTCTAAATACCATTCTCTCTAATAAAAGGAGCCAGGGTTCCTAGAAGAAATGACTGATTCTAGGCCAGAGGCAGAAAAAACACCAATATGAACCTGGTGTAACTTACAGGGTCAGAATGCAAGAAAATCATTATTTTTTTTTAAAGACAGGGGCATGTCAAAAGGTTACAGAAGCCAACTTGAAAGAATTCCCAACGGCCAAAGTTGGAACAATTTTAGCAAAAATAAATAACATCGGCATTGGGTTATAACTCCTAAATAAAATAAACATTCCCGAATCCATACTGATAAAAACAGATGAATAAATAAATAAATGGAAAGAAGGGACACATGTTCCTTACAGAAGAATTCCAAATAATATAAGCATATACTCCCTTCTCCAAAGATAAAAATGAATTTTCCTTCCCTTGAGTATGGGCTCAACTTGGTAACTTACGTCAAAAACACAGACATAAAAGGGAGGAAAAACAAACTGACAATGGAGAAACCTGACAAACACTACCTCAGCCAAGTGATCATAGTTAACATTCATAGTGATATGTCTTATTCATGGCATGTACCCTTTAATATGGTATGATGAAAATAGCACTTCAGCACTGTGATCCTTTCCCTAAAACTCATAATCCCAGTTTAATCATAAGAAAACATCAGACAAACCCAACCTGAGGGACACTGTATAAAATACCTGTATACAGTATTTTGTACAACTGTCAAGGTTATGAAAAACAAGGAAAGATTAAGAAACTGTGAAAGAACACAGTATACTAAGGAGACAAGACAATCAAATCCAAAGTCCTGGATTGGACTCTCGAATATGAAAAGGGTGTTAATGGAATTACTGGTTAAATCCAAAATAAAGTTTGTAGTTCAGGTAATAGTAATAACACTATCACACAAATGTTAAATTTCATAGTTGTGACAAACATACACTGGCTATATTTGGTGGCAACATTAGTGGAGGCGGAGTAAAAGTTATATAGAAGTTCTCTAAACCGGCCGGGCACAGTGGCTCCTGCCTGTAATCCCAGCACTTTGGGAGGTGGAGGCGGAGGCGGGCGGATCACCTGAGGTCGGGAGTTTGAGACCAGCCTGACCAACGTGGAGAAACCCTGTCTCTACTAAAAATACAAAATTAGCCGGTGTGGTGGTGCATGCCTGTAACCCCACCTACTCAGGAGGCTGAAGCAGGAGAATCACTTGAACCCAGGAGACGGAGGTCGCAGTGAGCCAAGATCACGCCATTGCACTCCAGCCTGGGCAACAAGAGCGAAACTCCGTCTCAAAAAAAAAAAAAAAAAAAAAAAAAAAGAAAGAAAGAAATTCTCCAAACCATCATTGAAACTTCTATATAAATTTAAATGTATTCCAAAAGAAAAAGTTTTAAAACACCAAAGGCTGGGTGCAGTGGCTCATGCCTGTAATCTAAGCATTTTGTGAGGCTGAAGTGGGCAGATCACTTTAGCCCAGGAGTTTGAGACCAGCCTGGGCAACATGACAAAATCCTGTCTCTACAAAAAAATACAAAAAAATTAGCCTGGCATGGTGGTGCGTGCCTGTAGTACCAGCTACTCAGGAGACTGGGATAGGAGGATTGGACGGAGGATCAATTGAGCCTGGGAGGTTGAGGCTGCAGTGAGCCATGATCACACCACAGCAATCCAGCCTGGGTGACACAGCAAGACAATCTCAAAAATACATAAATAAAAATTTAAAAACACAATGTAAAATGAACCTATGTTTCAAAAGTCAAAAGAGACGTCGTAATATTTATGCACTAAAGGAACTGGGGTTCTTTACACACAATTCCTTTTTTTTTTTTTTTTTTTGAGATGGAGTCTTGCTCTGTCGCCCAGGCTGGAGTGCAGTGGCGCAATCTCAACTCACTGCAACCTCCGCCTCCCGGGTTCAAGTGATTCTCCTGCCTCAGCCTCCTGAGTAGCTGGGATTACAGGCGCATGCTACCACGCCCGGCTAATTTTGTATTTTTAGTAAAGACAGGGTTTCACCATGTTGGTCAGGCTGGTCTCGAACCCCTGACCTTGTGATCCACCCGCCTCGGCCTCCCAAAGCACTAGGATTACAGGCGTGTGCCACCACACCTGGCTGTGTACACATAATTCTAACAAACTCAATCATACCCTAATTGATATTAGATTAGAACCTCCATGGAAGTGATAATTTCCAGTGAGAGAAAAAATAAATTATAAAAAGAAAAGAGATTTTTAAAAGTTTGGGGGCAACCTGGAGTGGGGACAAAAACTTAAAATCTTCAAAAGTCCTTGAGAGTATCACTACATTTCAATAACTTGTTATGGTTGACCTTTGTAATTATGAGAGTAGAAAATTATGTCCACTGTATTCTAGTTAGAAAATTAAGGAGATGGAAAGAAAAAGGTTAAGGAGAGATCCCAGTTAAATATCACAAATTAAACACCTAAAGTTTTCTCCATATCCTCCACTAAAATGACAATAATGGAAAGAGGAAGAAAAGTAGCAACCCATAAGAACAAAAAGAACCAGAGAGGAGATAATAGTAGAAGAGAGATTAACAAAAGTGAAAAAAGATAAACATTCGGTGGATGAATAGGAACTAGTATAGTTGACCAAAGAAAGCAAAAACCTAAATGTCTATGAGGGCACAAGTTACCAAATGAACACAAGAAGCAAAAGAAGATTTTTAATACTGCTATATCAATAAAATAAATTGAATTCATTATGACAAATCTTCCCAAAAAATCAAAACTCAGGCTCAGAAGGCTTCGCCACTAATTTCTTTCAAACTTTTAAAAAATAGCATCAATCTTATCTGAACTTTTGCAGAAAATAAAAAAGGAACACTTTGCAGCTCATTTTATGAAGTCAGAATACTTGATCCTAAACTTGACAGTGACATTCAAGGAAGGAAAATTACTGAGCAATCTCACAAAAAGACAGATATAAAACCTAAACAAAATCTTAGCAAATCAAACTCAGTGATATATAAATAACACATTACAATTAAGCAGGGTTTATTCTAAAAAGCAAAAGTAAACATTTGAAAATCATAAATGTAATTTACAGTATCCACTCACAACAAACAAAAACTCTTAGCAGGCAGGGCACAGTGGCTCATGCCTGTAATCCCAGCACTTTGGGAGGGCGAGGTGGGTGGATCACTTGAGGTCAGGAGTTTGAGACTAGCCTGGCCAATGCTGCGAAACCCCGTCTCTACTAAAAATACAAAAATTAGCCAGGCATGGTGGCGCGCACCTGTAATCCCAGCTACTCGGGAGGCTGACACAGGAGAATCGCTTGAACCCACAAGGCAGAGGTTGAGTGAGCTGAGATCATGCCACTGCACTTCAGCCTGCGCGACACAGCAAGACTCAAACAAACCAAAACAAACCTCTTAGCAGGATAGGCGAGATAATCCCAGCACTTTGGGAGGCCAAGGTGGGTGAATCACTTGAGGTCAGGCATTCAAGACCAGCTTGGCCAACATGGTGAAACCCTGTTTCTACTAAAAATACAAAAATGAGCTGGGTGTGGTGGTGCATGCTTGTAATCCCAGCTAATTGGGAGGCTGAGGCAGGAGAATTGCTTGAACCCAGGAGCTGGAAATTGCAGTGAGCCGAGATCAGGCCACCACTGCACTCCAGCCTGGGTAAAAAAGTGTGTGAGACTCTGTCTCAAAACAACAACAACAAAAAACTTGCAAACCAGGAATAGAAAGGCACTCCCTTAATCTGAAACAGGAATAACTCCCCAAACCTTCAGCAAACATCTAATTTCTCCCCAGCAATAAGCTATCAGCAAGTCTATTCAAGTACATAGTGAAGGTCCTATTGTTGGTGCAGTAAAGGGAGAAAAATCACTTGGGAACCATTATATTAATAATTGGGGGATTCAGTCATGAATCATCAATGGATGCTGAACCAGTGGGTGAAATCTGACGAGAAACAAGTTATTTACAGGTTTCAAAGTATCTCTCCACACAATATTTATTAATTTCAAAGAGAAAGATAGTGGCTGGGTGCAGTGGCTCACGCCTGTAATCCTAGCACTTTGGGAGGCCAAGGCAGGTGGATCACAAGGTCAGGAGTTTGAGACCAGTCTGGCCAATATGGTAATTCCCCATCTCTACTAAAAATACAAAAAAATTTGCCTGGCGTGGTGGTGCACACCTGTAATCCCAGCTACTCGGGAGGCTGAGGCAGAAGAATGGCTTAAACCTGGGAGGCAGAGGTTGCAGTGAGCTGAGAATGCGCCACAGCACTCCAGCCTGGGTGACAGAGCCAGACTCTGTCTCAAACAAAAAAAAAAAAAAAAAAAGATAGTAACTTTCTGTGGAAAAATCTGGTGAACACCACCTTAACTAAGTGATCAAAGTTAATTTCCCCAACAACAAGACAAATTGACATCATGGTCCCCTCAATATGACACACTGAAAAGAACAAAAAAATCATTTTTATGGCATTCCTTATATTTTTAAAAAATGCATAACCTGACTTGAATCATAAGGAAACATCAGATAAACGCAAATTGGGATTAAACTACAAAATAACCACCCTGTTTTCTTAAAATATGTCAAGGTCAAGAAAGACAAAGTCTGAAAAGCTATTTCCAGATTAAAGAAGACAAATGGGACATAACAATCAATGCAATACATCATTCTGTATCAGATCCTGAACCAGAATTTTTTCTCTTTTGCTATTAAGGAACATTTTTAGGTCAACTAATGAAAGTGGAAAAATGTTTGTAGATTATAGTATTGTATCAATGTTAATTTTCTGAGTTTTATAACTACACTGCAGTAACTTAAGAGAATGTATATTTCCTAAACAAATAAGGGTAAGTTACACAATAAAGTAATTACGGTTAAATGAGCAGCATGTCTGAAATTTACTTTCAAAGAGTTAAAGAAAAAAAAAAAAGCTAGTGCTTTCATTTTCATTATCATTTAGTGCTCCACAGTATAAATATAATCGCTTATTTATACATCCCCCTATTTGTGGAAATTTAGGTTATATCCACCTTTTTACTATTACATACATTGCTACTATGAACATTTTAGTATGTCTCATATTGCTATTAAGAACTTTTTTTTTTAAGTTTGTTTCCTTGTGCATGTATATTTCTCTAGGGCAGAGGTCACCAGCCTTTTTCTGTAAAAGGCCAGACGGTAAATATCTTACACTGTGTAGTCCATACAGTCCCTGTCAGTTACTCAACGTTGCCATTTCAATGAGAAGGCAGGGATAATGCAAATAGGTATTGCTGTGTTGCAATAAAACTTTATTTAAGGGCAGTGACATTTGAATTTCATGTAATTTTCATGTGTCATGAAACATTCTTCTTTTGACTTTTTCCCTCCAGTCATTAAAAATATAAAAGCCATTCTGAGCTCATGAGCCTCTTAAAAACAGGCAGCTGGACAAATTTGGCTGGGTCATAGTTTTCTTTTCTTTTTTTTTTTTTAAAGACAGAATCTCACTCTGTCACGCAGGCTGGAGTGCAGTGGCACAATCTCGGCTCACTGCAACCTCTGCCTCCTGGGTTCAAGCGATTCTCGTGCCTCAGCCTCCCAAGTAGCTGGGATTACAGGCATATGCCACGATGCCCGGCTGATTTTTGTATTTTTAGTAGTGATGGGGTCTCACCATGTTGGCCAGGCTGGTTTTGAACTCCTGGCCTCAAGTGATCTGCCTGTTTTGGCCTCCCAAAGTGCTAGGATTACAGACGTGAGCCACTGCGCCTGGTCTGGGGCATAGTTTTCTGATACCTGACCTAGGGTATCCTTTAGCAATGGAATGATTTGGTCCTTGGGGATGTGCATTTTCAAGTTCAATAGGTATTGCCAAACTGATCTCCAAAGTGGTTTCAGTACTGTTTTTAAGTTTTCCTGTTTCCTGTTTCTATGCATCATCTCCCACTGTAGTGATGTTTTAATTTCTACGTCTCATGGGGTTATCAGACAGCTCACACCTATAATCCTAGCGTTTTGGGTGGCTAAGGCAAGAGGATTGCTTGAGGCCAGAAGTCGAGAGCAGCCTGAGCAGCATAGTGACACTCTGTCTCTACAAAAATAAAAAAATCAGCTGGTTGTGGTGGCACAAGCCTGTAGTCCCAGCTACTAAGGAGGCTGAGGCAGGAGGATCCCTTGAGCCCAGGAGTTTGAGACTGCAATGAGCCATAAGCGCACCACAACAATTACGAATATGAGAAAAACGTAACTTAGAAATATAAATGCAGCAAAAGAAAATATAGAGAGAATTAAATGTGTATGTTCGAAAAGCAATTTTATGTGGCTCTGCAGGGCTACAGCCCAAGTCTTTCTTAAGAACTATCAAGATTTTCCAAAGCCTTGAGTCACCATGTTACAAGTCTGAGTACCCTGCTGCAGAGGCCATCTGAAGAGGTCTTTAGACTGCAGACATGGAACTTCCCGACCAAACCACACAAGCCACCACCAAATCATCCCTGCAGATGCTACATGAAGAAGAAAAGTCACCTAGCTAAGCCTTTCTCAAGTCCCTGACCTTCAAAACCTGTATCTCTTGGTATAGAAGACAAACTAATAGATCACTACTACTTCAAGATAAAGTCTTTAAATACTATATTTCTGGATGTAATATTAAATTAGACCCCTCTGTGAGCTACCAAAACCAAAATGTTCTTTCCCTTAGCACCCCAGCTTCACTAGTCTATCTACTTCTATGTACCTTTCAGCAAGATGATAGCATAGTCAGTTCAGTTCGTTAGTCAGGCAGCAGTTTAGTGCTACAGGTGTTGCTGGAAACTCCTTAACTTTCTATGGAATGAAAAAGTCTAGCAATGATACCTATTCCAAAGCAGTGCAGTTGGCGCTACCTTTACACAGAATACACAATCTCTTAAAAATACACTTATCTCAAGCTGAAGCACACAAACTTCTAAAGCCAGAAATTAAACCGAGAAATGACTGCATGAGATAAGTAGTTCCAAATGTTCCTTATGCTTTAAAGTGAGAGGATCATCAAAGTGTCAGGGAATTCAGTATTCTGTGAGACAGACCAATGAAATTTGAGAAACACTTTAACTTTGAAAGTGCAAACACGTAATTCAGGAAGATGCACAGTTTCATTAAAAGCTTAAATTAACAGAGACTCAAGAAATAAGTGAAGCCTGTAAATGGTGAAAGCAAAAGAGACTGAGGAGCTGATACCCAAACTTGTGAAGGAGAAGCTGATGAACAGCTTCAGACTTAACTGCTATTATGATTTACTAAATCATTCTTTTATATCTCCTGTGGTTAAAAAATGAAAACCAACCTGGGCTGAAAACAGAAGACTGAATGCCAAAATGTTTGGAATCCCACTTCATTCAAATAGTGACCACTGGGGTTATGAAGAAAGAGAAGTTATTGGTTTCCACAGAAGCAGAGTCAGCAGGGGTCATGGTAGTTAAGTAGTACCTTCATCTTGTCTCCAGAATTTAGTTCTTGATTCATAAGTAGGAGGTTATGAAGGTAGAAAGTTGTAGATTTTTGAATATATGAAACAACAAGGTTACTAAACAGTTTAAATTCTCCAAGCCTAGGAGAATTTCTAGTTCCTCGTCGTCCACTCTTTATTAAAAATGAAAAGTGAATTTACCATCTATTGGATGCCAGCACTGTTTGTTATTTTTTTTCTCCCGTTCTGTTTCAAAAACTGTAATGCAGTGAATTTGGGAGGGGGAAAAAACGCATCTTCAAAAACTATAAAATGTATTTGATATAGCAACTCCTCCCTCACCCCACCCCCAAACAAAACAAACAAAAACAACCTCCAAAGGCAAGATCAGAACATAGCTGTTTTCATACTACTCCAGGCTGATTTCAGATGGCTTCAAGGTAGCTGTTGTTAAACTAGGACAAGGCAGAGTGTCCAAACATCCCAGTGTGCCTGGGACTATCCCAATTTTAGCACTGAAAGCCCCATATACTCTGAAGATAATAGTTAATAATTTTTGCCAATGGATGCAGAAGATTCTGGGAAGTACAAAACCCTAAGGTAGACAAAAAAAATTAGGGTCCAAAAACAACCCTGTTTTTAGTGTCAAATGGATATGGCACAGATTATCTATCACTTTCTGTAACTGTAGCCATTGTTTTATTACCTGATGATGGCAACCATCATTTGCAGTTCACAATAATGGATTATCCATTGTTGCATCATTCTAAGTAATATGACTTAGGTATACAACTTAAGTGTGCTGTAACTGTGAGCATTAACAGTCTGTGACTTAGTGGATTAACTGGCATTTTATATCAAGATACTGTTTTACTTTTAGTATCGTGAATAGTATGACCATTTCTAAGAGCTTAAGTAATGAAAATGAGAGCAAGACCCAGGCATCACTAAATGAAAGAAAAAACAAAAGGAAGGAAAAGTTTCTAACATTCTTCCTCTTTTGTCCATACTTATGCTTGCCTAGTTTCAGAAATTCCTGAATCCATTCCCAATCAACTAGAAGTTAAACTAAGGCCAGGTGCGGTGACTCACACTTCTAATCCCAGCACTCTGGGAGGCTGAAGTAGGTGGATCACTTGAGGTCAGGAGTTTGAGACCAGCCTGGACAACATGGAGAAACCCCATCTCTACTAAAAATACAAAAATTAGTCAGGCATGGTGGTATGCGCCTGTAATCCCAGCTACTAGGGAGGCTGAGGAAGCAGAATTGCTTGAACCTGGAAGGCAGAGGTTGCAGTCAGCCAGTGAGCTGAGATGGCGCCACTACACTCCAGCCTGGGCAACGGAGCCGAGACTCCATCTACTCCATCTCAAAAAACAAAAACAAAAACAAAACATTAAACTAATGACTGTTTCTATGCTATTTATATCTTTGAAATAAATTACTAATTAAGTTGCCCATTTTGTTTTGTCTTTCTTTAGCTTCCCAAACTGTCCAAAAGTTGGATTTTGGGTTTCATAAGAATTGTCATTTAAAATACCACATGACTGTTGAAAAATACTTTGACTGTTGAAAGAATGGGGAAAAAATACCAGGTAGGTATGGGAGAGAAAAGATGGCTGTATAGATTAAAGATAGCTGCAAATTATTTGTCATTCTTCCCACTGAAGGGTGGAATCTACTCCCTCTCCCCTTCAATCAGGGCTGGCTCTGTATTCTTTTGGCCAATACAATGTGGAAGACGTTAACACTGTAAATTTCTGAAGTTGGGCCTCAAGAGATTTGTGGCTTTCCATTTTTGCCCTCTTAAAAGTGCTGCTTCATCAATAAATAATACTTCTCCATAATAACTTATTATTTTTCCTTCTCTTGTTCAGTCGCCCCTTCCTTTGGGGGGAGGTACAGGAAAAAGAGGTAAGAGTAAGAATAGGGAAGCAAAGTGATGAGGAAGCGGGGAGAAAGGGAGAGGAAGGAAATGCTGAAGAAAGCTGAAGCTATTAAGTCGGGTCCCAGGCTACAGTCTGACTTCCCCAATAACTTAAGCTGTGCCAAACAACCCTTCTATACCTCAAGTTCCTCAAATATTCAACATACTTTTCTAATAGCAACAGGAATAATCAATTTATGAAAGTCTAGACATACAAAGTATGTAATTTCATTCTCTTTCCTCTCTCATTACAACACTGGTCAAAATCAGCTAATATCTAGAAAAAGGTAGTCAGTGAAAGAAAAACAATGCAAACTAAAATTCAAATAGAAGAGAAGACAAGCAAGTAAAGGAAGCTCTTTTTCTTTTCTCTATCTGCTAATAAAATAAATAATATCAAGTAACACGGAGTGCTTATTATATGCCTGGAATTGCTTTAAGTAATATATATTTCCTCAATCCTCATGGCAATCTTATAAGGTAACTACAATTATTATTTTTAACGACAATTATTACCCTTGTTATATAGCTGAGAAAACAGAGAAGTTAAGTAATCTATCCAAGATCACATAGCTAACAAGTAGTAAAGCCAGATGTTGAACCTCAGCATTCTGACTTTTGAGTTCATATTCTCAATGCATTTCTAGCGAAAATCACTTTCTTTTCTCCTTCCTTTCTTTCTTCCTTTCTTTCCTTCCTCTCTTTCCTTCTTTCTTTCCTTCCTCCTTTCCTCTTTTTCCTCTTCTTTCTTTCTCCCTCCCTCTCTTTTTTCTTTCTTTCTTCTCAGCTCTGTCACCCAGGCTGAAGTGCAGTGTCATGAATTGCAGCCTCAACCTCCTGGGCTCGAGCAACAAGCAATCCTCCCACCTCAGCCTCCTGAATTCCTGGGACTTTGGGTGCATGCTGTGACATCCGGTTAATTTTTGTATTTTTTGCAGAGATGGGGCCTCGTTATGTTGCCCAGGCTGGTCTTGAACTCCTGGGCTCAAGCAATCCTCCTGCCTTGGCCTCCCGAAGTGTTATCTCAGGATAACAGGTATGACCCACTAAACTTTGCCTGAAAATCACTTTCATTCCAAGTGAGGTTCTACTTTACTGTTTCAAGTACATGAACTCACATGATAAACAGAATTTATCACTTTAACTGGGATGAAATCAGGAAATAAACATACTTAAGTAAGGAGTAAATAAGGAATGACACCATGATGTAGTTTCCAAAAGTAATGCAATCAAAAGAAAAAGAGGTGTATTCCCCTAAGTAGGCAGAAACTAGAAACCCTGTTCATATTCCATGGAATGCCAATCGTTTGGGAGAAGCTGTGCTCTAGTTCAACAGACAGTGTTAGGTATTTACGGTCTCCAGTAAAACTGGCAAACTGATTGGGTTCTGCAATGAGTTTATATATAACATAAAAGACTGGCTAAGGCGAAATGGAAAACACTTTTCATTTGGAGACAGAAGCATTTTTGCTGGTATCTGTAGAGAACAACATTGCATGCAACAGTTTAGCATCACTCTTTTCAACCTAGTAGACAAGGTCCATAAAGGAAGACAGGCTGAAATGAAAAGGAAAACAAACTAAAGTAGTAGTATATGTATATTAGAAAGGAAGGCAGAAAAAAGTTACTTCAGGAAAAACGGGAGAAAATATAGGAGAAGGAATTCACTTGGTTAAAAAAAAAAGGAAAAGAAAACTAGATATGAACAAGTGCAGTACAAAAATGAAGAAATGTATAAGAGAGTAGGTAGGCTTGTTAGAGCCCCCAGAGTGAAAAAAAGAAAAGGTAGAATATCAAAAGAAAGTTTATAGGAACAAGCTAGCCACCATCAATCACCTTTGTCCTCTATTCCAATCATCTCCTAACTGGATAATCTGCTGCCCCTCTCTGAAGCTCTCTCCATGTAGCAGCTGATGACCTTTTTTTTTTTGGGTGGCAGGGTCTCGCTCTGTACTCCCAGGTGGGAATGCAGTGGTACGATCATGGCTCACTGCAGCCTCGCCCTCCTGGGCTCAAGAATCCTCCCATATCATTTTTTTATGTTTTTGTACAGACACGGGCTCACTATGTTGCTCAGGCTGGTCTCCAACTCCTGGGCTCAAGCAATCCTCTCAACTTGGCCTCCCAAAATGCTGGGATTACAGGCGTGAGCCACCATGCCCGGCTATTGACCTTGTTTGAAATAAATGTGATGTCACCTCCAGTATCATCTTGCACCGCTCTCCTATCTGACACCATTATTGTCCTCCCTTAAGTTCCCCAAACATGCCATGCTCCCCTATTTTACTCTCTCTACCTAGAAAGCACTGCCTCTCTACCTTCTGTTCTCTAATACCCACTTCAAACCACCCTGATTAGATCCAATTCTCATGATTTCAGGTTAAGTGTCCCTTATCCGAAATGCTTGAAACTAGAAGAAATGTTTCAGATTTCAGATTTTTTTTTTGGATTTTGGAATATTTGCAAATTTTATTATATTATCCCAACTGAGCATCCCAAATCCAAAAATCTGAATTGATTCAATGAGCATTTCTTAGGGGGGTCATGTTGCTTCAAATTCTGGAGGATTTTGGATTTCTAAATTTGGGATGTTCAACTTGTATAAACAATCCACCACTGATTGCTGTACTTGTCAGTTGTAATTTTACATTTAAAAGTATTATTTTATTATTTTTTACTTTCCTCACTAGACTGAACACTCTATGAAAAAAACATGGTTTCTTCTCCCTCACTGTTATGCCTCTCAGTGCAGTGTCATTGCCTACAACATAGTAGGTGTTCAATAAGTATCTGTTGACTGAATAAATACAGGGGAGCAACCTGCCAAAACTGTCTATCATAAGTGGAAAAGGGGTTATGAGCAACAGTTAGTGAAGAGAAGTGAAAGAAACAAGTCAAAGAGGGGAGAGGAGAGTAGAAAATTTTAACACAAGCTGTGGCTTAATGAAATCCATACAATTTTAGTGTGCTTTTGTATAAATAAAGACAACCAGTAGGTCTCCTTTTCCCTACAGAAGCTATAAAAAGAAATGGAATTAGAATCTTAGTAGTTATAAAGATATAAAACATACTTCAGAGCAAAAATGTCAAACAGGCATCTCAAATTTAGTATGACCAGTGTTGTTAATTTCCTTCTCATTCTTCTATCAGTCTACTCCATCTCAGTAAATGGCAGTACCACTAATACCTCAGGCTAAACAAAACCTTTTGATTCCTCTTATTCTGACACTCAATGTACAGTTCATCAAGTCCTGTAAGCTCTACATCCAAACATATCCTCAACCTATCAACTTCTCTTCCCCAGTCTCCACTGACATCATGCTAATTGAAGCCCCGACCACTTCTACCTTGACTACTACAATATTATCCTAATTTATTGTCTTGCTTTTAATCTTGCCCCCTAATTAATTCCACAAAAAGCAGCCAAACTTTTTTTTAAAAAAAGATAAACCATATCATTACACCCCCTTGCGCCAAACTCGTCAATGGCTTCCCGCTGAGAAAGATATAAAAATTATTCATGATCCTGCATGAAAGATCTCCTGCCTCTCATATCACTCTCTCCTTTGCTTTCTACATTTCAGCCTTTTTGTTTATCAAATCAATCTTTACACGCATCCCCTCTGCCATATTCTGAAGTGTCTCTTAGTTAAGGTGTTTACTTAATTAAGTGTAACCTCCTCAGGGATGCCTTTCTTGACTTCAATGCTATGTAAAATGGCTTCCCCATCATTGCTGTTTATGTCTTCCGTATTTATCATACTGTTTATCATCTGGTTTATTTCATTAACAACAAATATGTTTCAGGTGCAAGAAATATGATGGTGAAAAAAAAGTCATTACTTTTTCACAGTTTATTACAGAGATATGCTTTCACAGAACCTAAGACAGAAGACTAAATAAAGGCAGAGTCCTTGACTCTCTTATGCACTTCACCGTGGTACACTGACTGTTAGAGTAGGATGCTGTAAATGTGATGAGCAAATGAAAACCTAGTTTAGTTTTTCAAGGACTCGACTGGAAAGTAAAGAAAGTGTAATATGTAGATGTCTTAATATTAAATCCTAGGAGCCTATGTATGGGGAAATATTTTGAACACTTATAAACCTGGTAATACAAAATATGCAGCAAATTATGGTGGAATATTTTATTATTATTTGAGATGTAGTTTCGCTCCTCGCCCAGGCTGGAGTGCGAATGGTGCGATCTCGGCTCACTGCAACCTCCAGCTCCTGGGTTCAGGTGATTCTCCTGCCTCAGCCTCCCGAGTAGTTGGGATTACAGGCGCGCGCCACCACGCCAGACTAATTTCTGTATTTTTAGTAGAGACGGGGTTTCACCATGTTGGCCAGGCTGGTCTCAAACTCCTGACCTCAGGTGATCCGTTCATCTCGGCCTCCCAAATTGTTGGGATTACAGGCGTGAGCCACCACGCCTGGCCGGAATATTTTATTATTATTAAAAGTGTAAGACACCAAAAGAATCATGGGAAATAAGCAGAAAACATTAGTATTAAATATCATTTATTTGGAAAGATTCAATATAGCATATGAAAATTGGTTATGAGGAACTAAAATTGTTCCTTTTCCTTATGCTTTTTTTTTTTGGAGACAGAATCTCGCTCAGTTGCCCTGGCTGGAGTGCAGTGGCGCTATCACTGCAACCTCTGCCTCCCGTTTCCAAGCGATTCTCCTGCCTCAGCCTCCGCAGTAGCTGGGACTACAGGCGCGCGCCAACCACACACGGCTAATTTTTGTATTTTTAGTAGAGTGGGGTTTCGCCATGTTGGCCAGGCTGGTCACCAATTCCTGGCCTCAAGTGATCCGCCTGCCTCGGCCCTCCAAAATGCTGTGTGTGATTAAGGGCGTGCCGCCACCGTGCCCAGAACCCTTATGCTTATGCTCTAAAGAAGTTACCGTTTGCTTGCTTTATAAAAATGCTTAAGACATGGTGAAACTCGAATTTATCATACCTATACATTCAAAGACCCTTAGATTAGAATAAAGTAAAAGTAGTAGTTTGAAACTCACATTAACTCTACATCTGTGGCTTTATTTGTGCTTGTTTTAATCCTCCCTATGTTCATCCAATTAGAATTTTAACTCAATCGGGCCTATAGAAGCTGGAAATCTAGGATAGCACAAAAGTATAATCATCTGCATACTGAAGATAATAAGCACGAGTAAGCCATCTTTTGTTTCCAATTTCAAAACAAAAACAACACACATAGCACTACCTGTAACACAAGCTGCACCCTCTCAGCCTCGACAGGTACCCATTCCGCAAACTGGAATGGAGGTAATACGAAACGAACCCAGAAAAACTCAGAAGCTTTTCTTACTCTTACTAGGAAATCTCCTGTAAAGTTCTCATCACTTTTAGATAAAGGCTGGCTTGTACGGTAAGACTTTTTTTTCACTTTACTATACTCAAGTAAGAAGAATTAAGAAAAATTACCTCTATTATTCACTATTCTTTCACTAGACTAACACTGAGTACCTACTGTGTTCCAGGCACTGTTCGAGGTGCTGTTAACAAAGCAGTACCAAAGCATTCCCATTCCTCAACACCCTCCTATAGAACCTGTTTAGGGATTTTCTTAATTTTAAGTTAAATTGTACTTTCTTGATTCAGTAATCTTTCCGAAACATACTAAAAGAAGTTATTTTTTGAAGTAAAGCTTATGACATATTGCAATGAAAATCATCTTTGCAAAATTATCCAAAGAGTAGTTAATTCTTTTTAACAAGAAGAATGAGTCTCTGAGCAGCAGAGACTCATTTTGCTAAACAAAGTGTAAACACTGAACCCATAGTCAAATTAAGTAATATAAACACTTCTTGGGCTACAATTACAATAACATTTAGCTCTATTTTGGGGGTCCTTATATATTCATAGGCCAAAAAAATCAATATTGTTCCCCATTACCACCTTCCCCAACAAAAACATACAGCTTTTCTTGAGGCTGGCTTAGTCTACTTACAGCAAATGTTTAACTTTCCCTCACGAGTGAGTAAAACTCAAATTGTGTCAATAAGCTTTAGTTACGGCCCCAAAATTGACACTGTAAACCTTACTCTTTTTCCAGATAAATTATTTTACAGAATATTTTTATAAAAACACATTCCGAAAGAATATCAGACAAGGCCAGGCCTAATCTGAAGGCTGGCTGCAAAAGCAAGCCTGAAACTCTGAGAAACAGACCAGAGGGTATAAAACACACCTCAATGAAACTGTCTGTCCCCTCCCTACTTAGATTGGTCCCCAGTTGCACCCAACCTTAGCAATTTGAAACTTTTCATGAACACCAGACAAGATGTGAATGCTGGCTGCTCTCATCCTTAGGCCACCACCCCAAAATTTTTTAAATGTCAAAGACTTCAGCGCGCACTCTCAAAGGACGCCCACCAACTCTGGCTCGTAGCTCAATCCACCCGCGCCCCCTGGGCCGAACCGGCTCGCAGCCGAGCCCCTCGCCTAGGCGGACTCGAACCAGGTGCGCTCGCAGCACACTCCCTCCCCGTCATCGCTCATCCCTCGTACTTCACCGCCCCCGAAACCCACCCAGCGCAGATAACTGAATATCCGGGGTTCTGGGGGCCACGTTTTCCAGTATACCCTCCCTTCTCCCCGTCAAGGGCAGAAACAGACGTACCTTCCAGAAAAGTAATCTCCCCTGCGCTACCGCCGCTCTTGCCGGCCGCCATCTTCCTCCTCCCACGCCGCCTCCTTCTTAATCCATGGCCCACACCGCCGCCGTGCTCGCCGGGATGAGGGGCCGCGCCGGAGGAGGGTAGACGCCGCAGGGTTGCGGGCCTCGGGCTCAGCCGTCAGGCGGGCTGCGCTCCCACGTTCAGACGGGCCTATACAAAGGCAGGCCAGGCGCGCCCGGGCCTGTCCGCGGGCTGGCGGGCAGCGAGGCCCGCGGCCCGAGCTTCTCAGGCCTCTCCGGGGGAACGCGACCGGCGACGACGACGACGGCGCTTCCCGGGCCCGGTTCCTCTCGGCCCACGACTCCCCATCCACCGCCCACCCAGGCTGCCTGAGAAACTTCCCCCAGCCGTGGGTTCCCAAGAAAGGAGAATGAAAGCGAGCACACAAACACGCCTCCCTTCGTCCCAGGCCGTAAAATGGCCGCACCCGCCGCGCCGGAGCGGCGAGGTCTCTGCGACCGTCAGGCGCCCCCAGGCCCCTAGCTCGTTCTGCAGCCGCCGCCGCTACGGCCGTCCGCCCACCCCGCCCAGGCGTGAATGCATCAGCGGAGGCCTTTGCGACTGTCCATGTGGACAGGGGTGGGTCTCCTCTGCCACCGCCTCGCGTCGGTCGCCACAGCAGCTCCAGCCGCCGCCGCTGCCGCTCCTCCCCCACGGGCGCTGGAGCTGCCGCCCGGCTCCCGCCCCCGCCCCGACGCCGCCGCCCCCAGCGCGGCTCCCCCTCAGCAGCCCGGACTCGGCTCGCGGGCAGAGCTGGCTGCGGCGCCGCACCGAGCCCTGACTTGTGGGCGCCCGCCGCCCGGGCTTTCGGCAGGGTAGGCCTTTCACGGCGCGGGCTCGGCCTAGACACGTTACATCCAAAATCCCCACCGCCCAGGGCCCCATGGCAGACCTGGCGTGTGCGATGGGTTTGCTCCTCTGGCACCACAGATGCCTAAGAAATGTGAAAATGTCATTTCTTGAGGAGACCTTAGAATTTAAACTACAGCCAACCGAAGAGAAAAGGTAGTGAGGTACTGGAATCATATGTTTAGTAAATGATTCGTGGTCTACATTTATTTTTAAAGAAGTTTCCAAAATAATTTAGCAGGGAAGATCCTACCAGTCAGCTTTAAATGGCAGTGTTTTTTTGTTTTTTAAAAAGTCCCTTGTCATTTACGTGCCTGAGACTTGAAAAAACCATACCCTACCTTACAAGTGAGGCCTTTTTTTTTTTTAACTTCTTTTCCTTTAAAAATTTTCTCTTATTATAAAAATAATACATTCTCATTCAAGGAAATATGGAAAGCACAGAAAATGATTATAATGTTTCACGACTGAAACTCAACTCCTGTAGGTTTGTAGTCCTCTGATAGCATTTTTCTTGTCTTTCAGTATCGTTCTTTAAAAAACAAAAATGAGCAAAAATCTATGCTAAATGTCAATGAAAAGTCAACAGCAATTAAAATGATGCAGAAAACCGACATGATTAAGTGCAGTCTTTGGGGAATGGACTGTTCTAATTCAGTTGTGCTATTAACGAAGGCCTAAGCGGAAAGGCTTATTGTTTAAAACGTCCTTTAAAATCTTTTTCCTAATGCGAACCAATAATCTTTCCTGATTGGCAAGAGTAGTGTAATGAATGTAATTTATTTTTGTTGCCTGAGGTTATTGCATGATCCTGTTGTGGTGTTCTATGACATCGTCTGTGCCAATGACAGTATAATACTGAGAAGTGTAGGTAATAGGCAAATGTGGGTAACTGGCCATTTGTACAGACTTCAACATGTAGTTTTAAAAAAATCTTTAAGGCCGGGCACGGTGGCTCACGCCTGTAATCCCAGCACTTTGGGAGGCCGAGGCGGGTGGATCACCTGAGGTCGGGAGGAGTTCAAGATCAGCCTGACCAACATGGAGAAACCCCGTCTGTACTAAAAATACAAAATTAGCTGGGCGTCGTGGCACGTGCCTGTAATCTCAGCTACTCAGGAGGCTGAGGCAGGAGAATCGCTTGAATCCGGGAGGCGGAGGTTGCGATGAACGGAGATCGTGCCATTGCACCCCAGCCTGGGCAACAAGAGCGAAACTCCGTCTCAAAAAAAAAAAAAAAAAAACTTTCAGCAGCTTGATTCCATTTGGAAAAATTGTTTTTTTAATTAAAAATAAATCTTTGCTTTTAAAATGCATATATGCTGGCTTTGAAAATGGAAGAAGGTGCCAGGAGTCAAGGAATGTGTGTGGCCTCTGGAAGCTGGAAAAAGCAAGAAAATCAGTTCTCCTCAAGAGTCTCCAGAAAGGAAAACTGACACTTTGACTTTAGCCCAATCAGAAAGGTATTGGACTTCTGACCCTGCAGAACTATCAGAAAAAAATTTGTGTTAAATTGCTAAATTAGTGGTAATTACCATGTGTTACAGCAACACATGGAATGGGAAACAAGGTAAAGTGTGTAGAAGATTTTTGTTTGTTTGTTTTTTGAGACGGAGTTTCACTTGTCGCCCAGGCTGGAGTGCAATGGCATGATCTCGGTTCACGGCAACCTCCGCCTCCCAGGTTCAAGCGATTCTCCTGCCTCAGCCTCCCGAGTAGCTGGGATTGCAGGCGCCCGCCACCACGCCCGGCTAATTTTTGTATTTTTAGTGGAGACGGGGTTTCACCACCTTGGCCAGCCTGGTCTCGAACTCCTGACCTCAGGTGATCCACCCGCCTCGGCATCCCAAAGTGCTGGATTATAGGCGTGAGCGACCGCGCCCGGCCCCTTTCCTGGTTTTTTTAGCCTGGTGAATAGCGTTGTCATTTATTAATGTCATTCATGCATTTCTGGTTTCACAAGCCAGAAAACTAGGAATCTCTCATCTCTCTTTCTCGCTCCTTCTCTCTCCTCTTTCCCCTCTTTTTTAAATCAAATCTCCTTCCTGATTATCTTTTGAATCTATACATATTTTTTCCAGTTCCGGTGTCTCCCCATCAATCTTAGCCACTATAATCTTTCACTATACTACAATAATAGCTTCAAACAGGTTATTCCTTAATCTCTCTACCCCTCCTCTAATCCATTTCTCACACAAAAGCCACAATAATGTTTTTAAAAATTAATTAATTAATTGTTATTATTATTGAGACAAGGTCTGGCTCTCTGGCTCAAGCTGGAGTTCAGTGGTGCAATCTCGGCTCACTGTAACTTCTGCCTCCCAGGCTCAAGTGATCCTCCTACCTCTCCTACCTCAGTCTCCCAAGTAGCTGTGACTGCAGATGTGCACCACCATGCCTAGCTAATTTTTTTTGTATTTTTTGTAGACAGGGTTTTACCATGTTGCCCAGGCTGATCTTGAACTCATGAGTTCAAGTGATCCACCCACCTTGACCTTCCAAGGTGCTGGGATTACAGGTGTGAGCCACCGTGCCTGGCCTCTCTTTTTTTTCAATGTAAATCAGATCAAAGCACTTTACTGTTTAAAACCACTCAAAGATTTCCCTTTGCTCTTAGGATAAAGTCCTAAATCCCAGGCCCTCCCTACCTACCTCACTAGCCTCCTCTTGCAGCATTCTCATCTTCTTCATTAAGCTCCAGCCATTTTCAATTCTTTCAGTTTCTCTTTTCTACATTAGAGCCTTTGGACATGTTTTACCCTCCATCTGCAATGCACTTTTTGTCTGAATAGAATCTTGCACCAATAGATATTAATACATATCTGCTTAATGAGTAAATAATACAAAGTATCAAAAATAATTTTTTCCCAAGGAAAATTTAGAATCATAGAATTCTAGAACCCAGACTCCTTAAAGACTATGTGATACAAATCTTCTCAGAGGTTCAGAAAATGTCTATGCCCCAAGTAACATTTTGGTAGAAATTGAGGAAAGATACTCTCAAAGGGATCAGCAATCGAGGTGTGAACCTAGGGTTTGGATGTGAAGATTATAATGCTGTAATACAGTCTTCTCAGAGGTTCAGAAAATGTCTATGCCCCAAATAACATTTTGGTAGAAATCCAGGAAAGATACTCTAAAAGGGATCAGCAATTGAGGTGTGAACCTAGGGTTTGGATTTGAAGATTATAATGCTGAAATAATCTGAGTTGCTCTGAGGGGGCTGGGAATTGACAAAAGGAAGATTTGAGTTGGTTATAGACATATAACAAAGTTTTCTCTTTGTGTATGTTATCCCTAAAGCTGCAAATTCTTTTGTATCATAGGGGATGTTTCCTCTAGTTTAGCCAAATTTAAAGTGCTGTGTATAAAACTACTTGGATAAACTGACCCATATTCTATGCTGGTAGAGCTTAATAATGATTAATAAAATAGTAACTGTTTTAATACATATATTTCTTTGAAAACATAATTATTAAATCCCATTCTTCTAGGCACCACACTGAGACATGCAGTATATAGTTAATCCACAACTAAATACAAGTTTCAGGAGACAATAGCAGGTTCTGCAATTAGTGATTGGTTGGTTGATGGTTTTTCAAGGGCTAAGTGTATTTGTGCCAGATGAAATGATGAGCATTATATGAAAATAGTATATTCATTTCTGTTATAAGGATGTAAATTTCTGTCCTAACATAATTTCTACATTATCCCATTTCACTTCCAACTTGCTGATTATCTTATTATTGTTTTATTAATCCTACCATATTTCATGCTCATTTTTAATTTCCAGTTCTTCTCTTTAGTTAACGATTTCTGTCCCTGTTCCATGTTGCAGATTTTTTTCCTAGGGTTTTAGCAGGTGATTTATCAGCCATTTTAATGCTTATAATTTTAAACTTTTGATTAAATGAAGCTCGAAACTAATCTTTTAAAAATTGTAAGTGAATGTATCCTCAAAATAGCACACATTTCTTATACATAGTTCCTACCAGGCTCCTTCAGGGTCAACATTTATAAGTGAACAGAGAAGTTTTCAGGTGACTAGGCTGCATTATGACTTTCCTGGGCCCTAAGCACTATGACTTCATCAGGCCCTTCCTCCACAGGAAATATATCAAACTTTTTTTGGCCAGAGTTTAAATGCTATATATAAAACTACATTTAAAAATTTTAGATTAGTTAATTTTACAACTACTTTGATATAAAGATAAAATATAATCCAGACTGGATTTGTTGTTATATACTTATTATCATTATGTTTATTTTTTCTTTTGATTAAAAAAAATTAAAACATTTTCATAAGACCTTAAAGTTGTCATGGGCCCTTGGCACTGTGCCTCTTGTGCCTAGCAGATAAATTGGTCCTGCAGATGACCACTAGATCCTTTCGTGTTCATTAATGGAATTGATCACATGGAAATAATTTCTAGCTGATCTCCGAGGCAGTAGTTCTCACACTTTAACATGCATAGGAATCAACTAAAGAGCTTATAAAGCAGTTTCCTGGGCCCTATCCCAGACCATCTGATTACATAGGTCTGGGTAGGATTCATGAATTTGCATTTCTAATAAGCTCAAAGGTGGTACTGATCTGAGAACCACACTTTCAGGATAGTATAGCTATTTTATTTATGTAAAGGCAGTACTCTCAATATGATTTGGTAGGTATACTATCCAGATCTCCTAACCAACCTTTACTGAACATCTACTGTCATTCTTTTTTTTTTTTGAGACGGAGTCTCGCTCTGTCACTCAGGCTGGAGTGCATTGGCGCGATTTCGGCTCACTGCAAGCTCCGCCTCCCGGGTTCATGCCATTCTCCTGCCTAAGCCTCCAGAGTAGCTGGGACTACAGGCGCCTGCCACCACACCCGGCTAATTTTTTTTTGTATTTTTAGTAGAGATGGGGTTTCACCATGTTGGCCAGGATGGTCTTGAACTCCTGACCTTGTGATCCGCCCGCCTTGGCCTCCCAAAGTGCTGGAATTACAGGCATGAGCCACCACACCTGGCCATTCTTATTTTATAAGTGAACATAGACTCAAAGGTTAAATGACCTTGCCAAGGTGACTCAGCTAGAAAATTGTAGACCTAGGATTTGAGCTGAAGTCCATCTAGACTCCAAAGTTCATGGTCTCTTATTATCATTATAATGTGGTGATGATAGGTAGAATATAATCCATGGACCTAGAAGCAAGTATTTAAACATGAAATAATGCATAAAAGTGGTACTTTCATAGGTCATCATTGTTGTATTTTCCCTATTTATTTGAGTCTGCTGATGGCTGCCTTCTTTCTTGGTATTTTTTCTTCACTTCTTATCTCCAGTTAATAACAGCAGAAGGAATGCACTAATGGGATGTAACACAGTTTTCTGAAAGTGCTATTCTGTTCTTTTTTTTTGAGACGGAGTCTCACTGTGTGGCCCAGGCTGGAGTTCAGTGGCGCAATCTTGGCTCACTGCAACCTCCACCTCCCAGGTTCAAGCAATTCTTCTGCCTTAGCCTCCCAAGTAGCTGGGACTACAGGTGCACACACCACGCCCGGCTAATTTTTGTATTTTTAGTAGAGACAGGCTGGTCTTGAACTCCTGACCTCGGGTGATCTGCCTGCCTCGGCCTCCCAAAGTGCTGGGATTACAGGCCTGAGCCACCAAGCCCAGCCCGAAAGTGCTGTTCTTTAAAGCTGACTCCAAACTAAATCTGATTAGGATTTTGTATTTTTCATTAGCTTCACTTTACAAACAGAACTGCTTCATTACTTCTGCAGGTCGACAAACTTTAGTTTTCAGAACATACACAAAAAAGGATTAAGTAGCACTCTGAGCTTTGGACTTTAAACTCCTTTGCTTTAGGAGGTTAAAAGACTCATTTTATAACTAGCTTCCTTATCTATTCTTCTAAATATAATTTTATTATAAATAAATACATGTGAGATAATTACTTTATCTTTCTCCCTATTTGTATGTGTACATATTTGTAAATTTCTTACTGCTTTTCTTTCTCTGATTCTTTTGTTTCTGAAGAGCATAGTCTAATACAAATGTTGGCTATTTTCTAAAGTCATATTTTTCAAGAAGATGCTTTGATGACCTCAAAGTTTGCCAAACCATTGTTCACCACCCCAGTGTAAAGGAGCCACAACGTTTTCAGCAATCACACAAACGTTAAGTATAGGGAAAAAAAAGTATATATATATATAAAGTGTATATATATACATATATACATAGTGTATATATATACTGTGTGTATATATATAGTGTATATACTGTATATATATACATAGTGTATGTATATATAGTGGATATATATATATATAGTGTGTGTGTGTGTATATATGTATTTTTTTGTTTTTTTGTTTTTTTGTTTTTTTTTTTAGACAGGGTCTCACTCTGTCGCCCAGGCTGGAGTGCAGTGGCATGATCTCGGCTCACTGCAACTTCCGCCTCCTGGGCTCAAGCGATTCCCTCACCTCAGCCTCCTGAGTAGCTGGGATTACAGGCATGTGCCACTAGCCTGGCTAATTTTTGTATTTTTAGTAGAGACGGGGTTTTGCCAGGTTGGCCAGGCTGGTCTCCAACTCCTGACCTCAAGTGATCAACGCACCTCAGCCTCCCAAAATGCTGGGATTACAGGCCTGAGCCACCACGCCCAGCCAAGTATGGAAAGATATATTACAAGGATAGAGAAATTATCAAATACACCATGGAAAATCTTTTTGGCAGAACGCTTTGCAGCTATTTAAGCCAGTGAAGTAGATCCATTAGTACTGAAAAAAGTTATGGATATGAGGATGTATTTTTGGTAAAGAAGGTTAAAAAGAATAGAGAATAATTTTGTATAAGAAAGATTCTTGTATGGTAAGTTTTTGTCCTAAGGTAAAATGACTAGTTAAGAAAGAGAAGTATAAGACAAAGCAGAAAATTCAAGCATGTCATCAGTGGTCTGAATAAGTTGTGATAAGGTTTGTGAAAGCGAACTTTATGAGAGGAATTTTGTTTATGATCAAGTTAGCTATAATTAGAAGGCAATTATTTATGAGTCTTTGTAAAATTGAGCTTTAATATTAAAAATACACTAATACAAAACTAAACAAATTTGCTCCCCTATGTTAGAACAACAGGATTTTCTTTAAGTATTCATTTGCTCTTAATAAAATTACCAGAGGTTTTGATTTTTAATTGTCAAATCTGTTTCTTTAACAGCCATCTTCTGAACTGCTAACAGTTTGTATTTCTGCCACATTTCTTCCTGAGATCTATTTAGTTTCCCAAGTTTTAGATTGGAGATGCTGTCTTTGTTTTGTTTTGTTTGTTTTTTTTTTTTTGAGACAGAGTCTTGCTCTGTTGCCCAGGCTGGAGTGCAGTGACACAATCTCGGCTCACTGCAACCTCTGCCTCCCAGGTTCAAGCGATTCTCCTGCCTCAGCCTCTGGAGTATCTGGGATTACAGGCATCCTTCACCACACCCAGCTAATTTTTTATATTCTTGTAGAGGCAGGGTTTCACCGTGCTGGCCAGGCTGGTCTTGAACTCCTGTCCTCAGGTAATCCACCTGCCTTGGCCTCCCAAAGTGCTGGGATTACAGGCGTGAGCCACCGTGCCCAGCCTGATGCTATCTTTTTCATTGAGACTAGTAATTTTATTTCTCAAGGTAAAATTTTTTCTTTTTGTAACTTCTCAGATTTATATTTCAGAAGCTCAACTTTTTTTTTTTTTTTTTGTTCAGATGGAGTCTCACTCTGTCACCCAGGCTGGAGTGCAATGGCGGGATCTTGGCTCACTGCAACCTCCGCCTCCCAGGTTCAAGCGGTTTTCCTCCCTCAGCCTCCTGAGTAGCTGGGACTACAGGTGAGTGCCACCATGCGCAGCTAATTTTGTATTTTTAGTAGAGACGGGGTTTTGCCATGTTGGCCAGGCTGGTCTCAAATTCCTGGCCTTGAGTGATCAGCCCACCTTGGCCTCCCAAAGTGCTGGGATTACAGGTGTGAGCCACCACGCCCAGCCTTTTTTTTTTTTTTTTTTTTTTCTGAGACAAGTTCTCACTCTGTCACCCAGGCTGGAGTAACAGCTCACTGCAGCCTTAACCTTGTGTGCTCAAGCAATCCTTCCATCTCAGCCTCCTGAGTAGCTAGGACTACAGGTGTGTGCCACTATATCCAGCTAATTTTTGTTTCATTTTTTGTAAAGACAGGGTCTCCCTATATTATCCAGGCTAGTTTTGAAGTCCTGGGCTCAGTGATCCACCTGCCTTGGCCTCTCAAAGTGCTAGGATTACAGGTATGAGCCACCATGTCCAGCCTAGAAGTTCAATGTTAACTTAAAAAAGAAAAAGTTCAACTTTTGCTGTACCTTGCTACATGTGATTTGCAGGTCATACATCTTGCCCTTTGTTCTTTCGTCCTTTGAAGAGGTGTATCTTTTTTCTTGGCTGAGGTGATAACTTTCTCCTTCAATCTATTCATC
Source organism: Homo sapiens (assembly GCF_000001405.40). Lineage (NCBI taxonomy): Eukaryota > Metazoa > Chordata > Mammalia > Primates > Hominidae > Homo > Homo sapiens. The sequence goes on along the minus strand of NC_000006.12, from coordinate 75,593,203 downwards.
AATTTCTGCAACTTTTTTTTTCTTCCAACTCTACTGTTACAGTCTGATGCTGAAATTTAAAAAAAATTATTATTTTTTAGCAGCTTATGGCCATGCTAATCTTCTCTGTATCATTCCAACTTTAGTATATGTGCTGTCAAAGCAAGCACTGAAATATTTATCTTAAAGGCCTAGAAACACAGTGTGTTCCTCCAGTATAACCCAATTCTGTGCTCTTGGCTTTTATTGATGTGCCTAAATTGTTCCATGTAATCAGGAAACTTCCTATGTTGTTAGTGAGAGCCATGTACTCCCTCACTCAAGGTATTAGTTTTCTTGTTTACATTCCTGTATAATGTAATGTATATTCTTAACCCTAGATACATTCTTCCTGTGCCTGATTAAATTCAAGTACCCTTTTCAACAGCATTGACTTCCAGATTATCTAAATGGGCTTCCCATAAGGAGAAGCAATCACACTACAAGAGATTTTTCTTTATGTTTTGGTAACTGGCCTGAAAAAACAAAGATTTTACATTTTATCAAGATAATTTCCTATCTTGTCTTTATTAGGTTTTGGACTACATAGAAAAACTGAGCTTTAAAAGGGTTAAGGTTTTTACATCCATGTAACTTTCTGTATTGCTTTTGAAGTCTTTTGTCACTCTGGTTAAATTAATGGCTATTATTTTACAGTAACCTGTGATTTTGTTTTGATCAGGTGTTTTGAACTTTTTAACATCTTTGGCAGGTCCTGCCCCCACCCACATCATCAAAATCTGAAACTAAATATTTTTTACTTAAAATTAACAGTGGGATTTTCCAGCTGGGCCCCTGGAGAGCCTCAAAGTTGTGTCTCTTATCTTTTAGATATATTAAATAATTAGGCTTATTTGGTAAATTGTATGGGAAGCATTGTAAAATAAGTGATACTAGATATTCCTTCAGTTACATTTATGTTTATGCTATTGATATAAATGTTGTAAAATTATATCAATTCATAAAAATATGTTACAGTCATAATTTTGGTGGCTATGTTAAATCTTTCCTAAACTTAAATTTGTGTGGGTATGTATTAATGTGAGTATTCTAAGAGTTGTATAAAATTTATAAAAGTTTGATCCTCCTGATATGACATTGTCAGTCATGATTCTGATTCTTTTTTTTCTTGTTGTTGAGGTGGAGTCTCGCTCTGTCACTCAGGCTGGAGTGCAGTGGTGTGATCTCGGCTCACTGCAACCTCCGCCTCCTGGGTTCAAGCGATTCTCCTGCCTTAGCCTCCTGAGTAGCTGGGACTACAGGTGCGTGCCACCACGCCTGGCTAATTTTTTGTGTTTTTAGTAGAGACAGGGTTTCACCATATTAGCCAGGATGGTCTCGATCTCCTGACCTCATGATCTGTTGGTCTTGGCCTCCCAAAGTGCTGGGATTGCAAGCGTGAGCCACCGCTCCTGGCCTGATTGTCATCTTAAAATGCTGCATGTAATGGAAATAACTACATTTCCTTGTCAATTGGGAAATTATTTATTTTTTATTTTTTTGAGACAAGGTCTCACTCTGTTGCCCAGGCTGGAGTGCAGTGGTGCGATCTTGGCTCACTGCAGCCTCCGCTTCCTGGGCTCAAGCAAGCAATCCTCCTATCTCAGCCTCTCGAGTAGCTGGGACTATAGTTGCACACCATCACACCCAGCTAATTTTTGTATTTTTTGTAGAGATGGGTTTTCACCATGTTGCCCAGGCTGGTCTCAAACTCCTGGGCTCAAGCAATCTGCCCACCTCAACCTCCCAAAGTGCTGGGATTACAGGTGTGAACCACTGTGCCTGGCCAGGAACTTTCATCAGATTTTTAACCATGACTATTCTAAGTTTCTGTCATCCACAGTTATTGCTTTGAAGTCTTCTCTAAAAGCATTTGCAATCAGCTATAGTCCAAAATGGCTTTGCATGGAAAGACTCTAACAAGTAGTCTTGAACACAGATTTCTGATAACTTTAAGATCAATGAATGAAATAAAAATCTTCAGAACTCTAATAAGGAAATTTATAGGTTCATAAAACTGCTAATCAAGATCAAGCAAAACGATAAATTAGTTACATGAAATTAAGTAATTGATAATGTTTTTATGACTTATTTAAACCATTGTTGGTTCTTTATTTAAATGTTTTGTTTTTCAGATTTAAGAACTTTTTTTCTCCTAAGCTATTTATAGTTTACAAGAATTTGGTAAAGTATACTTTTAATAAAGATGGAAACACCTTTGCTTTTTTCCCTTACTTGATTCTTCCCAAAAGTGGCAAATTCTTATGAGTATTCTTTATTTACATAAGTTCAATAAAAATTTGCTCTCTCTTCATAAATGGGATGTGATTGGAAACACTGATTTTTTTTTTTTAACCAAGTCTTTTTTTGTGTGTTTGCATTTTTGTTTATTTGTTTCTTTAGAGACAGAGTCTCACTCTGTTATCTAGGCTGGAGTGCAGCGGCATGATCAAAGCTCACTGTGATCTCAAGCTCCTGGGCTCAAGTGAAACTCCTGCCTCAGCCTCCTAAGTGGCCAGGACTACAGGTGTGTACCACCATGCTTGGCTAATTAAAAACAAAATTTTTTTTGGTAGAGGTGGGGTCTCACTATATTGCCCAGGTTGGTCTCAAATTCCTGGCCTCAAGTTATCCAGGATCCTCCTGCCTTGGCCTCCCAAGTTTCTGGGATTACAGGTGTGAGCCAATGCCCCTAGCCTTTTACCAAGTCTTTGAATAAAATGTTGTATTTAAGAGTGTGCACAAAATGTCTGGCTTTAGTAGTTTCTAGCCTTACAGTGAGTGAATAAAAATTGTCACTTCTTGGCAGACGCAAGAACCTTAAGACTGAAATAAAGTCTAAAGTCTGCCTTGGTTTGGCTTCCCATGCTCAAGAAGTTTTTAAGTCTGAGATTCCTAATGATCAACGTAGAGAGAAAAAGTTATATTTCTAAAGAAATATAATACGGCTGTTACTAGATAGTAGCCCTGTGCATTGTTTTTCAAGTTCTTGTTATCTACCTGTAGACTAGATCAGATCTTGAATTCTCCTAATTTCCTTCAATAATTGGCAGTAAGCTTCTTTGTTCCTAAATCCCTATAAGTCAAAACTAGATGAAATTTAAGAAACAAACCTCATGCCTGATGTATGGGCCACACAAAAGGTTTACCAAACCACTTGGTGTCATGACCAGAGACTTTCAAATTACAAACCAGGAGCGGCAGTTGATGTTTTCACGCTGTAGATAGCTTTTCTCAAGACATTGAAGCAAGACTCCATATCATAATTAGACTCTTACCCCTCTTAATGCTACCTTTTATGCTTGGTAAGCTAATGATGTAATTGAAATTTCACCATCAGTATATTCTGCTGGTAACTTAAGAGAGCCTAACCTAAGAAACTGTTTAGTAGGCCGGGCCCAGTGGCTCATGCCTGTAACCCTAGCACTTTGGAAGGCCAAGGTGAGCGGATCACCTGAGGTCAGGAGTTCAAGACCAGCCTGGCTAACATGGTGAAACCCTGTCTCTACTAAAAACACAAAAATTCACCGGGTATGGTGGTGCACGCCTGTAGTCCCAGGCACTCGGGAGGCTGAGGCAGGAGAATCACTTGAACTCGGGAGGTGAGGTTGCAGTGAGCCAAGATCATACCGCTGCACCCCAGCCTGGGTGACAGAGAGAGACCCTGTCTCAAACAAAACAAAACAAAACTAAACAAAATTGTTTAGTATCCATTGGTTAAATAAGAAAATGTCTGTGCTATTGGTAATACTATGTGCTATACCTGGATAAATTCCTCTGGAAAAGTTGAGACCCATACACACAAAGTAAGAAAGTAGTTTGCCTGGTTACAATAGGTCTCGCCTAATTCCCTATAGTCATTTAATTTATTCAATTGGTTATCTTTAAGCCTAGATTAATGGCTCAAAATAATTATACAAATTAGAATAGTCATATTACTATTAATTTTACTTTGTCTTTTCCCTTTCTAAACTTTGTATATGTTAACTCTACAATTTTTGTGGAAGTACAACTCCTAACAAAATAATGCTGACCCAGCACTTTGAGATGAAAACAAAAGACCACAGAACAGAACTTATTAATGGACTTCAGGTAGACTTAGCCTTAGAGCTACTCCCTTTAAACCTCCTTTGTTGCTCAAACATGGCTAAAAGAGTTTTGACACTGACTCCTAGTTGCCAATTACTCCTTATAATGTAAGACAAGACCAATAACGAGGACAGGTCTATTCTGTACTGAGGAACATCAAAACCTAACTACAGGATGTTTAATCAGTGATGCTTTTGGAGAAAGATCTTGATGAAAAGAGGAAAATATGGATGTTGTCAGAACCAAAATGAAGTTACTGATGTCAAAAAAACAAATAAAAAAAAAAAACAAAACCAAAACCCACTGACAAATAGAGCTGGGGAACATCATAAAGAAAAGGCTCTCATGCTTATATGCTTGATAATAAAAACTATCACAAAGACTCTGTAAAAACCACAATCTTTCATAAAATCCATTGCAGCCTTACACAAGAAATACTTCTGCAGGGACATCTGCCCAACAACTGCCTTTCCAACCCTGCACCAACGTCACACTTGTTATTGATCTTTATAGCCAAGGATAATGATGTCAAAACAATTCTGTGATCCTCCTCATTTTTTCCCTTAAAAACCTTTGCCTTCCTTTACCTCCCTGAATATGCACATAATTTACTATGGCACACATATTCTCATTGCAATGCTGTAGCCCCAAAATAAATATCTTTTATAGCATCTCTGCTCTTTGTTATTTAGGTTGACAGTACTGATCAGGAAAGCATCCATGATTAATTAAGAATTAAAAACAAGGCTGTGGTGGCACACACCTGTAGTCCCAACTACTCAGGAGGCTGAGGTAGGAGGATTGCTTGAGGCCAGGAGTTCAAGCCCAGGCTGGGCAACATAGTGAGACCCCCAACTCTAAAAAAAAAAAATTAATAGAAAAAGAAAAAACAAGTTATAGGCCATCTTTTTTTCATCAGAGCCATCACACTGGATACAGGCCAATTTTATATCATTTGCATAAATATGATTTATAAGTATATATAGCTAATCTGTGTGGCATAGCTATGTCAGAAGAAAGGAATTAGAAGGTGTGGATGACTTTGTCTTTTTTCTTTTTTTTTTTTTTTGAGACGGAGTCTCACTCTGTTGCCTAGGCTGGAGTGCAATGGTGCAATCTCGGCTCACTACAACCTCCACTTCCTGGGTTCAGGCGATTCTCGTGCCTCAGCCTCCCCAGTAGCGAGGATTACAGGCACATGCCACCATGCCCAGCTAATTTTTGTATTTTTAGTAGAGGCGGGGTTTCAACATGTTGGCCAGGCTGGTCTCGAACTCCTGACTTCAAGTGATCCATCTGCCTCGGCCTCCCAAAGAGCTGGGATTACAGGCGTGAGCCACCGTGCCCAGCTTGTCTTCTTTTTTATGGAATTTTAGTTTGGAAGAAATTACTTTCTTTCTAGTATTTTTCAGTATTTTCAAATAATGTTAAACTAACAAATAAAGAACAGTTTAGATGTTTTCTCTGAAACTCCAAAGTTTGACAGTATTATCGTACCTTTCTTTAAAAAAAGTACACCTTTTCTAATGAAAATATGATCATTGGCCAGGTGCAGTGCCTCATGCCTGTAATCTTGGCACTTTGGGAGGCCGAGGCAGAAGTTCGAGATCAGCCTGGCCAACATTGTGAAACCTGATCTCTACTAAAAATACAAAAATTAGCCAGGCATGGTGGCACAAGCCTGTAATCCCAGCTACATGAGCCCACAAGGCAGAGGTTGAAGTGAGCCTCCCAGCACCAATGAACTCCAGTCTGGGTGATGGAGGGAAACTCTGTCTGAAAAGAAAAAAGAAAAGGAAAAGAAAAGAAAAGAGAAGAGAAAAGAAAAAGGACAGGAGAGGAGAGGAGAAGAGAAGAGGGGAGGGGAGGGGAGGGGAGGGAGGGAGTCATTTTGGACTTTCATATTTTGTGTAAATTTCCTCATTTTTCAGGCCTTGCCCATCATTAAGTTTTTAAAATTCTAGATGTGAAAACCATACGTGTTCTATAATCTTGAAAGTAGGAAAAACATTTTATGTATCAGTCAAAATCTAATTCTAGTTAAAAACAGTTGGTTCATGTCTTCTCTCTTTCTTTTTTGTAGTTTAATGTATTTTGATAGCAAACTTGCAGGGATAGCACAGAAGACAGGCAACATTAAAAATATGTACTTGCCTGTGGGACAATTCAGTTAGAAAAGTGAATGGATGGAATCTACTGTATGATAAATTTGCAACAAACACCCTTTAGTTGCCATCAATAAGCAATTTACTTGTTTTAAAAATGCTGGCACTGTCCAGAAAATTTTGACAGGTTTATTTATAACTATTATAAAGTTGAAACACTGAAACTTGTTCACTGAAACATTTTGACTTGCATTAATGCTTTACATCCCTGGCATTTATACTAAAAATTCACACACAAATGAAAATGGAAAAACTGCCAATACCTGTTTTCTGTCCCCTGTTTATCCACTCACAATCATATATTTAAGTACATTTTGACCCCAAGGAAAAAATATAATGTTCAGAACTACCAACAACAGGAAGAAGATAATTTTTTTAGAGTGAATGTTTCCCGTCGTAGTGGATTCTTAAGCACTTTTCCACATGTGCAGCATGCTACCTGGATGTCTTTTGGCATAATTTGTTACACATGGATAGCACACAATTTGGTGTCTTCAAAAAGGCCAACCAGATGGGCTTCACTTGCCTCCTGCAAAACACCAATAGCTGTGCTCTGGAAGTGCAGATCTGTTTTAAAGTTCTGAGCTAGTTCTCATGCTGATGGTGTAAGGGAATTTGGCAAATCATAAGTTCAAGGGACTTCTGTTAATGTCTAATTTCAAGGAGTGCCACAGTACCAGGCCTATAATGATGAGGTTTCTTCACCCTTTAAGTAGAGGGTACACTCCCTCTCGAGTGGCTTTTTTAGCCATTTGCTTTCTGGGTGCGTTGTCACTGGTCGATTTGCAGGCAGTTTGCTTTGTATGAGCTATGGTACCTTCTTACTTACCCCACTTCTCCTTTGGCTGGAGCTCTGCGAGCTAGTGGCAGTGCTGATGTTGCTGTGGTGACTGCCTCCTCCATTCTCTTTTATTATTATTTGGTTTGTGTATACTATTTTAAAATCACTATGAAATAAGATGGAATCAAATGATTGCTATTTTTAATTAATTAATTTTAAAGACAGGGTCTTGCTCTGTCACCTAGGCTGGAGTGCAGTGATGTAGTCATAGTTCACTGCAGCCTTGAACTCTTGGGCTCAAGCAATACTCCTGCCTCAGCCTCCCAAAGTGCTGGGATTACAGCTGTGAGCCACCATACCTGGACATGGCTGTTTTTGTAGGTCAAAATGATCAAATGTTGGTACTTTCATATGTCTCTATCTAATAATCAATAGCTATTTGAATTAAGTCATGTGATTTTTTTTTTTTTTTTTGAGACAGAGTCTTGCCATCTCTGCTCACTACAACCTCCGCCTCCAGTCCAAGCGATTCTCCTGCCTCAGCCTCCTGAGTAGCTTGAATTACAGGTGCACGCCACCATGCTCAGCTAATTTTTGTATTTTTAGTAGAGACAGTATTTCACCACGTTGGCCAGGCTGGTCTCGAGTTCCTGCCCTCAAGCGATCCACCCGCCTCAGCCTCCCAAAGTGTTGAGATTACAGGGATGAGCCACCGTGCCTGGCCAAGTCATGTGATATCTTTACTCTGGTGAATGAACAGTGACTATCTGGGGCTGGTAACATAGGGTTAAGAAAAATTTACCAAGACAGTTGTAGATAAATAAAGACAGATTTATTACAGAAAGTATGAAAATACATTGCAAGAAAGCAACAGGCAAGTCAGCAAGAGAAGAGCTAACTGCGAAGAGACAAAGGCCTGCTGGAAATTTTACAGGATTTTATAGAATGGAGCTTGTGCTCTGTGCTGAAGAGGGCTTTGTGCAGTATCAATGCCAAGGTTGCAGTGAGCTAACTTAACAATTTTTCTGTCAGCTGAGGGTCTAGTGATAACTGGTCACAGGAAGGTTGTGAGTTGTTTGCAGAGGACAGCTATGTGTCCTGGACCATGAAGAAAGGCAGAATTGTATTGTAGCTTATTTGCTTCTTCTTTTTGCTTTACCCTGGTCCCACCAGCCTGACTCTGTGCCCCCACCTCCTCCCAGTTAGGACTCCACATTTATCTAGCAAATAATTGTGAAAAATTTAGATTTGTCTTAATATTATGTTATATGCACGTAAAAACTATATTGGAAAGTTTGGTTTACTGAAGGTATTGAACTTACATGGTAACTATTAAACCTATAATATAGGGATGTACTACAACACTGGTTTCAATGTATTAGAAAAGCAGGTAGTATATACCAGTACCATGCTGTTTTGGTAACTATAGCTTTGTAGTATAGTTTGAAGTTGGATAATGTAATGCCTCCAGATTTGTTCTTTTTGCTTAGTCTTGCTTTGGCTACGTGGGGTCTTTTTTGGTTTCACATGAATTTTAGGATTTTTTTTTCTAGTTCTGTGAAGAATGATGGTGGTACTTTGATGGGAATTACATTGAATCTGTAGATTGCTTTTGGCAGTATGGTCATTTTTCAGAATATTGATTCTACCCATCTATGAGCATGGGATGTGTTTCCATTTGTTTGTGTGGTTGATGATGTCTTTCAGCAGTGTTTTGTAGTTTTCCTTGTAGAGATATTTCACTTATTTGGTTAGGTGTGTGCCTAAGTATTTTATTTTATTTTTATTTTTTGCAGCTGTTGTAAAAAGGATTGAATTCTTGATTTGTTTCTCAGCCTTGTCCTTGTTGGTGTATAGCAATAATACTGATTTGTGTATGTTCATTTTGTATCCTGAAATTTTACTGAATTCGTTTATCAGATCTAGGAGCTTTTTGGATGGGTCTTTAGCATTTTCTGGGTATACGATCATATCACTGGTGAACAGCAACAGTTTGATTTCCGCTTTACCAATTTGAATGCCCTTTATTTTTCTCTTGTCTGATTGCTCTGGCTAGGACTTCCAGTACGATGTCGAGTAAAAGTAGCGAAAATGAGGATCCTTGTCTTGTTCCAGTTCTCAGGGGAAATGCTTTCAATTTTTCCCCATTCAGTATAATGTTGGCTGTGGGATTGTCATAGATGGCTTTTATTACCTTGAGATATGTCCCTTTTGTGCTAATTTTGCCGAGGGTTTTAATCATAAAATGATGCTGGATTTTGCCAAATGCTTTTTCTGTATCTGTTGAGATGATCATATGATTTCTGTTTTTAACTCTGTGTATGTGATGTATCACATTTATTGACTTGCATATGCTAAATTATCCCTGCATCCCTGGTATGAAACTTACTTGATCATGGTGTATTATCTTTCTGATATGCTGTTGGATTTGGTTAGCTACTATTTTGCTGAGCATTTTTGCACCTGTGTTCATCAAAGATATTGACATAGACCAATGAAACAGAGTAGAAAACCCAGAAATAAAACCAAATACTTACAGCCAACTGATCTCCAACAAAGCAAACAAAAACATAAAGTGAGGAAAGGACATCCTATTCAACAAATGGTGATGAGATAATTAGCAAGCCTTATGTAGAAGAATGAAACTTAATCCTTGTTCTCATCTTATACAAAAATCAACTCAAGGTGGATCAAATATTTAAATCTAAGACCTGAAACCATAAAAATTCTAGAAGATAAAATCGGTAAAACTCTTTTAGATGTTGGCTTAGACAAAAAGTTCATGACCAAGAACCCAAAAGCAAATTCAACAAAAAGATAAATAGATGAGACCTAATTAAAATAAAAAGCTTCTACACAGCAAAAGAAATCATCAGCAGAGTAAACAGACAACCCACAGAATCGAGAAAATATTCACAGACTTTGCACCTGACAAAGGACTAATATCCAGAACCTACAAGGAACTCAAACAAACCAAGAAAAAACAAATAACCCCATAAAAGTGGGCAAAGGACATGAGTAGACAGTTCTCAAAAGAAGATATACAGGCTGGGCGTGATGGCTCACGCCTGTAATCCCAGGACTTTGGGAGGTAGAGACGGATGGATTTCCTGAGGTCAGGAGTTCGAGACCTGCCTGGGCAACATGGTGAAACCCCGTCTCTACTAAAAATACAAAAATTAGCTGGGCGTGGTGATAAGCGCCTGTAATCCCAGCTACTCAGGAGGCTGAGGCATGAGAATCTCTTGAACCCGGGAGGTGGAGGTTGCAGTGAGCTGAGATCCCACCACTGCACTCCAGCCTGGGGGGGCAGAGCGAGACCCCGTCTCAAAAAAAAAATTATACAAATGGCCAATAAATGTAAGAAAAATGCTCAACATCACTAATTATCAGAGAAATGCAAATTAAAACCACAATGAGATACCACCTTACTCCTTCAAGAATGGCTATAATTAAAAAATTTTAAAAAATAGATATTGGTTTGGATGTGGTGAAGAAGGAACACTTTTACACTGCTGGTGGGAATGTAACTAGTACAACCACCATGGAAAACCATGTGGAGACTCCTTAAAGAACTAAAAGTAGAACTACCATTTGATTTAGCACTCCCACTACTGAGTATCTACCCAGAGGAAAATAAGTCATTATATGAAAAAGACACTTGCACACTCATGTTTATAGTAGCACAATTTGCAACTGAAAAAAATACAGAACCAGTATAAATGCCCATTGACCAACAAATGGATAAAGAAAATGCGGCATATATACACCATTGAATACTACTCAGCCATGAAAAGGAATGAAATAATGGCACTTGCAGCACCCTGGATGGAGTTGGAGAACATTATTCTAAGTGAAGTAACTCAGGAATGGGAAACCAAATATCATGTGTTCTCACTTATAAGTGGAAGCTAAGTTATGAGGACACAAAGGCACAGGAATGATATAATGGACTTTGAGGACTTGAGAGGAAGGGGACAAAGTGGGTGAGGGGTAAAAGACTACACGTTGGGTAGAGTGTACACTGCTTGGGTGACAGTTGCACCAAAATCTCAGAAATTAACACTAAATAACTTATCCATGTAACAAAATATCACCTGTTCTCCCAAAACGATTGAAAAAAAAAATGGCCTGGCACGGTGGCTCATGCCTGTAATGCCAGCACTTTGGGAGGCCAAGGTGGGCAGATCACCTGAGGTCAGGAGTTCGAGACCAGCCAGGACAGCCTGGTGAAACCCCGTCTCCACTAAAAATACAAAAAAATTAGCCAGGCCTGGTGGCGCATGCTTGTAGTCCTAGCTACTTGGGAGGCTGAGGCAGGAGAATTGCTTGAACCTGGGAGGCGGAGGTTGCGGTAAGCCAAGATTGCGCTATTGCACTCCAGCCTGGGCAACAAGACCGAGACTCTGTCTCAAAAAAAAAAAAAAAAAAAAAAGGAAGAAATTAAAAATAATTTTTTAAAGGATTGATTATATACTCTGTATCAATGAAACATAAATCATTTTCTTTTAAATCTTGCTAAAAAGACGCAGCAAATATATTAGCACTATGTAATAAAATTTGTAACTGAAAAAGGAAAAGCAGACAGTATAATATTAAGAATAGATACCAACAATTATTTGTAATGTGACAAATTGAAGATGTAAGTTTCTATGAGATCATTTCATTTGGAGACAGGAAAGGGCAGATGTGTCAGGAGTTTAATGGGAATTCCTTTGGCAATATTGTTTATGATTATCTCCTCTTGGGAAAAGGACAAGCAAAAGTTACAATTTAGCTTGGAATGTTTTGGATGGGAATGTAGAATGTATTATATAGTGAGCTAGAAAACATTTTGTACTCATCAGGACTTCATACTCATGGAAGTAATTTATTTTCCAAATATTGCTGAACTTTGTCATCCTAAGCAAGATAACACAGTTAGGTATTTGGTTCCATAAATGGGTCTTTATTATGCAAAGGCCATTGCTTCTTAGGTAGGAGACTTGGATGAGTGGGACAAGTGCCTATTTTGGATAGAAAGCAGCAGTCTAGGGTGCATTATGTAGAATTTGAATTGTATCTATAGACCCTACTTTAGCTCTCCAGCTCCTTTTCCAGAAAAGGTTTTATGGACAGCCTATAGACAAGCTATGGTCCTGGAGGAGCCATTAACACTGTGTCAGTAGCCAGTCATATGTGCCTTGAAGGGGAGAGACTATTTGGACTGGGAGAACAGTACACTCTGAGGCGAGGCATGAAAGACTAGGGGAATAGGAATGTGGTGCTATTTGCTTTTTATCTACTGTTATCAATAAATTGGCCTATTTGAAAAAAAATTTAGAGAGCTGAGCACGGTGGCTCATGTCTGTAATCCCAGCACTTTCAGAGGCAAGGTGGGCGGATCACCTGAAGTCAGGAGTTTGAGACCAGTCTGGCCAACATGGTGAAACACCGTCTCTAAAAGTTAGCCAGGCATGGTGACAGGCGCCTGTAATCCCAGCTACTTGGGTGGCTGAGGCAGGAGAATAGCTTGAACCCAGGAGGTGGAGGTTGCAGTGAGCAAGATCACACCATTACACTCCAGCCTGGATGACAAGAGTGAAACTCCATCTCAAAAAAAAAAAAAAAAAATTTAAGCATCTGATCTGTTTTTGTTAAATCACATGGATAAATTAGGCTGCCTTTGGTGTCTTTAATAGTTTTAGACAATAGATTTTGTAATATGGAATACAGAAGTTCCCCCATTATTAGAGATTTCACTTTCCATGGTTTCAGTTACCTGTGCTCAACTGCGCTCCGGAAATATAAAATGGAAAATTCAGAAATAAACAATTCCTAAGTTTTAAAATACGGGACACTCTGAATAGCACGATGAAATCTCATGACTTTTCATTTGGGAGATGAATCATCTCTTTGTCCAGTATTTTCACACTGCATATGGTACCTGCTCATTAGTCATGTAGTAGTCTTCTCAGTTATTAGATTGATGGTTGTGGTATTGCAGTGCATGTGTTCAAGTAACCCTTTTACTTAATGATGGTCTTAAAGTGCAAGAGTAATGGTGTTGGTAATTCAGATACGCCAAACAGAAACCACGAAGTACTTCCTTTGAGTGAAAAGGTGAAAGTTCTCAATAAGGAAAGAAAAAATTGTATGTCAAGGTTGCTAAGATCTATGGTAAGAACAAATATATCTGTGAAACTGAAGAAGGAAAAAGAATTTCATGCTAGTTTTGCTGTTGTATCTCAAACTGCAAAAGTTATAGGTACAGACGGTGATAAGTGCTTAGTTAAAAGGAAAAGGCCTTACATTTGTGGGTAGTAGATATGAACAGAAACATGTTCCAATGATGGTGTTGACCAAAACTAAAACTTTTGAGGTAGAAATAGTTTGATAAAGGTTTATTGGGAGCCAAATATGAGGATCGGCATGGGAAAACACACAACAAAGTTGGGAGCATTCTGGATTCTCACAAGTTGGAGGGCTTTTGTAGGAAAGTTTAGGAGAAGGAAGGGGGACTCCTCATACCATGGTTGTGCTTTTTTATTGGAGGATACAATACAGAGTTTGCAATTTTGGATACAGATTGCAACATATGGGCTAAAATATTAATAACTATGTGCAAGACAGTCAGTAAAACTTTATGATTCAGAAATAAATCAGTGTCCTTTCAGTGTCAGTAGGTTATGCATTAATCAGCACGTCAACAATTTGAGGAACTTAAGATCAAATTCTTTACTCAGGGACAGGGTATTGCCATGAATTATAAAACCTTCCCTAGGCCGTTATTCTGGAAGCCTGATTACTTATTTATTTATTTTTGAGACAGAGTCTTGTTCTGTTGCCCAGGCGAGAGTGCAATGTCATGATCTCGGCTCACTGCAACCTCCACCTCCCAGGTTCAAGTGATTCTCCTGCCTCAGTCTCTCAAGTATCTGGGATTACAGGTATCTGCCACCTAATTATGGGCATCTGCCAGGATAATTTTTGTATTTTTATTAGAGATGGGGTTTCACCATGTTGGCCAGACTGGTCTCGATCTCCTGACCTCAAGTGATCCCCCCACCTCTTCCTCCCAAAGTGCTGAGCTTAGAGGCATGAGCCCCCATGCCGGGTCACCTATTTACTTTTAAAGAAAACTGTCAAATGCGACCTGTAAGTTATCAATGGCAATCAGGTTTAGTACTATCCATGCTTCAGGCATCTTGGAATGGGGGTCTTGGAATGTATCTTCCACAGATAAAGGGAGACTATTGAAATTTTATAACAAATAATTTTCTATTAAGTTCATAGAAGAACTTTGTCTAACCCTGTATAGGTAAATATACTTATTTTCTCTACATAGTCTAAGGCAGGTCATGTACTTTGATTGTTTTTCTAAATTAATAATCAAATAGTTGTGACTTCTTCATGTTTGTGTCAATGTCACAGTTAGATTTTTGGTGTATTGGACACGAGGCTGACCAACAAGGTCAATTTCCACCTTGTTCTGATATATAGTCATTATGGCTTAGGGCTGACCCCAGCTCTAAGGGGCATGCCTGAATTGTCTAACTCAGGCTAACCCCACTCCCCTTGGTATAGTGATTGTTTCAAATAAACCAATCTAATCCTAAAATACACCTTGATAAAAGTGAGTTCTCTTTCATATTGAAGAATAGTATCCAAAGCCCATTAATATCATCTTGACAGTTGGCTGGCTTTATCAGTTTCCTAGTCATTATATTAGCCTGTTTCAGAGGGTTAACTTTGTAGTGTGATACAGTCCTCTTTATGACTACACATGTAGAGTATGTGTGTGGATTAAGGTTGTAGAAAACTGAAATAGAAATACAAAAAAGTTCTGGGGAAGAAAGGTTACATAATATGGTTTTAGCTCTGAGAAACTGGTAGCAGTTCTTTTCTTTTGAGAGGGGGAACTAAGGTGGAAGGGAAATTTACTTTTCACTGCACATCTTTCTCTCCTTTTAAATTTTTGTACCTTATGTATATTACCTAATAAAGATACGTTTATATATTAATTTTTAATTTTTTTAATTTTGGAGATAGGATCTCACTGTGTTGCCCAGGCTGGACTCCAGGGCTCAAGAGATCCTCCTGTCTCAGTCTCTCAAGTAGCTGAGACTACAGGCTCACATCACCACAACCGGCAAGAATAATTTTAAATTGTTGCTGTCACAGTCTTTAAAAAGCTCTCTGGACACTTCTGTAGTTCTCACTTTTTCTAAACTGATGCACTGCATATATGACAACGATGTTAGTGAGCCATTGCCCTTGGGTGTTTATTTCAGTTGTCAATTCGCAGTAATTAATTTTTTTTTTTGAGAGGGAGTCTTGCACTGTTGTCCAGGCTGGAGTGCAGTGGCCTGATCTCAGCTCACTGCACCTCCACCTCCCAGGTTCAAGTGATTCTCCTGCCTCAGTCTCCTGAGTAGTGAGATTACAGGTGCCCTCTGCCACTCCCGGCTCATTTTTGTAGTATTAGTAGAGATGGGGTTTCACCATGTTGGCCAGGCTGGTCTTGAACTCCTGACCTCAGGTGATCTGCCTACCTGGGCCTGCCAAAGTGCTGCGATTGCAGGCGTAAAATTATAGTCATGCTTCTGTTTTGAAAAACTCATCTCTCTCTCTTTCTCTTTCTTCTCTCTCTCTCTCTCTGTCTCTTTCAGACAGAGTCTCACTCTGTCACCAGGCTGGAGGGCAGTGGCGTGATCTCGGCTTGCTGCAGCTTCCGCCTCCTTGGTTCAAGTGATTATCCTGCCTCAGACTCCCAAGTAGCTGGGATTACAGTCGTATGCCACCACGTCTGACTAATTTTTGTATTTTTTTGTAGAGACAGTTTTCACCTCGTGGGGTTTCACCACGTTGGCCAGGCTGGTCTTGAACTCCTGACCTCAAGAGATCCTCCTGCCTCAGCCTCCCATAGTGCTAGGATTACAGGCTTGAGCTACCGTGCCTGGCCATTTTCTAACTTTTTGTTGGCTACTTTTATTTCTTCATTAGAGCGTTGCTGCTTGATATAATTTTCTCATTTGCAGTTTTCTTATTGATTTGTATAAACTTTCTGTAAAGTAATAACTCATTTTTTGGTTTATTTTGCTGCTAAAGTTTTTCTCCAGTTTGTTATTGTCTTTTGTATTTCAGTTTTTTTAAGGTACATACATGTAACATTATTATATTGTCAATATTATGTTACCTATGTGTTTAGCATGTTTCGTCGGATATTTGACAAATGTTCACTTTTCTTACCTTTTCTCCTTTGGTTTTAATTTCTTAAGATTCTAATATTCAATCTATTTAGATTTTATTTGGAACTATAGGGTGAAGTGAACATTTATTTTTTTTCAAAATTTATAAATTGCCAATATTTTAAAAAATATTTTCTTCTTTCTTATGGATTTGTGATTCCTCCTTTATCTAATATTAAACCATAAAACGGCATATTTCTATGCTTTATATTTTATTTCATTAATGGTCTTTTATTCCAATGTTACTACTGTACTTTAAAGATTCTTGTCATTTTATAATATATTTGAATTATTGATAGGGCTTTTTCCTGCCCATTGCTTTCTATTCTCACCTAATCATACTATATAATTTTTAGTATCATATTTTTTTCAAGTTCTGAAATAAAAATCCCTTTGAAATATCAACTGGAGTTATTAAGCCTATAAGGAAAACAAAGAGAATGAGGTTTCCAGTTAACAAAAAATTATTTTTAAGAAACTGGAGGGTGTTTTTTTGAGTCTTCTAAAAAAAAATCACCAGGCTTTAAATATATTTCTCCTTTTTACTCCCCAAATGGCACCAGCTGTGTAATTTACTGCCAGCCAGAATGTTGTTTTTAACTTCCGCTGGGTGTTTTTTCTTGTACTCAATTTGCAAGCTCTTTTTCTCTATTGCATTTGCCACAACATGACATATATACTGAAGTATATTTTATCACATATTGCATATATATGGAATTGTTATACATGCATTACATAAACACTGAAACACATTTTATTTCTATTTATTTTTATATTCTTTGGATAATTTCAATGTAAATAAACTTTTAGCATTTGGGGTATTTGTATTTTTTATTTACTTTTGTTTTTTTACTTTCAGTTCCGGGATACATGTGCAGAACATGCAGGTTTGTTACATAGGTATACGTGTACTATGGTGGTTTGCTGTAGCTATCACCCGTCACCTAGGTTTTAAGCCCTGCATGCATTAGCTATTTGTCCTGATGCTCTCCCTCGCCTCGCCCCACCCCACCACCACCGATTGGCCCTGGTGTGTGTTGTTCCCCTCCTTGTGTCCATGTGTTCTCATTGATCAACTCTCACTTATAAGTGAGAACACGGGGTATTTGGTTTTCTGTTCCTGTGTTAGTTTGCTAAGAATGATGGCTTCCAGCTTCATCTATGTCCTTGCAAAGGACATGATCTCATTCCTTTTTGTGGCTGCACAGTATTCCATGGTGTATGTGTACCACATTTTCTTTATCCAGTCTATCATTGATGGGCATTTGGATTGGTTCCATGTCTTAGATATTGTGAATAGTGCTGCAATAACATATCTGTGCATGGATCTTTATAATAGAATGATTTATATTCCTTTGTGTATATACCAGTAATGGGATTGCTGGCTCAAATGGTATTTCTGGTTCTAGATCCTTGAGGAATTGCCACACTGTCTTCCACAATGGTTGAACTAAACTACATTCCCACCAACAATGTAAAAGCGTTCCTATTTCTCCACAGCCTCACGAGCATCTGTTGTTTCTTGACTTTCTAATAATCTCCATTCTGACTGGCAAGAGATGACAGTAGTTTTAATTTGCATTGTGGTTTTAATTTGCATTTATCTAATGATCAGTGATGTTGAGCTTGTTTCTGTATGTTTCTTGGCCACATAAATGTCTTCTTGTGAGGTGTCTGTTCATATCCTTTGTCCACCTTTTTTTTTTTTTTTTTTTGAGACAGAGTCTCACTCTGTCACCCAGGCTGGAATGCATTGGCATGATCTTGGCTCACTGCATTCTCTACCTCCTGGGTTCAAGCAGTTTTCATGCCTCGGCCTCCTAAATAGCTGGGATTACAGGTGTGTGCCGCCACACCTGGCTAATTTTTGTATTTTTAGTAGAGACGGGGTTTTATCATGTTGGCCAGGCTGATCTTGAACTCCTGACCTCATGTGACCCACCCAACTGCTCAGCCTCCCGAAGTGTTGGGATTACAGGCGTGAGCCCCTGCACCCTGCCTCCTTTTCCACTTATGACATTTTTTTTCTTGTAAATTTGTTTAAATTCCTTGTAAATTCTGGATATTACATCTTTGTCAGATGGGTAGATTGCAAAAATTTTCTCCCATTCTGTAGGTTGCCTGTTTGTTCTGATGATAGTTTCTTTTGCTGTTCAGAAACTCTTTAGTTTAATCAGATCCCATTTGTCAATTTTAGCTTTTGTTGCAACTGCTTTTGGAGATTTCATCATAAAACCTTTGCCCATGTCTATATTCTAAATGGTATTGCCTAAGTTTTCTTCTAGGGTTTTTACGGTTTTGGGTTTTACATTTAAGTCTTTAATCCATCTTGACTTAATTTTTGTATAAGGTATAAGGAAGGGGTCCAGTTTCAGTTTTCTGCATATGGCTAGCCAGTTTTCCCAGCACCTGTTATTAAATAGGGAATCTTTTCCCTATTGCTTGTTTTTGTCAGTTTTGTTGAATATCAGATGGTTGTAGATGTGTGGTCTTATTTATGAGGTCTCTATTCTGTTCCATTGGTCTATATGTCTGTTTTGGTAACAGTACCATGCTGTTTTGGCTACTATAGCCTTGTAGCATAGTTTGAAGTCAGGTAGCTTGATGGCTCCAGCTAACCTTGTAGCATAGTTTGAAGTCAAGTAGCTTGATGGCTCCAGCTTTGTTATTTTTGCTCAGGATTGTTTTGATTCCATATGAATTTTAAAATAGTTTATTCTAAATCTGTGAGGAATGTCAGTGTTAGTTTGATGGGAATAGCATTGAATCTATAAATTACCTAGGGCAGTATGGCCATTTTCACAATATCTATTCTTCCTATCCATAAGGAAGGAATGTTTTTCCATCTGTGTCCTCTCGTATTTCCTTGAGCAGTGGTTTGCAGTTCTCTTTGAAGAGGTCCTTCATGTCCCTTGTTAGCTGTATTCCTAGGTATTTTATTCTCTTTTGTAACTGTGAATAGGGGTTCATTCATGATTTGGCTCTCTACTTGTCTATTGTTGGTATATAGAAATGCTTGTGATTTTTGCACGTTAATTTTGTATCCTGAGACTTTGCTGAAGTTGGTTATCAGCTTAAGGGGTTTTGGGGCTGAGAGGATGGGGTTTTCTAAATATAGGATCATGTCATCTTCAAACAGAGACAATTTGACTTCCTCTCTTCCTATTTAAATATGCTTTATTTTTTTTTCTTGGCAGACTGCCCTGGCCAGAACTTCCAATACTATGTTGAATATGAGTGGTGAGAGAGGGCATCCTTGTCTTTGCCAGTTTTCAAAGGGAATGCTTCCAGCTTTTGCCCATTCAGTATGATATTGGTTGTGGGTTTGTCATAAATAGCTCTTACTTTGAGTTATGTTCCATCAATACCTAGTTTATTGAGCGTTTTTAGCATGAAGGGATGTTGAATTTTATCGAAGGCCTTTTCTGCATCTATTAAGATAATCATGTGGTTTTCGTCATTGGTTCGGTTTATGTGATAAATTACTTTTATTGACTTGTGGCTGTTGATCCAGCCTTGCATCCCAGGGATGAAGCCAACTTGATTGTGGTGGATAAGCTTTTTGATGTGCTGCTGGATTCAGTTTGCCAGTATTTTATTTATTTATTTATTTATTATTTATTTATTTATTTATTTATTTATTTATTTATTTATAGAGATGGAGTCTTGCTCTGTCACCCAGGCTGGAATGCAGTGGCATTATCTTGGCTCACTGCAACCTCCCACTCCTGGTTTCAAGCGATTCTCCTGCCTCAGCCTCCCAAGTAGCTGGGACTATAGGCACACGCCACCTCACCTGGCTTTTTGTTTTTTTTTTTTTTAAGTAGAGACGGGGTTTCACATGTTGGCCAGGCTGGTCTCAAACTCCTGGCCCCAAGTGATCCATCTGCCTCAGGCTCCCAAAGTTCTGGGATTACAGGCATGAGTCACCATGCCCATCCTGCCAGTATTTTATTGAGGATTTTTGCATTGATGTTCATCAGGGATATTGGCCTGAAGCTTTCTTTTTTTGTTGTGTCTTTGCCAGGTTTCGATATTAGGATGATGCTGGTCTCATGAAATGATTTAGGGAGGAGGGCCAGGCATAGTGGCTTATGCCTCTAATCCCAGCACCTTGGGAGGCCAAGGCGGGTGAATCACTTGAGGTTAGGAGCTTGAGACCAGCCTGGCCAACATGGTGAAACTCCGTCTCTACTAAAAATACAGAAATTAGCTGGGTGTGGTGGTATGCACCTGTAATCCCAACTACTTGGGAGGCTGAGGCAGGAGAATCATCTGAACCTGGAAGGCAGAGGTTGCAGTGAGCCAAGATTGTGCCATTGCACTGCAGCTTGGGTGACAGTGAGACTGTCAAAAAAAAAAAAAAAAGATTTGCAGAGGAGTCCCTTCTTTTCAATTATTTGGAATAGTTTCTGAAGGAATGGTATCAACTCCTCTTTGTACTTCTGGTAGAATTCAACTCTGAATCAGTCTGGTCCTGGGCTTTTTTGGTTGGTATGCTATTTACTATTGCATCAGTTTCAGAACTTGTCATTGGTCTATTCAGTGATTTGACTTCTTCCTGGTTTAGTCTTGGAATTTATCCATTTCTTCTAGATTTTCTAGCTTATTTGCATAGAGGTATTTGTAGTATTCTCTGATGGTAGTTTGTGTTTCTGTGACGTCAGTGGTGATATCCCCTTTATCGTTTTTTATTGTGTCTATTTGATTTGTCTCTCTTTTCTTCTTTACTAGTCTAGCTAGTGGTCTAGCTATTTTATTAATTTTTTCAAAAAACTAGCTCCTGGATTCTTTGATTTTTTTAAAGGGTTTTTCATGTCTCTATCTCTTTCACTTCTGTTCTGATCTTAGTTATTTCTTGTCTTCTGCTAGCTTTTGGATTTGTTTGCTCTTTCTTCTCTAGTTCTTTTAATTGTGATGTTAGGGTGTCAACTTGAGATCTTTCTAGCTTTCCAATGTGGACATTTAGTTCTATAAATTTCCCTCTTAACACTGCTTTAGCTGTGTCCCAGAGATTCTGGTATGTTGTCTCTTTGTTCTCATTGGTCTCAAAGAACTTCTTGATTCCTGCCTTAATTTCATTATTTACCCAGGAGTTATTCAGGAACAGGTTGTTCAATTTCCATGCAGTTGTGTGGTTTTGAGTGAGTTTCTTAATCTCGAGTTCTAATTTGATTGCACTGCAGTCTGAGAGATTGTTATGATTTCAGTTATTTTGCATTTGCTGAGGAGTGTTTTACTTCCAATTATGTGGTCGATTTTAGAGTAATTGCAATGTGGCACTGAGAATAATGTATATTCTGTTGTTTTGGGGTGGAGAGTTCTGTAGATATCTATTAGGCCTGCTTGATCCAGAGTTGAATTCAAGTCCTGAATATCCTTGTTAATTTTCTATCTCATTGATCTGTCTAATATTGACAGTGGAGTGTTAAAGTCTCCCACTATCATTGTGTGGGAGTCTAAGTCTCTTTGTTGGTCTCTAAGAACTTTCTTTTTCTTTTTTTATGAATCTGGATGTTCCTATATTGGGTGCCTATATATTTAGGATAGCTAGCTCTTCTTGTTGAATTGGTCCCTTTACTATTATGTAATGCCCTTCTTTGTCTTTTTTTAAAAATCTTTTTTGGTTTAAAGTCTGTTTTGTCAGAGACTAGGATTGCAACCCCTGCTCTTTTCAGCTTTCCATTTGCTTGGTAAATTTTCCTCCATCCCTTTGATTTGAGCCTATGTGTATCTTTGCACGTGAGTTGGATCTCTTGAATACAGCACACTGATAGGTCTTAACTCTATCCAATTTGCCAGTCTATGTCTTTTAATTGGGGCATTTAGCCCATATACATCTAAGGTTAATATTGTTACGTGTGAATTTGATCCGGTCATCATGATGCTAGCTAGTTATTTTGCACCCTAGTTGATGCCATTTCTTCATAATGTCATTGGTCTTGATATTTCGTGTGTTTTGTAGTGGCTGGTACCAATTTTTCCTTTCCATATTTAGTGCTTCCTTCAGGAGTTCTTGCAAGGCAAGCCTTGTGGTGACTAATTCCCTCAGCATTTGCTTGTCTGGAAAGGACTTTATTTCTCTTTCATTTATGAAGCTTAGTTTGGCTAGATATGAAATTCTGGGTTGAAAATTCTCTTTTTCAGCCGGGTGCGGTTGCTCATGCCTGTAATCCCAGCACTCTGGGAGGCCAAGGTGGGCGGATCACAAGGTCAGGAGATTAAGACCATCCTGGCTAACACAGTGAAACCCCGTATCTACTAAAAATACAAAAAATTAGCTGGGCGTGGTGGTGGGCACCTGTAGTTCCAGCTACATTGGGAGGCTGAGGCAGGAGAATGGCGTGAACCTGGAAGGCGGAGCTTGCACTGAGCTGAGCTTGCCACTGCACTCCAGCCTGGGCAACAGAGTGAGACTCTGTCTCAAAGGAAAAAGAAAATTATCTCTTTTTTTTTTTTTAAAGAATGTTGAATATTGGCCTCCACTCTCTTCTGGCTTGTAGGGTTTCTGCAGAGAGATCCACTGTTAGTCTGATGAGCTTCCCTTTGTAGGTGACCTGGCCCATTTCTCTCTGGCTACGCTTAACTTTTTTTTCCTTCATTTCAACCTTGGAGAATCTGATGATTATATGTCTTGGGGTTGATCTTCTTGTGGAGTGTCTTAGTGGGGTTCTCTGTATTTCCTGAATTTGAATGTTGGCCTTGTCTTGCTAAGTTGGGGACGTTCTTCTGGATAACATCCTGAAGTGTGTTTTCCAACTTGGTTCTATTCTCTCCATCTCTTTCAGGTACTCCAATCAGTTGTAGATTCGGTCTTTTTACATAGTCCCACGTTTCTCAGAGGTTTTGCTCATTCCTTTTCGTCCTTTCTTCTCTAATCTTGTCTGCCTTCCTTATTTCAGCAAGATAATCTTCCATCTCTAATATTCTTTTTTTTTTTTTCTTGAGACAGTCTTGCTCTGTCACTCGGGCTGGAGTGAAGTGGTGTGATCTTGGCTCACTGCAACCACCACCTCCCAGGTTCAAGCGATTCTCCTGCCTCAGCCTCCCAAGTAGCTGGGATTACAGGCATGTGCCACCATGCCCAAGTAATTTTTTGTATTTTTAGTAGAGATGGGGTTTTGCCATGTTGGTCAGGCTGGTCTTGAACTCCTAACCTCAGGTGATCCACCTGCTTCAGGCTCCCAAAGTGCTGGGATTACGTCTCTGATATTCTTACTGCCACTTGATTAATTCGGCTATTGGTACTTGTGTATGCTTCACGAAGTTCTCATGCTGCAGTTTTCAGCTTCATTAGGTCATTTATGTTCCTCTCTAAACTGATTGTTCTAGTTAGCAGCTCCTCTAACCTTTTATCAACGTTCTTAGCTTCTTTGCATTGGGTTAGAACATTCTCTTACCTCAACAAAGTTTGTTATTACCCACTTTCTGAAGCCTACTTCTGTCAATTCGTCTATCTCATCCTCCATCCAGTTCTGCGCCGTTGCTGGAGAGGTGTTGCAATCATTTGGAGAAGAGGCACTCTGGCCTTTTGGGTTTTCTGTGTTTTTTTGTTGATTCTTTCTCATCTTCATGAGTTTGTCTATTTTTGATCTTTGAGGTTGCTGACTCTTGGACGAGGTTTTTGTGGAAACTTTTTTTGCTGTTGTTGATGCTGTTGTTGTTGCTTTCTTTTTGTTTGTTTTTCTTTCAATAGTCAGGTCCCTCTTCTGTAAGGCTGCTGTGGTTTACTGGGGGTTCACTTCAGGCCCTATTCATGTGGTTCGCTCTTGCACCTGGAGATGTCACTCAAGGAGGCTGGAGAACAGTAAAGATGGGTGCCTGCTCCTTCCTCTGGGATCTCTGACCTTTAGGGGCACCAACCTGATGCCAATAGGAACGCTCCTGTATAGGATGTCTGACAACCCCTATTGGTGAGGGGTGATATGGTATGGCTGTGTCCCCAGGCAAATCTCAACTTGAATTGTATCTCCCAGAATCCCCACATGTTGTGGGAGGGACCCAGGAGGAAGTAATTGAATCATGGTGGCCGTTCTTTCTCATGCTATTTTCGTGATACTGAATAAGTCTCACGAGATCTGATGGGTTTATCAGGGGTTTCTGCTTTTGCTGCTTCCTAAATTCCTCTTGCCACCACCATGTAAGAAGTGCCTTTTGCCTTCTGCCATGATTCTGAGGCTGCCCCAGCCATGTGGAACTGTAAGTCCAATTTAACCTCTTTTTCTTCCTAGTCTCGGGTATGTCTTTATCAGCAACATAAAAACAGACTAATACAGGGGGTCTCACCCAGTTGGGTGGCACGGCAAGCAGGACCCATTTAACAAGGCACTTTGGCTATCCCCTGGTGGAGGAGGTATGCTGAACTGGGGGGAAACCTACTTATCTGGGCTGCCTGGATTCCTCAGAACTAGCAGGAGGAAAGACTAAGTCTGCTGGTCCACAGAGACTACTGCCACCTCTCTCCCTAGGGGCTCAGGCCCAGGGAGATCAGAGTTCTATCCCTGAGCTCATGGCTGGAGTTGGAGTTCCTGCAGGGAGGCCCTGCAGTCACAGTGTTGGCTGCCACCTCTCCCCGAAGGAGCTCAGATGGCTTAGACTGCAGGCAGCCGCAGGAGTGGTGATGGCCGCCCATCCCCCTGGGAACTTGGCAGGCTTACACCAATTCTAGCTGAGTGGGTGTTGAGAATCTGTGTGGCTTCGTGGTTGGGGCTCAAGGCCCCAGTGGCATGGGTTCCCGAGTGGGATCTTCTGATCCATGGGTTGTACAGTTCTGTGGAGAAAGCATGGTTTCCCAGGCTAGGTAGCACGCTCACTCAGCACTTCCCTTGGCTGAGGATGGGTGCTCCCCTGCCCTGTGTGGCTTTCAGATGGGCTGCCACACCACACTGCTATTCCTTCCTCTCCATGGGTCATGACAGCCACCTAGTCAGTCCTGATTGTTTTTTTTTAAATTAAATTTTTATTTAAGGTATTTTCTTTCTTTTAGTTTTTAAAGTTTTGTTTGGTGATCTTTAAGAGAAAACAAGAAGAAAAGCATATTTTAGTGCCTCTTCTACTGCAACTAGGATCTCTATAGCCATGGTCATAAGTGCCAACTGGCTTGTGGCTCACTGAGGAAGGAACCATCTGAGGATAGCTCTATTGAAGGAAATCTCAGTGGCTCATGCTTATAATCCTTGCAGTTTGGGAGGCTGAGGCAGGAGGGTGATTTGAAGCCAAGAGTTCCACAAAGTGAGGCCCCTGTCTCTACAAAAAGTTAAAAAATAAAAAAAGGGAAAATCTTAAAATCATGCCCTCATATGATATCTCCAATTCTAACTCAACACATCAATTTCTTTTTGATCTTCCCCCTCTCCATGTAAGTAAATGCTTTCTCCAACTGGGAAATCTGATTCTTGTAACTTTCAACTTAATTACTCACTGTCTCAATTAATTTACTTATTTTTCTCATTCTATCTATTTCCCAAACTCATGTCTCGTTCACTCACCATCTCTGTGCAATGCCTCCTCACCTTTCAGAGCCAGTGTGCACACCACTGATTAGTCTCCTAATGGCTTCCTCCTCCCTGCCTTGCATTCTTTTCTCGTGCACTGGCAGCTCTTTCACGTCTGCACAGCATCCTATTCACCTCTTCCTTATGCTATACCAACAAGAAAAAGAAAAGAAAGGGAAGGAAAGGGAAGGGAAGGGAATAGGAATGAAAATGAATAGGAAGAAAAGGAAATAGGAAGGGAAATGACGGGAAATAAAGAGAAACGAAGAGAAGAATTTGTCTTCATTTGATTTTTAGGAAAACAATAGAGTGAGTAATTAGGTATATAAAATAAACAGGACTTCTGAAGACGCCAAAGGTTCTAGCAATAAGTGAAACTCCAGCACTTTTGGTTTAACCTATGTAAAATTAGGTGACATATACAACTTTATTTTATCATTTCAGAGCCACATTTGGGCAAGGAACATACTTATAGTTCATCTTGGCTAGTGGTTTCTGCTTCAGTTCTAATTTATTGAGGCTTGACTGTTAAGGTAGACAAGGAGAACAATAGATAGGGGTGAGATGGCAGAGAGGCTTTCTTCTCTAATCTGTTCTAGAATGAACTGTTTTGGGAGACACTGCTTCCTGTGTCCCAGAAACTCCAGCTCCAGCTGTGGCTAAAGGGCCCCAGATATGTCCCAGGTTGCTGCTCCAGAGGGCACAAGCTGTAAGTCTTGGTGGCTTCCATGTGGTGTTAAGCCTGCAGGTGCACAGAGGGCAAGAA
Organism: Homo sapiens; assembly: GCF_000001405.40. Lineage (NCBI taxonomy): Eukaryota > Metazoa > Chordata > Mammalia > Primates > Hominidae > Homo > Homo sapiens. The sequence goes on along the minus strand of NC_000006.12, from coordinate 75,566,660 downwards.
TTGATGCTTGGGAGCCTTCACCTACATTTTAGAGGATGTATGAAAATGCCTGGAAGTCCAGGCAGAAGTTTGCTGCAGGGGTGAAGCCCTCATCGAGAACCTCTACTAGGGATGTGTGGAGGGGAAATGTGGGGTTGGAGCCCCCACATGGAGTCCCCAATGGGGCACTGCCTAGTAGAGCCATGAGAAGAAAGCCACTGCCCTCCAGACCCCAGAATGGTAGATACACTGACAACTTGCATCATGTGTCTGGGAATGCCATAGGCACTCAACGCCAGCCCTTGAGAACAGCCATGGGAGCTGAGCCTTGCAAAGCCACATGGGCTGAGCTGTCCAAGGTCTTGGGAGCCCACCCACTGCATCAGTGTGGCCTGGATATAAGACATGGAGTCAAAGGAAACAATTTTGGAGCTTTAAGATCTTATGACTGCCCTGCTGAGTTTCAGACTTGCATGGAGCTTGTAGCTCCTTTGTTTTGGCTGATTTTTGCCTTTTGGAATGGGTATGTTTATCCAATGTCTGTACTCCCATTGTATCTTGGAAGTAACTAACTTGTTTTTGATTTTACAGTCTCATAGGCAAAGGGACTTGCCTTGTCTCAGATGAGACTTTGAACTGTGGACTGTTGAGTTAATGCTGAAATGAATTAAGACTTGGGGGATTGTTGAGAAGGGTTGATTGTATTTTGCAATGTGAGAAGGACACGAGATTTCGGAGGGGCCCCTCCACCTCGATTTTTTAGAATAGTTTCAGTAGAATTGGTACCAGCTCTTTGTATGTATGGTACTATTCCATTGTGAATCCATGTGGTCTGGGCTTTGTTGTCGTTGTTGTTGTTGTTGTTGGTAGGTCTTTTATTACTTACTTAATTTTGGAACTTGATATTGGTCTGTTCAAGGTTTCAATTTCTTCCTGATTCAATCTTGGGAGGTTGTGTGTTTCCAGGAATTTATTCATTTCCTCTAAATTTTCTAGTTTGTGTCCATAGAGGTGTTCATAAGAGTCTCTGAGATCTTTTGTATTTCTTTGGGATTTGTTTTAATGTTACCTTTGTCATTTCTGATTGTGTTTGTTTGGATATTCTCTTTTTCTTTTTTAATCTAACTACTGGTCTACAGACCTTGTTCGTACTCTCAAAGAACCAACTTTTGGTTTTGTTGATTCTTTGCATGGTTTTTTGAAACTCAATTTTATTCAGTTCTGTTTCAACTTTAGTTATTTCCTTTCTTCTTCTAGCTTTGGGGTTTGTTCTTGTTTTTCTAGTTTTTCTAGGTGTGTTGTTAGGTCATTGATTTAAGATCTTTCTAAGTGTTAGGACTATAAATTTTCTTTAACTGTGCTTTTGTTGTATTCTAGATATTATGATATGTTGTGCTCTGTTTTCATTTATTTCAAGTAATTTTTGGATTTCTGCCTTAGTTTTGTTGTTTATCCAAAGTCATTCAGAAGCCAGTTCTTTAATTTCCAGGTAGTGTGGTTTTGAGAGATCTTCTTGGTAGTGATTTCTATTTTTATTCTACTGTGGTCCAAGAGTATGACTGGTATAGTTTCGGCTTTTAATTATATGTCTATTAGGTCCAATTGGTCAAGTGTCAAATTTAAGTCCAGAACTTCCTTATTAGTTTTCTGCCTCAATGACCTGTCTAAGGCTGTCAGTGGGGTGTTGAAGTCCCGCATTATTATTGTGTGGCTGTCTAAATCTTTTCACATTTCTAGAAGTACTTGCTTTATGAATCTGGGTGCTCCAATGCTGGGTGCATGTATGCTTAGGATAGTTAAGTCTTCTTTTGAATTGAATCCTTTATCATTATGTAATGCCCTTCTTTGTCCTTTTTTAACTTTTGTTGGTTTGGTTTAAAGTCTGTTTTATCTGATATAAGAATAGAGACCCCTACTCATTTTTTGTGTTCCATTTGTGTGATAGATCTTTCTCCAATCCTTTACTTTGAGACTGTTGGTGTCCTTACATGTGACATGGTTCTCTTAAGATAGACTGACGGGTCTTATTTTTTTTACAGAACTTGCCACTCTGTGCCTTTTAAGTGGGGTGTTTAGACCATTTACATTCCAGGTTAATATTGATAAGTGTGGTTTTGAACCTACTGTGGAATTGTTAGCTGGTTTCTTTGTAGACTCTGTCATGTGTTTGCTTTATAGGGTCTGGGGGCTATACTTAAGTGTGTTTTTGTGGTGGCAGGTATCGTTCTTTTGTTTCCACGTTTAGAACTACCTTAAGGATCTCTTGTAAGGTTGACCTAGTAGTAACAAATTTCTTCAGCACTTGCTTACCTGGAAAACAATTATTTCACCTTCATTCATGAAGCTTAGTTTGGAAGGATATGAAATTCTTGGTTGGAATCTTTTTTCTCTAAGAATGCTGAAAATTGACCCCCAGTCTCTCCTTGCTTGTAAGGTTTCTGCTGAGAAGTCCACTGTTAGTTTGATGGGGTTTCTTTTGTGTATTATCTGACATTTTTCTCTAGCTGCCTTTAAGATATTTTCTTTAGTGTTGACCTTGGACAGTCTGGTGACTAATGCCTTGATGATGTTCATTTTGTGTAGCATATTGCAGGTGTTCTCTAGATTTCTTGTATCTGGACATCTACTTCTCTAGCAAGATTAGAGAAATTTTCTCAAACTAGTCCCTCAAAAAATGTTTTCCAGATTGTTCTCTTTTTCTCAGGAATGCCAATATTTATAGGTTTGATTGCTTTACATAATCCCATATTTCTTGAAGACTGTTCATTTTTTAAAATTCTTTTTTCTTTATTTCTGTCTGACTAGGCTAGATTCAAAGACTAGTCTTCGAGCTTCGAGCTCCGAAATTCTTTCTTCTTCTTGGTCTAGTCTATTGACAAAGCTTTCAACTGCATTTTGAAATTCCTTAAGTGAGTTTTTCAATTCCAGAAGCTCTGATTGATTTGTTTTTAAGATGTTCATCTTTTCTTTCATTTTCTGAATTGCTTTAGGAGTTTCTTTGAGTTTATTTTCAATCTTATCTTGGATATCATTGAGCTTTCTTGCAATCCATGCATTGAATTCCTTATCTGTCATTTCTGAGTTTTCATTTTGTTTAGGGACAATTGCTGGAGAGCTAGGGTGATCCTTTGGTGGTGTCATTACATTCAGGTTTTTCATGGTGCCAGAATTCTTGCCCTGTTTTTTTTTTTTTTTTTTTTTTTTTTTTTAATTTAGAGATGCTGGCACCTCTAATAATTTTCATGTGGGTAATATTGATTATTTTTCTTTCTTTCCTTCAATATTCTTCTTTTATCTCCCACTGCACCCCCCCACCCCAACACACACACACACACACACACACACACACACAGTGTGACTACAGAGAATGCTGGGTAAGGTCTTTTGGCTCTGCTTCTATAGCCCTAAGAACTTTTGTCAGCAGGTTTTTTATTGGGCTGTGCAGTTTGACCTACAAGCCAGTAGATGGGGCACTTATGTGTAAGAGCCAGCTGTGGCCAACACTGCTCCAGAGCAGGTGCTCCAATCTCTGGCTTGAGACTAAAATGCTTGTGTGGGAATGCCGCCAGGTCAGTCAAGAAATAGCTGACTGTATGAGTCCAGATTAAAAATGGCACTCCACTTTTGGTCCCACATCTGGAAAAATGCCTGTAGCTTTTCCCAGTGTCTTTCCATCACAGTGTCTCCAAGCCTCTCCCCAAGTTAGCTCCAGGGCTTGGGAGAAACAAAGTGTTCTCCCTTGGTCTGAGTTGCCCTGCTCCCCAGTGGAAAGTAGACACAAAGGGAAGCCGTATGCCTTGCTCACATACTGCAACTTCACTCACTTACTTTTATCAGCTGGATGTCATCACAGTATCTGTTTTCTTGCATTCTCCTTCCCAGGATCTGAGGTGTTCTTCATGATTCTGGTGAATTCCAATTTTCCTTCTTGAATTAAAGGTCACCAAGTTAATCTTTATGCACTACCTTGCTATTTCCAAGTGTCTGAGGCATGCTAAAAGCTTTAATCTACCATCTTGGGGGAAAAAAGAAAACTCTTTAATTATTTCTTTGAAATTTCTCTTTACTCCTTTTCTCTATTCTTTCTGGAACTCTTATTTGTATGTTGTTGAATTTTCTATGCTGATTCTTTACTTTTCTTTAACATTTTCTCTCCTATATTCCCTCTTTTTTTTTCTTCTATGCTTTGAGAGATTTCCTCAACTTTATATTCCAACTCTGCTACTGAACTTTGAAACTTACTATCCACACCCACCTTAATATTTCAAAAAAGAGGAATATTATTAGGTGGATCAGAACAGGATACATTTCCAGTGGGAATATTTTTCACTGGCTGCAGGTAAGATGTTACAGCTATCTAATTCATCTATTCTATAAACATTGCTCAAATTTGGAAATGTCCACCTTCTGGGAGCACACCAAAGATTAGACCTCTGCTATTAAAAGGTGTATATAGGCTGGGCGTGGTGGCTCATGCCTGTAATCCCAGCACTTTGGGAGGTGGAAGTGGGTAGATCACCTCAGGTCAGGAGTTCAAGACCAGCCTGGCCAACATGGCGAAACCCCATCTCTACTAAAAATACAACAAATTAGCTGGGCTTGGTGATGGGCACTTTCAATCCCAGCAACAACTTGGGAGGCTGAAGTAGGAGAATCGCTTGAGCCCGGGAGGCAGAGGTTGCAGTGAGCTGAGATCACGGCATTGTACTCCAGCCTGGGTAATAAGAGCAAAACTTCATCTAAAAAAAAAAAAAAAAGAAAGGTGTATGCAGATTTCAATGTTCTACGAGAAGTCAACGATACTTCTTATCTTTTTCTCTTTGTGTATAATGTCCTTTCCACCCTTGGGCTCCTTTAAAGATTTTCCTTAATAATCTTTGGTTTTTGACAATTTGATTATGGCTTCATGTGTTTATCTTTAAGTTTATGCTGCTCAGAGTGTATGAAACCTCTTGAATTTGTGGGTTGATAATTTTTATCAAATTTAGAAAAAATTTGGCTGTTATTTCTTCAAAATTTTTTTTGCTTCATTGTTTCTTCCCTCTGTCTTTTTTTGTATGTCAGTTACAACATTTTAGGCCATTTGATTTTGTCCTACAAGTCACTGAAGATTTCATAATTATATTCAACATGTTTTCTTTATATGTTTCAATTTGAATAATTCCTACTGCCTCTGCTTTGTTTTTAAGTTCACTGATTCTTCTCTTCTGAAGTGTCTAATCTGCTATTAAACCTATCCAATAAAATTTTCATGTCAGATGTATTTTTCAGCTCCAGGATTGGTTCTTTTGTAAAGTTTCAGTTTTTCTGTTGGTAGACTATATTGCATCTATTCACTCATTAGGCCCTTTAAACATATATATACACAACATATATATATATACACACATATATACACACATATATATATACACATATATATGTGTATATGTATATTTCTGAGTCTGTAAAATCTGTTTTTTTTTCCTGCTTATGGGTAGTATTTTTATGCTTCTTTCTATATCTAGGAATTTTAAACTTTCATACTGGACATTGGCTGGTACACTGTTGTGAGTACAGATTTTGTTTTCTTCCTTTGAAGAGGACTGTGTTTTGTTCTTGCAGGCAATTAATTTACCTCCCAAATGAGCTTGATAATTTTGAGGCTTTAAAAAAAATGTGGTTAGGGCAGGTCTAGTCTAGCCTTTACTTCACTGCTTAAGCAGCTGCTCTTCTTCTTCCTCTTCCTCTTCCTCTTCCTCTTCCTCTTCTTCTTCTTCTTCTTCTTCTTCTTCTTCTTCTTCTTCTTCTTCTTCTTCTTCTCCTCCTTCTCCTCCTTCTCCTCCTTCTTCTTCTTTCTCCTTCTCCTTCTTCTTCTTTTGTTTTCTAAGTTTCTTTTTCTTTTTTTTAATTTTACTTTAAGTTCTGGGGTACATGTGCAGAATGTGCAGGTTTCTTACATAGGTATACATGTGCCATGGTGGTTTGAAGCAGCCTTTCTTCCGAAGTGTAGACTTTCTGGGGTCTCAATTGAATGCCTAGGCTAACTGAAATGTCCCTACCCTGGCATTTGAACTCCAGCATCTCTCAGGCATGTGGCCTCCAGAACCCCCTTTCTTCACAGCTCTCTAGTAGCTAATCTCTGCCAGGCCTTACATTGTCTCATCTTTTATTAGTATTTGGCCAAAAATTTAAAGGGTCCCTAATGCGGATTTCTGGAGTTCATTTTCCACACAACTCTCTATTCTCTAGCATCCTACCCCACAGGGTTCCAACTTCCGAACTTTGATCTTTGCTTTCTCAGAGGCAATGTGAGACCTCTGTATTCATTGGCTTCCTTCTCTGTCTATGTCTATGTCATAGTCTGGGATATGCTCCCAAGGGAAAGTTTAGTCAATTGTGGGGCTCACTCACCTCATGTGTTTTCCTTTTCTTAGCAATCACCATCCTATGCTCTAGTTGTCTAATACCTGAAAACAACTATTTCATATATTTTGCCCAGTTTTTTTAGTTTAGTTAGTTTGCTTTTTAATGCCGAGAAGGCTAGTCTGAGACTAATTACTCTGTCATAGGCAGAAGAGCAAGTTGCTTTTATATTTTTAATCCCATCTCCAGAAGAAATTAAAAAAAAATTAGCCAGGTATGGTGGTGTGTACCTGTAGTCCCAGCTATGCAGGAGGCTGAGGTGGGAGGATTGCTTGATCCTGGGAAGTTGTGATTGCAGTGAGCCATGATTGCATCACTGCACTCCAGCCTGGACAACAGAATAAGATGCTTTCTCAAAAAAAATTTTTTTTTCTAAGAATTTTCTTTCTTCTTCTTTTTTTTTTTTTTTTTTTTGAGACAGGGTATCAGCTCTGTCACCTAGCCAGAAAGAAGTACAGTGGCATAATTTCAGCTCACTGCAGCCTCAGTCTCCCATGTTCAAGCGATCCTCCCACCTCAGCCTCCCAAGTAGCTGGAACCACATGCGCATACCACCACACCAACTAATTTTTGTATTTTTTTGTAGAGACATGGTTTCACCATGTTGCCAAGGCTGGTCTCAAATTTCTGGGCTCAAGTGATCCACCCACCTTGTCCCAAAGTGCTAGGATTACAGGCATGAGCCACCATGTCTGGCCTTTTTTCTAAGAATTTAAAAAATTCTTGAATGTTTTATTCCTTCTGCATTTTTTTTTCCAAGATGGAGTCTCGCTTTGTCACCCAGGATGGAGTGCAGTGGTGCAATCTGGACTCACTGCAACCTCCTCCTCCTTTGTTAAAGTGATTCTCTGCCTTAGCCTCCCAAGTAGCAGGGGTTACAGGCACACGCTACCACACTCAGCTAATTGTTGTACTTTTAGTAGAAACAGGGTTTCACCATGTTGGCCAGACTGGTCTTGAACTTCTGACCTCAGGTGATCCGCCCACCTCAGCCTCCATAAGTGCTGGGATTACAGCTGTGAACCACTGCACTGGCCCCTTCTGCATATTTTTTATCTCAAATTCTTTCTATTTCTTTTTTCATTGCTGATTCACATTAGAGACTTCTCAAGTATCAGGCAGTCCTTGGCTATCAGCTTCTATTGGATGGTAAGGCAATGTGAGGTTGATTTGAAACTCTGGATGTGTATGCAGAACTAGTCACAGGTAAACTTTACTGTAGTGTCGTCTGGCAGGACCTGATACCAGACTCTTCAAGTAATTTTCCTTGAGCTAGGAGAAATCATCCATTCTCCCAGGGAATGGGGGTCAGAGATCTTATTTTTCGGTAATGAATAATGATCACTTGATCATTCTGTTTCAATATCTTGTCCTTGAATTAAAATATCTGTAGTTCCATTTCTTCAGAGAGCAGATCTTTATTTGTCTTCCAGGATTGGGGATGGATAGTAGCTTCAGTTTTGGGGCAGGTTTCTGAGGGAGAGGAAGCTGTCAAACTATACAGCATTTAAAAATATCAATTTTCTATTTTAAAATCCATCTGTACTAATTTTGACTTTCAAGAGTAACTGATGCTTCAATTTTCTGAGCATTTCTGGGATTCCGTTGTCTGTTTCTGGATTTCCATTACACTGTTAGGTTTTAGTATTCTCTGGTTTGTTAAGTCAGTTACCACTCATCCATCTGCTTTTCAGCCAAAATGTTGATTGCTATGATCTTTTTTCAAATTCTCTTTCTCCTTGTGGTTAAAAAAATCTACTTACTGTCATTTTAGTGTGGTTTTAGGAGAGAGAGGCAATACATTCTATATTTTTAATCTGCTGTGTTTAACTGGATGCCTGTGTTCAGGATTTTAAGTCTACAATTGTCATACAATTAGGGCTAAGTATTTCTGTGGTAGCCTGATCTCAATCCTTAGTTTATCTGCATTGTGGTGAAGTCTTTTTATTTTCATTTTTAAAAAACTGTGCAACAGAGCAATGACATTGTGACTTTCTATTAATCAAATATAATATTGGTTTCTTAAATATGAGTTAATGTTTTAAATATAAGAAAAATATTATCGATGCCAAAAAAGCCAAAGAGAGTTCATGGATTCTTTGAAGTTCATCCACAGACCCAAAGGTGCTAAGCATGAAGTGCTTAATTAAATAACGAAATGTACAATGTATATATATATATGTACATATATATATAAAAAATACATTTTATCTCAAAAATCTTTTACTTTTTTTTTTTTTTTTGAGACAGAGTCTCACTCTGTCACCCAGGCTAGAGTGCAGTGGCGTGGTCTTGGCTCACTACAACCTCTGCCTCCCAGGTTCAAGCGATTCTTGTACCTCAGCCTCCAGAGTAGCTGGGATTACAGGTATGCACCACCACACCCAGCTAATTTTTATATTTTTAGTAGAGATGGGGTTCTGCCATGTTGGCCAGGCTGGTCTCCAACTCCCGGCCTCAAGTGATCCGCCCGCCTTGGCTTCTCAAAGTGCTGGGAGTCCAGGTGCGAGCTACCATGGCCTGGCCTGTCAAGCCCTTTTATAACAGCATCCGTTCATTCATGATGGTGGAGCCCTCATGACCTAAATGCCTCCCCTGCAAAAGACAGTGGGGATTAAGTTTCTAATACGTGAAGTTTGGAGGACATATTCAGACCATAACACTTAGTAAATTATAAGGAAATGTTAAAATAATACTTATTTTTCAAACCAATAAAATCCTCCTTCCTTCTTCCCCTATTTACCTTCCTTCTTTCCATACTCGTTTACTAGTAAATATTTTCTTTAGGACTGGATTAGGCACTGTAAGGGATTAAAAACAAGAAATTGAAACTATAGTTCAGTGTTGGTAGAAGATTGATAAAGTCTATTTTAGGATACGATGCTTGTGTTTGTGGTTTATCTTTAGCTTATGTTGATGTTTCAGATTAGCTGAATTCCTTTTAAAGGATGAGTTGCTTTGGCATATTGGCTCATTTACTTAGAGATAGCCTAAGAAAACTGCACAGAAATAATTGCATTTCAGAAGAAATACAGGGGTAATGTGATTAACATACAATCTGGGGTTTATGGTTTTAACCAGATCTAGATCATATCTTCAGTTACCAGACTGTTTATTCTCCTGGAAGCCTGGGAAAACTTGTTTTAGCATCTGCTAGTAGTTTTGGAATTTCATGTTGTTTATATTTTGGAAAATAATTAAACTAATTTCTTTGAAACAAAAAAACAGCACTAAAAAATAATGTTAATGGTGTAGAAATCACAGAGGATTACCTGAAACAAACTTGGGGAGGGTAAGCAGTGTGTAGTTTTTCTATTCACTAGCCCAGAGCTCAGGAAACATTTCACTCTATTGTACTCATCCAGGAAAGCAAAAGTAAGTGTGTGCTTTGGTACTTAATGAAATGAAATGTACTTTGTTAAGATACATGTTTCTTCATTAATGGATGTGTTTGGAAAGGGTAGGGAAGGACACTGTTGTTACTTTGCTGAGGTTTTGTCAAAGGGCAATAAACTACTTGTGATCCAGCAAAAACTGAGATCGCATTAGAAATCCAGTATAGACCAGGTTCTCTGAGTCTTAACAATGAATGAAAATGCTATATTTTTGTAATGTCTGCGTTTAAAATTGTATAATCTATTTAAGAACTTCATATGGCAATAAGCTTATCTTGGGGATTTGTATTAGTCATCTATTCCTGCATAATGCTCTAACCCAAAATCTAAATTTAAGGTACTAACAGCTTACACAACAATCATTTATTATCTCACAGCTTCTTTGGGTCAGGAGTCCAAGTATAGCTTATCTGGGTGCCTCAGTCTCAAGATTTCTCACAGGCTGCAAACAAGGTGTCAGGTGGGACTACGGTCTCATCTGAAGCCTTGCCTGGGGGATGATATGCTTCCAAGCTCCCTGTCATGGCTGTTGGCAGGCCTCAGCTTTTCACTGGTTTTTCGCTAAAGACCATGATTTGTTGTCACGTAGTCCTCTCTGCAGGATAGCTTACAACGCGGCAGCTAACTTCCTTAGAATGTGTGTGTGTGTGTGACAGACAGAAAGAAAGAGAGAGAGAGGGAAAGAGAGAAACACAAAATAGAAGCCACAGTCTATTAAACCTAATCCTGGAAATGACATTTCATCACTGTCAGTACTCTGTTTGTTAGAAGTTGAGTCAGTAGGTCCAGCTCACACTCAAGAGCAGAGGATTATACAAGGCTGTGAATACCAGGAAGTGGGGACCATTAGGGACCATCTTTTTTTTCCCATCCCCACTCATCTTAAAGGCAGTCTACCATTAGAGACCATCTTAAAAGCTGCCTATCATGATTTTGTGGGACTCAATGTTAAATAAAAATGCAGAGCTCTTTGTTCAAAGAATATTAATATTTTCAAGATGATGACAGCAGTGAATTAAACCAAGTCTGGGACTCTTCTAAGTGTGGGTCCTGCTGACTGTACAGGTCACATGACCATGAAGTTGGCCCTGCTGCCTACCATAGGTCTAACTTTCCATCCTGGTCACGCACTTAGTTAAGCAAGGCTGTAAACCACCTGGGGCCAAAAATTTTTTTCTGACTTATGAGGAGGAGATGAAAAAAATCTCTTTCAACAATAATCTTCCAAACTTAAAATAATTTGAATGCTGAAAAGATACAGGTGAAAATGAATACAGCTAGGATTCTGCATATATTTTAGTAAGTGTTATGAAATTTAAAAAAAGACTATCAGTTTGAGGTTAAATGAATTTTGAATTGCAACTTGGGAAAAAGAGGAGCAAAGAGTTGAGACAAAACATGCAAATATTAGTTTAAGAACTAATGACAAGGGTTGAAATGATTTATCAGTTAGGGCCTGGAATGAAATGGCATACTCAAAGTGTATAATTTGAGAAGAATTTTAAAAAGGAACTGTAGTTATCCCCTGGTATTTTTAAGGGATTGGTTCCAGGACCCTGGCAGATACCAAAATCCACAGATGCTCAAGTCCCTTATATAAAATGGCATAGTATTTGCATACAGCCTATGCACATTGTCCCGTATACTTTATTTATTATTATTATTATTATTTGAGACAGAGTCTTGCTCTGTTACCCTGGCTGGAATGCAGCGGCATGATCTCAACTCACTGCAACCTCTGCCTCCCAGGTTCAAGCAATTCTCTTGAGTAGCTGGGACTACAGATGCGCACCACCACACCTAGCTAATTGTTGTATTTTTAGTAGAGATGGGGTTTCACTATGTTGGCCAGGGTGGTCTCGAACTCCTGATCTCAGGTGATCCACCCGCCTTGCCCTCCCAAAATGCTGGGATTACAGGCATGAGCCACTGGGCCCATCCTGTCCCGTATACTTTAAATCATCTCCAGATTACAATAAGTTTTATAATACCCAATAAAATGTAAATACCACATAAATAGTTGTTGTACTCTATTGTCTAGGAAATATGGATGAGAAAAAGAAGTCTGTTTATACCAGTACATATGCAACTGTCCACTTTTTGGAATATTTTTGATCCATGTTTGGTTGAATTGTGGATGTAGAATACCTGGATATGGAGGGCTGACTATATTTACAAAGGTGTGGCTGGGGTACAAGGAACCTACAAGCAATACAGCAATAATCTGGTTCTCATAATAATGGGACTGCTACCATCTCTACAACTGAATGATATGGTGGGGGTGGGGAGAGGGGCATGAAGAAGCTGGTACTGGAATGTGGACACACAGCAGGCTGTGTGGGGAGGGCTTGTTGACAGGAGCTGTGATCCATGGTGGACAAGGGCAGCTCTTCCTGGGATGTCTTGGAAGGGTAGAATTTAGGAAAATAAATACAGATGGTGCCTGACTTACAATGGCTTAACTTAAGATTTTCTTGACTTCATGATGGCGCAAAAGCAATACACATTGAGTAGAAATCATACTTTGACTGTTAAATTTTGATATTTTCCTAAGCTAGCAATATACTCACTCTATCATGATGTTGGAGGAGGCAGTAAGCTGCTGCTTTCAGTCAGCCACTTCACCACCACCGTTAACAACTGATATTGTACTCTACTGTGTGCTGTGTTCCATAAATTATGTGAGATATTCAACACTTTATTATAAAATAGGCTTTGTGTTAGATGATTTTGCCCAACTGTAGGCTAATGGAAGTGTTCTGAGTACTTACAGTAGGCTAGACTAAACTATGATGTTGGATAGGTTAGGTGTATTAAGTGTATTTTTGGCTTACAATATGTTCAACTTAATGATGGGTTAATGGAGACATAACCCCATTCTAAGTGTGAGAGCATCTATACTCAGTTCTCACTGTCTTTTTTTCCTTCAAATATCCTGCTGAACACAAGGAAGGGTGGACAAGGTAAGTACCAAGCAAAAGATTTCCAGTAGTGATAGATACCAAGACAGGACTGCAGTGGAACAGTCTAATAGAGAGGACATAAATATCTTATCTGCCTATTTATAATGCTTTTGTATGGGTTTAGACTTAGGTCCAGGTGGAGGGAGTTGCTGAGTAGTTTCTTTTGCAGCTAACATATATTTATAAACAAAATCACCTTCTAATAAATATAGATTCTATTTTTTGTATTTAAAAATTATTTAAAATGTTTTAATCATATTTTTTGGTGATATACATTTCTATGGTTAAGAATTTGAAATGAAAACACTATCTCTTCAATTCCTATGCCTCAGTCCCTGAGTTTCCCAGTCACTGGTATTCACTGGTATTAGTTTTGAATATACCCTTCTTGAGATATTATATACCCAATAAAGCAAATATATTAATAAGTCATTTTCATCTTTAAATGGAATACTATACATATTTTTCTTTATCTTACTTTTTTCACTTAACAATATATCTTTGAGGTTACTTTATGTCAGTACACAGAATCCTTCCTCTTCCTTTCTTCCTTCCTCTCAGTAATTTATTCATTTAGTAGCTATATGCAAGGTATTGTCTTAGGTGATGTGGTAGATCTCATATTTTTTTCAGCTGCATAACATTATATCATATGAATACACCATAATATATTTACTAGTCCCTATTGGTGAGCATTTAGGTTATTTCTAACCTCTTGATATTACTAATGATACTTCCTTGATTAATCTTGGTCATCCATCATTTTGCAAATAAATGAGTATATCTGGAGGATAAATTCCAAAAGTGAAGTTGCTGGGTCAGAGGGTAAGTATATTTATAATTGTGATAGATACTGTTACATTGCCTTTCATAGAGGTTGTGCCGATCTACATTCCAGAAGTAATATATCTTGCCTGTCAAAGTGTATCAATTTTTTAATCTTTGCCAATTTAGTAGGTGAAATATTATCTCAGAGTTGTTTTGCTTTTATTTTATTATGAGAGAGAATACTTTTTCAGCAGCATAAGAACCCTTTCTACCTTTTAATAAACCAGCCGGGCATGGTGGCTCATGTCTGTCATCCCAGCACTTTGGAAGGCTGAGGTGGGTGGACTGCTTGAGCCCAGGGATTTGAGACCAGCCTGGCCAACACGGCAAAACCCTGTCTCTGCACAAAAAAAATACAAAAATTAGCCAAGTGTGGTGGCATGGACCTTTAGTCTTAGCAACTCAGGAGGCTAAGGTGGGGAAGATCACCTGAGCCCAGAAATGTTGAGGCTCCAGTAAGCCCAGATTGCACCACTGCACTCAAGCCTGGATGACAGGGTGAGACCCGGTCTCAAAACCAAAAAACCAAAAATCAAAAAACACCACAACCCAAAAAACCCCAAAACAACAACAAAAAACCATCTCTTCATAAAATTTGCCTATTTTTCTAAAGGGCTCTCGAGCTTTTTCTTATTAATTTATGAAAGATAGGTATAAATACAGAAATATCAGTCACTTTTCAGTGCCATGAGTTGCAATATTTTTCCCAAAGTGTTTCTGTTTATGATGGTTTTAATGTGCAGATATTTTAGCTTTTTTTTTTTTTTTTTTTGAGACGGAGTCTCGTTCTGTCGCCCAGGCGGGAGTGCTGTGGCGCGATCTCCGTTCACTGCAAGCTCCGCCTTCCGGGTTCACGCCATTCTCCTGCCTCAGCCTCCCGAGTAGCTGGGACTACAGGCGCCCGCCACTGCGCCCGGCTAATTTTTTGTATTTTTAGTAGAGACGGGGTTTCACCGTGGTCTCGATCTCCTGACCTCGTGATCCGCCCGCCTCGGCCTCCCAAAGTGCTGGGATTACAGGCTATTTTAGCTTTTTTAAGTAGTTGAATTTATAAATCTTTTATTTGTGGTTTCTGGGTTTGTGCCATATTTAGAAAGACTTTCTGAAACACTGATTCATCTTTGTGTTCCTGGAATAAATCATATTTGATTATGGTGTGTTGTTCCTTAATTGTGCTACTGGATTTTCTTTGCTAATATAATGTTTAACATTGCTTCCTACAAATTGGTATTGTTCATCATTTAGCTCTTTCTTCTCTACTTTTTGGAACAAAAGGGATGTTTTTGTTACTAGTCTATGCATGTTATGTCTCCTGTTTTTGACAAGTGGTTTCAGTTTCACACCTCAGTGTGTGTCTGTGATGGTTTATTTTATGTGTTAACTTGACTGGGCCATGATGTGTTCAGATATTTGATCAAACATTATTTTGGGTATTATTGTGAGTGTGTTTTTGGATGAGATTAACATTTAAATAGGTAGACTAAGTATAAAGTAGAATGCCCTCCCCAATGTGGGTGGGCCTCATCCAATCAGTTGAAGGCCTTAATAAAACAAAAGGGCTGATTATTCTTGAGTAAGAGAGAAGTCTTCCTGCCTGACTGCCTTTGGACTTCATCTGAAACATTAGTTCTTCCTCGGTTTTGAGCTTGCCAGTGTTTAGACGGGAACTACACTATTAGCTCTCCTGGTTCTCAAGTCTTTGGACTCAGACTGGAACTAAACCATTAATTCTCCTGAATTTCCAGCTTGCTTGATTCACCCTGCAGAACTTGGGACTTGTCTGCCTCCATAATTGCATGAGCTAATTCCTCCTTATTATATGCCTCTTTGTGTGTGTATATATGTATATGTGTTTGTGTATGTATATATAATCAGAAACAATAGATTATAAATAATATATTAAAATATATACTATATAAATATATATCACATTAATATATGGGAACATAAAATATGTATATTTTGTGTGTGTATATATATTATATATATATAATATATATATATATGTATATATAATATATATACACATCACCTATTGGTTCTCTTTCTCTGGAGAACCTTGACTAATACCATGTCTTTTACCTAGGAGAAATGTACATTGCTGATTAATTCTGAGATTTTTACCAACAGACCTCCTGTCTCTGTTTTCTCTTGACTTTATTTTTTCTTCTCTGGTTTTGGCCTCTCTTCCAAATATATTGTGGCTTGGATATCAGCTGTCTCTAGTCTCATGAGATGAACCATGCATTTTTTACTTTCATGTTATTTTGGTTTATTTCATGTTATCTTGTTTTTAAGTGGTTGTTTTCTGCAAGGAGAAGAGGGAATTTCCTATGGTATTCTTTGTTCTGTAAACCACAAGTTTAGATCTTGTTAAACTGACCATGTCATTTTCTTAGGTTTGTTATTAGTGCTTGACAAAGAGGGAAGAAAATTTGGAACACTGAGTAATTTGGAAAGGAAGAAGTAAGAAAAAGGATGAGGATGAAAGGAGATGGCTTGAGGCCAAAGGAGTAAAACAATTGCTGGAAAATTACCAATGCAATATTTAGAGGAGTTTTAAGTATGACAATATCCACCATGCTATTTGAATTTGTATGAAAATCCTTTCTGAGACACATCCCCTCTCTCAATCCTCAGTAAATTCTTCTGGAAGTATGATTTTTTTTTTTTTTTTTTTTGAGACAGAGTCTTGCTCTGTCACCCAGGCTGGAGTGCAGTGGCATGATCTTGGCTCACTACAACCTCTGCCTCCCAGGTTCAAGTGATTCTCCTGCCTCAGCCTCCCGAGTAGCTGGGATTACATGTGCTCACCACCACGCCCAGCTAATTTTTATATTTTTAGTAGAGATGGGGTTTCACCATATTGGCCAGGCTGGTCTTGAACTCCTGACTTCAGGTGATCCACCCGCCTCAGCCTCCCAAAGTGCTGGGATTACAGGCGGGAGCCACTGCACCAGGCTGGAAGTATGAAAAATTTAATAAGCAAATTTTCTCTCTTTCTCTCTGAATATGCATTTCGAATTGAGGGAAAGGCTGAATATCATGCCTGGGACTTCTTGGTATAAAACAGAAATAGATTATGCAGAAACAAACTTCAAAGCAGAGCTGCCAATGAAAATACCTCCTCCTAGTAGATATTCAAAAAGATTGAGAAAGGTTAGGAGCACTCAGAATGTGGAATAGCCATTCTAGCTAATCACATCTAGTTGTAAAGGGTTTGAGAGACTTGAAGACGATAACTTTTTTCTAAACTGATAATATGTATTTCTTTTACCATTTATGTATACTTTAGGATAGATGCCTTTGGGGGCATACAATCATAAATAAATCCCCTATGTTAGAAGAACTCATAGAAGTAACCCAAGTTTAGAAAAGAACAATGGTTTGATATGTTCACCTCCTTTCTACTCCTATTTAGTCAGCAGACCACTCACAGAAATGTGTCTCTCCATGTTGTCCCTATGTGTGCATGATGTAGGGGAATATCTGTATGTATGTAAAGGCACCATACCTGGTCCTATGTGTCTCTAAAAGCTTTTATATAGCATGAGAGCATTTAAAAAGCAGTATTTGGGGTAGCTGAACAGGGTTTGAACAACCTTTCTCTTTCTACTCCTATCTTCCCATCTTTCAGTCATCAGAAAAGATATTTTTGGAGATGGTTTAATGGTGAAAAAAAGTTCACAAATTATTTGGGAAGAAGAAAGATAAATCCTGCACATTCATTATGATCAGTGTAAAAAATGTATTTGAGTGGAAAAATAGGCAAACAAAATTTCTTTCAGTACTGGGGCACTAGATTATTTCTTTCTTAAAAATTTCTGTGTATTCTTGATTTAAAAGTTACTTCCAAAATTTGATTTAATATGTATTTTTTTCTTAAAAACAGTGACTATGATGTTTCTTTCTTAAAAAGATGATTTTCTTTCTTAAAAATTTCTGTGTATTCTAAATTTAAAGGTTACTAACAAAAGTTTATGTATATATATATAGAGGTATACATCTATATATATATATATATTTTTTTTTTTTTTGAGACAGAGTCTTGCTCTATTGCCCAGGCTGGAGTGCAGTGGTGTGATATTGGCTCACTGCAAACTCCACCTCCTGGGTTCAAGCGATTCTCCTGCCTCAGCCTCCTGAGTAGCTGAGATTACAGGTGCGTGCCACCACCCCTGGCTAATTTTTGTATTTTTAGTAGAGACAGGGTTTCATCATGTTGGCCAGGCTGGTCTTGAACTCCTGACCTTAGGTGATCTGTCCGCCTTGGCCTACCAAAGTGCTGGGATTACAGGAGTGAGCCACCATGCCCAGCCATATTTTTTTTTCTTAAAAACACTGACTATGATGTACATATGTGTAAACTGTGGAGTGCTGGCTTTCCAGAAACTTGATAGTCTTCTTTATTTGATCTCTACTGTACACTAGATGAGTTTTTCTCTGTCATGGTTTCACCTTAATACATTTATGTGTGTGAGACATATCTTTGCATACTCCTATATGTTAATTTAATTAACTAGGAAAAATGTTCTAGTTAAATATTTGTAGAATTTTAAATTCAAATGTACCCTTTTCTTTGTGGAGAAATCTATTTTCTTCTTAATCAAAGAATCAAGATTGACAGCCTTTTACATCTGAGAAAATAAACAGCTACTCTATTGGTGAAAAACAGCATCCAATTTATAGTATAAAATTATATTACATATCTGTGGTACTCAGATATTTAAAATAATAAAATTTTAATTATTCAGAATAAATATTAGGTGGAAAGTTAATGTTTGAGCTTATCCAGTGTCTAAGCCAAGATTACTTTAGTGGCAAATAACAAATTCACGAAGGCAAGATTTAACAAGGAGAGGAAATTTATTATAAGGATGCACGGATATCTCTCAAAACTCAAGGGCAAGGATATTGTCCAGAACATTCTCAGGTCTCGAACCAAGTATTGGAAAGTCATTAGAACTGCAGAGAGCTGGTTACTGGGAAGAAGATCCTGTGTCTCTCTGGAGGCATCTGAACTCTCTCTCATCTCTGCCTCTCCTCTGTATTTCTGTTTTATTTTTCTCTGTAGACAGGTCTGTCCTAGTTCTTTTGCACATGACAGCCTTAAAGCACTTCATTTTACATCCTTGGCTCAAGTGAACATCTCAGACTGATAAATGTATCAAAATTTCAAATCTAAATTCCTAAAATAAAGGATTTGATGTACCCATACTGAGATGAGTTTCCAACCCTGGGTCAATCACACATGAGCAGTGTGTGAGGTCATATATTACTAATATAGTCGCTAAAGGTCTGTATTTGAAGAAAAAAGTGCTCAGAGAGAACTGATCATTCCTGGTTTTTTTTGATTTTTGGTTTTTTTTTTTTTTTTGCAGACAGAGTCTTGCTCTGTGGCCAAGGCTAGAGTGCAGTGGCACGATCTTGACTCACTGCAACCTCCACCTCCCGGATTCAAATGATTCTCCCACCTCAGCCTCCCCAGTAGCTGGGACTACAGGCACGTGCCACCATACTTTGCTAATTTTTGTATGTTAAGTAGAGATGGGGTTTCACCATGTTGGCCAGGCTGGTCTCAAACTTCTGACCTCAAGTGATCCACCTGCCTCAGCCTCCCAAAGTGCTGGCATCACAGGCATAAGCCACCGCGCCTGACCTGATCACTCCCTCTTATGTGCCTTCCATGTATCTACTAAACATGTCTATCATAGCACCTGTTAACACTTTGTTTCATTTGGTTTTTTCTTTGCATGTGGAGGACAGGGACAGCATGCTTAGTGTCCTTATCACTAGCAGACATGAAATTAGGCAGTAATAATAATTAACATCTATTTAGCACTTAATTGTGTATCAGGCATTAAAAATTTCTTTTTCTTTTCTAATTTATTTAATTTTCTCAGCAACTCTATACAAGGAACAATGCTAATCTTCTTCTTTAGAAATGATTAGATCAAAAATAGCATTGACAATGAGTCTTGGAAGTCATATCTGTTATAGTATGAATATTTACCCCCTCCAAAACTCATGTTAAAATTTATCTTCCATGGGGCAGAATTGAGAGGTCAGGCCTATAAGAGGTGACTGAGTTGTGAGCGATTCACGAATCAATGGGTGAATTGATTAATGGGCTATGGAGGTGGGATTGGTGGCTTTATAAGAAGAGGAAGAGAGAGCTGAGCTGGAACGTCATGTGATGCCTTGCACCACCTTGGGACTCCGCAGGGAGTCCCCACCAGGAAGAAATTCTTCACCAGATGTACTCTCTCGACCTGGGACTTCTCAGCTTCCATAACTGTAAGAAGGAAATTCCTCTTCTCTATAAATCATATGGTGTTTAGAATACCAGTTTCAGGCATTCTGTTATAAGCAACAAAAAATGAGCTAAGACAATATCACTGATTGAAAGGCTGTAAAATTTTTGGTCTACCCATAATAATACCATCTGCAGTATTGTTTATTCAAAGAGCTTATACTTTTTTTTACCACTTGGTGTCAGAGTTGTACTATTTGAATATATTAGTGCACTTGGGAAATCTCGTGGGAGTTATCTGTGAGCTTTAAGCATTTTACTCTTTGTTTAAATAATTTCTTAGTACATAACTATGTTCTGCACGAAGTAACTAAGGAGAGCAAATGTTCTTTTAGTCTTCCTGTGATATTTTTAGGTTAAATTGCATTTGCTGCCACATTGGAAGGGAAGACTACCACTGTGAGAAGTGCACACAGAATTTATGAGAGAATTCTTGGAGGCTCAAACAATGTTTTCTCATTTTTGCAGAAGACAGGAATAAGTCTGTCTCTCAGATTAATCCTCTGTGTAAGAACCAATTAAATACTTCTGCCTCTAAATGACATCTAGGAGGATTTACCTCTCACAGGATGACAGCCTGATTTCTGACTGAGGGATCAGAGAACCAGGATAAATACTGGATAAATGGATCAAGTATTTCAAATACAAAAACAGTGCTAAGTGACTATTAAGATAAGTCACTTATTAATTTATTCAACAAAGATTTACTGATCTTCTGTAATGTTCTGGGCCCTGGTTTGGGAAGATTCCCGATTCTCATGGTATTAGCCAACTTTTCTACCCAGCCCACCTTTGGCGTCTGTCTATTGCAGTATTCCTCACATATCCTGAGTTTGACAAACATGAAAAGATAATGACCTGTTATAAAAAGAGAGACTAAGCCCGGATATATTGCAGGAAAAAGAATCATCTTGGTGCCTGGAATATTCAAGGTATTCTCCTTTAAAGAAGTGGTAAAACATACATAAACATAAAATTTGCCACTTTC
This sequence comes from Homo sapiens, assembly GCF_000001405.40. Classification (NCBI taxonomy): domain Eukaryota; kingdom Metazoa; phylum Chordata; class Mammalia; order Primates; family Hominidae; genus Homo; species Homo sapiens. The sequence goes on along the minus strand of NC_000006.12, from coordinate 75,545,789 downwards.
ATTCATCATCAGGGTATTATTAAGAATTTGCCTATTGGGCCCAGGCGTGGTGGCTCATGCCTGCAATCCTAGCGCTTTGGGAGGCCAAGGTGGGTGGATCATGAGGTCAGGAGTTTGAGACCAGCCTGGCCAACATGGTCAAACCCCGTCTCTACTAAAAATACAAAAAATTAGCTGGGCGCGGTGGCGGATGCCTGTAATCCCAGCTACTCAAAAGGCTGAGGCAGGATAATTGCTTGAACCTGGGAGGCAGAGGTTGCAGTGAGCTGAGATTGCGCCATTGCACTACAGCCTGGGCAACTAGAGCAAAACTCTGTCTCAAAAAAAAAAAAAAAAAAAGAATTTGCCTATTGGTATCAAGGTTTTGCAATGACTTTTAAATGAAAATTGGGTTATAAGAATATGATTAGGCCAGGCGCAGTGGCTTACTCCTGTAGCACTTTGGGAGGCTGATGTGGGCAGATCACTTGAGTCCAGGAGTTTGAGAACAGCCTGGGCAACATAGTGAGACCTCATCTCTACAAAAAATACAAAAATTAGCTGGGCATAGTGCACACACCTGTGGTCCCAGCTACTTGGGAGGCTGAGGTAGGAGGATCATTTGAGCTTGGGAGATGTAGGTTGCAGTGATCCATGATTGTGCCACTGCACTCCAGCCTGGGTGACAAAGTGAGACCCTGTCTCAAAAAAAAAAAAAAGATGAATTAGACATATTAAATATGTACCTAAAAAAGCAACTATGAATAATTAAGGAGTCAGTTAAAAAAAAAGAAACTAAACAGAAGTGGGAGATTTCCATAATTACTTTGAAACTGGCGATATCCAGTCTGTATGCTATGCTATTTTTTCTTTTTAAAAATTTTAATTTGGCTGGGTGCGGTGGCTCATGCCTGTAATACCAGCACTTTGGGAGGCCAAGGCGGGCAGATCACGAAGTCAGGAGATCGAGACCATCCTGGCTAACATGGTGAAAGCCCGTCTCTACTAAAAGTACAAAAATTAGCTGGGGGTGGTGGTGCATGCCTGTAATCCCAGCTACTCGGGAGGCTGAGGCAGGAGAATCGCTTGAACCAGGGAGTTGGAGGTTGCAGTAAGCCGAGATTGCACCACAGGACCGCAGCCTGGCAACAGAGTGAGACTCTGTCTCAAAAAATAAATTTATTTATTCACTTAAAAATAGATTCTCAAGTTTCAAAACTCAAAGACATAAAATTTTTTTTTCTTTTTTTTGAGATGGGATCTCGCTATCTTGGCCAGGTTGGTCTTGAACTTTTGGCTTCAAATGATCCTCCCACCTCAGCCTCCCTAAAGGTTGGGATAACAGGTATGAGCCACCATGCCGAACCCTAGAAGGTTTTATATATATACTGAGAAGCTTCTCCTTATCACTGATCCCTGGTCACCCTGTTACCCTTGCTAGAGGCAACCAATAGTGACGGCATTTAAAAAATATTTTCAGAGATATTTTATTCTTCTGTATACCAAAACGCATATATTCTCTATCCCCCAACCCTTTTTTTATGTCTGAATAGTATTTCATTGTATTGTCAGGCAAAATTGTGAAAGATTTTGAAATGGGAAAAAAGAAACAAAAGAAAAAAAGATTACTGGGTGTCTTTTCAATGGAATACTGAATTTTTTTAGTGAACACTTCTAGGTTACCTAATACTATAGGAGTCTGTATCTTCCACTGTCTTAATGGAGTATTTTAAACACGGTTAAGTTGGAGAAAATGGGAAGTAATGTAAGTGAATTTTGCCTGCTGGAGAGGCAATTGATTTCCCTTTCTCCCCAAGAGGTCCATTTTATATCTATTAACAAATTAATTTCATTATTCCTAATGGCCTATGTATCTGTTCTTTATTGTTTTATTTTTATTTTTGAGGAGTCTGACTTTGTTGCCCAGGCTGGAGTGCAGTGGTGCAACCTCAGCTCACTGCAACCTCTGCCTCCTGGGCTCAAGTGATTCTCCTGCCTCAGCCTCCCGAGTGGCTGGGATTACAGGCGGCTGCCATCAAGCCCAGCTAATTTTTGTATTTTTAGTAGAGACAGGGTTTCACCATGTTGGCCAGGCTGGTCTTGAACTCCTGGACTCCAGTGATCGCCCGCCTTGGCTTCCTAAAGTGCTGGGATTACAGGTGTGAGCCACCATGCCCAGCCTATATCTATCTGTTCTTTAGATTGTTCTTTGAACAATTTGTTACAAAGAAAATTTTTCTTTTTCTTCTTTTAAGAAACTCATGGTCTATGTAACATCTTATTGGTTCCCTCATTAATCAATGAGTTACAAAGTTGGCATATGTTAATTTTATATTTGTATGATAGCCATAATTTTACCTATAAAAATTATCCCTAATAGTTTTAGGTGGTCATCCACTGAGATGCCTGATGACAAAGCCAGGTAAACTGCCTTGCTGGAAAAGTGGATTTTGTGGGTTACTTAAACCTAGGCATATTGTTTCTTAGATCCCAGAATAATCCCTAGTGTCAGTAGAACTTTAACTTGGCTATTTCTCTAGTTTTTTCCCCATTTTTTCCCTTGATTTTGTGTTTTCTTTTGTTCACACATGACAAATAAGTATTCTCTACTGGTGGCAGCAGTGACTTGGGATTTGATTTTATGGTGTGATGTATTTGATGCTTTCTGTAAATGGATGATAGAGATTTATTTTCTATTGAGTGAGGGATGACAGAAAATTTGGCTTGCTAGTCTCTTTTTGTTTGTTTATTTTGAACTCAGTTAAAAATGTTATGTTCAGTGGGAAAGAGAACAGTTCTTCGATATTTGCCCTGTTGAGCTTCTCTGTGTGTGTGTGTGTGTGTGTGTGTGTGTGTGTGTGAGACAGAGTCTCTCTCTGTTGCCCAGGCTGGAGTGCAATGGCACGATCTCCACTCACTGCAACCTCCACCTCCCAAGTTCAAGCAATTCTCCTCCTTGCCGTCCCGAGTAGCTGGGATTACAGGTTCCCATCACCATACTCGGCTAATTTTTGTATTATTAGTAGAGACAGAGTTTCACCATGTTGGTCAGGCTGATCTCAAACTTTTGAGCTCAGTTGATCCACCCACCTTGGCCTCCCAAAGTGCTAGGATTACAGGCATGAGCCACCGTGCCCGGCTGTCGAGCTTTTGTGTTTCTATGTTTACTCTTGACCTATGGCTGAAGTTGTAGAACTGAAGCTAAAAGTTTTCTATATATCTGTGCCTATGTGTCTTTGTGTTTATGTGTCTATAATTCAGAAAGACCCTTTCCTCCCATTTTATGAGTATAAAATATTTTCTTAGCTCCAGAAAGTATTAATAAATTAGATTATAATCTCTTAAATTAAAGGGGCTCTGTTCTGATTGGCTTATTGAGTTAAATAAGTGCTTATATAAACTAAAGTCCCTAAAAATGCCTGTAACAGAAGGACTTTTTTTTTTATCTTTTTTCCCCCCCTTTTTGTGGAGAACAGGGTCTCACTATATTGCCTAGACAGGTCTCGAACTCCTGGGCTCAAGCTATCCTCTCGCCTCTGCCTCCCTAAGAGCTGTGATTACAGGCATGAGCCACCGCGCACAGCCAGGACTTTGACTTCTAACATTTTAAATGTGCTAAACTTTAAAAAATTCTTATAGAAACTTAATTTAGGAATATTTTAGGAATCCCCGTTCACATAATTAAAGCAAATGAGATTAGTGTAATAATTTTGATGAGAAAATAACAACTATATTTTTTCTGGATTTATCAGTGTACTAAATCATAAAATATAATTATACAATTTATTTTACTGGGGCTTATTTTTTCTAAACTTATATAGGACATACAGATTTTCTAGTCAAGTAAGCTAACATTACTCCTCCATAATGTTTAAGATTATAAAAAACATAAATTTGTGTGAAATAAAATAGAATAATTATTTTGACAAACTTTTATATAAAGAACAATTAAGTTTTTAAAGTCTTCCAGTTTAAACAATTTTTGAGATCTTTGGGTAGCTTACAATCTTGAATTAATATTATATTAGGCAAATGTATCGGTAATTATTGGATACGTAAATAATTTCTAAGATGCAATTCTGAGATTTTGATTATTAAATATCATATTATTTCTAAGCTTTTGCTTATTTTTAAATATTCTGTAAATCTAAATCTTTGGATCATTTAATGAATGTGCTCATTTGCCACTCTATGATGTAAAAGGGATGTGTATGTTTGTAGAAAGTTGTGTTATGTGTGTTCGTGAACTTTGCTAGTCTACTAAAATACTCCTTTATATTAAACAGTTTTCAATTACCTACCTTAATCCAATTTTCTATGTAAAGTAGAGGTTAACTACTTTGATTAAAAGTTATAACTACAGCTTGGGCAACATAACAAGACCCCATCTCTACGAAAAAGAAAAAAATTAGCTGGGTGTGGTGCCTGTAGTTTGTCCTAGCTGCTCAGGAGGCTGAGGTGAGAGGATCGCTTGAGCCCAGGAGTTCAAGGCTGTGGTGAGCTATGATTGCACTAGTGCACTCCAGCTTAGGTGACAGAGTGAGACCTTGTCTAAAAAAAATTATAATTAATATGGCTCATTGAGACTATACTGTGAACATTGGTGCTAGAGAAATATAATTATTTATGTGCCTTGTTTGTCAAGGAAAAAGAGAGTAGTTTTATCCTAATGCAGTTATTTTCAAACCCTTTGATCTCAGGATCGCTTCACATTTTTAAAACTTTTAAGGACAACTAAAGAGCTTTTGTTTAAGTAGGTTATATTTATCAGCATTTGCCATATTGGAAATGACAATTAAGAAACCTTTAAAGTATTTGATCCTTTTGAAAAATAGAGATGATGAACTGATTGCATGCTAACCTAAATAACACATTTAATAAAAACAAATTATATTTTAAAAAATTAGTGAGGAGACTTGCATTGTTTTAAATTTTTGCAAATCTCTTTGAGAGCTGGCTAATAGAACACAGCCAGAGTCTCATACCTCCTGCATTCAATCTGTGATATTATATATCATATGGCATATAAAAAAACTTCATTGTACACTGGTGAGAAGACAAGTGAAAAAGGCAATTCTAAGGTGTCAATTTATTCTAGAATACGAAACATTGAAAATGAATTTGCCTTGGTTTATAATACCTAAGTCTGAAAAGAATATATGCAATGGGCTAAAATTTTGGCATAGTTTGCCTCGTTTTGATGGTCTTGCTTTCTTGGTTTACTGATTAATGCCTTTGTCTACAATAGGTGAGATTAAAAAAAAGTTCTGTGTATAGCAAAGTGTCTGTGTCTTACCAGAATAATTTTCTGTGCTTTATATTAACTTATACGTCCTTTTTTTTTTTTTTTTTTTTTTTTGAGATGGCGTCTTGCTCTGTCACACAGTCTGGAGTACAATGGTGTGATCTCAGCTCACTGCAACCTCTGCCTCCCAGGTTCAAGCGATTCTCATGCCTCAGCCTCCCAAGTAGCTGGGATTACAGGCGCACACCACCACACCTAGCTAATTTCAGTATTTTTAGTAGAGATGGGGTTTCACCACATTAGCCAGGCTGCTCTTGAAGTCCTGACCTCAGGTGATGTGCCTGCCTCAGCCTCCCAAAGTGCTGGGATTACAGGCGCGAGCCACCACGCCTGGCCTTATATGTCCTTATTTAGGAAAAATAAGAACAAAAAGTCTTCATTTATGAAAGAGGAGGCTGCTTACAAGGAAGCCAGGTGAGGAGGATGGATGATATTTCTCAAACCACCTCCCTGAAAATTTGGAGATGAGGGTTTTTAAGAATTGTCTGGTGGTCAGGGGACTAGGGAATGGGTTCTACTGATTGGTTGGGTCAGGGATGAAATCACAGAGGTGTCAAAACTGTCTTCACGTGTTAAGTCAGCTCCTTGGTGGGGGTAACCAGTCCGGGTGGTGTCAGTTGGTCCATCAGAATGCCAAGTCTGAAAAATATCTCAAAGATCAGTCTTAGGTTTCACAATAGGGGTGTTACCTATAAGAGCAATTGGAGAAGTTACCAATATTGTAACCACTGGTTATGTGACTCCTCGAGCAGTAAGCAATTATAAAAAGTGAGCTAAGAGACAATGATTGATTACTGTTTATGCATATATTTTAACAAAATTCAGGGTCCTACAGTAATCTTAACTTTGTAGGCTTCTATTAATTTTATAAATGTGGTTTCAGACCCTAAACAGAGGGGTGAGTTTTGGGAAGGGACTGTTATTATCCTCACTTTAAAGTTAAATTATAAACTAAATTTCTCCCACAGTTAGCTTGGTCTATGTACAGAAATCAGCAAAGGCACTTAGCTTGTGAAGTTAGAAACAAGATGAAATCAGTTATGTCAGTTTTTCTAACTGCTATAATTTTGCCAAGGCAGTTTCAGATTGTTTACGTTTTTCTGGTTAACTCTTTCCCCTTTTGCCCTGCGAATACTTGCCAGCAGCACTTGCAGCTGCAGTGTTTACCCCGAGATAACTTTGCCATTAAACATCTCACTTTTATTATTATTTTTGCATTGCTCTAGTATATCAACTTTAGAAACAAAAGACATCATCATTCTACTTATAGCATTCTGGTTTTGGTAGTGGCATTTCCATTTACGAAATATAGTAATTCTCCATTGCTGAAAATGTCAAATCCTAGAAAATGTAGCATTCCTATGCATGATGTTAACATCATTCTTGAACAGTTATTGACCAAAGATTCATTTGATGAATTCAATTTTTCCGAAATAGACAATTTTGATGATTCAGATGATTCTGATGTTAGTTCTGTTTAGAAATAACTCCAAGATCAGTTTTTATATTTTATTTTCACATTAAAAATCATACAGATTTGCTTCAGCCTCAGAGCATGTTTATGTAAAATTAAATGAGCGTTGGCAACAAGCTGCCCCCCACTTTTTTTAAAATGGGGAAAGGGTTAAAGGGGGAGATTAGCATTTTTCAAGGGGAAGTGTTTCCTTACAGAGGGGTTTTAACTAAACAAAAGGAGTATAGAACTTTTTTTGGTAAGGGGTAGTAGGGGGTTCCTGAATGGATGAAATTGTCTACTAGTTAAGAAAACATTTACCAATTCCCATAGTGTTTGTGCTCATGGTCATTCTTAGGATAATATACAACATCTAGGTCTAAGATTGGAAAGGGAGATATCATGTATTATTTTGAGTCTTTTGGTTGGGGATATTAATAAAAATGTGATAAAATCAAGGTAAACTGAACAAAACCTTTGCTCCCAAAGCTGATTCTTCCAGACAAGATAGGAACAGAAATATTGGGATTCAGCAAAGAGTATACAGGTAGCCAAAGCAAACAGTAACTGAAAAGATTAATATAATTTACAGAAATGATCCTCAGAAGAATAAAGAGTTGATCGATTTGAACTTGTATTACCTTTTATAAAGAAAAAAAGGAAAAAGAAGAGCTAAAATAGGATCCAAGTTTGTTACCTTTGACAGTCTAGCTAGAGAGTGTATAGGACTCTTGGGAATCTCTCCAGAGTAGATGGGAAGTCTTGGTCTGTCCCTACATAGATAGGAGAAATTTGGGTAACTGATGGTTTGTAATAGACATTTGTTGTTTTGTGCTGTCATCCTTCTGTTAACAGTGTCCTAACTTTTTTTTCAGAAAAAGCATCTTTTATCTCACTTCCAGTTCATATAGTTTATTAGTTTGGATTCCTTTAAGCAGAGCCTGAGATTAGAAGTTGGGTGTAGGGATTTATTTGGGAGATGATATCAAGAAGCAGAAGTGAGGAAGTAGGGAGAGTATGAAACACATGAAACATGGAAAAGCCAATAGCCAATAGAGTGATTTATCAAATTCATTATCACTGCGGCAAGTGGGGCTCAATTCTGTCAAAGATCCTATAGGAACTCATTAGAACGTTCCTAGGTATAACCTCTCTGAAGGTTGGGAGGCTGCAGAATTATCTGCTATCTCCATCCCTACTTGGTTGAATATTGCCACTAGGGACATTAAATCCCCTGCACTTTGGGCCTGTGCCCATGTGGAGGTTGAGGAAATTCCCATTGCTTTGGAAAGCCTTGAAGCAGAAAAGTGGAGAAACACAGGGCAGGTGCTTGAGTGTGGTGGGTTCAGTATGCACAGAAAATTCTATCACAGCTGATGCTGAAATCAGAGGTGGCACAAGGGGAAGTGACACAGGGTACCAAAGAGTCTGTTACAGTAGCTTAAGTGGTATTGAGTCCATTCCATGTTCAGGAGCGGGAATATGACTTAACTGGGAAATCAGAATGGTGCATTCCCTGGGGTGTTTGGTTTAAAAATGGGCATGCTACCCTATTTGGACTGATTAGAGTCAGGCCTAAGACTTTTGTTTGTCTACAATAAAAGAGATACTTTCTTATTTTCTGGGGCAGAAGCAATAAAGACTAAGCCTGGAGATACAGACTGCCATCTTGCTACCATGTGGATTAGATCTCTGTGAAGAAAGTCAGCACGGAGGAAAGAAGAGTTGAGAAATGGAGGGAGAACAAGTCATATTGACATTATCTGAGTGTTGAATCCAGCAAAGCTTAATTCTCATTTACATAAGCCAAGAATTCCTCCTTCTTCAAACTTATCCTCCCTCACCCCAAGCCAGTTTTTTATAGCTTACAACAGAAAGAAACGTGACAGACACAGAATCTCTTTCTAACTGGGTAAGGTCTTGGAGCTTAGATGGTCTCTCTTAGTAGAAGGAAGCCATCTTGCAGAGGGGCAGTTTTGGTACCTGAACTCCTTTGTTAATCAATGAGAGAGACAAGAATCTGGGGAATTATGAAATCTACTTCTGTCCATCTGCAAACATCACGACTTTCCCCTGTAGCTGTAACATCAGATCACTTGATTGTCATTTGCGTTTTTAGTTTCTGGTAACTTTATTGGGAATTGCCTATGCATGTAAAAAGTATTTTTGTTACATTTGCCTAGTGTTTTTAAGTGCTTATAGCAGAAGAGTTTTCTGTTTATCTACTTTGCTGGGACCACTCTTTATTAATTTATGTATTAACTCACTCTATAGCAGATGCCAATGATGGCTGCACTATATTCCCCTGGCTCCATAAATTCACCTACATCAGCAGACAGTTGTTGGCACTTGGTCTGTTGCTGTTTTGCTGCCTGAGGGCTTTCTCTGCCCTGTAGGCACTTGTTCCACTAAAAGCAGGGGCAACTCTACTTTCTTTGTACTGAGGTGGACTGATTTTTGAAGTTTATCTGATACTAACATAACTACTTCAGCCTTCTTATGGTTGTTATTTGCATGGTATATCTTTCCCATCCATTTCCTTTCAACTTGTGCCTTTATATTGAAAGTGCATCTCTTGTAGATAGCATGTTGTTGCGTCTTGCTTTTTTATTAATTTTACGATCTCTGACTTTCAATCAGAGTATTTAGTTCATTAAAATTTAATGTAGTTACTAATGTGGTTGGATTTAGACCTATTATTTTATTACTTGTTTTCTGTTTGTTTCTGTTTTTATTCTTTCTTGTCTGCTTTCTTTTTGTTTTATTTATTTATTTATTTATTACTGTTTAGCTAACCACTTCATGTTATTATTATTATGTTATTATTATTTTTGGTGGCTGCTTCATGTAAAATGTAGAAACCATGCAACTTTTTTTTTTTTTTTTTTTTTTTTTTTTTTTTTTTATGACGGTGTCTGGCTCTGTAGCCCAGGATGGAGTGCAGTGGCAAAATCTCGGCTCACTGCAAGCTCCGCCTCCCGGGTTCACGCCATTCTCCTGCCTCAGCCTCCTGAGTAGCTGGGACTACTGGCGCCAGCCACCACGCCTGGCTAATTTTTTTGTATTTTTAGTAGAGACGGGGTTTCACCGTGTTAGCCAGGATGATCTCGATCTCCTGACCTCGTGATCCATCCGCCTCGGCCTCCCAAAGTGCTGGGATTACAGGCGTCCATGCAACTTTATATATCAATTAACCACCCCCTTTGGCCCTTTATGATATACAGTAGTCTCCCCCGTTATTTGCTGTTTCACTTGCTGCAGTTTCAGTTACCCACAGTCAATTGTAATCCACAAATATTAAATGGAAAATTCCAGAAATAATTCATAAGCTTTAAATTGTACATTGTTCTGAGTAGTGTGATGAAAGCCTTGTGCCATCCTACTCCATCCCACCCAGAACATGAATCATCCCTTTGTCCAGTGTATCCATGCTGTATGCTCTACTCACCTGTTACGGTTTTGCTGTGTCCGCACCCGAATTTCATTTTGAATTCCCACGTGTTGTGGGAGGGACCCGGTGGGAGGTAGTTGAGTCATAGGGGCAGGTCTTTCCTGTGCTGTTCTCGTGATAGTGAATAAGTCTCATGAGATCTGATGGTTTTATAAAGGGGAGTTTCCCTGAATAAGCTCTCTTCTCCTGTCTGCCGCCATGTGAAACGTGTCTTTCACCTTCCGCCATGGTTGCCAGGCCTCCCCAGCCACTTGGAACTGTAAGTCCATTAAACGTCTTTCTTTTGTAAATTGCCCAGTTTGGGGTATGTCTTTATCAGCAGTGTGAAAACGGACTAATACATCACTTATTAGTCACCTAGTAGCCATCTTGGTTATCAGATTGACTGTCATGGTATCACAGTGCTTGCTTCAGATAACCCTTATTTTACTAAGTAATGGCCCCAAAGTGCAAGAGTAGTGATACTCACAATTTGGATATGCCAAAGAGAAGCTATAAACTGCTTCCTTTAAGTGGAAAGGTGAAAGTTCCCAACTTAATAAGGAAAGAAAAAAAAATCACATGCTGAGGTTGCTAAGATTTGTGGTAAGAACAAATCTTCTGTCTGTGAAATCGTGAATAAGGAAAAAGAAATTTATGCTAGTTTTGCTGTTGCACCTCACACTGCAGAAGTTATGGCCACAGTGCATGATGAGTGCTTGGTTAGGATGGAAAAGGCATTAAGTCTGTGAGTGAAAGACATGAATAGATATGTGTTTTGCTTGATGGCAATAGGGTTTGGTACTATCTTGTTTCAGGCATCCATTGGAGGTCTTAGAACATATCCCCTGAGGATAAGTGGATACTACTGTAGATGTTATATTTTACAACTACATATATTAAAAACTTCACAAGACAATGTCATAATATTTGCTTTAAATAATTATATTTATCTTTTAAAGAGGAAAAAATGGTCTCTCATATTTACCCATATTAACCACTTCAAAATCTCTTTATTTCTTTCTGAAGATCTCAGTTTCCATTTGGTTTCATTTTTCTTCCAGTCTAAAAAAAAGGTTCTTTGACATTTCTTATAGTGCAGTTCTCCTTTTAATATTGTACTGCATGGAAATGTCTTTATTTTGCCTTTGTACTTGAAAAGACATTTTCATTGGATATAGAATTCTGAGATGACAGATTTTTTTTTTTTCTTTTAGCACTTTAGAGATGTTTCACTGTCTTCTGATCACTATAGTTTCTGAGGAGGAAATCAGTATATATTAGAATAGTTGTTGCCATATAAGCAATATGCCATTTTTCTTTGGCTACTTTCAAGAAGACTTTTTCTTTATTGTTGCTTTTTGGCAGTTTGACTATGATGTGTCTAAGTGTGGTTTTCTTCAAATTTATCCTTCTGGGCAACTTTTTTTTTTTTTTTTCGAGACAGGGTCTCACTCCGTCACCCAGACTGGAGTGTAGTGGTGCAATCTCGCCTCACTGCAACCTCCGCCTCCCATGCTCAAGCAATTCTCCTGCTTCAGCCTCCCAAGTAGCTGGGATTACAGGCGCACGCCACTACTGCCTGGCTCATTTTTGTATTTTTAGTAGAGATGGAGTTTCACCATGTTTGCCAGGCTGGTTTCAAACTCCTGACCGCAGATGTCCCACCCGCCTTGGCCTCCCAAAGTGCTGGGATTACAGGCATGAGTCACTGCCCCCGGCCTTTATGGGAAGCTTGACTCTAAATAATGTCTTTCACCAAATTTCAAAATTTTGGGCCATTAAATTTCAAACATCCCCCTCCCCCCAGCTCCATTCTCTCTGTTTTCCTTCTAGGAATCTGATTACATATGTGTTAGATCTTCTGTCATTGTCCCATAGATCTCCAAGACACTGATAGTTTTAAAAATTATAAAAAACCTTTGTCCTTCAGACTGGATAATATCTGTTAATCTAAGTTTACAGATTCTTCTGTCATGTCCCGTTTGCTGTTAAGTCCATCTAGTTAGATTTTTATTTCAAAATTGCATCTTTTATTTCAAGAATTTTGATTCTTTTTTAAAGTTTCTATTTTTTTGCTGATATTCTTTATATTTTCACTAATATAAGCATATTTTGTTTCATTTCAGTGAACAGAGTTATAAAATCTGCTTTAAAATTCATGTCTGCTAATTTTATCATCTAGATCACTTTGAAATTGATCTTTTTCCTTTTTTTTCTTGAGAGATAGGATCTCACTCTGTCACCCAGGCTGGCGTACAGTGGTCTGATCATGGCTCCTTGTGGCCTCAACTTCTTGGGCTCAAGTGATCCTCCGTGTGCCTATTGTCCGAGTAGCTGGGACAATAAACACATGACACCATACCTGGCTAATTTTTAAATTTTGTGTAGAGATGGGGTCCCACTATGTTACCTAGGCTGGTCTCAAATTCCTGGGCTCAAGTGATCCTCTCATCTTGGCCTCTCAAAGTTCTGGGATTATAGGCATGGGCCATTGTGCTCACCTGAATTGATCTTGGCTCATTGTCTTGTCTCTTGAAAATGAACATTTTCCTTGTTCTTAATATGTTGGGCAATTTTGCATTGTGTTGTGGACTCTGTAGAATGTTTTGTAGTTAAGACTCTAGTTTCTACTGTATATCTCCAAAGAGTGTTAATATTTTAAGTGGAAAATTAACTTTGTCAAACTCATGCTGTACATGCTTTTTCTTGGCCAGCAGCTGAAATCTCAGCTCATTCTTCTTGTCCTTAGCTGAGGTACTTAGAGTCTCTGCCTCATTCATGTATAGTTCAGGGACTTGGGTAGAGTTCATAAACAGAATTCAGGCCTCTCCCTTTCTGGCTCTCTTTTTTCGCAGTTTCCTTCCACACTTTCCAGGTTCTGTGGTCACTCTGAATTCCATTCTCTAATTCTTCAGGCCAGAAAGACTACTTTCTATTAGAATTTTAGCCACCCTGTGCAGTGCTGACTTCAGCCTGCCCTCAGGCTAAAATCTGTAACAATGGGAAACTCATTCTCTTCTAGTCCTTCTTCCAGGTTTTAATTCTTACAGAATCTTCTTGCTTTTGTTCACTTTCCAGTGGCTTTGGGTCATTTTTTTTTGTTTATTTTACTTTATTTATTTTGTCCAGAGATTATAAGTAAATAGGAGTTCTTATTTTTGAAAAGATTGGTCCTGATAGGTTCTTACTTGGCCATCTGAGACATATCTCTTATAGTATCTTAGTGGGCTTGAGCCCATTTCCCCACATTGTAACCTGATCATTTTGTTGACTTTTCTTATTCTCAGTCTGTCTTCCTCACACATGCTTCCTAAACTGCCTACATTTAAGAGTTTATCATGGTCCAATTTAATGGTGACATAAATTAAGATATACATTTATTAAATCATTTGGACAGTCAAATACATTATTTAATTTAATCCTCCCAACAGGTCTAAAAAGTGTGCTTTGTGAGAAGAATTCAAATATTATCTCTATTTTACTGAATTTCATTGTGATTGTATCTTGCATATGATACTAAGTTTAGTAAGTGGCAAAATCCAACTTTAAAACCAGGTGTGTCTGATTCTAAAATCTTATAGTACTGTGTGTTTTGGGCTAGTTACTTTATGTTTTTTATCCTTGTTTTCACATATGTGAAATGGGGATGATATAGCAATGAAATATAGAATTATATGTCAGTTAAATGAGATATTGTGAATACATGATATAGTGCAAGCAAAATAGTGGGTATTTATGTCAGCTTTCATTGTATAACAACCTCGAATTCTCAGTGGTTTACAAGAATAAATATTTATTTCTTGTCTCCGGTTCATGTTGTCAACTACTGGTTGGATGCTATGAATCTATGCAGACTGCAGGCTGAGTCTACTCCATATATCTACTTATTTTGGAACATGAACTAAAGGAGAGCCTCATGTGCAACATGCCTTTCTTATGGCAGAGGGCACAGGAACTAGAGTACTTTTGGAGTCTTATAATCTCTCTAAAAGCCTGTGTTCAGAAATGATATACAGCAAATATTCCATTGGTCAAAGCAATTCACATGTCCAAGCCCCAAATCAGTGGGCTGGGGAAATATATTTTACTCACAAAGGAGGGAATGAATAATTGCAAACAATAACATAATCTACCACAGATATAATCATGATGTTTTGCTTCTACAATACCACAGTTACTATTTTCCAATAACTGGAGTAGAAGGTGGATCATAAAAAGGATATGGCTACTTGAAATGGCAAAAGTACAAAGGAGTATTTTATTACATGCCAAGATAAGAGTTCCGATAAGAGCTGCTATGGGCATTTAGAAAAAGTTAGTGTGAGCCACAAGGACTAGGAAAAGTCTCATGAATGAGAGATGGCTTGATCTGGGTCTTGAGAGATGATTTGAATTTAAATAAAAGTCATTTGAAGCAGCTATAGGAAAATGAGCAAAGGTACAGGGTTGGATTAATTTGATCCTGTTATTGGGGTGATTTTGCAGGGAGGATCATTGGAAGCAGGCTGGAGAGACTGAGTATCAGGCAGGAGATAAAAAGGAGACCTTAACAAATTTTAAACAAGATTCAGAATTGAAAAGTTATGTTTTAGGAAGATTGTCCTGGCAATTCTGTAGGAGGGAAGATGGGCGGCAGGGAGTATTTCTCCAGCGTTATACGCAACAACCATTCTTCTTTTATGTAAGTTGTACACTGGCTCTGTGAGACGAGCATATCACAAAAATGTGGTAAGCATGACAAATATTTCCTCAATGCATACTTGACTCCCACTGGTAAGAAAACTTAAATTGTCTTACTTGTTTTTCTCAAAATCTCCTGTGTGACTAAATAAAAAGCATGCTTTGGTAGGAGACAATACTTCCCACACAGAAACATAATTAAAGCAACATATCAGATAGGCTGGATGGTCAATAAAACATTGCAAACTGGAGGAAAATATTTTTTGCACTGTCATTTTTTATTTTGCTTTTGAACTAATCAAGAAAAGACAATTTGAACACAATTTTCTTTTGTGCACTTAAAAGTAGAGAAAAGGTTTCTAAAATTTTCCATCTTTGAATTTTTTTAGCAAAATACAATGCCCAGAAGCTTTTGGAAGGCAGTGACAGTGGCTGTGGTAAGAATTTCCATCCATTATTTTATCCCATTATTTCTCTGATTTTTTATTGTTATTGGTTTTGGTTCATTAATGATCTGTGATAAATATTTATTATGCAATGCCGCTCTATTTTGGATTTGAAAATTAGTAACATAAGTTTGAATGAGATTATTTGATTTTCAGAATTGTATTTATGACTTAGCTAAGTGGAAAAATGCTCAACAGTAATGTATGCATTTATCAACCCTTAAATCAATCACCTAAAAAATTAAGATTTTTTTTCAGATCTATTGGGCCATCGTTATTTTTGTCATGAAGACTATATTGCTTCATAATTAATATGATATTGAAACTAGATATCACAGGATGAAAAGCACTTAAAATATTTGTAGATTAACATCTGGAATCTTGGAGAGTGAAACTGAGGAAGAGAGAAGGGACTGAATATTTATTTACCTTTTCTTCCATGCCAGACACTGTAAAGTGCTATACTCACTTGTTAGAATAACCATTCAATGCAGTTGTTGCTGTTATTACCCTCATCTCGCATATGAGGAAACTTAGGCTCTCCAACGTGAAGAAAGCTACTCAAGGCCTCATAGTTAATAGTGGGTAAAGCTGGTGTTCAACCTAGATGGGTTTGACTCTAATATCCAATCCCCTTCCATTACATAATGTTGTCTCTCCACATTGCTCTGTTCTCATATTTCCTAATCCTTTGTCAAAGGGAGCTGGATTCCACGTAGAACCTAGAATTTCTGTTTTAGTTAATGGATGGTCTATATATCAGTGGTCCATGATTTTTAGAAGTTCAAATTTAAAAAAAAATTAGTACTATAAACAAGGAAATTAAATTTATAATTTGGTGCTTAAAATATATACTTATATAAAAACAATTATATTACAATAATAATAAAAACAAAAAATATTCAAATATCACCATAAATCATCTCTTAGTTTTCCATGTTGTCTTTTAGTTTTTGTCCATGTGCACACACAATTTGGTAAGAGTTATGTTCTTTAATTAAACATTTTAGTAACTATACACTATTTCACTAGGTGGACATATCATCATTGATTAAGCCATTCCTGTAATGTTTGAAACTTGTTTTCAATTTTCTGCTACACTGTAATAAACATTTAAATTCATGTAGTGCTTTTCTTATTTTATATAATTTCTGTGGAATAAATTTCTGGTAGATATTGGGTCAAAGAGCAGCAAAATAAAAAATTAATGCAAAATGTACTACTTACAATTTTTAAGCTGAATGAAATAGAAAATATTATCATATTGAAATGCTGTTGTGTCAGGGGTTCCCAGTACAACTCTCAGGCTTGATGATTCTCTAGAAGGACTCATGGAACTCAGAAAAGCTGTTATAGTCACGATTATGGTTTATTACTGTGAAAGAGTGTAGATTAAAATGAGCAACGGGAAAAGGTGCATAGCTGAAACCTAGGAGAAACCGGGAACAAGCTTCCCGGTGTTGTCTAGCAGTGAAGTTGCAGGGGGGATGCGCTTAATTCGCTCAGTAATGACCTGTGACAATATGTGTGGAGTATTGTGAACCAGAGAAGTTCCCTTAAGGCTTAGTATCCAGGACTTTTTTGGGGGGGTCAGTCACATAGATATGTAGTGCCCATGTGATTGACCTTAGCTACTCAATCTCCAGCCCCCTAAAGGCTGGAGGCATGCAATGGCTCCAATACAGAATGGCTCAAGGTATGAGGCACGCAAACGCATTCTTATCAGGCAGGATATTGCAAGGACTCAGAAGTTCTCTCCCAGGACCAGGTCAAGAGCCATTCCTTTTTTTGGATTGTGCAGTTTGAGCAGCCAAAGCCTGTTGAGCTAACTCCTTATTACACATTGGTGTAGAAATAGTTCAAGAAGGATTGAAAAATCATGATGTTGCAATGTTTAAAAAGGCTTGGAAGATTAATTAGTTCAAACTTTACTTTTTTATAGCCTGAGTAACTGTGGCTCAGAGCAGCTAAATTATTACCCAATCACACAGTTAGTGATAGACAAAATGCATGAGGATTAAGTGGAAGGTTTTCAATGACCTTCCACTTAAAGTCATTGTGTAGGTTTACTGTTAAAATCTTTTTTCCTATTAAAATGCTACCTTATTTGTTCTCAGCTTTTTAGAATGTAGAAATACCACCTATAATGCCTGCTTAAAATGCGGATACCCATGGCCCAACTTCAGAGATTCTTATTTGGTAAATTTAGGTGGGATGTAGGAATTTGCAGTTTTTAACAAAGTACCCATGTGATTTCTGATACTGGTCAGCCGAGGACCACACTTTGAAAAACATTGTTACACACTGATGACTGATAAATCTTCCTACAACCCAGATTAAATTATGCCATTGTGTTTTTAAAAGAAAAGTCATTGGCTCTTCACTTTCTGCCTAATTAAGTACCACTTTCTTCGGCCCATCATTTCACTAACTTCCACATTCTAGCCCCAAGTATCTTTCCTCTCACTATTCCCTAAAGCCCCCAGCAGAATCAACTTTGTGCACTTCCCTGAATGGTTTGTGTGTATTTTTACTTTTATAATTTGTTCCTATTGTAACTGTAATGGTGACTTCTTGTTTTTGTCTGCCTAGCTTTTTTTCCCCACTCCTTTCTTCTCTGGGAATCTGCCTCTGTCTCACTCCATGTGGTTCTGGGCTGGGTGGGTATGTAGGAGATGGAAAGATTCTCTCAGGCTAGTAATATTTGGACTCATGGAACATGCATGGTTTAAATTAGCATTTGGAGGATGAATACGACTTTGAGAGGAGGAAGACATAGTGAGTTGTGGCTGATGGATGGGAAGGAGTATGTGGTGCAAAATGAAGAAATGTACTTTCAGGCCAATTGTGGTGTAGGTACTTAGAAATTTTGGTCAGATGAGATGGGTCAGGAGAAAGATTGGAGCTTCAGAAATAGAAAGCATTAATGTGACAAGATGGTATGTCCTATATTTTCTATTAAAATTTCTGATTTGCAAATGAGAAAGATGAAAGCCTGTTATTCAACAGAAGGAATTCTGCAAACTATAATTTTGAGCACTGGGGTGCTGGTCACCTCTGGATCCTGACTTTGCTTGCCACCTCCTTTGTAGTCCTGATGATCCTCATTTTCTTTTTCATGGGCAGAGATAAGAGTTTATTGGTGCCTTCTATTATTCTTCCAATGAATTGATACGGTGTAAACTTTATATACTGTTCCCCTAGGGAGCTTTTTTAAATGTCATTAAAAAAACCACATTGAATATTGACCGTTTCTTTCTTGTTCTCTTGACTTAACAATTTTCTTGCTGATTTGGGGGAGGATACAAGAAAGTATGGGGAACAAAGAAAGTGAATATTTTAAAAATATTTTCTTCCACTCAGAATGGGACAATTTTCTCCAATGGCTCAAAGATGACATTAAACATCTAATACCTGGTTTTCTAATTCCAAATCTCATACTTCTTCCAAGAGGGGAGAGTGATTAATGATACTCAATTGGGATGTTAAAACATGGTATGTTGTTAAAAATAACCAATACTACTATTTTTGTGCCTTTCAATTTTTGCATTATTAGAGAATATTTGACCATAATAAAACAGAGCTATTTATGTTTCAAAAAATGGATGTTTTGTGTTGCGAGGTTTGGGATTCTACAGTCTTTGAGTAGGTGATCTATTTGTCTGGCAAATAATGTCTTCTTTTAATTTGGCATTTGGAGTGCCAGGCTGGTGCAAGGATATTCTCATGTCAGACTATCAGACTAAAATTATGCTGTGTGGAGAAAGAGAGCCACCAGGTAGCGCTCAAGTACTATTTATCAATGTTAGAACACGCCTATGCGGTCAGGTTAGTGTATGATGAAGCAACCAATTTTGCTGAAAAAATAAAAGTACTTAATTTTAAGAATTTTTTCTCATATATGGATGAATTCTAATATAGAACCACAAACTCTGTTGTCAAAATCTATTGAAACTAAGATAAAATTTTATTGCTTATCTGCTATGAATACATAGTTTTCTCTCGCACACTGCAAAACAAGATAGGAATTCATAATTATCTTATTGACCAGGTGCTTGAAAATGTATATCAATAAACAGTGCCTAAAAATCTTCTGTCAGAAAAATGGCCAGAACTCCCATGCAAAGAGGAAAAAGTTTGCATACAGGGTTACTGCGCTGTGAGATGCACTTCTCCCTGGGATTTCTCTGGAGGGGCCTCCTCTTCACCCCAGAGGATGTCTGACTTTGCAAATCCCTTCCAAAAATATGGAAAGTGATAAACATTCATACCACTTTTCTAAAAAGATTATATTCTTATTACTAAAGTTAATTTTTCTAAGTACTTTAATATAGCATTGGAATGTACTGAAGAAAAATGTGTAGTTTCTATATGTAATTAAAACTTCTTAGATGTATGCTGAATTAATACTATTACAGAAAATACCTAACATCGTGATTTGAAAGCATAAAATCAAAATATGATTGTTATTTTAATGTTTTATGCTTTTATTATGTGAAATTCTAAACATATGCAAAAGAAAAGAGAATAATACAGTTGATCCTTTGACAACAGGGGTTTGAACTGCATGGGTCCACTTATACAGGAATTGTTTCGATTAAACACATATCTCAATGGATGGAAAATGTGCCTATGTGGGGTGACTTTTTGCTTACAGGGGGTCCACAGGGCTGACTGTGTGTCTTGAGTATATGTGGATTTTGGTATACTCAACAGTCCTGGAGCCAATCCCCTGCATATACATGTACTCATCACTCAACTTCAGTAATTACCAATATTCCGCATCACTGTTTCATCTATACTCTTCAAGCTTATTTTTTCTGAAGTATTTGAAGTACTTTTAAGTAACAAGAGATCATATCATTTTACCTGTGAATATTTAAGTTTGTATTGCCAATAGATGAGAACTTCAAAAAAACCAACCCACATAATCACAATACTGCTATTCCATTACCCAAGCACTTGATATGTAACTTTGTTTTAAAGCTCAATCAGGCAGTATGCCATCCTCAGTGAGAAAATATTTGTCTTGAGAGTTTGAAATAAGAATATGCTGTGGAATGTTGAATAAATATTGTTTTTAAAAAATAGGTGTCTGGGCGTGGTGGTTCATGCCTGTAATCCCAGCACTTTGGGAGGCTGAGGCAGGCGGATCACCTGAGGTCAGGAGTTTGAGACCAGCCTGGACAACATGGTGAAACCTTGTCTCTACTAAAAATATAAAAATTAGCCAGGCATGGTTGCACGCACCTATAGTCCCAGCTACCTGGGAGGCTGAAGCAGGAGAATCGCTTGAACCTGGGAGGCGGAGTTTGCAGTGAGCCAAGATCACGCCACTGCACTCTAGCCTGGGCGACAGAGTGAGACTCCGTCTCAAAAAAAAAAAAAAAAAAAGTAAAAGATTTTTAAGATAAAATGTATTATATATATATTCTACATTTCATTATTTAATTAAGCCTTATGTATCTCATGTGTGGATCATTGGACAAATGAAAAGCCAAATACATTTCTCGAGGTAGATGGGTCTTAAGTTAGATAAGTGCATATTTCCAGTGTGCATACTTCTGTTTATAAGTTAGATAAGTGCATAGCCCTAATGTGCATGTTTCTGTTTTATTGCCATTGTCTGAATAAAAATCATGAATATGGCTACAGTAGCTAAACTCTGCCTGCTGTGAGACTTAAGACTTTTTGATGTGCAGCTCTGTTTGTTTTGGCTTGCTTTCTTTTTCAGACTTTATGTGATGTAACGTTCCCTATAAAAGTCTGACATCAATAAGGATAGGAACTGACTCGTTACATTTTCTGAAGATAATCAGAGTTTTTAGGCTTTTAGTATTCTCCTCCATGCCCGTCCATATTGACAGATTGTTTCAGCCAAGGCAGGCGTGACCACAGAGTTCGTTTACCTCAAATAGCCAAAGCTTAAGATCATGCCGCAGAGTTCAGCTAAGACCAAGAGAGGAATGCAATTGCCTAGCCTGAATGCGAGTGATATTGCATATCCTTTTAGGAATGTAATGTTTAGATTATATCTAGTGGCGGTGAAGAGTAAACAGACAGCTTTTTTCCTGTAAGACCTTGTAATACTTCCATATTATTTACAACATCATTATTTTAACCCAGTGTATTGCTTGTGTGCGACAACTTTGAAGGATTTTTCCTACCAAACTATTAACTTAAAATATAAAAGAATGCATGGAAAAAATTGCTTATTGGATTAAATTGCTAATCCAATAAGGATAAAGATTTTGACTATCCTGTCTGTATGCCTGCTTTTCTTTATAAAGAATTAAAAAGCATAGGACAAGTAACTTTGTTTCATCAAATATCTCTGAATTTTATCTATTAACTAATTTATGAAATACTTAAACCCAACTTCTATTAGATAGATAGATTGAATTCTTTATTCAAATTCAGAAATTCCCCAGCACTTTAAACCTTGTGAATTATTTATACTTTGATAAGTATTCACCTATTTTTTTTTCTCCAGGCAAGTCTTGATACGGAAGTGAGTAGAGCTGGGTTCTTATCTGAAATTATATGAATATAAAATGTACATCTATACACATAAAGGCCATCTTAAAAAGCAGATTTATTTAACAGAGTTAGTTCCAGTTAGGTTTTGACTAACTAATCTAAATAATACTAATCAAATTTGTATTAGCAAATGGCCTTAATGTGCCTCTTTTTGCCTGTTCAGGCATAAAAAATGTTCTGCTTAACAAAAAGTGTTATCAGAGGTATTTTATTTTGTATAAAACATTATAGGCTAATGTAGAGTTGATTGATTTTATCTAATTTCCCTGAAATGTATCTTCCAATAAAAAAACTTCCAACATAGCCATCTACTGAAAATTCCAACAGTAGAAAATGGAAAACTTCCACCTCTGTTAAAAGGATCTACTTTTTTCAAAGATGCAGAAACTTCAGAGTGAGATAGTACTGGGTATGCATTCTAGTTCTGACACTGACCTTGGTTAAGCTACTTACTTTCTGAGAAATCCAATTTCCTCATCCATTAAAAGAGCTTAATACTTCCTAATAATAATGGCTATACTGTTTTTTGTTTGTTTGTTTGTTTGTTTGTTTTTGAGACAGGGTTTCACTGTTACCCAGGCTGGAGTGCAGTGGCATGATCTTGGCTCACTGTCACCTCGACCTCCTGGGCTCAGGTAATCCTCCCACCTCAGCCTCCTGAGTAGCTGGGACCACAAGTGTGCACAACCACACCTGGCTAATTTTATTTTATTTTATTTTGAGAGGGAGTCTCACTCTCTCACCCTGGCTGGAGTGCAGTGGTATGATCTTGGCTCACTGCAACCTCTGCCTCCACCCAGCTAATTTTTGTATTTTTTGTAGAGATGGGGTCTTGCCATATTGCCCAGGCTGGTCTTGAAATAACAATACCTTTTAATAACAAGTAATTTAATTTTTTATTTTAATGCTATATTTTATTGAACCCTGCTCAAACATTGTGCTACTGCAGAAGACATGTTAGTGCCCATTCCACTTTCTTTGGGCCTTTCATGGTGCTCCAGTGAAACCCTAACTGCCAGTATGTGCGTCTCTGTGCCTCAGTGTTTTCCTTCCAGCTCTGAGTAGGTATAGACTAAAGTGCTAAGTAATTCATATCCCCAGGAGCAGCCCTCAACTAATGACCTCACCCCTTTGTTGGTGCATAAATATCACAGGTACCTCAACCCTTGGGTGGAATAATTTCTAAGGTGTATTCTTTGCACCATTTTCCCAAAGTTTTCTTACAAAATTAGGCTGCAGTTGCCCCTTGTGGTAGCTGCTTTACCCATGTCCTCTTTATTGGTTCTGTTGCTCAATTAGTTTTTCTGCTTCTTTAACATATTCTCTGAAATACCCAAATTTACTAACTTCAAATTTTTGCATTGTGGTCTGCTTCTGGGAAAACTCAAATTAAGACAGCCAGCTACTTTATATTTCACCATATCAGCTTAAAACCATTCTCCTGTCCAGGCACAGTGGGTCATGCCTGCAATCCCAGCACTTTGGGAGGCCAAGGAAGGCAGGTCACTTAATCCCAGAACTTTGGGAGGCCGAGGAAGGTGGATCACTTGAGTTCAAGACCAGCCTGGGCAACAAGGCCATATCTAATTGCAAAGGACTTTAGGAAATGCCAGCTACCTAGGTAATCAGGTACCTAACAATAATTCTATTATTATAGGAAAAGGGAAGATGGGTTTTTGTAGACACCAGCACTCTCTACCACATCTTTGTAGTAGAGTATGTATTTTTGGCTCCTTGTGAACCTCACTAACTGCAGACAAGGGGACAGAATATGAAACTATCAATCTGTCTGGCATCTTTTATGCAAATCAAGTCACAGAGCTTTTACATACTAATGATAATATCTTGGATTTCACCTTGTCTCTCTTTTTTACCCAACCATATACTTACCTAGCAAAATATACCTTCTCCCCTCATATTTTTATACATTTGTATACAACATCTTGATTTATATCTTGATTTATCAGTAATGAATATTTAGATAGAGCCTTGCCTAATCTCTTGTGTATGTCTATTCCACTTTTTACCGAATAGCTTCTATTGCTTCATTGGTTGGAAAAAGAGAAGTGAAATGGGAATGAATGAAAGTCATTGCAGGGAGTCTCACACTTCCATACATAATAACTTCCTAAAAACAATTTTAGAAAGTAAAATGTTAGAAAGTTGCTGGTGTGCTGATATCTGTTCGCAGACATGTAAGAAATAGTGTATCGTCTCTAGTATATTTCAAGCAAATACTATATTTATGTATTTATTTTTGTGTTTAGGCAAAGCAGATGGTAATTAATGACTTTCAAAAGTCATTAATTAACAGAGGCCAGGGGCCTCTGTTGCCTGTTCCTTGCCTTAAGGATGGTCCACATTCCTGGGGGTCTGTTACCCCTCTGTACCTACCTGGAAAGATTGTTGTGCAGTCAGTACTATTTTACTCAAGTATCAGGTCTCAATAAGTTTCCAGAGCAGGAATGAGGGAAGAGGTCTTTTGCCATCCAACTATTATACCACTACCGGGTGCACGTGCAACTCGTGGTAAGGCTCCCCATATACTATCTGCTTGAGGCTCATTTGGAAATAAAGAAAGGAGAGGATGTTGGGGTAGGAGGGTAAGTTGTGTTAGGGGAACCATGGGAAAAGGCAGGTTTTTACCCATAGTTTCTGGGTGGGGGTATGGGGAGCTCAAGAGAGTATCAGAGAGGTAGGGCCTAGGTTTGCTACAGTGGACTTGTGATGGTTAATTTTGTCACTTGACTGGGCTGAAGAATGCCCAGATAGCTGGTAAAACATTATTTTTGGGTGTGTCTGTGAGACTGTTTCTGGAAGAGATTAGCATTTGAATTGGTAGACTGAATATAAGAAGGTCGTCCTCACCAATTAGATGATGGGTGGGCATCATTTAATTCACTGAGGGCCCAAACAGAACTATAAGGTCAAGGAAGGATGAATTTACTCTCTCTCTCTCTGTTTGAGCTGGAACATCTGTCCTCTCCTGCTCTTGGTCATTTGCAGTCTTGGTTCCTGGGCCTTCAGACTTCAACTGGGACTTGTGATACCACCGTCTCACTCCACAGTACCCTTCTGCCCCCATTCTTAGGCCTTCAGAATCAGACTGAATTACAACACTGGCTTTTCTGGTTCTCCACCTTGCAGGTGGCAGACTGTGGAACTTCTTGGCCTCCATAATTGCATGAGTCCTTTTCTATTTTATATATATCCTATTGGTTCCATTTCTTTAGAGAACTCTGACTAATACAGATTTTGGTACCAAAAGTGGTTCCAGAGGAAGAGAATTTTAAGAATAAATTTTCTGGGTAGGTCGAGGACTTCTAGAATTGGCTTTCTAACCTGATTAAAGTTGCTAATACTTGATCTCCAGTCGTAAAGAGAACACTTATAGTTCCATGGCATGAACTGTTAATAGAGCTTTGCAAAATATCTGCATTGCTTACTCTTAATCAACCAATTATAAGAAGCAGGGAGATAAGTGACTCTCTATATAGTACTTTTAAACATTTTTTTGTAAATTAAAAAATATAGTGACATTAATTGATTGCTCCTAATGTCTCTGGACAAAGTGGTGAAAGAAAAGGGTGAGATCAGAGATTTGAATTCCCAGCTGATGCACAGCATAAATGACCTGAAAGCTAAGTATGCCCTGAAAGAGAGCCTTATTTCCTGTAGCTGCAGGGCTGGAATTGCTGAAAATCAATGATAGAACGTCATCCTTCCATTGGCTGAATTACAATGCAGATGGAATTCCCACCTTCACAGGGTGTCTAATGTTAAAGTGAGGGCATTAATTGGGAAAGAATGGGATTCCATAAGTGGAGATGGGCATGTGTGGGAAGATCTTGATGAAGCTGGGGACATTGAGTCTCTAAATTCTGATGAGTCTAGTTTGCCAGTGGAAGAGGTCGCCCCATCCCCAGTGGAAGTAGCTTCTCCACCCATAGTAGTGTCAGCCTTTCCACTACCATCTGAGGGGATTAACCCTGTCTTGCCTGAGGAAATGGTAATGGCTTCCCTAAAGCAGTTGCCACGCAAAACAATATTGATTCTCCTCAGTACCACTCCCCACCGCCAACCACTCTTTGCTTCTAGATTTATTACCAAGAAGTGAAGTGACCTGCATAAGATATTTCTATGTACGTTTATTAAACTCAAGCCCTAGAAGGCCCTTGAAGGTGAGGTACAAAGTGTGACCCATGAGGAAGTACACTACACTCCAATAAAACTACTTGACTTTTCTAATTTATATAAGCAGAAATCCAGGGAAAATCTGTGGGAATTGATATTAAAGGTGTGAAATAATGGTGGAAAAAACATAAAGTTGGATCAGGCCAAATTTATTTATATTGGCCCTCTAAGCCAAGATTCTACATTTATGTTGCAGCTTGGTGAGTTAGAAAGATCTCTAACTGTTTGTCTGTTTGTTTGGCTGAAACATGGACCAAAAGGTAACTCACTGTGAGGAAATTGATATGCCTGACCACCCTTGGTTTAATGTAAAGGAAGGGATTCAAAGACTTAGGGAGATGGGAATGTTAGAGTGGATTTGTCATTTGAGACCTATTCACCCACACTAGGAGGTCCAGAAGACATATTTTTCACCAATACTTTGAAAAAATAAACTTGGCAAGGGACCACCAGCATCCTTGAAGAGCTCAGTGAAATCTGGCCTCTTCTCTGTAGGCCAGATTTTACAGAGGAAACCATAGTCGCTCAATTGGAAATGCCAAATGCAATTGGTGTTGTTGGAGCCTGGAGTGAGAGGGGCCAAGTGATGGCGCTCAGTTGCCAAAGACAAGGTGGGTATAGTTAGTGTAATGAACAGAAGAGTCAAAGCAACAATCAGAACCCTCTGACTTGTTTAGACATAGGGTGTCAGCTGGTTAATCATGGTGTCTCTTAGAAGTGAAATAGATAGGAAGCTTACTAAATTCTTACTTTATCCATATAAGCAGAAAAGTTCCAGGTCAAGTGAACAAAGTCTAATCATAAAAACAGAGAATCATGGCTCCCTAATCAATTCCCAGATGATGGGGTTCAGGACTCACTACCCCAAAATATAGCTGTAGGAAATCAGAGTATGCCACCCCAAATGTGCCTCTTTGGCATAAGGACTATTTTAAGCTGTCTATTTCGAGAAACTGCAGATATAGGAGAAGCCTTGAAAACAGAGTAGAAGTTATCATTTTCTAAGATAAATTTATATCCACAAAGAGAATCTCCATATATAAAAGTGTCTCCGCTGCACCAGAAGGAGAGGCATGACTAAATAAAAACTCTTAATGGAGAAGGCATTGACTTAAATCTGGAAAACAAATCTTAACCTTGTTTACTATACTTGTTGTAACCTTGTTGTAACCAGCCTTTCCCTACACTCTTATTTTTTTGTTTCAGCAAATGATGATATTTACATCTGAAGTTTAAACTACTTCTTTGAGATCTACTCTGAAGATTTACTCATTCATCTGGGTTATCTCCCATGTATACAGAAGGTATACATGTTATTAAACTTCTTTTTGTTTTGTTTTTCACTTGTTAATCTGTTTTTTTGTTGTTGTTATGGAGAGACCCAGCTAACAACTCATGAAAGGTGAGAGAAAATTATTTTTCCTTTCCTACACAGACTTGAGCCAGTTTACAGATCCAAAACCTTTTGAATGAAAGGCAGGCTGGATCTCTTGAGGAAGGATCCTGGCACACCACTAAAAATTTATAGCCTTAATGTTTCTCTCAGCCTTCCCCAAAGGGACCTATGGCCTTTTACCAGGGTAACTGTGCATTGGGGAAAGGAAACAATCGGACATTTTGGGGGCTATTGGTCACTGGCTCTGAATTGACACTGATTACAGGAGATCCAAAACATCTCCGTGGCCCTCCAGTCAGAGTAGAGGCTTTTGGAAGTCAGATGATCAATGGAATTGTAGCTCAGGTCCATCTCACGGTGGGTCCTTAAACTCTTTCTGTGGTTATTTCCCCAGTTCTTAGCCTGTGGCAGAATCCCCATATCCATTTCCTGATCTATGGAGTAAGGGCCATTATGATGGGAAAGACCATGTGAAAACCATTAGAACTGCCTCTACCTAGGAAAATAGTAAATCAAAGCAATACTGAATTCTTGGAGGGATTGCAGAGATTAGTGCCACCATGGACTTGAAAGATGCAGGGGTGATGATTCCCATCACATCTCCATTCAACACTTGTATTTGGCCTATGCAGAAGACAGATGGATATTGGAGAATGACAGTAGACTATTGTAAGCTTAACCAGGTAGTGACTTTGATTACATCTGCTGTACCAGATGTGGTTTTATTGCTTAAGCAAATTAACACATCTCCTGGTACCTGGTATGCAGCTATTGATATGGTGAATGACTTTTTCTCCCTACCTGTCTACAAGACCCATTAGAAGAAGTTTGCTTTCAGCTGGCAAGACCAACAATATACCTTGTATATCAGGGGTATATCAACTGTCCATCTCTATGGCATAATTTGGTTTTTTGGGATCTTGATGACCTTCCATAAGATATCACACTGGTTCATTACATTGATGACAGTATGCTAAATGGACTTAGTGAATGAGAGATACTAACTACTCTAGATGTATTTTTAAGACATTTGCATGTCAGAGGGTGGGAAATAAGTCTGACTAAAATTCAGGGCCTTTCACTTCAGTAAAATTTCTAGGGATCCAGTGGTGTGGGGTATATCAAGATATCCCTTTTAAGTTAAGGATAAGTTATTGCATCTGGCCCCTCCTACAATCAAGAAAGGGGCACAATACTTACTAGGCCTATTTGGATTTTAGAGGCAATATATTCCTCGTTTAGGTGTGTCACTGCAGCTCATTTACTAAATGGCTCTAACAGTTGCTAGTTTTGAGTGGACCTATAACAAGACAAGGCTCTGCAACAGGTCCAGGCTACTGTACAAGCTATTCTCCTACTTGGGCCACATGATCCAGAAGATCCAATGGTGATTGAAGTGTCAGTGGCAGATAAGAATGCTTTTTGGAGTCTTTGACAGCCTCCTATAGGTGAATCACAGTATAGGCCTTTAGGATTAGTTACCATCATCTGCAGGTAACTGCTCTTTTTGTGAGGGACAGTTTTTGCTGCTACTGGGCCTAGTAGAAACCGAATGCTTTCCCTTGGTCCACCAAGTTACCATGTGACCTGAGCTACCCATTATAAACTGGGTATTATCTGACACACCAAGCAATAAAGTTGGGCATGCACGGCAGCACTCCATCATAAAATGGAAGCAGGCCTTGGAGGTATAAGAAAGTTACATGAAGAAGTAGCCCAAATACCCATGGTCCCTACCCCTGCCACATTGCCTTCTCTCTATGCACCTAGGCCACATGAGGAATTCTCTATGATGAATCAGTTGACCAAGAAAGAGAAGACTTGGGTCTGGTTTATAGATGGCTCTGCATGATGTGCAGGCACCGCCTGAAAGTGGAGAGCTGTAGCACTGCAGCCCCTCACTGCATATCCCTGAAGGAGAGTGGTGAAGGGAAATCCTGTCAGTGTGCAGAACTTTGGGCAATGCTCCTGGTTGTTTACTTTGCTTGGAAGAAGAAATGGCCAGACCTGAGATTATATACCGATTTATGGGCTATACCCCGTGGTTTGGCTGAATGGTCAGGGAATTGGAAGGAACGTGATTGGAAAATTGGCAACAAAAATATTTGGGGAAAAAGTATGTGGATAGACCTTTCTGAATGGGCCAAAAAAAGTGAAAATATTGGTGTTTCATGTGAATGCTCACCAAAGGGTGATCTCAGTAGAGGATGATTTTAAAATCAAGTGGATAGGATGACCCATTCTGTAGATAACAGTCAACCTCTTTCCCCAGCCACCACTGTCATAATCCAATAGGCTCATGAACAGAGTGTTAAGAGTGACAGGGTTGGAGGATAAGCATGGGCTCAGGAACATGGATTTCTATTCACCAATGCTAACATGCCTAAAGTCACTGTTCAGTGCCCAATCTGCCAGCAGCAGAGACCAATACTGAGACCACTGATATGGCACCATTCATTGGGATGATCAGCCAGATATCTGGTGGCAGGTTGATTACACTGAGCTGTTTCTTTATTCAGCCTACCAATTCAAATGCTAATCTTTGGAATAGATACTCTGAATACAGATTTGCCTTCCCTGCATGAAATGCTTCTGCCAAAACTACTATCCACAGACTTACAGAACGCTTTATCCACTGTCATGGTATTCTATACTGCATTGCTTCTGATTAAGGTACACTTCTCGCAAAAGAAATGTGGCAATGGGCCTGTGGTCGAAGAATTCACTGATCTTACCATGTTCACCACCATCCTGAAGCTGCTGGCTTAATAAGACAGTGGAATAGCTTTCTGAAGACCGAGTTACAGCACCAGCTAGAGGGCAAGGTTCTCCAGGTTTCTATGCTCTGAATCAATGTTTAATATGTGGTGCTATTTCTCTGACAGCCATCATTCACAGGTTCAGAAATCAAGGGGTGGAAAAGGCCTGGCACCATTCATTATTATCTCTAGTGACCCACTGGCAAAATTTTTGTGTCCTCTTCCTAGGACTTTGTATTCTGCTGGCCTAGAGGTCATAGTTCCACAGGGTCTACCAGGTGCTACAACAAAAATTTCATTGAACTAGAAGTTAAAACTGCCACCTGGCCATTTTGGGCTCCTCATGCTTCTGAGTCAACAGGCAAATAAGAGAGTTATGGTGTTGGCTGGGTAATTGATCTTGGGCTATTAAGGTGCAATTGGGTTACTACTCTAAAATGGAGGTAAGGAAGAGTATATCTGGGATACAAGAGGTCCTTTAGAGTGTCTCTTAGTATTTCCATGCCCTGTGATTAAGATCAATGGAAGGCTACAACACCACAATCGAGGCAGGCCTACAAATGGCCCAAACTCTCCAGAAATGAAGGTTTGGGTCATCCTGCCATGTTAAGAACTACAACCAGCTGAGGTGCCTGCTGAAAGCAAAAGGAATGTAGAAGGGCATTAGAAGAAGACAGTCATAAGCATCGGCTACAATAATATGACCAGTTACAGAAACAAGGACTAAAATTGTCATTAATATTTCCTCTGTATTTTGTTATGAATATATTTGTGTGTATATATACATATATTATGTAAATATCTTATTTCCTCTCTTATTCCCTTATCATGTAACATAATATGTATTTACTTTATAGCAGTATTTAAACAGTGTTTATTTTACATCATTGTATTTAAGTTATGGGGTATCAGGAAAAAAGTAAAGACCAATCAAAGACTTTACCTCCTCTTCTGGGGAGTAAGTTAGTGTATTTTCAGTTGTACCCAGAATAGTTGTGTCATGTTGGGTAGAATTATGACCTTGTTTTAGTCATTATCTGGAAATTAAGTATGGTTTAGGGAAATGTGTATGGGTGTCAGATTAACATGGGATGAACTTGTGAGGACCAATTTTATGTGTCAGCATGACTGGGCTAAGGGATGCCCAGATAGCTCATAAAACATTATTTCTAGGTGTGTCTGTGAGGGTGTTTCCAGAAGATATTAGCATTTGAGTCAGTAGACTAAGGAAGATCACCCTTAACCAATGTGAGTGGGCATCATTCAATCCATTGAGAGCTCAAAACAAAAACATGGAGAAAGGGTGAATTCATCATCTCTCTGTTTGAGCTGGGACAAGTCAACTGTTTTCTGCCCTTGGACATCTATCCATTGGCACTCCTGGTTCTTGGGCTTTTGGACTCAGACTGGGATTCATACCATTGCTGCCCCATTCCTCTGGTTCTCAGAACTTTGGACTCAATACTGAATTACACCACCAGCTTTCCTGGTCCTACTGAACAGGAAACTGTCCCCTCACAGACAGCAGATTGTGGGATGTCTCAGCTTCCATAATTGTGTGAGCCAATTTCTATAATAAATCTTTCTCTCTTCCCCTTATCGATTCTGTTTCTCTAGAGAATCCTAACCCGGGACATATGTGACTTTTATCAGGCATGGGATGTAGGGAACTGCTGGAAGTGCTTCTAAATGCACAGGCAGTTCCCACAAACATGGCCAGTGTATGATACTCTACTTGCCATTCTGATGGAGAACAGGTCTTCTCTCCCAGTGGCAATAGCTTCACATAGTACCACCTTGTGACAGCTTGAAATAGCTTTTAGTCAAGTAAATTATAAACCTCTGATTTGGTCTCTGTGGTTTAAGGGAATTGATATATGATGTATCAAAGCATGAGATTTTTGGAATTTGAAGGTATGAAACTTGAGGATTTCATAGATGTATTTCATTTACCTACATAATTTCTGTCCCTGTAATCATGAATATTTGAGAATTAGCTAATCTATTCTTTAGGTATGTGGTGTACTCTTTGTCTAATATTTATCTATCTGCATTTCTGATTTACCTAGGCCCAAAAAGGGTATTTCTTCCTCACAAACTCCTGCATTAGAGAAGAATATTTATGATTCATTTTCCTAATTCTGTTTTATGTTGTCTTAATTATAATTGTGTGTATTCTAATTGTTAGAATACACATGTCTATTTGTTATAATTGTGTGCATTTATATCTATTGTATTAACTGATGAAATTTGTTGAAGGGATGGACAAACTTATAATTCTTTTTATTCCTAAGAACAAGCTTAGTTTACTGTCGGTACTCAATGAATGTGTATTGCTAATTATATAATTTATAAAGCAGAGTATTTTCTTTATGTGGTTTCTTAAGCACCTTTTCATTCAGATGAAGTGCCTAGAGGTATTTTGGAGAACTATCCAGATTTCCATACAGTTTCTTTTTGCTAAGTCCCGTCCAATCTGGATATGCAATAGGAAACTGCATTTCCTGGAATATTCAGTTGTATAACACAAACTCCAAAGAAATAGTCTTGGAAGTTCAGGGATTTAGGGTTTGGAGGGAGTAGCTTGACTTGATGAGTTAAGAGAACTTCTTCCAAACTTGTAGACTTCAATGTTCTACTACTTTCTAAATAATTTATTGGAGGTGTAGGATTCTTCCCCCGACCCCGCCAATGAGATACTGCCTTGCATATTTTGCTACTCTTTGAAGAACAGTTGTTCTCCAATGGTTCATTCTTAACATTTCAAAGAAACTTCAGATGTTTTCCTTAGGTTTATTAATCATAAAAGCACTGTAAAACTTTTCCAGACAAACTCCATCTGGCCACTTCTTGTTTGGTCCTTCCATGATTCCAATTACTCAACATTTTTGTGTTTCTGTTTCTGTCTGGAAATTGCACATTAGTAAACAGAACTTTTTTTGGTTAGGATTATTCCAAATCAACTGAAATAACAATATACATTGAAACACTTTGTTGCCATTACCTGGCACTAAATAGAATAAATAGAACAACTAACCCGTTAGAATGCCCTTGTGAAACATCACAAGCTTTGGGGACCTCTCAATAATCCCTGCTCAATATTGGAAAGCCATTTAGTGCCACTCTAAAACATTAAGACTTGCAGTTTAGGTTTGAGACACTTGAGTAAGCAAGGCCCTAAGTGGAAACTTGATACATAATACTTTTTGGCCTTTCAAAGATAAAATCACAGAACCATAGAATATTTAGAACAAGATCTTAGATCTAAAAACAGCTGACCCTTGACCTCTGAAGATCTAATCATTCTGACAGGATATTTCATAAAGGACATATGTTTAATTGCCTTATCAAGTCTGGGTTAAGTTTAATTTTGAATGACATTAAATACTTTTCTCACTGTAGACAACATGAGTAAGAATGAATAGCCTTCTATATGTTACAGTTACTTTAATTTGCAAGTATTAAACCAATGCACTTTACTTCTACCTTTTCCCTTAAATCATTTTTCCTTTGTAATCTTCTCCTTCTAAAACTGGGCCTTGAGGGTTGCAGGTCCAGGATAAGAAGATAGGTACTAGACTTTAAGAAGACAGTAGAGTTCAAAGCAAGCCTAGTGGAATTGAGAGGGTTTTTATTGTTGTTGTTGTTGTTTTTTCCATTCTCCTTTAGCTTTGATATTACCTGCCAAAGGGAAAGTCTGGAGAACTTGGGTCACAGAGTTTTCCCATAGTGAAGAGAAGATATCCCTTCTCCTATGGCATCTGACTGAGCCATTTCCCTTTCTGGGCATTGGCCTAAAGAGGAGGAGGTATGTTAAATAGTTGTGTGGGAGGCTATTTCCATTTTGGATCAAAAAGAGATTGATTTTTGGGCTAACCTAGACCAACCTGGGACTTAACCACAACAAACTGAACTTGGCTATATAATGTGACTAGGTGGAGTCCGCAAAGTTTAATTTTCCTGGGCCTCTCCTCCATCCCTTGCAGCAAGAACTCAAGAGTTCTTGAAACTTCTGGAAGGGTAACTTGCAAGGCAGCTAAGTTGAGAGCAAGTGGGCCTGCCCTATGTCCTAATTTGAGATTGTTCTATTTTATCTCTGTTGTTTCATTATAATTATAATAGACCTTTTTATCACTCTCACAAGATCTCACTTTGAATGACAAGTTATATTTTAGCCTAGCTAGTGGCCCTGATTAGGTGGGGGTCAACCTGAAGCAGAGGCAGGAGGTGGATTGTTGGGGCAGACGGTTGGATGTAGGAAATGTCACAGATGTGGGGAGCTCTACAGCACTGCTGAGAACTGAGCTAAGGCTCCATTAACCTGGTAACACTACCAGGTTTTTAACAAGCTGGGAACCAGATCAAGGACAATTCCAGAACAGGAGTTTAGTTATGAATGCCAGCAGGGCAAGCAACAACAAAATGGGACTGAACATCAAGCTTAGATTGGGGAACTTTAGTGGTTCTCAGTTCACACATAAACCATAGCCCCCCACCTCCCCCACCGTATGCTCAGGTACCATCTTGGGGAGATGAAATATGTATGGACGTGCATATGTACTGCACACATAGATGTGGTGAAAGGCTGAGAAATCTCTATTTCTTTCCTAGACACGTCAGAACATGGGCCTGTATTCTTATGTGATAACAATGGATTATTTCAATTATCTAATAGGTCTAAATTTTAAGCAAGATTGAGGAAAGTTAATTCCTCCCCTCTAACCATCTGATGGAGGTTTGTGAAGATCAGAGCAATTTCAGTCAAAAAAGGAGTTCATTTTTCTTTGAATATCTGAGTTTCAGTATGCTGGTAAATTTGTGACCCTACTACATGTTTATAAAAGCAGTCTAGTGTACTGATTAAGAAAATGTGCCATGGAGTCAGTCTGCTTGGTCCCAAATGCCAGTTCTGCCAGTTACAAGCTATGTGATCTTGGACTAGTTAACTAACTTTCCTAACTTCTTATTTTTCTATGTGTAAAATGAGAAGAACAATGCCCAACTCCATGTATCATAAGAATTAAATGAGATGTATTTACCAGATAACTATATATCCTCAATGAATATTAGCTGTTGCCATTATTATTCTCTACAATTACAGTTATATATCTTTTTATTTTTGGCTACTTGTAAGTACATATATTTGCATCAATCTTACATCTACTTATAGGATTCAAGCTCCTTTAGGGAATCAGATTTCCTTTATTTTTAACTCACGTATTTTAAATTCGCCAGGTAGTAATGATTATCAATAAATATCCCTTCAACTGTTGACCACAGAAAGCTCAAGTTGTTAATAATAGAATACAAATCATTTTTATTCTTTCTCTAACTTTCAATATAAAATTGATCAGCAAATACTGTATTTTTTGCTTCCAAAATACACTTAGAATCCACTTACTTCTCTTCATTTCCATTGCTACCACTCTATTTTAAGCCATGATAATCTTTCACCTGGATTCCTGCAATACTCTCCTCATTCATATCCTTATTTCCATTCTTGGTCCTCTCCAATGTATATTTGCACAGCGAGTGGTGTAAAGATAAAGCAGATCACATCATTCCCTTGCTTAAAATATGTCAAGGGCTATCCTTTATTTTATAATAAAATTCCACTTTTAAAAAGCCATAACCAATAAGGTCCTAAATTAGGAACTAGAAATTCAAATGCATATAGAGGCCAAATAGGCAAAATGAATGAATTGAAAAGACGGTTGGTGCAGTGGTGAACATGAGGTCACAGGTCTTGTCTCAAGTGGGTAGATCCAGCTGATTGTTGTCCCATTAAGAATACAGGTCCATTGCTGACAGACATTTTAAATTTTTTCAAAATCCAGATGTTTTTATATGATATCTTTTACTTTTCAACTTTTGGCAACTAAATTAAGAAAACACATACATAGCTTTAACCAAGATCCAGGCCTGAGACCTCTCTTCTACATGGCAGGATGCTTATGTAGCTTTCCAAATTTCTCTCTCCCATACTCTGCCATTGTCTTTATGTTTCTTGAAGGTTCTGTGTTCTGTTCCACATCGAGGATTTCCGACGTGCTATTCCTTCTGTCAGGATTACTCTTCCTCTTCCCCTCTATAGTTTGCATGGTCTTCTTCTCCTACAGGTCTCAGTTTAGATGGCATCTCTGTAAACAGGCCTTTTCTTCTTATGGGAATCCCCAACTTAGCTCAGGTATCCTGTAACGCAGAAGCTGAAACAAGGATTATGCACTAAGCTTTATTTGGGAAGTATAATTCCAGAATGGTAAAACTAAGAGAAAAGAGAAATGAAAAGGAGGGAAGGATGGGAAGCAATGCAAGGTGAAGCATGACAATGCTGTCCATGGCTTCACAAGCCATGAAGAAGCACAGCTGGTCACCAGGTATTGACTGTATAAATAAACATTTTCTTCTGTTAGGTATTCTGTGAGGACTGCCAATCTAGAGCTTCTTATTTTAACATCTTTGATTGGGGACTCAAAAAGATTGTTGTATATTCGCTCATCAAACCTACTGAAACCTGGTTTGTAGTAATGAATTCTCAGCATAGTCTATTTTTTTTCTCATCCAAAGCCAGGCCAAGATGGATGTTTTCTTATTTTCCTGTGCCTATAATTTAGTTTTTTTGTTTTTTGTTTTTATTTCAAGTGTCCTAACTTTATCCAGGGGTTTTAGTTCCAGATCTTAATCTCCATGGGCCTGAGGCTTCGTATCCTATCCTATCCCTATCTGGCTATTAAAATCTATTGGTTTCTGAGACTAATACAGCCCCCATACCTGAGAAACCTCATATTCATGGCTCTGATTTTCAGTCCCCTCTTTGGTTTTGGTCATTAGGGGTTTCCCGTAATGTCTTTCATGTCAGCTAGGTTTCTAAAAGAATATTTGTATTATTTTAGCTGGAATTTCTAGGTGTTTTTTGGTGAGGAGATTTTCAGGATTATTAGACCATGGTCCAACATTTTTGGAAACAGAAGTCACACATCGAAATCATGCACTTGTTGGTTTGAGTTTTATCTCTCTCTTCCAAGAAACAGTGTGTTCCATAAGAACAGGAACCTTGCCTGTTGAAGTCTTGTGTCTCACAAAGCACCTGGCACATAACTGGCACTTATAACACATTGACAGAATGAATCTCAATAATGTCAGTGTGGAATTACAGATGTGACCATTCTGAGTTCCAGAGAGTAGTGACTCTGTTTTACTCAGCTTTGTCTTCTCAGACAGTTTAATACAGTTGCAAGAATAGAGTGGATCTTTCCATAGATATTTGGTGGTTATTTTTATTTATATTAAAAAGGAATGATAAAAATCACTAGCGCCTTTAAATTTAGTTTTTAAAGGAATGTTAAGATGGATATTTACAGTGTTATTTTCCTTTTTTCCTCTTCAACTTTTATTTTAAGTTCAGGGGTACATGTGCATGATGTGCAGGTTTGTTACATAGGTAAACGTGTGCCATGGCGATTTGTTGCACAGATCATTCCATCACCTAGGTATTAAGCCCAGCATCCATTAGCTATTCTTCCTAGTACTCATCCTCCCCTGACACCCTCACCCTTTGACGGGCCCCAGTGTGTGTCGTTCACTCCCGCCATGTGTCCATATGTTCTCATCATTCAGCTCCCACTTATAAGTGAGAACTTGGTGTTTGGTTTCTTGTTCCTGCATTAGTTTACTGAAGATAATGGCTTCCAACTCCATCCATGTCCCAGAATGGATTTTTATGGCTGCATAGTATTCCGTGGTGTATATGTACCATGTTTTCTTCATTCAGTCTATCACTGACGGGCAGTTAGGTTGATTCTATGTCTTTGCTATTGTGGATAGGGCTGCAATGAACATATGTGTATATGTATCTTTATAATAGTGTGGTTTATATTCCTTTGGATATATACCCAGTAATGGGATTGTTGGTCAAATGGTATTTCTGGTTCTGTGTCTTTGAGGAATTGCCACACTGTCTTTCACAGTGGTTGAACTAATTTACATTCAACAGTGTGAAAGCATTCCTATTTCTCCAAAGCCTCACCAGCAGCTATTGTTTCTTGACTTTTTAATAAATGCCATTCTGACTGGTATGAGATGGTATCAAATTGTGGTTTTGATTTGCATTTCTCTAATGATCAGTAATGTTGAGCTTTTTTTCATATGTTTTTTGGCCACACGTATGTTTTCTTTTGAGAAGTGTCTGTTCATGTCTTTTGCCCACTTTTTAATTTTTTTTTCTTGTAAATTTGTTTAAGTTCCTTGTAGACTCTGGATTTTAGGCCTTTGTCAGATGGATAGATTGCAATAAATTTCTCCCATTTTGTAGGTTGTCTGTTCACTCTGATAATAGTTTATGATAGTTTCTTTTCCTATGTAGAAGCTGTTTAGTTTAATTAGATTCCATTTGTCTATTATTGCTTTTGTTGCAATTTCTTTTAGAGATTTCATCATAAAATGTTTGCCCATGCCTGTATCCTGAATGGTATTGACTAGATTTTCTTCTAAGGTTTTTATAGTTTTGGGTTTTACATTTAAGTCTTAAATCCATCTTGAGTGAATTTTTGTTTATGGTGTAAGGAAGGGGTCCAGTTTCAATTTTCTGCATATGTCTAGACAGTTCTCCCAGCACCATTTATTAAATAGGGAATCCTTTCCCCATTGCTTATTTTTGTCAGGTTTGTTGAAGATCAGATGGCTGTAGGTGTGCAGTCTTATTTCTGAGTTCTCTATTCTGTTCCATTTGTCTATGTGTCTGTTCTTGTACCAGTACCATGCTCTTTTGGTTACTGTGGACTTGTAGTATAGTTTGAAGTTGGGTAGCATGATGCCTCCAGCGTTGTTCTTTTTGCTTAGGATTGTCGTGGATATTTGGGTTCTTTTTTGGTTCCAAATACATCTTAAAATAGTTTTTTCTAATTCTGTGAAGAATGTCAATGGTAGTTTAATGAGAATAGCATTGAATCTATAAATTACTCTGGGCAATATGGCCATTTTCATGATATTGATTCTTCCTATCCATGAGCATGGTGTGCTTTTCCATTTGTTTGTGTCTTCTCTGATTTCTTTGAGCAGTGTTTTGTAGTTCTCCTTGAAGAGGGCCTTCACTTCCCTTGTTAGCTATATTTCTAGGTATTTTATTCTTTTTGTAGCAATTGTGAATGGGAGTGCATTCATGATTTGGCTCTCTGCTTGCCTATTGTTATATAGGAATGCTAGTAATTTTTGCACATTAATTTTTAAATTAATTTTTAATTTTTATTTTTTTGAGACAGAGTCTCACTCTGTCGCCTAGGATGGAGTGCAGTGGCATGATCTCAGCTCACTGCAACCTCCGCCTCCTGGGTTCAAGCGATTCTCCTGCCTCAGCCCCCCAAATAGCTGGGACTACAGGTGCACACCATCACACCATCTAATTTTTGTGTGTTTTTTTTAGAGACAGGGTTTTACCATGTTGGCCAGGCTGGTCTGGAACTCCTGACCTCAGGTGATCCACCTGCCTTGAACTCCCAAAGTGGTGGGATTACAGGTGTGAGCCATCATGCCCAGCCAATTTTTGCACATTAATTTTGTGTCCTGCGTCGTTGGTGAAGTTGCTTATCATCTTAAGAAGTTTTTGGGCTGAGATGATGGGGTTTTCTAGATATAGGATCATGTCATCTGCAAACAGAAATAATTTGACTTCCTCTCCTCCTATCTGAATACCCTGCCATCTTTACTGTTTCGCAGCCTTCACTGGTGATACTGAGACAGGAGAATAGGGTCTGGAGGCAGGGAACCTAAGTCCAATTCATGTTGACTTCCTAGAAATGAATCAAAAGGAAAACCCTACCTCTCCACCCCAGGTAACAAAAGGATCAGGGGCTATTCCCTTTGCACTGCATTGCAGATGAAAAATGGAAAGTACTTCTGCTAGGTCCCCTCCTGCAACTGATCAGACTGGTCGCGGGCCTGGTCTTCATTTGCATAGGGGTATAACTTTGTAATTCACTTCAGCCTCTAATTGTTCTCCTCCTGCAACTAAACAGACTGGTCATGGGTGACTACTTCATTTACATAGGGTGTGACTAGGAAACAATGGGAAACCTCTAGAGGGTATTTAAACCCCAGAAAATTCTGTAACCAGCACCCTTGAGCCTCTTACTTGATCCTACTCCCACTCTGTGGAGCATACTTTCATTTTAATAAATCTGTGCTTTCGTTGCTTCTTTTATTACTTTGTTTGTGCATTTTGTCCAATTCTTTGTTCAAAATACCAAGAACCTGGATGACCCCTCACTGGTAACAATGCCTTAGTGTTATTTTTCAAAATTTTCACTGATCCCTAAGCTATAAATAATTTTTCATTTGTGTATTTCTTATAGCTCTTCTTGCTTTGCCCATTTTCTTATGTATTTGCCTCCTCTTCATTGCCAGACTCTAAGCTCCTGAGCACCGTTCTTGTCTGATTATTATTATTTTTTTAATCTTCCAATGCAGGGTTTCTTCACCTTAGCACTATTGATATTTTGGACCGGATAATTATTTGTTTGGGGCAGCTATCCTGTACCTTTTAGGATATTTAGCAGCATCCCTGGCCTCTACCATTGGATGGCAGTCCAACCCTCAGTTATGACAACCAAAGTCATCTCCAGATATTGCCAAATGTCCCTTGGCAGACAAAATGTCTCTCACTTGAAAACTATTGCTATAGGGGGCCTTGCACAGAGTAAATGCACCACATTCATTTATTACATAAATCCTATAGCAGATTTTGATTGAATTCCACACAGGCAAACATGGAATTCATGTTTTTTCAGGGGAACTGGTTTCATGTTGGACCAGCCATCTTGTTTGCAGGTCTGAACCGGCACTAAGATGAGCTATGCTCCTGTCACCACTCATTGTCAACTCCCCTTTCTCATTCTCATCTACTTATTTATACTTTGAAAACATCTAGAGTTTATGGTCTTGGTGTGTAGCTTAAGTCTATTACTTCCATAATACATGTATTCATTTTCTGACAAATGGTGTTGGTCAATTTACATTCAAATGCACCTGCTTTACAGATGACGGAATTTCCAAGCACACACACACAGAGAAGTTCAGAATACTTACTATTTGTTTACCTAAATGTGCAAAATTTGGCTTTGGAACTGTAACTTTTTTTTTCTTTCAGCGAGGTTACAACTAATTAAATCAGCAGCTTTTGAAAAAA
This sequence comes from Homo sapiens, assembly GCF_000001405.40. Taxonomy (NCBI): domain Eukaryota; kingdom Metazoa; phylum Chordata; class Mammalia; order Primates; family Hominidae; genus Homo; species Homo sapiens. The sequence goes on along the minus strand of NC_000006.12, from coordinate 75,504,425 downwards.
AAGATTCTTGCCTCTTTACTTTACATATCTGACAATGTTTTCAACAGTTTAGAATTATGTATAAAAACCTAAGCAATAAAATAGGCCAGGCGTGGTGGCTCATGCCTGTAATCCCAGCACTTTGGGAGGCCGAGGCGGGCAGATCACCTGAGGCCAGGAGTTCAAGACCAGCCTGGCTAACAGGTGGTCTGTTAGCCTGTTAACTGGTGAAACCCTGACTCTACTAAATATACAAAAATGAGCCTGGCGTGGTGGTGCACGCCTGTGGTCCCAGATCACCTGAGGCCAGGAGTTCAAGACCAGCCTGGCCAACATGGTGAAACCCCATCTCTACTAAAAATACAAAAATGAACTGGGTGTGGTGGCGCACACGTGTGGTCCCAGCTACTCAGGAGGCTGAGGCAGGAGAATAGCTTGAACCTGGGAGGCAGAGGTTGCAATGAGATGAGATCTTGCCACTGCATTCCAGTCTGGGTGACAAAGTGAGACTCCATCACATATACAATAAATAAATAAATACAATAAAATAGGTTTTGTAAAAAAGATGTTTTATGTTAGAAATGAAGCTTATAACAAGGAAACCTTTTTAGGTAATAAAAATATTTTTAGGCAATGAAAATAATTTTAGATAGTGGAAATTGACGGGGGTGAACCCAACAACACCATTGCCTTTCCTTGCTCTGATGGAACATTCTCGCTTTTAGAGCTGTGGCTCCCCATCATCACAGTGGTGGTGCTGGTGGAGGGTGCAGAGTGGTGGTGGGGTGTGTAGATTAAACACCATTATTCCCACTTGACAATTGAGGAAATAGGCTCAGAGGGATTAAATCATTTTTAAAAATTGTCTTGCTAGTTGGGGTCAGAACAAAGTCTCCTTTTTCCCAGGGCTGTTTCTACCATAAGACATGTTCAGATAGTGATGTCATGTTCTAGCTATTGCTAAGGAAGTGCAAAAAGTGTTTCTCTGTCCTCTATCGCTTAAGGTCAACAACAGCAAAATGACTGAAACTTTTCCTCAGGTAAGCCCTAAAGGAGAAAATATCTCCTCCTTGCATCATGCAGAAATTTCCAGGCAGACCCAAACACAATCGATGGCTCAAAGGGAAAGTGTCACAGGAGAAAGCTACAGAGGCAAATGCAATGATATAATGTTATGGCAAGTTAAGACATTCTTAAGGATAAAAGAGCAGAAAAACCCACATACAGTATGGAAAGCAAAGCAACCATAATTCATTTTGAAGAATCACGAAATGACCTTTTTTCTTTTTTTCCGTGAGTGAATATTAAGAGGAATTTAGTTAAGGAAATTGAATGCCAGATCCACACCAGACAAAATTCAACTATGTCATTTGCTTAATAATTACATTATCCTGAGGCAGACTCATTGAAATCCTGAGTAGTAACAGGAAAGGCAAGTCATACCAAGCACGAATCTTCAAGCCTGCACCTTAGCAACATGTTGGAAAACCACCCCAATAGGAAATAATTTTAAATTATCTTATTTTCCTATTATAAAAAAAATCAATATGAAAACTTTAGAGAACATACAGAAAGATAACCATCGTAATTATTATGTGTAAATATTTCAGATCCACACATTTATACACATATATGTATGTGTATATGTATTTCTATAGAAATACATATGCATAATATGGGGAGGGAATTTCTATATATGTATTTCTATTTTCATATCTGTATCTATATCTATATCATCTACATCTATCTTTAAATAGGATAATGCAACAATACATTTAATGCTGTTTTATTACCTGCTGTTTTCATTTAACTTTCAGTGAGTTTTTTCTAATTCATTAACTAAATTTAATATTTTTCTGCAATATTATTAATATTTTATTAGAGACGAGGTCTTGCTCTGCCACCCAGGCTGGAGTACAGTGGCACAATCATAGCTCACTGCAGCCTTGAACTCCTAGCTAAGCCATCTCCCGCTTCAGCTGAGACTACAGGTGGGAGTCACTGCACCGACTATAAAGCTATTTTTAAGGGCTAAAGATTCAACAAGGAACTTGTAATTATCTTATAAAGGTCAGTTTTGGTTTTTTTAAAAATTACTGTTTTGTAGTTTTCATTGACTTTTTAATTGTCTCACTCTACCTAATGACTCTAATTTCCACATTTATTTTATATTATACTTATTTAACATAAAGCTTTTAAAAGAACGTTCTCCATCATTTCACCATATAGTTGACTTAGCTCATAGTTCTCAAGGTAGGTGACTGAAAGGAAAACTTTGAGACACAAAGTTTTCAGATATTTTGTCATTTCAAAAACACTTTCTTGTCCCTTCCACCTCTCCCAGAAGGTGATTTATTACTTCATTTTCAGATGAAAGAAGTGAAGAATGCAAATATTAAGGATACAAAGGCCGACTCAGCTGTAAGATGGATACCAAATTCAAGTGTTTCTGAACACTTCTCGCCCTGAATTTTTCATCCTGAATGTTCGACCTTTGTGATGACATTTCCTGTTATTTACGAACTGTTGGCCTACAGCTTTTGCTGTCTGGATGCCTTACTTTCTTGATATTTTTTACCTTTAATTATCAGATAAGGCAAGAAAAATATCCTGCTGGTTTTGTTAAAAGTTTTGTTAAAAAAGCAAGGATGAAGCCTCTTTTCCAGTGGTTTTTAAACTAATTGCTTCAGGCTGGCATTTCTAGTTTCTTTACCTTTTTTTTTTTTCTTAAAATTGTTTTTCTTTTTAAAAAAAAAATCACCTTCTTTGAGAATAAACTTTTTTATATTCAATTTTTTTAAATCTCAGTTGCTAATAGTGTATATTAATAGTATAAATTCAATTATCTCCTTTTTTTTTTTTTTTTTTTTTTTGAGATACAGTCTTGCTTTGTCGCCCAGACTGGAGTGCAGTGGAGCAACTCGGTTCACTGCAACCCCCGCCTCCCAGGTTCGAGCAATTCTCTTGCCTCAGCCTCCTGAGTAGCTGGGATTACAGGCGCATGCCACCACGCCCAGCTAATTTTTGTATTTTCAGTAGAGACAGGGTTTCACCATGTTGGCCAGGCTGGTCTCAAACTCCTGACCTCAGGTGATCCTCCCCCCTCGGCCTCCCAAAGTGCTGGGATTGTAGGTATGAACCATTGCCCCTGGCCCTCAATTATCTTCTTAATTATCTAATGACACCAATGGAATTCCATGTGACTTCTATGTAAAGACTCAGATAGTCATAATATTAATTATATAAATAATAACTAACATTTAGTGAGTGTCTATTTATATGCCAGACAGTAAGCATTAAAGACATTTAATTACAGAAAACTTAAAACCTATATGAAAATAGAAAGAGTGTGCAGTATAATGATTACCTGTTTCCCAGCTTTAACAGCAGTCAAGTGATGGTCAATTCTGTTTCATTATACCCTCACCCACTTCTCTTCCTCTCCCCACGCTGGATTTCTTTTTTTTTTTTTTTTGAGACTGAGTCTTCCTCTATTGCCCAGGCGGGAGTGATCACGCCTCCCATGGATTCAAGCAATTCTCTCACCTCAGCCACTGAGTAGCTGGGACTACAGGCGTGCACCACCACACCCAGCTAATTTTTGTATTTTTAGTAGAGATGGGGTTTCACCATGTTGGCCATGTTGGCCAGGCTGAGGAGGGTGATCTGCCCACCTCAGCTTCCCAAAGTGCTGGGATTACAGGCGTGAGCCACCTGTAATCCTTCTCAGCCAACACTGGATTGTTTTGAAGCAAATTCTAGACATCATATTATCTGTAAATATTTCAGAAGGCAAGGACTCGTAGGCATGATATATTTTCAATTACATTTAATTGAAAAAATTTCACTGAATTATAACATACACAAATCATAAGTATACAGCCTGATTAATTTTCAAAATTGAACACACTAGTGTCACTAGCGAGAAACTGAACATTACCAATGCCATAGACACTTTCCTCATGTCCACTTCGAATCGTATTCCCATCTCCTAAGGGCAACTACTGTCCTGACTTCCAACACCATAGATTAGCTTTGTCTCTTTTTGAACTTGATATTTATGGAATCATACAGTGTACTTTTTGAGTCTGGTTTCTTGCACTTAACATTTTGTTTGAGAGATTTATTTACACTGCTGTGTAGTTGTAGATTGTTCATTCTCAATGCTACTGTATGACTATACCACAATTTATTTATCTGTTCAATTGTAGAAAGCATTTAGAGTGTTGCTAGTGTTTGGATATTGTGAATAGTCATTTTTTCCATTTTAGCAGTTTTAAATGAAAGTTTTATATAAAATTACTTTATACCTGCATCTTCTCTATTGTTTCTTCCTTATATATCCCCCTTTCCCTGCTACTTGACAAGATTTGGCTTTCCTTTCAGGGGTCTTTTTTGTGGTCTTCATCTAGTGTTAGCCCAGTGACAACCACCTTGCTGGAGTAAATGCCCACATGGACAGTGGTGCTGTTAGCCTTTTCCTGCTGCACCCATTCAATGTAAATGACATATTTTTTCCCTGTGAACCTGGACTACGTTGCCAGTTTGCTGAACTTTATAGTGTTCTTGCACAATCTGAACTTCATCATCCTTTCACGTAGGCATGGATCTAACATTGTACTTCAGATCCAGCTCTTTGGAAAGAGATGAAGACATAATCTTCCTGCAAATGTGGGAAGGTGCATTGAAATGCTTCTTACAGTTCTGTTTCAGTCAGAAGTCCCAAAGGGATTGGACTTCATTTTGGCTGCTTTCGCTTCGGCAATGGCTGCAAAAGGGAAGAACTGAATAGTCTTAAATTCTTTTATTAATCTTATAGAAGAGGGAAAGGTGGCTTAAGAGAGATTAAGTGATTTGCTAAGCTCACTCAGGTAATAAATAAGGGAGTCTGGACTTAAACTAGCTTTACCCTACTCCGGAATCAAATATCTTGATGTCTGTATTTTTAAGAAAGCCCATTTTTCAGAGTTAAATATATATATATATATATATATAGTGTGTGTGTATATATATATATATACAGTGTGTATATATATATACAGTGTGTGTGTATATGCTGTGTATATATACTGTGTGTGTATATATATACAGTGTGTGTGTATGTGTATGTGTGTGTGTGTGTGTATATATATATATATATATATGTATATACACATATAGTGTGTATATACAAACCTATATACCTTGAGGAGAAAATGCATTGTTCTTTGTGGTTCTATGCTCAATCACTGGCTTTCTGATTCTGTATCTGTTTCTTAAAGAGTAAATGTCCCAACCCCTTTTAAGAAATTGTTAAAAGTCATCCGTTACAACTAGGAACTGAGTATTGAGCAGGAGTAGGTCATGACTCTGGCACAGGAAAGGAAGCAGGAAATAGTCTCAGGAGAAGGTTATCTGATCCTATTGAAAAGTAGGATGCTTGTGATCTGTAAGTGTCTGTAGAATATGGTCCTGAAATAACTTTCAGGATTAGACATGTTCTGGTAGGCTTGTCCTCCAGAGGTTGGCTTATGGGGTGTCAAAAAAACAACAACTTTTAGGCTTTAGTTCTAATAACCCACTTTCAAGCACACAAGCAGAGAAATGAGAATTTTAATGTCTAATACATGCATATAAGTGCTTAATTTATGGCAAAAGCAAAAATATTATTAGTTTATTTAAAACCTAGTCTTTCTCTTTCCTGAAGCGTTGGAAAAATAAATAATTTAATATTTTATGAATATTTATTTGTAGGTGTGACAGTGCTTATTAATTGTCAGGACAAGTATCTATTTTATAATGAATATATGTATATATTATTATAACAGTGTTAGTGCTGTTTCTTTTAAGGTTTTATAAAATCTAAATAGAAGAATAGCTAGATTAATTGAAAATGCAAGTATTTTCAAATTTTGAAAGCTGATTATGTCAAGTGTAATATAATATTATGTTGATGCCAAAGAACTTACTAATGTATGATTTCCCCTACATTGTTTTTTATTTTTTCTTGTTGTTGATTACAACTTTGAGAACACATAGCTCCAAAACATTTTTAAATTGCTCATCAAATCAAATCATAGACCAAAAATATATTTTTAGAATGTAATTTTAGAATTTCATTAAGCATTAAACTCATTCATCATAAAATATCATGCATTGCTTGTTTTAGAAACAATACTGAACAGCTCATATCCTTTGCTTAAAAAGAGACTTTTTCTTAAAGCAATTATCTTCTTTTCAGTCCAATTTTTTTCTTTTCTGGTATTCAACGGGACTTCAGTTCCAACGAGTTTTTATTTTACTATGCTAATCATGAAATGATCCCATCTTTTTTTCCTATCTGCCTCCAAAGCTGTTGGATTTTAAATGTATTTTTTGGTCAAAAGTATATATATTCAGGGATAGTGAAGTTCATATGCCGTAACTCTCAGTGATTGATAAGAACAGGCTACTGTGACTATTGTATATAAGAGGCAGTTAAGTAGTTAAGAACACAAATTTTTGGAACCAGATTTACTAGTTCAAATTCTGGTCCTGCTATTTACCAACTAACATGTAACCTTGGCCAACTTATTAACATCTCTGTGCTTCAATTTCTTGCCTGTAAAATGTGAGATAATAATAATACCCACCTCATAAAGTTATTGTGAGAATCAGTTTGGTTAATATATGTTAAGCCCTTAGAACTCTGTGTCTGGCTAATGGTAAGTGTTGCATAGATATTTTTATTATTATCCTGAGATCTATTACTTTCCTTTGAAATTTTAACAAATTCACTTTTGGGGACCAAGGCGGGCAGATCACTTGAGGTCAGGAGTTCGAGACCAGCCTGGCCAACATGGTGAAACCCCGCCTCTGCTAAAAATACCAAAAAAACAATAAAATTGGCCGGGCATGGTGGCACATGCCTGTGGTCCCAGCTACTCAGGAGGCTGAGGCAAGAGAATTGCTTGAACCTGGGAGGCGGAGGTTGCAGTGAACTGAGATCATGCCATTGCACTCCAACCTGGGCGACAGAGTGAGTGAAACTGTCTCAAACGACAACAACAACAACAAAAAATTAACAAATTCAAAATAATTAATTCATAATCAAATAATTTCTTTTTACGAGTTTTTATATGTATCTAATGATGACCAACTCTGTCCAGAGAGCCTGGAAGCATTTTCTGTATGCTCTATAGTTTTCTTTATCTTTTCTTTAATCTTTTATATGTTCATTTGCTCATTCAGTCTTTCTTATTTATTGAACACTTACTTTGGTGCTTAGGTAGCCAGAAAAAAACAAACTGAAAAATTCTCTGGTACCAGTGAGCTTATATTCATCATCTCAGAGTCAGGCAATAAATGTTAACAGAGAATGTTTGATTGAAAACTTGCCTCATGCCACCCACCCACTACCCCCAAACATTGTTAAAGTAAACATTGTTTTGAAGCAAGTGTCTATTTTTCTCTTCACTGGTATATTAAAGAACTTAATTAACTTATTAAATAACTTAATAAATTATTTTTGCTTTTAAAAATCACTATGCTTATTTAAGTGAACAAGGTGGGAAAATTTGGTTTGAGAAATGGGTGTAGAGATAATGGGTCAATGCTCTTATTTAATTTATTTGCCTTCCCCCCACCCCCCAATAGCATTAATCTATCTTCTTATTGAAAAGTTTTCTTTGGGAGGCCAAAGTGGGTGGATCACAAGGTCAGGAGATCGAGACCATCCTGGCTAACACCGTGAAACTAAAAATACAAAAAAAATTAGCCAGGCGAGGTGGCGGGCGCCTGTAGTCCCAGCTACTCAGGAGGCTGAGGCAGGAGAGTGGAGTGAACCCGGGAGGCGGAGCCTGCGGTGAGCCGAGATCACGCCTCTGCACTCCACCCTGGGGGACAGAGCGAGACTGTCTCAAAAAAAAAAAAAGTTTCATCATGACTCATCCTTGAAGTTGGGATATTCGGTTTTACTTGTAAATTTATCAGAGGTTCTCAGAATGCTCACACTTCTGAGAGGGCTGTGGGAAAGGATGCAGCTGAACAGTAATATATTAACAATATGTGTTGAAACATCAGTTCCTTGTTGACTGTATACAAAACACAAATTTCTAATAGTTCTTAGCAGCACCACTTCCTCTGCAGATTATGTCGGAAATGCTTTAGTCTGAATAATCATTCCCAGGGGGAAAAGCCTTCAAAATAAATTTACTTTATTGCCTGTGTGTGTGTGAGTGTGTGTGTTAGAGAGAGAGAGAGAGAGTCTGATTATTGTAGAATACTGAGTCAGTCATGCACATATGCCTAGTATGATTAAAGAACATAATTTGATGATAGCAACAATATCTAATTATATGAATTATTCTGTATGCTGTGGCTTGTCACCACATTATTTAAAAATAAACTAATAGCAACAATAGACAGCTAATCCAAAGGTTAAGGAAAAACAATGGTAAGGGAATAGGTTTTCATAAAACAAAACAAAACTGAAAACTTTAATTATCTGGATAGTTGTGGAAAAAATAAATCTATCACCCTTTTTTGGCCGTAAGGGCAAAGTGGGTTTTTCCCCTCAGTTATCTCGACATTTGGCTACCACTCTTCTTTGCTTCATTTTGGTCTGGAGATATCTGTAAAGTGAACTCTTAGTAGGGGTGAAATAATATATCCCCAGGGTTATTTTTAGTGGATTTTAACCTGGGGCTGTTGCATTTGGTGTGTGTGAGGGGAAGCATATATATTTTTCAAACAGTAATTTACCCACATCTCACCCCGACCCCCCACTTTTTTTTTGGAGACATGGTCATGTTGCCCAGGCTGGAGTGCAGTGGCACAATCATGGCTCACGGCACCCATGACCTCCTGGCCCCAAGCCATAATCTCACTTCAGCTCCCCAAGAAGCTGGGACTACAGGCATGTGCTGCCATGGTCAGCTAATTTTTTGTAGAGACAGGGTTTTGCTGTGTTGCCCAGGCAGGCCTTGAACTCCTGTCGTCAAGTGATCCTTCCACTTCAGCTTCCCAAAGTGCTGGTGTTAGCCGCTGTGCCCAGCCCCTTTGTAATTTTTTAAAAGTTCTGATGATTCTGAATTATCTCATACTTCACTTATATACTTTCTACCTCTATTAGAACCCACTTTTGGGGACTGTGAATAGATTAAGTTTCTAAAAGATCCATTAGCTCGAGAAGAGTCAGTTAATTTCACATGAGAGCTCTTTCATCTTAATAGAAGTCTCTTTTTTTTTTTTTTTAAATCATGGTTGGCTCAGACTCAGAAAGACTGAGTCTGAGCAAATGCAATTTTACATGTGTATGGTAGTAAATACATTAAAGGGGCAGGGTGCATGCTGTCAGTGTGGTATTTGGAATGAGAAGAACTGAGATGTTTTTGAATGGCTTGAGCAGGTGAGGGTCATTTCTTTAAAAAGAAGGACATACACACACTCCTGATTGAAGTGGCAGACTTTCTCAGAGACATAGGGTTACCCAGCACATAAGCTACTTACTGCAAGTATGCAACTCTTAAAATATTACATCCACACCTTTACATATGCCCTTGGTTCATCTTCAGTTTGCATGTCAAAAAGAGGGTATCTTTAATCTGATAAATTGATCTCAGGAAGAGGGTCAACCTTTATAATGGTATTGGTGAGATTTTTGTCAGGGCCATATTCTAGTTTGTTAATCAATAATGTTTCTCTCTCTCTCTCTCTCTGTGTGTGTGTGTATATGTGTGTGGTGTGTGTGTCTCCCTTCCTACTTTACCTGTGGCCAAGAGGACCTCCTTCAGTTTCCCTTAGTGTTAATTTCACATATGTAATTAGTAAAACGGTCCCCAAAACTAGTTAATTAAACAATTTCTAAAAAGTTTCAATCTCGGCAGATTCATACCGTTTTGTTATGTAGGATGAAGCACATAAAGTATCTTGAGACATTCTTCATGTTGTAGAGACTTGAGGGTTAATGATGAGGCAAGCCTGTCAACAACCAGAGGTATCTCATGTCCTGGATTTCCTGGAGTGTTTACCGTGTGTTACTTTGAATGAATGACCTGAGTGAGGATGCTAAGATTTTCCTTCTTAATGTTACTCCTTTCAAAATCATAATGTTATAGACATTCCTTTATGGTAATATTATTTTAATAACATTCAGGTACATAGCTGGACAAAAGTTTGATATGACTAGGTAAGTGATCTAGCTATAAATGAAACACACCAGTGTCAAAAGCTGTTTGGAAGTGATCTTGTACTCATTTTCACAACCAACAGTTGTGATACACTTTTTTAAGACCTCCATTTATGCAGAAGTGATACACTTTTAAAAAGCATTTTTTATTTCAGAACATTTATCTGAGAGAGCCTAATCGAGAAGAATATTGCATTAGTAAATTGCTCTGCCTAAGACAACTGCTGCTCTGTTTCTCTTCACATTTTAAAACCTAAGTCCCAAATCTCAGTCTGTAGTTAAGAGCTTCAAACAATAATTACCTCTGTGAAATGAGCAGAAGTCCTTAAAAGGGCCTGCCGGTTTTCCCGCAATCTTTTACAGGGTGAGCAGCGCTGTATCCACTGATAACCCAGCTGCTTAGGAACTGAGTAAAGCCGGCTCCAAACTTCTCAGCTGTTGACAGGCTTGACTTGCTGAGAACACTGGTTAAATATAGCACCCGCGAGCTCAGCTCCTCAACATAGCCATTGCTCTGACAGTGTTGTGAAGGGAGCAGAAGAGGAGAAACCTAATCTCCGAACCCAACAACACCTAGCAACAGTAGAAAAAACTTTTAAACAAAAGTCTGGGTGGGAGATATACAACAACTTCCAATTTCTGCTGATCGGGATTTCAGGGAGAAGAAGCTGCTTTCCCTCCTCTCTACTCTGTTTCCTGCATGACTTCAGCTATTGGCTGGTCCTGGGAAAGAAAGTGGGAAAAGCTTTTTCCTCTGTATTCTTTTGGGCTGGATAGTTTTTGAGAACTCGAATCTGTCTTGGGCTGTGAGACAAGCCACTGGGTTCTTCAAAGGATAAACTACCTACATAGAGGACATACCTTTGGTTAAAGGAGCTGCCGTCAGGTAAGACCAAAATAAATAAATACTTACTCTCTTAAGAAATATCTGTTTCCACAAGAAGAGAGTTCTCTCCCATTCTGTTTTGTCTGTTTCCTTTGATTCTTCCTGTTCTATGATGTGATAACACATTTAGAAGTTACGATAACCATTGTGAATTATTTTTAAAAAGTCAGAAACATCATCTCTTCCTCAAAATTATACCAATTCCTTTTTAAACACATAATTTTATGGTGTTTTAGTAGACATCAAAATATTTCTCCCAAGTTAGTGCTCTTCGGCAGGTAACAGAACTATGACAAAGGACAATTTCACATCTCCTTTCACAATTGGGATGGCTAAGCAATGAAAAGGATATCTCCCCTAGAAGTAAAATAACTTTCATTTACTGAAACTAGCTAAGCAGCTTGTGTTTGGTAAATGAGAGGAAAGTCCCGCATGGTGTTTGTATTGCTGTACTTTTTAAACCTGCTGTTGCATGTGTCTCCTTTTGCCTAATTCTCTGATTACACTGGTACACCTTGTGCTGGTTCTGACCTCGTTACACTAGAGTCACCCCAAATGCTTCTGACTGGGCATAAAATATGCCTGGTATTAAATCACTACTCTTGAAGTTGTTGAATATAACTACTCAAGATAATGATATTTGTGTACTTTTAAAAAATAAATCAATACTTGTATTTAGATATAACAGATTCTATTTTTAAAAACTTAATTAGAAAACATTTTCTGTTAAGTTGCATGTGTGTGTGTATGAATGTGTTTACTATAGTGTAAAGGAAATCCTCCTTTCAGCTGATGGCATCTTGTCTCCCCTTCCATGAGTTGCCATGCAATTTTATCAGAATTGCTTATAGTAACCAATTTCATGTTGAATATGACAACTTATGGTTGTACATTGTTGATATAGTTAGTATTGACATCTGGTGGTTTGTAATTGGGGTAGATTTCCATAAAAATATTTTACCTCTAAATGAATATGATGATTTGAATAATTTTTTAGTCTAAGGATAATATCAAAGAAGATATAGAAGCACATTTTAATTGGAATTTTTAAAGTCTATTCTATCAATGTAAAGAAAGAATTTACCCAAAACCAGTTTTTAACATATTATTTGTTGACAAATAAGAATGTATCAACCTTTTCAGAAAATGATCTTCTTTTAAGAAAAGCTAATTAAAGCTTATATAGCATATGCTCAGGAAAATGAAATAGGGCACTCATTTCAGTATGTGTTATGTTTTATAATTCTGTTTACTTGTTTATACAGTACATAAGCGAATCACATATACAAATATGTATAAATAATAGTGCAAAATGCACTCTGGTAAGTTTACTATTAGAGACTGAAACTCCTGGTGCTTTAGTAGAGATGAAATATCTTTGTCTTGAAGGAGTTTGAAAAGTCAGAACTAAATGCTTTACATTTTTCTTGTTTTTATCCTAAGAAGGGTCACATTGTTGACTTAAAAATGTATGTGTAAGGCCAAAATCTACCATTGATTCTAGGCATGTAATTTCTTTTGGAGTCAGTGGGACAGTGTGGCGATAACTAAGTGCAGCATTTGGCCCTGTGTAAAAGTCATGTTTGCTGATGAAGTGAATTTTTCAGTATCATTAATTGTCTTCATTGTTGTACATTTATTCTTGAGAATCAACAGCAATTCAGCTCAGGCTAAACAACACGGTTTCCTCCACTATATGAACAATCAGGCTCTCCACTACAATGCAGATCTGTTCTCCTATTCACTCAAGTTCATAGTTCTGTGACATTTTGGAACTGTCCCTTTCCCCTTTACCATAAAAGTTGTTAGATTCCATTGCCATGTCTTCCACCACACTAATGCCTGTTCTCTTCACCCTAGTTTGGATTATAACAATGCTGCTCCCTCCTACCCCTTGTTGCCATCCAAATCATCTTGCCCATGACCACGAGATTGGTTTTACTAAAGCATTGCTATGTTTGTCTATCTACTCTTCAGTTATCTTCTGGGACTTCTAGTTGCTGCCAAACACCTAGGCTGGGTATTTTGAAAACCTTCCATCATCTGGCACCTACTTAACTTTTCCAGTCTCAATACCATGACTCAACAACAAGGTCCCTCTGCTTCAGGTATTTCAGATTATGGGCCATTCTCCAAACACATACTCAGTGAACATTTCAATACCCCAGCTTTGCCCCAGCTTTTATTCTCCCTGCCTGGAAGACATTTACTCTCTGGTCCTGTAGAAACTTTGCCTACTCTTTAAGACCCAGATCAGGGTCTTCCACTTTCACAATGATATTCTGGATCATACATTTTAGAAGTGATTCTTTCTAAGTTTAGACAGCTTGGTGCTCTGTTAGAATTAGGGTACTTTTAAGTAGGGTTTGCCTCTTTATATTCAGAACAATTTTATGACGTCTATTAGGTGCAATGCCGTATCCTAAGCATCACTTGGCTTTGGAGCTTCTCAGCTGCAGGCACATTGTGGATGTTCCATTCACATTTGTGGCTCTAGATATCTGATGATAAGTACATGAGAAAGTATGGATAAGTATAGAATCAAGAAAAGCAACTGTAAGTTAATAGTTTTTTACTTCAGAAATTTCTCAAGGAAAGTCTTCATGGTTTTACCACGCACAGAAAAATTATAAACACTTTTAACTACACTCATGTACCCAATTGTGGAAATGATGTTGTATCTCTCAGGAATAAAATAGAAAGGGGAAATATGACAGGACTGTGTATGTATATATGCATGCACACATGCACACACACACACACACACACACACACAAATCCTGTGTATCTACCTAGACCTCTAAATACTGTAACTTATATACTTTTGTTATCTTTTGGTGCCAGGTTCTATTTATAGTTACTTTTGGTACAATTCATTTAAATCATGGCTCTTATTTGTGGATCGTGAATTAGAATCTGGCTTTGAACAAGAAAACATTTAAATACGTTATGATCCTTTTTCTGTTGTTTTTCTCTTGATATTTTGAAAAAGACATTTTTCAGTATTTAATTGCTCGTGAAAACTGTAGCCTTATTGAGTGAGATAAAGCAGGAATCATACTTTCAAAGCAATTTGTTCTGTATTCAACAAAAGAAAAACATTCTCTTAGTATTTATATTTTAAGATGGTCAAAGTGATGAAACTTACTCTTTTAAGTGGATATTCAGTAAGAAACCCTATGGAATTTTCCAATGAAATTTGTGAAATATTTAATATGTTCATTAAGCACCGGTTTCCTTGTGGTTATAATTTTTACTTATTGTTTAGAGTGAAACTTTGGGGTTTACACAGTCTAAATAATGCTACCTGTGTTTTCATTTTTTGGCAGGTGAGCATTTTTTCATAAAACATATGCCTTAAGATATAAGATTTTACAGAGTTTGTTTAATCCACATTTTCATTCATTTGTCTAATCTTCCCTCTTTAAACTCGTGGGTTTTAGAAAGGTAGCACTAGGAGAAATGAGGGGGCAAGCTCGTGTTGAGATTTATTTCAACAGAAAGGTTTAAGAGAAAAAAGATTGGTAACAATTTATTAGAAAAATGACATCTAAAAGCCTGCAGTATAAATTCATTTTTACATTTTTTTAATATATATAGCAATAAATAGAAAAAAGATAAGCTAATAAAAATACATTTTGTTTCTTTAAATCTGAGTTGAAGATATAACCAGAAGATGTTCATGGAAGAGGAGTCAGAAAAGGTTAGTAGCATGACTAAGTCAGTCAGATAGCCTGGATTCAGATTTTAGCTCAAGGTGACCTTAGGCAAATTAATCTCTGTGTCTCAGTTTCTTCATCTGTAAAAAGAGGGTAATAATGCTATTTCCTTATGAAGTTTTTTTGAACATTAAATGACTTATAAAATCTATAGTTTATAATTTATTCTTCAATAAATTTAAGCTAGTATGGCTTTATTACACCTTAAATATAGTTATTTGTTTACTTTAATCTTTGTTGCATACAAAGTTCTTGGATGCGGATAGTTTGTGATCTCAACTTCATAGATTATAGGAAAGGCAGGAGAATGTATTATTTAAGTTTGGAATCCTGCTTGGGACATACTTTGCTGCTGGGTACTCTAAGCAGACACAATTTGAACAGCAGCCAATAATTTAGTATGGAATTTATGTTTCAAACTCTCCCTTATCACTCAGCAGTCTGCTGTCTTATAGAACCATTACTAAAAAGGCTAAGAAATCACCCACAGCACAGACTGTTCTATGGTTTCTATATTTGCACTTGGAGATAAAGTGTGTTTATACACAGTGCTTGGGTGTCTGTTTTACAGCCGACTATACTGGGTAATGTACAGCAATGAAGACTTCCTCCTCCATGCAAGAACACATTATTAAATTTATCATTCTTTATTTCTCTCCTTAGATGATTTGTTTTGTTTTACTAACCTAGTAACAGATAAAAATGAAAAGACCAAAAAAGGTCATCTTAAGCTAACTTTAACTTTACTAAATGGAAATGAATTCTTGCGATTCATTGCCCTTAATCCTATTCATTCTTCTTAAATATGAAAAGAAAAGTACATTCCAAGACAAACAAAAAGTGTTATCTCATAAGATGTGTGTGTATGTGTATTCTGCTTAATATTCTGTATACTTAACAAAAATATATAAAGCACCCTTATAAGCAGGGAAGTTTCTTAGCAGCTTTAGTGGCAACAAACCTTATGCAGGACATAAATGGTTTAAATCTGTCAATTTTACTTTATTTTTCCCAGTTGAAAGGATAAGTCTCTAAAAGTTGAGGCAAAACAAATTTTAAAATTGTCATTCTCTAATGAAAACTTTGTGTGGAAAGAAAGAAACAAAGGAAGGTAGGAAGGAAAAGTAAAATAAAGAAAGAAAAGAAGGAAATAACTTTTCCTGGCTTTGCGGAATGAATATATTATAGTGGTACCAGGGCAAAAATATAGAAACCTCAGGAAAGTATATTGGATTATGTTTTTTTTTTTTTCTTAAATGGTCAGTCTATGTTTTAGCTAATGAGAGAAGGGAAAAGGCTACAGGCAGAATATAGCTTTCTCTGGTAGTAGCTGAGGCAGTTTAATTTCAAAGACCAGGCAGCCCGTTGTGGAAGAATTTAGAATAAGGAAAGTCATACATGAATTGAGCAGCTTTAGCTGGCTGTTAACCAGCTGATTGCAGAACTTGAGAAACTCCCAGCACAGAAGTGAAGTAATACAACATAAACCAGCATCCCCCTGCTGCTCTGTCTCTGAGGGCTTTGTTTAAGCCACAGCAACACTGAGACATCAAAAGAAAGTTTGGGTTTTTTTCCCATTTTTGGGAAGTGGTGTCAATGTGCATAATATTGGGTGATTTATGTGTTTCTGAGGCCTGTGAAATACAAACTAAAAAGAATTTTTAAAGCTAATGCAGAAATTATCTCGAGTGATCTGATTTTAATTGAGCCCTTAAGGTTTAAGGTTTTTTCTGTTTTTATTTGCTTGCCTAAATGCTGTTGCCTACCTCCTTTACCAAAACATTGAGGAAACGATGATTGTTGCTTCACTGACCAAGGACCCTATAGTCTGCCCTTGAAAATAGCCTTTTTTGATCTTGTAAAAACTGTAATTGCAATCTTCCCAAGTTAATTTAAAGAAATGAATTATCTGCTTCTTATCTTTGTAAGGAAAAGGTGTAAGAAAGGTATGAAACGGACACATCAGAGTTGGCCAAATGCATTCTTTAAAAAATAATTGGCTGAAGATTTCAGGCCAAAAGAAGATCTGACTGAAAACAATAGACTGCTGGCACCACCAAGACAATGGAGTTACTGCCAACTTGCCCTTGTTTATCTAAAAGATCTATGCAAAAATTAGGTTTTCACACACGCACGTGCACACACACACACAAGTCATAGATGACACAATAATGGGAATAAATGAACATTCTTTTTCTTTCATATACTTACATCTTAAGTAACTCATTTTAGGCCTTGCCTCTTTGACCATGGTACCAAGCACAACAGGAAAGGAAGAGGCATTGCTGAGTTAATAATGCTATTTCAGTGTGGCAGCCTAAGTGCACATGAGGAAATGATGCCCTGCGCCTGTATTTGGAGCCCTGTAGTTACTGTGACGACAACACACACTAATGGAAAACAAAGATGGTCTGCTCATCAGGGCAAGCCAGGAAGAGTTTTGCCAGCTCAGATTTTTCCTAATTATTCTATAAGTCTTGAAATGTGACACTGGAGGTATTCAAAGCTCTTTGTGTTTCATTAACTGTTTAGTAAGGGACACATGCTTGAAGAGCAGCCTGGTATTTGGATCAGGGAGTGGCCTTACATATAAGCTTAACTTTCACTCGCTGTGTTGATAGATATCATCTTCTGGTTTGAATACACCAAACCAACTGGTTTGGCCATAGCCTGTTGTTCGTTCTGGTCTTTAAGGAAGTCAGCTGCATTGGTCGAGTTCACTTCTCAGGGCCCGTCAACTTTTGATAAGACATCCCCAACTTCTACATTCTGCTCATTCCATAAGTAATAATAATAATAATGGCTACATGTAATATATATTATCTATATAATATACAACATATGCAGTACATTTACTATATAAAATGATAGGAATAACTAGCATATACTTGAGAATATTACTATGTGCCAGGAATTGTGCCAAGCATTTTACATGGATGATTTTATTTGCTTCTCGTAACAACCCTATGAGGTACTATTTTTATCACTATTTTACAGATTAGGAAAATGAGGTTATAAATGTTAAATAACTTACCTAGTAGTAGATTTAAAATCCAAATCCAGGCAATTTGACCTTATCTATTCGATAGTTTCAACCACTTTTTAAAATTCAGGCAGTTGTTTATGGAACACCTCCACCTAGATGACTATGAGATGTTTTACTGAAACATGTAGAATGTGACACTGCAAGGTAACAGCTGCCCCTATAGTATTAAAAGATTCACAAAGTGCAAAGAATAAAGAGATTTAGGGTCAGAAGGCTAACAGAGGCTCTTTTCCAGGATCCCAAAGTGGAATCAGAAGCTTCAATGGCCAGTAGAGTTGGGCCACCCTGGATGAGCTAGGCCTGGGGCACTGAGATGCAGAAGTGATTCTTCCAGTTGTTGATGGGGCAATGTGGTTCTTGGTTTCTACACGCTGGGTTGATTCCCAAGAAGAGGATGCCATGGAGCATTTGATTTTGTACCACCTCCTTTGACACTGTTGGGGCTTTTGTCTGCTGTTGCTCCTATTGACAACTCAGAGCCCCACCTTATATTGTAAACTTTGAATGTGCTGCCAGTCTCTACCTTGGTCATAAACATTTAGTTTGTGAAGTGGGTTCAAGAGGGAGTTCTATGAAATACTTATCCCCGTTGTTGGTAGCAATACTTCTTCAAGAAACCTTTGGTGGAGTGTGTGTGTGTGTGTGTGTGTATGTGTGTGTGTGTGTGTGTGTGTGTGTGTTTTGGTCAGAAGGCAGTGAGGAAGGCGGTAGAAGGTGCTCCACATAAAGGCTTGTTATTGGTTCCAAATGACTTTGTTTTGGTAGTGAGTTGCTATTCTGGCAGCATGATGTTCCTTCAAAAAAATAAAATAAAACAGAGAGCTTGCTGTAGTTTAAGAAAAATTGCCTGACGCTTTTCAGCCATTTTGCTACTATGGATCAGAGGCATATTTTATTGGATATTTTATTTAATTCTTTTATCTTTATTTGCCTGCATGATGTCCAAATGTCTGACTATTTGGAAATAATTGAAACTTTTGAGTTTCTATTTGCATTTCTGGCATTTAACTTTCAGATTGTTTGAAGTAAAAGGAGAGCGATTCTAATAAAACTTCGATGGAGCAGATAATGCTTTGCTTTCTCTTATGCCAGTGGCCAGAAAGACTACTTTTCCAGGGTATCACATATCCCAGGTAGTGGGATTGAATATCCCAGGAAGGTGAATGTTTTATATGGGATGGAATATAACAGAATAAATCTCTACTTTCTGAGAAATTCTATTCTAATAAATTGAAACAGTAACTTGTCACAACTATACTAGCACACCCCAACTCCCCATCCCCAAACACACTACATTCATTATTGGTTAATAGCACAGGACTTGTACTGCTACTCACCTGACAGGCTAAACATCTTCCTGAAGCAAATATACTGTTTGCTGTGTGATACAGACCTGTTTAATCCAAGTCAATGAAAAAGAAGTAAAGGCAGAGATGTGTTACATTTCACGAAGGCTGTCTGTTTTCTTGACATAACATCTCTTGATTTCTTTACAATAAACTCAGTTTTCCTTTTTTCTTCTCCTGTCTTTATGTAAAAAGGTGTAATAGTGTCAAAGGAGAAAAAGAACTGTAATTTTTTTTTCACCCACCCAGAAAAAGAGTATTTGTGTTCTCTTCTTTGGAGACAAAGAGTTTGACTGGTTGGCCTCTAGAAGTATTTTTTTCCTCATTCAATTATTCTAAATTTCTTTTGGTACACAACAGCGATAATTTCCACATTAGTCTTTAGCTAATTTTTAAGATATTAACAGCTTATCATATTCATTCAAGAATTATCTAAGACTTCTGTAAGATTTCCTAGTTCTCTTTGCACATCTGCCCCTAGTCTGATTGTGAGCAGGCACAGGGCCTTGAGTACCACAATGTCAATGATTACATGGCTTTGGTCCTGGGGACAGCTATACCTTACAGGAAACCAAAAGGAGTGGAAACCTCTAGACTCTGACCTCACTTGAAACCATCTGATTATCTAGTACTGTGGCTCTCAACACTCTCTGTGCATCAAAGTCACCTGGGGTGCTTTAAAAATGCAGATGCCTGGGCTATGCCCCCAGAGGTTCTGATTTAAATTGGCCTGAGAGGGTGCCCAAGTATTGGTCTATTTTCTAAGCTTTTGTGTGATTTTAATTCGCATCCAATATTGAGAACCTGTTATCGCAATCATTTTAAAGACAGTACTTTAAAAGTACTTTAAAAGACAGTACTTTAAAAGTACTTTAAAAGACAGTACTTTAAAAGTACTTTAAAAGACAGTACTTTCAAATGATGAGTGCCACCTCATCATTTTAAAGAAGATAGTACTAGAATGAGAAGTCACTCAGCTCAAGTTACAAAACCTTCCGCAGGTAGAATTGAGTATGGAACTGTGATTATTCAACCCTTGGTAGTGGGTACTTTCTACACCTTGCAGTGGCTGTGTTCCTGTCTCAAGAGAACTGACACTCAGGATCGTTGCCTGGCTTACTTTTAAGATCTTGACTTAAGGATTTTTGATTACTTTCTGGGTCCCTTTCTATGACCGCACCTCAGTTCTGTACAAGAGTCACATAGGTGGAAAAAGAAGTAAAGCAAGGACCAGAACTTAAGTCCCCTGAGCCCCAGTCTATTACTTTTTTCTATCACACAATCATAATAAACAATAAAGTAGCTAATATTTAATGAATGCTTTCTGTATGTTAGGCACTAACAGTTTCATAAGGCAGATACACATATACTATATATTTTACAGATAAGGAGGCTGAGGGAATTGTTCATCTCCCCCCAGCCCCCAGCAAGCAGGTGGCAAGTCTGGGATGAGTCCAGGCAATTGGACTCCCCAGCCTGTGCGTGTAAGCTCTTAATCACTTTGCTATTCTGGAGCCCACTCTGAAAATATAAGGTGTTGAATGGCAGCTGCTCCCTCATTTCAGCATCAGGGGTCTTGTTGCAGCTGGTTATGGTGACCTTAGTTCCTGCTAACTGGGCTTTCTGTTTGACTAGAGATTGGGTCCTTGCCTTCCCCTCTATTTTCCCAATGACTGGCCCAATTGGAGGCAACCTATTCTCCTCAAGATTTTGTTATGATGCTCTATTTCCCCTCATGACTTTGTTTCTTATTTCCTGTCTTTCCTTTCTCTTGGGGACCAATATAATATTTTATGCCTTACTTTTGGGCACATGTACTTTACCCCAGACATTCTGAACACAAATTCTACTGTCCTGTTTGGATCCTTGACCTTTCCCCTAGTCTTGTGAGTTTGGCTGGGTTCCCCATTTTTCCTGGGATTCCTCTGTCTGGACTTTTATACCTCCCCCTATCTTCTCTCACAATACCAGCAACAACAGGAAAGGATTAATCACTTTGCTTTCCTATACAGCAGGTGCATTGGAAACAAGCTGATCTGTCCTGTGAAACTGACAGGTCAGTGTGTTAATGTACTCCGAAGAACTTTTAAAATCTACATTTTTAGGTAGCATGTACGGAATTAATTTTCTGATTGATTCTGTAAGTTTGAAATTCTATGGAACAGGCTTCTTCACACCTAGAGAAAAATGTATGTGTGTTGTCCAGTAAAATGAATCTTACTAAGATGAAAATCACCAATAGCAAATACTGTAGCACAGATTTTTTTTTTTTGCAATAGAAAGCAAACAAAAAGTGAAAGATTCTTATAATTATTCTGTGACACATATTTACATGTAAATTCAAAAATTCAACCTGATAAATAAATTCCGTTATGACTTGGCACTGTTTTTAGAATCACCTTGAACCAAACAAGTACTCAATAACTGTTTGTTAAATTGAATTCATTAAATGTCATGAATAGAGAAAGTAAATATTAATGACCAGTTTCCATTGATTGAAGTGAACATAATGTTTCCTTGATAAACATGGCAGTAACAGTTAGTGACCATTGATGATTATTTCTCTGCTTCTCAGTTTTCTCTAAACCTTTATGGTCATGTATTGCTTTTCTAACAATATTAATTAAAAATAAACAAATGTTTTAAATGTTCACTAGAGTATCACAGAATAACCAATTCATAACTAAGTGGGAGCTGGACTTAGTAGCTCTAATTAGCATGATGCATACATATTTCCATTAACAGACTAGAATTCTTACTTTAAAATACAGTGGCATAGACATAACTATTGACAAAAGTCTAATTGCAGCTACTAACCCAAAACCACAACCAGGCTGTAGTTCATTAGCTGGAAACGCTCCTATCCTTGGAAATCTATTTTGGAGTTAGGATTGCTCCACTCCTCTACAAGTGGTAAAGCAACAGCTGCCATTTAATTAATGTTTCTGCTGACAGTTCCAGCTGATGAATACCATTGAATTTCCCTATTACCATCAATACTATCTACATTACTCCAAAAGGATGTATTGAGTATAATTGCTTGATTTTGCTTTATTTCACCTTATTTCTTTCTCGCATCACTTCTTCCAAATTCCAATGATGCCATTATTTACATCACCATTCACATCTTCCAGGGAATAAAGTCCCAGTGGAACGCATGTGTTCCTGGTGATGTATTGTGATGGAATCTCACCAAAATGAGCACGTGAAATGCTGAGCTCAGAGAAGAGGACAAGGGGGAAAACCAGATGAAAGTGGCCTGTGGTTTTTCAGAAAGTGAAGAATTTTGTCCTTTTGAGAGAAAGATTAGGGAAAAAAACAGAGGTCTTGTTTTTCTACATAGTATTAGTGAAAGATTAAAATCATCTAATTTAAACTATATTTGGGTTATATTATTATTTCAATTTCTCTTTCCAGACACTTTTTCATAGGAGTTGAATTTCAACAGAGCTCTCACTATTATTGTGTGAGAATTTAGAAGGATTTGGTCTGTGTGAAAGCACATGATTATAGAGTGAGGTCCACTCAGTCTGCTCATCTTAAAGAATGTGTCCTGGGGCTCAATCAGGCAAGGCCCATGTTTTGTAGCTAAAAGAGGGGTTGGATTGATGCTGAACTGATAGAACATAGGATCTAAATGGTGTGGCATCAGATGTTAGAGTGGTTCAAGCTAGCAGCTGGGATCTGAAGGTCTAACATGTGGTTATAGGGTATTCTGGCAGGCGGATAGAGGATGCCTGCATTCTGACACAGGCAGGGAGTCAGTCCACATTTAGGCAAGCTTGTCAGCAGGAGCAGGAAGGAGAGCAGGGAGGTGGGAATCAGGAACAGGTTAGCTGTGGAGGAAGAGCAGTCCTAGAGACTGTGAGTGAGATGCCAACATTGTCATACAATGTCAAAACAACTAAGATGATGCTAAATCCTAGTGGTGGGCTAGAGTTCTTTGTGTCTCTCCTGCTTCACATTTAGTAAGAATAATTTACTCATTCACCAAATATTTTTTGAGACTCGTGTTTCAGGCACCGAGCTAGGGATTGGGATACAATGGTGAATGTTATATTATCTCTGCTCTCTAACAGGAGTTACGGGTAAAACAATGGCAATTTCAACACCAAGTGACTAGTGGGTAAATGGTTTAGTGAGACCACAGAAGTGGGACCACTCACCTGATTTTGGATGGTCAGTGATTGGTCCAGAGACAGTATAAAGTGACTCTCGCTGTGGGAAAGGGAACTGTAGAGGCTGAAAATAAGATAGGGCCTGACAAACAAGTTCTAAGGGAAAGCATCAGACATGAGTGTTATTGAAAAGCTCAAACATCTGATTTGTTACAACAAGTCTACATAGCTGTACAAATAGTGGGGAATTAGTGAGCTGCAGTCTTTCACTTACATGACAATTTTAATGTTTTAAAAAATTATGTAATGAAGAGGGTCTGCTATATACATACATATGCTCATCACAGTTAAATCTTTAGTGGCCATAATGAGGCAGCCAAAGAAGCCTCTTGCAGGCTAGAAAATTCCTGACCCTCAAACCACATTGCTGAGTATTTTTTCTAAACAGTGACTACTCTCAATATGTTTAAAAACAGATGATGAATGCTTCCTATAAAAGTATTTGCTGTAGGACTTTTACAAGTTTGTGCACTTTGAGAAACTACTTACATATATTCAACACTCCACTTCAAGTGCCTAACTGCTGCTGAGGCAATAAACCTAGGTCATAGCCAGAAAATTTTTGGAGCACATGTTGGATAATTTCCTTACCACATATTAAAATGAATTTTGAGCCAGGAGCAGTGGAGGCTGAAGGGAGAGTGTCGATTGAGCCCAGGAGTTCATGTCTAGCCTGGGCAATAGAGTGCAACTCTGTCTCTTAAAAAAAAAAAAGAATTTTAAACCCATATTAATTAAAACACTTAGGCGGTGGTATCAGAATCAGTTCATATCAGATGAAGAGATCAAGGGAAAATAGTGGAAGGTTCAGAGAAGTATATACCTATAAAAATGGTGTACATTTTTAATACTATAAAAATGTAGTATTATAAAAAAGATTTCAAATCTATACTGGAAATATGAATTATTCAATCAATAGGGTTGAAATAACTGGAAAAATATGACATTAAATTTCTGTTACAACTTACACTAAAATATGCACTAGATGGACCAGAAATTTAAGTCTAAAAAAATGAAGGTGAAATACTAACAAAAAAAATTTAAAACATATATAGGTGGGGAAGACAAAAAGCCAGTAAAACATAAGACTAAAACATCTGATTCCATAAAAACTGAATGAAAACTTTTACACTGAAGAAAAACCCCTTATAACCATCATGAACAAAGTTAAAATACAAACAGCAATTTGTGACCAAAATAACCAGGAACAAATGTCCTTAATATAAGACTTTTTTTTTTTTTTTTTTTTTTTTTTTGAGATACAGCTTTACTCTGTGGCCCAGGCTGGAGTGTAGCGGTACGATCTTGGCTCACTGCAACCTCTGCCTCCTGGATTCAAGCGATTCTCATGCCTCAGCCTCGCGAGGAGCTGGGATTACAGGCATGTGCCACCACGCCAGGCTAATTTTTGTATTATTAGTAGAGATTGGGTTTCACCATGTTGACCTGACTGGTCTTGAACTCCTGACCTCAGGTGATCCACTGGCTATGGCCTCCCAAAGTGCTGGGATTACAGGCATGAGCCACCACGCCTGACCAAGACTCTTTTAAATGAAAATAGAAAAAGAGACACAATAGAAAAATTGACAAATGACATAAATAATTTGGAATAAATATGTGAAAAACTATTTAACCTTACTGATAATTAAAAATTTAATTAAAAGAAGATGTATTATTTCAACAAATACATTGACAAAGACAAAAAATTCAATACCCAGTATGGTGAGGGTATGAGGAAGTTGACACTATATGTTGCTGGTGGGAAAACCAACTGCAAAAGTTTCCAGAAAAACAACAATATGTGGCAAAAATCCTTATAATCAGAAGAAAAATAAGGATATTTCCATTTTGAGAAATAAAAAAATCTAAACACATGCAGTGCTTTTGAGAGTACATTGTTTTTTCTTCCTCCTATTGTTCTCAAATCTATTGACTTGTAAAAATTTGGCAGACCTAGAGACTCTTATATGAAAAAACAGCCAATATACTTCTTTCTCAGTTGCTTGATAGGATTTCCTAGGAGGGACCTTGTTAGGATAGGGTTGTTAAAACAAGGCTGCATAGTCCTTAAGTGTCAAGTACATCTTGATAGCAACTTATTTCCTTAGTTATGTATTATTAAAACATAAACTGATAGCCAAAATTGACACATTTATGACTAGATCATGAGGGTGAGGGACCAAGGAGCAAGTGGAAGAAATGGGGCACTGCACCAAACAACTCTTTGCCATGGATCATTACCTAGAATAAAATTGCTCAGGCTCATTAAACTGTTTTGGGCATGAAATACTCTGAAAAAAATTGGTTTACCGTAGTATTTGTAGATACTGGTAGATGCTAAAAGATAATTGACTCTAACCTCTTTTTAGGAAAGATGACAAAGCTGAGACCCAGAAAGTTTAAACTTTCTCAAGGTTATACAGCTTATTAATTCGGACATACGAATTTATAGACAAGCCACAGTGCTGTGGCTCATATCTTCCTAGAATCCAGAACACCACCTGTCTTGCGTTATTTCCCAAGATACCTGTTGTATAAGAGCTCATGATTTCTCTGTATCATCATGCCTCTATCACCACCAGATGTTGGGCTTTTTGGCAGCTCACTACCCATCAATCCTGCCTGTTACTCCAGGGGATGGAGAGAGGCTGATGCTCACCTAAGCTCCAGTTACAGAGTGGTGTATGGGGTGAATGTGTCCTATGAGGTGTCCAGTGAAGGTGGTAAATAATTCTCAGCTGCTTCTCACTGCACTGACAGCAGGGTCATTTTGTGAATGGGTAGGGAAGAGCAATGTGAGTGAAATCTCACTCAAGATCTTGTGTGCTAACATTTTTCTGCTTTCTCCTGGGGAAGCCCTTTTTTGGAAGAAGCCACTCCTGAAACATTACCCCGAGTAAAGCTAAGCATGAAGCATTTTAAGCCAAGCTGATCATCTAGATTATCTTTTGCTCTTTGATCCTGCAAAGAATGTGCTGAGATGAGTAGTAGTGCTGTATCACATAAGTTGTCCTTTTGTTTTCATACATTGGGCGCAAGTGAATGAAATCTCTTTACTTCTCTCATACCCACAGGTAAAGAGAAGTGAGTCCAAGCATCATATTTAATTCTGTTAATTACAATGTAAGTGTAAAATAATAGCACAAACTGTGCTCTAGTTCCAACTTCCGTTTGATGATTGTCAGACCTAGAAATCTAACAGCAGTACATTATTCAATGAATTCTTCCCATTGTCCATTTGTAGCCCCCTTTTCTTTAAACAGTCTAGCCAATTATATTCTCATATCCTTGTTTCCTATTATCTCTTGTAGCCTCCTTGACATAATCACACTGTGACTTGTGGGAATTGTTTCCCTCTCTTCGCCTTTTCCTCTGGGTTCAGGCCTGGATGTGTACAAATTTTGTCCCCCTGCATCACACAAGGACCCTTTCCATTAGGCCTTGTACTCAACTTCCCATGCTTTCCTGAGCTTATTCTTTATTATATCTTATTTCCCTTTTATTCAGAATTTTTTTCTTTCTCTCTATTTTTTTAGGTATTTAAAATATTTTAAATTATTAATATTATTTTTGATGGACAAATTATAATTATATACATTTATGGAGTATAATGTGATGTTTTGATATATGTATACAATGTGGCATGATTAAATCAGGCTAATTAATATTCATCACCTATCATTTTTTATAGTGAGACATTTGAAATTTACTCTCTTATTTTGAAATATATAATGCCTTATTATTGATTGTAGTCATTCTGCTGTGGCATAGATCTCAAAACTTATTCTTCCTGTCTACCTGAAATTCTGTACCCTTTAATCAACAACTCCCATTCCCTCCCTCTCCCCAACTCCAAGCGTCCGGTAACCATCATTTTACTCTCTATTTCTATGACTTAAACTTTATTAGATTCCACATATAAATGAGATCATGCAAGAATGCTTTTTCTGTTATTTCTTCTGCTTCAGTCAGTCTTAGAGCATCTTTCAACATTAATATACATGAAAGCTACACAAAATCAAGGCACTTTTATTAATGTTGTAGAAAAAGTTAGTATTCACAGGGATAATTTTTTTAACCAATAATTAACCTTCGAACTCAATATGTATTATCAATTTCCAATTAAAACTAATAACCGCAATCATTCTCCAGGAAATATCCACCTTGGAGGAAGGACCTAACATTTCTTCCATATTGTTGTATAACAGAACAGAGTTCCAAGAACAAATTGACATTCAGTGAGATCAAACCAGACACTAGGGAGCAGAAAGATGGTCTGTCATGACTCTAGGTTTTAACATTTGTTTTTCTATTTTGGAATTTGGTGCTGTTAGGAGGAATAGTGTCTACTATGCTCAGAAACAGGGAGAACATGGTGTAAGTACAAGGGTTGTAAAGGGTGCTCAATATACTAAGAAAAGGCCAGAATCTTCATTATATAAAGTCCTCAGCTAAATTCCAGATATTTTTCATAAGTGCATTGGAGCAACAGCTTAACTTTAAAAGGAGAGTTATAAATAGGCACGTAAAATATGCATATAGAATAGGTTGAGCACCATTTTATGAAATATTCCTGAAAAGATTCTGCATAATATTGATGTTTAATTACTTTCTTTAACTCAACTTAATTTCTTTATTAATAGTGGTTGACTTGTTTGTTCAGTTTTGTTCATACCAACTGAAGTTTACAACTGATTCAACTGAGGGTATAATCTCTTATGTTTTCTGTGATCTGGACCTGACTACAGAAGCAATTTCCCAGTGTCACCTAAATCCCAGTTAAACTGAATGACAAATTAGGAATCATGATACCAATAAGACCCAATCTCTAAGCTGTCACCTGAATATGATGATCATCAATGTCACTTTTTTTTTTTTTTTTTTGAGATGGAGTCTTGCTCTGTCGCCCAGGCTCGAGTGCAGTGGTGTGATCTTGGCTCACTGTAACCTTCACCTCCCAGGTTTAAGTCATTCTCCTGCCTCCGCCTCCTGAGTAGCTGGGATTATAGGCATCTGCCACCACACCCAGCTAATTTTTGTATTTTTAGTAGAGATGGGATTTTGCCATGTTGGCCAGGCTGGTCTCGAACTCCTAACCTCAAGTGAACCTCCTGCCTCGGCCTTCCAAAGTGCTGGGATTATAGGTGTGAGCTACAGCGCCTGGCCAATGTTACTTTTAATGTAACTATTAAAGCTATTGGCTCTAGAAAGAAAGTAAATGACAGATAATAATAGTTACTTTTATTGAGTGCTTCCTACCATATTAGGAACTGTGCTAAATGCTTTATGTGCACGAGATGACTATTATCATTTTCATTTTATGGATATAATCATACTGTTTTTTGAATTCTTCCCTAAGACATGATCTAACCTCTTGTCAACTAAAATTTGGGCTTGTCTAAAACCTCAGCTATGTAGGTTTTTACAGAATGAGGTGAGGCTCATAAAATAATTTTTTTCCTAATAGATTTTCTAATACTTGATAGTTTTGATTTGTATACAAAATTCACTATGAAATTAAAAAATCTACCCACAAAGATATTATCAGAGTAAAAAATGTGAGCCACGTTTAGTCTTTTTAACTTTCTAAACCTCAGAAAGATTTTTTATTGTTTTAATAACAACATCATCATAATATAATAAGATGCTGTGCTGTCCTTTGTAGGGAATGGTGGAACAAGGGATGATGGCTACCCATCATAAATACAACCAGTACTGTGAGCTGATTTCAGGAGAGGAATTGAGCATCCATTATTTCCTGCCAGATTGCTCTCAGGATTATCGGGAAATAAATATTTCCTTGTGGAAGGCTAACTGCTCTTAGAGCAAATCTTCGATCTTTACCTGTGTCTCTGGAACTACTTCACTGACCAGCCCAGACTATGTGTGATTTATAATTCAAATAAGCATTGATTTATATTTAAGATATGCTTTATTGAAAAATTTTAATTATACTCACTTTAAGTTAGAGATCAATTAAACCTTTATTAGTCCATTCTCGCATTGCCATAAAGACATGCCTGCAACTGAGTAATTTAAAAAGAAAAGAGATTTAATTGGCTCATGGTTCTGCAGGCTGTGCAGGAAGCGTGATGCTGGCATATG
The DNA here is from genome assembly GCF_000001405.40 of Homo sapiens. Lineage (NCBI taxonomy): Eukaryota > Metazoa > Chordata > Mammalia > Primates > Hominidae > Homo > Homo sapiens. The sequence goes on along the minus strand of NC_000006.12, from coordinate 75,475,019 downwards.
CTTGGCTCTTGGGGAGGCCTCAGGAAATTTATAATCATGGCGGAAGGTGAAGGGGGAGTAGGCATGTCACATGGCCAGAGCAGGAGCAGGAGAGAAGGGGGTGGGGGGTGCCACACACTTTTAAACGACCAGCTCTCATGAGAATTCCATCACTATTGCAAGGACAGTACCAAGGTGATGGTACTAAACTGTGAATGAGAAACCACCCCCATGATCCAGTCACCTCCCACCAGGCTCCACCTCCAACACTGGGGATTACAATTTAATATGAGATTCGAGTGGGGACACAGCTCCAGACCATATCAAAACTTTTGTCTGATATCTTCTTTAAATACCTAATGAGTATAATAGTTTCATGGAAAAAGGAAGCTCTGGGGAACCTAATGTACAGCTCACTCACTGCTGTCATGTCAACTGCAGACCTCCCAAGCAAGCACTGCTGGAAGAAAAAAAGAACTAGCATCTCAGTTCTTTTGGTCCCTCTGTTTGCATACACTGACTGTTCTTCAAGGGAAGAAGCAAGACCCATTGTCGGGTCTGACATATGGCTACTTACTAGTTACTTCCTCCTTCACTTCCAGTCCTCTGGTAGTAGGAGGTGGTAATAAAGACAGCATGGATGTTTAACTGAATCACAGGTATATGATTGTAGCATTATTGTTACAGTGAAAAGTTAGAAACAAATATATGTTTAATAATAGGGCACTATTAACCAAGGAAAGGTGAGATTTGAATAGCTCTTAATACATCCACTTAATGACAATCTGCAGACATAAAATGTGAGAGTAAATGATATTAATAAAATAATATATTCAGTAAAAATAAATGCATTACAGAAAGTATCTTTAAGATTCTATTGCAAAAATAAGAAGACTATATTTCTAACATTAACGGTAACCATTTCCATTTGGAGATATAAATGTGTGATTTTAAATTTCTACAGTAAGCATGAACTACATTTAATAAGGAAAAGAGCTGAAGCTATTTCGAAATAATTTAATGGATCAGTTCACATGGCCAAATAGATAAGAAATACTCTATTTAAACTCAAAATTTAGTAAGATATTCTCTAGAGGTCATAGTGCCAAAATTGTATGTGTGTATGTTTATACCCTTACCTTCGTCCTAAAAAATTTGAAAACCATGATCATGAAGGTGGTTTTCCCAGGGCGAGGCTCATCCATTGCACTCTGGATGTGCTGACTCCTGTGGTTTCCCCAAATGTGGGAAACTGAGTTGCATAATTTGTGGTAGTGGGGGTCTGCGTTCGTGCTTTCCCCTTAAAAAAAGTTTTCATATAGATTTGGTAGAGATTGTTATACGTTGTCCCAAATAAAACTGTGTCTTTATGTTTTTAAATAAAACATTTCTTAGTTAGCGTATGCATGGACATTTTGCTTTCCCATGAGTGAATTTGTTTCATTGTGTTTTTTAAAAATGGAACAGTCACATATTTACAGAAAAGCTGGAAGCACAGACAAAGGCTTTTTTTTTTCTTGAAACACTGGAGAGTAATTTCTGATCTGATGTCTCGTGTTTCTTTAGTTGGATCACCTACAAACAAGGATATTCATCTGTATAACTACAACACTAGCATCAAGGTTAGGAAGTTAACATTGATACATCAGTATCATCTAATACTCAGAACCCATTCAAGTTTCTCAGTTGTCCCAGAAATGTCTTATATAGTGAAGTAATTTATTTCAGAATCACACATTACACTTAGTTGTGTCTCTTTATCTCACTCTGTAACATTTCCTTAGCCCTTCCTCTTTGACCCTTTAAAGTCCTATAATATTATTGTGTCATAAATAAGCACTTTGAGGTATCAAAGTAAATGATCCTTCCTCAAGATTGTCCATAAAGTCAAAAAGCAACATATGATCTTCTCAAATTTAGTCAGTTTGAAAGTAGCCAGACCTGGTTTCATATGCACACTCTGCAACTGAAAAAGTCTTTGCTCTACCATACCCACAGTCTTCCCTCTAGAGTATAGACCTTAATTAGAAAGGTAGAAAAATATTGAAATAGGTGATGAGAAGAGAAAAGTAAAAATATGGCTAAGAGAATTTGAGATTTCGAAATGTGCTGTTTCTTTCAATCTTTATGAGGCTTAAGATGGGGTTTTTGGAAGACGTAATATTTAGGACATACTTTACATTATGTCTCTGTGACTAATATATGTGTTGTGGAGATAATTTGATGCTTTTGGTTCTTTAAATATTTCTTCTTAAATAAATCCATTCAGTCCATTAACCATAGTTAATGTTTTCCCACTGGTTTGTACATGTCATAGTTAAAGACCAATGTAGACTAGCGGGGAAATAGAAAAAGAAAAATTAGTACATTCATGAATTATTCTCTGTTCTACTTTAGACAAGTTAATTTTCCTTAAATTATCAGGTTCCATCTTAATCATAGGCCATTTGTGGTTATCAAGAAATAAATGTTTGTATGTTTGGCCTTCACAGTCTTACATTTCCCACTAAAAGCCAAATTCAATTAGTCCTTTAACATCTTATCACAAAACATGCAATGTGGGAATCAAAATTTTTAAAAAATGGATAATTCTTAGATTTATAAAATTGTTCTCCCAATGAATATTAATAAGACTTGAGGAAGACTGTTCTATTAAATTAACATTCAAATGTTATAATTATATTAAGAGGGTAACTCTTATTTCCAGAATAATCATTTTAGAAATTAAAGAGCACTTATATCATAGCACCCTGGGTGGGTAAATGAAACTTCATCCAAAACATGGCCCCCAAAAATAAAGACCCACCCAAGATTACCTTTCATTTTTTAAGACCAGAGAGTAAAGGATTATACTCCTGTGGTATGACATGCAGTATCTTTGGATTTTCCAGTAATATGAATGAAAAGAAGAAATAGCTTAGATTTTATAAAGACTGTTGTTTCACTAATTTCACCAGTTTAAAGCAAATTGCTTGCAGTACTTTGTAATTATAATTTGTACATTAAAAATTTAAATTACGTTAGTAATAGAGTCTCCTTATAAAAAATTATAACTTTACAGATCAAGCTGAAGTACCCTTTGATTATTCCCCTCTCCAATGCCCCTATCTTAGTCTTCTCTCTAGAAATAGTCACTGTTAACAATATAATGTATATGCTTCCAGACTTCTCCACAGCATTGCTCACAGAAGAGATATCTATGTATGTATTTTAGCATAAATGATATATACATTATTTCACCTAACAACATGACTTAGACATTTTTTCAGTACACATAGGTTCACTTCATTTTAGAAAATTGCAGCATGGTCTTCCATAGAAAGGATGCACAATTATTTCTTTCGCCATTCCTGATTTTGTGAATATTTAGGTTGTTCTGAATTTTTCACTGTTACAAATAATATTATGATGAAGATTGTTGTACTTGCTTCCTCAATATCTACTCCAACAGTTAGTTGACTCTGAGGTAGATACTAACAGTAGAATTTTGAGGTGACAGGATATGCAAAATTATCCGTGAATGCGCAATACTTATATTTAAATTCCCTTCAGCAGTGTATAAATATACTTATTGAATTTAAATTTGAATTTCTTCCATCACAGTGAGGTTGAGTGCTAGTTTATATAAATCTTGATTATTTTTATTAGTTCTTCTGTGAGTTACCAGTTTATACTATTGGTCTATTTTTCAAATAGATGATTCTTTTCTTTCTTTAAATGATTTATTGATTCTAATCCTTTATTATTATTTAGGTTGAAATACCTTCTCCTAGTACTTGTTGAAATACCTTCTCCTAGTACTTGTCTTTTCACTTTTATACTCCTGTGGTTGATGTAGTAAAACTCATTATATTTTCTTTTTTTTTTTTTTTTTTTTTTTTGAGACAAGGTCTTGCTCTGTCACCCAGGTTGGAGTGCAGTGGTGTGATCTCCGTTCACTGCAACCTCCACCTCCCGGGTTCAAGAGATCCTTCCACCTTAGCTTCCTGAGTAGCTGGGACTACAGGTGTTTACCACTATTCCTGGCTAATTTTGTTATTTTTAGCAGAGATGGGTTTTGCCATGTGGCCTAGGCTGGTCTTGAACTCCTGGGCTCAAGCAATCTGCCTGCCTCTGCCTTCCAAAGTGCCGAGATTACAGACGTGAGCCACCTGGCCTGGACTCATTATATTTTCTTTTATGGCTTTTGCTTTTTGTGTCTTATTCCAGAAGGTCTTCCTGACTCTAAGGCACCACATATTTGCCTACATTTTCTACTAATAATTTCTTATCATTAAAAAATTTTAAGTCTTAACTACAATTTTGTGAACAGTGTAAGATAAAATCAAACTTTTATTTTTTAAAAAGGGATAGCTAGTTAGTCTCATTGATTTGAAATGCCATACCATTATTTTCCCATTGATTTGAAGTTCCACTTTTATCATATTTCATCAACATATGTGTTCTATAGATACAGGCATACATATATACATACATATTTATCATTTAAATAAACATATTGGTTGGTTCTATGATTATTCCTCATTTTACAGACAAGGAAACTGAGGCACAGAAATATCAAATAACTTGCCCAGCCACACATAGTCAAGAAATAGTGGAGCAAAAAATAAAACCTGTGGATCTAGATTTAGAGTCTGTGGCCTTATTGACTATACTTTCTATAAATTTTCTGTTTGTGAGTCTGTTTTTTGAACTCTATTCTGTTTCTTCAAACTACTTGTGTATTGTTGCATTAATTCATTAATTTCCTTCCCAATTACATTTTAAAAACAATCAATGGCAATATATAGAAAAGTCGTTGATTTTTTTATGTTGTTTTTGTTTCTTGCTATCTTGCTGAACTCTCTTCTTAGTTATAGAAGTTTTTCCTTTGATTATCTTGAGCTTTCTATCATTTTCTCTGTAAATAATAACAGTTTGCCCCTTGTTTTTCAACATTTATACAACTTACTATGGTTTTACTTAATTCCATTGGCTAGGATGTCCAGTCTAATGTTGAATAGTAACAGTAGCAGTGGGCATTCTTGTTCTGTTTTTGACCTTACAGACAATATGTCTAATAAATATCATGTTTGCTGTATTTTGGGGTAGATACTCTTTATTATATTAAGGAAGTTTCTTTTTGTTCTTAGTTTTTTCCCACATAAACAGATGCACACACGAGTGTATCACATATACACACATAATCACAATTGTCTTTGGGCACCTGTTGAAACTGTTTCTCTCCTAAATCATATGACTAAGTTAGCCAGTTATATTGGATTATATTGGTTGTTCATTATTAAAAAGCTATATTTTGTATTCCTGGGATAAACCTTACTTGATCATAGTGCATTATTCTTTTAATTAATTGCTGGATTTAAATTTCTAGTATTTTATTTAGCAATTTGCATCTATGTGAGATTTGCTATGGTTTTCTTTCCTTATGCAGTCCAGCTTGAAATTTTTAAAAAGCTAATGCACATTCTTAAAAGCTAATCCTTTTAAGAATTCAAGCTAATGCACATTCTTTTTTATTTTTTAAAGGGTTGGTCAGAGTTGCCTATGAAATTCTGTGGACCTGATTAAATTAGGGGAGAGGGGAGTATATTTGAATACCATTTCAAGCTTTTTCTGTCTTTGTTGGATTGATTTTATTTTCTTCTACTTTTTTGTGATAGTGTAAAAATTATAAATTGTATTTGTGTTTTTCTACTAAATGCTATTCAATTAGCACTTGAATGAAATATATTTTCTAGTAATATTCAGAATTGGTCAGTGTCTCTCTACATTTATTAAACAAAACCAAAAATTTTTGTATGCTTTAATTTTACTTAAGTATTCCTTCCCATTTCAATTCCCTTCCATATTGACCTAATTTGGAAGTTTATTCTACATTGTTACTTTAAAAATTCCTATCGTTGTTTTAAAAAATCAACACTTATCTAGAATTAATAATAGAATTTAATGGATTTTTTGTTCACCATTATTTTTCAGAACTTCCTTATTATTATAATATTCATTTTTATTTTGGTTGGCAAAATTATATCAAAGAATTACTGTGAGTGGTAAAGTTTCTGGTTCCTTCATGTTTCATTTTCATTCTTGAATGATAGTTTGGTTGGATATAAAATTGCAGGTTTAACTTTTTTTTCTTGCTCCTTTGATTTTATTCATTTGTTAACAAGAAAATTGTATCAGAGATTTTGTTTTTTCTTTCCCAAAGATTTTAGTATTTGTTTCCTTTATTCTTGGTTTGGGAAATATTAATATAATATCTAGGTATAGGTTATTATTTAAATTTATCTTACTCAGAACTTGGTTGGACCTTAAATTGTGACTAAACTAATGTATATGTTACCTTCCTTCCATTCCTGCTAATATCTTAGTAACTCCAATTGGGTGGATGATGGAGCATTTGAGTCTATTTTACATAATTCCTAACTTTTATTTTATACTTTATATCTGTTCATCACTTTTTATTGCATTCTGCAAGAAATGTTTGGATTAATATTACAGGTCAGCAATTTGTTCTTTGTGTCCATTCTCATTTGACCTGCTTGTCGAGTATTCTATTTAAAAGATCAATATTTCAATACGTGTACTTTCTAATTGATTATTTTCTGTGGATTTAATATCCTCTCACATATCTCTGTGGATATGACTTGTAATTATTCTGAAGTCCTTTTCTGACATTATTAATTACTGGCTGTAAGTTCTTCATGTTTTGAAAACAAAGAACTCTATTATATTTCTTTTTAATGGTATTGGCCTTACTCCAACGCTAAGTGACTCCTGAGTGTTCATCTTTTAGCTGACACTCCTTATTAGGCTCTTTGTTCTATGTGCTCCGGCAGGCTGCTTAGAGAGAGGGACCAGATTTGCTGCTGGAACTTGTATTTCAGTCTGTTTTCAAGAGTGTATGGGAGGGGATGAGGATGCCCCTGGCGTCACAGACTAGCTCCTGGTAGGGGAGGGGCTGTCTTATTCCTATTGGTAGCTCCAGCTATTCAGGGCATCCAGGATGCTGCTTTGTTTCTCTGATTCAAGCTTCCATACCTTTGACTCCCAGCTGGAAGCAATAACTCCTGTTGCTACTCTTTGACTCCAAATGTGGCCTAAGTTGGTAGAGGGAAGGTGCACAGTTCAACCTTGCTGTTCCTACTGCTCTCCTGTAACAAACACTGTCTGTTGTCTTAGGCCTCCCTCTTGTCCTTCGTATCCATTCCCAACATTTATTAGCAGCACTCTCCTATTCTTGTTTTGAGCTGGTTTTAAATCCTCCTTCTAATACCACCTGCTTTCTGTCTTCCAATGTCTTCTCAAAGTTTATATGGTCCTCCAAAGCTTGATACTGTTTCCCAGCTATATGCATTAAAAAATTCGTTCTAAAATTTTGAGATTTCTAGTGGGAAAAGGAGACCACAATCTATTTCCGTTCTACCACCTTGAAATGGAAACCAGTGTGTAATCTTCAAAACCTTGGGAGGATGTTTTGAAAATGAGTTTAGCAGACCAGTTTGCAGGACTGCCATTTATGGTTGTGTATGCTGCTCACTGTATGAAGGCATCCAGCTGAGGAGGTAGCCGAGAGCTGAGAGCAAGTACACTGTTTCTTCCCATCTGTCAGAGAGCAACTGAGAGGCAGGAGGGACCCTTTCTTTCTAATTCACACAAGGATGTCCTGTGGGTCAGCAGTCACCCTAGTCATTTGAGCTTTAAATTACGTTATGTATGATGATGATTCTGCACATGTATACCTAGGTCAAAATGCATCAAATTATTCATTAGAAATATGCATAGTTCCTTCTACATCAATTATACTTCAATAAAGCTGGAAAATAAAGTAAAAAAAGTAAAAGAAATTTTATTGTGCAAGTAGTAAAGTGTGTAAAATGTTCTGTTGGATTTAGAGGATAAATTTTTAAGGTTTCATATTTTACAAATTGGTCAAGATGATATAAAAGCTTTATCTTAGTTGACAACAATAATTCTAAAAGAAGATGCATTCATGAACAGGATAGTTAAAGGAGAAAAGAGAGTTAAAAGGAGACAGTAACTAGCTGTTAATAACCTTTTCTGATAAACAAAGTGGTATAGTTAACAATCTGCCTTGGATATCCTAGGGAAAGCCCCAGGTAGAGAGGCAGAGGGATGAACTAAAGCTGTGCTGCCCAATACAGTAACCACATGTGGCTATTCAAATTTAAATTAATCAACATAAAATAAAATAGAAAATGGAAATTAGGTTATTCAATCATATTGCTCTATTTCAAGTGTTCAGTAGTTCCATGTGACTAGGGGCTACTGTACTAGACAGCACAGATACAGACTAGTTCTGTCATCACAGAAAACTCTATTGGAGAGCACCGACCTAGTTGATCTCTTAATCTAGGTCCTCTACATACCAATAGTTTTACCTTTGTAGATTACTACATTAAATGTAATCCCAGATTTTAATTGCCAAGGGGTCTAACAGAAGACAGAATATGGGTCCATACTGGGTGCAGAATAGGCATTCAGGAATCAATAATGTTGATTGGTGATCAATAACGTTGTTTGGAATCAATAACGTTGTTGATGAATGGATACATGAATGAAGCTAGCAGTTAATTCCCACTATTTGATAAAACACTGCATTCATTTATCCATTCATTAACTCAAGAAATATTTATCAAATGCCTACCACTTGCCAGGTACTGGTTCAGGCACTTGATCAGGAAAGTGAACAGACCAAGATTATTTCCCTTCTGGAGTTTACATGCTGGAGCATGGGGTAAATATTGTAAATAATAAGCATAATAAATAAGTAAATCATATCACAAGTGTTAAGGTGATAAATACTATGAAAAATAAAAAATAAATTAGGGTAAGGGGAATCAGAAGTGCTGAGCGTGAGTAGGGAAATGAAGATTATAATTTTAAATAGGATGGTCAGGGAATGCCTCGTGGAGCAGGTAATGTTTGAGCAAAGACTTGAAAGAGGTGAGGAATAAGCCATGTGAATATCTGGGCAAAAAGTAAGCCAGGCAGAGAGAATAACCTGGGTGGGCCTTAAGCCGGGGACATGCTTGGCAGTTCGAGGAACAGCGCGATGGCTGGCGTGGCTGGAGCAGGTGAATGAGGGAGAGAGGAGTTGCAAAAGAGGTCTGAGAGGTAACAGATGGGGACAACAAGCAGAGTCTTGTAGACCATTGTAAGAATTTTGACTTTTACTCCTTTTGAGAAGTTTTGTTCAGCAGAGAAGGAGCATGATCTGATTTAAGTTTTTGGGTTTTTTGGTTTTATTTTTGTTATAGCACAATTTATATATTTCAAGTGGACAAAAATTAGTGTCATTTTTGGAATCTTAAGATAAATTGTCCTTGAATGGGAGCTTCCTTTCCAGTACTTTGAAGTCTATAAGATGCACCTGGAAAATATACTACTGTGGAAAATGAAGACTGCTTAAATCGAATGAGGGGATGGAGAAGAGCTTGTTTTTTTTTTTAATTGCTGTGAAACTGTCCTTCAGGCAGCTGAAGGAGTTTCATATTTTCTTTAGACATTATTAGGCACTGAAGCTCTTGCAGGACAACTTTGATGCTATATGAATTCTGCCATTTTGCTAGCATTGATATGGGTCAGTGAAATGGGTCCACCACTTCATTGGAGCTAGTAACTCCATTCAGATTAATTTATGTTACAAATCTTACAAAAGGGCTGCTTCTGGTTATTTAGGTCCACATTTTATTTTAAGGCTGTATATTCAGTTTTCATAAATTGTTCTTGGAGGCCCAATTGTTAGCCCTGTGCATCTTGTGTCATGTCTTCATCATCTTCTAGACCGCAGTTAACTGTGCCATCTCCTGCTCCTTTCTGGGCTTCTTTGAGTTCTTCCAATGGTTGGAAATTGTAAGGGACTTTTGCTCCAGAGCCCATGGTAGCTGCCATTTTGTGTTGCTCTTGCTCCTTGACTTAAGTTTTGAAAGGTGAAGTTTAGCTCCTGTGTTAAGAAGGCATCGTAGTAAGCCAAAGACAGAAGCAAGAAGGCTGGCTGGAGGCTGTTGCATTATCTAGGTTGAAGATGATGGTGGCTAGGTCCAGGGTGGTAGCAATAGTAATAGTGAAAAGTGGTCATATTCTGGATATATTTTCTATGTTGAACTATAAAATTTCTGGATGGGTTGGATGTGGATGTGAGAGAAAAGGAAGAGTCAGAGTTTCAGCCTAGCAACTAAAAGGATGCAGTCAGCATTAATGGGGGTGGGGAAGGCTACAGGAGGACCAGATAGCGGGTAAGACCAGAAGTTGAGTTTTGAACATGTTAAGTTTGAGATGTTTATTAAACGTAGAAGTAGAAGAGTTGAATGAGTTGCTGGATATACAGGTGCAGATTTGGGAGAATAGTATGAAGTTAAAATAGGGTTACTAACAGGTAAGCAAATATATTCTTTGTTAATGAACCAAAGTCTTTGTACATCAGAAGGTAGAATTGGCTGGCTGTGAGTTCAGGTAAAAATAACATTTTGTTCTTAGCATGAGCTAAGAGACCTGTTAACAAATTTTGCTTTGCAAACATTTACAAAATGTTCAGGCATTAAATTCAGTTTTAAAAAGGAAATATTTCCTGCATACATTGATGTTTAGTGTGCAGAGTTTTTCTGTGATTTTCACAAAGCACTTGAGCATTTTTGTTAATATCAACGCTATGTTAGGACAAATGCTGGTATTATTTTCTCCCAGGCCCATAATATTTTTAGCAGTTAAACCCAAATCACTGTACTTTAAATAGACTTCATTTACCACTGCAGCATAAATAATCTATTTTTAGTCACTGGAAAGAAAATCTTGATGTTAATTTAAAAGAAGGAAATAATAAAATGTAAGTACTTGAGTATTAGGCCTGAGTCTATAAAAACAAGTTAATCAAAATTGTGGAGCATTATAATCTTAAAAGGATGACGTCAAGGGTCTGATGTCTTGGATTCTTAAGGACAGACATGGAACAGTCCAACATCTGTGCCAGAATGACCTCTGTGAAGCATAATATTTCCTTCTAAATATTTAGACATCATGATAGTTTTTCATGGTTTTGATTCATAAAATATGGATTTTTTAAAAGCCACAGAAGCATAGCAATTTTTTTCAGCTGTCCCCCTACCATCTCTACCTTCCTTTTAACCCCTATTAACTCCTAATATGAACAATTCAACTAGAACCTTCTTTCAGAAACATGACCATCTACAAACATCTCTGGATAAGGAAATAAAATGACAAGGAAAAAGTTCACTGACTCTGAGCTGGTCATGAAATCTAAAGGTATTAATATGAATAAACTAAGATAAGAAACATCAGATAGCTTGTTGTGGTTTAACTTCATGGCTTTCATAATGCTTTTACTATATTTTTCTCTTGTTAAGACTCTGGCTGTTTTCTAGGTCAAATATATTCTAGTGACCTATGCTGTGCAAAGAACCCTTATTTTATGATATCCAGAAAACTGTTTTGGAAGTCTCAGAGGAATCATGTGAGTTAACATAGGAAACTCATTCAGTCTGTTTATTTTCAGCTGATTTGCTTTCTTAATTGAGTAATCCAAAACTGGATATTTATGTAAAAGAAAAGATATTTTGCTATGTTTATACTTGAGCATAATTAGCTAGTTATTTTTCTTTCTCTTTAGTTTTACCGCCACTACACACAAACACGGTAATCAATTAGGTTATAATAGAACAAGATAATTCAATGGCTTGGTTGTTTATTCTGTACATTGAATGCTAAATGGAAACAAAATTTATGTTGAATATATGAAATTTTTTCTTTCCATGAGATTAGAAGTTAGGGAAAGGGGGGTATGGGGCACAATAGTGGGCTTTACTTTGTGCGCTGAGAGCAGCAATTCTAAGATCCGCACATACGCCAGAACATGGAACTAAACTCAGACTCTTTGGCCCTTTGCTCACAGATATGTCCTTTCTTGCTAATCTGTTTACTCTCTACCAAGAGCCAAGTGTATCATCTTCACATTTCTTGCATATATTGTGCTCATTTTCCATTCTGTGGCCACTGTGAAGACTTCAGGTATAGATGAAGTTATGTGACTGAAAAATAAACATCTGAGTAGCTACAGTCTTTGACCCCTCTTCCCATTCCCCTATCCCAGACTTTCCCACCTCCACTTAACTGCTCTTGGGCCACTGTGGTTATGAGGGAGGTAGTGGAGAAGTGGAGATGATAGAAAAGTGGTTTCTTTGGAATGAGTAAAGGGATGGGGGCAGCTTGTATAGAATGACCCATCTCTGCACCCCCAGAAAGCAATGGCTTAACAGGAGAGTAAACACAGACTGGGCAGTGGGCTTGGCTTGAGTTTGAGAGATAATTTTCTAGAGCTTAGAGAGAGGAAGGAAAGAAATTTGTTGAAGCAGCTGCTGTACACAGCTATAGCAATACTTATCAATATGTATAGGTATATGTATGTGTGTGTATATATATATACACACACATATATGAGATTTAATTTGTAAGATTTAATAAGATTTAACCTTATTTGCAATTATTTTTTATTATCAGCAAGATTTATATTAATGTGGTACATATCAAGATGGGCAAACTAGTTCTTTACAGCTGTTATCTGTCCTGATTGGGTCAGTGTCTCTTCTGTTTAGCCAGTGACCCTGCCATTCCAGTTGTGCAGCCTCTCCGCTGCAATTCTCTGGGCCTCCTCACAATCCAGAAGACAAAGGGGTCAAGCTTTGTGCCTCAGAGGGCCTCCAAGTCATTTCAGCACTATAGCTGGCATCCTCAGAAACTCACTTCAGCACCATAGCTGACATCCATTCTGATTGGTTGTTAAATATTTAAAATCCCACCTCTGATTGTGATCTATCTGGAGCTGGGCCCTAAAGAGATGAGATACTTAGAAAGGGCAAGTCCATGTGGGCTTCATAGTTGGTAGGGGAAGAAAGAGAGGTGGTAAGAAGTGTGGAAATAAAAATGGGGCATGAAAAGGAGACTGAAGGGTGTGGGAAGAGAGGTGAAGACACACTGCTGAAGAAGGGCACTGTGAACAAGTGTGGCCTACATCTGGATGGCCTGGGGCAGCCATGCCTTTGCTTTTCATGCCTCACTTTTCAAGTGAGGACCTGTCCTTGCTTGAAAGTTGTGTAGGCACCTTTGAGAAAATACTTCCTATTGCCCCCTCTGAGCACGCACACCCCATCCTCTCTTCTCCTAAGCGCCTGTGTTGCATGCACACACTTCGCCCTTGTTCAAGCGGTGCTTAATAAGAATTCTTGAATGTTTGCTTTCTAATGTGTATGTCCAGGCAACTTCATGCAGTGAATCTGGAAATAACCTAATTTATCGCCTTCATTTTGCAAATGAGAGAATAAAATGGGTCTAAAGAAATCAAATAATTGCTGTATATCCCTCAAATCCAGGGATGATTCTCCTACTAACATTGTAGGTCTCAAACTGCAGGTTTCCTGAGGGAAACTATGTTACAAATCAGGACAAACTTCTCAATTTGTTCTGTGCTTTGAGAACAATGGACTTTGTTTTTTTCTTTACTTATGAAAACTTAGAAAAATATTCAAATATTACATTGACTGAAAAAAATCCATATGACCACATTAAAAATATATACGTGAACATAAGTTTAGGCAAAGGAAAAATTCTATGCCCAAGCCAATAAATTTTCTTCTATGGTGTCATGAGAGGCAGTTAAAGAATAGACTCTGGATCCCAAATTGCTTAGGCTCAAATTTTAGCAGAGCAATATTTAACAAGTTACTTAACTTCTCTCTGCCTTGGATTCCTTGTTTGTAAAACTGAGAATAATGTACCATTTTATAGAGTGGGTCTGATGATTATGCAAGATGATTTAGCTTAGAGCAATGCCTAGCACATAGTAGGGCTGCTTGTATTGTTATTATCACAGTTTTTGTGGGCTGAGGTTTTTTACAGCCCAGATTCAGAGAGTAAGAGGAACTTGATTTCCTTCAAATCAGATTTGATAAGTACAAAAGTGAAAGGTCAGATAGAGAGGGAGGTCGTGTGGGTTATTATAGTAAACAATAAATCCTACTTGAGTTATGTACCCAATATGTTAGCTACAGAAAAATTTGAAAGAACTAAACGTTTTGTTACAAATCAGCTTGTTTGGGCCAGTTCTATTTTTATCAGCATGTCTTATCTCTCTTATAAGCAAATCATGTCCAATCAAAGCCAGAAAAAAACAAAGCTAACAAGTATTCTGACTCAACACATTTTTTTGTAACACTCAGAAAGCTCAGTCTTTTACAGTCTTTTGGCCATATTGTCTTGGTTATCTTCTGAGATGAGATGCACAAAAACCTATAATGAGGACTAAGGCTCACATTGGAATCTCAGAAATAGAGGCTAAATTACCATTTCCAAAAGGGGAACTTTTCACCTCAGTATTAAATCAAGCCTCAGAAGAAAATGAAAGTTATTATTAGTTATTCTGAGTTATTTTACTCTAAGACGGCTGAAATTCCTAGATATCTACTTTGTAAAATAATTTATTGATCCCAGATTCTCAACTACAGAAATGATTCAATATCTAATATTACTCCTATAAAAATTTAGCTGTCTACTTTAGAATGTAATAGATTTTTCCCCAAATAATATTTAGATTCTTTAAAAAATATGTTAATATGCATAAAATGACAGTAAGTCATCAGAAAGATGTATTAAGAGCCGAATACCTTTAGAATGGCAGAAAGGACTTTCTCTTCAGAGTGCTACTAAATTCTAGGGAGAGTATCTTTATCCCTTTTTAGTCTTCATATATTTGCTGAGACTTAGCAAAAATACTTTGAGGGTTCTAGTTAGCTTGATCATGCCTCACACTTCCTGAAGAAGGTTGCAGTTGTGGAGACCGCACTAAATTCCTGAAGGAGTTCCAACCAAAGAATCCTTAGACATGCTCCAACTGACTGGGCTGAGGAGATTTTTTGTTGTCTTTTAGGTGAAGAGCTAATGGCAGAGGGAATTATGGGGCCTCCTAGTCATAGGATCACCATTAACTTTATTGGCTCTGTTGGAGTCTTAAGTGTTTTCCCAAATAAAATGAAAATTAGAGCAGGAGTTAGTAGCCTTTCCTTTCTCAAAATAATGTCTGATTTGAATTACTTATAATTATTTAACTCACTCAAAGAGATTAATGTAAATATTTGAGAAACTGCCTCCCAGGAAACAGAGAAATGACTTCAAGATTCTGAAAATTATCTTCTAATTCTCTTGGGAATGCAAAGTGTGTGGGTAACCTGAATATCAAGATACAAGAAATATATTTGACAATTGGAAAGACTGCTATTGAAATGCATCCCTGTTAAATCAGTGGATCAAAAAGTAACAGAAAATTATGTGTCTAAAAGGGAATGTAGATGTTAATATAAATAACAATGATAAGGTGGATGTTTCAAGAAGATATTAAAAAGGAACAGATTCAGATCTTAGTTGTACCAGGCCTGGTAAAGGCAATGTAAATGGCAAAGTCTTATTTCTTTTGAAAGTTTTGTAATGATCGGATGATAGCGCTGAAGGGACTGAGAAGGAAGGAGGAAACTCTTTTCCAATATCTTCAATAGGATATGCCCTTTTCTAAATTCATTTTTATGTTTCATGTGAAAATTCTTTTAATAGGATGAGTACTCCTTAGTTAGATAATGTGGTTAAAGCAATTACTCCTCTATAGTCCAATCCTGCCAACAATTCATACTAGTAATTAATAACATGCTGAATGAATATTTTTAATACTGCGTTTTAAAAAACTCAACTCATAATTTAAGAAAATATTTCAGTAAGCAGTGGCAGGGAATCATTGCAGACACTCACAGAAAAGAAGCAATAAAAATCGGTCTGTTAAAATAAAACCAAGCAGGATCAGAGACAGTGTATAGTGTCATTAGATTCTTAGGTCATTAGATTATCTTGGCTGGCTCTTTACTTAGATGAGCCATGTTGCTTGCTTTGGGGCCTCCAGGCAAACCTTATGTGGCAAGAATTGACGTATGAATACATTTTCAGTACACCACTTCGTGTTATTTCACAGGCCTCTGACATTTGGCTGTCCCCCAAATAATCTCTAGTAGGTTTCATCAATGCCTTCATTTTTCTTTTGTAATACTTAATAACTTCTTTGGGTAGTTTTTTTTTCTTTTGAGTAGTTTTTATTTAAGCAATTTTTCCACATCCAGGAGCAAGGAAATACTTGAATAAGGAGTTAGGCTCTCCTAAAGACTCAAACAATTTATCTTTGTAGCTCCAAGAAAAAGTAGGAGTAGGAGAGAGTAGACATGATCAGAGCTCATTCCAAGCCAGTGTTTTCACTCTTCCCTTGCTTCTTTTCCTATAAATAAAATTTGGGGTAGGGAAAAGATTTGGAAAAATATTTGAGAAAAATGTTATCCCTATTCCTCCTCTTCCTCCCAGCCGGAGACCACCTAGGGGCTTGACTGATGTTTTCTATTGGAGAAGTCTGAAGGAATCCACTCTTGGGTAGCTTAAGCGTATCTGCTTTAGTAGGCAACATTTCTGAGCCACACAGAAATGGAACCAGTTTTCTACGTTTGCCTCCAAGTTGACCAACTTTGAAATTAATTAGCTGTGAGGCTTAGAGCAAGCCACTTTAACTCCTCTAGACCTTCTGTTCTTTTCTAATAAAAAGAAGAAGAAAGAATAGACGTTCTCAAAGGTCATTCTAGATAAAGATTTCTCAATTTCAACATTATTGACATTTTGGACTGAATATTCTTTGTTGTGATGTGCTGTCGGAGGTATTGTAGAATGTTTAACAGCATCCCTGGCCTCTACCCACCTGATGCAGTAGCGTCCTTCCTAGTTTTGACATCCCCAAATGTCTCTAGCTATTGCCAGACGTCCCCCAGGGAGACTGAAAGATAAAATACAAGACACCCAGTTAAATTTGTATGTCAGATAAAGAATGAATCGTTTTATTGTATTTAATTGGACATATTTATACTAAAAACTTGCTTGTTTTTTGTCTGAAATTCAGATTTAATTGAGCATTCTGATTATTAATTTGCTAAATCTGGTAGCCTTATTGGTGGGGTGGGTGAGGTGGTGGCACAAAATTGCTCTCTCCTCCACTCCATTGAAAACCAATGTTCTAGGCAAAAAGTTTTTAAAAAATATATGGTTTTGTTCTCCTCGGAGTTTTCCATATTAGAATAATTAAAGGGATAGGCCAGACTTCCATTAGATCAGATTTTTGGAAATGTTCCTGATTGATTAATTTTGCATTCATAGATCTAGCTATTCAAAAAAGAATATTTTTCAACATTGTTAGGATAGGGATGTCACACAATGACCATTCCTTTTAGCCACTGCTGATTTCTCTCTGAGAAGGCTAAATATGTGCTTAGGGCATTGATAAAACAGAAACGAGAGAGAGAGAGAGAGAGAGAGAGAGAGAGAGAGACTTTGTTTGAAATAATTAGGTATTTTTTTAAAGCATCAGTGTAGTAGACACTATGGGAGAATTTCTAACTTTGTGGAACTTATTTTGAATTCCGTATGAAAGTGGGGTGAAGGATAATCTTTTCAGTGCCTAGGGATTTTGAGTTTCTAACCCTGGCCTGATTTCAGGACATTTTACCCCACATCAGTCATAACAGAAAGAAGGTTTGCCACAGGTAGTTCACTCCTCCTTTCTACCCTAAGCTCTTGAGCAGTTATGTATAAAGAGCAGTTCTATAAAGAAGTGTGCATGTGGAGAAGTGGATAATCAAATGAAACAGAGCTTTAGGTACATGTCTTTGTGTTGTGCCAAACTCAACACACTGCTTTTTCAATTTGAGCCAGACTCATCTGACGAATTTAGGGTCTGGCATTTTTTTATTTCCACTGGTACTTGCTGTCTTCATGATAGCATGGGGCTTGAAGACTCAACATAAGGATGAGGGAGTCATGAGGATGTTGAAACTCGTAAAATATGTCAGTGATAACTGTAAGCCTGCAGTGCTCATAGATAGTAAAGGATATAAAAAATATTTTATCATTGTTATTGATAAAGGTTTTTTCAGTGCTTTCCATAGGTATGAATTAAATGCTGAAAGAAGGCTGAACAGCATAAAATTTTTCCTCTCTTTTACAAACTTCCATATCATTTAGGAAAATAATACATGCAAATAAGAAAAAGTAACAAAGAAAATATTGGATAAAGAAAGAATATTTTTGGGAATACGATGTCTCACGCCTGTAATCCCAACACTTTGGGAGGCCGACCCGCGCGGATCACGAGGTCAAGAGATCGAGACCATCCTGGCCAACATGGTGAAACCCCGTCTCTACTAAAAATACAAAAATTAGCTGGGCGTGGTGGCATGTGCCTGTAATCCCAGTTACTCAGGATGCTGAGGCAGGAGAATCATTTGAGCCCAGGAGGGGGAGGTTGCAGTGAGCTGAGGTCGTGCCACCACACTGCAGCCTGGCAACAGAGCAAGATCAGTCTCAAAAAAAAAAAAAAGAAAAGAAAAAAGAATACTCTTTTGTATGAGTGTATGTGAAATATTAAAAATATTAAATGAAACACACTTTTATTGAAAACTTATTTGTTCTTTATCTGAGATTCCAACTTAACTGAGCATCCTGTATATTTATTTGCTAAATGTGACAAATAAATATATCTTGCAATATATGCTAGATGCCAAAAGATTGTTTAAATATTTGGTGTTCTAGGAGTTGAGAGGAGATACTGCTTCTTTCTCAATCTCAGCATTATTGGCATTTTGGGCTGGATAAATCTTTGTTGTTGGGGTGGGGGGCTGTCCTATGCATGGTAAAATGTTTAGTGGAATCTCTGGCTTTTACTCATACATGCCAGTAGTACCCTCAACCCCTTTGTGACAACCAAAAGTGTTTCCAGACATTGTCAAATGTTCCCTGGGGAGGAAAATCTCTGATTGAGAACCACTAGCCTCTTAGTGTGGAGGAAGACTTAGGAGAGATATCACTTGAGTAGGGCCTAGGAGGATGTGTGAGATTTTGCAAGAAAGAGGTAGTTTTGATGGAGAGCATTTTAGGTGAGGGAAAAGGCATAAATAAAGACGTCAAGGTATAAAAGTTGAGAGTAGGTTTGGGGTAGAGTAAGCAGATGAGTTTAACTATATAGTTATTGTTCATATGGGAAACAGTGGGATTGTGAAGTACTTTAAGAAATAGAACATATTTTGTGACTCTGCCTATGCCCACAGCAGCCTAATAGTATCTTGACCTTAGTAGCCGTTCAGTAATTCACTGGTGATTTGATTTGAAAGGTAAATGTATCAAGATAAGAAAGCCTTGAATGGAAAATCTAAGAGGTAAAAGTTTTTCTGGTGGGCAGTGGAGAGCCCTTGAAGGTTATTTGAGCAAGGGAATGGCATGACCTTGAGGAAGTCAAGCTGTTCTGGGGTTGATTGGGTTCAGTTATCTCAATGGTGAGAGAAAGGAGTTGGAATTGAGAATAGTAATAGCAATCACCTTTAAAAATTTTCCCCCCACAATTTACAAAGCACTTTGCCTGCATTTTCTAATTTGGTTGTCCCAAAAATCCAGTATCAATTTCATTAAAAATTTTTCTTCTTTAGTTATTTTTCTTCCCAACTAGCACTGATGTTTGGACATCGCAATAAAAATGAGCTTTGGATACATTTCATACCATGAAAAAAACTCTCACAATTTTATTTTTTTTTTTTGTCTTTCAAGTTGTGATGTCATCAAAGGGCCTGGGCAATTGATTTACCTTATGGGCAAAGATGGAGTTGAGTGGCACTCTGTCCTTGGCAGGGAGGAGCTTTTAAACCTGGGCTCCTCTCTGTGTCTGGGATCTGGGTTGAAAGCATTTCCTTTTGCTTCTTCAGATGAATAAGTGGCACTGTACAAGCATTAAAAGAGATGTCTGTCATATGAATTTGGCATTGTCCCCCCACCCCCCCAATCTCTTGAAAGTCTTTTTGTGGTGCCACAGGATTAGTCCTTAACCAGTCTGTTCTTTCCATCCCCAAAGAGGCCAGACAGCTTTCTTTCTAATGCTCCCACCTCCTAGGTACCCTTTCTATTTACTGTAGGATCGGATCTTATCCTGTGGAGAAGTTACATAATTTTGGGTGTTATGAGGTAATGCACGGCTCTTCTTTTTTTTCCCCTGCTCCCTCAAAACAAACATTTCTTGTTCCTTGGTTCTTCAGTGTCTGGCTGATGTTAGGACAAAGATGAGAATAAATTAGTTGATCCTACAAAAATGAAATGAGTAATTAGGAGAAAACTCAACTATGGCTAAAATTGGTTTCTGCTAATTAAAAACATTGACAAGCAAAAGATTGTCAATATGTTCCAGATTTAGTCATCAGGAAATCAGGCCTATTGTAGAAATATTTCTCATCATAAGAAAAGACATGGGACTTCACGGACTCTAATTAAATTTCTTGAATCCATAATTTTGGTTAGCAGTATTCCATTTAGTTATTCTTTGTTATTACTGTTTTTAGTTGGCAGAATAGCCCCCCTGAAGATGTCCACACCTTAATCTCTGACTCCTGTGAATGCTACATGGCAAAAGAGACTTTGTAGATGTGACTAGGGTTATGGACCTTAAGATGAGGAGATTATTTTGAATCGTCCAAGTGGGCCCAATCTAATCCCATGCATCTTTAAAAGCAGAGCATTTCATCCAGCTAGAGGGAAGAGAGATGCTGCAAAAGGGAAAATCAGAGAGATTCCAAGCATGAGAAGGACTCAATGCACTATTGCTGGTGTTGAGATGTAGGGTTCTAGTGTGAGGATCAAGGGGAGAATTTTAGGAAGTAAAGGCCTCTCCACTGACATCCATAAAAAAGCAAAGACCTCAGTCCTACAGCTGTAAGGACCATAATCCTGCTAACAACCTGAATGATCTTGGAGACAGGTTCTTCGCAGAGCCTCCAGTAAAGAACGCATCCCTGAAACACCTTGATTTTATCATTGAGAGACCCTAAGCAGAAGAAACAATTAAGCCACGCTGTATCTGGACTTCTGATCTGCAGAAACTGTGAGATAATAAATGGATGTTGTTTTAAGCCTTGAAATTTATGGTAATTTGTCATGGCAGCAATAGAAAACTAATACAGTGTTCTTTGTCATTGTTTCTGTCTTCATTAGTGGCACCATCATTGTTATGACTTATTGTGTATTTGCATCACATGACATGGCCCCAAGTACCAGGCTTTGCCACTAGATTTTAAGCCCTTAAGGACAGAGATTTTTTTTTCTCTTTCTCCCTTTCACCCTGGCCAGAGTGCTCTGGCCTGTTCATAGTTCACAGTGACCTTGAACCCCTGGGCTCAATTGATCCACCTGCACCAGCCTCCAGAGTAGCTAGGACTAGAGGTGCATAACACCAAGCTAGGCTAACTTTTTAAATTTTTTGTAGAGATGGGGTCTTGCTATGTTGCCCAGGCTGGTTTCAAACTTCTGGTCTCAAGCAATCCTCCCACCTCAGCCTCCCAAAGTGCTGGGATTACAGGTGTGAGCCACCATTCCCAGCCTTTCTCCCTCTCTTAAAAAATTTTCACCTATGTAATCTCTAGCACTTCAAACAGTTGTCTAACCCATACTATGTGCACAACAGATATTTACTGAATGACTATATAGGGCTACAAAAGAATTTTAAATATTATCCAACCCTTAGTGGAGTTTAAAAATCTAGTTGAAGCATCAAAATCTCAATTAACTTCCAAAATAGGACAATATATTTCAGTGCTAAAGGAAAGGTCTAGACAATACATATTGTAGTTTTCTAGGGGCATAGAAGTTGCAGTGGGTACAGGTGGAAATACATTTCATGGAGAAGATAGGCCTTCGGGTAAGATGACTAAAGAAGCAAAGCAAAGCAAAGGGGAGAAGGACAGGAGAAAAAGACAACAGCCTTACAACTCTGTATGGGGTAATCCAAGATGACCAGCTTAGGGTAATCCAAGATGTACTAACCTTGGCTTGAGCCTGATGGTGAGACTGCTGCGTCATCTGCAGTCCCTTGCCTTGCTGGAAATTACAGCGAACACTTTATACTACAAAACACCTATCAATGGAGACTAAGGTTTCAGTTATCAACGTTCTTGATCATTCCTTTTATTCTTCCATCTGGCTTTTTGTCTCATCAAAATATGACACCTTCATGTTAAATGGCATCATACCTTACTTTTTAAAAACAAATTTTAATGCAAAAGGAGTACATTGTCACTATAGACTATTTGGGAAAAAATAAGTATAAAGAAAATAAATCATACACAATTTCACCACCCAAAATAACTGCTGAGTAGTTTGATGTATTTTTTCACATTTTGTCCTTCTGAATTACTTATATACTATAGTCACAAGATTAGTATTATGCACAAGACATAGTTTTATATCTAATTCTTATCTTCTGTGTAATTTCCTATAACGTGAATAAACCATAACTTATTTGATAACTCCCTCATTATGGGTCATCTAAGTTGTTTCCAATGTTGTGGAATTTGGAATCCAATAATATAGCAAAGACTTGGAACCAACCCAAATGTCCAACAATGATAGACTGGATTAAGAAAATGTGGCACATATACACCATGGAATACTATGCAGCCATAAAAAATGATGAGTTCATGTCCTTTGTAGGGACATGGATGAAGCTGGAAACCATCATTCTCAGCAAACTATCGCAAGGACAAAAAACCAAACACTGCATGTTCTCACTCATAGGTGGGAATTAAACAATGAGAACACATGGACACAGGAAGGGGAATATCACACACCGGGGACTGTTGTGGGGTGGGGGCAAGGGGGAGGGATAGCATTAGGAGATATACCTAATGTAAATGATAAGTTAAAGGGTACAGCACACCAACATGGCACATGTATACATATGTAACAAACCTGCAGGTTGTGCACATGTACCCTAAAACTTAAAGTATAATAATAACTAAAAAAAAAAAAAACTTTGGTAGAAATCCTTGTCAATAAATTCCTGGTGGCATCTCTGATAATAACTTAAGGATAAATTCCCAGAAGTTGGAATTATTCGATCCAAATATTAAACCTCTTTATACAACTGGTCGGATTATTTAACAGGAAGAAAAAGTGGAATTTTTTTACAGGCTACCTCACATTAATTGATATTTCTATTAGTTGTGTATGAGAGTGCTTATCTCACCATACATTTACCAGCATTTAGTTTTGTAATTTCTTTTTTTTAAATTTTTTTTGAGATGGAGTCTCGCTGCAATGCCCAGGCTGGAGTGCAATGGCTCAATCTCGGCTCACTGGAATCTCCGCTTCCTGGGTTCAAGCGATTCTCCTGCCTCACCCTCCCGAGTAGCTGGGACTGCAGGTGCTGCACACCACCACATCTGGCTAATTTTTGTATTTTTAGTAGGGACAGGATTTCACCATATTGGCTAGGCTGGTCTCAAACTCTTGACCTCGAGTGATCAGACTGCCTTGGCCTCCCAAAATGCTGGGATAACAGGCCGGAGCCACTGTGCCTGGCCTTTGTAACTCTTTTTAAAATGATATTTTATTGTTGTTTTGCCATAAATGTCACTAATTTTTCTAAATGCACTTTGATATATGTATGAGGTTAAATATATTTTTATGTTAGAGTAGAAATTTGTTTATCTTCTTTGGGAATCACCTGTTGATACCTTTTGCCTATTTTTCTATATATTAGTGTTTTATATTGATTTATAAGTTGTTTCTACTATAATTACTGATATTTTGATTATTATATTAATGATAAATATGTATTAATCATTAATTCAAATTACATATACATATATGTATAATATATAAATATATATTTATATATAATATTTGAAAATAATGTTTCTATTTTATAATTTGCCTCTGAATTTTGTTTATACTGTTTATACAGATCAACATATCAAAGCAGTTCCTCAATCTAAACATCATGGCAAGTCAATGGCTTGCTTTTTGAAATTGTGAAACATGTGGTTTCCTCTCACTCCCTGACACCCAACACTTATCCCTGCCCCAACATGAAATGAGAAGTCCACTAGCATTTGAACTTATATTTCCTCCAAAGTGTAAATTGATTACATTACTTATATAAACT
Organism: Homo sapiens; assembly: GCF_000001405.40. Classification (NCBI taxonomy): domain Eukaryota; kingdom Metazoa; phylum Chordata; class Mammalia; order Primates; family Hominidae; genus Homo; species Homo sapiens. The sequence continues at coordinate 75,450,964 of NC_000006.12, read as the reverse complement.
AATTTTTTTGAGATGGAGTTTCGCTCTTGTTGCTCAGGCTGGAGTGCAATGGCGCAATCTCGGCTCACTGCAACCTCTGCCTCGCAGGTTCAAGCGATTCTCCTGCCTCAGCAACCTGAGTAGCTGGGATTACTGGCATGCACCACCATGCCCGGCTAATTTTGTATTTTTAGTAGAGACATGGTTTCTCCATGTTGTTCAGGCTGGTCTTGAACTCCCAACCTCAGGTGATCTTCCTGCCTCGGCCTCCCAACATGCTGAGATTACAGGCATGAGCCACCGTGCCCAGCCACTCTTTTTTTTTTTTTTTTTCTTTTTTAAGAGAGAAGTTCTTATTCTGTTCCCCAGGCTGGAGTGCAGTGTCATAATTTCACTGCAGCCTGAAACTCCTGGGCTCAAGCAATCCTCTCATCCCAGCCTCCTCAGTAGCTGGGACTACAGGCACATGCCACCACATCCAGCTAATTTTTTAATTTTTTAAATAGAGATATGGTCTTGCTTTATTGCCCAGGCTGGTCTCAAACTTCTGGCCTCAAGTAATCCTCTTGTCTTGGCCTCCCAAAATGTTAATTACCGGTGCGAGACACTTCACTTGGCCTCTGATTATTCTAAAATAATTTATTGGTATTCTTATTAAACAATCACAGAATACTTGTAGAACATCTCTTGAAATCAGTAATTAGTTTAGCCTGGGCATGGTGGCTCATGCCTATAATCCCAGCACTTTGAGAGGCCAAGGTGAGAGGATCCCTTCAGGCCAGGAGTTCAAGAGCAGCTTGGGCAACATAGCAAGATCCCTCCACCCGCCCGGGCCACTTCCTTGGCCCTGCCATCTCTACCAAAAAAAATTTTTAAAAAGTAATCAGGCACAGTGGTGTGCGCCTGTAGTTCCACCTACTCAGGAAGCTGAGATGGGAGGATCACTTGAGCCCAGGAGTTTAAAAGCTGCCGTACAGTAAGCCATGATTGCACCACCGCACTCCAGTCTGGGTGACAGAGTGAGACCCTGTCTCTAAAAAAAGAAAATTGTTTAAATAAAATAATCAGATATATCAACATAGTATTCAGAGTTATGTGTATTTTAACCTGAAGTAATTGTTCCTAACTGGTTATCATATTACTCTGAGTGCAATTGCAGATTCCACTGATTATTTTCAATGAGTCATAAACACTCATACTTTAAATACTTAGACTTTAAGATAGTTAAGCTGGGAGTAAATGTCTGAGGATTTTTGCCATAGCAGTCAAATAAATATCATTAGTTTTTAAATGCATTTCCTTCAATGTCCTACTCTTGTTCAGGTTTCATCAATTTTGTGTTTAGCCAGGCTACCTAGACTTTAAAAAAAATACAGATGGGGTCTTGCTGTGTCCCAGGCTGGTCTTGAACTCCTGGGCTCAAGGGATCCTCCTGCCTCAACCCCTGAGTAGCTGGGATTACAGGCACATGTCCAGCTAAGGCATTTATCTTTTTTTTCTTTTTAAAACTTCAATAGGTTTTTGGGGAACAGGTGGTATTTGCTTACATGAATAAGTTCTTTAGCGGTGATTCTGAGATTTTGGTGCACCCATCACCCGAGCAGTGTACACTGTACCCAAAATGCAGTCTTTTATCTCTCACTGCCCTCCCATCCTTTCCCCCCAAGTCCCCAAAGTCCATTGTATCATTCTTATGCCTTTGCGTCTTCATAGCTTATCTCCCACTTATGAGAGAACATACGATGTTTGGTTTTCCATTCCTGAGTTACTTCACTTAGAATAATGGTCTCCAAATCCATTCAGGTTGCTGCAAATGCCATTATTTCATTCCTTTTCACGACTGAGTAGTATTCCATGGTGCATATATACCACAATTTCTTTATCCGCTTGTTGATTGATGGGCATTTGGGTTGGTTCCATATCTTTTTTGCAATTGCGAATTGTGCTGCTATAAACATGCATATGCAAGTATCTTTTTCGTATAATGCCTTATTTTCCTCTGGGTAGATACCCAGTAGTGGAATTACTGAATCAAGTGGTGGTAGTTCTACTTTTAGTTCTTTAAAGAATCTCCACATTGTTTTCCATAGTAGTTGTACTAGTTTACATTCCTACCAACAGTGTATCCCACCACATCCACACCAACATCTATTATTTTTTTATTATGGTCATTCTTGCTAGAGTAAGGTGGTATCACACTGTGGTTTTGATTTACATTTCCCTGATCATTAGTGATGTTGAGCATTTTTTCATATGTTTGTTGGCCATTTGTGTATCTTCTTTTGAGAATTGTCCATTCATGCCCTTAGCCCACTTTTTGATGGGATTGTTTGGTGTTTTGTTTATATTCCTTGTAGATTCTGCATATTGGTTCTTTGTTGGATGCATAGATTGCAAAGATTTTCTTCCACTCTGTGGGTTGTGTATTTACTCTGCTCATTATTTCCTTTGCTGTGCAGAAGCTTTTTAGTTCAATTAAGTCCCATCTATTTATCTTTGTTTTTGTTGCATTTGCTTTTGGGTTCCTGGACATGAAGTCTTTGTAAGGCATTTATCTTTAAAGGGATGTATTTGCTATCTTATTTTTACAGTAATAGCACATAAGAATTAATCATATTTCATTTTAAAAGAATTGAGATCAGAAATGCTAAATACATATCCTTGTAAATAGGAACTCTCACCTATTAGTAGAGGCTGTTCCAGTGATGTATTGAGAAGGCTTCTGAGAATGTATTCAGGCTCAGCAGTCAAAGGATGCCATAGCTAATTAGTGATCTAGGAGGAAGGTATGACAAAATCCATGCTGTGTGTTTACCACCCAGGTTAAAGTAAATTTAATAAATGTGAATGTTCAAATATAAACAGAAATTTCAAACTTATTTAGTGTCTGGCATGCTATCTTTGAAGCAAAATTACAAAGACTTTTTTCCTCATCTATGTGGGGGGTATTATTCTATATGTAGGGAACAGCTCCCCATAAAAATAATGTGATATTACAATTATTTTTATTTTTTTTTATGTTTGAAAAGTGCCAATGAAGAATCCTGAAGAAATTCCCTTTCTTCTATATTGGTACCTGGTTTGATTTCTTCAAGGGCTCAATCTTCAAAGAATGGGAAAAGAGGTCTGATTTGTATTTGTGACTACCTCTGGGTGCATTTAGGTTTTTAAATACAGTTTACTTTTAAGATGAAGATTTAATACATGTAGCCTCACCTGGATATTTAGCTAAGGGCACACTGAAAAGGTCTTGAGCCACAGTTAAAAAAATAAAGATCTTTCCAAAGTATCCTTGATCAAAATCCCATACACCTAGAATGCAAAAATAACTTCAGGACCTTTCAGTCCTTAACATTAGCTTTCAAAGTTCACTATTCTTTATTCCCTAGACAACTAGCCTCCATCTATCTTTCTATCCTATGATTATTTTAAATCATCTCAGTTTGGTAAGGTAAAGCACAGGTCTACAAATCCATGGATGAAGAGCATTGTTCTCCTCTTCTCTTCAAATAGTCAGTGGAATCCCAGGGCTCCCTGCACATTTTCTTTAGGATACCTTGACCTCATCCAAAGGTCTTTTGAGATTTGAAAATGCAATTCTTGGCTCAAGCTAATGTATGGTAAACTAGCGATTTCATTGAAAATGCTTCCTGCCAATTAAAAACAAAGGAAGAAGATAAATATATACTGCACCTGATTTCCAGTGTTTCTTGCAGGGGAAAAAAAGAACTCTTTAAAGAAATCTAAAATTCTACATTTCTATGTTTATAACCGTTTTCTTTCCTTTTTCCCTACTTGCACTCAAACTTTGTTATAGCTAAAAATATATAAAGGTTTTTAATACGACAGAAGTTTGTAGAGTTGTTCATACCATCCTTATGCCTTAATCGTTTCTTTTTCGGTTTTGACTAAATGTTTCCTCTGAATAATATGCTACTTTTTTGGAGGCAAATTTTCTCCTCCCTAAGGTTTGGTGACTTCATTTGATATGACACCAATGTTAACCAAGGAAATGAACACTGACTATTTAAAAAACCAAAAAGAGAAGATGTTTTAAATGATTGGGCAGACTCTTGGCATCAGGTTTTTAGAAGCAACTGGCTCAATTAGCCAGCTCAGGAAATGTGCCACATTGTGTGTAAAAAATCCAACTCCCCAAATTACAGAACTGTTGGAACGTTGTGCACCCAGTTTACATTTGCTGGAGAACGTCATCCTTGGCTCAGATGTAATGAAAGAGTCATCATTTTCCCAGGTGAACTGGGGCAAACCAAGGTTTAGTCTCCTTTTATTGCCAGGGAGAGATTGATGGTTGCGGCTAGAAACTATGCAAAAGTTGGCAGTTGTAGCTTCCTTGAGCTTTCAGGTTTGTCCAAGTGAAAGTCAAGGAGTGTGAACCCAGGTAAACGAAATGTTTACCACTAAAGAAGCCACCATGGATTTGAAACCACTGAGGTGCATAGCACTTTCACAGGAAGCATGCCATTCTGCAGAGCTACAGTCTTCTCTGTGAATGACTGTGCAATGTAGATTAGCTCATTTAAATTTTAGGCTAAACATGCAAGAGGGAGATTTTACTGAGATGGCTAGTGGTTACATCCACAGCATTCAATTACTATAATAAGAAACAGATATGTCACTCTAGAGAATTTGGGCTTTGCCTTGATTAATATAGGAGTTTATAATATTTTATAATGATTGCAGCTGCAAACACTACTCCATAGTTGTTAGCATATTATCTACCATTAGCTATGAAAAGGAAGATTCAAATGGTGAATGGAACAACTAGAGGATTTGTTTTTAAGAATAAATATATTCTAATAAATATAAGTTCTTAAGGAGAATCTAACTATAGCAATAGCTTCAGAAAATGAAAATTTTGTGAGTTTTGAAAATTGGGTGATTATAAGTCAAGATCTCTTAAGTTTTCTCTGTGTAAATCTGATTATATATTTTGACATTAGTTCTCAAAGTAGTCTATGCCATGGTGATGCTTTAAATTTTGTTACAAATGTCCTATAAATACTTAGAAAGTTTCAAATTTGTAAGACTCAGCAAAATAATGATCTTATTATATTGGTGGGATTGGATAGTTTGTTGTTGTTAATAGGTATTAAGCACAACCAGATGTACTGTCCTAAAGGAATAAATGAAGAAGGAAAAATGTGTTCAAAAAAAGAGGTGCAAAAATATATATTGTTAATTAATGTAGTGGTAACAAGCACAGTCTTATGACTTTGCAGAATGGAATCTACAAATATATAGACTATAGAAATTCAGCAGGTTCATTTATTCAATATTTAGTAGATATTGTGTTGGCTATGATGTGCTAGGATGTAGTAGGTGCTGGGAGTAAAAAAAAAAAAAATTAAATGTGGTTCCTGCTTTCAATAAGCTCACATGCTCAAATAAACATGGTGGCTGCCATACTTACATGTGAATCAGTGTTCAAGGAGAGTAAGAAAAGAAGCAGCTAAGTTTTCCTAAGGAAATCAGGGAAGGGAAAGTAATGCTTGCATTGAGATTTGAGGAATAATAAGATTAATAGTGTGGGGAGTAGGAGAGAGACAGAGTTCCAGGGGCCTTGAGAAAGGGTGGTGTGTTTAGGGAAGAGAGATCAGTAGGACATAGTTCAGTATAGGGTGCTTTGAGGGGAAGGATGAGAAAAGAGTATAAAGACCTTGAAAAGCTTAGGTCTTGTAAGAGTAAGAAGTTTATTTTGGGGAATAGCTCAAAGAATCTTGGCAAATGACTCAAGAATCTTGAGCAGAGAATTGACACAAAACCACTTTTGTGTTGAAAATATTTTTCTAAGAGCTTTGAAGTGTATGAGTTGGAGGGGCTGCACTTAGGGTAGAGTGGTTATTGCAGAGATGGGAGGAGAGGGGATGGAGGTAGGAGTGGAAGTCAGAATGCGTAGCCTACTACAGCTCTATTTCTATCTTGTCTCAGCCTCGAATTTATGTTGGACTGAAAGTCAGTGGAACACCCTTTATACTGGCTCAGTTCTCTTTAATCAGTCACAAGTTCTGAGGTGATATAAGCAACACTTACACAATTACAGGTAAAAATCCCAATAAAACAAACTCCATGGGGATTATAAATTATTTTAATTGTCTGAAATTTTATTACCTGTCCTAGGGTATTGCTGGGCTAGAACTTATGAATTTTTTTCTCTACAAATACACATATACACAGGAGCAGTATGTGTAAGTTAGTTTAATTTAAAAATGAAGCCTTTAAAGTGTGGATAAATCTGTGCCAGTCACACACTGGAACAGGTCCATTTAAGCTTCGTTATTAATAAAGCAATCTAACATATAAAGGGTGTGGCTGAGGAAGTGAGCTAGGTGAGTGTCAAGTGATAGACTGACTGTAAAACAACTTACGATGGTAGGGGACACCTAAAAACTCCTGTGGGGTCCTTTTTTGATGTTGTAAATCAAAGTACTACTTTATTAAATGAGTTATTTTACACAATATGAACATCAATATAATTACAATTGTAGAAAAAAAAATTTATAACAAAGATGGGCTCATTTGTGACTCTTGTATCAATGAGAAGCCCAGCACAAACTCTCTGTTAAATTGGTTATTTGTGTTTAATAAGAGTAACTGATAGTAGACTATGTACGCACATCAAGTAGGATCAAAACTTACTACGAATCAAATATTGATAGCTGGTTCAACCAGAAGTGGAGAATATGAGAACCAGAGACACTCAAAGAATACTTCTTTTAATTGGCTGAATCTCATTGAAGTATCACAACCTGTTTAGTATTAACTGAGGGAAATGTATCTGAAAATTAGAGGCAAATAACTGATTTTTTGGTGGGATCAATGCTGCCTTTGAAAGAGAAGCATCAGTATGTAAAATTGGATTGACCATCACAAAATTATATTTGAGTCATTGTGTTTACCATTATTTGCCTTTATTGTTACCTCTTCTATTTATTAAGTACTTTCTACATGCATAGTGCTGTGCTGAGTTGTCACCATTCATGACTTCATTTTGTCTCTACAAAGCTCAAATGGTAGTCAGATATTATTGTTATCTCCATACTCAAATAAAGTTGAGGCTTAGAGAGGTTAAATGGCCCTTTTGCTATACAGCTCAATCTAATATGAGCATGTTAGAACTGAAAGAAAATTTAGAGGTAATCCATTTTATCAAAAACTTAGATGCCTAAGTAGTCAGGCAGATAACATAACACCAGGAGTCCATACCTTGTCTAAGGCGACAGCTGCTATTCAGTGTATGCCTTTTGTTGTTGCATGGGAATGTAGACCCAGTGTTGCCAATCTTATAGTTGTTTAAGAGAAATGAGGAATCAGAATCTGAATGTGAAATTTCCCAGATTTAAAAACATGCTTGGCAAATAGGATATGTCCACAGGCTGGTTATGGCCAATGGGTCACCAGTTTGCAACCTCCAATGAGGTACAATTCCATTATTTTACAAATAAGACACAGAAAAGTGAAGTGAGACACCCAGTGACTCACTACAAGTCAGGGATATATCCATTTTTCCCCTTAAAATCATGTTAGATTACCAAAATACTTAAGTTTTTCAGAAAAATGTTTCTAAAAATTGGTAGATTTTTGAAATGCATTTTAAAATTGTTTATTTCCTTGATAATCTATTAAAAATTGATTAATGCTTGTAATGCTAATGCTTTTGGCATAAACATTTAAAAATATGTGATTTTCTTCCTGCTGATTGTTTTGGCTTGATTATGTTACAAACAGCACTAAATAAATAGTATAATTTGGATAATAAAATTTCTAAAGAAAAAAGAAAATCTATGGATTGACTTTATTTTTGTTTAATAGATGTTCCAGGAGCAGAATGAATTCTAACTACAAATTTTCTAATACTCTTCATTTTTCATCTGATCTAAAAATTGGACAAATAAGTTAGGGAATCATTTCCCCAAACAATTAAGAAACTTTACACTTTCACTCCAAGATTTTTCACTGTGGACCATAAATATAAAGCTATCTTAGGTTCACTTTGAACATTTTCTTCCTTCTTTGTTTCCTCTCTAATAGTAAAAAGATTGCTCTTCTGAGAACTCATTGGTCCTTCATCCTTTGCAGGGTTGTTAAGAAATCAGGGAGGGCTAACTCCACGGATGACACTGACTGGGGATCCTGCATGTGTGTAGACATGGATTTATGAAATAGAGTGGGAAGAAAGAGGAAGTTTCCCTCCCCCTCCCCCTCTCCCTCTCCCTCTCCCCACGGTCTCCCTCTGATGCCGAGCCAAGGCTGGACTGTACTGCTGCCATCTCGGCTCACTGCAACCTCCCTGCCTGATTCTCCTGCCTCAGCCTGCCGAGTGCCTGCGATTGCAGGCGCGCGCTGCCACACCTGACTGGTTTTCGTATTTTTTTGGTGGAGACGGGGTTTCGCTGTGTTGGCCGGGCTGGTCTCCAGCTCCTAACCGCGAGGGATCCGCCAGCCTCGGCCTCCCGAGGTGCCGGGATTGCAGACGGAGTCTGGTTCACTCAGTGCTCAATGGTGCCCAGGCTGGAGTGCAGTGGCGTGATCTTGGCTCGCTACAACCTCCACCTCCCAGCCGCCTGCCTTGGCCTCCCAAAGTGCCGAGAGTGCAGCCTCTGCCAGGCCGCCACCCCGTCTGGGAAGTGAGGAGCGTCTCTGCCTGGCCATCCATCGTCTGGGACGTGAGGAGCCCCTCTGCCTGGCTGCCCAGTCTGGAAAGTGAGGAGCGTCTCTGCCCGGCCACCATCCCATCTAGGAAGTGAGGAGCGCCTCTTCCCGGCCGCCATCCCATCTAGGAAGTGAGGAGCGTCTCTGCCCGGCCACCCATTGTCTGAGCTGTGGGGAGCGCCTCTGCTCCGCCGCCCCATCTGGGAGGTGAGGAGCGTCTCTGCCCGGCCGCCCCGTCTGAGAAGTGAGGAGCCCCTCCACCCGGCAGCCGCCCCGTCCCAGAAGTGAGGAGCCCCTCCGCCCAGCAGCCACCCCGTCTGGGAAGTGAGGAGCGTCTCCGCCCCGCAGCCACCCCGTCCGGGAGGGAGGTGGGGGTCAGCCCCCCGCCCGGCCAGCCGCCCCGTCCGGGAGGGAGGTGGGGGGGTCTACCCCCCGCCCGGCCAGCTGCCCCGTCCGGGAGGGAGGTGGGGGGGCCAGCCCCCCGCCCGGCCAGCCGCCCCGTCCGGGAGGTGAGGGGCACCTCTGCCCGGCTGCCCCTACTGGGAAGTGAGGAGCCCCTCTGCCCGGCCAGCCGCCCCGTCCGGGAGGGAGGTGGGGGGGTCAGTCCCCCGCCCGGCCAGCCGCCCCGTCAGGGAGGGAGGTGGGGGCGTCAGCCCCCCGCCCGGCCAGCCGCCCCGTCCGGGAGGGAGGTCGGGGGGGTCAGCCCCCTGCCCGGCCAGCCGCCCCGTCCGGGAGGAGAGGGGCGCCTCTGCCCGGCCGCCCCTACTGGGAAGTGAGGAGCCCCTCTACCCGGCCACCACCCCGTCTGGGAGGTGTACCCAACAGCTCATTGAGAACGGGCCATGATGACAATGGCGGTTTTGTGGAATAGAAGGGGGGGAAAGGTGGGGAAAAGATTGAGAAATCGGATGGTTGCCGTGTCTGTGTAGAAAGAAGTAGACATGGGAGACTTCATTTTGTTCTGTACTAAGAAAAATTCTTTTGCCTTGGGATCCTGTTGATCTGTGACCTTATCCCCAACCCTGTGCTCTCTGAAACATGTGCTGTGTCCACTCAGGGTTAAATGGATTAAGGGCGGTGCAAGATGTGCTTTGTTAAACAGATGCTTGAAGGCAGCATGCTCGTTAAGAGTCATCACCACTCCCTAATCTCAAGTACCCAGGGACACAAACACCGCGGAAGGCCGCAGGGTCCTCTGCCTAGGAAAACCAGAGACCTTTGTTCACTTGTTTATCTGCTGACCTTCCCTCCACTATTGTCCTATGACCCTGCCAAATCCCCCTCTGCGAGAAACACCCAAGAATGATCAATAAAAAAAAAAAAAAGGAAGTTTTACTCTTCGGTCATACCTTTTTTTTTTTTTTTTTGAGACGTCGCTCCTTGTTGCCCAGGCTGGAGTGCAACGGCACGATCTCGGCTCACTGCAACCTCCACTTCCCAGGTTCAAGCGATTCTCTTGCCTCAGCCTCCCAAGTAGCTGGGATTACAGGCATGTGCCACCACGCCCGGCTAATTTTGTATTTTTAGTAGAGATGGTGTTTCTCCATGTTGGTCAGGGTGGTCTTGAACTCCTGAACTCAGGTGATTGCCTGCCTCAGCCTCCCAAACTGCTGGGATCACAGGCCACTGCGTCCGGCCTGTCATACCCATTTCTTAAGAGAAGTCCATGGAGTCAAAGACCAGCGTGGTAAATTGGTGGGGGCATTTCCCAGTGAGCCCTCACCTGTGGTCTCATGGAGTTATGTGATTCTTGAACACAGGAAGTCAATCTTGCCTGCCATTCCACTTTGTAGACGGGTCTCAGCATTTCCCTCTTACTGGTTGCATGGCTTTTAATACTACAAATGTTGTTTAATGTCTTCGATAAGCCCTTCATAGTGAAAATTCTCTTCACCTGCAATTTCTCCTTCACTTCCTGCACAATCACAGGCTTGGCAGTAAACCTAATTGATTTGCCATGAAGGTTGGAGAAAGCAGATGGAATCCAGAATTTCCAGATTCTTAGAATTTTATTGACTTGGAGTTGAGCATTTTAAAAGATCAGCTTGTATCTCAGTGCTTTTTTGCTTTTCATTTTGCCACAGTGTATTTTTAAAACTTTTTATTCTGAAATAATGTTAGATTCCCAAAAAGTTGCCCAAAGAGCCCGTGATGGATTTTCAAAATGAAGGTCATAAAAAAAACCCAGAAGTTATTTTCCTATCTTATTTATGTCATCTGCTCAATGCAATTATTACATGTTTTTACCAAGTTTAAACTCCTAAAATATTGACTTATATATTAACAAGAAAAGCAAACCATCATAGCAATAATATGTGGTCATGCAAATGCATATTTTTTTATTGAGGTGAGGTAGGATATCCATGGTGATTTGCCTTTAATAGATTCTCAAGAAATATTTGTTGACTGGTTTATTTAGCATAGTAGGAAAGATTTGCTGATTTATTTTCCCTCTTTAATTGAGAATTACTTCTTAACAATGGCCTAATTTGTACTTCAGTGTTAGGAAGAACTTACCAAGCACTAGTTTAAGTTTGTGGTCTTTCTAACCTAGAGTTTATTTTGGATAGGGATACCCAGTGACCTTTGTCAAATAATATGACACTTGCTCTCCAGGACATTCTCCTCAAAGGCTGGAGTGGTACATAAATATTTCTAACTTCTTCTTAGTGTCCTATTATAAATTGATCATCTACTTATTTACCTAAATCTTTCCAAACCTGAGCTGTTTGATTCATCTCAAGGAGTGACTATACTCTGTTTTACAGCATTAAGAATAGCTTACTTTTCATTGTCCTATGCCTGCCCTCCTTCATATTTTAAGGACTTCCACGTATGTTTGCACATTGTAACTTTTGTTCTATTCTCAAAGGGACAAAGAACATGTGTTTGCACACTCCAATCATGACCATATTTTCTTACAATCCATTTAACCTTTTTTTTTTTTGGACGGAGTCTCGCTCTTGTCGCCCAGGCTGGAGTGCAGTGGCGTGATCTCGGCTCACCGCAACCTCTGCCTTCTGGGTTCAAGTGATTCTCCTGCCTCAGCCTCCCGAGTAGCTGGGACTACAGGCGCATGCCACCACACGTGGCTAATTTTTTGTATTTTTAGTAGAGATGGGGTTTCACCGTGTTAGCCAGGATGGTCTCCTTTTCTCACAACTTTTAGTAGCTTAGATTTCCTTCTCTCAACAAACCAGGGAATTGCTATAATGCAGGACCTCTGTGTTAACATGCTGAAGAGTGAATTCAAAGATCTGGAGACATTTCATTAGAGGTTATCTGGGGAGAGTATAATATTGGCCTATCACATTGGTCAGCAGCCTGTTTGTAACCCCTGTCTCTGGCAGAGCTTAGTTTTTCCTATTGGAGTCGTTCAAAATCTTTCTAGTTTCTTAACCTTTTAGTCACAGTTTGGCTTTTCTGATTTCTCTGTAATTTCTGGGAAACCCTGTCAATTCCTCATCTTAATAAAGAGTCCATGAGTAGAAGCAACATTCTAGTTGCTTCCACTAGTTGCATTCTAGTAGGGGCCTTATGATTCTGAGAACTTTTGAGATATCAGTCCACATTTTTTACATTCTTTAATTTATCTGAGCCAGAGTGGAGCTGCCTTTGGAGATTACGTAGAATGTACTGATATCCATTGCATTTTCCCATATGCTGCCTTTTTTTTTTAGCCTAATCCAATTGCACCAAGATTTGTTGCTTGTGCATTATGTGAAAGCCCTATGCTAATTGCTGCAGGGGTTACAAGAGTGAATTTGATAGTTTTTGCCCTCAAGCAGTTTATGATCTTGTGGGATTAAAGACATGGCAGTTACACCAAAGCTATAATATGCAGACAAAAATAAGTATAATTTCTGTTTCCATTTTTATATCTTACTTGGGTTAAATTTATCTTAGGCTTTCTAATCAAAGCCCTGTGAAATAAAGGAGGATAAGAAGAGGAAAAGCAAAATCCCCAGGCTGACTGTACTCATCAGTTGCTGTGAATAAACTGGCTCCAAAGTATGAGATCCAGATGTTGGATTTATATCACAGCTCAGTGAATGACAAAAATCATAGTACTATGTCTTTTATTGCTTCACTATTTATATATAACCTATGATGAAGCATTAACCTTCTTTGGCTAATATTTCCTGCCCCAAAAGACCACTAGCAGGCATACAACTGTGCGCAGCTGGAATAAGCATAGCCTGAAATTCATGACAGTAAAACAGGTTGTCTTTCAACTGTCACTGTGCCACATAATGGAATGTAACAGAGATAATGCAGGAGTTGTTACAATGCAGTTTGGCTGAGACAGCCGTGATACACAGGGCCTTGTCTTTAAAATCTTTCTTTTAAAATTATTTATTTTCAATAAATTAATTCATGAAATCTTATAACGTACTCCTATGAAAAATGCAACAGTTAATGATTTCCCAACTTAGATTGGAGAAACTAAGGCACAAAGCAAGCAGCTACTTTCTTTGAAATGCCTAGTTACCAGCTAATTGCTTTGGAATGCCCAGTTAGTCTCTTAGCCAATGTTACTAATGACTAATTCTCGGTTCTTGATGACAGTTCCTCCCCAGCTCAAACATGTTCTCAGCAGATCATGAAGGACCCTGACCAATAAGTACATCTCTCCTTGTTCCATTAGAGATGCATTAGAAGTCTTCAAGGTCACCATTTGTTTGTATATATCTTTGACATCATCTTTTTGGACTGTACTTGTGGCAGTTACCTCATAGTGAGCAAGGAGAGATTCCCGACTGTATCAACACATCAGCAACTGTTACCGAAATATCACAGACTCAGGCTCTCCCATGAGGCATCTCTGGCCAAGAGGATTGCTGAAATGAGGATTGTGAGGAAGATGAGAAAGCCAATATTCTTATGAACTAAGCTTTATTTCTAATAAAAGAAAGAAAAACAAGAACAAAACATTGACTGCAGTTCAAAATCCAGCTTGTTTTCTTTACAGAGGCCATTTGTTTTAAGTTTGTCCATACAAACTCACATATTTTCTCCCTAGCTTATTGTCACATACTTCAAGAAGACAAATTATTTCCTTCTGATTTTTTCCTCCTTTTCCATGCTATTCTGTCTGCTTTGAACCAGCCATAATACTGTGGACTGAGGCATGATCTTTATCCTTATCGGGCACAGCAAATGATGCCAGGTTTATCTGGTATATCTCTCCAAGTTCTGTCTTCATAATATTTCACTTAGGAATGCAGGGAAGTTTTTCCAATCTGATTCCGTCTGCATGGAAAAGTGAGAGCGGGGAGTTGAGGCTGCAGGAGTTATTTGGCCCTTTCTCAGTGGTGTGCTGGAGCCAGCTGGCACTGGCTTGCAGGAACTGATTGTGCTCATCTCTTCTCAACTCTGCGTTCAGTAATGTCATGCTGGTAGCTTGAAATTGACCATGATGGGGGTATTTACACCATGGGAAGTGCAAATGCTACCAATCAAGTCCTTCTTTTTTTATTTTTATTTTTTCTGGAGAGCTGGCTTACCAGCACATCATTTCCCATTGTTTGTCTTGACCTAAATACAGAGGATTTCTGCCAGTGTCCATTAAAATGTCACCGCACTTCTGGCTTATTGTCAGCACAAATTGGCAACCCAAAATGAGTTAGAAAGAGATGAATTCTCTCCACCTGTCTCGTCATCAAAAGATAGCTTTGGGACAGGGCTTTATCTGTCCCATAATCTCCATGAGCAACTCTGTAAAGCTCCACCGTATAATTATTGATTTGTGACAAAAGTATGCTTTCTAAGTAAATGCAGCCTCAAGGTAATCTATGATTCCCTTGTACCTACTTCTAACCAGATTGTTCCCACTAGATCTCCTGTTCCTAGAAGGAACTTAGAAGCCATTCTGCTTCCAACTTTGGTGCATACAGTTTTACAATGGAAGCTTTTTGCAGAAGTGTCTTCTTTTTTTTTTTTTTCCTGAGACAGGGTCTCACTCTGTCGCCCAGGCTGGAGTGGCGCAATCTTGGCTCACTGCAACCTTGGCCTCCCAGGCTAAAGTGATCCTCCCCTCAGCCTCCCAAGTAGCTGGGATTACAGGCACATGCCGCTAGCCTGGCTAACTTTTGTATTTTTAGTAGAGACAGGGTTTCACCATGTTGTCCAGGATGGTCTTGAACTCCTGAGTTCAAGTGATCTGCCTGCCTCGGCCTCCCAAAGTGCTGGGATTACAGGCATGAGCCACTGTACCCAGCCTTGCAGCAGTGACTTCTGCAACTCTTATGACTTCTGTGATCCTAAGGGCCTCAAGAGCATCAGGGATTCCAGCCCTGCCATTGGTCTTAAAGAGAAAATTAACAAGAAAATCCCATTGTTTCAATTCAGTGTTCCAGTTGATCAAGGTTAGCTGGAATCTACTGTACTATGCTCCTTCACTCTTCTGAGTAATTAAAGCCCTCAAGCAGATTAAATAAGCAGAGATGAGTGTGCCTTTAGTGTGTGAGAAGTTTGAGTGGTTTAAACCTTGGAGGCTGTGCACCTTCCTGAGATTCTCTTCCTTGGTACCTTTGATAACACCTCAGTAGTATCAATGATGACGGGAAAAGTCACTCAGCAGAAATCAAGAGAGAAGGAAATGTAAGAGTGTCTCTTGGTAGCTGTCAGGACAGCATTTAAGAGCAGAGTTATTCATCCCTCCCACCCTTGGGGAATTCTAGAAATAGCTGAATAAGGGTCTTTGAGGAAAGTCTCTTGGTCCCCCATCATGGGTGGGAGCAGAGTTTGAGAGGCCATAATTTTACTGCCAGGTTACTGTATTCCAGGAAACCTGATTTTAAGTTCTCATTGTGTGAAACAGCAGAGGCATAAAAATGTGGAATCTGGGCCGAATCAAACATGATTTAATTGTTAGTTAAGTCCCTAACAATAATTTACCCATTCATTTATATTTCAAGACTTAAAGAGGCAAAGAAATCTCCAATGATTTAAAATCATCTTCTGAAGAAAAGTGAACAAATCTGTAGGGACCTCTGAATTGATATTGTACCTATGATATAATTTTGTTCTTTGAAAAAAATCAACAGCCAGAATACAGAGTACTTTTTCGATTTTTTAAAAGGCTACATTAAAAATTCACTCTCCATTTTATGAGGCCAGCATTATCGTGATACCAAAGCCTGGCAGAGACACAACAAAAGAAGAGAATTTTAGACCAATATCCCTGATGAACAGAGATGCAAAAATCCTCAATAAAATACTGGCAAACTGAATCTAGCAGCACAGCAAAAAGTTTATCCACTATGATCAAGTGAGCTTCATCCCTGGGATGCAAGGCTGGTTCAACATACACAGATCAATAAATGTAATCCATCATATAAACAGAATGAAAGACAAAACCCGCATGATTATCTCATTAGATGCAAAAAGGCCTTCGACAAAATTCAACGCCCTTCGTGCTAAAAACTCTCAACAAACTAGGTATTGATGGGACGTATCTCAAAATAATAAGAGCTATTTATGACAAACCCACAGCCAATATCATACTGCATGGGCAAAAGCTGGAAGCATTCCCTTTGAAAACTGGCACAAGACAGGGATGCCCTCTCTCACCACTCCTATTCAACATAGTGTTGGAAATTCTGGCCAGGGCAATCAGGCAGGAGAAATAAATAAAGAGTATTCAATTAGGAAAAGAGGAAGTCAGATTGTCCCTGTTTGCACATGACATGATTGTATATTTAGAAAACCCCATCGTCTCAGCCCCAAATCTCCTTAAGCTGATAAGCAACTTCAGCAGTCTCAGGATACAAAATCAGTGTGCAAAAACCACAAGCATTCCTTTACACCAATAATAGACAAACAGAGAGCCAAATCATGAGTGAACTCCCATTCACAATTGCTACAAAGAGAATAAAATACCTAGGAAGCCAACTTACAAGGGATGTGAAGGACCTCTTCGAGGAGAACTACAAACCAGTGCTCAACGAAATAAGAGAGGATACAAACAAATGGAAGAACATTCCATGCTCATGGGTAGGAAGAATCAATATTTTGAAAATGGCCATACTGCCTAAGGTAATTTATAGATCCTATGCCATCCCCATCAAGCTACCAATGACTGTCTTTACAGAATTGGAAAAAACTACTTTAAAGTTCATATGGAACCAAAAAAGAGCCCACATTGCCAAGACAATCCTAAGCAAAGAGAACAAAGCTGGAGGCATCACACTACCTGACTTCACACTATACTACAAGGCTACATTAACCAAAACAGCATGGTACTGGTACCAAAACAGAGATAGAGACCAATGGAACAGAACAGAGGCCTCAGAAATAATACCACACATCTACAACCATCTGATCTTTGACAAACCTGACAAAAACAAGAAATGGGGAAAGGATTCCCTATTTAATAAATGGTGCTGGGAAAACTGGCTAGCCATATGTAGAAAGCTGAAACTGTATCCCTTCCTTACACCTTATACAGAAATTAATTCAAGATGGATTAAAGACTTAAATGTTAGACCTAAAACCATAAAAACCCTAGAAGAAAACCTAGGCAATACCATTCAGGACATAGGCATGGACAAGGACTTCATGACCAAAACACCAAAAGCAATGGCAATAAAAGCCAAAATTGACAAATGGTATCTAATTAAACTAAAGAGCTTCTGCACAGCAAAAGAGCTTCTGCACAGCAAAACTATCCTCAGAGTGAACAGGCAACCTATAGAATGGGAGAAAATTTTTAGAATCTATCCATCTTACAAAGGGCTAATATCCAGAATCTAAAAAGAACTTAAACAAATTTACAAGAAAAAATCAACCCCATCAAAAAGTGGGCAAAGGATATGAACAGACACTTCTCAAAAGAAGACATTTATGCAGCCAAAAGACACATGAAAAAATGTTCATCATGACTGGTCATCAGAGAAATGCAAATCAAAACCACAGTGAGATACCATCTCACACCAGTTAGAATGGTGATCATTAAAAAGTCAGGAAACAACAGTTGCTGGAAAGGATGTGGAGAAATAGGAACACTTTTACACTGTTGGTGGGACTGCAAACTATTCAATCACTGTGGAAGACAGTGTGGCAATTCCTCAAGGATCTAGAACTAGAAATACCATTTGACCCAGCCATACCATTACTGGGTATATACCCAAAGGATTATAAATCATGCTGCTATAAAGACACATGCACATGTATGTTTATTGTAGCACTATTCACAATAGCAAAGACTTGGAACCAACCCAAATGTCCATCAGTGATAGACTGGATTAAGAAAATGTGGCACATATACACCATGGAATACTATGCAGCCATAAAAAAGGATGAGCTCATGTCCTTTGTAGGGACATGGATGAAGCTGGAAACCATCATTTGGAGCAAACTATCACAAGGACAGAAAACCAAACACCACATGTTCTCACTCATAGGTGGGAATTGAACAATACACATGGACACAGGGCAGAGAACATCACACACCGGGGCCTGTTGGGAAGTGGGGGGAGGGGGAAGGGATAGCATTAGGAGATATACCTAATGTAAATGACGAGTTAATGGATGCTGCACACCAACATGGCACATGTATACATACGTAACAAACCTGCATGTTATGCACATGTACCCTAGAACTTAAAGTATAATAAAAAAAATAAAAATAATAAAATAGTAAATAAAAATCTTTAAAAAAATTCACTCTCTTTGAGCCACTGTGGATGAAACCTATATGGCCTTGCATAGTAACATTTTGCAGAATTGGCTTTGTGAAAGAAATATCAATTTATTTTTAGAATAAACTAAAATAAAAGTTGACTTGGAAATAACTCATTCACCTAATCAGCTAGCATAGGCAAAAATCTTCCTAATTTCTCCAGCTCTCTCTGTGATTTATCTTTTCAATGGGAACAGTTTTGTTACTGTGAGGTCCATGCTGACACAAATCATCTACAACTCCTTCCTTTACCAAGGGCCTGGCCCTTTGAAATCACTCAGTAACAATGAAACAATAAAGTAGGTCCTGAAAATAATTCGAAAACAATAAAGTAGATCCTGAAAATAATTTCATAGGTAACATTTACATCAAGTCTGTCTTCAAACTTAGTTTTGAGTAGTAAATTTTAAAGTGACAAAGATTTACTCTAAAATCACCTTTTCAATGATACATTCATATGTAGGGTATGGTATTTATAAATATGCACTTGACAACTATTTAATAAAAACAATGGAACTATTTTGGTAAAACTGAAACAGTGTATCAAATACAGGGTATCACTAGTTTACAATCTAGGTGAAATCTATGGAGAAATAGAAAACCTCTAAGTCTTTGGTCCTGGCTAGGACTTTTGTTCAAGCAGAATCCTGCTATTTATAATCCTTAGAAGAGAAACTTTATTTTTAGACAATTCATGTATGTCACTATCTTTTGCATAGGGTACTATAAGAGATTTTTAAAAACACATTCGTCTTATCTTTTGAGGTTTTGATTTGTTTTCTTTCATATTTCTCCTTATCCTCCCACTAGTCTTTGTGTATATTCCCTTGGAGCAGAAGTGTAGAAAGGACAGAGGGGTGTTTAGGTCTGTTACCTCAGTTGGCCCAGGAGTCCAATACTGCAGGCTCCTTCTCTGCCTAGGACAGCTGGCTGTGCCTGGTGTGGGGGAAGTCCTTTGTTCATTGGCTATGCTACACCCTCACTCTGGTTTGTCAGCTGTCTGGCAAATCTCTGTCCTTGGCCACAAGTGTCATTAGATGACAGCATATGAACGACTCAAGGCAAACACACCAGTACTCCTAGAAAAGCAATTCTCAATTTATGTTCTGTGGATGGTGAGTCATGCTAGTATACTAAGAATAGGGGTGAACAGAAAACAAGGGGAAGAAGGGTAAAGGACACCCTCCCTGGTTCAAATTTGGAAAATACTAACTCTGGGCATTTTTGTTGGCTTGAATGGCAGCTGATGAAAATAAAGTGTCAACAAAATAAGAAGATAGTATTAAATTACTGGGAAAATATTTTTTCTCATGCCTACATGAGAAACAGACTTTACTGTTTATGTACATCTTAAATTTTAGACATTAAAAATTATAGGAACGTAGCCAAACTTAAAAATAACCTGTGTTTTGTACTTTCTTGATGTGTAACTATAGAACGTTCCTTGACCTTCCTCTGCCCTCATGCTCAGTATTTAGTTACCATGGCTACCGCCAAGGCTCACTTTTTCTTTTTTTCTGATGTGAATGGATAACAGTGCCGTATGAAGGACAAACTGAAGGCTGAACATGCAAACTCAGAGTGTAGTCTTATTATAACATGCAACTTTCCTGAGTTAATCTGTTGTGTTTTACAATATACATACTTATTATTTTGCTGCACTTGTCCTCCATTTTGAACTTTTCCTCCTAGGTTCACATCAAACCACAAGACAGCTATGTGTTTTTGTGCTTTTGCCTTGGCCTGCAAAGAGCTTACTTTCCCCTCTTAGGGACCAACAGGAGTACCATCTGCTGGGAAATGCTCAATCTTCAAAGCCTGCACCTCTGTCCTAATCCACAGCCATTTGTCTTTGCAAGTTTTTAATTTCTTATGATCTTAGCAGTTATTCAGGATTAGGTCTAGTTAATCCTCAGATATGAGACTGCCACTAATTTGGGAATAGGTCTAGTTAATCCTCAGATATGAGACCACTACTAAAGCATGTCCCAAGCTTTCTTTTATTTTTTAAATTTGCTTAAATGTCTGTTTTGTAGACCAGTTTTCACATGAGAAGTCATTGGGGTGTGAGCTGTTATTATATATATTTATGATGTCTTTTATACTATATACATATAATATTTGTTATAATTACTTCATTTTGTTATTTTTTTCTGTTTTTTGATATGATTTATAATACACCTAAAACATAAGGAGAGTAACATAACACATAATTTATAAATACATATACATGTTTTGGGATAAGTGATTAACTTTTTTATTTATCAACTGTCAAACAAATTTGAAAACCACTGTATTAGTCTTTTCTCACACTGCTATAAAGAAATATCTGAGACTGGGTAATTTATAAACAAAAGAGGTTTAATTGATTCACAGTTCTGCATGTCTGGGGAGGCCTGAGGAAACTTACAATCATGGCAGAAGAGGAAGCAGGCACGTCTTACATGGCAGCAGGAGAGAGAAGTGAAGGGGGAAGAGCCCCTTATAAAACCATCAGATCTTGTGAGAACTCACTCACTAACATGAGAACAGCATGGGGGAAAATGCCCCCATGATCCAATCACCTCCCACCAGGTCCCTCTCTCAACACTTGGGGATTACAATTTAAGATGAGATTTGGGTGAGGGCACAAAGCCAAACCAAATCAACCACTCTCTTAGACTATGACATTCTTGAGGAAAGCAACATGTTTTATTTTTGTGTGTGTGTCTTTGCATCCAGCATGGTGCTGGTGTGCTTGTTATGCAGTATCATGGGACACAAAAAAAGTTTGTGAAATGAAATATAACCCATAGTTTTCATGCTGAGAAAGCCTGGGGTGTAACAGTAAAAGATCAGTATCATATTTCCTTGACTTCATTTCTACCTGAACTATTATAGAACCTTCTCTTCACTTTCTGCCAGGTTAATTTAAGAGGTGGTCCCCAGGGCATGTTCCTTAGGCCTTCCAAACACTGTTCTGCTCCTGAGCTGCCTTTGAAGATTTGTTGATGCCTCTGCTACCTCTTCTGGTTCCAACAGGGACCATTCAGGAGTGCCCCCAAATCCACTTCCTGTCTCCTGCATAGCCAGTTCTTACAGAGCCTTTCCTGGTGTGCTTCTATTTATACCTGCTAGGGGCCTCAGCTTTGGCTGCATGCCTATAGAGGCATCCTGAGGAACCCATTCCCTGCTATGCACAACATTCCTTCTCCCCTTGGAAAGTAACATTGACCTTGGATCAAGCTTGTAGATGGAGCACAGCTTCTTCTTGTTGGACAATTCCTCTCCAGGACGTTTCTTTGACCACCCTACACACAGAGTTGGCCTCTTGCTTCCACCCATCCCCCTTGCATTTCTGTTTGCCATCCAGGCTTGTCTGGACTGGACCCAAACTCAATTGGTTTCGGAGGATAGATGGATAATAAACAGTGATGCTGGCAGAGTAGTTGTGTATGAAACCCCTGAGAACTAAAAATTCTTCTTTTTTTCTAAATTGAAACATGAAACTCTCTTGGTGTAGCTTTTGTTTTTCCCCTTAGGTACAGAGAAGAATTTCTCTGCAATAACAAAAAAACATAGTGCAAACATAGTAATAAACACATGGCAATTGACTCTTAGGGCTAAAGAGGTAATAGTGAGTAATAAGGATTGTGGTAAACTAGCTAGTAAATGCTCCATCTAAATGGATAAGCTACTACCCAACTCCAGCTAAATGTAGCTATGCAGGACTAAAGGTCAAGTGGTGCCAAATATTCTGACTTTTTCAACAAAATCTAAATGGATTATTTGTGAAATCTGATATAAAAATGTCTCATTAAGCACACACACACTGAAACCATGTCTGCAAAGAAGGTTTGGTCAGTTGGGCATCATTTTGTAATCCACAAGTCTAAACTCTCAAGCAGGGACCCTGCTGGAAAATGAATGATAATGTGGCATATAATCCTTTCATGGAAATAATTACAGTTAATATTATTTTTATCCAACTAAGACAAGTATTTCTAGTTTAACTTTGAGAAGGCAGAGTTGCTGGTTGAAATAGGTAGATATACTGGGGCTGGGGCTTCTTTGCAATTTTCTGGACTTAGTCCTACTTTGTCCTAGAGCATTTTTTCTCCATGTTTGGTCTTGGGACTAACAGCATCAGCATCACCTAGAAACTTGTGAGAAATGCAAATTCTCAGGCCCCACCCCAGTCTCACAAATTCAGAAACTGGAGGTGGTGACCAATAATCTATTAACAAGCTCTCCAGGGGATTCTGAGGTACACTGAAGCTTGAGCACCACTGCCCTAGGCTTTTAGAGGGAGCTTTTCCACTTGCAGTATGCTCCTGGAGCCCTGCAGGCTGGTATAGTCTTGGTACTCCTGCTCCTCCACCCTCAACACCAGGTTTTAGAAGCAAAGATATGCCTGATATGTGAACCGTGGGTTCAGCTTGGCTTTCCAAGAAAGTAATATTGGACTGAGACTCAAACAAGGAGGCTGGCACTTAGCAAAGAAAAGGGGATTTGAGAATTAAGTATGTTGAGAGGGAAGAGGAGGAAAAAGATATGTCTGCTGTGTTCTTCTTCCCCTCCTTCTGCCAGGGCTTATTTCACAAAGAAGAATAAGCTAGCGATATGATTTAAAGAAAGACCTTCCTCACTCTTCCTTCAACCCACCCTCTTTAAAAATGGCTACTTCTATTTTAATTTCAATCAAAAATCCTCTAGTGTTAACAAACAAAGACAGTGAGGAATATACAGTTACAGTAGTCATGCTGCCATGTGATTTAAATTTAACCAACTTGATTTCTCAACACCATTCTGTAATTCTGGAAGAGTGAGAGTTCAAAAGGATATGAGGGGTCATGTTTGGGCTTGGGGCACATTTCAAGGAAGTGAGGGATAGAGAGGCCTCTTCAAAAGCAGAATATCACTGGGATTTCATTTTAAAATTTTAGAGAAAGCATAGAAGAGGAGCATGGAAGGGAAAATGAGAAATGTGTCTAAAGTAAGGAGGTTAGGTGGGGCAGAGAGAGACGCAATCGATAGTTTTGGGGCAGAGTACTCCTGTACCATTCCCTCTTAATGAGAGGTCCTCACCAGCCTCCTCTGAGAGGAGCTGTACAGTCATTTCATTGTTGGAAAGACTGAATGAACTCTGGCTGCCTCCAGGCCCCATATGAGTCTTCTTGCTTTTCTTTTTCAAAATTAGAAAAAGAAGAATAGTGATGAGACTTAAAGGAAAATTTCTTTGCATGCATAGCCTGAAAGTCCTATAGTACTTTATAGTTTATAAAACTGTAACCAGTATTATATTTCAAAGTTAAGATACATGTAAAAGTCAGGGGCACAAGGCTAATGATTGATTTTTTATGACTGAATTCAACTTTGCTCTTTACTTACCTGTCCTATACTCCTTCCTTGTAATCCTTGCCAGAGGTAGAGAACTTAATCTATATATTTTCCAGTAAAATTTTATCTGGTGATTATTTTGTTGTTATTACATTCATGTATAAGTCAATCCTAGACCAAATCAAAATTCCATTATCGTCTTTCCTTTGCCTTCTCCCAAGCTCTCCTCCTTTATATCTTGGGGTATCACACAAACACTGAACATCAGTGTTGGGGAGTGGGAGGGAAGTTTGCTAGCATGGTAGTCTGGTGGAAGTAATGGGGGAAACACATCCAGTATCTAGTTTAGACTGGTTTCCCTGCTGCCATCGGGACTGGTTACATAATTTGGAGGGTCCCGTGCAAAATGAAAATGTGGGGCTGCTTGTTCAAAAATAAGAATTTCAAGATAGCTACAGCAGAGCATTAAACTGAGTGCAGGGCCCTGTGTAACTGTAATGGGTCACATGCCTGTGAAGCCCATCCTGCCTGTATCCTCTGTTGTCGTCTCTCAGCTTGGCCTCTGTTGAAGTAGTGCCCATGGTTCTTTCTTGTAAAATGCCCCTATCTCTACTGCTGTCTTGGAATCCCACCATAATTCACACAAAGGCTGCAGAGTCCTTCAAGTGTAGCTGTGCCTTCCATTTCAGCCCCAGTTTGGGTGACTGCTTGAAGCCATCTGCCTTGGTGACTCTCCTGTTAGCATGTCAGCTGCCTCTCCAAGCTACCTTCCACTTTTGCTGGGCACGTGGCCACTTCTGTATCTCCTCTGTATACTTAGTGGGCATTCATCGCTATCACCTCCTTTCTACAGTCACATATGGCTAGAACTGTATTTCCTGTCTGCATATCCCATGGCATGGCCAATGTCAGCGGAATCCTACTCTCAATTTTTACCCATGAAACAGAATGTCGGGTTCTTCCACCTTAGATTCCTCAAACTTTGTGGGAGAACCCTTTTATGTTCATGTCCTCTTTTGGTTTATCTGGAAGAGAAGAAGTGGCATTTTTTTTTCTTCTCTCTTATTTTCAGTCATTTTCTAATTACTGTAAACCAGAGGACAGAATGAGGAGTGGCAGAAACCATTTATATTTCTCCCAGTTTAAATACACTCATCATTTCTGTCACATAGTCTCGATCAGGGTTGGCAAACTAAGAACTAAGAGTCAACTCCAGCCACACCCATTCATGTATGTATTGTTTGTTGCTGCTTTTGTGCTACAATAGTACAGTTGAGTAGATGCAACAGAGACCGTATGGCCTGCAAAGCCTAAAATATTTAATGTCTGCCTCTTAAAGAAAATGTTTGCCAACCCCTGTGCTAGATGCTCACAGTTGAGAGTAAAGTAGTTTTGTCCCTGGTGCTACCTATATGAGGATAATGAGAGGTATTTGATGACTCCAATAGTTAATCTAGCATTGGTTAATGCTTCTTGCCTTAATATTTCTAGTAAATACTTTCACATACATATGGAGAGTAGAACAGGCATTATGATTTCACATACATACACAGTGGGTAGCACATCTAATACTTTATTGTCCTCATTTTACAGATGAGGACACTGTGGGTTGGAGAGTTAAGTGACTTGTCCAGCATTACAGAATACATGTGTGGGGTTAGGGATGCAGCTCCTTTGATTCCTTGGGGTTAATGGCAAACATCTCTAGGAGGATTCAGCATGTTAAGGAAACAAATGCTAAGGATGTTGATGTATGAGGTGATGAGACACCTTAAGGCCAGTGTGGAGCTGGGTGTGTGCTGAGGTAGGGTGGCTGGAGGGTAGAGAAGATAGGAGTCTAAGAGCCATTATGTGTTTGAAAACATTATTCCAAAAGGTGATGACTCATTTTCTTATATACTTCCTGCCCACGCTGAATCTGAAACTTCTGCATTGTGGCATGACATTTTAGATAAAAGAAATTTCTAGCGCACCTTAATTAGTTCATCACAAAGCTCTTCAACTTTATGGCTCTTGTCAGCCTTGGCATTCACATAGCAACTAAGTTTATGCTGATTGCTTGACAGTATTCAGAGTGATAAACATCTTTAAACATCAAATAAACATCTTTGACAATCATGTGGTTTCAGTTGCATTCACAGGATGTGTTTTAGTAGGAATAATTTTTACATTTCTCCTTTCTTGGTTTATGTAGTAGCTATGTCTGTTTTCAATTTAGGCTGTATATGCTTTGATTTAATCTAAGACAAGGGATCTCAGGGCCAATTAGAAGAGACAGAAGTTGGGAGAAGTTCAAAAAAGACACAACTTGAGTTCATACATTACAACTGATTTTAAGTTATTCTTTTATGTTATGAAATGCTCTAGGGATTTGAAAGTAAAGGCATTTAAAGGATACCTGAATATAGTTGACGTGTGTACAGGCGATTAGAACACATGAAGTCATAAGCAGCACACAGATGGGGTGATCTGTGCTGTATTTAATTTTTTTTCTTTGTCAGCATAAAGCAATGATATCATCCAAATCACAGCATGTCTTTCACCCCATGGAGGTTAACTTGTTTTATGAACATTGACCATCAACTGGGATTTGCCTCACATTTCTGGAAAATGCAATAAAGTTGGGAATATTTGCTATATAAAGACAAATATTTTTCTATCAGGAAATTTTGTACAGTTGGCTTAATAGAATAATTAATCCACAGACTAGAATTTTTAAAATTCAGTTACTTTAAAAAAACAGTTCTACTCATCCAGTTGTCATAAAATGTTTCTGTTTCTGGAGTCTTAATGACTTTTCCAATCCAAGAAGTCAAAAGTCAAGACTGTGAGGGCAAAGTTACACTTCACCTCCTTTGAAAACCTCAAGTATTGAGGAGTAGAAAGGCAGTGTGAGGAAGAAATGGGGAAAGAGAATGTGGTCTTAGAAGAAAGAGTTATTGCACAAATAAAAGAAAAAATTTTATTGGAATAGTGGGATTCTTTATCATTTATTATTGTTTGAGACTTCTTGGGGGATGCTATGCCCTGTGACTAAACTTATTTCAGCCCATGACAAGGTGACTGTAAATGCATTTGTATTGCAGTAGTATTGATGTGATGGCTAAAGCTTCCATTCAGACTTCTTGCACATGGAGAATCCAAACAGACCTGTGTTCTAGCTCAGGCTTTCCCAGGTGCTGGCCATATTGTTTGGGCAAATGGCTACAAGTCTGTAAGCCTCATTTTCCTTATAAGAAGTATAATTATAGTACTTGCTTTAGCAGGCTGTTATCAGTGTGTCAGGAAATGATTGGTGCAAAGGTAATAGTGGTTCCAGTCCATGAATTTTAAATCATTAAAACTAAGCTCAAACACATCTTTATTAATCAAAATAGGGATGATTACAATCAATACATTTTTGCCAATGAGAAATAAGTTTGTTTAATCCTGTAGCATAAAAATCCATGCTTCAGGATTCGATAAACTCTTGGAAAGCATTTTCTGGATCCTGCTGGTTGTGGAAGTGTTTTCCCAGCAAAAAGTTGTCAAGATGCTTGAAGGAGTAGTAGTAGGTTGGCAAGAGGTCAGGTGAGTATGGCGGATGAGGCAAAACTTCATAGCCCAATTTGTTCAACTTTTGAAGAGTTGGTTGTGCAATGTGTGGTCCGGCATTGTTGTGAATAACTGGGCCCTTTCTCTTGACCAAGGCCAGCTGCAGGCATTACAGTTTTCAGTGCATCTTATCGATTTGCTAAGCATATGTCTCAGATGTAACGGTATCGCTGGGATTCAGAAAGCTGTAGTAGCTCAGCCAGGCAGCAAACCACCAAACAGTGACCGTGACCTTTTTTTGGTGCAAGTTTGGCTTTGGGAAGTGCTTTGGAGCTTCTTCTGAGTCCAACCACTGAGCTGGCCTTCACCGATTGTCGTATAAAATCCACTTTTTGTTGCGCATCACAATCAGGTCGAGAAATGTTCAATGTTATTGTGTAGAATAGAGAAATGGTTCAATGCTATTGTGTAGAGTAAGAGAAGACAGCACTTCAAAATGACAAATTTTTAAATTTTTGCTCAGCTCAGGAGGCACCCACTTATCAAGCTTTTTCACCTTTCCAATTTGCTTCAAATGCTGTACAACGTAGAATGGTAGACGTTGAGTTCTTCAGCAACTTCTAGTGTAGTTGTAAAAGAATCAGCTTTGATAATTGCTCTCAATTGGTCATTGTCAACTGATGGCCAGCCACTGTGCTCCTTTTCTTCAAGGCTCTTATCTCCTTTGCAAAACTTATTGAACTACCACTGCACTGTATGTTTCTTAGCAATTCCTGGAACAAATGTGTTGTTGATGTTGCCAGTTGTCTCCGTTGCTTTACTACCCATTTTGAACTCGAATAAGAAAATCCCTCAAATTTGCTTTTTGTAACATCATTTCCATAGTCCAAAATAAATATAAAATAAATAACAAGTAATAATTGATTAGCAAAAAAAGCAAGAAATGTACATTAAAATGATGTATAACAAACCATTTATTTAAGAATGTATTCCAATATCAAATGGCAAATTTCAACAATGCAAAAACTGCAGTTGCTTTTGCACCAATGTCTATCAGGTGGTTAAGCCACTGCTCAGTGCATCATAAGCTCTTCAGTTAATGTCAGCTATTATTATTGCAAACAAAGGTAATATTTAAGAATAATTCAGCAAATAGAGACTGCTGAGATAATGCCTAAGGTACTTGTCTTTCTGGCTACCAATAGGCTTGTTTTGTTAGTGGCAGGAAAATGGCTGATTCTTATTCAGTTCTGAGCCTGATGAAATACAGGAAGAAATTCTAGTCCTGGCTAACTAGGAGTCTGGTAATTTTCCAGACATTTCGAAACTTTAATTAAACTAAATGGTGACATTCCCTTTTCTTCAGAGGCCAGATGGTATTACTAAAATGTCTGAAAAAAATTATAGTAATCAAGTAGAAAAAGTAAAGGTAAAATTTACCAGAAAACAAAAGAACTTTCATAATCACTTAAGTGTGAGGGTCTTACTCTTTTTGTTTAATCAATGATTATATATTACATGCTATGTCTAGTAGTGACAGTGACATCAGAATTATAATAATAAAGAATTATAAATATAAAAATATTTTAACATGTACTTGAGGTTCAAGGATGAATCACTGATGTTGAAAATGCCAGAAAAAATTATGTCATTATGTCATCACCACTGTATATAACAGTATATTACTAGATAGTTAAATGCTTTTCTCTTTTGTATAATTGAAAGTAACCTTTTTCTGTGATTGAAGTAAAAAGGAAAAAAGTTAAAAACCCTGTTATAGATACTGGAAGTGAGTATAAATAAGTGAAGTGTAATACCCACGCTGTAAGATCACAGATCCTGAAGTCATGGGATGTGTTTAGGAAATACTCATGAGACATGAGTCCTGGTTCCAACTATTCCATTGATCAGCCGTGTGACTCTGAGCCTCAGTTTCCTCAGTCGTAGGAGTAGACGGGCTAGCATGCTAGTTATTTTAGGAAGATAAAATAGAAACGCTATTCTTATGCAAAGTTATTTGCACTCTAGATGAGTCAACAAGATTAATACCAGGAGCCATTCAAGAACCACGCTAGACAGTATTACTAAGCCCTAAATGGGTGATACAAACTAGATGTGCTACGGGAGTTTAGCAGAGGAAGTCAGTACGAGCTGAAGTAGGGAAGAGAGATGTTGTGGAGGGACAGTGAGGAGGAGTAGTGAGGAAGGGTGCTGATGTTTCAGGCTCAGTGACAAGGATATAGTACAAGAAGTTCCAGCCTCAAGTTTGAGGGATCCGGTTGAATCTTGCGGTAACCACCCAGGACTCAAGTCTCATGAGTATTTCCTAAACATATACCATGACTTAAGGATCTGGGACCTGTGTCCTGGTTACCCTGTTGCCCTGTGGAGCCGATACATCCCTAGCTTTAGAGTAATTGGGAAAATTCAAACAATTTGCATCTCTTTTACTTTCTACACTGCCAGCATTTAGATGCCCAAGTACGTTCCCACTCATCTAACCACTTTCCATCCTGCAAAATTGTGTTGACATCTCTCATCCTCATCTGCTGTCATTTATACTCCTATTTTCTCTGTCATCTTTTGTTTCTTTATTTTTATTTTAGTGTGTTTCAGCAGAGAGTGGAAATAAATGCAAGTTTTAATTCACCATGTTTATCCCAAAGTGCACGTTACTATCATGAAAATTTTATTATTTTAGTGTTAGAAATCTCTCCAAATATTGCTAATTGCTTTTGGCATCTGTTAACAACAAGTGTATCTAAATATTTCTCCTTTCTAATTATATTTTATCTAGTTACTTTAATTGGAAGCAATGAGTTCTATAAACCTATATTCTAATATGTAAAATGTTATAAATTCAAACCGTCAAATGGTGTCTATCAATTGGTATTTCAATGATTTGAAGAAGTCTTATTAAATGTCCTTAAACAGATTATGTTTGGGGCAATAACAATAATATAAGCAAGTGTGAAAAGTGCCAAGTAATTAATACAGAGAACAAGCAAATGTACAAAATTACCCAGGAAGGAGAAATGGCACATGTTGGAATAGTCAGACGAGGCCTGAAGAGTACAAGGGAAGAATAGGCCATTTTAAGAAAGAAATTCATGAGTGAAGATATAAAAATAAAATATACCAGACATAATTTGTAATCAGTGACTAAACAAACATGATAAATGTATGGGAGGCATTGAAAGGTAAGACTGGAAATACAATTTTTTGGAAAGTGGAGGATCTTGAATAGTAGGTCATGGCTAGTGGAATGGAAAGTAGAGGACAGCTACCGGACACATTATGATAGAAGAGTCATCAATGTGGGGATTTTAATTAAAATGTTGGTAAGAAAGGTTACCATCTATCACCATTCAAAGTTTAAAACTCAAATTGTACATTCTTTTAGACTCCATGCTAATTTTAAAAGATTTCTTATTTCATGGCAGTTCCCTGATCTATTCTCTTGTTATTTTTTGTCTTTTTTTTTTTCTGGAAATTTTTCTGGGCCTACTGGTATTGTTCTTGAAGGATATTAAACAGAACGTCATAAAATATTTCACCATAGTTTTAAGCTGGAGTAGAATAATATTTTTCTATTTGCCACAGTATGATATTTTCCTTGGCCTTTTCATGACAACATCACTGCAGTGACTCCAAGAGAATCCCTTTCTCTGAATTCTAACATTTTGTGAAATTACTTACAGGAATTTTCAATTAGTCTGAATAGATCTACCCTAATAGGATAAAAAATACTTTAAGTAAAAACCTTAGTTATTTTTTAGGATTTAATAAATGTAGGTAATTAGAAGTAAAACAAATATTTTACGTGGCTTGTTGCATAAATGGGATGAAGACAAGAAAGGAAAATTTAGAGGCAACTTGGGAACATTTCTGAGCAATATATGCTATAGAATACGTGATAACCTCATGAGAAATGTTTGAACATTTCGTGAGTTGGGATATTTATATGCGGATTTAACCAATAAGATAACGCACACAGGAAGTAATCTGGCATTGATAGGGAATAAACTAGTTGATTTAATTGGTCTTTTGCATCTGAAAATTCACTGATGACATAAAACTAGAACAGATGTTTTCTTTTTGAGTTTTGGGTGCCTTGGGTATTGTCATTTATGTGTAAGAGAAAGAGTCAGGACAGTTCTGTGGTAATGTTCTGGAAGCTCCACTTGCAGCAGGCCTTTTGCCAGGCCACCTTGTAAAATCTCGGCTTTTTTGTAATTATGTGCTTTCCTTTTTTGCTATGATAATTTTTCCTCATAATTCTATAATTTTAAAATAGAAATTAAGTATATAAAATTATTATGGCATCTCATTCTATGCACTAGGTAGGTTCTTGAAAATATATATAGATAAAATAAAACCAGGAACAGACAGGGGTTGGATACCTGAGAAGCATAGCAAAGATGCCAAAGCCTAATTTATACAGAAAAGAAGTTTTTGTTGGTGGTGGGATGGGGAGTATTTTGACCAATGTTGAATCACAACACAAAAATACAAATCTGGAAAGGAGCAAGAGCAAAGGTGAGAGTGCTAGGGAGAAAATTCAAGGTCAAGATTTGCAAGAGCTAAGGAAGTCTGGGAACTAGAATTTCTGTAGACATTTTTTGTTTCCTTTTTTTTCTTTTCTTGTTCAAATGCTCTAGAAATACTTGTTAATTCAGCATAAATGACTAAAAGGCTTTACATTTGCTTATTCCTGTGATATTTTTCATCTGACAGTATGCTCTGGCATTGTCCAATTAATGGGAGGCTGCAGGGGGTGGGGGGGACGCAGATGAAAAGGAGAGAGGACCATAGATAAAAGAGGGAGGCTCAGAATAACATTTGATCTTTCTTTTCTTCACACTCTAGTTAGCAAATTCCGTGTAAATTATTGTTGACTACTATGAATGGAAAAGTAAGTATATTTTATGAACTATGTTAAGATAATTTGCTTATCAAAGAGAAGCATCTGTGCTCCAGTTAACACTGATTTTTTAAAAAGGGTTATAAAACGTGATTTGAATCTTCAGTTTATTTATATATTTTTCTTGGGGAGAACCTTTTTTTAAAGGATATACACTGGGATGATTTGAAGGCATTCTTGGCTTCTTTCAGAAAATGCTATCTACACACCTTAAACTTGCAGCCATGCAATCAACTGTAGGAAGCCTAAGGAGTTCTGGATGCCTTTTCTGTTACCTGCCTGCTACCCTTGTAAGCACAATAGACAGGATTTGGCCAACACTGATGAAGTGTTTACTATTGTTCAGCTCCAGGGCTTTTAACACAATGAGTCTGTAATTGTCCCTGTTCAGACTTTACATCCTGTTTTCATAACTGTACCCTTAATAATTGACCAGATTGCTTCTCAGGAAGACTTTTGAATGATTCATCATCTTAGAAGTTCTGCAGAAGGTTAATTATTTCAGAAAACATATTATTGCTGAGTAACCTAATTTAAATTGCTATGTGAGTGTTGCAAGAGTGTCTGTGGAGGAAGACATATATATGGATTTCTCAAATTTTGTTATGTGAAGTGAGAAAACATCTTAGCATTTGTAGCTTTTTCTCTTTTTTGAGACGGAGTCTTGCTCTGTCGCCCAGGCTGGAGTGCAGTGGCACAATCTCGGCTCACTACAACCTCTGTCTCCCAGGTTCAAGTGATTCTCCTGCATCAGTCTTCCTAGTAGCTGAGATTACAGGCGCACGCCACCATGCCCAGCTAATTTTTGTAGTTTTAGTAGAGACGGGGTTTTGCCATGTTGGCCAGGCTGGTCTTGATCTCCCGACCTTAGGTGATCCACCCACCTTGGCCTCCTAAAGTGCTGGGATTATAGGTGTGAGCCACCGCGCCTGGCCTCTGACTTTTTCTTGATCCCCTGATTTATCAGGGATAGCCCCTCTTCCAATTAGCATATGTTTAAGAACTTCGAGGAAAGCCGTAAGGAAAGCTGTATAGTGGGTTAGTATTTAGTGTCCGACCTGAGTTCAAATTCTAGTTTTTCTCTCCACTAGGAGTAGCTGTGTGATACAGGAAAAGATATTTAATTTATTTAAACCTCAGTAGCTTCATCTATAAACCTGAGAGAAATAGCACCTACTTCACAGGGTTGATGTAAATACTAAACAAGGTGCTGTATGAAAAATGCTTCCTATACTGTGTAACACTTAAGAAGCAGTAAGTGAGAGCTATTAAAAATATGAAGAGTATAAATGTCACTAAATGTGACACATGCAAGTCCATTATTGCTTGGATGTTTTCCCCCTCCAAAATAGAATAAAGCATTTTAAAGTGTACATTATTTATAGCAGACTTAGTTATTCTTTTGAGAAATTATGTTTATCTTCCTCATAGATGCTAATTCCTTGCTAAAACATTCTTGATTCATTTGTTATTGCTGAGTACTTTTGTATTCCTGAGATAGAACAGGTGCTGATTGCTGACTTCATTGTGAAGATAGATAGAAGACCTCATTTATCTAACTGAGAAAGGACTAAAAATCTTTATGTTCATGCCAAAGGAAAAGTAATTAATGTGAAATTTCAATATCAGAAAAGAAAAATATTTGTTAAGACAAAATTAACCTCATGGGTCTACCACATGAAATTTTCCATCAGCCAAAGTGAATTAATGTGGAAGGGAATAGGAGACTAAAGCTTTCAACCTGAATAATGATATAAAATAATTACATAATTCTAAAATGGGTGGAATTTTTTGTGTAAAAGCCATTAATATAATACTATAATAAACTTTATTTTAAAATATTAATTTCAGAATGAAATTTTTAGAAAGAACTAATATAAAATTGATACTAATAGATTATTTTCTGTATGTTTGCAGATATAATTGTGATTGAGTAAATGCATGTAACATAATACAATCAGATTTAAATACTGTGTAAGATTAAGCACTTCCTGTGCTTTGGGAACTATTGTCTGGGATTTCTGTTAACTCATGATTTAATGATTTAAATTAAAGTTGTCAAATCAATATTTGGTATGTCATCTCAAAGAGCTTTAAGATCTTATAGAGAAAATTATTTCAGATAAAAAGAATTCACATGTGGTATGAAGTCGTACAGAATCACAATTCAGTTAGGGAAGTCCATGTGTCTTAACTGTGAGCCATAACAGGTCATGAGTTAAATTTGAAACTCTTTATTCATCACTTCTTTTTTTTTTTTTTTTGGATTGGGGCTTTAGTCAGTCCATTCTGCCCACAAATAAGCTGTGATAAAATACAGTAGGTTTGTTCCAAAGTGCCCTGGCTTCCATTACAAAGAAACTTCTATTCTTTGTTGACTAGGGAAACCCAAAAGATACTCTAAAATTGGGAACTAATCATTGAGTGAACCAGAAAACAGGGTGCTAGCATCAAGAAATATTCCTTTGGTTTATATTGTTAAAAGCTGGGGTGCTGTAGAAAGTTCACACACACATAAAAGCGTCCATTTGCTTACGAGTTCAATTTTTAAAAAAACAGCATTAATGTAGATTTCAAGATTCATTGGAAGAATTGGATATTCACTATCTGAAAGGAAACATCACACTGTGTTAATTTTTGTGTTACAAACCTAATGTTTTTAAAAAATCTTTCCTTAGTTTCTTAAGTATGGTTGGGTTCATAAAGGAAATTTACTTTCATATAACAAAGTCCCTATATTTTATCTGGAATTAGTGATGAAAATCTTTTTGCTTAGCTGTTCATGGTAAGGGCTATTTATACTGTGAGTTTTTAAATAAGCCCATGAGCTAATCTACTATATTTAAGGGTTTAGGCAAAATTTGAAATACACCCCACAGGATATTAGAGCTCTCTTCACAGCACTTTGAGACCTAGCCTGTGAGTTCGGTGTGTTTGTTTGTAACATACCTGTTGGTAGAATTCTTTTGCTCAGAGACTGACAGAGAAACTGTAAAGCATTCCTCATGGGATGACTTGAATGTGCTTCTCATGGGACAAGTTAATATCTTAGCTGCTGCTTTGTCTTTTTTCCTTATTTTACCTCAAAATACTGTTTTAAGTTTTGATTTTGAAATTGATTCATTTTCTCCCAATTCTTTGTGCTCTTATTACTGTAAATGACATTAAAAGACCTGATTTTAAAATAGAGGCTATGGGAAAATAGAATCGCATATCACTAAAAATGACACCACCCTCCTCTTCCCTTTGCTTTTCCCTTTTCCTCTGTCCATTTTAAGCCCCCACCCTATGTGGGCTTTTTTTTTTTTTTTTTTTTTCCACACTGTGACATCCAACTGGCTCCTGGCAGGGTTTCAGGTTTGATTTTTCTGATAAATAAATAAACTTTTAATTTTATCTTAGAACAGTTTTTATTTATTTATTTTTATTTTATTTTAGAACAGTTTTTATTGATTTTTATTTTATTTCAGAACAGTTTTAGATTCCTAACATTATTACAAAGCTAATACGCATATGCCCTACACCCAGTTTCCTCTATAATTGACATCTCCATTAGGATAGTATAGTACGTTTGTTACAATCAATGAACCAATATTGATATATTATTATGGGGGCTATGTAACAGCAATATGACTTAGCACTATTGATACTGACCTTGATCATTTGGCTTGAGGGGTTTGTCAGGTTAAAATCTTACTTTCATTTTTTCTGAAGACCATCAAAGGGGTTTCCTGAAAATTTTAATGACATGTTAATTTGATTTTTCCTTATTGGCGATGTGGTAAAGCTGCTATAAGTTTCTAAGTATTTAGGCAAAAATAATTTTGATGGTGGTAAAGAACATCTTATCTTTTTTTATGTATGTGTTGTAGGTGGGAATGAGATCTCGAAACCAAGGTGGTGAAAGTGCATCTGATGGGCATATCTCCTGTCCCAAGCCCTCCATCATCGGCAATGCTGGTGAAAAAAGTCTCTCAGAAGATGCAAAAAAGAAGAAGAAATCAAATAGGAAGGAGGATGATGTCATGGCCTCAGGAACTGTCAAACGACACCTAAAAACATCTGGAGAATGTGAACGAAAAACTAAGAAATCCCTGGAGTTATCCAAAGAAGACCTCATCCAACTACTCAGTATAATGGAAGGGGAGTTGCAGGTAGAGTCAAACTTTCCCAACTGTTATTGTGTCTTTGGTTTCTAAGCTATAAAATAAGAGAATGTAAATCTGTTCCCCTCTCTGAGTAATGAACTTTATGGGGAAAGGAGAATGTTTCCCTTATTTCTAAATCCCTAGTGCCTGGCACAAGTTTGCACTAAATAAATATTTGTTGAATGAATGCTAAATGAAAAAGTGCTGATTCCAACTTCAAACTTCTCTAGAAGCAGAAAATTTCTTCATTATATGATTTTGGTGGTGATTTAATACAGATCCTTTCGGTCAGTAGGTAATCAATTAGGTTATCTAATTTAGACATTGACTGTGACTGAAAAATGTAGAAATGCAGTGATTATTAAAATGGAGAGTTCAGGTCAATTGCTAATTTTGCTTTTTTCTAGGAGGTAGAGTGAAAGAGAGAAGGAGAGATAGAGGTAAATAAGGCTTTGTTGAAACCAGCCTTATTGCCCAGTCTTTTCTCTCTTTTTTTAACTTTCAGTCTCAATATTCTACAACATCATAGGAATTGAGATGCACACAAATAAGCAGAGCATTGCATTCATTATGAAGAACCTAATAGTTTCCTAAGCATTTTCACATCCACTATCTCGTATGATCACAATAAAAATGTGGGTATCATCTGTATTTTATAAATGAAGAATCTGAGGCCCAGAAGGATTGAAGGTTTGTCCGGATCTCATCTCAGGCTTCCTGATTCTTCGTCCTATGCTCTTTCCTCTGCCCACCCCCACCAATCTTATTTAGTTGCCATGAGCCATGTCCCTCCCTCCCATTAAATCTATGTTTCTAGGGACCCAGGAGGCAGGCAGGAAGTGAGGATTCTTCTGAGTTTCTGAGCCCTGAACAATTATATTTCTGGAAGTAGAGGAACAATACTTTTTTTTTTTTTTTCCTGGAGAAGATGACTTAAAGAGTGGAGCTACTGTTTTCATTTTTGTTTTTATTAGTTTCTTAGCTTGCATGAGCCTTTGAAGGAATACTATTAGGTTGGTGCAAAAATAATTACTTTAACAATTGCATGAAATAAAATCCTTGTTGGCTTATGGGTGCTGTTAGCTTTAGTGAGGTAATTGGCAACCTACTCTAAACTAGGGTGGGTCACTCTGTTCCTGTTATCATCTGTGTGTGCATACAGATAAGGAAATCCCTGGGGTAAAGAAAAACAAACAACATACAAAACTCAAGTTTAAACAAACAAACATGATTGAGCTTACCATTTACAGACTGAGAAAAATCACATTGGCATTTCACAGCAAAAGATAAAATTTTCTAGAGCAGCCACTGTTACTAAAAATAGCTTCACCACTCCCAGAAATGTGGTTAGTGTTTTTGTCTATTAACATTGGTTGTGTACAGAGGCAGAATTACTTTACCTTTTAAGCTGCCCCCAGCCGAAAGCTATTGACCTGAGTGAAAGGTACAATTTTTGCCTTAGAAACCTTTACAAAACTACATCATTAGCTCACTTTTCTCCATCCATAAAGGCTCTTGGGAAGTCCGTGGCTCTTGCAAACTCTAATTTCTGCGTAATGCTATTACATCATGGTGAACTCTGGAAAGTATTTAAGATTCATGTGGTTTTTATGTTTATAGTGGTGCTAGATAAGGTTTCAGATCCTAGATATGCAAAATATAAACTCACACTTCTGAAATATTAAAGAAATTAGTCAGATGGCTCCAAAGAAATGCATTTTGCTTTCCATTAATCTTTATAAATACAATATACCTACATTACACAATAGATATATTCTTGAGCAGCTATCAATAAATAAAAAGTGCAAGACATCATTTATGTGGGAGGCAGTGAAGAGAAGGATAATGAAGGACCTGGTATTTTAAGGAATTCCCTGGTGAATTCATTTGCAAAGCAGATAATCTATTCCATATATATATGCACACACACATATACAAGTCCATATATATAAACATATGTCCTTGTAAATGCAGATTTAGCTATGTTAGATTTGTTTAAAATGAGAAAGCTCCTATATTTAGAACTATAGATATATATTCTTGTAGTAGTAGACACTTGTCTTCTAGTAGCATTGTCATATGGGAGGTGTTGTAGCTAAGAGTGGGAGGGAGTTAACATTAGCAAATGTGGGTGGACTGGTAAAAATGTAGAAGTTATCAGCCATCATACTGAATGGGCAAAAGCTGGAAGCATTCCCTTTGAAAACCGGCACAAGACAAGGATGCCCTCTCTCACCACTCCTATTCAAGATAGTATTGGAAGTTCTGGCCAGGGCAATCAGGCAAGAGAAAGAAATAAAGTGTATTCAAATAAGAAGAGAGGAAGTCAAATTATCTCTGTGTGCAGATAACATGATTGTATATTTAGAAAACCCCATCGCCTCAGCCCAAAAACTCCTTAACCTGATAAGCAACATCAGCAAAGTCTCCGGATACAAAATCAATGTGCAAAAATCACAAGCATTTTGATACACCAATAATAGACAAACAGAGAGTCAAATCACAAGCAAACTCCCATTCACAATTGCTACAAAGAGAGTAAAATATCTAGAAATACAACTTACAAGGGATGTGAAGGACCTCTTCAAGGAGAACTACAAAACACTGCTCAAGGAAATAAGAGAGGACACAAACAAATGGAAAAACATTCCATGCTCATGGATAGGAAGAATCAATATCATGAAAATGGCCACACTGCCCAAAGTAATTTATAGATTCAATGCTGTTCCCATCAAGCTACCACTGACTTTCTCCACAGAATTAGAAAAAACTACTCTAAATTCCATATGGAACCAAAAAAGAGCCTGCATAGCCAAGACAATCCTAAGCAAAAAGAACAAAGCTGGAGGCATCATGCTACCTGACTTCAAACTATACTACAAGCCTACAGGAACCAAAACATCATGGTACCGGTACCAAAACAGATATCTAGACCAGAGAAACAGAACAGAGGCCTCAGAAATAGCACCACACATCTACAACTATCTGATCTTTGACAAACCTGACAAAAACAAGCAATGGGGAAAGGATTTCCTTTTTAATAAATGGTGTTGGGAAAACAGGCTAGCCATATGCAGAAAACTGAAACTGGACCCCTTCCTTACACCTTATACAAAAATTAACTCGATGGATTAAAGATTTAAACATAAGACCTAAAACCATAAAAGCCCTAGAAGAAAACCTAGGCAATACCATTCAGGACATAGGCATGGGCAAAGACTTCTTGACTAAAACACCAAAAGCAATGGCAACAAAAGCCAAAATTGACAAATGGGATCTAATTAAACTGAAGAGCTTCTGCACAGCAAAAGAAACTATCATCAGCATGAACAGGCAACCTACAGAATGGAAGAAAATTTTTGCAATCTATCCATCTCACAAAGGGCTAATATCCAGAATCTACAAGGAACTTAAACAAGTTTACAAGAAAAAAACAACCCCATCAAAAAGTGGGCAAAAGATATGAACAGACATTTTTCAAAAGAAGATATTTATGTGGCCAACAAACATATGATAAATAGCTCATCATCACTGGTCATTTGACAAATGCAAATCGAAACCACAGTGAGATACCATCTCACGCTAGTTAGAATGGTGATCATTAAAATGCCAGGAAACAACAGATGCTGGAGAGGATGTAGAGAAATAGGAAAGCTCTTACACTGTTGGTGGGAGTGTAAATTAGTTCAACCAATGTGGAAGACAGTGTGGAGATTCCTCAAGGATCTAGAACCAGAAGTACCATTTGACCCAGCAATCCCATTACTGGGTATATACCCAAAGGATCATAAATCATTCTACTGTAAAGACACATGCACACATATGTTTATTGCAGCACTATTCACAATAGCAAAAAATGGAACCAACAAAAATAGCAAACTTGGAACCAACCCAAATGCCATCAATGTTAGACTGGATAAAGAAAATGTGGCACATATACACCATGGAATACTATGCAGCCATAAAAAAGAATGAGTTCATATCCTTTGCAGGGACATGGATGAAGCTGGAAACCATCATTCTCAGCAAACTAACACAGGAACAGACAACCGAACACCACATGTTCTCACTCATAAGTGAGAGTTGAACAATGAAAACATATGGGCACAGCGAGGGGAACATCACACACTGGGGCCTGTCAGAGGTTGCAGGGCAAGGGAATGGATAGCATTAGGAGAAATACCTAATGTAGATGAAGGGTTGATGGGTGCAGGAAGCCACCATGGCACATGTATACCTATGTAACAAACCCGCATGTTCTGCAAATATATCCCAGAACTTAAAGTATAATAATAAAAAAAAAAAATCTCAAAAAAAATGTGGAAGTTATGTGCTAGGTTTGCCGGGCTAGAGATAAGAAAAAAAAAATCTTTCTGAATGGCTGGTGCTGAGAGGAGAAGCAGGACTATGCCTTATGAGATAAGTTACTCTCAGCTTAGACCTATGTGTCATCTGGCTTGATATGTATGGAGCATTTAGTGAGTTGTCTCCCAGATCTCCAAAGACCACCTATTGCTCTCTCTTTATGGGGTGACTGTATATGAGTCAGATGCCCTTACTCTGGAGGTGGTGTTCTGAGGTTATAATTGCCTGATGGGTACTTCCTGCCTGCTACACAGACAAAATCAACTCACTGATACTGTGGTATTGCAGGAGAAAAATGGTTTAACACAAGGCTGGCCAAGTGGAAAGATTGGAGTTATTACTCAAGTCAGTCTCCCTGAGAATTCAGGGGCTAAGGTCTTATGGATAATTTGGTGGGCAAGGGGATAGGGAATAGGTGCTGCTGATTGGTTGGGGATGGTATTATAGGGGTGTGGAAAACAGTTCTTGTGAGCTGAGTCCATTTCTGGGTGGGGGCCATAGGACTGGTTGAGTCAGGAGTCATGGGTCCAGGTGGGGTCAGTCAGTTGCCAGAATGCAAAAATCTGAAAAACATCTCAAAACACCAATCTTAAGTTCTACAATAGTGGTGTTATCTATAGGAGCAATTGGAGAAGTCACAGATCTTGTGATCTCTGGCCACATGGTTCCTGAGCAGTAAGGCATTATAGAAACTATGCCTACATTTTAGCAGAATTCAGTCCCCTCCCATAATCCTAGTTTCGTGGTTTTTCATTAGTTATAGGTCCCTGAGCAAGGAAGGGGTTAGTTTTAGGAGGGATTATTATCATCCTTGCTTCCAAGTTAAACTATAAACTAAATTCTTCCCGTGGTTAGTTTGGCCTATACCCAGGAGTGAGTGAGGTCAGCCTGCTTGTGAGGCTAGAAGCAAGATAGAGTCAGCCATGCTAGAGTCCTCTCACTGTCATAATCTTTGCAAAGGAGGTTTCAAGGTTCTATAAAATATTAGAACTCTAAGGCGCCTTTGAAGTGTCTTATCTACCTCACCTCCTTTATATTACAAATGTGAAACTCACATATGAGTTTTGTGACTTGCCCAAAGTCGCACAGCAATGTAGAGTTCTAAATCCAAATTTCCTATCCTTCTGTTGAATGTCCTTCCCATTATATCACTTACATTCTATGGAGGTTCAAGGGAAGTTGGGCTCCAGGACCTTTCATTTATTCTTGGCCTCCAGAATTTATTTAAAGTAGACTCACATTGTAAACTCACAGGCTGAAGCTATTTTGTGAAAAGATGAAACTTTTTAGGTAAGAGAAATTTAAGGTTTTTTTTACACCAGGGAGACAAAATGGGATCTGAGCCTCAATGTTTGGTACAATCTAGATGATGAGTAAAATGGCAGCAGGCAGGGATGCCACAGGGCCATGTGAGCTGGGCACTGCACAATTCTGGGGGGGCTTCATATTCACTACTCTAAGGATGGTGTCTTCTGGAGTTGTGTAACAGTGCAGGCTTTGGGGGGATCACATCTCCAGCTAGAAAGAAATAGGGTGACATACAAAGAAAATAGCTTATAGTTTTGGGAGATAGGATAAGATCAAGTCTGCCCATAGTAGGTATACCTTAAAAGTGACTTGGGGAAAAGGAGGAGATGGAGGTTCCTTCAGGCTTGTCATGCCAATTTTCTCCTTTACAGACTCCTTTTTGATCTCTCTCATTCTCTCCAACTCTATATCCAACATTTTGGACGCTGTAGACAATTCTATGTGTTTTCTGGTACACCAGTGCCCTGCCACTTTTGGTAACTGTTAAGTGATCTATGGAAAATTGTTGAGCCAATATTATAAACAACATGACCTTTATTGTAGGCCTTGGCTCTTTGCAAAATATGCACATTTGCTGTTTTGTTTGCCAGTCCAGGTATCCCGTGAACTCCTGAAGTGCACCTTTAATGGATATGTATTAGAAATGGAGTTGCATCTACTAGAGATTTTGCATTTTAGGGAGTCTTGTCTAGAACCAGTAATGTGACCCTTGTCTTGAAGAGGGACATTTTTCAGACTTTTCAAGCCACACCTCTGCAGATGCAGGCCTGTCATCTCAGCACAATGACTGGCCCGCATGGCCTGCGTGAAGTAGCTGGGATGGTTTCCATTATTATACCTCTGTCAGTGACTGCTTCCAATACCAATTACTTTCTAATAAATTGGAACATTCTTATTCTCTAGGTGAAAAACCAGTTACATATTTCCCAGTTTAAACTGAAAGTAATAAAATAGTACCCCGGCCCATCATTTGGGCACCATGATTAATTTCCCCTTGTATTAGTCCCAAAATAGCACTTTTAAAAAGTGAGTAAACTTGGCTGTACTAAAAATGACAGAAGTTTGAAAGAAATGGTACTCATATCAAAAAGCCATAACATAGAATATCTGGCAAAAGGACATTTGTGCAGAATGATTCAAGAACAAGG
This sequence comes from Homo sapiens, assembly GCF_000001405.40. NCBI lineage: Eukaryota > Metazoa > Chordata > Mammalia > Primates > Hominidae > Homo > Homo sapiens. The sequence goes on along the minus strand of NC_000006.12, from coordinate 75,407,881 downwards.
GACAAACTAATTCTTTTTTCTTGATGCAAAAAAATAGCCATTTTATATAATAAATTCCCTTGATATTTTTACTTGGCTACATTTTAGCAAAAAACGATCTAAATTTGGTTTCATTCTTTTCCCTTTTGTTGTTATAGTTAGCTCCCTTCTGCCTGTGTATAAGGAGGCACAGAGTAAACTAGATTACACAGCTGGATAGTGCACCACTATTCCATTTGGCGTTGGTATTTTCCAGGCTAAGTCAGAGACAAAGTCATTGACACATTGACTCTTGACATTGAGAGTCAAGAATGACTCTCTCTTCATTCTGAATGAGTGGCAGAAGAGGTGTTGTATACTTCAAAAATAATTTATAAGGTCGGGCGCGGTGGCTCACGCCTGTAATCCCAGCACTATGGGAGGCCGAGGTGGGCGGATCACAAGGTCAGGAGATGGAGACCATCCTGGCTAACATGGTGAAACCCCGTCTCTACTAAAAATACAAAAAAATTAGCTGGGTGTGGTGGCAGGTGCCTGTAGTCCCAGCTACTTGGGAGGCTGAGGCAGGATAATGGCATGAACCCGGGAGGCAGAGCTTGCAGTAAGCCGAGATTGTGCCACTGCACTCCAGCCTGGGCAACAGAGTGAGACTCCGTCTCAAAAAAAAAATAAAAAATTTATAAAATAGATAATTCGTCTGTGGATTGTTAGAAACTTCTTCTATTCTGTAACTTCTTAACTCATAAACACATTCTTTTGGGGTTCCCAGCCATTTTTAAAAATATTGCTCATTAGTTTCTCTTTTCCTCTTCATCACCTACTATAGGTGAGCCTCCTATATGTGCTTCTTTCTTACCAAGAGAGTTCATCCATTCTTTGGGCTTTAATTAATAAATAATTAATTCAAAATGGATTGATCTTACAATATTTAAGAAACATTGCTGATGCCAGGTGCGGTGGCTCACACCTGTAATCCCAACACTTTGGGAGGCTGAGGTGGGTGGATCACGAAGTCAGGAGTTCGGGACCAGCCTGACCAACATGGTGAAACCCTGTCTCTACTAAAAATACAAAAATTAGCTGGATGTGGTGGTGTGCACCTGTAATCCCAGCTACTCAGGAGGCTGAGGCAGGACAATCACTTCAACCTGGGAGGCGGAGGTTGCAGTGAGCCGAGGTTGCGCCACTACACTCCTGCCTGGGTGACAGAACAAGACTCCGTCTGAAAAAAAAAAAAAAAAGAAACATTGCTATTCGAGAGATTTGAGGAATGCAAAGACACATAATCATAATACTTGTATTTGATGGGCTCCTACTATGTGTCAAGTATGGTTTTAGGCACTAGATATTACAACAATCATGAAGAAAGAGCTCATGACTTAGGATAGATGAATAGATGAGAATATACAGGAATGAGTATTGTATTGGGTAATTGCAATATAAATTACAGGAATACAAAGGAGGGAAAGATTATGAAAATATGGGAGCTTCACTAAAAATTTGGACTTTGAAGAATTGGTGGGTTTTGTGCAGATAGAGATGAGCATAGGGGCCAACATGAACAGAATCAGAGTGGGTGAGAAAGTCTGGGCCATGTTCATTGGTGAATAATCTGGCTTTAGTGAAGTAGTATTTTGTGGAGGTAAAACGACACCTCCATTTACAGACTACAAATAAGAGGTCCTCCTTTCCCACAAAATAGTCTGAAGGTGTGAGGATTCCAGGGGAGTAGAGCGATGTAGAAGTCAGGGGAGTAAAGGTGAAAGTGTATCAAGAAGAGAGGTTCAGTTAGTCAAATCAGCAGAAAGGCCCCGTCAGACAGGACTAAAGGGCATTCTTTGGGTTTGTTAATTTTAATTTCATTGGGAACATTTGTCAGAGCAGTTTTAGTGAGGTTAAGCCCATTTTCAGTGGGTTGAGAAGTTGTTAGATATGAGTTCTAAATTTCTTTTCAGAGAATCAATATGTCAGTATGTTCAATTCTTTGCCTTCTACTTTTAAACTTAACTTCCTTGTAAAGCAAGCTTTTTCGATTATCTGCTCCACCCTGTCTCATTCCGATTACCTACTCCACCCCGACTCATTCCGATTGTCTGCTCTGTCATTACCATTTTTCCCACCAAACCACTCACCCCTGTCAGTCCTTTAAATTAGCCAATCAGAATTAGTTTAGCCTGTGCAGTCTAACCCTAGCCAATAGGGGAACGACACAGCAGCAGGGGCCATGTGCGTCAGGGATAAGAAGCCCTTCCCCTCCCTTGTCAAGTGCACTCACCATTGCTCTATCTGTAAGGGCACACCCTTCTATAGAAGTAACTTGCCTTGCTGAGAATTAAAAAGAAAATTTTATATTCGAGTGCTATTTCTTTTGCAGCACGGAAACTTTATTTATAACAAAGTGAAGGGAAGTTAAGTAAATAATTTAGAAAAACTTTATGTTTTTTTTTCTTTTTTCTTTTTTGGTAATAATTAGATTTTCTGGGTTTTTTGTTTGTTTGTTTGTTGTTGTTGTTGTTTTACATAGCCAGAGAAGCTAATTTTCCCCCTTCTTTAGCTTAGTGGAAATTAATTGTGTGGCACAGAGTAGGCCTTTAGGCCTACATTTGTTGGCTTCCTGATTTGAAATTACATGTTGCTTTTCTCTACTTTGAAGCTTTAAGTGAAACATGGGATTTTTAAAAAGTAAAAGACCAAAACAGTGTGACTTGAATGCCAAGTCCTATGGGGAAATATGATAGAATCAAAAAGGTTTGGTAGTTGACTTTATTAGTGTTGACTCTGGGCCTCAGTTTACTCCCCATGTGTTCTAATGGGGACATTTCCTATGTTCTGGGGTTGTTGTCATTACTAAGCTTAGCCAGTATAGATGTTATTTGGAAAAGTTTGAATGAGAAAGGCATAGAAAGAAGACAGTAGCTAGAGGGAAACTCAGGTCAACTGAGGGAAAGACACTTTACTGTGTTTACAGGTTAAGAGGTTGCAGGACAAGAAAAAAGCAGAGTCAAGGATGTAGAAAAGAGAAAGAATTTTTGATGACAGCATCTTGGAGGATATAGGAAGTGGTGAATCAAAAGTATGATTTTGGGTTGAACTTGGTTTTGGTCTTGAAAAGGAAGGAGACCCTTCCTCTGTGATGGAAGGAGGAAAGATGAGTGGGGCTAACATTTGCAGCTGAGGGGCGGGCAGTTGAGGTAGATCCCCCTAAAGCCTCAGCTTTCTCATCAAGGAACAAAGTTATGGTCTGCTGAAAGTGAGTGGTGGTCCTGAGGATGATTATGTACATGCTGAATCGTTGCAGAGGGGAATGCTAAAGAAAGGTGATTATGTACAAATACAAACACTAATGGGTGAAATTTAGGATTCAGCAGGGAGAGACCATGCATTTGCAGTGGCAGCAGTCTGTTTAGAAGCCTGCGTGTAAAGGAGGATACATATTTTATAGCACTGGATCTAGGGTTGCAGTTTCCAAGTGGGTGCAGTGAAAGGACAATAGTATAAGAAAGTAGAATGTGTTGATGAGACGGTGCCCAGCAGGAAGAGATCTTGGGAGAAGTGGGCAGGCCAATGGCAGGACAGGCAAGAGAGGGCTGGAAAAACTGGAATTTGAGCTATTTGCATTTAGGGTTTCTGGTACGGCAGTGTTGTTTTGTTTTGTTTTGTTTTTGGGGACAATCTTGCTATATTGCTCAGGCCATGGGCAGTGGCAGTGGCATAATCAGCTCACTGCAGCCTCCAACTCCTGGGCTCAAGTGATCCCCCCACCTCAGCCTCTCAAGTGCCTAGGACTATAGATGCATGCTGTGTGGCACAGCTTTAACTATTACAGGGTCTTGGGTGCGGTCCTGGGAGTGGAAGTGAAAGCAATTGGAATTAATGAGGTCCAGAAATGGTGAAGTTAGGACATTGGCTAAATCTCCCATTAAAAGTTGAAACCTCCTAGGATTATGGCAGGATTTGGAGTGGAGTGCAAGTCTGTGTCATCTAACGAATATGAGCATTGGGGACTAGAAGGTCAGTAGATAACTGGATAACTGCTGCCAAACTACTTTTTCTGAAGTATTTCTCTGATCATTTTATCTGTTGCTTAGGAATTTAGAAGAGGTCCCTACACCTTATCAGATAGAAGTCTAAATTGCTTAGACTGGTCTGAAAAATCTCCCTCTTAGCTATGAAATCTCATCTTTAGAGCTACTTAACATGACCATTCCTATCTAATCAGGCAGTCTCTACATTTTTTCCCCATACTCACATACAATCTTAAAATACTTGCAAGACGTAAATTGGGGCTCTCAAGGAAATTCAGGATATGTGTTTATTTTTGTCCTATCCCATACTTTCCTCCTGTACCAGTCAATATTTCTTTTTCTTTTTCTTTTTTTTTTTTTTTTGTGGGACAGAGTCTTGCTTTGTTGCCCAGGCTGGAGCACAGTGACATGCACAGCTCACTGCAGCCTCAATCTCCTGAACTCAAGGGATCCTCTTGCCTCAGCCCCTTATGTAGCTGGGACTGTAGGCATGCACCACCACACTTGGCTAATTTTTTTGAATTTTTGTGGAGATGGGGTCTCACGATGTTGCCTAGGCTGGTCTTGAACTCCTGAGTTCAAATAACCCTCCCATCTCAGCCTCCCAAAGTGCTAGGATTATAGGCATGAACAACTACACTTGGCCCTATTCAATATTTCTTTAGGGGCCACTGAAGGCTCACTTCCTCTGTGAAGCATTTCCTAATGACTTGCTCCCCAATGCTTATCTTTCTCCTGCCATGAAATCCTACATTGATCCTTCATGAAATGAACCATAGCACTTAATACACCCACATTCCCTAAGTATTTTATGTACTTACACCTTGTTGCCCAAAAAAACTTCTGAGAGAAGCTGTGTCTTCTGCATCTTTCACGTGCCTCATTATATCTAGAAAAGGGTTAGGCATATCATTGTTACTCTATTAGTAACTGGTGATTAATCTTGAAATGCTCTAATATTTATACACCCTATGAGACAGTCATAAGATTAATATTTTTAACATCTGCAAAACACTGAATTATACAGGAAAAGTATAAGTATCATAATATATAATGTTAATGAATTAACAGTAATGGTCATAAATATTTACAATGATATTACCACTACAATACTATGATTCTACTTTTCTGTCATTTTTAACAAGAGATGTCATAACTCCATTGGGAATGGTGATAATCAGTTCAGATGGAATTACTTGTGCAACCAAGAACAATAGGCTTATCCTTCAGGGGTACCATTTATCACTTTTTTCTTTAAAGATGGCTTTTCTTTTTCTAAATGAGTTCCATTTGTCACATGGGAAGGCCTCCAGTAGAGTCCCTGTGCTTCTGAAGAATGAGGCTTTTAGTTACTCTCTATGGCTTTTTAAATTGATGACTCACCTGCACTTAATATGCTCCATTTTTAGAATCTCAGGCTGAGGTCACCCTGAGCGAGGCTGCCCAGTGAAACCTCACACCATCAAAATGGTCAGCGTGCTGAGAATGGCATGTCTTTGCTAAGTTTAGGAGGCAACAGAGAGACAGGTTGCTTTCTGATTAAAATCAGAACCAGATCTGATTCTTTGCTGAATACGATGCTTCAGAATCTCATGTGTCCAGTAGTATTGTTCATATTTTGGCAAAGAGCTTTGTTGTCTGATTTTCATTGTTTCAGGCAGAATACTTTTAGGACTCCTAATAGAATCAGAAAGTTGGCTTTCCTGCAGTGAGAATAATGTCCGCATTGGTGTTGTAGGGGAGAACTTTAGTTTTATTGAGAAATGTAAAAAAAGACATATTAATAAAGAAAATCTCTCATAAATCCTTTTATTATTTTACAGGAATCTGGCCATGGGAAAATACCACATAAGGGTAATATGTGAAAGATGGAGATTTCCCCCTAAATGGCTGCAGCCTACATTTTCCTCAGTGAAAATGGTCTCCATTTAGTAAACTAAATTATATATAAATATTACAACTTACCTGTACAAATATTTCCCAATTATTTGGGGATATGCTCTTTTTACATGGAGCATTTTCAAGTAAAATTAGTTTGTACAGATAACTGGTATGAGAAATGTATGTTAAGTGGGGTAGGACTTGGGGCATGATGAATTTGTGATTCCAGAAGACTTCCAGGAGAGATATTATGTAGAACACTGCCAAATTTGAAGCTTGGGAGAGATAAGGTCTAGACCTGTGCTGTACAATAGGACTTTATTTGAAGAAGGAAATGTTCTATATATGCCTTGTCCTGTAGGGTAGCCATTAGACACATGTGGTTTGCAAACTCTTGAAATGTAGCTAATAAGACTGAGGAACTAAATTTTAAATTTTATTTAATGTTAATTAAATTTAAGTCGCCACTTGTGGCTCGTGGCTACTGTATTGACCAGAATGGATATAGAAAAACAAACAAGGTACTAATCTGAGGAGACCATGGATGAAGCAAAGGGATAAGAGAATAGAAGGAAAAATTAACACCAAGGAGATTCTCTTAGAAAATATCTATGGTTAAGGGTGGTAAGAGAGAAAAGACCTGGCCAAAGAAGAAAACAAGACATGGTTAAAGAGAAAGGAAGGCGATCAGAATGAAGATGTTTCATGGTTGCAAGGGAAGGAGAGAATTTCAGGAAGACATAGTTCTCAATGCTGCTGCAAAGCTGGAGAATGAAAACTGACAATAGGCTATTTACTGAGCCGGCATTTAGAAGGTGTGTTTTCCAAGGAATGGTGAGGGTTGATACCAGACTACTGGTGTCCACAAGTGCTTGGGTAAACTTCACTTTTGACAAGTTTGTGGATAGATGGCAGGGCTATATCTAAGGAAATAGTAGGGGTGGGGAAAGGCTTTTTGTTTTGTTCTGATTTTTTTTTTTAAAAAGGACACTTAAACGCTTTATAGATGTTAAGTACAAACTTCTTTCATAATTTCCAGTCCTATCCTTGCTCTCTTTGTCTTCCACAGATGCTTTGATGTAGAAGTATTTTACCTATAAGATTGAGATCTTCTCAACTTCTTTCCACAACAAAAATACTCTGTTCATTGCCTCAACTTTCTTTACTTCCCCTTTCACTAAAAGTAAAGTGTCTCTTTTTGTCAAAGCTACTTCTGTTGACTTGATCCTACTGCCTTCCCATACTAACATATCTCCTACCCTTCCCTCCCCCATCCCTGAATCTCCCATGGCCTTTAGCACCAGACTGTTGGGGGGCCTGGAAACTTTCCAAATTAAGGGAGCTAGATTGATCAAAGCTCCTGCGGTTCTCTAGGCATGGAATTATTATCAGAAAGGTCCCTACCCTCTAGGGAATATAGACATGAAATATTTGGGTCACCTTTTTCTAACCTTCTCCTGACTGTATACATGCTCTTCTTTCCTCCCTCCATTCTATTCAGGTACCTATAGCCTCACTTAGGTAAACTCATCTCCATCTTTTTCTAAATTGACTATTTTTAACAAGACTTGTACTTGTCCATGTTTGTCTTTTAAGGAACTATTTTAAGTTAACAACTTCTTGAGAATAGACAGTGTCTATAAAGCACTTTGATAGGTGCTTTTTGAAAATTACTTTGTAGTTGCAATTGGCAAGTATAAACTGGGTTTTCTTTTTTAAATAAAGGGCATATTTCCAGTTCAATTTTTTTCTAAAGTATTGCATGTTAAATGCAAAGGGTTGGCTTTGGTGGAACCTTCAGCATAGCGACCAAGAGTGAGGCTGTTCCAAGGAAACAGGAAACAGGTCACGATGAACACTCTGGATTTGTTTTCTACCTGTCACAGTGCCTAACGCCTGCATCACTTTACCTATTTTTTCCACAGATGTGCCAGTATTAGTGGCAGAGCTGTCTCTCAGCCAGGAACCAGATGGGTTCCTGCTCTGAGAACACCGTCATCTTAATGTCCTGATTGCTGGGTGAAATGATAGGATGCCTGGAATTTCCTTTAAAAGTCTCCAACCCCTCCTTTTCAAAAAAAGCATATGAAGAGATAGATGGTGCATTATACTCTTCAGGTTACTTTGATGTATGTTTAAAACTTTTTCATAATACAAAGATTAAAAACAAATAACATATGAAATGACAAAAGAAAAATAATATCTGTGTTGCCCATGTGACCTTCTTGTGCTGCCTAATATATGCCAGGATTTTCATTATTTTATTTAATAATCACAGTAACCCTAAAAGGTTAGATGAGGTCTGAACGGAAGCCCAGAGGGTTTAAGTAAACTCCGTTAAGGGCACCTCCTTGTAAGGTGTACCATGCTCTTCTGACCCCAAACCCAGTGACCTTTTGTTTCAGCATGAATCTCCAAAATCTGTGGCATCACGTTGTTTTCATATTTTGTTTTTAAATAATTCCACTTTATGCTAAAGACTGAAAGCTAATGATTTTAAATCACAAAAAAACCAACAAATGTATATTAATGGCCTATTGTATGGTAGTAAAATAATGTGCTGCTATTGTCTTAGCAGTCCAAGTTGAGGAGCAAACTCATGGGAAAAGAGAATCCGATTCCACAGATAAGAAGAGGAAACATCAATTGTTTGCCAACAGGATTTATTTTTTCCATACAAAAGAGCACATTTTAAACTTCACAAAAACTTGGAATATCTTTTCTGGTCTCTAAGTTACAACTTGAACTGATGTTTGGTTTCCCTTCAAAGGTCTGCTTTATCTCCTCAAGTGCATCTTGCTCTTTTTCATGCTTCTTAGTGGGAGTTTAACAACCTGAACAATAGAAATCAATTGTAATAAAGTCAATGGTGACACGGGCCAATGCCATTGTCAAACTGGTGATTGAAAAACATTGAAAAATAAAGTAAAATTCTATACTTTGAGGAGCCATTTTCATAGTTTGTTACTAGAGAAGTTTCTCTGAACATGGAGTGTACCAGAAAGCATGAGGAGGAAGTGCAGTGCTCTCGCCTTAGCTGTGAAATCAGTTGCTTCATTGTAACCACCATTTTTCATTGATGGCCCATCTTCTCTTCCTTTGGGAGAATAAGAAGGGGAAGATGCAGTCTGAGTGGTTAAAAAAAAGATAAATTTCGCTTTAAGTTAGGAGCATTTTGCTGGCTTACACTATTCATGTAAAACTTTTTAAAAGATAGTTATTAAATGTTTTTAAGAATAAAATGTAGACCAGCATGTCCAGACCATAGTGAATTTAAATTTTAATTGACCAAATTAGTGAAATGTCACTGTACCACATCACTTATTACTTTTAGCATCTTGACATTGTTTACAAGTGCCTAGTGCAACCTTTAACCTCTTTTTTATTCTCTTCTCTCTTCTGAACAGTTTCAGGGACACTCTTGAAAGTCACTGGGCTAATACTTATAGATACAGACGGCCCCTTCTTAGGTTCTTCCTTCCTCATGATCTTCCCTCCTTTCGGCCTCAGTGATCCTTAGGAGACCTCTACTAGTGTAGTGGTGATGGAGGGTTTGTTCTGAAGCTCCTGTGACCTGCAGTATCTTTAGGTTTGCAGGCAAGGTTACAAATGCAGACAAAGTAGTGGAATATGTTTCTTTGCAAAACTAACTGGCCCAGCTGGGATTTAAAACGACCTCATAATTACTATGTCAACCCGTCATAGACCAGCTTCAAAACAATCAAGGGCTCAAAGTGACTCATATCATATGGCTGTCAACAGAGAAATATTTTTTCCAAACTCTGTATTTAAGAGAGAAAGCAGGGTACTGATGAAAATTGTTGGAATTCTTTCACTGTGATAGTGCATAATCAAAAGAGGACATCACTTTGATGAAATAAGAACACTGTACCTTGAATCTTTTCAGTTAACATGTAATCCTATCTGTGGATATAGTCTTGTGCTTCAACAATGTATATATTTGTATTGGCAGGAAAGGACGTCTATGGACCTTGCCAAACAGCAGCCATTAATCTCTAGAACACTTACTCTGATGTTAAATATTTCTTCATCAAGAGCCTGAAAATAAACATGAAACAATGTGCACAAATTTTAGCAGTCTCTGGGCTGTCCCTTTGCCCTTCAAAAAATAGAAATAATGAAAGTACATTTGCAAGTCTATGGTTCTATGAGGATCAGCTCATTTATGAGGAAAATCAGCTATAAACCAAGATTTTGCATGTTCCTCAACAGATGAAGGAATCCGTCTCACAGGCTCAAAACACATATTTGCACCAATGAAAGTGAGTGATCCTTGAAGAGTGGAAGGAAAGGGATCTTAACATTACTGTTTTTGAACTTTAAATGGGTCTGCCCTGAGATGGGATGTTGTAATTCCTGCCAACTTGGAATTATATATATATATATATATGTATACGTGTGTGTGTGTGTGTGTGTGTGTGTGTGTGTGTGTGTGTGTCTTATATGTGTATATGTTATGTAAAAAAATCTGTATATATATATACACATATATATTTAATTAGCAAACTTTTTTAACCTGAAAACAATGTGTAAGATGAGTTGTGTTCTGAAGTAATCAAACTATGCATGCCTTTTTTTTCTTTAATGGAATGTAAATTCCTAGCTTTGAGTTTAGAAAGGATAAGCATGTGAGTGCTGATAAGATCAATGTTGCATACAGAGTGTGAGCCATATATGTAATCTTTGCAATATCTAACATGACTTATTATTTTTTTTAGAATTTTTTATATTTATTAAATAGGTACTTTATGTTGGGTACTGAATAAGTCTTTTATTTATTTATTTATTTTTAATCAAACTACTTTTTTTTATTATACTTTAAGTTTTAGGGTACATGTGCACAACGTGCAGGTTAGTTACATATGTATACATGTGCCATGTTGGTGTTCTGCACCCATCAACTAGTCAGTTAACATTAGGTATATCTCCTAATGCTATCCCTCCCCCCTCCCCCCACCCCACAATAGGCCCCGGTGTGTGATGTTTCCCTTCCTGTGTCCATGTGTTTTCGTTGCTCAATTCCCACCTATGAGTGAGAACGTAACATGACTTACTTATAGATGGTTTGGCATAACGTGTCAGCCTGAAGTGCCCAGTATACTGACTACAAAATACCTGAGCAAAGACCTTCTTTGAAAAGAATCTTACAAATCCTGACTGGGAGACACTAATAGGGTCACTGAAGAGTTGAGCATGGGAAGCTTTAAACACTGCACTTTCTCACTCCAGAACTAATTGTTTAAGAGACATAGGCTTCCCTTTGTAGCCTGTGAGACAGGACACAGGTGATTATTAAGATCCCATTCCCTCTTGAGTATCACTGCCTCATTGCAATTATCTTCACAGATACCACACTGTTGTCTACCTACAGCAGAGAGGAGATCAACAGGCTCGCCATTCTTATTTATTATCTACCATCACGAGATAGTGGATTCAACTAACAAGGGTATAATTGACAGGCAATTACGGAATGCCAGGCAATGGAGAGAATGTAAAAGAGTAAGCCACAGAGTCCCTGACCTCACATAGCTGGAGAGACATGATCTCCACTGCCACCGCTTTACTTCAGGCATCCTCACCACCGCTCACATGGTTTATTGCAACAGACTCTTAACTGGTATGCCCTTCCTGCAGTCTTGTCCCCCTTTGGCTAATTCCCCAGATCACAGCAAGAGTTAGCTTTTTAAAATACAAAACTGATCAAGTCTGTCTTCTGCTTGGGCTTTCATGGGCTGACCCCGGCTCACCACTGCTCACCACTTCAGCCTTATCTTTCACTACATCTCCTCAATTTATGATCCTGTCATACTGACCTGTCTGCAGTCCCTTGAATATTTCCCATCTTAAATAATGTTGGGAGCCTCTTTTTATTGGAGAGTATTCTTTTTCATTATGTGTTATGGAAATGATTTTAAAGAAAAGACACTAAGATTGTATGTGTTCCAGGTTGGCTGATGGGTATAGTGCATTTATTCTCTTCATTGATTTTTGTCCTACTTTATTTTTTTATGTTGTTTCCACATCCAAGTCAAGGTCATTAGGTAAAGAAGGCAACTCTCCATACAAACACCTACTGTTAAGCTAGTGCTTAAAAGCTTATTCAATTATTTGTCGTAAAATAACTTGCTTGCATATTTCATCAAGGACTCAGGGGAGAGAACTTCCGTTCTGTCCAGGTGTTCGGAAACTTTTATTTTTTGATAAAGTGTCACTACAATATCTTTTCCAAGGTAGAGTCTTATTGTAATCACATGCTCAGGAATCACGTTTTAATTATAAAACAAGACAAGTGTATGGATGGGACGATGCTCTAATTCAGTAGTAAACTTGTGTTCAAAAATTAGGCAAAACACCAAAATAGAATTCTAGGGGTAAAGTTTATATATTTAGAAATTTTTGGCCTGGTGTGGTGGCTCACACCTGTAATGCCAGCACTTTGGGAAGTCGAGGAGGATGGATCACTTGAGGTCAGGAGTTTGAGACCAGCCTGGCTGCATGGTGAAACCCTGTCTCTACTAAAAATACAAAATTAGCCGGGCATGGTTGCGGGTGCCTGTAATCCCAGTTACTCAGGAGGCTGAGGCAGGAGAATGGCTTGAACCCAGAAAGTGGAGGTTGCAGTGAGCCAAGATCGTGCCACTGCACTCCCACCTGGATGACAGAGCGAGACTCCGTCTCAGAAAAAAGAAAAAAAAATTATGTTAAAACTATTTTAGTTTAAATTTTGAATGGTTAATTCACACATATGGTTTAAAAGTTCCAGAAGGGTATAATATATGGAAGCATATACTATATTTTTTGTTTTTTACACAAATGAGAGCATATTATATATATATTGTACTGAAATCAGCCTTTTTCTGATATCAAATATGGCTTGGAAATTTTTCCCTATTAGTACACATAGAGATTTTACATTCATTTCAGTGACGTCAGAGTGTATATTTGGGTACATAGTGCAGTCTCCTGTTGCAGGACATTTAAGTTGTACCCAGTTTTTTGCTATCACAATCAATGCTCCATTAATATATTATACATATATATTATCACACATGTAGGAGTATTTCTCTTCATTAAATTCCCAGAATTGAAATTGCTGGGTCAAATGGTATATAAATTTGCGATAGATTTTGCAAAGTTGCCCTTCATAGGCCTGGTTTCTCACATTCCTGCCAACACAGTACATTATCAGTTGTTTTGCCAATTCAGTGCTGTAATTCCTTTGCCAATCTGATAGGTGAAATGGGTATTTTCCAGTAGTTTTAATTTACATTTCTCTTATGAGTAAGGTTGAACATCTTTTCAAATGTTGTTAGAGACATTTGTATTGCTTTTTCTGTGATTAGTCTGTTCTTATCTTTGCCTGTTTTTCCATTGAATTGTTGGTCTTTTATTGATTAATGAGAGCTTTTTGTATAACAAAGAAATTAGTTCTTTTTGATACAAGCTGTGAATCAAATATTTTTTCCTATCTCATTATTTTTATTTTGACTTCACTTTTGGCACTTTTTGTTATGCAGAATTTATTATTACTATTATTAGTCAGACATCAATTTTTGTTTTATGGCTTCTGATGTGGATTAAAATTAGAGAGGCCTTCCCACTCTTAGATTATACAAAATTTCTTTCAAATTTTCTTCTAGTACTTTTTTCCACCAGGTTTTCTTATTTAAATATTTAACCCATCTGAAATTCATCCTAAAGTGAACTACTTTACTTTTTTGTGGATGGCTGTTCATAAGAGTCAGGGTCTAGTCAGGAAAACAGGAAGTGCACTAGATATTTCAAACAGAAAGGAGTTAATAGGGATTTGGTTACACAGATGTTAGAAGCCTAAAAGAGTGAAAGGAGAATTCTGAAGTAACCAGAGATGGTAACTGCAAGAAGCAGCTATCACCTCTAGGGCTGAGGAAACAAAGGGAAGACATAAGATGACTAGTGCATAGGACTATAGAGGAGGAATCCCTCTGCAGAGGGCTTACTGCCCAGCCTCTGCTAGTACCTCTAAGGGAGCTTGATGAGGCTAGTTGTGGGAGGCCTGAAGAACCAAGAGCTGCAGCTAACTGCTACTACTGGAGCAACATTGTCAGAAACAGGACAAAGTAGAAAGGAAATTTTTCTCCCCATCCCACCTTTTAACATTCCTCTACTGACTCCAATTAGCAGAACCCAACAGAAAGCAGCTAGTACAGGAGCCTGGGAAATGTAATTTGCAGAATCTCAGGCTTAGTATCACAGAGTAGAATAGATATAAATGGTTTCGTAACTGAGAGATAATGAGTTAACAACCATTAATTGAACAAGCTATTTTACCTTATGATATGAAATGTCACTTTTATCCTATAATATTTGAATCTACTTCTGGGTTTTCTAGTTTACTCCAAAGATTTATCCAACTATTCCATGTTCCATGCTCTGGTACCATATTGTTTTAATTACTGTTGTAGCATAATATGTTTTTACATGTGGAAAGGCCAATCCTTTCTCATTATGCTTTTTCTGAATTTTCCCAAATATTCTTTTTTACTTTTTAAAAACTTGGCTTTTTACTTAAAAGATCTTTCAAGGAATTTTAAAAATAAGAGCGAATTTTAGGAAAATGATATTTGTTTTCTTTTGGATATTTTTTCATTATTTATGGTGATCTGAATCTTCATATATTAGGTACTTAATAAATATATATGAATAACTTTATTTATTAACATTTAAAAATGTCATTATGTCTTTTAAAAAAATTCCATCTCTATGTACTTAAAGACAGTTTTAGTTTTATTATATTGACAGTGATTGGGTTAAACAGAGAAAGTGGAGGAATCCTTTCCTTCATCAGCAGTTCTTTATTTACTTCCCTGTTTCTGAGTCAATGTGAACCTCTAGAAAGAAAGAGGGACCAAACTAGGCAGCTTTGTGTAATCCAGACAAGAGATAATGGTGACTTGGATTAGGGCAGTGTATTAGTCTGTTTTCATGCTGCTGATAAAGACATACCTGAGACTGGACAATTTACAAAAGAAAGAAGTTTAATTGGATTCATAGTTCCACGTGGCTGGAGAGGCCTCACGATCATGGCGGAAGGCAAGGAGGAGCAAGTCACATCTTACATGGATGGCACCAGGCAAAGAGAGAGCTTGTGCAGAGAATCTCGTGTTTTTAAAACCATCAGTCTCGTGAGACCCATTCACTATCATGAGAACAGCATGGGAAAGACCTGCCCCCATGATTCAACCATCTCTCACTGGGTCCCTCCCACAACACATGGGAATTATGGGAGCTACAATATGAGATTTGGGTGGGGGCACAGAGCAAAACCATATCAGGCAATAACAGTGCTGGTGGGGGGAAAGTGCTAAGATTTTGTATAAATTGTGTAGAAGAGCTCATTGTATTTGCTGGCAGGTTGAATGTGGGATATGTGAGAAAGAGATTTGCTAAGCCTGACTCCAAGGTTGTTTGCCTGAGCAAATGGGAAATGGGTTGTCATTTACTGAGATGGAGAAGACTATAGGTGGAGAGTAGACAAGTGGAAACTAGAAATATAGTTTTGTACAGGAAGTTTCAGATGCTTAGACAAGTGGAAACCAGAAATATAGCTCTGCACAGGAAGTTTCAGATTTGAATCTGAAACTTTGGCATTTGAATATGAGTCTAGAGTTCAGGGAAGAGGTCTGGGATGGAGTTGTCAATTTGGAAGTCACATGTATATAGATGCTATTTAAAGTCCTTGAAATCCAGTAAAATCATGAAGAAAGCAAATTTAGATAGAAAAGATAAGAGGTCCAAGGACTAAGCCCTGGGTAATTCCAGCACTGAGAGACTGGGAGGATGAGGAGGACTCAGCAATGAAGAATGAGAATGAACAGTTTGAGAGGAAAGAGGAAAATCAGCAAGTAGGGCATCTTGGAGTAAAAGTGGAACATTTTTCAGGGCAGAGAGAAAGATCCAAAGTGTCAGATGCTGCTGATGGATCAAGAAAAATGAGGAGTGAGAGTTGACCATTGAATTCAGCAATAGACAGATCATGATTTGCCTTCATAAAAGAGTTTCAGTGGAGTACTGGAAGCAGAAGCCTGGTTGGAGTGGGCTCAAAGAAATCCCACTCACTTAGGGGGAGAGATTATTGGAGACAGTATGTATAGGCAATTCTTTAAATGAGTTGTGTTGTACAGGAAAGGAAAGAAATGAAGTGGGATCTCCAGGGGAAGTAGAGTCAAGGGAGGATCTTGTTCAGATGGAAGAAACAACAGTATGTTTGTATGCTAATGAGAATGAGCTAATATGGAGGGAAACATTAACAACAGGTAAAAGACTGGAGCAATGTCCTAGCTAGTCAAAAGAGGATGGGATTTAGTGACTAAAGTAAGAAGTTTGTGTTAATTAGAAGCACAGTCAGTTTACTTCTAGTGATAGGGGAGAAGGTCATATATACCAGCAAAGATGCAGTAGGTGTATGAAAGTGATAAGAGATAGTGGAAATTCTTCCCAAATTGTTTCAATTTTCTTGGTGAGTCAGGGAGCAATGGGGTAGATGTGTGATTTGATAAGGCAGAAGAAGTTATGAAATAGTATATGAGAGTGGACCGAAGGAATATAGTGTGATTTCTTGATAGAATTAACAGCCCAGTTAAAGTTAGTGACCATGAATTTGAAATGAGATCAGTTGGCATGAGTTTTTCTCTGGGGAGAGAGATTTAACCAAGGCTGTAATTTGACCAAGAGAGTACAATCATGTGAGAGAATGGGCATGACATTAAGGGTGTATGCAATTGAAATTTAAGCTGAATGAGAAGGAAAATGAGCGCATGGAAGGAGGAGGGTGAAGGCCAATTAGAAGATGACAAAAATCAATGGATTATAATGTGCTGCCATCAAAGCACTGTTGGATTTTGAGCTCTAGAGGGAATAAGCTGGAAATATAGAAGATGATGTTGGAGACCTGAAATTACAGATAGTTGTAATTTTTTATAATAATGGCAAAAACTAGGGTATGACCATACAAGTGAGGGCTGAGGTAGTGTGAAGGACAGAATCATGAGAGGAGAGAAGTTCAGGGAACTGGGAAGTCAGAACATCAGAAATATCATCTAAGAGGATATGGAAATCACAAAAAAATTGGCAAAAGTAGTATTAGAGAGAATAACAGCAATCCAGAGGCAAAAATCTTCAAAGAAGGAAGGAAAATGAATGACCCAGGGGTACTGAATGGCCCATGACTATTGATATGGTTTGGATGTGTGTGCCTGCCCAAATCTTATGTTGAAATGTAATCCCCAGTGTTGGACATAGGGCCTGGTGAAAGGTGATTGGATCATGGAGATGGATTTCTCATGAATGGTTTAGCACCACTCCCCTTGGTACTGTCCTCGTGATAGTGAGTTCTTGTGAGATCTGGTCATTTAAAAAGTGGGGTACCTCTCGCCTTGCTCTCTTGCTCCTGCTTTTGCCATGTGACATGCCTGCTCCCTCTTTGCTTTCTGCCATGATTGGAAACCTCCTGAGGCCTCCCCAAAAGCAGATGCCACCATGCTTCCTATACAGCCTGTGGAACCATGAGCCAATTAAACCTCTTTTCTTATAAATTACCCAGTCTCAGATATTTCTTTACCTTAATAGAAATGCAAGAATGGACTAGTACAGCTATTAACAGAAAGGATATAATTAATATTATCTGATGACATGAGAATAAAAGCTAGTATATTTTAGGAAGCAGGGAGAGAGAATTATTTGGAAGCAGTGATGATGAGCAAGGAGGAAAATCTACCCCACATCCAGGCCCATTGGTACAAGGAGAGTGGGATAGAAATTATCTGCTTCTGAGTTGTTGGGCAAGTAATGTCCTCAGGAGAGAGCCAGTGTTCCTTTAGAGAAGTAGTTCTCAAACTTGACCGCAGATGCGTAGACCATATCCCAGACTAATTAAATAACCACCTCTGGAGGTAGGAGCCATGGACCTGTATTTTGTTTGTTTGTTTGTTTGTTTGTTTTAAGCTTTGGATGATTCTGAAGTGCAGCCAAATTTGAGAATAACTACCTTAGAGCAAGGAGGTGAAGGGAACATTCTCAGAAGAGTTTGTGAACTGATGGGAGTTTACTTGTGGTTGAATGTGAGTTTCAGAGAGCACAGTGGAAGAGTCTCAGGAGATGGGGATAGGTGAGATATAGGATTAGAAAAAATGATGGCAAAATAGATAGACCGCTAGCCAGACTAGTAAAGAAGAAAAGAGAGAAGAATCAAATAAACACAATAAAAATGATAAAGGGGAGATCAACACTTATCTCACAGAAATACAAACTACCATCAGAGAATACTACAAATGTTTCTATGCAAATAAACTAGAAAATCTAGAGGAAATTGATAAATTCCTGGACACATACACCCTCCTAATACTAAACCAGGAAGAAGTCGAATCCCTGAATAGACCAATAGCAAGTTCTGAAATTGAGGCAGTAATTAATAGCCTACCAACAAAAAAAAGCCCAGAACCAGATGGATTCACAACTGAATTCTACCAGATGTACAAAGAAAAGCTGGTACCATTCCTTCTGAAACCATTCCAATCAATAGAAAAAGAGGGACTCCTTCGTAACTCATTTTATGAGGCCACCATCATTCTGATAACAAAACCTGGCAGAGACACAACAGAAAAAGAACATTTCAGGCCAATATCCCTGATGATGATTGATGCAAAAATACTCAATAAAATACTGGCAAACTGAATCCAGTAGCACATCAAAATGCTTTATCCACCACGATCAAGTCAGCTTCATCCCTGGGATGCAAGGCTGATTCAACATATCCAAATCAATAAACGTAATCCATCACATAAACAGAACCAGTAACAAACACCACATGATTAACTCAATAGATGCAGAAAAGGCCTTCAATAAATTTCAACAGCCCTTCATGCTAAAAACTCTCAATAAACTAGGTGTTGATGGAACATATCTCAAAATAATAAGAGCTGCTTATGACACACTCACAGCAAATATCATACTGAATGGGCAAAAGCTGGAAGCATTCCCTTTGAAAACCGGCACAAGACAAGGATGCCCTCTCTCACCACTCCTATTCAACATAGTATTGGAAGTTCTAGCCAGGGCAATCAGGCAAGAGAAAGAAATAAAGAGTATTCAAATAGGAAGAGAGGAAGCAAATTATCTCTGCAGATGACATGATTGTATATTTAGAAAACCCCATCATTTCAGCCCAAAACTCCTTAAGCTGATAAAGCAGCTTCAGTAAAGTCTAAGATACAAAATCAATATGCAAAAATCACAAGCATTCCTATACACCAACAATAGACAGAGAGCCAAAGAATGAGCGAAATCCTATTCACAACTGCTACAAAGAGAACAAAATACCTAGGAACACATCTTACAAGAAATGTGAAGGACCTCTTCCAGGAGACCTACAAACCACTGCTCAAGGAAATAAGAGAGGACACAAACAAATGGAAAAACATTCCATGCTCATGGATAGGAGGAATCAATATTGTGAAAATGGCCATACTGCCAAAGTAATTTATAGATTCAATGCTATTCCCATCAAACTACCATTGACTTTCTTCACAGACTTAGAAAAAACTATTTTAAATTCCATGTGGAACCAAAAAAGGGCCCGTATAGCCAAGAAAATCCTAAGCAAAAAGAACAAAGCTGGAGGCATCACGCTATCTGACTTCAAACTATACTATAAGCCTATAGGAACCAAAACAGCATGGTACTGGTACCAAAAAAGATATATAGACAATGGAACAGAACAGAGGCCTCAGAAATAACACACACATCTACAACCACCTGATCTTTGACAAACCTGATAAAAACAAGCAATGGGGAAAGGATTTCCTATTTAATAAATGGTGTTGGGAAAACGGGCTAGCCATATGCAGAAAACTGAAACTGGACCCCTTCCTTACACCTTATACAAAAATTAACTCAAGATGGGTTAAAGATTTAAATGTAAGATCTAAAACCATAAAAACCCTAGAAGAAAACCTAGGCAATACCATTCAGGACATAGGCATGGGCAAAGACTTCATGACTAAAACACCAAAAGCAATGGCAACAAAAGCCAAAATTGACAAGTGGGATCTAATTAAACTAAAGAGCTTCTGCACAGCAAAAGAAACTATCCTCAGAGTGAACAGGCAACCTACAGAATGGGAGAAAATTTTTGCAATCTATCCATCTCACGAAGGACTAATATCCAGAATCTATCCAAGGAACTTAAACAAATGTATAAGAAAAAAATAAACAACCCCATCAAAAAGTGGGCAAAGGATATGAACTTTTCAAAAGAAGACATTTATGCAGCAAACACATGAAAAAAGCTCATCATCACTGGTCATTAGAGGAATGTGAATCAAAACCACAATGAGATACCATCTCACGCCAGTTAGAATGGTGATCATTAAAAAGTCAGGAAACAACAGATGCTGGAGAGGATGTGGAGAAATAGGAACGCTCTTACACTGTTGGTGGGAGTGTAAATTAGTTCAACCATTTTGGAAGACAGTTTGGCAATTCCTCAAGAATCTAGAACTAGAAATACCATTTGACCCAGCAATGCCATTACTGGGTGTATACCCAAAGGATTATAAATCATTCTACTATAAAGACATATGCACACATATGTTTATTGCAGCACTATTCACAATAGCAAAAAATGGAACCAAAAAAATAGCAAACTTTGAACCAACCCAAATGCCCATCAAAGTTAGACTGGAAAAAGAAAGTGTGGCACATATACGCCATGGAATACTATGCAGCCATAAAAAAGAATGGGTTCATGTCCTTTACAGGGACATGGTTGCAGCTGGAAACTATCATTCTCAGCAAACTAACACAGGAACAGAAAACCAAACACCACATGTTCTCACTCATAAGTGGGAGTTGAACAATGAGAACATATGGGCACAGGGAGGGGAACATCACACACCGGGGCCTGTTGGTGGGTGGGGGGCAAGGGGAGGATAGCATTAGGGATAGCAAAGGGAGGATAGCATTAGGCAAAATACCTAATGTAGATGATGGGTTGGTGGGTGCAGAAAACCACCATGGCACATGTATACCTATGTAACAAACCTGCACATTCTGCACATGGATCTCAGAACTTAAAGTATAATAAAAAAGAAAAGATGGTGGCAGAACCAAATACAGATTTGAGTTTGGAGGGTGAGAGAGATGAATTTTCTCTTTGTTTTACTGGTAGTTCTAAAAGTACCAAGTGCCTCCACTTTAGCAGCTGCAAAATCAGAGTTACGTAATTGTTTTCTTCGTTTGTGGCTTTGGTGAATCCTTAGGAGGCGTGGCTAGGAAAAGCAACGCCCAGACACCTCAGGAAGAGATGCTTCAAATGTTTTGCTGTGATTAAGTCATCTTGAGATGTAAGCCTTGAGAACTCATCCCGCTGAATGTGACACTATCTCCAAAACAGCTACTAAGACTTCAGCTGGAACTGATGTGGCCGTATTGCTGCAGCTCCATGGTATCTTGCTAAGCTAGCTCTCAGGATTAAGCAAGTGAAGAGTGGCTGTAGAAAAAAGGCTTCAGACTACATGCTTACTGGCCTTGAAGGTCATGAAGAAATGTGCAAGAACACTCTAGGGATATTCCCATAATATTATTTAACAAGACTGGCCACTGTTGAACATGAAGTGAGTTCAGTGCTGAGAAATCTGGCGATGCTGGTTAACTGATCTCATCCACCTGCCTCTTCTATTTAGTCATCTTCACCATGCTTTCATCTGACCACTTGCTTGGAGATGATGAAGCACGATTATGACAGCTCAGAGAAGGTTCCTGACCACAAAAACTCAGTAGAGGTCAATGCATATCATTGTCTGAAACAATAATTTTTGGCAGCTTGGTAACTACAAATAAGCAGTAGGAGTTTGAAACAAGCTAGGGAGAACTTGAACCATTTTATTGACTCTATCGTAATCCAGAAAGTTCTTTCCCTGAAACTTTCCAGCTATTAATATAAATCTTGGCCAGTGGTTCTTGGTCATTTATTTGGAAAAAGTAGATACATTGGAAACATTATACAAGCTAGTACGGCAAAGATTTCCCAATGCCATAATCAATGTTATGCTGCCAGATAAAGCTCAGGGTTAGCCTATCATGAAAAAAAAAAAAAAATCCTAAGGGGCTACAAGTAATGGGACCATGATATGTAACATGCTTAACCAGAGTGCTCCCCACTTTGAGTGAAGATTGGTTATTGGAAGTAGTTAATCAGCTTATAACAAAATTAAGTTTTTCCAACATCTTCCCTCAAGAAGATTATCAAACTTACCAACCAGTTCCTGGTTGACTTCAGGATCTGCATATGGAAAGAAGGCATGATATAAATAATACTATATATATACTTATCTGAAAATTAAGGTAAAATATTGCATTACATGATAAAGGAGTAAGAGAAAAATACATTGCATCAGATATTTTAAGTTCAGTAAACACATTCCTATTGCTAATTGACAAGTGATGTATTTGAATACACAGTCAAATATCAGTGAAACATCAATTACCATTTTTTAGGGCATTGATTTTACAGTCATAAGCTGCTATTGACAAGCTGCTATTGATATGTATGCCAGCACTCCTTCAAGTGCGCCCAATAGCATTCAAATGCTTCTTAAAATATTAATTTTGCCAAAAATTGCTCATTTCATGTTTTAAAAATTAATTAGCATATGAATTAATTCCTATGTGAGATTACTGCAATATATTTACTAGTGATTTAGCATAATGGAGAGATCTCTGGTCTGAGAATCAGGAGACTGGGATTCTAATGTGCAATCGAGAACCAATTAGTTGTATTCCTTAGGCAAATTATTGACTTCTTTGAATTTCTATTTCTTTAGTTATAAATTAAGAAATTAGGTTGGGCGTGGTGGCCCACTCTTGTAATCCCAGTACTTTGGGAGGCCGAGGTGGGCAGATTGCTTGAGGCCAGGAGTTCCAGACCAACCTGAAAACATGGCGAAACCTTGTCTCTCCAAAAAAAAAAAAAAAAAAAATAGCTGGGCATGGTTGTGCTCACTTGTAGTCCCAGCTACTCGGGAGGCTGAGGCGCGGGGATCAATTGAGCCTTGGAGGTTGAAGCTGCAGTGAGCCATGACTGTGCCACTGAACTCCAGCCTGGGCAACAGAACAAGACCCTGTCTCAAAAAAAAAAAAAAAAAAGCAATTAAATTTTTTTGTTGTTCTAAATTATTCTGATTCTATAAATCAAATGGTCCACTAAGGCTTGGAGCCAATTAGATGGTCAAAAAACAGGAATTAAAGATTAATCCTGAAGACTTCCCAATGCTATTTCATGCTCTAGAACTTTCCTTTCACCCTTCCTTCCAAAAGGTGGCTTGATGAACAATTAGCTATAGGAGTAACCTTCCGAAATCTCACTCCTACTAGATTATAAAGTCATACAAACATAGGATTATGTCCTACTCGTATGAGATTCACCACAGCAACTAGCCACATACTTTGCACATAGCTGCTAAAGGAATTAGTTAGCAGATGGAATGAAGGATGGAAGAAGAGGGGGAGGAAGAGAGATAGATAACTAACTGTTCCATTTAGGATGTGCAGGTGCTAAAGGAAAGAGAAGAAGTAGCTAGATCTGTCAACTTCCATATAAAGCAAGGAGCAGGACAAATCAGAGATGTCTGGTAAAGGTTTGATTTAATTACTACAGACATAAATCACAGTGGAAATTGTTATTTCAAACAAAGTTAACAAAGTGGAATTCTAGTCTAACACAATTATTTGATCTTTTCCTTGGAATTTTTTTTGTATTAGAGTTTGATCTAAATTTTAGGTTATAGATTCAGGTAAAAAAAATTGAGAACACTGAAAAAGACTCAACTGAAAGACGGACATAAAAATAGAAGAGGCTTGATTAATTTATTGAAAATGAAATACAAGACATAACAGTTATGGTGAAATGAGTATTAGTGGCAACGAAATTTAATTCTCCTTGACCTTTCCATTCTATTGTTGAATAAAAAAATAAGGTGGTACATATTTGAGAGGTTCTATATGGATATATGTATATGGAGAATTTATAAAGTATAATATTAAGATTGCCAGCTCTGAAGTTAGGTTGCCTGATTTCGCATTCTGACACCACTTATTAGTTAATGTGACTGAGCAAATGACTGAACTTTTCTGCACCTGCCTCAGAGCCCTCATTTACAAAATGGTGATAATAATAGTGTCTATCTGATAAGGTTATGTAAGGTTTAAATGAGATAATGTTTAAAAAGCACTTTGTCCATTACTTGTCTAAGTGCTTCATAATGTTGTTGGGTGGGGGAGATAATGCATGTGTTACTACTACATTTGTATATCTACAGAGAAAACAATTTTGAAATGATCCACTTCAAATTATTAATAGAATTAGCCTTGGTGAGTGGAATGTGGGAGGATGTAGCATATACGTTTCATTTTGTTTAACCACTTCTCTAATGTTGATTTTTTTATAACAAACATTTTTGTGTCATAATTTTGTCTTTAAATTTTGATGGTAGGTCTGAAGAGATAATTTACCACTGTAAATTCATTCAGAGAGAGCACAATTCAAACTCATTTATGCAGAATTAAGGTAGTAGAAGAGACCATAAATAACAATTCCTTTTTAGGGGGACAATATTTATATGCATATTCAAACCTATGGTCTCCATTAATCCTTTAGATTAAATAGGATTTTGCTATTTCCACCAGAGTTGAGAAAGTTGAGAGACTTCCCAGATCTTACCTTGTTACTCACCTAGTGAAGATCAGGGACAGAAATGACTCAAGTGCCCTGATTCCACAGAGCCCCTCCACTGCCTTATGACATCTACAGTGTCCATCATTCCCCACAGAGCTCCAGTTTTAAAGAGACAAAGAACAGTGCATTTACATAATCTTGAAACCCAGCAGAATGGAGAGTAACAAGTCTTTTGGGCAACTGGCTAATTTGTTTTAGATCTATATGAAAACATAGGTGAAGACTCTCAAAATATATGGTCACCATTCAGGTAATTTCTTATCTCCTGAAAGGTTTAAATATATTTTATGTTTTAGGCTTTTGTGGCTGATAAACTGAAGCCTTTCACCTTGTGGCTAATTTAACATGGTTAGCTTTGGTTGAGATCTCATTTTTCTGCCTGCAGATTCACAAGATCCCCCAAAGTCTATTCAGTAATTGTGATGCATTCCTGTAGCATTTAAGACTAAGCCCTAAAAGCTTTGCTTTGTATACTTGATCTGTAGCGACCTTTAGAGTTTGCTGCCCATTGAACCGAAGGTCTTCCTTGTGAAATCATAGAATAGTGCCCCAGTTCACTTTCTGTTACTTGATATCACTGAACAAAAATACCATTATCAGTGCCTGAGAAAAAAAGAGATATGGTACCCTGTCTCTTTAACAGTTTAAGAATAGCAAGCACAGTAGAGTTAATTCTTTTGGGGGCTGTGCCTTGAGAATTTTCTGGCCCAGAATCAAACTACAGATAATTAATTATGTCAGTGAAAAGCTCTGATGGCCTGTTCTCTTCAGAAAAAAGTGACATCATCCATAGAATTCTCTGGCAATAAAGCAGAACAAAGCTGTGAGTGCAGGAAATAACAGACAGATGTCCGTGAGTGCATATTTTATCTACTTCAAAGTACATTGCAAGAAGTCATGCTCTAGGGCTGTCTCCCAGCAGCAGTGGCTTGGCAAGGGGTCTTGGAGAGTCAGAGAAGTTTACAGGATTGGGTTCACTGCCTCACGTGCCCTGGCCTGAAGATTGAAGTGCAGCATCTTTAAGGAAGCTATTGAAAAAAGATAACAATGCTCAAAAAATGTTGGCAAGACCATGAGAAGCCAATCAAGTTATGTAGTGTGGGGAAATTGGACCAGATGGCTATGGATGGCACCACTTGTGGATGATTGTTAGTACAGGAAACATTACCCAGTGAGTTTTGTTCCAGGGCTTTCCTTTGCTCTGTGCTTACATCATATTTTCACTGAAAATTGTTATTAACACCTATAGCAACATATAATGGAAAGAACAAATATTTTGGAGTTAGATAACTCTGTGTTTTACTAATGATGGGATCTTGGTCAAGCTATTTACTTTATCTGAGCTTTATTTTTTCATCTATAGAATTGGAATTAAGAAGCAGTAAATTAAATAATGCTCCTGAAAGGAATTTTCTCCATGCTAGAGTAAAATGTAAGAATTGGTTGTTTTTAAATTCAACTCTGTCCTTTCCTGCAAAATATATTACATATCTAAATCTACAAATCCAAAGTCAGACTTATATTAGCTAGAACAAATGTCTACATACACAAGCAGTTTTAGGTATAATAGAAAGATCATTGTTTCAAAATTTCAGGTGCCAGAGGACCAGAAATTCTACTGTTAGAAATTTAGTCCTTTGAGCTGAAATACGTAGCACTTTCTTTCAAAAAAAATTGTAGGCCAGACATGGTGACTCACGCCTGTAATCTCAGCACTTTGGGAGGCCAAGGTGGGCAGATAACGAGGTCAGGAGTTCAAGACCAGCCTGACCAACATGGTGAAACCTCATCTCTACTAAAAATACAAAAATTAGCCGGGCGTGGTGGCACGCGCCTGTAATCCCAGCTACTCAGGAGGCTGAAGCAGGAGAATCGCTTGAACCCGGGAGGCAGAGATTGCAGTGAGCCGAGATCAAGCTACTGCACTCTATCTTGGGCGACAGAGCAAGGCTCTGTCTCAAAAAAAAAAAATTGTATCTAATTATCAAAGTAAAACCAGTCTGATATAGATTATTTAAAACATGCATTCTCAGTGTCATCACTACTGTTCTCAAGAGAGTGAAATTTGGTTCTGTGGGTGACAGTAAAGAAATTTTAGATGTGACAATGGTTTATGGCCCTCAAAAGGATCACAGAATATAAATATATGTACAGTATATATCTATGGTATTAAAGTTTCAAAAGAGAGCAATACCAGAAAAGATACCTAAAAAGTCTCCTTAGGAGGACAAAAACAAGTTTGAAAAACAATGATTTAGGAAAATTTAAAAGTTATGAAAAAAGTTTTTCATAATCATCCATAATTCTACCAACCTAAAAGAATGATTGTGGCTATTTTGGTGGGTATTTTTCTTCACATGTATTTTTTCCATAATTGCAAGCACAGTATATATGCAACTTTAAATATTTATAATAAGCATTTCCCACATCATTCAGCCACCCTTGGATATATTTTTAATCCTTGTATAATATTTTATTCTATGGGTGTACTGTATTTTACTCAGATATTTCCTTATTATTGAATATTTATTTTTCCCATTTTTTACTATTAAACATAACGTCATATTTCTGCAACAATCTTTGTCCTTCTTTTTAAACAACTCAATTAAAGGGTATAAATGTTTTTGAAGACTTGTGTGTTTCTGTTGTCCAGTTACTTTTTAGAGTCATATGTCTTCCCAACAAAATTATGAGAATGCCTATTTATCAAACTCTCACTTGCAATAACTATTATAGTTCTAAAATTTGTCCTGATTTAAGAGGTGAGTAATGGTATCTCATTATTGTTTCAATTTATAATTCTTTAGTTGTTAGTTGAGTTGAACTGTTTCTTAATGAACATTTTATATCTCTTTAGTGAACTGTCTATTTATACCTTTCAGGCATTTTTCTTTTGAGCTTTAGGGTTCTTCTCACTGATATATGTAAACTCTTTATAATTAAGTATAGTTACCCTATATCTTTCATAGTTGTTACAAATATTTCCTTTCTTTTTTTTTGCCTTTTAATTGGCTATGATTGTTTTTTACAGTTAGAATCTCTATTTTTTTCTTTGTTATTTCAGAGAACGTCTTCCCTGTATTCAGAAGTCAGATAACTACCCATGTATATTCATTCATTCATTCATCCAGCAAATATTTATGAAGTATCTGCTATTGGCCAGATACTATCTTTAGGCATTGGGGATAAAGCATAAACAAATCTTGTTGAACAAACAACAAAAAATCTCAGTCCTTAAGGAGTTACATTCTAGAGGAGGAGACAGACAAGAAACAAAGTCAGTCGAACAGATCTGTTAAAAGATAGCAATCCTATGGAGACAAATAAAGACAAGAAAAGCCCTAGGATATTTCAGGGATGAGGATTGTAGTTTTAAATAGGAGATCAGGAAAGTTTCCACTAAAAAGCTAACATTTAAATAAAGACCTAAAGAAGATGGGAGAGCACACCATGCGGGAAGAGCATTCTAGGCAAAGGGGCAGAGGCCTTAGGGGAAAGCGTGCCTGGAGAGTCTGAGGCACAACAAGGAGGCCAGTGCAGATAAAGCCAAGGAGAGAGGAGGTAGTGGTTATGAGAAGGAGCAATGAAATCTGCAACAGCCTCTCCAACACTTGGGTCCTGTTGCTGGGTTTGACTTCGCATCCCAGATTCTTCTTCCCTAAGAGTGAGCTTCCTCAGAGTCTCTGTTGTTTCTCCCAATAAGTCTGCCTTGGTTTGACCATTGCAATCTATCTAACACCTTTGAATAAGTCTGAAATTCAATGATAGACCTCTCTCTCTCTGTCTTTTTCTGTCTCCATTAGGCATCTTTAGCTTCTGTGTAAAGCAGTAATGCAAACGAAACAGTCGCCTATTTCTATATGCAAAAGGCATCTGAATATCAGCAACTTCCAGTCAATATTCCTTGTAATATGTATTTCTATATTTTAAAAAACTGAGTAATAAACTACATTTATACCTAGTAATAAAAAAACAACTTGGGTTCTAGTCATGGCTTGGTTGTGAATCAACTGTATATCCTTGGTAGGGGGTAGGCAATAATAACAACTTACTTTTATGAAATGCATAACATTTAATTCATTTTAAAGGGTAATATTTTAAGTTATTCACCTTACTTCAGCCTAGATTTCTCATTCATAAATGAAAGCATTAAGTTCGATGATCTCTAAAGCATTTTTTCAGGTATTATGTATAGGTAAAGAAATAGAATTCAATTCCTGAATCAGGATCTTTGAAATGAGGGTCATGTGTTTTATTCCACATATTATCAGCTCTATATTTTAGATTTTGGTGGTGGCAAAACCTATGTTGGTACCCTTATTTTGGTACCAATTTCAGTATTAATAAGGGTAGACAGGGACATGCTGCAATAATAAATTAATCCACAAATACCAGTGGCCAAACTCTTTCTCATTACTATATTTGTCCAACTTGATTTGATGGGAACAGAGGGTGTTTGTGTTCCATGTAGTCACTCAGGGACCCAAGCTGATGGAGTTTTCACCATCAAGTGAAAATGCCATCAGTTTTCTCTTCACGTGCATTAGTTGTTTGGACAGGAAGAAAAAAGTAGAAGAGTTGTGCATCAGTTCACTCATCATTTCTCATAGCCTATTGACCACAGCTAGTCACATAACCCCCTCCAGTCACAAGGAGGCTGAGAGATTCGGGATGCTAACATTTATTTGTAATCCCTAAATCAATACTTGCTGTGCTTTCATGGCCATTCCCAGACATGCACAGAGAGGCCAAAAATTTGTGTTGCCTATGTGCATGTTTCCAACAGAGGCTGAACAGGCTTTTGTCTGCCCTCTTGTTTCAGCTCTCGTACTATAGACAAGTATCTTTTTTGCTATCTATTTAGTGCCACATGTTTCACATTTTTGTAGCTTTTGTTGCTGATTTTGCTGTTTAAAATGGCCCCAGGCAGAGTGCTGAAGTGCTGTCTAGTGTTCCTAAGTGTAGGACATACTTTAAGGAGAAAACGTGTGTCAGGTAAGTTTCCTTCAGACATGAGTCCTTCAGACATAGTGTCATTGATCATGAGTTCAATGTTAATTAAGTAACAGTTTTTATAAAATAAGATGCCTTTAAGCAGAAAAACATACAAAATAAGGTAATGTATTGATTGGTTGATGAAAATAATGTAAAGAAAGACTCACAGGACTCCAACTCTGTGTTTCCCTGGGGAGCAATGATTCAGTATTCACTAATTTCATGTTTGTGGCAACTTTATAGAACATAACTACTACTGTGAATAATGAGGATCAACTGTTGTTCACTTCTATTTCTTCTTCATGTTCAATAAGGAATCTGAACCATGGAGAGATTTGACAGAAATTTTGTGAACATAAATGAAACTAATAAGTCAATATCTCTTGGAATCTAAACTTTCTCTAGCGAAGGGCAAAAAGGTAGCTTTTTAAAAAGCAGTTCTGTCCTTTGCTTTGAAAAGAAGAAGCACAATAAATTGTTGATGGATAAGTAGGATCCACACATACACACCATTCAACAAATGTTTACTGAGCACCCACTTGTGTCAGTCATTGTGCTAGGAGCTAGGGACACAAAAGAGAACAAGAGGCTCCTGCCTTCAGTGCTCTCAGTCTTGTGGGAAGGGAGAAAGGCGCAATTGTAATTACAAAGTGGTGACTATTGTGAATAGGGAAGTATCAGGTATCAGAAATGGCAGGTCTAGAAATTTTATGCTCACTCAAATCGCAGAGCATCACGTATCTCTTAAACAACAGCACTTAGGTAACAGTACATATGAGATGTTCATGTTCAAAAAATTTTTGAATGTGTCCCATCTCTGGTCCAATATATTGAAAGGGCAAGATAATTTTACAAGCAAATGCAATTGACTATTTGGCATTTTAAACAGGCCTTGTAAGGCCAAATATTGCCCATGAAAAGCAGTTAACAAATCACAAATCATAAATAAGTAGACCCTTTTTTCAAGGGTCTAGTTTCTTTTTTTATAAAAAGGACATTCCAAGTAGGAACTCAATGGGAATATTGTTAAAGATGCAATTTTTAAAAAACTTAACATTTCTAATTTTTGTGCTTATTTTTATTTTCCTTTCCTAAATCAGAGAGCTTGACTTTGGTTGCATCCTTCATATATGGGCAATATTTACCTTCAGCATGAGTACTAGCAAAATGTGTTATGTAGCATTGTTTCTTACTGATGCTGGGTTTAAAAAAAAATACTAAGAAAAGTTTAGAAAAAATAGTAAGACATTTCTGCTGTAATATAATCTTTTGACAGTGGTGATGAGGGAACTGCAGACTCTACACAGTGTAGTCCAAATTTTTGAATTAGGGAGGGAGCTGCCTCTTTAAATCCCATCAACAAGTAGTTCAAGAGGCCCAGAGGGTGGCACAAGCTGACACAGAGTTGCTAGTGGTCCACTAGGTTCATGGCACAGGAATCACAGATGTTTTTATGAATGGTTTGGGTAGTCACCAAATATTGGGAACAACAGGGATGAGAAAAAAATGTCTTAGTCTTTAACTTATTGGTTCAGTTTATGGAAAGGCTTTTGGTTATGTTGCCCAGTGGATCAGGCAATTCGCTCTTATCAGAAAAAAAGAAAAAGGAGGAAATTGCCTTTCATTGGGCCTCACTGTATGTCAGGCAGTATATTAGTCACTTCACAGATATTTCATTCTCATGCAGGTTGGGGAGCTGAAATTCAGAGCTAACTGGCCCGAGGTCACATAGCTGTAGTAAACAAAAGAGCTATAATTTGTTTGACTCCCAAGGGGTGGGGAGTAACCAACATTTACCAGGCACTTTGTATACATTAGCCCATGAAAAATCTGTGAGGTAGCTATTGCTATGCCCATTTTGCAGACAAAGAAACAGTTCAGAGAGGCACACTAACCTCTCTGAACTGTTGTACCGATGCATGTTTCTAACACAAGATTCCCTAGGGCATGCTCTTTCTACCACATTGCATCTCTTGAGTAGGAGTAAAAATAAGCAAAAAACTAGCTCTGAGTCTATATCAGAAACTTGCTTTAAAAGAAAAACAAAAAGCAAATGGATTCAGTAAGGACACAACAATATTAATCTTCAGTACATCAGAAAATTGATAACTTATAAGGACCACCCTGAGTTTTCAAAAAGACATTATGTACCTTATATATTTTTTAAGTGGAGGGGGACTTTATAATACATTTGAGGATGTACCTGTGCCCAAACCCTTAAAATTAAAAACTCTAATATTTAGCATACTAACTCTGATTTTTTTGTAAAAGTAAATATACAGTGTGACATTCCTCAAAAGTTCAGAATGGCTGAGATTTTCTTGCATTTTTGTTCAAAAAATTCAACAGTAGTTTTGCTAACTTGGTCAAATGTGTAAGTGTAGAATTCACTTATGTCAGAGGCTAAAATGAATAGATCAGAAAACACAGTAAACCCAAAGAAATTCAATGTTATGTGATTCAAATAAACCTCGTATAAATTCTGGCTAGACAATGTAGTTTTATTTTGTTTGATCAAGATAGTTTCTCTTTTGAAAATGCTTTACCCATATCTCCAGCCCTCACCAGTCTGAGGATAAAAATAAGATCAAAGACTTTATAAAGCTATCTTTTCCCTCTCTTGCCCCTGCACCCTCCCGCTTGGTGAGAATGCCAAGCTCCTTTAGGTTATCTCATAAGCCTTGGAAGACCCCAGAAAATGACCCACACATGTTCCACACACTCCTGTGGGATAATATTGGCATTTGCCATTTGCCCTTTTTTCCTTCTCCAGCCTGCTGTGGGTCTGATGGCTGCCCCTGTAAGTGCACAGCGAACACAGTTGTGTGTGCCCCAAAGACTCGCTCTTCTGTTTATGCCAGTTGTTGTCTACTTGGAGGCTGCTCAGGCTGATGTCTATACTGAGAGCATGATGTAAGCTATAGACAGGGCTACTCTTCCCCACCTTCCCCGCTTACTGCTGAAGCTGTGGTGCTTTGAATTCTA
Source organism: Homo sapiens (assembly GCF_000001405.40). Lineage (NCBI taxonomy): Eukaryota > Metazoa > Chordata > Mammalia > Primates > Hominidae > Homo > Homo sapiens. The sequence goes on along the minus strand of NC_000006.12, from coordinate 75,375,226 downwards.
ATTTACCAATTCCTCTAGTTCTTACTTGGGTCTTTCATGACAATCCCTCACCCCAGGACTCAGGCAAGGGCCGATGGGGGTGGGCTACATGGGAGACTGAGTGACAGACACTGTGCTGCACTCAGACTCACCCCTCCCCTCTGACCCTGCTCTATTGTCCTTCAACCAAAATGGTGCCCTTCCTCCCTGGGGATGAGTTCTTTCCCAGGAAAAGCCTCATGCAAATAGCTGTGTGGCAAGGCCACCCGCCACTCAGTCCTCCAGATGGAATTACATAGAAGGATTTCCCCCTCGAGCTGCAAAAATAACTTCTAGAGATAACTGAAAAGGAGGCAATCACAGGAAATTAAGAAAGAGGTGAAGAAAATTTAACTTAATAAACAGAGTTGTACCAGAGATGCTTGATTTGTCCTGGGTCTCATCTAGCTGGTTTCTGTTGAGGGGATTACATTTACTAAGCTGGATAAACAACCACTGTGAGAAAATGTCATCTAGTTGTACCTTAGCAATGACTTCTCCCATGTTCTAAAAAATTCAGCTTCTCACTGGCCCGGCACAGTGACTCGTGCCTGTGATTCCAGCACTCTGGGAGGCCGAGGTGGGTAGATCACCTGAGGTCAGGAGTTCGAGACCAGCCTGGCCATCAATGGTGAAACCCTGTCTCTACTAAAAATACAAAAATTAGTCTGGCGTGGTGGCACGCGCCTGTAGTCCCAGCTACTCAGGAGGCTGGGGCAGGAGAATTGCTTGAACCTGGGAGGTGGAGGTTGCAGTGAGCTGAGATCGCACCACTGTACTCCAGCCTGGGCGACAGAGCAAGACTCTGTCTCAAAAAATAAAAAAAGAATTCAGCTTCTCACCTGGTTCACAGAAAGCTGGACCCTATCTGCTGATTATGCGTACAGGTGGGCAGTTTAAGGGCTCTGCCTAAGGTCTTTATCAGCATAGAACTGAGAGCTTGCAGTCTTTTAGAATTTAAGAAATTATACACTGTAGGATGATAGCACTGCATGGGGGAACCTGTGACCTTATCTAATTTTTAATCCAGGACACTGCAGCTGACACACTATTAATATCCTAATGTGTGTAAAATAGAAAAAAGAAGAAAACCACGTAATAAAAATGCATTCAAATCCGTGGATGACAGTGACATTCAGATGACTAATCACAGGAAAATATGACTACACTTTTATAATTTATTACATGGAATTTTAGTTTTTTGTTTTGTTTTGTTTTGAGATGGGGTTTCAGTCTGTTGCCCCAGCTGGAGTGCAGTGATGTGTTCTACCTCCTGGACTCAAGTGATCGTCCCTTCTCAGCCTCCCAGGTAGCTGGGAATACAGGCACAGGCCACCACACCTGGCTAATTTTTGCATTTTTTATAGAGACAGGGTTTTGCCATGTTGCCCAAGCTGGTCTTGAACTCCTGGGCTCAAGAAATCCACCAGCCTCAGCTTCCTACAGTGCTGGGATTATAGGCCTGAGCCACTGCGCCCAGGTTGAAATTTTAGTTTTTTCAAAAACATAATCTCTAGATAGAAAATTGGGGAAGATTTTAATTTTCTTTTCTTAGTTGATTTTTTTAGGCAGGTGAATGTATACTTAAATTTTTTTAAATTGTTGGCCAGGCGTGGTGGCTCACGCCTGTAACCCTAGCACTTTGGGAGGCTGAAATGGGAGGATTGCATGAGGCCAGGAGCTCAAGACCAGGCTAGACAACATGGCAAGGCTCCATCTCTAAAAAATAAATAAATAAATAAAAATAAGATTGTGGTAAAATATATGTAATATAAAATTGACCATTTTAACCATCTTTAAGTGTACAGTTCAGTGGCATTAAGTATATTCACCTTGTTGTGCAATTATCACCACCATCCATCTCCAGAATTATTTTCATCTTCTAAACTAGAAACTACTAATTAAAAAATAGCATCCCTTTTCCCCTTGCTCTCTGCCCTGGCAACCACCCAGTGTTCCACTTTCTGTCTCTATGATTTGAGTACTCTAAGTACCTGTAGTGGAATCATACAGCATTTGTCCTTTTGTAACTGACTTGTTATACTTAGTATAACATCTTCAAGATTCACCAATCTTATGGTACATGTCAAAATTTCCTTCCTTTTTAAGGCTGAATAATATTCCATTGTATGTATGTACCATATTTAGTTTGTCCATTTATCAGTCAATGGATACTTGGATTCTTCTTATTTTTGACTATTGTGAATAATATTACTATGAACATGAGTGTTCAAATATTGTTTGAATCTCTGCTTTTGATTCTTTTGGGATCATATGGTAATCTACTTTTAATTTTTGAGGAACTGACATACTATTTTCCATAGTAGCTGCACCATTTTACTTTTCTACCACTAGTGCACCAGGGTTTCAATTTTTCTGTACCCTCACCAACTCTTTTCTTTCTTTCTTTCCTTCTTTCTTTCTTTCTTTCTTTCTTTCTTTCTTTCTTTCTTTCTTTCTTTCTTTCTTTCTTTCTTTCTCTTTCTCTTTCTTTCCTTTCTTTCTTTCTTTCTCTTTCTTTCTCTTTCTTTCTTTCTTTCTTTCTTTCTTTCTTTCTTTCTTTCTTTCTTTCTTTCTTTCTTTCTTTTTCTTTCTTTCTTTCTTTTCTTGATAGCCATCCTGTTGGGTGTAAAGTAGTATCTCATTGTAGTTTTGATTTGTGTTTCCCTAATGACTTGTGATATTGAGTATCTTTTCATGTGCTTTTTGGCCACTTGTATATCTTCTTTGAAGAAATGTCTATTTGAGTCCTTTGCCCATTAAATTTTTTTTTCTTTTTTGCCATAAGAGTTCTTCAATATTCTAGATATGGATATTAATTCCTTTTTTTTTTTTTTTTTTGAGACAGAGTTTCACTCTTGTTGCCCAGGCTGGAGTGCAATGGCATGATCTCAGCTCATCGCAACCTCCACATCCCAAGTTCAAGCAATTTTCCTGCCTCAGCCTCTCGAGTAGCTGGGATTACAGGCATGCACCATCACGCCCAGCTAATTTTATATTTTTAGTAGAGACGGGGTTTCTCCATGTTGGTCAGGCTGGTCTCAAACTCCCGATCTCACCTCAGGTGATCCACCCACCTTGGCCTCCCCAAGTGCCGGGATTATAGGCATGTGCCACTGCACCCGGCCTCTGGATATTAATTCTTATTGCACATACGATATGCAGATATTTTCTCCCATTTTATGGGTTGCTTTCCACACTGTTGATTGTGTTCTCTGATGCAAGGAAGTTTTTAAATTGAACATAGTCCAATTTATATGTTTTTCTTTTGTTGCCTGTGCTTTGGTATCATATCCAAGAAATAAGTGCTATATCCAATATCATGGAACTTTTCTCCTGTGCTATTTCTAAGAGTTTTATAGTTTTAGCTCTTACATTTTTATTAATTTTGAGTTACTTTTTGTATATGCTGCAAGGAAAAGTTCCAACTTAATTCTTCTGCATGTGGACACCCTGTTTTCCCAACATTTGTTGAAAAGACTCTCCTTTCCCCACTGAGAGATCTTGCACTCTTGTAGAAAATCATTTGTCTATATATGCAAAAATTTATTTGTGGGCTCTCTATTCCATTCCATTGATCGTATGTCTGTCTTTATGACAGTACCACACTATTTTGATTAGTGTAAGTTTGTAGTAAGTTTTGAAATCAGGAAATGTGAGACCTCCAACTTTGTTATTTTTCAAGATTATTTCAGCTATTCATGGTCCCTTGAGATTCCATATGAATTTATGGATTTTTTTCTATTTCTGCAAAGTCATAATTGGGATTTTGAGGATTTTACATTTTAAAACTCAAGCTATCATGGTGGTGGCAAAGCAAGTTTTAACATAAGAAATTGCGTCTGTTTCTGATATTTTAGTAACAGATTTCTTTTGGTGGATATTCAGTCTGAAGTGCTACTCTTTTATGAACAAGCTCTATATAGGCTTTTAGGCTACTATTGACCATATAGTTGTGGAGAATAATTTCTCCAAAGAGAGAAAAAGTCACATTTTTAGCCCCAGTGGCCCTGTAACCTAACTATGTCTGAATGTTCTTCTTGTACATAGTTGTATTATGAATCTTGTTAACTTTGATTTCTAAAATTCAGTGGAAAAAATGGGTTTAATTTCTATAGTAACAGCTAATAACATTATACATTACATAGCTTTTTTTCTTTCAATCTGTTTATAATATTAGTATTTATCCAACTCAGGTAAATAGTATAATTCAATTTGTATGAGATTTAAAGATAGTCCATTTCCTGTTGCAACATTCTGGTGGAATGTACTATTTTTCCTTATTCAGTTTACATATTTTCTTTTTGGAATAAACTTAAAAAGAAGAAAGTGGGCTGGGCACAGTAGCTCATGCCTGTAATCCCAGCACTTTGGGGGGCTGAGGTGGGCAGATTGCTTGAGGTCAGGAGTTCGAGACCAGCCTGGCCAACATGGTGAAACCCTGTCTCTACTAAAAATACAAAAATTAGCCCGGGGTTGTGGCAGGCGCCTGTAATCCCAGCTACTGGGGAGGCTGAGGCAGGAGAATCGCTTGAACCTGGGAGGTGGAGGTTGCAGTGAGCTGAGATCATGCCACTGCATTCCAGCCTGGGCGACAAGAGCAAAACTCTGTCTCAAAAAAAAAAAAAAAAAAAAAAAAGAAGAGACTCCCAAATTACAGACAAATATATCAGATGAAAGAGTAAAGAGGTTGACAAAATGTAATTGTTTAGATCTTTTGAACAAGGCTAAGTAGTTAAGGTTGTTCTGAGATTTTCAGTGCCAGTTTATGCCTCTCTGACTTTCACATCACTTAATTTTACTTTTATTTATTTCAGCAAATATTTACAGAGTGCCTACCATGCAGCAGGCACTCTTTTAGGCGCTATAGACACAGTCTCCCAAGGCAGTCACAGTCCTCACAGCAGCTCACAGCCTCAGAAGGAAATAGACAAGTAAATTAATAAATTACCATATGTAAGTAGATACAGAATGGTTGAGTGGGAAAGCAGAATGGGAAAGCAATCACAGAATGGGCATGTTACTGATTTTCCAGGACTGTCTTTTCTAGGGCTCCTTGACTCACTGCAGCAATGGGGTCATATTTAAGAAGTTAAATAATACAAAGAAGCGATAGTGCTTGGGAACTGTGTCATTCTTCCATAAGCATAGAAATGGATTTGTCCTTTCCTCAAAATGGATCTATCATTTAAAGTCAACAGCTTTTGGCAGGAATGCCTTCTTTAAAGTGTGTGGTGTCATTAGGTAAGGGCAGGCTTCTAAAACTTCCCACTGGCTATGCTTCCTCTCAGCCAAGTGAGTGGATCATCGTGCTGGGGTCATGGTTACATCGTCTAAGAGTCTGTCCCAAGCTGCCTGGCTGAAGCAAATGCTATTTTATATCTTTTGTTTTGTTCTGAACACTCAGGTGAATATTAAAATTGTATGAATATTCTGAGTTTTAAACTACTTATCATCTACCCCAAGTCTTTCAGTAATCTTAGTGCTAAAAGAAGATGCACCATGTTTATCTCCAAGCTCCAAGGCTCGTGGGCATTCCATCCCCGTTTTAGAAGTGTGGAAGAAGCTCTGTCATAGGAGCATAAGAACTAAGTATTCTTTCCTACTCATTATGTTTTTTTTTCTTTCAAAGATAGAAAAGCCACACAAGTTTAAAATACAGTTAAATTGTCGTCAGACATAATAATTAGTAATGGCGTTGTACCTTTAAAAAAAGCTAAGTTGTGGAAACATGATCAATGAAATTCAGTTCCTGAGCATAATAAGCCCATTTATGGCTGCCTTGCTAGACACAGGAATATTATGGAATATCCAGTCTCTTTCTGACCGGTGTTTGTCATAGGGTGACCAACTTGTCCTGGTTTGCCTGGGACTGTCCTGGTTTGCAAAAGTCCAGATTCACAGGACTCAGCTTCCCTTAGTCTCACACAATCTGGGACATTTGGTCACCCTCATTTGCCCGGAACTGGCAAACACTTCCAGCAGTCTTCAGGGATCCTCCTCATTTAGGCTGCTGGCTGGAAATGACCATGATTCTTTGGTGCAGAAAGGTCAGGGACTAATAATACAGGGAGAATAGTAAAAAACCTCTGAGGCAACAAAGTCCCTGGGAATCAGACAACCCTGCCAAGAACCTTGAGCTAACACAGCTAGAGTTTTAAGTATTTTTGATGCTGAATTTGTCATCTGTCCTAGAGCAGTGATTTCCAAGTGCAGCTGTGCTTTGGAATCACCTACAGAAATATTTCAAAACACAGTTCCTGGCCTGCCCCAACAGACTGGCTAACTTAGACTTTCTGTGCCTTTAACACAGCAGATGAATGATGTTTCCAGCACGCAAATCTGACCATCGCTGTCCTGCTGCTCAAAAACTCCAAAGTCTCTTGCTTTTCTGTGACAAAATCCAAACTCATTGCATGGCTTACAAAGCTTTTCATGAGTTTATTACTCCAGTCTCATATTGCACCATCCCATGCATTTAAATCTGTTTGGCCTTTGTATAGTCTTGCCTGGGCCTAGAGTACTCTCACCTTACCTCTTCTTTCTGTGGCTCAAGTATTCATTATGAGAATTCAGGTCCTTAATCCAGGAAGCCTCTTCTGTTAGCTCAGATTCAAGTTAAGCGTTCTTCTAGGTGACGTCCTTAGCCCCAAGTATTTCCTCCACCTAAGGCTTACTATGTCATATTGTAAACACCTCTCAATTGTTTGTTTATATCTCTCCAGACTTGAATTCCCGAGGATGCAGTTATTTCTCCAATACTGAATACAATGCATTGCACAAAGTAAATGTGTGCAAATATTTATTGAAGGAGTGATTGGATTCGGCCCTCTTTTGAACCTATGACTCCTGCTTTCCCAGCAAAGCACAGACTCACTCCATTGACTTTATACGATGAATCGCACACTCACCTGTGGGCCCTAGGCCTCACAGAGCAGCTCTTTGCTGCCCCCACATGTTTTGAATCAGCTTCTTATCCAGCCAGCTGAGAAACCCCTTGTTCCACCTGGTGCAGTTTCAGTTGTGGGTATTTATGGAACATCCTTGTTCTTGGCCTCCCTACACCTCCACTGGCACAAAGAACTATGTCTGATGGAAGAGAATGGTGTGACAGCTGTGTCTGTTTCTCTGCTGTAATCTCATATTTGTTCTCTATCATCAGGAGTAAATAAGTTGAACATAGAGTCGTCTTCAAAGCATTCTTCTCTGGGTCATTTTATATGTATTTAAATATAGTGGTCTATTTTGCAGCTTCCCCACATCCTAGGATCTTAACAACTTATTTTGGATAAATTTCTATGTGAAAATATTAATGCTCAAGAACAGAAGTTTTCTTACATTTTGAACTTTATTCTTTTATAGAAAAATTAGCAAGTTTCTCAAAAATGGAGATGTAAAGTTGTTTTATCCCCAAAATATAGGATCTTTTTGTAACATATATTGAATCATTTGTTTGAAATAGTAAAATAGATCTGTGATCACATAGTCGTCTTCATTAATATATTGATTAGATACCACAATATTATTGATTGACTATTTTATTATTATCTCTATTATTCTTTTGAGACAGAGTCTCCCTCTGTCGCCGAGGCTGGAGTGCAGTTGCGCAATCTCGGCTCACTGTGACTCATTGTGACCTCCGCCTCCTGGGTTCAAGAGATTCTCTTGCCTCAGCCTCCCAAGTAGCTGGGACTACAGGCGCACGCCACAACGCCTGGCTAATTTTTGTATTTTTGGTAGACATAGGGTTTCACTATGTTGGCCAGGCTGGTCTTGAACTCCTGACTTAAGGTGATCCACCTGCCTCGGCCTCCCAAAGTGCTGGGATTACAGGTGTGAGCTACCACACCCAGCCTCTTTCCATGATTATTACTATACAATTAAAGAGCCTTTAGTAAGTTTATAGTGAATAGTGTGGTTGTAAATAAATACAATGTATTATATCACCATAGCCTCTTTTTCTTCAGTAATTAGTATCTAGGATAATTAAACTAAGATGAAATATTTAGTATATGTAGCATATCACAATTAATACAGTTCAAGCAAAAGTGTATTTCGGGGGAGGAAAGGAATAGGTGTTTGGTATCAGTTGGAACACAAGAAGCTGTCTTCTAAGAGAATTAGGAAGTTTGGGGTCAAGATGATCAATACCAATAATATTTGCGTATTTTTAAACTGAATAGCTTAAATGATTAAACTGAAATAGATACCTGCTTACAGTTTTAAAAGTACTTTATTTGCATTATCTTGTTTAGAGCCTAACACAGTCCCTATAATGTATAGGGGTTGTGTCCCCACTTTACAGACAAGGAAACAGTCAGGGAGATTAAATAACTTTTGGAGAGACTGCTCTGATTTTGAAATTCCTTTTTGAAAAAAATATTCCTAAAAGTAGATTGTGAAATATCCAGACAGTTTTAACAATATCAGTTTTACACGTTATATTTGGTTAGGGAAAAATATATCTTATAAAATTCCTTTTCTACCCCTGCAGCAAAAAGTTATTTAATCATGGAGACCTAACAGAAACCATAGTAAATCATTGCTATTGTCTCAGCACCTACTTTAATGCCAAGTTTTATGTTAGGCGTCTTATATATTTACATCTGATTTTAAACTAACAGCAAGTATATAAGAAAGTTATTATGATCCAACTTCATAAATGATAAATTAGGTCAAAGCAAGGTTAGCAGCTTGCACAAATCAAACAACTTAGCTGAGATTGGAAACTATTTCTGAGTCTCTTCAAAGCTGGACACATTCTACTATATCATGATAAAAATTTTATTCCTATATTTTAATTAAAATTCATATTTGCTTGATAGCTTTAAGATTTATTTAATTTTTTATGCTCAAGCCATGTAAACTTGTGCAAACCAGCAGTACAACTGATGCTGTCAAGATTACTTGATACAGTTTACATTTGAGAGCCAATTTCTGATTACCTTTATCCATAACTAAGGACAAACACTTTTTCAGAACGTCATTTGTGGAAAGACCATATGGAAATAGTTCTGCTGTGATTCCTTCAGGTGTCTAGTTAGAATGTGACTAAATCATAATAAATATTAGGTGGGAAAACCTATAATCCTTATACTACCCTGTTTTCAGTACACTTACCCAGCTCAGTGGCTGTTTTACCTCTGGCTTTACTGGTGTGTTTGAAATAATTCTGAAAGAAATCAGGACAATGCCAAAAAGAGGTCATAGAATAATCCTTGAGCAATTTTTGTTTTATACCCTTCTTTGTGTTAAATCTTACAGATACTGTGCATAGGACTGTCTATAGTCAGAATGAAAGTGGCTTTCTCAGCATTGGGAACATAAAAAAGACAGAACTTTCTATGAAATTATTTGCCTTTGTTTTATTTCTGGGGAATAAGGAATGATGAAGTATTTCTTTTTTCTTTATGAAGGTACTACTTTGTTTCTCTTTGTAAAACTAGTTACATATTTACTGTAGAAAATTTAGAAAATACATACCTGTATAAACAAAAAAAAAAAGGTTAAAAACAGTCCTTAGGCCAGGTGCAGTGGCTCACGCCTGTAATCCCAGCACTTTGGGAGGCCGAGGCGGGCAGATCACCTGAGGTCAGGAGTTCGAGACCAGCCTGGCCAACATGGCGAAACCCTGTCTCTACTAAAAATACAAAAATTAGCCAGGCGAGGCGGCATGTGCCTGTAGTCCCAGCTACTCAGGAGGCTGAGGAGAATTGCTGAGGAGGCAGGAGAATCGCTTGAACCCGGGAGGTGGAGGTTGCAGTGAGCCAAGATCACGGCACTGCACTCCAGCCTGGTTGACAGACTGAGACTCTGTCTCAAAAACAAAAACAAAAACAAAAAACAGAAAAACAAACAAACAAAAAAACCAGCCCTTAATATTACTACCCTGTCTTCTAAGCCCTTTTCTTTTAGTCTTTCAGAAATTTTGTAATCAGTATCTCAATTTATGGTACAAACAACAGTACATTCTTTTTAATTTTTTTATATTAAAATTATTTATTTATTTATTTTTTCAAAGGACAGTACATTCTATGTCTGCTCTATAAGACTTCACATTTCACATGTTAGAAAAATGAACCTTAGAAAATGGCCTTTACTTCATCTGATTTAAAGATGAGAAAGAGACAGTAGTTTGTTATCAAGAACTTCCAGCTTGCCAACCTTCTATCATCGCCATTTTTTCACTTTAAATGTGATTCTAAATTTTCCTTTCCTGTCATTACATAAGTCACTAAATTCACAGTATGGTGTTTCTTCTTTAAAGACGAGTTTGTCTCTTTCAGATTTGGTCTAAGCAAAAAACTGACCTCGGGTGTGAGGATGACTTAAAGGAGAAAGGTGATGACACCTTTTTAAGATCGGAAAAAGGAAATGCACTTGCACCAAAGTAAGAAAGTTTACTTTGGATGATGCCAAGGATTTGTATTCAATTTAGTTGCTATGTCTCATAATCTATTAGTGTGGCACAGTACTCTCAACTTTGGAATCACCTGGGAGCCTTAAAAAGTGTTGATGTGTAGGTCCTTCTCCAAAAGATTAGAATGTAATTGGTCAGGAGTGGCCTGGGCCTTGGGATTTTTTAGAGTTCCTCAAATGACTTCAGCACAGTCAGCATTGTGAATCATTATTTTAGAATATGCTTTATATATTCACCTATGTCAGATGAACATAGGAGCACTTTCTGCCTGAAGACCAATAGCAGTCTACATAACTTGAGACTCCTTCAGTACAGATTGGGAGTTATGCCTTGTACAATGGTGCCTGGCAGAGAGGATGAATGGGGCTAAAATACAGCCTGCTCTTCACTCACTACGTAAGCTGTGCTCTGACTCAGGGCTGTGTCTCCTGAATAAAGTGGGCACGTTTTTCTGATGAGCACAGTGTACAGGCTAACTTGACCCTGCATCTGTGCTTATCTTCTTTCAACCTGCATGGAGACACATTGCCTTTCCATTAAACTACTTCCTGACTTCAACATTCTCACCAACATTCTAAACCACTGGGTTCTTCAAAATTCATATTTTCCATTTTTGTCTTGAAGTGAGCATACGTATATGTGGCAGAGACATTTCAAATCTGCAAATTCCAGTTCACTGACATCTCAGTAATGAATTATTCTGTAGCCATATGGAATTAGATTAATTTGGAGACCAAAAAAGCAACAAAAGTGAGAAACCTCAAGAAAGACAAACTTTATAATGGTCGTATCATGAATACTCATAGTTGACTACTTAGCTCTCTTCTTTAGAATATCATAATAATGAACCAGGTTTATAATTTCAGTCCCACAGTTAGCATCAATATAGGAGAAAATTCTATTCCATTGTCATAGGCTGAAACTTTGTTCCCAACCAGCTTTTTCTTTAGTATAAGTTGGAATGAAGTCAGGGCACTTCTTACCCATCACCATTACTGGAAAAATAGCTCCAAGTGTGTCCCCATATGGAAATACATTCAGCAAATGTCAGCTCCATCATAACTAGAAAGATCAACCCTACTAACGAGTGCAAAACATAAACAGGTGTATTTGCATTATGTGATGGGAACCACAGACAGTATGATATAAAGCCTACAATCGTGGTTTTCTTGAAAGCTTCAGCAATACGTTGTGCTAAGAAACAAACAAACAAAACTCTGACCTACCAAGCTGACTCATCTAACTGACAGTCTGATGTTAAAGGGGTGAAATTTCACCTTTTTTGTGAATACATTAGATACATTAGATTTGAAAAGGACAGCCAAGCATTATGTGAGTTCTCAACCATGTGTTTCTGTGCAAAATGAATCACCTAATGAGAAACAGGAAATAACCAATAAAGGCTGTTTGTTAATTACACATGAAGTTATAACTAGAATGGAGGCAGCAGGGTTTTATTTTAAACCAGATTTGAATACTACATTGAGAACATCAATAGAAAACTAGAAGATTTTAGACTGTCATTGACCTCATGTGCACTGGAACAGGTTAAGTATGCCAGGACCAGCCCTGCTTGCCTCCCTCCCCCACCCCATCCCAAATTATTGCTACTTAGATAAAGCAATTTTTATGTAGTTAATATTAGCACAAATCCTTTTTTCTGCTTGCCTGCTTCCTAGCAACCTGAAGCAGAGTATCTGCTTGCCAATCTGCTTTTGGTTAAAAAAAAAAATTAGAGCAGAATACCCAGTGAATTTGCCAATAGCCCTGACAAGATGGGGATGTATTCAATAAGCTCTCTGTTGATTTTTTGAGCCCAGTATGCGATTTACATTGTCAGTCGTCTGATCTTGCTGCACTTTCTATTACAGGCCAGAGAAGATGTGATCCACATGCTGAAGACAGAGAAAACCAAGCCTGAGGTTCTGGAGGCTCATTACGGGTCTGCGGAGCCAGAGAAAGTGCTGCGGGTCCTGCACCGAGATGCCATTCTTGCCCAGGAGAAATCCATAGGAGAAGATGTCTATGAGAAACCGATTTCAGAGGTAAAAATATGACACCAACAAGTCCCCTGGATGGGAACCTCAGGGAGATATCTTCACATTCTTCCATTTACATGCTTTAACATTTTCTTTCAAAGGCAAAATTTTGATGATACACTAATATACAATTAAAGTGTAATTAAATAAGTCAAGGGTTATAGTGGATAAGCTTCAATGTTAAGAATTGTAGAAGCTTCTCTTTAAACATACCAAAGCCTGAAATATATTTTTCCATGTGGTTCTGATAGTTACATGCTCTTGCAGTATATTATTCTTTTACTTCTCTAAGAAATGATATGTGTAAAAATTTGAAGTACTTGCCAGTTTTAACATTGAGCTGTCAGGATTCTTACAAAATTGGTAACCTAAAATTAAATTGATCTTATCTGATATGGTTATAAAGACACTTTTTTGAATTTTATAAACTCTTTCATAATGAAAATGATCTAATGTGAGTGGCTAAAATACAGTGATAGAGGCAAAATTCTAATGAAATGCTTAGGGCAATTCTTTGAGATGAAATGAATTCTACTAGGGCTATGACTATTATTATCGATTACTCATAATACCACATTTTAAAAATACTCTCACATTGTAGCAGAAGTTTGAGCCAGATTGCGATACCAGTTTTTCACATTGACCCTTCAGACTTTATATTAAAAAATTTACAGTTGTGAAATTAGTGTCATGAATGAAAAAAGAGAACAGAAATTAAAAGTCTGAAACAACTTACTATACGTTTAACATGTAATTTATGTCAAGCCTTTGGATCAGCTCAGTTTGATAATTCTGAGAGATAAGATCTGCTGTAGACAGCATTCACAACAGATTGATGGTCCCATAATTTTCAAATTACTGCAGCAAGAATAGACTGGAGCTCTATTCTCATCTTTTCCTAAAGAGTTAAGAGATGATTATAAGATAGGATGCAGTCAACAGGCTGGATCTACTTTCACTTCTGAGACTTACCACTGCTAGCTGTGTATGGCTATAGGCAGATTATGTAAGCTCTTTAAGCCTCAGTTTCCTCATCTGTGGGGTGTGAGGAACCACAGTGTCCACCTCATAGAACTGCTGTGAGGGTTTAATAAAGCAGTGCCTATAAAACTCTTAACATAGTTTCTGGCATATTCTAAGTACTCAGCAAGTATTAGTTATTAGAATTTGCTGGGATTCAAAAATGATAACTGCTCATACCCTTAATTGGTTTGAAACTTGGGGAGATTTGAGGAGTAAAAGACACAGAGGTCAAAAACATGTATTTGTTTAATATGATAATAATAATAACTTGGATTAGAGAACTCAGCTTGGATAAATGGTCTCATTTGGGCTTCTGAATTATTTTCTTCCAAGGCTAGAGCTTGGGATGACACTCCCCACCCTCACCACCAAGGGAGAGGTGCGTCTGCAGAGCATACACGCTTACCCAGGATTACTGCCTCCAATCCACTGGGTTCTATGGGCTGAACACAGAGAGGGGAGTTTCTGACCTACCTTTAGAAAGTAGGCCTGACCTAAATATTCCTAACTCAGGGACAGAGGATCAGAACAGAAAACACTCATCCTGTGAGTTGTCCTTCTGGAACTGGCTAAGCTGGGCATATTTCATGGTTCCTTTCTCCTCTTAACAATCTGAAGAGTCATTTCCCCTTTGGGGAGAAGTGAGTGAGAAGGCAGAGAGAGAGGGCAGAAAATACTTTTCCTGATACTGCCAAAATGAAGTCCATTTTGTGAGAGAAATAGAATGATAGAAGGAGAAAAGATTGCCTTCCACCACTTACACATTTTGGGTCTGTTAACCTTTTAAATTAACAGTCAAGTTCTTGTTACCTAGGAGCAGAATCCTGCTTCCAAATTCACGAGGCAGGAACCGCGATACATCACTGTTCCATTAGCCTCCTGGGATCACGAGCAGGTAGTCTAGCTCTTGTTTCCTAGAAGCAATGTTATACCTTAAGCCAAAAATCACTGATCATTCTTATTTCCATACCATATTAGGCCCAGCGAGGGTATCCAATAGAACTCACCAGCGGTTAAGCAATGAACCCAGTACAGTGGACCTATTTCCCTTGCCAAATATCTGGGGAAGAATTAAACAGCAAATATTAAATCTCTCTGCCCTTCTTCGTAAATTAAAGTCTGGAATATCAAAGTTCATAATTCTTAAGTAAAATTCCAAAAACATTGAAGGCTTTCATTTCTTTCCTTCCTAATTTTGTATTCTGCTTAGCCTAAGCCAGTGGGATCTCAATTGATTGGGTAGAGTTTGTTTTTGTTTTCTCCTTTAGTAAAAAAAACCTGGACTCACTGGCATTTTCAAAGTTGTATTAATATATCCGGAAGTCCCTAGAGTCTACTTTTTTCTGAAGAATCTAAAGAATTATTAGGACACATGCAATTATCAGAGTACAACCTCACACTCATAAATTTAAAAAATACAAGAGAGTCTCTAGCACTAAGATACATTTTTCTCAAGCAAAATTATATTCCTTGACCTTAGGACTCAGTATAAAGAAGGTCCATGTTACTCCTACCAGATACTGAAGCAGAGATTTTGGGCATGTCTGAGGGAAGGAAGGTAGATAGAGAAAATCTTCAGCCATAGCAGGGTTCTGGTAAGTCTGCTCTTACCAGAGCCTGTTGTCATCAGCAGCTTAATAATTATGGGAAATGGCAAGCTCGAGGTTAGGTGGAGCCTGTCTGCAGGTATTGTCTTTGCCCTCAGTGAGTGGCGTTCAAAACATTCCTGTCTTTTCGTAAAGTCTAGGGATTTGCAGTGGTGACCTCCTCAGTGCCTAGGTCTCATTTTAGGTACTCAATTTTTCCCACCTGAGTATTTAAGACCTCTTTGATCTTTTTCTTTTTTCAGGCCCTGTTCCCAGGCCTAGGAAGCCCATCGCTTTAGAGGGTCACCCTTCTGAAGCCTGTGTAATTTGAGACCCAGAAGGGATCAGACCTTACTCTTCCTCAGAACTTAGCCTCCCCTCATGTTTGAACTTTCAATCCTTGAGTAACTTGTCTGACTCAAGGCAACAAAAATATTTTCTTCTGCCACAACTTTTTCTGTTGTGAGAGAGGAAGGCTCAGCTGAGTTGTAGCTTCAGCATTTTAGTCATTTTCTTCAAGTGCTCCCAGACATTTGTTTTTCTAATATTGCCTTCCATATTCTTCATTATGTGGACTCCCTCAATGAGAGATGTGAAATCAAGGAATTCTGAGTCTGCCAAGAGTATTCTTTGTTAAACCTAAATCTTATCTATTTTCATGTTCTTGAGTTGGATAATCTTCATTAAAGGGCCTTTTTCCATTAACCACACCCACATTTGGACTTATCTGACGCTGTCCTGCCTAAATCTCCTTTTATCTCATCTTTCCTTCAAACACTACATCCCAACATTTCTTGAGTATATTCACTCAGGGCCCCAGTGATATTGGCAATATCACTGGGCGCGGTGGCTCATGCCTGTAATCCCAGCACTTTGGGAGGCTGAGGCGGGCAGATCACTTGAGGTCAGGAGTTCGAGACCAGCCTGACCAATATAATGAAACCCCATCTCTACTAAAAATACAAAACTTAGCCAGGCGTGGTGGCGGGTGCCTGTAATCCCAGCTACTTGGGAGGCTGAAGCACGAGAATCACTTGAACCTGGGAGGCCTCGGCAGTTGCAGTGAGCCAAGATGGCGCCACTGCACTCCAGCCTGGGTGAAAGAGCAAGACTCTTTCTCAAAAATAAATAAGGGCTGGGCGCAGTGGCTCACGCCTGTAATCCCAGCACTTTGTCAGATCACGAGGTCAGGAGATCGAGACCATCCTGGCTGACATGGTGAAACTCCATCTCTACTAAAAATACAAAAAATTAGCCAGGAGTGGTGGTGCGCGCCTGTGGTCCCAGCTACTCGGGAGGCTGAGGCAGGAGAATGGCATGAACCTGGGAGGCAAAGGTTGCAGTGAGCCGAGATCGTGCCACTGCACTCCAGCCTGGGTGACAGAGCAAGACTCTGTCTCAAAAAAATAAAAATTAAAAAATTAAAAAATTAAATAAATAAATAAATATTGGCAATTCCGTCTACAACAGCTGAGACACTGAAATTCACCAAATAATGCTTCAGATGTCTTACCCTGATCTTCCCAGATTTCGATTCTTAAATCTGTTCATATTTTATATAACCACTTTGAATAGATGTTGCAGTCTTCACGGGAAGGGCCCCCAGATGAGCTCATGAAAGACTGTCAGCCCATTTACAGTGTCCTCCTCAATGCCTTCCTGGAGCCTAATGCCTTCTTTGTGAGGAAAGTCACCCTGCTCTGTCCTCTGGGCTCTCCTGTCTCTATCTTCTCTGGGCACGCATTCTGATTCAACAATGTCTGAAATACCTTCCATTTTAATATCCCTATTTTTAAGAGTACTTAGATCCATTTCTCCTTTGTGTAAATCTAGTTTGGTCTTTAAGACCTCATATTTGCTTTTAAGTAGACTTCTCTTTTCCCCAATTCCTTAATACTTCTCCAGTTAGCCCTTTGCAGGTAACAGAGTTAAAAACACTTCCTGAATCATGCCTTTTTATCTAAAACATACTGAAATTTCTCCTCAAGTTATTGTACTTCTCCACTAACTTTATTCATTAGAATAAGACTTCCAGGTACACTCTTTCCTTAGTAAATTTTTGGCATTTGGTGTTATGATTATCTCATTCAATTTTCCTTCCACTTCGTCCAAGTAGAATCTATATTTCCAAAGCAATAGGTGCCTATTCTACTTTCACTAGTCATTTAATAAAACCCATTCCTCTGTACTAAGCCACAGCTTGGATCCTGAAAACCAAAAGCCATGTACATATAGTATCTATGATTAATGAATCTACAGAATCTATAGTTATGGGATATAGTCTTCAGAGCCTCTGGACAAGCCACATAGAGCCAAGAAAATAGGCTACCTCTGTTCTCTCTTAGGTGACTGATGTAGTTCCAAACAAAAAAACAAGAAACAGCATCTGGTACAGCTGATCTTTTGCTACCTATGTTATTCTTACATCCAAAACTTAAAATTGACACCTAAAACCTCACACACTAATGTGTGTTATAGCAGAAGAATTTACAGCCTCTACATTCTAAAGTCTGGATCTGCAGCTCTGCCTAAGAAACACATTACATACACCAATGCCTCAGTAACTTATGCATTAAGAGATGAAAACACTGCTTTCCAGATAATGTAATTACTGTTGTGGTCAAGCTGTGCTAGTGTTGGTGAGGTGAACATTACCCACAAAGACTTCAGCCACCTACTCCAGTGGCTTAGTCCAGAACTGTGGCTATTGCAAACAACCAGTCTCAAAAGCCTACAAGAATAGATGTAAAAAGGCTAAGGCCTACCCTCTGCCTGGGCGGCCCCAGAACACTTGATACTTCCATGTGCTGTTTTTTTCTCCAGATGTCCATGTAATGACTATCTCTTTACATTTCCCAGTCAAACATCTGATTAGTAATGCTGCCACCTTCCTCTCCAGAATTCCTTACATGGATTGAGAGATACTGCAGAAGAGT
Source organism: Homo sapiens (assembly GCF_000001405.40). Taxonomy (NCBI): domain Eukaryota; kingdom Metazoa; phylum Chordata; class Mammalia; order Primates; family Hominidae; genus Homo; species Homo sapiens. Next base: position 75,357,204 of record NC_000006.12, on the reverse strand, counting down.
TTGAGCTTTGAGATCACAATGTATCATTGTATGACAGGCAGAGTAAAAAATAAGAAATGAAAGGGCTGGGCTGCACACATCCAGTTCCCTATTCCAAACACAACTTTCAAATAAGTCACCTCTCCTTCCTTTGGGAGGAGTTGGGTAGGGCCTGAAGAAACAGGGAAAATACTGATCTTCAAATAGTTTCCAAAAGATGGAGGGTCCTATTTTATGATAAAGCAGGAAGACTGAAAAAGGGGGGAAAGTTGCTTTTTCTACATTTTTGATGATGATGATGATGTTTCAGCAATGCTTGACACGTTCTCTAAAATATGTTGAAAATCACACGTAGAAATTTGGAAAGTTCTTGGGGAGAATATTTTGTAATAGAGAATGGAGCTATTACAATGGGAAAACCTCATGTATAGACTGTCCCTTTAAGACTACAAAAATTGACCAGCCGCGGTGGCTCATGCCTGTAATCCCAGCACTTTGGGAGGCAGAGGTGAGTGGATCACCTGAGGTCAGGAGTTCAAGACCAGCCTGGCCAACATGGTGAAACCCCGTCTCTACTAAAAATACAAAAACTAGCTGGGTGTGGTGGTGGGAGCCTGTAATCCCAGCTACTCAGGAGGCTGAGGCAGGAGAATTGCTTGAACCGAGGAGGCGGAGGTTGCAGTGAGCCAAGATCGTGCCATTGCACTCCAGCCTGTGCAACAAGAGCAAAACTTCATCTCAAAAAAAAAAAAAAGACTACAAAAAATTATTAGAAGATGTAAAAATACAATTAGCAATTCCTGATGATCTCAGATATTATCAGCCACCCATTAACGTGGGCTTCTCCACCAGTCTCTATCTGGTCACCTATTCCTAAACAAGGGAAGTGGAGATCTGGGAAGAAGATAATGTGAGCAGCTCTCTTTTATTTTGGGCCCCAGGAATGATTCACTCACAATGAACATATCAGGCAATTATAGAGAGAACTTCAAATCCTCCTTATAACTGAAGGGCAAACAGAAACTAAAGGGGAATAGCTCTGATGCTGAGACCCTGTGGAGTTACCCCGTGGGGTTTCAGAAAGTTGGTTGTGAGATTGAGAACTGATTTTAAATATGTCTGTTTCAACTAGAACAGTGGTTCTCAATTGGGGTGGCGGTGGATTTTTCCCTCCAGGGAACATTTGGCAATGTCAGGATGGTTTGATTGTCACACAGGAGGTGGGGCTTACTGGCATCTAGTGGACAGAGGCCAGGGATGCTGCTAAACATCCTCCAGCTCACAGCACCCCGAAATGAAGATGTATCTGGCCTCAGCAGTGCCAAAGTTGTGGAACAATGAATTAGAACTCAAAGGGGGAAAATAGGATACTGAGTAGGATAGGGAAATATCAAGATTGTAAGATTTGGTCCAATTTAACAAACACTTACTGAACATCAACTTTGTACCAGGGCCTGTGCTCAGCACCAGGGACTAAAAAGGTGATCAAGGCATGATCTCTTTAAAATCATATAACCTGGCCAGGACAGGTGCGGTGGCTCATGCCTGTAATCCCAGCACTTTGGGAGGCCAAGGCGGGTGGATCACCTGAGGTCAGGAGTTTGAGACCAGCCTGGCCAACATGGTGAAAACTCATCTCTACTAAAAATACAAAAATTAGCTGGACGTGATGACTTGTGCCCTGTAATTCCAGCTACTTGGGAGGCTGAGGCAGGAGAATCGCTTGAACCCAGGAGGTGGACGTTGCAGTGAGCTGAGAGGTCGTGGTCGTGCCACTGCACTCCAGCCTGGGCAACAGAGTGAGACTTGGTCTCAAAAAAAAAAAAAAAAAAAATCTTATAACCTGATCAGAGAAAGAGGCACAAAGACCTGGTAATAATATTTCCGGATTTTTTATTCTTTTGTTTTGTTTTGTTTTGGTTTTGGTTTTTGAGATGGAGTCTTGCTTTGTTGCCCAGGCTGTAGTGCAGTGGTGTGATCTCAGTTTACTACAACCTCTGCCTCCCGGGTTCAAGCGATTTTTCTGCCTCGGCCTCCCAAGTAGCTGGGATTACAGGCGTCTGCCAACACGCCTGGCTAATTTTTGTATTTTTAGTAGAGACAGGGTTTCACCATGTTGGTCAGGCTGGTCTCGAACTCCTAACCTCAAGCAATCCACACGCCTCCGCCTCTCAAAGTGCTGAGATTACGGGCATGAGCCTTTGCGCCCGGCCTCTGCAATAATATTTGGTAAGAACTCTTTTAGAGATATGTACTGTCTACAAGTTCTGAAATCCTCCCTATATTTAGCATCTCTTGAAAAAAAGAGGACTTTGGATCCTACATATACTTTTCCTAGAAATGCATATAGCTGCAAGCTTTAAAAACAGATTGTGATGAAAATTACTTTCCAGGGGAGAAGTCTGGTGCATGTACATGCTGAGATCTTAATTTTTCTATTAGGAAGGGTGTTATCCTCTTTCTGAGTATAGAGCTTTGTGCTATCTCATTAAAACCGTGAAAGAGTTGTTTTCCTGAAAGTTTAGGAACCCAAATGACCAATAAACAAATGAAAAAGTGTTTGAACTTTATCAGGTAAGTGAGCATTAAAATCACGTTGAGCGAACACTACACACCCACCAAAATGGTTAAAAGGTTTTTTTTTTTTTTTTTTTTGAGATGGAGTCTCCCTCTGTTGCCCAGGCTGGAGTGCAGTGGTGAGATCTTGGCTCACTGCAACTTCTGCCTCTAGGGATCAAGCCACTCTCCTGCCTCAGCCTCCCGAGTAGCTGGGATTACAGGCATGTGCCACCACATCCGGCTAATTTTTGTATTTTTAGTAGAGACAGGTTTTCACCATGTTGGTCAGGCTGGTCTTGAACTCCTGACCTCGTGATCTGCCTGCCTCAGCCTCCCCACGTGCTGGGATTACAGGCGTGAGCCACCACGCCCAGCTAAAAGTTTTAAAAATACTAAATGTTGACAAGGATGTAGAACAATCAAAACTCCTAAACACTGGTTGTAGGAGCGTAAATGGGTACAGCTTCTTTGGAAAATTGCTTAGCATATCTAATAAAGCTACATATACACATATCCTATGACCCATATTTCACTCATAGGTATACACCTGACACATATGCCATATGTTCACTAAAGGACATGTATTAGAATATTCAGAACAGCATTATTTGTAATAGACCCAAGCTGGAAACTACCAAAATGGTCATCAACAGTAGAATGGATAAAATTATGGTATATCCCACCCCCCCAAAAAAGGAAAGAAGTTTAGGAACCATATATATGTTTACAAAAAAGCCAGAAAGCCAGAAGTTACTGCAGCATTATTATGGTTGGTTTACACAGCCAATCAGCATAAAGAAACTGATACAATGGGGGAAATGGTGGTGAATACCAGACTCACTGTTCTCGCTTTCAGGTAATAAGTCACTAGACCCATGTCAACAAATTATTTAGAGTCCTATGCAAATGCAATAAAATATTAAGCCCTTTCCCATGTTTGCTTATTCAGCTGGACAGACTTGAGGAAAAACAGAAAGAAACCTACCGGCGCATGCTAGAGCAGCTGTTGCTGGCCGAGAAGTGTCATAGGCGCACCGTATACGAGTTAGAGAACGAGAAGCATAAACACACTGACTACATGAACAAGAGCGACGACTTCACCAACCTGCTGGAGCAGGAGCGGGAGAGGTAATGTGCACACACACCACCAGTCACATCTGGATGCCCATAGCCCTTTCATGTCTGCCCGTCCCTTCAGGGATCAGTCTTTCAGCCAGGGGCATCGTGGACAGGTGCCCAGGGTCTAATGTCAATTTTTGAATGGGTGGTAACCATAGAGAATGATACAGAATTTTACCTGAGATTATTACATGAATGTTTTGGGGGTTGCATATAGGTAGGGCGTCACATTCCCAACAAGGATGTTAAAGGCCATGAAACTGTAAAGCTGGAAAGAAACTCAAGGACTTTATTTTTTTATTTTTTTATCATGTATTTCTTTTTATTTTTTATTTATTTTTTATTATACTTTAAGTTCTAGGGTACATGTGCACAACGTGCAGGTTTGTTACATATGTATACATGTGCCATGTTGGTGTGCTGCACCCGTTAACTCGTCATTTACATTAGGTATATCTCCTAATACTATCCCTCCCCCCTCCCCTGACCCCACGACAGGCCCCAGAGTGTGATATTCCCCACCCCGTGTAAGTTTAATAATTTGCCTTCCTGAAAAGCAGATTTCCTCTCCAAAGAGAAAAACTAGATTGCTTCAAATAGAAAGCAATTTGTAGAAAGACTTTTCAAATGTAGGTGCTTCATTGATAAGTTTATGATCAATGAAGCACTTACATTTAAATGTAAACTACATTTAAATATAAACTTGATCAATGAAGCACCTACATTTGAAAAGTCTTTCTACAAATTGCTTTCTATTTGAAGTAATCTAGTTTTTCTCTTTGGGGTGGAAATCTGCTTTTCAGGAAGGCAAATTATTAAACTTAACAAGTGTAAATGAATCCTATTCATTTTTAATACCAGTGTAGAAAATATTAGTATTTGGCTGTGTATAAATCACTTAATGACTAGAACTACCTGCTGAACTTTCTAAGGGCTGCATAACTTTTAAAACTTGGGGTAAAAAAACAAACCAAACCAACTGAAGACTGACACATTGAGCCTTGATGTTTATTCTTGTAGGTTTTCATTTAGTCTTCTAAGACCAGGGATTGCCACAATTGAAGCAGGGACCCCAACTTTAAAAATTTTATAATACATTCTTCTTTACCATCTGTTTTTTTTCCCAGTATCTTTTAAATTATTATCTGCCTTCTCTTCCCTAGGCTGAATGCTTATGTCTGTGAATTCCACAGACTTTGAAACCAGTGATATTGAATCCCCATGCTTTGAGTTACCAAGCATGTCTGCTTTTGTGTTTAGAGCTTGCAAATTGAGAACCACTAGGGAACAGATTTACCTAGACCGGCTTTATTATCTATTTAGTTACAAAAAAGAGATCTAGTTTTCCCAGATTAGTGTATATGTGAGAAGAAGCTATCACAATTAGACAGTAAATAAAAGCATAAAATAGAACAGGCTTGGCTTAAACATTTTTTAAAAAAATTATTGGTAATGTTTATTTATTATTGGATTTGGTACATCCCTTGCGGAAGGAGAAATGGAAAAGTGAACAATGGCTAAATTGTTGTGTACTATATCCCAGACTTATGGTTTTTTATGTTTGTCTTAAGTTCCTGTTAAGCTAAGGTTAACTAGCTTCATGTTTGAACACATAGACTAACTGATTCGACATCCTGGAGTAACCAGTGAAAATAAATCCCACCTCCTCAATCTCTGAGAACTTTCCAACCTCAAGCTACAGATACTGCAAACAAGGTTCTAAGGAGAGTATAAATTACATACACAGTCATGTGTCACTTAATGAAGGGGATGCATTATGAGAAATCCATCATTAGGTGATTTCATCATTGTGTAAACATCACAGAGTACGCTTACACAAACTTAGATGTATAGCCAACTGCACACCTAGGCTATATGGCACAGCCTGTTACTCTTAGGCTACAAAACTGTACAGCATGTTACTCTACTGAATTCTGCAGGCAACTATAACACAATCATAAGTATTTGTGTATCTAAACATATCAAAGGTAAAGTAAAAATATAGTATTATAATCTTATGGGATACAATGGGGGAAATGGCCGTGAATACCAGACTCACTGTTCTCCCTTTAAGGTAGTAAGTCACTAGACCCATGTCAACAAATTATTTAGAGTCCTATGCAAATGAAATAAAATATTAAGTGTATAATGAATATTAATGGTAATGAATATAAAAGTATTCTGTGGTGGCCGCATGTGGCTCGCACCTGTAATCCCAGCACTTTGGGAGGCCGAGGCAGACAGATCACCTGGGGTCAGGAGTTCGAGAGCAGCCTGGCCAACATGGTGAAACCTGTCTCTACTAAAAATACAAAAATTAGCCGGGCATGGTGGTGTGCACCTGTAATCCCAGCTACTTAGCCTGACGCAGGAGAATTGCTTGAACCTGGGAGGCAGAGGTTGCAGTGAGCCAAGATCGCGTCATTGCACTCCAGCCTGGGCAACAAGAGCGAAACTCTGTCTCCAAAAAAAAAAAGTACTCTCTGAACCATCATGCTGTCTTGTGCTGCCTCAGGCACACCACCATCATATATGCAGTCCCTTGTTGACAGAAGTGTCGTTATGTGGCACAAGGCTATCTACAACAATCATCTGGTTAGGTGTCCTGTGTTGGAATGTGGTCAGGTAAAAAAGTTGCAACTTGATATTAACTTTTTAGAATATCGAAAATCAAATAATTCTAAGAGCACCTGTGTGAATTATTTCTCATTACCTTGTAAATTATTTGATTTAGAACCAGATATCTGTCTTTTCTTTAGCTTCCCACCTAAGCTAAATGCCTGAGGTAGTATAAGTTCACTTACAGAGTCATTGGTTTAATAAAAGTGTGTAGGCGGAGTGACCATACTTATTCAGGCTGTTTATTTTTCTTTGTTTTTTGTTTTCCTAATTTTTGTGTTCTGTGAGAGTAATTGAAGTAATCAAATAGAGAGCATGATAGTTCACAGAGTACTTTTATGTTCAGGATCCACTAAGCCTATGCAGGATGTGTTTATTTACTACCTTCATGTTGGTCAACTCCAGACTAACAATTTTAATCCCCTCTCTCATAGAAGTTGTTTAATTTTATTAAAACAATTACAACAGCCTCTCCTGAGCAAAGTGCTACGTAGAAAGTTTTAAAAGTAAAAAAAAAAAAAAAAAAAACTTTAAAAAAAATTACCCTAACATGCTTTTGATACTTTCATCAGCACCACTGGGATATGTCACCAAACTTTCACGTTTTAGATAAGAATTCACTAAGAGACCTTTGACTCTCACTTAATTTTCACACCACTTTATGTTTTAAAATAATTTTTTATGGAATCAGTTATACTTTAGTGCTTAAATCTTTTTTGTTTTTCTGTCAACGTTTTATCTCAGCTCAACACTGTGACTGACCACCAGTGCACATGCCGTGGGCACTCTCTGACAGACACTTTATTCTAAATTAAACATCCCTAGTAGGACCTGATTGATACCTTAAGTTGGCGTCTCTGAATTTCTCTGCGATCTGAGGCGTCCACCGTGACTTGCTTGCCGAGTTCCCGGGGCAGCGAAGTTTTTGGGATTTTTCAAAGGTCAAGCCTGGGATTCCTGCTACCCTTTGGAAACTGCCCTGCTAAATCTGCTTTGGGTTAAATCCTCTTTTTGAAGTAAGCGGTCATAATTAGATCTACTTATGAGAGCTGGCAGGAGGCTGACCCCGAGGCTTTCTTTCCCGCGAGCCAAGTTGCCGGGGAGCCCCTCCCCAGCGGAGACCACGGACCACGGACCTTGGCTGGGTCGCTGCATCCCTGGGGCTCTGCCAGAGAGCCTCTCCAGGAGGCTCCCGCCGAGGCGCAACGCGGCCACAGCACCTGCAGGGGAAGCTGGACTGCTGCTAATAAGGAAACGGCATTTTTGAGAACAAGTGGGAGTCCTCGTGTCCTATAGACTGTTCCAAGTCCTTTACATGCTTTTTGTTTTGCACTCCCTTCCCCTTTTCCCGAAAAGTCCCTGTGAGCAAAAAGCACAGCCAAGAACTTTGCTTCGGAAATGCTTCCCTTTGTTTCTACTGTGAACATGAGTAAGGGAAGAAAGTGAAGTTTGAGATAAGCCTGAGTGGTTTTCTCCTTATAATCACTCACTCAGCTTCTCCCGCCGGTGGTGAGACTCTGCAGGCTGTCTCCATTCCAGGCGGCTTATTGATTTGGTGGTGGAGGGGTGAGGTTGGGGGCGGGGCAGAGCAGGGACTCTCCGGGCACCAGAAGCATTTCAGCTCCGTTCTCCACATTTGTCCTGCTCTGTAAGGGTTTCTCACCTCTTCCAGAAAAATGGTTAAAGATAACAAAAAGGAACCCAGGCTCACAGGATCAGTAGTAGCTGTTGATAAGCCATCCAGATTCAGATGTTTGATGTTGTTTGAATCTGAGGCTCTGAATATTGTAAAAGATTTTGAGATCAGCCCTTTCAAATCCCTCATTCTACAGGTGGAGACATTGAGGCCTAGAACAATTATGTAACTCAACCAAGATCACACAGTGCAGGCCACTACTCTAGCACTTTTGGACAAGTGAATACTTTGTGCAAATAGTTTATGTTTCATTTTTGTGTGTAGGTTCCCCACCCCACCCTCTTATATCCAAACTATGACACAAAATTTTGAAAGGCAGAATGACTGTTATCATGAAGATATAAGCACAGAGATATTAGGACCAGCGGTGTCTCTAGAATGTCAAGGTAGATGCTTTGACACAGTGGTCTCTCGGAAGGAGCAGCCTGGGACTTGTTTTGAAGTTGAATCTGAATAGCATACACAGTGTTTTACTTAGCTTGCTTTCTATTTGGGGTAGTTATCACAGAAGGTTAATGAGGTTTATGGGGGCGCTTAATAAAGCCCTCCTCCAAATTAACTCCCTCGTTTTGCCACTGACCTAGACCCTGTAAGTGTAAAAACTATATAAATTATTTTTCACTTTCCAGGAATTGCTTAACTCATCTTGTATAAAAATTCCACAAATTAAGTACCTAAAGTGGGCAATGTATTGTTCTGGGCTTCCTTTATTCTAAGTCAACAAACTGTGATCATAATTTGTTACCATCATTGATTGCATATTTGTTTTACAAATAGTTATAGTCCCAAATTAAAAAGAGAAAACACCATTTTAAAATGTTTTGGCTTAATTAGCACTGTTAATAATAAAGACAAAAATATTTTTTATTGTATTAATTCCGGCTGGGTAAAGAAATCCCCCTTGTCTAAATGCTATATTTGGTTTCGTCCATATTTCAAGTCAACTTGACTTTTAAAGGCATAATTCTGAGCACATGAGATCACCTTCAGAGTCTGTGCTTTACTTTCTGCCTGAACTGCAAGACTTGTGATTTTAATCTTAAGCTTCACTAGGGCTGCTCCAAGAATGTCAAAATAGAGAGAACACAGTTACATCAAAAAGTGGTCTGAGACTTAAAGAAATATTTGAGGGAAAAGTGTGTGTATGTGTGTGTGTGTGTGTGTGTGTGTATAACTGATGTGGAGGAGTGCTGTCTAGATCTATCACTGTAGATAGAGATTTTAAAACTTTTGGATTTTATAGGCTCAGCTGGGACTACATAAATAATTACATCATCATATAATATTGCAGCAAGCCCTCCAAGTGTAAGTTAAGTTTTTTAAAGTACAAATCAGCTTCTTAAGAGAAATCCCTTAACTTGTGAAGCAGACTGTAAGAGCAGGGGTTTGAATGGAAGGGAAGCTTTCAAGCCCCATTTTGGTATTCTTCCTTTAAGTCAATATGAACAGGGGGTTGGTCATATATCTGGTGGATAATGGGACAGTCTGCACTATTATACTGTCCTATGTGGGGGAATGACTAGTCAGAATCAACGTTTTTGAAAACTTGCTCTAGTGGACTGGGATCTTTGGAAATATTCTTGATCCACTTTATAGGAAAAGTTTCATATCTGGTTCCCTGGAACATTATTCTTAAGTTTTTTAGGTTTAGTGGCCATATCTCAAAAGCATGTTAGCAAAATGGACTTTTCTCACTGGTAGCTCAGAGAATCTAAATAAAGCACTCTGTAGAAAAAGGTTGCTGATGCTTTGTAAATACTCAAGTCTTAACAAGCAGAAAGTAATCCATATGTGGAACATAACAGCAGAAAACAACTGAGCCTTCTTCTTTGTGATTAGCACTCTGCTAGAAGCTGTTCAAAAGCAAAGTTAACTTTTATTGACCTCTGATAAGCTAGACACATGTACCATCTTGTTTAATCCTTACAAAACTATAAGATATGTAATTATTAGCCCTTTTAGCAGATGATGAAGCAGAGAAGTTAAATTCCTTCCCCCAAGGACACTTGCCAATAATTAATTGGCAGAATCAGGGTTTGAACTGAGTTTTTTTCAGTAAGAAAAAATAACTTTTCGCACTCCTAACTTCTTACCTTCTGATAAAAGTGAACACCTTATTTCTTCAATGCACAGAGGGAGAAAGGTGACTTGGAAAGTTGACCAGTGGCTTGAACTGCATACCTATTCTGTTGCCTGTTTAAGGTTCAAATTCACAGACCTTCACTTGGTCATAAGACATACTGCCTAATATCAGTATCCCACTGATGAAGGAAATTGCTGGGAATAGACAGTTTTCAAGAAAGAAGAGGAATTAGAATTCAGAGGCCCAGTGACCCAGCTGGAGTATGTTCTATAGTTTCTGAGATAATGCAGAATCAAACTCCACCTTCCATTTCCTCTTACCCTTAAAATATTCAAATCCCACTTTCCACTGGAAAAGTGTAATTAAAGTAAAGGAGGCTGAGGTGATGAGGTGTTACCCCTAGCTGGGGTGTCTGTTTTGGATGATAAGGTGGGTGGGAGATGGTATAAAGAAAGTGAGGATACATCTTACTTGAAGGGACCAAGCAAAGTAACTTAAAAAGGTAGCTTCCCGGGGTTGGGAAGTTTGGGGTTAGAAGAGTCACTTCTTTTAAAAGACATAGGATAGTAACATACCTACTATCAGTGCTGTGGAACTAGGAGCATGTTGCTTATCTACCAGGCACCCCTCTGGATTAAATATGAAGGAGACCATTAAAAATGCCCTTGAGGTTCATTTCACCAGATTCCACCTATACAAAAATGCTGGGTCTTGGATGGATGTGAGCTTTTTCCCAAGCTTCATAGCACTCTCATTCTCAAAGTTAATGAGCTAACAGCCTCTGATTAAAGACTCTTTAAAGTCTTAGTATTATAATGTTAACAAGGATGCCTAGGAAAATGGGTTATCTGACTCACAGAAATTTCTAATTAATCAAGGGTTATGCCATGAATTAATTTACTTTTACTGCTATAGAAGATATTTCTCAAACACATTTTCCTTTCTTTTAAAAAATTTAAAATACACCACAAAATCCAGTTAAGTCATATTTGATGATTCAGGATCTTGTAGTGCTACTACCTGGATGACTCTGTACCTTATAAACTCAGAGCCTATTAGATTATACTTAAATCTAAATGTCAGTTCTGATCACGTTTTACTACAGATAAAAATGGTAAGGATGTTTTCTAGATTTTAGGGCTTAACTTGGCTTAACTGAGAATTTTAGTTAATTAGATTCCATATATTTTGGCTTTTATAACCACCACCACCACCACAGCAATAGAACTTGGACCAGAAAGAACCCTAATGACATTGTGAAGTGGCATTGCTGTCTGGGGTAAATACCCGGGGTTCCTCATCTTGTGCCAAGAGGTTTAAGGACATGGACACATGTGGGTGGGTTAAGGAGTAGAAAGTTCAATAGGCAGAAGAAAGGAGAGAGGAGAGCAGCTGTCTCTCTCTTTGTGGGAGAGAGGTGTCCAAAAAGGAAAAGACGGCTGACCACAGCAGATTTTATAGGCAGGATTGAGGAGGCAGTGTCTGATTTACATAGGGCTCACAGATTGGTTTGACCAGGTGTGACGTTTACATAGCGCACGGAAAAGGCTGGTCACCCCACCTAATCTTATTATGCAAATGGTTTTCCACTTGGCCGGCACCAGCTTGTCTGCTCCTTACTGTACGTGAGGCTGGCAAAAAGAAGATGGCCCTGCCATTTTGAACAGGCCTAGTCCCAGGTAGTATATTCCTACGGGCACATCTGCTGGCATTCACCTGTGCGAGCTTCCCGCTTGCTTGTTTATGTCTGCAGCTCAATTTTACGGGCTGCTCTTTGTTAGAAAAAAAAAAAAAAAGATTTGGGGGCTGTTTTTCATTAAAAGGAAAACCTTACCAAGGACTTCCATACTCTCACTATCTGCCTAAGTAATTTCTTTTTAACTCCTATATCAATTGTACAAAAGGATGAGATAATAATCAAAGAAAACTGATTATAAGAAAAAAAATGTTGAAAGGGAGGGCTTGAGCAAAAATGGGCAAGAAGTACACTTTACTGTAAATGATTTCAACAAGCTATGTAGGAATGCCTTAGTCCTGGTGTTTGATATCTCTTATTTTAGAAAAGTCCTAAGAAAAGCAACAGTGGAGGACAGTATTTGACATTTAAATATGAGAAATAGTGAGAACCCAGTAAGGGTAGATGTTCATGTTGGCACAGTTTCTCTAGATCTGAACCAGTCATTGAGAGAGTTTATCTTTTTAAAAACATTTTTAAAATTTTTCATGTTTTAGAGTTGGCATCTTGCTCTGTTGCTCAGGCTGCAGTGCAGTGGTGTGATCAAAGCTCACTGCAACCTCCAGAGAGCTGATCTATTTCAAAAAGTTTTCAGGATATTACCAGATAGTCCCTGAAACTCTTAAGTTCCTGATTTGCTGAAAAGGCCTCATACTGAGAGAAATGGAGGCAGCTCCTTTCACATTGCTGTCATTCTTTTTGTCATGTGGCCCTGTAAATGCTGGTCACAACCAGTTAGAGAAGTTGACAACTGTCCTGGACAAAGGTCACAGAGGTCTCCAGTGCAAGTGCCTCCAGAGCCAGCTGACCCAGCTCTTCAGCATACATGGCATGAGTGGTTGAAACTGCTAGACTGAAGAGGCCATTCTCTGACCACCAGGGAAAGGTAAAGTTTAGCTCAGGCTAACTGACCCCATTTTAGTTGGTAGGCCCAGTGTTGTCCATTCTTATGTTTCAGAAAATGATAGAACTCTGATTTTAGTAAGATATTCCAGTTTTTCAATGTTGACTCAAATTGATAAAATAATGTGTGGTGAACAAAGCCATCTCCTGGCCACTTTGTCTTTAAAGTGGCTAGTTTGCAACCTTTGATGGCCTAGACATTAGAGAGACTGAGGTGGATGAGGTGGCCTGGCATGTGCTGTTTGATGGTGGTCAGCTAATCCATTGAGACCCTCATGAGACATACAAAACAGAAAGAAGAAAGGACAACAGTAGCCTAGAAAACCACCAAAAACCAAACAACAAACAAACAAAAAAACCACACCAGAACATAGAAATTCTTGGAGTAAAGAAAACCACATCATAGCTGGGGTTACAATGGATGCCTACTTCTGAAGGGATGACAAGCACTGGGCCATAAGCATTGCTGTTGGGTTACTGGAACTGCAGGTGTATGTTAAACAATGATGAACAATATTCCAGTTCTCTTTGGGCCTATCTGGCTGTGGAGACAGCTTTCTGTATTTATTCACTTTTTGGCATATTCTTTCTAAGAACTCCCATCATCTTAACTAATCTGGGTGGCTCTGTTCTTAGAACCTCAGAGACCAAGGGTTACAATAATAAAATTGTTATAGCTTTCACATTATCATTTGCTTGTGCTCAATTATAGAAAATGTATTATAGTGCAATAGTAATTGGATCTTTTAACCTAGTATTTTCTATTTCCTTGTGGCCTGTCCCCATTTGAGTAGTCACCCAGGAGCAACCACTGCCTCAAGAGAAATTTGTCACAACTAAACGGGAGAACAGAAATCAATATCTGGTGTGTAGGATCAAAAGCAAGGATCCAGGTATAGCATTAGAAAGAATATGTAATCAAGTGGATCCAATTTTTGTTTATCACCCCTCTTCTTTCCCATTTAGATAAGATGTTTCTCTGAGAGGATAGAAACAAGGAAGCAAGAGAAGTTTATGCTGTAGGAGGGGGTAGTCCAAAATAAGAGGCTCTGTTCAGAGCTTTTTTCTGGGGAGTGGGTGGGGGACAAAGATGGAGAGTAATATAAAACCCAAAGAGAGTTGGTGTGGAGAATTCTAGACTGAAGGGATTACCAGGTGGAGTCCAAGAGTATCTTAGTTTGCTTGGTCTGCCATAACAAAACACTATAGACTCTTTTGCTTAAACAATGGAAATGTATTTTCTCACAGTTCCAGAGGCTGAAAGTCCAGGATGCCAGAATTGTTGGGTTCTGGTGAGACCTCTTCTGTTGCCTTGTAGATGGCTGGCTTCTCCCTGTGTGCTCACGTGGGCTTTTTCCAGTTCATGTGTATGTAGAGATAGCTCACTCTCTTCCAACTCTTATAAGGCTACCAATCCTATCAGATTAGAACTCCAACCTTATGACCTCATTTGACCTGAATTACCTCCTTAAAGTCCTGTCTCTAAATAAGGTCACATTGGGGATTAGGGCTTCAGCATATGGATTTTGGGGGGCACAATTTAGTCTTTGTCGAAGAGAAAGGCAAAACTTGTGGTTCTCCCTCCAAGAATTCAGGAGAAAAAGAGTAAAAATGGTGACCAGTATGTTTAGTCAGAGAAAGCTTGATACAGCCTCAGTTTCCTGCCACTCTAAAAGAATATCTAGATTTTTCCCTGTGCCTTTGAAAGGCTGTGGAAATAGCTGAGGCAGGGCTGGTCAAGAGCATGAAACTGTGACTGACTTGGATCAGGAACTTGGACAGATTGGCAACTGAGATCAGAGACCACAGTGTGCATCTCAGAGGATGCCTGTGTGGAAGAATGATGAGCAGATGACCTCTCATCCACCTTCCTAATGGTCCCAGAGGTTAGTCGCAACTCCAGAAATGAGGGCTTGAAGCCCTAGAATGAACTCAGGAGATCCTGACTTGACTGAAGTCTGAATTTACTAAAGGAAACTAGGCTTGGGTGAGCATACCCGTAATTAACTAAGATGAAGTTTCTGTTACCTGTGGAATGGGACCCCAAATAGAAATTATAAAAGATTCAGAAAAATGAAGATCATTGTATTTCTTGCACACGTGAGTGTGAGGCCTGCAATTAGTACCACTCCATGGATAAAATAATCTGTATGTGTGCTGAGGAGAAATAATGCAGTATTGAGGCATTTCAGATTACATATGATGTGCTTCCAAATATCTTGTGACCTTCAGAGGATTATCTGATCTAAGTTTTACCTCTTCAACTGCAGTCAATTTCTTCTCTAGGTTACTCTAGTTACATGGTGTGAGACCCTCATAAAATCTGTAACCTAGAGACAGTTATTTTCTTAGTCTCCTGCATTTCATTTAGAGACAGATAACTCTGAGTTCAGTTACTAAGTCTATCACTTGTGGTCTGTGACTTTGGATAGGTTATTTAACCTCTCTGATTTTTGGTTTCCTCTTAAATAGAATGGAGATAACCAAGTACCTATCTCATAGCATTTTATGTTCATGAGATAATGAATATATAGCCCCATTCACAAGGCATAGCATGTAATACCTAAAGGGATCATTTCTTTTACTCATCTGTGTATTAAACTCTTGGAGGAAAACAATACAAGTTTCACTAAATCATGATTTACGGTTTATCAAACTAAGACATTTTGAGAACAATGCAACGTGTAGGAAAAGTAAACTCTTCTATTGTTTGAGGGTAGCTGTTATTGTATTTAATTATATGTAGACTCAGGAAAACTGAAAACCTGCTGCAAACAATTAGAGACTTCAATAAAGTAAAGTAGCAAAGTACAAAATTACATGAAATCAATAAGCAAAAATCAGTAGTTTTTATATTTCCAAATGACAAAATAATATAAACTATATTACATACAAACTATATTAAATATAAAATATCTAGGCATAAATTTAAGAATGTGAAAGATCTACATAAAGAAGTATCTTAAATGCTACCTAGAGACATGAAAAAGACTGAGACCAATGGAAAGGATCATATTCTAAGACTGGAGGACTCAACATCATAAAGATGTCAAAAGCCTGGCACAGTGGCTCACTCCTGTAATTCCAGCACTTTGGGAGTCTGAGGCAGGCAGATCACTTGATCCCAGGAGTTCAAGACCAGCCTTGGCAACATAGTGAAACCTCATCTTTAAAAAAAAAAAAATTAGCCAGGTGTTACAGCACATACCTGTAGTCCCAGCTACTTGGGAGGCTGAAGTAGGAGGATCACTTGAGCCTGGGAGGCAGAGGTTGCAGTGAACTGAGATTGCACCACTGCACTCCAGCCTGGGTAACAGAGTGAGACCCTGTCTCAAAAAATCCAAAAAAAAAAAACAAAACAAAAACCCTCAAGTCTCCCAATATTAATTCACAAATTTAATGTAATCCTAATATCAACTTTTTAATGTAGTTCTAAAAATACCTTTTTTTAAGTATGGGAACTAAATTAAGGGATTCTAAAGTTCATATGAAAAATACACAAGCGGACGGGCAGGCACGGTGGCTCATGCCTGTAATCTCAGCACTTTGGGAAGCCGGGGTGGATGGATCACTTGAGGTCAGGAGTTCGAGATCAGCCTCGCCAATATGGCAAAACACCGTCTTTACAAAAAAAAAAAAAAAAAAAAAAATTCCTGAGCATTGTGGTGTGCGCCTATAATCCCAGCTACTAGGGAGGCTGAGATAGGAGAATTGCTTGAACCCGGGAGGCAGAGGTTGCAGTGAGCCTAGATCATGCCACTGCATTGCAGCCTGAGTGACAAAGTGAGACTCCACCTCAAAAAAAAACAAAAACGAAAACCCATAAGCAAAAATAGTCAAATTTTGAAACCAAAAACAAGCAGAAACAAAAAGTTTTCTAGCAGAAACAAAAACTCTTTTTAAAGCTACAGTTCATAAAATAACATGGTATTGGTACATGAGCAGACAGACCAATAGAGCTGATGGAATTTCTGGAGATAGATTATATAGGTATAAAAACGTAATACATTTTAAAGATGGCATTCCAAATCAGTTGGCAAAAGTTGGGTCCCTTAGTAATGACCATTATCATAGTCATCTTTTTGTATGGCTCCTATACTTTATTTGTAAACGCTGGGAACAACTGATTGTATTTTAGTGAGAGTATTTCCCTCTGGCCTGATCTAGTGTCTACCATTTCAGGAGAACCATCCATATAACAGTTGTGGTTTGCGTCAGAAGAAAATTTAGCATTTACATTTTAAGTTTCCAAAGGACAGATAAATTCTATGTAATAAAAAATTATATTTGAGGAATAAAATAAAACTATGAAATACATAGCTGGAAAAACATGACTTACTTTCTATTCTAAAAAGCAATATTATGATTTTTAGCCATATAAAATTTTATAAGAAGTAAAATATGTGGTAACTAGAAGCATCCTTTGGGAGAGGAAGTGCTGGAGTTATTTTGCTGGGGTCATAAGTTTATTGCTATATTTCTATAAATTTGTATATTTAAAAAATACATTAAAAAGAAGTGACAGGACACACTTTATATTATATATATATTTATTTATTTATTTTAGACAGAGTCTTGCTCTGTTGCCCAGGCTGGAGTGCAGTGGTGTGATCTCGGCTCCCTGCAACCTCTGCCTCCCAGGTTCAAGCGATTCTCCTGCCTCAGTCTCCTGAGTACCTGGAACTACAGGTGCCCACCACCGTGCCTGGCTAAATGGTGTATTTTTAGTAGAGACTGGGTTTCGCCCTATTGGCCAGGCTGGTCTCAAACTCCTGACCTCAAGTGATCCCCCTGCCTTGGCCTCCCAAAGTGCTGGGATTACAGGTGTGAGCCACTGCGCCTGGCCTCCCCACACTTTATATCTTGAAAGGATTAAACACAGCTTAAACTTACTTATTCGAATAATCTGTAGAATATTAATTTTCTTTTCCCAACAGCTGCATAAAACAAATTGCTTTAAATGAGAAAAAAAAGTGAATGTGAAGAGCTGTGCCTAATAGTCTACCAAACTGAAGGATTTAAAAGCATGTATTTTTTTACAGAAGTTGTTGTGTTATTTAGCAGAGTCCAGATACAAATTCACTTATTTTGAAAGTCTAGCACAGATTTACCCTATAATTTCTAAAGTAGATTGTGATTCAGTTTATGTATATAGATGAAAATTCATGCCTATTTTTCAGAGAGATAAATAAGCATTAATTAATCAAGAGAGTCCTCAGGAACCAGAGTAGATGAGACATTTTAAGAAACACACAATAAAAATCATCAGGAAATAATAAACAGTCCAGTTAGAATGGGACTTCAACAGACAAATTTTCCATCAATAGTTACAGCCTCAGAGTCTACCCAAGTGACAAACATTTAGACAGTGAACAACTAGTGCTTTCTAGTAACAGATTTTGGAAATGCTTTCTGACCTATCAATACACTGAAACTATCACTTGTAATCCAGGCAACTGTAATGATCAACTGTAGATCAATTCTAACTTTAACAGATGTTCTTTATGTCAGAAATGCAAAATCGAAGTCTCCTATGGATTTTTTTTCATGAACTGAAGCATCAGTGAGATGTATAAATTCCAGAGAAAATAAATTAATCCAGGTTATAGAAGCAACTGTATTAAAAGTGAACATTTCCAACAACTGAGGGGAGTTTTTGTTCCCCGCATTCCAAACTAGTTGGATTGAGTTTTTAATTGATCTAATCGTTTATTTCAGCCTCATGGGCAAAATTGGGTATGGAAAAAGTGATAAGTGAGATTATTCTTCTGGAATAAAAAACTCTGGGAATTCTGCTCTAAATTGGCAGACATTTGTCATCACAATAAATAACAAGTAAATATTGTTTTTGCATAAACTTATACACCAAGAAAAAGCTAAGAAAGGAAAGTGCTGGAAAAATGTGTTGTCTCGTATCACTACAGTGAATAACTACATTGTTTTCGTATTTTTACTTTTTTTCTAGAGTGGAAGAAGGTAGTCGGATTAGCATTACAAATCTTGGACTCCAGAGAGGAGGCTGAAACTTGGGAAGGTGGTGTTTTCAATGTTTGGAGGTTGCTCCTCTCTGGCTCTTTGACTGTGTGCGCACTCTTTTTCCAAGAATGCTTGTGTTTGGAAAGTGCTTCATGGTGGTGAAAAGTTTGAGCAGAAAAGATTAATCAAAGTTTGGGTCTTTCATGTTCAATGCATAACATATTCAGCTCTTGGATGTGAACTCTTAGCCAAGAAACTATTCAAATATTATTCAGGGGCTGAATGTGAGCTTTAACTGCAAACAAGAGGTCAACTTTACTTAGTCTTAACTCATTCCTCTTAAGTTCAGAAATGCTGTGACTTAAGGATTTTAAAAAATATTTTCTGCATAGCTCCTAATATCATATAAGAGGTCACTGAGAGTTCCTTTTATTTATTTTATTCTTAAATGCTTAAGGAAGCACATTCATTTGACCTGAAGTATGAAGGAAACAGGAAATGGTGGACTATGACTGCACCACATCCAGCGTGCTCTTAGAGGGGAGGAATGCTCTAGACTACCTAGTCTTTGTCATTTAGTACAATGTGACTAAATAACACACAACAACTTCTGTAAAAAACCTGTATTCAAATCAGGAAAGTGCTCTTATCTACACTACCATTTCTGCCTCCAGTACTTTCTGATTTACTCAGCTTTCCAGTGCTCTCAGGTTTTTCTCACTTCTCCCGGAATCTGTAACATACGGTAAGTTTTGGATTATGTTATTCCCAAGGAAGAAGGCATAGTTGTGGGAAGAACTATTATCCAGACCTGATACACCATTCCCAAGCTTCCAAGGTGGAATCCTGGAAGAATGCACCTCTGCCCCAACTAAGGAAGGCAAGTGCAGTGCTTCTAGTGTATCCTATGATGTTCTTCTTCCTGCCCTGCCATGCATCCACTTCTTGAATTTCTGGAGCACACCCTGCTCTGCTACAAAAAAAAAAAAAAGTTTTGTGAGATGAAAGCATATTGCATTGGCAAGCCCAGTGATTGCCCACATACATTGAGAAACTTCCAACTTGCCATATGCTAAACTAGATCTTTTTCATAATTCAGGAATCATGTCCTCTTTACATCTCTTTTCCTTATCAATTTGAAAAAGAAGCAACTGAAGGAAGACTTGTTTTAAAGAGTCACTTGGTCAGGTCATGATGCTTCATGGCAACCAGATGCTTAAAGGATAATAGGAGCCTGGATACTCTGTCTCTAGGATCCAGTGCTTTAAAAAGTTATAATTGTTTTTAGAAGATTCCCACTCATAGTGGACTTAGGACTCGACCTGGGGACCTATAATCACAATAATACTTTCCACATGCACTATATTACATTGGGGTATACATTTCAGTTAATATGTGCTGAGGAGTTGAAGAAAGGTTGTATATGATTCATAGAAAAAAAAAATTAGGCACCAGTGTCTAAGACAATGCCTGGTCCTTGGTGGGCAACCAATTAAGTATTTGTTGAATGAGTGAATACAAGATACTTCCTGAAAACAGAAAGACACAGAAAGAACCCTGCCCTTCAGAAGCTAATAGTGGGACGTTTCTTGTTACTGTGACTCTAAGAAGGGTTATAGCACCATTTAAACATCTCTGGCTTCCAAGAGGCTTCTAATAAACAGTGTTATTTAGCCAAGGGGGTGTTAATTAATTATAATAAATATAGCCTTTTTGAGTGAGTCTCAATAGTGGAGTTTTAAATTAACTTTGAATGTAGTCGTTTAGTGGTATTAAACAGGGAGGGAAAAGAAACCTGTCTGTGATTGACATTTGTGGTATTTTTAAAAAAGGTTTTTTAAAGGTAATAAAACATTTCCCCTTGCTATTATCATTTGTCTCTAAATATTGATTTAATATGGCTTGAACATAAGCAATGCCTCCCCAGGACTATAATTCAAGTTTGAATCACTAGAAGCAAACTGAGTACAAGATGCCTGCCGCTTGATTGTATAATCGGTCCTGACCCCTTGATTCCCTTTTTTTTTTCACATGGGTTTATGTTGCCTGTCAAAATTAGACCACAAGTTTATATTTTCACAAACTGCCTACCATCATCAACATTAAACTGTGCAGAAACATATTATATATTGTGGGCCCACTATGCATCAGATTCTGTGGCCCTGACTTACATTATTTTATTTAATTCTCATAACAGCCCTGTAAGTTAAAACCCATATCCCTATTATACAGCTGAGTTAACTGAAGCCACAGAGTTACAAAATATACCCTTTAGTTACCTTCCAAGTAGGTGCCAAGCCCAGATTAAGTCTATCAATCAATTGCCAAGACGCCTCTTCCCCCAGCACTAGTGCAGCCTTGCCAGGCAGTGGCAATAGTTTCTTGTTTTCTTCTTCAATGTCAGTTTCCCCATCCATATTAAAAAATAGCTAAAAAACAAAACAACAACAAAAAACAAAACAATAACTAATTGGTTAGTATCTGTAATTTTACCTTAACAATGAACATTGCTTTATGTAACTTTTACAGAAAGCTACATTATTTGATTATAACCCTGTAATGAAAACACACTTATTTAGTACTACAACCTTGAAACATGAAGTAATTATTATATTCAGTTCAGGCTATTGAGAGGTTAGACATATTCTTAAAGCAAAGGGCATGACTGAACATTAGGGATGTAAGAAAGCAATGGTCTTGACCTTATTTTTTTTCATATTCTTTTCTATGCCATAACATAATGGCTTATACTTATGTAGTATAAAAGATATCTGAAGGCTTAAAAATGCTCTGCAAACATTTAATTCTGTTAACCTTAAAGTTAATTTGACTAATTTATCTGGTATCGTGCTTTTATTCTGTAATTGAAATGAAATTTCATAACATAAATGACATACATTTCTATGCATATGGCTTAGAAAAAATTATACTGGAATGTTTAATTTACCTAATGGCTTTTTGACTAGATTTATCACTCATACACTCTCTCAGGGAGAAGGAAAAAAGGAATGAAGGGAAGGAGGGAGGGAGGAAGGAAGGGAGGAAGAAACAATGGGAAAAAAAGAAAAGAAAAAACAGAGAAGAGGGACAACTAATTTGAAGATGATAGAAGCTTTTGAAAACATTTTGTATAAATGCTGAAACAGACACTTCTTTAACTTTAGCTGAATGTATTCACCTACTTTTGTTTTTGCAGACAGCAGTTTTTGCCATTTAAAAACACTTAGGGAAAAAAATTCAAGTAAAAATATTTTGTAAAGATGAAATGATTTTTAAAATGAAAGGCACTTGGCATTCTGTAGCCATACTGCAGTGTTTTCATTTAGATACCATGTACCTTAACTGGCATTTTAGTTGAAACATGAATTTTCTCCTGTTGGCTGAATCATAGATTAGGCTCTAGTGGGATCCCTATTTAAATTCCAGTATGTGCTGAATAGAACTGTATAGAGTTTAGCTAGTTTGAGAAATCGGGAGTGAGGCCCATTTGACATTTTATGCATATCTTTTCTTTATTTCATTCTTCCTCCCCAAATGTATCCCTCTCCCAATGCATTTCCCTTAGTGTGGAGCGTAATTCCCATTCACTTGCTTTGCTTCTTAAGAGCTGCCTTCCCTTCCAGTCTTGGGCAGCTCCACCCCTTCTCACAGACCAAAGTAAATCTGCACAATAATGAGCCATATAAGGGAGGAATGACATCATCAGTTAGTGTTCCCAAGCTGTTTTGCACAACATTCACCTTTCATTGTTCTGATGACAGGGCTGGAATGTGACGGTTAATTCCCTGTGGAGTAGGGGGCTGAGCAAGGCCTGCTGCTGTTGAACAAACTTCAGTACCCCCTTATAAAAAAACAAAAACAAAAACAAAGCTACTATGCTTCCTAGTATTAAGGTAAGGAAGTCAAGATCTGTTTTGATTTAAGCAATGTTAGTTACTCTTGTCCATGCGCATTTCATTTGTTAATAGGCTTACTTGGCAGTAAACTCATTTCTAAGTGTTACTGCAAAGAGCATCTTGGAAGCTGGGTTTGGACATTTGTAGAGCCCTGACTAATCTGACAAGGGCTGTAAGAACTCGACAACCTTTCAGTTTGCAGCTACAGGTTTTACTGAGTGTGGATGGTGACAAGCCTTGAAAATTACCAGCTCATTGTGACTTTCCTTGATGCCTCAGAATCCTTGATTGAAACTGGCCAAGATGCACCTTGGTATGGTATGAAGAGTGCTCCTGGTTTTCTATGGTGGGGGAAGTAATTTCATCCTACAGAAACCTTGGGGAGTTTGTACCAGAACTGAAAAATCTCTTGTCTTACTACCAGCAGTCCTACTAATGTGTTCTGAAGGCTTTTAACAGTCAGCCTTTCTATATACTGTAAATGTATCTTCTAGTGTATGATTTCTTGATGAGCAAGCAACTAATTTCAAGTAAAATATTCTTCCCAAAGGTTTGTTGTTATTGTTGTTGTTGTCATGTGGATTTTCTGCAGCTCTCTCTTTGCATGTGTGGAAAAGGCTTGTAAAAGTTGGCAATGAATTAGAATGCATAGCGATCCAAAGAAAGCCGTGTTTGTTCTGAAACACTCAGTGTGGCTGTGATAACAAGAATAATAAAGTAAATAGGAGGTTTGATTTCAAAGTGGGAATGAGAGTAAAGTTTGGATTATGTTAAACAATTGTGTAAAAACTTGAACTTTAGTAATTTTTCAAAATGCCAAAAAACATTGTCTAAATTCAGCAGAGTGTATAAAAATAAATAGCTTGATTTAGTGCTCAGTAGGGCTGAAAGATCTGTGAGTCCTTCACAAAAGAACTTCATTTGGCCAAAACCAAATTTTTATAGTGTGATTTTAGATTCACATGACCCGTTTTATAGAAATTTGAAATGGGGGCAGATGGTATGGTTTTCATTTGTGTAGATTTAATTTGTGTAACATTGGTTGTTAATACTGTTTTGTCTCTGTGTTTAAAGTGATGAATATCTTGAGTTCAACTATGATGAAAATCTTGGGTTCACTACATTGATCTTCCTGGATTCTTAATTCCATGTGACTGGATGAACTTCTGTTTACTTGTAAAATTAAGTATCCTTTCCACCACAGAAGGATGCTCACATTTGTCTTTTTTCTAGATTAACAATAGTCAAGATCAATACAAAATTAAGTCTGAGGTTTTGGAGTTTTGTTTATTGTTTCAACATTTAGTTTTTTGAATTAGTTTTAAAGGTTTTCCAAAACTGGGTGAGATAATTATTAAATAAATGTTAACATAATAATTCAAAAAAAATTTAGCAAAATTTTACATAAGCTTATATTTAAAACTTTTTAAAAGACCTTTAAATGTCATGGCAATAAACCCAACTGCCATTGTAAAAAGGGAGAGGTTTACTTTTCTGAGTAAGTAAATGAAAACACACCAATAAGTGATGTATATACTTAAATTAATTTGCTACCTAAGTTATGTCTAAGTTATTTTAAACAAATTTTATTTGTGAAAATGGATTTACCCAAGAGACAAATTAGATTAGTAGTATCTTAATTAAGAGCTTTACAGTAAAATACTTTTATGTTGTGAGCTCCCATACTGTATAAGCTTAAAACCATGACTTTGCCCAGCACTGTATAAAAGTGTGTGTGGAGTAAAATGAGGTGTATGGTACCTTTATGGATTGTCTCCAACTTCTTTGACTAGTCTCAGAAAACCTCATTCATGCTGCCAGCTCCTCCTGTTATGTTCTGTGTGACCACAAGTGCCTTCCATGGGGGAAAGGCTCCTCACACTGTGGGAGGTGTATGTGGAAGGAGACCCTCACACATGGGAGACCCTCATACTGTGAATTCAGGGACTGAAAAACCTACCTGCTTCTAATATCCTCCCTGCTTCCCCCAGGGAATCCTTCCATTTAACTTATTTTCCAAGGGAGAGAATTTCCTGTGGCAATATGCATTTCCTAAATATAGCATCCCATAATTAGGTGTGATGAACTGGGCAATACATTCCTTAAGAATGGGATACGGAAGGCCTCTTTGAGTTGGGGAGAGAAGGTGAAGGGGCCACCTGGAAGGGAGAGCCCAAGGTCACACATTTAAGTGACAAACTTGTATGGTTCATGGCTTTTCCTGTTCCTAGTGAAAATTATTAGGTAAATTCATTCACCTGGCTGATTATACACATTATCAAAAAGAAAGAATAGTACCTGCTTTTTCTTATTTTAAAAGTATTTCATCTGACCAATTGGAGTGGGTGTTTGAAAAGTACTTTGAAACATAGAAAATAGGAAAACACAATAAAAGGCATATTGTTGTCCTCTTTGGGGAGAGGACATAAGAACAGAAACCTTAAGGTTGAGAAAGAAGAGCCCATGAGACTACTGTGAACTGCTGTCTTGGTTCATTCAGGCTGCTATAACAAAGTACCATAGGCTGGGTGGCTGATAAACAACAAAATCTTTTTTTCTCACAGTTCTGGAGGCTGAGAGTTCGAGATCAGGGTGCCAGCACAGTCAAGTTCTGGTGTGGGTCCTCTTCCTGGTTGCAGACTTCTGTCTTTTCCTTATATCCTCATGTGTGAGAGCCCTCTGGGATCCCTTTTCTAAAGGTAGTAATCCCATTCATGAGGGCTCCACCTTTCTGACCTAATCACCAATCAAAGGCCACAACTCTTAATACCAGCGCATGGGGGGTTAGGGTTTTAATATACAAATTTTGGAATGTGAGGGGATATAAACCTTCAATTCACTGCAGTCGTGCAGGTTGTAGCTTACAAGGTGTAGTGTACAAGGGTGCCTGACTAGTGAAGGAATGGGAGCTGAAATAGAGTCGCAGCATGGCACTGATTCCATAGAAAGGAAGGAGATCTTTCCAGTTCTGACAAATATGCCACATGGGTTATACGCCTGACAACAGGAGAAGGGTATTGGGAAGGCCGACAACTGCAAAAGCCCTGAACAACTACTTCCTCCATCCATGTCCCCATCCTTGGGTGTCCCCAAGTAGCCTATATTTAAAGGATAAATGGCATTTAACATAGCCTTGCAATATATATATTTTTATTCCTATCCCCTAATACACTGACAACGGGGAGGAGACATTCTGCCCATCTTTGTTGAATTAGTGAGTTAATTAATGAATCATGGTTATATTCTATATGAGTCAGGGAGCTTCATACTAGAGTGTGTAATCAGAGAGTTCCCTCTCAGTGAATCTCAAATATGGGCCTCCTGGATGGTCAGCAAATTATCAGAAAATACCAGCCATTTCTGTGGCTCATATGAGCAAACAACTAACAATTCCCTAGACTTTAATTTTTATTGTGACTAAGTGGTATTTACTAGTTACGTATTGAGCAATTTATTTTACAACATATATAGCATTTATAAATTTAAATTAGCATGTTACCAGATTTTCTTGAAGACTAAATCAGTATTTTACAATATAGTCTAGCTGCTACCTAGTTTGCAAATACCTACAAGTTTCTGCTTACCTGATAGTAAGAAATGTAATCATCTCCAAGACGTATAATTTGTTATTAGTCATGAACTTTTCATGGTTTTCAGTTCTTGCCATCTATGGGTTTTAAAGGTAAATTACTACGGATTAAACTTCACAATCAGTTTAGTTTGTTGTGGGTTGTTGGGCTAACCCACAGAGAGTCCATAATGCAGGTCCTTAGTTTATAATTTTCAACAACTAGTTCCAAGGCCCATCATCAATATTCCTATTCTAGAGCAGAATTATACATAACCCCCTCGAAATCTGATGAAAAATAAAACTTCATTTATGATAATTTGCCTGAGCTTTGTATGTTTGCCATTTGAATTACTTGAATTATACTAGCAAAGGAAATGTAATTAAATTACTGGATTTTTTAAAAATTTATAGGATGTATAATAGTTTTATAGCTTAAAATCATAAATATAACTACAGGATCTTCTCTTATGAAGAAAAAGCAGTTCACAAAAGCTGCTAGCAACAGGTCTACAGATTTTTTCTCTTCTCTTTCAATTTTTTTTATCACCAAGTTCTTTTTTAGAGTGGGACTATGTGAAATAGGCCTTCCTGCACTGGGCTAGGGTCAAAAATTTGAGATCACAGGCTCCAAAACGTTGCTGGTCTTTATAAGACAAGAGGAGAAAAAAAGTGTACGAGGGCTTTTGTAAACTCATCTTCACTGCTAAGAAATACAAAACAAAAACAAAGCTCAAAAGTTTTTGTCCTATTGGGAAGGATTCACCATTTATCTCTTTATAAAAAATGATTCTCTGGCACTCAGAAATCAGAGTTGGAACTAGGGTGAGGCAAGTGAGGCTCTCACCTTGGGTGCAAAATTTAAGGTGATGCCAAAAAACTCAGTAATCAAGATATACTATATTTTAATGAACTATTTAAAAAGTATCAAAATTAATGCAAAAAATCCACGATGAAGAAAATATCAAAATTTCAAGTGAAGACGGGCTCTGACTCTGCAGTTGTACAACCCAACCCTCATCCACTTCTCTCTCATCCCAGCCCTGCACAGTATATTAGGGCCATTACCTTAATTCTGGATAACTATAATAATAATCACCATATTGAGGAAATGAGGTAATTTATTCAGAAGTAACATTCTATAATTGGATCATTGGTAACACAAAGGATATGCTTGAGGTCATGGATACCTCATGTACCCTGATGTGATTACTACACATTGTATGACTGTATCAAAATATCCCATATACCCCATAAGTGTATATACCTACTATGTACCCACAAAAATTAAAGATTAAAAATTTAAAAAATTAAAAAGTAATGCCCTTTCTGAGTTATTTGGTTAAACCATGCCCTATTATTTTAACAAGGTGCTTAGCTCTATACTGTACTCTAGTTGGGAAAAAACACATTGTGACTAAAGACTTCAAACTACATGTAAGCTTGACTCTTTTGAGGTTCATTCATCTTTAATTACTATCATGCCCTTATGAGTTTTAACCTGCCCTCTGTCTTGGAAGACAGAGAGGCGTACCCAAGGGGAGAGTTGAAGAAAAGCAAAAATAGTGTTCTGAGAAGGAAATTAACATGGTCTGGCTAAGAAACAAGCTTAGGATGACTTTTTGGTGACATTTGTGTTGCAAAACGGGGTCCGATGGATTAAGATGAGGACAAGTGACAAAATCTTAAGGAGTCAAAGAGACAACTGATGCTCTGGAGCTAATGCTGATAAATTTGGAAATGTGGTTGAAAAGTGGGAGTGTCAAGAATGTTGGGCAAAAGGAGCCCTGAAATCTTACACCACTTTATTCCAAGAAAGAGAGGTAAGAATGAATACAGGCAGATGTCCCCTTAAATATTTAGGAGCACAGATTGACAAGTGTTCCAAGGATGGTGGTTATCACAAGAATGGATAATTAGGATAAGCTTTAAAAAAATTCTCACTTCCCATTTCCTTCTCCCAAACAGTTTGTCCTTAGACCATAAGAAGAAAGATAAATTAACAAGTATCTGTGGAATAGGACAGACTGAGAATACTTTATCTGGCATAAGTTTGACTAAGTATCAAATGGATTCCAATAAGGAAGAAAAGTAAAAGTCTAACAAACTAAATTATATAAACATGGAAGGGAATAAGAGAATCACCCACAGTCACAGACAGATGTGAAAGTTCCATGGCACTGTGAGGAAAGTGAAAATACAACCAAAGGCCAAGGGAGCTGAGACTGGAGGTGAGAGGGGCGAGCTAAATATTACAAAGGAGATTTTTTAAAAAAACATTATTAGCTGGGCACGGTGGCTCATGCCTGTAATCCCAGTACTTTGGGAGGCTGAGGTGGGTGGCTCACTTGAGGCCAGGAGTTTGAGACCAGCCTGGCAAACATGTGAAACCCCATCTCTACTAAAAATACAAAAATTAGCCAGGCGTGGTGGTGCATGCCTGTAATCCCAGCTACTCATGAGGCTGAGGCAGGAGAATTGCTTAAACCCGGGAGGCCGAAGTTGCAGTGAGATCATGTCACTGCACTCCAGCCTGGGTGACAGAGTGAGACTCCATCTCAAAAGAAACAAACAAACAAACAAAAACATTATTACAGAAAATTTCAAACATTTACAAAAGTAAAGAGAACAGTATAATGAACACCCATGTACCCATCAATAATCTTCAACAATTAATTAACTTATGACCAGTCTGGTTTCATCTATTTTTCACCCCCCTGAATTATTTTGATATAAATTTCAGATACATAATTTCATTCACAAATATTTCAATATGTACTTCTAAAAAATAAGGACTTAAAAATAAAGGACTCTTGCCATAATCCATTATCTAACCTAAAACTTAATAATTATTTCTCAACAATATAATTTTTCCAATTATCTCATTTAAAAAAGCAGTTTGAATAAGAATCCAAAAGGTTACAATTGGTTGATATGTCTTCTAAATTTTAAAAAAATCCATAGGTTCCCCTTTCTGCTCCCATTTTATCTTGCAATTTATTGATTGAAGAAACTAGTTTGTTTATCCTATGTAGTTGCCCACATTTTGGATTTTTCTGATTGCATCATCATGAGGTCATTTAGCAGTTCCTTGCTCCTATCTTTCCTTTAAACTAGTAATTAGTAGTTATAGGAGCTTGATTTGATTCAGGTTCAGGGTTTTTTTTGTTAAGAGAATCTTTCGTGGGTGGAGGTTTGTATATAATGTCTGGCTGTCTCTTTTTGAGAAACACTGATGAGCATTACCTACATCCATTATTTCAAAATGGTGGTATTCTATAGTTACCTCTTTATTTATCAATAGTAGCATGTTTTCATTTATTAATTTATAAAGAATAAGGAAAAACAAAGTTTTAAATTAAGAAGAAACGTTAATATATATCTCTTAATGTTTATATAGGAAAAACAAACTAGTTTCTTAAATATATATGAGGGAGATCTGGAGAGTGTTTTGAAAGGCTCTGTGCATTGACCTTTTTATTTTATATTTATATATATGCATATATACTTATATATATATATTCATATATATATATTCACACACAAAAAAATCTTAAAATACTGATCCTGCCCTACCTGTTTCCTGTGTTCACTTTCCCGTTTCTCCTTCCTTTTACAAGCAGAGTGACATGATCTGATTTACCCTCTTTTAGGATCATTCCGGCTTCTGGGAAGAGAACAGACTGTGGGTGGACAAGAGTGGAAGTTGGGAGTCAGACTGGGTGGCTCTTGCAATAATCCAGATAAGAGATGATGGTGGCTTGGGCCAGGGGGATAGCAATGGAGGAAGTGAGAAGTAACTGGATTCAGGATATATTTTGAAAGCAGAATTGACAAGATTTGCTGATGAATTGAATGCAGGGATGTTACTCAAGATGGCTCTAAATTTCAGTCCTAAGCATCTGGAAGAAGCGGGTGTAGGTGACTGATTTGAGGAAGATGTGGTTGGAACAGATTCATGGGGAAGATTGGGAGCTCAGAAGAGATAAAGAATGAACAGCTCAGTGGGCTCACAGCTAATTGAATGACAATGTCCACGCTACTGAATGGATTGATGTCAGCAGGAGGGAGATCTGGAGAGTGCTTTGAAAGGCTCTGTGCATTGACCTATTTAATTAATAATTGGGGTCATCTTGCCATTGACACAATGCTAGGTATAAGCTGTTATTCTGGGTGACAAAATAGAGTCCAAGGGGCATCTTGACAATTCTAAGATAAACTGAATCAAGCAAGATGAAGTTAACCTAAACAGAGTCTGGCAAACCTGAGCTGTCCAGGCAATATCCATTTGAGCAATAGCATTGTTATGAAAGCACAGTGTTTGTGCAAATAGATCTGATTCAAAATCCCAACCTTCTTAGTCATGTTCTCTTAAGTTAAATAATGATTTACCTTATTTATAAAATGGTATAGTATTGCCTTGCTCAAAGGGAATGAAAATTAAATGAAATAATAAAGCTCTCACACTACCTAGGAGACCTTTCCTTTTATTTCATATGTTGTCAAAATTAGGTATTAGCAAATATTGGAGTTGGGGTGGGCTTTATTTAAGCTTTATTTTATTTTAATAGTTTTTGGGGAACAGGTGGTTTTTTGTTCAGGGATATGTTCTTTAGGGATAGCTATTTAGTGGTGATTTCTGAGATTTTGGTGCACCCATCATCCGAGCAGTGTACGCTGAACTCAATGTGTAGTCTTTTATCTTTTACCCCTCTACCCCACTTCCCTGAGTCCCCAAAGTCCATTGTATCATTCTTATGCCTTTGCGTCCTCATAGCTTAGATCTCACTTATAAGTGAGAACATATGATATTTGGTTTTCTATTCCTTAATTACTTCACTTAGAATAATGGTTTCCAACTCCATCCAGGTTGCTGTGAATGCCATTATTTTGTTCCTTTTTATGGCTGAGTAGTATTTCATGATGTGTGTGTGTGTGTGTGTGTATATCTATCTATCTCTCTATCTATCTATCTAATCTATCTATCTATCTATCTATCTATCATCTATCATCTGTCTATTATCTATATCTCACCTTTTATCCACTCGTTGGTTGATGGGCATTCAGGCTGGTTTCATATTTTTGCAGTTGCGAGTTACACTGCTAAAATATGCATGTGCAAGTGTCTTTTTCATATAGTGACTTCTTTTCCCCTGGGTAGATCCCCAATAGTGGAATTGCTGGATCAAATGGTGGTTCTACTTTTAGTTCTTTAAGGAAGCTTCATAATGTTTTCCATAGTGGTTGTACTAGTTTACATTCCCACCAGCAGTGTAAAAAAGTGTTCACACATGATGTGATCCCTTTTCACCACATCCATGCCAACATCTATTTTTTTTTATTTTTTAATTATGGTAATTCTTGCAGGAGCAAGATGGTATCTCATTGTGGCTTTGATTTTGCATTTTCCTGATAAGTAGTGGTGTTGAGCATTTTTTCCAAATGTTTGTTGGCTGTTGGTATATCATCTTTTGAGAATTGTCTATTCATGTCCTTTGCCCACTTTTTGATGGGATTATTTGTTTTTTCTTGCTGATTTAAATTCCTTATAAATTCTGGATATTAGTCCTTTGTCAGATGCAGAGTTTGCAAATATTTTCTCCCACTCTGTGGGATGTTTACTCTGCTGTTTTGTTTTGTTTTGTTTTTTGAGACAGAGTCTCGCTCTGTCACCCAGGCTGGAGTGCAGTGGCGCAATCTCGGCTTACTGCAGCCTCCACCTCCCAGATTCAAGCAATTCTCCTGCCTCAGCCACCCAAGTAGCTGGGGCTACAGGTGTGTGCCACCACACCCAGATAATTTTTATATTTTTAGTAGAGATAGGGCTTCACCGTATTGCCCAGGCTGGTCTCGAACTCCTGACCTCAGTTGATCCACCTGCCTTGGCCTCGGCCTCCCAAAGTACTGGGATTATAGGCATGCACCACCATGCCCAGTCTGATTACTTCTTTTGCTGTACAGAAGCTTTTTAGTTTAGTTAGGTTCCATCTATTTATTTTTGTTTTTGTTGCATTTGCTTTTGGGTTCTTGATTATAAACTCTTTGCCTAAGCCAATGTCTAGAAGAGTTTTTCCAATGTTATCTTCTAGAGATTTTATGGTTTCAGGTCTTACATTTAAGTCTTTGATCCATCTTGAGTTGATTTTTGTATAAGGTGAGATGAGGATCAAGTTTCATTCTTCTACATGCGGCTTGCCAATTATCCCAGCACCGTCTGTTGAACAGGGTATACTTTCCCCACTTTATGCTTTTGTTCGCCTTGTTGAAGATCAGTTGGCTGTAAGTACTTGGCTTTATTTCCAGGTTCTCTATTCTGTTCCATTGGTCTACATGCTTATTTTTATACCAGTACAATGCTGTTTTGGTGAATATGGCCTTCTAGCATAGTTT
The DNA here is from genome assembly GCF_000001405.40 of Homo sapiens. Classification (NCBI taxonomy): domain Eukaryota; kingdom Metazoa; phylum Chordata; class Mammalia; order Primates; family Hominidae; genus Homo; species Homo sapiens. The sequence continues at coordinate 75,324,681 of NC_000006.12, read as the reverse complement.
GAAATCAGGTAATTGATGCCTCTAGATTTGTTTTTTCGCTTAGTGTTGCTTTGGCTATGTGGGCTCTTTTTTGGTTCCATATAAATTTTAGGATTGTTTTTTCTAGTTCTGTGAAGAATGATGATGACATTTTGATGGGAAATGCATTGAATCTGTAGAGTGCCTTTGGCAGTATGGTTATTTTCACAATATTGATTCTACCCGTCCCTGAGCATGGGGTGTGCTTCCATTTGTTTGTATCATCTGTGATTTCTTTCAGCAGTGTTTTGTAGTTTTCCTTGTAGAGATCTTTTATCTCCTTGGTTAGGTATATTTCTTTCCTTTTTTTTTTTTTTTGGTTAGGTATATTTCTAAGTGCTTTATTTTATTTTTATTTTTTTGCAGCTGTTGTAAAAGGGATTGAGTTCTTGATTTGATTCTCAGTTTGGTCACTGTTGGTGTATAGCAGTGCTACTGATTTGTGTATAGTGATTTTGTATCCTGAGACTTTACTGAATTCATTAATCAGATCTAGAAGCTTTCTGGATGAGTCTTTAGGATTTTCTAGGTATAGGATCATATCACTGGCAAACACTGACAGTTTGACTTCCTGTATTAGTCCATTTTCACACTGCTACAAAGACACCACCTAAGACTGAGTGATTTATAAATAAAAGAGGTTTAATTTACTCACAGTTCTGCAGGCCTGGGGAGGCCTCAGGAAACTTATAATCATGGTGAAAGGCAAAAGAGAAGTTAAGTACCTTCTTCACAAGGCAGCAGGAAAGAGAGTGCAGAGGAAACTGCCACTTTTAAAACCATCAGGCCTCATGAAAACTCCCTCACTATTATAACAGCGTGGGGGGAACCACCCCTATCCAATCACCTACCAACAGGTCCATCTCTTGACATATGGGGATTATAATTGAGATGAGATTTGGGTGGGGACACAGAGCCAAACCATGTCACTTCCTTTCTACCAGTTTGCATGCCCCTTATTTCTTTTTCTTGACTGATTGCTCTGGCAGGGTGGGCTTTTAAGAGCCTCTTGAAGTAATATTAGGACTAGAGATTGTCTAGGACCTGAAACATTACCTCACCAGAAAAAGTTTTCTTGTCAGCCCCTCTAACACCACCTGAAATGTCAGCTCCCTTCTCTTTACCTTCCCCACCTGTGCTTCCACCTCTTTCTGCCTTAAGATTAATAACCAATTTTATGTTTTCTATCATATTTTAAGTCACTCGCTAGTAATATTTGTTTACAATCTTTCTCCCTTTATCTGACATCTCGGAACACTTTCCAGGGTTTTAATTTCTTTTTTCTGGTTTTTAATTGAGATATAATTTACATACAGTAAAATTCACCAATTTTAATTACATAATTTGATGAATCTTGACAAATGTATGCACCATCAACAATCATAGAATGTTTGGGAATATAAAGTTGAGCTATTAAATTCTAAACTCACATTTGGAGCTCAGAATGGAACTACTATGCCACTCATTTACCTGGGTTTTTAATCCAATTGCCATTATTTAATTAAATGTAAAAAAAATCACATTAATAAAGAGTTTTCTAAATGGCAAAAAATAAAAATAAAAAAGGAAAAACTTCTGGGCCCACACTTTTAAAGTCTTCTAGTTGAAAATAATTAAATTTCTGAACATGCTGATAAGTGATCAATTTGCAAGTTAAAAAGTATAATTTTGGCTGGCCATAGTGGCTCATGCTTGTAATCCCAGCACTTTGGGAGGCCGAGGTGGGTGGATCATCTGAGGTCAGGAGTTTTAGACCAGCCTGGCCGAGATGGTAAAACCCCGTCTCTACTGAAAATACAAAAATTAGCCAGGTGTGGTAGCACATGCCTGTAGTCCCAGCTACTCAGGAGGCTGAGGTGGGAGAATCATTTTAACCCGGGAGGCTGAGGTTACAGTGAGCCAAGATGGCACCACTGCACTTCAGCCTGAGTGACAGATTGAGACTCTGTCTCAAAAAAAAGTATAATTTTATTCAGTATGAAATAAGAAATTAAGAATACATTTAAGAATAGTTATTAAGAAAGGCAATAACAATTTAAAATACCTATTAATTCATTTACTTGTCTTTGTTCTCTAAAGAGGACTAAATGCTTGCAGAAAATTTAAAATTTGCCAAGAAAAAGTTTGATTTTAGGATACTTAGGGCTCTACCTGTGACTGCTGATGGGAATCAGGGTACTAATTTATTTTTTTAGTCTTAGTCTTCTGGTTTGTTTCCTTTTCATGCTAATATATTTAGAATCAAGGCATAGTTGAAGAATGGGAAGGTGAGCGGAGAAGAGAATGGAGAGGAGGTGGTAAGACTAGTTGGCACAAGCAAAACTTAAATCTCTTATTCTGCTTCTTAAATAGCATAATTACACGGAAATGGTGCCCAGTAATGTAGAGCAAATTAATTGTTTGAAGTGTAAAATGAAATTGTAACTATTAGGAAATTGTTGAAAAAAAAAGAGATGTAATATGCCATAGGCATTATGTTTTGTGAATAGATACATGCTATATTTCTGAATGCCGAATGCTTGTTTAATGTAAAATGAGGATTTCTAAATATGAGGGAAGAGAAAAAAACATCTGCAAGTGGAATGCTGAATCGACTGGGGAGGTGGATAAAGTGAGACACAAGCCTGTTCCTGCCTTCCCAAAACCCTCTTCCTTGGGTGCTCCTGTGTTTCTCCATGGCTCCCTCTTTCTCTGTATCTGTTTCTCCTCTTCTCTCTCTGCACAGGCCTTCCATAGGTCCTTCTAATTCTTTTTATCTCTCATTTTTGGGCATTTCCCAAAGTTTTTTCTCCATCCTATCCTTTTTCTCTCTTTAGATATGTTCTACTTTGGAGATCACATTCATTTCTTTTTTTTTTTTTTTGAGACGGAGTCTCGCTCTGTCGCCCAGGTCGGACTGCGGACTGCAGTGGCGCAATCTCGGCTCACTGCAAGCTCCGCTTCCCGGGTTCACGCCATTCTCCTGCCTCAGCCTCCCGAGTAGCTGGGACTACAGGCGCCCGCCACCGCGCCCGGCTAATTTTTTGTATTTTTAGTAGAGACGGGGTTTCACCGTTTTAGCCAGGATGGTCTCGATCTCCTGACCTCATGATCCACCCGCCTCGGCCTCCCAAAGTGCTGGGATTACAGGCGTGAGCCACCGCGCCCGGCCGATCACATTCATTTCTATGTCTAAGGAAATATCACCTCCATTATGGAAATAAAAATCTAACAATTACTAAGCTTTTTAGCACTGTGAAAATTTCTATGTAGGGTGGGATGGCTGACAAAATGATCGCATGTTTCCCTCTGATTTTCTTTCCTCCTAGGAGTTCTGTCACCTTAATTACCACTGTTCTTCCCAATAGACCCAAGGGTGTACTGCTCCACATTAGATTTTGATCCAACTGTGGGTGAAAATCCCTTTCCTTTAAAAAAACAAAACAAAAAACAAAACAAAACAAAAAAACGACAACAGTCTGGGCACAATGACTCACAATTGTAATCCCAACACTTTGGGAGGCCAAGATGGGAGGATTGCTTGAGGTCAGGAGTTTGAGACCAGCCTGAACAACATAGTAAGATGCCATCTTGAAGAAGAAGGAGAGGGAGAAGGAGGAAGTAGAAGAGGAAGAGGAGGAGAAGGAGGAGGAGGAAGAAGAACTAAGACAAACTAGTGACACAAAAACCTATGAGAGAAAAAAAGCCTTAATTCAGCCTGTTCTAATACTCCCATAGCTGTTTTATAGGTTAAATAGAGGTTGTTCAGCCTCCAGTGCTACAGGTAGACAGATAGTAAGGGATATCTTGCTCAGCCCATATAGAGAAGGCTCCCTCCCTCATTTGAGGTTTCTCAGTTGAGAGACACATTTCTTTTCTAATAGGCTAACAATTAAAATGGACACGTTCTTCAAGGGAGGCCATTGCTCATTAGACAGAGGAACTCATCTAATAACCACTATTAATATAAAATTGCTGGCCTAATAACAACTGCAATATCTGTTTAACAAAAATGTATACTCACTCAGCATCGTGGAGAACTTTAGTTAATACATCTCTATTTAGGTAATTTCCAGATCTATATTTGTTTTCTTTTTTTCTTTTTTTTGAGATAGGGTCTTGTTCTTTTGCCCGGGATGGAGTGCAGTGATGTGATCTCGGCTCACTGCAACCTCTGCCTCCCGGGCTCAGGTGATCCTCCCACCTCAGCCTCCTGAGTAGCTGGGATTACAGGCACATGCCACCACACACAGCTAATTTTTGTTTTTTTGCTTTGTTTTGTTTTGTTTTTGTAGAGATGAGGTTTTGCCATGTTGCCCAGGCTGGTCTCTAACTCCCAGACTCAAGCGATTTGCCTGCCTCGGCCTCCCAAAGTGCTGGGATTACAGGCTTGAGCCACCGCTCCCAGCCTACAGATTTATGTTTCTAATTCAAGTTTATATCTTCATTCTTTCTCTTGTTTATGCATTCAGTCAATATTTCTTGAGCACATCCTATGTGTCAGGCATTACGCAAGGGGGCAAACAAGACAAACATGGCAGCTACCCTCATGGAATTTGCATTAACAGAGGTAGGCAGACATTAAAAAAATTATAAGTTGGGACAGCCATTGCAGTAACTGAGCTCCATAGAGACAGCACCGGGGCAAATGAGAGCCGGACCGGCACTGGGCGACTCTGCCTTGCTGAAGAAAAATAACTAAACATGGGCAATGGAGATCCTAAGAAGCTGAGAGGCAAAATGTCATGATATGCATTCTTTGTGCAAACTTGTCCGGAGGAGGAGCATAAGAAGAAGCACCCAGGTGCTTCAGTCAACTTCTCAGAGTTTTCTTTTCTTTTCTTTTTTTTTTTGGGGGACGGAGTCTTGCTCTGTTGCCCAGGCTGGAGTGCAGTGGCACAATCTCAGCTCACTGCAAGCTCCGCCCCCCGGGTTCACACAATTATCCTGCCTCAGCCTCCGCAGTAGCTGGGACTACAGGCGCCCGCCGCTACGCCCGGCTAATTTTTTGTATTTTTAGTAGAGACAGGGTTTCACCGTGTTAGCCAGGATGGTCTCGATCTCCTGACCTTGTGATCCGCCAGCCTCGGCCTCCCAAAGTGCTGGGATTACAGGCGTGAGCCACCGGGCCCGGCCTCAGAGTTTTCTAAGAAGTGCTCAGAGAGGTAGAAGACCATGTCTGCTGAAGAGAAAGGAAAATTTGAAGATATGGCAAAGGCGGACAAGGCCCATTATGAAAGAGAAATGAAATCTATAGCCCTCCTAAAGGGGAGACAAAAAAGAAGTTCAAGGACTCCAGGGCACCCAAGAGCTCTCCTTCGGCCTTTTTCATGTTCTGCTCTGAGTATCGCCCAAAAATCAAAGAAGAACATCCTGGCCTGCCCATTGGTGATGCTGGAAGAAACTGGGACAGGTGTGAAATAATACTGTTGCAGATGACAAGCAGCCTTATGAAAAGAAGGCTGCGAAGCTGAAGGAAAAACAAGAAAAGGATATTGCTGCATATCAAGCTAAAGGAAAGCCTGATGCAGCATAAAAGGGAATTGTCAAGTCTGAAAAAAGCAAGAAAAAGAAGGAAGAGGAGGAAGATGAAGAGGATGAAGAGGAGGAAGAAGGTGAAGAAGATGAAGATGAAGAAGATGACGATGATGAATAAGTTGGTTCTAGCACAGTTTTTTTTCATGTCTATAAAGCATTTAACCTCCCTGTACACAACTCACTCTTTTTAAAGAAAAAAATTGAAATGTAAAGCTGTGTAAGATTTTTTAAACTGTACAGTGTCTTTTTTTTTTGTATAGTTAACACTCTACAGAGTGTGTCTTTAGATAGTCCTGTCCTGGTAGTATTTTCAATAGCCAGTAACCTTGCCTGGGACAGTATGGAGGTTGTTAATTGGCATAGATTTAAAGCAGGTTCTTGTTGGTGCACAGCACAAATTAATTATATATGGGGATGGTAGTTTTTTCTTTTTCAGTTGTCTCTGATGCAGCTTATACGAAATAATTGTTGTTCTGTTAACTGAATACCACTCTGTAATTGCAAAGAAAAAAGTTGCAGCAGTTTTGTTGACATTCTGAATGCTTCTAAGTAAATATAACTTTTTTATTAGAAAAAAATATATGTTGATTAAGTGTTATAAAAGAAAACTGGGCCAGGCATGATGGCTCACACCTGTAATCCCAGCATTTTGGGAGACTGAGGCAGGAGGATCACTTGACACCAGCAGTTCAATACCAGCCTAGGTGACATCGGGGCGACTCTGTCTCTACAAAAAATAAAAATCTTAGCCAGGCATGTGCTATGTGCCTGTAGTCCCAGCCATTTGGGAGGCTGAGGTCGAAGGATAGTTTGAGCACAAAACGTTGAGGCTGCGGTGAACTATAATCATGCCACAGCACTTCAACCTGGGTGACAGAACAAGATCTCGTCTCTAAAAAAAAAAAAAAAAAAAAAAAAGACTGTATAATAATTGATATTATAGGAGTCTATAAGAAGTTCTGACTTAATTGGGTTTGAAGAAGTGACATTGAAGTGAAACTTGGAGGATGAAAAGCTATCCAGGAACATTCAGTTGAGTGTGACGTGTGACAGGATGAAAAAAAAAGGAGCAGGGAGGAAATACTAAGCAGAGGACACAGCATTTGCAAGGAATGTTAGATAACGGGAGAGACTGACTGGACATGAACTTATCAAGGAGGTCAGGTATTGAATCCCATCATTCCCATCCCCAATGTCTTGCCTGTAAGAAGTTTGATTGCAGGTCTATTTGTGCAGAAGGCATTGGCAGGCCTTCCAAAATGAGCTGAGCAACTTTACCTTGATCCTGGATCTGACCCTCAGCTGTACCAACTGGGAAACTGGGTTTTGGGAGCACACAGAGAATGAGCCTGGTATTTCTGTAGAGCCACTTTAACTATGAGATGGGCATGGTTTAAGATGTGGTGAAAGAGAATAGGAGGGAGAGTAAGCTAATGGGGTTAGAAAAACAGAAATAATCACAGCTAGGAGAACGTGAAAAATGTGGTTTCCTGGAAGCCAAATTCCTGCTGAGATCACGCTCTAGCTCATGGAATTTCCCACTGATTGGAATGCCTTCTGCTTTTCTCTGGCTGAAACATTAGTGCCCCAAGTTTTACTATCAAAGACAGGATAATGACAAAAATATTTATTGGTTAAATATAGAAAGCACTGACAGTCTTTCCAGATGAAGCCAATAGCATATACAATAGTTCTTATCTTTTTGTGCTTTATTACATTCATGTATTGAGTCTATGTATCTGTCACTTTACTTCTACTATTTCAATTAATCTTCACAACAATTCTATATGGTTGGTATTAGTGTTCCATTATTGGAACGCTAAGCTTGTGGGATTTATTTATATCCTGCTTCTCAAGGTCATCACCAAGGTCTGATTTTTCACACACAAAAAATTGCAACCTCCAGCATAAATGGGTTAATATCCCTCCCTCTTTCCTCTACTGGTGAAAAAATTGAGAATCAGAGAGTTTCAGTGATTGGCCAGAGATTACACAGTTAGAAAGTGACAGAGTCAGAATTCAGATTTGATTGTCTGACTCCAAAACCTATGTTGTAGTCACTCCAATCCACTGCCTCTAACAGTATAGAGGCATAGTATTCCTAAAAATATATTTTTAGAAGCTTTAACATGTTAAGCTTAGAATTGGAAGCAGTAACGTTTTCAATAAATTAATCTCTAACAGTCCAGTTAAGGGCAAGGAATTTGAAAATGGTATTTTATGTTGAAAATATCCTGAAAAGTTTCTCCCCTAATCTATGGTTCTATGACATTATTTCACTTGTTTCAACTTTTAGTAAAAAGAGAACATGGTCAATAAAATGCTGTTTTCTACATGTAAGGACCACATTTAGTGATGCTGTTACAGTATTAGGCAAATCAGTAGGACTTGAAGATCATATTTTCCTCCTATTTTAGGAATAAAGTCATAATGATTTTTGGAGGGTATGCATTAGTTTAGAGATGCTGAGACACAATCATGCTTTATAAAAGTAAATTCTATGAAAAAATCTTAACGACATGATCAGAGCCATTTCTGTAATACTTATCTCACACTGTATTTAATTATTAATAGCTTCTATTGTGCTTTACTAATGTATGTTCAAATATTTCTTGTACACCAGCTTTCAGTCAGTGACAAGTAAAAAAAAAACACACAAATATTTCTTACACAATGCAATGAGAGACTATTAAATTCTATTTACTTGGCTAACAGCTAATCTAGTCATAAATATGAAATTAATCAGTCAGAATAGTAAAGGAGCAAAATACACTGAAAGAATAAAATCTATTATACTTAAATAAGTGCATGTCATTGGTTGTTTATAACTTGCTTCCCTTATAAACCTATTAATTACTAAAATGCATTCTTACACTAACATGGCAAATATGATTATAATTTTGTTTTATGGGTAAATAAAAAAACTATTAAAATTAGTACAAGTTAACTGACCAACCCAAGAATGGTAAATAGCTACTTCAGCATATTTATATTCCTACTTTTTACAGATATTCATAAATGCCATAGAGAAAATGTATTTCACACAAGTGAAACAATAATTCCTGTGGCTGCCACATTTTTGTATTGATATACAGATTTTCTTGCTATCTAGTTCTTGATTAAAAAAGTATTGTTTAAATAAAAAAATCCTGTGCCAGTTCTGGTGTGAACTAAAATCAATTTATGTAAATCAGTGTTTGTATCAGAAAGCCAGTCATACTTTGTCCCTTCCAGGTGACAGTTACGTAGTTTACGTCAAGGGTTTAAAATAAGAAAACCCAAAGCTGCTTCTTTTCTGAACCTTTACCATCATTTAAAGTAAATTTATCTCCTCAAATCATATGATGCAGAGGTGGAGAGCAATAATTTTGAAGGCTTCCTGGCTAAGTTTGAAACCCAGCCCTGCCACTTACTGACTCTGGGATCTGTAGCAGGCTACATAATTCCCCTGTATCTCATGTTTTTTCATGGTGATGATAGTAGCAATACATATCTCATAGGGTTACTCTGAGAATAAAGTAAATGCTAACACCAAGGATACAGAAGACATTATGTAAATAGTCATTATTATTGCACAACCTAAGTTTTACTTAATGGCTACTGTATTAAAGTATAATACATATGCAGAAAGATACTCGGAAGTGTTCAGCTTACTGAAATTTCATAAGGTAAGCTAAACAATCCTGTATAGCAAGCATGCAAATTACAAAAGAGAAACTAGTTACACTCAAAGCCCTCCTCATGCCCCCTTCTAGCCACTACCCCTAAGGGTAACTAATATTTTGACTTCCCATTCATTTCATTAATGGCTATTCTTTAAACATTGAAATTATAGCAATTGATAAGGGATTTATTGTAGTGGCTTTTTGTTTTTTATTTAATATCAATGCTTAAATCTGTTTGCTGATTACTCTTTTAACATATAGGTATATTTTATTTTCTAGGTTAAAAAAGCTCCTTGAACAAGAAAAGGCTTATCAAGCCCGCAAAGAAAAGGAAAATGCTAAACGACTCAATAAACTAAGAGATGAGCTTGTTAAACTCAAATCCTTTGCACTCATGCTGGTGGATGAAAGACAAATGCACATTGAACAACTTGGCCTGCAAAGCCAGAAAGTACAGGATCTTACTCAGAAGCTGAGGGAAGAAGAAGAGAAGCTCAAAGCCATTACTTCCAAATCCAAAGAAGACAGACAGAAATTGCTCAAGTTAGAAGTGGACTTTGAACACAAGGCTTCGAGGTTTTCTCAAGAGCATGAAGAGATGAACGCTAAACTGGCTAATCAAGAGTCTCACAATAGGCAACTTAGACTCAAGCTGGTTGGCTTAACCCAAAGAATCGAGGAGCTAGAAGAGACCAACAAAAATCTGCAGAAGGCAGAGGAAGAACTTCAAGAATTAAGAGATAAAATTGCCAAAGGAGAATGTGGAAACTCTAGCCTCATGGCAGAAGTGGAAAATCTTCGAAAGCGTGTGCTTGAAATGGAAGGTAAAGATGAGGAGATCACTAAAACTGAATCCCAGTGTAGGGAATTGAGGAAGAAGCTGCAAGAGGAAGAACACCATAGTAAGGAGCTCAGACTTGAAGTTGAGAAGCTACAGAAGAGAATGTCTGAACTAGAGAAATTGGAAGAAGCATTTAGCAAGAGTAAATCTGAGTGCACCCAGCTACATTTAAATCTGGAGAAAGAAAAGAACTTAACCAAAGACCTGCTAAATGAATTGGAGGTGGTCAAGAGTCGAGTTAAAGAATTGGAATGTTCTGAAAGTAGATTGGAAAAGGCTGAATTAAGCCTAAAAGATGATCTTACCAAGTTGAAGTCATTTACCGTGATGCTGGTTGATGAAAGGAAAAATATGATGGAAAAAATAAAACAAGAAGAGAGAAAAGTGGATGGACTCAATAAAAATTTTAAGGTGGAACAAGGAAAAGTTATGGATGTAACTGAAAAACTAATTGAAGAAAGTAAGAAACTTTTAAAACTAAAATCTGAAATGGAGGAAAAAGTATACAACTTGACAAGAGAAAGAGATGAGTTGATAGGCAAATTGAAAAGTGAAGAAGAAAAATCCTCTGAATTAAGCTGCAGTGTTGACTTACTAAAGAAGAGACTTGATGGTATAGAGGAAGTGGAAAGAGAAATAACAAGAGGAAGGTCACGAAAAGGGTCTGAGCTCACCTGCCCGGAAGATAATAAGATTAAGGAACTAACACTTGAAATTGAGAGACTGAAGAAACGTCTCCAACAATTGGAAGTGGTCGAAGGGGATTTGATGAAGACAGAAGATGAGTATGATCAGCTGGAACAGAAATTTAGAACTGAGCAGGATAAGGCTAACTTCCTCTCTCAACAACTAGAGGAGATCAAGCACCAAATTGCCAAGAATAAAGCAATAGAGAAGGGTGAGGTTGTGAGCCAGGAAGCTGAACTGAGACACAGATTTCGGTTGGAAGAAGCTAAAAGTCGAGACTTAAAAGCCGAAGTACAAGCTCTTAAAGAGAAGATTCACGAATTAATGAACAAAGAAGATCAGCTTTCTCAGCTCCAGGTAGATTATTCTGTACTTCAACAAAGATTTATGGAAGAAGAAAATAAGAACAAAAACATGGGGCAGGAGGTTCTCAATCTGACCAAAGAGTTGGAGCTTTCCAAGCGCTACAGCAGAGCTCTTAGGCCCAGTGTGAATGGAAGAAGAATGGTGGATGTTCCTGTGACGTCAACTGGAGTCCAAACTGATGCAGTCAGCGGTGAAGCAGCAGAGGAAGAAACGCCAGCTGTATTCATACGGAAATCCTTCCAGGAAGAAAATCATATTATGAGTAATCTTCGGCAGGTGGGATTGAAGAAACCCGTGGAAAGATCTTCTGTTCTAGACAGGTATCCTCCAGCAGCAAATGAGCTCACTATGAGAAAGTCTTGGATTCCATGGATGAGAAAGAGGGAAAACGGCCCCTCCATCACTCAGGAGAAAGGGCCCCGAACAAATTCCAGTCCAGGGCACCCAGGAGAGGTAGTCCTTTCACCAAAGCAGGGCCAGCCCCTGCATATTCGAGTGACACCAGACCACGAGAACAGCACTGCGACTTTGGAGATAACAAGCCCGACATCTGAAGAATTTTTTTCTAGTACCACTGTCATTCCTACCTTAGGGAATCAGAAACCAAGAATAACCATTATTCCATCACCAAACGTTATGCCTCAAAAACAAAAAAGTGGAGATACTACTCTTGGCCCAGAACGAGCCATGTCCCCAGTCACAATTACTACATTTTCCAGAGAGAAGACTCCAGAAAGTGGAAGAGGCGCATTTGCAGACAGGCCCACATCCCCTATTCAGATAATGACGGTGTCTACATCAGCAGCACCAGCTGAGATTGCAGTTTCTCCCGAATCCCAGGAAATGCCCATGGGACGGACAATCCTCAAAGTCACCCCAGAAAAACAGACTGTTCCAACTCCAGTACGGAAATACAACTCCAATGCCAATATCATAACCACAGAGGACAATAAAATTCACATTCACTTAGGGTCTCAGTTTAAACGGTCCCCTGGGACTTCAGGTGAAGGAGTCAGTCCAGTTATTACTGTCCGACCAGTAAACGTGACAGCCGAAAAGGAGGTTTCCACCGGCACTGTCCTTCGCTCTCCCAGGAATCACCTCTCCTCACGGCCTGGTGCAAGCAAAGTGACGAGCACTATCACCATAACACCGGTCACAACGTCATCTGCTCGAGGAACCCAGTCAGTGGTGAGTAGAAGAGGCTCCAAAGCGCAGGCCTGCAGAGGGAGGGAGACGTGAGTAGTGAGACTACCCAGCACCCACAGTAAAACCCAGCCACATGCTTCTCATGCTACCTGAATCCACCAACAGATGCTTCCCAGAGGACCATCCACACTGAGAACTGAATGTAAAAAGTGACCTAATAGTTTAATAAATTAGGCCAACTTTGAGGGAAAACTTCACCTATTCATGTAAATTATGGAGAGTGCCATAAAATACTTGCAAAGATAGCCTCTTTGAAATGGTAGCATATAGTAATCAGAAGGCTTAAAATTTGATTTTAATGTTTAAGATACTTTTTTTGAATGGAGACGGGGGAAATGGTCTATATGGAGGAAGAATTAAAATTGCTCCTAGGTTATGTTTCTATGAACTAAAATATTCAATATGTGGTTATATATGGCCACAGTCATATTTTATCCCAAAATAAGATGAGAAGATTTTAATATCAAAAACTTTTTTAAAAGTGAAAGAGAAGTGAGTTTACATGTATAAAAACTGTATTTTATTTAATCATATCTTGCAGACAGCACGTGCTTCATAAATATTTATTTAATAAATAGCTGGGGCTGGGTGCGGTGGCTCATGCCAGTAATCCCAGCACTTTGGGAGGCTGAGGCAGGTGGATTACCTGAGGTCAGGAGTTCAAGACCAGCCTGGCCAATATGGTGAAACCCTGTCTGTACTAAAAATACAAAAATTAGCTGAGCATGATGGCAGATACCTGTAATCCCAGCTACTTGGGAGGCTGAGGCAGGAGAATCACTTGAGCCCAGGAGGCGGAGGTTGTGGTGAGCTGAGATTGTGCCATGCCACTCCAGCCTGGGTGACAGAGCAAGACTCCATCTCAAACAAACAAGCAAACAAACAAACAAACAAACAAACTAGCTGGAAGGCTAAATGAATGATTATTGAAAAGCATGTGCAAAGCACAAAAGCCGGAACTTAAATTCTACCAGCCTGGGAACAGGGCAAAACATCATCTCTACTAAAGATACAAAAAAAAAAAAAAAAGTAGCTGGGTGTAGTGGTGCACACCTGTAATCTCAGCTACTCTGGAGGCTGAGGCACAGGAATCACCTGAACCCAGGAGATGGAGGTTGCAGTGAGCCACGGTCATGCCACTGCACTCCAGCCTGGGTGACAGAGTGAGACCGTGTCTCAAAAAAGTAAATAAATAAATAAATTATAAATTATATTTTTCAAAATACTTCCAGTGATTGTCTTCATTTATTGGTGGCAAATTGGCAAATGTAATTATAGAAGAGCTTGTACTGTTTAGATGTTAACTTAAGCTAATAGACTAGAAATCGTGATTTCTAGACCCTGAACAAGTTCTACAGCATAAATTGAAACCTCTTAAGAAAGACAGGAAGCTCATAATTTAAATATAGAAACTGTGGCTTATTTTCCTATATTCTTAATATGATTTACTTTAATTTTCTATGCACAAACATAGACTCGAGGCAGGCTCCAAAGTGTGAATTACTAATTGCTTTGCCAGTAAAGCTTTTACTTATTGGCTCCTTATGAGCCAAATAGCATTCAGAATTATTCACTGTCCTCAGGTGGTCCGATACTGCTTTTTAGGTAACATAGAGCATAGCTTGGTTGTGTAGGGTTTTGCTTCTTTCTGCTGCATTTTATAAAAAGATATTGGAGGTATAAATCATTGTAACTTAAAGCATATTTTCTGCCGTAACATTTTCTTACCATTTTTAAGTGTCAGATCAAGGTAGCCCTACCCTCTGTATTGACATTTTTGACTACTGATTAAACCTCATACACGGGTAGCATTTCAAAGCAACTGTCTAAGATTTCTAAGTTCTGAATGGTCCACCTATTTTAAGTATATCAGATCTCATAAAATCAAGGACAAAAGGTTTGGAATACTCCTCTTAGAATTTAAACACTGAGGGTAGTTCATTTGTACATTTATTCATTCAACATTTGTTGAGTGTCAGCTACACTTTAGGCATGGGCTAGGTGCTGGGAAGCCAGGACTGTAGAAGTTCTTGACTCAGTGGAATAGACAGGTTTGGAATCTACTTAGTGGTTCTATGATAGAGGTATGTACAAAGGAGCCAATGGAGAAGGCTTCACAGAAGTGGAGGTTTCACAGTTAAAGAGGGATTTTCAAGAAGGAAAAGAGAAGGATTTTGTAGACAGAACAGCATGTGCGAAGGCACGACAGTGTGAAGGAGCCTGGCGTGCTTGGGGAATGGTGAGCAGTCCCATTGTGCTGCTAACAGTTGCGCATGGGGCAAAAAATGCAAGGGCAGAAAATAAGGAAGCAAACTGGGGTTGGATATTGAAGGGAGGCACATACATGTCTCATTATGAAATTGATATTTATAGATTAGATAAAGGGAGCCACTGAAAGGGTGATGATCATGAGAAAAACATACTGTTTATGTTTTAGAAACATGTGTGTGGAAAACAGTTTAAAGGATAACTTGGAGGGACAGGGATGCTGTTGCAATTCTCTATCTTAATGATGGAGCAGGCTTGAACTATGGTAGTGAAAATGAGGACAGAGATATAGTGAAGACAGAATCATAACGATTTCATGACAAATTGAGTAGAGAGGGTGACTCTTGGGTTTCTGATTTGGCTGTCTGGGAGAATAAGATGAGAAACTTTAGGGGGACTAGCTGTCTAGGAGAGAGGATAAGTAATGTTTGGGGCATGTTATATTTAAGATGTCTGGGGAACATCAGAAATGTCCAGTGAGTAGTTGGGAATAAGGATCTGCATTTCTAGAGGGCACTGAAGCCTAGGGATCCCAGGGTTTGAACACATGGGGTAATAACTAAGGCAATTCTCAGGGTGAATATTAAACATTAAAAGGAGGCTGAGAATGGAACATGGTGACACATTTAGAAGGCAGGCAGAGTAGAGAACAAGAAGCCAGCAAGAGATTGAAAAGGGGTCATCAGATATGAGAGGTGAATTGATGAGTCTGTCCTAAGAAATCACAGCAAGACAGTGTTAGGAGCACTTTAAAAAGGAGGATGTGGTCAGCAGCGACAATAACATGCGAAGATTCTGAGGTCTTTAGGAGGTGAAAAGCGAGTGGCTTCATCTGAAATGGAAGAAAGGAGGGAGTGTAGAGTTAATTTAGGGAGCAGTAGGAGTAAAGTTGCCTGAGTTTTTGCCTGGTGGTCTATATTTATTTCCTCTGTGAAACTGGAGTTAAGGCCATCTTCAGTAAGGGCAGAGGAGGTAAGTTAGTGCTTCAGAAGAGAAGGAAGTTTCAAGCAAAGTTGTTTTAAGTGAAGGGAAGGGGAGATAATCAGAGTGGATTAGATACAAACTCCAAGTTTCTCACAATTATTTTATCTGGGGAAGGGTCTTCTGTGGGTGTTCCTGTGTGGCAAGAGTCCCACTAATGTTCAGATTGATGGCATATCCAGAGGAAACTCACCAACATCTCCCTTGTATCTACGTATTTTCTCTCTTACAGTCAGGACAAGACGGGTCATCCCAGCGGCCTACACCCACCCGCATTCCTATGTCAAAAGGTATGAAAGCAGGAAAGCCAGTAGTGGCAGCCCCAGGAGCAGGAAATCTGACCAAATTCGAGCCTCGAGCTGAGACTCAGTCTATGAAAATAGAGCTGAAGAAATCTGCAGCCAGCAGCACCACCTCTCTCGGAGGGGGGAAGGGCTGAGGGCAGTGGCTAAGGGGGTATGTTGTGCAGATGCTACTGCTGCCGTGAAAGTGAACCTTCATCTGTTTGTGCCAGTTCTTTACATGTACTAATTTAAGTTTTAAATATTGTGTTTATAAAATAACCAACTAATAACCATTTGTCTTTCCCATTTTGTGCATTTGTTTTGATGCTGGGGAACAAAATTAGCAAAACTATTGCTTGCTGCCTAGAAGCCAGGGCGTGGTTTCTAGTTCCAGTTTTGCTTCTAGCAAGTGGACCCATCAATAGACCCATCTGAGCCTGTTTCCTCATCAGTTAGATGTGGGGACTCAATCACACGCTCTTCAAGTCCGGCTCCCATATTTCCTAATTGCAAGCCAAATTTAATGTACCTTGTTCCACAATAATTTTTTATTAAAAAAATCCTATTACAAAATAAGACATACTTTAACTATTGTCATTTGCCTCTTTCACATCATGAATTTGCTTTATGTGCTGGAAAAAACATCACATAGCTATCACAGGGCCTGGACCTCTAAAATTTTGCAAAAACAAAAGGTTCTAAGATGATTTCAGGAAATAATGTGAACATGTAATAAAATGGAAATGAAATATGGAATCCTAAGAACAGAGTTTTACTTATTTGTGTGTGTCTGTGTGTATTGTAGAAGTTTTAGCTCCTCCATAAGATTCCCAGAATTTCTTAGGCAATAATTTTAAAATCATTAATGTCAGACTCGTGCTCTATTCAAGTGTGCAATTGATTTAAATTGTGGAATAGTTTGAAAAGAGCTGCCAAATGGCCTTTTATAGCTCAACAGAGATTGTGATGGATAGAAAATAGCAGAAAGTAAATTCTGATACATTAATGCCAAGGGAAAAAATGACATCATGCATATCTTAATTGAATTCAAATATTTTTCTCAATTAAGTATAGACTTGCAAGTGTAAAACCAGTTCATGATTTGGGTGTGTATGTGTGTGTGTGGTGTGGAGAAGTGGATTATTTCTGTCAGTTTTACTCTTGTTTGAATCAGTTTCTTTCATTTTTAGGCATGTTTTAATAAGCATGAAGCAGAGTGTGAGTGCAAAATGCCAGGTGTATTTGTGAGATTAACCATGTTAAGGTGGACTTTGTGTTTCATAGCCACATAACCACAAACGAGTTCAAGGCTAGTAACCCACAGCTTAGCACACAAGATCTCATGTAGGCTGCACCTTTGCTGACATTTTTGAGCCAACTGAGTGAACTTTACAAAAATACAACAGCAAAAAGTCACAGATTTTTAGTTTTCCATTTTTGAATTGTGAGTGTTCCAAAATTATATGGATAGCACCTGTTCTTGATATTTGGGAAAAAGCATACTTCTTTAAAAAAAAGATGTATGATTAGATTTTTATCTCATGATTCAACATGTTTCATGATAACGAAGCTCTTCTCTGAGTTCCTTTCCACACCAGATTTTCTATTGCTTGCAGAACTTGGGCTTGAATTGTATATAGTGGTGGTAGATGTAGATGCCTCATAGTATTCACATTCATTTTAATCAGATCGCTGTTGCCTACTGCTCATCAGTTCTCGGCATTATATTACAAAATGTTGAGTAGCTAGGCATGGTGGCTCATGCCTGTAATCCCAGCACTTTGGGAGGCTGAGGTGGGTGGATCACTTGAGGCCAGGAGTTCGAGACCAGCCTGGCCAACAGGGTGAAACCCCATCTCTACTAAAAATACAAAAATTAGCCGAGTGTGGGGGTGGGCGCCTATAATCTCAGCTACTCAGGAGGCTGAGGCAGGAGAATCACTTGATCCTGGGAGGCAGAGGTTGCAGTGAGCCAAGATCATGCCACTGCACTCCAGCCTGGGAGGCAGAGGTTGCAGTGAGCCAAGATCATGCCACTGCACTCCAGCCTGGGCGACAGAGAGAGACTCTGTCTCAAAAAATAAAAAAGGAAAAAAAAGAAAATTGAGGAGCCATGTTAAAGACCTGCCATAGTAATGGGATTTCAAGGTCAAAGGAGAGGGAGAGACTGAGAAAGAACATTTTATGATTTTGGGTAAATTTGAACAAGAGAGATTGCCATTTGGAATACTGACATATTTTTTTACAAGATTTTTCCTCTTTCATAAAGTGAACATTCAACGCTTTCAAAAATGAAGACATTCACTGTTTTTACTAATGTGTACCTGACATTTGTGAAGTATTTAGTGTTACTGTACCATAACGTATTGTATTTGAGCGAATGAGGGTGTCAGAAGAACCAAACACCGCATTCCTTTTGACTCCACCTGCCATTCTTCAGTGATTTTTATCATAATCTTATTGCCGCTTGCTGCTGCTTTTGCTTTTACCTTCTCACATCATGCTTATGGTGTTTCTTCCAGGAAGTCTATACCATCTACAGGAGAGTGCTCTGAAGGCTTAACAGTGCGTGTACAGGATGTTTATACATCTAGATATTGGAATAGAGCCACCCACAAAGTACAACTGCTAAAAAAAACTTGGCAGAACAACACAGATTTGCTTTTCAGAAATGATAAAGAACAACTACCATGACAGTTTTTCTTTGTAATTTTAGAGCCCACTCTATATTTATTGGATAGCTTTGCTTTAAGCCACACATTAGAAATAAAATCCACTGGGGATAGGAGGTGGTGAACTAAATGTACCACAAATCCAACTTCCATTTGTGAAGACAGTACTTTTAAGATGCAACTTAATGTGCTTTTTGTAGGGGTGAATGGGATGAAAACTTTGCAATATTTTCTCTGTCCTGAAACGTACTGCGTAGTAAAATAAAAGGGGTCTCACTATGGCTGATGTGTACAGCTGCTGCTCAGGCCCCACCCTGAAATCTTGGGACGGTGGGTGACTTTGGGGTGGGAAGGGTGGGCCATTTCCACAGACTTCAGTGTGTTGGTGCCCTCTAGGGATGTGCAGGACACGATCTACACAGCTACAGAGGAGACCCTGGTCTTCACTGCCTGAGAATAATTATAATGTGCTGACTATTTCAGCACACTATGGTGGTGTCCAGCTTACATGCATGATTCCAGAAATGTTTCGATATGGGACACAGCCTCAAGAGTGTTTATCATTTTTTTACATGTGAGCTATATATCTAGGTCATCTGCTTAAAAGCTATTCAGTTTCTACTGGTGTTTTAATTGTATTTCCAGTGAGGACTGGTTGATGGGTGGCAATTGAGCTCTCTCTAGAGATTTTAGGGTATTCGTTAAGGGTGTACCCAGAGCTCTTACTCGAATGTCTTCAAGAAAGAAGTGAAAAATAGCTTTCATGTGTAGTGTGGGAAGAGTATAATTTCGGAGACATGAAAACAAGTCTAAGAATATCAAGTGTAAAAATATTTAAATTTCTCATTCCCCAGATTCAGAATATTGAGGAAAGGGTGAGACTTTCCTTGTTGGGAAAAACATGGGGTTATAGATATGAAGAGCACATTTATATTGGAGGCTGGAGGGCTGAGAGAGAGAACGAGTAATGAGGAGATGAGCATAGAGAGGATTTCCCAGGAAACAGGAAGATATGATTCCCAAATTTTCCCAACCTGGATAATGTTTCCTTTCTGTCTCTTTAGGGTCTCATCATTGGTTATTTCTTTGTTCTCTGGTCTTTCCACTTCTCGTTTTCACTTGCTATCCTCTGACCTCTCTCATTTTAGCAAAATTCCTCCTTCATCTATGCAGTCCTCTGTAGCTACTGCCCAGTCTCCTTCCATGCCCAGGTGAGCTATTGAGAGAATTCCTGCCTCCAGTCTCACACTTATTTATCATTAGTCACTTTTTATTTTTAATAAAGAAATTCATATACATAGTTCAAATATCAGCCAGAGCTAAAAGACAATGAAAACAGATGTTCCTTACCACTTCCCTGAGCCCACAGTTTTTTCCCCCGGAGAACATCACTTCCAACTCTTAGCTCTTTCTTCTGGCATTTATCTCCATATTTCTAACTAAAGTGCTTATAGTGTGACTTTCTATTTCTAGATTTTAGATCTCTTTTGTCTTCGCATTATTGTTTTGATGGTTGAAGGTTTAACCTTCTCACTTATCCCTTCTCTTTCCTTTTTCTCATTTTCCCAATATGATTACATCCTCAACTTTTTGATAAATCAGCAGCCAACATTTATATATTTATGTGTTTTGCAGTGCAAATTTAAATATAGTTATCTGGCCAGGCATGGTAGCTCACGCCTATAATCCCAGCACTCTGGGAGGCTGAGGCAGGTGAATGACTAGAGCTCAGGAGTTTGAGACCAGCCTGGATGACATGGCAAAACCTAGACTGCAGCCTCAAAAATACAAAAAATTAGCTGGGCATGGTGGTGCATCCCTTTAATCCCAGCTACTCGGGAAGCTGAGATGGGAGGATTGCTTGAGCCTGAGAGGCAGAGGTCACAGTGAGAGATAGTGCCACTGCACTCCAACCTGGGTGACAAAGTAAGACCCTGTCTCAAAATAAATAAATAAAAATAAATAAATAATAAATATTACTATCAGCTGAGCCAAGTAGTATACTATGATTATGCTCTCTTCCTCTTACCACATTTCCCCCTTCAAAAGAATAATTGTTTTAATTTTTCATCTGCTTGGTTTTCCATATATCTATATATATATTTTTCCAAATGCTCCATTAGACTTGCCAAACACCTATCAGTAATTTTTCCAAACACTTAAACACACCAGTTTCATATTTTTCCCTGGAGGCCTTCCTAGTTCAGCCCTCTGCTTCCATATTCAGTCTGGACTGGTTGTTTTCTAGGCCTGCTGCACAGCTGTTGCCCTTTTGCCTATGTTGAGTTCTCTGTTTCCCTGATTGGTTATATTCTACTTCTTTTATCTATTGATCTATCTATTGATCTGCCTATCATCTATCTGTCTTTATCTATCTATCTATCTATCCTCTCTCTCTCTTTCTCTCTCTCTCTCTCTCTCCCTCTTTCTCTTTACATCTTCTAATAGTTTTTAAAGGAAAAAGTCCTCCAGTAACCTTTCTGGGGCAGGCTATCCAAATTCTGGTCAGGGGAGGTAAGATGAGAATCTCACAGCTCAAGGTATAAAGTTTTTACTCCCCTGCAATCAGTCTGCTGCCCATTCTTATGTCTGGGTCCAGAACTTCTTAGGTCAGTTTTTCCAGAAAACAAACCTCTGGTCTCTAGTAAGGGCAAGGGCAGAGTTAGGCTGTGCTCTTTTCCCTCAATGACCAAGATATCTAATCTGCTTTGCTGCTTCTTTCACCTCTTTGCTCTGCTTCAGTTTCCCTTGTTGGCTCCTTATTTTATGTATACACAATAAGGATTGATGTTTCCCACATCTCTATTAAGAGCCATGTTCCTGCTCTACAAGCTGGCTCTGGTTATTTCATCTACACCCAGATGCCAATGACTCCCAAACTTCTATCACCAACTGTGTATCCATCTTTATAGTGTGTTTTTCCAAATCAGCTTGTCTAAAAACCATTTTCAATACTGCCCCATCTTCTTCCAAAGCTTCTCCTTCTCTTATTATTCTCCATCTCAACAGGGATATCTAACCCATTCAGTCTCCCAAGCTAGAAACCTGGTAACCATCTATGCTTCTCCTTCTCCTTCTGCCCTCATTCAGCAAGTCCTGCTTATTCTCTCATTCTAACCCACTAACATCTCTAGCAGCTGACTCCTCCTCTCCATTTCCCCTACCATGGCCTAAATTGAGGGTTTTAACTACTTTTCATTTGGGTTACTCTGATACCCTCCTAATTGGTCTTGTAATCTCCAGCCTCAAAACTCTAGGATTCATTTTTCATTCTTGCAGTTTTCCAAAATGCAAGTTGATCATATCATACATCATATCATATCATATCATATCATATCATATCATATCATGTCATATCATATCATATCATCATCTCTATTTGAAAACCGCCCAAAAGTTCCTTATTACTCATAGAACACAATGCTATGTACTTGAGGCACTCTGTGACTGGGCTCTACTTCTCCATTCTTCTGAGCATCTTTCCCTTCCCTTGGCGGGACCCCCACACTCCAGGCTTAAATAATTGCTTGACTGTCAGGCCATGCCACCCTTCCTTGACTTGCTCAATTTGTTCCTTCTCCTTGTATTGCCCTTTCTCCTATTTTTCTTTTGGCGGATGTGTCCTTCTCTGATCAAAGTCTATTTTATGAACATTGCCTCTTCTAGGAAGATAAACTATTATTTCAGAATCTACCCTGGGGTTTAAAGGCCTGTCCACTGCTGTACAAAGCTTGGCACTCACTATAGATAAACAAAACTAGAAGCTGAAAAATGGCAGAAAGTTGGGCAAGAAAGAGCTGTTTCTGATTCCTCTCTTTGCAACACAAACCAGTGAGAATGACGTGGAAGGAACTAACAAGTCCTGTGTGAGAACACACAGGTAATGAGATGGCAGAATTACAGGAAGTCCAGGTACTGTCATTTTTGGGTGGTGAAAGTTACTTCTATTTCCCTCCAAAGGCACAACAGCAGGTGATGGATGCAAAACAGCCAGGAGTCCTGGACTGGGGAGTTCTCACCTCAGAAGCCACCAGGCCTGTGAAGAAAGGGGCCTGAGAGCTTTCTGTGAAGTATAAACACACAGTACATGCATGAGTTACAAATGGCCCTTTCCTCACCCTTTCCGACTCCCCCAGCAGAACACAAAGGCACTTCAAGAATGAGAAAGTTTCAGGGGTTTGTCTCATGCTCTTCAAGTTCATGAAGGACCCTCAAAATAGGACAGAGAGGCTCTCATTTTAAAGGACCAAACACCACCAAAAAGCAGGATTTAGATTTAGGATAGATATCAGGGTGAATATCCAGAGAAGAAGGGCTGCTGAAAAATGGACTTGATACCTGAGAGAACTGAAAACCATGAGACTGGAGCCATACTCTTTTCTACCACCAAAAGGTTGTGTAACCTTTGGCATATCACCCTACCTTGGCCTATGATTTAGCACTGAGCTATAATTTTTTATGATTCTGGCATTCTCTCTTAGAGTCATAATATAATATGCTTCACTATTGTTTAGCAAGCACCTTGCAAGATCCTGCTACAATGCTTTTCCTAAGATCTAATGATTAATTACTTACCTGGTAAAAGTACTTTTGGCCTCTCTACTTCTGCTAATGCTACATATATGCAAAATCACAGAGCTGGTTAGAACTGAAATAGACCTTAGAGATCAAGAGGATAATTACTATTACTAAAGAAGACAAACAGCAACAAACCCTTTAAAAAAAATCCCTGAGGCGTACAGATGTCTAAGCATCTTATTAATGATAAGGCCAGGACCAAAAATCAGTTCTTCAGTTTCTCCCAGTACATTATTCATTATTTCATATGATGAAACTACTACAAGTGAGTAAAATGTACATTCATACATAGACTGAAACACTCATACTCATTGGATCAAAATAATACTGCTAAATGATTTTGAGCTACTAAGACATCTATATAGAAACTGTGAAAAAGTTCTTACAACAATATTTTGATGAATATTGTTGTCCTCATTTAAAAAGCGCAGTGACCTTAGTTTTCACACATAATGTTATTTTGCATGCTATTCTGTGACTAGCCATAGACTTAGAACAACCTAGGTATTTACCATCTGTGTTTAAAAGAGTAGAACCTCAGCATGCTTTGCTCAAATACTTACCTATTTTTCCATTACTTAATTTTTATTTATAGTTAATGTTATATATGGGAACTAATTCAAATTTGCTTGTATCTGTAAAACAGCAATCTATGCTGGAGATAAGAATTAGCTTGCCAAAAAAGAATTTATCAGTTATAACTGTGATTATTGGTGACTTCTGCATCCTGGGGAGGTAAGGAGATAATTTGGGCTGATGGTAGAGTGGGAAATCTGCTGGAAGGAAGCAAATAAATTATTAGGTGGTTGAGAACTCCCAAGAGAGTTTGTATCATCTGGTTCAAAAATTTCCTAGAGCAAATGACAGAACCTATTAGCGGAAGTATTTTTAATTAGCTAAGCTGAATCCAAAAGAGGAATACAAGTCCAAATCAAGAGAGGAAGTTTCTTGAACTTCCTATTTAAAACAGATGTTTTAACAGAACTGTGATTAATTTCTGAATGTGATAATAACAGGATTGAACCCTGAAGCAGTTTAGGAAAATGAGAAACTTGAAAGTAAATCATATCTAAGTACTTCTAAAAGGTAAATAGAATGTAGGACATTTTTGCAGTGGACAAGTTGTTCTGAGGCCAGTAGGTTCAAAGCTGATATTTGGTACTTGGTCGGGGGAGGGGAAGAATAGCACAACCCTAAGCTGGTACCTCTAGGCAGAGCCCCTGGTGGGTAGGGAGCCATAGAACATGGGAAGCAGGTTATATATAGGCAAATTGATGCAAAATCCAAGAGGACATGTTTTTGTTCTGTAACTTGGTGTACAGCTTCCTGTGGATAAAGCAATCCTCCTTTGCTGATGTAACGTCTTGTTATAAGTTGAATTTCTGGTATGTTTTGTCTTTAGTATGTGAACTTAGAGGCTAGCTATTAAAGTGATGTGGCCTTATTTGCTAGAGAAGAATGTTTTTTTTTTAAATGTAGAGCTCAAGTGTTCCTTTGCAGTGTTTGGCAGAGTATAAACATGAATTACTTGGGAGGGAGGTATTGGCTTTTTAGGGAGTACATCTTTCTCACTCTACAGCCAAGGAGACCTCCTGGGAGGAAACAGAATTCTAATTTGTTGTGAGGTTGCCTCACTCTGCACTCAGGAAACATTCTCCCCCAAATTTCTCCCCAAATCCTATCTCATGCACACAGCTTTGGATCTCAAGTCATATGACTGGCTAGTAGTTTTGGGATACCACCCAAGGAGGATGAATATTTAGTAAGGTCAGAAATCAAGTTTAATTAGGAATTGACAATATGTTGAACTTCCTTTCCAGGAAGTTATCCAATAGCTAGTGTACTAAAAGACTTCATAAAAACTACATCATTTCACAATAATGTCATAATAACAAATAATGCATTTAATGTGTTACCTGAAGTTTTTTTAAGGAAAAAAACGTCAAGGTAACACTGGAGAGAAACATATAGGGGAAATTGTCTCTAAGTACACTTTGATAAAGCCACTAATGTCAAAAATATATAAAAACTCAGTGTCTCATATGTATATGTTCATTGAAATTTAGGGTTTTTAAAACTTCCAATTAGAAAAAAAGGAAATTATGTTAATAAACATCTTCATATCAGAGGGTCCCAAATTTAAGTGCTTTGCTATTTTGAGTTTGCTGACAGAGGTGGTAATTATCTATGGTCTTTGGTTCCAATCTGCCTATTAAGTGCTCTCCAAATCACTATTGTCAGAAGAGTGGTATCTGTAAGAAGAAAAATTATGATAGTTGTGCAAAATTATGATCTGTAAGAAGAAAAGTTATGAAAAATTATACCTGATTTTACTGGGGTTATTTTAGAGGCCCCAAATGACCTATAGTTGAATCTTGTTCTGGGATGAAATGAAGACAGTAGGAGATGGAATAAAATTTGCTCACTGAATCTGTAACTTCAATAAGATTTATAACATTATTTTATTGTACTATATACAAAAAGACAGGAACAGACTTGGGAATTCAAGTCTGTTTTTTTTTTTACACAAATAATGGCATTAATCCCCAAAGCACTAATTTTTAAAAATTTATTTAATTTTTTTTTTTGCTGGCAACATGGACTCCATGTGCCTCAGACAGTTTTGCTGTATAATGAGTTACTTCAAAATGTAATGGCTTAAAGCAATATTTTTTTTTGAGACTGAGTCTCTCTCTGTTGCCTAGGCTGGAGTGCAGTGGTGCTATCTCGGCACGCTGCAACTTCCGCCTCCTGGATTCAAGCTATTCTCCCACCTCAGCCTCCAGAGTAACTGGGATTACAGGTGCACACCACCACGCCCAGCTTATTTCTTGTATTTTTAGTAGAGATGGGGTTTCACCATGTTGGCCAGACTGGTCTTGAACTCCTGACCTCAAGTGATCCACCCCTCTCATCATCCCAAAGTGCTGGGATTACAGGTGTGAGCCACCAAGCCTGGCT
Source organism: Homo sapiens (assembly GCF_000001405.40). Classification (NCBI taxonomy): domain Eukaryota; kingdom Metazoa; phylum Chordata; class Mammalia; order Primates; family Hominidae; genus Homo; species Homo sapiens. The sequence goes on along the minus strand of NC_000006.12, from coordinate 75,298,634 downwards.
TTAAAGCAATATTTTAAAAATTTATCACAATTTTGTGCATTGGCTAGGTGATTCTTATTGAGTAAGTTCAGCAGAGACTTGGGGAAAACATAGCTAATAAGCAACTATAGATTTAGTAAATCTGTTTAATAAGTTTCAATTAATAGAGCCAGTATCATACAGATTTTATCTCACTATCTCTAGAAATAAAATGAAGTTGGTCTCCATATAAAACAACATAATTTGGGCTTAATTGTATTCTTTTAAATAAAGTTTATGTACATAAGTATTAAATACCACCCTTTATTAAAGTACAATTTATATAAGATAAACTCTTATTTAGCATTATCAAGTATTTCTGAGACATTTGTTTTAATAACACATTTGATTAATAGCATTAGCATACATAGGATGCATGGATTATGAGTTTGCTAATTTAAATACAGTAATTAAATGTTATGGTCCAACCAAGACATTGTTTCTTCTGTGTACGGACCCTTATTACTATGATGGAGATTTTGAAATGCTAGGATTAAGACAAGGCAACTCTTAAGTTGTGCAAAATGCTAGGATTAAGACAAGGCAACTCTAAGTTGTGCAAAATGCTAGGATTAAGACAAGGCAACTCTAAATTGCCTTAATCCTAGCATTTTGTAAATTTCCACTGCTGCACACTGAAGGAGAAAGAAGGTATTGTAGTAATACAAAATGTTAACCCTGAAAGGGATTTTTGAGATGCTCTCTAATACCCTTATTTTGTACTGTGGAAACAAAGGCAGAAGATTTCTGAATTACATCCACAATAAGAACAATTCTGATTTCACTCTTTATCTATGCTTTCTTAAGGGAAGGAAATTGGAGATAACTTTAATTTTACCAGGGAGATTTGAGACTTGGGTCTTTTTACTCTTTGGAATCTACTGCAGAATTTTTTTTTAAATTAGTGAGAAACATCATTTTAATTTTGGATGCTAATTTTTAACTACATGATATTAATTAGTACTTAAAATTGTTTGCCTGAAGATTTTGATATATTTTTAGGCATTTGAAGTTGAAGCTGGAATATTTTTTCAATGAAAAAAACGAGATGGTTTATAAGGGCTTCTGGTATAGTACAATATAGTATGTATGTCTTAAGAGCTTCAGAAAACCTTCATAGCTAAATATTCTTAGGTATATAAGACATTCTATAGTTCATCTTACTTGGCTTTCTTATCTACCTCAAATTCAAGCCAAAAGGCTGAGGGAAAAAATGGAAATAGCTCCACCTATTGGTCATCATGAGGTAAAGTTAACGACACCAAATTAAGAAAACATTTTCTTTTTGGCAGGTAATCATGCACTGTGTGTAATTACTATGAACCTATAAGTCTATGGCATAATACGATTTAATTAATGTTTACTTATATACTAACTACATAAGTAAAAATAAAACTTAAATACTAGGTATTTGGGATGGATGTGAAAATAATAGGTAGAAATTTCTTCATGTTATTGATAAACCCTAAGTTTCTGCACTCACAACATATACCATATGTTGACAAGGAGGTACTAATAATAAATTTTTTGGATGAAGAAACTATTTGAAGTTTGAATATTTTCTTTCCCCTGCTGTGTATAATCTCAGTGATGTTAGGAATCTGTCTCATTTTGATCATGCATGTAGTTCCATGCCTACCTAGCACAGTATACAGCCTCAATAAATAGTTATTCAATGACTGAATGAAGTGAGTCATACTGATAAATGTTCATTAAGGCATAAAGTTTACTATAAAAGAAAAACCAGCCAAATAAATATAAATATTAATTATCCATAATGTGCTGGACTGTTGTAATTACTACCTCAATCTAGTTTAAATTTATTTTTATAAGAATAAATTTATATTTTAAAACATATAGGGAGGCTGAGGCGGGCAGATCACGAGGTCAGGAGATCGAGACCATCCTGGCTGACACGGTGAAACCCGTCTCTACTAAAAGTACAAAAAATTAGCCGGGCGTGGTGGTGGACGCCTGTAGTCCCAGCTACTGGGGAGGCTGAGACAGGAGAATGGCGTGAACCCGGGAGGCGGAGCTTGCGGTGAGCCGAGATCGCGTCACTCCACCCCAGCCTGGGCGACAGAGCGAGACTCCACCTAAAATAATAATAATAATAATAATAATAATAATAATAATAATAAACATATAGAGTTATGCAAAAAGACGCAGAGATAAAAGTGAGTCACCTATATTTATGGACTTAGAAATAATATCTCCTTATTAAACTCTAATCCACACACACACACACACACACACACACACACACACACACACAAAGAAATTGAAGAGGTGTAAATATTGTTCAGACCAGAAAATTTGGCTGGAAGATTAGAGTTACTTCTAGGAAATAGTCTGGTTTCTCATTAAGGGGTTTGTATATAGTAATTACTATCTTTGTTTTCAGTTCTTACCTTGGTCAAAACTGATCTACTATTGTCAGAACGTTAGACGTAGTTTCTAAAGGGCTTTAAGAAATTTCGAGGTAAAGTACATACGCCAATATAAAGACGTTGCCCAAGAATAGTAATGCAGGAAAGTCTATTAGCCTCATGTACCTGTTTTTGTTTGTTTTGTTATTTAACATCTATGATCTTTTAGTGAAATGATGTAGCTTGATTCTCAGTTTCAGTTTAATTGAAAATGCCATGTCTTTTTTCTCTTTATAGAAAGCATCATCATTCACCAGTTACGAATGAACTCCAGATGAAATGGTAAACCAAGCACATACTGGGTGTGTGTACGACCTCTGAATCCCTATTGAATGGACAGCCCTCAATCATGACTAAGGTCCTCCATGCTACTGATCACTACTGGAAATATTTTACTACTTCCAGTGATTTTTTTTTAAGGATATAATGTAAAAAGCTGAAAATGGCCTTGCTGATAATATGAAAATATGTAGCAAGAGCAATTCAATCTATGTGCCAAAAGAAATTTCTTTTTGCAAAGCTTTCAGGTCTATGGGCACATGCTGTATAACTTATATTTTATAATACATTTTGTAATGTGATTTTTTTTGCTAAAGTGTTTCCCTTTTTCATAGTCTCTGGCACATATATCTATGGAATACGCTGTCAGTTCTTCAAAGTACTGGTATTGTTGCATTCAAAATGGTAATCTATAATTATTTTCTTTTTATCAATTTGTTAATTCTGAAAAAAAGAAAGTACAACTATATTTCCTGAGGTAAATTCAAGAGGTAAAACTTAGAAGCAGGAGACTCTGGAAGAGGTTTTACTATTGCTTGTACAATGCTATGGTTCTGATCATGGTTCAATGCTAACAAATAATGCTCTGACTTAAAAGCTTAATTTTAAATACTAAAAATCAGTTTCTAAAGTTGCTCTTTCTGGTGTTCTGGGCCAAAAACCTTGGATGAAATGATTTTTATATAGAACAAATTCATAAAAGGAGATGTACCAGTTTAACCAGTAAGGGCAATAAGAACAGCTTCGACTGACAGTTCAATTATACTTCTGATTGCATTATTTACTTGTATGTATAAGACTTATAATAAGGACTGTGAAATAAAGATAGTTCTCACAATCTAATCCAATCAAAACTTGAATATAAAAACAGACCTAAAATGTCAGGATCTTTTTTAAAAAATAAGACTGGGCATGGTGGGTCGTGCCTGTAATCCCAGCACTTTGGGAGGCCAAGGCGGGAGAATCGCTTAAGCCCAGGAGTTCAGGATCAGCCTGGGCAACACAGTGAGAGTCTTAAAAAAAAAAAAAAAAAAAAAAAAAAAAAGAAGTTAGCTGGGCCTGATTGCACGTGCCTGTAGTCCTAGCTACTTGGGAGTCTGAGGTGGGAGGATCACTTGAGCCCAGGAGATGGAGGCTGCAGGGAGCCATGATTGTGTCACTGTACTCCAGCCTGGGTGACAGAGTGAGACTCTGTCTCAAAACAAAGACAAACCCACACACACACAAAAACCCCCAAAACCCAGAAGGAAAAAGTAGTACAAGAAATCTCAGGATCGATAACTTTTTTCCCCTTGATTTTGAAAGATTTTCGTAACTACAGGTAGGTCAGAGAATATATTCTTTGAAGATAAAAAGCACAACGTGCATTACTCAAATCTCAACGTCAGAGCTACTGTTGAATTTAGGTTTATGTGAAAATGTGCATCTAAAGTCTACTTGAAACCCTGGTAATATACTTTTTTTTTTAAAGACTGTTAATATGGACATGTTTTTAGTAAGGTCTTTAAAGATAACTTTAAAGATAAATTAAGAGTTGACACATCAGTTTCTGAATGTGGAAGTCATTTATCATGTAACTTTACTGAAATTAAAGAGAGAATGCTTCTGAGTGTCACAAGGATAACTAAAAGCCACACAAGGAGGACTGCTGGCCCATTTCTCTAGTTCACAGGTTGTGCTCAGCTTTAGAAGCCCACACACGGGCATCCAAACTGAGTCTCTGGAATAGAAAAATTAATGATGGACTTCCTCCCCTATGTAACCTTGGAAGGTTTTAAGTTACACCTTGGGGAATTGGCAAATCATTTTCAACATGTATTATAAATTATATGATGTTAAAATTATTTTTAATTTTTTAAAGTAAAAGAAATGTTACAGTAGGCTTGCCATAGCTTGAATGATTGTGAAAACATCACATAAACTTCCAGAATTTTGGTTACTAAGAAAACTGGAGTGTGTATGTGTGATTTTTTAGAATTGTTACTGGGTTTTGTTTTCTGAAAATGTTGACTGTAATGACATTTTCAATTAGAAAAGTGTTTTAGTTAGTACTGTTATATTTTTTGACTCACAGTTAAGTATCCTATTTGCCAATGTTTGTACCTCTGATGGCAAAATTATTTGATATATTAGATTAGTATTTGAAGCAAATAACTTTCTCAACTTGTGGGAATTTTATTATACTAATAGTGAAAATGTTAGAGGATAAGATTTTAAATACTTCTTGATTTAAATTAAAATACTATAAGAAATGTATGTATATTTGGATTTGAAGATTTTTTTTCCCCAGATTTATAATGAATTTGGAACTTACAAGAACAATGAGGATGATGGTGCAATCAGAGTCATTTAGATAGATGGTGAGCCTTTTCTGTCCATGCTATGATTAAGTCCTCTGTTTAAACCCAAATGCAATCTGAGTGACACATGAATAAAATTAATTAGATTAATTTTGAAATAAGAGAATATGCAAAATTAACCAAAAAACCCCCAGAAAACACTGGTCATCTCCTTCTCTAATGAATAAGGAAATAAGATCATAAATAGTCCCATCTCAACATGCATATGCAATTGAAAAAACTGCCCTCACAGGCAATCCTGGCACAATCCTAGGCTCATAAAATTTCTCTATCTTTTCTTGTAAATAAGTCTCCAGTCATCATTCTAAATGGGAATCATTTTTAATGAAATAATTATAACTGTTTTCTGAAATATAATCATAATCAGTGTTTCTAGTTCAAGGTACAATTGAACTAATCCATAATTTTACCCTTTTCTTTTTGATAAGAGAGTGTTTCATGAGGGTATCTTTGGTAGAGATCTTTTCTCAAGTATTTTATAAAATATTCGAGTTTGATGAAGATGGTAGATAAATACACCAGCTGTCAGATGCCTATAATTTTCACAAAATGTGAAGAATTCATTGTATCTTAGGATGACCATAAAAAAATTCATGGTGTGGAATCTCTAAGCATTAATAGAGACAACAGCGCTACTGCAGTAATACACAGCTACTACAAATCAGTGGCAGAGCAAGAATAAGTGGTGTATCAGGCAATGTGAAGTTTTTGCCTTTTCTCCTAATGCTGTGGTTGAGTTTTCCTGGAAATGAAGGAAAAAAACATAGCAAAAGTAGGGTGTGTTAATGAATCTGATGAGCAACAAGTCTAAAAATAGCAAAAGTGCAAAATGGAAGTTAAAAAACGCAACTGGCACCTGAAGCATATTTCCCCTTCTTTATCTCCAGTGCTATGCCTCTGCTAAAAATATGAATCACAAAGCAAAGGAAAAAGAGAAAAAAAGTGTTGTAATACAGTAAAAATCACTATAATAAAAGTTTATAAGAATTGAGTTTTTTGGAATTGACTTTGGCCTAGTAACCATTAGTATTTCTTAATTTTTCAGCATTTATTCCATACTAATGTGATAACAACTGTGTGTGTTACCTAGAGAAAATGCTGTAGATCCACACATTTGAACAGAAATGTTTATCGATGCCATAACGTGATACATTTGCTTTCCGGTGTTGTTTTTTGTTTATATTATTTAGGGAAATTTTACCTTACCATCACAGATTTTGTTACTTTAATAATGCAGAACTATATTTATTTAATCTAGATTTTGTTTTAAAATTATCAAGTGTTAGCTTTTACAAATAAGAGGCTTATAATGTGGCCAGATATTCTTAGAATTCTTTTAGGTCTAAGTGTTTTCAAAACTTTAAGAAATACATTCTATTTTTGCACCATTTAAAATTTTGTTTCCTTTTAAGTTTTATTAAGTACACGAGAAGTTTATTATTTTTCATTGAATCCAAGTGAATTTATGGATATGTACTTATCTTTTATATGAATGTAATAGCTTGCTTTCAGTTCCTCACAGGTCATTGAAATTATTTAACCAATGAAAACATTCTCTGTTACTTCCAAAGTCAACTATGTTTATCAAAATCTCACTAGTGTGAGAAAAATAACAAGTGTAATATTAAAGCATTGTGCAATATCTTGAGTTGGAACATAATATTCAGAAAATTAAAATCATTTAAAATGAGTATGCAACCTTTTTATTTAAAATCATTTGCTCCAAAATAGTTTTCATCTCTGCATTTCATATTTTCTTAAAAATATGGTGTCTTTCACTATGGATAGGCAGATGTGGTAGAGCAGGGCTGCCAGGATGAGGGATGCTCTTCCTCTGGATTACACAACGGTTTGATTCTTTAGTAAGATGAAAACTTTAAGACACCAAGAAATGGAAACTGGTTAAAGGGTTTCCCTCCCTGCTTTATTCCCACAAACTGCACTGTCAATCAACATTCAGATGTTACTCCACAGCCGCTGCTGTCAATCTAAAGGTAGATCACTCAGTAGAGCAAAGGCTCCTGAGGCTTTGCCAGCAGTCCACAGCCCAGTATCTACAGAGGCATTTGGGTCATGGTTTTTGCAAAGTGGGATGTGGGTGAGAGTGGGGTTGTGTTCTGACTTCCTTTATTGCTATCAGCCTGTGCCAGAAATAGGGATCTATATAGCTACATCCAATCCTAACTTATCTCTGCCTTATTTGAAAGAAAGGAATGGGTTTCTATTAAATAATAAAAACATTAGTTTATTAATTCCTGCTAGGAAGTAGCCTTTTCTTATCCTTCCTTCAACTGCCCTGTCTCCTTTTCCCTGTTATTCAAAGACCTTTCCCATGACCACAGCCACATTCTTTTTTGGCTGTTCTGGTTTTCAGTGCACAGTTCTTTCTTCTCCTTGACAGCAAGGCATGTTTAGTCGAAATAACAGAGTGTTTTGTAGGCACCTAATAATTGACTCCTAACCCCAGAGGATTGCTCCTTTTGGAGCAATACCTCAGTCAGGGTATTCTGTGCCAAATCTTCCTCACCAAATTATTCTGGTTGCTGATGCTTTCCTTGCAGAAATTTCTGTGCCCACGGAAGGTTTCAGAGGCAGATTATCTGGATTAAATAAGAAAAGACCTTTAGTAATCACTGATTCTAAGGGAAGGTATGCCTTTAAAAAGAAAGGAGTTTCATCAGGCCTCAAGATGGTTTATACTGCTTTATTGAGAGAAATGTGCTCATTTTTGCATCACAAAGGGGCATGTATTGGCGCCCACGTGGAGCACTGACACAAGTCGGCAGTGAGACAACAAACTGATTATCTCCCAGAAATGGAGGGCACCAGAGATGTCTGTTTCCATGGTTACCACAATCTGATGAGATCATGCTTGAGGAAAAGAACATGATCACCCAGAGTACACAGTCTTGCTTAGCATTTATAGTACATGTAATATTAGCATAAGACTCTCTTTTCTCTATTTTCCTACATGGAGAACCACAATGTAACTCTGACCTTATTTCCAATTTCCTCACAGTTTAGTTTTTGACATCATAAGGCGGATGACATGTGGTACCTCCTCAGAGCTCCTATAACCCCTTGAACACATATCTTGTGTGGCACTGACTTCATTACATAATATTTCAGTTGTCAGCAAGGTGTCTCTCCCACTAAAATGTGGGTTCACTGAGAGTAGGTCAGGTCAGTTCAACAAGATTTATCAAGTACCTTTTATGGCCGAGGCACTTTGCCAGGTGTTGGAGATGTAGAAATGAATAAAAACAGTCTCTGACCTTGAGGAATTCATTTACATCTAGTAACAAAGACAGATATAAACATATTTTTCAATACTACACAGTAAGTGCAAGGACAGACGTCATATATACATTACCTCGAGCTCTGAAAGTAGCTCTTAACTCCACCAAAGGGGTCAAACAAGTATTCCTCGAATTGGCTACTGACCTGAATCTTGAAGGATGAGTGGGGATTAACTAGCAAAGCAGTTAGAGTGGAGGTGGGGTGTGAAGTCAGGGAGCAGTGGGTTACTGAGTGACTGGGTTAAGGAAGCAAAGACAGCGAGTGCAGATTTCTCCTCCCAGAAGATTCAGTGACAATATAGATGATGTTGTGAAACAGTTTGTTGAACTTATCTTGTGCCTTATGGTGTGCTGGTCAGAGGGAAGCCCTTGGTCTTTGCCTTTGTTGTCATAAATATTTAGTGCTATTGACTGCAAATGTGCTTGATTTCTTTCTTTCTTTTTTTTTGAGACAGTCTCGCTTTGTCGCCCAGGTCGGAGTGCAGTGGGGGGATCTCGACTCACTGCAACCTCCGCCTCCTGGGTTCAAACGATTCTCCTGCCTCGGCCTCCTGAGTAGCTGGGACTACAGCCACATGCCACCATGCCCAGATAATTTTTTGTATTTTTAGTAGAGACGGGGTTTCACCATTTGAGCCAGGATGGCCTCGATCTCCTGACCTCGTGATCTGCCTGCCTCAGCCTCCCAAAATGCTGGGATTACTGGCGTAAGCCACCATGCCTGGCCCAATGTATTTGATTTCTGAGGCTCAACAAAAGCTAACTTTCACATTTAAGTCCATTTTGTGAAGATCCTTCATGAATATGTTGGAGTTATTTTAATGACTCAAGTGATTCAAGTGTTAAAAAAAAATGATGAAATGAACTCCCCCTCATGCTGGCTTTCTAAAACTTGGAAAAATAGAAAAGTATAAATTTAAAACAAGTCTAAAAATGGTCCAAACGTATAATTTATAAAGAATTAACGTTTTTAGGCTGGGTGTAGTGGCTCACGTCTGTAATCCCAGCACTTTGGGAGGCTGAGGCAGGCAGATCACCTGAGGTCAGGGGTTTGAGACCAGCCTGGCCAACATGGTGAAACCCTGTCTCTACTAAAAATACAAAAATTAGCCAGGCATGGTGGTGGGCACCTGTAATCCCAGCTACTCGGGAGGCTGACGCAGAAGAATTGCTTGAACCCGGGAGGCGGAGATAGCAATGAGCTGAGATCACGCCACTACACTCCAACCTGGGCGACAGAGCAAGACTCCGTCTCCAAAAAAAAAAAAAAAAAAAAAAAAAAAAATTAACGTATTTAAAATATCTACTTTCCTGTATCCTTGACGATTCTCTGTTTCCTCCTCTGTTCCCCTTTTTAAAGAAATTAACTGTTATACATGTAACATGTCAGTTGGCTGTTATCCTAGAGATGGCAACATCATATCTGAAAAAAAGACCTTATCTATAATTGATGGCACCTAATGAAAAAATACATGCCATGGGGATATAATCAACTGAGAGATTCTATGCAGTGGAAGTCATGAAGTCCGAAGTCTTGTGAGAATCACATTCTTTCATTTAAAGTATGGAATTGGCCAGGCACGCCTGTAATCCCAGCACTTTGGGAAGCCAAGTGCCTGAGCTCAGGAGTTCGAGACCAGCCTGGGCAACATGGCAAAACCCTGTCTCTATCAAAAATACAAAAAATTAATTGGCTGTGGTGGCACGCACCTGTGGTCCCACGTACTTGGGAGGCTGAGGTTGGAGAATCGCTTGAGCCTGGGAGGTGGAGGTTGCAGTGAGCCACTGCACTCCCACCTGGGTGATAGAGTGAGACAGCGTCTCAAAAAAACAAAAAACCAAAACCAAAAAGTATGGAATTATGAGAAATGAAGCCTTATTTCCATCAACAACAAAGTTCTTAGGCTGTCTACTAAAGAATTTTGGTGTAATTGCTCTTTCCTCTAATGACGCTAACCATTAAAATATCTTGCTTGACTTGTATTTCTGATGACTGACTGGCTATTCAAGAACTTGCAAGATTTTCTATCACAACACCTATGACCTCAGGCTAATCAGTCAATCTGTCAATGTGAGAACAAAGGGATTTTCCTAAATATCTAACTGAAAGTATTCAATAAGTACACTACACAAAAATCAGGAAAAATTCAATTTTAAAAAGTAATTTTTAAAAGCCAGTTTGAATCAATATCTGATGCAATAAATACAGGAAATGAAGTTTATTATACAATTTCTACATCACTCTTTCTCCTAAAAGTCCTCTGAGATAATTAAAAATGAACATTTTGCAGTTCCACCAAGCTGCCATGGTCAACTGAAAAGGAAAAGGTATTTTTGTTGTTGTTGTTCCTGCAAAAATATGACCCAGTCACTGAAAATAATTCAAACCATTTCCAGTCACTAAGAACTTTCTCTGAAACTCATGATGGTAAAAACTATGGCACATCTCTCAGCCCTCTTCAACTTTTTAAAATATCCTTGTTACAGATGTGAATGAAATGGTTTGAATATGGTTAGAAGCTAGAGACCTACAGCAGCACCCAACATAAAAGGAACCCAACAAGCAAATTTGTGTGGCAAATCTACTTTGGTTAGGCAATGAAAAGACCAGTTGCAGTTTTCTCTTCCTTGTTCCCAGGGATACCCAATAGTTACTCTTCTGTATTTTTTTCTTAGATGTTTCTGGTTACCGAATTCAGTGGCACAACACAGCAACTGAACTAAAAAATGAAAATTGTATAAAACTTCCCAACCAAAGGCTAAATATACACACCTTTTCAGATTGTTGGGCTTGCATCTGTTCTATCATTTTAGATTCACTTTTATACTGGGGCTTGTGCATTGACTGCATACTTAGAATGTTAATCTGATAGCATTAATAAATGTCATTTAGCCACATAAATTCCACTTTTACCAAGAATCAGCACATGAACAATCATTTGAACAATATAAATGTAATCTAAATGTATCAACATACATACACACAAACACACACCAGTCGCTCCTAGCAATCAGTTTGAAAATGCATAAATGGTAGTCCACTGTGAGAACTATTCTCTTTAGTTGCCCTAGAAATGCTGAATGACGCTTTCTTTTGAAAATTCCTACTTCAGCAGATTAAATGAAAAACCACCTAGTAAGGACTTCATAAAATAATGTAACCAAGAACATCACAAAATTTTGAGTTCCCTGGGATAATAATGTGACACTGAAAAAAATGTTTCAGCTGGGTAAAGATGCATATTGTGGAAGAATACAGTAGTGGAAAATGAAATGGAGGGATATCAAGAGATCTGGAAAAGCAATTTCATCCATGTGGACCTCATCTGAAAATGTTAAGTTTTAGAGAAGAATCTCAGGAGGTTTCAATTCTGTAAATGTTTCAGTCAAAATCGAATTTCTAATAAAAAAAGAGACAAGGGATTAACTCATTTTCCTATGAACAAACAAAAATAAAGAAAAAGGAAGCAGATAAATACATCACAATCACTCAGATCACTAGAACAAAAACAAAAAATTGAAGGTAAAATGACCATATATACAGAGTGCTGGAATAGCAGATCAGTTAAATAATTATCAAATTTAGTGGGCATGATGATATAGGCAGAAATGGGGAGGAAAAACCTGCCTTATATGTACTTTCGCAATATGCCCATATTGTGGCATACATTTTTACTAACAGAACTTAGCAAAATAAAAGGACTCAAAGCCTTCTCCATTAACTGTGATAGATTGTTTTCCATTTGAGCCTGGGGTTGAAGGTAAACTTAACAGATCAAAACAAAATATAGACCTAAGTATGTCAGTAGTGCTAAGAATTTGAGCATGAATGTCATGTAAGAGCAAACCCAAGCAAGTCGGTTATTAGAAGGCAGCAAGTATTATATCACTCTAAACTCTGCCTAGTAAACATGTGATTGGCTCACATTTTTGAAACTTGTGGTCATTTTGAAAAAAAACATTTAACTGTAAAATTTTTTTTTTTTTTTTTGAGATGGAGTTTCGTTCTTGTTGCCCAGGCTGGAGTGCAATGGCGGATCTTGGCTCACTGCAACCTCCGCCTCCCGGGTTCAAGTGATTCTCCTGCCTCAGCCTCCCGAGTAGCTGGGATTACAGGCGCGGCCACCACGCCCAGCTAATTTTGTAGTTTTGGTAAAGACGGGATTTCATCATGTTGGCCAGGCTGGTCTCGAACTCCTGACCTCAGGTGATCCACCCGCCTCGGCCTCCCAAAGTGTTGGGATTACAGGCGTGAGCCACAGAGCCCAGCTTAACGGTAAATTATGAGGACCAAGCACTCTTTATTTTCTCTTTCCTCAGTTTACCTTCTTTAAGGCATTACTGCAGACTAAGCCTAAAAAAAAGTAATTTGTTTTCAAATGATATGATTTACTCTCTGGCCTGGATTTCAAAGATGTCAGTATAATATGGATTGTATATATTGTTTAAATTTTACAAATAACATAACGCCTATTATAGAAATTTTGGAAAATACAGAAAAGTGCAAAGAAACAGAAAAAAAAATCCTTCATCCGGTCAGCAGAGTTACCATTTTCACTTTTTAGTTGCGCTCTATATTGTACTTCTATAGTCGCTACACTACTCTAATATCCTGACTTAGTCAACTTTTATATCACGAGTATTTTCTTGGGTCATTAAATAGCTGGCACTTTTAAAGTGTTTACGGAGTATCTCATTTTGTAGTAATGCTATATGTCCTGGTTTTTATAACAGTAAGAGAAAAAGCTACAGCCTATTACAAAACACTTCCTATATCAATGCGCAAAAGAGAAAGGTGGACACAGAAAAGGGGAAATGTAACGTGAGAATTAGCAATAGAGAAAGAATAAGTGAGAATCGCTTAATTAGAGGCAAGATAATAGGGCTAAGTCACATTATTGATTCTTGACTTTAGGACAAAAGGGGTACATGTCACGCACCTCTGTTCCAAGTTTGTATTTGCACCTTGAATGGCGATTTATTAGATAAAGTCGCGGTTTTACAACCTAAGCAAATACTGCTAATCCTCCCCCGACTCAATCCACCTTGAGGCCGCCTTTTAAATGCTCCGACTCCCTTCAGAGAAAGCCTCGAGGTAAAAAGAAAAACCTGTCTGGCAATCCAGACCTGCCGTCGCCACGATAACCAGAGTAGCAGGCAGGTGTGTGCTTACTAAAGCCACGGCCAACAGAGCGAAGATGCGCCTACACCGCACGCGAAGTGTCACCGTAGCTCTAGGACCACGCATGCGCGAACGCAGATTCGCGATCCAATGGCTGAGCCCGTCACAGGACAGATGATCAGGGTGCGTCCGCCTTTTCGTTCCCGCTTCTATCCTCCTCCCCTTTCCCCTCCCCATGTCCCTCCTTCTTCTCCCTCCTCCCTCTCTCCCTCCCTCTGGCGTCTCCAGCCGACTTTCGCTTCCCGTCAGCAGCCTTTGGCGGAAGAGTGTCCCGCCTCTTCCGCTCTACAGCGGAGGTGGCTGTGGCGGTGGCGCTGGTGGCTGCGGCGGCGGCGGCGGCAGCGGCGCTCGAGCGGTTCCTGTCAGGGTCAGCCGGCGGGCCCCCTGGGTGGTCCACCTGCAAATCGCGGAGCGGCGCCCCAGGGATCGATGGCGATGAACTATAACGCGAAGGATGAAGTGGACGGTGGGCCCCCGTGTGCTCCGGGGGGCACCGCGAAGACTCGGAGACCGGATAACACGGCCTTCAAACAGCAACGGCTGCCAGCTTGGCAGCCCATCCTTACGGCTGGCACGGTGCTACCTATTTTCTTCATCATCGGTCTCATCTTCATTCCCATCGGCATTGGCATTTTTGTCACCTCCAACAACATCCGCGAGATCGAGGTGAGGGGAGGGAGCTGTGGTGGGAGTTGGCGTTGCTCGGGAGGAGGGTCCTACGCGCCCACTCCACTTCTTTCCCAGCGCCCAGAATCCAGTTGACTGGCTGACCTCGCGCCGTCCACCACCCCCTTCCCTCTGTTTCTCTGTTTTTTCTTTCTCTTTCTGCGGGTTTCCTGAATTTGCAGGTTTGTCCTAGCTTTGTCTTGCTCGAGATTTACGAAAGAGCAAATCCACGGAATGAGCTGAGACGGAATGAATGTTTAATGCAGAAGATAGGTCAGGTGGAGAACGCTTCTTCAGTGGGCGGTTTGTGTGGTTCCGTGGGGGATTAGTGGGGGTTGTTCACGGAGGTAAAAAGAGAAGTGGGGGCGGGGGGCAATTGTAACTAGGTAGATGTAACCCTGAGTGAATTGACAGGGTCAAAGTGCCATTACCTTTGTGGGAAGTATCCCAAGACACAGAGATGGACACCTTGGCCATTGTTGGGAGAAGAACCAGAGTCGTAGAGGTATTGACGATTCTAATGTAAAGAAGCTGTCGCATGTTATCAGGTCACATATGAGGACTTATGACAAATGTGCATAGTACTTTTCATTTTGAGCTAATTCGATATTTTTAGTTGTAGGGCAAGATGTACATAAAAGATAACCTGAAACTTCAATTCTGGTTTTGCTTTTAGGCTACGTTTATTAATGTGCCCTACCTTTGCTGGGTTTTTGTTTTGTCTTGTTTTGTTTTGTTTTTTTTTTTTACAAAAAGAGCCAGTGACCACACTCAGGGAGTAAGTTGTGCACTGTCTACCAAACATTTTACTGATATTAACTTTGCTGAATGTGTAAGACATGACAGGAAAACTTGGGGAAACATTTCTTTGTCGAAAGCACAGTATCTTTATCTGCAGGGGCGAAGACGGTTGACAGTACACTGTATTAATATATACTCTATAGGTGTCCAGTATTAAGCATCTCTCATCTTTTCTTGCATATCTGAGAATTTTTTTTTTTCTAAATCTATTTGAAAGGGCAGGAACTAGTACCAAGTTCTCTTGATTCCTTCTGTTCTGTTTATACACACACACACACACACACACACACACATTTTAATAAATATACTTTGTGATTTAATGGGACTTTGAGAGTAATTTTATTTTTAACTACTGAAATAGGGATGGGGTTCCAGTTTAATTTGCAGTGTTATCTCTAAAAGCAAGATTGATGTATTTTGTAATTCTACAGTGCTTACTTCAGTGTTGATGACAGTAATAAGAATAGTATCTATAGAATAACTAGTTTTAAAGTTTTTTACTAAAAATTCATTCTCAATTTAATAACTAGAGAGTTACAGTATTTTTTTTCAGCATGTATTTTAGTTTGTTTTATCACCTTAATCTCCCTAATAGTCCTGCAAATGTAGTACTTGTTCTAACCATACTGGGATCCCACATTATATTAGGATATGGGCAAAGCGGTGTCATGCAAGGAACATGGGCATTGGCTGGGGTCAGGCAGAGCTGGTTTTAAATTCCAGCTCAGCTACTAACCAGCTCAGTTTCTTGGAAAATTTCCGTAATCTCTCTGAGCTTCAGTTTCCTGCAAAATAGGTAGAATCATTCATATCTTCTAAGGTGTGAGAATTAGAAGCAATATAAATAAGATGTCTGGCACTAGGGATCTGTCTCCTGATCCTTAATCAGGAGAAGAGAAATAGAGAGGTTGAGATTTGACAGTAAACTAGTTGAGAGTATTGTAAAAAATGAGACAGAAACTCAGGTGTCTTGATTCCCAGCTTTAAGCTTTCACCCTACACTAAGATCCTTTTACTGCAATGTTAGTAAAGTAGAAGAAAATAATTTAACATCAGAAATTTGAATGATTTTATTTAAACTTCTTAAGATAATAAGATGAAAATAGCAATAATTTGGAATTGTATATAAATTAGTATTTTCAGAACTCAGCTTCCATTAGTATTTACTATAGTATAAAAATAAATATTTAACTTTTCTTAAAATCTTTGGGTTTTGGAGTAAAATAAGGTTCTTCACGCTAAGTAGTAGACGAAATAGAAATTTTTCAAATGGCTCTCATGTGTAATTCTGATTTCAAGTTGCCTGAAGAATCTGCTGCAGCTTAGCCTGGTTAAAAGGGCACTGAAGAGTCAGGGAATTAAGGTTGAAATCCCAGCTCTGTCACTCTGTACTTTGTGATCTTAGGTATAATTTTGAGTCCAATTTCTTTACTTGAAGAGCCAAAAGATTCAGATTAGACTGCGTCTAAGAGGTTGTTCAACTCTAAAATTCTATGATTTCCAATTCAAATGTGATTTTAAAAAAGCAGGATGTGTTTAAATTGTATTGCCTTTGAAACAGGAGGAAATGAAAATTAAGAATAATTGGGAATTTTTTACTGACACTGACATACAGTTGTGCAGACAGAATCCACATATATATTTTTAAAGTTTGGATGCTAAATGTATAGAGAAATGCTTCTGAATTGTGTCTGGAAATTCCCCAAACAC
The DNA here is from genome assembly GCF_000001405.40 of Homo sapiens. Lineage (NCBI taxonomy): Eukaryota > Metazoa > Chordata > Mammalia > Primates > Hominidae > Homo > Homo sapiens. The sequence continues at coordinate 75,281,890 of NC_000006.12, read as the reverse complement.
ACATACTTGTTTCCTGCTTGTTCTCTACCCTTTGTTACCCACTAGTTGTAAATGGGTAATGAGAAGTTCTTACCAACATTCACTTTCATACTGTAAGTTACTCACACTTTATTTTTTATTTAAAAAACCTTCATTGCTATTTTAGTTCAGATTACTAGGGCAAAGGAGGCTTGTCAAATCCAAATGCTTTTTTAATATAGCTTAAAGTGCCAAAATCAAAAATCCAAACTTTTTCAAGTATAAAATCACTGGATTTTTCTCATTCCCGCAGAAATGTTACATTAAAAATTACTACTTTTGAAAAGTGTCTTGGACACCCCTGGAAAAAAAAGATATTTTCACATTTTAATGCTTACATTTGGTAGCAGATTTCCTCTACTTTTTAGGTTTATGTATCTTGTTTAGTTGGTTTTTAGATTTTCAATAATCTAAATAAAATGAGGCTAATAGAAAATCATAATTGCTTTATCATTCACGAGAAAATATTTTAAATATTTAATATCTTCATTTATTATCAGGAGCAGGGAATGAAGATTTCCTTTAATTTGGCAATTGTGAGTCAGGCACATCTTTCAAAGGGCACTGATTTTCTAGTCTAGGACCCTTGTTGGTGAGACTGAGATACAGAGGTTACTTGAAAAATATAGTGAGGTTATTCTTAACTTTTGTAAAAGTATCAGTGTGAAGTTACATAGTTTTAAATTTATGGTTTAAGTCAGATTAGGTTGTTATTCAGACTAAGTTTAAAAACTAAACATTTACTTCAAGTTAGTGTTGCCAAAAACATTTAAGGTACATTTTCATGAGATCTTAGTGAATTAGCTCCCCATTCCCCACGTTTGATAAACTCTCAACTTTCTTCTTCACCTTATTTTATTTACTGCCCTCGATTATTTAATCCTGATTATTTTCTGTTGTCCTAGTTTCTGATAAAAATTTTTATGTATGTTTTTACTCCTAAATTGAATTATTAGATTATAAGATTTTTAAGGAGATTAAATTTCTCATCTGTATTTAGCAATCTTTGTTATACTTAGGCTTTAGCTAAGAGTCAGGGAAGAATAAGTTGCTTTGTATAAATTATCGTTAAAGATTAGGCACTTTTATGTTAAAAAGTTTAAGGTTTTAATATTCAAGTTGATTTTAGTTACTTAGAAGCTGACTTTTGGAAATTAAGGTTTGTGGTGTTTTAACTTGTTTCTCAAGTAATGTTAGTACTTAGAGCAAGGAATGCGAAAGTAAATATGGCCAGCTGGAATGTTTTGCGTGGCCCAGGAACATTTAACAGATGAACATTTGTAATCGATTTGATGATAGGAGAGCACTAACTTTGAATCCCAATTATGAGAAATGTCTCCTCCAAAATTTCCATTCTTCTCATTAGTATTAGTAGACCTATATTACCAAAAAATTGTACATATTATTGTTGCATTTTGAATTTTATCAATAAAAATTGTTGCAAATTTGTTTTCTCTCTTGTTACATAAGAACCTACATACCTAATATCTTGGACCATGCTTCTGGGTCCACAAAGCCTGAAGTATTTACTTTCTGGCCTCTTACAGAAAAAAATTGCCTGCCCATGACTTAGAGTTTTAATGAATCATACCAGCAAAGTTAGCATTTGCTACACAAATAGCTGTGTTTAATTTACATGTTCTAGTCCTCAATAATTGTTCAAGATAGGTGTAATGATCCCTGGCAATTGCTTAGGTTCTGTCTTTGTACAGATTTAGTAGATATAAAATTTACCATTAATATTGGCTTAGGAACATCATTCTTCATTTCTTTGTCACAGACAATCAGGCAGCCTAAAGAAAGTTGCTTTTGAAAGTTTTACTTACCTTTTGTCTTCATTAAGGTCTCTCGAAAAGACTTCAGATAAATCATTTAGTGTGGAATAATCAGTTCAAGGGGGAGTACTTAAAATATGATTTTTAACTTAATTTGATTAATACTTAAAATGATTTACCTTATTACTCAGCATTTTGTTGAATGACCTGTTTAGGTCTTATGTTGATTTCCTTTTTGACAAATTTACATTCAAAATGGAAGTTTTCCAGTCGTTTTCCTATATAGTGTAAAAAATGCGCATCTTTCAAATTCCTCCTTTCCCACTGCATTAAATTCTGAGTCTGTTTCTTAGAAATATAATGTATTTTTAGAATTACCAAGAAGAAATGCCAGTTTGACTTAGGTGAACAATTACAGTGGTAGCAAAACAAAGCTGAGAATGTGATATCTCCTATCTGCTCATCTACATCTGTTCTATTTTGCCTCTGGTTCTTTGTCTTGGATTTTAGCTAATGGGCAAGTCTCCAGACTATCATTGTAGTTTGCACTGTGCCTTGTATGCTCTTGACGTTAGTAAGCATTAATTTTTCAAAATGAGAGAACTGTAGCTTGTCTTCCACTTGGTAGCCTCTTTTGTTTCTAAAGATAGGAACTATGTGCTTTAGTGTGAACTTTATTTTTTGAATAAAGTTGTTACAACCCATGGTAACAACTTTATTCAAAAAATAAAGGATTGTTAGGCCCATAAGGTTTTATTAAGGTCTGGACATTATGTCTGGCTACCCTTGAATTTTAGCTGATAAAGGGTGTTGTGGTTTTATTTGATGGTGAAAACTCATAAGCTGAGTTAAATTTATAAAGGATTTTAATCAACATTGGACATTGTCTTCATACATTTTCTTCAAAGTGCATCTCTGGGAATAGTGGGAGATAGGGAAAGTTTGGGCACAGGACTTCCCTCCCTGCCCACCCCCCCACACACCTTTTTGGAGCAGAGGACCTTCTTAAGGAGCTTGGCATCTTTTGGGGAAGATGAGACACAATAACAAGAAAACTAAGCATTGCTAGGTGAGTGGCACAGGCAAGAATATCCTTTGGTAGTTCAAAGGAGGATGCAATCACATCTATTTCTAATGACCATGGAACACTGTGTAGGAAGTGGGCTTTGAGCTGGTACTTGATAAATAGCACTTCTTTAGGGGAGGTTTGGATGCATTCCAAGAAAGGTGATTAATATGAACAACGATCTAGTGGCAGGAAATCAAAAAGTGTATAGATAAAATAGGAGTAAGAGCAAATTAGCTGGTGCTAGATTGTGGATAGTCTTGAGTATTTGATAATGAATATATTAAACGAGGGAAGTGACATGATTGCTACACTATCAGTTAGGAGTGGGTTGAGCAATGAGTAATTATGATTTTCAGTCTCATGTAAAATGGCTTAGGAACATAGTGTGAAGCTGTCATGGAGGTTCTGTTTTACTGAGTCTTCACTTGATCTAATCATTTACTGCCCAGCCATTCTTAGGAACTGGCTCTCATGCTTACAGTTCGGCATGGAAGCTAGGGTTCTAACTGCCTTTTCACGGTAGCAATGTGGAAGAAGGGATGAACAAAGAGATAAAGGCCTTTTAAAGAAGGTTCTTGAAAACTGTCATGTACCACCTCCACTTAGTAACAAGGCCACACAAGCTACAAGGGAGGCTGGAAAATGTTTTCATTCTGATAACAAGGTTCTCAGTAAGTGAGAGTTTTGTATTGTGAAAAAAAGATAGAATAGAAATTGAGGCGAGGGGTTGCTATTAGCAGTCTCTGCAACACAGGGTTAGAGGAAGATTTATCTGGTGGTGAAATGGTATGTCATCAGGATGAGAGCTAGATCTCATATAGACGTGAGAGTAGTAGTTTAGACGCTGGAATTAATGTTTGCATTTTTATATTGATTATAATAATATTGAATCCAACTTGATTTCATAGTGAAACTCATTAATGTTTTTTCATGTGAAAAGTGAGTTAGGTATGTGGCTTTGCTGATACTTAAAAAAAAAGTTATAGGAGTATTGAATATCACCATCTTCCTCTTGTTTTCTTCAACCTCTTTTTTCCATCTCTGTTCAGCATATAAATGTGTTTTGGTTTCTCCTTAAAAAACAAAAATATCCTTTTATTTTTATTTTATTTTTCTTTTTTAGAAACAAGGTCTTGCTCTGTTGCCTGGGCTTCATTGCAGTGGTACAGTCGTAGCGCACTGCAAACTCAAAACTCCTAGGCTCAAGCAACCCTTCCACCTCAGCCTCTTGAGTAACTAGGACTATAGGTGCATGCCACCAGGACTGGCCAATTTTTAAATTTTTGCTAGAGATGGGGGTCTCGCTTGGTTGCCCAGGCTGCTCTTGACCTCCTGGCCTCAAGCAGTCCTCTTGCCATGTCCTCCCAGAGTGTTGGGATTACAAGCATTGTTAGCCACCGCACCTGGCCTTTTTTTAAAAAAAATAGAGATGGGGCCTTGCCGTTGCCCAGGCTAGAGTGCAGTGGCAATGTTCATAGCTCACTGTAGCCTCAAACTCCTGGGCTCAAGTGATCTTCTTGCCTCGGCCTCCCGAGTAGCTGGGATTACAGGCGCAAGCCACTGTGTCTGGCTTAATTGTATTTCATAATAAAACTATTAATAATGACTAACATTTTTTGAGAGTATACTCTGCTAAGAGTTTTACATACATCATGTTAGTTGATACAGTGACACTTAACAAGGGTAACATTATTCTCTCCATTTTTTTTTTTTTTTTTTTTTTGGATGAGGACATTGAATCTGAGATTAAGTCTTCTGCTTAGTCACAAAGGTGGGATTCATACTTTAGCCATCTGACCTCTTGTTTAGTTTCCTGTAGTTTCCTGTATTCTCTTTCCACACAATCTGTTTAAAAAGAAGGGTCCGTGCTTATTGCCAATGTCCATTCCCATCTCCCTTTAACTCCTTAATTTGCTGCATTTGAAGTATGTTAAATGGTAAAAAATCCTATGAAGAAGAATGAAGGAAGGGTTGATGGTTTATAATTTTAAATAGGGTAGCCAGGGGAAGCCTCAGTAAAATGGCATTTGAATAAAGAACCAAAAGAGGGAAGAGAGTGAACCATATTGATATGTGAGGGAAGAATGTTCCAGGCAGAAGAAATAGTAAGAGCATAGGTCCTGAGGAATGTGCTTAGTTAGGTGTTTGAGGAACAACAAAGAGGCCAATATGGCTGAAGTAGAGGGGGAAGAATGGTAGAAGATGAGGGTATTGGGAAGTATTAGGAGGAATATCACATGAAGCACTATAAGAACTTTGGCTTCTCCGCTCAGTTTAGTGAGAAGCTATTGAAAAGTTTTGCACAGATAGGTGTTATTATTTCACTTATGTTTAAAAAGAATCACTCTGGCCTTGACATGGAGAATATTGCCTGGTAAATAAGAGTAAAGCAGGGTATTTCTGACAGGAAAAAGCCAAAGCATATTTCCTAGTCTCGCACACCACTCAACACTTCTGACACCACATGTGTGGAAATTTTTCCCTACACACCATCCAGTTCTGACACCAGATTCTCCAGCACACAGCAATTGGGTGTCCTATAATTTCGTTAAATTCTGGCACTATCTACTAGGAGATAGTATCAGATCCCACAGGGTAGGGGCTCAGTCCCACAAGACTGCCTCTCACTTTAGATGCCAATTGTAAGTCCCAGGCTGCGACCTGTACTTCTGGCCAAATTGCTATAAACTGGTGTTTCCATGACGCCCTCCTTGAGTTTGCTTTATTTGCTAGAGCGGCTCATAGAACTCAGGTAAACACTTTATTTACGTTTACCCGTTTATTATAAAGGATATTACACAGGATACAGATGAAAAACCAGATGGAAGAGATGTAAAAGGAGATGTTTGGAGAAGGGGTTCAGAGCTTCCATGTGCTCACTGGGGTGCCACACTTCAGGCACTTCCATGTGTTCAGCTATCTGGAAGCTCTCTGAACCCTGTCTTTTTGAGTTTTCATGAAGGCTTCATTATGTACACATGATTGACTCAATAATTGACCGTTGGTGATCAGCTCAGTCTTCAGTCACTCTGCCTCCTGGGACTCAACCTTCAGTCCCTTTCCCCTTCCCACAGGTCTATTCATGCCTTGGTCTTTCTAGTGACCAGCTTCCATCCTGAAGCTATTTAGGGGGCACCAACCACCAATTGTATCATTAGCATATGAAAGACACTCATCACTCAGAGACTGTAAGAGTTTTTTTTAGGAGCTCTGTACCAGGAAACTGGGAGCAAAGATTAAATATGTATTTCTTACTGTAAATCACAATATCACACAGGGAAACCAGTTAAGAGGCTATTGCAAGTAATTCAAGCAGGAGATGATGGTGGTCACAGTAGAATGGTTGCAGTGAAAAGCAGTTAGATATAGAATATATTTATGAAAGTAGAGCTAAAAGAATTTTCTCATGCAATTGATATATGGGGTGTAAGAGAAAAGTGAAGAATCAAAGATGACTAAGATATTTTGATTTGTAGCTGGAAGGATGGAGTTGTCATTTTTCAAGATGGGGAAGATTGTAGGAAAATGAGGTTTTAAGTATGCTAGTAAGAGGATGTGGTGGGGGAAGCAGAATAAATAGTTCAATATTTGACTTGTTAGGATGAGATGCCATTAGACATCCAAGTTGGGAATAATGAGTAGGCAAACAAATATAGAGTTCAAGGGGAAGGTTGAGACTAGAGTTACATATTTTGAGGGTTAATCAGCATAGATGATGTATAAAGGCCTAATTAGCATAGATGGTGTATAAAGGCCTAAGATAGGATGAAATCATAAGAGTGATTTATAGGTCAAAGAAAAGTAAGAAGATCCCTGAGTCACTCCAGTGTTTAGAGGCTGGGGAGCTAAGGAGGAACTAGCAAAGGAGACTGAAAAGGAGCAGCCAGTGAGGTAGGACAAAAACATGGAAACTGGTACCCTGGAATCAAAGGAAGAGCTTGTAAACAACATGCCAAATGTTGTTGCTCATGGTTCACAGAAGAGCAGGACTGAGAACTGACTTTTTTTTTTTTTTTTTGAGACAGAGTCTCGATCTGTCACCCAGGCTGGAGTGCAGTGGCACGATCTTGGCTTACTGCAAGCTCCGCCTCCCAGGTTCATGCCGTTCTCCTGCCTCAGCCTCCTGAGTAGCTGGGACTACAGGCGCCCGCCACCAGGCCTGGCTAATTTTTTGTATTTTTAGTAGAGACGGGGTTTCACCGTGGTCTCGATCTCCTGACCTCATGATCCGCTCGCCTTGGCCTCCCAAAGTGCTGGGATTACAGGTGTGAGCCACCGCGCCCGGCCTGAGAACTGACTTTTGATTTAGTGACATGAAAAGCAGTGGTAAACCTTACAGAGAGTGGCATCACCATCCATAGGGTTTTTCATGCCAGAAACCCTGGAAATCAACCTAAGTGTATTTGCCCTCATCCCATCTCTAGGCACTAAGTTCTGTAGATTCTACCTTCTCTTTCTTTTGTGAATCTGTCTTTTGTATTCCTGCTGCCACTTTATTAGTTTAAGTTCTCAACATTTTTCACCTGGATTATTGTGGTGGCATTCTGTCTGGCATTCTCTTTAATCTCTCTGCACATTGGTGCCACAGTGATTCTTTTTGAGAGGCTAGTTTTAATGTTTCCTTCTTTTATTTAAAATTTCTCTTATGGCTGTTTCTGTCTAGCATTCAGGATACTGTTCAAACCCCTTTACATAGAGTGTAATTTTCTTCATGATAGGCTACTTTCTGCTTTTCTAGCCACATCTCCTACCACTCCCCTACCTTATGCTCTAGTCATGGCAAACTACTATAGTTTCTGGAATGTGACATGCTAATAGTTTACCTGAAATGACCTTCCTTTTCTTATTCTATCACATTTTCACATGCAGTTCCTATTAACATGGAAAGTCTTCCTTGATTCTCCTTTTTCCACCTGGTATATATGCTTCTCTCAGTTTCCAGAAGTACTAGCTTACAGCCTGCCTTAAAATTATATTATCCTGTAATTATTCATAAATGTGACTTTCTATCCCACTTGTCTGTAAATTCTTTTGTAGCATGAACAATGTATTTTTCCATTTTGTATTCTCATCCTGTAGACAGTGCCTAGCACCTAATAGGGACTCAGGTTTGAATGAGTGAATGAAACTCAGTCAGTACCATCAAGACATCTTAACACAGTTTGTTGAGAGTTTTTTGGTCATCTGAATGGTATTATGGGTCTGAAGGAGTTCTTGAAATTACCCAAGGAAAATATTATATACTATAAATCAAACTTGTATAACTGTGATATCCATCCATATCTAAAGGCAAAACAAATTTGCCTATTGAAGAGTAATCTAGAGAGTGCTGAAAATTTAACAAACAGGTTATTTGGCAAATGCTGCAGCAAAGAGAGACAAATATCAAAACTATATCATGTTCCAAGCCCCCAGTCAGGGATGTAGTCTCTCTTTGTACTCTCTCCCTGTAGATAACATCTACTCGGCAGCTTTCATGGAGAAATTTGCTGACTACTAGACTAGCTTGTATTGCCATACCACCTATACTTTTTTTTTTTTTTTAATAAAAATATCCATTCTATTTTAATGTTGTTTTCTGTGTTAGATACTGAACTCCAGGAGGTCAGGTGCTAGGCTGAATCCTCATTGCTGGGACCATAGAGGCATTCATAAATGTTAGGTGAATGAATGATTACGTCATGATGGGCAGTCAGAAAGAAATGAAAGTCCTATTTCCTATCTGTTTATATGCAAATATTTGATTATGTTGTTCTCCTCAAAACTCTTCAGTTCCTTATTTCCTGCCGGACATTTTAACACTCGGTTACTTAGCTTGCTGAGGCTTTATTGTCAGCAGCAGTAACCAGCTCTGGCTAGCTTAGACAGGAAAGAAAGTATTAAAGGAGGATTGGGTAACTCTCACACAAAATGGATGGGACGTACAGAGAGTCAGGTTTGGAGACAAGTGGGAAGTAAGGGAGTTTTGAAAGTATAAACAGTCTGATCCAGATGCCACAGCTGCTGTTGAATTTCTCTTGCTAGACTACTACTGTGACTGCTCATTTAATCACATCCACTCTTTGTTTCCCAGGATTCACTGGTCTATGTGGGAGTGTCTGATTGCTGAGTCTAGCTCTTGTACCTTTACACTGGCTACCATGGGTTTATGGAGAGGAAGAACCCATCTCTCCCTTTGGTTTCTGAAGTGGGAGGTGGAGCCCTGCATCCTTCCAAAACTCACAATGGACAGTTCCACAAAACTTGGAAACAATTCCAGCAATTGCCAGGGTAATTGTATTTTTAAAATGAGATGATGTGTGTTAGATAATCAGTGCCATGAAGAAAAGTCAGCATAGAGACAGAGGACCTCTCAGAAACGCAGTCTTTACTTTCTGCAGAAAGGGCGCTCCTTGAAGATGGAACAATGGTGAGAGCACACTTGAACAAAGGAAAAGCAACATATTTATCCCTTATGCATTTGGATCATCCTTACTGTCGTATCCTGCATCCATTGGCTGGAGCTGGACCTCACAGTTTTAAACTGATACCCGATTTGCTAATAACCTAAAACTTTCCTAAATAGGTAAGTGCAAGGGAGAACAAAGAAGGAGAGGAAGTTGCTTATGAAAGGTTTAAGGAAGCAATAACATTTCCAAATAAGGAAGGGGCATAAGCTATGAGCTAGGACTTGCTTGGGCTTGTCCAGGCATGCCTGAGTAAGCCGAAGCAACTAACTGGGCTAAAGTGTAAGAACTAATAGTTGATAGGAGGCTTTAGAGTAAGAAGTTATTATTTCTAGTGTCTATTGTTTTATTTTTAAACCAAGATGAGCTTTGAAGAGGAGCTTTTCTACTTTCTACATGTGTATTAAGTACTTACAATGCCCAGCACTTAGTATACATTCAATAAACAGTAGTCAGTGAAATACAGTATATAGTTTTGGGTCCAGTTTACCTTCTTAGCTGCCTCATTTCCTTCCAACATGAAAACTCCATAAATACAAAATGTGTATGCTATTGTCCTTAAATATACCTTGTGATTTCCACCTCTGTCTTCTCCATATGCCACCTCTTTCTCTCTTTTCCATCTTTCTTTTATGGCTCTGTTCAAATCTTTGCTGCTTCTCAGTAAGAAAGAAGTGTTGGTCCATCTATTATTCCTCTATGCCATCTAGTTTGGCACTTAGAATTTAAGGTAGTTTTCTTGGTATTTATATGTTATCTTTGATAAAGTAGTCTGCTAGAGGGCAAAGGGGACTGACTATTTTGGGGGAAAAAATGGTTTAGTAGAAGAAACATGAGGCTTGGAGTCAGAAATCCTTGGTTCCAGCTTAGCACTAGCTATTACTACTTGTGTGACCTTGGACAAGTTTCTGAATGTGTTCTTTTTATATAAAATGGAGATAATGCTATAGAATTTTGGTGAGGGTCAGATGAAATATGTATGTGAAGGAACAGGCTGTGTAAACTGTATAACGTATGATTGCTTTTGTGTGTATCTTGTATCTAATGTCATGCCTTACACATAGGCTTAATATATTAATGATAATGATTTTTTTAAATAGTCCTTTCAGATTTTCATGGCATCAAAAGACATGTAATTTTTTAATACATTTAAAAAATCATAATCAGATTGTGATGAAGATGTTATAGCTATCTTTCATTTTGTTCATGTGTAATTTAATATTCAGTGATTACTCTTGGTTCCAATAAAATGTTATATTGTTATATTTTATACTGTAGCATAATTTATTAGATTTCAAATTCCATCAGATTATTTTTGTTCAGTTAAAAAAAGAATATGATTTCTCTTGCAGATTTTGCCCCTAGAAACTAATTCTAAACAGTGATTTGAGAGGTTTCTGTTCAAAAGCGTATAATATGGGAATAAGTTCAGCTGGCAACTTTTTTTTTAATGCTTAGATTAGTCTTAAGAGGGAGAAAATGTACAGAGATTTTAAAATATAGTTTGTTTTTCTGAATGGTCTTTTCTTTCATCTCTCCAACATCATAAAACTTGGTATTTAAGTGGAATATTGTGCATGAAAAGGCCCCAGGTGCAAAGTTGTGGCCCAACAGGTCTAATGAAAGATTACATAGGCTTTGCCTCTCTTCGTTTGGGAGACCTGTGTTTTCAGTTTGTTTTAGTTATGTGACTAGCTCTTCTTTAATTATGCAGTGAAAGAAAAGTTTCTCTAAACAATTTCATCAGTAAACAAATAAGCTTTGATGAAAACTGTTTCTATAGGAGGTTATACTGGAATTTGACAAAACCAAGTTTTGTTAAGCAAATGTATGACTTTTAAAAAGCCACTAAATGTTACACCTTACCAAGGAGTACTACGGTGTCTTAATCAGCTGGGTGATACCTTCCATTGGTTGGGTTAAACAACCAATGTTTATTTCTTGTAGTTCTGGAGGCTGGGAAGTCCAAGGTCAAGGTACTGGTAGATTCAGCTCCTAGTGAGGTCCCTTTACAGGCTTGTAGATGGCTGCCATCTTCCTTTGTCCTCAGATGATAGAGATTGAGAGAGCTGTGGTCTTTTTTCCTCATCTTATAAGGACACTAATCCCATCATAGGAGCTCCACCCTCATGACCTCACCTAAATCTGATTACCTCCCAAAGGCCCCTTCTCCAGATACCATCATACTGGGGGATAGAGCTTCAACATAGGACATTTAGGGGGACACAAACATTCAGTTCATAACATTCAGGTGGCAAGTAAGCATATAAAAATGCTCAACATCATATATCAATAGAGAATTACAAATTACAACAACAATGACATATTACCACATACCTAGTAGGATGGTGAAAATCCAAAACTGACACCACCAAATGCTAAGGGAGGATGTGGAGCAATAGGAATTATGATGGAATGCAAAATGGTATAGCTCCTTTGGAAGTCAGTTTGGCAGTTTCTTACAAAAGTAAACATACTCAGCTGGGCGCAGTGACTTACACCTGTAATCTCAGCACTTTGGGAGGCCAAGGCAGGTGGATCACGAGGTCAGGAGATCAAGACCAAAATAAGAATTTAAGAGAAATAATGGGGCCGGGCGCGGTGGCTCATGCCTGTAATCCCAGCACTTTGGGAGGCCAAGGTGGGCGGATCATGAGGTCAAGAGATAGACACCATCCTAGCCAACATGGTGAAACCCCGCCTCTACTAAAAATACAAAAATTAGCTGGGCATGGTGGTGCACTCCTGTAGTCCCAGCTACTTGGAAGGCTGAGGCAGGAGAATCACTTGAACCCAGGAGGCGGAGGTTGCAGTGAGCCGAGATTGTGCCACTGCGCTCTGCCTGGTGATAGAGTGAGACTCCGTCTCAAAAAAAAAAGAAAAAGCAAACATACTCTTACTCTATGATCCAGCAATTGCATACCTTGTATTTAGCCAAGTGGGTTGAAAACTAATGTCCACACAAAAACCTGCACATGGATGTTTAACAGCTTTATTCATAATTTCAATAACTTGGAAGCAACCAAGATGTCCTTCAGTAGGTGAACAAATCAATAAACTGTGGCACATCCACACAGTGGATATTATTTATTGCTAAAAATAAATGAACTATGAACCCATGAAAAGACATTTAAAATCTTAAGTGAGTATTACTAAGTGAAAGAAACCAATCTGAAAAGGGTACATATGGTATGATTTCATATATAACATTCTGGAAAGTACAAAACTATGAGGACAGTAAAAAGATCAGTCCTTTCCAGGGGTTAGCAGAGAGAGGGATATAGAGTACAGAGGTTTTTTAGGGCAGAGAGACTATTCCGTATGATAACATAATGGTGGATACTCATTATACGTTTGTCAAAACCCATAGAATATACACCAAGTGTGAACCCTAGTGTGAACTGTGGGCTTTGGGTGATGGTGATGTGTCAGTGTAGGTTCGTCGATTATAGCAAATGTACCACTGTGGTGTGAGATGTTGATAGTGGGGGAAGTTGTGTGTGTGTGTCAGAGGCAGAGAGTATATGGGAACTCTGTACTTTGTTCAGTTTTGCTGTGAACCTTAAACTATAAAAATTAGTCTATTTAAAAATGTTTATGGTGGAAAAAAAAGCCTTTCAATTTAGCGATCAGGCCAGATCTTCTGACATCAACCAGTATACTGCAATTCAATTCTGGCACTAACCATCCTGAAATAGTGTCAGACTCCACAGGTTCAAGGGCATGGTCCCCAACAAGACTGCCCCCACTTCAGACACCAGCTGCAATTCAAGTTCCCAGGCCACTCATACTTCTTGTCAACTGGCTCCAAATCCAGGGAGTTCCCAAGACCATTCTCACTACCTCGCCATAAGATTTCCCTCACTTCAGATGCCATTTGCAAGTTCAGGGATCTCCAGGTCACCCATATTTCTGACCAACTGGCTATATATTCAGAGGGGGTCCTAGAAGACACATATAGCAAGGTCTCGAACAGTCCTGAATGCAGAGCTTTTATGCCCTCTCCCTGTATACTTAGAGCACATTACCCTCCCAGCACATTAGTGGATTCACCAACCAGAAAGCTGTCCTTCACTTCAGTGTCTAGAGTTTCTATTGGGACTTCATGATGTAGGCTTGATTGATTGAACACTGACTAATTGATTGAACTAAATTTTTAGCCCCACTTTCCTCCTAAGAGATTGGGCTGGGCCAAAGGTCCGCAATCACACAATTAGTCTTTCTGGTGACTAGCTGCTATCCTGAGTCATCTTGTTAACTAACATAAACTCTGGTGTGAATCAAGGGGCTTATGAATAACAAAGATACTTCTGTCACCTGGGAAATTCCAAGCATAAAGCTCCTTGCCGGGAACCCAAGACAAAGACAAATTCAGCACCAGGTGTTGAAAAAACAGTAGCTCTTGGTAACCTAATTTTTTTCAAAAGTATATAATGGAAAGCTGAGGTGACTGAAAAGTATTTAAGATTGAAAGATTTAAGAGGAAAAACTGATTTATTGATCTCTGTTAATCTAGTATTTTAATAGTTTAGATGTTTTAGCTATGTAAATATGCAGTTTTGAATTTTGTATGTATGATTTTATGCATAAATATATTTCTTTGATAAAAAGAAGAGAGGACTTTACTTGGAAAGATCAGCCAGTAGAACAACAGAGGACCCTTTCCAGTTTTTACTACCTCACACTGTCAAACAGATGACCTTAAAAACAGTTTTTGTCTGAGCTCTAGGTCATTTCATTGGACTTAATTTTCCTTTTAATAGCAAGTCGTTTCAGAGTGTTTTAGGTATCCACTTTCTCTAAGGAAGTGCTTAGTTATATTTTTCTCTTGCAGATTGATTATACCGGAACAGAGCCTTCCAGTCCCTGTAATAAATGTTTATCTCCGGATGTGACACCTTGCTTTTGTACCATTAACTTCACACTGGAAAAGTCATTTGAGGTCTGTGTTTCCAAGTAATGTGCTAGAAAAGCCATGCTTTAAAAAATACTGATACTGTACTAAATGTCTTTTACAAGGTATTTTCCTTTTATAGAGAAGTCTGTATAATTTACTGGAGTTTATAGGCTTTTGAGGAAGATCGTTTTGTGTGTTTGGCTGTTGGATTTTGCTGTCTGGTAATTAAATACATTTATTTGAATGGTTTAGTTAGTACTTTGTAGACAAAATTTAAGATATTGTATTTTATCCTTTCAACAGATAATGTTATGACTGTACGAATCAATTTTTTATCAAGTTTTATATACTTGTATTTTTAAAATTATTGCTCAAATTGTTGTGCATACTTACGATACTAAAGCAAGCTTTACTTTAGAAAATAAATAATTCTCCCATTACTTAATTGAATTATTTTTATGACATATGAAGCATTATAAAAAATGCAAACACTTATTAAAACCTTACTGATCATTTATGTTTTTATAAGTAGTTAGAAATCCATCTGTTTGCATTTACACTGCCATTCTGAATACATGCTAACGGACATAAAGATTCAGAATAGGCATGTAAAGACCACTCTGTATTCTCCTGTGCCTGAAAATTGAGCTTAAAATAATTATTCTTAAGGGAGCAAAACTGCGTTAATACATGCCAACTTTTTAGATTTTCTGAACTTAAGATTTTCTAAAGGTAGTGATGACTTTAATAGTCCCTAATAGTTGGTTGCCATCTAGTGGTTATAGATGCTCTTGCACTGACATAAAGGACAGGATCATGCTGCTTTTGAATAATACATGAAAACAAATTTTGTAGAAGACAAATGTAATTATTTAACTTTGTTTCAGCAGAAACAGAATATACATTTAAAGTATCTTTACAAGTCCATGATTTTTCAGTGTGATGGGCAGACAATAAAGATACAATAAATTCTGCTTTTGTCAGAACAGGCAGAATTGAAGAAACGAGAGACTAGTAGTGATATAGAAGCTCTATTAATTTTCTCTCCCATTCAAAAAACACTTCAGAACTTGTTTTTTGCAAAGGCAGTCAACCTCAAATTCATTCTCTTGTGGACTCTGTGTTTCTTCACAAGCTCAAACTTTGAATTGGACTAAACTCTTCAGGGAACTTCAAGTAGGTTATTTTATCTCAGTGTTCATTCAAATAATCTCTTTTTCAGTTTACAAATTGAATTTACTGTACTGAATCTCGAGGTAATATTTCCTTTTAAAAAAGAATATTCATTTTCTCAATTTCTGTGATGTAATTTTGATATTCCCTCTCTTCCACAAGAAGGTTTCCATGTAAACATTTTCTTTATATAGAATGGGAAAATTTGCATGGTTTGACATTTGAAAGTCAAGCATTAAATAAATGATAGTGTATATAAAAATAGCAAATCAAATGAAGTCTACTTATAATGTTACTGAATTACTTTTAATTAAGGATAAGAATATAGAAAATAGAGGTAGCAACCAGAAAGGAGAAAATACCTTAATGTTTGCTACCTCTAAAAATTTTAATCATTTAAGATGGCTTCTTAGCATCTTCTAAATAATTGTAATGTTTATAGGTTACCCTTCTTTCCCAGGTTATTTCAAAGTTGGCGCTATTAAATATATTAAAGTACTTTTCTTGATTATTATAAAGTGGCTTATTATCATAGAGACTCTACTAATTAGTAGTTTATTAACTCATAATATTATATAGTGTCCTCTTGAGGAATTTATTATATCCCAATTCAAGTTCAGAATTCACTTGGACAAAAAAAATGAAAGTTTCAACTGCACGTGGTGCTACAGACCTGTAGTGCACACCTCCCAGTGTCTAGGGATAGAGGCGGTAGAACGGCTCAAGCCCAGGAATTAAGGGCCAGCCTGGGCAACATAGCAAGACTCTAGTCTCTGGGAGAAAAAAAAAAGAAACAAGTTTGACCATTATCCCTGTGAAAAGTCGATGCTAACTGGGTGAAGACCAGTTTGAATTAGAGAAAATTTTAAATTGAAGGTAGCTCAGAGTAGGCTAATAGATTCCTTGAATATTCTCTTTTAATGTAAATAGTACTTTTTTGACGTCTTTAAGGATAGTTTTAAAGTTTACTTGTGGCTTTTTGTAACATACCTTCTCTAGCCTTATTTACAGTTGTGCCATTTTAGATTGCTAAGTACTGGTGGAATTTACCCCACTACCTATCACAAATTGTAAACTAATAAAAGTCCAAATTACGTAGCTTTTATGTACACATGAAATAAGTTTATACAGAATAGTTTTTATATGAAAATTTTTTCCCTCTCTGTTTCTCTAGGGCAACGTGTTTATGTATTATGGACTGTCTAATTTCTATCAAAACCATCGTCGTTACGTGAAATCTCGAGATGATAGTCAACTAAATGGAGATTCTAGTGCTTTGCTTGTAAGTAAAATGATAAATATGAAAATATGATATCTGTAAAATAAGAATATGTAGTAACTGTTCAGTTAGAATTGTTAGGATGAAATTAAAGTGTTGTCATTTATAGTTTGTATAGTGAGGATTTTTTTCCCCCCGAGATGGAGTCTCACTTTGTCGCCCAGGCTGGAGTGCAGTGGCACAGTCTCAGCTCACTGCAACCTCCACCCCCCAGGTTCAAGCAATTTTGCCTCAGTCTCCCGAGTAGCTGGGATTACAGGTGTATACCACCACACCCAGCTAATTTTTGTATTTTTAGTAGAGATGGGGTTTCAACATGTTGGCCAGTCTGCTTTCAAACTCCTGACCTCATGATCTGCCCACCTCGGCCTCCCACAGTGCTGGGATTACAGGCATGAGCCACCATGCCTGGCCTGTATCATGAGGATTTTTAGTTAAAATATTTTTTCCTGGAATTCACACAGATGCATTGATGCCCAGACTGGTTTGGAAATCTGTGGACTAGGGGATCTTAGTTTCTTTACTGTTCTTCAGTTTTCCATATTAGTGGTTAGTGCCTATGTATTTTTTTTTATTTTTTATTTTATTTTATTTTTTTGAGACAGAGTCTCACTCTATTGCCCAGACTGGAGTGCAGTGGCGCGACCTCGGCTCACTGCAGCCTCCACCTCCTGGGTTCAAGTGATTCTCCTGCCTCAGTCTCCCGAGTATCTGGGATTACAGGTGCGCATCACCAAGCCCGGCTAATTTTTGTATTTTTAGTAGAGACGGGGTTTCGCCACGCTGGCCAGACTGGTCTCAAATTCTGGACTTCAGGTGATCTGCCCTCCTCGGCCTTCCAAAGTGCTGGGATTACAGGCTTGAGCCACCGTGTCCGGCCCTAAGTATTTTATGTTACTGTTGCCAATGCAGCAAACATTCAGAGGCCCAGAGCAATTTAGGATTTCTTAGAATTAATGAATCTCTTAGAATACAATTTAGGACTATGTTGTGAGCAGCATGGGCCTCCGAAATGTAAAATATAACTGCTCTAGGTTATCTTGATTGGTTTTATTGCTGATCATCAGTTGCTGATGTGTGGGATTTTAAGCAATACAAGTCTACTTAAAGATTCCTTGGTATACACAGGGTTCTGGTTAGGCCTATGATATTTTGAATCTATGTGGGGTTTATTCCATAGGATCCAATTTTTAGCACTCAAATCCAGAGAAGATGTTGTACTGTGAGATACACCAAGTTTCTAGACCTTTCTGAATGTGTTTTTTAGGGATTATAGATAGTGTGTGTTCCAAAACCCCAGAAATGGTGGCTGATTTACAATTATTTTATTTATATATGTGCTGTGTTCACTGAGGGTAAAGAAAACTGAAACTGATTCTTTTCTTCCAAACTGTAAGCAAAGATTTCAGGCCACACCAGGAATAGATCAACTTTTTCTGTAAAGGGTCAGATATTATGTGTAAGGCCCTGTACAATCTGGCATCAGCCTTATTATCTTATATACTATTTTTAATACATTAAACAAGGCCTGGCTGCCCTGGGCCTTGTTTGCTGCTCCCTAACCATGCATTGTGACACAAGTAATCTGCTCATTTTGCCAGTTAGCATTTTATTTGCTTAGAATGTCATTTTTACTGTTTCCCTGGAGGTCTTCTCATCTCAAGGCCTGCTATTTTTTCTAAGTGCCCTTCCATGCAAAAATGTGCTTCTTTACATATTTACTTCATTTATTTTTTTGTTCCAAGTCACTACCACTTTTTGCTTGGATGAACAAATTGTGTCTCACATCATCCAATCCTGCTCCTTTCCAGGCCATTCTCATAGCAGCTATAGTGAAGTTTTTAAAAAGTATAAATATCACTTCCCTACCTAAAATCTTTCAGTGGTCATATTAGCACTTGTAGTAAAATCTCAGGATGATCTGAGCTATGCGTAATCCTCTTATCTCATCACATATCATCCTCCCTCTTGGCATGCTCCAGCTACATTCACCATTACCTTCACAGAAATAAGTTCTTGTTTAGTGGCATGTGGTGTTCTCTTTGCTTAAAACTCTCTTCTGTCTTCTCTTTACATGGCTGGCTCCTGGTCTTTTTTTTATGTCTTAACTTAAATGATACCTCCTCCAGAGTCAAACTTTTCATTACCATAGATTCTAAAGCAGCTCCTCCTATCCTTTTTCCATTAAATACTCACATAGCCTCTTCATAACACTTACTGTAATTTGTAATTACATATTTGCTTATCTGTTATCTTTCTTTCCAGCTATACTGTAAGCTCATGAAGGCAGGGAGCATGACTTTCTTTAATCACTGTTTACCAAGTGCCTGGCTCGTGCTTGCACATGGAAGGCATTTAATAAATATTTGCTGAATGAATGTAGACATCTTCATCATGGCTCTTATTTCGTATGATAGTTGGTTTTGTAAGGGTCTGCTTCCCCTGTTACATTTTGAGTTGCTTAAAAATAGGGATTGTATTCTTTTCGTTTTTCTGTTTTTAGCACCTAGTATTGTACATGCTGCATATTAGGTACTCATCAAATAGCTTTGTTTTTTTTTGTTGTTGTTGTTTGTTGTTTTTTTTTTTGAGACGGAGTCTCACCACTCTGTCGCCCAGGCTGGAGTGCAGTGGTGCGATCTCGGCTCACTGCAACTTCTGCCTCCCCGGTTCAAGCAATTCTGTGCCTCAGCCTCCTGAGTAGCTGGGATTATAGGCCCCCACCACCATGCCCGGCTAATTTTTGTATTTTTAGTAGAGACGTGGTTTCACCATCTTAGGCAGGCTGGTCTTGAACTCCTGACCTCGTGATCCACCAGCCTCGGCCTCCCAAAGTGCTAGGATTACAGGCGTGAACCACTGTGCCCGGCTTGTTTTTGTTTTTTTCTGAGACAGGGTTGACTTTGTCACCCAGGCTGGAGTGCAGTGGCACGATCTCTGCTCACTGCAACCTTTGCTTCCTGGACTCAAGCAAACCACCCACCTCACCCTCCTAAGTAGTTGGGACTAAAGGTGCACGCCACCATGCCTGGCTAATTTTTTGTATTTTTGTAGAGATGGGATTTCGCCATGTTGCCCAGGCTTATCTCGAACACCTGGACTCAAGGGATCCTCCCACCTTGGCCTCCCAAAGTGCTGAAATTAGGGGCATGAGCCACCGCACCCGGCCCTCATCAAATAGCTTTTGTAAGCCAGTTAATGCAAAGTACCTAGCATTGCTTAGTTTAGTACCTGACACATAGATAGTAAATACTATTTTCCTTTCTTTTAAAACTTCCTTAAGAATTTAGTGGCTAGCAGATATATTTGCCCTATTGTTAATAGCTTTATCAATACAGATGGTGTAGGGACCAAAAAGCTGAGAAGTCAAATATTGAAGAGACTTTATGAGATACCTACCACAGACTTCCTTAGCCTTATCTTTTCCATTCACACAAGTGCTTTTATCCAATCTAGACATGGAGAATATAGATACAAGTCAAGGTTAGCTGGTAATGAAATAGTCCTAAGAGGTCTAATTAGGGTCCTCTTAATTTCAAATTGAGATTATCTTGGTATGTTTATGTGTTTTGAGACATGGCTTAATGTGGCGGGAGGGTCCCAGCTCAGACAGACCCCTAACCTCAGACTTGATATGATCTCTAGTTGAATCCCATAACTGCCACACCTCTTTAAGATCCTCAGTAGGGAGTAAGTCAAAACCAAAATCTGGACCACAGGCAAATGTTCTGCCTTGTCAGCATTTTTGTTTTTCTTGTACCTGGATGCACAGTTTAAAGATTGATATATTCTAGGAATCTGCACTAGACTCCTTCCTTCCTTTCTTAGATATAGGATTTAACCCCAAATCACAAAATTTCAGATTGTATAGTTGGACATGTTTATTTTGTGAGGCCCAGTTAAATTAAAGGAATTGCCCAAGGAACTAGAACCTCTAGCCTCTTTAGTTCCAGTTTAAGATTTTCTTGTTATATCACAACTGGATTGGCAATAGACCATTTCTTAATTTTTCTTGGGCAGAAAACCCTTTGTGGTAATGTTTCTGTGATAAGAAAATCAAAAAGATGTTTATTTGATATATGCATATATGACAAAACATATGCAAGTAAAGGTTATATTAAAAAGGTAAGGCAGTAATGTTCAGAATACATTTTGAATATTTAAATGTGGTGTTATCTATAGCCTACTTACATTACAGACCTGTGTATTATAAGTGAGAAAAATATAGGTGTTGAATTCTTAATCAGTAATTTAGGGATAGCTCATAGTTCTCCCAAAGGCCTGGATAATAATTTCTCTCTTCTTTTCCTTGTAAAAACCAGAATCCCAGTAAGGAATGTGAACCTTATCGAAGAAATGAAGACAAACCAATTGCTCCTTGTGGAGCTATTGCCAACAGCATGTTTAATGGTATGATATAGATACAAATATAGACATATATAATTAGGACAATTTGCATAATTTCATTACAGATTTGATAGTTTAGTAAACATGAATGAAATTGAGAAACTCAAACATTTAAGACTAAATCGAGTATTGAATGGGGTATTATAATGATTTGTGATTTTCTTTTGAGCATACTTACATTTTAGAGTGGATTTCTGTCTCTGAGAAGAAAGAAGCAGAAACATTCTGCTAATCTTATTTCATATAAAAATAAAAGTCAGGCTGACCTTCCCACTGACTTCATTTTTATCATTGAAAAGGAGCTATAGTTGATCATTTAGAGCAGCACTATCTGATAGAAATATAATGTGAGCTATAAATACAAGTCCTGTAGGTAATTTTACATTTTCTGTCTTTTTTTTTTTTTCCTTTTTCTTTTTTTGAGATGGAGCGTCATTCTGTCGCCCAGGCTGGAGTGCAGTGGCGCGACGTCGGCTCACTGCAACCTCTGCTCCCTGGGTTCAAGCATTTCTCTTGCCTCAGCTTCCCCTGTAACTGGGATTACAGGCGCCCGCAACCACGCCTGGCTATTTTTTTTGTATTTTTAGTAGAGACGGGGTTTCACCATATTGGTCAGGCTGGTCTTGTATTCCTGACCTCGTGATCCGCCCACTTCGGCCTCCCAAGTTGCTGGGATTACAGGCGTGAGCCACTGCGCCTGGCCTGGTAATTTTAAATTTTCTAATAGTCATATTTAAAACTATGAAAAGAAACAAGTGAAATTAATTTTAGCAATATGTTTTATGTAACAGTATATCCAAGATACTGTTATTTCGGCATATAATACTATATAAAAGTTGAGATACTTCATATTCTAATTTTTTATACTAAGTCTTTGATATCTGATGTGTATTGTACACTTATAGAACATACTCATTTGGACCAACCACATATGAAAGACTCAGTAGCCCTGTGTGCCTAGTGGCTGTTGTATGAGACAATGCAAACAGAAATGGATAAGCAAGAAGCTATTGGGGATGCATTATTGGAAGGAAGGAAATGCAGATTTACCTTGCAATTATAGTTGGGTTAATATTAAAACATTTGATCTTACTGCATGTCAGCTAGCCTATGGGTAACTGAATTAGAACTCTGTTAAAGGAAGAGAAGTCCATCTAGAATTATAAAGTTACCATAGTTAATCCACATAGGAATAAAGAACAAATGTGAATCATATGCCTACTCTGTCACAACCACTTTTGGAAACAAATATCAGGTCCTTATTTCTCATAGAGTTAAGCAGATGCTATGAGTTTTCAAGAGATAGTTAGTAATGTCTTTCTTTGCTTGTGTTTAGATACATTAGAATTGTTTCTCATTGGCAATGATTCTTATCCTATACCTATCGCTTTGAAAAAGAAAGGTATTGCTTGGTGGACAGATAAAAATGTGAAATTCAGAAATCCCCCTGGAGGAGACAACCTGGAAGAACGATTTAAAGGTAAAACATTACTAATATCCCTTAAAAAATTAAACTAGGAGTTTTAATGAAGTATTTTAAATTTTCTATCTTCAGAATCTTAAAGTTATGCTTTGAAAAACACAATTTTTCTTTCCTCAGCTTCATACCAAGTTAGGTAAATGTTCTAATGTACTAAAATTCTAAAGGAAATGTATACTTTTAATTATGAATTCAGTTTCTGTGATGTCTTATAAGCATTTCAGCTATAATATTTTAAAATTGCAGCAAAGCTTCTTTTGAATAAACCCCTATTTATTATCCAAATTTATTCGTTTCTCCGCCACTTTAATTTCACAATGTAATATTTTGTCTCCTTATCCCCTCCCCACTCCTTTTAAGGTACAACAAAGCCTGTGAACTGGCTTAAACCAGTTTACATGCTGGATTCTGACCCAGATAATAATGGATTCATAAATGAGGATTTTATTGTTTGGATGCGTACTGCAGCATTACCTACTTTTCGCAAGTTGTATCGTCTTATAGAAAGGAAAAGTGATTTACATCCAACATTACCAGCTGGCCGATACTCTTTGAATGTCACATACAGTATCCTTTTTTGGCTGGGTATACAGATTCATAGAGCTTGAAAGGAGTCGAGTCCAACCTTATATCTGTTATGTGGCATGTTACCTTGTGCTTTAGTTTTGGTCTCTGCATTTTTACAAAAGTATGTGTGGTATATGTGAGAATGTATTTTTAAATTTACGTCTTCTAGAAATGTTTTGAATTCGCATATACTTGGTACTGGGGTTTGAAGCATATTGTTTGGTAAAATTACTTAAAATATAGGTGCTTGTTTTATTAACAAGCTAGGTATTTTTACAAGGGAGATTGTAATTGGGCTTAATGTAAAGGCCAATGAGAGTACCTAAAATTGGGTGTTGAGTGGTACTGGGCTGTTTTAATATATATATTTTAGATATTAAAAATCAACGGATGTGTTAATTTGTATCAATGTAATTGTTCATGATTTTGATCTATTGGTAGTATCAAAACATTTTATTATTAGCTATATTGTTCCATATTAATAAGTTCACATTCAGTGCTGATAAATACATTTATTCCACTCTAACTATGTGTTAACACTGTGCTGAGTATTTTCCGCTCATTACTTAATTCAGGCAGCAGCATATCTCCCTATTACAGACCAGAATACAGGAATATCGAGCACTTAAGTAACTTAGCTGACTTTACACAGGTAATAATAAAGAGTTGAGGTTCATAACCAGGCTGTTGACTCCAAAGGCCATAATTTTACTCTCAGCTACCAACATAGCCTGCGTCTTAGCTAGTTCACTCAGTTACACCAACCCATATCTGCATAGATGCAGTCTTTTTTAGGAGGGAAATACTCAGTAATTTCTTTTATTCTAACCAAAGTCTTTGCATCTTTTAATCTGGAGTCTATATTTTACATACACTGTGAGTGAAGAGATCTCTCAATATTAGAATTGTAAATGTTTGCTGATCTTTGCATTTTTATTTCCATAATCCAAATGAGTCATAATCCATATGGGTTTTGGTTTTAAAATGGATTAGTAAATGGTTAAATTAATAGACCCAATTTCAAAATAAGGTTTTTTTTGAATTCTACTCTCTTGATGTTGCACCTGAATACACAAGTAAATATGGCCTGCTATGGCAGGCTAAAAGTGACCAAGTTTTTGAAACTAAATCCACATTGGAGCAGTTTTGGACAGACAGACCCACTTCAAGTGCTGGTAGAAATAACATTATCCTGAGGGGATAGTCAAACTAGAGAGTAGCTCTGTTAAAATTAGCATCCAGAAAATCTCTAGAGAGTAAGGGCAAATTTAGCAACCTGTAGCCTAAGGCACAATGAAGGGAAGTCTGTGAAGCACTGAGGAATTTTTAGTTGATAGATGATTTCCATACAGGAATTCTGCAGCAGGGTCCCAGGTTTGAAAGAACTATCTAAAGGAATGCATGATATATGGCAGATTGAGAAGACTTGATAAGACAGGAATTTGGACCTGCAAAACATCAAGGGTTAATTATCAAAATTGGGCATAAGGTGGGAACTAAAGACTAGAATGATGGCAGAAGCCTGTTTCTTTAGGTTTGGGAGACTAGAGAGAGACAAGCATGGGTAATTTGATACTGTATCCCACAGAATGTTGGGTTAGCTAGAGGTCTTAAAATCATTCCTGCCTTAGTTTAGGGTTAATTTAAGAAGTTAGCAGAACTGAACCTGCCATTGGGAGTTAGGGACCCATAGGGACCCATCTGTGGGGATGGAGAGTTGAAGAAACTAGAGAAACAGATGGGGCCTAACCCTAGATTCAAAAGATGCTTTTGAAAAAGTTGTAAACTTTTTGCATGGAGACTTGGTTCTGTCTTCTTTGCTGCCTTACCTCTTGCAAAATTCTACAACTGGTCCATGTAGATAATTCATCTAGTACACTGGTGCCCTGTTTCCTAAATCTCCTTAACAGCCCACCCTTCACTGCCACTGTTAGCTATCAGCTGTGTCACAGAGTGAGTTTTGCCATTGCTCCAAATCAGCAAGTTAAAACTTTTTTATTACCATGCTTTTTGATCTTTTGCTCAGAGCCTTTTCATAGTCTCATAACTACACTCTTGATACATGTGTTCTTTGAGCTCATGGAGACTTCTAGTTCCTGATTTTTCCATTTTCTCCTGGTCTGTCAGTCTCCTTGTGTGGGCTTCATTGTTCACTTGAAGTATTTTTTTCACATTGCATTCCTTTGAGGCCTTTTGCCCCTTCCATGTAATGAGAGCAAAAGCACCTGAGAAACTACATAACCTTTACATTTATTTGTTTTGGTAAAATATTTTGGCTTTTACTACTAACATTTAGTTTGCTAAATCAGTCTTTCAAGATAATACTTTGTGTGTGTGTGTGTGTGATTTAGAACGTAGGAGTGAGGTACCTGTATATCCTAGAATTACACAAATGAATTACCAACAATTAAATGGCAACTTTTAAAATTGTATTTTAAACATCAAGTAACCAGAGATGGAAAAATCTTCCTATACCCTCTTCAGATTACCCTGTACATTATTTTGATGGACGAAAACGGATGATCTTGAGCACTATTTCATGGATGGGAGGAAAAAATCCATTTTTGGGGATTGCTTACATCGCTGTTGGATCCATCTCCTTCCTTCTGGGAGTTGTACTGCTAGTAATTAATCATAAATATAGAAACAGTAGTAATACAGCTGACATTACCATTTAATTTTATATTATGAAAGCAAATCATCTGCATGTGCATCAAGGCCAGTCCTATTCAACCTAGCTTTCGAATGCTGATATCTGGTTAGTATGTCATTTTGAAGTTGGCACATAACTTTTCTAAAAAAAAGCAGTCTTTGTTGTTTGCTTCTTCCCTACGGATGACTTCTAAAAATATATGACGGGTATAAAAAAATTAGCTATATTGATCATATCAACACTGTAACTGCTGAAATGGCATTCTAATGTTTGCTTTTTATTCGGACAGGCCACATGATGCATAGAGCCTCTTTCATGTGACTTGTGTCTACTGCTTAAATCTTTATGCTGTGTTGATGATATTATATTGACATATGAAGCTGTATATGTGTATGTATTTTGTGGAGAAAGGGATTACAAGATGTATGAGTATAATGACTTGCTAACCTTTCAGGATTCAGAGAAAGATGAAGAAAGACCATATCTAAATAATACACTTCATCATTTTCATGTGTATAAATGCTTAAAGTACCATCTTTGTTGAGGTGGTTCATGTATCCAGTTTATCCAGTACAGTTATTTGTCAAGCTTAGCTTTGATTTCAAAGGACACGCTTACCTTGTCTGGCATAAGAATTAATGCTCATGTCTGCAGTGGTTGGGTAGGTCCTGCTTAGGAGAATTAAAAAATTCCTCTTTCCGTTTGGTTGAATGTTGCAGTCAGGAACCCCAACTCACTTGGAATGTTTTTATATGTAATCATTTCCCTTGAAGCTTATACTTTATAAGGGAAGAAAGAATTCAGGTGATATGGGAAAACTGCTTGGCAGACCTTCATCTTCTGCCTCAACTGTAAACCACATGTAAGTGCTTAATGGAGACTGTTTTCATTCTTGTGATATTTAACATTCAGAAAATTACTTCAGCTTTGGAAATACTCAGGCTGTTTTTATTCTGCAGGTAAGTGTTTTGACTTAAGTACTAATATTCCAGAAATTTTTGAAAGCAGTAACCTTAATTTCCTATGTATTTCATTCCACTTTTGCATATAGGTCAAATAGCAATGTGTATGCACATTCTCTTTAGTTAAGGCACCAATTGTTTTGGTTGGTTTTCCTAAGACATACTTTAAAAAGATGTTCTATAAATTTCCTAATTAAATTATGGGGATTTTGGAGTATGTACATGATAAATTATAATATGTATATGGTTGAAGTTATTTTATTTTTTACTAATGAATTATTTTAATATTCCTTATTGAATAAATGCTGTAACTTGTTTGCTATGGAACTTATTCTTAAAGTTCTAGTTAAAAATAATTTTTCCACATGCATGAAAATATGTATTAATCAGAGGTGGCTTAATTACATTGAAATTGCTTTTTTGTTGTTGTTTTTTTACTGAAATAACTCATGTTTGTGTAGAAGAATGCCTGTTTACTCAGAGTTTATATTTTCCTTCAGTTATATTTTAAATCAAAAGGTCTGGGTAATGTATACTTTTGATTAATATATACTTTTTTTAAAAAACAAAAAACAATGTAATGGTTAATAGTAGAAATGTGCCACACTTTTCAAGTTTTATATAACATATGAAATTCAGTTAAAAGAATGTGTGTTTCATAATGACTTTTAACTGGTAAAAATATTACTTGCACGAAGTACTTGATGTATGGTTATCCTGAAATTTCGGAGTATTTGGTGTGTTCTTTGTCTAAAAATAGTCTGTTTTGTCAGTCCTTCAGAATATTATTTATTCTGAAGATTGTCCCTCTTGCACTTGGCAGTTTATTTTCGGGGATACATTGTTGGGGGAGAGGGGTTTCTGCCACTCTTTCCAGATTGAGTCTGTGCTGTTTAAGGAGGACTACCATCCTGCAACTCTTTTTCTAACTGGGGCACAGAGGATGTCGCTAAAGAAAAGTTGAAGAGCCCTTTCAGCACTTTCTCATCTGTGGAGAAGATGGAATCTTAAAATACATTTGGAGTTTTATCTGTTTTACAAGTCCATTGATGGCCTAAGTTCCTCCTGTTTTCTGCTGTTTGATCTCTAAGGAACTCCTGTTGCTAAATATGAAGAGTATGGAACATTCGTATAGTCTCTGTGAAGCATGGGGGGAGGGAAGACATTTCTTTTTCTTATAGGCTTTATGCTCAAATGTCATAGTCTCCTTTCAAAGAATTGTGTTGCATTTTAAATGCACCCAGCTTAAGTAGAAGACATTGAAGGATGCATTAATTTTCAGGAACTATTTTGAATTATGAAAAGATTCCCAATTGAAAAAATTATTCAACAAGTAAAAGCTAAGAAATTTCATTGAAATCATAAGGCAGTTTAAGCATAAATTGATAAAAATAGCTGTGTACTACTAATTAATAGAAAATCATTCAACCAAGAGAAGAGTCAAGTGAATATCGTTTGTTTATTTGCTAGTGAGTTTCTTTGTAACGTTGATTTTATTAAATGATAATATTTGGTTAGTATGTCCTATGTTAATAAAAATGAACAAAATTAATTTTGCTATGTTCAGGTGTCTTGATAAAATAACAATGCTCCAGTGTTGTTGCTTACATTTAGCACTAAATTTTAACACAGCGTCAGTGAGTCCAGGTTTTAACTTCTTCATGCCTGGATGGGATAAAATGTAATTCATTGTTAAATTAATTCATATTTGTATTTATTAATCACTGTGACAACATTAACCATTTGTTCTTACCAGGAAGTGGTCAGATTATCATCTGAGTTACAGTTAGACTGGCTAAGTTTGGTATTAGATCAAGGGGAATGTCCAGTAAACAGAGAGGTAAGCATGATGGAAATAATGAAGTGGGGTACACAGGAAAAACCTGACTAGTGAGGAGGAGCAGCTGAGAGATAGGGTCAGTGAATGCGGTTCAGCCTGCTACCTCTCCTGTCTTCATAGAACCATTGCCTTAGAATTATTGTATGACACATTTTTTGTTGGTTAAGCTGTAAGGTTTTGTTCTTTGTGAACATGGGTATTTTGAGGGGAGGGTGGAGGGAGTAGGGAAGTGGTCCTTTTACAAGAATTTTGATGCATAAGTGTCTATTGTAGGGTTTGGATGATCTAGTAAAGTGTTTTAGAACCCCTTTTTATCCCATGCACCATTCAGTAAACATAAAAATCACAATTCTGCTAATGTCATTTGGAACTTCAAAATAAATATCTTGTCTAAAAACAAATCAGACCGTGGTGGCCTTATTTCCTTTTGTATATCTATAAAATTTATCAAAGTAACATGTACACAGTTTTAAAAAATAAAATAGTAAGTTCTAAAGGCTTTATGATAAAAAATAGTAGTCCCTGCCTGAACTTTCCTTCCCTCCCAGAGGCAATCACTGTGACTCCAAAAGTTGTTTCTTCTTTTACCTTAGTGTATCTAAATAGTATGGCTATTCTGTTGCTTGATATAACAATTTTAGACATTATTGTTACATGATGTTACATGATTTAGCTCTCTAACACACATACTTTGCCTTCTATTATGTAGTTATATCATAATATTTAGTAAATGCATTAGCTGTTATTTAAGTATGACTGTATAAATATTTTATACCCTAGGGCAAATGTAATATGATTTTCTTTTGCATAATTTTATTTTTCCTGGAATTAATAATTGCCTTATTTAAAACATTTACATAACTTTCTTGCAACATTATCTTCCTTGTATTGAATTTGTAGCACATTTCTAAAAATATTCTAATTTCTAGAACTTCTTTCATTTTATTTTGTTTCCAAAATATCCTACTTAGTTTATAGATATCTTATTTTTCTGAGGATATATATATATGAATATATATTACTACTTTTGTTTACTGCTCTATTAACACCAAAGTTTATTTGTTGCTATTTGTAATTTGTTTTTTCTCTTGTTCATATAGGCGAATTTCCTGTTATTTCTGGCTAGTCTTGGCAATATATGAGTAGACTCCAAAACACTATTTGAAAGCTCTGTGTTTGTGGGCAGTGCTTCAAGGGGTCTAGGGAGGTTCTCTTACTTACTGCTTTTAACTGTGCTTCTTCCTTGTCCTCCATCTCACCTCCTGATTTCCACTTCACACATACTTCCTTGTATCTGTCCCTCCCCATATTTCTTCCACTTAATTGTCTCCCATTTATTTCTCCAGATAAAAATTCTCTGGTGTTCTACCTGTGAGAGACAGTGATGGAAGTGAGAGATCATATTTTTATGGCTAAGGGGTAGGGCAGAGGACTTTGGGGATCAGGCCATTCTGTTGTATATGCTTTCAACTAGTCATTTTCAGGCCTGTCCCTGCCTCCACTCTTTGCTGTAACTTTCACCTCCAAATCTGAGCTTCTCAGGGGTTGTGGAATCAATCAGCATGCTTCCCTCTGGTATCCGCCTTGTAGTCCCTCTAGATTGCAGCTTTCTCTGTTCAGCTCAGTCATATTCCATCTGCTTTCAGTTTTCCACAAATTTGTTGAAATCATTTGTCTGTTGCTGCCTCCTCTCTATTCAAATTTTGGGCTCATATCTTTTTTAAAATTGTTTTTCAGATTATCATATGGTAAATTTTACTTCTGTTCTGGTAGCATAGTTTTGTGAGTTTTAACACCAGAGATAAAGAAAAGTACCATCACTCCCCAAATAACTCCTTATACTATCCCTTTGTAGTCATTCTCCCTTCCCCCCACTCATAATCCACAATTTGTTTTCTATCCCCATAGTTTTATCTTCTAGAAAGTTCTAAATAGAATAAATGCCATATGTAACTTTTGAAACGCCTTCTTTTCTTTAGCATAATGCCCCTGAGATTCATCTAAGATGATGAGTCTTATCAATAATTTTTCTCATATTTTAAAAATTTCTTTCATTTTACTATAGTGGGATGGAGGAGAGACAAACTCATGGGGCCAATCCACTATCTTAAATCAGAAACACCTTGAAGCAAATATACCCTTCACCTTTTGGTGATTTTATAATGTTTTTAAAAAAATCTTAAAAGATAAACTTGTTATGTACTTTAAGTGGTATTAATAGGAGCTTGTCTGTTTGTATATCACAAGCTTTTCTATCCAGGGTAATGTGGAAAAAGATTGAACTCCCCTTACATCCCTTTCAAGCTTGTTATGTCACTTTGTTTCAAGCACAGAATTGCAGACAATAGCTTTATAAATTTTTGTCAAATTGCTGTATCAGTGGTGTAAAATAACCCCAGGGCATGTTGTCTTTCCTTTTCACAACAAATTTTGTGAAACAGTATGTCCTTTATATTTTCTTATCATCTTCAGCTTCAGTCAGGGTCAGGTTTTCACCTCAAGATTACATCGTTTGTACTCTGTTGACTGTCACCTGTGTCTGAAAGATTCAGTAGAAAGAGTATGGGTTTCAGGAGTAGGCTGATACGGCTCCTATACTTACAAGCTGTACCTTGCAATTGCTTAAATCTTCTAAGCCATTTACCTTTCCTTGTCTGTAAAATAGGGATTTCAATACCCATTTGACAGATTTTGTTTTGAGCAATAAGGAAAGTGACAGTTAAAAAGCATTTAGCACAAAGCATAGAAAAATAGATATTCAATGAACAATTCCCATTCTTTTCTGTCAGATCAAGTGAACTCACCCTTATATTGATCTTTTTGCTCCATTTGATAGGCATTTTCCTTCCCACTTCATCTTTAGCATGTGGCTTCTGTGAATGACTCCTGATTTTTTTCCCCTTATCTGTTCCTTAGTCTCCTTTGTATATTCCTTAATGTTGGGAGTTCTTTGAGATTATGTTCTGTGCCTTTAAGTTACACATTCTGCCTGAACAATCTTAAGTACCTTATTATTCCATTGTCTTAACACTGACTGACTTCTCTATCTTTTCTTGTGCCTTGACATCTGTCTTGAGCTCTAGATTTTTCATTATTAATCTCTTGAGAAATGAAGGTTAATAATGAATTAACCTAAGTTAGTAAGGCCCAAGCAGCAATCATTCCACACAAGCCTGGGTTTAATAAGGTCAAAACAGGAATAATCTCACACCAACCTGAGATTTCTTACATTCCTCATTACTGTGAATGGTATAGCCAACCACCTTGAGGTAAGCCAGAAACCCTAGCTCTCTTCTCCAGCTGCCCAACCTAATCACTGTATTGTGTTGATTTTTGAATGTTCTTCCTTTTAGTTGGGTCTCTCATCCCTCCCCTTATCTACATCTCTCTTGATGATTTAGTTTAGGTTTTTCTTCCTCCTTGGATTACTATGAGAGCTTTCTGACAGACTCTCTGACCCTAATAACTCATGCCCAATCCAGCCTTTTATTACTAGAACGATCTTGAAATAGGGCTCCGATTTTAACAGTTTGCTACTTGAACCTCTAAGTAGCCCTTCAAGTTGTTTAATTCATCACTGAAATCAGCCTTCCACTGTTACCTCATTCTTCATTTGTTCTGCAAATCAAACCATTTGCAATTCCCCAAGACATTTGGCCACCCTGTCTTCTTTGCCTTTGCAAATGTTATAGCTTTTGCCTAGATTTTTCTTCTTACCCAACCTTTCTTCCCATAATAGTAAATATTTATTGAGTTATTTTAACAGCCACCCAATGATGATGAATACTGTTATCTCCATTTTAAAGACAAGAGAAACTGAGGTATAAATAGATTATGTATCTTACGTTCAGTCATGTCACTACCACTAAATGGCAGATTCAGGATCTGTCTGACTTCCAAGTTCTTAACAACAATATATTTTTTTTCTCTTTTCACTCCATCTAGGCCTCTGTTTTTGCAGTTCTGCAGCACATCAACGCTTGATTCCAAATTCAGATTGTTAATCATGTTCTTGTCCTACATCTGGAATGACTTAATTTCTGCTCCATTTATTCTACCAGACCTTGCCAAAATTGTCTTTTGTTTTTTGAGACGGAGTCTCACTCTGTCACCAGGCCAGAGTGCAGTGGCGTGATCTTGGCTCACTGCAACCTCCGCCTCCCAGGTTCAAGCGATCCTCCTGCCTCAGCCTCCCGAGTAGCTGGGACTACAGGCTAATTTTTGTATTTTTAGTAGAGATGGGGTTTCACCATGTTGGCCAGGATGGTCTCGATCTCTTGACCTCGTGATCTGCCCGCCTCGGCCTCCCAAAGTGCTGGGATTACAGGGGTGAGGCTATAATCCGTGCCCGGCCCAAAATTCTGTCTTTTTACAACCTTAGCCCACTAGTTTCTTTGAATTTCCCATACAACTTTTGTTGTACCAGTCATCTGGAGAGTCATTTATGTCTGCATCAAATTTACTGTTATGTATGATATTCCTAATTAGATTATATTCTCCAGAAGGTCAGAGACTTTAAAACAATATTCCCTTGCGTGTATTACAAAGTGTTACATTCATAGTAGGTAACCGGTAATTATTGTTCAATGGGGAATGACTCATGTTCATGTTGATGAAAAGAGTCAAACTCTATAAAATATTTTAAGAGATTTATTCTGAGCCAAATATGAGTGACACAGCCCTCAGGAGATCCTGGGAACATGTGCCCAAGGTGGTTGGGATACAGCTTGGTTTTATATATTTTTGGGAGGCATGAGACATCAATCAAATACATTTAAGAAATACATTGGTTTGGTTCAGAAAGGCGGGACAACTCAAAGCGGGGGACTTCCAGGCTATAGGTAAATTTAAACATTTTCTGGTTGACAACTGATTGAGTTTATCTGAAGATCTGGGATCAATAGAAAAGAAATGTTTAGGTTAAGATAAAGGATGTGGGCCGGGCGCGGTGGCTCACGCCTGTAATCCCAGCACTTTGGGAGGCCGAGGCGGGCGGATCACGAGGTCAGGAGATCGAGACCATCCTGGCTAAAACGGTGAAACCCCGTCTCTACTAAAAATACAAAAAATTAGCCGGGCGTAGTGGCGGGCGCCTGTAGTCCCAGCTACTTGGGAGGCTGAGGCAGGAGAATGGCGTGAACCCGGGAGGCGGAGCTTGCAGTGAGCCGAGATCCCGCCACTGCACTCCAGCCTGGGCGACAGAGCGAGACTCCGTCTCAAAAAAAAAAAAAAAAAAAAAAAAAGATAAAGGATGTGGAGACTAAGTTTTATTGTGCGGAGGAAACTCTCAGCGGACTGCAGAGAGAGCAGGTTATAAAATGTGTCTTATCAGACTTAAAAGAGTGCCTGGCTCTTAGTTGATTATCTCCTGGATCTGGAAAGGGGAAAGGAGATTCTCTATAGAATGCGGATTTTTCCCACAAGAAACTTTGTAGGGCAATTTCAAGATATGGCAGAGAGACATGTTTTGGGGTAAAACATTTTGATTTTCTTCCTCCTTATGCCAGAGTCACATGGGAAAGTAAGTCATAATATACAGGGTTAAATAAAACCCATCTGATGAGAATTTGTGGTTTGTAGGGCAGGACTCCCCAGACCCTTTAGATATGAATTTGGGCAAGATAAAAAAAAAAATCAGAGATTAGTCCTCATTCATATGTTTTATGAAATTGTTTATCATAAGGACTTTAGAGTCAGAGAAAAAGATCATTAGGAGTTAGTCTAACTAAAGTTTAATGATGAAAAGACTGAGGCTTGCAATTAAAGTATTTAATAATAAACTAATACAGCAACTAAGATAGCAACTGTTTCCTGATGTCCAAAAGTGACTCAGAATATGATAAAGTATGGAATTATATTGAAATGTTATCTTTTACCTAACCAGTAGTTTGTAACATTAAAGTTCACATGAAACTGTTCTATATTTTTATAAAATTGGAAGTTGGTTAAGCATGGCTCTAGAATTAACAGATGTGTGTACGCACACACACACAACCAAATCACACAAAACTATTCTGGCTTCCCTCTGTTTTTGTTACTTATCGATTCTATAGGCAGGATCAAAGTCAGGGTTATCTTGTCTGCTAAAAAGCAGACAAGGAAAAAAAGGAAAAAAAAGATTGGGTAACTGTCCTCTGGTAACTTTGCATCAGTAATTATGAGATATTTTCACTTAGTACTTTCGCATCTGATGTCCATCTTACTGACGAGACTTAAACCATTACCTACCTCAGGTTTCCCAGATATTTCCCACATATTCCCCCTGCCAATTTTGTTATACTGTTACAAAACCCTCCGGAGTAAGTATTTTCCGAAAGAACCATTTTCTAATTTTCTAACATTACAAAAGAGCAAGGATAAAAGAACCCCAAACTGATGTTTTGGAAAGCATTCTACTTTGAAAGTAACTTCTGGTTCAGAGGATGAATTTTAAAATGTGGTAATGTTTCTGGTGTGCCTGGGAAGATGCAATAAAGTTTGTTAGGTACGCAGGCAAATTTCAGTCATTTGTATGTCAGGATAATCACAACTTACAGAAAAGGAGCAAGAAGATAATGAATGAGGAACCCTGGGACTGAAAACATTTGGAGGGAGCACAAGTACTAAGACAGATGTTTTGAATTTTTATACTCAATAGTCCATTCTTTTGTGCAGGATACAGTTCATTCATTTAACCAATGTATATTGAGCATTTTCTATGTGCCAATTACTATTCTAGATGCCAGGGATACATGAGTAAACACAACCGAGTTTAGAGCAGAGTCATATGATCCAGCTTAAGTTCTTAAAAGAATCATTGCTGTGTGGAAGATAGTGGAAGAGTGGAAACAGGGAAACCCGTTAAAAAGGCTTTTGACATAATCTGAACAAGAGATGATGATGGCTTGGCCAACAGTAGTAGTACTGTTGGAGATAATGAGAAGTGGTTCAATTCAGATTATATTTTGAAGGTGCAGCCAATAGAAATTTTTAATAAATTGGTTTATAGAGTATGATAGAAAACAAAGTTTAAGGCTTGAAATAAGGAAAATTGCAGAGGAGAAAGTTGGGGAATAAGGAGTGGAAAGTAGAATTCAGTTTTGTTTGTAAGTTTGAGATGCGCATTAGCCATCTAGGTGGAGATGTCTCAAGTTAATGGGAAAGGCCAGGCGAGAGATAAGTGAGAGTTGTCAGCACATGAATAGTTTTTCTTTCCTAAAACAATTCTTTCTTCATACAATCTACAGGAAGTGGGAGTAGTAGTTCAATGTTAGATGAAATCACAAAATGGATGAATGTAGAAAAAAGGTGAGAAACTGAAATTTTAGAGGTTTAAGAGGATAAGGATCCAGGAAAGGAAAGTAAAAGGAGCAGCCACTAAAATAGGAGAACCACCGAAGGAGTACTATGGAAGCCACTTTAAGACCATGCTTCAAACTATCATATTCTTTCTTACATGTATGGTTTACCTCCAAATTAAAAAGTAAAAGTATATGGTGAGGGACGGATTAACTATGTTAAATGCTGCTAATAGATGGAGAAGGTGAAAATTGAGATTGACAGTTTATTTAGCAACCTGGAAGCTATTGGTGATTCTAAACAAGAGCAGTAAAAGCCTGCCCAAAATGGGATCAAAAAAAGATTAGGAGGAGGAGAAGGAGAGACAAGTATAAAGAAATCTATAGGATGGTAACGGTAATCAAAGGAGTTTGTTCGTTTGTTTTTAATTTGGGAATGTGTTAATAGATGGAATGATCCAGTAAAGGGGGAAATTGTACTGAATAACATGCATACAAGAATCTATGTCTACTTTAGGATCTATTTAATGTGAATTCATGGCTTTTTTTTTTTTTTTGATATGAAGTCTCACTCTGTCGCCCAGGCTGGAGTGCAGTGGAGCGATCTTGGCTCACTGCAAGCTCCACCTTCTGGGTTCACGCCATTCTCCTGCCTCAACCTCCTGAGTAGCTGGGACTACAGGCGCCCGCCACCACGCCCGCCTTATTTTTTGTATTTTTAGTAGAGACAGGGTTTCACGGCTTTAGCCAAGATGGTCTGGATCTCCTGACCTCATGATCCGCCCGCCTCGGCCTCCCAAAGTACTGGGATTACAGGCGTGAGCCACTGCGCCTGGCCTCATGGCTCTTTTTGGACAGGGTCATAAGCTTCTTAGATCTGTCACCCAATGTAATTAATTGATGTATTGGTTAATACTGTCTTTAGCAGTGCTAGGGGATTGGTAAGAAATCCACATCATCTCTGCGCTTGGGAAATTTACAATCTAGAGTTGGCTAAGTGGAGAAAACATAAGAGAGCACATACAACTAACAAATTCAGATTATGGACAATGTACTTAAAAAACCCCCACGCCCTAGCTATTGGCACGTGGTAATTTTGCCCAGAGTTTTGGTTATATGCATAATCCAGAGGGGTGTAGAAAACCAGGTCCTTTCAGTACCAATCTAAGGAAGACATGAATTGGGGTGTTTATAAACCTTGGTGAGGAAGAGAATTTTAACTGGGACTGGTAACTTGGTGGGCCCATTGACATACAGTAGATTGTGAAGAAGAAAACCCCAAGGATTATAAGGAATAGTTTTAATATTACTAATTTTTATCCTTTGCTGAAACTATGGGTTTCTTATTTGAAATGGCAATCAAATAATTTGTAAGAGTTTGTAGAAAGTGGAAAGATTATTGTAATACAGGGTAGATATTTGCATTTGTACATACTTGAGGGTAAGTACAAGAAATAAACACTTGTAATGGGGATTACTTAAGCAAAATGGATGACACCGACAGCCTTTCTGTACAACAAATAATTGCTGTGCTTCTCTACTCCAGTAATGAATGTAGTGCCCTGCTGGATCTGGGACAGCAAGACTTTTGAGTCCAGATTCGCCATCCCATTTCTTGTTCCCTAACGTTTCCTCAGAAGCGAGCGAGCCTCTTCCACAATTTGGGGACACTGTGGAAGAACTTCTTGCTTGGGGAGTTCTGCAGCAGTCGAAGGTACAAGAATATAAAAACTGGTATCTCGACACAGCTCTTACAGCATATTCTCAACACAAGGAACAGTAATGTGCCGCAGCAATTCCTTCGGTGGAAAAAACTGACTGTATCCGCGTAAGAGGAGTAATTCTTTTTTGAATTTTATGAGGCTTCAGAGCTGTATTTCGGCCAACCCAGTCTTTGTTCAGTTTCTAGCGGCTTCAAGGTTGCCCAGTTTTACGCCTTCTCGCTCAAAACAGACACTAGTTTTCTTTGATAGCCTGGTCTCACATTGACTTCATCTAAGCTTATTACATTCGTCTCATAAATCGTTTGCTTTTTCCCCAGCCTTAGCTCCAGGGACCAGCCTACTGAACATCGAAAAGGTCAGGAACGAGATCACGGGACTGAGACGGCGAGCCGGCTAGAGCGGATAGAGCCGTACTGCCGCTCTAGTTTTTCTTTTGCTCTCTATGGTTAGGAGCGCAAGCCTCTCTTCGGCCCGGAAAGATTTAAGTTCGTGAATGCATACGCAAGACTCGGAGGTAGTTCCGGTTCCGGCGTGGCCATTTTCGTTGGTGGTGTTCAGTTGTGGCGGTTGCTGGTCAGTAACAGCCAAGATGCTGCGGAATCTGCTGGTGAGGAGCTTCTCATCTTGCATTCATGATGGGGGCGAGGGAGTGGAGAGGAGGCTGAGGCACCACGACAGAAAACCCTCACCTGGGAGGGGTGCCGAAGGCGGCTAATGAAGTCACCTTGATTCGTGTCCTTTTTCCCTGACCTTACTTTCCCTTCCGTCTATTCCTCTCGCCCCAGGCCGTTACTGGGTAGATGTAAGGAGTGGAGAGGCTGGGGAAGTGACCAGAGACTCGTGGGTTAGACCCGTCTTGGGTTCTTAGTCACCACCTCTAACCCTGTCGGTCATTGATGAGGTTAGTAGCTCCGATCTGAGTAAAACCAAGACCCAGGTGGGGAGTGTCTGACACCCGGAAGCATCAAGCAGAAAGGTGTTTTTCTGGTACTGAAAGGTTTTAAGTTTCAATGGTTTTGAGCTTTGCGAGCTTGAGAAGGCAGTTTAAAAACCAAGCCATTCAATTTTGGGTGGAACTTTAGGAATAGTCATGGCTGAAGTGCAGTGTTATTTCCGTCAGGCGATTGTGCATTGTCCTTCACCCCTCCATCGACTTTGAGCATGTGAAATATTTCCCCAAATTTTGATAAAGAAAAATGCGACAATGATTATTTTATTTTTTAAATTATTTAATGAAGTTTTGCTTCATTAAAATCCTCAATGTAATTTTAGAAAATCGAGAGCATATTTGTTTCATTATTTAATTCAACTGGATATGTAGTGCATGTCTCTTCTTTAAAAGATGTATACCCTCTTTAAAATTTTTTAGGAAAAATGTAATGAGAGAAGCATTTTAATTGAGAAGGAATCATGCCAGTCTATTTGCTGTCAAGTAATAGGGTTTTTTTTGTT
The DNA here is from genome assembly GCF_000001405.40 of Homo sapiens. NCBI lineage: Eukaryota > Metazoa > Chordata > Mammalia > Primates > Hominidae > Homo > Homo sapiens. Next base: position 75,242,871 of record NC_000006.12, on the reverse strand, counting down.
GTTGTTGTTTTTATTTATTTTATTTTATTTTATTTTATTTTATTTTTTTTTTTGAGACGTAGTCTCACTCTGTTGCCCAGGCTGGAGTGCAGTGGCACGATCTCGGCTCACTGCAATTTCCGTCTCCAGGTTCAAGCGATTCTGCTGCCTCAGCCTTCCAACTAGCTGGGATTACAGGCGCTCGCCACCAAGCCCTACTAATTTTTGTATTATTAATAGAGACGGGGTTTCACCATGTTGGCCAGGCTGGTCTCGGACTCGACCTCAAGTGATCCGCCCGCCTCAGCCTCCCAAAGCGCTGGGATTACTGGCATAAGCCACTGTGCACGGCCTTTTTTATTTTTTTATTTTTTATTTTTATTTTTTGAGCGGAGTTTCATTCTTGTCGCCCAGGCTGGAGTGCAGTGGTGCAATCTCGGCTCACTGCAAACCCCGCCTCCTGGATTCAAGCGATTCTCCCGCCTCAGCCTCCTGAGTAGCTAGAATTTCAGGTGCGCACCACCATGCCCAGCTAATTTTTGTGTTTCTAGTAGAGACGGGGTTTCGCCATGTTGGCTAGGCCGGGTCTTGAACTCCTTACCTCAGGTGATCCACCCACCTTGGCCTCCCAAAGTACTGGGATTACAGGCGTGAGCCACCGCGCCTGGCCAAGTAACAGATTTTTTTTTTTTGAGATGGAGTTTCACTCTTTTTGCCCAGTCTGTAGTGCAATGGGGCGATCTTGGCTCACCACAACCTCTGCCTCCCGGGTTCAAGCGATTCTCCTGCCTTAGCCTCCCGATTAGCTGGGATTACAGGCATGCACCACCATGCCTGGTTAATTTTGTATTTTTAGTAGAGACAGGGTTTCTCCATGTTGTTCAGGCTGTTCTCGAACTCCGGACTTCAAGTGATCTGCCTGCCTAGTAATAGAATTTTTTCTTTGAAACGGAGTTTCACACTTGTTGCCCAGGCTGGAGTGCAATGGCGCGATCTCAGCTCACTGCAACCTCCGCCTCCCAGGTTCAAGCTATTCTCCTGCCTCAGCCTCCCAAGTATCTGGGATTACAGGCAAGTGCCACCACGCCTGGCTAATTTTGTATTTTTAGTAGAGATGGGGTTTCTAATGTTGGTCAGAGTGGTCTCGAACTCCTGACTTCAGGTGATCCGCCCCCCTCCCCGGCCTCCCAAAGTGCTGGGATTACAGGTGTGAGCCACCGCGCCTGGCAGGTTTTTGATGATATGGCAGTATATTATGAAAATATTTGGGTTTGGTGTATTTTGGTTAAGCACTATTTTTGTAATATGTGTATGTCAATATGTTTGCATCAAGGATTATAAAATGCTACTGGTTCTGTTCAGGTAGAGATCATGATTTTATTTTTTGGTTAGAATCTATATGAATTGCTTCTTGAATATGTTATTTGGAGACTGCAGAATGTAATTCGAAGAGCAGAGGATGGATAACAAATTGAAAAACCTGGATGCTCTTGCATGACTTTGCTGCTGACAAATCAGATATGCTTCAAGTCTCAATTTACCTTTTCTATAATATGAACGACTGAAAATAGTTGGTTTTGAAGGTTTCTTTAGGCTCTAAGTCTATTTAATAATATTTTCATTTTAGGCTCTTCGTCAGATTGGGCAGAGGACGATAAGCACTGCTTCCCGCAGGCATTTTAAAAATAAAGTTCCGGAGAAGCAAAAACTGTTCCAGGTACTGAAGTATTTTATAGGAGATGTTACTTGTAATTATTAGATTACCAAAAGGTAAGAGTTGGGATAAACAAGTATGTGTATAAATTAGATCATATGACAATATAAACATTACAAAAAAAGTCAAGGACATGTACCATAGTGCTAATAGTGGTTGTCTCTTGGGGAAAGACCTGGTGGAGCAGAGCAATTTACCTTTATAAGTAGTTTGATTATGAGTGATTTTTGTTTTATTATGGTTTCTAGCTTTTCCTAAATAAAGCTTAAAGTGATTAAAAATAGTTGTATCATATATACCTAAAAATACAATACTTTATTGAACAGATGTACTAAATAGCTACTGTATGCTGGATTAGATGCTAGGGATATAATTTAGGGTTATAAACCAAAATCCCTTCCCCACTTTTTTAAGGGAAAAAAAGTTTCCTATGACTAAATCTAATGTGTGGCAATTATTGGTTCTTTTATATTTAAGTTATATTAAAGTTGTTGAGATCAGTGTGTATGTTTTATAGCTTTAATGTTTATATATTCTTTGGAAAGACCGTCATTAATGGATCTCAAATTAACGGTGAAAGAAGAATGCTGACTTTTAGGAATTCTTATTTTAAAAGTAGTAGTAGTAGAGACGGAATAAAGAAAATTGTAGGTCTTTTAAATTTTAATACTTAAAATACTTTAATTCTAGGGATTTAAGGAGCTATATCATTTTATATGCCTGTTCTTTTGAAACTTAGTTGGAAATGAGTGAGACATTTATTATTGTCTTTTTTTTTTTTTTTTAAATCTAGGAGGATGATGAAATTCCACTGTATCTAAAGGGTGGGGTAGCTGATGCCCTCCTGTATAGAGCCACCATGATTCTTACAGTTGGTGGTAAGGCCTTTGGAATGTTTGAAGGTTTATAGAAAAGTAATAGTAATGATAACTGATAACTTTATTGCTTTTGCTATGCCAGTATTTTAATGCAGGCAGTTTGTCTCCAGAATTTGATATCTTACTATATCTCATAATGATTCAAGAGGGTGACTGATACATACTGTATAAGAGCATTGTGATGTCTTCTTTTTTTTTTGAAATGGAGTTTTGCTCCTGTTGCCCAGGCTGGATTGCAATGGCGCGATCTCGGCTCACTGCAACCTCTGCCTCCCGGGTTCAAGCGATTCTCCTGCCTCAGCCTCCCGAGTAGCTGGGATTACAGGCGTGCACCACCATGCCTGGCTAATTTTGTAGTTTTAGTAGAGACGGAGTTTCTCCGTGTTGGTCAGGCTGGTCTTGAACTCCTGACCTCAGGTGATCTGCCCGCCACAGCCTCCCAAAGTATTGGGATTACAGGCATGAGCCACTGCGCCTGGCCTTGATGTCTTAATAAAAAAATAACACCAGTAAGATTTGATGATTATGTTGTGATAGAGTTGGCTTTCTGAGTCCCATTGATGGCAGTGAAGGCTATATTTCAGTCAAAAACATCCATTATATCCCACCTCTTACAGCAAGGGCTTTAAAACATTTTGACTGTGATGCAAAATAAAAGCACACTTTACATCTAAACTTTGTACAGACATATTTATGACCAAAACAAAATTTGTACAGAACAATACTTCCACTGGAAGGTAAAGAGAAGGGATGCTATATTTGAGTGATTATTTTATGCCTATCATATTCATAGGAATGCCACATACTTGGATTTCTGTGAGTCTTGCATGAAGTCTATAATATGTCCTCATTTTAAAGATGAAGAAATCATATTAATTACCTGTTTGGGAAACTCTACTCTCACACCACAACAATCAACATGGAAGATCTCTGTTGCCAAATGTGTGGGGGTTTTTCCCTGCACACCAAGTAATGGACACCAGCTAGGTGTCCTCCAGTTCAGTTTCCACACTATCTACTGGGAGATAGCATCAGATTCCACAGGTTGATGGCACAAGACTGTCCCCTCCTTCCCACCAGTTGCAAGTTTGGGTCTTCGGAACTTCTGACTGACTGGCTTTAAGTTGGGGTTCCCACAATCTCCTCGTTGGGGAAACACATTTACCAGTTTATTATAAAAGGTATAGGCTGGGCATGGTGGCTCATGCCTGTAATCCCAGCACTTTGGGAGGCTGAGGCTGGCAGATCACCTGAGGTCAGGAGTTCAAGACTAGCCTGGCACACATGGTGAAACCCTGTCTGTACTAAAAACACAAAAATGAGTCGGGTGTGATGGCACACACTTGCAATCCCAGCTACTCGTGAAGCTGAGGCAGGAAGATTGCTTGAACTGGTAGGCGGAGGTTGCAGTGAGCTCAGATTGTGTCACTGCACTCCAGCCTGGGCGACAGAGGGAGACTCCATCTCAAAAAAAAGAAAAAAAAAGATAAAGCCCTAAATTCCTTTTGGCCAATGTGACATTTCTTAGACATTCTGGTAAGTAGTTTTTAAAATGAAATTCCAGTTATCAGCTTTTTTTTTTTTTTTTTTTTTTTTGAGATGGAGTTTCGCTCTTGTTGCCCAGGCTGGAGTGCAATGGCGCGATCTCGGCTTACTGCAACCTCTGCCTCCCAGGTTCAAGCAATTCTCCTGCCTCAGCCTCCCAAGTAGCTGGGATTACAGGCATGCACCACCACGCCTGGCTAATTTTGTATTTTTAGTAGAGACAGGGTTTCTCCATGTTGAGGCTGGTCTCGAACTCCTGACCTCAGGTGATCCGCCCGCCTCGGCCTCCCAAAGTGCTGGGATTACAGGTTTCAGCAACTATGCCCGGCCCAGTTATCAGCTATTTTTTATATTACATTTGATTACTTTAAAATTATATCACTCTTTTTTTTTACATTCACTTTAGGGAAGGCTTGCATATTTTGAACTCTTTTTTTCTTTGGCATTTAATCATCCTTAGCATTTCTCAGGCAGTCTTGGGTTAATATGGAAATAACCTTTGTATACGTTCTTAATCTTATTTTTAAAAATTTTTGCATTTTATGTTGACAAATATATTATTGTGCCACACTTTCTATATTAAAACTAGATTAAATATATTTTACATATATTTATTTAAAATTTTTCCAGCACCTATCAAAATACTTTTTTGTGTTCCAATTAAGGTAGTCTTAATGCAAACTTACAACTTTTGAACTGGAATATTAAATTTATACACTTAGATCTTAGAATTTATGGTTAAGTTCTTTTTTGTTTTTTATTTTTAGGAACAGCATATGCCATATATGAGCTGGCTGTGGCTTCATTTCCCAAGAAGCAGGAGTGACTTCAGTCATCCCAGCAATCGCTTGGTTCAGTTTCATTCAGCTCTCTATGGACCAGTAATCTGATAAATAACCGAGCTCTTCTTTGGGGATCAATATTTATTGACTTGTAGTAACTGCCACCAATAAAGCAGTCTTTACCATGCTTTGTCTGATTTTATCACTTTATGCCAATAATTTCAACTTTTGGTCAGCCTTGTAAATCTTAGGTAAGGATCAAAGAAATGATTCTTTTGCCACTAAACTTGTGAAAGCAACATTATTGTGATGTTATTTTAGTGAAATTTTACTTCTAACAGCTCAAAATTAGTCTCAACTTCTGTCTCAACTTGCCGTTTGAATGCATATTGCTTTTTCCCCCTACCCACTCCAGTATATCTTGGAATATGCTAGAACCCGGGGGTAGTGGAAGCAGATTATCTTTGGCTCCTGGGGTCTATATTTCTTTTTTTTTTTTTTTTTCTCAGCTATGTGAGAGTATGCTTAAATATTGGATATATCCCACAGCTTAGAATTAGGCTTTAGTAGAATGGCTTTGTAAGATATTTCAGTATTTGTTTTTTTCTACACTCCGAGTGGGTTCAGGTAGGTTTCTCTCATCAGGAACCAACCAAAGCAGGACAGTTCCTGGGCTCCCCAGCTATCATCTAATGGACCCACAACTGTTTAACCTAAACAGTAGTTAGGTGCTTAATAAATGGTAGCCATAATAGGCTGCTCATAATAGGAATGTTTCAAAAAGGTCTATTTAGGGAACACAAAATCCAAATAGATACAGAGAGTAAGAATCAAAAAGAATTACGATGCTGCTCTAGGTAGTTTGCTTCAGGGTTTGCAGAACCCTTCCTGCTTTGAGAGAACTATGCATGAAGCTGGAAATTTCATAGACTTCAAGTTTGGGACTCCCTTTTCCTGGGTCCTGTTGTGCATCCATGTGGAGAGTAGCATCTTGTGAACCACTTCAGGACTTTCCTTCTATATATATCGAGATTGGTAATTCGTCAAGAGATACTGAGTGCCTACTGTGTCCTAACTGGTTTTAGGTACCTAGGAATCACTGGTGAACAAAAGCAGATTCTTCCCCTCATATGTTATAGAAAGGGGTGGTAGGAAAGAGAGTTTAAAAATAAATTGCACAGTAGGTTAAAAGATAAGTTCTATGGAAAAAGACCAAAGGGGAGAACTCACATGGGTGTGGTTGGTTGGTTGCAGTATTAAAGTTAGGGTAGGCTTCAACAGGAAGGTCAGATTATTTCGAGACATCCGAAAGTGAACTGGTCAGAAACAGTCATCCCACTGTGTTAGAAATTGGTTCTGGGACCTCCCACAGATACGGAAATCTGTGAATGCCCAAGCCTTTTATATAAAATGGTGTAGTGTTTGCATGTAACCTATGCACATCCTCCTATATACTTTAAATAATCTCTAGGTTGGTTATAATGCCTAGTGCAGGATAAATGCTGTGTAAATATACTGTATTGTTTTGGGGATAAGGACCAATAAGAAAGTCTGTATGTGTTCAATACAGATGCAGCCATTTATTTTTTACTAAATGTTTTCAAGCTGTTGGTTGAATCCACAGATGCGGAACCCACAGATATGGAGGGCTAACTGTATATGGGCAAAAGGCACTCTAGGAAAAGGAAACAGCCTAGAGCAAATGTCCTAAGGTGCCTGGCATGTTCAAAGAACAGAAAGGCAAGAGTAGATACCACTCAGTGGGTGATGGAGAGGAAGTTAGTAGGGGGTGGGCCACATCAATTAGGGCCTTGTAGGTTATTTTAAGGACTGGCTTTTGAGTGACATGGAGAGCCATCATAGGATTTCTCAATGAAGAATGACTTACATGTTTTAGAGGACTAGCCTGATTGTTGTGATAAAATAGACCATAGAGGGGCAGCGGTAGAAACAGGCAGATCCTTTAAGATGCTTACTGCAGCAACCTAGATGAGAGGTGATGAAGACTAAGAGCAGCTGTTAGCCATGAAAACGATGGAAAGTGTTCAGATTATGAGCAGAGGAGGATCTTTATCATTCACTTAAACCTTACCCTTCCTCATCCACCCATCCCACAATTTCTTACTGAGTATGAGTCTACTTTGTATAAAGCACTGTTGTAGGCTCAGAGAATACAGCTGTGAAATAGATGAGCAAGCCCTTTCATGGGTCTTACATTCCAGTTGGTGGAGATAGACAACAAATAATTCATAAGCCTGATACTGTCCTATAGTGGGAACTGCAGATCAACAGGGTGATCTATTAGGAGGAATAGCGCAGTGGAAGCTAGAAAAGGGCTGAGTAAAGTTACATTTGAACTGAGACCAGAAAAAAAGGAGCCAGCTAACAGTGAGAAGAAAAGCATTCCAAGGAATGGGAAAAGGAAATTGCTTTGCAGGGATGAATTGCAGAAAGAGGACAAGTGTTGTAGAGTATAGGGAGTAGGAGAAAGCAGCTGTTGTTCTCTCTTCCACAGTGACTAGCACAACAAATGGTTATACCACTACACACAGGGTCTAGATAGATTTGTTTTCTGGTTTCATAATCTGCAACACGATCTGATAACTATAATATTGATTTAGCAAGAATCCCAAATATAAATTAATGTAGACAATCTATCTCAGGCAGTTATTGTTACTATCATTAGTAAGAACTGGAAGCTGAGAACATACAGAGATCAAATACACAATAATTACATTTGAACTAGAACTCAAACCTAGATATGTCTTATTCTGAAGCCCTTTGTTTATGTGTTATGTACCATGTTATTCCTAAATGCAGAAAAAAGGAAAAAAGTACTTAGGATAATTTTACTGGTTGCTTTCCCCACAAACTTTATTCCTTTTGAATATTGTTGTATTCGTGGTTATGTTTGATGAATTAGCATCATAAGAATTGGCAATTTTTTCATTTCGCTCTTCTTTCAGACTCCTGTGAGTCTGACTGTGTATCTATTCCAGTTGCCTATTTCTATTGAAATTATAGTTTTACAGCTGCTATTTACTATCTGAAAAAAACACAAAAAACCAGCTTCTACAAGTCAAGGATATTTTGAAGGACTCATTAATGAGGAAAACCAATAAAAACCCAAGACATTTTCTAAATTTTTATCTCAGTATAATATACTGGAGGGAAAAAAGGATTAAATGTTTACAATTACATTGCTTGGAAACTAGAAAATTGCCTACTGAAATGGTAATTGTAAGCCAGGCACGGTGGCACGTGCCTGTAATCCCAGCTACTTGGAAGCTGAGAAGGGAGGATGGCTTGAGCCCAGCAGTTGGAATCCAGCCTGGGCAACATAATGAGACTCTCTCTCTCTCAAAAAAAGAAAGAAATGGTAATTTTAAGGCATACATGAAGTCAGTTAAAGGAAGGGAAATTCGTAACATTAGATATTGCAGACTTAGTGCCAGAATATATGCATGTATGTATGTAAATTTGGATTTGAGTGTTGATTTCTAATTATCAATGTTGCATTAGTACAATGTAAGATGGGCTGTTTCTTGAATTCTGAGATTATGCCAGATCTTTATTGACCTCTTGGAGGAGGCCATCATCTTCCCTCTGGGGAGCTGCTAAAAATATTCTCTAGCATTAGTCTGGTGGCTAAAAGCTGGTATCCTTGTTTGGCCTTGTTTTTTCTCTTTCCAGGCCATTTTACCCCAGTTAATGCAGTTATAACTAGAACAGCCTATGGCCATTAACATTTGGATACTCTCCCTACAGTGCTTTTTCCTAAAATAGTACCTGCTTTGGGAAATCAGTATGCAGTGAACCATCTTGACTGTTTTGGTCACAAAAACATATCTTTACAGTTGATCGTTTCCCCATCTTAATTCTATGCTAATGATCATTAAAATGATTTCAAAAAAAGTTTTCTTTCCACTTTAGTTGGACCATACAACAAAGGAACAGACCAGGAAGTCTCAGTCAAGGATGAGGAGCCTGGAGTCTCTTTTTTGTTTACCTCTGTCCATATTTATCAAAAAAATGTCTGGACGAAACAGACAGAATCCCTTTACAGAATTGAAAGACAAAAGCAAACAAAACAAAACAAAAAGATGCATTTCTCAAGAAGTAATTTTGAACATGAGTTTATTTCTCAAGTCTTGAAAGATTCCCTATGTTGATTTCCCAAAGCTGTAGCAGCCTAGCTTAAATCATACATTTTTGATAACTGGTTTCCAAATCAAGCCTTTTAGTTGGTAGAAATTCTTTTTTTGTTTTAGATGATTATAAAGTAGGCCGAGAAAAAGAAGTGGAGTTATATAGAACACTTAATAAAGAACACCATGCGTTTATTATTATTTAAAAAACTTTCTGATTATAAATCTCATTCATACATATAGTAGGTACAAAAGAAAGAAGAATACTTCGATAGTGTTCTGCTCTTTGTCCTATGTATAAACAACTGGAGCACAGGAGTATTTTTAGGACTCTCTCCATCTCTTGTCATGGTTCATCCTTTGAAATTCCCTTGTTGAGCATGGCAGAAATGTATCCTCTGATGACATGCTTCCCAGCTTCACCACTGATATTAGATGGTTTGGGCTGCTGTAACAGTATACCACAGACCAGATGGCTTCAACAATAGAAATTTAGTTTCTCACAGTTCTGGAGCCGTAGGAGTCCCAGATCAAGGTGCCGGCTCATTTGGTTCCTAATGAGGGCTCCCTTCCTGGCTTGCAGATAGGGTAGCCTTCTCACATGGCCTTTCCTTGTGATGTGTGGAGAGTGAACAAGTTGTGGGGTATCTTTCTCTCTTTGTAAGGACACCAATACTATCAGATTGGGCCCCCACGCTTATGACCTCATTTAACCTTTATTACCTCCCTATAGGTCCTATCTCCAAATATGGTTGCATTGGGAGTTAGGGATTCAACATGTGAAATTCAGTGGGACACACCTGACAGAAAATAAAGGCTGTTTTTGATTCCAAGTTCAAAAATTTCAAGGAAGGGCTCTGACTGCCTGGGATCTACCAAATGAAGGGTAACATTGTTGGCAGTTTGTTTTAGGGCTCACTTCCTGCCAATCGGTGGCTTCTATTTAAGGAGCTAATGCTCTGAAGATTTTCTTACAGATGAAACCTCTTTTTATTTTTTATTTATTTTTACTTTTCTTGAGACAGAGTCTTGTTCTATAGTACAGGTTGGAGTACAGTGGCATGATCTCGACTCATGTCAACCTTTGTCTCCCAAGTTCAAGCAATTCTGTCTCAGCCTGCCAAGTAGCTGAGACTACAGGCACGTGCCGCCACACCTGGCTAATTTTTGTATTTTTAGTAGAGATGGGGGTTTCACCATGTTGGCCAGGCTGGTCTCGAACTCCTGACCTCAAGCAATCCACCCGCCTTGGCCTCCCAAAATGCTGAAATTACAGGCATGAGTCACCGTGCCCAGCCCATTTCTTGATTTTTTGATGGGGCACTATTGGGGGTAGGAGAAAATATGATTATAGAAATTCAGAAGATTTAGGCAGTAATATATAAGATGGACCAGAGTGGAGATAAAATGGATAATGAGGAGGCTATTATAATAAACTAAGCAAGATTTCAGACTATTGAGCAAAGTGAGTTGTCAGCTTGGATGAAAGTAAGGGTGGCAGGAGGTGCTAGTAACGATATTAACAGTAACCTAATATCTTATAAGTTATGTTTTGTGTGAGACGCAGAATAACTGCCACAAAGAAAGCAAAATCAATAGAAAGTTAATAGGAAAATGGGTAAATTTGTAAAAAGGATAGGCTACATTATTCTTAGATTTCTACCTTCTATAACCAGAGGAAAACAGGAAAGCAGACAGTGGAGATGATCTAGGGATTTCAGTTATAATTTACAGTTGCAGCATTTTCCTTATAAAGGAACACAACCTCCAAGACACTTGAATGTAAGAATATAAGAATGGTAGAACTGAAAAAGCACTGTTCAGGAGACGTGAGGCTGTTAATGCTGTGTTATGCTGAAGCCATGCCAGCTTGGGAGTCAGCTGAGGTTACATCTACACTAGTTCCCAAATAACCATTATTCTGAGCCCCCACCTGTCCATTCAGGAACATTGCTACCCTTTGAAGTTAATTTTTTTTGAGTCATTGACACCTCACATGCCCAGGAACATGATTTTCCATATCCCCGCCCACCCCTTCTTGTCCACTCCAGGAGAAGAAGTCAACCCATCCAGGTGCTGCTGTGCCCAAAGCTCTGTCTTCACATGCTCCCAAAGCTACCCTTCCTTGTGTCCTGGGGCAGAGCTGGTTTGTATGGAGAAATGTGCAGTTTTCCTTCATGTATTCATTCAGGAAATATTGAAAAGTCTACTCTGAACCTGGCAAGGTTCTAGGCCCTGGAATGTACACCCATGAAGAAGACAGAAAATGTCTCTGCTTTTAGGGAGTTACATACTGAGCCATGCTTCCTCAGAGAGGCCCTGAAGCAGCAATTCTGGAGGCCACAGTACAGCCAGTTCTCCCTGTCTGCAAGTTCAGCATCCACGGATTCAAACAATCCCTGTTTTAAAATGCAGTTTTTGAGGAATGAAGAACTCAAGGATATGACGGCCTGCTTTTCGTAGCTGTGGGTTCCACAGGGCCAACTGCAGGACTTGAGCATCTGCAGATTTTGGTATCCCTGAGGGTCCTGGAACCAATCCCCTGCAGATACTGAAAGACAACTGTATTGCAAAGTTTCCGGTAAAGATGACTGTTTCAGCTTTGGGCTTTTATTAGCACCTCTCTAATAAAACTCGCATGTGTCACAGAAAGAAGAAAGCATTTTTAGGCACACAGTGTCTCAACCCATACTTAGAAAACAATCCACATTTTTCTTTTGTTAGTGGAACAAAAGTATTCGAAGACGTAATTGCCTGTCGCATTGACAGCATTTCACGGGATTCTAGAGCCTCAGCTTTTGACTGGGAGCAGGGAAATTGACTTTTTCATGAAAGTTATGGGAGGTCTATTTTTTCTTTTGATATCTTGTTTCTCAGGGATTACTGCTTTTTCCCAGTGCATCTTATGCTAAAAGGCTGGGCCCTGTAACATGATACTTTTATGGTAGGACACTTTTTCTGGCTGGGGACACCAGTTCTCTCTAAGAGAAACAAGGGTTTCATTTGAAATGGCTCAACTCAAAACTAATGTTCACAGATCAATTCAGATTTGACAGTGATTTGTTGATGGAGTGAAAGTTCCCACCACCCTTTCTCTTACCCGCTGGGGAGTAGGGCTGTATTGTTAAGGAGCCATGGCGCCACTAGAGGGAAGTATTGGATAGGGAGGAAAAGAAACTTCACATTCCTTCTGTTACCGTGGAATTACATAATATTTCAGTAAATCTAAATTGAAAATATCAAGATCTTGCCAGTCAGAAGTCATTTGCCTCTCTGAACTCCGATAACACTGCTTACACATACAAGTAATAGTAAGCATGCTTTACATTCATTATTTCTCCCATTCAATTTTAAGTTCTTTGAAGTATAAGGGCTGTCTTATAATTCTTTAGTCTACTACATAATATCTGTTGAAGAAATGAATATTTTATGAGCATCCTCTGAATACATGCTGAGTTCTTAATGTTTTAAAATATTTTTATAATAATGCAATTTTGAATATTTTTAAATTGACAAGTAAAAACTGCATCTATTTATGGTGTACAACATGATGTTTTATTATGTAACTCCCACAAGGTGTGTGTGTGTATATATATATATATATATATATATATATATATATATTTATGTATATATAAATATTTATTTATATATTTATAAATATATATATATAAATTTATACCACAAGGTATACCATAAGGTATATTTATATACCTTATGGGAGGGGTAAATAAAACTATTTAACATGTGTTGCCTCATGTACTTATTTTTAAGCTGGTCTTAAGTGAGAACACTTAGAATCTGCTCTCTTTGTAATTTTCAAGTATACAATGTATTATTAACTATAGTCACGATGATGTACAATAGATATCTTGAACTTATTACTGTCTAACTGAAATTTTGTGTCCTTTGACCAATATCGACCTACTCTCCTAAACCCCAGCTTTTGTTAACCACCATTTTGCTCTCTATTCCTATGAGTTTGAATTTTTAACACTCCACATAAAAGTGAGATCATGTGGTATTTTTCTTTCTGTGCCTGTCTTATTTCACTTAACACAATGTCCTCCAGGTTCACCCATGTTGTCGCAAATGACAGAATTTCCTTCTTTTCAAAAGCTGATTAGTATTCCGTTATGTGTACATACCACATTTTCTTTGTTTATTCATTTGTTGAATAAGCATTTGATGAATGCTTAGGTTGATTCCATACCTTGGCAATTGTGAATAATGCTGCAATGCACATGTAGGTATCTCTTTGGCTGAATGACTATGTTTCCTCTGGATATATACTCAATAGTGGGATTGCTGGATCAGAGAGTAGTTCTATTTTTAATTTTTTGAGGAAACTTCCTATTGTTTTCCATAAAGGCTGTACTAATTTACATTCCCATCGACAATGTGTAGGGGTTTTCTTTTCCCCATATTCTCACCTACAGTAGATATTTTTCATCTTTTTGATAATAGTCATTCTAGCAGGTATGAGATAATATCTCACTGTGGTCTTAATTTGCATTTCCCTAATGATTAGTGATTTGAACTTTTTTTTTTTCTTTTTGAGACAGGCTCTCACTCTGTTGCCCAGGCTGGAGTGCAATGGCGTGATCTCAGCTTACTGCAACCTCTCCCTCCTGGGCTCAATCCATCCTCCCATCTTGGCCTCCCTAGTAGCTGGGAATATAGGCGCATGCCACCATGCCTGGCTAATTTTTGTATATTTTGTAGGGATAGGATTTTACCATGTTGTCCAGGCTGGTCTTGAACTCCTGGGCTCAAGTGATCCACCTACTTTGGCCTCCCAGAATGCTGGGATTATAGGAGTGAGCCACTGCGTCCAGCCAAGTCTTCTTTTGAGAAATGTTTATTCAGGTCCTTTGCCCATTTTTTTTCCGGAGTGTTACATAATTTTATTAGAAAGTTTGACAAGTTAATCAGATAAACAAATTGATAGCATTCATGGCATGTAAACAGGACATACACACTATTTTCAAATACCAGAGGAAAGTATTTAAAAGGACAAGTTTTAGGCTGAAAATGACATTAACTTCGTGAAAGTAGAAATCCAACAGGTCACATTTTAAAAACACTGTGAAATGACCATAGAAATATCAATGAAAGTGAAATCCACAAGTAATATTTAGCCACATACAAATTTTATTTAAGATCAATATAAATATTGGATGAATTAACAGGTTCAAACTAAGAATACTGTACAAAATCAAGGAAGTATTTAAGGAGAATTCTTGTGACTGGAATCAAAGGACTTAAATTCATCTAACTACTTCTACCAATACTAGTAAGTTTAAGACGTTACAGAAAAACATAAATTCTGGCCTTGTCCACTGCTATTCACGAAAGTGGAAGTTAATATTTCAGAAATGTGTTCAAAATGTAAAAATGCTTTCCCTTATTAATAGAATGACTACATTCTGAAAGTAATTATACCATATATTATATTGGAGGAAGTGGTGTCTGAAATTAAGAAAAAATTCCAGGATTTCTCACAGATGCTGTTGTAGGATAGAAATTATCTAAGTGAAATATTTCACTAATGTGTCCTTGGCCCATTTTTAAATCGTGTTATTTTTCTTTAATTAAGTTGTTTGAATTCCTTATCATATTTTGGATATTAACTTGTCAGATGTATGGCTTGCAAATATATTCTCCCATTCCATGGGTTGTCTCTTCACTCTATTGATTGTTTGTTTCCATTTCTGGGCAGATGCTTCTTAGTTTGATGTAATTCCATTTGTCTAGTTTTGTTTTTGTTGCCTGTGCTTTTGGGGTCATATCCAAAAAATCTTTGCCCAGACCAACGTCATGGAACTTTCCCCTTATGTTTTCTTCTAGTAGTTTTGTAGTTTCAGGTCTTAATGTTTAAGTTTTTGATACATTTTGAGTTGATTTTTGTATGTGGTATGAGATGAGGGTTTAACTTTATTCTTGTGCAGCTAGATATACAGTTGTCCTTTCCACAATATGTGTTCGTGGCATCTTTGTTGAAGGTCAACTGATTGTAAATACATGGATTTACTTCTGGGCTTTCTATTCTGTTTTGTTGGTCTATGTGGCTGTTTTTATGCTAGTACCATGCTGTTTTGATTATATTAGCTTTGTAGTAGATTTTTAAATCAGGTAGTGTTGATGCCTCCAGCTTTGTTCTTTTTGCTCAAGATTGCTTTGGCTATTAGCGATCTTTTGTGGTTCCATATGAATTTTAGGATTATCTTTTCTGTCTCTGCGGAAAATGTTATTGGAATTCTGATAGGGATTACATTGAATCTATAGATTGCTTTGGGAAGTATAAAAATGTTTACAATACTAACTCTTCTAATCCATGAACATGAGCTATCTTTCCATTGTCTTTGTGTCTTTTTCAACTTCTTTCATCAATGTCTTATAGTCTTCAGTGTACAGATCTTTCACCTCCTTGGCTTAATTTATTCTGAATTATTTTATTACTATTATTTTTAGCTATTCTAACTGGGTTTGTTTTACTGATTTCTTTTTTGCATAGTTCATTGTGAGTGTATAGAAATGCGATTGATTTTTGCACGTTGATTTAGTTTCCTGCAACTTTGCTGAATTAGTTTATTAGTTCTAATAGTCTTTTTTCGTGAAATCTTTAGGGTTTTCTAAGTATAAGATCATGTATGGCCGGGCGCAGTGGCTCACGCCTGTAATCCCAGCACTTTGGGAGGCTGAAGTGGGTGGATCACCTGAGGTCAGGAGTTCGAGACCAGCCTGGCCAACATGGTGAAACCCCATCTCTACTAAAAATACAAAAGTTAGCTGGGCGCGGTGGCAGGCGCCTATAATCCCAGCTGCTGAGGCATGAGAATCACTTGAACCTGGGGGGTGGAGGTTGCAGTGAGCTGAGATCGTGCCACTTCACTCCAGCCTAGGCGAAAGAGCAAAACTCCGTCTCAAAAAAAAAAAAAAAAAAAAAAGATCATGTAACCAGTACTATGTTGAGTAAAGGTGGTGAGAGTGGGTATCCTCCTCTTGTTCCTGATCTTAGAAAAAACGATTTCAACTTTTCACCAAGTATGTTAGCTATGCGGTTTCCAAAACAAATATTTGTAACATCAAGATTAAAAATAGAAATCCTTAAAGCTAGTAAGACAGACTTCTAAAGTTTAGAGGAAAACTCTAAACTCAGTCACAGAATTAGACAGAAGCTCAATTTTGTGATGACAAAGTGCAGAATAAGTATACATTTTACTTATATTTTGTAGCTTGTAAGTGTAACTTCTCAGGTCTATTGTACTGAAACAAAGTAGCTGTAAATTTTGTGCTTTGCATTCTCAAAAGTACAACTTCCTGTTTCTCTCAACATTCCTGCTTAAAACAAAACAAACCAAATGAACAAACAAAATAATGTTAACATAATTTAAGGCTGAATCAAAGATACTCAGGATTGAATGATTTGTTTACACATAGTGCATTATATGTCTTTGATTAAACTACATTGAAGTCCTTTTCTTTCTTCCTTCTATTACGTGTACAATATGTTTCATTTTCTTTCTAAATGATTAAGCCATCCCTAAGTATTTTTCTTTAATTTTTCTCTGTGAAATTGTCTCGAGGAATACTCATATCTCCAGGCTCTCAGTCCAATCTTTCATTCAAGAAAAGATCAGTCTGCTTAACTGATACTAAGCAGAGAAACATTCAAGAATAAATGAGACAAGATTGCAGATGCTCACTGTGTTTTGTTTGCTGTTTTTTGTCTTTTGTTTTGAGACAGGTTCTTGCTCTGTCACCCACGTTGGAGTGTAGTGGTTCAATGGCGGCTCACTGTAGCCCGAACCTCCCAGGCTCAAGTGATCCTCCCACTTCAGCCTCCTAAGTAGCTGGAACTACTATTTATATTTAATTAATTTTTAAATTTATTTTGCATAGAGACGAGGTCTTTCTTTTTTTTTTTTTTTTTTTGAGACAGAGTCTCACTGTCGCCTGTTGCAACCTCCGCCTCCTGGGTTCAAGTGATTCTCCTTGCCTCAGCCTCCCAAGTAGCTGGGATTACAGGCACCTGCCACCATGCCCAGCTATTGTTTTTTGTATTTTTAGTAGAGACAGGGCTTCACTATGTTGGCCAGGCTGGGCTCGAACTCTTGTCCTTGTGATCTGCCTGCCTCGGCCTCCCAAAGTGCTGGGATTACAGGCGTAAGCCACTGCCCAGTTGAGATGAAGTCTTTCTGTGTTGCCCAAGCTGGTCATTGTTTTTACTAGGTAGACAAAGCAGTATAAAACCAATCCTTCACCTTCAGAGGGGCAGGAGCGTAGGTGGGCTCAGAATGTCCTGCCAAGGAAAAAATTCCTCCCGCACTGGCCTTCCTGCTTTTTGATTTTCTGCTCATGTCCATTCAAGGGATGGACAAACCTGTAGATAGATAATCTTGGGCCTTCTTGGTGTAGGACAACCTTCCACATTGCTATTTGGATATTTTTATGCTTTACTTCTCCTTTGGAGACCAAAAAGTATGAGAGAAAATAAAGCCTATAACTTTACTAGTTGGGAACACTGGTTTTGAAAGTCTTTGTCTTAGTAGGGTTGATTTTGGCTTTACTGAAATATAGGGATTAACTAGAAGTCCTGGTCTCTTTTCACAAAGACCATGATCTCTGCCTCCAAACAGTCCATCGTTGGAGATCTGTGAAGTGAATGTGAAAATTATCCACAGGGAGAACGCTGAGAGATGAGAGACTGGAGGTCCAGGTGGCCATAGAAAGCAGGTTCAGTGGAGTCACAGGTGAATTAAGAGGTGGTTCAGCTAAACAGTTAACAGTGGGGGCAATCTCTAAGGAGTATGTGATGGTATTAAAATGTCCACTAGTTCTTTGAAACTTCTCTTATCAAGAGGTGGCGTTTATGTTCCCTTCTCTTGAACCTGGGTGGTTTTGCAGCTGTCTTGATGAATAAATGTAGCAAAAGTGACGCTGTGTGACTTCCAAGGCTAGGTTAGACAAGGGCAGGCAGCTTCTGACAGGTTTCATGGGGCACCTGTTAAGGGAGCCTCAGTTGCCATGTGAAAAGTCCACCTACCCTGAAGTCAGCATGTAGAAAGGCTTCCTAGAAAGAAAGAGACAGGTTCAAGGAGACCCAGCTGTTCTAGCCTGCAGCTATTGGACTCTTTCCAGCCTGGATGAGGTGTCAGGCATACGAGTGAAGAAGCCTTCAAGATGACCCCAGCCCCAGCCACTGCCTGACTGCAGCTGCGTAGAGACCCCATGCGAGAGCTACCTGGCAGAGTCCATTCAGCCAAGATCAATGAGAAAGATAAATGATTAACTGCTTTCAGCTATGTTTGGGACGGACTTTTTATGGAGCAACAGATTACTGGAACAAGGCATGGAAACACCAGAATACATTGGAAGCATGATACTGATAATCTCAGGTTCTCTCATGAAAATTCTGGTGAAATGTAAATTGAGTGCATTCCAGCTGAAGTGGACGGTGCCCTTTTGAGGAAATTAGTTAAAAAGCACTTCTCTACAGCATGTGTCTATCTTGTCTATGTGTGTGAAAAGCAACGGAATAAATTTCATTTCTCTTGACCAGAAGTGGCCTAGGAGAGAACTGGGCCATGAAATGTAAGGGGCGGTCTTTGGGAAGTTTTCCTCCTTGATATTAAAAACAAAACAAAACAAAACAAAACAAAACAAAACAAAAGATTTGAGAGGATAAAGCCTTCCTTTCCAGCCTCTGGGTGCACTTGTGTGAGAGGGGGATGCCTGACTTCCACCTTTTAACCATAACATGACAGAAACCAATGCTTGACATGACAGAGGGGAGAAATGGGAAACCACTGGAGCCATCTTCATTGTCCTTTAGAATTAACCAACTTGGATCTGCTGCCACTGGGCTTATTGTTATCTAATAAATGTCCTTATTGTTTAAATCCCTGTTAGTAAAATCTCCTGTTATTTGTAGCACAAAATGCAATGGATACACTTGATGTAATGCTGTTTCTAAGGAACGAGTGATTTTTAAAGATTTATTTTCTTACTTTTAAATCTGTCAGTGCAGTTTCCATGAATTTGTCTGATTCACAAAAGAAAGCTCAAGAGAGAACTAGCACTTAATTCAAAGCAGGGACTAATTTGCTGGGTTTTTTGTTTGTTTTGGCCTCTCAGGACACTGACTCTACTTTAGCAAGGATATGTTAATTAGTAAATGAAATGGCTTTTGTTTCTTCTGTTGTTGCAAATTTTCTTGTGCAGAAAATGATTCAGAGTCCAAAAATGAAGTATGAAATGCCACGGTGGACAGTTATGTCTGATAGCTTTTGTGATCAAAAGCTGTCAGAGGTTGAAACACGGTCCTCCCTTGTCTAATTTTAATATTCTGTGGTGGCCAGCTGTTAGGGGCTGAATTGTGTCCCTCCAAAATTCAAATGTGGAAAATCCTAACCCCCAGTACCTCAGGATGTGACTATTTGGAGATAGGACCTTAAAGAAGTAATTACGTTAAAATGTAATCATTAGATCATTAGGCCCTACTCCAATATGACTGGGTGTTTTATTAACAAGAGAAAATTAGGACACAGGGAGAGACAGCAGACACGTGCACTCGCAGAGGGATGGCCATGTGAGGGCGAGTGAGAAAGGAGCCATCTGCAAGCCAAAGAGAGAGGCACCAGAAGAAACCAAACCTACTGACCCCTCACCCTTGGGCTTTGAGTCTCCAGAATTATGAGAAAGTAAATTTCTGTTGTTTCTGGTAGTTTTGTTATGGCAGCCCTCAAAAACTAACATATGACGTATATGACACTTTAAGCTACATCCCATGAGGGGATGAGAAAACTGTAACTTGAGACATTTCCAGATAAGTTAAAATGCTATGTTAAATCCAGTGCCCTTTTTTTTTTGAAAGAGTATACGATTTTAAAACATTTATTCAGCATACAATGCTGGTGGATAATTAATTTCACTCCATCAGCATTATATGCTGGATAAATGTTTGAAGATTATAGTGGCATTACATTATTGTGCTGCCAAACTTGCCCACAGTTCTCAATGTAATCTTGGAAAGAATAAGGGTCTTGGAAAAGTAGAGATTGTGGCGAGAGAAGGATTTTTCATGGAAGGAGATCTTGGGGCCCTTCTTGTGTGATAATGGGATCTGTATGAAGGAGATGGAATACAATTTGAGAGTCATTGATTTTTGAATGTTCATAACTGTGAGACAAAGATGTTGGAAACACTGGTAACACTTGAACCTTGTTAGTGGATAAGGGAACACTTGAAAGATTTTAGTTTTGCCTAGAGTTCCCTAAACAGTAACTAGTTTCCTAAAGAATATTATTCACAGTCTGTTGGGTCAACTATTTTTAAGGTTGTTTGGAGGCAAATTTGTTCCCATTGTGTAATAATTCATGACATGATTAGTCTTTTGGCCTAATTTTAAATTCAGTTCTCAAAACAGTTTGTCCTTAAGTAAACTGCAATGCTGTTTTCTATTTAATTTCCTAAAAAAAAAAAAAAACCCACTGGAAATGTCCTTGCTAGTGTTTATTTATTATTACATTTCAGTTAATGGAAATATGTAGTTATTCATCTTTTACTGGGAATCATTTTGATACTATGGAAATTACCCAGAATACTTTCTAATAAAATAAAAGTAATAGATCAACAATCTTATCTAGGTTTTCTCAGGTCTGCCTTACAATATTAGCCATCAGGAAATATCTACCAAAATAGAACACTAGTATCTACAACACAATGGTATTTCTTAAACTATAGTTCACATTAAAAGATATACAGAAAGCAGATTATTTTTAGTGTTTTCTTGCTCAGTTTTCAGTGACATTCTTGGAAATAAGATTGATTTTATAAAAGAAAGTCAATTGCCTTTGACATACTGATGCATGAATTTGAGAAAGGTAGTCAATGACTGCTGTTGAAAACTGGAAAAGGCAAGTGTAATTTTGTTTTATTACGAAGAATACAGGCAATTTGTTAGAAAACTTGCCTGATTAAAATAAATTGATTAAAGATTAGAAAAATAAGCATATAAAAATAGAACTTCCTCTTTGGAAAGCTGAGGAACCATCATTTATATGAACACCAATTTTTATCTCGGCAAATGAGAAAAAAATGTACATAAAATGTTGCAGTATTTGGAGGCAGAACTAACTAAGTATATTGACAAGCTATTTGCCACAGAAACTTTAAGGCCTAAAAAAATAGAATTTAGTGGAATAAAAAATATTTTTAAAAGAAAACACACACCCACAAAAATATTTTCTTATTTCGTAAACATTTTATTAAATGCTATTTGCTTTCGTATAGCACTGTTCTATAAAATTCACCTTTTTTTCCCACTAGGTTACCAGTACTATAAATGATTATCTGTGTAGGGGAGGTGGAGGATGGGGGAGAAGATTAGATTAAATTATATCCTTTTGCAGATATAAGATTCTATGGATTCATTACAAACAGATCCTGACATTTACAGCTAATTTTTATCTAACACTTACTCAGTGTCAGGCGCTGTCCATAGTGCTTTGTAATCTGTGTGGCTCCAGAGTTGTACTGAATAAAAAAATAGTCAGCGGCAGGGGCACATACTTGTAATCTCAGCAATTTGGGAGGCCGAGGTGGGAGGATTGCTTGAGGCCAGAAGTTCAAGACCAGCTTGGGCGACATAGCAAGACCTTGTTTAAAAAAAAAAATAACTAGGTATGGTGGCTTATGCCTGTAGCCCCAGCTACTCTTCAGGCTGAGGTGGGAAGATCCTGTGAGCTGAGGAGTTTGAGGCTGCAGTGAGTTATAAGGCTGCCACTGCACTCCAGCCTGGGCAACAGAGTGAGATCCTGTCTCTAAATAAACAATAATTAATTTTTAGAAAGAAAAAAAGAAACAGCTTCAAATCAGGGGGAAATTTTGACAATTAAATCGTAGGTTCATGTTTTACTAGAAAATGCATTATCTCCATACCTCAGTATTCTGAGAAATAAGAGACCTCTCATCTTTAATTCAGGGACTCTTGTTTATCCTACATACCCATTCTTTCCTTTTCTAACAGCTGGGTATAGGATGGCTTGGAATAAAGACTGCATTTTCCATCCTCCCTTGCAGCTAGGTATAACCATGTAACTAAATTCTGCCCAATAGAATTGAAGCAGAAGTATTGTGGGATAACTTAAAAGAATCTGCCTTCTCAGACTCTGTATATGCTTTAGCTAGATAATCAGATTCTACTGTTTTTGTTGCCTCTTTGGGAATGGACTTTTGTACCAGGAAGTAACATATCCTGCTCAATGATTTCCGTATGTGCCAGGATGATACATACAACATGGCAGACAACCAAGTTTTTAGGCTTTTGTGTGCTTCTTTTTTTTTAAACATTGAAAACAACAGAAAGAAGAAAGTTTGAGTTAAGCCATGTAATCAACAAATTGAAGTAAACAGGACATGAAGTAGCAAAGTAGTAGATATTAGAAATGGAACAGATCAGTGAAGTCTGTTCATCCTTGAGTCACTGAAGATCCTTGGTCATCATGCTAAAGCAAGAAATGCTTATTCTTAATAAGTAATAGTCCTGTTCATTTATAAACTTGGTTTTCAGGATTCTCAAGCTCATCAGTCACTTCTATGGAAAGAAAAGCTCACATTTTAATATGTCTCACTGCCATAGAATGTAATTTCTGTCATGTTGTGTATATTTTCTCATTTAAATTCATTACATTATTCATTTTGGCAATTTTCAAAACTAGAGCTGATCCGTGAATTCTATCTTTATCTCTGTTGTTGTAATTTGTACTTCCTTAGCTAAGGATGTCCTTCTCTTATCTGGCTGACTGACTCCTACAGAACCATGGCTCAGCTGAAGCACCTTCATTTCGGGAGTCTGTCAGTTTCAGAAATCTGACTTAGATACCCCACTGTGTGCCCACAGCCTGCTGGGTATACCTCTACATGCATTTATTACTCAAGATTGTGGCTTTGTTTGCTTCTGTCTCTTCTCCCCTGGATTATAAACTCCTTAAAGTCATGAATTATGTCTCTCATGTTTGTATTCCTAGAGTGTCTGTTTTACAGCAAATATGCAATAAATTCTTCTTTTTCTTTTTTAAACATTTTTTCTCAGGACTGAGATTCAAAAAATCTCTAACATTTTTTCCTTAATACACTTTTAAAGTTACATTTTTGAGGGACAATTCATATACAATAAAATTAGCCCTTTTAAATTGTACAACTCAATGACTTGGCAAATGTATATAGTCCTGTAACTACGCCACATTTATCATATGGAACATTTTCATCAGTGCCAACAGTTGCATTTGCTCCTTTGCAGTCAATCTCCTACCCCATCTCCAGCCCCTAAAAATCACTGCTCTGATTTCTTTCTTTATAGTTTTGCCAGTACTATGCTGTCATAAATGAAATCATCTGTAGCATGCATTCCTTTGTGTCTGACTTTTTTACATGGCATAATGTGTTTGAAATCCATCCACGTTGCACATATCAGTAGTTTATTCCTTTTCATATTCCTGTTCATGTCTAGGTAGTACCCATCGTTTGCATGGTCTCAATGTGTTCATCCATTTGGTGGACATTAGAGTTGTTTTTAGTTTGTGGCTATTATGGATAATGCTGCTATAAACATTCACATACAGTTCTTTATTATCTATTATTTTTTTTTGAGACAGGATCTTGTTCTATCCCCCAGGATGGAGTGCAGTGACATGATCATAGCTCACTGCAGTCTCTAACTCCTGGGCTCAAGTGATCCTTGATCTCAGCCTCCTGAATAGCTTGGATTACAGGCTCATACCACCATGCCATCTATTTTTTTTTTTTTTTAAGACAGGGTTTTGCTGCATTGCCCAGGAGTCTCTAACTCCTGGCCTCAAGTGATCTTCATGCCTTGGCCTCCCAAAGTGCTGGGATTATAGGCATGAGCCACCACACCTGACTCCACATATAGGTCTTTATATATGCATATATTTTCATTTATCTAGGGTAAGTATATAAGATTGGAATTTCTGGGTTATATAGTATGTGTTTAACTTTATAGTAAGATGCTACACTTTTCCAAAGTGATTGTAATTTACAGATCTGTACACAGTATCTGTAGTTTCCAGTTCATAAGTATTTTTAAAATGAATATAAATATAATCATATTTGATTTTTGGTTTTCTATTTGTCAGATATAATTATTTTTTAAATATATAAAAATAAATGGACAGACGTGCTAAGGCCTAGCTTTTTCTGGTTGCCAGAGTAGAAAGATGTTGAATAGGATTTATTCCTTTCCAAGCAACTCCTCTGTTTTTTAGTTAGTGATACTTCAAATTCCTTCATTACAGTGTCTTTCTTTTCTCAGGTAATGTTTTCTCGAAATACTTGTTAGAATTCAAAGTCCCTACCAAGCTGCTCTGGTAGGATTACTTCATCAGAGTTTATCAGGACCATTTCTCAATGGCCTTGCTAAAAGTTGTGTGGAAAGAGCCATTCAGAGTATGGGAATCTGAGTTCAGGTGCAGCGGGCTGGAGGGGTCCCTGAGTGAGAGCCAAAGATGGGAAAAGCAGAGTGACATGGTGAGGGAGGAATACAGTAAATGGCGAATAACCAGTCTGGGAGGACACTGGAACCAGAAGACTGCCTTGCTCTGCTGCCAGCTGTGGCAGTAGATTTGGGTTTGAGAGCTAGCTGTGCCACTTTCTAGTTATGTGGCTTTAAGAAAATCATGTAACCTCCACTTGAAACATCAGATTAAAAAAATCTGGAATGCTTAAGAAATAACATTAGTTCCATCTGCGTTAAAAGACTATTGTGGGCATTGCCTTGAGTAGTACTCAAGTGCAATATATATATTTCATGAGTGTCTTCTTTTATTTGGTCAATTAAAAAATGCTTTCCCTCCCTTTAATTCTCTTCTGTTTAACCCTCTTCTGACTCTTACTCTGTACCTAACACATCAATGGCATTCTTCTCTCAGATTCTAATCTCTTTTCTGCCGCCTTAAACCATCCTACACACTTTGGAGTAGGTAATCTGTGGTACCTTCATAAATTCCTTTCTATGGCCATCCATCTCAGACCCAGAGAAAAAAACTGTGAAGCTTTAGATGTGACTAGGGTGTGTCCTTCAGTTTCAGATTCTGTGATATGTCAAAGAATATTTACAATACATTTCAATGAACTTGAAGTTCTAGAAGGAGCCTTCTTAATTTTTGAGATGATATGGGAGTCCTGTGATTTATTTGTTGTCTACAAGATAAGCACAAGCATCTTTTCATGACAGCAGTTCAGTCATAGTCATTTATAAGACGCCTACATTTTCCTGGAAGCCTCTATTCTCTTTCTATTTATAGCTGTATTTGTTTTGCCTTCTTTGCTTTCCAGCATAGTGCTTGTTTATAAAAAAGATACCATGTAATCCTTTCAACGCCCTGTATGATAGGAAAGAGGAAGTGAAGTTTGTTATGAATTTTTTAATGGAGTAAATGACTCGCTAGGGAAAACACACGTCTATGCAATGATGTCATCAATGATGATTCCATGGCCCCATTGTCCTCTGGGGACCTTCTCTTTTCATAGGCCATCCAGCTCACAGGATGGTTTTTCTTTTAAGTAAAGGCAATCCCCAAATTATGCTAAGTGTGAGGACCAGGAGTTAAAGAATTTCTGAAGACCATAGCGCAAAGGAGATTCCCTTGTGCTTGGCAGCTGGTTCTTCAGACTAAGTGGAACGAGTCCAAATTCCAATGAAAGTCTTATTAAAACTGATGTCAGACAGCAGGAGTATTCGACACCTTGAATACGATGTGGCTTAGCTTGCTTTTTAGCTACCAAGTGCCCAGCACATCAGTCCACAAAAGGTGACCAATCACTATCTGCTGAAAAAAGGGATCCGTGAAAAAAAGTCCCAATCAAACAAACTGGTAGTATAAACACAAAAGATTTACTTTCTTAAAGGGAACATGTTCCTGCCATGTGCTGAATGTTTGTGTCCCCCATCTCCCAAATTCATATGTTGAAATCCCCAATGTGATGATATTTGGAGATGGGTCTTTAGGAGATAATTAGGTTATGAGGGTAGAGCCCTCATGAATGGGATTAGTGCATTTAAGAGACATGATGGCTGTTGTGCACTATGATTGTGACTCTGAACAGCCACCGCACTTCAGCCTGGGCAACATAGCGAGATCCTATCTCTAAAAAATAAAAAGATGAAAAAATAAAAGATATGAGAGAGCTTGCTTCCTTTCTCTCTCTCTGTCTCTGCCATGTGAGGATATAAGAAGACAGCCATCTGCAAATAAGGAAGAGTCCCCTCACCTGAACCTGCCAGCACCATGATCTTGGATGCCACCAGTCTATAGTATTTTTGTTATAGCAGCCTGAACTGACTAGACAGTTTCTAAGTGCTTTATAGGGATTTATTAATGTATCAGCAATGTAAGCTGAGCTAGTATTCTATATACATATCAGGAGTAATTCTTTACATTGGTGCCTCTACTACACAATGTTTGTTAGCATCATTTTGAATTCTGGTATGCATTTAAAATGAATAAAGTGACATTCCTCTCATTATATTGCATAATTTACATTTAATCTGTCAGAATATCTTTTCATCAATCACTCTGAAATAGTATCATTTTATCTGTCCCCTGCCCCAGCACTTTGAAACTTTCGCTTTGTGTAGGAGAATACAGATGTTTACCATTGGATTTCTATCTATTAGTAGTAGAGTCATTATTCTTTTTCCCTTCTTGCATAGTAACAGAACCTTAGATTTTTAGATGGGCACATGGGTGGCCAGAAATTTCCAGACGTCTCCCTAGCAGTTAGATGGGTCCATGTGACTAAGTTCTGGCCAAAGAGATATAATTGCAATTGTCAAAGAGCAGCTTGTGAGAACCTTCCTCAAAAGACAGCAAAGACCACCATTTGAAACTCTCCCCCTGCCTTTTTTTGTCCTTTGCTTCTTCTGGTGCTGAAATTCATACATCATCTCTGAAGTGGGTGCAGCCATTTTGGACCATGTGGTACCTTGAAATGAGGCCTCATGTGTGGAATAATAGGATAGAAGGAACCTGGGTGTCTGAGGACTTCAGAAAACTGGATCAGCTTTGGACTGCCTACCTTTTGATTCTCATGAGAATTTTAGTCCCTGTTATTTCTGTTTTCTGTTACTAGTAGCAGAAACCTCTGATGAAGAAGAGTGCCAGTGGTGGGCACTCTTAGGAGAGGGGCAATTAAAAGTGACTGAGGGAATGCTCTCTTAGATGCAAAGGTGGGCTTGGGAAGTGAGCAGACATTGCCTGTCACAGGACACAAGTCCACTGTGCCGGGTCTGCCCTTTCACCTGCACTCACTGACCTGTGGACACAGGTCTGATGCTGCTAAGTAATAGGCACGGTTGCAACCTCCCCCTCTTCCTCCCTCTGAAGCAGGAGCTAATGATGTTGAGGCATCTGATCTTCTTAGCAGCTCTGTCAGCTGTACTGGGAGTGCTGGGTGGGCCAGGCACATGTAGTGGCATATGTCATCACGTATTGTGGCAAGTTTTGTTTCGCTTTAACTTTGAAAGACTGCAGATGCAGATATGTTGGATTGGTGGCAGCCTTCCACGGCTCTATTCTAACCTCAGTCTTGAGACAGGGAGGCAGTGAGTTCTAACATGTTTTTACAAAATTCATGACATGCCCAGGAATAGGGTGTCTGGAATAATGGAAGGAAGATGAGCCAGGCAGCTGGCATCTGGATTGTACTCCTGTCACTATTCAGGTTTTGCAAATGTGAAACAAGGGAGTGGGTTGCAGGAAGTCTAAGATCCTTTTAAGTTCCGTCACTGTGATAATTTCTATAATCATCAGATCAGGTGTATCACAATTTCATTGCTTTCTTTATAAGTATGCAACTAATCTGTTGAGTATAAATACAGTGAGAAAATATTACCTGTATTTCCTGAGAAGAAATAAAGCAAAATGTTCTCATCTTTGGATATATATTTTAGCATCAATGTTAGTAAGAAAAGGAAATAAATAGCATCTTGAGTGTCCTTTGGGAAATGAAACTGTATCCATGTTTCTGTCTGATTTAAACTTTAAAGTCAGGCCAGGTGTGGTGGCTCACGCCTGTAATCCCAGCACTTTGGGAGGCTGAGGTGGGCGGATCACTTGAGGTCAGGAGTTCGAGACCAGCCTGGTCAACGTGGCGAAACCCTGTCTCTACTAAAAATACAAAAACTAGCCAGGCATGGTGGTGCGTGCCTGTAGTTCCAGCTACTTGGGAGGCTGAGGCAGGAGAATCGTTTGAACCTGGGAGGCAGAGGTTGCAGTGAGCTGAGATCGCAGTACGGTACTCCAGCCTGGGCGACAGAGCCAGCCTCCATCTCAAATAAATAAATAAACCTTAAAGTCAATGACAACAATGAACTAGATTCCTCCCAGGTGTAACATGGAAGTGGGGAGGGTGGAGGTTTGGGAAGCAGACAGGCCTGAGTTTCACACTGGCTTTATGACCCTGGCCTGTCAACTTTTCCTCTCAGTTTACAAGTTTCCTCAGAATAATTTTCCTAACTACTATTGGCCAGGCTAAACCCATAAACACTCACTTGAACCATTGATCTGGGGACCTGTATGTCCTACAAGTGATTGATTAGTCCTTCTTATCTGCCAGTTCTATTAATAGATGACTCCTCTGGCTCTTCTGGGTGACAAGGCTTAGACTAATGTGTGTCAACCCTCACTGAGCATCAGGATTACCCAGCCAACTTAAAAAATATACAGATGCCCAGGCCCCACCCTGAGAGTTAGATTTAATTGTCTGAGGCTGGCCCTTAGACATTAGTTCAGATGTTCTCAGTCTAGCCTAGTGATTTTTGTTCGTGCAGTCTGGCTTGAGACCTGTCAGCACCACCCCAAGCCACATGGTGGCCTCACATGTGGGTGAACCAAAAGTGGAAGGAGTATTATTGAGGCACTGCAGGGCCCACACAACAGCCATATGGGGAAAAACCCATTATTTGTCTGTTGAGACCCTCACTTTAGTTCCAGGGTAAAAATCTGAATGAGTATTAGCCACCGCTAGAAAGTACAAGATGAATCACTTCAACTTCATTTTCATCAGTAGTAATAAAAATCATAAAGGCACAAGACTTCATTTCAAAAAAGTGTGTTAGTTAAAACAAACTCAATCCTCAATACTTGGCTTTCTAACTCTACTTTCTTGATGTGAACATGGCCTTATGTGTTCCTAACATCAGAGATCAGGAACTTGTATTTTGGGGGCAATTAGTGGTTTCATTTTAAAGCTATTACTATCAAGAAAGAAACAAAAATATAAGAAAATAAGCTATTCAATAAGTAAAACTACAAACTACTTTTTTTTTTTAAAGTAGACCTTGTGTGAGAGTTTGAAATAATTTTCTCAGTTTAAACAATGAGTGAGGACTTTATGTCCCACAGTCTTGATGAGTCTAACACTTGAGAAGCAGATAGAGGGAGGCTGGAGATAATTGTTTAAGCATTTCCCAGATGCTTTTTGTATCACATGCAGTGTTATGCATTCAGCCACCCATGAACAAGCTTGCTGGAGAGCCAAGAAATAACAATGCCATTGTTTTCCCTTTGAATAACTCTGCCTGTTGCATAGAGTGCAAATATGTCTTTTTAGTAGTTTTTCGTGGTTTGCAATTTCCTGAAAAAAAAAAGAGTATATCACTCTAAAAAAATCTGTATTTGAACCTGAGACACTATTCAAATTGTATTAATATAGCAGAGAGTGTCCAATAAACTTTACTAGGAAAAAAATCCAAGGATTTTGATCATATATAAGGCACGTCTAAAGCCATTTTGTCATGTCCCCTTACAACTGGCTCACCTGCCTCACTTCTCTAATTTTCCCCTTGGCACCATCATCATTCATTCAGTCACCTGGCTTTGCTCCATCATCTTAAGATATTGTCTCGTTTTTACTTCCTAAAGCCAGCCATCTTTCTCTTTGCATGCTGCTGCTGTGAGCACCATACAGAGACTCTCAGTGTCTCTTCCTTGGATTCTGGTACCCCCTACCCCAGTCTCCTTGCTTGCAGGTTGTCTTCCCAGCAAGTTACCCTGAGCCCTGTTGCCAGATTGGACTTGCCTCATGAAATTCTTTATCTGTAGTACAGAGATAAAAATTAAATTTCATGGACTGACAAATACAAAATGCCTTATGTAGTATCTGAAATACAGTGGGTACTCTGTAAAGTGTAGTTATTTCTATATTTAGAGGAATAAAGTCCAGGCTCTCAGCCACTTTTAAGCCCCATTACTATTCCAGTTTTATTCAAAAACATTCTGCTAAAACCACTCTACTTTATTTATTGCCCAACACATTTCCTGCTCTTTGCTATTTTTTCAAGTTCTCATTTTGAACTTTGTGCTTAGAATGCTCACTCCTAGTCCTTTAAAGTCTTCCTTCTCTAGAAATTCCTCAGGGACCACTTCAACATATAGTGCTTTCTCCCTCCCACAGACTTTTAACAATTCTTATTGTTGGGAGATATTTCTCCACAAGTCTCTCACGTTTCTGCATGTCTGTTGGCAGAGGCTCTGACTGCCAGTACTGTAGATGATCTCTTCAAGGGTGTTTGCATACTAACAGCTTTGGAAGACAGTGATCATTTCTGTCTCCAGAGTGAAGGGCAAGTTTGTTTACTGTCCAGTGTAACAAAAACAACGTGTCTCTCCAGGGCAAAAGCCAGGCAGCCTTATTGCCCTCATAAAAGATCCCAAGCTCAGATTCCATTCCTATAATGCAACCCACTGCATGTGCAAGGGTCACCTGTCTCTTCTTGTATCGCCCTGTTGGAACTGGGGCTTGAGAAACTGGTGTGAATGATGACCCTGGCTACTGGCTGCTATTATTGTGAGCAATACAGTCCTTTGTTTTTGATTCCTTGTGTGTTCGGTCAGCACCCATGAAACTACAACAGGTTAACTTGTTAGCTTGGAAGTAGGATAAAATCTCAGATCCTTCATACTTATTGATAACGATTATTATTATTTGGTTGTTATAGCTCCTATTTTTTTCATAACAATCTATTTTTTTTTCTCTTCCTTTTTCTTGTCATTGATTTGTGGAGGAACTGGTTCAGGATAAATCTTGTAGATTATCCCTTGGAATTTTGCACGTTCTGGGTTGAATTGATTGCTTCCTGTGATGTCATTTATCTTGTTCCTATATACATCTATTTTTCCTCAAATCATTTTTCACATTGATCTTTCAGCTTTCAATTACACTCTGTCTCCAAACTTCTCTTGAGTCATATTTGGCTTCCACGTATGTTTATTTCTGGTCTTATTACTATATTTAAGTTTCTTATGGGCAGGACTTCTTTTGGTTTGCCTTTACAAAAAAAACTCCTACAATTCCTAGTTAACATTATGACTAGAGTAACAGCATTTGCAGAACGAGTATTCTGGATAAAAATGATTCAGTGAGTCTAATCAGATAACATCCTTTTGCTCTTCTCCACCAGAGGGCGCAATCACATTAGATTTAGGAGCATTTCAAAATCTGGGTTCTTGTCTGCTTTAAATATACCGATGTCAGTATTCTATACATGTAGCTGAATGAATTAGTAAATATATATAAATGAGTTATCAGGCTGGGTGCAGTGGCTCACGCTTGTAATCCCAGCACTTTGGAGGCCGAGGCAGTAGGATCACTTGAGGTCAGGAGTTTGAGACCAAACATGGTGAAACCCCCTCCCTACTAAAAATAAAAAAATTAGCCAGGCATGATGGCATGCACCTGTAATCCCAGATGCTCAGGAGGATGAGGCATGAGCATCGCTTGAACCTGGGAGGCAGAGGTTGCAGTGAGACAAGATCACGCCACTGCACTCCAGGCTGAGCAACAGAGCCAGACTCTGTGTCAGAAAAACAAAACAAAACAAAACAAAAACGAGTTATCAAATGGAGACCTGGTCAGGTTACATGTCACCCTACACAGGAGCTCCTACTGAGAGCAATGAAACGTCTTTTGACTATGATTTCATTATTACCGCATTTCAATCTACTAGGTAATTAGTTTAAAAGCCAAGACCAAATCTTGAAAAATAGATTCCCGTGATTCTTCACATTTTCCATCAATCTGAAAGTGTATTTAAGTATACATATATGACTGCTGACACACAGAACAGTGGCCTGACTAGAAATTCTCCACCTTATGCTACTTTGATGGTTCCAAAGCAAATAGATTGCAAGATGCCTGTGGTGGTGTGATTTAAAAGTACTGAATTTTATGGAAACAAAGGAAGAAGTGGCAGCGGTTTGTTTTCTTAGCTCTTAAGTTAATTCATTTCCTTTTATCTTCTACTTTTTGCTCAAGGAGGTCAGAGCTAACTGGAAAATCAACTCCCAGTAGTACTTGACTTTTATTAAATCTGAATGATTTATCCTGAGACGTTATTTTATGTGGATACCGTGTTTTTTGAACACGTGTGTGCAACCACAGCTTTTTTTTTTTTTTACAATCAGCTTTTTTAGGTTGAAGCAATTATAGTTTTTTGAGGTCATATGAGGTTTGAGCTACCAGTTTGCATAGTAAGAGAAATATGATGCAGTTTCTGCTTTCTGCTCCAAAGTTGCTCATTCGCTAGTAGGGGAGGTTATTTCGGTACAGGTGAGATGGTCTGGGTGAAGTACTTGCAAAGTCCTTTGTAAAGAAGCAGAACTTGTCAAAGAGGCAAGAATGCAGCACGTCCCCTTCCTTCCTTTCAGGGTGGTTTGGTCTCAGGATTCCTAAGCTTTGCTAGTGCAGAGAGGGTGGTTGTCTAAGGCGTCTCATTTTTAATGTTACAACATGCTGAGTGCACGACCTTGGGAGATTTAAATAGGCCACACACATGAAGTTGCTTCAGGTGTCCCAGCTGTTACTTGACAGAATTTTGAGGGCAAGGCCTTGTCTTACTTATCTTCATATCAGCTACTCTGAGCTTGGCACTGTAAATAGACGGTGCTCATTAAATGTATGTTGACTTGAGTTGCACACAGGGATGGAAAGAAGAGGATTCAGACACACAGTTTTTGACTCTTGCTGGTCAGGTTGTCTCTCCGCTTCTGAGAATCAGAGCAGGTGGTGCACTACCTCCTCTCCTCACCCTTTTATTCCAAGGGGCTTGTGAGAGCTTTCTTCACTCAAGACCCTCACAGTTCACACTGGGGCCAGCCTTAAGAGATAGGCAAATGCTGCACGTTCAGACGAGGTTTCCCCTTCCTTCTGCACAAATCAGCCAGAACCTGCAACGGAAGTGTTCTAGAAACTGTCTCACCTGTTGCCAGGAATGCCGGCTAAATTGACCTCAAACAAATCAGTGAAGAGGCCCCCATTGCCTTTGAAGAAGTTAAGATTACAGAAGTTAAGGGCACTCTGTAATATTAACTTCTTCCTGAAATCAATATCTCTTCCCTTGTAAACTCACCCTTTCTTTGAAGAAACTTGAGGAGAGCCTAGAAGCCTTGGGGCAGGAATTTCTGTAAGCAGCTAATTAAACGGCATGAAGAAAGTTGATGCCCTTCTCCTCACTCGTTCTCCCACCCTGCCGCCTCTCAGCCCTGAGAATCAAATACATGAATGAGACTTTTTTTTAAAAACTCACCCCAAGACTTGTAAACTTGTCAACAACTTCCCAGCTCTACGTTCTCTGTTAACTTTAACCTCTGACGCCGGGTTAGCGCTGACCACTAGATAGCGCTGTCGGACAAGAAATCTGAGGGCTCGGAACCGCCGGGAGCCCAGGACTCAGAGGGTGAAGAGGTGGGAGCTGAACAGAGGAAGCGCGAAGGAGGCAGAGCCCGTGATATCGCCTGAGGACTAAAAGCCACAGGGAGCTACCAAACGGAATAAATCCAACTGGCTCTTCCCCAGTCAATAAATATCACCAACGGATTCCAAAGGGTATTAGGAACTGGATGCACCATTGAAAGGGGAAGGATGGAAGAGGGTTACCCGTTCTTTACCGTTTATCACACTAGGAGTCTAGCGTAAAGGCCCCAGGGGACCAAAATGCCAACGTCATGCTGGGAGGTCCCCGGATTGCCTCTTTGTACACATTTGAATTACACTCGTGTCCCCGGGGAATGAGTGTACTTGAATTAGTTTCTGGAGGAGTCTGTGTAGTCCCCAACCCGGGAGTCCTCTCCTTCCTGTTCCTCTCATCCTACTCTGGAAGTTTTGCCTAAGGATCCTTTTTGTTGAGCTAGAAAGGAAGTTTGCAGGTGGTGGTTTGTGTTACCTACACTCCTTTGCAGCAACTATTTTCAGATACGTTAAATCTAAGTATGTGAACAAGAATGCCTCAGCAAGAGAAGATGCCCACGAGGGTCCCCAGCACGCTGCTCTTGGCTGGAGAGGGCAATGTGCACGCCCTTGGGGACAGATGCCTCTTCCACCCAGTCTGCGGCCTCCAGCCGCAGGAAAGGGAAGCCCGTGACTGTCTTTGGATCCCCGGAGGGTGACTGCTCAACTCCGGGGTTGATAGATGCATTGGCAGCTCGGAGCCAAATCAACAAGAGTTCTCTCTTTTAAACAACAACAACAAATCAACATTCAGTGTTACATGCTCCTCAGTCAACAACTCCGCCATCACACACACACACACACACACACACACACACACACACACACACACACACACACACACACAGAGAGAGAGAGAGAGAGAGAGAGAGAGAGAGAGAGAGAGAGAGAACATCTGGGCCGAAATACAAACACCAGCCAGCTTGGGCTGGCGTGCAAAGTAGCAGTTTTCCTTTTCCCTTTCTGGACGGGGTGTCGTTGTCCGGGGGCTTCCCTGGCCGTTTCAGGCAGCGGAGCAGGCCAAGGGCGCAGCCCTACTGGGTGCCCGCTTGGCGGCCTGAGGGACTTCTCTGTTCTCGGGCTCGGTCTTTGAGGCTGCCACCAGTCCACGCGCGGTCTGCAAGCCTGGTTGGACTGGGCTCCCTGCTCTTTGTGTGTTGGGTGGGGAGGCGAGTGAAGGGTTAGCTTGGGTGCAGACGCCAGCTGTCGACAAATTCGGGGCTCAGTGATACCAGGGCAATGTGGTTGCAAGCCTGATTGGGCGCAACGTTGAGAAGGTCGGGTGTTTCATCCCTGGGACGCGCTCACTCACTAGGGGTTTGTCAGACACTCTGGTTGTGAGGATTTGAAGGGGGAAAATCTTGTGTACTGTGTAGGCTCTTTGTGCGAGCTGCCCAGCTGGACTTCGAGTGGGCTGTGTGGTTGGGGAATGTGCAGAGGCGGCGATTCCTATTTGTCTTCATTGTCTCCCTCTTGTCTTCTCTCTTGCTTTCGCCGGCTTCTGCTGGAGGCAGCCTGTGTGTGGGGAGATGTGCAGAAAGGGGAGCGCCCTACAAGTTCTTGTCAGTCGAAAGGCAAGTTTGGAGGCTATCACGCCTAGTGGAGAGGGAAGGCCAAATTTGCAGACGTCAGAGCCAATGGGGAAGAGAGATTTACATTGGGAACATGCCCTCCGATTCTACTATGGCGGGCGGTTAGTTCCAGAGAAGCAGCTCCTCTGTTCCCTTGCGCCCCACCCCGGTCCTTTGTTGTTCAACGCTCCCCCAGCGTTACAGGAGTAACCTTTGGGCTTCAAGAGGCCAAAACGGTGCAGGGCCTATACTGAGGTCAGACGTTATAATCAGAATCTCTCCAGTAGCATTTTTCTGATTTCTTGGTGTGAGCGCTCGAAGCTTCCTCCCGTGCGCCTTGTACAATCTGGCAACCCTGAGTACCAGACTCCCTGCCCAGGAACAAGGGGTAGGATGCCAGGATGGAGGGGGCTGTAAGAAGAGGCGACGTTGTTGGTAGAATATCAGCCCCCTATTTGGCTTCTCCAGTACTGTGTGTGGAGGGGTGCTTTGGGGTTTCAAACTTACTCCTCTTCGCCCCTTTGGCTCCGCGAGGTTTTAAGGGCAGAGCTTTCAGTCCGAAGCCTCCGCTCGGGGCCAGGTTTTGCTCTGGTCCGGGTGAGAAGTTTCTGCAGTGGATGCAACTTGTTACTGAGCGGCTTCCTATTCTGAGAACTCCTGGGTTTCATAGGTTTCCTCTCCCTCTCTTTTGGCTCAACTTAAGCCTCCCAGTTCCGTCCTGAAGCACCAGGGGAGTGAGAAAGGACTGGGAAAGCCATCCCATCACTGAGCCCCGCGCGGGCGGCTGTCCGGGTTTCCAATCGCGCTTGGAGATTGAAAAAGACAGAAGGCGCGCCGCGTGTACAGACAGTTAGTTAATGGAAATCCTGTAAATCGGTTTTAAGTGCACCCAGGACAGAGGGGGAGGAAGATGGAGGTGGTGATATCAGATGAAGGATGGAGATCCGCAGGAGCGGGGGTGAATGGGTTACGCATCCTTGCATTTCCGAAAATGGGAGTCGGTCCCCTCCCCATTGTTCTTAATGTAGAAAAATTCATTAAAGAAATCTCAGGGATAGGGAAACCCGAGCTTCATTAAAGAAATCCCAGTCCGCCCCAAGTGGCGGAGTACGCGGCTTCCCTTGGCAGGGAACCCGGCTGCGGCTGTCCCCCTCTACGCTCCCTCCCTTCTCCCCGCCCCCCAGCGGGGCACTGCTACTACGGCGATCGCCACCTCACGCCGAAGGAATGCTCGAAGTATGCACACGTTCCCAAAAGTAGACCTCCTTCACCGCCGGAGGAGCATACATCACCCCGTGGCAGCCGTCCACCTTCTCAGGCGTTTCGTAACCGAGTAAACTGAGAGCTGGGAACAGCCCTCTATTAAGTAGCCCGCGGCGCGGAGTCTCTTTCCACTTGGCTAAGGCGAACCGCCCCAGACGCGTCCGCGCGCCGGCAGCTGCAGGCTCAGGCCATCTCCAGTCTTCCTGCCGCGCCCGCCTCTCCTCCTGGGATTCTCCTCCTCCTCCTGGACTTCCCCGCAGCTGCCCACGCCTCGGCGGCCGCCAGGTGCTCCTGGAGTGCAGCGCCTATCGCCGGGGCGTGTGGGGGCCACACCGAGCACCAGCTTCTCCGACGCCGGGAAGCCGCTGTCGCCGCCGCTACCTCTCCCTGTTGCCGCCGCCTCAGGTCAGCCTGGTTTCTGTCCCCTTTCCCCTACCCCCATCATTCCCAGAGACAACTCGGGAAACGGCGTCTAGCTTGCACCTTGCCCGGAGCGGTGAAGAATCCTGGGCGAGGACAGTTTGGACTTGTAATAGTGTAGGTGGGCTAGAGCGTTGCCTTGTATACTGGGATTTGGTGATTCTTTGGGGTTTTTGAGGGAGAGGGGAATGTTGCTTTTCTTAAGAGCTGAGCAAGGTTTTGTGCACGCAAAGCATCCCGTTCAGTGTTTCCGTTTCTAGAGGAGTTTCATCTGTAGATGCTGTCGATTTCAATGGAGGGCGCGCCGGGTTCTGGGGCAGCAGGGCCCTGGTTATCTCGCGGCTGTGGCTTTGTCGGGGAGGGCAGGCGTGCGGCGGGGGCGCTGGGAAGGTATTTTGGTGACGCACGGTGCGGAATTCTTTGGAGGGCCCGCTGAGTGCTCTGCAGCTCGTCGAGGCTGCACGGGTGTGTGTGGCATCTCGTAACAGATTCCTAGTGGAGTGTTCTGGCTCCTTCCTCCCCTACCTTTCAGAGCATCCGAGATGGTGGGTTAGGCAGCACTAGGGTACTCATTCTTGGCGGACTTTTCCCAGCTCCGGGAGAAAGTCCCCTCTCCGACTCCCTCCCGGTGCATTGGTGGAGGCCCTATTCGGGGTCTGTGAGATCTCCGCGGCGGTTTCCCACTCAGATCCTAGACTTGTGGGGATCAGAAAGCGTGGGTCGCCGGACTCGTTCAGCGAGCGGAACAGGTACCCCCAAGCGGGCGACCTCGGGAGCCCTTCAGTGACCAGTTCAGGGCTCCCTGGGACTCTGGGCCAGGGAGACTCTCGATCCGGACTCTGTAGTCTTCTAGTGAATGCTGGGGAAGGATAGGGCAGGAAAGGAAATAAACGCTAAGCTCTCCTTTGGCTAATGCCAAGGTCGTGGTGGGTGGGAGAGGAGGTAGGCGACGCGCACGCGGTGTGTGTGTGTGTGTGTGATTTTCTTTTTAACTGGACGCGGGAGTTAAGGAATTGGGTTCTTCCAGCAGGGAATTGGGAGGGGGCGAGTTGGCAGAAGGGGACGAGTCCACTTAGCCCCCACTCCCACCCCAGTGGACTCATTTTTATTCATGAGGGTGAAGTGAGGGAGTCCTCGCTGCCACGTAGGGGCGGCCGCTTTCAGATATTTATGTCTGAGAATGCTCAATGAAGTGTTGCTAAGCATTCAAATGAATGTTTTGGCTAAAAAGGAGAGAAAGCATTTTCTTTTTTAAAACATATATTGACGGGATGCTTGGCTGGCTGGCGTTCCGATATCCCGGCGCGAGATGATTCATTCTTGCAGCTAAGTCGGGAAAGCGACAGGTGGCGATCGAGACCCAGCAAAAGTGTTACCACTCAGGTTTTCGTTGAGTTCAGCTGTTAAAAAAAAATCTGCGCACAGCTTTTCGGTGGGTCGATTGTTCGCCTTTAACTTCTCGCGAGCACGACTGCCAACTGAGTTGGAAATTATTATACCAAAGTTAAGGCAAGATGATTGGAACAATGGGCCAGTCTCACCTCTTGCTTTTCACTGATGTAGAAGAGGGTTAGAAATGTCAAACAGTTGTTAATTAGGAAGAAAGAAATTGCTAGACCCCTTAGATACTTAGGGCAGTGCCAAAATTTTAATCTTGGCTTCATAAAAAGGAGCTCCAGGCAATTTGGCACGCCTGCTCATCAGACATTTAAAATGCAATTTACACACAGGCTGAGGAAAGCTGCCCTCATGCTTTGTGCCAATAATTTGGAAAGTCATCGTTGGAGATTGTCAGTTTCTTTTCTCAAAGAGGCCTCGACCTTTGGCTCATTTTTGCATTCCGACGCAGGACAGTCTCCTATCCCCCTCCATTTTTCCTGAGGCCTAGGCTGTTGGCTTACAATAAATTATGTACTTCAGAGTCAACTCTTTTTATGTTTTGCCACTGGCAACTTCCCAGTTCAGTTCCTTGCTAGTAGCTTTTGTCTTTGGGTTGAACCCTAGACTATTTTAGGAGATTCCATTCTGTAGACATGGGTTAAGTACCTACTGTGTGCTGGGAAACCACAAAGATGAATAAGATTCTTTGTCTTTAAGGAATTCATAATGTAATTACAAAATTAGAAAAAATCGGAACAGAACATATTCTCCTCTGGGGTATGTATACTAATAATCTTCCAGCTTAAATAAACAGTTAAATACAAAGATTATTATTGATAATTTTTATTTAAAAACACGTTGGAAAAACAGACAAGGGTGTCTTGCTTCTTCCATTTTGCTGCCTTATTTGTTATTATGTATTTTGGAGTTGTTTTTCCCTCATCTCAGGTAAAGGATTTATCAGATGTGAAAACAACACAGTTAGCAGGAGGGTCAGGTTTCAGCTGGGCCTTACATATTTCTGTATAATCCATTTCAGATCTTAAAGAGCTGCATATTTGAAAGCAGAACAAAATGAAGAAAAAAGAGAATTAAAAAGGTTTATTATACTTTTCCAAATTACCCTGAGACCACTAAAGTACAGTTACCTAAAGAGTTCATCAGCTAGGAAAAAAGCAGTCAAATAAAATCCCCAGCTGGAAGAGATATTTAGTTGAGTGAGGGATAAAATGACCTCTGAATTAGCCATTACCCAGGCAGGATGAAGTCATGTGAGGGCTGGTAAAGGCCTTCACCCGGGATGCTAAGCAGGACCAGTCTCCAGGAGAACAGGACCCTTTTTAAACTTGAACTTCCTCCTAGGGCCATGATTAAACTTCTGTAGACGAACTTGACTTCCACTGCTTCACAATAGGCCCATTATGTGCTGGAGTAGGCCCTGTGGTTTTTAAGGCAGATCTGGTCGGGTTCTGGACTAGGTCCAGGCTCCAGTTCTAACCTGGTTCAAGGCCTGCCCAGACCCAGTTCTGATGCAGTCACTACTTCCTCCCGCAGATCTCTTCATGCCGCTGTAAGCTCGGAGGCCAAGGATGCGGAGTAGGCTTCCCCCAGCGCTTGCCGCCCTGGGCGCGGCCCTGCTCCTGTCTTCCATTGAGGCAGAAGGTAAAAGGCTCCCTTCCCCTTCACCGAGTGACAATGCAAAATTCGAGAAAGGAAAAAACACATCTTTCTTGCTTCTATTGCTTGCTCTGTTTTCCCTGCGCTTCGTGCTTTCTCCGGTGGTTTCTCTCCTTCAGAGAAACGCCCCTTTCTCCTGAGGTTTGTCCATTTCCCAGCTCTCAGGTCCAGCTCTTTCGTATTCTGCTTAATGCATTCCGTACAGTGCTGTGTGGTCTTCTTGAGCTTGTCTCTGCGGTGTGCTGTCCACACTGCCACCTGCACTGCCGCCTAATAAGAGGACCAGCCGCCCGAGAGGGGGCGACGGCTCTAATCAGCGCAACCAACAGGACACCTCCGGGTGGCACCCAGGAGCCCCGAAGAGCGGGCGCACTCGCTCGCTTGGCTGGTAACCAACCACCTGGCTCGGGGCTGCGACCTCGGTGACAGAACACAATAAAAGACTCCAACAGCGCTGGCTCTGCGCCTCTGTGTGCTTTGTGGGGAGCTCAGTCGGCGGGGCGGACGGTGCGGGCAGATGAGCCAGCAGCCAAGCAGCCTGGGGGATGATGGCAGGCAAGCGGAGATCCGGGACCCCAGGTGTTCGCACGACCTAGGGTCGCGGCTGTCCCTGTTGGTTAGCAGGGCTCCAAGGCGCGTGGCCTGGACTGGTCCAGCTCAGACAGGTTGAGCCTGGGCCAAGGTTTCCAGCCTGGGAAGCAAGCGCGCGCCGGAGTTGCTGGGCACCACCTCCAGTGTCCTGCCCTTGCTCCATCCTGCCTCCCTCAGGGACAGCCGGGTGCGTCGGACCTTCCCGCGGAGGCAGTGGGGCGCTCCGAGATGGGTTTCCAAAACGGCGCCGTGTGGCCCCTCCTCTAGAAAATGGAGGGCTTTTGTTAGATGTCCCACCCAATTTTATTTGTTGTGTGCACTTGATGTCTTAATTTCTCAGTGTTCATTAAACAAGCCATTTCAATATGTCAACCCCATGGCGGCTTCTGTGGCCCCTCAGTTGTCACTGGAGACCTGACAAATTAGTTTTCTTATTCTGCAAAGAAAATGGGGTAATGTCATGAAAGATATCTTTTTTTTTTTTCAGTAAAGAAATACCCCTGATGAAGTTAAGGGAGGAAAAAAAACACTTCTGCCAAGTGACAGCTGTGGAAGTTCTGGGTTGAGGTGTGCTTTTTTAGAGGCTGTGAGAAAGTATGGTTGTTTGCATGATTATGCCAAGGTTTTCAAGGTTTCTATAGTGTTGGATTTTCTACTTCAAGACTACAGGTAAAAAAAAAATTAGGGGAAGCAGAGTGTTTCCAAAATGTATGGCATGTTAAGAAAAGTGACAGAAACTTGCTGACTTTTCTTAGCTGATGAATATTTTATGAATGTAGAGGCTTTTCAGAGTGGCCTCTGTGAAGTAATAGTCAGATGAAGTTGCTTTTAATGTTCCTTTCTATGTCGTTGTTAGGAAGGAATTTTATTTGAGGAACTTCTGGAGGCCCTACTACAGATATTTTTAGATAATTCACTGAAGTGGCCCATTTATTGCTCATTAAGAAAATAGTTATTTGAAAATCAGAAAGAGTTGAGAATTCTTAGAAAAAGAGTTAGGCTGGAAATGATGTAAGTGGAAAAAATTGATTCTGAATTAGATATTGGCTGGTTAGCAAAGTGCAGTTAGAAAGAACAGCTTACTATCTACATTTCTGATTATTCCCATATTATATTTTATCTTTTAAATTTGTATTTATTTCCATATGGTACAGCTCTTTTTTTTTTTGCTTCTTAATCTGTGTCTTTTCTTGTATCCCATCTCCTTAAGTTAGTATTTAATAATTATATTTTAATAGGATTCATTTTTTGGCCTTATTCTCTAGTTTGGCATTGTCAAATAGAAATATGGTATGAGCCACAAATGTAAGCCACATATGTAACCTACATTTTTTTCTGGTAGCCATATTCAAAATGGAAAAAGAAACAGGATAAATTAAATTTTATAATGTATTTTATTTAACCTAAATTATTTCATCATGGAGCCAATATGAAAATTATTAGTGAGATACTTGACTTTTTTTGTACTAAGTCTTTGACAATTGGGTGTGTATTTTATACTTACAGTGCAATTTATTCTTTAAGTTATTTTTATTTTTCCTGAGACAGAGTCTCGCTCTGTTGCCCAGGCTGGAGTGTAGTGGCTTGATCTCGGCTCACTGCAGCCTCCGCCTCCTGGGTTCAAGTGATTCCCATGCCTTAACCTCCTGAGTAGCTGGTACTACAGGGGTTTGCCACCATGCCTGGCTAATTTTTGTATTTTTAGTAGAGACGGGGTTTCACCATGTTGGCCAGGCTGGTCTCGAACCCCTGGCCTCAATTGATTCACCTGCCTCGGCCTCCCAAAGTGCTGGGATTACAGGCAGCACAGTTTATTTCGTACTGGCCACATTTTAAGAGCTTGCTAGCCACAGATGTCTGGTTGCTTCCGTGTCGGACAGCACAGCTCTGCTGTTGACTACTAAGTGGTGCTAGGGGCCTTTGAAGGGCTAACAAAATTTGGGGCCAAAGCCTTTCTGGGGTCACTGGGCTGGAACCAGAATTTCTTTGAAATATTTCTGTTGGGGGCATTTCAAAATTTCAACTTGGGACTCCATTTGGTACCATGCCATTTTGATCTGAGTCCTAAAGTAGCCACAGTTACGTTTCTTTTCCTTTCATGACTCACACTTGCACTCTTATATTCATACTATTTTATTACCATTTTCTATGACCTTAATGTTTTATATATTAAAAACCCAATACCTTTTTGAAAACATTAAAATGTTTTGGTATTCACTTTTTGCCTTTCTTCTTTTTTATAGTGGTAATATTTTTGTCTTGTTTTTCTTCTGCTTATTTGTATTAGGAGCTATATTTTTCATACTATGTTATCTTGTCCTATAGAAATAAGAGTGGAAATGATTTTTTCACTTCAGTATCTATAATTTTTAGCCACTGCAGAGACTTTATCAACCGCATCACTGCATAGACTTTATCAACTGTATCTGAGTGGCCTAGAATGTATGAATTATTTTTGGTTCATGTATGATACAGTATGTTAATTATCCTGTAGAAAACTTAACACTTTGCATATAAAGATTAATGGTCAGTATTCCCTGAGAACTGGGCACTTTTCTAATTAATCTAGGATTAGAGATGAATACAAGTTTTCTGAAAAACAGAGTGTTAATTTTGGTTAGTCTGATTTATAGTTTATAATATATAATGAACAATTGAATATTATCAATTCATCGGTGAGTTGTGGCTATAGCTTTGTCTTGTGTCTAGGTTGAGACTAATTTGTATATATTTTTATAATCCTATGTCTAATTTGTGTTATAACAGAAATTTCAAACTAGAGGCTAACATAGAGATCATCTATTCTACTTCTCTCGTTTTCCAAATGAGAAAATGAGGCCCAGAGAGGCTGAATCACTTGGTCAACTAATGCACTTACTTAGATATGAAAAACAGACAAGACCCCAGTCTTCTAGTCCTAGGTTAGTGCTGGTTTGGTCACACTGTGCTTTGTTTGTGCTTGACAACTGGTTGATCCGGAAAGTTTAATGAGAGGGCATGTTTTGTAATGTGTACAAAATAATCTGTAGCTTATTCTA
The DNA here is from genome assembly GCF_000001405.40 of Homo sapiens. Lineage (NCBI taxonomy): Eukaryota > Metazoa > Chordata > Mammalia > Primates > Hominidae > Homo > Homo sapiens. The sequence goes on along the minus strand of NC_000006.12, from coordinate 75,199,075 downwards.
AAATATTATTTTTTCAACTGATTATTTATGGTACCTTGAAAACTCAAATGAAATGGATTTCTATATCATGGCAAAGATAATTAAAGTTATGCTAATTTTGCATGGCAAATGTAAATTAATGCCTATAGAATATAGTTAACTCATCACTTATTGCACACTTGTCAAGATTTCTCCTATTAAGGTAGTATCCTTTCCAGTGTTGTTATCACAGATATCAAACTAAAGATCTTAGTAGTTCATCAAGATATTTTAGTAGTGTATTCTTAGTTTTGATATATCTATAGCGCATTATGTATACTTACCAAAACTTATTAGACTCCTCTACTCCCTCTCATCCATTTTCCCACCTGTCTATCCATCCTTCCCTTCATTCATCTCTGCAGTGGCCGGTAATTTCTTGGACATAGCCCCTTTTTGGGTGCCCTATTAAAAATGTTTCAAAAAGTTATATATCAAGATGGACACTTTAGTTTTAAATGCTTGAACAAGTGTATAAAGTTAATATACCAAATTTCATCTATATCTGAATTGGAGATACCTGAATACCACATATTTATGTATATATGTATAATAATATGTAATATGTAATAACAATATTACATATGTAATACATATGTAATATGTATAATATATGCACATATAATTATACATGTATGTATATATAAATCAGCTACATATAAATATTGCTTATATTTACAAATATAGGTATATATTAAAAATACGTATATATTAAACCCATTTATGCCTAGTGTTCCACTATTGGAATGCTAAGCATGTGGGAGTGATTTATATCCTACTGCTCAAGGTCATTGCCAAGGTCTGATTACAAAAATTCAAAAAATTGCAACCTCAGGTATAAATGGGTTAAAAGTAACTACATATAAATATTGTTTTCTAAAGTTAATTTTTGATGGAAATATTTCTTCTACTTTGCATTTAATCTAGTACAGTAGAAAACTGTATGTTTTGTAGTCAGACCATGTAATCCAAGTGTTGTTGCCTATTGGCTGTGTTAATCTCTCTGAATTTCACTGATTTATCTGTAAAGCAGGGATAATAAGGCCCATCATTGGGTTCTTATAAGGAAAAAAGCAGCAACACAGTAACCAGCTCTCTGCCTGTTATAGAGAACACTCAGCAAGTTTCAGCTATTATTATCATTCCCAAAATGTCCTAAATCCTGCCAGTTTATGTAACAAAAATTTCATCAGAATGAGTCTTCGTAGCATAGCGTTTTGATAACAAAAAACATTATCTGTAAATATGAAATTAAACTATAAGAATAAAAATACTTAAAATTTTAGTCTCTTTACTGTCAGTATTCAGGTTTTTTGAATATATGTAAGATTGTTATTTATTTGTAATTTTCATTCTGTTTCTCTTGGTTTGGATTCTCATCCTATGCAACTATGGCTCTTTGCAGTTATAATCAATATGCAGCTAGTGCATAATTGAAAATTTCCGGGCTGGGCACAGTGGCTTATTCCTACAATCCCAGCACTGTGGGAGGCTGAGGAGGGCGGATCACCTGAGGTCAGGACTTCAAGAGCAGCCTGACCAACATGGAGAAACCCCGTCTCTACTAAAAATACAAAATTAGCCAGGCATGGTGGAGCACGCCTGTAATCCTTGCTACTCAGGAGGCTGAGGCAGGAGAATCGCTTGAACCTAGGAGGCTGAGGTTGCAGTGAGCCAAGTTCGTACCACTGCACTCCAGCCTGGGCAACAAGAGCGAAACTCCGTCTCAAAAAAAAAAAAAAAAGAAAAGAAAAGAAAATTTCCAGCATCAGCATTGTCTTAGGGAACACTTAGACTCTGTGATGATGTGATGGTGTTTATGAATTATTTTTATGTAAAAGAAAATATTTTTAAAATTAATAAAGTACATTTTTCAGCACTGATTTATGTTGACACGGGTCATACACTTACATCTGCTTTATTATTATTTTTTCATGAAACAAACAAATGTACAAATAGAATGGCATGCCTGAAAAGCTGTACATGCAATAAAATCGGCCAGAAGAAAAGTGAAGCGGGCTCTCTGTTGTACCCATGCGGGTTGGCCATTCTTTTCTACTTTGATTCTCACATATCACAGTTTCTATGAACACCTCAAGATCCTCTGAAATGTTAAAGACTTTTCCCCACAGTCAATTTTTCAGTTTATCTGGAATCCTGGTCATTTGGATATCAACAAGGGGGGCTGCTACTGCCCTTCAGCAGTTTTAACCTAATGTCCGCTGCTTCAGGTCATTTTCCTTCCAAGGTTGGTGGTACTGTTTTTCCATGTACTGATTTTTTTTAAAAGCATGCTCAGGCCAGTGTGTCTGCCTTTGCATTAAATTTGTCCTGAGCCATTGCTACTGGAACAATATTTTATAATGATATTCTTAATACCCGTTGTCCTATTAACATCTGTTGCATGCATGTTATACTGAGTGATGAGTACAGCTAAACCTCAAAATATGATTAAAGACTGAAGAATGTTGAGTAATTAAACTATGCATGTAGATTAATAGTCTAATCTCACTGCCTGTGTATGGATAGTAAGAATATAACATTCATTCCAATACTAGTGTATCCAATAAAAATAAAAAGCCATCTCCTACAGTTGGACGCAGCAGTCCACTAAAGCAAATGTTTGCTTAATTATTTCCATTAAAACATATTATTAATATTACATAAATCTTTAACCCCAGTTAAATTCTGTGACTCATGTCTCAAAGCTGCTAGTGTATTTTAATTGACCTTTGAAAAAACCTGAAAGGAAATTGTAATCTCTCAAAACAGATGCAAAAATTCTGACTCACAAGGAATACTTTCAGACTAAAACATTTTAAGAAGAGTGTGGCTGAAAGTCATCTTAATTTGTTGACCTGTTTCAAGAGTAATAATTTTTAATTCATCAACCATGCACTGACAGTGAGTCAGTACAATGCTGCATGATGAGGCATGAACATTGTAGAGAGAATATCATTATAAAATATTTAGGAAACGTCTTTGTGTAATGACTACTGTACATGGAGGCTTTTGTTCATTGTGGGAAACTAAAAACAAGTCAACATTTCATTGACACATGCATGATGCTCTACAGTTTTGTATGTAAACTATTTCTGTACTTTTCAGTTATTCCTGTCATTGACTTTTCCAAGTTTTTATGCGCAGTCATGTCTTCAGATCACTGATCCTTCTTCACTGTTTTCTTTAAGTTCTGTAAATAAATGTCCATAAATATACATTGATGTTGTCTTTTCATAATTAACCATTGTTTTGTAAAGGACCATACTGGCATTTTAATCTAAAATGCCCTTTCTAGTATGGAGTATACCTGCTGCAAAGGAAATAATAGTGTTGGTTTACACCCTGGAACATTCAGCAAGCTGGTGTAAACAGGCAGAATATTAGTTTAATAAACTTTTGAATATCGCTATTTATATATTTATAAATTAACATCACTTATTTTTGAATACTTGCCTATGAATATGAATATACATTTAAATGTATATTTCCTTGTCAGATATAACTTTCCCATGATTCCTTATTTTCATTAAAATATATTTTTCATCTCTGCTACATATTGAGATTTATCAAATAACAATGAATAATTACAAGGCAAATAATGCAGAGAATGAACCAAAACCATCATTGTTTCTTGTCCATATTGTGGGAAAAAACATATTATGTCAATGTTTTGAATTAACTTCTCTGGTTGTAAGCAGGTTGTGATTTGGCATGCTTGTTCAAAATGCACTCAGCATGTATCGAAATTCCTTTAATTGTTATGTGAATTGTTTGCATATGTGGTTATTATATGTGATTTCATTGTACTTGTATGTACTTGTATCCAAATATGTTTCTATTATGCTTGATTTTGCTGGCCATTCTTGAATGACCTAGCAACTCAAGAATCAAAAGTGTTTTGTGCTGTCTTCTGTAATATGTACACTCTCTGATGTTTTGTCAGCTTTTAGTTTTATTCTTATCCAACAACATATCTTTTATATTTGTTGGAAACAAATTTATGCAAAGACAATTTTAGAAAGCTTTGCTCAACACAATTCTTTATTAATTAAATTGACCATTTTGTGACATTGAAAAGTTTAATAATATAAACTCTCTCTTTTGCAGTTGACCCACCTTCAGACTTGAATTTTAAAATTATAGATGAAAATACTGTTCATATGTCATGGGCAAAACCAGTTGATCCAATTGTGGGTTACAGAATAACGGTGGACCCTACAACGGGTAAGTTTTGAGACTGGGGTTTTAGGACAGAAGCATCATGATGATATAACTCAATCTCCACCTCTTCTCCCCTTTCATCATGAAGAAGCTGTGCTTTAGGAAGCCTGAGGGATTTGATCCATGTCACCAGACATTTGCTGAACTCAGGTTTCAGATTTCCAGTCTAGTGTCCACTATTATATTTTAATGTTATTGAGTTTAACATGTTTTGCTGTGGTAGGTTGTTATTATTAAAAATTGACTCTATTTTTACCTGATCAGAATATTGTTAGTAACCTTTGATCTTATAGAATCAAATCCTCATTCTTTGGCATTCTTCTTGAATTACTTAATATTTTCAACATTTAAAGTATCAGCTGATGAAGTAAGTTGTTACACCTTACCCAGTGTCCTACACATTTCAGTATCCAGGAAACACCATTCTGTGATAATGGTAAACAACCATGATGACAGATAAGAATTTACTTTGGCTAGGTGGATTCCATCGACACTAGGCTGAATCCTTGGAAAACTAAACAAAACTTGTTTTGCTTGTTCTCAGGCATTATCTTTAGTGTTAATAATGTTGCCAAAATGTGGAGAACCAAACTCTATTGATTAATTTTTAGTTCTAAAATGGAATGAGAAAATAACCATTTCCACTGACTGTAAACTAGTTCAACCATTGTGGAAGACAGTGTGGCGATTCCTTAAGGATCTAGAACTAGAAATATCATTTGACCCAGCCATCCCATTTCTGGGTATATACCCAAAGGATTATAAATCATGCTGCTATAAAGACACATGCACACGTATGTTCATTGTGGCACTTATTCACAATAGCAAAGACTTGGAACCAACCCAAATGTCCATCGATGATAGACTGGATTAAGAAAATGTGGCACATATATGCCATGGAATACTATGCAGCCATAAAAAAGGATGAGTTCATGTCATTTATAGGGACATGGATGAAGCTGGAAACCATCATTCTTAGCAAACTGTTGCAAAGACAAAAAACCAAACACCGCATGTTCTCACTCATAGGTGGGAATTGAACAATGAGAACACTTGGACACAGGAAGGGGAACATCACACACTGGGGCCTGTCATGGGGTGTGGGGAGGGGGGAGGGATAGCATTAGGAGATATACCTAATGTAAAGAGTTAATGGGTGCAGCACACCAACATGGCACATGTATACATACGTAACAAACCTGCACGTTGTGCACACGTACTCTAGAACTTAAAGTATAATTTAAAAAATAGTAAAAAAAACAAAGAAAGAAAATAACTACTTCCACTAACATTGGCTAAATGGTAGGAAGAAGTCTTGACTGGCTGACAGTAGAGATGGAAGATGTCAACACAACTTATTACTAGAACTGTGTTTATTTATCTTTTAGCCTTTAAAAATACCAATGATTTTACATATTGATTTACCAGGAAACGTAGCTTTTTTTAAAAAGATGATTTAAAAACTTAAAAAGGGGTAAAAAATTTACTTTTTTCTCTTTCAATCTTTTCTCCCCAAATATATTTGCAGTTAACATATTCATTCCAAATCAGAAAATCAGTTCTAACAGGGTCCATCCAGTTTCTAGATGTTGGGAATAACTGACACCTAACACTTCCAAAACTGGCACTGGGGCTACCCAACCTGGCAGAGTCTGAGTGTCTTGATGTCCTCTGGGGATCTTGGTTGGTTTTGCATGTTCTACCTGCAAACCAAGAGCATTTTTCAGTGGTCTGTTGCACCTGTTATCTTTCCTAATTATTTATATTTTGATGAAAACAATATAATTAAAAATATCAGGCACGTAATTCCCAGGAACCACCAGGTTTCCTGATTGAATTGAGAATTAACAGAATCTAGAAGGGAGTACATAACTGCCAAAATATAAGTAAACACCTAGTATACTGGACCTTGAAATATTTGATACCTGCTTAAGTCAATGCAGAGGTCAATGTTACCCATTAAGGCATGTAGCCATTTGAGTATGGAATATGCACTGCTTCCACACAGATTTTTTCCCACTAGGGGTTGGTCTTAACCTATGGGGTTTGTTTTCTTTGAGTTTATTTTCATCTCTTATTTCTCTCTCTCTGCTCTCCTCCAATGCATAATTTAAAATTAAATTCATTTTCTCTGCTTTATCTCTCATTTATAAAACTGTTATCTACCATTAGTCTCCAAAACCAATGAAAGATTTTTAGTTCGATATTCTGGTATACCTTTAAACTAGAAATGTCTTGAATTCTCAAACAAGTATTAAATATGATTGTAACAAATAAAAGCAATACCAGTCCATTTATTAAATTTCTAAAATTCAAAATTTTAGTTTTGGAAGGCAGTAAAAAATAATGTTTGAGTGTCCTGAAAAAATGTATATACTGAATTTTTCAGATTTTGAGTACCTCTGGGAATTACAATGTATTGTGTTATATGTGAAAAATGTTTTGTTGCATTCATATTTTTCCTTTTTATATTTCCAGATGGGCCTACTAAAGAATTTACCCTTTCAGCTAGTACCACTGAAACTTTATTGTCAGAACTTGTACCTGAAACAGAGTATGTGGTGACAATAACTTCATATGATGAAGTAGAAGAAAGTGTACCAGTTATAGGACAACTAACAAGTAAGCACACATATAAAATAAAATATTTGTATAATTTTTATTTTGCAGAAGGTTTTTCCAACTTCAGATTTAATCTTTTATGATACAAAGTTAATTTACAGCAGTACTAACTATTTTTTTCTGGTATCCTAGTTATTAGTGGACATGAATAATTCATTCCTGATTTATAACTCTGGTCTCTGGAAACAGCAGGAATGTTATGAATGAAGACCATTAAAAATGTTAAACTTTGCTGGACAACAATGTGAATATCTTTTTGAAATATCTCAAAAATATCACTAAAATAACTTACTTGTAAGGGAATGATTATTTGGCAGTATTCTATGACCAGCTGGGCAGAGCCATACATTTAAGAGACAATAACAAAAACTAATATAATATATTTATTCTATTTTAAAGAGAATATCTGCTTGGGTTCATTTCCTTTTGTAATAATAAAGTTTTAACTTAGTTCAAACAGGTAGTTCGACAAAGCCAGTGGAGAAGAAACCTGGAAAAACCGAGATACAAAGTGAGTGTTTCTCTTACTATTTTTGCTTAGATTCATGGAAGTCATAAATGTAGGATAGAACAGATGTTCCAATTATATACATAGATTGATCTTATTCCTATATTAATTTATATAAGCTTTATCTGGAAGGAGCACAGACAATATAAGAATAATGTATAACTAAGTCATTATAACCTAAGTTCTGACATTCTAGCTAGTTTTTCATTCTATTTACTAGATATTCTTTTCAATGGGAGTGTTTTGAAATTGTGTGTGTCCAACCTTTCCTGCAGGATTTTGGCAATAGGTGAAAACAAAGCACATCTCAGGACTCAACTCATTTCTCAAAGACAAACTGATAGCAGTAGGTGGTACTTAGGAATATATGAGAAATACAGGGCTGGAACATGAGAGGGATGCCCTCAGCTAGTGTTCAAAGTAATACAATTGCCATGAAAATACTTTTCTAAGTCTGTGTGTATGTTATGCTCTTCTCTAGGTTATTTACATGGCCTTAGTTGATGGTAGTTGTAACCTTTTTGAGAGTCTCTGTAACACACCTCTTATAAATTGGTGCATTTGTAATCAGATGAAAGCAATTTTATTTAGTCTAGATCTTGCAGTTATTAGCCTCCTTTTGTCTTATATTGCTTTTCTGACTTATGGGGATAGATCCTTAAGGGGTTTCTTGGACTTCTAATTTTGTCATCTCGTAAAACTTGGATTTATGACCCAGAATGACAATAAAAAGATTATAAACACAAAGGTCTCTTTATCTGGAAGTATCCCCTCCAGATCACTGTTTATCATTATTTCAGATGCTAATATTTTCAACAATTATTATTTATTTTAAATTGAGGTATTATGCCAAGTATTGACTTTTTAATAGGCTTAAATTCACCTATTAAATAGTGTGCAAAACTTATTTAAGCATACAACTTGTATTTATTTGGCTTGCAAAATTTTTCAGCACCCTCTCCTTCTCTTCCTAGCCAAATACTTCTTTTATTACCTATCAGCTGACTGCAAGAACAAAATCATCATCAGAAAATTCACTTGGTATTGCATTACAAATACAGATTTTCATAAAACCAACCTGACCTCCACCATAGAGAGAAGGAAAGATAACATATTCAGTTACAAAAGCTGATCATTGTATTTTGATAATTTCAGGATACCACATGGATTTTTAACTTTTGAATAAAAATAATTGTTTACCCTCTTTGTTCACTAAAAGTAGGTTTTAATTGTCAAATTTAAATATATTGATAATTAGGACTATATATTTTGGCTATTTTGCATAATTTTATGCTTGTTTTTACTTCTATCAGGCTCCCTTAGCCCTCTAGACTAACCCTAATGCAAACTTTAGACAATTATATTGAAAAGTGCAAGAGTATATTAACAAATTAGGTCTTCAACTCAACTGCACTTCCTTGAATGGTACAGCAATTATTTTGTATTTATTTGTTGATAAATACCAAGGAATAAAAACCCTTTGCTTATATTTCTTTTGTATGACTCCTAAATGTTTTATAAAATTTGTACTTGTAAAGAAGAGTGAGGGTATAGTTTATAAAAATGGATAGGTTGATAGCACGAATACTTGGACTTTATGCTCCCGGAGAGCAGATTATAGATCTATTTATCTCTTTTTGTATAATGTCTTATAAAGCAATTTAAAGACATCTAGTTCCATGAATTCATCTTGATAAAGGCATTGAAAATGCTTCTATGTGTTGTTAGTAAAATTGTATATTTCTTTGTGCATGTGGGTGAAGAACAATTGGTGAATATGTTCTAATGAACAGAATGATTTAAGGAGCCAACATTTTTGCAATGTTAACATGTATTGATGAGTTGATTTAATAAAGCATCATTTAAAAAGATATCAAATGTATTTCAGAATGCTCTGTCAGTGCCTGGACTGATTTGGTTTTCCTCGTGGATGGCTCTTGGAGTGTGGGAAGAAATAATTTCAAGTACATTTTAGACTTCATTGCTGCTCTTGTGTCTGCTTTTGACATTGGGGAAGAGAAGACAAGAGTTGGAGTTGTTCAATACAGCTCTGATACCAGGACTGAATTTAACTTAAATCAGTACTACCAAAGGGATGAACTTCTTGCTGCAATAAAAAAAATTCCATATAAAGGTGGCAACACAATGACAGGTATGTTCTACAGATTTTTTTAAAGTTAAAAATAAATGAAATGTCTGTTTCAGAAAGAAATGATGCATTGCCTATTACATATTAAATATTTTTGACATTGTTCACATAGTTTTTGACTTTGGAAAAATTGTGTAGTACAGAGTAAATGAACATGTTTCTTTTCCCTTTAGGGGATGCCATTGATTATTTAGTTAAAAATACTTTCACGGAATCTGCTGGGGCAAGAGTTGGCTTTCCTAAAGTGGCAATTATTATTACGGATGGAAAATCCCAGGATGAAGTGGAAATTCCAGCAAGAGAGCTTCGTAATGTTGGAGTTGAAGTTTTCTCCTTGGGTAGGTTAAGTTCAGTTAATTATTTCCATTTTACAACTCCTACAGTATACTTAATGTTTAGGAAGATGAAAGATTGATTCCTCAAGGAAGGATGCTATTAGAAGTGTTTACTGCATTTTTATAGTGTAATATTAAAGACTTAAATTGTCTTTAAGTAAAAATTCTGCTTATCTATTTCCCTCATATAACTCCCTTAGCATATGTATTTAGGAAGGTGGTATTCACATTCTTTGCCAGCTCTCTACTTTTCAAAGAATGCTGGGCCAATGATTCTAATAAAGATCCTCCTTGTATTATCATTAAGTGTTTTTTATGTGTTTCCTATATTATGTAATACTTGAAGAATTCAGAGGGCTCCAGCTTATTGAGGACTCTGGAAGAAAAAAGTATTATCTTTACAGATGGCAAAGACATACGATGGTATGGTTGGGATGAAAGCCCACTCTGTTTAACCAACCACTTTTTTCCTCTTTGGCTGACCACTATATGTCAAATTACAAAATGTTTTTGTCATCTGCACAGTTGCATGTGCAACTGTTATGAAACAAAGCAATTCTGGCTTATGACTTAATGACGATTTGAATATGTCTTCAGTTGTGAAAGATGGAGAAAACGAAGAACTTCTCCAAGTCAGTTGGCACATTTCCCATTTCAATATGTCCTTATCCTTTTGTTTTGAAGGCATTAAAGCTGCAGATGCAAAAGAACTCAAACAAATTGCCTCCACACCTTCACTGAACCATGTTTTCAATGTGGCCAACTTTGATGCAATTGTGGATATTCAGAATGAGATCATCTCCCAGGTGTGCTCAGGTGTTGATGAACAACTTGGTGAATTGGTTAGTGGAGAAGAAGGTGAGTAGACTGTGTAGCATTCCCCATGTGTTAGTCTTTTCCATTGTTTGAGTATTTATAGTTATCTTAGAAGTAGACATATTTATTTAAATATTTCTTCCAGTGATTCTACAATTGTATACTCCACTGTATTGTTTTTTAGCAACTCAACTTGTTGATACCATTTGTATTGTTTTTCCTTCTAGTGGAACATTCAGTAAAATGTATCATTGCACAGTTCTTAAAATTTTTTTGGTGGGGGACAAGTTATGATTTACTCTTTTCTTTAAGACTCTTTTGTGTACATTGAATGTCTATCTGATTATGCTATTCTGCTACTTGCTTTAATTACCTTGCACTCTGATTTAAACATTGATGGGCTGGAAAGACATTTGCAACTTAAAATAATAACAATGTTTCTGCTAACTAGCTAAGGACAAGGGTTTTCTATCATTATACTCTGAGTAATGTTTTGAAAGCTTTTAAGAATATTTCAAAGATCAGTCAATGTGATCCTCCCCTTAGAAAATTCTCCCATTTCTATTAGTTATTACTTCTAAATACATGGGAGAAAGAAAAGACATTTCAAAAGCATCCTTTTGAACATTAAAAATAACAACCCAAAGCCTTTATATTTTTCCATCATTGTTCTCCTCTCAGCTTGAGAATCGATAAGTGATTAAACATAAATTCTAAATAGTGACATCTTCAATCATACAAACTCTTTAATCTTCAATCTCTGAACATTTTGTCAAAATGTTCATTGGCCCTAATTCTGTCTCAGAACCTCTCATTACTTCATGGGCTCTCAATCTATCCTTTGTTTTACTGTCTACTGTCTAACCTTTTTGCTTTGTATTATTATAAAATCCATCTCACTCACCTCCACTTTTCTCTGATTACTTCTCTTCACTCAGTCTTTTAAACAGTTTAATTCTTCCTGGGGTGCAGTTGCATGTATGCAAGGGTAGGCCAGACTTTTTTTCTGCCACTGTTGGAACTTTCCCTGTGTAGGGGGCTGGGGCTACATCACAGGTGTTCACATTTCTCTTTAGTGTCTTCTCTCTTCTGCTGGACTAATCTAAGGCTTCTCTCTTCTGCTGGACTAGCCTGTACTGCCTCTGTATCCCTCAGGTTTGGCCAGATTTCCATGTGGCATCTCTGTGGCTTCCCTCCTACTATTTTCTACTTAAACATCATTTTAAATATATATATATATATATATTTATTTATTTTTAAAATTATTTTCATTTTTTAAAACTTTTAAGTTCAGGGGTACATGTACAGGTTTGTTACATAGATAAACTTGTTTCATGGGGGCTTGTTGTACAGATCATTTCATCACCCAGGTAGTAAGCCTAGTACCCATTAGTTATTTTTCCTGATCCTCTCCCTCCTCCTACCTTCAACCCTCCAATAGGCCCCAGTGTGTGTGTCGTTTCCCTCTATGTCTCCATATGTTCTCATCATTTAGCCCCCACTTATAAGCAAGAACATGTGGTATTTGGTTTTCTGTTCCTGTGTTAGTTTGCTAAGGATAATGGCCTCTAGCTCTATCATTGTCCCTGCAAAGGACATGATCTTGTTCTTTTTCATGGCTGTATAGTATTCCATGGTATATATGTACCACATTTTCCTTATCCAGTCTATCATTGATAGGGTTTTAGGTTAATTCCAAGTGTTTGATATTGTGAATAGTGCTGTAGTGAATATACGTGTGCATTTATCTTTATAATAGGATGATTTATATTCCTTGGGTATATACCCAGTAATGGGATTGCTGGGTTAAATGGTGTTTCTGTTCTTAGTTCTTTGAGGAATTGCTGCACTGTCTTTCACAATGGTTGAACTAATTTACACTCCCAGCAACAGTATATAAGCATTCCTTTTTCTCCACTACCTCACCAGCATTTGTTATTTTTTGACTTTTTAATAATAGCCATTCTGACTGGTGTGAGATGGTGTCTCATTGTGGTTTTGATTTGTGTTTCTCTAATAATCAGTAATGTTGAACTTTTTTTTGTATGATTGTTGACCACATGGATGTCTTCTTTTGAAAAGTGTCTGTTTATGTCCTTTGCCCACTTTTAAATGGGGTTGTGTGTTGTTTTCTTGTAAATTTGTTTATGTTCCTTATAGATGCTGGATATTAGACCTTTGTTGGATGCATAGTTTGCAAAAATTTTCTCCCATTTTGTATGTTGTCTGTTTACTCTGTTGGTAGTTTCTTTTGCCATGCAGAAACTCTTTAATTTAATTAGATCCCATTTGTCAATTTTTGTTTTTGTTGCAATTGCTTTTGGCATCTTTGTCATGAAATCTTTGCCAGGGCCTATGTCCTGAATGGTATTGCCTAGGTTGTTTTCCAGGATTCTTACAGTTTTGGGTCTTACATTTAAGTCTGTAATCCATCTTGAGTTAATTTTTGTCTGTGGTCTAAGGAAGGAGTCCAGATTCAGTCTTTTGCGTATGGCTAGCCAGTTATCTGAGCACCATTTATTGAATAGGGGGTCCTTTCCCCAGTGCTTGTTTTTGTCAGGTTTGTTGAAGATCAGATGGTTGTAGGTGTTCAGTCTCACTTCTGGATTCTCTATTCTGTAACATTGGTCTAGGTGTCTGTTTCTGTACCAGTACTATGCTGTTTTGGTTACCACAGCCCTGTAGCATAATTTGAAGTCAGATAGCCTGCACCTCCAGCATTGTTCTTTCTGCTTAGGATTGCCTTGGATATTCGGATTCTTTTTTGTTCCATATGAAATTTAAAATAGGTGTTTCTAGTTCTGTGAAGAATCTCAATGGTAGTTTAATAGGAGTAGTGGCCAATCTATAGATTGCTTTTGGCAGTATGGCCATTTTAATGATATTGATTCTTTCTATCTATGAGCATGAAATGTTTTTCCATTGTCATCTCTGATTTCTTTGAGCAGTGGTTTGTAGTTCTCCTTGTAGAGATCTTTCACCTAACTAGTTAGCTGTATTCCTAGGTATTTTATTCTATTATTCACAACTCCCATTGTGAATGGGATTTCGTTCCTGATTTAGCTCTCAGCTTGACTGTTGTTGTGTATAGGAATGCTGGCAATTTTTGCACATTGATTTTATATCCTGAGACTTTGCTAAAGTTGTTTATCAGCTTAAGAAGCTTTTGGGCTGAGACATTGCAGTTTTCTAGAGGGATTATGTCATCTGCAAACAGGGATAGTTTGACTTCCTTTCTTCATATTTGGATGCTTTTTATTCCTTTTTCTTGCTTGATTGCTCTGGCCAGAACTTCCAATACTATGTTGAATAGGAGTGGTGAGAGAGGGCAACCTCATCTTGTGCTGGTTTTCAAGTGAAATGCTTCCAGCTTTTGCCTATTCAGTATAAACATCACTTTTATGTCCTACATCTGGTTGCTTTTTTGAGGAGGCGATGTGTAAATTTGGGCCTGTTTTTACACACACTTCCTGCAGGTTGATTTGTGAAAAATTATAACTATATCTTCCGGGAAGTTGATTCCATTGACAAATCCAGAATTTTGATATTGTCTGAAATATCTTAAAATACTTTACGTTAACTGTCAAATACATGACTATGTTCTATGTTGAGTAAGGATCACCATTTTTTAGAGGACTGATATGCATGCGTTAATATGCATGTTATAAGCCATTGTTTCCCCTCTGTTTGGTGGCACTGTGAACATAGTTGAACTTTTTTTCTTACCCTGAAACTAGTGAAAATAAAATTGTTTAAAATTATAAGAACCTGTCATTTAAGAAGTACTAAATGCTTTCTCTTTCTTGGCATATTATAAAGTATCTTTTAAAGATTACACTTTTATGATGTTATTAAGAGAGAAAAATTCCCTAAAGAATTGAATGAAGCATTGATTTAACAAATATTTATCAAGTGCCTACTTTGGTGCTTGAGAATGAAGACAATGAGTGAATACCAAAACCAGAATGGAAATCTTGGTTTCAGAGAAGAATTAGGCATGAAGTGTCCCAACATTAATTTCTTCCAAATACTTTCTTATTCCATTAACTTCTCAGCAATTTGACTAAAAGCCAAGTGTTGAACCACTTTTGGTTTGATAGGGACATGTGAAATTGGGGACTGAGGCGGGTATTGGGCAACTCTTTTCAATGTATTTAGGATGAATTTGAATAAGGAGATTTGAAGGTCCAAACCTAAAGACCAAATTAGTAAGGTTACATCTCACTGTTATTAATCACTGTCTGCTTGTAACTTTTTAGTTGTTGAGCCTCCTTCAAATTTGATTGCCATGGAAGTCTCTTCAAAATATGTTAAGCTAAATTGGAATCCATCTCCTAGTCCAGTGACTGGCTACAAAGTCATCCTCACACCAATGACTGCAGGAAGCCGACAGCACGCTCTGAGTGTGGGGCCTCAGACAACCACGCTCAGTGTTCGCGACCTCTCAGCAGACACAGAATACCAGATCAGTGTTTCCGCCATGAAGGGAATGACATCCAGTGAACCCATTTCAATAATGGAGAAGACTCAGCCAATGAAAGTTCAAGTGGGTAAGTCAATGTGTGCATCATTGTATTTGGAATATGTGAAGATCTGTTTGACAGAATGCCTTACTTGTTTGGACTTAGTTTTGAATGAAATATTTGCAATAGTTTTTTTTTTAAAGAAGCACGCTTACTAAGAAAGCTAGATATGTATATTTTAATGATTAATATGTATTGAAGTTTAATGTACTTTTTTTCTCTTTACAGAATGCTCACGTGGTGTGGATATAAAAGCCGATATTGTGTTTTTGGTTGATGGCTCCTATAGCATTGGGATTGCAAACTTTGTTAAAGTTAGAGCCTTTTTGGAAGTTCTTGTAAAAAGTTTTGAAATTTCACCAAATAGGGTCCAGATTAGTCTTGTGCAATACAGCCGGGATCCTCATACTGAGTTCACTTTGAAAAAATTCACCAAAGTTGAAGATATAATTGAAGCAATAAACACCTTCCCTTACAGAGGAGGATCTACAAATACTGGCAAAGCAATGACTTATGTCAGAGAGAAAATATTTGTGCCTAGCAAGGGATCAAGAAGCAATGTGCCAAAGGTCATGATTCTTATCACGGATGGGAAATCATCAGATGCTTTCAGAGATCCTGCGATAAAACTGAGGAATTCAGATGTTGAAATCTTTGCAGTTGGTGTGAAGGATGCCGTTCGCTCAGAATTGGAAGCTATTGCCTCTCCTCCTGCAGAGACCCATGTGTTCACAGTGGAAGATTTTGATGCTTTTCAGAGGATATCTTTTGAACTCACACAGTCTATCTGCCTTAGAATTGAGCAAGAATTGGCAGCTATAAAGAAGAAAGGTTAGTAGACTTTGAGAGTAAAAGTTATTTCTTCATGAACAAAGAATTTTTGGTTCTAAAATTGTGGATAATATGCTTGTTCAATTCTTCTTATAGACACGAAAAAGTAACTTTCCTATGTTATTGAAAACTATTGAACTTAGTTTTCTTAGCTCTGAGATATGACTTTCTCCTGGATATGGATCATATTTTAGTTGGTGAAAAAGCTGTTTAGTTACAAGAGTCATGAGATGTTTCTGTTCCTAGATTGTCAAGCAGGTTTAGGAACAAGTTTTATCATATGTATGTGTCATTTACAATCCAAATCCCATGTATGGGGTGTTCACTATGTGCTGGATACTGAGCTGGGTCCTTCAACTCAAAGGTGAAGAGAATATAGTCTTGCACCTTTGGATTCTTTTTATGCATTTCCTTTCCTGAATCATTTTGGGCATCATTTGTCACATCTGGAATTTTCCTCATTTGTCTGATCTACTTTTCAATGTGTAGTTAAAAGTCCCATCCCTTGAGTTTGTGTCCTTTTCAGGGACATGGATGAAGCTGGAAACCATCATTCTCAGCAAACTAACACAAGAACAGAAAACCAAACACTGCATGTTCTCACTCATATGTGGGAGTTGAATAATGAGAACACATGGACACAGGGGTGGCGGCATCACACACCGGGACCTATAGGAAGGTGGGGGGGCTGGGGGAGGGATGGCATTAGGAAAAATACCTAATGTAGATGACGAGTTGATGGATGCAGCAAACCACCATGGCACATGTACACCTATGTAACAAAACTGCACGTTCTGCACATGTACCCCAGAACTCAAAGTATTATAATAATAAAAAGTCCCATCCTTTTCATTAAGCCTTCCTAAACTGTAACTGTCCTAGCACTATCATGCTATCACTTTCACTCAGTTGGCTTTCCTATGTACTGTTTTTTTTTCTTTTTTTTTTTTTTTTGAGACAGGGTCTCACTCTGTCACCCAGGCTGGAGTGCAGTGGTGCAATCTATGCTCACTGCAATATCTGCCTCCCCAGTTCAAGCAATTCTCGCACCCCAGCCTACCCAGTAGCTGGAACTACAGGAGTGTGCCACCACGCCTGGCTAATTTTTCTGTTTTTTTTTTTGGTAGAGACGGGGTTTCCCCATGTTGGCTAGTCTGGTCTTGAACTCCTGACCTCAGGTGATCCACCTGCCTCAGTCTCCCAAAGTGCTGAGATCATAGGCGTTAGCCCCCATACCCTTCCTGCCTTTTTTTTTTGGTTGTTAATAATGTTGCATTCTCTCGTTTCTCTATTTTGACTGTGTGCCCCCTAAGGATTTACTGTATGTGTTAAACATTGTCTCTTTCTATGATTTAGTTTAATAACTGCTAAGTTTAATACATATTTTGTTGTTGGGAAAAATTCCTTAATTTTTACTTTGAAATATTTGTCTGCAAACCACCAAAGGTTAATATCCAAGTACCAGGGATGAATGGGAAAATGTAGATGGTTCATTTTAGGTCTGCTATGGTTTAAATATTCCAATTATGGGCAAGGCCATTCTATTACGACTGCTTTAAGAATCTCAAAATTCACATTCAAATTTAATCAGTCATTTAAATAATAGAAGTTAGTATTATAGATAGTCAAGGTGAATAATCAAGATCTCTTGTTGGGTTGTAAGTTGTGGGGGGCTTTCTCTCAATGGTCAAATGTAGATGAGATACCCAGTACAGTAGTCTCAATGAGCACCATTCTCCCAAATTAATGTAAGCCATTTTATAAACATTGAAATATTGGTTACTGTTTTGTTTTATAGATTCAAGCATTTTTAACTGTCTTTTTTTTTTTTTAAATAGCTTACGTCCCTCCAAAGGATCTTAGTTTTTCAGAAGTGACTTCTTATGGTTTCAAAACCAACTGGTCTCCAGCTGGAGAAAATGTTTTTTCATATCACATCACCTACAAGGAAGCGGCTGGGGATGATGAGGTCACTGTGGTGGAGCCAGCATCGAGCACCAGTGTTGTTCTCAGCAGCCTGAAGCCAGAGACCTTGTATTTGGTCAATGTGACTGCGGAGTATGAGGATGGCTTCAGCATTCCCTTAGCTGGAGAGGAGACCACCGAAGAAGGTGTGATGGGGTTTCTGCCACTGTTATTCAGAAAATGAATAATTTATTGCACTACAAAGTTACAGTTTGTAATAACCATCTGCTTTATAGTTCAGAATTGCCAATGCCTTTGTAAGATTTGGCATCTTTAAAAGACAGCTTTTCATAAATCTTTTTAAAAAGAGAAAAATAACTTTTAAGTAAAAAACCTTAGACTTCTTTTGATGAATTTGAAGTTAGGAGACCTAGAGAACTGTTGATAATTATGGAATTAACTTTTGAAATACTGTTTATCCATCTTTTTTGGTCCCAAATTTCAGGAATGTCATGTCTTAAATCTTTCTGAAATTGTTTACTGTACTTACAGAGTTACGGCAAATATATATATGTATATATAGGTAATAAGTATATTATAAATTATTTATTTTCTTTTTAAAAAGTTGTGGTAAAATATACATATTTACCATTGTAACCATTTTTTGAGTGCACATTTTAGTGGCATTAAGTACATTCACCTTGTTGTGCTACTATCACCACCATCCGTCTTTAGAACTAGCAAAACTGAAATTCTGTACCCATTAAGCAATAACTCCCCATTCCCTCCTTCCCTCTACTCCTGGAAACCACCATTCTATTTTCTGTCTCTAGGAATTTGATTACTCTAACTACCTCACTTGAGAGGAATCTTTCAGTACTTGTCTTGTTGTGCCTGGATTATTTCACTTAGTAAATGTCCTCAAGGTTGATCCATGTCGTAGCGTGTGTCAGAATGCTCTCTCTACTTATGGTTGAATAATATTCCACTGTATGTATACACCACATATCTTTTAAGATGGGGTTCTTATTATGTTATCCAGGTTGGCCTCAAAATCCTAGGCTCAAATGATTCTTTTGCCTCAGCTTCCTGAGTAGCTGGGACTACAGGTGTGTGGCATAGCGCCCTGCTTCACATTTTGTGTATCTCCATTCATCAATGGACATTTGGGCTGCACCCACCTTTTGTGAATATTGCTGCTATGAACATGGTGTGCACATTTTGCCAAATGTTTTAAGCAGTATTTGTTTACATGTGTACTCCTTACTGGATAGAATTGAATATATTTGGACACACTTTGTTATGTTTGACATTTAAGGCACCAATTTAAGTTGGTTAGTGGAAGACTAAGGCAAGGCAATTATTCTTTAACATAAGCATAGCAAAGTATCACAATAGATGTCAATTGTTCTTTCCTCTTTTGACTGGGAATAGGAGGTAAAGACCATGAAAGAATAGTGTGAGGAATTTAAGATAGTTATAAGGAAGTATTTGCTGACAGGGATGGTGCACATTGGCATACTATACTGATAAAAGCTAGAGAATCTTTTTTCTGTGAAACATTTTTCAGATAAGATTGCTATTTTTCCTTTTTTTTTTTTTGCATGGTTTAGGTATATTTCTTCCTGAAGTCCATCACATAAACTAAATGGTCTAAGAAGTCCTTTCATCTTATGACTTGTGGTCATATAAGGGAGAAGGCTGTACTCAGATATTTCTGAGTTTCTGATGCTTTTCCTGTAATGCCCACACTGCTGCTCGATGACCCTGACCCTTTCTTTTCAGCATTTTGGGAGGGGAATGGGAAATCTGTCTCAAGAGAGGACTTGTCTCAGGGTTTTTGAGTAGAAGTCACTCCATTCATACACACTCTAGTTTTTGGTCATTGGTCTACTACAATGGAGTTTGGTAAAGTCTTTTCAGTTATATTGTCTGTAATGGAATCTGGGATTTAAATTTGCTTTAGTTGATAAGAAAGTTTCCAATGTAATACTTTCATTAAGCTAACAATTACAGAGCTCCTGCTATGTGTCAGGGGCTCTGCTAAATGTTTTCCATAGATTATCTCATTTAACCACTTAAATAATCCTATAAATAGTCATGTTTTGCTGCTAGGGTAATCTGTGGCTCAGAATTACATATCTGTTAAGCTTCAGAGCTAGGATTCCAACCCATCAGTCTATCTGCTGATTTGTTCTGACTCGTTTAATCTTTTTCCTTCCAATACAAAATGAATCATGGGTGTAAGTTGGCCAACTACCATTTCTTTCTTTCCTGGAGAGATATACTTCCTTCCTTTCTCTTCTAGAGAGATATACTTCCTTCCTTTCTTTCTCCCTGGAGTGATCTATTGATGTGTTGAATATTTAAATAAACTTCTAAATGTCTGTGTGTTATTTGCCAGGCGTGTTGTGCTAGGCTTTCACCCCAGTGGACTGAGAAGACAAAGACCTTTAGTTCATCTTTCCTGAATATGTTGTCTGTATAGGCAGTTGGCCCCATTGAGCAAGAAGGTCATTTAAACATGTTTACTAAACACAAAACCAAATGATGTTCTCATTTGGGCATAATGAAAAATGCATTTAAAATTATGAGTCTGTGGGTGTTACCCATAGTGCATCTTAGCTTCAAGATGTAGATCTAATGAGCATTCATTAAGTACCTATTCTGTGCTTGTTCCATCCTGTGTATGGTTGAATTATTCTCCAAGTCAAATGACCATACAGATAAAAAGTTAGTGTGGGACGGACTGGATAAGACGGTTTGGTTGGGTGGGTTGATATGGTAGAGCTGGGTGTTAGGTGTTATTTTCCTAGTTTCGTGAGAAAATGTAGTAAGAGTGAAAGTCTTGGCTGCTTATATTCAAAGAAATGACTTGTTTTTATTCTTGAAGTTTATAGCAGTATAAATTTAGCATTTGATAGAATATTTATTATTTTAAAAGTTTACTATTATATACATCTTTATGTAATTAAAAAATTAACAGTACTTAGTTTCTTTCTGGATATTATAGAATTCATATTTGCTGTTTCAGAATTTAGTTAATCTCTGGCTAAATGAGTACAGAAACCAGGATGTTTGCAAATAAATTGCTCATGGATTTCTTTAGAGAAATGGTATAATTTAGTAATAAAAAGGTAATTTTTGTATTTTTCATATAAAGTCAGTCAATTTATGGTTTAAAATCTATTTTTCCTTTTTTATTTCAGTAAAAGGAGCACCTCGAAACCTAAAGGTGACAGATGAGACTACAGATAGTTTCAAAATTACTTGGACTCAAGCTCCAGGGAGAGTTTTAAGATATCGAATTATATATAGACCAGTTGCTGGTGGAGAGAGCAGAGAAGTTACCACCCCACCCAATCAGAGGAGGAGAACACTGGAGAACTTGATTCCAGACACGAAATATGAAGTATCTGTAATTCCTGAATATTTCTCAGGACCTGGTACTCCATTAACTGGAAATGCAGCCACTGAAGAAGGTAGAGGAAATATGCTTATCATATGGTGACAACCAAACTCTTAGACTAGAGGGGAAAATTGGGACAACTATCCAGATAAAAAACTAATGAGACACTTTGTTTCAATTGTTTGAGTATGTTAGACCATAGTCCTTTTAGATTTAAGTTAAAATTTTTTTTTTACTTAATCATGACATTATTTACTTGTGTCAATAGATTTATTTGTTTAATTAATTATTTAATTAATTTTTTTCAGACAGAGTCTCTCTCTGTTGCCCAAGCTGGAGTGCAGTGGCTCGGCTCACTGCACCCTCTGCCTCCTGGGTTCAAGTGATTCTCCTGATTCAGCCTCCCAAATAGCTGGGATTACAGGCGCGTGCAACTACACCCAGCTAATTTTTGTATTTTTAGTAGAAAGAGGGTTTCACCATGTTGGCCAGGCTGGTCTGAGACTCCTGACCTCAGGTGATCTGGCCGACATGGCCTCCCAAAGTGCTGGGATTATAGACGTGAGCCACCACGCCCGGCCTTGTGTCAATAGAATTTAAATGCTAGGATATAGTCTCAATATTCTTTTAAAAATAATATTATTAAATGTTTTAGTGTGAATTGAAGGATGACTAAGAATTAAAAATCAAACTGCTATGCACCATTGAAATAAATTGTATTTTACTTCTTAAGAAAGATTTTTAAACATTAACTTGTTTTCTTTAAATGGGATGATTAGGATCCCAGTATACATTCTGATGTTTGTTGAAATTATTAATGTTTAATACGTGATTTCATTGGGGGAAAAGTGAGGCATTCATAATTTTTCATTTTATTTCCTAGCTGTAATGTTTTTAAAATAGCAGTAATAATGCCAAGGACACATTAGCAATAATGAAAAGTTACTGAGTACCTGTCTGGTGTCAGGTTCTGTACAAAGAGCTTTTCATATATTTTGTTTAATCTCTGCATAGACTTTATGTTATTATTATCATCATCTCAGCTTGATAAGAGAATTGAGGCTGAGGAAATTAAATAATAAATCAAGACCACACAGCTAATAAATGGTGAATCTGAGTTTGTGGATTTTACTGTCCTACTGCAGACATTTACAAGGAGTATCCATTATCTCTTGGTCTGCATCACCCTTCTCTGTCCCACTGCCCTCCCTCCCTCTACATCACTCTCCCCACTCCTACTGCATTCCTCTCCCTCCTCCCCCACTGCGTCATGCTCCCACCGCCCACTGCCCTCCCTCCCACTGCATCACTTTCCCTCCTCCCACTGCATCACTCTCCCACCTCCCACTGCATCACTCTCCCACCTCCCACAGCATCCCTCTCCCTCCTCCCACTGCATCACTCTCCCTCCTCCCACTGCATCACTCTCCCACCTCACACTGTATCACTTTCCTTCCTCCCCCACTGCATCACGCTCCCACTGCCCATTGCCCTCCCTCCCACTGCATCTCTCTTCCTCCTTTCACTGTTTCACTCTCCTCTCTTCCCCCTGCAACCTAGCTCATTAGCCTGTTCTGCTATGGAGGCTTTCTCTTTTTACCTGCTTCCTTCCTCCTCTCTTCCATTGGTGAAGTGTGACTACTTCATTGGTTTTCTCTCTTGCTGAGGGTCTAGGGCTCTTTGTGCTGGGTACCATAATGTGACCCAATACCTCTTTATCTTTCTATTTTCTGGAGTAAAACTAGCTGGCTTTTATATGCTCAGTGGAGAGTGACATAGGGCTGGATTCCTTAGGAACCTTCAAAGAGGACATGACCAATCTACAAAGAAAGTCATGAAATAGCAGACATCACAGCTACAAAAGGATGGGTGGTCCCTCGGGATTTGTACCCAAGGCTCGGTCTCACTTAGCTGTTTTTTCTCTTACTTTTTTTCCCCCTAGGGAAAGCAATATGTTTATAATTTATCATTTTTATTATATCAGAATTCGCTCCTGTTACCTTTAGATGTTCATAGCATTACACTGATTAACTGTTTTTACTGAAGATTTCTTAAAGGAATTAAAATCTGCATTGTAATACTAATCAATGTGTATATATTTTATAGTGCTTTGTTCCACTTTTAAGGAAATACAGGGAAACTATTTTATAGGAAATATTCTAACATGAAAGATTTTACATGGAAGATTTTAACCTTTGTAAACACAGAAAAGGGACTGAATATCTTTCCCCTTGTTTCTACTAACATATAGGGTCTGATTCAGAGATGCTTAAGCTTTGTTGGCTGGTCAACAGTTAAAATTGTCATAGTCTCACCCAGGATATAACTTTGATGTAGTGCACATGCATAAGTAAAGTAACAAAGTGTTTTTCAAGTCATTTTTTTAAATAATGGGTTTTGATGATGTTGTCATTTTTTAATGAAGTTAGAGGGAATCCAAGAGACTTAAGAGTTTCTGACCCTACGACGTCTACTATGAAATTATCTTGGAGTGGGGCACCAGGAAAAGTGAAACAGTATCTCGTCACATATACCCCAGTGGCAGGGGGTGAAACTCAAGAGGTCACTGTGAGGGGAGATACAACCAATACGGTGCTGCAGGGATTGAAGGAAGGGACACAATACGCCTTATCTGTGACAGCCTTGTATGCGTCTGGGGCTGGAGACGCCCTCTTTGGTGAAGGAACAACACTTGAAGGTAATTACCATCATATTTTCTGAAAATCCAGGAACTTGTTTGTGGTGCTGCCTCTAGGAAGCTTAAAATGTCTTCAGACAATGAATCTAGAAGTGTGCAATCCTTTCTCTTAAAAAGAATCCATATTGAAAAACAAATAACCATAAAGCTCTCTGTTATTCAGAGATGTAGAATGTAAGCAACTGAAAAAATTAAACTTGATTCAGAAGTGCCTTGGGGAGCTGGATGCATAATAAGACCAAAGAGATGTGTTTATAGTTCCATGGGTTGGTTGAAAGGAGAATAGGTGTATGACATTCAGAGCGAGAAGGGACCTTGGGAAACATCTATGAAAAAAGGTTTGGATTGCCCAAGTTTATGCAGCTAGTTCTATCTTTCAGATCCAGATAAGAGCCATTTTCTGACTTCCATTCAAGTGCTCTTTCCATTTACCATGCATAAAAGCTCAAGAAATATAAGAATCCAAGTTTCTTTTTTTTTGTGAGACAGAGTCTCGCTCTTTCGCCCAGGCTGGACTGCAGTGGCGCTATCTCGGCTCACTGCAAGCTCTGCCTCTATGGTTCACGCCAGTCTCCTGCCTCAGCATCCCAAGTAGCTGGGACTACAGGCGCCCGCCACCACGCCTGGCTAATTTTTTGTATTTTTAGTAGGGACGGGGTTTCACCATGTTAGCCAGGATGATCTCGATCTCCTGACCTCGTGATCCGCCCGCCTCGGCCACCAAAATGCTGGGATTACAGGCCTGAGCCACCGCGCCTGGCCAAGAATCCAAGTTTCTATTTGTTTTCTAAGTGATTTCTGAAATTCCGTTCTGTATTAAATTTTCAAAGTGATTGCGATAAAGTACTTAGTAAGAAACATCAGCAAGACTGGAGCAGTTTCCTTGGTTCTTTAGAGTTAATTGTCAGAGGCCTTTATATTTTTTAGGATTTTTGAGATATAATCACAGCTTAGGTTTAACTCACCACAGCTACTAAGTGAATAATGCAAGGGAGAGAAAATACAAATTTAATTGCACCGCAATGAGAATGGATTGCAATGCTAAAAATCCCATGATGTTGACTCAGTCCTATAACTGGGGGCCTACATGGACTATCAGCAATAGCTTTCCTTCTCCTATCATTATATTTTATATGATTTATTTTAAATGATTATAGGAAGAAAATGAATCTGAAGTATCTTCTAATATGAAATCACAGTGACTAAGCAAAATATCCATCAAAGTTGATGGCTCCAGGAGCTTGGAAGGTTGTAGATATTGTAATTAATGAGACAGGACATACAATAGGCAGTTCTTAGAAACTTCAAGGGTTAAGAATGAAAAACAAATAAATAAAAAATACTAATTTAAATAGTAGTGATCGGGCAGGCGTGGTGGCTCACGCCTGTAATCCCAGCACTTTGCGAGACCAAGGCAGGTGGATCACCTGAGGTCAGGAATTCGAGATCAGCCTGGCCAACATGGTAAAACCCTGTCTCTACTAAATACAAAAATTAGCTGTGCGTGGTGGCGCATGCCTGTAATCCCAGCTACTTGGGAAGCTGAGGCAGGAGAATCACTTGAACTCGAGAGGCGGAGGTTGCAGTGAGCCGAGATTGCACCATTGCACTCCAGGCTGGGCAACAAGAATGAAACTCCATCTCAAAAAAAAAAAATAATAATAATAGTGATCAAGAGTTAAATTTCCATAGTCCATGAAATCTGTTTCTAGAAAAAGATTTAAATGAAAGATTAAATACCAGTGTTTAAAGTACTTACAACTAGAAGAGTCCCAGTTGTACTGCTTAGCTGTGTGACCTGGAGTAAACCTTTAACCCCTCTGGGCCTTAGTTTATTCATCTATAAAGAAGGGATGATTATCCTCCCTCTTTCTTCCCAGAGTTATTGTTGAGATCAAATGGGAGAATGTAAGTGAAATTCATTGGAAACTGTAAAATACTCTATGTCTACAAAATTCATCAAGAGGACATAGCTTATTAACTTTAGATCTGATATCTAAAAGCCTCTTGGTATACTCAGGGTTGGGGGCTGCAGATTGGTTCCAAGACGCCTGCATATACCAAAATCCCCTGCATATACCAAAGTCCTCTTATACTCAAGTCCGGCAGTCGGCCCTAGGGAACCTGTATATGTGAAAAGTTGGCCCCCGGATATAGGTGGCTTTCGCATCCTGTGAATACTGTATTTTTCGTCTGCGTTTTGTTGAAATAAATCTGCATATAAGTGGACCTTCACAGTGCAAACCCATGCTGTCAACTGTATAGCTTTAGTATTTCAAATATAATTGGTAACACAAAAAGTTTTGAAAAAAATAGTAGAAACAGAAATTGCCTTAAATACACAGACATAATCCAAACAAAAAAAGCTTGTGATCTTTACAATCTGGGGCAACATCCAGAATTTTGGAGAAATTTGTCCTTTTCTTTGGACCTTTTGAAGTTCTGTTTCTCCATATGCTTTCCACAATCTTTTAGCATAGGTTGTTCATAAGATTTTTTTAGAGGACAAACTTTCACTCTTTATTTTTTACAGGATAGATGTAGATTGTATTTGTGAACATTTCTTCTTTATAAGGAGTATCTTGGAAATAATTTAATAGTTTTTCTTCTGGTTGTGCCTTTTAGCCTTCTGGTATTCATTTGTGCTTTCTTGCTTTTAAAAATATATTTATGCTCAGTAAAAATCTTCTCGATTCTAAAAATTAAGGCATTTTTGCCAAGAATAATATATTACAAATTGTATTTAACAAAATGTACTTTTTAATTTTACAGGAAGCACATTCTACTAGGCTGTGATTTTTGTAAGCCAGATGTATTGCTCAATTGTTTATAATATTATAGCTCTTCACAAGTGGTATCAAAAACCTATCAACTTGTACGCATGTGTGAGTATACACACACGCACGTGTCTTTGATAAGAAACAATCTCTAAGGGAAACACATAGCTAGTAAAATAAATTTTAAAAGCTATTGTTTTCTATTTCCTGAGAAGAAGGAAAGCTAGATAATTTGCAAGTTTGCTTAAAAAAATACAGTTAATTCCTAACTAAATTGTAGTAATTTACAATGGACATTTTGTTCATTTATGCTAAAGTGCTTTACTGCAGTGAAGGATTACCGAAGGGCCTCCAGCCTGATTTTGTTAACATATTTATCCCATTGCATTATGTGTGGTAAACTTGACAAATATGTGAAAGCATAGTTGTGACTAAATGAAAATAATAGAAGATTTTTGCCCCTGGTTATTCCATTTCATTTTATTGTATTAACTCAGCCAAATCCACATACCATATACAGGAATAGGATATGATGGTAAATGCAGGGAGTGGAAAGCCCAGAAACAGAGCCAGGCAACTGCTTTTGAGGGCTGCTGTTTTTCTAATTTGTTTTTCTCTTGGGAGAGGAGGTGGTAAGAGCAGAACTTGAAGGAATGTTTCCTTTATCCAGAGGCATGGTGTCAGCCGGCAGGAGCATTCTGTAGGTTGGACATCTTATAGATTACCTCAAATGCATTATGGCTTTCAATTCAAAAGGAAATAAAGTTGTTGTTGTTTTGTATTTTGAAAAAATGTGTAGTGTGGTCTACAACCATCCCTAACTTGAATCTATTTCCTAGTACTTTTTTTGAAATGCAGCCAATGATCAGAAAATTCCCTTGTTGCTGGAAGAGAGATTTATTAGCACTGGCATTGGGGAAGTTCATGGTTGGCTGTAGTACTGTATGCAATAGAATCACAAAGGCAGAGTTTATTACTATTTCAGATCCAAACTTCAGAGGAATGTGAGCATACATCATTAGGTTTGATTTACATTGTTTTTTTCCCCTGTTGTTGTTAGAGCAGTTAGACAATGTAATTACAACAACCCTACTGTATATGTAATTGAACTTCAAGTCTTGAAAGAACCTTTAATTGCTGCTGTTAGTGCTTGGAGGAAAATCTGTTTTTATAAACCTCTCAATAAATACTGCCCATTTTAATTCAGCGATTGACCACAAATGAAGGAGAATTTCAATTTGAAGAATAATATGTTTTCTTGTTAAATTTTTGAGTGTTGTTTTTTGGCTATGGAAAATATGACTTTTTAGAATTTCCTTTGTTTCAGTTGCTATAGCAACCTGCTAATGTCCTGGATATGAATGGCTTCCTACAGATCAAACCAAGTGTATTCAGTTGACATTTTGTTACAATGAGGTTTTTAGCACATCTCAGGAATTCTGCATGATGTTGAGTAACATGGGCCCCTTAAAGATGGACTAAACAAGGCCTCTGTGTTTTCCCTGATTTACTGCTGTCTCATAATTTGAAAAATCATACATTCTGGGTATAATAACTCTGACGTTGCCAGGGAACTTTAGCACAGTCACCAAACAATAATTTCTATTTCCTTTTTCTGTGAATTAATTGCTTGTCAGATAAAAATTGAAGTCAATGTGGAGAGGTGATAATTACGGAAGAAACACTTTTTTGCTCAAGCCGACTTTGAAGTTGAATGGTAATTTAATTGTTAAGTTGTTTTTAAGAACTGTGCATAGCTTAAAGTAACTGAGTTAACTTATCAATAGTGAACTTTGTCCTTTGGAATGGTGGCTCTAATTCATTGGTTGTAAATCAAATGTATTTCCACATGAATGTTATCCACAAGCAGATCTTCTGTATTGCTGTGGAAAGTTGGATGACTTTTGAGCTGAGCTCTAATGGAAAAGACAAATTGATTTAGAAGAGAGTTTACGTTACATTTTCAATTTAACTTCTATTTTTGAAAGTGGTATATGAAACTCAATGAAAGCTGGCTGGAACAATCTATAAGATGAAATGCAGTTTTATTTCATGATGATTAATTTTTCATTTATCATTGGCTAATTTGTGTTATAATTATATTTGAATTGGATGATAATTTGCTTTTCAGAAAGAAAATGGAAAAGGGGTAAGGAAACATAGGAAAGTTACTTAAATGAGGCATTAGTTCTTTGGCTTGGTATGTGGAAAAAAGCAGTGTAGGAATCAATCCCTTCAGGATGTTCAGATCATGAGAAGTAGACCTGTCTGAATTACTTCCCACAGCAGCAGCACAGAGACACATGCAAGCACACACTAGAAAAATGGCTTTTGAATAGATGTAACTATGTTTTATAATAAGGACAGAAATGCTGAGTAGCCAGATTTCAAAACCTGATAGAGTTTTATACCTTTAAACTTATGACATTTATACCTATACTGGTACTATACTAGGAAGAATAAAGTGTAAGGGAAAATTGTCAAGATAGAATCAAAGGAATGGTAATAAAGGAATATCATCATTGTAGATGATGACTTGTTTGAAATGATTGCCAGAATTTCTATTACCAGAGATAAAATTAATAGAGAGAACACAGGCATATATCCAGAACAGAAGAGAGCAAGTACTATGAGACTAAACATTATTCAAAAAAAACCCTAAACAAACCCCAGCACCATAAGACACATATTTGTAAATCTTGGGGAACAGAAGAAAGAGGAGGACCTCAGAAGGGAGGGAGCCTCTGCTAGAGCAAAAGTAGATCTAGGTTCAGGGAAAGGTAGTGACTACATGGCAAAAAGTCTACTAGGGTTGCTTTCTGTTCACTGCCACTGTTTCTATGCCTTCCCCTTTTGAGGAGCAGTAACCTCTCCTAGAGATAGCCTACAGACTGGTCTTCTGGCATCTTTACGTTCTTCTCCCTCTCTCTTTCCTAGTCCCTCTTAGGTACTCTAAAAAGGGACTCTTGCATAAACCCAATATAATGAAACTAAACCAAAGCAAGTCGGATAATTTCTTCCTGTAGTTACTGATGTCTGGAGCTCCTCAGATTCAGGACAAAAATGACAATGTATTGAACCAAGTAAATGCCTTGCTAGGTAACACTTAGAACTTCATTAATGTGAAAATGTGCTCAGCTCTTCAATAAGAGGCATGCGTGTGTTCAGAGCCATTTCCTGTCGAGACAAGATGGAGGGGAGAAGAGAGCAGTGAACATCCCACATGTGTCCATGGAGATGTGATGAAAAGCTTAAATCATCTCCTCTGTTCTCTGAGGGTCAGCCTTGAGATTATTTTGCCGCCTAAAGCAGTGATTTTCTGTACATGGCAATATAACCACACAAAATACAAGCCACCCAGCAGTCCTACAGAGCATCATGTGTGTAATGATTTTGACCAGTTTACCTTCACCATACCTGTCTTTATTTTGAAGGAGCACCATTTCTATGTGAAAGCAGATTTGAGGTTCCTTCCCACACTGACCCAGCACACCTCCCGAATAAATGCTTCTCTAGACCTCAGAGAGGAGAAGTAGAAAGAAGAGCAAAAAGGGGAAAGAATAAAGAATTGTAGAGGTTTTGGAATCACAGGGCAGATTTAAAAGATATTTAGAAGGCACCAGTACTTAGGTGCATCCCCAAATATTCCAATTTAATTGATTTGGGTAGGGTCCAGCCTTTGTTTTTTCAGGCAATTCTGTTTATCGGTTCAAGTCCAGTCCAGTTATTTTGCTGCTGAGGGCCCCAAGGCCCCAGGAGGTGACATAGCCTGTTGTTGACCTGCTCAGATGGTTGCATACCTGGCCCCAAGACCAGTTCAGCCACTTGCCAGCTTCCATCCTGCCAACTGTACCACAGGGCGCAATCCACTTGCTTCATTTTTTGGTAATCTAATGTTTGGCCAAACCAAGATCTCATTTTTTAAAAATTCAAGGGCTATACATTTACTTGTCATGAGTACAACTTATTCTCAAAATTCCTGGTTGTAATGTAACAGAATATTCAGCCCTCCTCCCTAAAAAAAATTATCAATGTGTTTGGGGAGCAGGATGGATTTAATATTTAGGAATATTCTTATCAAACTGACTGATTGACATGTAAGAAACCCATATGAAGCAGTTTATCTTCTCAATTGTGGTGTCTCGATTGAACTATCTTTCTCCTTTCTTTGGAGTCTATGTTGCTATGTCACTAACATGGAATGTTGTAGTGACAGTGCCTGCCTTTACATACCACAGGCAGAACTACAATTTTTAGTGAGTTTTTTTCTGAGATTGAGAACTTACTCAGTGTTCACTCAAAATAGTGTTGTCATGCCATTAATTAGAGCTTAAAAATATTTTTTAGTTGATTTTTAATTTGCATCTTAAAAAGTGCTGTTGTAGATTATTTTCAGGATATCGATAAACCTTGGGAAAGGTCTTCATTGCATTTTACTAGTATTTTGTTCTAGCTTTACAAGTCTTGAGAGTGTTAAAATAGTTGATTAAAATCCATAGGAAGACATGTCTTGTGATCTTAAATCCTTTTGTTTTAAGCCCAGAAATATCTTTGTGAATGTATTTTTGCTTCAACCACAATTCTCTTCCTATTATTTTTCTCACAGTGAAATCATTAGCCTGTGTTTATGAGATTGATGTCTGTTGTCATGGAAATAAACAATGTCACAAATTTAGTGCTGTAGAAAGAAAAATAGGTTGAGAAGCAAAACCTTTGGGAAAAATAAAAGCTGAAATTGTTTTAAAATTACCCCGGTGTTAATTTGAAAGATAATTTCCACATTCTAGTTAACCTTATTTGTCTGATACTTTTTTGAAACGTCGTTAATGCAGCTCATTTAAATTCAAAATTGCTTTCAAGCAAGGTCATTTCACAACAGCTGTTCCTGACTGCAATCTAGGAAATTTAGAGGAAAAGGCACATATTGAAAATTGTATATATCAAGCAAAGGAAAAACGTGCTGTACATTTAAAACTTAGAGACTAGTTGTTGGGATATCGATTATCAAAACAAATAAAAAACAAAACAAAGAAGCCCACAGCCAAACCAAATAAAACAAACAGTTTTAAATTGTACTTTTATATTCCAAGTAGAGAAAATAGAAAGGTGTATGACCATTTACATAGTAAAGACAGCTAAAGAAGACTTTCAAATGGGAATTAACCTCAAGAGCTGAGGGTAAAAATTCAATGTGCTCTTAAAAATAAGTATTCTTTGTTCCAGTGAAATATGTAACTAATTTCCTTCCAGGGATGAGATGTGCTGTCAGCAGTTAAAGTTATTTATAATGGAGTTAGAATTTTCCATTTGGGCTTGGGGTCTGGTAGGCTGCCCAGCTTCTGTTTCATTTATTTTTTCCCTCTAAATCGACCATATATGATAGGTTTTTGTCCACCTAGATTTCTTTTTCATTCATTGTTACCTTTACTTTTTGTGTTGAAATATAATTGTTAAATTATGACTGCGTTTAAGATATTCATTTTAACTCTTTGAGTTAAGTAAAATAATAGTTTTTAAAATTCTTGTAAGAGCATTATATATCATTTGCATGAATATACAACAATTACTGGTAAAATGTATGCTGGGAAGCAGATAGATTTGTATTTATGTCATACTGTGGCATAAACCCTAGTAAAGGTAGACAATATAAAGTGACCTGTATATTTATCTTACATTTAAAATATGGAGAGTGAGGGTTTTATTGAAAGACATTTGTGCCTCCTGTTAAGTTGAGGTTTCCATATTTTTCCACTTGGGTTGTATGTTTTTTGAATGAAAGAGCCAAAATTTAGTAGCAGACGTTTTTGATCAGCTAGAACAAGTGGTATGTTTTATTTTGGTGACTAATCACTTTTAAGTTTTCCAGAAGAATTGGTTGTTTTCAATTTTGTTAGGGTTAAGCTATATTGAAAGTTTGCACTGCTACGTTTTAAACTGCATGAGCAAATAAAAGTTTCACCAATAAACTGTTGTTGGCATTAAGTTTTGTAAGTGATATGAGATTGTTGCAGTTGTTGTAAATCATGCATTGAAACTGAGTTTATTTAAATTAGATCAGAGAGGAAAAGATCATGGTAAGGAAATAAAGATCTTTGTGAACAATGGGCCATGTCACAAGGCAGACAAAAATGTGATAAAATTCTGGGACTTAGATACATTTTTTTTCCTTTGGAATTTTTTTTTAAAGACAAATACTCCTTCAAATTTGGATGTCAATCTTGTCCTGAAGGACAAGATTATCTGACTAGGCATATGAGGGCAAAGTTAAGAGGTAGGAATCAAATAGAATTCTAAAGTTTTATTGCATCTATCTATTCCACAGACAGAATAGGATGGACAACTCAAAAAGAAGAAATGGGCAATTTTAGACAAATTGAGTGTGAGTCCAGCAAGTCAGAATCTCTACCAGGATCAATGAATATAATACTTAAATACCTACTAGACATTTTTAAAAAAGATTCCCTTTTAATTTCTGTTCTAGAACGTGGTTCTCCTCAAGATTTAGTTACTAAAGACATCACTGACACATCAATTGGGGCTTATTGGACATCTGCTCCAGGAATGGTTCGCGGTTACAGGGTCTCATGGAAATCACTTTATGATGATGTTGACACTGGAGAGAAAAATCTGCCTGAAGATGCAATTCATACGATGATAGAAAATCTGCAGCCAGAGACCAAATACAGAATTTCAGTATTTGCCACTTACAGCAGTGGAGAAGGAGAACCTTTGACTGGAGATGCCACAACTGAATGTAGGTAACATTATGGGTGTGTTTGGGTGTGTGCCGGTGCTACCCAATAGTTATCAGCTCAAGTGACATGCAGTTTAATCACTTGAATGTTTTTTCTTTACATGATAAATGAAGACTGAGGAATTAGGATCTTTAAAGAATTTGGCTTAAATTCAGAGTAGGTTAGTGTCTAAAAGTATATCAAATTTTGAAATATCGAATCTCTTTCAACTACCTATATTTGTCTTTTTTTTTTTCTGGTGCAATGATTGACTAGATAGAATACCCAACTAGTAAAAAGACCAGAAGCTATGAAGCGAAGAGAATTTGGGCACATTTGTATAGCTGCATGATCTTTGTCAAGTTACTTAACCTTCTTTGAGCCTCAGTTTCCTAATCTGTAGAATGCAGATAATAAATCTTGTCTCTTAGAGTTGTGAGGATTGTATAAAATAGCAATATACAAAGTGGCCAGCATAGTGCCTAGCCACTTAGAGATGATTGATAAATGATTGATCGCTATTGAAACTATGATTATCATACAACCAAGACTTAACTTAGTTTTTTAATTTTTTATTTATTTTTATTTTTATTTTATTCCTATTATATTTGGTAAGGTCAAATCAAAAGCCCACTCAATTTTCTGATGGCTCAGATTTACCTCACTCTTACTGATATTTTTTTTTTGTAAATAATTATGAATTACCTATCATAATCATCTGGCTGGTGAAAGATGTGTCAGGATATCTTAATTCACTATCCTAAAAGGTTATTTGTTTAAGTGATAATCATGTGTCAGTGTAGGTTCAGCAGTTGTAACAAATGTACCACTTTGGTGAAGGATATTGATAATGCAGGAGGCTGTGCATGTGTGGAGGTGGGAAAAGGTACATGGGAAATTTCTGTACCTTCTGCTCAATCTCTGTACCAAAACTGCTCTAAAACAATACAAAATCTATTAAAAACAAACAATTGAAACCAAACCAAAGCAAATGTCATTTGTTAAGCATGGGCATTTCTAAGCATTTGTAGGAGAAAACTTTAATCCTTTTGTTTTGGGAAGGTTTTAGGAAAAGGAGAAAGACTGGGCATTCATGCATTTCCTTCTATAAAAAAGAAATAGAGGAATTTGGTGATTTTTCTGGCAAAGGAAGAGAGAGGGAGAAGTGCCATGAGCAATTTCAGTTAAGTCCTATATCTTGATTTTAAGTTGTCCTTAAACTAAAATCTTTGTGTCTAAGTTCATTTTCTTTTTATCATTTGCAAGCTCAGTTGGATGTTCAAGTTTAAATTTGTATCTTAATTCACCAGATTTTTAAAAATCAACTTCTTTATAGGAAATTTAAATATGTGAGAAGACATAGTTCTCAGATATTCACATGATTGGTTTCTATGGTAGTAAATAAAATCTTGTGTCTGGAATATATTGGCTGATGTAGTTTAAGAACATGGTAGAAATTCATTCTCTACTTTTGAGGAAATTCACTTGTCAAGAGAAGCTGTATTGTAAACTTAGGTCATATATGACACATAAAGCTAAATTTATTTGTAGGAGTACAGATACAGTTCATGTGGCTGAGAAATTACAAAAGTATATGTATTTAGAGGGATTTTTTTCCTCCAGAAATTATCCTCCGTTTTGTCTTTTTCCAAAAAGTTGGAGGCTTCAAATAATTATTTGGAATTTAAAATGTCTACAAGAGATGTGTTGTCGCCAAAAGCAAATATGGTGGCAGAAACTAAATAAATCTCTGTATCTCAGAAGATGAGCATCTAAGAAATTTTCAATATTTCTTGGCTAATTGCTTGATTTAAACATTGATGAACAGAAAGTCCTATTTTTTTCCCAAGTTAACTTTTTTTAAAATTATACTTTAAGTTCTGGGGTACATGCGCAGAATGTGTAGGTTTTTTACATAGGTATACACGTGCCATGGTGGTTTGTTGCACCCATCAACCCATCATCTACATTAGGTATTTCTCCTAATGCTATCCCTCCCCTAGCCCCCTACCCTACTACAGGCCCCGGTGTGTGAGGTTCCCCTCCCTGTGTCCATGTATTCTTATTGTTCAACTCCCACTTATGAGTGAGAACATATGGTGTTTGGTTTTCTGTTCTTGCATTAGTATGCTGAGAATGTTCGTTTTCAACATGATCCATGTCCTTGCAAAGGACATGAACTCATCCTTTTATATGGCTGCATAGTATTCCATGGTGTATATGTGTCACATTTTCTTTATCCAGTCTGTCACTGATGGGCATTTGGGTTGGTTCCAAGTCTTTGCTATTGTGAACACTGCTGCAATAAACATACGTGTGCTTGTGTATTTATAGTAGAATGATTTATAATCCTTTGGGTATATATCCAGTAATGGGATTGCTGGGTCAACTGGTATTTCTAGTTCTAGATCCTTGAGGAATCACCACACTGTCTTACACATTGGTTGAACTAATTTACACTGCTACCAACAGTGTAAAAGCGTTCCTATTTCTCCACATCCTCTCCAGCATCTGTTGTTTCCTGACTTTTTAATGATTGCCATTCTAACTGGTGTGAGCTGATATCTCATTGTGGTTTTGATTTGCATTTCTCTAATGATCAGTGATGATGATCTTTTTTTCATATGTCTGTTGGCTGCATAAATGTCTTCTTTTGAGAAGTGTCCATTAATATCCTTTGCCAACTTTTTCATGGGGTTGTTTGATATTTTCTTGTAAATCTGTTTCAGTTCTTTGTAGATTCTGGATATTAGCCCTTTGTCAGATGTATAGATTGCAAAAATTTTCTCCCATTCTGTAGGTTGCCTGTTCACTCTGATGATAGTTTCTTTTGCTGTGCAGAAGCTCTTTAGTTTAATCAGATTCCATTTGTCTATTTTGGCTTTTATTGCCATTGCTTTTGGTGTTTTAGTCATGAAGCCTTTGCCCATGCCTATGTCTTAAATGGTATTGCATAGGTTTTCTTCTAGGGATTTTTATGGTTTTAGGCCTTACATTTAAGTCTTTACTCCATCTTGAGTTAATTTTTGTATAAGGTGTAAGGAAAGGATCCAGTTTCAGCTTTCTGTGTATGGCTAGCCAGTTTTCCCAACACCATTTATTAAATAGGGAATCCTTTCCCCATTGCTTGTTTTTGTCAGATTTGTCAAAGATCAGATGGTTATAGATGTGTGGTGTTATTTCTGAGGCCTCTGTTCTGTTCCATTGGTCTATTTATTGCACTTTACGTTTTTGGTACCAGTACTGTGCTGTTTTTGTTACTGTAGCCTTCTAGTATAGTTTGAATTCAGGTAGCTTGATGCCTCCAGCTTTGTTCTTTGTGGGTAGGATTGTCTTGGCTATGTGGACTCTTTTTTGGTTCCATCTGAAATTTAATGTAGTTTTTTCTAATTCTTGAAGAAAGTCAATGGTAGCTTGATTGGGATAGCATTAAATCTATAAATTACTTTGGGCAGTATGGCCATTTTGACAGTATTGATTCTTCATATCTACAAGCATGGAATGTTTTTCCATTTGTTTCTGTCCTCTCTTATTTCCTTGAGAGTGGTTTGTAGTTCTCCTTGAAGAGGTCCTTCACATCCCTTGTAAGTTGTATTCCTAGGTATTTTATTCTCTTTGTAGCAATTGTGAATGGGAGTTCACTCATGATTTGGCTGTTTGTCTGTTATTGGTGTATAAGAATGCTTGTGATTTTTGCACATTGATTTTGTATCCTGAGACTTTGCTGAAGTTGCTTATCAGCTTAAGGAGATTCTGGGCTGAGACAGTGAGGTTTTCTAAATATACAATCTTGTCATCTGCAAACAGAGACAATTTGACTTCCTCTTTTCCTAATTGAATGCCCTTTATTTCTTTCTCTTGCCTGATTGCCTTGGCCAGAACTTCCAATACTATGTTGAATAGGAGTAGTGAGAGAGGGCATCCTTGTCTTGTGCCAGTTTTCAAAGGGAATGCTTCCAGTTTTTGCCCATTCAATATGATATTGGCTGTGGGAGGCCTCTTTTGAACAAGGAGCAGACGTGGCAGGAATGAAATGTTCATTTTTAGGTTACGATTGGCCCTCCATATTCTCAGGTTCCACATGTGCAAAAGTAACCAACTGCTGATAGACAATATTTTTTAAAAAGCAATAAGAAATAACAATACAACAATAAATAATAATGCTAGTAAAATACAGTATAATAATTATTTATATGACATTTACATTGTATTATAAGTAATGCAGAGATGATTTAAAGTTAACAAGTTCTCAAATAATATCATAACATTGATGAGAAAAAAGAATTGGTTCCTGGTGGGGGTCACCATCTGTGTGGAGTTTGCACATCCTCTCCATGTCTGTGGGTTTCCTCCAGGTACTCTAGTTACCTCCCACATCTCAAAGATGTGCATGTTAGGTGAGCTGGTGCGTCCACGTGGTCCCAGCCTGAGTGAGTGTGGGTGTGTGTGTGTGTGCCTAGGATGGGGTTCTCCCTTTCGCCCTGAGCTACTTGGACAGGCTGTGTCCACTGTGACCCTTAACTGGAATAAATGGGTGAATAATTATGTTACTGGTTTTCATTTATCTTTCTTAAATGTGTATATAGCTCACACATACATCAGTGTTTCTTATGAGAAGTGTTTTGGTTTTTATTGAGAAGTTTGGTGATGTTTTTGTGATCAGAAATATGATGTAGGAACTTAACTCTTGTTTATATCAATTAACCTCTGGAAAATTGGTTTCTTTATGTCAGTTGTTCAAAGTTGCAGTTTTCAAGAAATTATTTAACGTTAGGTGAGGGCTTACTGTATTAGGGAGGATATGCATAGGTTTATGCAAATACTATGCCATTTTATATCAGGAACTTGAGCATGTGAGGATTTTGGTTTCTATGGGAGATCCTGAAACCAATCTCCCATGGATACCAAAGGGCGACTGTATGTGAAAACTGCTGAAATGTCTAAGTAAATAAGAAAGAAGTCATGGACCTTTCTTTGTTCTACCACCACTTTGTTGTTGTTTAGAAAGTATTTTCAGAAATCTGAGTGAGATCTGCTATTCAGATGGTAGAGGAATCCTAAGGTGTGGATAACTCAGCAGAAACCCGAGCCCATGCTCCTAGAGTTTCACATATGCTTCCAAGAGGGCATTTTGGGAATGTCTTTAAGATTGCTTTCACCTGAAACTCAGGGACATGGTATGCAGACTGTTGATACAATGAAACGAATACATTGATACAATGAAAATCATGAATTGGGGTTAGAAAGCCAGCAGAAGGGACACTTTCTATTGCCCTTCTAATTTATGGCAGCTGGCTTAGCAGTGGTACAGTGGATGTTTGAAAGTGTCTGGTGATAGTTACTAACACATGAAAAGAACTTACAATGTGAGAGGGTGTAACAGCATTTAATGGCATGTGGTATCCAATCAATGATGTAAAAATTCTTGCTCTTTGGTTATGGGAAACCAACAAGGGTTTTTTTTTTTTCTCCCTAAAATCCAGTTTCCCATTAAAACTAGGATGAGATATGCTATACTGTATTTAATTTCAGTTTCTTTATTTTGAAGAGTTAATTAAAAGGCAGGAATATAAGTGAGGTTGTTAAAGTATATCAAGGTATGAGATATCACTTTTGGCTGTTATTAACATGTTTAAATTTTGAAACATTTTAAAGCTTGGCATCCCATTTTTTTTTGAAACTTAAGTTTCTTTAAACATTTTAAAGCTTGGCATCCCATTTTTTTTTGAAACTTAAGTTTCTTTTTAGATCAACATTCATAAGATTTAACTTTTTATTTTTCTAAATTCTGAGTTGTGTGAAATTCGTTTAAAAATTTTGTAAGAGAGAGAATGTCTTGTTCCACTGAGTAAAAATTTAAGAGATGAAACAAAAGATGAGAAAATGTATTGTAGCACAACCCCTTCTAGAAAACTGTTAGACACCCATCAACTTATTTGATATTTGTGACAACTGGTAATGCTAATAATCCAAATAGATTATTTTTCTATATACTATTCTTTCTTGTACTATTTTCAAAACTCCAGGTAAAAGTCTTTAGATTTTTTGTTTGGAAATACATATATATGTTTATATAATATATATTTTTATATAATAATATATATTTTATATATATAAACTTTTTTTCTTTTAATAGTTCACGTACCTGGAGAATAATAATAGCAAATTGATGATTAATCTAAATAAATTTTAATATTTCCAGAAAGTAATGGACTTCACTGAGAGTTCTCTTAGTTTCTTTAAACCTAAAAATAAAAATTGCAGCCAATATAATTTTGATTGAAATTATATTTTTTATCTCTCAGAAGCATAATTCATAACCATCATAACCATATATTGAATTTGCTTACTTTATCATTCTTATCTTTGTCCTCTATACATATTATGTGTTTTTAAAAAAATATGGCTGCTTTACAGATTTTATTTTTATTACTAATTTTAAGCAATTTAATTATGATGTGTCTTGGTATAGTTTCTTTATGTTTCTTGTGTTTGGGGTTCACTACACTTCTAGGATCTGTGAGTTTATGGTTTTTATAAAATTTGAACCAGTCCATCCCATTATTTTTTCAAATACTTTATTTATTACACCCCCACTTTATTCAGGTACTCCAATTAATTACACATATGTTAGTCTGCTTGAAGTTGTCACACAGCTCACTGATGCTCTGTTCATTAAAAAAATTTTTTCTTTCCTTGTGTTTCATGTTCTATTATAATGCCATCAAGTTCACTAATCATTTTTTTATATTTTCTAATCTGCTGTAAATATTATCTCATGTATTTTTCATTTTAGATTTATCTTTATCTCTAGAAGTTTAATTTGAGTCTTTTTATATGTTCTATATCTCTAGTTAAAATGCTTAATCTTTCTCCTACCATTATTACATATGAAATATAGTTATAATAAGTGTTTTAACATCCTTTTTAATTCTGTAATGTATGTCATTTCTAGTTCTGTTTCTATTGATTGATTTTTCTTCTTATTATGTGTTGTCTTAGTTTGGACTGTGATAACAAAAGGTATTACTATTGACTGAGTGGCTGTAACAACAGAAAGTTATTTTCTCACAGTTTTGGAGGCTGGAAAGTTCAAGATTAAGGTCTGGCAGGGTTTGATTTCTGGTGAGGGCTCTCTTCCTGGTGTGTGGTCACCTTCCTTTATGTCCTCATATGGCCTTTTCTCAGGCTGTGAATGTGGAAAGAGAGAGAGAGCTCTTTGGTGTCTCCTTTTTTTCTTATAAAGTCACCAAGCCTATCAGATTAAGGCTTCACTCTGATGACCTTATTAAACCCAAATTGCCTCCACAAAGGCCTCATGTTTAAATGTCATCACATTGAAGGTTGAGACTTCAATATATGAATTTAGTGGTGGGAGACCTTCAATCCATGATACAAGTCATAAGTTTTTCCTTTTTGGCATGTCTTGTAACTTTTATTAGATGTCAGATTTTGTGAATTTTATTTGCTTGGGTGCTAGATATTTTTATGTTCTTATAAATACTCTTAAGTTTTATTCTGGAATACAGTTAAGTTACTTGGAAATAGTTTGATCTGACATTTGCTTTTAAACTGTTTCAGTTTAGGACTAATTTTGCCCCATTATTGAGACAATCACCTACTAAATATCCTACATGATCTCCCTACAGTTGTGAGGTTTTCTCTTCTGGGTAGGGGGAACATTTCTAACCCTGTGTGAGCTCAATAAATTGTTCCCTGGGCTCCTTTGGGGTGGTTCTTTCCCTAGTTTTGGGTGGTTTTCTTACACATGTGCACTGATTATCCTAGGTTGAAGACCAAGTATTTTCTCTGTGGCACTCTCTCATTCACAGTACTCTATTCTTCAAGTTCTGGTTGCTTTGGGCTCTCCAGACTTGCAACAACATCTTGACAATTAAGGGAGGCCACCAGCCTCCATCTGGATTCCCCTTTCTTTTACTGGGGACTGGAAATTCCAAGCAATAGCTGGGCAATCATAGAACCTATTCCCCTTTGTTCCTTATCTCTCTTAGGGATCAGTGTCCTATGCCAGCTGATGTCGTGTCTGAAAATTATTGTGTTTATTTTTCTTAGGTTTTTTTTTTTCTGGGTTTCTTCATTGTTTCAAATGGCTCTTGACCACTTGAACACGAAATTTTCTCTTACAATCAGGAAAGATTCTTTGCTGATTTTGAATTTTGTTTAGCTTAATCTTTTTCTATAGAACATGTTTATGTTCTTTTGAACACTGATTATTGAACTGAATAAAATGGTCCTGCTTATGAACTCTAATTATATATAAAAATAGGATGTTGTAGGTTATTTGTGGCTGTTGGTTACTTATTTCATATAGCGTTATTAATAATTGTGAAATATTAGTAAACGGAATTTAATAATTACATATTATTGATTACATATTAAGCAAACACTATTTACAGATAGTGCTTTCTGAAATACTCAGCATATACCAGTTTATCTTTAGAGCCCCTGAGATATTTTGAAGTGTTAGTTTCCTATTCTTTTGTGCTCATAGTCTGAGATGTGCGTGGCAATCATAAGAATGGTGTTAACTACAGTCACTCTGGCTAGTTATTTATGGATTGCAACTTTTTCTGAAAAAGTTCAAGTAAAATGTCCAACCCTGCATTCATAATTTTTAGTATTCTCCACAGCATTATTACTGGATAAATTCTTTACAGATGGAAATATAATAAAAATTCTAAAACCTTATCTCCGGAAATGGATGTTTTCTTTACTAAAGTCTCTAGAAGGCAAATAGGAAATCTCTGCAATATGAACTTCCATTTTTTAGTATTAGCTAGATAAAACGAAAACATCTTACTGAGATCTTGATGAGATTAGGCTCACACGCCATCATGAATTTATGAGAGATTACAATGCTAAGCAATGGAACAGTGTACATATTTAAGAAGCCACAGAGAGTTTCTTTTCACATAAATGAAGAGGTGGACATACATTTTTTTTCAACATGGTATACAGTTTAATCTTCCTTTTATCTCCCAGTATCTCAAGATTCCAAAACCCTGAAAGTAGATGAAGAAACAGAAAACACAATGAGAGTTACATGGAAACCAGCACCAGGGAAAGTCGTCAACTACCGTGTTGTCTATCGCCCTCATGGGAGAGGGAAGCAAATGGTTGCTAAGGTGCCCCCCACAGTCACTTCGACAGTGTTAAAGCGACTTCAGCCACAGACCACATATGACATCACAGTTCTTCCTATTTACAAGATGGGAGAAGGAAAGCTTAGGCAAGGATCAGGAACAACAGGTATGAAATAATAATTATATTTTGAGGGGGAGAGAAGGTAATGTTTTAAAAGATGACTTTGGTATGTCTACTTCATTTGTAAATGTTTAAAACTGATTCCGTAATAAGTTAAATTATAATTACTAGACAATGTCTAAATAACATGTTATTTTTACCAATCTAGTTCCTGGTAAAATGATTCTACATATTAATGTTCTTATGCAAATCTAATCTGAATTGTGAGAATTATTTACACTTCTACTTAGCTAGCACTCTGTTATCTGGACTTCTATGGAACATGCTATTTTGTGCTACCGGACTTAAACCCTTTTTATGGATATGCATTTTTGTGGGGCTAATAAAAAAGAAACCCCAAAGCCTAGTCTTACAGATAATATTTTAAAAATCTTTTTGTCTTTACAGCTTCTCGGTTTAAGTCTCCTAGAAACCTCAAAACATCTGACCCAACCATGTCAAGCTTCCGAGTGACTTGGGAGCCTGCCCCTGGGGAAGTGAAGGGTTATAAAGTCACATTCCACCCTACGGGGGATGACAGAAGACTGGGGGAGTTAGTGGTTGGACCCTATGACAACACAGTTGTTTTGGAGGAACTTAGGTAGGAATTAACTACGTTTGTATCAAAGGATGAAATTAATTTGTTTACAAGGTTGAATAGCTTTTGTAAATTAGTAGGCTTTACACAAATATCACTTATATGTCTGTTTGCCAGCAAAGTATTTAAAATCAGCTAAAGCTGTTTTCTTATGCTTGGTGCTGCTGGAGTTGAAGTTAGGATTCAGGGGTCAGCAACAGAATTTAGGCCTGAGCAGGATTTTTTTGTAATGTTTAATAATTTTTGTTTGTTTTTAAGGGATCAGAATTGGTGTTTTCAATAACACCCTGCTTTTAAGAAATTAATGTTCTTATTACACAATGTCACCGAAATTGTAGCCATGTGGAAGCATGGGGGTTCCTGTACCTTTTGGCAAGGTTTGAGGGACTCATGCTGAGATCTTGAGTGTGAATCCCCCTCCAGTGTGCCATACAGGAGAAAGAAGGCAGGACCTTGTGGGTGCCAGCTGGCAGGAAAGGGCAAGGCTGGGCTCATGAAAGGTCCAGCTCCAGGCTGTGCAGTGAAAAACAAGGAAGTTTCAGTTTGAACAGCACCCTACATTCATTACAGTAAAAAGAATGAACTACTGTGTGTAGTCTTTTGGGAAGTTTGTTTTTCAATCATTCATTCAAGACTATTGAAATCTATATAAATGCTTGTGATTTACTTTTACCAGAGTAGGGAGTATAAAATTTATTGAGCTTACTATGTGTCAGGCATTGTGTTAGGCATTGTCTTATGTTACCTTGCAAGGTACAGCACTTCAATTATTTTCTTAAAGCCCATTGCTTAGAAACAGTAAGATTAAAGAGTCTGACCCTTCCTGACATGCTGAAAGGCAGGGTAGAGACTCTGCATCTGCTAGAAAGGCAAGACAGAAACCAGTGCTGTGAATTCCTAGTGTTCTCTGGAATGATTGCTGTCTAGTTTCTCTTGACACC
This sequence comes from Homo sapiens, assembly GCF_000001405.40. NCBI lineage: Eukaryota > Metazoa > Chordata > Mammalia > Primates > Hominidae > Homo > Homo sapiens. Next base: position 75,154,723 of record NC_000006.12, on the reverse strand, counting down.
TCACAGGGTAAGCGTAAGTGAGAAAGAGGCGGAAATTATTTTTCTTCTCTTATAATGTTGTACACTATAAACTCTTCATAGTGTAAGCTTGTAAATCAAGAAAAATGTCTTTAACAAAGCAAAAAAAAAGTGCTACCACTTGAGCCTATGGTTCTCACAGGCTATATATATACTTTAACATTTTAGGGCTGGTACCACCTATAAAGTAAATGTTTTTGGAATGTTTGATGGAGGAGAAAGCTCACCACTTGTTGGACAAGAAATGACAACCCTTTCCGACACAACTGTTATGCCAATTTTATCTTCTGGTAAGAAATTGAGTTACATTCCTTGAGGAAAACAACTTAGGAAACTATTTCAAATGTGAACTGTTAGGGTATCATACAATGGAAAACAATGATACAAATTTTACACTAAAATTTATTTCAATAATTTACATACTTAGCAAAAAAATTCTTCAAACATCCAGTCAAGCATGCTTTTTGACAGTATTTTTTTATACTTCTTTTATCAGCATTGCATTATTTCATACTTAAATTATTACATAAATCTATTTTTAAGAGTAATATATAATTATTAATGTATTAATAATTATTAGTGATGTAATTAATGTAGTAATTTTAAATTATGTAATAACGCATAATTTAAAATTGTGCATTAAATTTATTAATGCATTTAAATATTAAATTTAAAATTATGCATTATTGCATAATTAAGCTCTATTATTTAAAGAGTTTTTACTAAATGTAGATATTGTACCGTTTTCTATTTTTAATGACTAAGATGCAGTTTTCTTTTGTTAAAGTAATTGCAGAAATGTTTTATTTGGGCTGGGTAAGCAGTGTTAGGTTACATAAATGGGTGGGCAACTATGACTTGGGAAGGAAAATGGTAACATAAGCCCCTTAGATTTTCTGTCCCTGCCACAATTACAGCCTTTATGAACATAAAGCTAGTTTTTAACATTCTTAGAGACGGAGGTGGTGGACAGAGTTTACTTCTGATAGTTTTCATTATTGCTAAAAAAGAGTAGATCTGGGCAGAGCAGGAGCAGGCTTGTAAGGGCTTATTTCCTTGGGATAGTATTTGGGAATCCTTAATCCTGATATAGTATATAATATATGAGTGACACATTTGTATTCTGTAGTGTGATGAGCATTATTTAATTTTTTCCAATGATTTCTTTTGTAATATAAAGACCAAATGCTAACCTTGTAATAAACTGGAAAATTTATAGCTGGTAATATAAGCTTTTGGAAAGGAGAACATTAAAAAAATGGATGTGGACAAAATCAAGTGTCAAATCTTGCTGTTTTGCATTAATGTTCTATTGTTTCTCTTATGATGATATTAACTGACTTATATTTTTATTTTGTAGCTTGTACACTGAGGATGTTGGGATTATTTTCTCTTTCCAAAGCTTTTCCTATGTATCAATGTTTGTGCTTATCTTTACAGCTCTCAATTTGTATATTTGTTTGCATACTTTTCTAAATTGTCTTCCTTCTTTCTTGATTCTTTAAATGTGCAAACTTCACCATCTATATTTACATGATTTTTATTCACAGTAGATCATAAATTTAAATGATTAATAGCTAGATAATAATATATCAGGGTTTAAAAAATATATCTTTACCTCAAAAAGGTATAATTTTAAAAGTTATGTGTCTAATCCTTCATATATATGTGGTAGTTACCTAACAGCTTAGCTATTTGAAAAGATAATTTTTGGCTCACAAAAACCTTTTTTTAGTTTACATATTTTATCAGTCCATCTCATTCTTGTCTGCTATGACCATTAAATATTGCAGAAGAATGCAATATCTAATGATTTGACTACATTACAATTTTATTAAAGTTATTAGTACTTCATAGTTAGACAGCTATACATTCTCATTTATTTATTTCAGCCTTTGAATTTGTGAGCCCATCAAATTTTCAACAATGGCTTAATTCAAGTCTCCAGGTTCTATGAAAGAGGGCAGGAAATCGAGTCAAAGATAAAGGAAAGATTGGCCACTGAAATAATCTTTGGAGGAACTGCTGACTCTTAAGACTGTTAATTGAGGTTAATAAATCAGATGGACATATTTTCAGAGTCTTATACTCCACATCACTGAGCTAGACCATAGTACTGAGACAGGCAACACTGAGGATCCAGGGAGTGGTAGAGGTGTGACAAGGAAGTACCCTTGCCAACAATTTGCTTCTTACTGTCTTGTCTCATGATTGCCATGTCAGGGATGGAGTGTCTCACCAGAGCTGAGGCAGACATTGTGTTGCTGGTGGATGGATCATGGAGCATCGGCCGGGCAAATTTTAGAACCGTGAGGAGTTTCATTTCTCGTATTGTGGAAGTCTTTGACATTGGCCCCAAAAGAGTACAAATTGGTAGGTTCTGACAACATTGGAGCCATTTAGACATTTTTATCTTTCTCTTTCACATGCACTAATGCCAGTGGTGTCATTTTAGCTCTTGCTCAGTATAGTGGGGATCCCAGAACAGAGTGGCAGTTAAATGCACACAGAGACAAGAAGAGCTTGTTGCAAGCTGTGGCAAACTTGCCGTACAAAGGAGGCAATACTCTCACAGGTGAGTAAGGACTGTCTGACAGTCTTTCAGCTCATGCTTCTGGTTAAGGTTTGTGGCTGAATGGTGATGTGACTGATTCTCTTTTAAAAATCCCACTAGGCATGGCTTTGAATTTCATTCGCCAACAGAACTTCAGGACCCAAGCTGGCATGAGACCTCGAGCTCGAAAAATTGGTGTGCTCATTACTGATGGAAAATCACAAGACGATGTTGAAGCACCTTCAAAGAAACTCAAGGATGAGGGAGTGGAGCTGTTTGCTATTGGTACGCACTGAAAAGGACAGTGATGCCCCTGGGGTTACAAATGTGCTGAGGATATTTTTCGTAGTTAGAAGTTTTATCTGAAGCATGAAAAAAAATACCCATTTTTTTCTATCACATAATTTATCAAAATAATGTTCCAGGAAGTTAATTCACTTTTTTCTTCTTTTTTTGGGGACAAAACTACATGGTTTCTTAAACGAAAATTAATAGATCAAGAAGAAAAATGTGGTATTAATAGGATTCATAAAAACTCCTACTTGGTTTTCCACAGAACCGTGTTTATTTTTGATATCCATTATTTTACATTCCAGAAAAAACACTGAAGAGAGTCTTTTTGGCGGGAAATTGGTGCTATATACATTTAGAAGAAGCCAATTTAAAAGAGCTTTCAGTTTGTATTATCCTTTGTTTCTGTTTTATTATTGAGAAAAATAATATGTATGTTTTAGTTAACTAATTATTAAACCTTCATAGTTGGCCAAAAGCAGCCATGAATTAAGAAAGCCGTAAATCATTTGCTTCATTCCATTAATTTTTTTCTGAGAAGTGCTTTTAATTTGTATATATCCGTTTTTGAAGGTATTAAAAATGCTGATGAAGTCGAATTAAAGATGATTGCAACTGATCCTGATGATACCCATGCATACAATGTGGCAGATTTTGAGTCACTCTCCAGGATAGTGGATGATCTCACCATTAATTTGTGTAACAGTGTCAAAGGTCCAGGTAAGTTTAACCCAGAGTTTCTCTCCCTCAGCACTGCTGGTATTTTGGGCCAAATAATTATTCTTTTGGGTGGGGGGGAGGGCACTATTTTGTGCACTATGAAATGTTTAGCAGTGTGAAAGGCCTCTGCCGGTTGGATGTCAGTAGCATCCCCTAAATTGTGGCAATTAAAAAGATCTTCGGTTGTTGCCAAATGTCTGCTGCAGAAAAAAACTGTCCCCAGTTGAGAATCACTGCATTAGTCACTGATTTTTTTTTCTGATTTGTTTCTCGTGATGGCACCTCAATGACTTCTAGCTTATTTGAGGATATATTTAGTTTATATCCTGCATACCTGCACCCTCCCCCACACAACATATATATAAATGGGAAGGGGTAGGAAGAGAGGGAAGGAGAGATGCTTTCTTTTCTGGTATATACCTATTGTCTTAAAGCATCTTCACTCCATTTAGTTACTACATTGCTATTGGATGGTTGTTCCCAGACTCTTGTTTTCCTCAGTTTTGGTACCTTTTTTAAATTTCCTAGTGTGAGCAGGAATGAAAGAGCAGTCTTTATATCTGATTTGCTTTGCCTCAACTGTAGATGATCAGATTTGAAACTTTACACTTATAATCCCTAAATATAAAGAGAAGCTACAATTTTACAGTTTAGACATTTAGAAATTATATAACCTCTTTTTACCAGTGAAGAAACTGAGATCTGGAGAAAAATTACTTGGTCTGGGTCAAATGTTTAAAGATGTTTTTAGGGGTATTAAAAAAGTAGATATAGCTAAGGAATTAGGATATTGAAATAAAATTATAGAACTGGATTTATACCAAAAAAGGATGGTGCATAATGATTACTCTCTGTGCAAATCATGGGACAAAACATGGTAATCACCAAATTTGAAGGTTTTTTGAAAATTAATGATAAAAATTATGGCTCTTATTATGTGAGAAAAATTTTATTTAAGTACATGTAGATTATGGTAAAATTGTCCTTCATTAATTTAATTTGGTTTTGGAAAAGTTGGAATAAGTTTAAGAAACAATGTGGTAGAAATGGTTCACTTGCTCTGGGTGCTAGGGGTATGTTTATTTGAATGTTCCCTCTTGGCTTTCTTTCTCCTAACTTTTGCAGATTTTCTTTTTTGAATTTTGAACAACAGATTGACCTTTTCCCTGGAGAAATAGACCAGCCTGGCAGCCAGAATTTGTAGGCTTCTGGCTCTTGATTAGCTGAGAGAGTTGTAGTTTTATTCCATTGGAGAGAACTTTGAGTGGGATGAAAACATCTTTTATCTGTTTTGCTTTTTTTAAAAAATGAACTATGTAATAGTTGCATTCATTCTAGTTTCCCAGACAGTAAAATTGCTTGATAATTTTGTAGGTTTGACTCTTACCCAAGTACAATAAAAGTTAAGATACTAAGAATGGAAAGGCTTTCCCCAGTTTTGGCTTGCACAAAAAGTAGAAAGAGTTTATACGAGAATGATTTGCCATGCTTATGGAGTTATTGGATTAATCCCTTTCTCTTTTAATTATTATTTGGGCCATTTTCCTGTTAGACATATTGAGCTTAATATTTCCATTTTCATCAGCATTTATTCCAGACACTGTTATGTATTAGTCATTTCACCTATATCCACCCACAGGGAGCACAATCACAGGCGGTAGGTTGTTCCCAGATTGAAAAACATGTGTTTCTTTGCACTCTCTCCAGTGATACATTGTCAGCTTCCTTTGTTATGCAACTAGATCCTGTTAGAGAATAGAATGAATGAAAAATCAATTCTGTCCTCACAGAGCATAACCTTTAGTTAAGGAGAGAAGACATGAGTATATAGAAACAAAATGATAATGAGGGCAGGGAAGTTGTGTGGTGCCAATAGTGATAGGGACAATGGAGAAGCTAAATTGTCAGGACCTAAATTCTTATTTACTGATTATATGTACAAGGGTAGAGAGAGGAGAAAGTATCAAAAGGTGATTCAGAGGTCTTAGTCTGTTCTCATGCTGCTAATAAAGACCTACCCAAGACTGGGTAATTTATAAAGGAAAGAGGTTTGATTGACTCACAGTTCCATGTGGCTGGGGAGGCCTCACAATCATGGAGGAAGAGCAAGGGAGGTCTTACATGGTGGCAGGCAAGAGAGAGAATGAGAGCCAAGTGAAAGAGTAAACCCTTATAAAAGCATTAGACCTCGTGAGACATTTACTACCACTAGAGTAGTATGGGGGAAACCACCCCCATGTTTCAATTATCTCCCTGTGGGTCCCTCCCACAACACTTGGGACTTATGGGAGCTACAATTCAAGATGAGATTCAGGTGGGGACACAGCAAAACCATATCGGGTCTTGAGTCTCAGTGACTTGTAAATTGGTAAAGTTTGTAAGGAAGAGGAGGATCAGGTTTTAAGGAAAGACAATGAGCTCATGTTTTAATCTTTTGAGGCTAGAAAACCTTTTAGTTACCTATTCATAACGGTCTTACAGGTGATGAGCCTCTAATACAGATTTATTGTAGCTACTTAGTATGTGAAAAGAAGTGTGTGAAAGCTTAGAATATGGAGCATAATATTGTTTCAATGTCATTTCAAATATTGTCACCTTTCTACAATAATGAGAAAAGTGTATACCCTTTATTTCCATGTGTAGGTGATTTGGAAGCACCTTCTAACTTAGTTATTTCTGAGCGAACCCATCGTTCTTTTAGAGTGAGCTGGACACCACCTTCTGACAGTGTGGATCGATATAAGGTGGAATACTATCCAGTTTCTGGAGGGAAACGTCAAGAAGTGAGTAGGAACACCTATAACTTACTTCTTCCTGATGTTGAGATTGGGTCCTCCTCATTAGGACTCTGAGAATAATGTTAGGTGAGGGGCAAGAGGGATGAAGAGGGGCCAGAAATGAGTCAAGAATAGTGCTTTCTATTCTTGACTTTGCTAGGCAGGCATTTCCGTCTGGCTTTAATTAAAGGGAAAGAGCTTTGCTTAAATTCTTACGGTTTCTAAGAATTGTAGAATATCACTATGTTTTTTTCATTAAAATCTAATTAGAAGATGCTTGATTTATTTATGAATTTGTAGTAGAATCAGAGAGTTAGCAAGGAACATTGAAGATGATCTATTTTTACCCATTCATTTTACAAATAAATAACAGCTGGGAGAAAAATTATATGAATTGTCCAAGATCTCATTGTAATCTGATAGTTTCCAAATACAAAAGACAATGGCCTAATTGAAATATAGATTCTAAGCTCACTGCAGTTAACTACTTTGTAAGTATAGTAGGAAAAAGGGAACTGATTATACATACGTTGTTGCTCTGTTTAATTTTTCCCCCTAGTTTTATGTGAGTCGAATGGAAACTAGCACAGTGCTGAAAGATCTGAAACCTGAAACTGAATATGTTGTCAATGTGTATTCTGTGGTAGAAGATGAATATAGTGAGCCTCTGAAGGGGACAGAAAAAACCTGTGAGTCAGATTAAAAAATTGTTTCTCATTGCTTTCTTTTCCAAGATAAAGCATGATGGCCCATTTTTGCCTACCTTCCAAATAATTTCTTTATTTAACATTCATTCTATAAATATTTACTGAGTGTCATCTTTGTGCAGGTGCCCAGAAAATACTCAGTGGTTTTCTACTCCTGCTGGCTGATTCTGCCATCATGGAGCTCCACTGTGGAATAGGGGGTCACTGCCATAATAATCTAGAGGGAAAACAACCTTTAATGGAGTTATTCACTTCTTAGAGTCTTTAGACTTTTGCTTTCAAGAAAATCTCCTAAAATGCAAATATACCTTTCAGGGGGATAATTTTACATTTTACTCTGTTGTTATATGTTGACATTTTATTGAGGAATAAAGCACATCAGGAGTAAGATATGAGGAAGGATACCATGTGGGGAGTGGGACTAAGATCAGGAAGAAGAGCGTACAGAGATACCGATTTCACTTTTACTAACGGCCAGCGCTCCCGGCTGCCAGTGAGATCTTCTCTTTTCTTTCTGGCATCTGGTCTTTGCTAGAGAAACTCTAAGTGCTTTGGCTTTGAGTAGCGCTTTTGGGGTAGATGTTCCTTGCTCCTATTCCTGGTAATGCTTCCAGAGACATATGAAATTATTCTTTCCTACTTCTTGCTTCTTGGTTGGGCTCTAGGGAGAAGAAGGAAAGCCACTTTTAAGAAGAAGGAGTGCGCATCACTCTCTAGAGCAAGAACTGACTTTATGTACTGCTCAAGTTTTAGATCCTTATCTCTTCTCTTATATCCCTTTATATTAGACTATAGGAGGTGAGAAATAATGTATTTTATAACTGGCAGGATTAATATGATAATTTCTTAAAACTTTGAACTCAATCTTTGAACAAAAAATAATTGGAAGCAATATGGGTGTTATAGGGAGATTGTAAACTTTTTCCTCTGCTTCATGGGTTTATCTTCAAGAAGCCTATAAATCCCTGATGTTCCAGTTATTAATGTATAGTGTTCTTATTTTAAATTTATTTTTTGAAGAAATATAAAAAATAGTGTTGATTACATATATATAAAGTTCTGTGATTGAAGAATAGAAATAGTCAACTTAGTGATGTTCCAGAAAAAGAGAGTAACGTATCAGGAAGTTGGTATCTATTGTAGAGACTCACTGGAATGCCATTTGACACCTGAACTTTAACATTTTCCTTCTACAAGATAGTGGTAACGTGCAGTCTTGAATATGAAGTGCAATGAGCAATGTAAATTGGATTTTTTGGGGCAATGGGAAGGATTATATTAACTCTTATTGATTTCTCACAGTAACCCACTGTCTAGTATATACAAATATCAATAATTGAGTACAAAACAATGGTTAAAAATGAGTGGAATGAAAGGAACTAGACTGATGGTCTGCTTTTCTGTTTTGGAAGTGCCAGTGCCTGTAGTCAGCCTGAATATTTATGATGTTGGCCCTACCACCATGCATGTGCAGTGGCAGCCTGTGGGAGGAGCTACTGGCTACATCTTGTCATACAAACCTGTTAAGGACACAGAGCCAACAAGACCCAAAGAGGTGAAAGATGTTTGTTTCTTTAACATTGGGTCTTCCCAAGACTTTATAGCTTTATAGTGCCTATTATACTGCAGTTACTTACAAACTCATTTATAACTTTACGTACAAAATGGAAAAATAGAAAAGTAGGTTTGTGGTCTGCAACACATTGTAGAAAACATTGGCATGGACTGCCCACGGTGACTGACGCCTGTGTAATCTCAGCACTTTGGGAGGCGGAGGTGGGCAGATCACCTGAAGTCAGGAGTTCGAGACTAGCCCGACCAATATGGTGAAACACCGTTTCTACTAAAAATACAAAAATTAGTCGGGTGTGGTGGCAAGTACCTGTAGTCCCAGCCACTCAGGAGGCTGAGACAGGAGAATTGCTTGAACCCGGGAGGTGGAAGTTGCGGTGAGTTGAGATTGAGCCACTGCACTCCAGCCTGGGTGACTGAGTGAGACTCTGTCTCAAAAACAAAACAAAACAAACCAAAAAAAAAAAAAAAAAGAAAACATCAGCATGGAAAAGGAGATGTAATCTTATAAATGAAAAATACAAGCTGTATTATAATCTAGTACAAATAAACTTCAGTTGACTATTCCAAAGGTAAATGGAAAAGTTTGATTTGAATATCTTATTTCTGCTCCACATATCCATGTGCAGGTGCGTTTGGGGCCAACAGTGAATGACATGCAGCTGACTGACCTTGTTCCCAACACGGAGTATGCAGTCACAGTCCAGGCTGTCCTGCACGACCTCACTAGTGAACCTGTCACTGTTCGGGAAGTCACCTGTAAGCTACTGCTTAGTTTTATTTCCCTTCTTATTGCTGTGAGCATAATGTTCATTAGAATTTATTTCATGTGATGCTAACAATAATTTGATAATTTATATACAAAGTCACAGTTATTACTTTTGACAATCAAATTTGAGAATAAATGTCTCAATTCTAGATTTATGGAGGCATCTCAAATTCATTCGAGGATGTGTATTTTTTTCACATTGAACATGCCTGAAATTGAAGTGTTTTACAATCAATGGTGTCTTACTATTATTGCTCTTGGCTAGGTGCCAATCAGAATGTACAGCATAAGACAATGGTGCATCTTATGAATGATGTTATCCTAGATCCATGAAATATGACATATAGCATTGATGAGAATGGGAATGTTGAGTGAGTGTAATTTTGGAGGAAGACATTGGGTTTAATATCAAGGTGCTCCAAGTTCTTGTTGATGTAGAAACTCTGTGGCACATATGATTAAGTCTGTTTCAGTTAAGTGAATTAATCAATTTACCCAATGCAAAGATATATTGATCCCCTATTATATGCCAGTCACTGGGCTAGATGTTGGGAATACCACTGTGAAATTATACAAAGCAGTATAGACCATATGGACTCCTTCCTGGTTTGCATTTCTCTTGTGTGTGTTGGTCAGCCTTTTGTGTACTTCTGACTTGTTTTACTAAGCATTTAGGTGCTTTTTTCTTGAAGCGTGACAATGATTGCATTTACCCACTTACTGCCTCTTGCCTTACCCAGCTGGTATTTTGCTTCATGCTTGGGGAGATTGACATGCTGGGATAGATGAGCTGGCTTAAATTTAATGAGTCTTGGCCCACACTTCTGAGAAAATGAAGAGTTTTGAAGGCACTTCAAGGAGGAAAAAGGGACTAAGGAAACAGAGCATGATGGGGCAGAGAAGAGAAAGATCCCCTACAGGATGGGTTAGTGTAAATTAATTGACAACAAACAAATATTTATTAATCCTCCTTTATATGTTAGATCTTGTCTGGGGCTGGTGGTTTTGTGAAAATGGGATAGTGGCAGATGGAAGGAATGGGGAGTCAGCCAGGGATAGAGACTCATGTTCTGAAAGTGCTGAGAGAGGAGACCCAAAGTCACAGTGAGATTAAAAACAAATATGGTCACAAACTTGGGTATGGTGCTGGACTGGAACAGTAGAGGAATGGAGGGCAGAGAGAGATACACAAGATAAAAATGTTGAAGAGATGGAGGCGCAGAAATGTGGAAGTGGAGCTAGAGAGTTAGGAAGACAGATGTAAAGAGTCAGAATGAGAGACAAGTTAAACTAGTCAAATGGGCAGCTGGAAAGAGTGAAATACATCTCATATTACAGGAGAAAATCTCCTCATTCCGTATCCTCCTTCCCCCTTTTATAATGGAAAGTTATGTTAGATTTGGTAAACATTTACCATTTGGATTTTCTTCTAACAATTTAGGTGTCTGGGTTTTCTTATAAGCTTATTGGATGCTTAATGTTGGGCTCATCTTCATTCTTCACTCTGTAACTATTTTTTTCTGTCACGTTCTTGAGGGTGCATAACTCTATTGATTTTGTTTTCTGTCTTGAGTTAAATATCTGATAAAGAAACATGAGCTGTACATTTATGATGAATTATGATTTATTATGGGGTTGAGCAGCAAGAGATTATTTAAATAATGTGGAAGAAGAGTAATATATAATTGAGAAGTTAGCCTTGTGATAACAAAAAATTAAATATATTCTATTTTTGAAAAACCTTCTTAAGAAGAATTCAGTCTATCTGGTAGAATCATGGTACTTTTATCATCATAATCATTTTTTTCAGTTATTTTGCCAAACACCTTTAAATTTTCTCCAAACAACTTCTTGAAAGCTTGCATGGATGCTTTGGAGCTTTGTGGTTGAGAAGCACATCTGGATTTAATATCTCGTGCTTCTCTAGTGCCTTTACCCAGACCTCAGGATCTGAAACTCAGAGATGTGACTCACAGCACTATGAATGTCTTTTGGGAACCTGTGCCTGGAAAAGTGCGTAAATATATTGTTCGATACAAAACACCAGAAGAGGATGTCAAAGAGGTAGGTTGAAGATGATAGTAGATATGAAAATATTTGTTTTCCTAGTAGGTTTAAAAAAAGAACTTTATCAAGTATGGATGATAGCATGTTTTGAATACTTGTCACTTTGTTAACACAGTGTTGAAAACTTGTGATATTAATAAAGCAGTTTTTGAAAATCAATGATATATTGGACTGTCTTGTCAAAACAGAAATGTTTTGCTGTGTGATATTAATCTCAAAAAGATCATCCCTTGGTAGATAAAAAGTTATCAAATCTAAATGGTATTTCCTTCCCATCCAGATTCCTTATATGGCTTTCTATTCTAAGAATTACTAGAAAATGTCATGTTTCTAAAAATAAAAGGTAGCAAGAGGTTGCAGCAATGAAGAGGAGCAGTTTGTCAGATAACAGGAAGATAGGACACTAGAGAAGGACACAGAGAAAGGAGAAGTATGTTGTTAGAGGGGTGTCCTTTTGGGAGTGTTCTTTTGGGAGTTCCGTGATGACCGGATTCAAAGTTAGAGCAAATTAGAAGGGCTTCATGAACCAGCAAAACTTGTGTGTGCTTGAGGGAGTATTAATGTCAGAATCTCAGAGGCATTTTTGGAACATAGGAGTCATTTCTCTAAGCACTCAGTGACTGGTTCTGCTGGTCATTTGTGGATTATACAAAAGCTACTTTATACATGTGCACACATTTATTTCATTCTGCATTTCCATTTAAAAGGGGTACAATGGCCAGTGGATCTCACAAGATTCTTGTGCATAGCAAATGAAGTAATGCTGTGCGTAAGAGACCATTGCTGAAAGAAATAATGCAGTGATATAAAGGGAAACAGGTGGAAAAATGGTTAGGTTTTTTGAATACATAGGCAGTAATTATTTTCTAGAGAGTCATGTGCCATATGATCTAGTACATACATTTTTTTTCCAGTTTGGAAATATTTAAACTGTGTCCAGTTTCTGGATTCTCATGTATATTGGAAAACACTGCTCTTTTCTGATCACAATTTTATATTCTTACGCTGACAGGTACAGTAAACAACAGAGAGATGTCAAAAGTAAACCCTTTGTAAAAGTAGTTCCACTGCTCTGTTACTGTTATAGGTAGAGGTGGACAGATCAGAGACCAGCACTTCCCTCAAAGACCTCTTCTCACAGACCTTGTACACAGTCAGCGTTTCTGCAGTACATGACGAGGGGGAGTCTCCTCCAGTGACTGCTCAAGAAACTACCCGTGAGTTGTGCTCCTGCTCCACTGATAATGGGAAACAACACTTTACATGCATGTGTAACACAATTTACTGGGTCATTTTGTTTCTTAATGCTACCTTTGCCAGTGTTTAATAATGCTTGGATTCATAGATTGTTTTTCACTTATTTTTTTGTAACAAGGTGTCCCATCTTCTATCTTTGCATCCATTCCTTTTATGATACTTTCCATCAGCCACTGTCATTAATTTATCTTCCAACTACAACTACTTGATGTGCACCTGTGTATGTGTGTGCATGTATGTGTAGTGGGGTGGGCAAGTTTTCTTGACGTATGTTGCACATTTGCTTTGGAAAAGATGCATTATTTATAATTTTTTGGGGTATTTTACTATACGTGAAGTGTTATCAAGGGTAACAAAATATAAGCATCTTTGCCCTCACCAGTTCATGATTTAGTTGTGGAGATAAGAAAAAATTAACTGAGAATACATGGGATCATGTAAGGTAGGTCAGGTGGCACTGAAATTGTGTGCTGTCAGATTTCAGAGGAAGGGGCGACTGCACTGTAAGTGGAGTGCTGGGGGATACCGGGCAGCCTGCCCAGACCCTGCTTCCTGCTCCGTCTGCTGCAGCTCCTGGAGATGTCAGTTCCTCTCCCTCTCATGGTTTCTCCATAGTATTTAACACAGTCATTATTGCCTGTTGGTCTTTTGCTATGGATTCTACTTCCCCCTTGCTCTCTCCTAATGAAGGAAGAGACATTTTGCTCAACTTTGTGTCTCCAGTGCCTGGCACATAATAACTTAATCCAGTGCTCAGCCCATTACATAAAGCAAATAGTAGTAAAAAAAACATTGAGGCCTAGAGCCAGCAGTGTTCCAAACAAAAATAATGGGAGTTTTATATGTAGTTTTACATTTTCTGGTGTCCACATTAAAAAAGGCAAAAATAGATGGATGAAATTAATTTTGATAATGTTTTATTTAACCCAGTATATCCAAATATATCCATTATAATTTCAACAGCTATCAGTACAATAATTATTAACGAGACATTTTACCTTTTTTCTGTAACAGTTCTTCAAAATCCAGTGTGTATTTTACACTTAGAGCACATCTCAATTCAGACTAGCCACATTTTAAGTGTTCAATAGCCAACTACATGTGGCTAGTGGTTTCCATTATGGACAGCACAGGTCTAGAAATTTAAGCAACTTGCCCAGCCACATCCAGTAACCTATTGATGGGACTGATACTATAGTCTGGAACCTTTTCCTCCTTTCCAGAAAATTCCTCACCAAAGGCTCAATGGCATGTTCTTTAGTGCCCAGCTGCCTATACCTAATTAGGGCATCTTGTCAAATGTTATAACCTGCTTTTTTTTTTTTTTTTTTTTTTTGAGACAGAGTCTCGCTCTGTCACCCAGGCTGCAGTGCAGTGGCACGATCTCGGCTCACTGAAAGCTCCGCCTCCCAGGTTCACGCCATTATCCTGCCTCAGCCTCCGGAGTAGCTGGGACTACAGGTGCCGACCACAATGCCCGGCTAATTTTTTGTGTTTTTAGTAGAGACGGGGTTTCACCGTGTTAGCCAGGATGGTCTGGATCTCCTGACCTCGTGATCCGCCCGCCTCGGTCTCCCAAAGTGCTGGGATTACAGGCGTGAGCCACAGTGCCTGGCCATAACCTGCTTCTTAACTTCAGACATAACCACTTCTCCCTTTTTGACTCTGCTATTTTCTTACCATGTGAGATCTCTTAGCAATTTCATTTATTTTCCTGGCTTAAGTTCTTACCTTGTAAGGGTCATGGCTGGAGCTGAGAATTGATGCATATGCATCAGTAGACGACAGCTTTGCATAAAAATAACGTAACAGGTGTAGTGAACAGAAAAGGAAGTCAGGAAGAAAGGCTAGTGAGACAGGTAATTCAGTATAGTAGATTAATATTTTTAATATATATTTTCCCTTAAGATTTCCAAATAATTTTCAGATACATTTAAAGTACATTCTTAATGCTGCTTTGTTTTGCAGTTTTGCTGGTGGAAATAGTACCACTCTCTTTATCTCAATGGGCCTTTTCATTGTAATTATTAGAACAAATTTTTAATGGCTCTGGGGTTTGTGTAATTAGCTTTGGTTACCAGAAAATAGAGAAATAAGTGACAATGAAAGCTCAGGAATGGTGGCAGACATAAAAAAATGCTTGTGCTGCAAAACAGCCAGAGGACCTGGTCAATGGAGGGGTTGTGAAAGGGGATTTCAGCAGTCATTTGGGTCTCCAGGTGTTCAGTTCTCTGAACAGGGTCAGCATGTTCTGCTTCATATCATGTTTAAGGTTAGTGATCTATAGGAAGAAGCTATGTGTGGGTTACCTGGATCGTAACATGCTCAGAGTTCCTTTCCTGTGGCAATATTCCTAGATTGGAATTCACTGTATGTGTAGCAGTATGTATGTATGTTCTAATCAATTGTCAGAGTGCAATACTTTTAGTGTTGTTTACAGCTAGGCAGACATTCTCATTTTTAAACTGCAGTGGTATGTGTGTTTTTAAAAAATAAAAATGAAACTGTTTCCTTTGGGTATCAGAACAACAAATTATGAACAATAAATGAATAACTATTTCCTTGAGCATCATCTTTAATGTATAATATATTAGCATACCTAGTTTATGACATTCTCGGTTAATAAGGACTTCTTAACCCAGAGTCTATGTGTGTCTTTGGGGTTATTGATAGACTGGAGAAGGTCCATTAACTCTCTGATATGTGGCCAAGTTTGTGCTTTGTGTATTGTGTATTGCTGTGTGAAAGAGTCCATAGTGTTGATTTGATTCTTAAAAAGTTGGAGAAAGGTACTAAATGGTATCTTAAAAAAATAATCATTTAAATAGAATATCCTTAATAACCTATTATATCCACAGAATGCTTGCAGTTTCCAGAGCTCTAGGAATTGGTGAAATATTTGGTTCTAAGCAATGTATTCAATCAGTTTTCAGATGTCCATTAATATAAAACAAGGCAGTTTTTATTATATTAAATTGCATTTGCAGCTCACATTCAAAAACTTAGTCTGCTTGCCTTTTCTCATGATAGGACCCGTGCCAGCCCCAACAAACTTAAAGATTACTGAAGTAACATCAGAGGGTTTCAGAGGGACTTGGGATCATGGAGCTTCAGATGTGTCTCTCTACAGAATAACTTGGGCACCTTTTGGAAGCTCAGATAAGATGGAGGTAGTTAACTCTCTTTATCTTTCTCTCTGTCTTTCATGTCCCATTTAATTTGTAGGGAAGCTTAGTTCAAAGAAGTATTACTCTTGTTGTCAATAAGCATTTATTGACATTTGAGCTCATGACATGCATCAGAGCAGGAGGAACATCTGGCTAAATAATGTGAATAAACTGCCATTGAGTGTGTATGATGTAAGTGGAGACTTACTTTTGCGTGGGTATGTTTTTGTCCTCTTTCTCCAAGACCATCTTAAATGGAGATGAAAACACTTTGGTGTTCGAAAACCTGAACCCCAACACCATCTATGAAGTTTCCATTACTGCCATCTATCCTGATGAGTCAGAAAGTGATGACCTGATTGGCAGTGAGCGCACACGTAGGTGTTTAGCTTTCAAATAGGACATTGATATTTTAAAGTTAATTTTTAAAAAATAGGGCTACAGCTATATTAGTAATGTGTTCCCAAATTCTGTTTTCTTTTAGTGCCTATCTTAACAACACAAGGTAAGAATTTAATTTGATGAATTGTTTGAATGAACAAATAATGAATGAATGTATAAATGAAAAGTACCATAAGATACATAATAAATAGGTCATCTGCTTTTAAATCCTAAGATGTTCATTGAGAACTCTTTTACATAGGCTTTTCTTGAAAAACTTTGCTTTGCTACTACTTGTTTTGGAGTGTATTGATCAGCTTGGGGTGCCATAACAAAAGATTAGACTGGATGGCATAAATAACAGAAATTTATATTCTCACAATTCTGGAGGCTGAGAAGTCCAAGACCAAGGTGCTATTCAATTCGTTTCTGGGTGGTGGCTTTCCTCCCAGCTTATAGCTAGCCAGCCCCTTTCTCGGTCTCTCTCATTTTCTCACTCTCTCACGTGGAGGAGAGAGAGAGAGAATAAACTCTCTCATGTCTCTTCTTACAAAGACTAATCCCATTATGGCAGCCCCACCCTCATGACCTAATCTAACCCTAATTACCACCCAAAGGCCCCATCTCTCAATACCATCATATTGGAAGTTGGAACTTCAACATGTCACGTTTGCAGGGACAGAAGCAAAATGAAAGTCCATACTAAGGAGTCATTTAAGAATCAATAACCATTTTTATTAAGGGAACGAATTTAATTATAAACCCAGAGGCATAGAATTCTCTGATTGCCTTGGGAGCTGTATATATTTTAGGGGGAGGCATTGTTCTGTCTGCTTACTCAGTTTTTCAACAATCTTCTTTCAGCTCCCAAAAGTGGCCCACGAAACCTTCAAGTGTACAATGCAACATCTAACAGCCTGACTGTTAAGTGGGATCCTGCTAGTGGTCGTGTGCAGAAATATAGGATCACTTATCAGCCTTCCACAGGGGAAGGCAATGAGCAAACGGTAATTTTTTAATAAAAATTATAACTTGGATTAATTCTACCATTTCTCTTCAAACTCTTTTTCCCCCTCAGTGCTTAGTTAGTCATACTTACTTTTTAAGGGATATTAAGATTTATCGCATTGGATGGAATAATCTGACTCTTTAGCTGGCACTCCACGTGGATTGCCATCATGGAGACTCAATGGATGTTCTCATGAGAGATGATAGTTGTTCTTCATTACAGCCCCAAAGCATGAGGCATGTGCTTCAATGCATCCATAGTTCCTTTAAAAACTATTAGTGCTGGATTATCCATGACGATATCCAGATAGTTTTTGAGTCTATGTTGACCTTCCATTCCTCTCTCTAACTTAATCAACTGCTGAAAGTTTGCTAAACTTACCTATAATGTTTATTTTCTATTTATCTCATTTCCCCCTGTTTTTTGCATGTCATAGGGTGTCTTCTAGATCTGGTGTTTCTAGATGTGGGAGCCTGTTAACCTAATTTACACTGTTTTTCATTTTTCTATTATCCAAATGGAGGTCCCCAAGAAAGATGGTAGGACTCGAAACTCAGTCTTCATCCTCTTTCTCTTCCTAGTCTTTCCCTATTTAATAGAACCTTTGTCCATTTTACCTCCCTTACTTTAGTTGTCTGGTTTTGGGCTTTCTACAACTTTGCCTTTTGTGAACTATGTAATTAGAACTGCATGTATTATCCTAGGTCAGGAAGCCTCATGATTTTTACATAGGTATGATTATGTTTTCTGATTCATTTCAAAATAAATCTCCAGTTTTGGTGAGGTACAGAGTTTTATTGACTTTTTTGGCTAGAATATTTTCTTATATAGCCTTAGAGACACATGTGTTATTAACCTTTAATCATCTGACTTGCCGAGCTCAAGCAAATGGGTCATTTCTCTTATCAGTTTAGAGGTATTAGCCAAGGTAGGGGTTGGCATTAATCTAAGGTGTGTGGTTAAAGATCTCTGATACTACCCAGTAAGTAAGCTTAGCTGAATCAGAAACCTTCCCATCTCTAGTGTGACTTTGAGTTGGTCTTTTGAGGCTTTTATAGCTCCAGTCTTAGGTAGTGTGATGCATTTGGACTGAGAATTTGTCTGTTTTAGGTAAATAGATTATAATTAATAAACTTAATATCAACTGTAATCAATAGACATTTATATGAAAATAAGACAAATTAGATGGACTGATATATTAACTTCAGAAACAGAACTTCTTTTTTTTCTGTGGCATGCCAGATTTCGGTAAAACTACAAATCAGGAGAAGCTTGTTCTTAGCATTTCCCATCTTGGGGGCATTGATGTTCCAGCTGCTTCTCCTAAGTCTCTTTTACTGTCTTTCAGCTGTTTGCTATCATAAAGAGTCTCGTAAACTTATCTTCTGGAAAGTATGAAGCCCTTAAGCTTTGTTAGTCTTTGGGGTACTTGGATTTTAACACTAGTCCGTGAAATCATGAAAATGATGAATAACTGATGCTAGAATTATTTTGGGGAGCTGGATGGGAGAGGTAGGTAGATGCCCCTCTGCTTACTCATAAAAGCAGTTCTCCTAAATAGGCTTTCAGATTTGTTATGTATTAAGTTTTTATCAAAATGGCTTATACTGGTATTGATACTTTTCTCTCATAACCTCAAATATGAAATTTATTAAAATTAGCCACGGTAGTTCAGTTTGTCCGTATTGAGGATGATGACCGTGATTCACTGGGTTTTTCTCTGGAATTCAGACTACTTGAGTGGATGAGTGCTAAGTTGGAAACATCTGGTTTGTTCTAGCACATCCAGCCATCTACATGTGCACTCATTTTGGGCAGTGTGCCATTTTCATGCGATTTTAATTAGTATGACATAAACATCTGAATTCGGTAGACTGTTAATAAATTGTACAAATTTTCTTTCAACAAGATAGCTAGATGGCCTTAAGTAACGAATAAAAACTTTAAGCTCCATAATTAGAGTAAATTGAAAAGCTTCATACCACGGGGCTGGTATCATGGAGACAACTGGAAACCCCTGATTGAGTGTGGCCTGGCAAAAGGTCTGGTCATGTCGTTAACACAGCTAAGGCTGTTAGAGTGACAGTGTTCTTGGGGGAAACACCAAGAGCTTTATACTGTATGCTGAATCATTTTAATGTGTTTCTAAAGCAAATAAAAACATCTGTTAAAAAGGTAAGAATAATATTAAGTGGTGTGGAGCCTCTAAAATTATGCAATTGTTTCATATCTTAAAGTCCCTTTGTAGCTCACTTATGATTAGTCCCCCCCGCCCCCTTTTTTTTTGAAGAGTTCTGTGAAATGTGTTTTGGATGAAATTTTGCAGTGCTGGCGGCTAGCAAGTTGAAATATCTTTTTGGGGTCACCAGTTTAAAGCTTGGAATCCTTTTTATGATTTGAGGTGCATATTTTACATTTGAAGTTATACCACAAGGTGTATGTTAAACCTTGACTGTGGTATGTAATTCTGGAACTTGACAAGGGTCTCAAACAGCTTCCCTGTAGAAAGAGCTTTTTCTAACAGATTAGTGAGATGGAGAGAGCAAGGCTGACACTTACCAAGACCCTTTTTACTCAAGACCACAATAGGAGGACGGCAGAACAGTGTGGTCCTGCAGAAACTGAAGCCAGACACTCCTTACACTATCACCGTATCCTCTCTGTATCCTGATGGTGAAGGAGGTCGGATGACGGGAAGAGGCAAGACCAGTAAGTGAAACCTGAGTTCCTATAGCTTCTTTAATAGCTACTATTAGAATGGAATCATCTCTTTATCTGGAAACACTGGGGTGACACAAAGTTTTACTAATATTTAAAAATTCATTTAGAAATAATATTAATAGTTTTTTCTTTTCTTTTTTTTTGAGATGGAGTCTTGCTCTATTGCCCAGGCTGGAGTGCAGTGGCACGATCTTGGCTCACTGCATCCTCTGCCTCCCGGGTTCAAGCGATTCTCCTGTCTCAGGCTCCCGAATAGCTGGGATTACAGGTGCACACCACCACACCCGGCTAATTTTTTATATTTTTGGTACAGATGGGGTTTCACCATGTTGGCCAGGCTGGTCTTGAACTCCTGACCTCAAGTGATCCACCTGCCTTGGGCTCCCAAAATGCTGAGATTACAGGCATGATCCACCGTGCCTGGCCATATTGATCGTTTTTAACATCCTTGCTTGGAATTACTTGTCTCTGTTTGTGGAGAAAGATGTTACTTTCTAGGATAGAAAGGTGCTCTAAGACCAAAATGTCTTGTGGATAGATGAGACATATGCATCAGGCTGACGCGGACACAGTGTGTGTCGTTTATTCACTACTTCAACAAATGTTTGTGCGGTGCCTGCTATGTTCTAGGGTGCCTGGGAGATATCAGTGAATCTGTGTTTCATGTGTGCTTGATTGTTAGCATTATACTGTGATGGGATTTCTGTGCATTTCAGAACCTCTAAACACTGTAAGGAACCTGAGAGTGTATGACCCTTCTACCAGCACCTTGAATGTCCGCTGGGACCATGCAGAGGGAAATCCTCGTCAGTACAAGCTCTTCTATGCACCAGCAGCAGGTGGTCCAGAGGAACTGGTAATTATTTCTTGTAGTAAAAAATGCTAGTTTGTTTAAATGGTAGCTGAGTGATTTAAAAGTGGAACTGAAGGAGTTAACCAGTTTGCTTTAGAGCTGAAGAATTTCATATTCATTTAATAAGACTTTATAGAGGGTAAATAGTTGATGCCTTAGAGCCTGGGTAACAGAGGGATTGTGGCCAGGATTCTTCCCCCTGGCCAGGGGAAGAAGCGGCCGTTCTGGGAAGTTCTAAGTGGGGAGTATTGGATGGCTGGAGGGGTATAGGGAAATATGTAACCTCTTGTAACAGGTCATGTGGGGGCTTATTATGACATCCTAATATTACAGAACCTACTTCTTGACTTGGTCTTGAGTTGGTATTGTGTTATTTGAATTATTATTTCTTTCACAAATTTTTCAAGTCAATGCTTTTTGTTTTATTAAAATCTTTAGGTACCAATCCCCGGGAATACCAATTATGCCATTCTTAGGAATCTGCAGCCAGATACCTCATACACTGTGACTGTAGTTCCCGTTTATACTGAAGGTGATGGGGGACGCACATCAGATACTGGAAGGACATGTAAGTAATAAAGCCAAAAAATTAATTTTTCATCATAAGTGTTGCTTTTCATTATAAAGACCATAAAGGCCCATTAAAGAGAATTAGGAAAGTTTGGTGTGATAGAATTAAAAACATAAAAATTAGCCATAGTTTACCTTCCTAACACCAAATGTTAACATTTTGTGTGAAATAACAAATTTATAATGGCATCTTCTTTTGAAATAATTTCAAGATTTGTAAAGGTACATATAATCATCAGTATACTACTTTGCTTAATCTCTTTCACTGACAAAAATTCATTGAGCTTTGCTTTCTGCTTTATAAATTGTTGTGAAGGACTTTACAATTGGCTTTCATAGTGCGAATTGTTGAAATCTGTTCGGCACATTACTTAATTTCATATGTCTTTGGTTTGTTTGTTGAAGTGCTTTTTTGATCTTAAAATCTGTATGCTTTCATTTAGGAAGCAGTTTATGTGGTTTTACTGTTTTTTGTAGTATTGCTTAAAGGCTTTTGTGCAGATTTAGAAATATTTCTTTGGCTTTAAAAATATACTTGCTGATAGTTAAAAGGAACCAAGCATGAATGTCTTCTTTTGGTTAGGGATTAGTGGTCTAGGAAGATGATGTTATTGGTTAAATTAGAGTTTGGAATTAGTACATCAATTTAATTGGTAGGTTTTTCTAAGTTCCTATTGGGGCAGTTAATTAAGAACTGGGTATATCTTATTTTTCTCTCCTTTTACCTTTTCTATTAATCACAAAGTTATTGAGTAGCAATTTGTTAAATGAAGAAGTAATGAATGGTTGAAACTAGCTGACTGAATCAGATGAGCTCAATAGCTGTTGTCAGATTTTACTTAGAAGGCAGACTCTTAAAAAATGTCTCTTCTTCCTCTCTCCATTACTTATGTTAGAAAACTGAAACTACTTTTCCTATTTCTTTTCTCTATCCCATGACCCTTTATGGCCAATCCAGTTCCACCACGTTTATTAGCTTGTTTTTAATTGAATACAATGTTGCTTCCTTATAGACAAAGGCCATACTTGCTAACTTTAACTAAATTTGGGTTTGGAGAGTTTTAATCTGCCTTTGTGTGTAGGTAATTAGAAGTATAAAGAAGATAGCATTTTATCCTGTTACAGAATGTAGGTTCTGGAAAAGTGATACAAAAGCTTGAGATATATAAACAGACTTAAAAAATAGATGTTGGCCTTCATTTCCTCAGTGATGAGAGGACTGGCAAGAAATGTCCAAGTATACAATCCTACACCTAACAGCCTCGATGTTCGCTGGGACCCTGCTCCAGGACCTGTGCTGCAATATCGCGTTGTGTATTCTCCTGTGGATGGCACAAGACCCTCAGAATCTGTAAGTAATTTTGTCATGGAAACTGCATTTCCTGGTGAATGTAGTCACATGTTTGTGTCACGTTTGATAGCCTGGGAGAACACAAACCACAAACATGCCAGTGTATAATACTTAAATTATTGTTTTTGATGACTTGAGGTAGGTGTATTAATTATAGGGTTAGTAAGAATAAAAAGAATTTTGGGAAAATGTGAATTAGCTGGATGAGTTAAAAACCCCAGTAATAAATGTAAATCATTGCTAGACCTTGTCAATATGTCTTTGTTATGAAAATAGTTTAAAGTTTACCTTCACTGGTTCTTACAAATTGCCCAATCTATCTTTCATTCATAACATTATTCAGTTTTGTAAGTAGACTAACAATTTAGAAATCAGAAATTGCTAATTTCAATAAGCATAGTATCAGAATACCTAAAGGAAAATAAACCTATGAACTAATTTGACTTATAGTCTTTGCAAAAATAAACAGTGTTGACAAAGATAAACAAATGATTAACAATATATGCATTTGGCAAGAACACTGATTTTCATGCCCATGTATGGTAGGACATATTAAGACAACTTTACCTGTATGTATTGTATGGAGTCTCTATTTCAACACAAAATCTCCCCCACCACAATAAGAGTTCCTATTCTTGTGTATTTAACATGCAGGATGTTTTTTGGGGAAATATCATGAGCTTTGCATGTTATATTTGAGAATCTTTATAACAAACATAAACGGAGATAACTGAAGCTACTAAGGGTCAAGGATGAGGTCACTTTTTTGGAAAGGGAATTTCTGAGGACAAATTTTGTTTAATGATATGGTCTGGGTGGATCTTATGGAGAAGCACAGTTGGCTTCTGATGTGTCTGGGCTCAACATTTTATTATAAATACTATTGTGATGACTAACTGAAGACTTGGTAAGCATTTGAGTTGTTGTCAGGCAGAATTTGGCATTTCCTCTCCTGCAGATAGTAGTGCCAGGAAACACGCGCATGGTGCATCTGGAGCGGCTGATTCCGGACACACTCTATTCCGTGAACCTTGTGGCTCTGTACTCGGATGGAGAGGGAAATCCCAGCCCTGCCCAGGGCCGAACGCGTGAGGCAGAAATCCTTTCTCCATTCCATTCCCTTGTAGCTAGATTGGCAGGGCTTCTCTGATTGAATGAGTGGTGGGAGGGGGGTGGTGAGAGATGGGTGCTTTCTGCCTGGGATCCCCTACATTTACATTCCAGGCGAAAACATTGGGTCTGTGACTGTTGTTTGTGTGACGTGAACTTCTTCTGTTCGTGTTCTCATTTGGGACATGAGTTAAGGAGGGGTTTCTCCCCTTTTTCCCCTCTTCTGCTCTGTATCTTCTTTTTTTCCCTCTTTCTACTCTGCAGTGAATCATCTTACCAAATGGGGACTTTGGAAATGTGAGGGTTTAGTCTTTATGTTTTATTGAATAGATATAGTTATAGTGGTTAAAATAATCCCCCTTTTTCCTAGTCTACCTTTCAAAGCTAGCTCTAGGTCACTGAAAGTTCAGCATGTAACCATAGCTCTGAAATACACTGTTTATGATTTCACATTAAAACCATAAATGTATATTTTATTATATGGGAGGAAACATCTGAGTGAATGGTGAATGAAACACATGCAAGCAACCTCCTTAATCTGACTTAGGTAATGCTCACAGGCAGGCAACAAACTCTATTGTATTTTATTTATTTAGTACCACGCAGTGGACCAAGGAACCTGAGAGTCTTTGGTGAAACAACCAATAGCCTCTCGGTAGCCTGGGATCATGCTGATGGGCCAGTTCAGCAGTACAGGATCATCTATTCTCCCACTGTTGGTGATCCAATTGATGAATATGTAAGTCTGATACTCATTTATTGGCACATTTTATCATCTTAGCTGAATGGACAGTGAAGTTAAACTTCTTTAGAGGTATGCTGTGAGTACGGTTGAGTCCTTGATAGTCACACTTTAGGATTTTCTCTGACATGACGTTGGGACCACCCAAATGTGCTTACTTAGTCTTTCTGGCCTCCCATACCACAGAGAAGCAATGTCTTTGGGCTCATTTTTATTCTAAAGACAGATAGAAAAACTATCTTATCACATGATTAACTGAGCATTTCTAACCACCTAATGACACCACAGGAACCAAGTTTAGTGAAATGTGATACCTATCATTCTGGAATGTCTAAGTTAATATTCAAATAATGTATTTATCCAAATCTTACCCTTTCCTCAAATCTAATTCCTCTACAAGGTCTCCCTTAAATATTCCAGTGTTAATTGATCTCTCTTTTCTTTAAACTTAACATTTTGCGGTACACTTTAGTTTTGGAATATAAATACTCTCCTATTAGCTTCAAACTTTTTGAGTGTCATAGTTTGTCTTTCCAGAACCAGATTCAAGTTTCTGGTAGCTTCCTCATAGCCCTCACTATGCACATCCATTTGTTATGAGTGGAAAAATGGAAAAACTAACTGCTTTATTTGAAATTTAGTGATTAATTGCTGTGATACATTTGCAGAATATTGCACAAGATGTTGATGGTAAATTAGGTCTGTGGTTTGCCATCTTTTTACCACATAGATCGTCTTAGATAATTTTCCCTCCCTGAGCCCCATGTGATGAAATATTTCATCTACTGGAACTTGATATAGTAACCTTTAATTCAAGTCCCTATTTTTATTAATAAGAAACACATGTAACTACCATTTATAGTTTCTGATCAAAATGAGATAAACAGTACTACTACAGTTAGTTTGCCAAAGCAGAGAAACTCATGGTTAGTGTTTGTTCAGCCTTGCCATGGACAAATATGCAATTTCCCTTTACTTTCCGAAAACATTAAAAATACAATTTATCATTTGTAGTTATAGGACTCCAGGCCAGGATTCACTGGCATACCTTATCCATGTTGTTTGTAGAAGCAAAGCATAGGTTTAGAAGAGAGATTGAGATGTCTGGTTCATTTCCTCTTCGAAGAGGTAGTTGAATGTATTCCCATCTGTTTCAGCTAACTAGTGTCAGCCAAACTGATATTTTTGAGGCCAGAAAGTTAGTCAATTTTTGCTCACCAGTGGATTCCCAGTAGCTAATACCTGTCCCACTGTGCCTGGTCCACAGCGGGTACTGGGTACATATTTGTACATGAAAATGGAACATGTGATGATGAGATCTGAAGGAAACAAACTTACTACTGAGTGCTGGAATACTCAGTAAGGTGTTCTGAAGCACACATGGCATTGCTTTTAATACAGTTTTCTTCAAAGATGTTAAGTCACGTGGCTGTTAAGTGGCTGATCTGGGATTTGAACCCAGAGCTGTCTGATTCTAAAACCACTCTCCTATGCTGCAGAGAAGAAGTGAAGATAGTTTGTCTTGTCACGAGCATTGTGTAACAAAAATAAAATGTGAAAAAAACTACTATTACTGTTTATGGGAATACATAAAACAATACTGTCTTTTGATCTGGAAGTCTTCTAGATGGTAATATATTTATAATTTAACTTCCTCTATAGACCACAGTCCCAGGCAGAAGAAACAATGTAATACTGCAGCCCCTGCAACCTGACACTCCATATAAAATTACTGTTATTGCTGTTTATGAAGATGGAGATGGTGGCCATCTAACAGGAAATGGAAGAACTGGTAAGTGTTTTGTACTCCCCCTTTTATTTTTGCTTTGAAATTGTCAATATGTTAATGTTGCTTTTATACCTTTTAAAACCTAAAATTTTATCTTTACCAATACATCTCAAATACCACACTAATATTGTATTATTTTTATTAGACATTAAATTTTGTCAAAATGATGACATGTGAAAGGAATTTGTTTTTAACTTTTTAAAGGTCCACTAAGAGAAGAAAAAGAAGACCATGTACATATTTTTATTCGCTTAAGATAGTTTTATTTCTTCTTTGGAAAACTATTGCATATTCTCTGAATAATGTTTCAACTGGTATGGTGTCAGTTAAGACTAAATTGTTAAGTCAATATAGTATCAGTAAGAAATATTCCATTGCGATTGAATCTTAAGCCATAAATACAGAAATGAGATGATGAGCAATCATTTTCTGTCTACAAATTTAGCTTTTTCTAAAAAAGAAAAATGTATTTTTTATTGTACTAAGCAATTTGCATAGAATTATCAATGTTCAGACCCATTTTTACACTATACTGGTGGTAATTTCTTAGGGTTTAAAAATTCTCTAATGTGGTTGCTTGCTACAGTCACCTGAGGAGCTTTAAAAATACTTACGCCTGGGTTCCACTCCCAGAGATACTGATGTAACTATGTGAGGTGTGGGCTGGACCTGCTGATGTTCTAATTAATGTGCAGCAATGGCTGAGAGCCACTAGTTTAGCATAAAGGTAGGATGAACTCTAGATCTGAGTTTTGTTACTGGTAGATATTTGCATTGCTGTTTTACACTTCATTCACCAAAAATCTACTTAAGTAACATGACTTCAGGTGTCTTTCTGCAGTCACTTGCCAAAAGTCTTTTTGTGCTTAAATGATCTTGACAACATTACAGAATTTGAAGAGGTGACATTTGAAAGCTCCTAAGGGAAAAGCAGGACTAGAGTTGACTCAGCTCAGTCTCTCAAGGTCAAGAATCTGTATTTATTGATATTGTTGTCTACAGACTGAGTCAATGGAGACTCACATGACTCAAGATGATTTTAACAACCTCACTTTTTAAATTTTCTCAGATTTTAGACTATATTTTGGGACTTTCCTGGGGAAAATGGCATATTTCAGAATTTCATGCTATCAAAGTGGATTTTTTTTAACTAGATCTTGGATTTTCCAGGAAGGGCCAAAGTCATGTTTTGTTTTTCTTATGAAAAAGAAGTTTTTCAAGTTGGATTCGTTATTTGCGCAATGCTGTGAATAGTAAACTCAGCAACTACTTAACATACTACCTGAACAGCATTGATTTTATAAGTTGTGGGCTTGGGGGCAGTATCTCTGGAAGCTTAAGGATTTATTCTAGGTAATGGTGGTGGAGGATAGAGAGGTACAGGGAAAAAACATTATTAGGTAGCTGGGGTGGTTTTGGGCAAATAATATCTTATGTATTTGATGAAGTGGTTGGACTAGATAGTTTCTAAATTGCTTTCTGTTTCCAACAATCTGTAATGTATGACATTCTAAAAATGATTTGAGATCTCTTTTATTTTCTATAATCCTGAGTCATAGAACACTTCCGCTCTGGATACTGCTTCCTGCTGAGAAGGCTGCTCTGGAAATCACTAGTTCTTGAGTCTATTTGAGTTGCTGTTTAAATTTGGAAAACTATTAAGCATTTTTTGAATACTTCAATGCCTTTTAATTGTTTTCTGGATAAAGACATTATGGGATATTATGAAATTGCTCCCATTGGGCTTTCCTACCGATACTTTTAAAGTTTTGTGCTCTCCCTGTGTGCCAATAAAAGGTCAGTAATGTGTGTCAATGTTTGTTTTCAGTGGGACTCCTTCCTCCTCAGAACATACACATCTCTGACGAATGGTATACAAGATTCAGGGTGTCCTGGGATCCTTCACCTTCTCCAGTTCTTGGATATAAAATAGTATATAAGCCAGTGGGTAAGGAAGTGCCTTTGTCATCATAGAAATGCTTTGGAGGGTTATTTGCATATGAGGGTATTTTCTCTTTCATCCCCCACTGTTGGGTTCTCCTGAGAGTTCAGATCACACCAAGTTTCCTGTAACCAAAGGCAATGTTTTTGGCAATAACATTTTAAGCCAGTCATCTAAAGTACCATTGTTATTATAGGTGTAGATGAGATTCTTATTAAATGTCATGATTAAAAAGTTTGACTTGGTTCATAAAGTTGCACAAATCAAAGATGCCTGTCTTCAGACATCCTATATGATCATGAAATAATGCATATTACATCAATATACCTATGTATTTTTCCCACTATGCCCAGGTATTATTTTATTTTGGGCATAGATTCCATGCAGCTTATTCATGACAGCCTTGCTTTCAAATCCCCTCTGAAAATTTCACCTAAATTAGTATCACCTTGATTAAATTATTTGTTATTTTTGTTTTAATATTTTGTCTGTATTCTTAGAGAAACTGGAAGAAAAATGCAGATTTCTTAGGGCATCTTCCATATATCCAGTAAGAGTATGAACTAGAAAAAACATGAAAGAGAGATGGCAAGATAAAGGAAGTAAAATTTGAACCTATGTAAGAAATAGAAAGAGAACTTAAAAAAGAAAGTGGGGTTGGTAACTAAGGAGTTTAGCAGCCAAAGTATGTGGAATGAGGTCCAAGATAGAAATTCTTAAATTATCTCTACAATAAATGAAAAAGTGTCAGTTGGACACCTACTATATGCAAAACACTATGTTGGCAAAATAGGGCTTGAGAAAGAAGCTTGAGAATTCATTCACTAAAGAAACATTGATTATATACCTACTATATTCCAAATACTGTGCTATGCTTTGAGAATAGGAGGGTGAAGGATTCAGTGTCTGCTTACAGTTTCATATTTGTCATATAACATAGCATGTGCCCCAGTGAGTAAGTGTATGAGGACTATGGAATTAATCGTGTTCATAATACCCTTTGACTATAAGATCTTTAATTTTAAGCAAAATTTCATGCTATTGATGGCATGTTTCTGTGTATTTTTGTGGTTGTTAATAAAGGTTCCAATGAGCCCATGGAAGCCTTTGTTGGAGAAATGACATCATATACCTTACACAATCTCAATCCCAGCACCACCTACGATGTGAATGTTTATGCTCAATATGATTCTGGACTCAGTGTCCCCTTGACAGATCAAGGCACTACATGTGAGTCATGGATATTTTCATGGTTGTGAGAAAAACTGTAGTAGAAATTACCAGGTCAGCCTGTTTTAATTTCCTGTTTCTGAACATATACATGTTTCCTCAGCATTATGTAGGCAGGCTATTTTGTGTCTGGTTAGACAAAATACCTATTCAAATACATAAATATTATAATTGAGTATATAAAAATATATATGGTGAGAAATTTGTGTATTTCACATAAAATATTATACTTTGAATTTTAAAAGATAAAAATTATAGAAATTGTCATTTTATCCATGAATGACCTGTAAAATTAGATCTGTGATGCTACTTAGTTCTTCTTGACATTTGATACCAAGATATATATTACCTAAATTCATTGATTTAATTTGACTTAATTATTGAATCATGATTAGTGTGATTCAGTCCACAGATATATTTTAAGGTCACCATTGCTTTGATAACTATTTAACGACTTAGCAGATAGCCTTTTAGAAATTGTTTTCATTATTTTCCATGAGATGTTTTTGAAATTCTTAGTTTTGAGAGGGACTATATGGAATTTCCTTTCCTTGAAAATCAGCGAAAGAAAGGGGGGTCTATTTTGGCAGTACCACATTTTTAAATATGATTCATGTATGTTTCTTATAAGGAAACATAATACAATTTTGAACTTTTTTTTAGCCACAGTGAAAGTTTGAAAATTGTGTTATGATTAAAAGTACACTTTTTGCCTCAATTTACAAAGTAAATCTCTTTCTTTCTTTATTTTGTAGTATATTTAAATGTAACAGATCTGAAAACTTACCAGATTGGGTGGGATACATTCTGTGTCAAATGGTCACCTCACCGGGCAGCCACCTCCTACAGGCTAAAACTAAGCCCTGCAGATGGTATGTGTGTAAAAAAGAAAAAAATGATCTGGAGCATGTAGTGGAAACATTTTAAATTTCAGTAAAGAAGATGCCATTTTGTTTATAACAATGCGATATAAAATTTTCTTGAAATATAATTGGTGATGACACTGGCATTTTCCTTTGTTGTCATAATCAGGAACAAGGGGACAAGAAATTACAGTGCGTGGATCAGAAACCAGTCACTGCTTCACTGGCCTTTCACCAGACACTGATTATGGTGTCACTGTTTTTGTGCAGACACCAAATCTCGAGGGACCAGGAGTCTCTGTTAAAGAACATACCAGTAAGTTTTTGAGGAATCTGGAAAGCTTTCATAAGGCTTTAGAATAGAATGCTCTAGGTAAGGAAGACTTAAGTGAATCCTGTGCAGGTACCTCTCCGTAGGGGTAGCAATAATGATGGGATGATGGCAGATTCCTGAATGTGGAGTCTAAAGCTGGTTCAGGACCTTTTTCTGTAGCAATTTGCAAGTTGTCCCTGTTATTGAGTTGGTGCTACTTTGAGGAAGGGCTAAAGGAGGGAGAGATGGCTCTCGCTGAGAAGGTGAATTCATATTAGTGACTTTTACTCATTTGACCCTATCTGAAGGCCTTACATTTTCCCTTTAGATCTTTATTTTCTGTAGCTGTAGTGGATGTTGAATGACTACCAGTGACATCAATTTGGATGGAATAAAATCCCCAGCATGTCAGTACCGATGACAATGGTGTCTCATTTTGTACGACTTGATTTGGTATCCAGGATTTAAATTGCTCTTAAAATTTACTTTCTGGGATATCAAATGTGCACATGGTGTGTTTTTATAATTATTATTTTTAAATTTTAGCTGTGAAACCAACAGAAGCCCCTACAGAGCCACCCACACCTCCTCCCCCTCCCACCATTCCACCAGCCCGGGATGGTAAGTACAGCTAAATAGGCAATACGTTCAGCTGATAGGGAGTTACAGACTTCTTATTTACGCTGCATGTGCATCATTTACAATTAATATAGAACATTTCTGATCTATTATTGCTGCTGAAGAGTTTTTAGATTGAAAGAAAAGATAACCAGTAATTTGTTTCTCTCCATCTCTGGGCACATTTTGGTGTGAATAAAATCAGTCATAAATTATTCCAGATCTTCAGCTGGAAGTCTGTTTCCTCAGTTTTACAGATTTAGGTCTTCCATGGTCCATAGTTACATGGTGGACATTTCTTTCTGCTAGCTGCTGGCATCAGTAAGCGCTGTGAACCCTTTTGGCTATATTTGCGACCGAAGCCCTGAGGCTGTTGGCTTTAAAATTCCTGGTGTCCAACCTGAGAAGTTCCCTGGATTATACAATGCTAAAAAATTTTCCATTCACCAAAATTTGAAAGATAATTGTAACTTGCAGTGAACTGGTGAAACGACATACTGATTTATTAAGGTTGATCTCTCAGCATTTGAGGGCAATTCTCTAGCACTTTGTCAAATTAAATTTAGTTAAATAACTACTGTATTATTCTTTTCTCATATGCTGTTTCCAGCATTTAATAGAAAGCATTTCAGATATTTTTATTTTATCTTAGAAGGATGTCGAACGTTACAACTTCGTTAAACCTATTATATAAGTAAAATTAAAAATTAAAAGTGTATTATTGTGGGGTAAAATAATAATGGATTCCTTTAAATTAGATACAGAAAGAAATTCAGTAAATAATCTTGGTTTAAAAACAAGTTTTTTCTTTTTAAATAGGCTTTATTTTCTAGAGTAGTTTTAGGTTCATAGCAACATTGCAGGGATGATGCAGAGATTTTTCATCTCCCAGACAGACTGCCCTTCCCCACACATGCCCAGCCTCCTCCACTATTAACATCCCACATCTGAGTGGTACGTTTGTTACAACCGATGAACCTACATTGACACATCATCACCACCCAAAGTCCACAGTTTGCGTTAGGGTTCACTCTTGGTGTTATACTTCTATATGCTAAGTTTTTATAAACTAAAATTTTGTTAATTGTTTTTGGAATTTTTTCTTAGCCTCTAAGTCTAGATATTCCAATAAAAATCTTCTCCTTTCCTGCATATGATTCTAGTGGCTTAATTTAAATTTTACAAAGGACTTGGCCAGGTGCGGTGGCTCACGCCTGTAATCCCAGCACTTTGGGAGGCCGGGACAGGTGGATCGAGACCATCATGGCCAACATGGTTAAACCCGTCTCTGCTAAAAATAGAGAAATTAGCTGGGCGTGGTGGCACATGCCTGTAGTCCCAGCTACTCAGGAGGCTGAGGCAGGAGAATCACTTGAACCTGGGAGGTGGAGTTTGCAGTGAGCCAAGATCATCACACCACTGCACTCCAGCCTGAAGACAGAGCAAGACCCTGTCTAAAAAAAAAAAAAAAAAAGGACTTATTTGCATAAAGTCAATCTTTAATAATTACATTTCAAATCTCCAAACTTTTTATTTGATTTCTCCTCTCATTTATTGTTCAAAACTACTTGAAGAGTTCCATTAAGTAAGATTGTATCTTTGCATAATGGATCTAAACAAATGGAGTAATTCCAGAGCAGGTATTGAGGGTCCCCGCAATGCTTCTTAAATTTATTGTGCATGTGAGTCATCTTATTACTGCTGGTACTGATTCAGGAAGTCTGGGGTAGGACCCAAGATTCTGCATTTCTAACAAGCTCCCAGGCAGTGCTGTTGCTGCAGAACCACACTTTGCGTAGCAAGGTGTTATATTGCATTTTCAATTATGTGATTTCATTTAAATGAAAGAATTCATGAGATTTGGGGCTTCCTCTGCTTTCTTTTTTTGCAGTATGCAAAGGGGCCAAGGCAGATATTGTGTTCTTGACTGATGCCTCCTGGAGCATTGGGGACGATAATTTTAACAAAGTTGTAAAATTCATCTTCAATACTGTGGGAGGCTTTGATGAAATCAGTCCTGCTGGGATTCAGGTTAGTGTCATTCCGCCAGTGGCTACTCATTTGTGATGTCTTGCCTTTCCTTTGAACTTCTCTTTTTAAGTAAAAAGTCTTTTCAATATAAACTCTGTTTTGACCTTCTCCTATTTGCTATTTCTTTTATTCATGTATTTTTGGGAGGGAATTGGGTATAAATGATAAATCAATAGAAAAATAAATGTTCCCTTAGTTTTTATCTTTGGCTAGATAATATTCCTGTTGGAGAACTTAGGGGATTCTAAGGGACTCTAACTTCCTGCTTAAAACTTCCAATCATGACACATTTCTATAGAAGTTCATCCAAAGTTCTGGATATTAAATTCTTTGTGATTGTCATCCCCTGTGAAGTTAGAAGAATCAGTGATAAACAGTGACTGGAGTGGGTGTGTGGAACTTGCTGCCTCTATCATTACTTTGCAGATAATTACCTTGACCAGAAGAAGGTCCATTGTTGAGCTAAAGCGTATTTCATTTGTTTTTTTAAAAGGATAACTACCAATTATCTTGCTCTGAAATCACTCCAAATATATTTGTTATACTGAAGTACTTAGAGAAGTTTATATTTCCATGAGGGAGGGGCCTCAAAGAATAAATCATCATGTAACCCTAACACAGTTAAAAGACCCAATTAAAATTTCACCCCCTCTGGTGAGGTTCCATGATGGCTTTACCCATTCCATGCTTTTGAATTATTTTGTCTATATTGCTGCATTACAACAAATATCACTTCATATTGTCATTAATTGTGTGACTCTGTTCTGTCTAATCTTCTATCTAAATCATTGACTCCTTAAAGCAGAAGACTATCTTTTTAAAAAACAATTCTCTCCTTTTCTTTCCCATTTCTTTGGTGAATTTTCTTCTTTATTTTGGCAGTTTGATCATCATTGTGGCATTATGAAAATAAGCTATTTTGAAATAAACCACAAACAATTTCATCAACAAAACTTGTCCTCTTTTATGGAATAGTAGTATACTAAATTTCAAATCCTCAAATAATCCTCTGGACATTGATCCAACCCAAGAAGAGTAAAAATTCACCCTAGTTATATTCTTAATTTAATGTGGTTATATTCTTAATTTAACCACATTAATTCAACTAGCAAGCTTTTTTCATCCTTTTAGGAATTTGTATTTCTAAAAAAAATACTGATCATATTTTATTAACATCTATGTACCAGTTACTTTGTATACAGGATTATTAGTCTTTAAAACAATCCTAGAAGGTAAGTATAGTTATCCTCATTTTACTGATAAAAAAAATCCATTGTCACATAGCTATTAAATGCCAGAGCTAGGATTTGAACCCAGCGATTCCTGAGTACAAAGTCTGTACTTTTTCCACTAAATCCCATTTTCAATGAGGTTGTGATGAGGGATGATTATAATCACACATGTGACATTTCTGTATTGCCATAAAGAACGGATATAGTCAGTGGGAAGTAGCAGTTGGCTGAGTCAACTGTTTAACCAACATTTGGATTCGAGATGGTATGTTCTCATGTCTAATCCTGGGATCTCACCACTCCCCACCTTTATTCATCCCTTTCTATGTCCTAGAGAAAGGCACAACGTGAATATAGTATATTTTCATTATTAATGCCAATTATGACAATTTCATTGAAGATTGAAAATTAACGAATTTAATGAGACAAGTGCAGTAGATGTTGTAATATTAGCTATAAAGAGCTTACAATATTCTATCAGGTCTGAGATACTTTTTACACCCCCACCGCTTTATTCCGCAGCTAGAGAATCATTTGAAGATTGAAACATAAAATGAGATGACTTATGCTCACTGCCAAATCACATTTTCCTTCAGGTTTCATTTGTGCAATACAGCGATGAGGTCAAGTCTGAGTTCAAGCTGAACACGTACAATGACAAGGCCCTAGCCCTTGGGGCCCTCCAGAATATTAGGTACAGAGGAGGAAACACAAGAACAGGTATGTGTATATGTAGACCTTTACTCTTCAAGCATTTGTAGTGGCAGAACTGAGTGTATTATCTCATGCTGATATCCAGATTCTTATCAGTTGGGTGTGACTAATGGCATTTGGGTAGTTTTCACTGAAGTGACACTAAAATTTTCCATGCCACATTCTGTAGGCAAGGCCCTCACGTTTATCAAGGAGAAAGTCTTGACTTGGGAGAGCGGCATGAGGAAGAATGTCCCTAAGGTGTTGGTTGTGGTCACGGACGGTCGGTCCCAGGATGAGGTCAAGAAGGCGGCTTTGGTCATCCAGCAGTCAGGCAAGCACATACATGAATTTGATTGCACTTGAAATTTTAACATTTTTAAATGTTCACAAATGATTGCAAAAGACTAAATTTGCTGATGTTACTTTATTGTTTCTGTTTCACTCTGCACGGTATACCTTCGTAATGCTAGTTTATATTTAATTATGGAATGGTTTGCAACTGCTCAAAAATGACATGGGGTATTCTTTGTATAAGATGTGGTTCAGGATTGACAAGGGGCAAACCACATTTTCCCATACTGGCTGGAAGGCTACAGAAAGCAATGATAATGAGATGATGCTAGAGCAGGCTTCCTGCCATAGCAGAAATGAATCTTGATACTGCTTCCTGTGCAAGGAGAGAAAAAAGGAAGCCTTTAGCTTTAGCACATCTTTGCAGATGCAGACTTAATGAGTGCTAAAAGATATGTTGCAAATAAGGAGTATTGAGGTCTTAGGGAGTCATCTGTGGGATAGATCTTGCCAATCAAATATACTGAGAGCCTCCTGGTAACACTGTTCTTTGGATTAGTTATTTAAGATCATTAGAGGTGAAAGTAGATCTTTCCAGTACTTGCATTAACAGCCCCCCTACCCCCTGCTGTCCCAAGCAAGGTCTAAGGTGGATATATTTTTAGAGAGAATCTTATGCATAATTTGTTGTAGTAAATTATAAAGTAATTACATGGAACTTGTCATCTGTACATGCATGATTCTTTGGCTAAATTTATGAGTTATGATTAGTGCTAAGTCATACTGTCTTTTTTTCAATAGAGGTTGTTCTTGCTGATCTTTTATAAAATGTATTGCCATTATGTTATACACCTTACACAGATTTCTGCATGTTTGTGACTCCTGGTAGATTTAAGTTTGGGCTTATAAATATTTGCTTCTCACGTTACCTTATTTATATCTAAATATATTTCTAATTCCTTATATAGCTTTTTTTCCCCTGATGTCAAATTTAGCTTTCGGAGTGAAAAATGTGCTTATTTGTCATAGCCTAAATTTGCTTATTTGTCATAGCCCGTCTGTTGCCAGTGAGAGTTGTAGATTCCATTTTCAAGATGGCCAGAGTTCTGCCTTTGAGCCTGAGTTTCCTGAGAAAATCAGTTTCAAGAACCCAGATTTTAAAATAAGCCCATTCTTGACTTCTGAGTCACATAAGCTTAAAATATTAATGGCTGCAGAACTCATGTGTGTATCAGGACTGTGGATCTGTGGAAGGCAGTGTGCACCACATGAAGTCTTTCTGCTATTAAAATCTTCCTATTTGAATTGTTGGGATTTTATCTTAGGAAATCAAATTAAATGAATTCTTTAGACCAGAAAATAGAAAGACCTGGAAAAAGTATGTATTTATTAAAGAGAGTTCACGTCAAGTAAAAGGACTTGCTGCATACATTAAGAAAATACAGCATCATTTCTGATAAGAATTTTTTTGCATTGTTCTAACAACAAGGACAGAAAAAGAGATACGTGATTCATTCTATAAATGCTACTTTGCAGGGTTCAGTGTCTTTGTAGTTGGTGTGGCTGATGTCGACTACAATGAGCTTGCCAACATTGCCAGCAAACCAAGTGAACGGCACGTGTTCATTGTGGACGACTTTGAATCTTTTGAGAAGATCGAAGACAATCTTATTACATTTGTTTGTGAAACTGCCACTTCAAGTAAGTCACAGTCAACATGGATCTATAACCTCACTTATTCTGAAAAACAATTACTTAGTAGACAATTCTATATCCTTTGTGGGATCAAGTCTGTGCATAAATAGATCCTGGGAAATCACTTGAGAACCTGATGAATCACTGTTCCTATTGCGATCATGCTAAATGTGTGCTTGTCAGAAATCCATTTTTAGCCTTGAATATGTAATTTCCTTGTGTGGAAATAAAGTGTTTCAATATATCCTTTTCCCACCACCCCAATGCCTATGACATTTGGTTAAATTAATCTCAGCCTCAAATTGCATATAGAAGGCGTTTCTGTGAGATGAAGGTTTTCCCCATTAGTAATCAATTGGTATTTGTTCTGTCAACATCCGTGCTTCAAGAGAGCAATGAAGAAAAATGGTTCCTCAGAAATTCATTTGGTTCCCATTTGTTTGTTTGGGTTTAGATTTTCAAGTTCAGCTTTTTAACTACAGTGAAGAACCAAAAATTGATTATTTAAGTCGATTTATTCTTATCACCATCCATTAACACCAATTCTTGGGGTATAGGTTATGGAGGCAATTAATCCTCCATAATTACCAGGAGGCAATTTATCCTACATAATTGATCAGGGGTCTGTGGCTAGTCCAGACCCCTGATCCTAGACAGGGCTATGCTTTACAAATATAATATTCCCCTCCATTAAACATTATTTTAAAAACAAGAACTCTGGTTAGAGTAAACAGACTTTGTTGGTTTACTATGAAAATTTATGCTGAAGTTCGGAGTGGAGCTGCACTGATGAAAGTGAGTAGGGGGCTGGAGTGGTTTCTCTTCTGTCCCAAGTAGTCCTGGATGCAGCCATCTGGTACCCTCAGCTCTGAGGGGTCCAGAGCAAAAACTACTGCACACTTGTTACTGTTACATGGTGTTTGGTAGCCAGTGTGAGGCTTGGAGACTTGGCAGAGAAGAGGGTTGGGGATGGACAAGCTCCTCCTACCTTTGCAGAAATCTAAAATTCCCTGGGAGGGAAGTTCTTTAAATCTATTGAAAAATGTGAAAAATTCCTCCTGTAATTCTTTTTTATTATTTTTAAGAGTACTGTAAAAGTCCAATTGGATTAGAGAATGTTAGGGAAATATTTGTTACACTGGTTAATAGTATTTCTCCTACACGTAGGAAATGTACAAGAAATAATGTATAAAATATTAAATTGAGAAGTTATTTTAATAAATGAACAATGTCATTTATTACTTGAAATACGTTCATTGCTACTTTCTGTGCATATATAATTTGTACATCGTGTTGGTGAATCATACTTAAAGAACACTGTACATTGCAGGTTGTCCTCTCATTTATTTGGATGGCTACACCTCACCAGGTAAGCATTTATACTTTGGGGCAAATTAATTTCCAGATTTAAGCAATAAAATAATTAAAATGTACTCCGTTTAATATTTTCTTTTCTGATGTAAAGGTTTTAAAATGCTTGAAGCATACAACCTGACAGAAAAGAATTTTGCTTCTGTACAAGGAGTATCTTTGGAGTCAGGGTCTTTCCCCAGCTACTCAGCATACAGGATTCAGAAGAATGCGTTTGTGAATCAGCCTACAGCGTAAGTGTGACAACAGGAGGTTTTCCTTTTCTTAAGACCTGCAAAAAGTTCTTGGAATATTTGCTGACTTCCCAGAATCCTGGGACTTTAGAATTGTCAGAAGACTGCTTATGGATGACCCTGATTGGTTTTCTTAAATACAGTTAGGCTAATTGTTTCCAGGTTACATAGTTGTTTGCACACAGGAGACTAAGACTCAGGCCTCGTTATTGCCAGATCCAAGAAGCTCATGCTGGTAACAGATTACTGACCCTTTTGAATTTAAGGCTAGAAAAGCTGTTAAAACAGGAAGGCAACTTAATATTTTGAACATCTCTCTCTGTGGTGCAGAATACTGGATGGAATAAGTGCAGACCGAGAGCATTCTTTTTAGTGTTTCCGACCTCTAGAAAATGAAAGGTAGTGTTTCTTGTCCATGATCAGACAGTTGGCATGTAGTTTTTATTGGCTGATGCTCTAGCAATCTGTTGTGTAGCTGTAGATGTTATTTTACTTCATGAATGTTTGCACCTGAGTATGATAACTGAACTCTGTATTTCTTATTCATTAAAATGAAAACTTTTTATGCTGAAAAATATGTTTGCCAATTTATGGAAAGAAAAGAACAATGAGAAATTAAGGTATTGTAAGCTCAGGACAGGGTCAGGAATGATGTCTGAAATATGAAATGCTCTGAGAAAGCTGATGGAAAATTCAGACTAAAACCAAAGCTAATTTATTTTAAGAGGCAGAGATTGTATTGTTGTAGTTTGACCACATTGTAAGTCTCTAACTCCTTTAATGGTTAACCATGTTGGCTCGGAGTTCTAGGTTTTTCAGTGAACTGTAATACCCAGTGTTTAACTCTTCCAGTCAGCTCAGCGTATGATTTCTACATTTTAACTTATGACAGCCTATTGTTTTCTCAAGCATCAGAACTTTTGGCTGAAAGGAAAGAAACATAAATACAATTACATAATTTTTTCACAAGCACTAATTAAGGAAGGAGAAAAATGGGCTAGGTGAGAGATGAGTTGATGTGAAGAAAATATTTTTAACATAGAATATTATAAAGATAGTTCTTGAACGTATAAAAGACATCATGTCAGCTTACCCAGAGCATATGTTTTAAAAGCAAGATGGCATTAGTGGTGTGGTATTAGGACATGAAAGCTTTGTGTCCTCTATCAAAATTCATGGAGGAATAGCTTCTTTTCTATGAGCTTATTATCTGGTTCTTTTTCTTACCTTCAGGGAGAAAGTGTTATTAAATGTTCTCAGATAGAAAACCATCAATTCCACTTCAAAGATTCCCCCAGAACAATGATTGACTAAACTCTGGAGGGACACATGGGACCAATTTTTTGTTTTTTGTTCTGTCTTACAGCTGAGGGCCAATAAACATTTCCTTTCAATCAATTCCCATCCTTTTATCATCACTAAATGTTTGCACATGTATATGGCCTTCATATTTAAAATGGATTTTGTTTTTGGGAATATATGAGCTCTGGGGGTGATTTATTTGATTTCAGGGGAGAAATTTGGAAGTGTAAAAAGTATTACTGATAGGGAGGGAGAGAGAAATTAAAACCTTAAGCCATTTTATGATCTCATACAGCTGACATTGGAAATTAAGTATATTTAGTAAGATTCATTCTCTTTAAATGATACCCATAGTCATAATGTTTATCATTCTAAAATTATCATATAATTTTATAATACTCTGTGTCTAGAAAAATTAGTTATTAATAGTAGGATAAAAGACTATTTTGTAATTTCCCAGACTTTTGTGACTTTATCAAATTAGAAGTAATCGATTATAATTTACATAACTGGTCTTTAGTGCTTGTTCTTTTGATGTGCTTCCTAAATTTTTCTCCTTCTAAGGAGAAGTCAGAAGGAGCCAGATTAGTATAAATAGCCTCTAATACTACCCATATGAGATTCTGGTGCAAAGATTTAAAAGAGTATCTGTTCTTGATGTTAAAGCAATCAATCTTTCTTTCTTCCTTTCTTTTTTTCTTTCCTCTCCTTTTTCTTTCTTTTGTTTTATCCAACAGAGACCTACACCCAAATGGACTCCCTCCTTCATACACGATTATATTATTATTCAGACTTCTCCCAGAAACTCCCAGTGACCCTTTTGCAATTTGGCAAATCACAGACAGAGACTACAAACCACAAGTTGGAGTGATTGCAGATCGTAAGAATTTTTATCTTAAGGCACATGCATACTTAGTTTTGATTATGTTTTTCTTTTCTCTTTTAAAAAACTTTCTGAATATAGACTATATATATATTTATTTGATATATACTTTTATGTTTGAACTTTTCCAAGTATAACACATCAGTAAATATCCTAATTGCATTTTATCATAACTGAAATTATTATATTTTTAAAGAAATCTCTCCAACAAGAATTATTTGCTAATACTTTAAATAAAAATTATACAATGCATATGATTTAATAACACTTTTATGTTGATTACAGCTTCTAGCAAGACGTTATCATTCTTTAACAAGGATACAAGAGGCGAGGTGCAAACTGTTACATTTGACACAGAAGAAGTAAAGACATTATTTTATGGAAGTTTTCACAAGGTAAAAACATAAGATTATTTGAGTCTTATTTCTAGAAAAAAATATAAAACAAATTTATTATTTATTAAAATGTCATGTTAAATTGGCAGAATTATAACTATGTCTTTTAAAAATAAAATCTTGTTTTAGAGAATTTGGTTAATTCAAATAATATTTAAAATAAAACAATATACTAATCAAGAGATAACGAGTAATATTTTGATTTATTTTTAATGCTTATTTCTTTTTAAAATTTGAATCATACTATATATAACATTATCCACCTACTTTTCTGCTTACCATTTGGTTATGAATCTTTATGTTATTTAGTTTGAAAAGCTTAATTTTAGTGGATTATGTTTTAATTGATAATATTTCTTCTGCTTGCTTTTTATTGAAAAGTACAAACATGCCAGTGAAATGCAGAAATTGATATTTCTTCTGCTTGTATTTTATTGAAAAGTACAAACATGCCAGTGAAATGCAGAATAATTATTTTTATCAATCCAAAAGTTATCAATATCTACCAAAATAATTAAGATAAATGTTTATGAGATTAATTTTTATGTGAACACACTTATTCTTTAAAAACACAATTCTCTAGAAAATCTTATTAAAAGTTCTAAGATGCATTCTAGGGATTGTCTATTCTTGATCATCTTAATCAATTTTCTGTATGTCAACATCCAGCAGATAGTAGAAACTTTTTTTTTCAGGTTTCTAAAGGACAATTCGTTGACAAATAAGAAGCACTTCTTACTTAGAAAATACTGAAGTTAGAAGCATTAGAAATAAAAAGAACGATCTAGGTTAGGAATGGAAGTTAGGAATAGACTTTTTAAAAAAACTTCTATTTTAAGTTCAGGGGTATGTGTGCAAGATGTGCAGGTTTGTTACATGGGTAAACGTGTAATGGGGGTTTATCATACAGATTATTTTGTCACCCAGGTATTAAGCCTAGTATCCATTAGTTATTTTTTCTGATCCTCTCCTTCCTTTCACCTGACACCCTCTGATAGGCCGCAGTGTGTGTTGTTCCCCTTTATGTGTAGGAATTGACTTTTTAATAGTATTTCTTCATCCATTGGATTATGTTAACAGGAATACCAGTTGTTGCACAGA
Source organism: Homo sapiens (assembly GCF_000001405.40). Taxonomy (NCBI): domain Eukaryota; kingdom Metazoa; phylum Chordata; class Mammalia; order Primates; family Hominidae; genus Homo; species Homo sapiens. Next base: position 75,112,102 of record NC_000006.12, on the reverse strand, counting down.
TGCTTTAAAATTTCTCCAGTGTGGCATGTAGAAAGATTAGCCCTTATACATAAAAGACAGATGTTTCCAGTTCAAGCTGATTCTCAAGTGAAAATTGAAGAAATTTCTTCTACCTGAGTAGATTTAGCAGTATTTCTTACTGTTTCTACTCCTGAGGAATCTTGCTTTCTTTCCAGAGTGTTGTTCTTATTCATTAATCAGATTTTTGATAAGGATGGTAAAGGACTCTCCTCATCAAGCTTAAGGAAGCTTCAATGTACATATTAGTGATAACAAAAAAAAAAGGAAAAACAAAAATCCCTGAGTACAATCGTATATCTACTTAAAGGTTTACAGACCTCCATAGTGAAGTGCAGTAAAATAAATGCCTCATCAGAAAAGCAAGTTCTACTTTAGCAAGTGTTATTGGCTTCAACTGATCTTTATCTGTTCTTAGATGTTGAATCTGGCAAAGGTCTGATGAACTTTTGTGGCTCAGTGAAACTTACATTTGAGTAACTTGCTAAAAAGGACTATTTTTATTTTTCCTTTCATAACCACTGAAGATATTGAGAATCTGATCATCCACTAAACCACTGATAACCATTTGGTAACTGTTATTTTAAAATTTCCAACTGTCATGGAATGCTTCATTTTATCTAAAAATTTTAAAAGGCAGTATTTTTTAGAGGTCTGTAGTGATATTAATGATTGCAAATCAGACAATTTTTTTTGACATTCTCTTCTTTATACCATTTGCCTCCCCAGAAAGGCATTTGCATTCTTGGGTTTTATATAATGCCTATTTTTTCTCCTCACAAGCTCTGTCTTTTCTTTCCAAATTCTCTACCTTCTTCTTTGTTTTTTATTTTAATAATCTTTCTTTTAGTTTCTCCTTTTTTCCCACTGTGCTCTTTTTTCTCCTCCATTCCTTAAACCCGTTCTTTCTTTTTAAACAGCTTTATTGAGATGTCATATAGAAAAATTGTATATACTTCAGCTGTATAATGAGATGTTCCGATATACACATACATTGTGAAATGATCTCCACAATCAAGCTAATTAACATATCTATTACCTCTACAGTTACCATTGTGTGTATGTGTATGTGTTGAATCAGTTTAATCTAAGATCTAGCATCTTGCAAATTGCAAGTATAAAATACCCCCATCCCATTGACCCACTCTCATCTCATCAATTCAAGTACCACCTTCAATCACTCTCAGCTGTTCACATTTTTTTACTGAGCCAAGGATTCAAGCACTCTTTCTTCACTTTCCGTCTAATTCCTGAATTGAAGTTTTTCAAACTTGGGATGAGAATGAGCAATATTTCAAGAGCAGGAAATTAGTGACAGGGAGAGGGAACTTTGGGGAGAGGGATTAACTAAAATAGTTTAATTAAGGAATGACAGACAGTTATCCATTCCTGGGGATTCTCTTGAAAAGCTTTTTTTGTGTCTCCCTTCTATTGTTGAAAGATGACATGGATTCATGTGAGACATTTATAATAAGAAAGAGAACTAGAATGGCAGAGTCTGGGAAGGGAGATGAGTGACAAGAGGGTCCCTATTTTTTTCTACTGGTCTGGGACCAACAACACATCATTTAGGAAATAGATTGGTTACTCTACACACTTGGCACAATGATCTACAGATGAAGGGCCCAATCTGAAATGTAACTATGCATTTGTTTAAACTGCAGTAAAACACACTGAATACCTTATAGCAAAATGTGCTTTTAGAATGTGTTTCTCTATGGTTAGCATTCAATGACAAGTGTTCCTGGAATAATTTTGTCACAAATTAAAAATTTTGAAATAATTTTTCTGGATACTGTGGTTTTTCACATGCCTTGTCAATGTTTGCATCTGTGGTTGTTCATATATGAGCCAAAAAGTTTTGGTTCTTATTAGATAAAAAATATCCTAGCATGGTGTTCTTCTTGAGTTCAGTATTAGTTGATTGTCCTGGGGGCATTTAAACTTTATTTTTGGTAAGTTATGTATTACTTTTATATAAAAGAAATATGGAATTTATATTTATCACAGATGCAGTAAACTTATGGTTTGGCGGTGATTCCATGTGGGAAAAATATTTAGTTTAAAAATACTTTAGAAATTATTCTTATGCTTACTGACTGAGAGCATTTAAGGGAATTTCTGTTCCTTTTAATTTGCTGCCAAACTTTTCAAAGTCATCATCAAGGGCTTACTTGAGTATTTGTGCTGTGATAAGTAGAAACTCTGAGCATAACTATAAAGACAAGGATTACCCAGGACCATTCTTTACATTGTTGAAATACAAACATTTTATTAATTATCTATACTAATAGAGTTGTTAACATTCTGTGTGTCTTCAGTAGCAAACGAAAAATAAATCAATATAAACTTCTTTCCTTAAAAGAAAATTGAATCCTGAATTCTATCGATTTCCAGAGTTGAATCCCTATAGAAGACATGTGCTAGTTCTTTACTGTATGAGGTATCTATATGGTATGCAGATTATTTCTGCCTGAGATTGGGGAACAACAAACTGAAAGTTGAATTTAGTAAAATTAGTGGAAGACATCTGAAATTTCTTTGTAGTGAATATAATAGTATATACATGATTTATTAACCTCTACTTGGGTAGCTCTTTATAGCTTACAAAGTCATTTCATCTACTATATCCTCTCTGGTCATCTCAGTAAGAGTAGATAGTGGGAAAATAAGAAATTATGCAAGTGTATGTGTTTGTAGGAAACTGAGACCAGAGGTTAAGTGGCTTGTCTAATTTCATATTATTAGCAAATGATTTCATCAACATTGCCAACTGCTCTTGGATTTTCAGAGTAAGACTTTTGATTTAGGATGAGAATAGCTTAAAAAACTTCAAAAAAATCTGATCTAAACTATGCAGAGTCAGCTAATTTTTTTAGTGTAGAAATTTTATAATGGAAACAAATTATCTTTTTAGGTTCATATTGTAGTGACCTCAAAAAGTGTTAAGATTTACATTGACTGCTATGAAATTATAGAAAAAGACATCAAGGAAGCTGGAAATATAACAACTGATGGTTATGAAATTCTTGGAAAACTCCTTAAAGGGGAAAGGAAATCAGCCGCAGTGAGTAACACATTTTTATTTCTCTTGGTACCTTGTGTTAAGATTGAAATGGCATTTTTCTAAACAACTCCTTGAGTTTTATTTTATTCTATTTTTCTCAGTGAGTTTTAAGTTGTCAAATTTCTTGGTCAGATCAAAACATTGGAAGAAGTACATTGAGAAAATATGTCCACAGAACATAATAATGTGCTTTAACTACTTGCTAGAAACAAAATAAGATGTCAAGGCACCAGGGAACACCATGTAGTCATTTTGAAACAGGATCAAATTGGAGAACACCACACAAAGAGTTGCCAACATACCCAGTGAAATAGAAAATAGTTCCTATTTTGTTCTTCAGCAATAATTGTTAATACAGATTTGTACAATCAGGATATTAAGCATTTGGGGACACTAGTTGCAACTTTCACCAGAGCCCACATTTGCTCACAGAGGAGCCATTCGGCTGCCTGTATCAAAAGGATCAGTGGAGTAGGGCAGCCAGCTGACCCCATTACTCACAACTTTCACTATCTCAGGTTTGAGGCAGGAGCGTGCCAACCCCATTTACAATGCTATCTAATAGGGAAAATTTAAATCTAAAGTTGTCATCATACCAAGTTAATTAAATTCATATTAAATGTCAATCAAAGCCAGGCACCATTGCTCATGCCTATAATCCCAGCATTTTCAGAGGCCAAGGAAGGAGAATTACTTAAGGCCAGGAGTTCAAGATTAGCCTAGGCAACATAGTGAGACCCTGTCTCTATAAAAAAGAAAAAAAAAAACCAATCAGCTGAGTGTGGTGGCATGTGCCTGTATTCCTAGCAACTTGGGAGGCTGAGGTGGGAAGACTGCTAGAGCCTAGGAATTTGCAGCTGCAGAGAGCTATGATGGCATCACTGCACTCCAGCCTGGGTGACAGACTGAGACCCTGTCTCAATCAATCAATCAATCAATCAATCAATGTCAATCAATAGACCTATTGTCCTAAAAGCAAAGCTAGCCTGTTTGGCTTCTATAGTTATTATTTTAAAAATGGCTTTATTTATTTAATTTAGCTTTCTTCCATGGACAGGATTTTCTTCTAGATTCAAAAGGAAAATTTTTATTCCACAATATAGAAACAATTAGTTCAAATGTAATAGAATTTTGATTAAAATCCAAACCTTCTGTTGAATATTGAATCTGATATTTAAGTATAACAATTACATCAGGTTTTTAAAATAATAACATTGTCTAAACAACTTTTTACTTTTTATCAAAAGTGGTTTATTTTTAAACTATAGAAAGATATAAAATATATGCTATCTTGAAATAGTTGAGGATATCAGAAAAGTTATTGGTCAAGCACTTGGTAATAATTTCTAAAAAGAAGAGCATCAATTGTAGAATAAGTGAAGACTTGTTTCTTTAATTTACTTTAATGTTACTTTTCTATAAGGGTGGGCTCTTAAAGCTTGATGTAGGCTGAGTGTGGTGGCTCATGCCTGTAATCCCAGCACTTTGGGAGGCCGAGGCGGGTGGATCATTTGAGGTCAGGAGTTTGAGACCAGCTTGGCCAGCATGGTAAGACCCCGTCTCTACTAAAAAAACAAAAATTAGCTGGGCGTGGTAGTGGGCGCCTGTAATGCCAGCTAATTGGGAGGCTGAGGCAGGAGAATCTCTTGAACTCAGGAGGCAGAGGTTGCAGTGAGCCAAGATCACACCACTATACTCCAGCCTGGGCAACAGTGAGACTCCATCTCAAAATAAAACAAAAACAAAAAACAAATTTGATTGAAATGTGTGTGGGCTTCAAATTCATTTAATTATAGAAATTAATATTCTCTTAAAAAATAACACAAGGCTGGGCACCATGGCTCACGCCTGTAGTCCTAGCACTTTGGGTGGATCACTTGAGTCCAGGAGTTCAAGACCAGCCTGGCCAACAGGGTAAAACCCCGCCTCTATTACAAAATACAAAAAAATTAGCTGGGCATGGTGGTGCACGCCTATAATCCCAGCTACTCGGGAGACTGAGGCACGAAAAGCATTTGAACCTGGGAGGCAGATGTTGCAGTGAGCCAAGATCCCACCACTGTACTCCTACCTGGGCAACAGAGTGGGACTCTGTCTCAAAAAAAAAAAAAAAAAAAAGAAAAAGAAAAAAGAAAAAAAAAAAGAAAATACCTAACAAACAAGTGGAACAAAACTCACTCAAACATTGCATTTCAGCCAAAGAGGTGAATCAAGAGTGGGAATCTCACATACACCTTTCACTTTTCTATCTCTTTCTCGTAGACATATGTTCAAACATGCATTTTGGCCAAAGAAGTGAATCAGGAGTGGGAATCTCACATACATGTTTCACTTTTCTATCTCTTTCTCGTAGGCATATGTTTTCATGGTCTTTCCTCATGAAGTAAGGATCACATTGCTCTCAATGGCTCACACCCTTGAGAGAGTATGTGTGAGAAGTTGGCAATGTTAAAATGTGGAAGTGCCAATATAAAATGTTTTTCATGCATCTTTAGCTGATGTTGCTGTTGGTTGTTTGCAGTTCCAAATCCAGAGTTTTGACATTGTCTGCAGTCCAGTGTGGACCAGTAGAGACAGATGCTGTGATATTCCCTCTAGGGTAAGTAAAACAGAATTGAATTCTGCCATGGCTTTAACAGTCCCCCAGTAATAAACCCTTGTGCCTGGGAGAGGAAGTAGCACTGCACAGTTGTATATTCAGGATGGAGCTAAAAGACACGCAATGTGTGGGTGCTCACCAGCTACTACAGAAAAGCCAGTGCCTGTGTGATCCCTCCCTCACAAGCTGGTAATACACAGACTGTTTCTGGGACTTCTCCCTAAGAGAAAAGTCCTGCTGAGTTAATGTGTTTGATAAGACCACTTACTGTAAAGCCCTCTTATTGCTTGTAAAGTATCAGCATTTTACAAAACAAGCCAGCACCTTTCTGGATGACTAAGGTTTTTTAGATGGTAGAAATAACCATATTATTTCTTTTTGAGATGATGACTTTTCTTTAATAGTATCTATGTAGGTGGTAATAGTTACAAAGTTGAACGTTGGTGATGGATTTGAAGCTTTTGGCCAGCAAAGACCCACATACATCCACAGGAAGAGTGTGCATTATTTATTCAGCAAATATTTATTGAGCACCTATTATACGCTAGGCACCAATCTGTGTGCTTGTGTTAAGCCAGTAAAAAGTGAGTATTCCAGTGAAAGGCACTGGGAGAGAAAGAATTAATAAGGACATATATACTATATTATTGAGTGAAAGTCCTAGGATGCATAACAAATCAGGGCAAAGGGACAGACAGTGATGGTAGGTAGTAGCAGCCCTCAGTGATAAGGGGAGATTTAAGCAGAGACCTGAATGAAGTGAAGGACAAAACAATGTGGATAATGGAGAAAGAGGAAAGAATTTTGGATTTTTTTCCAGATGGGAATTGATATTTGAGGTACACAACAAGTCTCTAACACTGGATTAGAGGAAATTGGATTAAATTACCAGAGATCTCAGTGGTCTTGTAAACATTTCTTTGTCAGTGAGGTTTCCTAACGTAATGCATAAAATAAAGACATAAAGGAGCACAGCAAGTTTCAACATAAGACTATTCATAATGATAATTAAAATTATTTCTTTAAGTTGGGAAACAGACTTCCTTGTGCATGTAAGTGGGGGTGGGGATGGGAAGTCATTTTTTTCCTCTAAATTTAAAGGTAAATATTCTTTTCAAAATTTCAGAGAGATGAGGGAAAATGCCCTGCTTTTCCAAATTCTTGCACATGTACACAGGACAGCGTTGGACCTCCAGGACCTCCAGGCCCTGCAGTAAGGAAATTGAAATAGATCCTCTGGTTTTTCCTTTGAAATCTTTAGAGTGATTATCTATTTGCCAATATGGAGTCAGTAAAATACTTCAATTCATCCAGGTTTTCTAGGATAGAGCAAGCTAAATTGCAGACCATCTTTTTAGTATATTTGGACATCTGAAATGGAGTAAATCGGGAAGAATATTTGATTGTGGCATTTGACATATTTCTTCAGCCGTGCAAGAATGATAATATTGGCTAGTCTTTAGGAGATTTTTTCTTAAAGATATGAACCTGGATTTCCATCTGTAATTACATGACTGAAAATTCCTTACGTCTCCTGAAAGCTTCTTATATGTTTGGTATAAAGCCACAGCTGAGAGGCTGACCCAAGAACAACTTGTTGAGAACCTAGAACATGTGCATCTTATGTAGCAGACATATCATGAGAATAACATATAGAGAGGGTAATTTACACATGTGATATCATAAACTCTGGGTTTGGAATAACTTGAGTGAGAAGACTATGACCAGATTTATGCATTGGTTGGGAGGGAAAACCAAGAAAGTGCAAGGCAAAACATTGAAGATTGCAGTGATAGAGTTCATTGATCAATGTGAAACCCCTTGAGTTAGTCGATCCAGTATCTGATCTGGGCCAGTTTTGAGGATAGCTCTAATCTCCCTTGGCTTCTTTTAAGAAAATATGTAATTAACACAGGAGGAGCTCAGGGATTCACAGAACATGAAAATTTACTATTCTTGGGTCATAGCAAATAATGTAGACCGATTTTAGGTTAATTACAAGCCAGCTCCTCATATATAGAATCAAAATGTCACTGGGGTTACCATTCTTTTTTTCTAGTAACAGTGATTTATATTTATAATCATGAAATTATGTCCTGGATGTGACTTAGATGTTTTTGAGATGTTGGGATTTTTTCCCCTGTAGTAGTGAGGTAACATGCTTGAATGTCACTGTGATATTTATTTCCTCTTTGTTCAGTTGTTTCTGAATTCCTGTTAAGTACATGTTCTAATACTCTGAGCGATTTAAGATACTCTTCTTTTTGCCCATCATTTTCCCCAAGGAATGTAATTCACATAAATCCAAAGCTCATTTTTCTCTTTATTGTACACAAGTAGTATAATGTTTGCTTTTCCCAATAAACCTCAAATTTTCAAATGAAAATTTGAAATTTGAAATATAATTAAAGACACTCAGAATGTACAAAGTTTTGAAATTCTCTTGCCTCGCATATTTGTATGACATGAAATATTTGCTTCAGTATTTTGCAAGCAGCTGTAGAATAATAATTGTCTGGAAATTGCACTTTTTCTTGAAGGACTTTTTGTATATCAACTTCCTCCTATTTTCCTATGTTCACACTACTATGTGCTCTATGTATTTTAGGGAGGACCTGGTGCTAAAGGTCCCAGAGGTGAAAGAGGTATCAGTGGGGCAATTGTAAGTATATTTTAGAGTGCATTTAAATTCTTATCTATATGTTGAAATCTGGTTGTTCAAATTTTCACAAAGGGGGTATGTGATCTTGAGCAAGTCAGCTCAGGTTCAGTGTGCCTCAGGTAATATAATTACCTCTGTCTTATCTCTGGATGTCATAATGATGGATTAGACTAGCCAGAGAAAGAAATGCATAGGATGCATGTCATAGCTGTAACAATTACACATGGGGAAGCTGCAGAAGATCTTTAAGGCCTTGGCCAGAACATGGGGAAGCAGAGGGGGTACCCACACCCCACAGGGAGCAGAGACCCGCTAGAGAGCTGGAGCCTGTTGGGAGCACTACTGCTGCTGCTTTTTTCACCAGTCTCAGAAAAAAAATGCTGAGTGGCTGCGTATGTGCTCACAAGGGGTCACCTGCCCCTTCTGCCAGCTCCACACTGGTTTTCTGTAAGACAACTCAAGCTTCTCAGGGGAATATTTTATGAAGATAATGTGTAGTTTTTGGTCATAATATAATTAATGATAAAATAACCCCATTAGGAAAGGGCAAGATTAGGATGCTAACCCAGGCCTGATGCCAAGGTTGTGCCTTTTCCATCTAGACAGATTGTAAAAGAGCTCCAGCACAGGGCACCTCATCCATGGGCATCTTTTCTTTCCTTGCTTGATTTATATATCCTTTAGTCCCAGAAATAAGCTGAAGTCTAAGAGAAATGAGGACTAGCTTAAAATAAATCAAATCCAGTGAAACTTAAGCATTTAATCTCATATAAATCTATGAAAATTAATATATGAATATATTATATGCAATGTATTTTATTTAAAAAATCTATTTCTAATAGGACTTTTATGGAAATGTAAGTGTTCTTGTAAATTTATCGTACTTTTCAATAGTAAAGGGAAGAAATTACATTAATGAATATATTCATAGATGTAGATTCTTAAAAGTTTACAAAGATTATATGATTGATGTCTTAGAGTTATGATGACAAGTGTCTGACTAAATGTCAGCACTGAAAAGGTATTACATTACTTTGTGGTTGTCTCTCTCTTGTGTATTTTAGGGGCCCCCTGGTCCTCGTGGAGACATAGGTCCTCCAGGCCCCCAGGGTCCTCCAGGCCCTCAGGGACCCAATGGACTCTCTATTCCGGGAGAGCAAGTAAGCACAAAGCCTTTCTGTATTAAATGAGAGTGGTGGATAAACATTTAGTTAAATGAATCTTTTCTACATTTTGCCAAATCAAATGTTTTCTCAGATAATTCAACGAGGTTAGTCACCGAGATAGCAGCCTCTATGATGACTGTTATTTTAGATACGTAAATAGACTATGTAATAATATAAAACTGTGTAGAAAAAATTACTGCTACTTATTTGACTTTATTAAACATTTTCTTATAAGTAAAGTAGATATCCCCTATGTTAAACTATATTCTTTTAAGGTAGGTATAATATCCCATAATTATATAAAATTACCCCATAACATTGTAAGTAGAAATTATAACACAGCATTTGTAGTTTAAAGAGTGAGCATTAATTCAAAAAAGGTTTATTCATCTCCTTTCAAAAATACCCTTCTGTGCTCATTCTGAACGCTTACACTGGATTTATGAAGTGATGAAGATTTCATAAGTGACTCATGTCTTCCTTTTTTGCTTAATCTCTGTGAAACGCCTGAGAACTGTTTTCCCATTGCTCACTCTAGGGTCGCCAAGGGATGAAAGGTGATGCTGGAGAGCCAGGACTTCCAGGCCGAACAGTGAGTTGGTCTCTAAGTTGCCCTGTCATGTGCTATTTGAAAATTTCCTTTTCTAGTGCCTCAAAAGGTGAACCCAGATTAAGTAGCAAAGCAGAAGCCTGGATATGTGTTTCACCTCATTTCCATTTCATACCCTGGTCTTAACCTTCAAGTTGGTGCTATTCAATTCAGGTATCTGCTTGTTGACTGAGCATCTACTGTATGCTTGGCAATGTGCTTGGCTCTGTTCTCCTGTTTCTATTCAGAGTCTCTGGAATTAAAAAAAAAATTTGGAAAATAACAAAGATTCTCTCCCACACAGGAAGTATATTATAATGTTTCACTTGTTTGTTTCCTTCTGTGCAGGGAACCCCAGGATTACCTGGCCCACCAGGACCAATGGGACCTCCAGGAGACAGAGTAAGTTTTCTTGAGCAGGCTACAATGATGTTGGAAATGATGTCATATGGTTGCCTATTAATTAAGAACCCTTCAAAATCCAGTTTGCAAGGCTGGTAATATATCTTGTGGAAAGCTGCAAAGCTGCAAAGCTAATGTCAGTGGACCATCCAACATCAGATCAATCTCAAGGTCTTTGAAATAAAGTGGTGGGACTCCAGGGGAGTCTTTGAAATTTTAATTTTCAGAAAATTTCTTACCATATCATATTCATAAAAAGAAGTCCAGAAAAGGAATTTTAGCTGATTAAAAAGAGATTCAAGAATCTCAGCAAATTGTTTTAAATCTTAAAATTAAAATCTTAGTTGTGAGGCAGCTTTTCTGTAACCATGAGGGTAGCCTTGACTCCCATAGCACTTTCTACAAACTCAAGACATCCTGTCTACACCTTTAGAACTCAAATACCACTTCTAGGCCTTGATGGTGGGGTAGACAGCTGGTATTTAGTAGGGAATTTGCCTGTTGGTAGCAGCTTTCAGGTTTGGTCTTGACTTAGCATGAAAGCAGTACAGGAAACCCAGTCTTCTCTAGGATAAGTTAATAAGAAGCATGGTGAACATGACCTCTATGTTCTGTTCATCAATAATGTGAAATATTTGGTTCCATAGGAGACCACAAATGCTTTAATAAAAAGAACCCAGAAATTTTAAGAGTTTCTCAGAACAAAGGAACTAATGACTTTCCAGCATCTTATGGTTCCAATAATAGTCTGAGAGTAGTTTGTATTTTGATTAATCAATCAAGTTAAAATATATGACTAGCAGCAGGATCTGAGGAAGCCAGTACTATAACAGCTGTCACTAAACATAAATCTATCAACCTTAACACCTCCAAGACACCATTGGGCAGAGAGGTAGGCCATTCAGAGGGAGCAAAGATTTGCCCTAAGATAATACAAAATGGTAGATGATATGCCAGTGAACTTTATTTGTTCCCATGCCTCCTTTTGAGTTTCGGGGAGAGAAAAGAGAGAGGTCAAAGAGAAAACTGTATTTTCTGGGATATGGGATGTGGAGGTAGTTCTGACATACACATCTTCTGACTCTTTTGAGACTGGCACTTTAGGTTTTTTTTTGAATTCTTATTTTACAGTAAAGGACAACAGTGAGAGTACATGGGTGACAAGTCAGTCTTCTTTATTAGAAAATAAACCCCAGAATATTGCAGCTGAGAAGTGGCAATGGGCTGACTTGCTTGCTGCTGCTACGACCGAAGCCTTGTTTCCATCACATCCACCCCAATGTGGGCTTCATGCAGACACACAGCGGGTTCCCTAGCACACTTCCCAGCAGGACTATCTTTCTGGACTGGTGCTCAGACAGCCATCACCATCAGGCAGCATAATTGCATCCCTGAAAAGTAAGGGACTGGAAGGGACTGTGCTCTTCCATTCTCAAATTCTAATCTGTGTCCAGCTTTGTGGTGAGGCCACCCTGGGATGAGGGCAAGAGAACTTTTCAGGAAACTGTTCTCCCTTTTCCTTCACAGCCTGTGTACCTACCTACTGCTTAGTAAACTACCACTAATGCAAAAAGGAGGGTGCATAGCTGGTGGGGTATCAACAATTTTAGAACATTAGAGAGACTTTGAGTATGGGAATCTCAGCTGAAACAAAACAAAACAAAACGTGAACTCAGTGGTGGAAGTGAAGAGAAGGAAGCACAAGAGATCAAGGCCAAGGGTTGTGGTGAGGAATGAAGACTTGTTAGCAGGATCAAGTAGGGAGAAACAAGATACAGAGATTGTCTTCAGCAGAGACGATTTTTGAAATGAGGCACAGTGCTGGTGGCTATTAGAAAGTAAAAAAAGAACCACATATACAGGTATCTGTACATGTGTATCTATGAAAATGGCCATCAGTCTTCTCAGCCCCCTCACTTGGTTAGAAGTGGAAATAACTGCTGTGGCTTGCAGCAAAAAATGAAGAATAAAATAAAATTGTGGCACAAAGTTCTGCAGATGGCATAGTGGGTAGCCTTTTTGAGTACTTCATAATAAATCTTCTTCACTCCAATTTACGAATATATTTCCTCTAAAAGGAAATGGTTGATCAGAAAGTTCTTAGACTGACTAAAGGAGGATTAATTATTTAGAAATACAATATTTACGATAAAAAATGAAAAAGAACATCCTATATAGTAGTTGGAGAAACTTGGGTGGAAGAAATTTTATTCAAATTGTCCAAGCAATATTATAGGGAATTTTTTTCTTAAGTGGCCCTTAGAAGTGATATTGGTGTTACATCAGATAGGCTTAGGATCTGTTTTTTGTTAATCAGGCCTAGATCTTCCGGAAAACAATCTGAAATCTTATCCCTAAAAGTTTCTGGAAAAAGTTTTTTTTTGGGGAAGTGGAATATTTCCAACAAATGTAAAAAGAATAATTTAAACTTCTATGGTAAAGTCAATGTACTAATAAAAAGTGTGGATAGTTAATTCAGGAAGAGCTCCAAATGGTCAACTTTTGTGAAAATCCAAGAATATGGATGAAATGATTACTTTCATTCTCTGCGGAAAATGAGACAAAAATCTCTGACAGAGGAATGCAACAACTCTAAAAAATGACCTGACTCAGAAATCCTCGGCTGGATTTCAGAGATCTGCTGTTGCGAGTGAATGCTAACTGGGTAGCAGGATGACTCATTCCAGGCAGAGGTCATTTGGCACTGTACAGAGAGAGAGAAAAAATAACATATAAATGTGGGCGCACGAGCCAGAGATCAAGCCTGTGGGGAGATGTGCTCTGTTCCTGCCTGGTGAACTGATGCTTAGGCAGTTCTGGCCTTTGTGTGTATTGAAGAGAGACAGAGCACTACAAAAATTAACTGCTTATTATCAGGATTGAGGATTTCCTCTCTTTTGAGTGGAGGGCAGTTAAGACAGCTTTACCTCTGTTTTTTTTTGAAATAGGGTCCCACTGTGTCACCCAGGCTGGAGTGCAGTGGTGCGATCACAGCTCACTGCAGCCCTGACCTCTCGGGCTCAAGTGATCCTTCCACCTTAGCCTCCCAAGTAGCTGGGACCACAGGTGTGTGCCACCATGCTTGGCTACTTTTTTTCTTTCACTTTTTTTAGTGACAGGGTCTTCTTATGTTGCCCAGGCTGGTCTTGAACTCCTGGGCTTAAGCAATCCTCCTGCCTTGGCCTCCCAAAGTGCTGGGATTGCAGGCATGAGCCATTGCATCCAGCCCAGCTTTGCCTCTTTTGGGAGAGGAAGAAAGAAATTCACCAGGAGTGGAGACATAAATAGTCCTGCTCTAACTGTCTGACAGTTGCTCAGGAAATGAGGAAGGGAGTTTTCTAATTAGGTGGTCAGGATTTTCCATATAGACTTCTCTATGTCTGTATGTATGGCAGGGTATGAAGACTTGAGAGCATGTGTTAAAATAATTTTATTATTTATGTTTAATGTATATTCTTAGATAAGGGCGAATTTAAATGTGTAGTAAACTTTCATGTTAAGTATTTACTACAGAGCTTAATATTTGCATATTTGGTAAAGGAATGTTTTATAAAATTTGATGATTCCATCTTAAGGAAATTTTAGGCTTTAGAACATGATGTATTGACCAGTACATATTATAAATATTCTATTAAATATATGGTTAAAATATCTGGAAGCTGTGGTAAAAGCAATAGGGAGAAATTCTTATTGTTTTTTTGGGGCTAAAGGGTGCTGATATGATGGAAGAGAATGAAGGTGCAGAGAACGCACCAAAGGGAAAAATGAATTTCTAAGCTGAGAGTCCAATTCCCAGCAGACAAAGGAAGACTCTGCCACCATAGTATCATCTTTTATGATACCGCTTGCTTTTCTCAGTAACTTTCCTTTCCTCTCACCTGCATCCTTCCTGGGCCAGCCTGTGGACATTGACTTTTCCATAGAATGGGTAAATCTTCCTTTAGACTTCTTTATGCTATTACAAAAACAAAAAATAATATCTTCATGAAGGGAATCTGCCTTCCTGGGAGAAGATTAGTTTGGCTCTTAAAATTGTTTTATTTATAACTATACAAGTGAATGAGCATAGAAATTAATTATTCAGTAAAAGGCATAAGTTAAACTGAAAAGATTTTTTAATTTTTTAATTTTATTTTTTTTGCTGTTTGTCTTTTTATTGAAAGCTTACCTCCCAAACAGCATGTTGGGCTAAATCCTTCTCTTCAGCCTTCAGCTTTAGCAACCTGTTTAGCATCTTTTCTTTTCACTTGCTTATGACCTCCCTAACTGTAATTACTTTCATTTTTACAATAGGGCTTCACTGGAAAAGACGGTGCAATGGGACCCAGGGGCCCACCAGGGCCGCCGGTAAGAACTAAATGTGTCTCATTTTTGTGCCCTTCACTCCCACCCTCTCACCTCATTTTGCTAGTAACCTGCCTTTGAAGCACATTCCATCTGTGCTGTGGAGTATATCATTGAGGGAACTGTGTTTTTATTTACCTACATCAAAATGTGCTAGAGAAAACAGACGTGTTAAAATACAGAATCTTTCAGTTTAATCAAGTTACACTTGAGAAAAAGAAAAAGAAATCCCTAACTAACTGGCTACCAGCTGGTTGGTGCCTCAGTTTCTTCATCCCTACATTAAGTGGTTGGGTTTTATAACCTCGGTGGTTCGGTTATTTCCTGTTACAGAATTTTTTTTTTTTTTTTTTTTTTTTTGAGACGGAGTCTCGCTCTGTCGCCCAGGCTGGAGTGCAGTGGCGGGATCTCGGCTCACTGCAAGCTCCGCCTCCCGGGTTCACGCCATTCTCCTGCCTCAGCCTCCCGAGTAGCTGGGACTACAGGCGCCCGCCACTACGCCCGGCTAATTTTTTGTATTTTTAGTAGAGACGGGGTTTCACCCTTTTAGCCGGGATGGTCTCGATCTCCTGACCTCGTGATCTGCCGGCCTCGGCCTCCCAAAGTGCTGGGATTACAGGCGTGAGCCACCGCGCCCGGCCCCTGTTACAGAATTTTAAGAATCTGTGCCTATAACATTTAAATTTCAAGAACTTTATTATTGAACAGCCATCAGTTGTTCTGAGGAAGTCAGTTTTATCTACAACTAAAAGGGTCTTCAACGTAAGATATTGGGAAAATACTGAAACTAATGATTTTGAAACTGGCATCTGTATACTTGCATCCAGGTGAGATCGCAGTAAAATTGTTTGAGGTGATGGATAGCCTCCATGTCTGTGTGGCAGGATACTCAAGAGCATATGTTAAAATAATTTTATTATTTATGTTTAAAATATAGATCTTTAGGTAATGGGGGATTTAAATGCACAGCAAACTTTCATGTTAAGTATTTACTATAGAGATTAACATTTGCATAATTAATGGAGTAAAGGATTGCTTGACAAAATCTGAACATTCCATTTTAAGAAAATTTTAGGCTTTAGAACATGACATATTGGCCAGTACATATTATAAACATTCTATTAAATATAGGGCCAAAATGTCTGGAAGCTGTGGTAAAAGCAACAGGGAGAAAATCTTATGATTTTGGTGGGGTTAAGGGTGCTGACATGATGGAAGGGAATGAAAGTGTGGAAAATGCTCCAAAGGGAAAAATGAATTTCTAAGCTGAGAGTGCAATTCCCAGCAGACAAGGGAAGACTCTGCCACCATGGTGCCCAACTTAGCACAAAACTGGCCACCTTCTTAATTCTTCTCCAGCCTAAATTTTCAACCTCTGTGTTTTGAAAGATTGTCTGGTCTTGTAGTAGGAAACTTAAAAAAAAAGGGAATTGCTTTCTGCACATCCACTTTGTAACCAATTTACTAGGATCATAGTCTTAAATTGTGAAACTGATTATATACATATGCGTGTATTTTTCAACTGGTCTCAAAATATATTTTAAAACTATATAGTCCATAAGGATTGCACTGTAGTTGTCAAGAGTTTTTTATTTCATGTTATCTTTTTTTTTTTTTTTTTTTTTTTTTTTTGAGACGGAGTCTCGCTCTGTCGCCCAGGCCGGACTGCGGACTGCAGTGGCGCAATCTCGGCTCACTGCAAGCTCCGCTTCCTGGGTTCACGCCATTCTCCTGCCTCAGCCTCCCGAGTAGCTGGGACTACAGGCGCCCGCCACCGCGCCTGGCTAATTTTTTGTATTTTTAGTAGAGACGGGGTTTCACCTTGTTAGCCAGGATGGTCTCGATCTCCTGACCTCATGATCCACCCGCCTCGGCCTCCCAAAGTGCTGGGATTACAGGCGTGAGCCACCGCGCCCGGCCCTATTTCATGTTATCTTAAAATTTGGTTTTATTTTTCCTGAATGTGTAATTATGAGTTGTTTCATTTAAACGCGTTTAAAACAGGCTGTATTCATTTACTTTAGATGGGATTTTCCCTTTGTCATAACAGTCCCCTTCCCTTTCCATGTGTTGTAGGGAAGCCCAGGCTCCCCAGGAGTCACAGGACCAAGTGGGAAGCCAGGAAAACCTGGAGATCATGGCAGACCAGTAAGCGGACAGCTTGCATGTCTACTGACAGTGGTTTCACCGTGGAAATAAATAATGAGAACTGCAAAGCTTTGTTATATTTAGGTTATCTCTGCTGTAATGTGTTTGAAGCATTTGTTGAAACCATGCTAAACTCATGGATTTGACTTGGTACTAGTTCAAAATTTTTCTCTCTGGGTTGTTATAATATTCTGGGATGAAAATTGTGGTTACTGGGTTTCTTTAAAAGGAGAATGGGATTATGAGCCAAGACACATATTTCTGCGCTGTATAAACACTCAGAGCTGGGTCAGCAAAATGATTCTTTTTACTTAGGAGTGGTATGCTGCTTAAGATGGAAAAATACATGACGATGGTGCACAGCGCCTCCATCCCTAGCTTGCTAATGTTAACCCTTTTGTGGCATTATCCAGCTTTCCATTTGTTCTTTTGTATCTAGTTGAGGAGGCTAGAACATCAGAACCAGAATTAAAATTATTTATTAACTTTATCATTTTACTTTTTTAATACTGTCCTGCCCCAATTTATACCCCATTTAACTTTCTCTTATGCAGATATTTTGGTTAAAATAATAGTTGAGATAGTAGTACACATATTTAGTATTTCCAAATTAGTATCTCCAAAACTGAATTTGAAGTTTCTAAAATATACACAAATATTTGTAATGAGTGTTGGGCTTCATATTTTTTACAAGCTTTTCCTTTTTTTGTATTTATGAAGTGTGAATTTATTTAAGCAATTTTTTTTGTCCAAATAGCATCCTGAAATATAAAAATTTATCTTAAAGACAATTAAGTCCAACTATTAGCAGTGACAAAAATTTGTCAGGGCTCTTCTCTGGACAGAATTTCTCCTTTTTAAAGCATTGTTCAAATTTTACAAACCCGAGTTAAAAAAAAAGTAATTTCAGAGAGACTTAGAATTGGACATTTATGTGATATGGCTTGCCTTGTATGATTCATAAAATTAAGCAGGCAACATAAAGATAGAAGGACTCCTGATATATTAGGTTAAAAAGAATGACAAAAACCATAATTACGTTTGCACCAACCTAAATACTTTAAAAACTGCGTGTACCCTAGCATGTGACTTTAGTACTCTCTTTTCCTCAATGGATCATGGTAGAAACTTTGCAAGTGCAATTATAAGTATATGAAACTTTTCTACCCATTCAGCATTTCATTTTGTTTTACTATGACCTCAGTAGTGTCTTATATAAGAATATTACTCATATAATTGATGGCTGTAGCTAGAAGCCTAAAAGAAATGTCTACAGCTATTACTTGAAATATGATCTCTAAATATCGGCAATAAAGATGATTTCTACAAATCATGAACAATAGGACAATCTCAGAGTGCCAATAAATTAAAAAAAATCAGAACAATCTCAAAATAGCAGTAAATGTAAAAAATCCTGCATTTGTAAAATGCTCCAAATACAATATGTGTTTCCACAAAAATCCAATACTTTTGGCAAAGAAATAGATAACTCTAGTTTTTCTTACGATAATTATAATTTGGTATACATTTATTTAGACCCCAGCACTTCCCCTTTTCTCCTTCATTTTCCTCGTCCTTCAAAAGTAGCAAATTTCCTCTTTTTTTCTTCCCTATTTTATCTTACCTTCCTCTAATTAATGAAACCAAACATAGCATATAGGTATATATAGGTCTTAGCAGAGAGCTTGGCTTAATCATTGTTAGCTTATGTCATTAGCTATTATAATCAGTTGATATCTTCTTGCTAACTTATAGTACCTGATATTCTATAGGAGATGTTTCCATGAGATGTTCATAGAATACTTCATTAGTAAACACATATTTGTTTAGTGCCTACAATATGCTAGCCAGTGTTCTAGGGTCAGGTGATATAACAGCAAACAAGACAAAATTCTTGCCTTCATAGACATTCTGGGGGGTATATAGACAAAACCATGTAAATATAGGTTCCCGTGATAATGAGTGTTATGAAGAAGAAACAGAGTAAGGGGTTAGAGAATGATTGTGCTGGTGGGAAGGCAGCTATTTTGGATACAGTCATCTAGGAACCTCTCTGACAAGGTGACATTGGGATGAAATGAGGGAGAAAGCTATTTGATCTATGGAAAGAGGGTTCCAGGCAGAGGAAACAGCATGAATGAAAGCCTTGGCTGAGGAACGAGACTGACATGTGAAAGGAACATCCAACAGGTCTGGGTACCAAAGTGAAGGGAGTTAAATGGAGAGGGATAAAATATGAGGTCAGATAGCTAGGCATAGATGATCATATGGACCATGTAGCCCATGATAAGGAATTATTATTTTCCTCTAAATCTGATGGGAATGGGATGGGTGGCTCTTAGAGCCAAAGGAGTTACATGATCTAATTTTTCTTTAAAAAATATCATTCTGGTTTTTGTGTGGAGAATAGACTATAATGTAGCAAAATGGGGAGAAGGGAGAGCAGTTAGGAGGGTATTGGAGTAGTTTCAGGCAAGAGTCTTGGTTTGGACTGCAGTGGTTTCCATGGGGATGGTGAGAAGTGATTTGTCAATGATTTAGATGTTCCTTCGGTGATAGCAGTTGGCAGCCTGGAAATATATAACTGAAAGACAAAAACTTGTTGCACTCTAAGGAAAACTTTTCCAATATCTCTTATGGTGAGAGGCTTATGACAGTGTAGGGACAAATATTCTATGCTTGTATTTAGATGTAGGATCAGATTGAGTTATTTAATAAGAGAAAAACCCAGTTTCTTTTTTTTAATTGTAGAATATTTTTATTATTATACTTTAAGTTCTGGGGTACATGTGCAGAATATGCAGGTTTGTTACATAGGTATACACGTGCTATGGTGGTTTGCTGCACCCATCAACCCATCACCTACATTAGGTATATTTCCTAATGTTATCCCTCCCCTAGCCCCTGACCCCCCAACAGGCCTGTGTGATGTTTCCCTCCCTGTGTCCATGTGTTCTCATTGTTCAACTCCCAATTATGAGTGAGAACATGCAGTGTTAGGTTTTCTGTTCTTGTGATAGTTTGCCGAGAATGATGGTTTCCAGCTTCAACCCAGTTTCTTTTATCTCAAATGTACAAAGAATCACTGGATGAAGTTAAGGGATATATATTGAGCTAAGCTGCTGACAACAGCCTGCTGGTTCTTAGTGAGACTGAATGGAGACTAATCTCATGGACGTTCCACAATAAGCAGCTCAGATAACCAACTATGATGATATAAAGCAAAGTATGGCGGTACAAGGGCAATCTTCATATGTATTTTAGTTCCATATGTATCATGAATTGCATTGTAAAAAGTGTGCATGGTCCATAACTTTTACAATTGTGACCACAAAATTCACATCTGTGCACTATTTTGGAGGACATGTGCTTCAGAGAGAGAGAGAGAAAGAGAGAGAGAGAGAGAGATTAGATTCCTTTTTATAGAAAAGCAGAATGTGAGTAACATGGATATAAATGTGATGTGTCATTTTGCTAATGCTTTAGAAAACAGAACTTGTTCTCGTTCATCATTATGTCTATTCATGCATCATTTTAGAGTATGTTTGTCAGTTTCTAATGTATGTAATTCATATTTTTCAGGGTCCATCTGGGTTGAAAGGAGAAAAAGGTGATAGGGTATGTATTTTTAAAAAATCTTACGTTTATTTTGTGTGTTAAACATTGAAGCCTAAAACTATAGAACTAATATGCTAATCATTCTCATTAATTCAACAAGGGAGACATTGCTTCCCAGAACATGATGCGAGCAGTTGCAAGACAAGTCTGTGAACAATTGATAAGTGGTAAAATTTCTTTTCTTTTTACTGTATGAATTGTTTTAAAATTAATTGCAGGAAAATGCAGAGTTTGAGTCATGAAGTTTCTAAGAGATAGATTTCTCTTTCATTTCATTTGATAAGCTTTTGTTCTTATACATTGTCAGTTTTGTATCTGATTAGATGAAGTTAATGATATTTTAAAGATTGTCACTAAGATAAAATAATAACCCAAGGTAAAATAATAGCAGTAAACTTAAGTACTAAGACATCAGATATTTTAAGTTAAGATCTTTAAGTCATTTTATGACCTTAAGGAAGGGGGCCCACCAAGATGAATTTGATCAGTGAAAGTTGATTTTGGTAGGAAACTCTCTCTTGCCTGTTTTTCACAGGCTCTTCTTATTCCATAAGGCCTGTTAAGTAATGAAGCTCAGTACCTGCAGACTGGTGTGGGCCTTAAACCCATAACTCACTCTTAGAGAAGTCTTAATCAATGTTTTCCAAAGTGCGGTACTGAGGAACACCTGCCTTAGAATCACTTATGTTGCTTGTTAGAAGTGAGTTCCTGCACCATGCCCTAAGCTTAGTGAATCATTGACTTTGGAGATAAGGCCCAGAAATACAGATTTTTCAAGGTGCCCCACAGGCAATTCCAGTTTGCACTGAAACCTGATTATCATTGCCTTAGATATACAAAAAATTGTAGAATTATCTAATTATAAAAAAGGTTTTCTTTTGAGTGATGTCACCTGGTAAATCTCAAGACTTTATTTCAGAGCCATATTAAACTTTAACAACTCTTTTATATTTGTAGTAATGTTTGTGGCTTGTAGGTCAGCATTTTGTGGAAACAGTTATTTATCAGGGACCATTTTGTCCTCGATGATTAGACTGTCTTAATTTTATTTTTAGGATTCTAATTAGATTGTTTCCTTAGAGGGGTTGCAGAATGGAGATGGATTTCACTAGACACTAAGAGAAAACAGTTTCACTCTCTCATCCGTCCTTTATTGGGTTTCTTACTAACAAGCCTTATTTCTGCTTGTAGGTCAGATGAACAGATTCAATCAGATGCTGAATCAGATTCCAAATGATTACCAGTCCAGTCGCAACCAGCCAGGCCCGCCGGGTCCACCGGGACCTCCTGGTAGCGCAGGAGCCAGAGGAGAACCTGGGCCTGGGGGGCGGCCAGGCTTCCCGGGCACACCAGGGATGCAGGGACCCCCTGGGGAACGAGGTAGGCATTTCTGGCTTCTGTATTGGGATAAAGGAAGGAATTTGCAAATGTAGGAGTTGGGACAGGTTGAAGGCATCTGAAAGGTGACCTAGGCAAACTGCTTTCCCTGGTCTTGTTTGGACAGCCTCAGAAGAGCTGTTAGGCAACTCATAGGCCATAGAGATCCATGTCTTAGAAAAATGGTATGTTTTTATCAGATCTCAGTAAAGATAATGCTATTTTCTGACTTTTGTTGTTTTTAATGGGAAAAACTCTATCTTGGCAAACTAAATCAGCTACCCAAATCTTATTACTCTCTGTGACTGCGGCAAGAGTCGAGCAGCAACTGAATGTTCTTAGGCAGCCCTAGAGTTTTAGATCCAACTTATTTTGGTTCCTTTATTCAGGGTCTGGCACTGGTCTTGTATGTTTGTTTGGCTCTAATTTCATGGTATAGATAACTGCAGTTGAAGGAAAAGGAGAAAAACAGGACTATTTGATTCCAGATATTTCAGGATTCTGGGTATCCACTTTTGTCAAAGGAGTACTTAATACTCTAGAGAAAACCTACATATTTCTATAATTCTACTGGTTTGGCTGCTGTACTAATAGGGCTACTAAAGATAAAATACCTTTAATATGTTTTTCAATGAGATATTATAACAATTTCTTCAGGATTACTGTTCCTAATTACTATTTAAAAATATATTAGACATGTTTGTTTGCTTCAAATAATTTTTCCCCTGCCTTGTAGCCAAATTTTTTCTTGGCCATAAATCTAGAATTACACAAATGTCTAGAAAGAACTTGGCTTAAAGAGTGAACTTCTGTGAAAAATTAGGTTCTGCTTTCACTAAGGAAATGAATTACTTGAATCAAATATTATCAGTTAAGATGAAAATTACATGCTTCCAGATAATTTTTCCCCTGTGCTTTCTCTTTTTCTCCCTCCTTAGGTTTGCCAGGAGAGAAAGGTGAAAGGGGTACTGGATCTTCAGGACCTCGGGGGCTGCCTGGCCCCCCAGGTAGGTTTGCTAGTATTTTAAACAGGCAAAGACTATAAATACCGAGAGGGCACACCATCCCGAAGAGATTCACAACTTCATCCTGTTATTCTTTTTTTTGTTTTTGAGACGGAGTCTTGCTCTGTCACCCAGGCTGGAGTGCAGTGGCGCGATCTTGGCTCACTGCAAGCTCCACCTCCTGGGTTCACGCCATTCTTCTGCCTCAGCCTCCCGAGTAGCTGGGACTACAGGCGCCCGCCACCACGCCTGGCTAATTTTTTTTAATTTTTAGTAGAGACGGGGTTTTGCCGTGTTAGCCAGGATGGTCTCGATCTCCTGACCTCATGATCTTCCCACTTTGGCCCCAAAGTGCTGGGATTACAGAAGTGAGCCACCGCTCCCAGCCAACTTCATCCTGTTATTATAGCATAAAGCATTCTTATTACCATGGCATATGTTTTAGCAAGAAGTTCAACCTCCATAACTTCATTTTCATGTTCCCTTTGTTAAAAAAATGAAAAGTTTCTATTAGGCATTAACTATAACATTAATATATGATGAAATGAATTTTAGTGACACAAAGGGTTACTATTTCCCCTTTCTGTCTCCTTCCTTCCTTCCCTTTTCCTTCCTTCCTTCCTTCCTCCCTTCCTATTTGTTTTTTTTTTGGCCTCATAGACTTTAAAGATGGTTATATTTCCTGTTTTTTCCAGTAGTCTTCAATATGGGGCTATTAGACTGAGAAAACATAGCCTCACTAAAAGGGCCTGAGATATTGGTAAATTTCATTCACTGCTCTCCCAAAGCATTTTTATATTTTGGATAGGACTACTACATGTCTGTCTGATGCATTTTGTTTACTAGGTTGTAAATGATTTCTTTTTTCATTATAAGGCACATGATACCCTTGCAACCAAGGACAGCCCTATGGCTAAATCTTTCCATTTATGTTAACTATAACTATTGATCCAGAAACAATATTGCTTTGCATAGGCTGGAGGTGTGGAGCAGACGCTGCCTTCTTTTGATGGCAGCTCAATGTAGCTGCTTAACAGAGCTGTTTCCTTCAGGTGCTCTTTTCTCTGTGAGAGTGGGAGCAAACCAAAGAACTCACTGATATCTCTGGTTTGGCTGAATTTTTGCTAAATCAGGTTTTCTGGAATAAAATACTTCTGGCATTAACTCTGATGAGTCACTGGTAAGAAAGTTCCATCACACCTTGGTTCATATTGGGTATTTCTTAAGGAAACATTTTCTTACCATACAATAGTAAATTGTCTAATTTTGAGACAGTGGAGGTGCCACTTAAAGTATTGGTGGCTACCTCAGGAGTTGTATTTGACAAGAGGGGAAATATATTTGTTTTAACTCCACACTAGGTCCACAAGGAGAATCCAGAACAGGTCCACCAGGGTCCACAGGTTCAAGAGGTCCCCCTGGCCCCCCTGGCCGTCCTGGAAACTCAGGTATCCGAGGACCCCCAGGTCCTCCTGGATACTGTGATTCTTCTCAGTGTGCCAGCATCCCATACAACGGGCAAGGCTATCCAGGTACGTTGTTGCCATTGTAGGAACCCCAACTCACCTGAAGTAAAGAACTTTACGGAAATGAAGTTCCTTAGGATTGAAGGAAGGCTGATTTGAAGATGTCTTGAAGATAACAACTCTTTCAGTTCTGATTATATAATAATAGTGTTTGCTATCATAGCACACAACATTATTTCACTGTTAGGATTGAATTATTTTCTTTTTTCCCCATGTTTCTGCATTTACCAAATCACATCATAAACCTCCCCTTACTTCTCTTGGGACTTCAAAGCATGCTAGTAATTGACTTTTTTTTTTTCTTTTCCCCAAGATTGGGAACAGGGATTTGTTAAATACAACTGTAAAATGCCAAGAATATGTATTTAAAAATTGTTTTGGGAATCTAATTTATGGGTAAACTATGTAATAATATGGTGTAGACAACTGAACATAGTTAACTGTCCCATACTAGCCATGGAATTAATATTTATAAAATCTGGGACTTAATAATTGTTTTTAAAGGATTTTTAATGAAATTCTAGTGTTTGACAATTGTAGAGGGCAGAAGTCTCCTATACTTGATTTTGTGGGATGTGAGGACTGGGTAGATATGCCAATCTGGAAATAAGATAGTCATGCTGTGGTCAATGGCGACCATTTCATTACTGCACCCTCAAGCATCTTGCAAATTTAAAAAATTATACTGCTGTTTGATATGATTTGCTACTTTCAAATAGTGCATGAGTAGTTGAATATCTAAATATCTATATATCTATATATTTATATGCATAATTACATATGACCAAAAGTAATAACAAATCTTAATGTATATTTCCATGCAACCCATTCAAAAAATTGCAATTTAATTCTTTATAAATTTAAATTACCACCTCCTTATGGGATGTGAGAATAACTAAAAATATATGGATATATATATATATATATATATATACTTTAACCATTACATACGTAGATGGATGTGTATTTATATTTTTTACTTAGTCATTCAACTTTTAAAAACTATCATCTTTGACCTGTTTCAGGTTCCGGCTAACACATTTTCTAAGTCGCCAGTGCTGCTTACAGTTTGAATACATGAAAATCCTGTTTCTGAGATGTTTGCGCACGTGCTTATTAGGAAATGAGTCTGTATGGAAATCTCACCACAGATAATGGTTAACGAACCGGGTCGACATCACAAAGGAGGGTGGAGACTCTTTTTACTAACTTGAATGAGACAAAAGCAGTGGTGTCAGTTTATAATCCTGATGCATTTCAGTAATAATGTAGAAAAACATTATTTTAAAAAAGTTCCAACACACAGCCATGAGGAGCCTCAGTTTTGAAAGAGGTGCATAATAAAACTACTAACCAGAGGAGTCTATGCCATTTTAAGAAAAACAATTAACCTGGTTAAAGAGAAATGTCTTATGTAAATAATAAACTAATTGTGGCTTGTAAATGATTTGTATGTGATCCTGTCGACTAAAATCACTTAACAATTCTACAATAAGCTTCTGCATCAAAGCCTGCCGCTTGCTCTATGCCGGAATAACACCAAATGGAATCTCCTCATCTCTTGCTTGTTAGCGATGTGTCTGATTCAGGGCATCTGTCTTTTTGTTACTTTTTTGTCCGTGTCCTCTCATTTGGGTTTTGTAACTGCAATTTTCAAACCAAAGTTTAAAATCACCTTTTCTTCCTGTTTTGCTGTAGTCACTGGTGTTCCTCACCCACCAGCTGTAACTCAGTTTGTGTGAGGTACAGCCACAGAAGATGTCATGTACTGTATATTACCTGGTGATAGTTGCTTTTCACCCCCCGAGTTCAGTTTCTAGGAGCCAATGAAACTTCCCCTCACCTCCTCATCTTTCCAAGTTGTTCTTTGAATTGAGGAGTTTGAAGGCATAAACAGTTACTTGGGGATTTGCGAAAATCCTACTTAGTTACTGCGTTTACAGTTCTTTGGCCCAGTCTCTGACCCTTCCCAAGTATTTGTGCAATGATTGTGTTTACTGCTGGATTTTTGAAGGTTTTTTTTTTTAAGAAAGTGCCATTTCATTATTTGATTATCACCAAATTATCTGGAAATAATTGGGACATTGTAACTTATCTATTTATAGTTATGAGATTAAGACTGGAGTGCCATCACCGCGGGTGATGATTTAGCTTTTGCTGTGTGTGTGTGTGTGTGCCTTCCAAATCATGCCATAATTGTAATGTTGAATCGGACAGAGCCTTACGTGCCCGAGGGCGGGGCCTACCTGCCTGAGCGCGAGCCCTTCATCGTGCCGGTGGAGCCCGAGCGGACAGCGGAATACGAGGACTACGGCGCAGACGAGCCTGCAGAGGAGCCTCCTGAGCCCCACCGGCGCTGGCGGCGCGCCCTGCCCCACGGACCCGGGCAGTGAACCAGAGATCACGCGCCGCGCCGCGAGGCTTGGGGGAGGTGTTGAAATTCTCATTTACAGGTCAGATAGAGCAGTGTACGTCTTTTCTGAGGTGTTTCTTCCAGCGTTGCTCATCCAGGAGTACCCTTTCTGATTGTAGAGAACCTTGTTTCTGCAGGAAGCCTAGCTCCAAGCACGCAGTCTGTAGACATTTTTGCCTTTGCCCTTGAAATGCTTGCAAAATACTTTGTTAACAAAAGCTGCAAAGAGAGAACATGCCGTGTGCCTTTAGTTAGCACAGCGGGCAGCCTCAGTGAAACTCTTAGGTTAAGCAGTTAAGTCCTGGAACCCAGAGCTGCTGTGTATTTCGAGCGGGCAGTTTATCTTTTGCTATACTTATTTTCAATTCAATTACACCACGATTCAAATAATTCCCCTCCTAAAACCAAAAAGGAGGGAAACGTCAACTCCATTGCAATTACTTATCTTCCTCTTCTATCTCTGTTATACGCCGGGGCATAGAATGCTCGTATACATCTCTTTAACAACCACAAACCTTAAGCCATGTAGATGAAGTTAGTGCATCAACGGGATACAGTTCCATATTGCCTTAAACCTCCTTGTTTTAGACACACTAACATTTATACCAAATTGCAGATTATTCTGCAGAGAGGGAATTGCATGTTTGTGTTGTATATTTAGTATGAACTTTTTTCAGAATATAATATTTCTTAGTTATCAAAAGTAGTTGGAAAACATTTGCAAGACTATGAACATAGAATTGCTGCTTTTATATTTTAACTGCAGATTGTGAATTTCACTGCCTTATATTATTTATTTCTGAAACAAAAGAGGCATTTTTCAATAAAACTACTGAAAATTTGACATGGCATGTTTCTTTCTTTGAAGGGCCTTTTGGACTGCCTCAAGTGGTTGTTACAACAAACAAGTTCATATCCTTGGATACGGTTACAAATCTTGCTAATACTATTAAATTATGCTAAATAACTTTAGATTTTTAATGATACGGTGAAGTCATAGAAAGAGAGTGGTGAGAGCCTTAAAAAGCCCAGCAGATTCCAAAGGCTTTATTAGGAATATAGAGGATGTGTGGGTTGGTGGAAAAACAACTATGTATCCTAGGATACCCCAAACAACCAAATAATCTCTAATAACCCACACGATTTCGTATGCATTTAATCACTTTTCTATACCATACTTAACCCAAAAACATGTTTAATTGCTAGAAGGAAAATTCCATAATGGAAAATTTTACATTTAGCGATGCCTTGCTTTTCCACTTACAAATGCAATAAAACCATTCTAAATATCAAGGAAAACAATGTAAATGTTGGTATGAAAGAACCAATATCAATTAAAGAGAGAGGAGTAGTGATAGAAAGTTTTCCATAGACCAAAACATCTGAATTAAGTACCTCCTGGAGATGAGGATCAAAACGAACAGATGACACATAAATGCATTACATTTAGGAGGCGTCAAGCAGGTTGCTAAACTCATAGCATTCACTTGTAATTCCCAACACGTGCACTTTTGAAGCTAGAAGATACTGCTGAGACTATCCCAGACCAACCCAATTATTTTGCTTTGCTGGGAAGAAACAGACTGCTAATTAATATTAGAACAAGACTAAGACTCTGGGCCTTGTGATTCTTAACCTAGTTTATCACTAGATGGCCTCCCCCACTCCCATCTTCTTACTCTCTGGGCAGAAGCTTTCAAACCTCCAAGTTCCATCAGTTTATTTTGATTAGTTTCTGATTCATTGGGGTTTCTGATGCTTCTTGATGAAGAACATGTGTATCAAGACCCTGAAGATGGGTGGGTCCTCAGCCACTGATCTGGTGGAGTCCCAGGGCCACGTGGATTCAAGGCATAAAGAAATTGAACCTTCTATCACTGGCTAGATGTGGGTTTGATTCTTGATGTTGGCAATGCGCTGATTAACCACTTTCTATTCTGTTCTGGGAACTTGGGGCCGAGGCAATCCAAACCAGGGGCTAAGCACAAAATTAATAACTAGCTGAGATGCTTGTTGTGATTTTTTTTTCATAGTATATTTACTTAATTGTGTTTGCTGGATTCTGTGTTAAAATTACTTTTATAATCCTTGATTGAGCACATACGGACTAAACAATGGGGAGAAGAGGACAGATAGTCTGTCTTTAAAAACTCACGGAAAAACTACAAGAAATCTAACATGTAGGTGCTGGTTTATTTATCCAAACTTTTTTTTGAGGAGAATACAGAACAACTTGAAACACTTTTTCTAGCCTTTTCCATTTGGAAGCATTATAAGAAATTCCTTATGTGCAATGTATATTTGGAACTAGGGCTCTCATTTTTTAGAAAGTAGCCTGAAATAAACATGGGGAGAAGTTATAGCTTCTCATGAAGTCTACAGTGGGAAAGATTTCAAAATTTACAAATAGCATTTATATGGGTCCTAATTTCTGAGTATTTTTATAGACTATTTGTGCAATGATTTAGCAAGTTTAACAGAAGTTTGCACGTATATTTTCTTAAATACATGAGCATCCATTTTTGACTTTATTCAGAATTTTGCTACCTGGGCAGTTGCCCAAGCTTACATTTTATTTTTTGTGCAAAAAAGGTCAGTATAATCGTTCCTAAATATTTGTTATTCATTATATCTTTTACATTGCATTTGGCACATACAATTCTTCCTCATTTGGTTTTAATCATCATTTCTCCCTAATAAAAAGGGGTTTGTGATTATACTGTCCTCATGGGGCCTGCCTCATAAACACCAGCTAGTTATATACAAAATTGCTGCAGTGACTTTTATTTTCCAAGGCAATATTTTAAATACAAAGTAATATCGATCTTTATCTTATACCTGTGGTCAGAAAATTGATTTAGATCTGAATATCTATTTATGTAAACATTTATTAGCTTTTCCACTCTTAGATCAGGCTGCAGAAGGCTATTGGAAAAAAAAATCACATGGACTAGCTTTTAGAGAATGACCTGTGTTTCCTGTCCCTAACCCTGATCTCTTGCCTAGTTCTATGTCAGTATATGCAGCTGTACTGCATACCCCTCCTTCAGTTCCACAGACACCTCAAACTTAACACATCTGGTATTTATTAGGATTAAGTTCAGCTGTGAGTAACAGAAAGCTACAAAATTATAGTGGCTTAAAGAAGTAGAAATTTCTTTATTTCTCATGTTTGAGAAGTCAAGGAACCAGGCTCTTTCTATCTTGCTGCTCTGCTTTTTGTGATTTCCATGGCCAAGTTAGGCTTATGGTCCAAGGTGGTTAATAGAGACATAGCTGTTATGTCCATATTCCCCAGCAGGAAGGAGAAGGAGGTGAAGAATATGCTTCATCTTTTAAAGACACCTCCTGGAAGTTGCAAACACAATTTGTATCACATACCATTCACCATAACTTAATCATTTGGCTACATTTAGCTGTAAGGGAAATGGGAAATGTTATCTTTATTCTGGATGGCCATGTGCTCCATGAAAATCAGCTACTCTGTTACTATGTAAGAGGAGAAATGTCAAGTGGAGGTAAACTCAAGGCTTTAGTTTTTCATGCAATGTCCAGATCTGAACATTTCTGTCCATAAATATAATTTTCCTCCATTGTCCCCACCAGCCACCAAGTTACTCAGGCTAGAAATTTGAGAGACCTTGGAAACTTCCTTCTTTCACTTCTCACATCTGATTAAGTCTAGCTGATTGAACTCCTACATATCTTAATCATCTCATTACTACTCAATTTTAGACCCTTGAGATTTATTGTCATGACTATAATTCATAGTTTCTTGAATGGTCTCCCTTCCCATAGCCTTGAATTCCCTTAAAAAAATGTCTTCTACACAACTGTCAGGGTGATTTATCTAAAATGCAAGCCTGACTCAACAATATCTCCTGCTCAACATTCTTCAGGTGGCATACAGATTTCCCTGCAAATCTTGACTCTGCCAATTTCCTATTCCTCCTGTCTCACCAACTTTTACACTGGACCACCTAGAATTCCTATTCCGTTATTAACAAACATCTCCAAATCCTCAGCCTCTATAGTGAACAATCCCAGCACCTCCTGGATTGATTCTGAAAATACCGCAGAGACTTTTTATGCCTCCCAAAGTTGGTAGGTGGGGACATGTCCTCCTCACTTCTCAGTGCTGTTTCCAGACCAATAAGTCTTCCTCCTCCTACAAAAAGCCTTTATCATTGGAGGCTCACAGCTAACTTCACATCATTATAACCTATTTACTTTGCAACGTAGTAGCTGATTTTCATGGGGTACATGGCCATCCGGAGTAAAGCCTCCAGTAGCAACTTTAGTATGTGGCTTTCAGTGCTTTTCTCCATCCTCATATCTGCCATCTTCTGGGGACACTTCAGCATCCATATTGGATGACAAATTCAACGTCCTCAATTATTTGACCTTCTTATTTTCAAGAACTTACTGTTTTTTTATAACTCAGCCTCAGCTACTCAGTATCTCCAGGATCTTAACTTGAACTTGAATTCATTACAAACTGCCACAACTTTGAAATCACTAATTTAGACGCTGAGCTCTTCTGGGGCTTCCAGCTCATCTGCTCAAGTACCCTACTGCAGCTGTTCCTCAGCTTCATCATGACACCCAATGCAGTGAATCTTCTATGTTCTTCCATCCATCAGTCCCTCCTTGTCTTCACTTCCTTTCTTATCCAGCTTGGAATCCATGTCTTCCTAAAACACTGTTTATCAAACAGCCTTTACTCTAAGGGGGTACAAAACCAGCTTTGTTTGTCTTTAGCCACTGCTTTCAGTTAGGTTCTATGAATACTATTTTTCTATCTTTTATCATACCTCAGACAGATCCATTTCTTTTGGATAATTTTAAGCAT
The DNA here is from genome assembly GCF_000001405.40 of Homo sapiens. NCBI lineage: Eukaryota > Metazoa > Chordata > Mammalia > Primates > Hominidae > Homo > Homo sapiens. The sequence continues at coordinate 75,080,317 of NC_000006.12, read as the reverse complement.
GAGTACTGCAATTCAGTCTATTCCAACTTAATCCAATTGAAACTTTTAATCTCAAACCTGGCTTAGTATTTATTTTCCTTTCTACCTTAAAGCCAGATCTTAGACTTAGGACTGGGACTGCAGAGTTGGATATGTCAGCTCGTCCACTGCAGCTTCTCCAGGTTTAGGTAGGGGAAGCATACTGAACGAAAAGGAGTTAAGATTTCTTCCATGTAACCTGTGCCAGTAGAATCCTCTTTTGGATGTGGCAGGTGCCCAAACGCTGCCACTATCATGGGGCTTCTCAGGCGGCCTGCAGTGGGCCCACCTACTGCCCATTTATTTTCAAAATGACCTCTCCTAATGTACACTCAACTTTTGCTTCCATGAAATGCCTCACAGCTACTTACTGCTAAGGTCCATTCCCCTTGCCTAAAGTTCTCTTAAGAAGTATTCCAGCAGGATGGCTCATATCTGACTACCTTCCAAATGTCCATTTGACCACAGCAGACTAAAGCATCCTTGTTAGGCCAAATAAAAGGAGTCTTCCACCACAAATGCTGCTTCTGTTTGCTTGCCAAGTGCCATTCATGTTTCTCCCTTCAAGAACATAAGCCGGTAGGCTAGGTAATCAAGTCTGCTGTGTAATAGATACCCACTTACAGAATAGCATGCCCTTATAGGCACTGCTCGATCTCTGTGACTGATTCCCTTAGAACCTCCTTCACATGGTTCACTTGGGTGAGGGTTCGAAGCACTCTTTTTACAATGGAGGGTAAAAGCCACAACTCTGTCATATAACAATGATAACCTGCTTCAGTGGATTCTTCTTGACTCTCAATCTTTTGCAAATATAGACTGCTTGGGTGTGGTGGAGTGAAAGTTTAGATGGAAGAGCCAGTTCTGCTAATTCTTAGAAATCCTGTGGGAATATGCTTTATGGTTTTCTTTAGAATGTGGGTGGAAAAATTCTAAAGAATTTTCTTTAGAATAGCTAGAATCTTTATAGCTATTTGGCCAATTCTGAGTCAAAAGGAAAAATACTGTTTAGCATTTTGGTACCCAAATAAGCCAAATTCCCTTACTATTTTATTCTGTCAAAGGTGTGTATTAAAACCCTAACTGTAGATGATCCCAGCTGGTTGTAGTCTCCATGAGTGTACCCAGATACTGAGCACAGTTGAAGAAAATCACCTGTTGGGTCAGATTGTTATGTCTACAAAAAAATCCATGATGACCAACCTCAGCTTGCCTGTCAACACTGCTTAGTAATTTGACCAGCCTTGTTCTCAACTATTTCCAAAAAATTTTAAACTTGAACTCTGTACCCCATTCTGATCAGGAAAGTTCATGCTACTTCTCATAGAAGTGGTTATTTCATATAGGAATATGAAGCTAAACTGGAACATTACCTTTCTATGGCAGGCTACAAAAACACCTGCATCTGCACATATCCTTTCCTTCTGCTTCATCAAAACAGCATCCCTATTGTTTGAACTCTGGATCCCTTTTTATTCTTCCTTCCACAAATACTGAATTAAGCATTTGTTAAGTGATAGATGCATTTCAAATGGTGCTGGGGTTCTATAGTGAACATAGAAAAACCAAGACAAAGTCTCTTTTCTTATGGGGATCTCATTTTTATAGTCAGAAAAAGACAATAAATAAATAGGCAAAGCATATAGTCAGAGGGTAATAAGTGCTATGAAGGAAATTAAAATAGGCGGGAAGATGGAGAATGATGGGTGTACATGGTATGTGTGCTAGTTCAGGTAGACTGATCAGGAAATGCTTCTTTGAGCAGTGACCTGAGGAGTGGCTGAAAGCATGAGGCTCAGTTCTGTCTGATTATCATGTAAATTGGATGCTTTCACAATTATATAGATAGATTACCAACCATATCCTTAGAGTGATAGTTCTCAACCTTGCTTCCAGCCAGGACGGGAAACTTTCTACTTCTCTCTGTAGCTTCGGGTATCACCTTTAAGCTGACTACTGTATCTTTAGTTCAGTCATCTCTTTTGAGGCATGTATATCCAACTACCTTGGTACATCTCCAGGTGGATGCTTTACAGGTATTTCAAATTTGATCTGAACAAGGGAAAATCCTGCACTCTCCCCACACTAGCCTTTCTGCAAGTTTTTTTTTTTTTTTGTCTTTGTGAGTGGTATATCTATTCTCTCAATTGTTTAACCCAGAGACTTAAGAATTAATATGACTTCTCTCTATCCCTCACCTCCCCCATCCTCCAGTCACTAACTCCTTTTAATCCTATCTCCTTTCTATACAGTTTACCTCCCTGTATCCTCCCTGCTGCCATTCTTTCCCTTGGCTCCATTGTCTTGTCTGGATTATGGAGGAGTCTGTATTTGATCTCTTCCATCCACTTTTACCTCCTGCCAATCCATTTTTCTCACAGCATAGCAGCCAAAATGATTATTAAGAATGCAGTTCTGGTCACGTCATTGCATTCCTTAAACTTGTCTAGTGGTATCTAGTCCAGAAACTTTATCAAGACTCAAATACCAGCGGGGATTTGGGCTCTTCCTATTTTTTGACATTATCATACCCCACTTATCTCTTCAGTTGATTTTCTTCAACAATATTGAACTTCCTGCCTGATCCTTCCTTAACCTTGAGCCTTCACTATTTTCTTTACCTGGAACATTCTCTATTTTCATTTGGTCAAGCCCTACTATTTCATTCTTTACATCGCTCCTGTAATGCTACTTTCTTTGGGACATCTTTTCTATTGCTTCCGAAGTTCAAGGTTCCTGCAATGTATATTACCATGTTCTTTCCCTTTGATACCTTTTATCATACTAGTACTTCTTTATTCAGTGTTTGCCTTTTCCTGTTGGATGGCAAGTTTTGATGAGGGCAGGCTTTTGTGTGTCCAGAAGCCCCCACAATGCTGTTATGTAGGTAGTGTGCAATAAATATTCGTAGAATGATTTCAGGTGAAACAAACTCTTTTCTCCTGATATACAAGGCTCTATTTAAAACTCACCAGAATGTTGTATGAAAGTTGGATAATTCAAGTGTCGTTGGACTTTATGTCTGCTTTGTTGCAGTGCAGAGGAAGATGCCTCTGGGAATGTTTTACCCTGTATGGGAGCCATTAATGACAGAAGCCCTAATTATCTCTTACTTTGGGCTATTATATAATTGGGCTTATTTTAATGATGTTATTCTATATTTGTAAATTCAAGGTAACCTGAGTGGGGGTAATTGGATAGACTATAGGAAAAATTTTACCTGCTGTTCTTTTAGGTACATAACTGGAAAATAAAGTATAAAGATTGCTCCAAAGCCTCATTGAGCTATTAATAAAAAAAAGCCTCAGGTGTTCAGGAAATGCCACAAAGAAGAATGGATGTTTTATCTTCTTTTATAAAAAAGTTGTTTTTTTTTTTTTTACCCCCAAGCCACTCTTCAAAGAGTCAACACCTGGCAGGATGGTTAGACAATATAATTGTTATAAAATTGATGTTTTGTTGAGAGAGGTACTGTTGGGAACTGCTGTCACTCATTGAAGCTTCTGATTGTAGTTAAAGTTACTCCATAACTTTAGCTTAAACATAGCATAAAACAAGCATGCCAAATGGAAAGTACCTTTACCCAGAACATTTTCTAGGGTTGCCAAATTAAAGCGGATGTGAGATATTTATCAGTTTAAATTTCTGGTGTTTAGATTACTCAAAGCAAATGCCACTGGAACATGCTGATTAAGGTCAATTTATTAAAGTGGACCCCAACTAACAAACGTAATTTACACATTTTTTCTTCTACATATACCTTCTAGCTTTGGATTTTTCTAATAAAATAAAATGTATTTTGTTTTCAACCTTCTTAGTTTCTTGATTATTGTATTTGGAACAGAATGCAAATTGTAATTGTTGCAAAAACATATAAATATTAAGAGAACTTCTAATGGAATTATAAAATATTTTCCATTTATATTTTCAAGACAGGAAATAAAATAGACTTCTAACCTATTTTGTGCCTGGCATGGTACTAAGTGCCTTTAAGACAGCCAGGTGGGAAGGGGTTCTCAGAGAAACTCCAGCCGGCCTGCGCACTGGGAGGAGTGCGCACTGGGGTGGAGCCACAGAAGTTCGTGCCTTTTGCAGTGGGGAGGAGCCTGGCCCTTCCTCTTCCTGGGTGTTACCTGGAATTCAATCTGCCAGGTGGGAAGCATGTACTAACGAGACTCTCAGTCTTCCTTTGTGGAGAGTCCCTGTTTCCTTTTCTTTTCCCTTTTCACCCAATAAATTCCTTTTTTCTCCCCTTTTAAATTATATGTGAGCCTTTTTTCATGATCATGTGACGAGGACCCTGTCTTTAGCTGAGCTACGGAGAGAGTCCTGCAACACCTTCACGTAGACATTCTTGTAAGTATTATTGTCCTCGTTGTACAGATGAGAGAAAAAAACACATAAAGAAAATTAAACTGTTACCCAAGGTCATGCAGTTAGAAAAGGGAGGAGGTTTCCAACCTGTACTTTCTTACTATACTGCACTGTCCTCACTGTTTATCTGTGGTGATGTAGGCATAATCCTGTTACTAATACAAATAACAACGTAGTTAGGAGTGCAAACTTTGCTCTCACACCTGGATTGGAACCTTGGTGCAGATGCTTTCTAACTGTGATCTTAAGAAGTTTCTTAACATGTCAGTTCCCAAGTCCTGAAAACTTGGGCCTCATGCTTGTTTCTAGAGTTATGGAGAGATTAATGCCAATATTAGCAATATTTTTTTTTTTTTACCATATTAGAAAATTAATGTAGATACAAATCTTGTGAAAAGGCATTAGAGACTCTCCTGTAGTGGTTATTCTAGTTCATAAGGGTTGTTCTAGTTCACTTGTTGAGGGGAAGTTTTCTTACTTTCTCTTCAGTTTTCATTCCATTATTTTAAATGTTAGCACCTGTTTCTCCTTTAACAGTAGATTATAGTCTTTTTCACTCTTATCAACAGAGTTAGAGAAGATAATATTTGAACATGTCTAGCATACTGGTCACTAAATAAATGCTGTCTTCTCTCCCCACCGTTGCTATCCAATAGTTCCATAAATTGGTCTCAATATAGCAATTGGGTTTCTCAATGCTTCTTGGGGATCATGGTGAAGACCTTTGTATAGGATCTGACACCAGAGGCATCTAATATTGTTTGTCTTGATTTAGCCAGATGGAAGAATGTGGAGGAGGAAAATGAAGGGATATAGAAATAGGAAAACTCCGGGAATAGTTTTATTTTCTTGACCTCTGTCAGAAGTTGTTAATAAGGATAGTTTCACAAATTTTAAATCAATTGAAATTAGGTATTTCTTAAATAACATTGTGTTCTTAGGTTGTAAGGCCAAGGGTTATATTTTAAGAATAAAATACTAAGAGCGCAGTCCACCTGAGGATTGACAGTGCAATAGCAAGGCTCTGGAGCCAGGAAGACCTGGATATGAGTCTGGACTCTGCCACTTTTTAGCTGCTTTGGGAGAGTAACTCAACTTCTCTTTACTTTCCTAATCCATCAGATGGGTATAATACCCATTTATTATACCCACTAACGGAAAATAAAATTGTGTTGGTGTAAGAAATCACTCCCTTGCAATATTGTATTTGAGATAATACATTTATAAACATGTATACATATATAATCATATATAGTAACTGATGTAATTTTTAATAGAAATTCCTAAATAAGTAGAATTGTTTTTTTTCCTATATTTGGCACAGGAACTATTTTCATGTGGATGTTTTGTTATTGATTACAATGAGTAGGATATCAGCAAACTGTTACAGAGAATGTTCCAGAAACAAATGTACATCTCAAATGTTTCTGAGAAATGTTTCTTTTCTCAGAAACATTCTATTTACTATGTCTAAATTATGGCTCATTAGAAATTGCTTCTCAGTCCTCAAGTTATTCAGCTATTTAGCAGAATTATCTTTGTCATGACATATTTCTTAGTAGAGATATATCTCAAGTCTGGAGGACTTCTAGTGAAGCTGATCTGCAGAACTCAGGTAAGAATTAGGTGCCATCATGTTAGTAAAGGCAAGTGTTCAATAAATGGTTAGTATTGTTACTAGAGGAAATGTCTTATAAGACTATCAATTCAGATAATGGCACCAAGGTATTATTTACTATCCAAGCTGGATGCAATTCGGTTGTTTACCATAGCTTTATCTTGGGTATTTTGAATGCTGTCTCAAATTGGGCTGGCTATTAAGTGGTTATTGACTGTATTATTCCTTAGATTTCCATGTGCAAGTATTTTATTCTACAGATCAATAAAATATATATCTAGAAAGTCACTTTAACAAATTTAGAGCTTAATAACCTACTTATAAACAAAGTGAATGCCTCTTGGCTAAGTTTCTAGTCACTGAAAACACTCTCCTTAGCCATCCTGGGACACATGAACTTCAAGTGGACCTTGTTTGGGGTTTTAATTCTTGTGGGCAGGCAGCCCACTGAGTACTTTCCATGTGAAATCCAGAGTCTCTTCCTGGAACTTGTGAGTAGAGAGGAACTTCCTTAAAAATCTGGTCCAATTTCTCATTACATTTTTTGTCACCAGTGCACTGAAAATGACTGGCAATTCATATGTGAATTCTGCAGTGAAATCTTACTAAAGAGATTGTTAAAATCGAGTGTAACAATATGAAAAGAACCATTATAGATGATATGAGAGTAACTGAACCAAGTTGGCAGGGTGGGTGAAGGACAGTGGGACATTGGGTAGAAGAGAATCTTCTTGGAGAAGATTATATCTGAGCTAAGACAAAAAGAGGAAAAAGACTTTCATTTTATCACTGTTAAAGATGGTACTAATTTGAATCTGTTTTGTAAAATATGGTCTCATTATTCTTACAACATACTGAAAACAAATACATAGAAAGATTATATTCTATAAAGGCCAAGCTAGTCTTTGTTGTGATAGAAAGTGATGATACTTATTTCTGATTGTTAATGGGTGGCTTATATTTAATTTGATTAATTAATAATAGCAAACATTTATTAAGTGCTTTATTATGTGCCATTATGGTGCAAAACACATAATAGATGTTAAATGACTTAATATATGGAAAGCCCTTAGATTACTTACTGGCACATAATAAATGCTCAAAAACATTTTTAGCAATTATTATAAATTTGTCTTATATAATCATATAATGGATGAAGGGACAGAAGTTTAGAGAGATTTATGTGCTCAAGGTCACAGAGCTAATAAATCACAAATTCGGGATTAGAATTCAAATATCTCTAACTCAGAACCCAAACTTTGAATCATTATGATGCACTCCCCAGTTTATTAAAATTATTCTCAAGAACATGGAAGCTAAATTCAGATTAAGTAATAGAAAAACATGAGCACATCACTTCAAGCTAGACTATTGTCAGGCAGTTTGTTTTAAGCTTTGATAATGTGTATGTTGTAAAGAACAAACATTTATTTATCAGTGAAATTTAAAACCTCAAGATGAAGCAGATGGGCATATACAGGGACTAAAGATGTACCAGGAGCCTGATACTACTTGTTGAAAAAAAGTCTCAGTGTGATAAATGAAATTGTGTTGGTATAAGAAATCACATAGTGGGGAGCAGGTAGGCCAACATAGGAGTCAGTAACAGCAGGGGCAGTCCCTGAGAGAGCCAAGAAGCAAATCTGATGCTCCCTAGGTTATATGGGGGATTTATATCATTTTTGACTCCTACCATAGATCTGCAAAACCTTGAAGCAATTCACTAATCAGCCACATTTATCAAACTCCAGCCAAATAGGTGTCCTGGGTTTTGTTTGTTTATTATTTACGCTCCGCTCCCTACTTTCTTTCAATTGCTTTTCTCCCCTTTATTTCTTTCCCTTTGATGCATTAATGAAATCTCAGAAAAGCAACTCAATTTGAAAGTAAAAAAACATCATAAAATCTTTTCTTGAAAACCACAGCCTTTACTTTCCTGGCAATTAAAGGTGCTCTGAGATGGAACCATGGGCCAGATCTATATTTTGAAAAGGTGGAAGATCTCTCTTCTTCTAGGCTGATGTTGGCTAATTTCTGGGGCTCTAAGAAATTACTTCTGAGATCTACCACCGAATCTGCTCCTATCAGACTGAAATTCCAGCATTAGGTGCTTCTTTCATAGCCTCTGTAGCACAGAGGGAGAGGGTCTTCCAGCATAGTTAAAATGAAGCAGAGAAAAAAAAAAAGTCCACTTCTTTAGTGGTTATATGAGGAATTCCTTGGATATTGTTCCCAGTGAAATAATCATAAGTAGTGAAAATTATTTAATTTGTAAGTCTTTGAAAATTGTCCTAAGGGCATATAGCAAATGAAGCAACATTTATTCAAGAGAATTTACTTTATTATGGTAAGAATAGCAAGAGTCTGTTGTTGAGCCAAGAGTTGCTCCTTCACTTCCTCTCCTCCTTGCTACCTGGACTCAGCTCAGTTTGATGGCATTTCAGATGGGTATGACCAACTAAGTTCTTTCCTCCCCAGCTCCCAGTCAAGGACTAAGGTATTTCCCTAAGAGGATTAGGAAGCCAAAATCTCTCATATTCTCTAGCCTCATGTTGCAGAGGCTAAATTCTAGGCAAATAAAGCTATGAGGTAAGAGAATCTCTTTCTCTATTAAGGATCCACTCACCAGATGGAGACCATACTCCTGATACAGCAAGCTGTCAAGACCAGGGCCCTGAATACTCTCACCCAAGCTCTGCTGCAAGGTTGAGGTTGCATTCTAGGAGAGGAAAGCTGAGAAGACCAGAGGCTATCACCTCAACCAGGCCCTAAAGCAGAGGTTTTAATCTAAGAGAAGTGGGCTGTCTTTCCCCAGGCCCTGAGAAGTGGTCTCAGAAGTTTTGCCTGGGGTGTAGGTAGGGGGTAGAGATGGTCCACTGGGAGATAGAGCTCCCAAGTTATCCCTAAAGTAATTGACTTTATTTAGAACAAAGTGTAGAGATGTTCGAGCCTAAGGATGCTCTTGAAAACAATGGAAATTTTGGTGATATGCAATTTATGAGAGACAACTAGCTCTATTAGAGCAACAAGATAAACCCTAGGTCAGATAGATTACCAGAGAGAACAGCTGAGAAAAGCCTGCCTGGAGTCAGAATAAACCTCAAAGACTGCTCAAAAACTCTCTCTACAATGGGGCCAGAAATGAATTGAATTAGACTGTGGAGCAAATGATGCCCCCAAGACATTGTGGAACACAAAAGAAAAATCAGCTGGCAATTAGTGGAGCTTAATGGCTGGGTGTAATACCAACAGAGGCAGACAGGTTAATTAAGACTTCAGGAGTCTTAATTTAAGACTCCTTAATTTAAGACTTAAATTAAAGAAAGTCAAAGAGAGCTCTGTTAAAAAACTGTTATTTTAGGGTCACTATGTACACCTCTTGAGGAGAAACATCAGAGGCTTCACCCTGCAAGGGAAATAGATTTCACTAGAATATTCTAGCTAAGTCACTAAACCCATAACAAGAAGTTCTGGGGAGAAGTAGAAATCAGTATTTAGAGTTACCACAATATATTACTTAAAATGTACTGTTTTCAACAAAAAATTATAAGACATGCAAAGAAATAGGAAAGTGTGACCCATATGTAAGAAAAACCAGGCAAGAGAAACTGTGAGAGGGCTCAGATACCTATGAGGGTCAGATATAACAAAGATTTCAAAACGGCTATTATAAATATATTTTAAAAACTAGGTGGAAACATGAATGAAGAAATAAAGGGAGATGTGATGACAATGCCCCTTTAAATGGAGGTTATCAATAAGAAAATAAAAATTATAAGAAAGAATCCAATGGAAATCCTGGAGTTGAAAAGTGCAATAGCTGAAGTCAAACATCCACTAGAGGGACTCAACATTAGATCTGAACTAAGAGAAGAAAGAGTTAATGAACTTGAAAAAAGATTGATAGAGATTATACCCACTACATGCCCACAAATTACGTGATTTAAACAAAATAATTTCTACAAGGACACAAGCTATCAAAACTAACTCAAGAAGGAATAGGCATTCTGAATAGACCTATATCAAGTGAAGATATTGAAAGAATAATCAAAAACTATCTAAAAAGAAAGTCCTAGGCACAGATGACTTCACGGGTGATGTCTACCAAACATTTAAAGAAGCATAATCATTATTTAGAAATTCTTCAAATAACAGGAAAGAACATTCTCAATTTATTCTATGAATCTAGTATTACTCCAATACCAAAACCAGACAACGATATCATAAGAAAAAACCAAATAAACTATCTTTGTTCATTTGATCTGCTTTAAGAAAATATCTGCCACGAATAATCTATAAACAACAGAAACTTCTCACAATTCTAGAGGTGGGAAGTCCAAGATCAAGGAATTGGCAGATTTCGTGTCTAGTGAGGGCCCTGTTCCCTGCTTCCAAGATGATGCCTTGTTGCTGCACCCTTTAAAAGGAACAGATGCTGTGTCCTCACATGGTGGAAGGCGGAAGTACAAAAGGGGCCTAAGCTAGTTGCCGCTAGTCCTTTTATAAGGCACTAATCAATTTATAAGAGTGAAGCCCTCATGACTTAATTACTTCCCCAAAGGCCTTGCCTCTTAATACCACTACAATGAGAATTGGGTTTCAATGTGAATTTTGGAGGGGATACATTTAAATCGTAGCACAAACAAAACCAAAGACCAATATCTTATATGAATGTAGATGCGAATATCCTCACAAAATACTAGCAAACAAAATAAAGTAGCATATAAAATAATTTATATACTAACCAAGTGAGATTTAACCCAGAAATTCAAGAAATGTCTAACATTTGAAAACTAATGAAATGCACCATATCAACAGAATAAAGGACAAAAAACACACAATCATCTCCACATACTCAGAAAAAGCATTTAACAAAATGTAACCTCACTTCAGGATAAAAACACACAACAAACTTGGAATAGAAAGAAACTTCCTCAACCTTGTCAAAGGAATCTATAAAAATCCCATAGTTAAAATCAAATTTAATGGTGAAAAAGCCAATGCTTTCTTCATAAGATCAGGTATAAAGATGTTTGTTCCTGTCACTTTTATTTAACATTATACTGAAGGTTCTAGGCAGGGCAATTAGGTAAGGAAAAAAATAGAAGGCTTCCAGATTGGGAAAAAAGAAACAAAACTATATCTATTTGCAGATGACATAATGTTGTATATAGAAAAATCCTAAAGAATCCACTAAAAAGACCATGAGAATTAATAAATGACTTGAACAAAGTTGCAAGATTTGGGGTTAATATACAAAAATCAATTGAGTTTCTTTACACTAGCAATTAGCAATCAAAGTTAAATTGAGAAAGCGATTCCATTTGCAACAGCATCAAAAAGAATAAAATACATGAACAAAATTTAACAAAAGAAGTATAAGACTTATATCCTGAAAGTTGAGAGAATTTAAAGATGTTCTAATTAAATAGAAAGACATCCCATATTCATGGATCTCAAGACTTAACATTGTTAAGGTAGCAGTACTCTTCAGACTGATCTACAAATTAAACACAAGATTTATTAAAATCCCAGGTGGTTTCTTTACAAATACTGGCAAGTTTCTCCTAAAATTTATATGGAAATTCAAGGAGCCTAGAATAGTCAAAACAACCCTGAAAAATAACAAAGCTGAAGGACCCACATGTTCCGATTTCAAAACTTACTACAGAGCTACAATAATCAAAAAAGTGTGGTGTTGACAAAGGGTAGCCATATAGAACAATGAAATAGAGTTGAGAGTCCATAGGTAAACCTGTACATTTATGTTGAATTAATTTGGAACAAGAGTGCCCAGACAATTCAATGAGGAAAGAAATAGCCTTCAGTGAATGATGCTGAGATTCCTGGACATCTACATGCAAAAGAATGATATTGGATTCCTTGCTTATACTATACACAAAAAGTAACTCAAATTAATCCTATAGCTAAACGTAACAGGTAAGTTTATAAACCTCTTCGAAGTAAATATAGGTATGGATCTTTCTGACTTTGCTTTAGGTAAAGTATTCTTAGATTTGAGCACAAGCAGCAAAATAAAAATTAGACAACTTGAAATTTATCAAAATTAAAAATGTTTGTGCTTCAAAGGATACTACCAAGGTGAAAAGATGAACCACAATATTAGAGAAAATATTTGCAAATCATATATCTAAGATACTTATATCTAAAATATGTAAAGATGTACAATTCAATAATAAAAAGACATAACCCATTTAGAATGAACATCACATCTCAATAAACATTTTTCAAAAAAGATATAAAAATGACCAATAACCACATGTAATGATTACCCATTGGGGATATGCAAGTCAAAACCACAATGAAATACCATTTCACACCCAGTAGATACCTATAATCAAAGAGAATAAGTTGTTGGCAGGGATCTGGAGAAATTAGAACCATCATACAATGATGATGAGAATGTAAAATGGTGCAATTGCTTTGGAAATATACTGAGTAACTGTATTAGTCTGTTCTTATGCTGCTAATAAAGACATACCTGAGACTGGGTAATTAATACAGGGAAGGAGGTTTAATGGACTCAGAGTTCCACATGGCTGGGGAAGCCCCACAATCATGGTGGAAGGTGAAGGAGGAGCAAAGCCACATCTTACATGGTGGCAGGCAAGAGAGCTTGTGCAGCAGAACTCCAATTTATAAAACTGTCAGATCTGGTGAGACTTATTTACCACACCAGAACAGTACGGGGAAAACTGACCCCATGATTCAATTATCTCCACTTGGCCCCACCCTTGACACATGGAACTCACTACAATTCAAGGTGAGATTTGGATGGGGACACAGCCAAGCCATGTCAGTAATATAACACACAATGTGTGAATATAGTAATTATTACCAAATATACTAACTATAGTAGAAACCAGTCTAGAATAGAAAAGCAAAATACAACCAGGGCTGAGCAGAGGCCAGAAACTCAGGAAAATTGGTGTCAAAGACTTTTGCTTTTGAAGATCAATCTCAGCCTCTACAGGTACTTAGCTTGCTCCTTGCCTATCCGACCTTATTAATGCTTACATTCAAATCCTATTTTAGGTGGGGTGGGCTGGATTACATGTTAAGTTGTTATTACTGATCTATACTCCAGGGCAAATGAATTTTGAAAAACAGTTTGATTAAAAAAGTGGGGAAGAATCTATAAGACATCAGATATTGTAGAAAGTAGAAGATGAATGAGATTGCAAAGGGCTAAGAAAAAGAGTTAGAGGAAGCAGGAGCCTTCCCAGCTAAGATCGTGACTCAGCCTAGCGTGCTCCTTGAGTTGCCACATTTTTGTAGACATGAATTCTATAGACAAAGGTTTCACATCATATGGGCAGGCTGGTCAAGAAAGTCTTGTTTCTACTTTTAATGGGGACTCTTGGGGCCAACAGCTGTATCAATTGTACATGTGTGACAGGCCCAGTCTAGATCAAATCATGAAAAGCCAGGACAAAGTCCTTTGTCTGGGATGTTGGCAATACTTACTGGAGAATATGGGGCTATCAAAATGTATCCTAGATATTTTCGGTTTCAATGGTTTCCACTTATATGGTTCAAAGACTCTAGGTGAGTGATTCTCAATTATTGGAGCATTTTTCCCAGGAAAGGGGTGAAGATCATATTAGAATTTGAGGGATGGCAGTGAGTGGATATTTGATGATGCAAGTTCAATATACTTATTCCATTAGTAACACAAATTACAAACAATGAGCGGTTAGTGGAAATATGCAGGAGATAGAATGAGAAAGCACTGTTAGAGACATAGGATAGAAAGTGTTGATAAATAGTGCTGTAGATCAATAGTATATACAAAGAGATCTGGGAACAAAGGAGGCTCCTCTTTTGTGAGTCATAAGTGTCCTTTGAGTCTGTGGAGTAGTGGAGCTGAGACACCATAGGACTCAGTGACTGTGAGTGCAGAGGAAAAGTGTGAGTTTGGCAATTGAAATGCCTTATGTTGATTCCATGTTCAGGCCTCTTTCCAGCTTTTCCCATGGAGCTTCTCAAGAGAAGGACATCGAAAATTCTCACTTGGTCTATGTAGTCTCTTTGGGAAACTCATACTACATGTCAGAAAGTACCTGGCTTAGTAACATGCATTTCCTGATGCTAGATGATTGGTTGGCCAGATAAAAATGTCATATAGTTTTAGGAATATTGGAGGTCATGTGCTTTTTTTATAAGTAAGATTACACAAGGATAGAATTTCAAGTAAAGTATTAAGCTGACTCTTTTAAATTGGAATGATTCAGACCTTTATTGTCATGAAGTATACCTCCAAAAATTATAACCATTAATTCACAATTATAACCATTAATTCACAAACCTAAACAAAGTGTGTTGGTTATTCTCTTTTTCCCTACCTTTCAGCCCTACTCCCTTCAGATCTGTTATCCATTCTTGGACTCTGAAAGCTGACTTCCTAGGAATAAATCACTTGGGATCTTTCACTCGTTGGCTTTGAGTTGGGTTCAGGCAGTGGGAAGCACCAGCAGGAGATCAGAGGGAGGAGGAGACAGCTATTCTTTGATGTCCCCTCTCTGGCTAGCTGTGTCCTACCGCACTGCACCTCCTGCTGGGCGTCTTCCTCTCCTCAGCTCCAGCTCTCACTGGGCTCCCACAAGGATGTTTTCTCATTGCGTCTCTTCAGCGCTGGGGGTGGTAGTGCCTTCCCACTAGCAAGTTCCTGTTTCTAGTTTCTGGATGCTTCACTATTGTTTGATAAGATTGCCTTAACTTGCTCACACAGCTGTAAATCATCTATTAAAGTGTTAACATTTACAGTCTGTGGGAGAAATTTCTTCTGGGACTCTGAATAATACACAAGGAGCCACGATTTAAGAAAACTACACAGGATTAGAATTAGAAGTGGATTGCCTACAAACTAGTTCAGTGATCTTTGTGAAAATGCTTCAGCTTTTCTGAGGCTTTATTTCACACCTCATGTAAAAAGGGCAGGAAATTATCTTCTGACCTGAAATCAAATATGGCATAAATGACTGAAAGAGAAAGTGGCAGGTTGGGCTGGATGACAAGCCTTGCCATTTTTAGATAGTGGAGACAGATACAAGCAGGCCATATTGGAAACCATCTCAGGTGCTGTAGGGCAATTTTATCGTTGCAAGAGAAGAACCAAGAGACAACTTTATTTCAAGCCAGATATAACCTAAGGCTGGATTTCCTCTTGATAAGGAAAACTGATACAATGGCCTAGGGAGGTTGGGGAGAACTGGAATTGTAAGGTGTTTATGTGGGAGAAGGCAGCCTTTTCCTTGATTCTCAAATGCTATAATCAAAGATAAGTAAGTCACTGACTAGATAGTGGGTTGCCTTCATTGCTAAACTGCATGTGCTGAGACTTGTAGCCTTGAAGATCTAGAGTGTTTGTGGACTCTCACCTTAGAGTTCTAAGTCTACTTCCAGCCCCAGTGTCTTGGTTCATTTAGTCCTGAGACTCTGACAGCTTCCACTCCTAATGAACTTTTTAAAATCTTATGTTTTTGACCTCAGTTTTCAGAAAGCACAAAAATGGATTGTTTAAAAACTACCAATACTTTGTGTTTTATTTTAAAAACCAGATAAATTTTCAATTCAACCAGATTTATTCATTATGGAGGGCTCTAATTTGCTATTAAAAGTTTCTGAAAAGGCTAGCTACTAAAATGTCAACTGTGGGGATGAATGAGAGAGTGTGGAGGGAAAGTAAGCAGAGAAAAACCAATGCTGAAATTGGTGGAGAGAAGAAATGAGAGAGAGAGAGCAAGAGTGAGAGAGATTCATTCTGCTCAAAAATGGGAAAAGGAATGATGGCCACAATATGTTAGTTTGTTGACTAAATCTGGAAGAAAGAAAAACTGTCTCAGTGATATTTTGAGAACTTTTCATTGAGTATTTAATTTGGAAGTAAAAGTTCCTAAAGAAATGCTGTAGATGTTGATTCACCAAAATATGATACTTTAATAAATATTGGATGAAAACACGAGAAGATTCAAGGATAGTTATCTAACACAATTTAATAATTTTTCAAAATATGAACAATTGAATTAATACCCACCATTTGATTTTCTTCATTATTTCTCATTCATCATGAGAAAGAAAAGAAGGTTAACTGAGATCAGCATAGGCATTCTCACTAAAAGTGAGAACAATCATTTAATTGACATCTGTGCTTGGAATAGCTTCTCCAGGTGTAAGAATCCTTCAGCTTCCAAAGCTAAGGAACTCTGTAACACCAGTGTTATTCAGCTTGAGTTTTGAAGCTCTTCCAGCTTTTATCAATTATGTTTGGTTTCATTCAGGGTATTTTTTTTTTCCCAACTAGCATCATCCGCACATTAGGGTTCTAAGAGATTCTTGTTTCAAGGGCAGCTTGAGTCAATTTAGCTGTGAATCAATTCAATTCTGATAAGCTTTGGCATATCAGAACAAGACCCAAATGTCTCATCTTATTAGTATGCTATCTTTTGGTATGCATGCTGTTGTTATTCACAGCACTTTGTTTTGTTGTCATATTCATTTTCCTTGTTGCCTTATCCATAGCTCATGTTTTCCCCCTGCAAGACCACCAAGAAATTATCTTAGGAAAATCAATAGAAGGCCTGACTTTTGGTATAGAAGCCAGCAAAACCTGGAGATGTAGGGAAGAAAATTATGTCGGAGAAACACAAAAGAGGGATTGGTGGACCAATTCTCTAACTTCTGATGAATATAACTAAGATATTATTATTTCCTGATAGTTATCATAGATTATAAGGAACCTCTATTTCTCTAAAACCAGAATAATTAGCTCTGAAATTATAGAATATAAATATCATCTGATTATTCTGGTGCTTTAGTTGTCTTTATAGAAGTAATATGTGACAGACATGAGAGTTGATCTGAAATGAATTTCTTGAGTCCCCAAGTGCCTCAGAAGCTTTAGTGATAGTTTCTAAAGGCCTTTTAAATGATTGGCTTAAATTATAATTTTTGAGTGGCTTTTTACTTAAAAAGTGTGATGATACCCATAGGTACTGATAAGCTCTTCAATATTTCAACTGTAAGTAAGCAAAGTAAGTTGGCAATAGTGGCTTCAAAATAATACATAATATAATCCAACATATAGTTAAATTGAAAGTCAAAGTGTGCCCATCATACATACGATGTTGGGTATTTCTCTTGATGTTTCATTGGTGTTGTTTCCATTAGGATTCTAAGAATTTATCAGGTTCCACCAAAGGTAGAAATTAGGTAGATTACCAAAGATAAAGATTAGGTTTCTGTAAAAAAAGATAAAAAATTTTAGACTGAAACTTAGGCTCATTTTGCAGTTTGCAAAACATACCAGTGAGGCAATACGTTTGGGATTTTACTATATTCTCAGGTAAGCACATTGCATCATAACTAGGAGACTTTAGTTTCCTAGAGGAAAGGTATGGCTGGCAGAAGGAACTATTTGTAAAAGGTTTGAAGGAACATAGAGTGGGGGAAGGGGAGACTGGACAGGCATAGGGAGAGTTGGGAGAGGAAAACAGAAACCAGATGGCAGAGAAAGGGTCTTGAGTGGAGGTGATGGGGACAAGATGGGAGATAAATTTGCCCCAAGTGTGATCAGGCCAGATATGTCCATTTATTTAATTTAGGCTTTCCCCTGGCACACCTGGGTCTCATAGCTGCTCTGGAATTTTCCCCTCCAGCCACAGACTTGGTAACAGAGAAGCAGCAATGAACCAGAGGGGAGAGAATGAGACTGGGGGCACCAGGTTAGAGTGCTTTTCTTACCGGAGGATGATGACCACTTTCCTCAGTTCAAAGGGGAAGCTAAACTTGTGTATAAAATGTCTGTTAGGTGACCTGTGAACATATTTGTTTGTATGGAATCACTAGACCAGAAGAGCAGCAGCTCTTTCTCGTTATGCATCTGTTTTTGTGCCCTTTGCAGCATTTAAGACACGTTTACATTTTCTAGCCAACACTGACTAAATGAAAACTCAAATCCCACAAATTTTAGTGGAGGTGTTATATTATTATTAAGGAATTTTTCTTCACCTGTTTCTCACTTTTATTTTTCATTAGAATTTTGTATATGGAGACTGAAGGGCTCTCTTGAGCATGCAGCTATGCTCACTGTTCAAATGGGTAATCATTCTTCTAAACCAGTTTTACCCTCAAGGAAGGACAACAGAATAAAGCAGACAATTCCTGCCCCAGGCACAGTGTGTTCTCATTTAAAACTATATCAAGATTCCAACTGAGACTGTTGTCCTGGTGATTAATTTTTAGATATTACTGAAAAAACTATCAAACAAAAAAGCTTCTCAATCTACATTAAAGGAAACCCACGTTATAGATGTGTTATTATTAAAACACATAGTAGGCACTAGGATATTTAATGAATAAATGAATGAGCAAATGTCCTCCTGGGAATTGAATGACTTACCCTGTAGCAATATGATGTTTCAGTATAAAGACTAAATTGCTTGGACATGTTTCTTTGTCGGATTTTCACTGCTTTGGTTAGGTTCACTGTTTTTGTCAGCTCCTCTCTGCCTGATAGCGAATCTAAGGATTTTCAAGTGCAATTTGTCAATCTTGAGCCCTCTATTTCGACAGAGCACACCTAATTTTTTTATTACTAATTAATTTATTTAGAGGCACTGGGCCAACCTCTTTTGGTAAACTGATGAGTGAGAGACTCCCTGCAAGCTGTCAGCTTACAGTATAGGATAAGCTCTCAGCTTACAGTAGAGGATAATTACTTAGGAAATACAAAAGTGACATCATTTGGAACACAGCTTAAATAGTAGTCTATTAGCTATCTAACACCTTTATCTGAATAAATTTTCAGAGTTCTCAAAATGTGGCACAATTTACTAGTTTTTTCCTGTCTGCCTGTAAACTATCACATTTCCCCTTTAAAAAAAACATGCCTTTTCCACACGTTGTCTCATTCGTTCCTGTCACTGCCACACTTTTTGGAAAACGAAAAGTCTTTTCCCATTGCTTCCATCTCTTCTCTGTCAACTTAAGTCATGGGTCCATGGATTATGACCTGCATCCCCATGACTTTGCTCTAGTGGTCCTGCAAGGTCACTAGGGATTGCAATATACAAAGGCTTTTCTGTCTGTATATTCTCTTGATGTTTGTTACATAAAACACTATTAGCCTCCTCCTCTTTCTTGAAACTGTCTTTTCCTTATTTCCCATGACATTAGCATGTGGCAGTTCTACTACCTGAATGGCTGCTGTTGCTTGTCTCTTTTGATGGATATACTCTCCTCTATATGCTAAATATGTAGATAGTCACAGGGTTGTTTTGCTTGCTCTGCTTCCATTCTTCTTTCTTCTGGTTCTAGCATCTCGGTGGTTTTCCTTCAGAGAAGCAACTTCCACCTCATCCTCAGCCATGTAGTCCTGGAGGTGTTAATGTAGCTCCCTGATTCTGGGGCTCAGCACCTGGCCCTGGCCTGTGCAATCAGCATATTCCATCCAATTCTTCCTGCCTGAAATCCCCCTCAGTGATTTGTTGGGACATTGTTGTGTGACCTGAATTCAGCCAATCATTGTCAGCCCTGGAACATTTGCTAGAACTATTGGGAAAGAAAGCTTTTTGTTTCTGGCAGTGTTGACTTTTTACAATATAAGTCTAAAGCTGCACATGACAGTTTTACCTCTGTGGAGGAAATGAGGTAGGCATTTACCTAGGGGGAAGGAAGGAAAAAGGGGCTACAGGGTAAAGAGGGCATCTGTGCAGGGTGACAGGGCCAAAGCAAATGAATATCTGCTCAGGGGTGCAGTAGCCTGAAGTAGGGTGTTTGAACCCAAATGATGGGCTTTTCATTTCAAATGGGCCTTTATTTCAAATATAATTTATTTAATTGCACATTCATATAATTTAGATTGTAATAATTTTAACAATTGGTTCACAAAATTCGTGAAGATTTAACAGTGGATTCCAGCCCACTCATGCCTCTAGTTTGCCATATCTGTTGATGTTTCTTGGCTGAACACATTATTACTACCATGGCTACTGATATGGTTTGGCTTTGAGTCCTCTCCCAAATCTCATCTCAAATGGTAATCCCCACATGCTGAGGGAGGGACCTAGTGGGAGGTGATTGGATCATGGGGGTGGTTTCCCCCATGCTGTTCTTGTGATAGTGAGTGAGTTGTCATGAGAACTGATGGTTTTAAAGTGTGGTAGTTCCTTGATCTCTCTCTCTGTCTTGCTGCCATACAAGATGTGTCTTGCTTCCCCTTTGCCTTCTGCCATGATTGTAATATTCTTGAGGCCTCCCCAGCCATGCAGAACTGTGAGTCAGTTAAATCTCTCTTTTTTAAAATAAATTATGCAGTCTCAGTATGTTTATAGCAATGTGATAACAGACTAATACAGAAAATTGGTACTGGCAGAGTGGGATACTGCCGTAAAGATAACCTGAAAATGTGAAAGTAACTTTAGAACTGGGTAACAGGCAGAGGTTGGAACAGTTTGGAGGGCTCAGAAGAAGACAGGAAGATATGAGAGAGTTTGGAACTTCCTAGAGACTTGTTGAATGGTTTTGACCAAAATGGGGATAGTGATATGGACAATGAAGTCCAAGCTGAGGTCTCAAATGGAGATGAAGAACTTCTTGGGAACTGGAGCAAAGTTCGTTCTTGCTATGCTTTAGCAAAGAGATGGGTGGCATTTTGCCCCTGCCCTGGAGATCTGTGGAATTTTGAACTTGAGAGAGATGATGTAGGATATCTGGCAGAAGAAATTCTAAGCAGCAAAGTGTTCATGATGTGACCTGGCTTTTTCTGAAAGTGTTCAGTCATGTGTGTTCACAAAGGGATGGTTTGAAATTAGAACTATGTTTAAAAGGGAAGCAGAACATAAACGTTTGGAAAATTTGCAACCCATTTTTTGGGGAGAAATTCAAGCTGGCCGCAGAAATTTGCATATGTAAAGAGGAGTTGAATGTTAACAGCCAAGACAATGGAGAAAATGTCTCCAGCGCTGTCAGAAATCTTGGCAGCAGCCCCTTCCATCACAGGCTTGGAGACCTAGGAGGGAAAAATGGTTCTGTGGGGTGGGCCCAGGACCCTGTTGCTCTGTGCAGTCTCAGGGCTTGGTGTCCTGCATTCCACCTGCTCCAGCTCTGGCTGTGGCTAAAAGGGAGCATGTACAGCTCTGGCCATTGCTTCAGAGGGTGCAAGCCTTGAGCCTTGGTGATCCACATGGTGTTGGGCCTGCAGGTACACAGAAGACAAGAGATGAGGTTTGGGAACCTCAGCCTAGATTTCTGAGGATGTATGGAAATGCCTGTATGTCCAGAGAAGTCTGCTGCCAGGGCGAGACCCTCATGGAGAACTTCTGCTAGGGAAATGCAGAAGGAAAATGTGGGTTTGGAGTGCCCACACAGAGTTTCCACTGGGGCACTGCCTAGTGGATATGTGAGAAGAGGGCCACTGTCCTCCAGACCCCAGAAAGGTAAATCCATCAACAGCTTGTGCTGTGCACCTGGAAAAGCCACAGACAATTAATGCCAGCCCATGAAAGCAGCCATGGGGGCTGTACCCTGCAGAGCCACAGAGGCAGAGATGGCCAAGGGAGCCCACCTCTTTCATCAGCATGACCTGGATGTGAGACATGGAGTCAAAGGAGATTTTGGAGCTTTAACATTTAATGACTGCCCAGCCAGGTTTTGGACTTGGATGGGGCCTGTGACCCCTTTGTTTTGGTCAATTTCTCCCATTTGGAATGGGAACATTTACCCAATCCCTGTACCCCCTTTGTATCTTGTAAGTAACTAACTTGTCTTTGATTTTACAGGCTCATAGGTGGAGGAGACTTGCCTTGTCTCAGATGAGACTTTGGACTTAGACTTTTGAGTGAATGCTGGAATGAGTTAAGACTGGGGGACTGTTGGGAAGGCATGATTGGTTTTGAAATGTGAAAAGGACATGAAATTTGGGAGAGACCAGGTGAAGAGTGATATGGTTTGGCTCTGTGTCCCCACCCAAATCTCATCTCAAATTGTAATCCCCACATGTTGAGGGAGGGACCCTGATTGGATCATGGGGGTGGTTTCCCTCATGCTGTTCTTATGATAGTGAGTTCTCACAAGAGCTGATAGGTTTAAAATGTGGCATTTCCTCACTCTCTCTCCTGCTGCCATGTAAGATGTGCCTTGCTTCCTCCTTGCCTTCTGCCGTGATTGTAAGTTTCTTGAAGCCTCTCCAGCCATATGGAATGGTAAGTCAATGGAACGTCTTTTGTTTATAAATTATCCAGTCTCAGCTAGTATCTTTATAGCAGTGTGAAAATGAACTAACCTAGCTACCAAAAGATAATTTTTTATAATTCAGTGTTACTTCTCACTCGTTAGTATTCAACTCTAAATACCAGCTTTCTCTCTTTCTTACTTATTTATGTATGTGTTTATTTATATTAGTCTGGACTCATCAAGACTTATTTTTATTTAATATATTATACTCCATTAATATCATTATTTCTTTTGATGCTCAAATTGTCCACAATTTAGTAAGTGGTAGGTCCTTTAAGCTGGTGCCTAGTGTGTTTTGACCTATCCTAATAATTCTTTTAGGACTTTTTTTTCAGGATTTTAAGATTTTAAAAAATTATTTTTTGTTACTTTCTGGTGCAAGAAGATTATTCTCTGTATATTTACCTGTTGTCTCAATCCCCCATGTATGTAACCATTATCTCATTTCTATTGCCTCCTGGAACATGATCACCCTCCCTGCAGCCCACTCCAGGCCTCCCTGGAGGCCACTGCAGCGCTGCACAGACATTCAGTTTGTCTGGGCCCTGAACGCTGTGTGGGGTTGTTGCTGACCTTGTTCCCATGCATAGATGCCCTCCTTGCCTTGCTTCGGCTCTGCCTCATTTCCCCCTGTGTGGACTTGGTCAGTTTGTATTTTATGCTTTCATATATTTTAGACTCAACTTGTTACTATTTTATTGAGAAATTTTGCACTGATAGTCTGGAGTTGGCAAACTCCTTAAAGGATCATACAGTAAATATTGTGGACGTTCAGAACACATGTTTTCTATCTCATCTGTAACTGCTTGACTCTGTCATAGCAAGCAAAAGGATATGGTTGTGTTCCAATAAAACTTTATTTATAGATGATTAGCCCATAGACTACAATTTGCTGACACTTGGTTTCTGTTTAGAAGGTCTGCAGTTTTGGTCTGTAGTTTTATTTTTCTTAAATGCCTTTGTCTATTTCAGCATCAGGGCATTGCTGGCTTGATAAAATGAGTTTGGAAGTGTTTCTTCTTCTTTAATTTCCTGGAAGAGATTGTGCAGAATTAGTATTATTTCATCCCTAAATGTTTGTTAGAATTTGCCTGTGGAAAAACCTGGGCCTAAAGCTCTCTGTTACCTTTGACATCTCTGTCACAAACTGGGTTCTAGAGACCAGGAGCTAATCTCATAGCAATCAGGAGGGGTGCTTGGTAAGACTGCAATAGTGAAGCTTTCTCATTTTCTCTGACCAACCTTTTTTTTTTCTTGTAAAATCAAGCAACTGATTCTTGAAAGAAGAGTTTTTTCTTTTTCTTTTTCTTTTTTTTTTTTTTTGGTACAATGTGAACTTTTCTCTGAAATTCCTAGATGGGAATTTAATTTCTTTATTATAAAAAATGAACCAAATTTTATTTTTTTAATTTAAAAAACTGTGAGAAAGGAGTTAAGATTATATATACATATACACATATTTTTCTTTATATATAAAATCTCTCATATATATGAGAGAAAAATAGAGCTATATGATATATATATAATATAGTAATATATATAATACTAATATAGCATTACTTATAATACTATGTAGATAGATATAGATCTATATATCTCTCATATATATGAGAGAAAGAGAGTGAGAGAAGGAGAAGGAGGAGAGAGAGAGCGCGAGGTGGGGAGAGAGATAAAGAGATGTTGCAAACCCTAGCAAGCAGATAATATAAAAGACATTCTGACATACCTTTTATTACCATATAAGGCACTCCTGGTCTTAGGTTAATATTCTGGACTTGCCATATGTTAAAATCTTATGGTGACATATCATTTCTCAGTCACAAATCCTGGATTTCAGTTGAGATTACTCAAGATGTTCTAGTGAGAGGAAAGGAATTCCAGGCCCTTCATACAAGGCTGATCGTTTATCATCAATGGGATATACACAAAGAAATGATCCTTCCTGGATGCATAAAATGATTATTGGCCCAAGTAAAGAACATTAAAATACTGTCACTTACATGTACTCAGCAACACCCTTGACCTGCTGGAAAGGAATAATGTTTAAAATATATGCGTGTGACCTGTAATAATCTTAAGGACATTCATCTTCCCTGCTTTCTGTCACTTCCCAGTTAAACTTCTCTCTGTCAGGTGCTGTAATAAAAATGGCTGAGGAAATGGGGTTACAAATTTATGTTCACCCTGCAGATGTGTCTGCTTGAAGTGTATTTCATTGCTACAAACAGATTAGGAGAACAAAATCCAAAATTAATGATCTTTTTCTTCTTGGGAATAATACATTCCCTAGCAGTGAATGAATCCCTGTCCTTTGACTTCACTGCCAAGGGTATTTTTGTGCAGCTCAGTTTGTGATCTGAATGATATATTTCTGTCCCAAGGACTATGCCAAAAGATACTGCATACTTTCTTAGTTTTAAGCCATCCTCAGCCTGGCCTGCTGCAGCCATTGCCTTGTAACACAAATGCTGTACTGGGTTTCTTACCTTTGTTTCTTCAGAGTCACTTTCTCTCACTCTCAACCCTACTCTGTACCAAGCAGGGTGACCTTTTGGGATTACACCAATAGCCTCCTTTGCTTGGGTTTGGCCAATAGGGAGGCATTAATAGATGATCCAAGTTGGGAAGGATCCCCCAGTCCCCTCCTTGTGGGTTCTTAACTGGCTGATTATGTCCCTCAACTGAGGATCACAGTTCTTATAAGATGGCTTTCTCCACACAGCTCTCTC
Organism: Homo sapiens; assembly: GCF_000001405.40. Taxonomy (NCBI): domain Eukaryota; kingdom Metazoa; phylum Chordata; class Mammalia; order Primates; family Hominidae; genus Homo; species Homo sapiens. The sequence goes on along the minus strand of NC_000006.12, from coordinate 75,055,324 downwards.
AGTAACCACTGCCTTCCTTTTCCTCTTCCAGCTTAGGAGTGGTAACTAGAAATACTAGCCCAGAGGCTCTTGTAGTTTCCCTATACCCTACCCTCACTTCTGTAAAGTAATTTTATTAAACTCTCCTCATATTCTCTTTATTTGACTGTACAATCTGTTTCCTGCCAGGACCTAGACTGATACAAAAGGATCATTACAACAAATCTCTTTTCAACCTTTTTTATCTCTCTGATGCCACACCATAATACTTTTTAGCTTAGCTTCCCTGGGTTGAAATCAATTTATCAGAAAATCCCTGAGGGCAATAGAAAAGGTGAAAAGTCAAACTTGTATTTCTATTAGGTACCTAATTTTGTGTACCTGCAAAGTTAATTGAATATAAGCTAGTTAAAGCATTTTGCCCAAGATTCTGCTCCGTAAGTTTTTGGCATTCACTTTATTTGTGGCTGTGTATTAATCTGAAGCACCTTAGTGCCATGTTTGACACTCACATTCTAAATAGAACAAACTTCTCTCCTTCAAGACCTCCCCAAAGAAGGATTAAGAGATGAGGAAGGGTCCTTTGGAGTCCTTTGTGTGGGAAAATCTGGATGAGGTCTAGGGAAACTTCAGTAAGGGTGATGCTTGTTTTAAAGATAGACATTTAAAAACAGACTCGTGTTTATTACAGCACTACTAATAATAATCAAGATATGGAATTAACCTAAATGTCCCTTCATGGATGAATGGATAAAGAAAATGTGGTACATATATATAATGCAATACTGTTTGGCCATGAAAATGAATGAAATCCTGTCATTTGCAATAGCATGGGTGAAACTGGAGGGCATTATGTTAAGTGAAATAAGACAGGCACAGAAAGACAAATACTAGATAATCTCACTCATACATGGGATGTAAAAGATTGTTCTCATAGAAGTAGAAAGTAGAATAGTGGTTACCAGAAGATAGAGACGGTAGGAAAGATGGGGAGATGATGAGCGATTGCTCAGTGAGTACAAAGCCACAGTTAAATAGCAGGAATAAGTTATGGCACTCTATTGCATATTAAAATGACTAGAATTAATGATAATGTATATTTCAAAAAAGCTAGAAGTTTTTGAATGCTCTCATCACAAAGAAATGACAAATGTTTAAGGTGACAGATATGCTAATTACCATTTGATCAATTTATACCTGTATCATAACATCACATTGTACCCCATAAATATGTGCAGTTATTATGTGTCAGTCATAAATGGAAAATAATATCTGCCTAATGAAATTGTTGTGATAATGAAGTGAAATATACATATGAAGCATTATGCACAGTGCCTGACACAAACCTTCAAAAACTGTTAGTGTTTTTTCCTTTATAATTATAAAGGTACTTACAATTTTGAAAACTGTGCTCATACATTGGAAAGGAAAACTTTATGAAATTTCTGTAAAAAAATACTCATATGTCAATGGATGTAATTTCAGAAAATAACTTAGTAAATAACTGTACTCATTTGAGATACCCTCTCCCTTGGCTCTAATTGTTGCAATGAGTAGAAAACAGATCAGAACACAGATTCTTCTTTCAGTTTCTGAGAGCTAAGATATTAGAGATCTGGATTACATTTTCTCCCCCAGTTTGTTAAATACTCACAGGGAAAAATAAATCAAAATGAAATTGCCACTTTAATAATATAAATCTTTCCATTTTGGGCTATAGGATGTCTGTGTTAACCATTCAGATCTTATTTTAAAACCTTCAGATAATCCCTATGAAGTTATTGCTGTATATTGTTATGACCTGGAAATATACCTAGATTTTTTTGTTAATTAAAAAATGTCGGAAAGAAGGGCTGATACCATTCTTCCAGGATGTTGTGGCTTGTAGACTGTCAGATAATGGTGTACCTGCACTGTCATGTGTTAACTAAATTGTGACCCTTTTCAAAATCATAGACCAGAAATGGAATTCATTTATCTGGAAAAATGCTTGCATCTGTGATTCTTGGTGGAATGGTAGCTTTGCTGAAGGATTGCAGAGTGCTAACTTTTGATGTGTGTTTGTTGGAAGAAAGCTGAATTTATTCCACATTAATTCCCTTTCAGTAAGATTTTCTTTCTGTCTAGTTGAAATAATTTTTGGATACATTGATTAAAAAACAGCATATTCCATTTATTACTTAATATTACTTTAGATATAAAGAATTTTCTCTGCAACTATTTATAGTTATTTTTTTGAAGTTTGGATTTAAAAATCAAAAGTGACAAATTACTTCATGTAACTTTTATACTTATGATTACATTTATTTCTTCATCAGATTCATAACAGGCAACAGTGGTTGTGATATACAAAGGTGGCAGGAGTTCTTATAACCAGGAAAGGAAATTCTCCTGTGAGAGTCATTACTGCGCGTAGATTAGTTCTTTCTTTTCCTTTCTTTTTTCTTTTCTTTTCAAAAGATGTAAGATGGGGAGAGGTTTTTGAGCAGTTAGGTTTGTGGAGAGGCATACATGACATTTCCCTTTATCTCAAATTATGAATCTTGAACTGTGCATTTCCCAGGCTGTTGCAAAAGATTCTGGAGTGAGCCTTCTTTACTATTAGAGACATATGGACTTACATTGCCTTTGCAGTCACATTTTTTCAGAGTGTGTGTCGAACAAACTGCACGTGTAGAGTTTAATGGATTAATTTAAACATCATGAGGAAAGTGCCCAGGCCTTCCTAGTTACAGGACCTCATTTATTATAATAGCAACAGCAACCATCACTTTCACTGAAAACTCATTTTCTGTTATCCATGGTCATGAGTTTCTCAGCGTCTTTATTAATGCCATTTTAAAGCCTTTTTCTTAAAGTGTTAAATGATTGAGGGCTGAAGTTGGTGGAGATTCTCTGTATTTAATTAAAATAGTTGTTTTATGAGACTGAGAACTTAAAGTTAGGCTGTTGTCTGGAGTCCTTAAGGAATTCTTTTTAGATTTGTGCAAGGCAAAAACAAACAAACAAACAAAAAATAAACAAACAAAAAACAAGCTCAAGGCATTTGTTTCCATTTTCTTGGGGAGAGTATTCACTTTGTCTGCTTAAAAATTAACGATATCCTTGAATTGATACTCCAAGCCTCTTTTTCATAGAAAAGATCCTTTATGAAAAGTGTTTTTTAAATATTTGTATTATTTATCAAATAATATTTAAGAAAGTGTTAGGGTCTGATTATAGCTAGGACATGCAGAGATTTCATAGGCTCAAACCATCAACAATCTAAACAAGAACGAGATTAAAAAGTGTTAAAAACCACTAAAGTAAGTTAAAAACCTGGTACCAGTTAGTTCAGGCTTCTGTTGTGACATAAAATTGTTGAAATATCAGTGGTCTTGATCCAGCAGATAGAGATGGTGCCGTTAGAAGTTTAAACACTTTTCATCAATGCCTATCCATCTCTGTTAGGAATTTATGTAAGCTTCATGGGACGATTCCAACCCACTTCACCAAGAGACAAGATAATTTCTCCTTTTTGAGGTTGTCAGGCCTAGTCAGTGGCTACTCTGAAACCAAATAATATATGACATAAGATTATTTCCCAAGATGATTGGCTTGTTTTATTATCTAAAGTTAGACTCTTTCATATGACCCCTGAGATGCGGACTGGCTCAGAAGCACATGAAATAAATACATACAACAAATCCCTTATTTTGAACATGAGGAGAGGCCATACCATTTTTATTAGCAGAAAAATATGATTCTCTTTGACCAAACAAAGGTTCAAAAGAGATTTACTTATTTATGGCTTGATGGGGTATTCAGTGTTTAATCTTCTCTGGGCAGCCTCAGGTCTCTGGCTGGCCCTGAGGATCAGACCATCCACTAATTTCCAGTTTCTGACCCAGGCTGGTCTTACAAGGCTGTAGTGAATTAGCCCTACCCAGTTTTTTAGCATCCAAGTGCTGGGTTCCATACCTGAGTTCAAGGTCTGGTACTCTCGCTAACAGAGTGGCTTCCTGAGAGAACTTTAAACTTTTGGGTCACAGTTTGTTTATCTGCAAAATGGGATGAGGCTGTGGGAAGAGGATTGATTTGCATTGTCTGGGAATTCCCCTGAGTTTTAACCTTCTTAAAATTTACCAATTTTGTTGAATTTCAATTGTTTATTTTGGTAGGATATAATTATTTGATTTTTGGTTAAACATGAAACTAATCTTTAAAGAAGACTCAGTCTTCATATCTAAAAGGGAAAAATGAGTTAAGTAAAAATTATCTCAAGCATAAAAGTCAATATCCATCATATATCCACATTATATCCATCCCAGTCATATAAGTTATATCCATCTTTCCCCCATTACCTCAACCCATCACTCACCAAGCAGGGGAAGATTTTATTCAGATGTGGCCACTGATTGAACCAAAATTGAACATCTGACTCATTTGTGTTCCTAGAGCAAAGAACTGTGCCCACACATAGCTTATTATCTGCTCAGATTTCATTTTGCCAAAATTTATAATAAGAGACACAGACATAGAGAAGCAGATGGTTGGGGTTGAAGAAATCACAATGGAGTGTTGGAGCTGGTGACCCAATTGTACTATGTACTTGACTAGAGTACGACTAAGTTAAGCAGATATGGGGACACTTTAGAGGGAATCAGAGATGAGGGACCACTAGCCCTGTGAGGGGCAGGAGGGCTTTCAGGGCTACACTCCCAGTTTCCATGATGTCTGGCAGTGCCTGCTGTTTCTTGAATCTGTGAGACCCCCTTATCCTTTCCACTTGACTTTAGGCAATTTCTGTCTCTTGTAGGTGGAAGAGCTGTGAATGAAACAAAGATAAAGACATTATTATAAAATCCAAGTGAATTGGAATGAAGGGTGAATAAAAGCATCATGCTTTCCAAAGAACCCTGGTCCCATACCTGGGTTCAAGGTCTGGTACTTTTGCTAAAGTGGCTTCCTCAGAGAAATTTAGACTTCTGGGTCACAATTTGTTTATCTGTAAAATGGGATGAGGCTGTGGGAAGAGGTCTGATTTGCATCATCTGTAAATTCCCCTGAATTTTAAAATTCTTGAAATTTACCAATTTTGTTAAATTTCAACTGTTTGTTTTGGAAGGATTTAATTCTTTGATTTTGGGGAGTTTTAGAGAGTAGAAAGAGGAAGGCAAAGATGAGAGAACGATGGAAATCCAGGAGTAGGGCCTTCTGGATTGAAGATCTAAGGGCCTCAGTCAACATTGAATATGACATCTGAAAGACATGATTATCTGACAGAGCATAAGAGTGTCCCTTTTCCCCTGACATGTCAAAAGAAAGACAGGTTGACTAGGAAACGAAAGTTCCTATCTGCTTTAATTACCCACAGTGGGAACCTTTTCTCTGGGATTTGAACATTTCCATTCTGACTTCAATGACTAATAGACAGTAAATTATTTTCCTGCTGGTCAAGAAGCTGGAAGGGAATGTAGACCTTCTTTGATCATCTCTGGCTAAATGGCCTTAGGGAGATAGAGTGGATGTAAGAATACTTACAGGGAAGCTGGAGGGTTCTCCTGTGCTTCTTTCCCCCATCCACTCAAACCATCCCCAGGTATAAAAAAAATTCATTAAAAATTGATGAATAAAAATTATATATATTTGTGGCAAAAACATGTTTTGAAATATGTATACATTGTAAATGAAAATGTGATATATATACACAGGAGAATATGCTATTTAATCTTAAAATAGAAGGAAATGCTGGCTTTTATACCTAAAATTTCATCAGTGATAGTAAACACTGGCCTCTAGATGCTAGAGTCTCAAGATTTCAATTTAAAGTTAAAATTGTTTCCTTTTTGGAGTATTAGCAAGTTTGTCCATCTTCCCCCACTCACCCTCCCCTCCCCTCCTCTCCCCTCCCCTCCTCTCCCCTCCCTCTCCCTCCTCTCCTCTCCTTTTTCCTTTCCTTTCCTCTTTCCTTTGCTTTCCTTTCATTTTTCCTTTCCTTCCAATTAATTTTACCAAAATAATTACCAGAATTCCAGGGGTTAGGGGCTAGGGAAACAGTTAGGGGCTAGGGAAATAGGCAAGGGGATGGAAGAAGGAAAGAAAGTAAGGAAGGCTGAAAAAAAATGTTCCCGTCTGCATAATTGTGCCAAGGGCCTATGTGGTAGGCACAGCGATGATTCCCAAAGATGTTTATGCCCAGTGTGTTACCTTACATTGCAAAAAAGATCTCAAAGATGTGATTAAGGGCATGGGCCTTAAGATGGAAAAGATTATTTTGAATTATTCACATGGGCTCATTCTAATCACAGGAATCCTTAAAAGCAGAGAACCATTCTATGCCGTAGCCAAAATAAGAGGAGATCTGACCGTGGACAAAATTACCAGAGAGATGAAACATTGAAAGCATTTAAAATGGAGGAAGGGGACCATCAGCCAAGGAATGCGGGTAGTGTCTAGGAGCTAGAGAAGGCAAGGAAACAGACGTCCCCCTACAATCTCCAGAAAGTAATGAAGCCCTGCAACACCTTGGTTTTTAGCCAATGAGACCCGTGCTGGGCTTCTAACATGCAGGAGTATAAGATAACAAATGTGTGTGTGTGTGTGTGTGTGTGTGTGTGTGTGTGTGTGTGTGTGTGTGTGTGTTTAAGCCCCTGAGCTTCTGGTAATGTCTTACAGCAGCAATAGAAAACTAACATAGCATGCGCAATTATGAGTAGTGCTATGTCTACCTACTCTCTAGAATCATGGTCTTCATTCCTGATGGTCAATTCAAGGTTGGCAACCATTCATGATTTGTAGCTTGGAACTCTTTCCACTGAACAAGAACTCAGAAGGTCATAGTGGAAAGAAGACCAGAAGTCGAGATACATGGGTTTAAGTTTAGGCTCTAGGCTCTGCCACGTGGAAATTGTGTAACATGGCACAAAAACCTTGTGGCTCCAATTTTTCTCAACGCAACAATAAGAAGTTTAGATTAAGATAATCTCTAATTCCTTTTAGTGTGGGCCCTTGATGATTTTTTCTGAGTGCCTGCCTCACTCAGTCACTCAGAGTCAATGTTAATGGCAGACTAAACATAGTTGTGCTTATTTGGTGAAGAATGGGTGTTTAAATGTATTTGTCGAAAAGAAATGTGTTATCTTAATTTTTCTTTTTTTCTCACCAAGGAATGAGATTTGAGGACTACTTAGGATGTGAGAGGATTTAGATTAAATCTGGGACCAGAAACTTCCAGTTTAATTTTCAGCAGAATATTAATTACCTATTTTACATTATTGGAGGATAGAATTTATTGGTCCACAATCTTTTTTTCAATATGAAATACAGATTCCTTGATATTATATTTTTTTCTTATTTTTACCTCAATCAGGAGTTTTGCCTTTCTAGTTTGCACTGTATTAGGTTGTCTTTTCACTTAGAGTATTCTCTACTATATTTTTGATATGATATTTATTCTGCCTCAATATATTTATTTACATTTTTTTACTCATTTGATTAATTTCAATAACTTTTTAATCCATGGATTTTAAAAAACCTATTAACAAAACCTAAACTTTCCTTAAGTTCTTTTTCGTTATTTTGCCAAAATATTGGCAAAATATTTTGTTAAATAGTTTATTTGTTATATGTTGGATAGCTTTAGCTACTGAGGTGGAGAAAATATTTGTTTTTGTTTAGAGTAATTTTGCATGTCAATTATAAAACCTTTACTTTGGAAATTTTTATTCGTCTTTATTGTCAGGGAATTGAACATCAGGAGACTAGACACATTAGAGAAGAAACTCCCTTTTTAATTTTTTCCATCTGAAAATTAGATATTTATACGAAATACACAAAACATACCTTAAAATAATCGTGTGATTCATGTAAACTGATATGTAATATTTAGGAGCATAAAATCATGGAATATCAGAGTTGAAGGGACTAAACTGTTATTATCATTATTATTACTTTTTCAATATTCTTTTACTGTGGTAAGAATGCTTAACATGAGACCCTCTTAACAAATTTTTAAGTGTAAAATACAGTACTGTTAATTGTAGGGACAATGTAGTACAGCAGACCATTAAAACATATTTATCTTGCATAATTGATACTTTATATTCTTTTATTAGCAACTCCGCATTTCCTCCTCCCTGCAACCTTGAAAACCACCATTTTACCATCTGATTATCAGTGAATATTTTAGATACCTTATATAAGTGAAATCATGCAGTATTTGGCTTTCTGTAATTGGCTTATTTCACTTAGCCTTGTAATGTCCTCAAGGCTCATCGATGTTTTTACATATTGCATGATTTCCTTCTTTTTTTAAGGTTGAGTAATATTCCATTATATGTTTATACTACATTTTCTTTCTTCATTCATCTGTTGATGGACATTTAGGTTATTTCCATATCTTGGCAATTGTAAATAGTAATGCACATTGCAGTACTAATATATGTATTTGAGATCCTAATTTCAATTTTTTGGATAACTACCCAAAAGTGGGATTGCTGGATCATATGGTAGTTCTATTTTTAATTTTTTGAGAAATACTCATACTTTTTTCATAGTGGCTTTACTATTTTGCATTCTCAGCAATAGCGTGTTAGGGTTGGAATTTCTTCACATTCTCACCAGCACTTGTCTTTTGGTTTTTAAATAATAGCCATTTTTTTTTTTTTTTTTTTTTTTTTTTTTTGTTTAGATGGAGTCTGGCTTTGTCACCCAGGCTAGAGTGCAGTGGCGCAATCTCAGCTCACTGCAAGCTCTGCCTCCCGGGTTCACGCCATTCTCCCGCCTTAGCCTCCCGAGCCGCTGGGAATACAGGCGCCCGCCGCCACGCCCGCCTAACTTTTTGTATTTTTAATACAGACGGAGTTTCACCGTGTTAGCCAGGATGATCTCGATCTCCTGACCTCGTGATCCGCCCTCCTCGGCCTCCCAAAGTGTTGGCATTACAGACGTGAGCCACCGCGCCCGGCCAACAATAGCCATTCTTACCAGGTGTGAGGTGTTATCTTATTGTGGTTGTGCTTTGTATTTTTCTGGTTAGTGATGCTGAGCATCTTTCTATACAACTGTTGGCCATTTGTATAGCTTATTTAGAGAAATGTCTATTCAAGACTTTAGCTCATTTTAAAATCAGATTATTCATTTTTTTGCTATTGAGTTCTATATATATTTTAGAAATTAATTCATTTGATATAGGGTTTGCAATTTTTTTTTCATTCCTAAGGCTATCTTTTCACTCTGTTGATTGTTACCTTTGCTGTGCAGAAGTTTTTAGTTTGATGTAGTCCCACTTGTCTTTTTTTGCTTTTTGTCTGTGCTTTTGTTGTTACTTTCATAAAGTCATTGCCAAGACCAATATTTGTCCAATATTCATCAGGAATATTGGCCTTTAGTTTTCTTTTCTTATGATATCTTTGTCTGGTATGATACCAGGGTAATGCTGATCTTATAAAATGAATTTGGAAGTGTTTCCTCCTCTTCAATTTTTTTGAAGAATTTGAGGATTGATGTTAATTCTTCCTTAAATGTTTGGTAGAATTCATCCATGAAGCCATCTGGTCCTGGGCTTTTCTTTGTTGGGAGGCTTTTGATTACTGATTCAATCTCCTTACAAATTTTAGGTCTATTCAGACTTTCTATATCTTCATGACTGAATCTTAGTAGGCTGTATATTTCTAAAAACTTATCCATTTCTTCTAGGTTACTCATTTTGTTGGTATAAAATTATTTATAGTAGTCTCATGATCTTTTTTTATTTCTGTTGCATCAGTTATATTTTCTTTAATTTGTGATTTTTTCAAATTTGAGCCTTCTCTCTTTTTTTCTTAGTCTAGCTAAAGGTTTGTTGATTTTTTTTGGTCTTTTAAAAAAAACCCAACTCTCAGTTGCGTTAATGTTTTTGCTATTAGTTTTCTATTTTATCTATTTCTGCTCTAATCTTTAGTATGTCCTTACTTCTGGTAACTTTGGACTTAGTTTGTTCTTTTTCTAGTTCCTTGAGGTGTAAAGTTAGGTTGTTTATTTGAGTTATTTGCTTTTAGTATAGATGTTTATCACTACACATTTCCCTTTTGGTACTACTTTTGCTGAATGCCATAAATGCTAGTATGTTGTGTTTTCATTTTCTCAAAATATTTTCTAATTTCTCTTTTGATTTTTTATTGGAACCAATGGTTGTTTAAGAATATATTGTTTAATTTCCACACATTTGTGAATTTTCCAGTTTTCCTTCTGTTAATGATTTCTGGTTTCATTCCATTGTGGTTGGAAAAGATGCTTGGTATGATTACAATCTTAAATTTTTAAAGACTTGTTTTGGGCCCTAGCATGTGATCTATCCTCAATATTTCTTGAGTGCTTGAGAAGAATGTGTATTCTGCTGCCATTGGGTGGAATGTTCTGTATATGTCTGTTAGGTCAATTTGGTCTATGACATTGTTAAGTTTAATATTTCCTTGTTAATTTTCTGCCTGGATGTTTTGTCTTTTATTGAAAGTGGGGGTATTAAAGTCTTCTATTATTATTTTATTCCTGTCTGTTTCTCCCTTCAGATCTGTTAATGTTTGCTTTACATTTGTATTCTTGTGTTGGGTGCATATATATTTATAATTGTTAAAACTTCCTGGTGAATTTAACTTTTTATCATTATATAGTGTCTTTTTTTGGTGTCTGGTGCCTTTTTTTTTTTTTTTAACTCAGAGTCTATTTTGCTCAAGTGTAGCCACCTCTGCCCTCTGCTCTCTTTGTTGCCATTAGCATGGAATACTTTTTCCATCCTTTCACTTTCAGCCTGTGTTTGCTGTTAAATCTAAAGTGAGATTCTTGTAGAGGACATATAGTTTTAATAGATCTTTTTTAAAAAATCCATTCAGTGGGAGAAAATTTTTGCAATCTACTCATCTGACAAAGTGCTAATATCCAGAATCTACAATGAACTCAAAAACATTTACAAGAAAAAAACAAACAACCCCATCCAAAAGTGGGTGAAGGATATGAACAGACACTTCTCAAAAGAAGACATCTATGCAGCCAACAGACACATGAAAAAATGCTCATCATCACTGGCCATTAGAGAAATGCAAATCAAACCCACAGTGAGGTACCACCTCACGCCAGTTAGAATGGCAATCATTAAAAAGTCAGGAAACAACAGATGCTGGAGACGATGTGGGGAAATAGGACCACTTTTACACTGTTGGTGGGACTGTAAACTAGTTCAGCCATTGTGGAAGACAGTGTGGTGATTCCTCAAGGATCCAGAACTAGAAATACCATTTGACCCAGCCATCCCATTACTGGGTATATACCCAAAGGATTATAAATCATGCTGCTATAAAGACACATGCACACGTATGTTTATTGCAGCACTATTCACAATAGCGAAGACTTGGAACCAACCCAAATGTCCATCAATGATAGACTGGATTAAGAAAATGTGACACATATACACCATGGAATACTATGCAGCCATAAAAAATGATGAGTTCATGTCCTTTGCTGGAAACCATCATTCTCAGCAAACTATCGCAAAGACAAAAAACCAAACACCACATGTTCTCACTCATGGGTGGGAATTGCACAATGAGAACACTTGGACACAGGAAGGGGAACATCACACACCAGGGCCTGTTGTGGGGTGGGGGGAGGGATAGCATTGGGAGATATACCTAATGCTAGATGACGAGTTAATGGGTACAGCACACCAACATGGTACATGTATACATATGTAACAAACCTGCACGTTGTGCACATGTACCCTAAAACTTAAAGTATAATAAAAAAAAATTGAAAGGGGTGATAATAATGATGATAATAACACAAGCCACCATCAATAAAATACCTTCTTTTGAGATAAAAAAAATCGACTCAGGTGTTTTATGTTTTTTGATTGGGTATTTCAATCTATTTACATTTAAAGTAATTATTGATAGAGAAGTATTTAAAGTTGCCATTTTGTTAACGATTTTCTATTTTTCTTGTAGTTCTTTGATCCCTTTTTCTCCTCTTGCAAGCTTCCTTTGTATCTTGTTGTTTTTCATTATGGATATGCTTTGATTCCTTTTTCTCTTCAATGTAACTTTTATAGGTATTTTCTTTATGGTACCATGGGACTCACAAGAAATATTTTATAGTTATAATAGTCTACTTTAAGCTGATAATAATTTCAAACACATACAAAAACTCTACACTTTTAATATTCCCCTCCCACTTTATGTTATTGATGTCATAACTTACATCCAGTCATATTATGCATCTGTTAGTATATATTTTTAGTTGTAGTTGCTTTTGATAATTTTAATTGTCATTGCTTTTGACTTTTAAACTGGAATTTAAAGTGATTGTGTCCCCACTACTACAATAATACAATGTTCTGTATTTGTCTTGGTATTTGCCTTAACAAATGAGTTTTTGTACTTTTTTAATACGATTGTGTTGCTGTTTAGCATTCTTTCATTTCAACTTGAATAACTTCTTATAGCATTACTTGTAAGGCAGATCTAGTGGTGATGGACTCCCTCAGCTTTTGTGTGGAATAACTTTATCTCTGTTTTGTTTTTGAAGGATAGTTTTGCTGCATATAGTATTCTTGTTTGTTTGTTGTTTTGCTTTCAACACTTTCAATATATCATTCCACTCCCTTCTGACCTGGAAGATTTCTTCCAAAAAATCAGCTTATAGTCTTAGGAGGCTCCCTTATATGTGACAGGTGGCTTTTCTCTTGCTGCTTTCAAAATTCTCTCTCTCTCTTTTTTTTTTTCTTTTCGAGATGGAGTCTTGCTGTGTCTCCCAGGCTGGAGTGCAGTGGTGTGATCTTGGCTCACTGCAATCTCCATATCCTGGGTTCAAGTGATTCTCCTGCCTCAGCCTCCAGAGTAGCTGGGATTACAGGCACACACCACCACACCTGGCTAATTTTGTATTTTTAGTAGAGATGGTGTTTCAGCATGTTGGTCTTGAACTCCCGACCTTAGGTGATCCGCCACCTTGGCCTCCCAAAGTGCTGGAATTACAAGTATGAGCCACCATGCCTGACCCTCAAAATTCTCTTTGTATTTGACTTTTGACAATTGAACAATAATGTATCTTATTTTAGATTTTTTTGGGTTTATCTTATTGGGGCTCTTTAAGCTTACTGGATCTGATGTTCTTTTGCTTCCCCAGATTTGGTAAGTTTTTGACCATTAGTTCTTTGATTATGCTTTCTGGTCTTTTTCTTCTCTCATCCTTGAACTCCCCTAATGCATATGTTAGTCTTTCATATGGTGTCCCATACATCCCTTAAGCTTTCTTCATCATTTTTAATTTTTATTTCTCCTCAGCCTGAATAATATCCAATGACCTTTCTTTGAGTTTGGTAATCATTTCTTCTGCTTGATTTAGCCTGCTGTTGAATCCCTGTAGCACATTTTTAAATTCAATTATTGTATTCTTCATCTCCTTGATTTGTATTTGGTACTTTAAAATATTTCCAATCTCCTTGTTGAAATTCTCTCTTTTTTCTTCTGATCTCACTGAACATAGCAAATGATGGCTGTTTTAAATTCTCTATCAGGTAAATAAAATAACTTTGTTTCATTAGAGTTGGTAATTTCCCTATTTTTCTTTTTCATTTTCCTTGACTCTCTGCATTGTTGTCTGTGCATTAGGCAAAACGGTCATCTCTTCCAGTCTTCACAGACTGGCCTCCTGCCTGGGAAGATCAGCCCAGCCAGAGATCCTGGAGAACTCTCCAAACTTTGTGCTGGTTCAACATGCTTTCTTTGTTCTTAGAGACCCCCTAGGCAGTTATAACACACTGTGTCCTGTCAGTGCTCCAAGACAAACAAGACTGAAACCCATTCCTCAAGAAGCTTCCCCAAAAGTTGGCTCATGGATGCTCTGTCACGCAACCCCTCCCTTCCACAAGGAGAAGCTGAAGCTGAGACCTGGGTTTTTCACCTATTCACACTGTGTGGATCTGTGTGTGGGGCAGGGCAGGGAGTGAAAGAAGGTGGTGATTAGTTGTGTGCTAAATGAAACCACTGTCTCTACTCTTACTTGCCTCCAGGTGGCTTGATTATGCTGGGTCTTATAAATGCTCTAAGTTATACAGAAGCCAGTCCTCTGGATAACACCAAAAAGTTGGGCATTTGATGCATAATTCACCTTTTTTCTTCCCCAGGGAAAGACTGAGAGATGGCTTTTTGTCCATTCCTTCTGTGCTGAGCCAGGCTGAAGGCCTGGCTATGGTGACATATCAGCCTGCACTGCCATCTCTGTTTTCAGTGACTCCAGGTGGCTAGATTTTTCTGGGTCTTGTCAGTATTCCAAGACAGGCTAGACAGATACCTGTCCTCTGGGTAACCCCCAGAAAAGTTGGGGCATTGGACATGTAATCTACCTCTTTCCCTCCCAAAGGTCAAGTTGAGAGCTGACGTTTTTCATCCGCTCATGGTGTTGAACCAGAGGAAAAGGTATGGGTCTGTGGCGATGCCAGCCCACACTGTTGTCTTTGTTCTCACTGCCTATACAAGGCCATATTAAGTCAGATCTCACCTCCATGACAGGCTAGACAGAAAACAGTCCTCTGGGTAATCCCTAGGGAGGAACTGGGATCTGAAGACTTTTGTTATCTCATTCTGTGCTGATGCAGTGAAGGGGGGCTATGGACTATGGCAACTGCTAGCCCAAATCAGTATTTCGGTTTTCACTGGCCCTAGGTGGCTATAATAAGACAGGTATTGTCAGCATTCCAAGGCATTCTAGACAGAAAGTACTCCTTAGGGTAACCTCTAGAAAAGTTGGAGCATTGAACATGTTCACCTGTTTCCCTTCCTGGGAAGAAGCGGGGAGCTGAGTTTTCTCTGATCATATGGCACCGTCCTGGAGGTATCAAATTTTTCTACCCCAGCTTTGATGTGAGTAGTTTCATGCACACCTGTGGCACAGGAACCTCTCAACTGGTTTCTAAGTTTTGGAATTTGTCCATCAACTCTTTTTTTTTATTTTGAGTTTAGGAGTGGAGGTTTAATAAGCAAAAGAAAGAGAAAGGAGAACAGCTCTCTCTCTTGTGAGAGAGAGGGGGGTACCCGAATGGGAATTCCCCATCAACTGTTGTCAAATTGGTGTGTTTGTGGGGGGATGAAGGGTCTAGGGCTTCCTATTTTGCCATCTTGCTGGTGTCACTCTATCATTACTATTACGGAAATGTTTACTAAACCTAAAATTATTAAAAAGTTAAATCTTAAGTGTAAAATAAACTTAGAATGGATAATCCAGTGTATATAAGTAATAAAAACAACTATAAGGAAGTTTATATTTATTTTATAGTTCTTTTGGAGCTTAAATTTTGGATTGCTAGTACTTCATGGTTATATCAAGTCTAAAACAAGCCATTGGTTATTTAGGGATTGACGTAGAGCAGTGGCAACACTGACATTGGGCTCAAAGGTTGGGATATGTGCCCCAGTGCTGGCTTTTCCTAGCTGTGCAATCTTGTGTAAGTTATTTTATTTCTCTGATCTGCAGTTTTCTTTTACACCAAATAAGGCTATTGATAAGCAGCTTAATGGCTTGTTAGTAATAAATGATTTAGATACAAAGTGCCTGGAATATAGCAGGCATTCAATAAATTCTTATGCTTTTGTGTATAAATCCATTTAGTTTCTAAAGCATGATGCTTCTACAGCACTTTCCAAGAAAAGTCTGAGGTTTGTTTATGGCATACATTATATTCTGTGAGGCTTAATGCTTCATATCCCAAGATGACCTGTAAGTTAGAATATATATTTGAGTAGTGGACTATCTCACCTCCATTGCAAGCAGTACAGTAGGGAGATAATCTACACGAAAGTACTACATATATGAGGCCACTGCATTGTTTACTAGAAATATTAGATCTATATTTGTTGTCTACTGGTACTAAGTGCATTGGAATTTGTGACACCAATTTTTATATTTGCTTCATTTCTATTTTTTCTTTTTTCTTTCTCACTTATTTTCAATTTATACTATCTTGCTGTATTTTGTATAACTTTGTGCAATGCCATCACTCCATTCCAGAACAAAGTAGGTTACTAACAAACGTGTATGTACATATGTGTGCATATATGCACACACATTAGATACTACTAGTTTAAAAAATTATACAACACTCAGGAAGAAGTAGGTAAGCTTTTGAATCCTTTCTTATTTCTACATGGTGTACCGCAGATTGTCCTGACTAGTTGGATATGAGTTTCAAGATGAGGAAGAATTACATTTGGGCATCATACTAAAAAATTTCCTCCTTAGAAACATTGCATGCCTTATTTATGAAAGATTGAGCCAATATTACCAAATTTATGGCCATTTATGACAAAATGTGTGATACACGCTGTTCTATAGATTAAACAAAGTAGCATTTAATTATCTCAATGATGATTCTTGATTTTCTGAATTACAAAATTGGGGGAACTTGACCCAACAGTCTTACCGGCGATCTTTCCAGCTTTCCCAGGCAAGGCATACTTCTCGAGTTTGTTACTCATTTGCATCTGGAATACATTGCTACAGGAGAGCACGGGAGTCTTTATGTGTCCTGGGTTTCTTCAGGGGAACTGTTCTAGAAAATATGATGCTTGGGCAAACAATGTTTCAGTTTCAGTTTTATATGGACTCATTTATGGATTTAGTCTCAGTGATACTTTTTATGTCTATTAGACCCAAGGTCTCATTCTGAGTGGCTTTCCTTTTTCTGACCATCTTTACTGCATGTATTCAGTTTGTGACAGCATGATGCTTGCAGAGATTGTTTACCTTATCAAGCAATCTCTGGTAGAGAATCAAGCAATCTCTGGTAGAGAAAATATAGAAAAAATATTTGTTTAAATTTAAATATTTGCTTATTTTTCTAGATATCCCTAGCATGCTAAAAAACCTCTATGATCAATAAAATATTAATATATGAAGAGAAAAATAAACAGAAGGAATAAAATACATACAGCAAAAATATTTTCCATTGTGTATAGAAAGTTAATGTATTATAAAGCTGATAGTTCAGTAGGAAATAAGTACTTATCTACTAAATGATGTCTTTTCATAATTGGCTAGCCATGTGGAAAAAATTAAATTAAATCCTCATTTTATGGCACACACAAATATAAACTCCAGATAGATTAGCAAGTAAAAAATGAAAAGCAGAATAAAAATGTGGAGGAAAATCTGTGAGAGTTTATGTATTATCTAGAGCCAGGGGAAACCTTCTCTCTACCAAAATCAGAACAAAGAAAATATAAAATATAGAGATATGTGACGATATAAAAATTAAGAGTTGTTGTAGAATTATGTGCTGTTCTTAATTTCTACTCTTGAATTTCATCCAAAGTCATTTGATTGGGCTCCTTGGAAAACATACAACATTTGAAATTTAGCCCCCAGAAGAGCAAAATTTGTGGCTAAATGTCCAAGAAAAATACTTCAAAATAATGACAGTAAGGGACACACTTTAATCACCTTAACTAGGTCAAAAGAACAAGTCATTTCTTAATGAAGATCATACTCCAAGATCCTGTCTATGAAAGAAAGCATCAAATGTTCAAGAAGTAACAGAAACGGGAAGTCTGAAGGGCTGCAAATCTCAGAAATTATCCCAAAACAAAGCCAGGTAAAGGATGGAAAGTGAATTTTAATCCTTTATAATCAGAGGTGGTACAACTTTTCCAGCCGGGTCAGACTTGCCAAGTCTTGAGGGAATAGACAATGAGGACAGAAGCATTGGTGATTTAGTGCTTTTTGCCACTGATAGAGCTTTACATTAGATTATCTTGAATTTCTGTAAAGGAGGCCTCAAAAACGAATAATTTATTTTAAGCAACATTATTTTCAAAATGGGTCCATTTAATTCTACAATATTTAAGCACTACAAAAAATGTATTATATATAAGGTAAGAGTTATCTTTCATTTTCCTGCCCTTCCCAATGGTGAACACTTCTACCAGTTTGCCTTGTGATATCTGTCTTTTGCCTGTACACTTGCATGCATATGAGTGCATATATTTGTATTCAAAAGTGTACATACATCTTACACACTTAACATCCAAATGACAACATGTTAGAATCCATTGTTACGTAACTTGAGTTTTTATTTAGCAATATGTCTTTTGTGGAACGTCTGTTGTGAATACATGTAAACGGATATATCTGATTCCTTTCAATAGCTGTCTAGTATTCCTTGGAATGGGTATCATGGGGAAAAGCAGAATCAGTGCTCAGGGATTCTTGAGCAACAGCTCTGCCTCCAAAGTCTGGTTACCCATGATACGTATTTGTTTGTAGACTCTCTATTACTTTGCATTGATTTATTTTTTTCTTTTTAAAAATTTTGGCAGAGCTCATATATTTTAAAACTTATAACCTGATAGTATATTTTTATATATAGTTGTATAATTTAAGAATTGACATTTTATAAAATTAATTCTATCAAAAAACATACTGTCTTTGCATTTACCCATGTATTTTTTAAAGTGACTTTTAGTCAGATTTTATACTTTGTTCCACACCGGCTAAATGTACTTTATTTATTAAATTTTCTAGTAAGTTATTGTCCAAGTTTAAGAAAATGTTGAAGTGTTGTGCTCTAGCTCCAGCTATTATGCTGGACACAAGTTTTCATTTGTTGCATTTTCAAAATAGGTAATGAAATTATTCAAAAATAAGGACATCTTGTCTTTTCCTTTCCAATAATGTATTTGTTATAAGGGCTAGGACCTTCTTCACACTCTTGAATACAAGAGGTGAGAGTGAACAATCTGCATTTTCCCAAGCTTTTTGGAATTGTTTTTTATGTTTCATCATAGAGGATAATATTTGCTATGAGTTTCTTGTAGCTAATTTTTGACATTAAAGATATTTCTTTTAGTACTGACCTCAGTTTTTTTAAAACTGAGAAATGAGGATTGGTTAATATGGCTTGTCATTTTATCTATTTTTAACATTTGTTAAAATGATCAGGTATTTAGATATTTTCTCCTTCAATTCCTTTTATTGGTATACTCTATAAAATTGTATATATACAATTGCTGGATTTAATCTTCAAGTAGTCTACATAGTAATTTTTGTAGTATGTTCACAGCAAGCACGGACAATGGTTGTCTTTTTCAGTGGGATACTTGTCTTCCTCTAATTTTGGTGTAATAGTTATGCTACATTGTATAATGATTTGGACTACTTTACCTTTTTAAATATGTAAATTGTTTTAAATATATGTCAATAACTGATTTTATAAAGATCTATTAAAAATTTCCTATAAGACTACCTAGGACTATTGTGTTTTCTAAAAAGGACAGATCCTTGACTATTTCTTTATTTCTTATATGATAGATTTTCTATCTACTCGGGCCAACTCTGCTAATTTTTACTTTCAAAACAAATCAGCCATTTCATTAACACATTCAATACATTGATATAAATAGATTGGTATATTTGCATTTTCTCAGAAATTAAAAAATCTGTTTCTGTAACTATATTGAATGTACTTTTTTTTCTTTCTCTCTCTCTCTCCCTCTCTCTCTCTTTGTCTCATGGCCCTGCAGATTTTTGTCTACTCATTTTCTAAGAGCTTTTGATTTTAAGGGCAACATGATTTTTCTTTTTCTTTTAATTTAATTTCTTAAAATTTTTTTATTGCCTACTTTTCCTTTTTTCATTTTTAGTCTCTTTTTTTTTAATAATAAAGGACACAGGGCTACAAAATTTCTTCTGCATATTGCTTTAGTTTTACTTGATAGTTTTTGATAGTAATGTATTTCTTTGTGGGTAGTCTGTCTTTTTCTCTGGGTAGCTTTCAGTATTTTCTTTTTGTATTTAATGTTCTCTACATTATGTATGAATACATATCTTTTTATTCTTGGTTAGCTCCTTCAATCTGAGCAATCATGTTTTTTTAATGGTGGAAAATTCTCGGCCAGCATTCTCCTGCTTTTCCAGTCTAGCTGGCAGAAATTTTCTAGTCCTTATTTTATGGACAGATAAACATTTCCTGGATTCCAAGTTTAATTCCAGCTTCTGTGTTGCCCTGTGCCTGTGATGTCATTGCCTCTCTCAGGCTTATATACTTCTGAGACTTCCAGGAGTTTCTATAGGTGACTCTGGTTTTGAGTTTTCTTTTCATTTCTGGCATCTGTAGGTTTTCTTTTTTTTTTTAAATTAAATTAAATTAAATTAAATTTTATATATATATATTTTATTATACTTTAAGTTCTAGGGTACATGTGCACAACGTGCAGGTTTGTTACGTATGTATACATGTGCCATGTTGGTGTGCTGCACCCATTAACTCATCATTTACATTAGGTATATCTCCTAATGCTATAGGTTTTCCTTTTTTGCTTTTGAACATTTTCTCCCCAGTAATTTATACATGTTTCCAGTGGGGGAATGGACTTTTGGCATCTTCCTACACTACTATAGTGGCCAAAAGTTCTCAACTTTATTAGTCCTTATTTCAAGCCACTTCAATTTTTTTTTTGAATATAGAGCAAACCAGCTAAATAAAAATAAATCCCTACATATATTCTCAATTAATCTGCCCCTGAAGCAAGCACATTTCTATTTAGAGGTTTCTAAAAGCATTAATCACAATCAGGTATATTGGAAAATCCATGGACTTTGGGCTCAAAACCCATGAAGTTGAATTCTTGTTTTGTTGCTTATTGGCTTTTCATTTGTTTTGTTTCTTTTGAACATAATTGCTTTATCTTCTAAGAGGAATAAAACTACTTCCCTGCCAAATTGTTGTGAGGATTGATAGTAATATAAATGAAATGCAGAGATTAATAAATAGTGTGTACTAAATAACTGATAGCTACTATTTTCCTTTCTGCCCTATCAGGAAATAGACAGGTGTTGCAACTTCCCTGTGTTTCCAGATCTTGTGTTGATAAAAAGGGTGAACACATAAGGAATAATGGTATATCTTTGGGCCCAAAAGTATTTAGCAAGATTCCCTTACGCTGTGTTTAAAGAAACACCCAGATTCATTGTGTCACACAGAATCTTGGGCAGTTTCCATGAGCCGAATTGGCTCTCGGGGAATAGGATTTGTGGGAGTAGTACTGTGGGAATTGTAGAAGTGTTTGTGGGAACAGAAGAAGAAGAGATTAAAAGAGCAGCTCAGAGAATCTACCATCACCCATCCCTTACTCTTTTTCATTGTTGTGTGAAGTTCTTCAATTTCCTTAGCCACCTCTTTCACTGCAACAACTCCTGCCCTGAGCCCACCTTCATCTCCATCCAGCAGGGGCATCAATTTCTGGACACACACACACACACACACACACACACACACACACACACACTATTTAAGTAAGGATACATACAGTGTAAGTTATTTTAATTTTCTTTTAAACTTCAAAAAATTTTTTATAAAAATAAAATGACAATTAAGAAGATTTTGTTTAGTTTCCCCTGAACTAAGCCACTTAACAAATAGAACATACCTAATCTGATGTCTTATAAGAGTACATCTTACTTTGACAAAATTCAACAACGCTTCATGCTAAAAACTCTCAATAAGTTAGGTATTAATGGGACGTATCTCAAAATAATAAGAGCCATCTATGACAAACCCACAGCCAATATCATACTGAATGGACAAAAACTGGAAGTATTCCCTTTGAAAACTGGCACAAGACAGGGATGCCCTCTCTCACCACTCCTATTCAACATAGTGTTGGAAGTTGTGGCCAGGGCAACCAGGCAGGAGAAGGAAATAAAGGGTATTCAATTAGGAAATGAGGAAGTCAGATTGTCCCTGTTTGCAGATGACATGATTGTATATCTAGAAAACCCCATCATCTCAGCCCAAAATCTCCTTAAGCTGATAAGCAACTTCAGCAAAGTCTCAGGATACAAAATCAATGTGCAAAAATCACAAGCATTCTTATACACCAATAACAGACAAACAGAGAGCCAAATCATGAGTGAACTCCCATTCACAATTGCTTCAAAGAGAATAAAATACCTAGGAATCCAACTTACAAGGGATGTGAAAGCCCTCTTCAAGGAGAACTACAAATCACTGCTCAATGACATAAAAGAGGATACAAACAAATGGAAGAACATTCCATGCTTATGGGTCGGAAGAATCAATATCGTGAAAATGGCCATACTGCCCAAGGTAATTTATAGATTCAATGCCATCCCCATCAAGCTACCAATGACTTTCTTCACAGAATTGGAAAAAACTGCTTTAAAGTTCATATGGAACCAAAAAAGAGCCCGCATTGCCAAGTCAATCCTAAGCCAAAAGAACAAAGCTGGAGGCATCACACTACCTGACTTCAAACTATACTGCAAGGCTACAGTAACCAAAACAGAGATATAGACCAATGGAACAGAATAGAGTCCTCAGAAATAATGCCGCATATCTACAACTATCTGATCTTTGACAAACCTGACAAAAACAAGAAATGGGGAAAGGATTCCCTATTTAATAAATGGTGCTGGGAAAACTGGCTAGCCATATGTAGAAAGCTGAAACTTGATCCCTTCCTTACACCTTATACAAAAATTAATTCAAGGTGGAGTAAAGACTTACATGTAAGACCTAACACCATAAAAACACTAGAAGAAAACCTAGGCAATACCATTCAGGACATAGGCATGGCAAGGGCTTCATGTCTAAAACACCAAAAGCAATGGCAACAAAAGCCAAAATTGACAAATGGGATCTAATTAAACTAAAGAGCTTCTGCAAAGCAAAAGAAACCACCATCAGAGTGGACAGGCAACCTACAGAATGGGAGAAAATTTTTGCAATTTCTGCCCTTAACACTTTTTCCTTCATTTCGACCTTGGTATATCTGACAATTATGTGTCTTGGGGTTGTTCTTCTCAAGGAGTATCTTTGTGGTGTTCTCTGCATTTCCTGAATTTGAATGTTGGCCTGCCTTGCTAGGTTGAGGAATTCTCCTGGGTAAGATCCTGAAGAGTGTTTTCCAACTTGGTTCCATTCTCCCCGTCACTTTCAGGTACACCAATCAAACGTAGATTTGGTCTTTTCACATAGTCCGATATTTCTCGGAGGCTTTGTTCATTTCTTTTTACTATTTTTTCTCTAACCTTGTCTTCTCACTTTATTTCGTTAATTTGATCTTCAATCACTGATACCCTTTCTTCCACTTGACTGAATTGGCTGTTGAAGCCTGTGCATGCATCACAAAGTTCTAGTGCCGTGGTTTTCAGTACCCCTCAGGTAATTTAAGGTTTTCTCTACAGTGTTTATTCTATGTAGCCATTCTTCTAATCCTTTTTCAAGGTTTTTAGCTTCCTTGCAATAGGTTTGAACATCCTCCTTTAGCTCTCCTTTAGCTCGGAGAAGTTTGTTATCACTGACCTTCTGAAGCCTACTTCTGTCACCTCGTCAAAGTCACTCGCCATCCAGCTTTGTTCCATTGCTGGTGAGAAGCTGTGATCCTTTGGAGGAGAAGAGGCGCTCTGTTTTTTAGAATTTTTAGCTTTTCTGCTCTGGTTTCTCCCCATCTTTGTGGTTTTACCTAACTTTGGTCTTTGATGTTGGTGACCTACAGTTGGGGTTTTTGTGTGGATGTCCTTTTTGTTGATGTTGATGCTATTCCTTTCTGTTTGTTATTTTTCCTTCTAACGGTCAGGTCCCTCAGCTGCAGGTCTGTTGGAGTTTGCTGGAGGTCCACTCCAGACCTTGTTTGCCTGGGTATCACCAACGGAGGCTGCAGAACAGCAAGTATTGCTGCCTGATCCTTCCTCTGGAAGCTTCGTCCCAGAGGGGCAGCCGCCTATATGAGGTGTTTGTTGGTCCCTACTGGGAGGTGTCTCCCAGTTAGGCTAAATGGGGGTCAGGGACCCACTTGAGGAGGCAGTCTGTTTGTTCTCAGAGCTCAAACGCCGTGCTGGGAGAACCACTGCTCTTTTCAGAGCTGTCAGACAGGGCTGTTTAAGTCTGCAGAAGTTGTCTGCTGTCTTTTGTTCAGCTATGCCCTGCCCACAGAGGTGGAGTGTAGAGGCAGTGGGCCTTGTTGAGCTGTGGTGGGCTCCACCCAGTTTGAGCTTCCTGGCTGCTTTGTTTACCTACTCAAGCCTCAGCAATGGCGGATGCCCCTCCCCCAGCCAGGCTGCCACCTCGCAGTTCGATCTCAGACTGCTGTGCTAGCAATGAGCAAGGCCCCGTGGGCATGGGACCCACTGAGCCAGGCACAGGAGAGAATCTCCTTGTCTGCCAGTTGCTAAGACTGTAGGAAGAGCACAGTATTTGGGTGGGAGTGTCCCATTTTTCCAGGTACAGTCTGTCATAGCTTCCCTTGGGTAGGAAAGGGAAATCCCCCAACCCCTTATGCTTCCTGGGTGAGGCGACACCCTG
Source organism: Homo sapiens (assembly GCF_000001405.40). Classification (NCBI taxonomy): domain Eukaryota; kingdom Metazoa; phylum Chordata; class Mammalia; order Primates; family Hominidae; genus Homo; species Homo sapiens. The sequence continues at coordinate 75,031,014 of NC_000006.12, read as the reverse complement.
CCCTGCTTCAACTCACCCTCCATGGGCTGCACCCCCTGTCCAACCAGTCCCAATGAGATGAAACAGGTACCTCAGTTGGAAATGCAGAAATCACCCATCTTCTGCGTTGGTCACGCTGGGAGCTGCAGAACAGAGCTGTTCCTATTTGGCCATCTTGGAATGCCCACCAAAGCATTGTTCTTAAAGACTTTGCAGGTCTTCATTTAATTTCTAGTGTCCATGTGAGATTACTAATTTGATTATCTCCATTTTATTGATTAGAAAACTAAAGCAGAGAAGCAAAACAACTTACCTAAGGTCATTTAGAAAGGATACAATCAAGATTCAAACATAGGTAATCTTGTTCTAAAATCTGTGCTTTTTTACCACTATGCCATGCCAACTGTCACATAATTCAAACTAAACAAGATTTGGGTTCAAATTCTGACTATGTTCTATATTCACTGAGCAACCCTGGAACTAGGTCTCAGTTTTGTCATCTGTGAAATAGGGACAATAATACCTGTTTTACTGGATTGCTGTGAAGATTGAATGAGATAGTTTATGTAAAGGGACATATCAGAGTTCTGGTAGAAAGTGGATAGTAAACAAATGCCAGAGCCTTCTTCCCCTGTTACATTAGTGTTAAAAAAATTTATGGAAAAAAACTTATTTTCCTCAAACGTGGCCTTTTTGAAACCTAGTTAAAATATTTGGGAGAGGATGTCTTTCTCATTTTTTGCATCCTTTAAGATTGTTGTAAAGAAAAATGAAATTAGTACCTGTGAGCATAGAAAATTAATCATTCTCTCCTTTCCTTCACTTGCGCTTTGCTTGCCACTGCTTAATGGTGATTTTTTTTTTTTTTTTTTTTTTTTTTAATAATAGGAGGGTAGAGCTGAGAATGAAAGAGATGTATTTGTGGCTCTTTTTGGAATTTTAAGTCCAAGAATGTTCCTTTGATTAAATATTTTTATAAATTTTCTTGAAAAGATCTTTGCTGACTTTTGAATGAACAATTATACAATACAGATCCCACGTCTTGTAATAAGCTAAATCCTTAGTGAAAATTACTCTAATAAGAGAACCATATATAAAGAATTTTCTGGTGAAACTGGCATATAATGGAGGGATCCATTTCTTAGACATCACTCAGATATGCTCCTCCAGCACTAACTCGGTTGTTTATTGAGATGAAGGGTTCAGGCATTTCTGATGTCTAAATCCGAGGGCTGCAAGTAGAGAAAAGTACAATTAACTCAGCGAACTTAAAACCACATTCCTCCATCTGTTGAGTCCCTTGGTGTCAGGCTGTGAGGAACCAGTGCTGTCGGAATGGGGCAGTAACAGATGGCTGAGAAATGTGCCCTTCTCCTTCCACCCCTGTCCTTTAGAGTGGCTTAGCTTGAAAATCTTTAACATATCATACATTTATCTGGTATTGGATACATGGAAAAAAGTCAGCATTGCGCTCTGTGTGTCACAGGCTGTGGATTTGGCAGGACACGTGGATGGGTTCTTAGGCCACGTAAACCCACGTGAGGAAGAGTAACCAAATCCCTTTTCCATTTCCAACCCATACACATGTCTGCAGAAGAAAAAGACTAAACAAAATGTTCTTTTTTTATCCAAAATCAAAACAAATAGAAGGATGAGTGGGAGGAAGATTTGGTCAAATTTACTTTAAATGCCTCCAGAAAGAGGCCCTAGCGCAGTAAGTGAGAAATTCTTTGTTCCCATGTTTGAAGTGTCAGTACACTTTCAATGAATGTTTAACCCATAAAGTCTTCTTCATACAAATAAAGTTCTTACTTAGTAACTTCTATCTGCCCCTTGTTGCAATAGGTGCTATAGGTCAACTGGGTGTAAAGCCTGTCCTCAAAGAGCTTGCCATTTTCTTTTTTGTTATTTTATATTTGTCTTCTGGATAAACATAGCACAGGTAACACAAGTGTTCATATCTGCTCTCTTTCACAAATCTACTAAAGTAATAAGGGAATAAAACAAGTATAAATTTGAAAGGATAAAGAGACAGAATGAAGAGATAACAGGCAAGAGAGGGCAACAAGTTTTTGGAAGCTAGATATTAAAGAGAGAAAGGTATTTAAAAGAAAGGTACAGCTGAAAGTTTACCTTTGGAAGCTACATATTAAAGAGAGAAAGGTATTTAAAAGAAAGGTACAGCTGAAAGTGTCCCCAGAAGGGAAACTATAGGAAAGCAAGCTGAGTTTTCTCTGCAGAAAATAGCAAAGGCTCCAAAGACAGAGGTTCCAAGTGCAGCAAAGATCATGGGGTTAAAAACAAGAGAGGTTAATTGACAATTTACATAGGAAGCAAATTCTCGGTGTTTATTTTCTCCCGGAACATTGTGAGTACTCCTCTAGGAGTGTAGAAACCTGCACTATTTCTTTAGAGACATTAAAATCAGATTGGCTCTTCATTTAGGGAGGAAGGAGCTGAGGAGTGAACTGCTTCATTGAAAAAGGGAATCAAGTGGTCTTTATATTCAACGGTGAGCCACACTGCTCCTAACTCGCTGCTGCCTACCAGAGTGCTGGTTCTCAGGCATACATTTCTCAGGCAGGAGATTGGAGAGTCCTTCTCTGGAGAAACTGAAAAGATGAAGGTATTCTGATATAGGAGGAGCCTCAGTAGGAAATCCATCTTGTTATCTACGCATCTGGTGAAGCCAACCAATTGACAATTCCCTGTCCCCCTCCACTGCTAAGCTTCCCTTCTCATCACCTCTTCCTGCATGGAGTCTTCCAATTACCCGTTCGAGCCTTATTCTTAAACATGAACTGATATCCAAGGATGACCAAAAAATATTTAGCAAAAGCCTCCTTCACTGAATAGAGGCTATAACAATTAAACAGGAAAAAGGAAATAAATACAATCAAGGGATAGAAGAAAGCTTTTTACAAAACCGTGAGTTAAGATCCTCAGAGAAATGAGAAAACACTGCATCCATAGCGTTAGAATGGGATACTATAAAGAGTAATATTGAGAAGCAAAAAAGACTCATAGGTATTAAAAATATCATACCCCAAATTAAAATTAAATAGAAGTGCTAGATGGTGATATTGAAGAAATATCTAAGAAAGCAGAATGGTGTATAAAAAGATAAGACAAAATAAAAAGAAACAGAAAATTGAGGCTCAATCTAGGTTCCAACAGGCTTGTGGAGGCAACATTCACTTAAGAGAAATTATAGAGGACCAAAAAATTAAAAGAAATTTCAAATAATCAGTATAAGGGCATGCATTTCCATATTAAAGGGCCTGTCAAATGTCCAGAATAAAAAAAGACCCACATCAGGATTTATTAGGAGATACAAAATCCTGAAAGCATCCAGATTGACAAAATGTCATATTTTCAATCTAGAGCTAAGAATGGCATACATTGATCCAAGAAAGTTTGTGAGCTAGAAAACAATGGAGAAGTACTTTCAAAATTAGGATGAAAAACCATTTCCTCCCTAAAAATTATAGTTCTCAAAAAATTATCTGTCCTGTATTTTTTTTTTCTTTTTTTTTTTTTTTTGAGATGGAGTCTTGCTCTGTCACCCAGGCTGGAATGTAGTGGCATGATCTTGGCTCACTGCACCTCCGCCTCCTGGGTCTTCTGGGTTCAAGCCATTCTCCTGCCTCAGCCTCCCCAGTAGCTGGGATTACAAGCGCCCACCACCATGCCCAGCTAATTTGTATTTTTTTTTTTAGTAGAGATGGGGTTTCACCACGTTGGCCAGACTGGTCTTGAACGCCTGACCTTGTAATCCACTCACCTCAGGCTCCCAAAATGCTAGGATTACAGGCGTGAGCCACCGCGCCTGGCCCTGTCCTGTATTTTTTTCTTAAAGAACCACAGGAGAATGTAAGAAATAGAAATACAGAACCCAGAGAACATAAGAGGTAAAAGGATTCTCAGCATATTGGCCAAGAAAAGTTTGAGGGTGATAGCTATTTCTGTGAATGATTAATTACATAGTCATAATTATGTAATATTAGTTGGCTATCTTAACTAAAAATCTGATATATTAGGAGAATCGGGGAAGTAAAGTCAGGTTATTATTGTTGGCGATATTGGGAATGGTGATTTTGCTATAAAAGAGTAGAATCCTGAGATAAAATAATAGGAAGTGGTGTTTAAACTTGATAAATTAAGGAATAGCAGTATAAGCACATCATTTGGTGTCATAGAGTTGAGTGCCATAAAATTTGCTAAAAGCATGAAATTAGTTGCTTCTGGGGAATAGAACTCTTTTTAGTAACAGTGAGGCAATATTAATTTTTTTTATAGCTTTTTAGCACTATTAAAAATTTTTAATCTTGTGCCTGGATAAAATAAAAAATGCATATAAAACTCTTTTATGCTATTATTATTATGTATTATATCTGTTACAATAGACTGGTTATGCCACAGTAACAAACAACTCCAGACTTTCAGTAGCATAATGCAAGAAAAGTTTATTTCTTGCCCATGTTTTCAGGTGAGTCAGCAGAGGTCTCTGATTTGCATCCTTCTGTAGTCTCTCAGGAACTCAGGAATGAAAGCTTTGTGGGAACATCACTTCACAATCATTGAAGAAGTGGGAAAGAAACTCTGGAAGTTTCTAGTTGGCAATTAAGTGCTCTGGCCACACTTCACTTCTGCTCACAACTCATTGGTCAGAACTAGTCACAAGGCACCATCCCACCACAAGAATGCCAGAAAAGTTCATAGTTCCATCTGTACAAAAGGTAAGAAGAACCAAATATTAGGAAGCAGAATGACTATCACATGTATTTTTCCATTTCACTTCAGTCTTTTTCCCCATCACTCTCCTTTCAATTTTCTACTCCCCAACCCTGGCAATTGGTGTTAATCCAGTGACTGTGTTTCTATTCTTTGTGTTTTTATAAAAATGCAGCCATTGTATATATATGTTGCTCTGAACCTTGCTATCCCTACTTAGCAATATAGTGTGAGTATTCTCTAAGGTCAAAATATTTTGATCTAACTAATTGCTATATAATATGACACAAATATGCTGCAATTTATTTAATCAATCTCCTATGGATGGACATTTAGAGTATTTCTGGACTTTTGTCACAGCAAATAGAATGACAATGAACAGTCTTATACTTACATCTTTCCATATTAGAACTTTATTCTGTTATGATGATTCATGGACTTTGGGAATCTGTGTAATCTTTTATGTTCCTTTTGCTAAATTGATGGGTTAACAATTTAATTATGGAGATATGACAAATGTCCTTGAAAAGACTGGTAATTAAGAGCATATGTAAATGAGAAAAATTAAGTGCTAAGGCAATAAGAGAAATTTTCAAGAGGAAGGCAGCTCTCGAACTATAAGTAAGTCAAAGAACGTTCCAGAGGTGGAGACCAGCACAAACAACCTCCCAGAGGCAGGGATGCTGCTGCCAAGTTTGTTGAACAGTAAGATATGCTTACTTAAAGTGGAAAACATATGCAGGACCATGGGGAAGAGACAGTTTTGGACTGGTGGGCTGGGAGAGAATTGTAGTGAGTATTATGATAGAGGAGAGAAATTTAGACCTAAAATGGGAGGCAATTGTCAGCTGGTATAGATTTTTCCACAGAAAGAGACTTAATAGGAAGAAGTGCTTAAAAGAAGAGCATTTTGGCAGAAGTTTATAGTAAAATTGAGTAGAGAAGAGCTAAAATGTTGTATTATAATAATACAGGCATGAAGGGGGTTTTACATGTCCAGTCAACATTTCCTTGCATTTAACAAATATGATTTTGCTAAAAGAAGGGATACAGTAGCATAGGGTTAAACTGTATTTTTGTTTGTTTAAAAGTCCTTAAACACTTACCAGAATAGCAGAAAACAAAAGAACAGATAATTTAGGAAAATAAAAGCTGTAAGTAAAAGTAAAGGAATGAATAACGTTAAATTAAAACATTCTGAATTAAGGAGAAAGCAACTTTATACAGCAAAAGGCAACAAATAATTTGGCAAGGCTGTTCTCTGTATAAACACAGCTGTCAGTAAATAGGGGAACTCAAAGTAAAGCTACTTCCTAAGATGAGTAATATATTGTACAGCTACTACATGAAGGAAATCTTAATGTGGGTTAAACTTTTGATATATTTTTGACCTATGAATTCAGTGCTACATAATTTGTTTTTTTTTCCATTTCAAAAATGTTATATCTTTGAGGCCTTTGTTTTAGACTGTGAGGAAAACAGAAGTGCTAATTTTAGAATGTGGAGTCAAGCAAGAAAAAATAGTACCTGATAATCATATAGGCTAATGGGAGAATATAGAAAAGCAGATGATACACAGAATTTTTAGAGATGTGTATTATATGTGAATAGACACAAACCCTTTTTATGCCAATAAAATAGACAAGTCACTTACAGGCCAATAAAAGTTGAGCAAATTTTAAAACCAAACCAAAAAAACATGGTTTTTTTTTTTTTTGAGACAGAGTTTTGCTCTTGTTGCTCAGGCTGCAGTGCAATGGTGCGATCTTGGCTCACTGCAACCTCCACCTCCCAGGTTCAAGTGATTCTCCTGCCTCGGCCTCCCAAGTAGCTGGGATTACAGGCATGCGCCACCACGCCCAGCTAATTTTGTATTTTTAGTAGAGATGGGGTTTCTCCATGTTGATCAGGCTGGTCTCGAACTCCCGACCTCAGGTAATCCTCCTGCCTTGGCCTCCTAAAGTGCTGGGATTACAGGCGTGAGCCACCGTGCCCAGCCATATTATTTTTTTAAATATAAAACATTAAATTTTATCATTTTCAGGTTTCATTTTTTTGATACTAAAATATACCTAATGACCTTCTGGAATTTCTTATCAGCTTTCTGCATCTCTTTCTGCAACAGTATAGAAGGAACCATTTTGGCCCTCAATTTTTTCATTCTTAGGTGACACTGAATTCTCAATTAAAATTTCTCAGAATGTACAGCAGTTTTAATAGGTAATTCCAAAGGGATTTCTTTCAGTATTTTATTGCATTTTTTTCTAGGAAAGGGTAATGTAATATTTGTGATAACTACTTCTGGTTTTCCTTTCTCAAGACTGGTTTTGTCTACCTGCCCTGACTTATGGTTCCTTTTACACAGGCTATTGAATATTAGCTATGTGTATGTAATGTCATGATTTATCATTTTTTTCCCTCTGACCCCACAACCTTTGAGTCATATCCTCCCTCAACATGTAGCCTTCACACTCATGCCCTAGTCCTTCTTTTTGCATGTAAACTATAAAAGACTTAAATGTCATACTGGTGCAGTTCTGTCATCCAGTCAACTCATAAGCCTGTTTCTGATAGCAGCATCAAAAGGCATTCTGTGGAAAGTCATGGTTTCCTCATGGCACCAATATCAAAAGATTACAAATTTAACTTCCAGAGCAATTTTTCCCAAATATCTCAGTTTTAAACATTAGTGCCTATAAATAGAGTATTCATTGCTTTATATAAATTATATTGGTAAACTACTGAAAACTGCAAAGAGAAAAAGAACAGGTTAGAGAGGAATTTAATTCCTTTCACATCCCATTTTCTGTTCAGCATTCCAGAGTTAAAGTGCATATTTTTTTTGTATAGTTAATTTCAGATAGGAAGTTAGGCATTTTAAGAGAATACTATACTGTGGTGAGATGACTGGGATGGACAAAAATTTCCTTTCTAAAGTAACTTCCCACCTCCTAGTTTGGTGCTTCTCTAACTCTTCCCCCTTATATCTACAGACTGATATCTTTGTAAAGTATAATGAAAACTAGTAACAAAAGTGAAAACAAAAACATACAAATTACAACACCCCCAATTTAATGATAGATTTAATAAACATAAAATTACTTTGTTAAGTTCCTGTAAACTTTGTAAATGCTCACATCAAGTTCTGTACTTAATCTCAGATAGCAGCAAAGAGCTCGGGAACTAGCACTAGACAGTGGCAGGCCACACTTTGAGGAAGACTGTCATTGACCTTATTGCCAGTCAGTATTTTCAATTTCCCAGGATAGAGATCTTCCAGTTTGTGGAGCAGAACATGATCAAAGAACAAAATTAATGAAAAATCACGAAACAGTGCCTTAGTCTGTTTTTTGTTGCTTATAATAGTATACCTGAACCTGGGTAATTTATAAAGAAAATAAATTAATTTTTTTTTATAATTCTGGAGGCTGGGAAATCCAAGGGCATGGCTCAACATCTGGTGAGGGCTTTCTTCCTGGTGGAAACTCAGCAGGCTGGAAGTGGCACAGAACATCACGTGGTGAGAGGGATAAGTGTGCTAACATGTTCACTCAGGTTTTTCTTCCTCTTGTAAAAGCCACCAGTTCCACTCCCATGATAACTCATGATAGCCCTCATGGTTCAGTGACCTCTTAAAGGCCCCACCTTTCAATACTGCCACATTGGGGATTAAGTTTCCAGCACGTAAAAATTGGAGGACACATCAAGCCACAGCAAATGGCATACATTAGGCTCTGAAATGTACACACCTCTCAAAGCACCAAGATTGGCTTAGTAACTGAGCCCTGTGATAACATAACTCATGTGGTGTGTGAAGGCTGAATAAAAGCCCCCTGCAAACTCAACAAAACTACAATATGTGCTTTGGAATGTGGTTTCAAAAGTGCCTATTTCTGTAAGGAGATGAATAAAATTATAGCTCCCCAAAATACTTTCTGTATTTTTCAGAAGAAAGTTTCTGACAAGCCAATTTGAGGTAGAAGGTAAGGCCATAAGACACCAAAGAAGGACAGACTGTTCTGTGTGGTATCATGTAATCATCAGTTAAGTCTATAAACTTTGAGTATGAATGCAAGCTCTGCCACTTACTAGAACTGTGAGCCTTCAAATATAAATTCTCTAAGAACTGCTTCCTGTATATAGAAAAAGGGGAGATAATATTAGTGTCTACCTTATAGGGTTGCTGCTAGGAGGACTAACATATGGTACTCAGTATGTATTAGTTATTATTGATAATAATAAATTATTTCATATGTCAACAGTATCACTACAAACTCAAGGTTGTGGGGCAGATATACTTTTAAACATACTTGCCTTGTATTACATATAACAGCATTTCCCAAAATCTTACGCAGAAAACCTGCTGTGTTCCAAACAAAAAGGCCAATTAAATTTGGGATACTCTGACTGTTTTGAGATATATTATAAGACACATTATTATATCAAGGTTTCTGGGAAATCATGTGCAAATAATCCTGTGCAATTTTACTTAATACATCTATTCCTAAAACTATTTGATCACAAATTTTTTAAAAGGAAAAACATAACGCTAAAAAGAATTAACATACAATACATGCTTATTGTGTGCCAGGTCCTAATAGAATAGTTTGCTTATTTAATATTCACTGTGGAATAGGTACCCTTGGTATCCCCATTTTACAAGAGAGATTAAGTAACGTGTTCAAGTTCACACAATTCAGAGGTGGAAGGTTAGGATTCAGAACCAAACATTTAATCTCTGGTGACCTCATAGTTAACCATTTTACTTGTGGTTGCAGATCATGCATTTATTCTCTTCCTGGGATCTAGCATTATACAGAAGATACTTTAGGAAATGCTGATTTTGAATAATCTTTTGTTCAGGCTGGTGTACTCAGGTGATTTGTACACACCACATTGTTCACACACCTATTTTTTTTACCCTTACGCCTTGCTATTCATTTGTCTCTTTTTTCTCCTCTCAAAATTCTACACTTTATCGTTGACCCTGGTTAAATCTTTTCCATGTAGTCTTCCTTGTAGTTCTAGCTATGGTGGTCTCACTTTCTCTGAATTCCTAGACACTTAGCATCTGTTTCACCAAATTAACACTTCATTATTGGACAGATGTCCTATTGAACTCTGGATATGCCATTAATGTGAATCTTGTCTTCTTAACTACCATGTAGATCTTTGAAAAGGGGAACCATTTTATGCTGAAAATTCTAAGAATATAATAAATGCATGTTTATTTGAATGTTTTTTACTTAATATCTGGAGCTGTTTCAAGTTTACTTGGTATGTGTCCCAAGTTGCTAGCAGGAAGGAAAAAACATTTCTATCTGTGGTCCTAACAATGACCGTGCAAAACAGAAATGATCACCTTTGTTCTTTCATGTAAGTGAATGATTCATAAGTTCAATTGAAAATCACATTTTTTTGTAGTTGTAAATTATAGCAAATGACTAAGCCTATGGTCTTGAAATTGATAATAAATATTAAATATATTCATAGGGAATAGAACTTACCTGTTAAAGTCATATTTCATTTATTTCCTAATTTGGTTACTAGAGTGACCTATTTCCCAGGTGCAGTAGGAAACATCTGGTGACAAAACTATTTCAAAACTGAATCACTGGAAAATCCTTAAAAAGTCATTTTATTCTCTTCTCCTTGCACTGAGATGTATGCCACTTATAAACTGCAGAGAGATTAGGTTTTATGCTTGTGTAGGATTGGACATGGCCCAAAGCTGTGTAACTTTTTAAAAATAGAAAACATTCAAAACATTGAGGAGGAGGGAATTCTTCTGAACTCATTCTGTAAGGCCGGTATTACCCTGATACCAAAACCAGACAAAGACACGTCAAAAAAAGAAAACCATATGCCAATATCTCTGATGAATACTGATGCAAAATTCTCAACAAATATTAGCAAATCAAATTCAACAATACATTAAAAAGACCATTTATCATGACTAAGTGGGGTTTATCCCTGGGATGCAAAGACAGTTTAATATATGCAAATCAATTAATGTGATATATCATATCAACAGAATGAAGGATAAAAACTATATAACCATTTTAATTAATGCTGAAAAAGCATTTGATAAAGTTCAATATCCCTACTAAACCCTAAAAAAAGATACAGAAGTAACATACTTCAACATAATAAAAGCCATATATGACAGACCCACAGCTAGTATATTAAATGGGGAGAAACTGAAAGCCTTTCCTCTGAGAACTGGAACATAACAAGGATGCCCACTTTCACCACTGTTATTCTACATAGTACTGGAAGTCCTAGCTGGAGCAATCAGACAAGAGAAAGAAATAAAGAGCATCCAAATTGGAAAGGAAGAAGTCAAATTATCCTTGTTTGCAGATTATATGATCTTATGTTTGGATCTTATCAACATACAAAAATCAGTAACATTTCTATGTGCCAACAGTGAACAATCTGAAAAAGAAATAAAGTAATCCCATTTACAATAGCCACAAATAAAATAAAGTACCCAGGAATTAACCAAACAAATGAAAGATCTCTATGATGAAAACTATGACACATTGCTGAAAGAAATTGAAAAGGTTGTCAACAAATGGAAAGATTTTCCAGGTTCCTGGATTGGAAGAATCAGTATTGTTAAAATGTTTATACTACCTAAAACAATCTAAATATTCAATGCAATTCTTATCAATACCAATGACATTCCTCACAGAAATAGAAAAAAACAATGCTAAAATTTATATGAAACCACGAAAGACCTAGAATAGCCAAAGATATTCTAACCAAAAAGAACAAAACTGGAGGAATCACAATACCTGAGGTCAAATTATACTACAGAGATATAGTAACCAAAACACCATAGTCCTGGCATAAAAACAGACACATAAACCGATGAGACAGGATAGAGAACCTAGAAACAAATTCATACACCTACAGTGAACTCATTTTTGACAAGGGTGCCAAGAACATACACTGGTCAAAGACGGTCTCTTCAATAAATGGTGCTGGAAAAAGTGGATATCCACGTGTAGAAGAATGAAACTGGACCCGTATCTCTCACCATATACAAAAATCAAATCAAAATGGATTAAAAACTTAGATCTAAGTCCTCTCATGATTGTTGTAGCACTGTTCACTATAGGTAAGGTTTGAAAGCAACCTAGGTGTCCATCAACAGATGAATGGATAAAGAATGTATGGTACAGATATGCAATGGAGTACTATACAGCCATAAAAAGAATGAGATCCTGTCATTTGCAACAACATGGATAGAACTGGAGATCATTATGTTTAGTGAAATAAGCCAGGCACAGAAAGAGAAACCTCGCATATTCTCACCTATTTGTGGGATCTAAAAATTAAAATAATTGAACTCATGGACATAGAATGTAGAAAGAGGGTTACCAGAGGCTGGCAAGGGTAGTGTGGGAGTGAGGAGAGGGAGGCAGGATGGTTAATGGGTACAAAAAATAATAGAATAAAGAATACCTAGTATTTGATAGCACAACAGGGTGACTATAGTCAATAATAATTTAATTTTACATTTTACGGTAACTGAAAAAGTATAACTGAATAGTTTGTAGCACTAGAATAAATGCTTGCAGGGATTGATGCCCCATTCTCCATGATGTGATTATTATACAGTGCATGCCTGTATTAAAACACCTCATGCAACCCATGCATATCTACACCTACTACGTACCCATAGAAATTAAAAAGTAAAAAATTTTAGAAATAAAAAAATAAAAAAAAACTCAAGCATTTCTGTATGTCTTTTTTTTTTTTTTTAGCATATCACTCATTATAGTAGAATTTTTCACTATGGCACAGAACAAGTTTTCTTTTCTATATATGTATATTTTATTATACTTTAAGTTCTAGGATACATGTACATGACGTGCAGGTTTGTTATATATATATACATGTGCCATGTTGGTGTGCTGCACCCATTAACTTGTCATTTACATTAGGTATATCTCCTAATGCTACCCCTCCCCCCTCCCACTCCCCCACAACAGGCCCCAGTGTGTGATGTTCCCCTTCCTGTGTCCAAGTGTTCTCATTGTTCAATTCCCACCTATGAGTGAGAACATGCGGTGTTTGGTTTTTTGTCCTTGCGATAGTTTGCTGAGAATAATGGTTTCCAGCTTCATCCATGTCCCTACAAAGGACATGAAATCATCATTTTTTATGGCTGCATAGTATTCCATGGTGTATATGTGCCACATTTTCTTAATCCAGTCTATCATTGTGGACATTTGGGTTGGTTCCGAGTCTTTGCTATTGTGAGTAGTGATGCAATAAACATACGTGTGCATGTGTCTTTATAGCAGCATGATTTATAATCCTTTGGGTATATACCCAGTAATGGGATGGCTGGGTCAAATGGTATTTCTAGTTCTAGATCCCTGAGGAATCACCACACTGTCTTCCACAACGGTTGAACTAGTTTACAGTCCCATCAACAGTGTAAAAGTGTTCCTATTTCTCCACATCCTCTCCAGCACCTGTTGTTTCCTGACTTTTTAATGATTGCCATTCTAACTGGTGTGAGATGATATCTCATTGTTGTTTTGATTTGCATTTCTCTGATGACCAGTGATGATGAGCATTTTTTCATGTGTCTGTTGGCTGCATAGATGTCTTCTTTTGAGAAATGTCTGTTCATATCCTTTGCCCACTTGTTGATGGAGTTGTTTGTTTTTTTCTTGTAAATTTGTTTGAGTTCATTGTAGATTCTGGATATTAGCCCTTTGTCAGATGAGTAGGTTGCAAAAACTTCCTACCATTCTGTAGGTTGCCTGTTCACTCTGATGGTAGTTTCTTTTGCTGTGCAGAAGCTCTTTAGTTTAATGAGATCTCATTTGTCAATTTTGGCTTTTGTTGCCATTGCTTTTGGTGTTTTAGATATGAAGCCCTTGCCCATGCCTATGTCCTGAATGGTATTGCCTAGGTTTTCTTCTAGGGTTTTTATGGTTTTAGGTCTAACATTTAAGTCTTTAATCCATCTTGAATTAATTTTTGTATAAGGTGTAAGGAAGGGATCCAGTTTCAGCTTTCTACATATGGCTAGCTAGTTTTCCCAGCACCATTTATTAAATAGGGAATCCTTTCCCCATTGCTTGTTTTTCTCAGGTTTGTCAAAGATCAGATAGTTGTAGATGTGTGGTATTATTTCTGAGGGCTCTATTCTGTTCCATTGGTCTATACCTCTGTTTTGGTACCAGTACCATGCTGTTTTGGTTACCGTAGCCTTGTAGTATAGTTTGAAGTCAGGTAGCGTGATGCCTCCAGCTTTGTCCTTTTGGCTTAGGATTGACTTGGCTATGCGGGCTCTTTTTTGGTTCCATATGAACTTTAAAGTAGTTTTTTCCAATTCTGTGAAGAAAGTCATTGGTAGCTTGATGGGGATGGCATTGAATCTGTAAATTACCTTGGGCAGTATGGCCATCTTCAAGATATTGATTCTTCCTATTCATGAGCATGGAATGTTCTTCCATTTCTTTGTGTCCTCTTTTATTTTGTTGAGAAGTGGTTTGTAGTCCTCCTTGAAGAGGTCCTTCACATCCCTTGTAAGTTGGATTCCTAGGTATTTTATTCTCTTTGAAGCAATTGTGAATGGGAGTTCACTCATGATTTGGCTCTCTGTTTGTCTGTTATTGGTGTGTAAGAATGCTTGTGATTTTTGTACATTGATTTTGTATCCTGAGATTTTGCTGAAGTTGCTTATCAGCTTAAGGAGATTTTGTGCTGAGACGATGGGGTTTTCTAGATATACAGTCATGTCATCTGCAAACAGGGACAATTTGACTTCCTCTTTTCCTAATTGAATACCCTTTATTTCCTTCTCCTGCCTGATTTTCCTGGCTGGAACTTCCAACACTATGTTGAATAGGAGTGGTGAGAGAGGGCATCCCTGTCTTGTGCCAGTTTTCAAAGGGAATGCTTCCAGTTTTTGCCCATTCAGTATGATATTGGCTGCGGGTTTGTCATAAAATAACTCTTATTATTTTGAGATACGTCCCATCAATACCTAATTTATTGAGAGTTTTTAGCATGAAGGGATGTTGAATTTTGTCAAGGCCTTTTCTGCATCTATTGAGATAATCATGTGGTTTTTGTCTTTGGTTCTGTTTATATGCTGGATTACATTTATTGAATTGTGTTTGTTGAATCAGCCTTGCATCCCAGGGATGAAGCCCACTTGATTATGGTGGATAACCTTTATGATGTGCTGCTGGATTTGGTTTGCCAGTATTTTTTTGAGGATTTTTGCATTGACGTTCATCAGAGACATTGGTCTAAAGTTCACTTTTTTTGTTGTGTCTCTGCCAGGCTTTGGTATCAGGATGATGCTGGCCTCATAAAATGAGTTAGGAAGGATTCCCTCTTCTTCTATTGATTGGAATAGTTTCAGAAGGAATGGTACCACCTCCTGCTTGTACCTCTGGTAGAATTCGGCTGTGAATCCATCTGGTCCTGGACTTCTTTTGGTTGGTAAGCTATTAATTATTGCCCCAATTTCAGAGCCTGTTATTGGTCTATTCAGAGATTCAACTTCTTCCTGGTTTAGTCTTGGGAGGGTGTATGTGCCAAGGAATTTATCCATTTCTTCTAGATTTTCTAGTTTATTTGCATAGAGGTGCTGATAGTATTCTCTGATGGTAGTTTGTATTTCTGTGGGATTGGTGATGATATCCCCTTTATCACTTTTTATTGCATCTATTTGATTCTTCTCTTTTTTCTTCTTTATTAGTCTTGCTAGCGGTCTATCAATTTTGTTGATCTTTTCAGAAAACCAGCTCCTGGATTCATTGATTTTTTGAAGGGTTTTTTGTGTCTCTATCTCCTTCAGTTCTGCTCTGATCTTAGTTATTTCTTGCCTTCTGCTAGCTTTTGAATGTGTTTGCTCTTGCTTCTTTAGTTCTTTTAATTGTGATGTTTGGGTGTCGATTTTAGATCTTTGCTTCTTTCACTTGTGGGCATTTAGTGCTATAAATTTCCCTCTACACCCTGCTTTGAATGTGTCCCAGAGATTCTGGTATGTTGTGTCTTTGTTCTCGTTGGTTTCTAAGAACATCTTTATTTCTGCCTTCATTTCGTTATGTACCCAGTAGTCATTCAGGAGCAGGTTGTTCAGTTTCCATGTAGTTGAGCGGTTTTGAGTGAGTTTCTTAATCCTGAGTTCTAGTTTGATTGCACTGTCGTCTGAGAGACAGTTTGTTATAATTTCTGTTCTTTTACATTTGCTGAGGAGTGCTGTACTTCCAACTATGTGGTCAATTTTGGAATAGGTGTGGTGTGGTGCTGAGAAGAATGTATATTCTGTTGATTTGGGGTGGAGAGTTCTGGAGATGTCTATTAGGTCTGCTTGGTGCAAAGGTGAATTCAATTCCTGGATATCCTTGTTAACTTTCTGTCTTGTTGATCTGTCTAATGTTGACAGTGGGGTGTTAAAGTCTCCCATTATTATTGTGTGGGAGTCTAAGTCTCTTTATAGGTCTCTAAGGGCTTGCTTTATGAATCTGGGTACTCCTGTATTGGGTGCATATATATTTAGAATAGTTAGCTCTTCTTGTTGAATTGTTCCCTTTACCATTATGTAATGGCCTTCTTTGTCTCTTTTGATCTTTGTTGGTTTAAAGTCTGTTTTATTAGAACTAAGATTGCAACCCCTGCCTTTTTTTGTTTTCCATTTGCTTGGTAGGTCTTCCTCCATCCCTTCATTTTGAGCCTATGTGTGTCTCTGCACGTGAGATGGGTTTCCTGAATACAGCACACTGATGGTTCTTGACTCTTTATTCAATTTGCCAGTCTGTGTCTTTTAATTGGAGCATTTAGCCCATTTACATTTAAGGTTTATATTGTTATGTGTGAATTTGATCCTGTCATTATGATGTTAGCTGGTTATTTTGCTCGTTAGTTGATGCAGTTTCTTCCTAGCGTAGGTGGTCTTTACAATTTGGCATGTTTTTGCAGTGGCTGGTACCAGTTGTTCCTTTCCATGTTTAGTGCTTCCTTCAGGAGCTCTTTTAGGGCAGGCCTGGTGGTGACAAAATCTCTCAGCATTTGCTTGTCTGTGAAGGATTTTATTTCTCCTTCACTTATAAAACTTAGTTTGGCTGGATATGAAATTGTGGGTTGAAAATTCTTTTCTTTAAGAATGTTGAATATTGGCCCCCACTCTCTTCTGGCTTGTAGAGTTTCTGCTGAGAGATCAGCTGTTAGTCTGGTGGGCTTCCCTTTGTGGGTAACCCGACCTTTCTCTCTGGCTGCCCTTAACATTTTTCCTTCATTTCAACTTTGGTGAATCTGACAATTATGTATCTTGGCGTTGCTCTTCTCGAGGAGTATCTTTGTGGCGTTCTCTGTATTTCCTGAATTTGAATGTTGGCCTGCCTTGATAAAAGCTTGGGGAAGTTCTCCTGGATAATATCCTGCAGAGTGTTTTCCAGCTTGGTTCCATTCTCCCCGTCACTTTCAGGTACACCAATCAGACGTAGATTTGGTCTTTTCACATAGTCCCATATTTCTTGGAGGCTTTGTTCATTTCTTTTTATTCTTTTTTCTCTAAACTTCTCTTCTCTCTTCATTTCATTCATTTGATCTTCCATCACTGATACCCTTCTTCCAGTTGATCAAATCAGCTACTGAAGCTTGTGCATTCGTCACATAGTTCTTGTGCCGTTGTTTTCAGCTCCATTAGGTCCTTTAAGGACTTCTCTGCATTGGTTATTCTAGTTAGCCATTCGTCTAATCTTTTTTGAACGTTTTTAACTTCTTTGCGATGGGTTCGAACTTTCTCCTTTAGCTCGGAGAAGTTTAATTGTCTGAAGCCTTCTTCTCTCAGCTCATCAAAGTCGTTCTCCATCCAGCTTTTTTCCGTTGCTGGTGAGGAGCTGAGTTCCTTTGGAGGAGGAGAGGAGCTCTGATCTTTAGAAATTTCAGTTTTTCTGCTCTGTTTTTCCCCCATCTTTGTGTTTTTATCTACCTTTGGTCTTTGATGATGGTGACGTACAGATGGGGTTTTGGTGTGGATGTCCTTTCTGTTTGTTAGTTTTCCTTCTAGCAATGAGGACCCTCAGCTGCAGGTCTGTTGGAGTTTGCTAGAGGTCCACTCCAGACCCTGTTTGCTGGGGTATCAGCAGCGGAGGCTGCAGAACAACGAACATTGCTGAACAGCAAATGTTGCTGTCTGATTGTTCCTCTGGAAGTTTCGTCTCAGAGTGGTACCTGGCCATGTGAGGTGTCATTCTGCCCCTACTGGGGGGTGCCTCCCAGTTAGACTACTTGGGGGTCAGGGACCCACTTGAGGCAGTCTGTCTGTTTTCAGATCTCAAACTCCGTGCCCTGTATGTCTTAATTCAATTTCAAAATATTCGTTTACTGTTGTTTGGACGTTTTCTGGGAAGTGTTAGTATATGACAGTGGGATTTTTTAAAAACATAATCTAAAACATGCTATGAAATAAAAATGACAGCAAAATCAAAATTTTAAAGCAATGAAAATGATTCTAAAATACAGAATACAGAAATGTTTAGTAAAAGGCATTCTACAAATTAGTGGAAGTAGGACAAACTGGGAAATCCAACCAGTGAATTGTTCTGGTCTTGAAAATGGGGTTTACCATGTACTATTGAATGAATGTGTCCCCCATATTCATATATTGAAATCCTAACCCTTGAGGTGATGATATTAGGATATGAGGGCTTGAGGGTGGATAGTTAGATCATGAGGTTGGGGCCTGATGAATGAAATTTGCTCTTATAAGAAGAAACACAACAGCTTCCTCTCTACTATGTAAGGATACTGCAAGAAGGTGCCATCTGCAAACCCGGAAGGTGCCCTTACCAGGCATCAGATTTGCTAGCATCTTGATCTTAGACTTCCCAACCTTCAGAACTATAAGAAATAAATGTTTGTTGTTTAAGCTATCCAATTTATGGTGATTTGTTATAGCATCCTGAACTATGACATCATAAAAATTCACTCATGGAGTCAATTTGCCATGATCTGATGCATATCGAAACTTCAGTATGCTTCCAAGGCAAAAACCCCTTATTGGTTTTGAGAAACATATGCTTGTGCATGGAGCAGAATGCCACGCATTCCTCTTGTCTCATACTCCAGCCAAGTGTTCTCTGTACTTCCCAGTTATTGTATGACCTGCTCAGCTTCAACTTCCATTTGGTAGAACTGGCTGCAGCATTTAACTTAGTTGCAGTCTAAACAGACTTTTTCCCATTGCTCTGAGTTTGAGGGTGATGTGTGCAGGATTTGCATGTATACCCCCAGGGCCAGATGCTATAGAGATCGAGATAGACTGAGGCTAGTGCCTAATGAGCCACACAGTTAGTCAGCAGAGAGTTGTAAAATACATAAAGGTGGCAATATGGTGAGTACTGGGACAGCCCACTCAGGTACTATGAGATGTAGGGAAAAAGTGAGAAAATACTGCCAAAAGAATTAGCATTTGAGGTAGAGAAGAAGAGGTAGAGATGGGCAGGACATCCTGGGGAGTGGAAACAGCCCTTGCTAAGGCACCAGAACATGAACTGTGAGCTTGAGGAAACAGTAAGGTAGAAATGAGAGGGCAGATGCCTGGCGGTGTTCATCAGAATATAGAGTTGCAAATGTAGGTCAGGCCCTAATTTGTTATACCATTCGTCTTCCTTAGTGTTTTCATTAGTATTTGCTTTGTGTCTTCCATCAATTAATACAGTGCCTAGAAGAGAGAGATAGATTTCTACTTCCTTTATTTTTTCCTATCAGACGTCAGACAAATATTTGCTAGATGCTGACTCTCTGCACAGAATCATGTTAAACTGAAATGATTTGATAAGTTCCACACAGTGTGTAAGTAAACATCTATGCAAATCTTTGTTCACAATAATAAATTTCAAGATATGAAGAACCTATTACTATTTAAACAATTTCTTCTTTTTTTTAAAAAAAGTGTTATTGTGTATGTTTAAGGTATAGAACATGATGTTCTGGGACACAGATAATAATAAGGCTAGGGAAGTGGAGCAAAGTGAAGCAAATTAACATATCCATGGCATCACATAGCTTCCCCTTTTAAAAAAAAAGTTTATTTTTATTATACTTTAAGTTTTAGGGTACATGTGCACAACGTGCAGGTTTGTTACATATGTATATATGTGTCATGTTGGTGTGCTGCACCCATTAACTTGTCATTTAGCATTAGGTATACCTCGTAATGCTATCCCTCCCCCCTCCCCCCACCCCAAAACAGTTCCCGGTGTGTGATGTTCCCCTTCCTGTGTCCAAGTGTTCTCATTGTTCATTTCCCACCTATGAGTGAGAACATGCAGTGTTTGGTTTTTTGTCCTTGCAATAGTTTGCTGAGAATGATGGTTTCCAGTTTCATCCATGTTCCTACAAAGGACATGAACTCATCATTTTTTATGGCTGCATCGTATTCCATGGTGTATATGTGCCACATTTTCTTAATCCAGTCTATCAATGTTGGACATTTAGGTTGGTTCCAAGTCTTTGCTATTGTGAATAGTGCCATAATAAACATACGTGTGCATGTGTCTTTATAGCAGCATGATTTATAATCCTTTGTGTGTATACCCAGTAATGGGATGGCTGGGTCAAATGGTATTTCTAGTTCTAGATCCCTGAGGAATCACCACACCAACTTCCACAATGGTTGAACTAGTTTACAGTCCCACTAACAGTGTAAAAGTGTTCCTATTTCTCCACATCCTCTCCAGCACCTGTTGTTTCCTGACTTTTTAATGATCACCATTCTAACTGGTGTGAGATGATATCTCATTGTTGTTTTGATTTGCATTTCTCTGATGACCAGTGATGATGAGCATTTATTCATGTGTCTGTTGGCTGCATAGATGTCTTCTTTTGAGAAATGTCTGTTCATATCCTTCGCCCACTTGTTGATGGGGTTGTTTTTTTCTTGTAAATTTGTTTGAGTTCACTGTAGATTCTGGATATTAGCCCTTTGTCAGATGAGTAGGTTGCAAAAATTTTCTCCCATTCTGTAGGTTGCCTGTTCACTCTGATGGTAGTTTCTTTTGCTGTGCAGAAGCTCTTTAGTTTAATGAGATCTCATTTGTCAATTTTGGCTTTTGTTGCCATTGCTTTTGGTGTTTTAGATATGAAGCCCTTGCCCATGCCTATGTCCTGAATGGTATTGCCTAGGTTTTCTTCTAGGGTTTTTATGGTTTTAGGTCTAACGTTTAAGTCTTTAATCCATCTTGAATTAATTTTTGTATAAGGTGTAAGGAAGGGATCCAGTTTCAGCTTTCTACATATGGCTAGCCAGTTTTCCCAGCACCATTTATTAAATAGGGAATCCTTTCCCCATTGCTTGTTTTTCTCAGGTTTGTCAAAGATCAGATAGTTGTAGATATGCGGCATTACTTCTGAGGGCTCTGTTTTGTTCCATTGGTCTATATCTCTGTTTTGGTACCGGTACCAAAACTGGTTTGGTTACTGTAGCCTTGTAGTATAGTTTGAAGTCAGATAGTGTGATGCCTCCAGCTTTGTTCTTTTGGCTTAGGATTGACTTGGCAATGCGGGCTCTTTTTTGGTTCCATATGAACTTAAAAATAGTTTTTTCCAATTCTGTGAAGAAAGTCATTGGTAGCTTGATGGGGATGGCATTGAATCTATAAATTACCTTGGGCAGTATGGCCATTTTCACGATATTGATTCTTCCTACCCATGAGCATGGAATGTTCTTCCGTTTGTTAGTATCCTCTTTTATTTCATTGAGCAGTAGTTTGTAGTTCTCCTTGAAGAGGTCCTTCACATCCCTTGTAAGTTGGATTCCTAGGTATTTTATTCTCTTTGAAGCAATTGTGAATGGGAGTTCACTCATGATTTGGCTCTCTGTTTGTCTGTTATTGGTGTAAAAGAATGCTTGTGATTTTTGTACATTGATTTTGTATTCTGAGACTTTGCTGAAGTTGCTTATCAGCTTGAGGAGATTTTGTGCTGAGACGATGGGGTTTTCTAGATATACAGTCATGTCATCTGCAAACAGGAACAATTTGACTTCCTCTTTTCCTAATTGAATACCCTTTATTTCTTTCTCCTGCCTAATTGCCCTGGCCAGAACTTCCAACACTATGTTGAATAGGAGTGGTGAGAGAGGGCATTCCTGTCTTGTGGCCATTTTCAGAGGGAATACTTCCAGTTTTTGCCCATTCAGTATGATATTGGTTGTGGGTTTGTCATAGAGAGCTCTTATTATTTTGAGATATGTCCCATCAATGCCTAATTTATTGAGAGTTTTTAGCATGAAGAGTTGTTGAATTTTGTTGAAGGCCTTTTCTGCATCTATTGGGATAATCATGTGGTTTTTGTCTTTGGTTCTGTTTATATGCTGGATTACCTTTATTGATTTGTGTATGTTGAACCAGCCATGCATCCCAGGGATGAAACCCACTTGATCATGGTGGATAAGCTTCTTGATGTGCTGCTGGATTCAGTTTGCCAGTATTTTACTGAGGATTTTTGCAACGATGTTCATCAAGGATATTGGTGTAAAATTCTCCTTTTTAGTTTTGTCTCTGCCCAGCTTTGGTATCAGGATGATGCTGGCCTCATAAAATGAGTTAGGGAGGATTCCCTCTTTTTCTATTGATTGGAATAGTTTCAGAAGGAATGGCACCAGCTCCTCCTTGTACCTCTGGTAGAATTCGGCTGTGAATCCATCTAGTCCTGGACGTTTTTTGTTTGGTAAGCTATTGATTATTGCCTCAATTTCAGAGCCTGTTATTGGTCTATTCAGAGATTCAACTTCTTCCTGGTTTAGTCTTGGGAGCATGTATGTGTCGAGGAATTTATCCATTTCTTCTAGATTTTCTAGTTTTTTTGCATAGAGGTGTTTGTAGTATTCTCTGATGGTAGTTTGTATTTCTGTGGGATCGGTGGTGATATCCCCTTTATCATTTATTATTATTATTATTATTATACTTTAAGTTTTAGGGTACATGTGTACAATGTGCAGGTTAGTTACATATGTATACATGTGACATGCTGGTGTGCTGCACCCACTAACTCGTCATCTAGCATTAGGTGTATCTCCCAATGCTATCCCTCCCCCCTCCCCCCAGCCCACAACAGTCCTCAGAGTGTGATGTTCCCTTCCTGTGTCCATGTGTTCTCATTGTTCAGTTCCCACCTATGAGTGAGAATATGTGGTGTTTGGTTTTTTGTTCTTGTGATAGTTTACTGAGAATGATGATTTCCACCTTCATCCATGTCCCTACAAAGGACATGAAATCATCATTTTTTATGGCTGCATATTATTCCATGGTGTATATGTGCCACATTTTCTTAATCCAGTCTATCATTGTTGGATATTTGGGTTGGTTCCAAGTCTTTGCTATTGTGAGTAGTGCCGCAATAAACATACGTGTGCATGTGTCTTTATAGCAGCATGATTTATAATCCTTTGGGTATATACCCAGTAATGGGATGGCTTGGTCAAATGGTATTTCTAGTTCTAGATCCCTGAGGAATCACCACACCAACTTCCACAATGGTTGAACTAGTTTACAGTCCCACCAACAGTGTAAAAGTGTTCCTATTTCTCCACATCCTTTCCAGCACCTGTTGTTTCCTGACTTTTTAATGATCACCATTCTAACTGGTGTGAGATGATATCTCGTTGTGGTTTTGATTTGCATTTCTCCGATGGCCAGTGACGGTGAGCATTTTTTCATGTATTTTTTGGCTGCATAAATGTCTTCTTTTGAGAAGTGTCTGTTCTTGTCCTTCACCCACTTTTTGATGGGATTGTTTGTTTTTTCCTTGTAAATTTGTTTGAGTTCATAGTAGATTCTGGATATTAGCCTTTTGTCAGATGAGTAAGTTATGAAAATTTTCTCCCATTTTGTGGGTTGCCTGTTCGCTCTGATGGTAGTTTCTTTTGCTCTGCAGAAGCTCTTTAGTTTAATGAGATCCCATTTGTCAATTTTGGCTTTTGTTGCCATTGCTTTTGGTGTTTTAGACACGAAGTCCTTGCCCGTGCCTATGTCCTGAATGGTAATGCCTAGGTTTTCTTCTAGGGTTTTTATGGTTTTAGGTCTAATGTTTAAGTCTTTAATCCATCTTGAATTGATTTTTGTATAAGGTGTAAGGAAGGGATCCAGTTTCAGCTTTCTACATATGGCTAGCCAGTTTTCCTAGCACCATTTATTAAATAGGGAATTCTTTCCCCATTGCTTGTTTTTCTCAGGTTTTTCAAAGATCAGATAGTTATAGATCAATGAAACAGAACAGAGCCCTCAGAAATAATGCCGCATATCTACTACTATCCCTTTATCATTTTTTGTTGCATCTATTTGATTCTTCTCTCTTTTCTTCTTTATTAGTCTTGCTAGCAGTCTATCAATTTTGTTGATCTTTTCAAAAAACCAGCTCCTGGATTCCTTAATCTTTTGAAGGGTTTTTGGTGTCTCTATTTCCTTCAGTTCTGCTCCGCTCTTAGTTATTTCTTGCCTTCTGCTAGCTTTTGAATGTGTTTGCTCTTGCTTTTCTAGTTCTTTTAATTGTGATGTTAGGGTGTCAATTTTAGATCTTTGCTGCTTTCTCTTGTGGGCATTTAGTGCTATAAATTTCCCTCTACACACTGCTTTGAGTGTGTCCCAGAGATTCTGGTATGTTGTGTCTTTGTTCTCGTTGGTTTCAAAGTACATCTTTATTTCTGCCTTCATTTCATGATTTACCCAGTAGTCATTCAGGAGCAGGTTGTTCAGTTTCCATGTAGTTGAGCGGTTTTGAGTGAGTTTCTTAATTCTGAGTTCTAGTTTGATTGCACTGTGGCCAGAGAGACAATTTGTTATAATTTTTGTTCTTTTACATTTGCTGAGGAGTGCTTTACCTCCAACTATGTGGTCAGTTTTGGAGTAGATGTGATGTGGTGTTGAAAAGAATGTATATTCTGTTGATTTGGGGTGGAGAGTTCTGTAGATGTCTATTAGGTCTGCTTGGTGCAGAGCTGAGTTCAATTCCTGGGTATCCTTGTTAACTTTCTGACTCATTGATCTGTCTAATGTTGACAGTGGGGTGTTAAAGTCTCCCATTATTATTGTGTGGGAGTCTAAGTCTCTTTGTAGGTCTCTAAGGACTTGCTTTATGAATCTGGGTGCTCCTGTATTGGGTGCATATATATTTAGGATAGTTAGCTCTTCTTGTTGAATTGTTCCCTTTACCATTATGTAATGGCCTTCTTTGTCTCTTTTGATCTTTGTTGGTTTAAAGTCTGTTTTATCAGAGACTAGGATTGCAACCCCTGCCTTTTTTCGGTTTCCATTTGCTTGGTAGATCTTCCTCCATCCCTTTATTTTGAGCCTATGTGTGTCTCTGCACGTTAGATGGGTTTCCTGAATACAGCACATTGATGGGTCTTGACTCTTTATCCAATTTGCCAGTCTGTGTCTTTTAATTGGAGCATTTAGTCCATTTAAATTTAAAGTTAATATTGTTATGTGTGAATTTGATCCTGTCATTATGATGTTAGCTGGTTATTTTCTCGTTAGTTGATGCAATTTCTTCCTAGCCTTGATGGTCTTTACAATTTGGCATGTTTTTGTGGTGGCTGGTACCAGTTGTTCCTTTCCATGTTTAGTGCTTCCTTCAGGAGCTCTTTTAGGGCAGGCCTGGTGGTGACAAAATCTCTCAGCATTTGCTTGTCTGTAAAATATTTTATTTCTCCTTCACTTGTGAAGCTTAGTTTGGCTGGATATGAAATTCTTGGTTGAAAATTCTTTTCTTTAAGAATGTTGAATATTGGCCCCCACTCTCTTCTGGCTTGTAGAGTTTCTGCTGAGAGATCAGCTGTTAGTCTGGTGGGCTTCCCTTTGTGGGTAACCCGACCTTTCTCTCTGGCTGCCCTTAACATTTTTTCCTTCATTTCAACTTTGGTGAATCTGACAATTATGTGTCTTGGAGTTGCTCTTCTTGCAGATTATCTTTGTGGTGTTCTCTGTATTTCCTGAATCTTAATGTTGGCCTGCCTTGCTAGTTTGGGGAAGTTCTCCTGGATAATAGCCTGCAGAATGTTTTCCAACTCGTTTCCATTCTCCCCTTCACTTTCAGGTACACCAATCAGATGTAGATTTGGTCTTTTCACATAGTCCCATATGTCTTGGAGGCTTTGTTCATTTCTTTTTATTGTTTTTTCTCCAAACTTCTCTTCTCTCTTCATTTCATTCATTTCATCTTCCTTCACTGATAGCCTTTCTTCCAATTGATCGCATCGGCTCCTGAGGCTTCTGCCTTCGTCACATAGCTCTCATGCCTTGGTTTTCAGCTCCATCAGGTCCTTTAAGGACTTCTCTGCATTGGTTATTCTAGTTATCCATCTGTCTAATTTTTTTCAAAGCTTTTAACTTCTTTGCCGTTGGTTCGAATTTCCTCCTGTAGCTCGGAGTAGTTTGATTGTCTGAAGCCTTCTTCTCTCAACTCATCAAAGTCATTTTCTGTCCAGCTTTGTTCTGTTGCTGGTGAGAAGCCGTGTTCCTTTGGAGGAGGAGAGTGCTCTGATTTTTAGAGTTTCCAGTTTTTCTGCTCTGTTATTTCCCCATCTTTGTGGATTTTATCTACCTTTGGTCTTTGATGATGGTGACATACAGAAGGGTTTTTGGTGTGTATGTCCTTTCTGTTTGTTAGTTTTCCTTCTAACAGACAGGACCCTCAGCTGCAGGTCTGTTGGAGTTTGCTAGAGGTCCACTCCAGACCCTGTTTGCCTGGGTATCAGCAGTGGTGGCTGTAGAACAGCGGATCTTGGTGAACCGCAAATGTTGCTGCCTGATTGTTCCTCTGGAAGTTTTGTCTCAGAGTAGTACCCGGCCATGTGAGGTGTCAGCTCGCCCCTATTCGGGGGTGCCTCCCATTTAGGCTACTCGGCGGTCAGGGACCCTCTTGAGGGGGCAGTCTGCCCGCTCTCAGATGTCCAGCTGCATGCTGGGAGAACCACTATTCTCTTCAAAGCTATCAGAGAGCGACATTTAAGTCTGCAGTGGTTACTGCTGTCTTTTTATTTGTCTGTGCCCTGCCCCCAGAGTGGAGCCTACAGAGGCAGGCAGGCCTCCTTGAGCTGTGGTGGGCTCCATACAGTTCGGGCTTCCCGGCCGCTTTGTTTACCTAATCAAACAACTAACTCGGCAATGGTGGGCGCCCTTCCCCCAGCCTTGCTGCCACCTTGCAGTTTGATCTCGGACTGCTGTGCTAGCAATGAGTGAGACTCTGTGGGCATAGGACCCTCCAAGCCAGATGTGGGATATAATCTCCTGGTGTGCCATTTTTTAAGCCTGATGGAAAAGCACACTATTAGGGTGGGAGTTACTTGATTTTCCAGGTACCATCTGTCACCCCTTTCTTTGACTAGGAAACGGAATTCCCTGACCCCTTGTGCTTCCTGGGTGAGGCATTGCCTCACCCTGCTTCAGCTCTCACACGGTGCACTGCACCCACTGTCCTGCACCTACTGTCTGGCACTCCCCAGTGAGTTGAACCCAGTACCTTAGTTGGAAATGCAGAAATCACCCATCATCTGCGTTGCTCACGCTGGGAGCTGTAGACCGGAGCTATTCCTATTCGGCCATCTTGGCTCCTCCCTCCCATAGCTTCCCATTTTTTGTGTGTGCTACAAGAGCTACAAAATCTACTGATTTAGTTTGAATCCCAAATATAGTAAAATTTTATTACAGTTTTCATGTTGTACATTGGATCGCTAGACTTCTTCATCCTATGTCATCTACTTTGTATTCTCTGACCTACATCTCCACACTTCCTCTGCCAACCCTGTTTGTTTTGTTCTCTATATCTGTAAACATTTTTAAATGAAAGTAATTAAAAATATTTTGCTGATAGCATAATAACATGTAAATATTTATTTTTGTAATTCTAAATTTTGAAGCCTCTTGATTTTTCAGGGCAGATAATATTTATAATTTTAGAATATATTTTGTTACCCAATTCCATCATTACAGTACCTGTTATAAAATTTATCACAGTTTAGACTGAAGAAATAAATGCTTTTCTTTGGCAATTTAATTATGATGGCATAAAGAGACACAGCTTAATATATGTATTCATATATATATATTTTGCAGGAAAATATAGTAGGTAAATCACATTTTGATAAATCGCATAATAGGAACAAGATATTTAACAGGTCCCTAGTTTGACTGCTTTTGTAATGTGAGTACTTCTCTTCACTTGGCTTTTTTGGGTAAATTTAGATTTTTTATGTATCAATTACAATTGATGGATGGTGCATATCATCTTTAAAAATAATTCAAAAGATTTCTCATGACCAAATGTATATTATTGTATAACTTTTATAAAATAATAAAGGTATTTTTAAACTAAGGCTGGCAATGAAATGTAAATTAATTTCACATTATTTAAATGCATGTAGTGGAAATTATGCTCAGGTGCTGTTTCATTGATTTTTTAAAAAAGAATTGCAATTCACAAAAGACCTAAGTATGCCAACTCTAATAAAAGGATTTAAGTAAGTGGATTTATAGAAATATAGTGAATGGTATTTTAGCTGGAGGATTGGACATGTTAAAAATTTCAAGAATTAAAGGACAAGAAAATCTGATTTATCCAGATATGAACTCTCAGCATGTCAGAGTTAGTGGTTCTTATTTAATTCAGAATCCCTGTTTTTAATATAAGTGAGGTTTCCAGCAGTTCTAGTGGGGAGCATATAATTGCCAATGTAAACTCATGCCCACTGTTGAGCCAGGAGCCAGGCAGGATGAAAGAATTGAGAAAAAGTGTGAACTCCTGCAACTTAGACTAATAGCCAGCTAAATCTGAGGCTTAA
Organism: Homo sapiens; assembly: GCF_000001405.40. Lineage (NCBI taxonomy): Eukaryota > Metazoa > Chordata > Mammalia > Primates > Hominidae > Homo > Homo sapiens. The sequence goes on along the minus strand of NC_000006.12, from coordinate 75,002,474 downwards.
TTAACCCATATATTTATACTATATTTTCACAAAATGGTAGCTGGAAATCTGAAGGTAAAAATGGAACTACTTGCAAATCCATCTGGAGACTGTTAAATATAACTTACTGATTTTTTAACATGAACATTTTTTCTTGTTCTCCTGACTCCTTGGAAATATAAACTTTTATGCACGGTTGCTGGTACTCATTGCCATCAACTTCAGTCCTTCTGCAACTGATGTCCTATTATAGTTTTTTTTAAAAGCTCACAAAAGATAAAAAAAGATATCAGCTAACACAATATATTTGCTAGCAATGGAAAAAAAGTTATTTATGTGCTAAATGGGAAGTAGAAAAGATTTTATTATTTTTTATTATTATTTAGAGACAGAACCTTGCTCTGTCACCCAGACTGAAGTGCAATGACATTATTATAGCTCAGTGCAGTCTTGAGCTCCTGGGCTCAAGTGATCCTCCCATCTCAGCCTCCCAAGTAGCTAAGACTACAGTTGTGTACCATCACACCTGGCTAATTTTTTTTTTTTTTTGCCGGATCACATACTTTTTATTAAAATCAACTTTGTATTAATACATTAGAAGGTAATTTTCTGGTAATACATTATTTTATTTTATTATACTTCAAATTCTGGGGTACATGTGCAGAATGTGCAGGTTTGTTACATAGGTATACATGTGCCATGGTGGTTTGCTGCACCCATCAACCCATTATCTACATTAGATATTTCTCCTAAAGCTATCCCTGCCCTAGCCTCCTACCCCCCAACAGGCCCTGGTGTTTGAGGCTCCCCTCCCTGTGTTCATGTGTTCTCATTGTTCAACTCCCACTTATGAATGAGAACATGTGGTGTTTGGTTTTCTGTTCTTGTGTTACTTTGCTGAGAATGATGGTTTCCAGCTTCTTCCATGTCCATGCAAAGAACATGAACTCATCCTTTTTTATGGCTGCATATTATTCCATGGTGTATATGTGCCACATTTTCTTTAGCCAATCTATCACTGATGGGCATTTGGGTTGGTTTCAAGTCTTTGCTATTGTGAACGTGCCTCAATAAACATATGTGTGCCTGTGTCTTTATAGTAGAAAGATTTATAATCCTTTGGATATATACCCAGTAATGGAATTGCTGGGTCAAATAGTATTTCTGGTTCTAGATCCTTGAGGAATCGCCATGCTGTCTTCCACAATGGTTGAACTAATTTACACTTTCACCAACAGTGTAAAAGCGTTCCTATTTCTCCACATCCTCTCCAGCATCTGTTGTTTCCTGACTTTTTAATGATCGCCATTCTAACTGGCATGAGATGGTATCTCATTGTGGTTTTGATTTGTATTTCTCTAGTGACCAGTGATGATGAGCTTTTTTTCATATGTTTGTTGGCCACATAAATGTTTTCTTTTGAGAAGTGTCTGTTCATATCCTTCACCTACTTTTTGATAGGGTTGTTTTTTTCTTGTAAATTTGTTTAAGTTCTTTGTAGATTCTGGATATTAGCCCTTTGTCAGATGGATAGATTGCAAAAATTTTCTCCCATTCTGTAGGTTGCCAGTTCACTCTGCTGATAGTTTCTTTTGCTGTGCAGAAGCTCTTTAGTTTAATTAGATCCCATTTGTCAATTTTGGCTTTTACTGCCATTGCTTTTGGTGTTTTAGTCAGGAAGTCTTTGCCCATGCCTATGTCCTGAATGGTATTACCTAGGTTTTCTTCTAGGGTTTTTATACACCTGGCCAATTTTTTAATTTTTGTAGAGACTATGTTGCCCAGGCTGGCCTTGATCTCCTCCCCTCAAGCAATCCTCCCATCTTGGCCTCTGAAAGCACTGGGGGATTTTAAAAGTTTTTTTTTCTTTTTTTTCTGTTCTGAGTCTGAAGGAAAAATGTTTCATGAGTACACTGATAATAGATCATATTCAAAATGCAATTTTATTTTTGCTTGTTTCCTTTTTCTTTTTATGTACATATTATTATCAAATTTATTTCCTGTGTCTTTCTAGGCTCTTTGGAGAGTATTTGCTTAAGAGATCTAATTGATGCCTGGCTGTCACTGAGTGTTTTGGGAGAGCTGGGAGTCTTCCTTGTGGAAAAGTTTTTAATTACACGTTTAATTTCTGTGATAGATACATGATTATTCAGATTTTCTACTTCTTGTATAAATTTTGGTAGCTATTTTCCTATTTCTCAATTTCATCTAAACGGTCAAATTTATTGGCATGAAGTCATTCATAGTATCCCTTAATATCTTCTTAGTGTTTGTAAGATGTGTAGTGATGGTTCCCCTTTTTATTCATGATATTGACAATTGTGTCTTCTCTTCTTTTTTTCTGAACAGCCTTGTTAGTGGTTTATTGATTTTAGGAGTCGATAGAAAACCTAATCTTTGTTTTTGTTGATTTTTTTTCTCTGTTGTATTGTGTTTACCATTTTATTAATTTCTCATCTTTTTATTTTCTCCCTGTTACTTTCTTTTTTATTATTATTATTATACTTTAAGTTTTAGGGTACATGTGCACAATGTGCAGGTTTGTTACTTATGTATACATGTGCCATGTTGGTGTGCTGCACCCATTAATTCGTCATTTAGCATTAGGTATATCTCCTAATGCTATCCCTCCCCCCTCCCCCAATCCCACAACTGTCCCGGGTGTGTGATGTTCCCCTTCCTGTGTCCATGTGTTCTCATTGTTCAATTCGTACCTGTGAGTGAGAACATGAGGTGTTTGGTTTTTTGTCCTTGCGATAGTTTGCTGAGAATGATGGTTTCCAGTTTCATCCATGTCCCTACAAAGGACATGAACTCATCATCTTTTATGGCTGCATAGTATTCCATGGTGTATATGTGCCACATTTTCTTAATCCAGTCTATCGTTGTTGGACATTTGGGTTGGTTCCAAGTCTTTGCTATTGTGAATAGTGCCATAATAAACATACGTGTGCATGTGTCTTTATAGCAGCATGATTTATAATCCTTTGTGTATATACCCAGTAATGGGATGGCTGGGTCAGATGGTATTTCTAGTTCTAGATCCCTGAGGAATCGCCACACCGACTTCCACAATGGTTTAACTAGTTTACAGTTCTTTGGGTTTATTTTTTTTCTTTTAACTTTTTGAAATGAGTAGTAGATAACTTTTTTGTTTTTTTTTTTTGCCTTTTCCCTTTTTCAAGTATATTAATCTCCTACTAAGCAAGGCTTTAGGTACAGATCACAAGTTTTGGTATGATGTATTTCCAGTACCATTTAGTTCTAAGTGTTTTGTAATTTCCACTGTGATTTCTTCATTGACCAATGTTTTATTTAGTGCTTAATGAATAAAGTTTTTTTAAAATTTCATATTTCTCCTTTTCAGTTATGTGTATTTAGTAATATATTCTTTTAGTTTTTAACCCTGATTTAAAACACATTTTCAATTAATTTCTAGAGTCTAATACAAGTGAGCGCTTTTACCAGATTTATAATGTTAAATCTTAGACATTCATGTACCACCCACTGCCTTTTAAGTTATTGCTGCTTTTTTGTTGTTATTTAAATTCTACATACAGTTTAAATCCCATATGACATTATTATATTATTGCTTTCTACTGACATACTAATTTATTTATTCCCTTTTTTGCTTTGTTTTGTTTTGTCATAATATTTGAAGGGCATATTTTCAAATGTGTAGAATTTAAAATTGATAACTATTTTCTTTCAGCCCTTGGAAGTTATGATTCCATTATTTTCTGGCTTTCATCATTCTATTTAGGAGTCACTTTTAAGTCTTGCTGTTTTTTGGAGGCAATTGTTTTTTATTTGGTTTGCAAAAAATGTATGGCTACTTTTAAGATTTCTTTTTTGGCAGTTTTGCTACGAGGCGCCTGAATATTGTTTCCTTTGTGTTCTGTTTTGAGTTTGTGGAGCATTTTATGCATGCTGTTACTTAGTGACTTTCATCAGGTTTTGGAAAATTAGCTATTGTTTCTTCAAATATTACTTCTGCCCTATTTGCTTTTTCTTCTTTTCCTAAAATTCCATTTAAACATACGTTAGGCCTTTTCACCCTTTCCAAATATATCTGTATTTTCTAGTCTCTTTTTTTCTCCATATGCCAATTTGCATAGTTTCTATGGAATTGTTCTATCTCCTGTTTTCTCACAGCTTATTCCAGTCTGTGTTTAAACCTATCAGTTAATTTTGTTATTAATTTGTCATTGAAGTGGAGGATTTCCACTGGATTTTTTTTAGTAGTTCCAATTTTATGGCAAAATTTTCTGTCTTGTCATTTATTTTCCAATGAATTAGAGTTATTTTCAAATATATGTCTGATAATCTAATATATAATTCATTTTTGGCCCTATTTCTATTGTTCATTTTCTTACTTGGCCCCAGTTTTAGGTATTTCTGGTAATTATTTATTGAACAACTAATTTTGTGTGTTTGTGTATGAAAAAATTAAGAAGTTCTGGAGACCATTATCTCATTCCTGAGAGGATTAATTTCAGCTCTGCCAGATAGAATAATGAAAGGTCATCTTTGTACAAAGATGGAGCTAATTCAAATCTGGGTTTAAGCTCTTATATAGCCTCATGCATTTACAGTTAGGATGTAGTCTTAAAATGTAGTCCTTCAGAGATTTTAACAAAAATTCTGGAGATCACTGAGGAATTGACAGGATCTTACACATCACTTAGGAATTGACAAATGCTGCAGAAGAGGCACAAAGTGTCAGGCATTGTTATTCCCAACTTGCTGGAACTTTTATTTCAAATTCTCCTGCATTGGCAGCCTCGAGCTCCAACTTTTGTGTCCTCAGCATTATATACTGTGGGAAGCTCTATTTCCCATTTCAGTTTTTTGGTCATTTTACTTAGCAGAAAATACGGGAAAAAGTTTAGAATTTTAGTCACTTCAGTGTGTTGCCCATATCTATAGGATCTTGGCCCCTTGTGTCCTGGTGGCCTTGGTATCTCTGTGATGCCTCCATACATATATATTTTATACTTTGGCATCTTCTCAGTTGTTTTAATGTGAGTTGCTTAGTCTGCCACAAGCTATCGTATCCTAGACAGAGGTTCTCTCTGAAATTGATTTTAAGTTAAATCTTCTCTTGACAGTCCCTCTTGTACCCCACAGGCTGTGGAAGTGCTTCATGGTGCTTCTCCTACCCTTACTTCTTCTCTCCTAATTTGTTAATGACCATCAAAAGGATAGGGGGAAGGAGAGAGAGGACATATGTTAGTCCCTCCTTGACTGTCAGTGTAATGAGATGATTGACGATTTTATTCTGAGTCTAGTAGGAGTTTAAAATGGACTCTTTCTCTTGGGGGACCTTTGGCAAGTTCTTCTGAGGGCCCACTAAAAATGTTTATCTGCTCTTCTTGGGTCTTAGTCAGTGCATTTTGCTTCAGTGGGCCACTCTGTTCTCACGCTTTGGTTTTCTGGTGGTCTCTGGGATGGTCTCTTTCTATCTGGATTCCGTTGCCTTTCCAGGCATTTGTCTTTGGCAGAACTCAAAATGGCTCCATATTGGTTCTTTCTCTTACAAATCCCACATTTTGTTCACGAGATACTCAGAATCGTTGCCTCTGCTGTCTGTGAAAATTTAACTGGTTTTAAGTATATTCTACTCTTTTTGACTTACTTCCCTGGCTGATAGCAGTCATTTGCTTTCAGATTCTGTACGTGTTTTTATGTACCATACAGCAACCGACTGCAACTCCCCCAGATCCCAGGAAACACATGCCAAGCCCTCTGATTGGTCTCTTTGAAGTCTCTCTACCTGTGGGGAAAAGCACATCCCACATCTCTCACTGACTTATGGTACACTAGCAGCCCTTTTAAAAGAAATCTCTATCTCAAAAGATAAAAACAAAAATAAAAAACCTCTCGTAAACTCCATCTCTTTACCTTTTTACACTTACATTTGTTTTCTAGAGCTGCCATAATAAATTACCACAAAGTGGGTGACTTAAAACAATGGACGTTTATTGTCTCACAGTTATGGTGGCTAAAAGCCCAAAATCAAGGTGTTGGCAAGGCCCTGCTCCCTCATAAACCTGTACAGGAGTTGCCATTTCCCAGCCCCTAGTAGTTTGCTGGCAATCCTTGTCATTTCTTGGCCTGTAGAGGCATCCCTCCAGTCCTCTGCCTTCACATGGCATTCTCCCTGTATGCCTTTGTCTTCAGATGGACATCTTATAAAAACACCAATCAGATTGAATTAGTGCCTCATCCTGCTTCTGTATAACCTCACCTTAACTATATTTGCAATGGCCCTATGCCCAAACAAGGTCATATTCTCAAGTACTGGGGGTTAGAACTTTTAGAAACACACACACACACACACACACACAGACACACACACACACACACACACACACGTATTTTTTTTGGCAGGGGAGACACAATTCACCTACTTTTAATTTCTCCAAATTAGTTTATTTCATAACTCATTTTGGTATCTGTTATTTATTGCCCGTGCCTCAGTTGAAACTTCCAGTTGAGCACTTTGTTAGAGTTGAGTATAAATTGTGTTATGTCTGTCATTGTAGAAATACTACTGGTGAACAGTATTGGTTAATATGGGTTTAGGCAAGATGTGAACCATCAGAGAATTATAAAAAATTTCAAGTGATACCTAGGCGAGTTTTTTTTAAAGGTAATGTTATAGTTAAACATTTTTAGTAAGAGATAATTTCAGTTATCTGATGTTGTGTGAATTAGTAATTGTGAGGATAAGATGGCCTCAAGCTGAAACAACTCTAGAAATTTTAGTTGGTTAAAACTGGAAAACCAAACCAAACAAAAGCAAAACAAAATCCCAAGTCCCTAAATGTAATATTTTCATAGTTAGTGAAGGTTGCCTACACCTCAAATAAATCTTGCTTTTGATGCATTAGTGCTCAATATAATTATATCACTTCTTCAATGGAGCATTCCTTGTATGCTTCAAATATGATAATTATCACACAGTAAAAGTTGAAACATAATTTTTACAGTCTTTATTATTTCAAGATAAAGTGATAAAAGACCAGAACATATATTGGGCAAAAACTCTGAAAAGCACTTGGGAAAAAATTCTAATTTGCAAACTGGACTTTTGTGGCCAGTGAGAAAGGCAAGACCCTTCAGTTCTCATTTGGTAAAAGTTGGAAAGAAAATTAAGACGTTATTAACCAATATGGTTCCTACAGTTTGAAGGGAGAATGACCTGCCATGCTGCCATTTGCGGAAGAGTTCAGACACAATGAAGGCATCAAATAAAGATAATTTAAACATTTAAATAGTGCTAAAAAACTTACAATGAAAAAAGTATATTCCTACTAAATTATTTTTTCATGCTATTCCACTTTCAAGAAATAGCTATTAATTCTTTCAGCTGCTTCTTCAAGAAATTACCTCCGTAATTATAAATAAAATAACATGTAGTCATGCATTGCTCAACAATGGGGATATATTCTGAGAAATGCATTGTTAGGTGATTTCTTCTTTGTGGAAACATTATAGAGTGTACTTACACAAACCTAGATGCTATAGCCTACTACACACCTAGGCCATATGGTATAAGGCTATTGCTCCCAGGCTACAAACCTGTGCAGAGTGTTACTGTACTGAATACTGTAGGCAGTTATAACACAATGGTAAGTATTTGTGTGTTTAAACATATTTAAACATAAAAAAGGTCCAGTAAAAGTATGGTATTATTATCTTATGGGACTAGTGTTGTATATGTGGTCCATTGTTGACTGAAACATGGTTTTGCAGTGCATGACTGTGTATGCATAGTGTTTTTTACTGATTCAGCCCTTTTCGACGTTATCTATTGACTTCCTATGTGGCATATAACGATTTTTTACTCTGTCGCACCTCACTTTTTCCAGAATAGTTATATCACAAATTTCAATTAAGTATTTTCATTATTATTATAATGGTAGATATTGTTCACTAATCAGCCAAGTAATATGCATTTCTGTTCTCTTTCTTTCACTGTTGTTTGTATTTCCTGGAGTTAATTGTCTCAGTTCTTTCATTTGCTTAGTTTTCCTTGAATCTATGACTAAGTCTCATCACATCATTCAATTGTTCTGCAGATTACTTATTTTTAAAATTTCCTATTTGGTAAAACTGCTCAAGTAATCTTTAATTCCTGTGTTTATTTCTTTTTCCTTGGAGACATACCTTCTGCTGCCCTTTATATTCCTTCTCCAATCTAGATTTGCTGTGCAGGATAACAGCTCTCATCCTGGGACTTTCTGTAGAAGTTCCAGGAATTCTCTTTGCCTTGCTCCTGTGTTAGGTTCTCATTTGCAGTTCCATGTCTTTTTCTTGTTTTTTTGTTTTGTTTTGTTTTTCTCTCCCCTCCCTGCCCGCATTGTGGTGAAGAAGATTCTCCAATAGATTCCTAAAAAATAGTGCAATAAATGCATGGGAAATAAATAATTAGAAACCATGAATGTCTGAAATTGTTTCCATTCTACCCACACACTATATTGATAGCTTGATGAGACATACACTTCTAAGTTGAAAATATTTTTCTGAAGAATTTCATAAGTGTCACTCTATTATTTTCTAATTAACATTGCTGTTAAGAGCTTCAGTGACACTCTTATTCTCAATTCCTTGCTTGTGACCTACTTTTGTTTTCTGACAACTTTTAAAATCATCTCTTTTCCTGTAAAAATTTATGGTGAGACATTTTAGAATGGATATTTAAAAATCTTCATTGTCCTGAATATTTTCAGTTGGGAACCTTGTGCTTTATAGTTTTGCAAAATTCTCTTTTATTATTTTTTCCATCAGTTCTGACATCCTAATAGATTCTGACATCCTAGATTCTTCAATGTTATTTCTTCTTTCTTTTTGTCTATCCTTTTGTTTTATTTTTTAAAAATTTTTATCTTTCATTTTATGTTTAAATTTTTATGTTTGCTATCATATTTGTAATTTCTAAAAGCTCTTTTTACATTTCCTAACCTCCCTTAAAAATAACATATTGTTCTTTATTTCATAAATAGAATACACTTTCTTATCCCTGAGGGTGGATGATATAGTTTTATTTTTAAAATCCATTTTACCATGACATATGTTGGATTTGGATATGATCTTTTCTGGCAGGATATGAAGTCTTTCTGCTCGGAAAGTACTCCAGTCTTTTTAATCTCCCATTGAAGCTATAAACTTTTCAATAGACACTTCATGCATAGTTGGCAGCTCTGATTTTAAAAAGTGGAATGGATAGCAAAAATAGGAATTTGGAGTAACAGAAGTCCTGGGTAATCCTAAAATAATGCACATAGAGAACATATTTAAGACAATGGGTATAAATCATATTTCTGAGAAGTGGGAAACATGCCTTTCTTTCACAGATCTACTAGTGAATTATCATCTAAGCTATCTTAATATAAACCATAATGATGTAAATCGAAATCACTACTAAATAAATGAAGTGTTTCTGTGAAGTTAAACCAATTAATACTGCCTGTTTCTAAATCAACTTCCTATGAGCCTTTCTGTTAAAAGCACGTCCATTCTGACCATGCGGCTTTAAAACCTGCCTTCTTTCTCACCTCTTCTACTTCTGCAACAGTACTTATCCCTACTGTCTCTTTGCAGATCTTACAAGCAGGACTTTGGTTCAACTTTTATTTAATTAATTAACCTCTGAAATAATCTTCACACTTTTAGCCTTCTCCAACACATCTTGAAACACTTTTGCCAAATTTACCAAATTTAGCTTTGTCAAGTGTAATTCTGACCATACACTCTTTTGCAAAGAAAAAAAGTCCTTTTGTAGGCTACTCATTGTCTACACAATTAAGTGTGAATTCCTAAACTGGGTGTTGAAGGATATCTACATATCCTTTCTATTTGTCCTCTGCTATTTTCTTCATATATTGCGTACTCTGTTAGAGTAATAATGCTCTTCTCTTGCAAATTCATATGGCTACATGACTCGGCAAGGAGGGTTTTTAGTGATGTAGGTCTATACATTTTGTTTAAACAAGTTTATTGAGGTGTAATTGACATATAGTAAACTGTATTCAAAGTGCACAATTTGAAAAGCTTTAACATATATGCATACTTGTGAAACCATCACTACAATCAAGACGATGAACATATCTATCACTCCCAAAAGTTTTCTTGTACACAGAAAGAGGGCCTGGGATCGGCCCAGAGAAACAGAAGATACTTGGGATGTGGATCCCCCCACTGTGTGGCAGGTTTATCAGCCTCTGATTCTGCCTACACAATTTAGGCCATAAGATGGAGCCCTAGCCAGAAAATTTCAAATAGTTTCAGCCAAGTGTTTGGCTCTCTTCTGAAATTGGAAAAAGGATGATTTTTTTTCTTTCACTTACTTACTTTCCTACAAGAGTGTGAACTTGTTTTCTGCAGCCAAAACAAACAAGCTTGAAGATGATGGTATGTATCACACCCAACCACAAAAGCAAGGGGATTATCTGAGGCATAGCAAATGGCTTTGGCGTGTTTCCTGGTTTCTGCCTGTGCAACACACCTGATTAACTACAAAAATAGTCCTATAAGCAATGGAATTCTCTTTCTCCTCCTTTCCTCCCTGCTTTTCTTCCCTTCAGTATGAATTTGGGTGTGGACAAAATAATTCCAAATGGAAAGTCCAATAATGGGTCTCTATGATAGAAGATTACAGGGGCCTGCACTTACATGCAAAACCCTGGGGTGTGAGCAACCACCCTGTCTATTGCAGACAAAACACAAATCATGAAGACAGTGAGCAATAACTTATTTTGGCGTGAATATTAGCCACATCCATGTGCAATCAATGTTAGTCATTCTCAATGACACCCAATTTCTTTCTAAAGACAATACACATAAACATATAGCCATATTTCACATTTTTTGTTGTTTTGAGACAGTTTCTGCTCTTTTGTTCAAGATGAAGTGCAGTAGTGTGCACATAGTTCATTATAGCCTCAAACTCCTGGGCTCAGGCAATCCTCCTATCTCAGCCTCCTGAGTAGCTGGGACTATAGGTGTACATGATCAGGTCCAGGTATTTTTTTTTTTTTTTTTTTTCGTAGAGACAGGGTCTTCCTATATTGTCCAGGGTGGTCTGAAACTCCTGGCCTCAAGTAATCTTCCCTCCTTGACCTCCCAGATTGCTGGAATTATAGGCATGAGCCACTGGGCCTGGCCCCTATTTCATGATTTTAATAAGAAAGATCATTATCTCTTATCCCTGGCAATATGGTGCAATCAAGATTTTTACATTAAATATTTGAGAAAAATTACCGTTTAGATATTTCTGAAATGTGAATACCTTGAACAGGGCTGAATGCTATTCCTGAAGATGTTACTGGGCCCTTTACTCTCAAACAGGCATTTGAAGTAGGGGTCAAGATCTAATAGTCTCAGACCATTTAAGGGTCACTTGCAAGGGGATCTACCAAGGGGATAACATAAAGCCACCACTTAAGGGCTTGCAAGAACTGCTGGAAACCTTCTATCTGTAAATTCGTGAAGTGAATAATATATCATTGCAAATGACCACTATGCTGGTACTTTCAAAATAAACTTTTTGTTGAAGTATAACAGATAATGTGCACAGTTTAAAAATGTATGGCTGGATGAGTTTCCACAAAGTGCATATGCCTACATAATCACTCCTTGTATCAAGAAGCTGATCATTGGAATCCCGTCTTACCCCTTCCTGATAAGGTAACCACTATTCTGGTATGTAACACCATTGATTAGTTTCACATGTTTTGGAGATTTATACAAATGGAGACATAGAGTATGTACTTTTTTATATTTTAAGGATTTATCCATATTATTGTGGGTAAGAGTTGCTTATTTTTCTCATTGCTGAATAGTATTCCATTATATGAATATTTACAATGTATTTATTTGTTCTTCTGTTGATAGACATTTGATTTTTTCAGTATTTGCCTGTTTTTGATCGTGTTACTCTTTAAATTTTTATACGTGAGTTTTGGTGCACATTAGAATGCATATTGAGGGTCATTATACTTAAGAATGGAATTACTGGTTCATAGAATTACCTTTTTGGTAAGCACGTATTTACCAAAGGGTAAGTACATATTAACACTTTCCATTGTTTTTCATTCCTTACTGCATTTACATGTTCCATATAATTTTCCTTTCACTTGAGAATTTCATTTATGATTTTTTTTTCTTTAGACCTTCTAGTAAATAGTTTCTTCAGTTTTTGTTTGTCTGGAAATATCTTTATTTCACATTCATTTAAACAGCTATCTTTGCAGGGTATAGAGATCTAGACAGTTTTCTTTTGCATTTTAAGGCTATGATTGCATTTTATTATGGTTTTCATCCTTTCTGCTCAGAAGTGGAATGTCAGTCTTAATGTTGCTCGTTAAATATTAAGTGTCTTTTTAATATGGTTTACTAAATATATTTTTCTGTCTTTGGTTTTTAGCTGTTTTATACTGAAAAACCATTGCCTAGGTATAGTTTATTTTATATTTATCTTGCTTTGGGTTTCTTGCACTTCTTGAATCTATGGCTTATGTCTGTCATTAGCTTTGGAAAAGTCTCAATTTTCATCACTTAATGAATTACTTGGGATTTTATTTATATAGCTTTTTCTTCTGTGAATAAAAATAGTTTTATTCTATTCCAATTTGGAAATCTGGAAATAAAATCCACCTTTTATTTTTCTATTTGGTCAAATTGTCCTGGTTATAATCTCTACTATAACATTGAATAGGAGTGGTGAGAACAAATATCCCTGTTTTATCTTAGAGGGAAAGCGCTTAGTCTTTTACCATTAAGATGATGTTAGCTGTAAGTTTTTGCAGATGCCCTTTATCAGATTGAAGAAGTTTCCTTCTATTCTTAGTTTGTTGAATTTTTTTTTTAAATCAGAAACGGTGTTGGATTTTGTTTAATTCCTTTTATGTACCTGATCACATAGTTTTTGTATCTTATTAATGTGGTGAATTATATTAATTTTGAATATTAAATCAACTTTGCACTCCTGGAATAAATCTCACTTGATCATGGTGTATAAATCATTTTATAGTTAGCTAGATTCAGTTTGCCAGAGTTTTTCCATACATATTCATAAGGGTGAATGGTCTGCAGCTTTTTTTTTTTCTTGTTATATTTTTGTCTTTTTGGCATCAGGGTGATATACTGGTCTCATACAATGAGTTTGGAATTGTTCCTTCCCCTTCTATTTCATGGAAGTGTTTGTGAAAAATTGTTATTAATTCTTTTTAAAATGTTTCATTGAATTTACCAAGGAAGCTATTTAGGGCCTAAGATTTTCTTCCTGAGAAGTTTTAAAATTAATAATTAAATTTCTCTACTTGTTATAGATCTACTCAGATTTTCTACTTCTTATGTTAGTTTTGGAAATTTATGTCTTTCTAGGAATTCATCCATTTCATCTATCTAATTTGTCGGCATACAGTTCTTTGTAACATTCCCATATAATCCTTTTTTTTTTTCCCTGAAGGTCTATAGTAATATCCCTCTTTCATTTCTGATTTTTATAATTTGAATCTTCTCTCTTTTTATCTTGGTTAATCCAGATAAGAATAATTACTCTTTACTTGATTTTAGCCAAAAGGCCAAGAAGTATTGTTAGATAATTACCCTTTAAATATTATTTCTGCTCAATTTTATCTCTTGTTTCCCTCAAGGACTAAATGACACATGCATACACATATTCACTATAACTTATATGTGCCACATTCTATTCTGCATGTTCTACATATACTTTATGTTTTAGTTTAGAATTTTTTTACTGATCTGTCTTCTAGCTCACTAATTCTTGCTCCAGTGACAGCCATTCTGTAAATTAAACTTATTTACTACATTACTAATCTAGTTATTTTTATGTTTGATAATTTCTATTTTATTTTTTCTTATAGCTCAATTTTCTGATTAAAGTTTCAATTTGTCATCCATTTTCTTAAAGATATTAATCACACTTATTTTAAAGTCCACGTATGAGAACTCTAAAATCTGGATCACCTCTCAGTCTGTTTTTAGTCTATTTCTGGATCTTATTTCTGGGGAGACTTGGCGTATTATTCCATTCTCGCACTGCTATAAAGAAATACTGGAGACTGGGAAATTTATAAAGAAAAGAGGTTTAATTGGCTCACAATTCTGCAGATGCTAGCATCTGCTTGGCTTCTGGGGAGACCTCAGGAGCCTTAGAAACATGGCAAAAGGCAAAGGGGTAGTGAGCACTTCACATGGCTGGGGCAGAAAAAAGAGAGAGAGAAGAAAGGTTCTACACACTCTTAAACAACCAGTTCATGAGAACTCACTCACTGTTGTGACACAGTAGGAAGGGGGAAAATCCACCCCCATGATCCAGTCACCATCCAGCAGGCCCCATCTCCAACACTGGGGATTACAATTTGACATGAGATTTGGGTGGAGACACAGATCCAAAACATATTCTACCCCTGGCTCTTCCCAAATCTCATGTCCTCATATTTCAAAACACAATCATGCCTTCTCAACAGTTCCCCAAAGTCTTAACTCGTTCCAGCATTAGCTCAGAAGTTACAGTCCAAAGTCTCATCTGAGACAAGGCAAGTCCCTTCTGCCTACAAGCCTGTAAAATAAAAAACAAGTTAGTTACTTCCAAGACACAATGAGGATATAGACATTGGGTATATACTCCCATTCCAAAAAATGGAAACAGGCCAAGAGAAAGGGGCTGCAGGCCATATTCAGGTCTGATACTCAGCAGGGCAGTCATTAAATCTTAAAGCTCCAAAATCATCTCCTTTGACATCATGTCTCACATCCAGGGCACACTGGTGCAGGTGGTGGGCTCCCAAGGCTTTGGGCAGCTCCACCTCTGAGGGTTTGCAGGGTACAGCCCCCAGTGGCTGCTTTCATGGGCTGGTGCTGAGTGCATGTTGGAGATGGGGCCTGGTGGAAGGTGACTGGAACATGGGGGCAAATTTTCCCCCTTGCTACTGTGTCACAACAGTGAGTGAGTTCTCATGAACTGGTTGTTTAAAAGTGTGTAGAACCTTTTTTTTCTCTCTCTCTCTTTCCATTCTTTTCCAGATGCATGGTACAAGCTGTCAGATCTACCATTCTGGGGTTTGGAGGACTGTGGCGCTCTTCTCACAGCTCTACCAGGGACTTCCCCAGTGGGGACTCTGTGTGGGGTATCCAACCTCCCATTTCCCCTCTGCACTGTCCTAATAGAGGTTGTCCATGAGGGCTCTGCTCCTGCAGCAGACTTCTGCCTGGACACCCAGGCTTTTCTATACATCCTCTGAAATTTAGGCAGAGGCTCCTAATTCTTAGCTGTTACACTCTCCACACCCACTGGCTCATACTATGTGGAAACTGCCAAGGCTTGTGGCTTGCACCCTCTGATGCAGTGGCCTGAGCTGTATCTGGGGCCCCTTTAGCAACTGCAGGAGCTGGAGCAGCCGGGATGCAGAGAGTAGAGTCCCAAGGCTTCACAGGGCAGCGGGGCCCTGGACCTACCCCACAAAACCACTCTTCCCTCCTAGGCCTCTGGGCCTGTGATGGGAGACCTATGGTGAATGTCTCTGAAATGCTTTTGAGGTCCCTTCCCTATTGCCTTTGCTATTAGCATTTGCCTTCCTTGTAGTTGTTCAAATTTCTGCAACCTGCTTGAATTGTTCCCCTGCAAACGGGCTTTTCTTTTTTACCACATGGCCAGGCTGCAATTTTTAAAAATTTTTATGTTTTGCTTCCCCTTTAAATAGAAGTTACAGTTTTACGTCATTTCTTTGCTCACACATATGAACATAGGATGTTAGAAGCAGCCAGGCCATAGCTTGAATGCTTTGCTGCTTAGAAATGTCTTTTGTGAGATACCCTAAATCATCATTCTCAAGTTCAAAGTTCCACAGATTCCTAGAGCAGGGGCGCAATGCAGCCAACCTCTTTGCTAGGACATAACAGAAATGACCTTTGCTCTAGTTCCCAATAAGTTTCTCATTTCCATCTGAGACCTCCTCAGCCTGGACTTTATTGTCCATATTACTATTAGCAGTTCAGGCACAACCATTTGACCAATATCTAGGGAGTCTCAAATTTTTCCTTGTCTTCCTGTCTTCTTCCAGGCCCTCCAAACTCTTCCAACCCCTGCTTGTTACCCTGTTCCAAAGCCACTTCAACATTTTCAGTTATCTTTATTTCAATACCCTACTCCTGGTACCAATTTTATATTAGTGTTCTTGCACTGCTACAAAGAAAGATCTGAGACTCGGTAATTTATGAAGAAAAGAGGTTTAATTGGCTCATGGTCCCACAGGCTATACAGGAAGCACGATGCTGGCATCTGCTTTGCTTCTGGGGAGGCCTCAAGAAACTTACAAACATGGCAGAAGGCAAAGGGGGAGTGAGCACTTCACATGGCCAGAGCAGGATGGAAAGAGAGGTGAGAGTAAGTGCTACACACTTTTAAACAACTAGATCTTATGAGAACTCATTCACTATTGTAACACAGTACCAAGGGAAAAGTCTGCTCCCATGATTCAGTCATCTTCCACCAGGCTCCATCTCCAACACTGGAGATTACAATTTGACAAGAGTTTTGGGCAGGGACACAAGTCTGAACCATATCATTTGGAAATTTTTGACTGCATACCAGCCATTGTAAATATCATAGAAGTTTTGGGTGATACTGTCTTACAACTCATGAAAAGACTTATTCTATCTTCTGATAGGAAGTCAGAGTAAGGACAGACCACCTCAATCCATGAGTTTTCTCTCTTGATATTGGGTCATTAAGTATAACATAACACATTTAGGAAACAGAACAACTTTATTTTAAAGAGAGTAGGTTTTTTTTTTTAAATTTTAAGATAAAATCTAGGAAATTAATCTTTGAAGGTTTTACTTCAATATTGGTGGCCCTACAAAAGTCAACATAATGTTTGATTAGAAAGCATTGATGGAAAATGTTACTGTGTTCATTTAAGCCATGGGGTGCTTAATACTGGAATAATG
Organism: Homo sapiens; assembly: GCF_000001405.40. Lineage (NCBI taxonomy): Eukaryota > Metazoa > Chordata > Mammalia > Primates > Hominidae > Homo > Homo sapiens. The sequence continues at coordinate 74,985,512 of NC_000006.12, read as the reverse complement.
CAGAGTGTTTTGCTCACTGTCCCTCAGAGAGGTGGTAATTGGCAGGAACTTAGACTCTATTCCCATAGGTGCTGAATAATGCTTGGTCATTAAATTGAACACCAGAGCTGATTATTTTGAGGACAGTACTGTCTAAATTCTAGGATTGTTTTAAAGACTAATTATGGGACCAAACAAGCACTGAATACCCTATAAAATTTACATTTAATATATATTTATGGATATCTGTCAATCATTTATAAAAATGATTTTTTAACATACTCTTCCCTCCTTGCTCTCCTCTCCCCATCACTATACACATCCGTTGTTGCCTGTTTGCATGTTACCCTGGGCATCAGATCTCCCTTTAGCTAGTGTCTCTATACTACTCATTCTAATAACTGATTATTCAACATTTAGGGGGCCTATCTTCTGTAATGCTTATATTTTTTAGGTTACCATACCTTATAAATGCTTATGTAAACCTCTTGTCTCAGTGTTACTTGAGAAGAAACTATAGTAAAGTTTATTATCAAGTAAAGTCAAAGTCAATTCAGACAAATTCCAAATCACTGAAGATTTGGATAGGTGACTTCCCAGAAGATTTGGACAGGTGACATGAGCTTTAAAATTGTGAACTGATTAACCTAAGGCATTAAACATGGAGATAAAGAAATGGTGAATATGGCTTCAAGGTCTCTCATGTTATAAATGTAAAAATTGAAAATCTGAAGACAGAGGGAACTTTATTTTCCATAGCCTATTATTTTAGAATAAAGTAAACCAATTTCCCTCCAATTCTTTTGCAAATAAAGAGAACCTCATTCAGTTCAATTAAGTACTATAATGTTTTTATTTTTTAACTTATAGGATTCAAGATTGTTTATTGGAGCCACTTCAAACAGAAAGGCCCCAAACCTCTCAAATAAGCCAAAATCTTGGCATTCCCCTATCCAATAGAGTTATTTTCAGGGTTAAGTGGTGTTAATGTTTTTAGATGGAAACAACCTCAATGGAATATGGAATCCTAAATTTTCCTTATAAGAAAGCACTTTTTACTGAGCTGGTGAGAGTGCTGACATTTGAAATGCACAGGCATGGTTAGTTGGTGATATGTTTAGACTGGATTAATTTAAGGGGAGAGAAATTTTAAAGGTTGTGCATGAGCCAATGAAGTTGAGGAAGTGACTTGGCAAGGTTTAAGCATGTAGCTTTCTGATATCCAGAAAAGCATTTGTTAGTGCTAAGTCCTAATGAAAGAAATATATCTTTAACAAATTGGCTACAAATGTAGTTGTTTTCCTCCCTTTAAGAAGCTGATGAGGCCTGTCCTTTGGATCATCACAAAATTAAGAGATCTACGCATTTTTAGTAAATAACCATTGTGTTCCTACTTCTTCCAGGAAGAAACAGCTTCTTAACTACAATTACCCCTTCCAAAGAAAGATTTGATTTGTGAGAATCAATTTGAAAATTGAGTAGGAATTGGTATTTTGTACTCTTTATACTATAGAAGGAAACTTAATAAGTTAAAAAATAATAGTGTAGTGTGATGCCTCCAGCTTTGTTCTTTTTGCTTAGGATGGCTTTGGCTATTTTTGGCTTTTTTTTAGTTCCATATCAATTTTAGAATAGTTCCTTCTAGTTCTGTGAAAGATGCCATTGGTAATTTCATAGGAATAGCATAGAATCTGTAAATTGCTTTGGACAGTATGGCCGTTTTAACAATATTGATTCTTTCTCTCCATGAGCATGGAATATTTTTCCATTTGTGTCATCTCTGATTTATTTCAGTTGTTTTATGGTTTTCATTGTAGAGATCTTTCACCTCCCTTGTTAGCTTTAGTCCTAGGTATTTTATTCTTTTTGTGGCCATTGTAAGTTGGATTGTGTTCTTGCTTTGGCTCTCAGTTTGGTAACAGTTGGTGTATAGAATTACTACTCATTTTTATACATTAATTTTGTATCCTGAAACTTTGCTGATGTTGTTTATCAGATCTAGGAGTCTCTCTGGACAGAGACTATGGGGTTTTGTAGATATATAATCATATCATCTCTGAAGAGAAATAGTTTGACTTCTTCTCTTCTCATTTGGATGACTTCTATTTCTTCCTCTTGCCTGATTGCTCTGGCTAGGACTTCCAGGATAGGACAATAAACAGACATTTCTCAAAAGAAGACATACAATACACATGACCAACAAACATATGAAAAAAGGCATAAAATCACTAATCATTAGAGAAATGCGAATCAAAACCGCAATGAGATACCATCTCCCATCAACCAGAATGGCCATTTATAAAAAAGTCAAAAAATAACAGATGCTGGCAAAGTTGTGGAGAAAAGGGAATGCTTACACACTGCTGGTGGGATTGTGAATTAGTTCAGCCTCTGTAGAAAGCAGTTTGGAGATTTCTCAAATAACTTAAAACTGGACCACTATTTGACCCAGCAATCCTATTACTGTATATATACCCAAAGGAATTTAAATCATTCTGTGAAAAAGACACACACATTTGTTGATTGCACCACTATTCACAGTAGCAGAGACATGGAATCACCCCAGGTGCCTATCAATGGTGGACTGGATGAGGAAAATTCGGTACATATACATCATAGAATACAAAGTCGCCATAAAGAAGAATGAAATCATGTCTTTTTGCAGCAATATGGATGCAGCTGGAGGACATTATCCTAAGCAAGTTAACACAGGAACAGAAAACCAAATACCATGTGTTCTCACTTATAAGTGGGAGCTAAACATTGAGTACATATGCTGATTACCTGGATGATGAAATAATCTATATACCAAACCTCCATGACACACAATTTACCCGTGTAACAAACCTGCACATATACCACCTGAACCTAAAATAAAATTTGGAAAGAAAAAGTAATAATAGTGCAAACAGCTAACTTATTTTATAGGACCAATTAGCAAACTGAATATGTTTTGTTAGATACTTTGATGAAGAAAAATAGTTTTCTTATTCAGTTAAGGCTTATAACTGAAGGGCTGAAAACCTAAGAAGAAAATCCTTTCGTTTATTTTATTGAAAACTCAGAGACCTTGCTTTTGAAAATTAGTCATTTTCATCTTTCCAATGCATAGGTTGGGAATCAGTGTGCTCAACAGGATACGTGCCTACTTCAGGAGATCTGTTTTTCAGTTGCCTCTACAAGAAAGATATTTGGGCCCATCACCACTTCATCACCAGAGAAAGAATATTTTCCAGGAGTCAAGGAGTAACTTGGAAAAGTTGGATGGGACCATTTGAGATAAAAAAATTGGCATTTTCTACATATGTCTTGGGAATTCAGTGTGGACACAAATTATTTCTCTGGGGAAGTAAAAGCACAGGAAGCCAGACAAAATAACAAAATGCTATTAGGACCCTACTAGGTGCCAAATCATACTCTAAAGTTGGTCATCAAAATGTTACATTATTAGTATCCAAATCAATGGAACAGAATAGAAAATACAGAAGTAGACCTTAGTAGTCAGAAGAATTAGTGTATTATCCATAAAGGTGGTCCTACAAATTAGTAGTAGAGAGGATTATTGGGTCATAATTTAACAAAATTGTGCTGTGATGATTGGATGATATTTGGAACATATAAAGTTAAAACATTACCTCATTTTATATGCCAAAGTAAACTCCAGATGGGTTAAAGAGTTACATATAAAACCATGTTTTGAAAGAAAAATATGAATAAAATTCATCTAATTTAGTCTAAAAATCCCTCTAAGAATAAAAGCCCTGAGGAAGTGCCAAATATTTAAACTACATTAACATTCTGGCATACAAAGTTTAACAGTATCACATTTATCTATGTAAGAAAGCAAAAAAGCATCAAAATGAAAAGATAAATGTGGCAGAGGGTTAATATTTTTCTCACAAGGAGAGCTGTAAAAATCATTAAGCAAAACAAGGCTCCAATAAAGTATGCTCAAACAACATAAAAAGAAGAAATATAAATGGACTATAATGGATACTAAAAAAGTTCAAATTCATCAGTAAGTGAAAATTCAAATGCATATGGGATCATATTTCACAGATCATATGGAGAATGATACTAGGAATGCTGGCAAGGATGGGTGTAGGGAGCTTAGTCCCATCCCACATTGGTGGTAGGAATATCAATTGTTATTAATGTCTGGAAAATAATACAGCAATGTGTGCTTTCTAATGAGTAGTACTTTATTATTGTAATTATTATCAAAATCAATTATTTTGTAAAAAATTATTAATTTTTATTTTAGATTCAGGGGGTACATGTGCAGGTTTGTTAAAACGATATATTGTGTGATACTGTGGTTTGGGCTTCTAATGATCCTGTCACCCAAGAAACAAACATGATACCTGATAGGTAGTTTTTAAGCCCTTCCCCTTCTACCTGCCCCCTCTTCTTGAAATCCCCAGTGTCTACTGTTCCCATCTTCATGTCCATGTGTACCCATGTTTAGCTCTCACTTATAAGTGAGAACACATGGTATTTGGTTTTCTGTTCCGTGTTAAGTTGCTTAGGATAATGGCCTCCAGCTGCATCCATGTTGCTGCAAAGCACATGATTTCATTCTTTTTTTATAGCTTCATTGTATTCCATAATGTATATGTACCACATTTTATTCAATCCACCATTGATGGGCTCCTGGGTTGATTCCATGTCTCTGCTATTGTGAATAGTGCTGCAATCAACAAATGTGTGTGTGTGTCTTTTTGGTGGAATGATTGATTTAAATTTCTTTGGATATATACCCAGTAATGGGATTGTTGGGTCAAATAGCAGTCCAGTTTTAAGTTATTTGAGAAGTCTCCAAACTGCTTTCCACAGGGGCTGAACTCATTTGCATTTCCACCAACAGTGTATAAGTGTTCCCTTTTCTCTGCAACCTCACCAACGTCTGTTATTTTTTGACTTTTTATTTGTAGTCATTCTGATTGGTGTAAGATGGTATCTCATTGTGGTTTTGACTTGCATCTCTCTGATGATTTGTGATGTTGAGCATTTTTTTCATAATGTTTGTTGGCCACCTCTATATTTCTTTTGAGAAGTGTCTGTTCATGTCCTTTGGCCACTTTTTAATAGGGTTATTTGTTTTTTTCTTGTTTATTTGTTTATGTTTCTTATAGATTTTGGGGCCTCACTGTGTTTCCCAAGCTGGAGTGCAGTGGCTATTTACAGGTTCAATTATTGTATACTGCAGCCTCAAACTCCTGGCCTCAGCGATTCTCCTGCCTCAGCCTCCTGAGTAGCTGGGATTAAAGGCATGTACCACCATGCCTGGCTAGGAATGATTCTTAAGAAATTATCACACTTAGAGTCAAATGCTACTGCACAAGTTTTTTTTTGCCATATTATTTATAGTGAAAAATAAGATGAAAATGAAAAGCTTGCTATGTGTTCAACAAAAATAAAATTATCAAATAAAATAAATGAAACATTATATAATTATTGTAAGTTATGTTTTTAATAAATACTTAAGAACAGGGAAAAGTACCTATAGTTTGATATCAAGTGATACAAGGCAGGGTAGAAAGTTTATAATAAGTACTCTATTAATTTTGTAAAATTTTGTGCATGTATGTGCATATGTAAATGTATAGAAAAAACTGGTTGAAAATATATTAAACTGTTAACAGTACTTTCTTGTGGGTGGTAGGATTACATGTTTTAATTTTTGTTATTTATACTTTATTATTTTTACTATTTGTACATGAAGTTTGATTTGTTTTTCATGAGAAAAAAGTACATTTTTAAATTTAACATTCACTACTTAGTAAAAGAAATCAATTTACTTGAAATTTTTAAACTTACAATGTATCATGATGAGCTATGTAAAAGTGACTAATATCTTGATGGATATCTGTGAATCAAACATTTAATACATTCCTTACATGTTTTAGCAAGGGAGGGACATCCTTGTTCTTCTCCCTCCAGGTGTGTCTCTTCACCTTAAAATGTGGCAAGAATAGTGAAACAATGAATTTCTTCTAGTAAATGGTGCAATGCGAAAAAAAAAATTCCGACATTTCCCCATAGGATGTTGTCATCCATTTTACTCTTGGCAAGACACTGATGGTTAGTAAATAGAGAAGTTGTCCCTAAGGTGACAGGCATTTATTTCCTCTGGTAAAGGCAACATTTATCCCCTCAAATGGAAAAACTGGCAAAGCAGTGCGATTAGGAAATTAAACCCATAAGCATTCTATTGCTCCCTTTCACCTCTGCTGTACTTTAACCCTCCCCTTTGCTGTCGAATCTCTTGAAAAACTGGTCTGCATCCGTGTCCTGGTTTCCTCAGCTCTTCCTCCACCTTTCCGCCTCCAGCAGTGTGACTCCTGTCCTTTCCATTCCTCTAGAAGTGTACTCTTCTTTGAGAGACTGCCCAGTACCCAGATCCAAATGATCTTGCCTCAATTTTCTATCCTCTCGACCTCTGTAAAACATGTAAAACTAATCACCAGTCCCTTTTATTTTGAAACAGTCTCTTCCCTTGGCCCTGGACACTGTATCAACCATGTTAATGGAGGGTACTCTTCAAAATTTCGTTGGCTCTATGTATTTCTGTCTTTGTAGTCTTGGGGAAGAGGGAGGGCAAAATTATATTCTCTTATTTTAATTATTACTGCCTTGAGATTGCTATTAATAGTTTATTCATTTCTTCCATTATCATGATGATGATGATGATGATGATGAAGAATATCAACCTTCAAAGTATCTTAGATGAATTAACTAATTTCAATTTCCCAATAATGCAATGAGGTAGATACTATTATTTTCCATATTTTTCTAATGAGGAAATTGACACACAGAGTTTAAAAAACGTGCCCAGATCATGGAGATAGTAAGAGGCACAGGCAAGATTCAAATCTTGGAAACTGTACTATTAACATTCTGTTATAATACTGTTTACACCCTTAAATAAATTCGCATTCAAGTATGGGGAGGCACACAACTAAGCAAAATCACAACACGTGGTGATTGTTATTATAAGATATGGGAAAACTATTAGAAGCATAAAGTAAAGGCATCTAAGACATTCTGGAGATTCAGAGGAGGCCTCCTGAAGCTTAATTTGCAACATGAAGATGGTAAAAGTCAAACATGAACACACAAAGCAGAGAGAACTGCATGTACAAAGATAAGAACACAATGTAAGAAGCAAGCATTTGATTTTTGAGGAATTGCACTTCATCTGATTTTTCTTTATGAGGTAGATTCTCCAGAGTGGCAGAATATAAGATGAGAGATATAGGCGGTGGCCAGATCACACAAAACATAGAAACCAGGCTTAAGGGGCTGGGCACGGTGGCTCATGCCTATAATCCCAGCACTTTGGGAGGCCGAGGTGGGCAGATCACGAGGTCAGGGGCTCTAGACCATCCTGGCTAACACGGTGAAACCCCGCCTCTACTAAAAATACAAAAAATTAGCCGGGCGTGGTGGCAGGCGCCTATAGTCCCAGCTACTCGGGAGGCTGAGGCAGGAGAATGACGTGAACCTGGGAGGCGGAGCTTGCAGTGAGCCGAGATCACGCTGCTGCACCCCAGCCAGGGCAGCAGAGCGAGACTCCGTCTGAAAAAAAAAAAAAAATAATGTTTAAAATGCGGACTGTTTTTCTGAAAGTGATTGGGTGGCCCTGATGGATTCTAAACTGGGTAGAGACATGACGAGACTTTCATTTTATGAAAGTGACCCCTGGAGCCAATACCAAGGATGGAGAAAACAAGCTGCCGGCAGGGAGAATGGGTGATCCAGGGAAGAGATGAGGGCCACAACTGAGACATGCGCATTTGCAAGGGAGATGAGGGTCAGACACAACCTTTAGAGGGTGGAATCCACAGAAGTAGTGTTTGATTATATGTGGGGAAAGATTAAAGGGAGGAGTAGAAGTTAAGGATGACTTTCATGCTGCAGACTGGGGTGGAAAATGATCTCGATTCCTAAAATGAGGAATCAAGTAGGGGAAGCAAGTCTGTGGATGAAGATGAGGAATTCAGTTCTTGAATGCTGAGTTACAGTAGGTGACTGAGTAGCAGAATAAAAAGGAAGCTGCAAATGTAAGTATTGGAGTAGGATGAGTGGATTTGGGAGTCCTGGATATGTGAACGAATGGTAAGTCAGACCATTTAGTGGGAATAAGAAGAGGAGTCAGGCAATAGATTCCCCAGAAAATATGGATATTTAAGGGACAAAAGTAAGCAGAGAAAGCATCAAGGGAGTCAGAGAGAACTGCCAGAGAAGTTTTTGTACAGTTTTGTTAAATTTTTCGAGATTCATAAAGGGCTGACCAGTGTCCTGTTTACTTACAATATAAGTCTAAATTCCAGGAAGCCCTGGTGAAAAAGCAGGTCAGGAAAAGAAGAGGCAGAGCTGAGGAGTTTGGCCTTCTTGCTTTCTTTTGTTTTCTAAGTGGCAAAGAATAGGGTGTTCTCAAAGGATAAACAGAAGGATCTACAATGAGGTGTGTAATAGTTCTGCTGGGCTGACCATCTGTGCGAGAAGAATTGAAAACATAAAAATAAATAATGGTCTCTCCTGAAATGATATGACAGCTTAGGACAGGAATTTGGCTACTTTTTATTTTTTGATTTAATATTTCCAAAATAGCTTTTCTTTGATCACTTTTCAATTTAGATTTTGCTTTTAGAATCATAGAATCATATGACACAGAAATTCCACCCAATTCTACCCAAGAGAAATGAAAATAAATATACGTCTATACAAAAGCTCAGAAAATGAATGTTCACAGCAATGTTATTCCAAGTAGCCAAAACTGGAAACAATCTAGCTGTCTATCAACTAGTGAATGGATAAACAAAATGTGATATAGCCATACAATGGAACACTTTTCAGCAATAAATAAGAACAAACTGCTTGATATATGCTGTACATGAATGACTCTTAAAAAATTATGTTAAGAGAAAGACTGAAATGAAAGCAATAGTTGCTTGGAATTAGGGATGGTAGCAGGAATTTACTGCATGTGGGCTGAGGGAACTTTTTGAGATGATGAAAATGCTCTAAAACCATAAATTTACTAAAAAAGTAATGTATACAGTTACAATGGGCACATTTTATGATATGTAAATTATACCACAATAAAGCTTTATGTACCATAAAAATCATAGATTCATATCTTATGGCTGAAAGAGATCATCTATCCAACTCTTTGTCTCAGATTCTTCCAGTTTTTTCCTGCCTATTTCAAGTTATTCCTCTTACTTTGTTGACAAGCTTCTACACATGATGAACTTTATTTAACCTGGCTAGGAGACAGATCATAGACCCTTATAGACATGTTGAAACCTTGTAGTTACCTTCCCAAATGACTAAACCTGTATACTTTAGTAACTGAAACCTCTGTAGTTACTTTTCCAAATGACTAAATGGATTTGGCTGAATTTCATATCCAATACTACCTACAAGATATTTAAAAATTACAAAAATCAGTTTTTGAAGGTTGGGACAAAACTTGTTAGTTGTGACAAAGTTTATGTTGCTCGTTGATTTTCTGAATTCCTTCCCTTGTGTTAATTACAATATTGTTGGCTAACTGGGAAATTTTAAGAATTCTTGAAGTTTGGATATGTTTCTCTCTGATTTTTCCTTCTAGAAGACTAATTCTCTTTCATTTTTGACATGTGAACTATTTCTGGTGAATCTTACAAATTGTCAAAAGGAAGATCCTTGAAAATCATATGTATTGTTCATTATTCTCATTTACCTATGAGTGTCACAGTTTACTAATGATAAAAACAGGATCACAGGCTAGTGTAGGTTTAAAATTCCTAAGTGGTTTTTATGATATTCTTCAAAGATTTTATTCTAGTTACCTATTACCTCTCTTGAACTCTTCTCTCACAGTCAGACTTGTTTATCTGATTCCAAGTACAAGTGTTCATTTGGATGATTTACAGACACCTCTCCCTCAAAGAGTGAAAAATTGTGTTCTCCCTGAAATTGTGTTTTGTTGGATTTCAAGTCATAGCTCCACTATGTGTTAGTTTTACGATCTTGTATAGTAATTTAGCCTCTTTAAGCCTTAGTTTAATTATCTATAAAATGAGGATCATAATAGTATCCATTTCATTGGTTTGTGGTAAATATTGAGATAATTTAAAAAGTACCATAGACTTGATAGCTTATAAACAGCTGAAATTTATTTCTCATAGTTTTGTAGGCAAGAAGTCCAAGATTAGGGTACCAGCATGGTCAGGTTCTGGTAAGGACCCTCTTCTGAGTTGCAGACTATTATCTTCTCATTGTCTTCTTACATGGTACCAAGAGAATAAGAGAGCTTGGGGTCTCTTTTATAAGGGTGCTAATTTCATTCATCAGAGCCCCACCCACCTAATTACTTCTCTAAGGCCCCATTTTCTAATACCATCACGTTAGGGGTTAGGATCACAACATAAATTTGGGGAGGCACAAAAACATTCATTCTATTGCAGGTATCTTCATCAAGTATCTCTGAGCTGTGATATTAGCTGTTGCTCCTGGCTGTGCACCTTCCATTCCTGATTTTCCTACAAGGTTCCATGAACTAGATTCTTTTAATAAATTCCTTAAAAGTTTTTTCAGTAAGTTTCTTCTAGGGTCTAATGTGTCCCCTCTGAAACTTATGTTGAAATTTGATTTCCAATATGGCCAAATTTGATTTCCAATGTTGGGGGGTGGGGCCTAGTGGGAGGTGTTTGAATCAAGGGAGCTTTGCTCTCATGGGAGGCTTCATGCCATTCTTGTAGTAGTGAGTTCTCACTCTTGAGCATCTGGGTTAGTTCTAACAGGAATGAATTAGTTCCCATGAGAGTGGGTGGTTATAAAGTGAGCATGCCCTTGAGTTTTGCCCCCTTGCATGTAGCTGCTTCCCCTTTGACCTTCCACCATGTGATGACGTAGAACAAAAGCCCTCACTAGAAGCCAGTGCCATGCCCTTGAACTCTCCAGCCTGCAGAACTGTGAGCTAAATAAACCACTTTTCTTGCTACATTACCCAGTCTTAGGTATTCTGTTTAGCAACACAAAATGGATGACAGTTTGTATTGTTTGCAATTAATAGCCCTAACTGATAAAGCTGTAGAAAACTTTCATCAAATGAAAGCTTACGTAGAATACGGAATGTGTAAAACAAATAAGCATTTTTAAAAATGAGGAAACCCAAGAACAGGCAAGCTGATTAACTTACTTATGGAATTGCAGCCAGTGGGAGTGACTTTTATGGTGATTTGCGGGAAAGGAGGTTTGATGGTCTGGAGTAATGGAAGCTGCCCAGGTTCATTGGGCCATATCACTTTGGCCATGAGTGACTGAGGCAGCTGTTTTCTCATGGAAGTTGAAGAAAGAGTAAATTTTTTTCTTATTACTTACTTCTTGAGTTTTCCCAGGGAGGGCCTGGTAGTCTGCTATGTGGACTTTTCACTAGGGTACTCTGTAGGCTTCCCATATGGGACCATCCCTTTGTGAAAAGCACAGGGGGTGGAAGTGGTGAGGTGTGGTTGGGAGCTGATGTTGCACAGTTTGTTGTAGTCAGCCTTCCCAACTAGGTCATACAAATAGAAAACATGCTCTCATGCTCTTAAAGATAGAGAATGGCTTCAGGCTGCAGAATTTAATGAGACAATTTAGGTGCCAGGCCAGTCACAGCTTTTGGAAGGAGAGTGTACATGGACTAGGTCTTCTACACTATAGATTACTTGATAATTACAGTGTGTAGCTGGTTGCATTCTATACCACAGAGCAAGGAAATCTCTTTTTGCCAAATGTCCAGAAGGGTTCACCCAAAGTCATGACAGGTGTTTTTATTTCACTTGCAGACTTCTTTGAAAAGCTCTTGGCATGAATAAGTATTTGGCATGGAAGTTAACCTGAAGGGAGTTCCAAGTTGCAGAAAGCCTTTTCTTTGGCTAATAAAATTCCTCCACCTCTTTCATTACCAATATCTTCCCTCTGCTTCCAGGAATTTTTTATTTTGAGAGGTCTCAATCTGGCTCACACCAACATCTGCATACTGAAAGTTTGATTCTGTACTTTTGAAGATTTTAGAGGTAGATAATATATCCTCTCTTGCTACTTCCATATTAAATCTGTGCCTTATCTCAGATTCTGGGGCCTCACTGTCCTTGGTTGGCCCACAGCCACATTTCTGTAGAATCGAGACACTGATAAAATGTGCTTATTATATGAGCTTTTGTGGGTTAATTTTTAAGTGTTTCATATAAATCTCTTCTTTATCTGTTTGGTCACTATTCCTTTCCTGACCATTTACTTCCTTTGTTTCCAGCCTTTTTCCATTGTTTTTTTTGCCCTCTGCATCATTGCCATTCTTCAGGGTAGTGGGAAGGAAATGTATTCCTGTTGTTCTCTTTTTTGATTATGATTTTCACAGTTCTGCTAAATACAAGCACAAATACAAAATAAGATCCTTCATAGAAGTGTTCAAGGCCTTGGGCAGCACAATTCTCTCATGTCTACTTGCATCTGATGGGAGTTCACTGCTTGGTCATGACATTTCTCAGGGTGGAGGGGACTTTTTGAGGGGTATTCCCTGCCTCAAGGAAGACTTTAACCTACTTCATCCCACATAGATTATTTGCCAATGGGAATTTTATAACCTCCTCTAGTGTCTAATGATGTCTCATGAATTTCTGCCTTCTGTTCAGACATGTATATAGATGGTATAAACTGAAAAGGTGTCAACTCATGTTGTCTCTTCATTTCAAAGGATAGTTTGATGCTGAGATAGACTGGGAATTTCAGATTAAGCTCCAGGTCAGATTGCTGCGATTGGGTTGTTAAGAAATCCTCAGGCTTACTTTGAGCAAATTGTTCTGAACTTTAATATCGTCAAGATGGCCTTAGAACTGCCAGCTTACAGAGGCTTTTTATGCTGGATGTGCAAAGACCGGAATTTTACTTGTGGAACTTGGCTTCAGTGAATATCCCCAAGGCCAGGATAGAATTTGCATAATTTCTGGGGGTGGAAACAATACCTTCCTTTCCCCAAAATCACTTTGGTATTAGATTGTCATGAACATACATTTTTCCCCGATAATCAGGGAAAGGAGAGCAACTAACTAAATTAAATGGAGAGCTGTTCTCCATTTAATAGTTATTGATAAGCATAATTAATGGAATCAAACTGTGAATATAACTGATATGTAACTCTTACTGGGCATGAGCTGAAAAGCCATTGCATGTAGGGCCAAATCCAGGCAAATTCTGAGATAACAAAATATAAATTTTTATTATTTTAATTTTTTTAATCTCTTTATCTGGGACTCCTCCTATCTTCATTAATATTCTCTAATACTAATTCATATACCCCACATGCACCCAGCACTCTTATATGTCCTTCCTACCCTCCCTTTTAAAAACTTTCACTCAAGAAAAGATAAAAATGAATTCACACTATTCAGCACTACCAGCAATATTCAGCACTACCAGCACTATTCACACCAAGCATAGCTGAATACAATCAATTATAAAACTCTCTGTGGAATATTAATGAATTTATAGTATGAGAGATACAGTTCTGTATGGTGGATTTTGCTCCATGGAAACTATACCACAGAGAAAATTAGACCATGATATTTGACCTGAAGTTAACCTAATTATTTTGAATAGTTCTTATGGAATGACAAGACAAAACATTTGGTGTAGAGGCTGTCCTGGAAAAATTAAGACACAAGGTCATTGCACACTGATGAGATCACCCATCATATCTTCATAAATTATGTTTTGCTGCAGTAATTTGAGGACTAAATCTGGCCTAACATGACCTTTTCATTTTTTTATTAGCCTTTAGTTAACAGTAGACTAATGTAGACTATTAATGTAAACTCTGGAAATTGGTCAACCATAAATTATGTTGATGGGAAAACTAGCACATATTAAAAATTCTTAGAAGTCACTTTCACTTCAGTAGTACACATAATATAGACCTTGTGTAACTGGATTTCAGGATATGATTATTGAATTTATTTGAAAATAATTTCCAACAAATATAAAAACCACCCGTTCTCTGTAATTTTTTAATGGGGCTGCCTTCCAACATGGAGGAGTCAGGTTAGTATTCACTTCTAGCCTGGAGAAAATGGCATGTTTTCTCAAGTATTTATATAAATGACCATTTATCAGACTATTCTAGAAAAATACATGATAAAATAAGCCTGTTTGAAATGCAGCCTTTTCAAAATTCTAAATTTGAGGCAAGAACTCTTGATCCTAGTTTAAATAATTTGTATATATTTTTCATACCTTTTGTTCCTCACTAACATTTAATCCCACTTTAAATTATGGAATACTTTTTTTTTTCTTCTCAGGGAGAAAAATCTATGTTCACATGAGGAATAGATATATAAAAGCTATCATTGAATAGACTACTTTAGTATGTTATCCTGGAAGGTAAGGAATAAAAATCTTCCATGCCTTTCACAATCGTTGGCCCAGGGTAGATACTCAGTAAATATTGGTTTAATAAACAGAAGGGGAAAAAACCGAATGACCAATTTGAATGATAGACACAAATATTTTCCTTTGAAAAGGGTCACACATTTGTGGTTTAAAATGACATCTGCCTAAAAGTCCTCCATGGACTATCTTCTAACATCTTCTAAAATATTTAAAAAAATAAAAATGTGGTGAAAATGAAAACAGTCTAAATGTAATTACTGTAGACAACCTACTGTAGAGTCTTGGAGAAACTCCAAAGACCAATATTACCAATGTCTGGATTGATAACAATACAACTATTATCCTAGCCTAGCTGTGTTTTGCCACATCAAATCTTACCTATATGAAATAATGGATGATATCTACCTCAGTTACTAATCTCTGATTGAGACCTAGGGGCAAATCAGCTAGAGGACTAGAAAAGTGAGTCTTCTACTCATACTCATGGACGAGGTCAAAATACTCCCATTTTTTTCTCTACATTAAAATAAAGTGAGCTCATTAGGATGATATATATCCCTAGGAGATGTCAACACTTCAGAAGACTATCAGAAAACCTGTTGACCAATCAGAACTACATTTATTAGACCTAATGCAAGAAAGCAGAAGGCTACCTAGATCATCTTAGAAGTGTCATAGAAGAGGCAGATCACAGGAGGATTTTTATAAAGATTATCCAGACTTAAGTGGCTTAAGGTTGGTATTTCAAGGTGGAAACATGTTAGAATTTTGCAAAGTTCCTAACATAATAGTTTAGGATTGACAATTACAATGGTGTGAGGATCTTGAATGATTCCTAATAAGTAAAATATTTCCTGGGCAAGCTGCTTAGATTTTTTTTTTGATAAACTGGTTTTCAGGAATTTACTAAAGCAATAAATGAAGTTATGTATTTATTGACATCCTTATCTTCCTTTAATAATGTCCTAGCATAAATACTTAAGTCATGTTGACACAGCTGTCCTGACTCCTCCGTTTGGATAGTGAAGCTCTGTGGATGCAAGTGTTTTCAACTCTCACCAGTTAGGAAGTAGGGAGAGACTGAGGTGATCATTGCATCCTGGAACATTTAAAGCAGAGGTAAGTAGTCTGAAAATAGGAAGAGTCTTGGTTTCAGGAAATGCCGTGGATTGCAAATTGTGCACAATCTCTTAGGATTATCAGACACCTAGGAGGTGGAATTTGAAGCCAAGCTCACCTAAATTTAGCTGAAGCACATGAAGACCTGGAAGACACTGGGAATTAAATTAGAAACTGCACATGTTAACCTGCAGTAAGCCTCGAATGGAATTTTGACTGGCATCCAGCCAAAGAATGAGCAGAGCCAATGACCTGCTATTTCCCTAGTCTTTTGGAAATACCACGTCTTTATATTTGAAGATAAATACACAGAACAAAACTTACATAGGGCCAATAGAAATACAATTGGAGAGTGGAAAAAAAATCATGTGTAGGCTCATGGAAGGGCATAGAGCTCAAAATGATTTACCTTGGAAATCACAGAAAAGTTTATATGCTATTTGGTGTTCTTGGTAGGGTGCACAATGACCTGACCACCATGAAAAAGGAGCAGAAAATTATAGGCATTGAAGAACTCAAATAAAATGAAAAGGGCATAAAATAAGGAGATGAGAAGATAAGATACAGGGAGCAAGAAGAAAACAATTAAGATAAACAGTCTAATAGCACATTCTTTCTACAGGTTCCTTGTTAAAGAATAAACAGTTTTGAATTGTGTTGCAGGATTTGTGACTTTAGAAGCAATTTTTCTTTTAAACATGTCACAGCAGAGACAAAGAGCTGCTGTTCAAACACTGGAACTAACAGTTTTTTGGTAACAGTTTTTGGACACTGGTGGAAACAAGAATACGGGTTTGGGGAGGAAAATTAAAAATTCAAAAATTACATTTGTTTGATTTATGAATTACCACAATCACATTAAAAACATACTTTATAATTCTTAACTTTTGGAAAAGCATGTAGAAGTCTACAGTGCAGATGGCTAAAAACAGGACTTCATATTAAATGAATTTAATAGTAGTATAGTCCTTATTTCTATACATTGAATAGTGGAAAAACAACAAAAATAATTTCATTATATCAGAAAATAGTTGTAAAATAGACCTGAGTTTAGCTCATCAGGTCACAACTACTGTGTATCCTCTAACCTCTCTTACCAGCAAAGAGAAGATATGTAGAACAGAGTACTGGAATAAAAAAATAAAAGTTCCCTTATAAATAGATGAGAGGGTTCATAATTTTCTTTTAATCAAAACTGACTTTCTTTTTGAAAGGAGAATCACATTTGTGATTACAGATTTTTTTCTCTCTCAAGATGAGAATGCTATATCCTTTAATTTAGATACGTGTAAGACATTCTATAACTAGATTTCAGCAGAGTAATTTAATTGGAAAGAACTAGTTAACATAAAGTTAGATATACATAACTTCATAAAGCTGGTTACAAAATTTAATAGAAATTTCCTGGATAAGAGTGAAATGAAGCTTCCCTGAAGAATATCCCTACTACAATTCGTAATGAACTGAAAGACAATAAGAGAGTACAAATCAGCACCCCCACGTCTTTCCCCTCCAACAAATAAAAAAGTCCACAGCAGCAATTAAAACCAGAATGGGACAAAACCCAGTGCTTCAAAGAATTATAGCTAAGGAAAGAAACATGACTGTGGAATGGTGAGCCTCTTAAACCCAACCCACTCCTCAGGAGCCCTAGTGACAGGTAGGAAAATTCCTGAGAATTTTGTCTTACACTCCCCAATCTGGAGAGAAGCAACCTGAGTCTGTGACCTTATATTTGCCCTGACTGGAGTTAGGGGAAGTCACCATGTTTGAAATTAATGATTCAGGTACAATGAACAAGGGCTGCCCCTCCCTGAGAGAAGTAAAAATTTCAGAACTAACAATGAATTTGGGGCATGATCCAAAATAGGAAAGCATATCTCAGAGAATAATACTTTGCCATGTTGAGTGAAACTTGACGCAAGAACTTCAAAGCCCAGGTCCTTTTAACAAAGATTGCTCAACATTGTAACTGAAGTCTCTTCCTCCCTCTACTGCCCTGCTCTCAAGCTACTGGGGAAGAGAATGAAAGATCCTGTGTGAAGCCAGAGGAAAACTCCTCAGCTGATACTGCCACATTTGGCAACATTGAAAAAATATCAATGCTTTTCTTGTGTTCAAGATTTATCAATGCTAATAAAAGATCATCTTCTAGGAACTTAGAATTGTAAGAGAATAGAGCACATTGAACAATTTTTGTTATTGCTCAGAAAACATCACAGACTATGTGTATTTCTGAAAATACAAAAAAGTAGAAGAAAAGAAACGAATCTTGGTAATGCCATTCTCCATTTAAATGATGATCATAGACCTATTGTCAAACACATTAACAACATTGTAAAACAAACAAATACGTTAAACAAAAAAAGTTTTGTGACACCATGTACTTTTCCAATGAATAAGGCTTAAAAATGTAAGTGTTAACAAGGCCCAGAGCAGTGTTTTGTAAACCAAGGGTCTTATACAATTAAATAATTATTTGATCCTAGCGGCTCAAAATTAGTATTTTTAAAAATTATAAAATAAAATGGAACAGAATAAAAATATAGTTTACCCTTAAACAACTTGTGGGTTAGGGGTGCTGATCTCCCTGAGAAATTGAAAATCCCTGTGTAACTTCTGACTCACCAAAAGCTTACCTACAAATAACCCACTATTGACCAGAAGCTTTACTGGTAACACAGAAAGGTGATTAATGTATATTTTGTATGTTATATATATTATATACTGTATTCTTACAATAAAGCTAGAGAAAAAATGTTATTTAGAAAATCATAAGGAAGAGAACAACAACTCTTGTTGTTCAAGGCTGCACTGAATATCAGTGCATTTTGTAAAGGTAAGTTTTTTTTTTTTGTAAAACTGTTACTTAATTTGTGTGTGGGCATGTGTTCACAGAGTTGTAATGTAAAATGCATTTCTTTCTGGGGATTATAAAAAAGAATTTTTAAGGCCATCAACCTACAAATTAAAAATTATATCTCAGATGCATAAAGGCCACCTATATCTTACATTAGAGAAAATAAAACACAAGAGAGAAAATCTTTTACAATAAATAGCATACCAAAATCGAATCTTCACTAGTCAGCAAATTAAGTCTGTTTAGGTAATTAGACTATAGAAATTCAAGGTTTCTTTTTATCATCTTAAAGTGAGGCTCCCTCCAACCTTTCTTTTAATTAAAAAATGTATCATTAAGCCCTAGAGACCACTTATGTTCTTGTCCTAATTCCCACCTATTCCAAAATATTACTTTTCTTAAAACTCGAGATTTATGAATGTTATTCTACAATTTTCTTACTAAATAAAGACTTGCCTTTTCTAATTCTAAATTGATCATATAGACAATATTAAATGTGAAAAGGCTAGTCATTAAAATTTCACAGATACAGCCACCTCTGTACACAAAAGCAAATTCATAGCTTTAAATCATATACTAAATATAGGATAGGAGAAACAAAAGGCAGCTAGGAGACACGACTAACATGCAGATCCCACTTAGATGGAAAGAACAGCATCTAAATACTCACACTGTGAACATTTACTTCAAGAACAACTGTAAGAACATACCAGGAAAATAGAAAGAATTCATAGATCCTTCGAAAGAAGCAGCTTACTGCTGCAAATGCTGTGAGACAGCCAAAAAACTGTGAGTTCCCAAAGTGTGAGAGGGGAAAAAGTCAGCCTCCAAACACACATTCCCACTGGAAAACTTGAAAATCCAGGTTACTGGAGAAGGATTTAACCTTACCTAGAGCTGAAATGGATTTAGGGGGCTGAACAACATATGAAAATAGAGGAAGCAATGGGAAGGGCCCTGTAAGCACTCCCAGTTCTCAGCTCAAGCCCAGGGAAGCCATTATTGGCCTTATCTCACAGAGGTCCTTGGGGACGGGAAGGCAGCCAGAGGAATTTGGGAGGGTCCACAGGGTGAAGGAAGCTCCTAGCTGAACTTTGTAATCATTTCAACTGAGCATGAACTTTTCCTGAGCAGAATCCAGTGTTGGGAGGGTGAAAGGGAAGTACAGATGAGTGCAGAAGCCACAGCCAAAGGTGTGGGCAGGTGGGGAGGGGCAAGGTCTGAGAGCCCTGCTTGCTTTCTCAGTGGGGAGGCTTGTAGCCTGGGGTAAGATCTCAGCCCTGCTTGAAGGCTGCCTGGATATAAACTCAGCATGATTAGGGAGGCATGGCAGGAGTGAGACTGGCCTTGCTGGCTGTGTGTGAGCTGGGTGAGGCCTTTCACTGCTGGCTTTCCTTCACTTCCCTATGACACAGTAGAGGCAGCCATAACCCCCCTGGGAACATAACTCCATTGGCCTGAGAACCACCCCCAATCCCCTATAGTGGTCACAGTAAGTCTCACCCAAGGAGAGTCTGAGCTCAGACCCACCTAACCCTGCCCCCACCTGATGGTTTTTTTCTACCCACTCTGGTAGCTGAAGACAAAAGGCATAACATCTTGGGAGCTCTATGGCCCTGCCCATCACCTGAGAAACTAGAGTACTCATCCTGGCCAATGTAGGACAAGATTATATCCCCCTTCTACTACTGCAGCTGGAACTCTCTTGATAAACTGCCACCTCCTGGCTGGAGGCCAACCAATTCAAGCCATTACAGCAACTTAGACAAGAACAACACTGCTCCAGTGAAGGAGAAAACAATAGCTAATTCCACTAACTGCAATACCCTGGCTAGCCAGAGGTCTTCAGTCTGTTTACATGACAACTTAACTGTTAGCATAACCAGGATTCCAGAAAACCAGTGTACTAAACAAAAGTACAACCAAAGACTTCCACAGAGTCTACTCTTCTGCCACCTCCAATGGAGCAGGTGCTGATATTCATGGCTGGGAGACCTGAAGATGAATCACATCACAGGACTTTTTGCAGACGTTCTCCAGCACCAGCCTGGAGCTCAGTAGCCCCGCTGGGTGGCTAGACTGAGAAGAACAATAACAATCACTGCAGTCTGGCTCTCAGGAAGCCCTATACTTACAGGAAGAGGGAGAGCACCACATCAAGGGCTCACTCTGTGGGACAAAAGAATCTGAATGGCAGCCCTTGAGTTTCAGATCTTTCCATTGAAGCAGTCTACTCAAAGGAGAAGGCAACAGAAAAGTAATTCTGGTAATATGACAAAACAAGGTTGTATAAAACCCCTGAAAGATCACACTAGCTCTCCAGCAATGAATCCAAATGAAAAAGAAATCTCTGAATTGCCAGAAAAAGAATTCAGAAGGTTGATTATTAATCTACTTAAGAATGCACCAGAGAAAGGTGATAACCAACTTAAATAATTTAAAAAACAATACAGGATATGGGTGAAAAAGTCTCCAGAGAAATAGATATCATAAAGAAAAGACATCACAAGTTCTGGAAATGAAAGACACACTTAGAGAAATGCAAAATACACTGGAAAGTTTCAATAGAATTGAACAAGTAGAAGAAAGAAAATCAGAGCTTGAGGATAAGTCTTTTGACTTAACCGGATCTGACAAAGACAAAGAAAAAATATTTAAAAAATGAACAAAGCCTCCAGTAAATTTGGGATCATGTTAAATGACCAAACATAAGAATAATTGGTATTCCTGAGGAAAAGGAGAAATCTAAAAGTTCAGAAAAATTACTTGAGGGAATAATCAAAGAAAATTTCCCTGGTCTTGCTAGAGATGTAGACATCCAAATACAAGAAGCTCAAAGAACACCAGGAAATTCATTGCATAAAGATCGCCACCTAGGCACATAGCCATCCCGTTATCTAAAGTCAAGATGAAGGAAAGAATCTTAAGAGCTGTGAGGCAAAAACATCAGGTAACCTATGAAGGAAAACTTATCAGATGAACAGTGGATTTCTCAGCAGACACCCTGCCAGCCAGAAGGGACTGGGGCCCTATCTTTAGCCTCCTTAAACAAAATAATTATCAGCCAAAAATTTTGTATATAGCAAAACTAAGCTTCATAATGAAGGAGAGATAAAATCTTTTTCAGACAAGCAAATGCTGAGAGAATTTGCCACTACCAAGTCAGCACTACAAGAAATGTTAAAAGGAGTCCTGAGTCTTGAAATAAACCTGAAATATACTAAAATAGAAGCTCCTTAAAGCATAAATCTCACAGGATCTATAAAACAATAACACAATGAAAAAAACCCAAGGTATTCAGGCAACAGCTAGCATGATGGATACAACAGTACCTCACATCTCAATACTTAACTTTGAATGTAAATGGCCTAAATGCTTACTTAAAAGATACAGAATGGCAGAGTGGATAAAAATCCATGAACCAAGTATCTGCTGTCTTCAAGAGACTCACCTAACACATAAGGACTCACATAAACTTAAGATAAAGGAGTTGAAAAGGTATTCCTTGAAAATGGAAACCAAAAGTGAGCCAGAGTAGTTATTCTTATATCAAACAAAACAGACTTTAAAGAAACCGTTGAAAAAGACAAAGAGGGGCATTATTTAACAAAAGGATTAGACCAACAGGAAAATATCACAATCCTAAATATACATGTGCCTAACACTGGAGCTCCCAAATTTATAAAACTATTACTACTAGATCTAAGAAATGAGATAAGATGGCAACGCAATAGTAGTGGGGGACTCCATACTCCACTGACAGCACTAGAGAAGTCATCAAGGAAGTCAACCAAGAAACAATGGACTTAAACTATATTCTAGAACAAATGGACTTAACAAATATTTACAGAACATTCTACCCAACAACTGCAGAACATACATTCTTTTCATCAGCATATGGAACATTCTTCAAGATAGACCCTATGATAGGCCACAAAACAAGTCTAAATAAATTTAAGAAAATCAAAATTATATTAAGCACTCTCTCAGATCACAGTGGAATAAAATTAGAAATCAACTCCAAAAGGAACCCTAAAAACTATACAAACACATGGAAATTAATCTGCTACTGAATGATCTCTAGGTTAACAATGAAATCAAGAGGAAAATTAAACAATTAGTTGAACTGAAAGATAATAGTGACACAACCTATCAAAACCTCTGGGATACATCAAAAGTGGTGCTAAGAGGAAAGTTTATAGCATTAAATGCCTACATTGAAACTCTGAAGGAGTACAAATGGACAATCTAAGATCACACTTCAAGGAACTAGAAAAACAAGGACAATCAAAACCCAAACCCAGCAGAGGAAAAGAAATAACAAAGATCAGAGCAGGACTAAGTGAAATTGAAACAAGAAAAACAATACAAAAGATAAATGAAACAAAAAGCTGGTTCTTAGAAAAGATAAACAATATTGATAGACCATTAGCGAGATTAACAAAGAAAAGAAGAGAGAAGACTCAAATAAACTTAACTAGAAATGAAATGGGAGGTATAACAACTAATACCACAGAAATACAAAAGATTATTCAAGGCTACTATGAACAGCTTTACGCACACAAACTAGAAGACCTAGAAGAGATGGATAAATTCCTGGAAATATACAACCCTCCTATATTAAACCAGAAAGAAATAGAAACTCTGAACAGACCAATAACAAGTAAAGTAGCAAGATTGAAACAGTATTAAAAACATTGCCAACAAATAAAGTCCAGGACCAGATGGATTCACAGCCAAATTTTATCAGATATTCAAAGAAGAATTGGTACCAGTCCTACTGAAGCTATTCCAAAAGATAGAGAAGGAAGGAATCCTCCCTCAATCATTCTGTGAAGGCAGTATCACCCTAATACAAAAACCAGGAAGGGACATAACAAAATACAGAAAACTACAGACCAGTATCCTGATGAACATAGATGCAAAAATCCTCAGCTAGCTAACCAAATCCAATAGCATAGCAAAAAGGTAATCCATCACGATCAAGTGGGTTTCATAGCAGGGCTGCAGGGTTGGTTTAACATATGCAAGTTAATATCACAAGTCAATAAATGTGATACACCACATAAAGAGAAGTAAAAACAAAAATAATATGATTATCTCAATAGACACAGAAAAAGCATTTAACCAAATCCAGCATCCTTTTATGATTAAAACTCTCAGCAAAATCAGCACAGAAGGGACATATCTTAAAATAGTAAAAGCTATCTATGACAAACCCAGAACCAACTTTATACTGAATGGGGAAAAGTTGAAAGCATTTCCCTTGAGAACTGGAACAAGACAAGGATGCCCACTGTTGCCACTTCTATTCAAAATAGTACCAGAAGTCCTCTCTAGAGCAATCAGACAGGAGAAAGAAATAAAGGGCATCCAAATTGGTAAAGAAGTCAAACTGTTGCTCTTTGCTGATGATATGATCATCTACCTAGAAAACCCTAAAGACTCATCCAAAAAGCTCCAAGAACTGCTAAATGAATTCAGCAAACTTTCAGGATACACAATTATTGTACACAAATCAGTAGCTCTGCTATACACCAACAATCACCAAGCTGAGAATCAAATCAAGAACTCAACCCCTTTTACAATAGCTGTAAAGATAAATAAAATACTTAGGAATATACCTAACCAAGGATGTAAAAAACCTCTACAAGAAAAACTACAAAACACTGCTGAAAGAATTCATAAGCAACACATACAAATGAAAACACATCCCATGCTCATGGATGGATAGTATCAGTATTGTGAAAATGACCATACTGCCAAAAGCAGTCTACAAATTCAATGCAGTTCCCACCAAAATACCACCATCATTCTTCACAGAGCAAGAAAAAACAATCCTAAAATTCATATGGAACCAAAAAAGAGTCTGCATAGCCAAAGCAAGACTAAGCAAAAAGAACAAATCTGGAGGCATCACATTACCCAACTACAAACTATACTATAAGGCCATAGTCACCAAAACGGCATAGTACTGGAATAAAAATAGGCTTATAGAGCAATAGAACATAATCAGAAATAAAGCCAAATACTTAACAGCCAGCTGATTTTTGACAAAGCAAACAAAAACATAAAGTGGGGAAAGGACACCCTATTCAACAAATGATGCTGGGATAATTGGCTAGCCACATGTGGAAGCATAAAACTGGATCTTCATCTCTCATCTTATGCATAAATCACCTCAAGATAGATCAAAGACTTAAATCTATGACCTGAAACCATAAAGATTCTAGATGATAACATTGGAAAAACCTTTGTAGACATTGGCTTAGGCAAAGACTTCATGACCAAGAACCCAAAAGCAGTTGGAAAAAAGACAGAGATAAATAGATGGGACCCAATTAAACTGAAAAGCTTCAGCACAGCAAAAGAAATAATCAGCAGAGTAAACAGACAACCCACAGAGTGGGAGAAAATATTCACAAAGTATGCATTGGCAAAAGACTAATATCCAGAACTTACAAGGAACTCAAACAAATCAGGAAAAAAAAAACAATCCCATCAAAAAGTGTGCTAAAGACATGAATAGACAATTCTCAAAAGAAGATATACAAATGGCCAACAAGCATATGAAAAAATGCTCAACATCACTAATTATCGGGGAAATGCAAAGCAAAACCACAATGAGATACCACATTACTCCTGCAAGAATAGCCATAATTAGAAAATCAAAAAATAATAGATGATGGCATTGATGTGAAAGGGGAACGCTTTTACACTGCTGGTGGGAATGCCAGCTAGTACAACCACTATATATTTTACCTAACAACTAGAAATGTTACAACAAAACAAACATAAGAAAAAAAGAGGAGGAACTGATAAATAGGAAAGCACACACAAATGATTTTGAATACAGAATGGATAAATAAAATTGATGTATTTCTTTGGGAAAAATTATACCTATGGCAAGATTAAGTAAGTAAAAGAGAAACCCCATCCCCTGCAGAACTAACAAACAAATTTGAAAGAAAAATGGTATTTATCATCAGAAAAAATAAATTATTGAAAATTACAAAAGAATAATATGTGCACCTCTATTTGGAAATATATGAGACTAGAGATATTTTTGAAACAAAATTAAATAATAGAAAGCAGAAAGTATTAACTGTTCAATAATACTGGAAGAAATAACAAAAATCAGTTAACTTTCCCAAAGATTGCAGAGTCAAATGGTCTTAAAGAGTAGTTATTTTAAGCCATTAAGTTACTACTATTTCCCTCAGTATATTCAATTTTTGAAAGTATAGAAAAAGTGAAAACATCTTCATTAGGTTTTATGAAGGTAGCATAATCTTAATACTAAATGATAACACAAAAATTAAAAAATGAAAATAAAATAATTAAATATAATGAAGCTACTTAGCTCATATTTGAGTTTAAATGATAAAATGTTTAGTAAAATATTAGCAAATCAAGTTACTAGTCTATTAGAAAGTAAATATTGAGATAAAGAAGGGTTTATTTCAGAAATAGAAGAGGATTTTAAAAATGAGAATTCATTAATATATTAGTGTCAAAATTGTATATTTTAATATTTCATATAGTAATGGTATTAAAGAAGGACATTTTTCTTATTTAAAAACATTAAAAACTCTTTGTAAAAGAGTTCAATATTTTTGAAAGTTATAGAGGTTATCTATTTTCAAATAATAGACAAACAGGTGCAGGAGCCAATGAAATGTGCTCCCAATGGCTAAAGCTAGAACAAGTTGAGCAGAAAAACTTTTTTTTAAGTATTGGATTATAAGTCAAAGTATAAAAAGCTATGCATGAGTTCATACAGATATAAATAAATGATTATTATTCAATGAGGGAGAAGAGATAAATTTACTTTGCAGAATTCCAAGTAAGTTATGTAGATACTCTAACCTAAGAAGAGAATAAAACTTGCCATCCTTTAAGACTACATATAATGACTTCCTTCTAAAGAGTGCGATATGGAAACAGGGAAAAAAGTGTAATATTACAATGGATAAATCTGACAAACACACTTCATGCAGGTGATGAAGGTAAACATAAACAGTGATAAGTTATGATGATATTATGTTTCCTGGATATGACATGAAAAGGAATTTTATATTTGCGGTCTTATTTCTTAAATCCCATAAATCTAGTCTAATCATGAGAAGAACATCAGAAAAATCCTAATAGAGGAGAAGCCTGGAGAATAACTTCCTCAAAATTGTCAAGGTCATTAAAAACAAAGAAAGTCTGAGAAAATGTCACAACCAAGAGCCTAAGGAGCCAGGACAACTAAATGTCGTGTGGTAACCTAGATGGGATCCTGGATCATTAAAAGGAATCTGGTGAAAACTAAAGACATACACGATGTATATGTATATATTCAGTATAATTGTATATAACATGTATATATTCAGTATAATTGTATATAATATGTATATATTCAGTATAAACTGAATACACGATGTATGAATTTTAGTTACTAATAAATGTATCATTATTTTTTCATTAATTGCAACAAATGTACCATACTATAGTTATATTATAACTAATATTATTTTAAATCATGTTTTTTGCCATTAAAAGTAGATGGCAATTACTTTTGCACCAACCTATAATATAAAATGTTAATAAGCGGAAACTGTGCAGAACACATGGGAGCTCTTTGGAGTATCTGTTCAATTTTTCTGTAAATCTAAACTGCTCTAAAAATTGTTAGTTAAAACACGTACAAAATGCAATTGCCACATTCAGTCTGAACAGTGAAAAACTATTCTAGTGGATTTTTGATTACTATAGTTCTTTTTAGAAGTTCTAAATTAAACAGTAGTAAATGAAACAGAAATATGGTTTAAAAATAAGTGAAAAATAATCTTTCTTTACAGGAGATAGTACAGTTTTCTAGAAAACTCAATAGAATAAAAAAAACTCTTAGAAATAAAAAAGAAAATTCAGAAAACTGGGTGCCTACAATATGTATATATTTTTCATACACCAGTAATAACCAGTTATAAAATAAAATAGAAGATCTCATTTGTAGCCCTCCAAAATAGAAAATACCTAAGAATTAACAATATAATAGGAAGTTTGTACATGAAAAAGAAAACCTCGTAAAACTATTCTGAAAGATGTAAAATATTTGCATAATGGAAACAAGGCTCTTTGTGGCAGAATCTGGTAGTTGTTGTCTGATATCCATTGTTGCATTCTTCCTTTTAGGGATAGAACCCCATGTTTTTAGTGGGGGTCATGTAACCTAGGAAGAGTTCACATTTCCCACCCCATCTTGCATTTGAGTGCAGTGGTCACATAATTAAGTCCTGGTCTATTGGATATGAGTGGAAGTGATGTGAATGCCTAGGCCACATCCTTAAGAGGAAACTACTCTCACTTTTTACTCCTCCATGCTTGGGTCCGCAACACAGATGTGGTGGATGTGATGAGCTCCTGATTTACTGGACTTCCCTTAAGTGGAAAGTTATTTATTTATTTATTTATTTGAGATGGAGTCTGGCTCTGTTGCCCAGGTTGGAGTGCAGTAGCACAATCTCGGCTCACTGCAACCTCCACCTCCCAGGTTTAAGGGATTCTGCTGCCTCAGCCTCCTGAGTAGCTGTGACTACAGGCGCCCGCCACCACGCCCAGCTAATTTTTTTGTATCTTTAGTAGAGACGGGATTTCACCGTGTTAGCCAGGATGGTCTCGATCTCCTGACCTTGTGATCCGCCTGCCTCGGCCTCCCAAATTGCTGGGATTACCAGCATGAGCCACCACGCCCACCAAAAGCGTATTTTTGTCTTCATTTTTAGCTCTAATATTTTCTTTTTCCAGAACCAATTGTTCCCCGCGAGATATTTAGAAACTTTAAAGTAACCTTGAAAGACTCCGACATAACACCTTGAGTAAGCTTGAGTCACGGGACTATGGTGCCACCTTGCTGTGTTTTTCATGCCCCTGAGGTCTTTGGCAGCATCCTCTGTGATATGAATACCATTTGTAGTTTGCCTACACTTTTAATAAAACCTTTTTGCTGGAATAAGCATTGCTCCTTCCAAGTTGTTTCTTGCCCAAGAAGGCAATGCTCATAAGTGCCACCATATAAGCAAATATCTTGCAAAACTTGTGTCTTTGGTTTTGTGCACAGTTGCTGATGAAGAGATGTTCTTCCTAAGGAATCAGGTTATTCAGGCTTAGCGGCATATTTTTCTGAGTTGAAGCTTGTTTTAGAAATTGTTTTAAAGTTTCTTTTAGCATGTATAGAGAAATAAATAAATAAAATAGTGAGATATCCTCATTGTAAGAAGAAAGTCAAAGAGTATCTTACTTGACTATTTTCCTTACTTTCCTCCTGTCTTGAAACAATGCCACTAGTGTGGAAAGGTTATACAAACACAGTCCTTAAGGAAATTGACACATGCTGAACATCGATTGTGTGGGTAGGGGTGGGGGAGGTGGAGCTTAAGCTGGTCTATTTTCTATTACAATTCCAACTTGCCTAGTTGTCTGTCAATCCATTCTCTTCTCATCTCCTTATCTCCTTTCTCCCCTTGCCTAGTGGAGCAGCTTCTGGAGATCTTCTTGTTGAGTGTATCAGCACACACATGCATACTCTCCAGTCTCTGAGAAGGGCAGAATCAGCCCAATTTCACCCATGTGACTGGACAAACAATTCCAGATTATGTTGATAACACCTTTGTTTATAAAATAAATGTTACTAATGTTCTCATGACAAATGGGTTAAACCGATGTTTAAGATCCCTACATTTGGCTTGCATAGTTGATTTTCCTCTTGTTTTCAAAATGAAAATTGTTACATTATTTATTCTAACTGCAAAATAATACAGGCTTTTGTAAAATGTTCAGATATTAGAGAAACATATTAAAGTAAAAGTTACCTACATTTCAGTATCTAGAGATAACCACTCCTACCATTTTGGTGTGTCCTTCCAGGTGGCTTTCCATGCCATCTTTCTCAAACTGCTGTCTGTAAAATGCTGGTTCAGATTATTTTTTAAAGTAGAAGACTTTAATGAAAAGTTTGAGAAATGCTGGGTTAAACAATGTTAAGCATGCTTGCTGTAGGCCACAGAATTTTTATTCCTGATTGTGCTATGAGAAACTCTAAAAAAGACTTAATGTGCAGTACTTCCCAAATCTATGAGACTGGAATACCTTTTTTTGGAGAACAAAACAAAGAAAATCTGGAAAATGCTATCCTTTGAACATTTACTCATACATTAATACATGTCATACAAATGAGATAAAAAACTCAACCTAGTTTTTATCCTGTTTCCATATAAACTCAACAATGTATGATGAACATTTGCCCATATCCATAAATAGAGATTTACATCATTCTTAATGACTGTGTAATATTGCATTATATATATGTATTATCCTCTAGTGAACCAAATTCTCTGTTAATGGACATTGGACACAAAGGAACATTGAGCAAAGAGGCAAAAAAAAAGAAACATGCGCTGAATTCAGAAAAATATTTGCGAAAACTAAAATGAAATCAGTAAGCAAACAGGTGAGTATATCTTTAAGAACATGTACAGAGAACACAGAGAATTCACAGAAAGAAAAACAGTAGACCATTATAAACATAAAATAATGTTCAGCATTACATCTATGCCATGCAAATAAGGATATCCAGTTTTAATATTTAATTGATTAAAGTAGCAAAAAATAAAGACTAACAAAATACAGCATTGTTGAGGATTTGGGAAAGTGTACACTTTCACCCTGTTATTGAAAAATGTAAATTGGTACCATCTTTCTTGAGGGTAGGGTATCTACACCCATTATAATTTTCAATAAGCATATCCTTGGAAACAGTAGGCCCAGTTTAGATTACTTTTTTGGCTACAAGACTATGATCTCTTTTTTTATAAACAATCCCTTATTGAGATCTTGCCCTGGGCTGCACACTGTGCTAGATTCGTGGACAAGACAATTTTCTCAAGAAGCCTATGATATGTACAGTTTGAGCAAATAAGGCTCACACAGAAACCACTGGACTGTCTCCAAAAACTTCTGAATCTCTAGTAATAATAATGCATTTGAATAAAATCATGATTAGAACACTGAAATTAATCAAGCTTTTTCTAAACAGAATGTTTCTAGTTTCAATAGTGATTAGAAGAAAGTTTATATTCCTTTAATTTCCTGGCAGGGCTAGCATTTGTTACAACTGGAAATCCTGCTAGTGAGTATAAGCTAATAAACAGCAGGTTTCAGAAATCAGGATTTTATATTCTGAGACATGCTTTTCTGTCTTTTTCTTCTTGCACATAATTACACTTCTATTTCCATCATGTTTTCCTACTTCAGTCACTGAATGTAGCTTTCTTCATCAGAAAAATAAATTCTGATACAGAGGAAGAAGTCAGCTGGATGCATATATTTAATCCATTCAATTGGAAGCTCTGTGAGGGAATGGATTGTTTTACCCTCCACAGATCCCCAGTACCCAGTGCCTATTGCTAAGCCCATTGGGTTATTAGCCTATTGCTAAGTCCACCATTGGGTGGACTCAATATTTGTTGACTATAGTTTGAGTGGACCTCACATAAGGTGATGTTAATAAACTTAGAGCTTTGAAGGTGAGTTCTAGATGGAAAGCTTAGCCATGATATCTACTCCACATCCAAGTACTTTTTAAACATAATTGCCTAGATAGAAATGTAAAATCACTGGATGGAAATAGTAGAAACTTCATGGCCAAATGCAAATTTAGCTAAATGAAAATTATAAGAAGCAAGTATTTGGAAATTCGTCGTTGTCTAAATCAGACTGGATCATTAACATAGAGTATCAAGAAACAGGTGATTTGATAAATACGAAAATAAAATGGAAGGAGAAGGAAAGGGAATCAGAAAAAGTATGTGTTAAGGACATTAAGTACAGCTTATACCTTTATGGGTATACTACCTTTAATCCTCCCTATCCCTACAATGCTGCAATATTTTTGTTACTGTGCTATTTTACAAACGAGGACAGAATGTGTCTAACAGTTTAAATAATTTACTAAAGACCACCTACCCTGCTAGTACCTGGAATATATTGGAAATAAGCTCTGCCATTCCTTCTTATAGGGAAAGACTTGCCAAACATGGTGAAGATAGCAAATCGAAGGAACAGCATGAGAATTATCCAGTTGATAAACTATGGAAGTAGTTCTCACACTTTAGTGTATCAGAATCACCAAAGAGCTTGTCAAAACCGGCTTTCTGGGCCCCACCTTCAGAGTTTCTGAATCAGTAGGTCTGGCATGGAGTCAGATAATCTGCATTTCCAACCAGTTCCCAGGTGCTGCTGTTGCAGCTGCCAGTCCAGGAAACACACCTTGAGAATCATTGGAATAGAGGAATTTCATTATTATCATCTGTCTTGATTTTAGAAGGGGATTTGCGAAGTCTTTTTATGATATCCATTTGGTCAAGATTTTTTTAAGTATTAATCCATAATTAATTCAACAAATGAGTCATTCAACAAATAGAATAGTGACTGAGACAAAGCATGGAATTACAGTGGAAACCTGTTCCTAATATATGAAAAGTGACTTAATGACTTAATAGATATTTTAAAAGTTTAGATCATAAAGTCAATATATGGTTGAAGAAAAGAGGCTCTAAAATTACTAAGGCTTTTTCTGATTATATTAATACAGGCAGTCTATCTATTTTACTAAATTTTTTTGAGAAACTCACTCCTGAATTCATTGATCTTTTGAATGGTTTTTGTGGCCCGATTTCCTTCAGTTTAGCTCTGCTTTTGGTTATTTCTTGTATTCTTCTAGCTTTGGGATTTGTTTGCTCTTGGTTCTCTAGCTCTTTTCTTTGAGATCTTAGGTTGTTAACTTGAGCTCTTTCTAAGTTTTTGATGTGGCCAATTAGTGCCATAAATTTCCCTCTTAACATTATCTTAGTTGTGTCCCAGATATTCTGGTTCATTGTATTGGTTTCAAAGATCTTGATTTCTGCCTTAATTTCATTATTTACTCAAAAGTCATTCAGGAGCAGGTCGTTCAATTTCCTTGTAATTATATGGTTTTGAGTGAATTACTTAGTCTTGAGTTCTAATTTGATTGCACTGTGGTCCAAGAGATTTATGATTTCAGTTCTTTTGCATTTGCTGAGGAGTGTTTTACTTATGATTATGTGATTGATTTTAGAGTAAGTGCCATGTGGTGATGAGACGAATGTGTATTCTGTTGTTTTTTCTGTAGGTATCTACAAGGTCCAGTTGATCCAGTGCTGAGTTCAGGTCCTGAATATCTTTGTTGATTTTCTGTCTCAATGATCTGTCTAATATTGTCAGGGGAAAGTTAAAGGTCTCCTGCTACTATTGTGTAGGGGTTTAAGTCACTTTGAATGTCTCTAAGAACTTGCTTTATAAATCTGGGTGCTCCTGTGTTGGGCTCATATATATTTAGGATAGTTAGCTCTTCTTGTTGAATTGAACCCTTTATCATTATGTAATACCCTTCTTTGTCTTTTTTGATCAACACCCTTCTTTGTCTTTTTTGATCTTTGTTGGTTTAAATACTGTTTTATCTGAAAATAGAATTGCAACACCTCCTTTTTTTCTGTTTTCCATTTGCTTGGTAAATTTTCCTTCATCCCTTTACTTTGAGTGTCTTTGGAGGTGACGCATCTCTTGAAGGCAGCATACCAATGGGTCTTGGCTCTTTACCCAGCTTGCCACTCTGTGTCTTATAATTAGGGCATTACATTTAAAGTTAGTATTGTTATACATGGATTTCATCTTGTCATTGTGATGCTAGCTGGTTATTTTGCCAACTTATTTATGTGACTGCTTTATAGTGTCACTGGTCTGTATACTTGACTGTATGTTTGTAGTGGCTGGTAGTGATTTTTTCCTTTCCATATTTAGTGCTTCCTTCAGGAGCTCTTGTAAGGCAGGTCTGGTGGTAGGCATAATATGACAACTATGGGAAGGAATCCCACTGTTCCCCATGGTTGAAGAGAATATATAGATTAATAAACTTAATTCCAGGTGCCTCTTCAAAAAGTAGAAGAGACTCCAGAGTAGTGAAAGGTCTAGAACTGGTACATGAAATGCCAGGACACAGAGAAGATTAAGTGGCTCAGCTTATTTGGGTTGTGAAGTAGCAGCTCCTACACTGGTGAGGAATTGTACAAAATAAACTCTATCTACTTCTGACCTAAGATTTAGTTCAAATTTTAGGGGAAAGACACATAAACAACTATTATACTGCAACACAAAAGGAACCAATTGCTATAATAGGGCTTATTAAAAATGGGCCAGGAGAGAATAGGAAAGAGGGAGTAGACAGGACCATCATGATCCAGCAAGGGTCACAGGAATGCTGTGTCTAAGGTAAGTCCTGAGAAAGTAGTAGAATTTCAAAATGTGGAATTTAAATTTATTCAATTCAACCAACACTTGTGGGACATTTATTGCATATGGGGCTAGGCACCAGATACAAAGATAAATATGACATTGTCTCTGCCCTCCAGAGTGCTGACCACAGCAGATGTTGTGCTAGCTGCTGGGTATAGGGTGGTGGGAAGAAAACAGAAGTGGGTTCTAAGTCTCATGAAGTATATATGACAGAAATTTGTATAATGGGGTAGAAATTTTGAAAGAAGTTGGAAAGGAACTCTATGGAAAGAGCATGACAAGAAACACAAATATGGCTGTCAAATGCAAGAGGTACTCTCCTTGACTGAGCAGTTCACTTGTGGGAGTGAAGATGTGAATAAATACAGTGAGAGATAGTTTGGGTGAGTATTAGTGTAGATAAATGAAGGGGACATGCCTGGAGAAGTTTTGACCTAATTAATTGGGTAACAGGATTTATGTAAAAGATGTTAAAAAATGGGGTTGATATCATCCAGTCTGTTTGGGAGGATAA
The DNA here is from genome assembly GCF_000001405.40 of Homo sapiens. Taxonomy (NCBI): domain Eukaryota; kingdom Metazoa; phylum Chordata; class Mammalia; order Primates; family Hominidae; genus Homo; species Homo sapiens. Next base: position 74,951,265 of record NC_000006.12, on the reverse strand, counting down.
CTGGTGACCACATAAAGGACAGATTTGAGAAGCAAGAGGTTAGATGTGAGTATATTAGGTGAGAGGTCACTGCTCAGGACCATGTGAAAGAGGAGCGCTTTTGCTCATTATGTTAGAAAGTTCAAATATGATATTAAAGAAAAAATGTACATAGTATATGCTTAAAAATACTCAAAATAGCCATTTGCTTTCTTCTCTCTTTCCTCCCTACCCTCCATGTCTATTTGCCTCTCCTCTTCTCTTACCTTTTCTTACTGTTTGGAAAGATGTTTCTAGGTCCAATAAAATATTTTTGTGTTAAAATTACTAGAGGGATTTTCCTGCGTTTGACTGAGAGATTCTAAGCGGGCAGATTGCTAAATTATATCACTTATTTATCAGTTGGTAAAAACCAAATCCATATTTTCATAGCATTCATTATGATTTGGACTATAAGTATGAGTGCATGCATTGCATATTTTATTATGTTTTCCTTTTTGGCATGGTGCATGGAAAAACGATTTTGTTATTAAGTTCTACTTTTAATATAATATTATTCCAGTTCTATGCTGAAGGTACTGTGCTGCCAGAGCAGGGAGTTTTCTGCACTACTTACCAGTCATTGGCTTATCTTATACCAATGTCCTCTCCTTTGGAGCAGGATAACCCAGGGAAACAAATAAAGCATAGGCTAAATAGTCATCAAGTCAATAGCATTTTCGATTTCAAACAAGACAATAGAGCACCACTAACAAAGAAATGTAAAACGCTAAACCTAGTGAGGCTAAGAAGTTTAATATCAAGGGAAAATAATAAAATTAAAACTTCAACAGTTTGTTCTCACTTACCTTCACACTAAACTGTTCTCAAGTTTATTTGGTAATTCTCTAATTCTGACTATATTGCATCAGTACAAATAGCGAGAGGAAAATCTATCTAACTTGTGATAATGAACCTATGGCTTTCATTAAACTCTGTGACATAATTTATTTGCAGAGAGGGTACTTAATGTGGTCTTTGAGTTATTGTTTCAAAGAATTCCATTTATCAGAAGGGTATTTTCAATGGCTGTGGATTCGGACAACATTTATTTGTATATAAGATTGATTAGATTACTTCCACTAATTTTAAAATAATTATGTCAGAGAATAGAATTTTTTGTTTGGTGTGATAAAGTTAATTATATTGACTTGAATAACAAAAATAAATATGATTGAGGAAAGGGAATGAGGTAATATTTCTGTTAGCCTGTTAGCATAGGAGCAAGTGATAATTATTGAGAGTCCACAGGTTTGGCATTAACCAACTGAAAAATAAGAATACATGTCACTGTTAGGAAGCAATATTGGTGATAATGTGCTCGTGGCTATTTCTGTAACTCTAGCTCTTGATACCAGTGGTGCAGATGCTGTATCGAAAGATACAAATTTGCAACTTCAAACAAGCAAGCAAGAAATGGAACTCATCTAAATGGTCTAAATTAAGACCTATCTAGGAATCTATACTCCATGAACATGTAACATATCCAATTTCAGTTACTTTTTGGAACTTCTTCCTTCCCAAGGCCATACCAGAAAGCATAAGGCATAAAGGGCTATGACAGAGCCTTTCATCTCAGGCCGTGAGTGGTTGCTGACACCTCATTAATGAAGCTGGCCTGGGCTGTTGTCGTTTATGGTGCTGCTGCTCCTGCACCAATATGAAGGTGGGAATCTTGGCCTAGGCTGAGAGTTCTGGTGTTTAGGGCTCATTTTATTTGCACTCTGAAATATTTTCCTGGCATTCTAGCACTTTGTGGGGACTGGCTCCCCAGTATTCTTGGGATCCTGTAGACCCTATCTTCTTCATAGCCTCTGGGAATCTCTGCTTTTCTTACTCTCAAGAATATGTGCATTCTCCCACTCTCCACTTGGGATCCAGAGGACAATCTTTAATTAGCACAGACTCAGAATCTTGTGAAAGATTACAAGGGGAGTTTTATCCAAGCTGAAGGATATGTTAAAAAGGTCTTGCTTTTGGTTTGGAACAGGGGAAAAATACTATAAGGCAAACAACTATAAAATAGTATGCTGGTATATTACAATATTTCTTATGTTGCTCCCTTTCCCTGGTGATGCAGATGTGGGCTTACTGGTATAGACTGGTTGGGTCTCTTTATGACTGCCGAGGGCCTATGTGTTATACAGCTGGGGGCTCCATTCCCCCCAGAGTCAAGCTGTGCAGAGTCAGCATGGTTGCACACAGGCCTGGGTTCAGTGGCAAGCGGTATATCCTGACAAACACGGTAGGTTGCAGAGTTAGTCCTGCATCTTGCCTCCTCTATCCACCACTCCCTCATCCCCCCACCCCTCTCAACATGTGAGTCTTGCTTATTTCCCTATATTTGCTTTTCTTGACTTCTATGATCTGTTACTTATGTGACTCCGTTGTTCTGATTTTCTTATTTTGAGTTTCTCTTTGAAGGATAAGAGATGCTGGCAATTTCCTTTGTCTATATGGCAATGTCTTTGTCCCTTTGTGTCTGAGCATCACAAGATATATAAGATATCCATACATTAAGATGGAAAATATTTCTGGATTCACTCCTATTTGTAAACATTTGGGTCTGGGAAGAATGAGGAAAGGAAATGCTAATACTACATTTCAAGCTTATAAACATTTACAAAAATACATGCATCAGATTGGTTTTTTAGATACCATTTTGCAACATGTAGATGCAACTCATACCAAAATAACTTCTTTGACAGGTGTTTCTCTGAGTAGGCATGGTGTCACTTCCATTAAGGCAGAGGGCTTGATCATACATTTTTTGATGCGTCAATGTCTAAAGTACCCTTCCTTCCTCCTTCCTTCCTTCCTTCCATCCTTCCTTGCTTCCTTCCTTCCCTCCCTCCCTCCCTCCTTCCTCCCTTCTTCCTTCCTCCCTTATTTTCTCTGTCTCTCCCTCCCTCCCCCTCCCTCCCTTTCTTCCTCCCTCCCTCTCTTTCTCCCTTCCTCCCTTCCTTCCTTTTCCTCTCCTTCCTTCATCTCCTTCCTTCCTTTCTTTCTTTCCTTCTTTCTTTTTGAAACAGTTTTGCTCTGTCACCAGGCTGGAGTGCAGTGGTGTGATCTTGGCTCACTGCAACCTCTGCACACAGATTCAAGCGATTCTTCTGCCTCAGCCTCCAGAGTAGCCGGGATTACAGGTTCATGCCACCACGCCCGGCTAGTTTTTGTTTTATTAGTAGAGATGGGGTTTCACCATGTTGGCCAGGCTGATGTCGAACTCCTGACCTCAAATGATCCACCTGCCTCAACCTTCCAAAGTGCTGGGATTACAGGTGTTAGCCACGGCGCCCAGCCTAAAGCACCGTTTCTACAGTGAACAGCATACCAAACTTTTATTCCAGATTAAAATCCCAAACAAAAGACAAAGAAGATCTGTAAAATTCCTGCAGCAATTTTACAATGTTTTGTTTATTGGCTATATTTTAAATAAATAAATGAAATATTACCTCAAATGAAAGCATTCACATTGAATTCTAAACAAATAAAATGGAATGAGCAAAATTGAGTCAGGGAGCAAGAAGTATTTATTTGAAGCCATTTGATGTGCCTGATACTGTTTTAAGTGCCCAGGAATCCATGAAAAACATATAAAAATAATCCTTGCCAATAAGGAGTGTTAAATCTAGATCGAAAAACTGTGTAGAAAATAGCTAAAGAACAATGTAGGAAATAACAGATTCCTTTTGGTAGGTAGAAACTTAAGTACAATATGATCAGACTATAAGTTTATTTTAGGTTCAGTTAGGAAAGTGAAGCTGCAGTGGAACCAAGAGACATAAAATCAAAGAATCACATTCCTGCTTTCAAGACATATTTGAAGTCTTGCTCGTGATTGGAAAAATATACACTGATTCTAAATATGTTTAATATATTTTATTAAACCTATCTGGGTACCATTGGTCATGTTGGGAGGGAGTAACTCCCAACTTAAGCCAAATGCTCAGTGGGGAAAACATCCTACCTTGGCAGGAGAACAAGAATAAAGGTGAAACAATAAGGCATTTTCCAGGTTCAACCAAGTTCTGTGTAAACCGAAGAAGCTAGGCTGAGAACAAGACAGAATTGTAAAAAGATCAAATGAAAAAGAATGTGTGCACTGGCTTGCCTCTGTGACTCATTTGAGAGTGAAATTGTTATCACATGAGCCATTTCCTGAAGTTTTAAAAAATATCGGGCCCTGTTCTGTTTCATTGATCTCTGATCTTTGACAAACCTGAGAAAAATAAGAAATGGGGAAAGGATTCCCTATTTAATAAATGGTGCTGGGAAAACTGGCTAGCCATATGTAGAAAGCTGAAACTGGATCCCTTCCTTACACCTTATACAAAAATTAATTCAAGATGGATTAAAGACTTAAACGTTAGACCTAAAACCATAAAAACCCTAGAAGAAAACGTAGGCATTACCATTCAGGACATAGGCATGGGCAAGGACTTCAGGTCTAAAACACCAAAAGCAATGGCAACAAAAGCCAAAATTGACAAATGGGATCTAATTCAACTAAAGAGCTTCTGCACAGCAAAAGAAACTACCATCAGAGTGAACAGGCAACCTACAAAATGGGAGAAAATTTTCGCAACCTACTCATCTGACAAAGGGCTAATATCCAGAATCTACAGTGAACTCAAACAAATTTACAAGAAACAAACAAACAACCCCATCAAAAAGTGGGCGAAGGACATGAACAGACACTTCTCAAAAGAAGACATTTATGCAGCCAAAAAACACATGAAAAAATGTTCATCACCACTGGCCATCAGAGAAATGGAAATCAAAACCACAGTGAGATACCATCTCACACCAGTTAGAATGGCAATCATTTAAAAGTCAGGAAACAACAGGTGCTGGAAAGGATGTGGAGAAATAGGAACACTTTGACACTGTTGGTGGGACTGTAAACGAGTTCAACCCTTGTGGAAGTCAGTGTGGCGATTCCTCAGGGATTTAGAACTAGAAATACCATTTGACCGAACCATCCCATTACTGGGTATATACCCAAAGGACTATAAATCATGCTGCTATAAAGATACATGCACACGTATGTTTATTGTGGCACTATTCACAATAGCAAAGACTTGGAACCAACCCAAATGTCCAACAATGATAGACTGGATTAAGAAAATGTGGCCCATATACACCATGGAATACTATGCAGCCATAAAAAAGGATGAGGTCATGTCCTTTGTAGGGACATGGATGAAATTGGAAATCTTCATTCTCAGTAAACTATCGCAAGAACAAAAAACCAAACACCGCATATTCTCACTCATAGGTGGGAATTGAACAGTGAGAACACATGGACACAGGAAGCGTAACATCACACTCTGGGGCCTGTTGTGGGGTGGGGGGAGGGGGGTGGGATAGCTTTAGGAGATATACCTAATGTAAATGACGAGTTAATGGGTGCAGCACACCAGCATGGCACATGCATACATATGTAACTAACCTGCACATTGTGCACATGTACCCTAAAACTTAAAGTATAATAATAATAATAATAATAATAATAAAAACAAACATCGGGCCCATCTTTGAACTCTGGTCTATCTACCTCCAAAGCCTGTGTTCCTGTGTCCTTCGTCTTCCAATGAAGAGCCCAGGAGGTGTTATTGGGAGAAAAATATCATGAAATTGCTTGAGGCGCTTCTAGGAGACAGAAGACATTGTGGAACTAGAAGTAGAGCAGAGAGATTCAAACTCCAGTGAATCGAAAATGGTCTAGGAGACAACTGGGGCTGGTGGTGACTGTGGAAAGTATACTCATGTCTCAGAGGACCCCTGGCTAATCAGCCTCTGCCAACTGTTGTCATAAGGAGATGTGGGTATGCTTAGTCCTCCAGTGTTTCAAGAGGAACCAGAAATCTAATTGTTCATGTAAAAATGTCTCTCATATTTTAAATGCTGGTACTTATTCATTTGTTTTTAAAAATAAAAATATTCTATAGGTCAAATAAAACATTTCTGACTGGTAATTGGTCTGTGAGTCAGGAGCTGGCAAAATCTGAGATGGTGTGCCGTGCTGCGCAAGCCTTATTACTTGAAGGTTTCTTGTTTTAGCTCTTCTTTTACTTGAGAAAGCCTGTAGGGAGACAAGGGTTATCTTCCTTTGTGCTTTTGACTTTCAGGAGAATGGAGCTATTCTGGAGAGAGAATGGCAGTGGATTAAAAGTTCTGAACCTGCCTGGGTCTCAATCACAGAAACCTGAAACAGCCATTGGACCCCCATTGCTAATCCCTGTGCAGTCTGTAGTCACACCTGGAGTGTCAGCTTTTATAGGTGGAGGTAAGCTTTATATACCTTCATTGTAACTAGTCCAGGTTGAGACAGAAAGTGAATACTCAAGAAACACCCTAATGTTCACAAAACCATTTAATGTAGATCTAGGCATATGAAATGGATACTATTTGATTGTTTTTGACCTTAAAAGAGTCAATTTCATATTATTGTTACTGCCTCAAAGCCATCTCCTTTCCCAGATACTAACCCGTATAAGCAGATTTGTGAAGTCATCAGAGTTTGTTTTTGAAGAAATTTAGCATGGTGGTTAAAAGTGTGGGGCTATGGAGCCAGATTACCTGGGTTTGAATACTGGCTTTCCTACCTTCCAGCTGGTTTGCCTCAGATTCCTTATCTTTACAGTAAAGCTAAAAGTAGAAACTACCCTCTTGTAATATGTTTGAGAGGGACAGAGGCATTATTGCATGTGAGTCTTAGTGTCACAAGGTATGCTCTTGGCAAATGAAAGTTATTATTTTCATTTTCTCTTTCTTCACTTGTCCTGATTTGATTGATTAGGAGTCCTTTCCTGTTATGCCTTACCCAGTCTAATTTTTCCCTTCAAAATTACCTCATTTATGTCCTTATCCAAATTTCTTTCCCATCAATCCCAATCTTAGTTGGCACAAGAAACACATTTGGATAAATATGACCGATGCTAGTTTACTAGATAACTTTTCCCAGTAGCATTTTCATTTTAAATAAAACACTGGAAGAAGTTTGTTTGTTTGTTTCCCAAACTTGCCTGGTGGTAAGAAGTATCCAAGACTGTTAAATCTCCAGACTCCATCCTTGGAGATTTTGGTTTTGTTGGTTTGGAATGGGCTCTGGGAATCTATATTTTTCATAACTACCTCAGGTGAATTATTATTTCCAGGCAAGTTTGGGAACACTGTTTTAAACCAAATAACACAATTTCTGATGATGATACACCATCCTCTATGATTGGCACATTTGCTTCTCCTTTCTTGGGAGGGTTTGCATATGCACTTCTAATGCTCCCTAAATCACAAACATGGGCAACTTTCTTCTCCACCCATGCAGATAATCTGAGATCTTAATTTTAAAATTAACTGTGAAGCGCACCATTTCCTCTCCCCACCCAAATTAGTTACTCTGCCTTAAAGTCTTCAAGGAAAAGATCTTGCTTGCATTGTTGCTCATACAAATACTCTTCAGATTAGTGCCGTTCAAAGTGAGGAGGAACAGGAGTATTTGCATCATCTGAAAACATGATAGACATGCAGGATTTCAGGCCACGTCTCAGATCTAATTGACTCAGAATCTGCATTTTAACATGCACACTAACATTTGAGAAGCACAACTTTAAAGTGTAAGATACACATTTAATTTATTCAATATAATTTAGTTGGCAGTGAACTTTATAAAACCTTCTCTTCTGTGTTCTTGATATTATTATTATTATTTGAGATGGAGTTTTGCTCTTGTTGCCCAGGCTGGAGTGCAATGGCACGATCTCGGCTCACCACAACCTCCGCCTCCCGGGTTCAAGTGATTCTCCTGCTTCAGCCTCCTAAGTAGCTGGGATTACAGGCATGCACTACCATGCCTGGCTAATTTGTTGTTGTTGTTGTTGTATTTTTAGTAGAGGCAGGGTTTCTCCATGTTGGTCAGGCTGGTCTTGAACTCTCGACCTCAGATGATCTGCCTGCCTTAGTCTTCCAAAGTGCTGGGATTATGGGCATGAGCCACCACACCCAGCCTCTTAATATTATTTTTAAGGTAATTTAGTGTTTCATATTTTGACAGTATTTTAGATGAAAGCAAAAGCATTATATTGCATATTTCTATCTGTAGAGAGCCTTTTCTGTATGTTAAATCTTCCTATATGTAGGTAACACTTTAAGCAGTGCATTTTAACCAGACAGTAACCACGTAGCTAGCTAACCACTATGAACATTGGCTCAGTGAAAGGGCTGAGAATGCCTTCCATACATGGCAACTTACAGAAAAACCACATAAATACGATGTGGATTTTCTATTTACTTGACATATTGGTGCTTTCTTTGCAGACTACATCTCAGCCACCTCTCTTTAACATTTTGATAAAAAGTTACACGGAACATCTAAAACGAGTTTAGATCAATGACATTTGTTTACTAGATAGTAGTACTCATTTTTCCATGTTCAGCAGGGAGAGCAATTCACATTTAAAAATTTATACTGACTTAGATACACGTAATAAAAATTAATATTTTCTTTTTATCTCCTTAATCTTTACCTCTCACTTTCCCCCTTCCAGCCCCCGAACCTCACATGTAGCATATGCCCCACTACAGTACTTGCTTATTTAATATTTGTTGAGTTATAAAAGAATTGAGTTTCACTCATGACTCTATGCTGCTTGTCCTGTATCAGTCTTTTCAGTTATGTCTAAATATACATGTAACGCTGGTGGTCCACATCATCTTTATGCAAGAGTGATCCAGCTCTCTGTGGACACTCATTAAACACTTATTGAGAATGAGGTTGTTTTTGCAGAGCATGTGTCTTTGAGAAGAAACACGAGCATGGCAACATGCTTGTATGGATTTTTAGTCTATTTTTAGTCTATTTTGAGGATCATCCACCTCTAAGCGACTCAGATTAAAAATATGTTACTTCATGAAATAAAAAGAAGCTACTGACTCAGTGTTTAGAGAGTGTATGCATTCTACCAGAAAGGTAATCAGCTTCTCCGAGTCATCCATACTCTTGGATGGAACATATACTAGGAAAGGGGGATGTCTGGATTAGTTTTATTTATAGAAAATCACATGGTTAAAATAAAGGCAACCACAAATCATTGGTATTCCTGTCTTTACTTTTGACAACCATAACCTCTCTACCCATATTTATAAGTCAAATCTATATGGAGAATTGGCTTATTTAAAATAGAATTTTAACAAATACAAACAACAACCCAGAAGTGGAATTGCTTTTATTAGTCTTGAAATTGACTTGAGGATGTCTTTGCCATCCGAATATTGTTAGTATGACACTATTATAAGGTTCAAAATATGGTGCAGCATAAAGCAAAGCATGTAGTCAGCTCAAATTGTGATGGTGCAGAGCATGACACTAAGTATGTAAATATAAGTATTGTTTTACTTTATAATAGCCATAAAATTTTTCATAGCTTTTTTACTGCCACATGTGTGTTTGGATTAAAAAAAAAATCCCTTGTATTTTAAATTCAAACAGGTTCCAAATCACAAACATCTGGAGAAGAGTTTTCTTGAAAGTATTAATTTCACAGTACTTTATTTTCAGAATATCTTACGTTTAAAAACAAAATCAACTATATATTTCAACAGAAAGAAAGCAAAATGAAGTTCATTATGTGGTGAAATGCCAAGACCAGATGTTTTTAAAATGATCTTGGACACTCAGTTTCTAAGAGCATAGAAAAGTATTAGCAAAACCATGTTTAAACTGAACATTCTGATAAACAAAATTGTTTTTATATTTTTCAGTTAGAAATGTAATACATGCACTATTATACCATTGTGAATTATAAACTTAATTGTTTTTTTGAAGGGAAGGAATGCTATCCATGATGATGCAAAGCTGCAAACCCCTCATGAATCCATTGTTGGATCTATTGCGTCTTCTAAAGGAAGCCTACAGCTGTGCTGTTCAATATGGTATCCACTGGATATAAGGGGCAATGGCCACATAAAATTTGGCTACTAAGACTAAAGAAATAAATTTTTAAATTTTATTTAATATTAATTAAATTAAAATTTTAATAGCCACATGTGACTAGCGGCTATAATATTGGTAAGTGCAATCCTACACAATAGAAAAGAAAGAATTCTAGTTCCTAGGAAATCATTTTTGGCTTTTTAGTGCCTGAAATTTTTGGCAGTAGATTGCTGTATCCCAGTCGGGCTCTTAGATTTTTCCAGACTAAACAGGTTAATGTAGATGAAAGTTTAAGCACAGTCTGTGACAGTGAAGTGGTATGTATGCTCACTCAATTACTTTACTACCAGGGTTGTTAATGTTACTACACAGACATCTTTCCTTCCAAATTCCCTGGCTTTCTAAGAAGTTCACCCACAATTCTGCATGTTGGAGAGCAGCTTTGGTGTGAGTTTCTCATTGCTCTTGGCTCCACTTCACATTCGACTTCTTTCAGGTAATGCCTCCCCTGAGTTACCCATTTGAGTAGAGAGGGGGGCCAGGATTGCAACCATATCCCATATCTTTCATTCAGTCTCTAGAGATTCAAGGGCTATGTAAACAGGATTTCCATTCATACTGAAAATGACTAGGAGATAAAGCCACAGGCACACATCACAAAGAAATAAAGCTGAATAAAGACGGACAAGTAATAGAAGCCTAAAGAGTCAACCAAGCTATTGAATAAAATATATTCACTAATCCTGGAGAAAATACATGTTTAACATTCTAAGTTAGAAGACATGAAGGTAAAAAATTTGACCAAGGAATGTGTGAATCAATCAGATTTTACTGGCGCAAGGAATGTTTTGAAGAGTCATTTCAACATCTTATGTAATAATGAAATGTATCCAGAGAGAATAAAGGAGTTGACTCAGATCACATGTGTATGGAAAGAGCTCTGGTCTATACTGTGGGTCAAAAACGACTAGGCCAGTGGTTTTAATTGATACAACATTTCATACTTCTTTAATACTCTGTAGAGAATGCCACTTACTGTTGTTTCTGAAGTGACCTGAAGGACAGTTGAGAGCCAACCTAATGTAGGAATGTCTCTTGTCTCTTTTCCCAGCACGCTCTCCAGAAGGGAAAATCCCCAAACAAGTCTTCAAATATGAGCTTTTCAGCTATCCATGATAGCCTATAATTTCAAGCTTTTTAAGGTCATTCTGGGAGAGATGTTTAAGATGAGAGAGTTCTTTTTCCTTTTGAAAAAAGAAACCTCTGGTTTTCCAAACATTTCATAAACCTCTGGAATTCTTTGGAGTGAGCCAGAAGTGGAAAAAGTAACTGAAACTGCTTGGGAAAAATTAGTAGTAGCTGTTGAAAAGAGCATTTATCAGTAATCCAGACATCGAAGACATTTAGACTTTGTTGAACAGGCAGTTTGTGGTGAGAAATGACTGGTTTAGGGGCATTGCTAGTCAGGCAACCTGGGCTAGAACTGGCTGGGTTGTGTTGGTTTCCTAGGGCTGTTGTAATCAAGTACTGCAAAGGAGGTGCCTTAAAACAGTGTAAATTTATTATTTCACAGTTCTGGAGGCTATAAGTCCAAACCAAGTTTTCTGCAGGGCCATGCTTTCTCTGAAGGCTGTAGAGGAGAATCTGTTCCATGTCTTTCTCTTAGCTTCTGGTATTGCTGGTAATCCTTGGTGTTCCCTGGCTTGTAAATATGTACATCAATCTCAACCTCTGTTACCTGACATTCTGTCCCACAGTGGTTTCCTCTCCTCTTCAACATGTGTCAGTCTTATGCAAATGTACTCACGCACACAGTGACATCTAGTGGGTCTGGACATAGACAGTTGAATCCTCTTGAATGCTGGAATCCCTTTATGGTTTGACTATCTCTTTATTTGAGGATCATAAGTCTATGTGTTTCCAAGGAATTTTGCTGACACTATGCAGCTATCAGCATGAAATGAGGCTCAAGTTTATTAGTAGCTCTGTGAACGTAATAGATGGAAACTATATTTGACCTGTTTTTTTTTTCTTGGAAAGCCAATAAAATTTCACACAAGCCAGGATGGAACATGAGACACAAGGCATTTCCTCCACATTAGTATCTTTAAGCCATAAGAGAGGCAAAGTATCATCTGAAAGAGACTTCACATATTTGTGTATAAAGTTTTCTTCATTAAATGTGACTCTTAAATGGAAAAACAAAGATATGTTTTACACAGAGTCCCCTTCAACTTTTCTTTGGTCACCCTCTTCCTCCCCGACTGACAGCTTTGTTTTCATTCGTTGAGAGGTCTTTCTCTTATCCACAGTGGACGGATCATGTTTTCAAGAGCTTCTGCATATACAGTCACAATAATAGGGAAGTTTATTGAGATGTTCAAGTATGGTTTGGTTTAAATATTTATAATGATATATATATATTATATATAAATATATATAATATATATATAGACAGCTGATATGAATGAAGAACTACATGTCAAATTGTAAACATCAGATGAATAACATCAAGAAAGTAGAAATGTTTGTTTCTTGTGAATGTAGTCAGTGGTTCAAATGTGAATGTTAATATATTGTCAGATTACTGTGTAATGCTTTCAAAGGGGCCAGGAAATAAGGTAACTGCTTGTTCTAAGATAAATGTCTCACAAAAGATATGCTACCCTTTGTATTTTCTTTCTGAGAACCTAGCAAAACAAAAATAGTATTTGCCAACCATTTTTAATATTTGTAACTATGTAAATTTCAGCATGAGAGCTTTCTCAGAACATGAATCATAAAATATAGATTATTTAAAAAAGTATCCAGCCGATTTTCTTGCCTTTTCTTCCTCAGTTTCCCAAGGACAAGTATTGTTGGGCTTATATTCAGGTCTAAACACAGTCTGGGTCCTAAGTCAAGAGTTTCCTTGCATGGCAGCTTGTCTTTTTGGGGGGAATTGAGTTACATTGTGTTGGGCATAACCTTGCTGAACCAAAGCCTCCCCTGGTTGTTGGCCCAGTCAGACATTCATGTAGCTTCCTTGTTTCATAGGCTAGTTTTTCTATAGAACAGATTGCAGTTTGCCTTCTTGACTGAAGCCCTGGTGCCTTGATTAATTCTTACAATCATCTTTCCAGGGAGTTTAATCCTGTTCTCTGAACTTCCAAGTTCTGGCTGAGTGCACCTACCTCCCAGGGTCATGGTGCTACTGAGTTTCCTGTTGCTGCTGGCCAATGCAAACAACTGATTCTGTGCACCAATAGCTACTTCTGATTTCTTGTTACTTGTTCTTGGTTTTGTGTTTTTGTGAACCACACTTAAACTTTTTTTTTCTTTTTAGACAGGATCTTTCTCTGCTGCCCAGGCTGGAGTGCAGTGGTGCAATTATGGCTCACTGCAGTCTCGATTTCCCAGGCTCAAGTGGTCTTCCTACCTCAGCCTCTTGAGTAGTTGGGACTACAAGCATGTGCCACCATGCCCTGCTATTTTTTTTTTTTTATTTTTAGTGCAAACAGGGTCTCACCATGTTGCCCAGGCTGGTCTCGAATTCCTGGGCTCAAGTGATCTTCTCACCTAGGCCTCCTAATGTGCTGGGATTATGAACAGGAGCCACTGCATCCAGCCTTTAACATATTTTGACACCACCATGAACTGACCAGGTTCCCTTCCCCACTTCATAGGTGTTTCCCCAGTTTCATTAAGTCAGTTCCTCAGATTTCAGATGCTACCCACCTGCGCTCCAGAGTTTCCATAGGTGGGGCTCTCTCTGGCTATGCTCATGATGGGGAGAGGCCTGTGTTCTGCTATCCTAGACTTTGTATAAGGAAACTAGGATGGCAATCTGATTGGAAGGGAAGGTCTGCGAGATTTGCAGGGAAGCTGCATTAAGAACAGACACACCATTTTCTTTAGATTAAACATGTATTAGAGTTGACTTTGGGAGAGGTTGGGCAGTGGAGTTTAAGCTGTCTGAGGGTACCCCTTAGTGCTACTGCAGAGCCTAAACATTTCTTTCTCATTTTCTAGGAAACTTTCTCTTTTTTTTGTCTCAAGAACTTGATAGATAGTAGAAAAAAAATAGCTAAGTTATTACATAAAAAAACCCAATATAATCATATTAACAGCTGACCAAAGGGCCCAAGTATCTTGATCCAAAGAAGTGACTAATTACAGCCACCTTAGGCATATGGTATGCCAAGAATGGGGGCAGTAGTCTTGGTAATTTGTAATTCTTGGTTCAAGATGTGATCTTCCCTAACTTTATGTATGAGGCAACCCAAACAATGAAAAGAGAGTGCTTACTTATGTGTCACTTTTCCCCCTAAAGTCACAGTGTGATCCTTTGGCATCTGGAACAAGTAAACTTCCTCATAATAATGAAAATTTGCTTTGGGTTTCAATTTCTCCGTTAAAACAAGCTCCTTATCATTTAGGTATTTTTATAAAATGCCTATTCAAGCTATTTATTCTTCTTACTTCTTTCTTGGCTGCTTTTCTATTTGGTCTTTGTTTATTTATTTTATGTCAGTCTCTTTTTTCTGTGACTCTACAATAACTCACACTCCGGTGTTGCTACCTCAGGTTGCTTGCTGAGAAAATAGAGTTTAAGACAGAGGTTCCTCCAATGCTGTGTCCTAAAAAGGGCTTGAAGGTAGGAGCCTAAATCAGCCAACCATTTAAGGTAAGGACAAGTAAAATACATAGCCCAGAACCAGGAGACAGGTTGTTTATTTGTTTTTTAAATCCCCAATCCAAAATTAAGACAGGCAAAATTTTCAGCAGAAGTGAGAACATCAAGGAAATACTAGGAGCTATTATTGAACTGGAATTCTCAAAGTTTTTATTTTGTTTTGCTTTGTTTTTAGAGCCGTCATTGACTACAGCTAAGACCCTTAGGCTGAGGCACTTTTCTCAGTGGGTGTGAGGCCATAGAAAATTTAAAACTGATTTGGCAGCCAAACTTGGAGAAAATAGGAACACAGATGGCAAATAATAAGTTTTGTAAGTTATCACATGATGTTGCCTTGAATAATCACTTTTACCTTGATCTCAAGTTGATAGGTCAAAGGATTGCAGTTTTGCTTTTACTTTACTTCAAAGTGGACAGCACATTTTCCTAGACTATATCCTTAAAGCAAAAATAAAGTCTTCAACCTAGAAAACAGAAATCTATTTTCCATATAATGGAAATTATGTCTGAGAAAGTCTTTACTGCTCTGTTTTCCAGTTTTTAAGTCAAAAAATGGTCTATTTGCTTCCTATGCCAAGTACACATTATAAAAATTAAAACCTTCTTCGATTTCACACTATATCAATATGCTAAACGTCTAGAAGGAGATAGATCAGGCTGTTCCTTGAGTCTGGGTACCAGGATGAAATAGTGTGGCATAGATATTTGATGGATGGGTAGTATGCATGAAAATTAGCTTTGCTGTTGCAAGGGTTGTTTATTGTCACAGCATAATTTGTTCTGCACTGACTGCTACAAAATTATAGTTTGGTAAACAACAACAACAAAACAGAGAGGCTGTGATAAGGGATCAGTAGGAGTGTGTATACATGTGTGCATGGATGATCAAGTGCATGTATCCGTGCTTATGTATAAACCCTGGATATTAAACTTTTCCCTTTTTTATGCCATACATTGCAGTTTCTCATTGTAATTAATTTGTTCTATTTGGAGTAGAAAATGGTCAAGGAAGCATGGTCAAATTTGGAGCTGGTTTCATCCATTTCTTGTGGAGTAAGAAGGACAAGGAGGATAATATTTTATTGTTTTTCTTTAATAATTAGGACAAAATCCAATCTGATGACCTCTGCAGATCTGTCTAGCTTTATGACTTTATGGTGTTAAATGTTAATGTTAAATGATAGGCAAAACTGAATCTTCATGAATAAAAGATGTATTGTACCTTTGTACAGAGAGCTAAAATATAAGACAGGGCTAAGGTAGGAATTCTGTGAAACACTTACCCTTATGTATAAAATGGCTGCTGAGTGTGTAGATATAACTCACAGCTAGTGATGACCAGGGAGATTGAATTATTATTCAGCATGGTCCCATAGCCTTCCAGTAGCTGGGTCCCTACCCCTTGAACTAAATATCATGCACTGCAGTGATTTTAACTGCATTTTCATTAAAATATCTATGATGGTAGAATGAAAGATTTTGCATTGTTAAAGGGATTTTAAGAATCAATGATGAGAAAAAGATAATTGGGGATGAGAAAAAGATAATTGGGGATGAGAAAAGTTAAAGCAAATGTGATTTTCCTCTGAGATGACATAAAAATGTCCAATTGTCTGTTCTGTATGATTGAGTGCTCTGAATCTGCTATGGACAAACTTCACAAGATGCTTAGCATGATTAGCTTAGAAGAGCATGGGATTTGGAATTCAAGGATGCTTCAACTTGGGTTCCTCCAGAAACAGAATCTGAGATGGAGATGAGTGTCTAGGAGGCTTATTAGGTGCGTCCTTGAGAGTAACACCCATCGAAGGGAAGAGAAGCAAGTAGTGAGGAGGAAGAAATTGAACTCTGAGGCAGCTTTAGTGGAGGCCGCGGCTGACACCAAGGGGGAATTTAAGGCTTCCTAGCTTGCAGAACAAATAAAAGAAAAAATAGAACTTAGTTCTTTATGCCAAATCATACCTCTTTCAAGGTAACCCACATCCAAGGACTAATGTGGGATTATAAAGGCTTGGCCCTCTCCCCTATCTCAAAACAGTTCCGAGAAAACATATCATAAGAACTACCCTTGGAGTTTCCTGCAAAATCTCACACTATTACTACTATCACCATGGAAGATAGTGAAAGTGTCATTGAATGAAAAGCTTCTACTTATCTTGGACTGTATAAAGTGTAAGAACTGAGTGACTTGATTTATATGGCAAATTTGCTCTCATACAACTTCCTTCTCTTTTGTCCAAACTCTCTCTTTACTGGCACAACTTCCCTCACTCTTTCTACTAGTTCACCCATTGCATCTTTTTTGCTAATCAATTGTCTTACTATTCAGAATACATAATTTGTACAGAATTTTTTTTCCTTTTTTGATTATAATGCATATAATAGCTTTGGGGAAAATTACTGAAATGATAATTGTGATAGTCTTTACTTAAGAGAAATCTGCCTGTGATATTATAAATATATACTGAATACTTCTGTTAACAGTCATAGAATTTATGCTGCTATTTGTGTATGCAGGGTAATAATTTCCTAAGCAGCCTGTTTTATAATTACAACATGTTTCTTGAATCTCTCTTAAGATTGACAGGACACATTTCTTGCCTACTTGACTTTTTTTGGGAGTTCTAAGTTAGGAATGATAATATTGCTAGTATTAACAGAGTCAGAATAATATACATGATGCCTTTAACATTTGGAGTTTGAAGATTTTAGAATTTCTTTTTGTGTGTACACATCACAAATACAGTTGAGCATATAGCCATCTTTAGATGTATATATTTATACATGTTACATGTTCATATTTGGAAAAAAGTAAAAGCCTAAGGACAAAGTATACTTTTTAGGTCAAGGGTAGCAAAATACTTCATATTGTGACATTGCATTTCAATTATGGTTTTCTCAAATGGAAAGAAATCTCCAAGAATGAATCAAATCTAGTCTTACTTGACTACTCAAGCTTAGTTCTTTATTTAAGTTCTGAAGTCCAAGAGAATAATCTTCTCTAATTTGGCAACATTCAACTGACTATTGAGTCAGGCTATAGAATTGGCTTCTTTCTTCTTTTTCTTCATCTGGCATCACTCATTTTATCTCATTGTTTCTTCTGTCTTCCTATAAATTCCGATTCTTTTATGGCTAACCAAAGTCCTAGGGTTACATTTTAAATAATGAAGACAAAAAAAATCTACTTTTCTTAAAGGGTTAAAGTTCTGCAACTCTTTCTCTTTGTAATTCTATCTAAAATATGTGACATTTATTGAAAGAGCTGATTACATAAATGTGTTTTCCAGCAGTAAAGGTGGACCCAACTTCTACATGTGCACACAGCTCCAGAGGGCAACAAATAGCCCTGAGAGTGAACTTAGTACAGTATCCAGTTGTGCAGCATTGTTACTTAGAAACCATGGAGAAAACTGAGGAAATGCAGTTATTCTGAGAAGTGCCCTGACATAGTGGGGGCATAACTCCCATAATCTTTAATGAAGACCCTTGACTTTGCTACTTGTGGGAAGGGAATTATAAATTTGTATTTTAGTTTATTTTTTTTAGGGGGGTTGTGATTCTGGGGAGGGTTTAGCTAAAAATGCCCCCTGCGCAACCTAGAATTCTTTTTATGCACAAGAAAAACTGGGCTTATCCAAGTCTTAGTGACATTTAGAAGAATTCAGTAGACTAATGCTGAAAATGCATGTTGTCAGAATAAGAAAACAAAGTAGGGACTTCATCAACCAAACCAATATTTGAAGCTTTGCTGGAAGTCAGATGGACAAAACCTAAGAGTAACCAATGAGTTATAGCTCAAAACTTGAGTGAAAAATCCTGTCATACAGGGCATGCAACATTATAAAACCTGTTGTAATGCTTCAGAGATTGTGACCTGTGCCGATTCTGCCAGGCAGGGTTCTCAGCACAGGCTGCTTTCCATCTTGCTGAAATCAGCCCACTCTCAGCCCCAGGCTCCAATAGGGGAACTGCATTGCATCAGACTTGGACTTTTGATCCAACAGTGCCCAGTTGCAGCTTGGACAGCGTTGTTTGAGGTGGTGTGGCATAAAGTGCTGTCTAATTGGGGGAAGTAATTAATTAATGTCAGAATGTAAGGAAACAACATTGATAATGAGATAAGGGCTGAGTAGACATGCATTAGTGGGTCTCTGGGGTGTCATATTTCCAATTCAACCACAAGTATCCTCAGCTAAAGTGAACTGAGGAAGCCTCTGCTTGTCACAGCCAGCTTGACATTAACACTTGACTCTAAGTGTCAGCCACTCTTGTGGCTTGGTGCTGATAGTCAAGAGATCTGATCACTAATGGTTTCATTACCTTTGATAGGAAAGGCCGCATTACCTGCCTTATACAAAAGGATTAACCAACCAAAGCCAATAGGTAGTATAGAATGACTTCGGAAAAATGAGGTTGTGGGATTGTGAAAACCTTAGGGATAAAAGTTATCTCTCCAAATGCTTCTCCCTAGTTTTCGTAGACATTAACCTCCATTCAAATGGAAACTCCCTCATTTAAGCAAATGCCCACTGGTTAATGTAAAAATGAACTAGTAAGATTCCTTTCAAACCATCTTTTGGAATTTAGGCATATTATTACTTCTAAGTCTTGAATAATTACATGAAGAAGCTTAGTTTAAGGTTGAACAGAGGACTGACAGCAGAAAATTTTGAGACATTGAACAAGGGAGCTTCTGAAATTTGTTAAGTACATTCATTTTAAGAATATGAGGGTGTGCCTGCATGCATTTTTGGCAGCTGTGGTTCTGTGGCTAGGTGAAAGTATTCAGACTAATCATGAATGGGAAAGAGTTGATAATTCAGTGCAGAGCACAGGGTGTTCAATTTAGCACACAGGGAATAAGATTATGTGGTATAATGTGAACTGTGTCCATGTGCTCTTGTGGACCTAGTATATTAGCAAACTGGAAAAGTTATCCGTCTGTTTATGTAAGCATGCCATTGATATTCCTCATTGCAAGATACATTCCAACCATTTATATTTCAGGCTTCTTGGAAAACAAAATCTCAGACTGCCTGGAAGGTTTTGCTACTTCATGACATTGTTGCCAGTATTTCATTAGAAACATATTTAGTTAAGTACCTTCAGAGGAATTTTATATACAAAAAGAACCCCAAATTAAATTTTTTTTTCCTCATTTTTTTCACAAATTAAATTTTAATGTTTTGTTATATTTTGACAAATAGTAGTTAACTTGAAAGATAAAATTCTTTGAGAGAAGCATTATTTGTTGACTCAGTATTTACCTATATAACAAACCCAAAATATTTGTGTTTCAAAAAAAAAAAAAAAGGATGAACTGAATATTTCTTTTATATTGTGCCACACAGACCCAATTTAAAGGCTCAAGAGAAAAACTCCCCAAGAGGGTGTGAAATCTGATTCCTCATAAGCCCTCACAGGTCCAATCAAGTACTGTTGGAGGAGATTTGGCTTCAGTGAGATCATTGTATATACATACATTGTTTAACAATATCAATAATTTGTATTTCTAAGTTATTTTTGTGGCTGTTTGTTAGTTTCTGGGAGCCCTGACATTAAGTGTTACAGAATCAAAAAAGGGGAAAGATTTATTTAGAATCAATCAATTCGTGGAAAGAAATCCATTAAACCACTTGGCTGATAATAGTGAACAGGTTCATTAATAGGTTGAGGAGGGTAGGTGAATGAGTAGATCCTGAATGTGACTCCACTAATGTGGCAACATTAACATCCTGAATGCAGCTATTCATGAAATAAAAAGTCAAATTCGAATGTATTTAAAATACATTTAACTATAAGCACATTCAAGGCTTCCTAATTCTGACAAATTGCAGGGAGGATTAGTATAGCACTAAGCCTACTTTTTCAGGTTGGCCCAGTAAGGAAAAGAGTCAGAAAAAAATTGTTGAAGGTCTTCAGGGGCAGCTGATGACATCTATTAAAACTTAATTGAGTTCAGCATCTTCGACTTCTATAGAGTATTATAAGTTCTTCCATAAAACAGCATGTGATTTATGAAAATTAAATATGCTACATGCAATTTTATTAACAAGATAAACTTGTCCAGAAGCCTTTCTTTCCTGGACAGTATGAATGTAAATATTGCTTTGTACCATTAAAAACAATTAGGTAGTTCAAAGTTGTGGAGTCTAAATCAATATTTAAAACTATAAAGAATAAGAATATCATAAGACAAAGTTCAGATTCATCTTAATGATTTTAGATACTTTCACATAAAACTCGTGTCACTAGCATGTGCATAAACTGGCACTATAATTTGTAGAAAACCATAATTAATCTATGTTTTGGGATTCTTTTTCAAAATTGGATCTAGTTCTATTTTTCTTCTGAAATCTATCATGCCATGTTTTATTGTGTAGAAAGCTAAGCATAAATAGTAGGGGCTGCATTTTTCTACTGTGGTGGTTTGTGGTAATTTGAAACAGGCAAGGCTCTTCCACATTCTGCATCTGTACCGGTGCTCTGTACCAGGAACTCACATTGATCACATAGCATGGCTGTCCTTTGTCCTTGAATCTTTACCCTCCTTCTACCTGGTGGTCCTTGGATTTCCTTTCAGCACCTCCCTTCCTACTTCTCCTCTTCCTCCACATCGTTTTCTCCTCCCATTCTTCCCCCTCCCTGTCTCCTATTGCTTTTCATTTTCTTTCTATCCTTTTCTTCCTCCTCCTCATCCTTCAATACTTTTGAAAAAATTTTATGAAAATACTAATTTGCATTGTTGAAAATTAGAAAAGTACAATGAATAAATGCCATATTGCCACCAACCACAGAATACCATGTAGAAACTCTAATGCATGTCTTCTCAAATTTTTCATATATATATAAATACATTTTATAAACGTATAGTTTTTATATATATACACAGTTTGTATGCATATCTATATTTTGCATGTTATGCGTTTACATACATATAAATATATGAATATATGTGTGTATTTGTGTAATTGTTTATACTATAACCTGCTTTTTCCAGTTAGCCATCTTTTAGTCTACTGTTTCAGTGCATTTTCATCTAATATGATACCCAAACCTTATTTAAATTTCTTCAGTTGATTCCAGAATGACTTTTGCTGCTGGTTTATCTAAACAGTATCTAATTCCCACCCACAGAGTGCATCTGGTGGGTATGTCCCTTTGGGTCTATTTTCATGGAGCAAATCTCTTTTATCATGACACTGACTTATTAAGGAAATAGGGTCAATTGTCCTGAAGAATGAGTTTCCTTCTCTTGAATATATTGTCTAACAATCATGGAAAAAATAAATTTATTTATTATTCTGGGGTGGGAGCCAGTTTGTTCTCTACATTGACAACACTGTAATTTTCTGTCAGTACGTAATTTGTTCTTCCTATATAGAGGTTTTTAAGTTATTTTTCTTATCCATCAGGATATGCCTAGATGTACACCTTTTTCATCAAAACATATTGGATCTTACTGTCCTCTTTCAGTGTGCAGATTCAGATCTTTCCCCAGCCCAGACATATTATATTTTCATGTATCTATTTCATTGCTTTCTTCCCAAATACCCAATATTTGCTTGTCAGGCTTTCCATAACTTTTTCATCTTTTACCACATGCCTTCTACTACTTCCTGTGTTTTAAGCTATAATTTAATTTCTGTGCTTTAAGATTTATTAAAATTAGGCTACTGATTCTGGTCATTCACTGGTTAAACTCATTCTTATTTATTATCAACTGATTTGTTTTCATTGGAAAATAATGATTGTAATCTCCAGAGGATATTTTGTTTTGTTTTATATTACATTTGGATCTCCTTCAGCATTCATTATTAATTTTTTTCAGATGATCATCTGTCTGATACAGCAGTGCATGTATCCACATTGTTTGCCTGGTCCTTTTATTATAGGTTGTGGGCTGTGGGCAGGATGTCAACCCTCCTTAGGTTGCAGGAAGAAGCTTCCCTGTTCTCTGTCATCCCACAGTCCCTTAGCCAAATGAAGGTAAAGAAGACCTCTCATTTTCAGTTGGAAACTAGAAGACAGACCATTGAGAGAAAAGACCCACAGCCCAAGAATCCTTTACACAACCAGAATTCATTCACATGTCAGGAAAAACGTGAAGTCGTGGATAGGTAAGCACTAACTGAATGCCACCCAAGTTCCCCATATAAGGAAAATGCATGAGAAAAGACTATAACGAAACAACAAACGACCTCAGGCAGACACCTCAACCTGGACCAAGATAAAAGAGACAGTCATGGTGGGGCAAGGCAGGGTGGCCCAGGAATTATGTACACAGGCCCTGAGCAGCACACCTGGATTCAGTTTCTGATTATATCACTCACTGGCTGTGTGAAATTAGGCAAGTATTTAACATCTCTTTGTTTGACTTCTTCATCTGTAAAAGAATAAGAAAAATGGTGGAGCTTATCCCATAGTATGGTCTCAAATAATTAGCTAAAAAATGTAAAGATTTAGAAGAGAACCTAGCACACAATATATGCTCAACTGTCATTATTGCTCTATATATTAGTTTAAGAAAACACTATTTAAGAATATATAATGTGAGTGCTGGATTCTTGAAATACAAGAGACTTTCCATAAGGGAAGTTTTGATACGGTAAGCACTAAACTATCTCAGCAAACCATAGGTATGTGGAGACAAGAAAGTGGATATAGAAGTATCCCAAAAGGTGGGAAGTTTATATAAGAACTAAGGAATGGAGGGAATATAAAGTGCTTTTTAAAATTCTCTTTATATTGGAGGGGTGAGGAAGCAGGTAGGGTTAGAACACTGTGGTAGAAGAAACAGGAATGTAGTTAGTGTCTTGTTTTTAAAACAATCACAGCGACATATGTGTCCGATTAAGAGGCCAGGGAAGGCAACTGTAACCATTAAGGGAATGGAAAAATACACCAGAACCTTGAAATTAACATGAGGGAAAGATAAATGACCAGTAATGTAATCATACTAGCAAAGCCAAGGTGAAGAAAAATAGGGAAACAACAATTAAATTAGCAGTAAACAATTTGGAGTAAGGCGAAACAAATAAAGCCAACGTTTGACCTTGCACTAAATATGAATGAACTGAATTCACCCATTAAAAGTCAGAAAATACTACTTTGGGTTAAAAAAACAAGTTCAGACATGTGAGTTTACTAAGAAGTTCATATTGAGTCGAATCTCTCTGTGTCTCTCCTTCTCTCTCTTTTCCCCTTCCCTCCCCCCCCTTCTCCCTTCCTTCTTTCCTTCCATTTTTGCTCAATAAAGGGATTGAGCAATGTAAAGAAATGCAAACCAAAAGAAAACTGGAATGATGACATTAAAATCAAACAAAATAAAATTTAAGGTTAAAAGACCTTAGCAGAATGAACAGGCATATTGTATAATAATATAAATCTATGTTTATGAAGATGTATCAGCCATTAAATTACACGCATCAAACAACACAGTTATAACATACAGAAAATGCTATCAAAAATGCAAGGAGGCCAGGTGCAGTGGCTCACACCTGTAATCCCAGCACTTTGGGAGGCCGAGGCGGGTGGATTGCCTGAGGTTAGGAGTTCGAGACCAGCCTGGCCAACACGGTGAAACAGTGAAAGTCTGTCTCTACTAAAAATACAAAAATTAGCTGGGCATGGTGGCACGTGCCTGTAATCTCAGCTATTCTGGAGGCTGAGGTGGGAGAATCCCTTGAACCCTGGAGGCAGAGGTTGCAGTGAGCTGAGATGGTACCACTGTACTCTAGACTGGGCAACAAGAGTGAAATTCTGTCTTAAAAAAATAAAATCAAGGAAAAACCTCATACAAGTACAATGAAAGTGAAAGACTTTTAAAATGTATTTTTCCCTCAGAAGTAGATCAATTTACTAAGCAGAAAAATAGTATTTCTTTAGCAAACTCAATGCTTTTGATGTATACATCTTACATTCTTTAAGTAGAGAATATAATTTTCTTCAAGTACCCAAGTATAAAACAATTTATCATGTACTTGTCCACAGAGAAATCCTTACTCAATTCAAAAAGGGGACCCTTTATAGGACCCATACACTATTAAAATTAGAAGTAAATAATAAAATGGAGACCCCTTATTAAAATTTTAAAATACTTAAAAATTAAGAAATAATACTAGATAATATTTGGACCAAAAAGTAAACAGAAAAGTAAATAATTTTCTGGAAATCAATGGGAAGGGGAATAATTTCTTCAAGTCTAATGAAATCTAGCAGCCAACAGGTCTCAGAAAAAAAGTGTAATATTATATATTACTGTTATTGAAGGGTAAAGATGAAATAAAATAACTAGCTACTTAAGGAATTTGAAAATATACAATAAAATAAACCAAAAGAAATTGACAAGAAGGAATTAACTGATAAAAACCTGAATTTAAAGAAATATAAAATAAAACTTATTAAAAGGGTAAATAAGTCCAAAATCAGCTTATCTGAGAGGAAGTTACATATTTCTATTAAACTTCATCTATAAGATCAGGCTCCAGAAAAAAAAACAAACACAAAAACAAAAACCAAAACAAAACAAACAAAACTCAGATAGTTCACTCAAATTAGAGCAATTTCAGAATGGTTTGAAAAAGATATTGTTTATCAAAACAAGGGCATAGGGTAAGAAAACCAAAAAGAGTAACACAGTATGCCAGCTGGTAGCAGTGGAGTTGTTGCCACCCTTGTTGTTGAAAGGAGAAGGAGAGGAAGCGGTAACCAGAATTTGGAAAGAGGAAGTGGTGCAGAGGATATCCTCAGTGACTTTCTGTGGAGAGTTACAGCCAGCCTGAAATGACCCACTGGGGAGGGAGGCAGAGATGTGTGTGTGCGTGCATGCGTGTGTGCGTGTGTGTATAAAATGTCCTCCAGCCCCACTCTATTCCTTATCTCCTGGTATTCTCTATCTGCGAGCCCAGCTGGAAGCCAGAGGGCCCTGGAGTTCACTTATATGGTCCATACTGGTCAGCCTCCTGGGTCACACTGGAGGGGCAAGCCGAGCTATCCAGAACATCAACAAATTAAGAGTGAGTTCTCAGTCTAAATTAATACCTCTAACATATTTCATGCTGGGAAATTATAGGTTGTCACCTAAAAATACGAGACCTATTTTGTTATAGATAGTGGACAAACTACTGGTTTAAATCATATTCATAGGCTTTCTTTGCAGGAAAAAGAAAAAATTAAAAAATTATTGAGTTACGTTATTAAGTCAAGCAAGTTGTTAAAGTACATTTACAATGTGTTCTTATAAAGAGTGTAATCTACTTGCCTAAAGTTTTGAGACAACAAGGAGAAGATTTCAATTAAATAATCTCAAGAGCGTACTTAAAAAATTTTAAAGAATCTTGATAACCCACGTTGGATCAATATTTAAGTGACACGTACGCTACACAGGGGAACTGAGGTTGGAATTTTATTTTGAAGAAAGAAAAATTATCCCCATCTGGTGAAGGAAAGATAGCAGCTTATACAGTGACTTCTCCTATTTCACTAGTGAACTAGGCACTAGTATTGGCTTTGGCTACCATTTACAGTTACATTGATGTGGCATTAAAGACATCCAAGTGTGAAACACCAATCAGTGCTCCAACCAATATTAATCAACACTGTGGCTTGACATTTAGGCTTCCATAGATATTTCAGAATGGCTTCTTCACCCTTGTCAAAGAAATCCAGCGCTTCTTGACCACTGCAAGGTAGTGGGTGTCTGGGCAGAATGGAACAAAAGAAAATGAAGAAATATGACATGGGTTTATTTTCCTTCCTCTTATTTATGTGTGCATTCCATCCTCCTTTTTGATTCCACCATACCAAACTGGATGAGTAATTAACCCTCAAAAATCTGTGACTTCTCTTATTCACTGATTGGGGTACTACAGTACTACTGAAACCTCTCAATGTCAATAATAACATGAAACACCAGGATATGCCAGGGTCTATCCCTTTCCTTTGATTTCCTGGTCTTTTTATAACTCTTGGAAGTCTTCAAGACTTACGCTAGCAGCTTTGATAGTAAATTTACCTATGATGTCAAGTAACAGGATCATAAAAATTAAGAGGTGAGAAAAATCTTAAGGATCATCTAGTCCAAACTCTAATTTTAAGGATGAGAAAAATGAGATCAACAGACTACTTAGCTGGACAGAGGGCATACTCATTAGTGGCCAGGACTAGGAGCTTATATCGCTTTGTATCTAATTAATTGCTTTTTCTATTATTTCTTAATAACTCTTAAATAAAAAATATAATTTAAAGAAAAATTTTATAACTACCTGAAAAAATATATCTAAGAAAGTATTTAAATAAAAATAAAAATAAATAAGTAGAGCAGAATTGTGCTGCTAAAGATTATATAGATTCTTACCCTAATGCCTAAAGTAAATTATATTTGCATGTTAGAAAAAGTGACATCAAGTTTTATTGTAACATCAAATTAGGGTACTTATTTGATCACATGATCTTCTAGTGTCTGAAATATGGTAAACAATACACTGCATTTCTTTATTTTCTTAGGGGTATTGAAAGTAAAGAGAAAGTCTTATGGCACATTATTTTGGAAGGAGAAAATAGTTAAAAATTGTTTTTAATAGAAGAATGGTTAGACTTATAGAACCCTATAATTTGAAGGGCGTATACTGATTTCCAGTCTACCTTTCTACCTAAAATATGAATTCCTTTTGTAGTATCCCTGAGAAGCAGACCATGGTGTCTGCTTACATTTTTCTAGTAATAAGAAACATGCGATCTGTGCAGCCATAGTTTTTGCCAAGATGACATAAAATTCTTCCATATGGAGCCTAACTCAGTCCCTGCAACGCTATACCTTCAACTTGGTAGTATTAGTTCTTCTTTCCTCGAAAGTAAATAAAATAATTTTTGTAACTTTTTTAGTACCCATTGCACATCCATTTAAAGGTTGCTATTCTATTTATCCTAAGTGTTCTATTGCACCAGAATTTCAAGTTTTTTTTAGTTGTTCCACACAAAACATGGCTTTGAATTTCCCAGCCGTTTTAGTGATTCCTCTGAATATAGTAATTTGTCAATGTACTCCTAGAAATGGATTCTTACATAACTATTGTGGATTTCTTATATATTCCAGGTATTGTTTACCAGCTCAAGTGGTTGGTCCATTACGTTCTTGGATTGGGGCATAAAGCTTTCAGTACAGTTCTGGTTCATGTTCACTAGGGAGGCAGGGATTGATAAAATATCCCAGATCTTTTCAACATGAGCCTTGTTTAAATCTCCCTGATCCTATCCTGGTGAAATTCAGTTGATGAAACTTAAATATAGAACTCTACATGTTTTCTTGCTAAATTTTTTCATGAGTTGTTTACAGTGTTCTAGCATGGTGAATGACATGAGCAAGTGACAAAACTTGGTGAGAAATCTGGAGCTTAACCTGGGCAAGGATAAACCCTAGTGTCGTATTTAGAAAAAGCTCTAAACCCTGGGGAATGGAGTTGGGTGTGGGGACATTCTGGCTTTTAAGGGAACACACTGATGGGGATAAAGAAATATTGGCCGGGCCGAACGCGGTGGCTCACGCCTGTAATCTCAGCACTTTGGGAGGCCGAGGCAGGCGGATCACGAGGTCAGGAGATCAAGACCATCTTGGCTAACACGATGAAACCCCGTCTCTGCTAAGAATATAAAAAATTTGCCGGGTGTGGTGGTGGGCGCCTGTCGTCCCAGCTGCTTGGGAGGCTGAGGCAGGATAATGGCGTGAACCCGGGAGGCGGAACTCACAGTGAGCTGAGATCGCGCCACTGCACTCCAGCCTGAGCAACAGAGCGAGTCTCAAAAAATATATATATATTTTATATATTTATATAAAATATGTAAATATAAAATATTATATATTTATATATACAAAATATATATTTTAATATATATATTGTCCGGGCACATTGGCTCATCCCTGTAATCCCAGCACTTTGGGAAGCCAAGACAGGTGGATCACCTGAGGTCAGGAGTTCGAGACCAGCCTGGCTCACATGGCGAAACCCTGTCTCTAATAAAAATACAAAAATTAGCTAGGTGTGGTGGCGGGCACCTGTAATCCCAACTACCTGGGAGACTGAGGCAGGAGAATCGTTTGAACCCGGGAGGCAGAGGTTGCAATGAGCCAAGATCGCCCTACTGCACTCCAGCCGGGGCAACAAGAGTGAAACTCCATCTCAAAAAAAAAAAAAAAAAAAAAAAATCAAAAGAGGAATGAGGCAGAAGGGGAAAAGTAAAAAGCTTCCTAAAGGAAAGTTGAATAATCTGTAGTTTTGTCTGGGGCTGGCTAAAAATCGGGCTTAACAAAAAAACATATTGATATTTTATTATATAGAATTCATCTTTTATGCCAAAAATGTCATGGGGTTGAATTAGCGGTACATTAGTCAAAGATTCTCTATTATTTTGATGCAAACTTTTTTAGAGCAGGACTTTTCAACCCAGTGCTATTGACATTCGGGGCCAAATAATTGTTGTGAGAGGCTATGCTTTGAATTGTATGATGTTTAATAGCATCCCTGGCTGCTACCTGCTAGATGCCAGTAGCACTCTTAGTCTAGCTGTGACAACCAAATATATCTCTGGCACTCTCAAATGTCCCCCGGGGAACAAAATTACCCCTGATTGAGAACAGCTGGTCTAACTCAGTGAATAATTAATAAATCACATCAATCATGGTAAAACACATAATGTTAAATTAGTTGTTAAATAGCCAACAGCAAACAGTAATTTTAGTGAGCATGTCCATTAATAATATGTTTCCTTGCTCGTTTTTGTGCATGGTCCTTGTAAGGAATCATTTATTTATTTTATTTATTTATTTTTTGAGACAGAGTCTCGCTCTGTCACTCCCAGGCTGGAGTGCAGTGGCATGATCTTGGCTCCCTGCAACCTCCACCTCCTGGGCTCAAGCAATTCTCCTGCCTCAGCCTCCGAGTAGCTGGGATTACAGACGCTCACCACCACGCCTGGCTAATTTTTTGTATTTTTAGTAGAAATGGAGTTTCACTGTGTTGGTCAGGCTGGTCTTGAACTCCTGACCTCAGGTAATCCGCCTCAGCCTCCCAAAGTGCTAGGATTACAGGCATGAGCCACCATGCCTGGCCTAATTATTTTTTTTTCCCAGTGCCTCCATGCTATTTATTTGCAAAATCTGTAAAATATTAATTCATTAGGTTAATACTTTTTGAATGTCTACAATGCTCTTGGTGTAATTCTACACATTGGGGTTACAGCAATAAATAAGAAAGTGGAAAACCCCTGCTTTCATAAAGCATGAGTGTCTCTGTGTGTGTGTGTGTGCACGCTCATGAGTAGGTGTGCTGGAAGTGTGATAAACAATAAAATTAAAAAAAAATCACATAGTGCTACAAAGTGATTGAAGTGCCATAAAGAAAACAAAAGCAGAGTAAGACAGAACGAAGAGGGTATGTATCCTTTCATTAATTGGTGGAAAAGACAGCTTGCTTGAGGAGAGGACATTTGAGCAGAAGATGGGATGATATGAAAAAAATGAACCATGAAAGTTCTTAGAAAAGAACATTTTAGCTAGAGGAAATAACATTCTTATGGGATGAATTGCATTCCTCAAAATTCATACATTTAAATCCTAATCCTGGTACCTCAGAAAGTGATTGTACTTGGAGATAGGGCCTTTGGAGATAGGCTAATTAAGGTAAAATGAGGCCGTATGACTGATCCCTCATTCAATATCATTAATGTCCTTGTAAGAGGAGAAAATGTGGACACAGATAATATGTGAGCACAGAACAAAGACCATGTGAGGACCCAGAGAGAAGGTTGTGAGCTGGAGAGAGAGAAGAAATCAAACCTGCTGACTGATACCCTCACCTTGGACTTCCAGCCTCTAGAATTGTGAATAAACATATTTCTGTTGTTTAAGCCATCTAGTCTGTGGTTTTTGATACGCAAAACCTAGCAAATGAAACAAGCATGTCAATTAGAAGGGCTTTGATGTGTTTGATGAACAGCAGTCAGGCCAGAATGAAAGAATGAAAGGAGGAGAGAGTGGTAGAAGGTAGGACTGAAAAAAAAAAAAAAAGACAGGGATCAGATCATGTGGCGATAAGGGGGTTAGTCTTTGTTCTGAGTATAATGTGGACAGGTTTTTGAGCAGGTAACTGACACGAGTGACTTACATTTAAAGATGAGCAATTTACTGCAGCATGAACCATTGACTTTAGAGAGCTAGAACAGAAGCTGTCGATGGATTAATAGGCACGTGTAGCAGCCCACATGAGAAGAGAATGTGGCTTAGACAAGGCTGCCGTTGGAGTAGGTGAGAAATTGTTTGATTCAGGATATGTTCTGAGGGCAGAGCCAACAGATTTTGCTGATAGTCTGGAAGTACTGTGTAAAGGAAAAAGAAGGCAAATACAAATCTTAGGTTTTGCACCTAAGCAAAAGAGCTAATGATGGTTTTATTTTCTGAGAGGGGGAAACTTGAAGGAAGAAGCCTCAAATGTATGCTTTGTTATATTATGTGCATAATGAAATATTTTTCCTTAATTAAAAATTATAACTGTAGTAGATGTGGTGGAAATGCAAAGAATATAGGAGTATATCGAATAAAAAATTTTCTGTTTGTAATCTCACTCCTGAGAGTTGAACATGGCACTGTTAACAGTTAACACTGCATCTTTCTAGGCCTTTTGTTCTAGGTATTTTTAATCTCTCTCTCTCTCTCTCTCTCTCTCTCTCTCTCTCACACACACACACACACACAAACACACACACTTCTTAGGAAACTGATTTATATTATCATGAAAAAAGTGCCAGAATTCTAAAAATATCATTGAAATCAATGGAACATGTATTTATCTCCTCCTTAAAAAAATTTAAGTGAGCTTGCTAGAATTGTATGTAGAAGGTCAGAGAGCGGGTGGTAAAACCACCACTTTGAGGAAAAATGAGTGACATTCTCAAATGGCAATCACTGCTGTTATTCTGGGCTCCAGATTCCGGATCTTTGTTGTCAACTGGATTTAGTTTTTATTAAGGTGAATTTTGTGCAATTGATTCAAATGTTATTTGTCTATAATTCTACAAGTGTATCATTTTTGGGGTCTGGCGAAAAGTTATATATATATTAGCCAATTGAGTAATTTTTTGTTTGATAATTAATATTATTTTAAGGACTATAGATATTTTTATGCAGTGATTTTTTCTTCTAAAATTTTTACATGATTAAACCAAATGTGAACACTGACATTCAAGAAACCAAATTTACTTGCTGAATTCACCAAGTCTCTAGATGGGAAAAACAGAAATGAACAGATTCCATATAAAACATGCAGAGGAAAGGGCAAAATAAATTCAAAATCTTCATCTAAAATAGTTTAACAGATCAAAGTTTTTAACCCACAAAGCACTGTAAAATAAGATAAAGTGAAAATTATGTGTGTGGCTGCTAAGTTAGTATATCACATAGAAATAAACATTGTAATATGTTGTATATGATTCTTGAACAAAGATTCTCAATCATAAACCAACAAATTCTCCATAGCCCACACTATCCTGTTCTTTCTGGTCCTTCTTTCTCTCAATCCCCATACAACAAGAAATATATTCTAGAACAAATGAGCAATACAGTGCTCTGAAAAAGAGTGAGTAAATTCAGAGGACCACATATGGCTCTGGAAAAAGGAAGCATGGCTCACATGCTGTATGGGGTCTTTGGAGAGAGAAACAGTGTATCTATGCCAGTCACTGTGACTAGCCTTTGACATTAACATCTCATTTAATCCTTATATCTCATTTAATCCTTACAATCTGATGACTATTGTTATTCCATTTTGTAGACAAGCAAGCAGACCCAGAGACATTAAGTGACTTGCCCAAGTTCTTCCATTTAGTAAGTTTCAGGAGCAGAGAGGCATACAGACTTGTCAGACCTCAAAGATTAGGTTCTCTCCCCCTTGACACAGTGCCCTCTGCTCTGCATCTGAGCACTGAACAGGTGTTTACCAGAGTAATAATCAATGAGGGATGTCATACATTTGTCTCTTACTATTAGCTCCTTTATATTAGAAATCTTTTACAATTATATTTTCTATGTTCAAACTAAATATAAAGCTCATTGTGTCTCAATCAACTTTACATCTTGAGCCTTTAGCATTGCACGTCACACAGAGTGAATGTGAAACAGACATTATTGATGGGATGGTGAAGGTGAATCTTTTGGCATTCCAAAAAGAGAGAGTGTGTTTATGACAGAAGCCTATTTTTTATTTAAAACTATCTTAAACATACATTATACCATCTTAATATACACAAGGAAAATAAAATAGAGAAATACGAAAAACTTTTATTTAGAAATGTAGATAGGGAATCTATATAGCTTCCAAGACCTACAGACGAAATACATAATCAGTTATGATTTTTTTCCTGTTGGGTTAATCTTTTTTAGTGTTGAATGCACATAGGAATTTTGTTATTTCAAATTATTTATTAATATTAATATAACTCATGGCTGGTGCAGTGGCTCACACCTGTAATCCCAGAACTTGGGGAGGTCTAGACAGGCGGATCACTTGGGGTCAGGAGTTTGAGACCAGTCTGGCCAACATGGTGAAACCCTGTCTCTACTAAAAATATGAAAATTAGCCAGGTGTGGTGGCAGGCACCTGTAATGCCAACTACTCTGGAGGCTGAGGCACGAGAATTGCTTGAACCCTGGAGGCAGAGGTTGCAGTGAGCCGAGATCGTGCCACTGCACTCCAGCCTGGGTGACAGAGTGAGACTCAGTCTCAAAAATAATAATAATAATATTAGTATAA
Organism: Homo sapiens; assembly: GCF_000001405.40. Classification (NCBI taxonomy): domain Eukaryota; kingdom Metazoa; phylum Chordata; class Mammalia; order Primates; family Hominidae; genus Homo; species Homo sapiens. The sequence continues at coordinate 74,917,835 of NC_000006.12, read as the reverse complement.
CTCATTACTCTTCTCTGAGCTGCTAATGTATTGTAAATGTTTACCAAATGGGATAGGTTATTATTGTGCGTGTATTTCCCCATCTAAATGTTAATAGTGACATATAACTCAGGATTTGAATGTTCCTTATTTCTTTACATTTAGCTAATAGAGCTCATTTAAAGATGGCCAAATTTATAGTTTTGTGGTGTTATGTTAAGCAATAGAATATTATTTATAGTACATATTACTCATGAATCATGAGCTTTTATGATACATGTAAATAATTCATATGCCCACTACATTTCTCACAAATAATTTTGCCCTAGCTACAGGAAAATTTCTTCTACAAACAGGCTAGATACCAAATAGGAGTGAAAATTGCTCCTTGAACTTTAAAACTGGAAAAGGTGGGAATAACATTTTTAAGAAATTTAGCTAACAAATTATTGTCTTTATATTTCCAAGATGCAATTTCTTTATGAAGAACTTCAGTTGGCTGAAGCAGATCACAAGTATCTCTCATTGTAAAGAAAGGATAGCACTTTGCAATTAAGACTGAGACAAGTGTCTTTTCTCCAGAAGAAGCAGGGCAAGGTAGAAACAAAGTTCTACTAAGAGGGGAAGGGGAAGTAGGAAGCCACTTGCATTTTCCACGGTATTGTGGGAAGAAGAAGATGGAGGTCAAGTATATGACAGGGCTTCTTACTTTGGATCCAAACATCAGAGAACAAGTTGTGTTCTTTACCTTAAAGTCTAAAGCTGAGGAATATTAGCTCACTCTCTCTTTTGGAAACCTAGAAAGACACTGCCTTAGCTTATGGTCTCAAAATAACACAGTGGGATTATAGTAATGATGTACATTAGTTTAGCAGTAGCCAAAGAAGATGTCTGGATAAATAAGCTTGACTGAGAATTCTCAAGGCTGACCTCAGACTCTGATGTCATAGAAATTCTGACATACTCTGAGGGAGAGGGTGAATATAGTTAAGAGTTTGACTGGTTAACTTGGCAGAGACCTATTCTAATTACGACAAACTGATGTTTCACAAAGACTGGAGAAAAGGAAACTTGCTGAGGCAGGGACCGAATAGAAGTTATAGACAGACCTCATAGGAGGCCCACAGTGCAGGTATAAGCTAATGTAGGGTTGGCTCAGCAAGATATGCAAACAAGAGAACACAAGCTGCCTTGAGACCAACAGGGTGCCAATGATGAGGCTGACAAGGGACAGCACCATGAAGAACAGAGATCCCAAAAGACACAGGACAAGACCAGAACATTTATGTTGTTCCTCCCCCACAATGAAGCCTTATAAACCTTCTATCTTTCTTCACTTGTATCTTCAACCGAGATCCACCTTGAAGGTGAGCATGGAGATGGGAGAAAATTTGAATGACTGAACATTTACTCAAAGGAGACAGAGTAATGGAAAAGGGTCTCTTGTACTTGAAAAAGTTGAGACACCACTGATCTGCAAGGCTAAGATTTCTCTTTCACCTTGGCATGAAGACATGAAGATGAGTAGACAATTTTTTTTTCTGCCCATTTGTAAACCAATGCAGTACTATAATTATTGTTGACAACTTTTTAGGCATATTTTAAAGAATCAATTATTTTCATAGATTGAGACACCAGTGAGGCATGTAGCCTCTTTCCTCTAATGTGGCGGAGAGATCCTTAGCAGCAGTAATTTTGGCATGTACTACCTTGCCACACACTTTTTTTCAGGAGACTTTAAGGGGTCTTTAACTCAGTGAATTATTCCTGGGTAGTAATAGATCATGAACAGTAGCACTTTCATCTAGCTCCACCTTTAAGTTTTCCCTTTCAGGCTTTAAGAACCATTATTGCTGATCCTCTAAATATGCACTAAGATGTCATTCTATTTGGCCAATTTCCTCAACTTTGGTTGATTAATTGATTCATTAACTTAATAAATAAGTACAGAGTACTATGTGCCAGGTATGGTAAACCAAGCTGAAAACTTACCCATTGTCTCTGTCCTTATGGAACTCATATTTTGATTATTTGGATTATTGTCACCACAAAGGCACACTACAACTCTTGCATACATAGTTTGTTCCTTATTCTCTACAGTTGTTCCTATCATCAAACAACTCATCCTTTATGTATGTGCAACATTTGACTTTTTTTATCTCCACTATCAGTTTTACCTTTTTCTGCTTTTATTTCCCTTGTATTTTTATGCCTTTTAATATCACTTTAAACGTTCACTATGTCTGCACTTACAGTGTCTTAAAAAGTTTCTAATGTTTGAAAAACAGTTAACTCATACCTGTAGAAAGCACATCAACGAATGAAGTGCACGATAACCAAATGTGTAACAATCTGCTACAGTCACTAACATCATCTATTGGTGATCAGCTTTCACTCTGAAACACGGTTTTGTTCATATCTATGGAAATTCCTGAGTTAAAGTTTGTAAACTAAAAACAGAACATGTGTTTCATTATTTAGTTGAAGTAAAAAGAAATGATCAAGCAGTAACCAAAGACACAAAAATTAATAATTAAAAATTTTTGCCTTTAGAAACGTATTGCCTGGATGCGGAGACCATTATCTAAAAATAACTTTTAAAATATGTTATATATAAGGTATTAGTGGTGTAATAAATGAAGGTGTGTTGAATTATCTACAAAGAAGAGGTTACATTTGATGTGTGCCTTGAATACTTGGTAAGAGCTGGCTGAGCAGATGGGAAAGAATGATGTGGGCACAGGAAACAGCACATGCAAAGGCAGAGAGGTGGGAAGGTTGCCATGAGGCACAACATGGGAAAGAGAGAGGGAGCTGGAAAATAAATCAGGGTCTGAAGGTGCGGGGTGTTGTGTGTCATGCTAAGGAGGCTGTAGTTAATTCTATAACAATGAGAGCCCCTAGATGCTTTAAAGTTGACCTGTTCACGTTTAGGTTTTGGAACTGTCTGGCCAGTAGGCAAAGGAATATTTGTGCTGAGAGAAGGGTGAGGAAGTAGTGCTATTGTTGGAATATATTCCTTATTTTATTTTATTTTATTTTTTTGAGACCATTGCTTGTAACAGGATTATATTACAGTTTGTGATTTAAAATATCAATATGGAATATCCTACAGAGTGAAAATATGTCTCCCGAGTTACGTACAAGGTATCTATGCAATTATTGACTTGATTGCTTTCTAATAGTGCATTTTATTGCTGAAAACAACCCAATTCTCTGAAATTGGGCACTTTTTCTTTATCTGATCAATAGCACAAGCTTACGACTTGTAATTTCCAATACCTCCAGCTTATTTTGTGTAGACATACTTATTTCAAGTTCTTATTGTAGAAAGTGTGTTTGGTTCATTCATTCTTGTAATCCTGATATGCTTTTACACTTTAGTTATTTTATAAGCTAACATTGCTGAAGAGAGTAATTGGATTGAGCTTCAAATGAAAATAAATCTAAAATTATTTTTCCTTACAAAAAGTCTAAAAAATTATTAACAAATTTGTAAACTCTAAAGATGTGCAAAAACCTATGCTAAGGTCAATATAATGCCTTTTTTCATCTTGGCTTTATTTTTAAGAAAATAAAATTTAGAGTTGCTATAAAATCCTATTGTAAATTCAATTTAAAAATTCAACACTGAGTATAAAATCTCTAACACTATGAATGCAGATATTGGTGGAGCATCTTGTCATAGTATACATAGTGCTCTTATGAAATTAAAAAATGTGTAGAGATATCTATTTGGAATTGGTTGTCAAAATGTATAATTATTTAAACACAAATTTAGAATAACTAAACTATAATTCTTTTGTGAAAACGGTGACATTGAATAAAAAAATGGCAATGCATATTTTTTCCCTGTACCTACCGGTAATTAGATGCTAAAATACACTTGAGCTTAAACCAATCTAGTTTACAATGGAATTGCAGTGTTTGTAAATATGTCCTTTAGATGTTGGCTCATTTTTTTTTCAAATTTGTTGGAAATCTTTAATCAAAATATTTAATAAATGTGGTCCTAAAACTGAAGTTTTCAAAGCTTTTTAACAAATCTCAATTATTGAGAACAGTGCTTGAGACAGGAAAACAATGATGTTTATATCCCTAAAGTAAAGAAGAAAATGATCCAATTAAATGACATGAGCTCTGGTGGATTCAAGATTTAATTTGTAAATTCTATAATGGTATTTTAGAATATCCTGACTTGTGAGAAAAAAACTTTTAATAAAACTCCTATTTTAATTGAACAGTTTAAAAATTCTGTATTGGAATTGAAATGAAATTGAGAGGGCCTACAATTTTGCAGTGTTTAAATTTGGAAAAATATTCAAAGGATCATAGAGACAACTTATTTTAATAAGTTTTGCACAAAATGAAGTTCTCTGGAGAACTCTGGATGAAATTATTTGTGCTGTAAAATTAATCTATTTCAACACAAAAAATAAAAATAGAAATGAGAATAACCTTCATTTAGCAGGTATTTTTCTGAGTATGTCAAACCTTTGGAAAATATATTTCTCAGTAAAGTATATTTTCTATAGAAAATTAAATTAAAAGTGTTATAATTTCAAATTTACTTCTCATAAAATACAATTTTACAAAATATTGCAGGATATTTTCTAAAAAACTTAAAAAAATGAAAAACTTTCTCAAAAATATTATTTTAGGGATAGAAATATGTATCAAGAATAGTTAACATATGTTATTTTTAATATTCAACTAATCAATATATTTTAATTTATGTGTTTAATTTTTGTTTTTTGAAAATTATAATTTATATTAATTTTATTAAAATAATTTTTGAATAAAACTATTTTACAGATTTACCAATCTAATAAAACAAATTGTCTGTTAATAAATAAATAATTCATAAAGTATATATCTTCATTATTTTAGTAATTTTGCTCATACTCAGAAGTATCCTGGCTAACAATAAATTATACAGTCACTTTATTTAACAGCTGCATGACCTTGAGAAAATCATCACTTCCATTAACCTTTAGTTTTCTCATCTAAGAAATAGAGATGATATTACCTATCTCAAACTTAATTATGAGGTATAAAGTAAATAATGTATATAAAGTGCTGATCACAGTACTTGCATATAATTATCATTTGATAACTAGCAATATTATTAACATAATGGTTCTTTTAAAAGAGGCTAGTGTTTTTTTTTTCTTCCCCCTAAGATGGTAGAGTACAGGCTTTTAGCGTGCCTCACTCACTTGGAAATAGCAAGATAGTGTATAAAGATAAACTCTATGAACTTTAATTCAAGAAGGAAAATGGGAATCCACTGGAATCATGAAGGACATCCCAGATCCCAGGGAGGAGAACGAGAGCAAACAGCCCCTCTGACGGCATCTGGCTGATAAAAGTGAGTGAAGCCCCAGTACATGAGAGAGGCAGAGAGTCTCCCTCTGTGACTCACCTTTCCCTTAGGGATCTGAGCAGCCCAGGCTGAGGGACAGCACTTTATTTCTCCCAAGTCCTGGAGCTAACTTGGGGAGAGGCTTGGAGATGCTGTGAGAGAAAGATACTGGGAGAAGCTGCAGGCATTTTCCCAGACCCAGGACTGAGAACAGGATGCCGTTTTTAATCTAGGTGCTTACAAGGTCAGGCATTCTTTGGAGACCCGGCAGCATGGCCATGCAGGCATTTAGTCTGCCTAAATGCAGAAGTTCTAGTCTATAGTGATTATCTATTATAACTTCGATGGTAATAAAATAAAGTAAAAAAAAATTTAAAAAGAAAAATAATAGATGCTACAATCAGACAATCGACAAGTATTTAAGGAACATTTTCCACTTGCATAACATTATGCTAGCTATTATGACAAATGCAGGGATAAAACAGACTCTTACAGCCTGCTAGAGGAGATACCATTTACATTCATGAAAAATGACTATGTTTAACCTATTATAGTTTTAATTACATATCTGTGTGGTTACAGAAGTAGAAAGGAGTTCGGGATAGGAGTGACTACTGTGACCTGGGGTTATCATTTAATCTTTACAATATGCTTAGCACTATGTAAGAAACTGAAAATACAAGAAGACAGAGTTCTTATTCTCAAGAAACTCAGAATCTCCTGAACCAAGGTAAGCTTCAGGTATCAGGTGAGATACACTATTCTGGGCGGTAGAATAGAACTTCACATACAGGGATAAGCATTGTAGGTGGAGTGAGCTTTGTTTATGAGGGTGGTTGGCTTGGCTGGAGTGGAGGGAGCATTGGAGAGTGATGGGAGGTAAGCCTGAGTAAGCAAAGTAAGAAATTCCACAATAAAAACACTTGGGATTGCTTTCTGAGCATAGCATTTGTGTGTAGTCTGGCATAAAAGTATATTTCTGAAGACCTGCTAGGTTGCTAAGTTTTCTGTTAGTAGCTTTATAATTCTTACATTCCTCCTGTATTACACGGAGAACAAATAATATGGGCTTTACTCTTGTTAACACTTGTTCCTGTATCAACCAGTTCTCAATCATGTGGAAAGATGGCATTAGCAGCCACACTATGGTGTGGAGTTATTATGTGGGTAGATTTTTTCACACATATGACACAAAAAACATTCTGCACAATAGCATATTAGACCTCATTTCTTTATTTAATAGAAGGAAACCAAGGTCCATAGCAGTTGCCTAAGATCCCACTCAATGTGTGGAGGGCCGGGACCCAAACTATATTCTCCTGATGCCTGGCAGGGGCTTTTTCCACTACATCAGCATCTCCACGATGGGATCCCAGGAATACTCATTCCAGAGGTGTTAATTGGGGCTTACAGAACAAAAGTTTCTAGGGAGAAAAATAACCTTGGAAATATTGCATGTTAAATTCTTCTCTTGAAGATCCAAAGTTCACAGTAGTGCATTAAAGACAAGAGTTCCAACAGTAAAGAAGAAACTTATTTAACAATGTTAAATAGTTAAAATGACTTATTTGTAGAAAAGACTTTTCTTTGTATACCTTTCTAATGGGAAATTATTTTCCCTTAAGTTTGAAATGACTTCACTGTCTTCATCCTCATTTCTCAAATTTAGGGTAGCCCAATAGGCTTTGCTGTGGGTAGCTGAGATGAGGAGGGCCAGGATTCCTACTGAAAAGACAGCAGACGGGTTTCACAGCAGGGCTTCAGCCTCAGAGGTGATTGAAGGAATAACTGGAACCCTGTTTTATTGAGTGTCACCAGACTGATGAGGCTTGTACTGGGCTGAAATATGAGCTAAGTGTATCTTGTTTCTCACTTACTGAAAGCAGTGTGGCCAGCAGTTGAGAACTAGATCTATGTATCAGCTAGCCTTGTTCTTGCCCCGTAGTAACTCTGTGATATTGGGGAAGTTATTTCAGCTTTTGAGCCTCCCTTTTCTCATCTGTAGGATAGAGCTAATGATTCCTAAGTCTTAGAATTTTTGTAAGGCTGAGATGCTGTAATATAGAACATCTAATGTGTTACATATAATGTATGATATATATTTTTTGTAAGGTTCCTAGCAGAATTCTTGGCACATAGTTTGTGCTTGTGTTCAGCTCTATGGGTATTATGTGATAGCTCCTGCTTACAGAGTGAATGTGACAGGCCTATATGAGTGCCTTTACACATGTAAATATATATGTAACACACATGTACATAGTATGCTTTATATTTGTATATTAGAAATAATAGCTGCCATTTAGTGAAATTTCCTGTATGCCAACCACTCTACTAATGCTTTTTATGAGTTACCTCATTTAATCTTGTCAATGATCAGGTTCATTCTTTTAATATTTACATTTTATGGAGCAGAGAATTGAGGCACAGAAGGGTTACATAACTTTCCCAAGGTTATATTATTAATACATTGGCAGAGCCAGGCTTCAAATCCAGTAAAATGCTGTGCTTTTCTGCCTCTTTAATCAAGATAAACTATAGATTCATTTTTATTTTTATTTATTTATTTTTATTTCATCTTATTATTATTACACTTTAAGTTTTAGGGTACATGTGCACAATGTGCAGGTTTGTTACATATGTATACATGTGCCATGTTGGTGTGCTGCACCCACTAACTCGTCATTTAGCATTAGATGTATCTCCTAATGCTATCCCTCCCCCCTCCCCCTGCCCCACAACAGTCCTCGGAGTGTGATGTTCCCCTTCCTGTGTCCATGTGTTCTCATTGTTCAATTCCCACCTATGAGTGAGAACATGCGGTGTTTGGTTTTTTGTCCTTGCCATAGTTTGCTGAGAATGATGGTTTCCAGTTTCATCCATGTCCCTCCGAAGGACATGAACTCTTCATTTTTTATGGCTGCATAGTATTCCATGGTGTATATGTGCCACATTTTCTTAATCTAGTCTATCACTCTTGGACATTTGGGTTGGTTCCAAGTCTTTGCTATTGTGAATAGTGCCACAATAAACATACGTGTGCATGTGTCTTTATAGCAGCATGATTTATAATCCTTTGGGTATATACCCAGTAATGGGATGGCTGGGTCAAATGGTATTTCTACTTCTAGATCCCTGAGGAATCGCCACACTGACTTCCACAATGGTTGAACGAGTTTACAGTCCCACCAACAGTGACAAAGTGTTCCTATTTCTCCACATCCTCTCCAGCACCTGTTGTTTCCTGACTTTTTAATGATCACCATTCTAACTGGTGTGAGATGGTATCTCATTGTGGTTTTGATTTGCATTTCTCTGATGGCCAGTGATGATGAGCATTTTTCCACGTGTTTTTTGGCTGCATAAATGTCTTCTTTTGAGAAGTGTCTATTCATATCCTTCGCCCACTTTTTGATGGGGTTGTTTGTTTTTTTCTTGTCAATTTGTTTGAGTTCATTGTAGATTGTGGATATTAGCCCTTTGTCAGATGAGTAGGTTGCGAAAATTTTCTCCCATTTTGTAGGTTGCCTGTTCACTCTGATGGTAGTTTCTTTTGCTGTGCAGAAGCTCTTTAGTTGAATTAGATCCCATTTGTCAATTTTGGCTTTTGTTGCCATTGCTTTTGGTGTTTTAGACATGAAATCCTTGCGCATGCCTATGTCCTGAATGGTATTGCCTAGGTTTTCTTCTAGGGTTTTTATGGTTTTAGGTCTAACGTTTAAGTCTTTAATCCATCTTGAATTAATTTTTGTATAAGGTGTAAGGAAGGGATCCAGTTTCAGCTTTCTACATATGGCTAGCCAGTTTTCCCAGCACTATTTATTAAATAGGGAATCCTTTCCCCATTGCTTGTTTTTCTTAGGTTTGTCAAAGATCAGATAGTTGTAGATATGCGGCATTATTTCTGAGGGCTCTGTTCTGTTCCATTGATCTATATCTCTGTTTTGGTACCAGTACCATGCTGTTTTGGTTACTGTAGCCTTGTAGTATAGTTTGAAGTCAGGTAGCATGATGCCTCTGGCTTTGTTCTTTTGGTTTAGGATTGACTTGGCGATGCGGGCTCTTTTTTGGTTCCATATGAACTTTAAAGTAGCTTTTTCCAATTCTGTGAAGAAAGTCATTGGTAGCTTGATGGGGATGGCATGGAATCTATAAATTACCTTGGGCAGTATGGCCATTTTCATGATATTGATTCTTTCTACCCATGAGCATGGATTGTTCTTCCATTTGTTTGTATCCTCTTTTATTTCATTGAACAGTGGTTTGTAGTTCTCCTTGAAGAGGTCCTTCACATCCCTTGTAAGGTGGATTCCTAGGTATTCTATTCTCTTTGAAGCAATTGTGAATGGGAGTTCACTCATGATTTGGCTCTCTGTTTGTCTGTTATTGGTGTATAAGAATGCTTGTGATTTTTGCACATTGATTTTGTATCCTGAGACTTTGCTGAAGTTGCTTATCAGCTTAAGGAGATTTTGGGATGAGACAATGGGGTTTTCTAGAGATACAATCATGTCATCTGCAAACAGGGACAATTTGACTTCCCCTTTTCCTAATTGAATGCCCTTTATTTCCTTCTCCTGCCTAATTGCCCTGGCCAGAACTTCCAACACTATGTTGAATAGGAGTGGTGAGAGAGGGCATCCCTGTCTTGTGCCAGTTTTCAAAGGGAATGCTTCCAGTTTTTGCCCATTCAGTATGATATTGGCTGTGGCTTTGTCATAGATAGCTCTTATTATTTTGAGATATGTCCCATCAATACCTAATTTATTGAGAGTTTTTAGCATGAAGAGCTGTTGAATTTTGTCAAAGGCCTTTTCTGCATCTATTGAGATAATCAGGTGGTTTTTGTCTTTGGTTCCGTTTATATGCTGGATTACATTTATTGATTTGCGTATGTTGAACCAGTCTCACATCCCAGGGATGAAGCCCACTTGATGATGGTGGATAAGCTTTTTGATGTGCTGCTGGATTCGGTTTGCCAGTATTTTATTGAGGATTTTTGCATCAATGTTCATCAAGGATATTGGTCTAAAATTCTCTTTTTTTTGTTGTGTCACTGCCAGGCTTTGGTATCAGGATGATGCTGGCCTCATGAAATGAGTTAGGGAGGATTCCCTCTTTTTCTATTGATTGGAATAGTTTCAGAAGGAATGGTACCAGCTCCTCCTTGTACCTCTGGTAGAATTCGGCTGTGAATCCATCTGGTCCTGGACTTTTTTCGGTTGGTAATCTATTGATTATTGCCACAATTTCAGAGCCTGTTATTGGTCTATTCAGAGATTCAACTTCTTCCTGGTTTAGTCTTGGGAGGGTGTATGTGTCAAGGAATTTATCCATTTCTTCTAGACTTTCTAGTTTATTTGCGTAGAGGTGTTTGTAGTATTCTCTGATGGTAGTTTGTATACTGTGGGATCGGTGGTGATATCCCCTTTATCAATTTTTTTTGCATCTATTTGATTCTTCTCTCTTTTCTTCTTTATTAGTCTTGCTAGCGGTCTATCGATTTTGTTGATCTTTTCAAAAAACCAGCTCTGGATTCATTAATTTTTTGAAGGGTTTTTTGTGTCTCTATTTCCTTCAGTTGTACTCTGATTTTAGTTATTTCTTGCCTTCTGCTAGCTTTTGAATGTGTTTGCTTTTCCTTTTCTAGTTCTTTTAATGGTGACGTTAGGGTGTCAATTTTGGATCTTTCCTGCTTTCCCTTATGGGCATTTAGTGCTATAAATTTCCCTCTACACACTGCTTTGAATGTGTCCCAGAGATTCTGGTATGTTGTGTCTTTGTTCTCATTGGTTTCAAAGAACATCTTTATTTCTGCCTCCATTTCGTTATGTACCCAGTAGTCATTCAGGAGCAGGTTGTTCAGTTTCCATGTAGTTGAGTGGTTTTGAGTGAGTTTCTTAATCCTGAGTTCTAGTTTGATTGCACTGTGGTCTGAGACACAGTTTGTTATAATTTCTGTTCTTTATATTTGCTGAGGAGTGCTTTAATTCAAGGAGTGACAACTATGTGGTCAATTTTGGAATAGGTGTGGTGTGGTGCTGAAGAAATATATATATATTCTGTTGATTTGGGGTGGAGAGTTCTGTAGATGTCTATTAGGTCTGCTTGGTGCAGAGCTGAGTTCAATTCCTGGGTATCCTTGTTAACTTTCTGTCTCGTTGATCTGTCTAATGTTGACAGTGGGGTGTTAAAGTCTCCCATTATTATTGTGTGGGAGTCTAAGTCTCTTTCTAGGTCTCTAAGGACTTGCTTTATGAGTCGGGGTGCTCCTGTATTGGGTGCATATATATTTAGGATAGTTAGCTCTTCTTGTTGAATTGATCCCTTTACCATTATGTAATGGCCTTCTTTGTCTCTTTTGATCTTTGTTGTTTTAAAGTCTGTTTTATTAGAGACTAGGATTGCAAGCCCTGCCTTTTTTTGTTTTCCATTTGCTTGGTAGATCTTTCACCATCCCTTTATTTTGAGCCATGTGTGTCCCTGCACGTGAGATGGGTTTCCTGAATACAGCACACTGATGGGTCTTGACTCTTTATCCAATTTGCCAGTCTGTGTCTTTTAATTGGAGCATTTAGTCCATTTACGTTTAAAGTTAATATTGTTATGTGTGTATTTGGTCCTGTCATTATGATGTTAGCTGGTTATTTTGCTTGTTAGTTGATGCAGTTACTTCCTAGCCTTGATGGTCTTTACATTTTGGCATGTTTTTGCAGTGGCTGGTACCAGTTGTTCCTTTCCATGTTTAGTGCTTCCTTCAGGAGCTCTTTTAGGGCAGGCCTGAGGGTGACAAAATCTCTGAGCATTTTCTTGTCTGTAAAGTATTTTATTTCTCCTTCACTTATGAAGCTTAGTTTGGCTGGATATGAAATTCTGGGTTGAAATTTCTTTCCTTTAAGAATGTTGAATATTGGCCTCCACTCTCTTCTGGCTTGTAGAGCTTCTGCTGAGAGATCAGCTGTTAGTCTGATGGGCTTCCCTTTGTGGGTAACCCGACCTTTCTCTCTGGCTGCCCTTAACATTTTTTCCTTCATTTCAACTTTGGTGAATCTGACAATTATGTGTCTTGGAGTTGCTCTTCTCAAGGAGTATCTTTGGGCGTTCTCTGTATTTCCTGACTCTGAATGTTGGCCTGCCTTGCTAGATTGGGGAAGTCCTCCTGGATAATATCCTGCAGAGTGTTTTCCAACTTGGTTCCATTCTCCCCGTCATTTTCAGGTACACCAATCAGACGTAGATTTGGTCTTTTCACATAGTCCCATATTTCTTGGAGGCTTTGTTCATTTCTTTCTATTCTTTTCTCTCTAAACTTCCGTTCTCACTTCATTTCTTTCATTTCGTCTTCCATCACTGATACCCTTTCTTCCAGTTGATTGCATTGGCTCCTGAGGCTTCTGCATTCCTCATGTTGTTTTTGAGCCTTGGCTTTCAGCTCCATCAGGTCCTTTAAGGACTTCTCTGCATTGGTTGTTCTAGTTATCTATTCATCTAATTTTTTTTTCAAAGTTTTTAACTTCTTTGCCGTTGGTTTGAATTTCCTCCTTTAGCTCAGATTAGTTTGATCGTCTGAAGCCTTCTTCTCTCAGCTCGTCAAAGTCATTTTCTGTCCAGCTTTGTTCCATTGCTGTTGAGAAGCTGCGTTCCTTTGGAGGAGGAGAGTGCTCTGATTTTTAGAGTTTCCAGTTTTTCTGCTCTGTTATTTCCCCATCTTTGTGAATTTTATCTACCTTTGGTCTTTGATGATGGTGACATACAGAAGGGTTTTTGGTGTGGATGTCCTTTCTGTTTGTTACTTTTCCTTCTAACAGACAGGACCCTCAGCTGCAGGTCTGTCGGAGTTTGCTAGAGGTCCACTCCAGACCCTGTTTGCCTGGGTATCAGCAGTGGTGGCTGTAGAACAGTGGATCTTGGTGAACTGCAAATGCTGCTGTCTGATTGTTTCTCTGGAAGTTTTGTCTCAGAGAATTACCCGGCGGTGTGAGGTGTCAGTCTGCTCCTACTGGGGGGTGCCTCCCAGTTAGGCTGCTCGGGGGTCAGGGACCCACTTGAGGAGGCAGTCTGCCCATTCTCAGATCTCAAGCTGCGTGCTGGGAGAACCACTACTCTCTTCAAAGCTGTCAGACAGGGACATTTAAGTCTGCAGAAGTTACTGCTGTCTTTTTGTTTGTCTGTGCCCTGCCCCCAGAGGTGGAGCCTACAGAGGCAGGCAGGCCTCCTTGAGCTGTGGTGGGCTCCACCCAGTTCGAGCTTCCGGGCTGCTTTGTTTACCTAATCAAGCCTGGGCAATGGCAGGTGCCCCTCCCCCAGCCTGCTGCCGCCTTGCAGTTTGATCTCAGACTGCTGTGCTAGCAATCAGCGAGACTCTGTGGGTATAGGACCCTCTGAGCCATGTGCGGGATATAATCTCCTGGTGTGCTGTTTTTTAAGCCCGTTGGAAAAGCGCAGTATTAAGGTGGGGGTGACCCGATTTTCCAGGTGCTGTCACCCTTTTCTTTGACTAGGAAAGGGAACTCCCTGACTCCTTGCACTTCCTGAGTGAGGCAATGCCTCACCCTGCTTCGACTCGCACACGGTGCACTGCACCCACTGTCCTGCACCCACTGTCTGGCACTTCCTAGTGAGATGAACCTGGTACCTCAGATGGAAATGCAGAAATCACCCATCTTCTGCGTCGCTCAGGTTGGGAGCTGTAGACTGGAGCTGTTCCTATTCGGCCATCTTGGCTCCACCCCCAGATTCATTTTTAAATTTCTATTTTTGTGTTAGACATTTAAACATAGTATAATACAATAGATATTCAGAAATTATTTTGAAATCTATAAAACAATACTAAAATTAGTATAAATTTTTAAAAATCTATTATACAATCATCCAAATGTAATGTTTTCACATGATATATTTCCTTTTAGCCTTTGTGCAAATTAATATTTTTCCATATTTGTAACCAATATTGTGTTCTTGTTTATCAGTAATAATAAATCATAACAGTTTGAATTTTCATTTTAGTTTTCATAATTATTTTTAATCACTAAATAATATTTCCTCAAGATGACATAACATAATTTGCCTGATCATTCCTCTATTGCCAGACATTTTGATCTATTCCAGCCTTCTAATTGTTCTGCATACATGATTTAGGGTCACTTTTCATGAAAATTCATAAAACCCTAAAAACAAACAAACAAACCTGAATTCTGGGATTTTAGTTACAGAATATCACTATCCTTTGGAAAAGCAAGTTAGTATATTCTAGGATTTTAAAAGGCTGGCCAGAGTTGCACAGTTGCAATTCTTTGGAAGAGGACTTGGTACAGCCTGCTCACACAAGCATCCCCTTGGACTTTTATCATCACACATATTTTACACTCAGAAATGGAAGAGGGAGTGAACAAACAATGCCAAGTTCCTACAGAAGAGAAACCCATTTCATATTATCAATCACCTCTTGGAATAAGTTACACGGTGTCAATCACGCTGCTAAAATGAACTTCCATTGCTGGTTCCATGTTTTCTGTTGTTTTTGTCTTCTCTTTATCCTGTAAGCTATACTCAGAGTGTTGCTGTTAATAAAAGAATATGCTTCTTCTATTTCTCTAGAAAGATACCTAGCATACCTCTGTAATTTCTGGATCCAGAAAACATTATTTTTCCTCATTGAGTCCACCTACCTAAAACTACATTTTCATTCTCCATATTACCTTCATTATTACAAGTTTTGACAGAATATGAGATATTCATACACATTTTATTCATCAGACTTTTTTTTCTGAAGTTATGGAATACATTTAGAAATGGCTTGGTTCATTTTTCCATCTAACTTTTAGCTACTGAATAATGCCATGCTATCCATTTTGGATCATACTTATATTAGAAATAAACATTTATTGAGGTTTCAAAATTTCTTATTGTTTTCCAGAGTAAGGCATACATTAAATTTGGTATTACAATTTATCCTAACAGTACAGAGCCTGCTTAGGAAACAGTTCATTTTTTTCAGAGTATAATGAAACGTTAAACTTTGTGTATCTTTCTTGGAGGGCCAAGTACAGCTTGCCTACATCTGCAACCCTAGGGGAAATGATCACTGCATAAACTTCATATTTTTTAATGGAAAAGAACAAGCAATAGCTCTCCAAAGACTCCTTTAAGAAAGGCAAAATTATGGAACTTGAATATTTTCTGAAATGTTTGGCTTCATGATATATTTACATTAGGAACTCAGTGTTTTCCTTGAGCCCTCAAACTTTTATTTTAAGACTTGTATCATTCTAAAGCTATAAGTTAACTGCTGAAGGATGGAATTTTACAGGATGTACTGTGGACAGGGTGCAGGCAGAGGAAAGCATATGTTCTCACACTTTAAGTTGCTAGGGGAAAAAGGTATTTTAGCCCAAATTGGCATCAGATGGCAGGAAAGTCTTGGTTGGTTAAAAAAAAGTCTGCTATGTTGAACCACAATGAATGAGCTCCTCAGAATCATGTACATTTAAAAAAATGATTCATATTTTTATGCAAACTTGGAGAAAATTTGGGAAGGAAGGGATCTTGAGTTCGTAGGTCGAGGTTAGATTTCCATCAGCATTTTCATCTTCCATTGCGGTGCCAGTGTTGCAATATCCATTCTAGCTGAGGAAAATACAACCAGAGCTCATTCTCAAAATCTCCAACCACCAGACATTTCCACTCAAACAACCTGCCACCATCTGAAACTTATTTAATGTTGGACTGATCTTTTCACTGCTCCCTGAACCTATTCCTTTTCTTTCCTTCCTTGTATTAATATAATTGTTTTCTCATCCCTTAGACATGAAGGCTTGAAATTAATTTTAACTTTCTCTCCCTTACATTCAATGAGTCACCAAGTTCTTTATTACATCTTTCCTGTGTATCTGTCCCCTCCTGGCCATCTCCACAGCCTCTTCTTATACCATACCTTGGAAGC
This sequence comes from Homo sapiens, assembly GCF_000001405.40. Classification (NCBI taxonomy): domain Eukaryota; kingdom Metazoa; phylum Chordata; class Mammalia; order Primates; family Hominidae; genus Homo; species Homo sapiens. Next base: position 74,901,552 of record NC_000006.12, on the reverse strand, counting down.
AGCACACACTTGATCCAGAACAGATTTTTTTTTTTTTTTTTTTTTTTTTTTTTTTTTTTTTTTTTTTTTTTGGAGTTAGATACCCTGGACTCAAACCCCAAAACTGTCATTTACTAGCCTGGTAAAATAAAATAGGGTTGTTAGGGTCATCTTATAAAATTGTTATAACTAAAAATAATGTACATAAAGCATAATACTTGACACAAAGCAAGCTCTGTAAATGAAAGTTGATTTCCGTCTTGCTGCTCTTCTTTCCAAGCTCAACACTGCCAATTCAGTCTAACTAAACCATTTTCAGCATACTATCCTCACCCTCTGGACTTGCCATTACTCACTGCACCCCAAAGACTGGTTTTAAGCTATGTGGTTATCATCTCTTCCTCTACATACTTGAACGCTTTACTCCATCTAACCAGATTTTTTTTTTTTTTTAACAAGCCCCAGAAACTGCTTTGTAATTTCCCACCTTTCATTGCTGTCCTGCTTTGGCTGATACTACCCTATTCACTAGGAGTATCTTCTCTCTGTAAATCCTTTCTACATATCAAAATCTTGTAAACTCTTTAGGATAATGTCAAACCTATCATTACTGCAAAGTGATGCCTAACTGTGGCAGATGAGAGTAATTCTGTCATCTTCTGAACTTTTGTAGTTGTTAGTGTCAGTGACTAACTTTTTGGGCATAACCTTGTGCCTTATGATATGGCTTTAGTATTATTCTGAACTTTTCTTGATGTGTATTACTGTTACTTAACCTTCCATGTGTTTATTTCTTAGCTCTTCAATTGTTTTCTCAGTTCCTTGAAGGCGGAAAGCATGTGATTTACTCTGTAGTCTCTGTCATAATATCTAGGACTTAGTAAATCTTACTAAATCATAAGTGATTGAAGAGGATACAATTACTCTTGCCTGACATTTAGATATCTTGGATTAATATATGGGGCAAACTTTTATAGAGGCATAAAGTTGTGGAGCACTTGCTTTGTGCTAAGTACTAAGCTGGGTAATGGGGATAGAGAGGTTGATAACATGGTTCCTCAAGGAGCTCACTCTGGGAGAAATGGACATGTAAATACATTCATGCAAGAGGGGGTATGTGTAAACTAGTACTAGACATACTTGCAGCACAAGGGAGGTTGTCTTGCATTCTGCATAAGGAGGCAGAGATGGTGAGAGAAGCAGAGGAGAAACCTGAGAGCTGGTTCTTGTAGAATGAGAAGTACTTTGCTCAAGAAATGGATGTGTGTGTTAGTATGTGGGTGGGAAAAAGAAGGAGTATCCTTTGAGGTACATGGTAATTCATAGAAAAGAGACCATCTGTAGGAAATATAACAATCCTTTCAGGAGAATATGGAAATAGAGACTTCTGGTTCCAAAATGGTATCATAGAAGCAAGTTGGCTACACTCCCCCCACCACAGAAAACCAAAAATAAATATATAGCACCAAGATTTATCAACAGTAATATCCCAGAACTGATATACAAGGAGACAGTTCCCAAGGCACAGAGAAGTGGAAAAACTCCAAGCAGGTGGTAAGAGAATAGGACTTCCATTCTGTGATGCTCCTCCTCCGAATCTGATTGGCACCAAAAATGCAGAAAATTTCTTCCCAACTCATTGTCTCTACACTAGAAAAAGTGAAGTCGAGGTGAACAAGCAGTTTTCCTAACATCCTGGATTTCCTGGCAGGCAGCCTGTTCCTGTCTCAACCCACAGGAACCATCAAGGGAGCCTGAAGGAAGAGACATTCCTTCAGGCAGAGACAAATGAAGGTGGGACAACAATCCCCAGCCTAGGAAACTCTGCTCTATAACTCAGCCAAGGGAGATGCCAAATCAGAGTGACTGTTCAGCAGCACCGTTCAGGAAGTTTGTTCCCACAGATGTCTTGGGCAAGATCCCCTAGCCAGCTTTCCCACACTGCCAGAATAACTCCTTTGGTATCTCCCTCGTGTGGGATGGGCAATGCTCTTATCGTTTACTAGAGCTGAGGCAAACCTGGACTTAAGGTGCCGTCTAGTGGTAAAAAAAAGGCAGCAACTTACCAGAAAAAATGATATTTGATAGGTAAATTACAAAAAAACTCTAAGCAAACATATTCAGTAATAAGCAAAATGAGCCAGACATAGAAGACTTGCATAAATAATTCTTTAATGCAAAGACATAGAAATACATCCACAAGAAATAGCAAACAGGGAACCATGACTCCTCAAATGGATAAAAAGAAATGGCTCACCCTAATGAGATGGTGATATGTGAGTTTTCTGATCAGGAATTGAAAATGACACTTATAATTTTTTTTTTGAGATGGAGTCTCACTCTCTCGCCCAGAATGGGAGTGCAGTGGCGCAATCTCCGCTCACTGCAAGCTCCACCTCCTGGGTTCACGCCATTCTCCTGCCTTGGCCTCCCAAGTAGCTGGGACTACAGGCACCCGCCACCACGCCTGGCTAATTTTTTGTATTATTTTTAGTAGAGACGGGTTTCACCGTGTTAGCCAGGATGATCTCGATCTCCTGACCTTGTGATCTGCCAGCCTCTGCCTCCCAAAGTGCTGGGGTTACAGGCTTGAGCCACCGTGCCCGGCCGAAAGTGACACTTTTAAGGAAACTCAGTGATCTCCAAGATGCCATAGAAAAAAATCAATTCAGAAACTTACAGAATTTTAATAAAGACATTAAAATAATTTAGAAAAACAAATCTTGGAACTTAGAAATGCATTTACTGAGCTGAAAAATTTATTATAGGATTTCTACAACAAAATTGATCAAGAAGAATTAGTGAGCTTGAAGACAGGCTATTCTAAAATACAGACGAATAAAATAAAAAAGAATGAATATTATATATGATATACAGAAAATTACCTAAAAGGATCAAATTTAAGAAATGTTGATGTTCAAAAAGGAGTTCAGTAGCAGCAAAGCTTATTCATATAAATAATAATAGAAAACATTCCAAAATTGAGAAAGATCTAAATATCCAGGTACAGATAGAAGGGCAGAGAGCACCAAAGAAATTTGACCCAAATAAGATTACCTTAAGGCATATAATAATCAAACTGTCAAAGGTCAAGGTCAAAGAAAGGATCCTAAAAGCAGAAAGAAAAAGGAAGCAAATACCATGTAAAGGAGCTCCAATTCATCTGGCAACAGACGTCTCAAAAAAAAAAATACCAACTATACGGGCCAGGAGGGCATGGAACAACATTTTCAGTGCTGAAAGTAAGAAACTGCCATCCAAGAATACTGTGTTCAGCAAAGCTATTTTTCAAATGTACGAAAGAGACATAAAGTTCTTCCCAGACAAACAAAAACTGAGAGAATTCACTACCACCAGACCCATCTGACAAGAAATGCTAAAGAGAATTATTCAATCCAAAGGGGAAAAAACATTAAATGTGCAAAACAAGCAAACCTTTAAAGGTATAAAACCCATTGATAAAACTAAATACGGGGACAAGCCCAGAATAATGTAATACTGTAATTGTGGTATGCAGTTAACTCACAACTTTAGTATGAAGCCCAGAAGACAAATCTATCAACAACAGTAACAGCTACAGCAACCTGTTAAGAGATAGGCAATATAAAAATACGTAAATTGAGACAACAGAAAGTTAGAATATGGGGAGGATGGAGTTAAAGTACAGAGTTTTTTCTTTTTTACTTTTTGTTTCTCATCTTTTCTTTGTGATCTAAGATAAGTTGTCATCTCTTTAAAATAACTTGTTATATTGATAAAATGTTCTTTGTAAGCCTCATGGTAACCACAATGCAAAATCCTATAAAGGATCCACTAAAAATAACTAGCAACAAATCAAGCCACAAGAGCAGAGAACCACAAAAGAAAATAGAAACCAAGGAATATAAAAATACAGGAGCTGCAAAACAACCAGAAACAAGTAACACAATGGCAGTAGTAAGTCCTTAGTATCAGTAATAACACCGAATGTGAATGGACTCAATTCTCCAATTAAAAGGCATAGGAGGATAGAGGCTGAATGAATAAAGAAATATGACCCAACAATGTGATATCTACCAGAAACCCACTTCTCCTATAGAAACACAAATAGACTGAAAGTGAAGGGAGAAAAATGATATACATGCAACTGGAAACCAAAAAGGAGCAGGAGTAATTATACTGGGATAACATAGACTGTAACTCAAAAAGTACAAAAAGAGAAAAGGTTACTATATGATGATAAAGGGGTCAATTTGGGAAGCAGATGTAACAATTATAAAATATCTATGCACCCACCACTGGAGCTCCCAAGTATTTAAAGCAAACATTAATAGATGTAAAGGGAGAGATAGATGGCAATACAATAATATTAGGGACCTCAACACCTCACTCTCAATAATGGACAGATAATCTAGACAGAAAATTGAAGAAGAAACTTTGGAGTTAAACTACACACTAGAGCAAACAGGCCTCACTTATATTTGCAGAACGTTTCACCCAACACGTTGTTTTCATCAGCACATGAAACATTCTCTAGAATAGACTATATCTTAGTCCACTAAAGAAGTCCCAACAAATTCTATCAAGTCCCAACAGACAAATACTATCAAATATCTTTTTTGACCACACTGGAATAAAACTAAAAATGAATAACAAGAGGAACCTCAGAAACTACATAAAAACATGGAAATTAAACACGTTTCTGAATAACCAATGGGTCAATGAAGAAAGTAAGGAGAAAATTAAAAAATTTCTTGAAACAAAAGAAAACTGAATTACAACATACTAAATCTATAGGATATAGCAAAAGCAGTACTGAGGTAAGTTTATAGCAATAAGTAACTACATCAAAACAGTAGAAAGGTTCATATAAAAACTCAAGGGTACATCTCAAAGAAGTAGAAAAGCAAGAAAAAACCAAACGTAAAATTAGTAGAAGGAAAGGTATAATAAAAATCAAACATAAATTAATAAAATTGAGACTAGAAAAAAATATATAAGACTAACAGAAGCAAAAATTGGTTTTTGAAAAGATAAACAAAAGTGACAAAACTTTAGCTAGACTAGGAAAAAAAGAGATCCAAATAAATACAATCAGAAATGAAAAGGGAAACATAGCAACTGAGACCACAGAAATAAACAGAATCATTAGAGACTATGATGAGCAACTCTATGCCAACAAATTAGAAACCATAGAAGAAATGGATAAATTCCCAGATCCATACAACCTACCAAGATTGAACCATGAAGAAAAGGAAAACCTCAACAAATTAATGCGTAATAAGATTGAAGCTGTAATAAAGTTTTGCATCAAAGGAAAGTCCAGAAACTGATGGCCTCATTGCTGAATTTTACCAAAAGTTTAAAGAACTAACACCAATTCTACTCAAGCTTTTCAAAAAATTGAAGTGGAGGGAATTCTTCCAAACTCCTTCTGTGACGTCAGGATTGCCCTGGTACCAAAACCAGACAAATACGCAACTAAAAGAGAAAACTACAGACCAATATCCCTGATGAACACAGATGCAACAATCCTCAACAAAATACTGGCAAACCAAATTCGACAGCACATTTAAAAGATCATTTACCATGATTACATGGGATTCATCTCAGGGATACAAGGATGTTACAACACAAACAAATAAAAAACCCCCCATGAAACATTACATTAACAGCAGCAAGAACAAAAAACATATGATCAATTCAATAGGTGCAGATATGAAAAAGCATTTAATAAAATTTACCTTCCTTTTATGATGAAAACCCTCATAAACTAGGTATAGAAAGAATATACCTAAAAGTAATAAAGGCCATATATGACCAACCCACAGCTAAAATTGTATTTAATGGGGAAAAATCAAAAGTCTTTCCTTTAAGATCTGAAACACAACAAGGATGCTCACTTTCATCGCTGTTATTCAGTGTAATACTGGAAGCCCTGGCCAGAGCAATTAGACAAGAGAAAGAAATAAAGAGTATCCAAATTGGAAAGGAAGAAGTCAAATTAGGCTTGTTCACAGACAACATGATCTTATACATAGAAAAACCTAAACTATCCATCAAAAAGCTGTTAGAACTAATAAGCAAATTCAGTAAAGTTACCAGATACAAAATTGACCAAAAAAATCAGTAATATTTATATATGTCAATAGTGAAGAATCTGAAAAGAAAATCAAGAAATCAATCCTACTTATAGTAGCTGCAAAGGATATAAAACATTTAGGAATCAACCAAAAAAGTGAAAGATTTATACAAGGAAATCTATAAACCACTGATGAAAGAAATTGAGTAGGACACAAGAAAGGAAAATATAGTTTGTGCTCGTGGATTGGAAAAATTAATATTATTGAAATGAGAATACTTCCCAAGGCTATTTACAGATTCAATGCAATCTCTATCAAAATACCAATGACATTCTTCACAGAATTGGCATTGTCCTGGCATAACAACAGACACATAGACCAATTGAATAGAAGCGAGAACCCAGATATAAATCCACATACCTCCAGTGAACTCATTTTTGACAAAGGCTCCAAGAACATACAATGGGCAAGGATTGTTTCTTCAATAAACAGTGCTAGGAAAAAGTAGATAACCATATGCAGAAGAATGAAACTAGACTCCTATCTCACCATAAGTAAAAAACAAATCACAATGGATTAAAGACTTAAATCTTAGACCTGAAACTATGAAACTACTAGAGAAAAACATTGGGGTAATGCTACAGGACATTGGTTTGAGCAAAGATTTTTGTGTGTGTAAAACCTCAAAGGTTCTGGCAACAAAACTGAAAATAGATAATAACTGAAAATAGATAATTAGGATTACATCAAGCTAGAAAGCTTCTGCATAGCAAAGGAAACTGTCAGCAAAGTGAAAAGATAATTTCCAGAATTGGAGAAAATATTTGCTAACTATCCAGCTGACAAGGAATTTATAAATAGAATCTATAAGGAGCTCAAACAACTCAACAGCAAAAACAGGAAAACCAAAACATCACACCACAAAAATCAAACCAATTAAAAACAAGGCAAAAGACCTAAATAGACATTTCTCAGACAAAGACATATAAATGGCTATCAGGTATATGAAAAAATGCTCAACTTCACTAATCATCAGAAAAATGCAAATCAAATCTGCAGCGAGATATCATTTGCAGTTAAATGGCTTTTATCAAATAGGGAATAATGGATGCTGGTAAGGATGTGAAGAAAGGGGAACCCATGTCTACTGTGGGTGGGAATGTAAATTAGTTCAGCCACTATTGAAAACAGTGCAGAGGTTTCTCAAGAAACTAAAGATATACCATATGACCCAGCATTTTCACTGCTGAGTGTATATCCAAAAGAAAGGAATCAATATGTTGAAGAGATATCTGCACTCCAATGTTTGTTGCAGTGCTATTCACGGTAACCAAGATAAGGAATGAACCTAGATTTCTATAAATGGATAAATAGAGAATATATATATATATATATATACACACACACACACACACACACACACACACACATATATACATACATAATAAAATATATTTAGCCGTAAGAAAGAATGAAATTCTGTCATTCACAGCAACATGGATGGAATTGGAGGTATTATGTTAAGTGAAATAAGCCAAGAACAGAAAGACAAATACCACATTTTCACACATTTGTGGGAGTTGAAAAAGTGGATCTCATGAAGATAAAGAGTAGATTGCTCATTATCGGAGCTTGGGAAGGGTAAAGGGAAGGGGGGGACAAAGACGGGCTGATTAATTGGTACAAATATGTGGTTAGAAGAAATGAATAGAGTTTGATAGATCAGTAGGATGACTATAGTTTACAAAACTCTATTGTATACTTCAAAACATAGAGGGGAATAATTTGTGTCTAGCATACAGAAAAGACAGATATTTAAGATGATGGATATCTCAATTATCCTGATTTGATCTTTACATATTATATTAATGTATTATATTATCACATGTACATCTATTATGCATCAATAACAATTTTTAAAAAAAGAACATGGAAAAATAGAGATGACTTTTTAATAATGAATAATCTGAAATTTAATTTCTAAAAACATGTTCACACCAAATTCCTCAGTTTTCCTCCCACACACTCTCGCTCTCCTTCCCTCCTTCCTTCCTTTTTTTATTCCTTTTTTTCCCATTTAGACCAGAATTCTAGAGCATTCTTAAACCTGCTAGGATGTATTGACCTCTGCTGTGTGCCAGGCTCTGTGCTAATCTCCATCATATATGATCTAATTTAACCCTCATACAATCCTATGATGCTAACATTATTTCTGATGAAGAACTTGAGGCTTAGGGAAAATATCTTGCTCAAGGTCAGGTAGCTGACAAGTCGCATAGCCAAGGCTCTAATCCCTGCCCTTAGTCACAAAAACAAAACTGCTTCAATCTCCCTATTCCACTCCATAATATTCAGCACATCATAAGTCCTGCCATTTTTAACTCCTAAATATTTTTCGTTGTTTTCATCCCTATTACCACAGCCCCAATTCGGACCCACATCAGCTCTTGCCTAGACAATGATCACTTCCTCTTGATGGGTCTGACTACATCTAGCCTTTCTCTAGTTAAGCCTGTCTTAGATGGTGGTCAAAGTGATATGCTTGAAAGGCTGCAAGTCTTCTTGTTGACTATCAGACACTTTAGTCAGGTGATGCTGACTGATAGTTTGGAACACACATTGAGAATCACTGCCCTGTAGTGTTTTGTCTGAGTTTCAGAAGAGGAAATGAAAGGTAAGAATATGGCAGAGAGAAGACTGAAGAGAGCAGAGAGTAACCCCTGGAAATCCAAATGAATTATTTGGTCTTTACTTGAATGTTTGGCGTCACAGATATAGAACTTGAGAATGAACAAGCTCATTGCTAGGTAAAGTCAAAGAAAATTGATTCACAGATCATTATGTGTATGCATTAAAAGAAAGTCTGAGCAGTGAGAATTTGCATCATCCTTGAAAATCAATGTGGAAGTATATGTTCTAATTTTCACTTTGGTATTTAATTTTCTGAAGCTATTTTCTGTGTCTAGTTTTCCAGATATACATTTTATTAACATAGTTCAGTAATGAAGTATTGGCATAGTTAAATAATACAGATTGATTTGAGTCTTCTCTTAATATAAAAGTGGGAGAACATGATGAATAAGTTATATTTTATATCTTTCCACGTTCTTTTATTTATATTTAGATTGAAGTTGGGAAAAGCAATCACTTTCAGAAAGCAAACCCTCTTGTTCCTGGTGCTCAGCTGGAAGATTGCCCCGGCCTCTGGGTGGGTATCGTATGTGTATATACAGGGCTGTGTACTCGTACTCAGAGACTGGGACTCTTAAGCAACTCTAATTAGAAAGTTAAATAAATACAGAAAGCTTTAAGAATTATCTCAATGCTATTCTCAATCTATGTAGCTATCTCTGGATCAGGCCGTTGTGTGATATGAAAATCTTTCCTATGTTAGGAAGCAGAATGAGATTATGATGTATTATTTTTATTGTGTTAAGTTTTCTTTCAGCATAAAATTCGAGAGATTAAAACCAAAATAGAACTATGTAAACTACACTGTGTATTCAGTTGTGTGCCTCTGTATGAACAATTATATAAACTTGTTCAAATTTTTCCTAGACTGTTTTTATATTCATGTAAATTGCAATGTAAACTCTTAATCTCATTTTTGATAGATGATTATCACAAATTGTCTACAAGTGGATTCCTTTTCTATGATTTTATTTTTTTATAACCCTGAATCTGACCATGCTTTTTAAATTACGTGTTTGTCATGCTTGGCGGTCCCTTCCATGTTTCGCCATTCCTAAGCTTCTGTAATTCTTTTGAGGGCTCCAAAAGGTCACTGTGTGCCCTGACCTCCTGCTAGAAGAGCTGCTTTTTTCTCTCTCCAGATGTTTTGCAGTTTTAACTTTTATTGCTGTAATCTGTATACAAGTCATATATGAAAAGTGTCAAATATCATTGTCCAGCAGTGAAATTAGGACTTTTTCAAATTGGAGGGAAATGTTAACAGAGTGCAACTGTGTCCTGCCAGTGTTTCTCCTGGCAAGCTGACTCTGAGAACACTGTTTTCGCTTTAGCCATCTGTGCTTCCATAAACAATCTGCAGTGGTTTCTTCTTCTAATTCAAATTCTAGCAGCTGGTTTTCCTCCTTAGCTCCTTTTGATGCTGTGACACCAGTAGCAGCACACCCATGAATCTTTGTGCTTCTTTCTACTTTTAGGGATTATATCACCAAAAATGTTAAATAAGCAATTCACATGAGTTTCCCACATGGGGATTCTGCAGTGCATGTGCTAAAGAAGGCCAACTGAGTCCTGGGTGAGAAAATGGAATAGAGCGTTTTATGTCCCCTGCCCAACTTTAAATGTCCATGTTTCTTCTTTTCTATTTAAAAACAGGTAAATCTTCCTATCTAGTTAACATTTTTGTTGTTGTTGTTGAAAAATCTACCTCATTACTCTATCCCCGCTACCCACCGATGCTGCTTATTTCTAGTATCATGCACTTCAGCTTTTTGGATTTAGTTCAAAAAAGTTTTTTTTTTTAATAAATAAATATCTTATTTTGTTAGGTGTTTGTAGATGTAAACCTGCCAGTAAAAGTCTTTAGATATATAATTAGTGTTATTATATATGTAATATATAATATTCATAGAATAGAACATACACTCTTCATTCCTGTTTAAATTCGTCTAATGCACAAATATTTTGCTGTTCAATGGAATTAGCAGTCATTAAAATTGGAATTTTTCAGAATACAGTATATTGCCTTCTTTTTAAAATTTAAAAAAGTTAAAAAAATCTACAGTAGCTATCTTTTTAGTAAAATTTCCTTGCAAAAGAGTCATGTTGCAGGCCTATAAAATATTTTTCTTTAAAGGAAAGACAAATGTCAGAAAATAAGATGTTATATAAACAAAAGTAAATTTCAAAATATTTTTCAGAGAGATTTGTGAGTAATTGAATTGGCAACCTGATAGTTGAAAGCAGAAGACCAAGAGAGAACACAATGACTTTACCAAAAAAAAAAAAAAAAAAAAAAAAGACAGAAAACACCCAAAACCAAAAAACTAAACTAAAACACATTAGTGGCCCAAATAACAGAAAAAGCCCATACAGATGAAGATAAATTAAACCATCCAAACATTAAATACTTTTTCACTGTTATACAAAAGATTTGGATTTAATGAAACATTCAAGTGATTGATCAATATTCCTCTTTTCACTGACAAGTTTTGTTGATTTGTAGGATAAAGACATTAAAAATGAACTTGGCTATTGGTCTTAATCAGATACTGTTAGTTTCATGTGGTTTTATATCACTAAACTCAGTAAGAAATATTTTCTTGAATTCAATCAGAATAATGAGCTTTTCCTTGAGAAAACATTCTTAAATTCCTATGAAATATCAATTAATGAGTCCCGATAAATAATGCTGAGCATCCAATATTACATGGATACTCAGGAATTGATTTCCATTAGCTAAAAGTTCCACAGGATCAGTGGTTATCTTCTTCATTGTGGTCCCAGTGTCTATATGGTAGGCACTCAATTAATGGCTGGAAAAAAAGTGGAAGAGTGTTAAATTAATGTTTGAAATTCATTACTCTTAAGTGACATTGTAGGAGATGCAAAGGCTAAAAATCAGAAATTCTGGTTTTGCTACTTGGCCATTTACATAGCCTTGAGAGAGGCACTTGATAGCTGCTGGTTTCCACACCCCTAAAATGAATAGACAGTTTCTAAATTCCCTTGCAGCATTATTCCAGTGTGATCTCTAGGAGGAGCAGCATCATCTCATTTATGCAATAAATATTTATTGAGCACTTTGCTAAAACCATGCTGAAGTAAATAACACAGAAGTTAGGACATAATGGGAAAAATAACTTGAGTAAATGGATAAACTTTGATAAATGCTGTGAAGGGAATGCACTGGGCTTTTTCAGGGGATGTAACATGAAGGAAATCTAGTCTAGATTAAGAGTCTGTTGGGATCTCTCTGGGCATATGATATTTCTGTAATTCAAAGTATAAGTTAGGCAGAGGATGAGATAAAGTATTATTAGAAGTATATTAGAAGTATTATTAGAAGATAGTAAAGAAAGTGAAAGCCCAGAGGAACCAAAAGAAAACATTATGTGGGGAGTGGAGCCAAGACGGCTGAATAGGAATAGCTCCAGTATACAGCTCCCAGCGTGGGTGATGCAGAAGACGGGTGATTTCTGCATTTCCAACTGAGGTACCGGGTTCATCTCACTGGGGAGTGTCGGACAGTGGGTGCAGGACAGTGGGTGCAGCGTGCACTGAGCATGAGCCAAAGCAGAGTGAGGCATCACCTCACCCAGGAAGCACAAGGGGTCAGAGAATTCCCTTTCCTGGTCAAAGAAAGGGGTGACAGACGGTACCTGGAAAACCGGGTCACTCCCACCCTAATACTGCATTTTTCCAACTGTCTTAGCAAATGGCACACCAGGAGATTATATCCCACTCAAGGCTCAGAGGGTCCTACGCCCACGGAGCCACACTCATTGCTAGCACAGCAGTCTGAGATCAAACTGCAAGGCGGCAGCAGGCTGGAGGAGGGGCGCCCACCATTGCCCAGACTTGAGTAGGTAAACAAAGTGGTCCGGAAGCTCGAACTGGGTGGAGTCCACCACAGCCCAAGGAGGCCTGCCTGCCACTGTAGACTCCACCTCTGGGGGCAGGGCATACCCAACCAAAAGGCAGCAGAAACCTCTGCAGACTTAAATGTCCCTGTCTGAAAGCTTTGAAGAGAGTAGTGGTTCTCCCAGCATGCAGCATGGAGATCTGAGAACAGACAGACTGCCTCCTGAAGTGGGTCCCTGACCCCCGAGTAGCCTAACTGGGAGGCACCCCCCAGTAGGAGCAGACTGACACCTCACATGGCCGGGTACTTCTCTGAGACAAAACTTCCAGAGGAACAATCAGGCAGCAACATTTGCTGTTCACCAATGTCTGCTTTTCGGCAGCCTCTGCTGCTGATACCCAGGCAAACAGGGTCTGGAGTGGACCTCTGGCAAACTCCAACAGACCTGCAGCTGAGGGTTCTGACTGTTAGAAGGAAAACTAACAAACAGAAAGGACATCCACACCAAAACCCCATCTGTACGTCACTATCATCAAAGACCAAAGGTAGATAAAACCACAAAGATGGGGAAATAACAGAGCAGAAAAACTGGAAACTCTAAAAATCAGAGCACTCTCCTCCTCCAAAGGAACGCAGCTCCTCACCAGCAATGGAACAAAGCTGGACGGAGAATGACTTTGATGAGTTGAGAGAAGAAGGCTTCAGACAATCAAATTTCTCCGAGCTAAAGGAGGAAGTTTGAACCCATGGCAAAGAAGTTAAAAACCTTGAAAAAAAATTAGATGAATGGCTAACTAGAATAACCAATGCAGAGAAGTCCTTAAAGGACCTGATGGAGCTGAAAACCAAGGCATGAGAACTATGTGACGAATGCACAAGCCTCAGTAGCTGATTCGATCAACTGGAAGAAATGGAATCAGTGATGTAAGATTAAATGAAGGAAATGAAGTGAGAAGAGAAGTTTAGAGAAAAAAGAATAAAAAGAAATGAACAAAGCCTCCAAGAAATATGGGACTATGTGAAAAGACCAAATCTACGTCTGATTGGTGTACCTGAAAATGACGGGGAGAATGGAACCAAGTTGGAAAACACTCTGCAGGATATTATCCAGGAGAACTTCCCCAATCTAGCAAGGCAGGCTGACCTTCAAATTCAGGAAATACAGAGAACGCCACAAAGATACTCCTTGAGAAGAGCAACTCCAAGACACATAATTGTCAGATTCACCAAAGTTGAAATGAAGGAAAAAATGTTAAGGGCAGCCAGAGAGAAAGGTAGGGTTACCCACAAAAGGAAGCTCATCAGACTAACAGCTGATCTCTCAGCAGAAACTCTACAAGCCAGAAGAGAGTGGGGGCCAATATTCAACATTCTTAAAGAAAAGAATTTTCAACCCACAATTTCATATCCAGCCAAACTAAGCTTCATAAGTGAAGGAGAAATAAAATGCTTTACAGACAAGCAAATGCTGAGAGATTTTGCCACCCTCAGGCCTGCCCTAAAAGAGCTCCTGAAGGAAACATGGAAAGGAACAACTGGTACCAGCCACTTCAAAAACATGCCAAAATATAAAGACCATCGAGGCTAGGAAGAAACTGCATCAACTAACAAGCAAAATAACCAGCTAACATCATAATGACAGGATCAGATTCACACATAACAATATTAACCTTAAATGTAAATGGGCTAAATGCTCCAATTAAAAGATAAAGACTGGCAAATTGGATAAAGAGTCAAGACTCATCAGTGTGCTGTATTCAGGAAACCCATCTCACGTGCAGAGACACACATAGGCTCAAAATAAAGGGATGGCGGAAGATCTATCAAGCAAATGGAAAACAAAAACAGGCAGGGCTTGCAATCCTACTCTCTGATAAAACAGACTTTAAAACAACAAAGATCAAAAGAGACAAGGCCATTACATAATGGTGAAGGGATCAATTCAACAAGAAGAACTAACTATCCTAAATATATATGCATCCAATACAGGAGCACCCAGATTCATAAAGCAAGTCCTGAGTGACCTACAAAGAGACATAGACTCCCACACAATAATAATGGGAGACTTTAACACCCCACTGTCAACATTAGACAGATCAACGAGACAGAAAGTTAACAAGGATATCCAGGAATTGAACTCAGCTCTGCACCAAGTGGACCTAATAGACATCTACAGAACTCTCCACCCCAAATCAACAGAGTATACATTCTTTTCAGCACCACACCACACCTATTCCAAGACTGACTACATATTTGGAAGTAAAACACTCCTCAGCAAATGTAAAAGAACAGAAATTATAGCAAACTGTCTCTCAGACCACAGTGCAATCAAACTAGAACTCAGGATTAAGAAACTCACACAAAACCGCTCAACCACATGGAAACTGAACAACCTGCTCCTGAATGACTACTCGGTACATAACAAAATGGAGGCAGAAATAAAGATGTTCTTTGAAACCAATGAGAACAAAGACACGACATACCAGAATATCTGGGACACATTCAAAGCAGTGTGTAGAGGGAAATTTATAGCACTAAATGCCAACAAGAGAAAGCAGGAAAGATGTAAAATGGATACCCTAGCATCACAATTAAAAGAACTAGAGAAGCAAGAGCAAACACATTCCAAAGCTAGCAGAAGGCAAGAAATAACTAAGATCAGAGCAGAACTGAGGGAAATAGAGACACAAAAAAACCCTTCAAAGAATCAGTGAATCCAGGAACTGGTTTTTTGAAAAGATCAACAAAATTGATAGACTGCTAGCAAGACTAATAAAGAAGAAAAGAGAGAAGAATCAAATAGATGCAATAAAAAATGATAAAGGGGATATCACCACCAATCCCACAGAAATACAAACTACCATCAGAGAATACTATAAGCACCTCAATGCAAATAAACTAGAAAATCTGGAAGAAATGGATAAATTCCTCGACACATACACCCTCCCAAGACTAAACCAGGAAGAAGTTGAATCTCTGAATAGACCAATAACGGGCTCTGAAATTGAGGCAATAATTAATAGCTTACCAACCAAAAGAAGTCCAGGACCAGATGGATTCACAGCCGAATTCTACCAGAGGTACAAGGAGGAGCTGGTACCATTCCTTCTGAAACTATTCCAATCAATAGAAACAGAGGGAATCCTCCCTAACTCATTTTATGAGGCCAGCATCATTCCTGATACCAAAGCCTGGCAGGGACACAACCAAAAAAGAGAACTTTAGACCAATATCTGTGATGAACATCGATGCAAAAATCCTCAATAAAATACTGGCAAACTGAATCCAGCAGCACATCAAAAAGCTTATCCACCATGATCAAGTAGGCCTCATCCCTGGGATACGAGGCTGGTTCAACATACGCAAATCAATAAACATAATCCAACATATAAACAGAACCAAAGACAAAAACCACATGATTATCTCAATAGATGCAGAAAAGGCCTTGGACAAAATTCAACAACCTTCATGCTAAAAACTCTCAATAAATTAGGTATTGATGGGATGTATCTTAAAATGATAAGCGCTATCTATGACAAACCCACTGCCAATATCATACTGAATGGGCAAAAACTGGAAGCATTCCCTTTGAAAACTGGCACAAGACAGGGATGCCCTCTCTCACCACTCCTATTCAACACAGTGTTGGAAGTTCTGGCCAGGGCAATCAGGCAGGAGAAGGAAATAAAGGGTATTCAATTAGGAAAAGAGGAAGTCAAATTGTCCCTGTTTGCAGATGACATGACTGTATATCTAGAAAACCCCATCGTCTCAGCCCAAAATCTCCTTAAGCTGATAGGCAATGTCAGCAAAGTCTCAGGATACAAAATCAATGTGCAAAAATCACAAGCATTCTTATACACCAATAACAGACAAACAGAGAGCCAAATCATGAGTGAACTCCCATTCACAATTGCTTCAAAGAGAATAAAATACCTAGGAATCCACCTTACAAGGGACATGAAGGACCTCTTCAAGGAGAACTACAAAACCACTGTTCAATGAAATAAAAGAGGATACAAACAAATGGAAGAACATTCCATGCTCATGGGTAAGAAGAATCAATATTGTGAAAATGGCCATATTGCTCAAGGTAATTTATAGATTCAGTGCCATCTCCATCAAGCTACCAATGACTTTCTTCACAGAATTGGAAAAAAATACTTTAAAGTTCATATGGAACCAAAAAAGAGCCTGCACTGCCAAGTCAATCCTAAGCCAAAAAAACAAAGCTGGAGGCATCATGCTACCTGACTTCAAACTATACTACAAGGCTACAGTAACCAAAACAGCATGGAACTGGTACCAAAACAGAGATATAGACCAATGGAACAGAACACAGACCTCAGAAATAATGCCGCATATCTACAACTATCTGATCTTTGACAAACCTGACAAAAACAAGAAATGGGGAAAGGAGTCCCTGTTTAATAAATGGTGCTGGGAAAACTGGCTAGCCATATGTAGAAAGCTGAAACTGGATCCCTTCCTTACACCTTATACAATAATTAATTCAAGATGGATTAAAGACTTACATATTAGACCTAAAACCATAAAAACCCTAGAAGAAAACCTAGCCAATACCATTCAGGACATAGGCATGGGCAAGGACTTCATGTCTAAAACACCAAAAGCAATGGCAACAAAAGCCAAAATTGACAAATGGGATCTAATTAAACTAAAGAGCTTCTCCACAGCTAAAGAAACTACCATCAGAGTGAACAGGCAACCTACAGAATGGGAGAAAATTTTTGCAATCTACTCATCTGACAAAGGGCTAATTTCCAGAATCTACAATGAACTCAAACAAATTGACAAGAAAAAAACAAACAACCCCATCAAAAAGTGGGCGAAGGATATGAACAGACACTTCTCAAAAGAAGACATTTATGCAGCCAAAAGACACATGAAAAAATGCTCATCATCACTGGCCATCAGAGAAATGCAAATCAAAACCACAATGAGATACCATCTCACACCAGTTAGAATGGCGATCATAAAAGTCAGGAAACAACAGATGCTGGAGAAGATGTGGAGAAATAGGAACACTTTGACACTGTTGGTGGGACTGTAAACTAGTTCAACCATTGTGGAAGTCAGTGTGGCGATTCTTCAGGGATCTAGAACTAGAAATACCATTTGACCCAGCCATCCCATTACTGGGTATATACACAAAGGATTATAAAACGTGCTGCTATAAAGACACATGCACACGTATGTCTATTGTGGCACTCTTCACAATAGCAAAGACTTGGAACCAACCCAAATGTCCAACAATGATAGACTGGATTAAGAAAATGTGGCACATATACACCATGGAATACTATGCAGCCATAAAAAAGGATGAGTTCATGTCCTTTGTAGGGACATGGATGAAGCTGGAAACCATCATTCTCAGCAAACTATCGCAAGGACAAAAAACCAAACACGGTATGTTCTCACTCGTAGGTGGGAATTGAACAATGAGAACACATGGACAGAGGAAGGGGAACATCACACTGGGGCCTGTTGTGGGGCAGGGGGAGGGGGGAGGGATAGCAGTAGGAGATATACCTAATGTTAAATGATGAGTTAATGGGTGCAGCACATCGACATGTCAAATGTATACATATGTAACAAACCTGCACATTGTGCACATGTACCCTAAAACTTAAAGTATAATAAAAAAAGAAAAAAGAAATCATTCTGTGGTAGGAGCATACTGGATGATGTTAGAGAGCAGCAAATTAGGAGGCCCATGCTGTGTTCCAGAGGAGGGACAAGGTAGGTGGGGACTAAGGTGAGGCAGTGAACTGGGGAAAAGTGGATGAAATTGAAATTTATCTTGTGCCCACAGCCAACAGTACTTGGGTAGGCTTTTTACGAAGCATGAGTGATCAGGCACCATTAAAAGTGATTCCTAAAATTCCTGCTTCCTTGACCCACTGAGTAATGGAAGTCTCATTAGTTAAGGTGAAGAATTCAAGTGGGCAGGAGGTTTGTGCATATCAAGTTTGACTTGTGAACATTAAATGGAGATATCAAGTAGGCAACTGGATGTACTGAGCTCAGGGGTGAGGCTAGGAGTCATCAGAATATATAGATGGCATTTAAATTATAAAATTTGGCGTAATAAGTGCAACTATATCAAACCTCAAGCAACTCTAATACTTTTTGTTTCAAGAGTTATTTAATGTTATCTGATCCGTTAGAATGTCTTTTTCAGTTGAGGTGATATATGAAGTAGTCATTAATAGCCAGAAGTTTTAGTGGCAAGATTGTGCAGAGATTTTTGTCTCTTTAAATCCACACTTTCCAAATATTATAGAAATATTTTTGTATCAAAGAGTAGTCTTTGATTAGAAATATATTTATGCAATATATACATTTAAATGTGAATTTGCTCCATGAAACTCAGATGGGAGAAATGTCACATTTTAATATTTTTTGTTACTCCAACTTCACGGGCTTTTATCCTCCATGCTCTATTGGTGGGAAATTCAACCTTAGTTTTGTTTTTCTGAGAAAGTTCTATGTTTCAATGGCCTTGACAGAAGTTCCAGGAATTTACCTGGTCAGAAAACTTGGCCAAGGACCCTCTGAGCTCTTCACTTTCCCATGGTTGACTGCTCAAGGCATCTATGGCTTCATCAGGCACTGAGAAGCTATCTTTGCCTTAAAGAAAGCCACACAGGATTGA
Organism: Homo sapiens; assembly: GCF_000001405.40. Taxonomy (NCBI): domain Eukaryota; kingdom Metazoa; phylum Chordata; class Mammalia; order Primates; family Hominidae; genus Homo; species Homo sapiens. Next base: position 74,882,279 of record NC_000006.12, on the reverse strand, counting down.
ATTCTGAACAACAGTTTGGGCTGATCTTCCAACCAGAATTCATAACATATTGCTCACTTCTTCAACAGCCTCGAATAAAAAACTTGGCTAAGAAAGTCTCTCTCTTATTTTATAACACCCTTTGCATTTCTACATGAGTTTCTTGGATAGACGGATCCAGATTGTGAGCACTGCAGGCCCTTCCTGTACTCAGGAGAGGCTGGTGCTGTCAGGTCACAGACAAGCCCTCCTCTACCAAGGGTCCGTCACCAGGGAGAGTTTCAAGATTTTCCTCTTTCCTAACAGGATGAGAGACTATTTTCTTACGGGACCAGGCAGTTTATCTCCCTAACTGGTTTGTGGTTCTCAAAGTCCACAGGCTGCCTTTGCTTTTACACTATTCTTATGCTTTGATGATGTCACTTTGATGAGTGTAGCCTGACACAAAATGCCTACATTCCCCACAGGCAAAGCTGGGCACTTGCCCTTCTCTAACTCCCTATAGGTTTTTCTGAATCCTTCTGTTTTGTGGTTGTGCAGTGTTATTTGTAGCCCGCTATAGACTTAGACCTCCTCCTATAAATCTTTGTAGCTTTGCATGCCCAGTCACACAGTAGGCAGCTTGATGGACTTGCTCATTTGTATGTATGAGTGAGTATGCTTGTTTTTCCAGTGTATTTTGGAAGGGATCTCAGGAAAGGAGTTTATACCAGGCTTTCCAAAATCTGACAAAGTGGCTGCCTGGACTTTTTACCTGTTCTGATAATGCCTTGTTCACTCTGGTAGATTACCAGGCTAGTTCCCCTGAAATCCATTTGACACCTGTTTCTTAAATCTTGATGTGAGCCATCACTTTCTTTCTCGGTTCTTTCCGTTATCAGCATTAGTAGTTGAAAGAAGATGAAAGAAGTGTCAAATTTTAGGCAGATTGATCTCAGAGCAAATTAAGTTGCCAAGTATTGCCCTTCTACACTTATTTTAAAGAGACTGATCCATATTTCCTGAGTCTAAGGGTACTATCCTAGTCTTTTCAGGCCGCTATGACAAACTACCATAATTTGGCTGGCATATAAACAACACAGATTTATTTCTCACAGTTCTGGAGACCGGAAAGTCCAAGATCAAGACACGTGCATATTCTGTGTCCAGTGAGGGAATGGGTTTTGGGTTCACAGACAGCCGTCTTTTTGCTCTGTCCTCATATGACATAAAGAACTCTGTTCTCTTCAGCCCCTTATAAGGGCACTAATCTCATTCATGCAAGCTCTTCCCTCATGATGCAAGCATTCTATCTATAGCAGGTACCCTAGCCAGAGCCCTCCAGATCAGTCTATTGTTACAGTCTATATATTCAGACATCTTTTCAACCAGCCTCCTGGTGTTTATCCAAAAGGCTGACATACCGTGCTCTCTGGTATTCAACCACATCCAGAAGCCTGTTTGATTACTTGAGACATGCATTCACAGTCACTAAAGTAGTAGTGGCTTTGACAGCATGAAGATCACCAACATTTGGTCCTAAGACAGCCTATCAGCTGTCCACCATTGCTAAAGTATTTGGTAATATGTCTCAGCCACAGTTCATATGTCTCTTAGGCTGGGAGTATCATTCTTGGAAAATGAATTCAATTATTGATAATTTGCTTTTTTCATCAAAAGGAGTACAGCATTCCTGCTGTCTACTCTAGCATATTAGCTGATGTCTTAAATGGCATGTTTAGGTGTGGGGCTATAGGGATGTTTTCACACCCAAGTACTCTGACATCCTGGTCACTGTATGTTCTTTTTATTTAGCGAGAGATTTCCTTCTGAGAAATTCAGGGTCTGAGATAAGAACATCAAAAATCAACTTCCATGCTCCTCCATTTTTGGTATTTTTCTAGTAATGAGAGAGAAATCTATCTCTTGGGCAACAAAACTGCACTCATCTTTTTTTTTCCTTTCTCAAATTTTTTAACTTCATTCTATATTTTCTTAGGAGATTCAAAGCATTCTGTACATGCTTTCAAACCTAGTTCTGTTACATCCGTTTTCTCACATACATCTTTTTCAGCACCCACATTCATCTTTGCACAACAGTTTTCCAACAGGGTCACAGCTGTGACTGGTTTCTCCAACAGTCTAAACTCAGTGGGAAGTGAATATGAAACCATTCTGTTTTTCTCCAGTCACTTACCGAAACCATACTCAGATGAATCTCTTTTTCTTATAACTTAACAACATCTTGGACAGATTAACATCTTAGACATCTTGGACAGATCTTGGGTCACTTTAGATTATTTAAAGTGAGTCCATTTTAAGACTGTAATTTCCTATCTGATTGAAACCTTAGCCCCTCCTCTTTCCCCAGTAGATCTGAAATGGAGAGTGATCATGATCTCCTCTTTCATTCCTCTTTTACTTGTGCGGAGGGAGGCTAGGACTGGAATCCCCCAGGGGTAACTCTTCTCTCTTTTCTCTCTTCTTATGCTATATAGCTCTTTCTGTGAATGGAACAGGGAGCAGAAGATGAAGGATATATCACCATTGTAGCTGGTGACTACTGTCAATCATCACTCTTTCTGTGACGAACACTGACTTGCTGTGTTAGCCTTGCTGAGCTGGCTTTGAGGAGAGGCAGGTGTGTATTTTCAGAGGGCCCTATGGGGGCCTCCTATTCCACAGTTTTTGGCATGAGAGATGTGGTTGCAGCTTCAGCTCTTCCAACTGTTTACAGAATTACCTAGTGTTGCCTTAGTCAGCAGCCAGCCTTCCTGGGTGGCAAGTCTGCTCAAGTCTTAAGACTGTGTTGTTGTAGTTATTTGTGATTCGCTTCAGGATATGCGCCTGGTAGTTGTTGTCACTTTATGTCCAGTATTTGGCCCTAGCAGTCAATTCTGGGCTTCTGAAAGAAACTCCACTTAAAAATAACATTGTATGAGTCACGATAAGATAGGTTATGTTGCAGTTGCAATTACAACATCTCAGTGACTTAACACAGTGTTTATTTCTTGCTCACTTTATAAGTCCAACACGGATGAGTTGGAAGGCTCTGCTCATTATAGTCAGTCAAGAACCCAAAACAATGGAGGATCCATTTTGTCATATACCTTCATAATTACAGAAAGAGGAAAAGAGAACATGAGGAATCTCACTTTCTTAAAGCTACTACCTGGAAGTGACATAAGTCACTTTTTATTGGTCAATGTGTGCAATATTTCTAAGCCTACCGGCAAAAAGAGTGAAGTGTAACACTTTCATGTGTCAGGAAGGAGAATGGGAACAATTATGAATAGCCCTAATGACTGCCAAAGGCTGCCCTTTCTGATCCCCAAATATTTGGTTCCCCCTTACCCAAAAGTTCCATCCAGTGACTGCATCCATTGTTGAGTCCAGGATCTGTGAGTGGTGCTCCATAATCTTTTTATCATGTCTGGGCATGGCTCCTCTTAGTCTGCAGACCTGTAAGTGTAAATAAAAATTATCTATCTCTTATACACCCATTATACAATGGTGGGAGAGGGATAGGATAACAACAACAGCATCCTCATTAAGTAAGGGGAAAGACTGTGAGATACAAAGCGCTGCATAGCAATTCTGAAACCCAGCCAGGCCTACGCTGATAGTGAAAAATATTATTTAATGATACCCCAATTCTGCCAATTGGGAGGACTTCCCATTCACTACTCGCCATGGTTCTTGGCTCTGCTGCTTAAAATATTCTTCTTTTCCATTACGCTTTGATGTAATCTAAAGTAGATACTGGAAAAGTTGTCTGTCATTGAGTGCTGAGCAATTTTATCAGTCTGCTTCATAACTGTGGAAGGTTGGAGACCTAAAATCATTTTAAGTCACTGAGCTTTTTCAGTTTAGGTATGTGGTTTCTTTGGTAGTATAACTGTATTAAAACAGCATCATATGTATTAGATTACATTCAATTTTGTATGCCAACAACCACACATAGTTTACTTTTAGGCATACTAATTAGATTTATCCTATTTCCCCTCTGTCTCCACCCTCTGTTAATTAGGAGCCTACAAGGTTGTTTTTTTTTCTTTCCTCTAAACCATTTTTTCAGTGGAAAGAAATAAGTAAGCATTAAGCCTTTAGTTGCACTTTACTTGCTCTTCTTGCCTTCTTAATCTAGCTAGAGCTTATAAGAATGGGTTTGAAAGTTATACTCTTGATTTTATCCTTATTGAGTTGTAATTGGCCTTGTCATTGTAAGGCATTCTCAAGCTTTTCTTTGACAAGTTGAAAAAGGAAAAATAGTAGCCTCTTGCAGCTTTGTATGTATATTGTATTTTTGCTACTCAATTTTTATTTCTATAAAAGAAAGTGGCTGAAGTTAACCAATTCTTTTCTGAACTCATCTCTTCTTCATAATACCTTATCAAATGAAGCCAACAGCAATCAGCACACAATGCTGATACTATTTTCTGATCTCTTTTATGAAGGCTGCAGGCTTTTTAGATACATCGTCTTCCTTCCAAGCCACTACAGGAAACAGTTTTACCAAAAGGACTACTGATTATAATCCTTCTAGCTTCCAATAACAGCTTCCTTACTACTTACCTCCTGATTACCAAGCAATTCTATGTATTAGTAGTTTTATGTTATGCATTATGACTACATCTCACATTGGGTTCCGATTTCTATACCAATCAGAATGTGTTCATTATTCTGGATATTGCAGGTAGTGTTTGCAAGAATATGTTGCACTAACAAACATCTCTAAAATTTAAGTGGTTTAACCCAACAAAATTTGTTAAAATTCAAATGGATTAACTCAAAAAATTATTTCTTGTTATGGCTACATATCTAACATAGGACGAAGAGCTTTGCTCATATGGTTGTTCAGAGATTCAGGTTGATGGAGGCTTCAGTTGATAGATATTCCATGTAACTAACTTTCTTTTTTTTTATTATACTTTAAGTTTTAGGGTACATGAAAATGTGGCACATATACACCATGGAATACTACGCAGCCATAAGACATGATGAGTTCATGTCCTTTGTAGGGACATGGATGAAGCTGGAAACCATCATCCATGTAACTAACTTTTATTGGCTATAGCTAGTCACTTGGCCATGTGTAACTTCAAATTGATTAGGGAAGACTAATACTATCAGATGCCTGGAAAGAAGACTGGAATGTTTGTGAATGGTCCTAATTAGTTGTAGCTTGTAACATTTTAATTTGCCCATGTGTGGTGCAGATGTGAGATATACAAGGATGTTTTAACAATTCTGATATTTCTCTAAGCCTGCTTCTTCCATAGTATTCCCAATCTACTTAATAGCAATTCCATTTGTTAAATTATTTGATCAAAAATTGTGTGTCTTTCACAATTATCTTTTTATCGCACCCAGCATTCACTAGAATACCAATCCTATTGGTTTTACCTTCAAAATATATCCATCATTTTATTGCCACTTCTTACTACCTTCATCCCTACTACCCAGATCTAAACTACTATTATTGTTAATCTTCTATCTGGTTGCCCAATTTCTGCACTTTAATCCTGTGTAATTATTAACATATTCATCATATTAATGCTTTCAATGCATAAAACGTATAACTTCTTTGCTCAAAACTCTCCAAAAATATCACATTTTACTGCATGACCCAGCACCTTCCAAATTCTTCTGTCCCTCTCAAGTCCTTCTCTTCTACGTTCCCTTGCTCACTCTACTCCAGCTGCATTATTTTCCTTACAGCCCCTTAAACATACAATCACTTGCTGTTCATTTTCTTCTCCAAGAGATCTAGTAACTTACTCTCTCACCTCTTTCAGGTGTCCGCTCCTTTGTCAATGAAACCTTTGCCAACCAACGCATTAAAATATCCACACCTCCAACACCCTCTCCCCGCTTTCTGCTTTGCTCTGCATTCGTAGCAATTATCACCATCTAATGTATTTTTACTTATTTATTTGATCATCTCTATCCACTAGAATGTTAAACCCAGTGGAGAAAGAGGGCTTGTTTCTTTTACCTTTTCTCTCTCCCTTCCTCCTCCTTGTTCTTCTTACTTATTTTTTTTTCAAAAAAGTATTTTTATATTGCTGTATCTCTAGTACCTGAAACAGAAGAACAGTGCCTGGAGCATAGTAAGTACTCAGGAAAGTTTGTCAAATACATGAATAGAATATTAGAGCATGAAACATGAAACCTGACTGAATAATCACACAGCAATTGTCATAAATGGTGAAAGTGACATTTCATATTGGTGAAGAAAAGAAGGATTTGCCATAATGAGTAGTTATCTAGAAAAACATAAATTTGGATTTCTTCAAAAGTTGCGGCTCACTCCAAAATAGATTGCAGATATATACAAGATTTAAATTTTTGAAAAATTATAAAATACTAAAATAAATAATTGGAATATGGGAAAGTATTTATGAGTGTGGTATAATATCTGGAAACTATAAAATAAAGGATTGATATATCCAGTTTATCAATTAGAATGTATGCAATTCAATTGCAAATCACTTAAAAAAATTGTGTATGGCAAATATACCATAAAAAATCGAAACAAGTAAATACGAGAACAAAAATGTTTCAGACTTATAAGACAGACAAATAGTTAACTTTCTTGCTATATGATATAACCGCTTCTTCCAAATCAAGACAAAAGGAAAAAGAAAAACCCAAACAATGAAATGCACAAGGAATATGACCAGAGAGAAAAAGAAATGGGTCTTAAACATATTTTAAAAATCACAATCTCACTGCTAATACTGCAAAAAAGCAAATTAGAACTGCAATGAGATACAATTTTTAAAAACATATTATTGGCAGAAGTAACTTGTTTTTAAACATCTGGTGTTTGACAAATAGGATAAAATTATAGTTCTAGGAGAAAGGATAAACACCAGATTTAAAAGAAAATCTATCGTAGTCTATAAATACAAATAAAATTGCATCACAAATTTGTTAAGCACTTTCTGTTAACACTTTATTTTCCCAGGAAATGCTGATATTCTTTAAAATGTTCTGAGATTCTCTGCATAAGAAGAAGAAATGATGACGCCCATTCCATTAGTCTGATTGGAATGGGTGCTGAGTCAATGAAGAGTTTTCTTTGGATTCTTGATATTTTATGGAAAGATCATTGAGAAGATTTTGTTTTGTTTCTTACAAGGAAACATATTTAGTGAGAGAAAAACCTTGTTTAGCTTGTTCTTAACAGATAGCGGGATTATCAGGATCATACCATTATGCAAACCATACATATAAGAGTAATAGGCCGGGCACGGTGGCTCACGCCTGTAATCCCAGCACTTTGGAAGGCCGAGGGGGCCGGATCACGAGGTCAGGAGATTGAGACCATCCTGGCTAACATGGTGAAACCCCGTCTCTACTAAAAATACAAAAAATTAGCCGAGCGCGGTGGCGGGCACCTGTAGTCTCAGCTACTCGTGAGGCTGAGGCAGGAGAATGGCGTGAACCTGGGAGGCGCAGCTTGCAGTGAGCCCAGATAGCGCCACTGCAGTCCGGCCTGGGCAAAACAGCGAGACTCCGTCTCAAAAAAAAAAAAAAAAAAAAAAAAAGAGTAAAAAATGAGTAATAGAGCTGCCTATTCAATGCTGGGGACCCATCAAAGGTGGGTGGATTCTCCATAGGCAGCATGGCTGTTATGCTTTATTCTTGTTCCTAACACCTCTATACTAGTGCCTTTTTGCTGGCAGAATTCTTGACATTGATTTATCTTACTGTCTGTGGCAGTTGAGCAGAGCTTTTGCTCAAATGAAAAGGCAACAAATTAATGCGCTATTTCTTCTTGGATGTCGTCTTCCCACAGAGGTCTCTCGCACCCTCTCAGTCTGGCCATGTTTTCCCTAGGCACTAGAATTGGAAGTACTTTCTGTTAGGCAGGACTGGATTTTCAGTAAGGCCAGTAGGAGGATATATAGAAAGAACAGGCTGTGGGGGCAGTGAAGCTGTTTCTAAAATCTTGCCTTGAGGCTCAGAACATAAACCTAAACTACTAGTAGGAAGCCATAAATCCTTCATTTCAGTGAAAGGATTGTAATATACTTTTTACAGCTCACAAGGAGGTTAACAGAAAAACATTTATCTTGTCTAACCTTGTAAAATTGTTCCAGAAACAGACTAGAAGGGGACAAAAATGATGGGAAAGCACCAACTACGAAGTCACTGTTCATAGAGGCAGCCCTCTGTAGGAGGGAGCTATGCATCCACACAAAAATGCTTTCATGGTCTGGCTCCATTTCTTTGGCTTGGATGGGAGGCCAGATTCAAGGACTTCCTTCAGGGAGATCTGCTTGCGATTTCAGTTACCCTGGGCCCCACTTCACTACAGTTATATTTTTCTGTCTCTGATAATGATGATCCGTAAACAGTTACGGCCTCTTTGTGGCAACCCAGATGTGAATTATACACTATGATGCAGAGAGAATTAAAAAAAAAAATCTGGCCCAGTATTTTCTTTGTGACATTTAGAATTCCTTTGAGAGGAATTTTCCAACTTAAAGGTCTTTTTTTTCCTCTCATAAGTATTTTATAAATCTTGCAGAATGATTAATCATTCTAAATAAAACATTAACTACTCAGTGTCTAAATAAGGTATTTGAAAGGCAAAAAGGTCTTTGTCTCTTCATGAAATAAAACATTTCTAACAATTTGTTAGATGAAAGGATACTGATGTTCTTAGGTTGAAATGTGTCAAAAAATTTGAGAAGATAGGGATGCAACTTATTTACCTGGTGACCTGGCTGTATTACTGCTCTGCATTTATGTTTTGTTAAATGATTTGTAGCATATTGAGCCTGGGAGGCCTTAGCCCTGTTCCAATGCATTCCATTATATTTTCACTGCTAACATAATTACAGACATCTACAGCATATCAAGTATATATAAAAATGAATCATTCTATTTCTGCTGGCTTAAAAAGCTTCTCAAAAGAAAGAGAGAGAAAAAAGGAATGTGTCTGTTAATAAGGCTCCCCTCCTTCCTCCCTTCAGTTTCCTGGTATAGGGTATTTCCTTAGCTACTATGACATTACCTTCTTTATTTCTTTCTCATTTCCAGGTTTAGTGAATAATAAACTTCCAAACTTCCTTCCTTCACAACCACTGACCATGACTAACTCTTTGTGAAAGAACTCTGAACACTATAAGGTACTGTAGTAATGTTAAGTAAACTTTGCCATAGGAAGAAAAAGGAAAAGTAATAGAAATAAAATGATAGAAGTAAAAAAGAGAAAAAAGGCATAAATAGAGAAAAGTTTAATTATGTAGTGATAATTAAGGGAGAGACAAAATATAAGGTAAGTATTGTTCAGAGATAAGACAATTATGATTCCAGTGATCCCTGATTCAAATATTAACATAATTTTGATGAGTGGGCAAAAATATGAGATGACTAGAAAATGGAACAGATACTCTGTCCTTTTAATTACCATTTTCTTTATATGACTTGGGAATCCAATAATTTGGCTAACTTAACCTAGTAGTTCTCAACTGAGTTGTCTTGCCTTCCCCAGGGGGGATATTTTTCAATGTCTGGAGACATTTTTGGTTGTCACAGATAGGGGGAGGTGTGTTACTTGTGTCTAATGAGTAAAGGCCAGGGATGGTGAGGAACATCCTCTAGCACACAGGACAGCCCCATGTCTTCACAACAAGAATTATCTGACCCCAAAGGTCAAAAATGTTGATGTTGAGAAATCTTCGCTTAATCCAATCATTTTTAAAACCAAAATGATGGGTTTTAAAACCCCAAATAAGCAAACAAACATAAAAACTGAGCCTCATATAATCTTCAGTCATTCCTTCTTTTTGGTCTGTTCTGTGGTCTAGTACTATTGAACTATCCAGAGCCCCACTACATGGAACTTTATGATCCTGTACTTTAGTACTTTTTTTTTTCTTTTTCCTTTCCACATTTAAGGATCTTCAAGACTCTTCTTACATATTACCTCTCCTGTGAGAGATTTTCTGTGCCATTGCCTCTATAAGACTGTCTCTTAGGAAAGGTGAACTATATTCTAAACAACCAGTGTCTATGCCTTTACTATGTACTCACTGTATTAGTCTGTTTTTATGCTACTGATAAAGACATACCCAAGACTGGGAAGAAAAAGAGATTTAATTGGACTTACTGTTCCACATGGCTGAGGAGGCCTCAGAATCATGGTGGGAGGCAAAAGGTGCCTCTTACATGGCAGGGGCAAGAGAAAATGAGGAAGAAGCAAAAGTGGAAACCCATCAGATGTTATGAGACTTATTCACTATCACAAGAATAGCAGGAGAAAGACCGGCCCCATGATTCAATTACCTTCCCCTGGGTCCCTCCCACAACATGTGGAAATACTGGGAGATACAATTCAAGTTGAGATTTGGGTGGGAATACAGCCAAACCACATCACTCACATTCTATTATTTGTTCACATGTAACCACCTTCCCCAGACTATGAGTGCTTGAGGGCTCTTTCCTGGATATTTCTTGTGTTTCTCAAACTCAACCTCATCAAAACCATTTATTTCTCTTTCTAACTCATTTCTTTTTGCAAATGCCCAGTATTAAGATAAATATACAAATGAGGATCATTGTACACCTTTATTGTTTCTCAAATGATGAAACTCTAAATCCCTTTTAAATTCCTCCTTCTCATTTCCATGACCACTGCTTTAGTTCAGAAATCTATCTCATCATTCTGTTGCTTCCAGAATTTTTTTAAATGTAACTCTCTCCTGTCCCCTGGTTAAACTGCTCAATGGTTCAATGGCTCTTCATTGTTGGTAAATAAAATCCATACTCTCTATACTGATAATATAGAAACCTTCATAGTATTATTCCATGATATTATCTCCCCAGCCTTATCTCATCTCACACCTACATATGAGCTCCCAGCACACCAATTTGTGGTTTCTGAAAGTACTATGCTTTGTCCAGTGCTTTTATCTGTTTTGTTTCCTTGCCTAAGATCACCTTATGTCCCAATCCCTTTTGTCATTCACCCACTGCCATCCACCACACATATCTCTCCCGAAAGTATCACTTTTCTCTTCAGGATGAATTGATGTCCCTTTTCTGAGTTCCCAGCTCTTTCTGCTTGTATTTCTAGCACAGCTCATTTTTCCTAGTATTGTCTGTCATCCCTATTACACTGTGACTTATTTAAGGAAGGAGAATGCATGATATCTCTGTCTTCCTATTGCCTATCACAGTACTTATTACAGAAGAGTCAGTAAACATAAAGCCTTTTGTGTGGAAGGTAATCAGTAAATACATATTCAGTTAAGCTGAATCTCAAAGGAAGAGTCCATTGGAAATACATCTGGAGGTGTTGTGGTTGTAACATCTTCAGGTGTCTTTCGTGTATGAATGTCATTTAGTGGAACAAAAACTCAAATTGTCTCTCCAAAGTGTGAAGCTCCAGTCTCTTGGTTTGTCTGCCATACTGACTTCTGCTAATCTTCATTCCTATGCTATCATTTAGACCTTATTTAACAATTCAAACTCACAAAGATACCATTCAATTACTTTGTTGAGTGGAATTTAGTTTGGGCTTTAGAAAAGTATCCTAACTCTTTCCAGCCACAGGTTATCATTTAGTCAGAGTATTGTGGTAGCAGTGGTTGGAGAATGAATGTGGAGGTGATGGTGGTCTATGACGGTATTGCAGGAAGCACATAAATGGCAGGAGCAAAGTCCAAGTACACAATGTGAGGGAAAGGAAACTGGGTGTTAGGTGAGGTCCAACAATGAGATAATCCAAGTAGCATTTCCAGCTCTCAGCTACTACAGGAATTTTGAAGATTTAAAAATAGATATAATATGTTCCTTGTTGCATTCCCAGACGTGGAAGGGCTCTTCTGTCACATTCTCAGACTCTGTGGGTCCTACAAGACATATAAAATAGGGAATGGGTGTTTAAGTCTGGACAAAACGGAGGCACAAATTAACATTCCACATTCCAATAGGAAAAAGAAAAACCTCGAAACAAAATCACACCACTCTATATCCTTGCAGACATAGCTGAGGTTAATGTTAAAAGTGTTAAATCAGCTCTGTTTTTTTTTTTTTTTTTCCTCTTTCTGAGAAATGTACTGGGGGAAAGGAGGAAATAAGGTTTAGGGGGGTGAATACATGACTATGTATAACTACAGTTTATATTTTATAGAAAAATATAGAATGTAGAAGTCTTTCTGGAAAAAAAATGCTGAAAATTGAATTATTATAAATTTTGAATGCAGGTACATTGTATCAAAATGAAAGTCAAGTAGTTCACCACCCAAAAAGCATTCATCATGCTTTTTGTTGATGCTAAATGTTGTTATTTAGTTATTTAGTTGTAATTTAGTTTGTGATTCAGACTTTACTGATCTATAGGTCAGATCGTAGTTGGGCAAACCTTTATGGACTCATGTTTGACCAAAAAAAAAATAAAAATATGTATTATTTTGTTATTATAGTTTAAACTTTTTTTTTTTTTTGAGACGGAGTCTCACTCTGTCACCCAGGCTGGAGTGCAGTGGCGTGATCTTGGCTCACTGCAAGCTCCGCCTCCCAGGTTCATGCCATTCTCCTGCCTCAGCCTCCCAAGTAGCTGGGACTACAGGCGCCCGCCACCACGCCTGGCTAATTTTTTGTATTTTTAGTAGAGACGGGGTTTCACCATGTTAGCCAGGATGGTCTCAATCTCCTGACCTCGTGATCTGCCTGCCTCGGCCTCCCAAAGTACTGGGATTACAGGCGTGAGCCACCGTGGCTGGCCATAGTTTAAACTTTTAACAGTGAATATTTTATTCAGCTGTTTATTTCTTAATGTAACAGCTAAATTAAACATAGTGAATTGTATTACCTGAGAAATCACCTATATATCAGGAAAACTATACATATTACTGATATTTGATCAAAAAGGGGTTAAGAAATATTTTGCTGAGGAAAAACTGTAAAAATAATTCATTTTTCTTAGTTTGTGAAAATGAGTGGAAGTCAAGGACAGAGCCTCTAGTATCATTTATAGTGGAAGGATTAATTTGTTTTTTTAAACACGAGTTTATGGAGAAAATTGAAGTGAAGAAAATTTTCACAACACTGATTAAAAACTTGCTTGGGCAAATCAACTTGCTACCCTGTGTTTTGGTTGCCCCATGTATAAAGTGAGGTGAGATTAAGTATGCAAAATTTCTCTAATCTTTAAAATGTAATCATTCTTTTATCTTCTTAATTACCTAAAGAAAAGTTGATTGAAAAATATGTAACACTATAAAATGGGTACTGTAACACAAGTCTTTGGAAAAATGAACATTATTGAATATCAAAGATGAAGTAATGTTTAATTTGTTCTTATCTTGCTTTTGTAGTCAAATATTTTTTAAATGAAAGAGTAACAGTTCTATATATTGAACTGTTTAAAGAGGTAACAAAATACACATTTTGGTCAGATGCTGAAAGTTTGGGTGTTAAAGTCAATGTCTAGTTAAAGCCGAGGTTAAACAGCATCATAGAAAGAGTGCCAATAGAGAAAAATCTGAAATTTTATCAAAAAATTTAATTGTTATTAAATTTTCCATGTTAAAATGTTAAACATTTTAAAGGGGTTAAGTTATGCAGGAGCAATGATCTCTGAGCACTGCCAACAACAAATTTCTCTTGAGATTCCTCTAAACCATATTTATGTTGAATTAATAGTTAGTGGAAGAGGCTTACCTTTCTCTAACACCACCATTGTTTTTTCTTCATATTCTTTTTTATTTCTAGATAGAAGACAGTTTTCATTGTCATTGCCAACATGATTTTGGATTTCCACCCTAAAATCTTGGCGATCTTGAGATGTTAAATCTTGAAATGTTAAATTAATATTCTCCTTTATTTCATCTTGACATGTAAAAATTGCAAACCCGGCCGGGCGTGGTGGCTCACGCCTGTAATCCCAGCATTTCGGGAGGCCGAGGCGGGAGGATCACGAGGTCAGGAGATCGAGACCACGGTGAAACCCCGTCTCTACTAAAAATACAAAAAATTAGCTGGGCACGCAGTGGCGGGCGCCTGTAGTCCCAGCTACTCGAGAGGCTGAGGAAGGAGAATGGCGTGAAGCCTGGAGGCGGAGCTTGCAGTGAGCCGAGATCCTCCCACTGCACTCCAGCCTGGGCGACAGAGCGAGACTCCGTCTCAAAAAAAAAAAAAAATAATAATAAATAAATAAAATAAATAAATAAAATAAAAATTGCAAACTAGTACTACACTCCTTGAAAAATTTATGACCTAAAAATAAAAAGATTATAGATACATGAGAAAACACCAAGACATTAATCTTTACTAAACATTGTAACTTTTGTTATACAATCACTTATTTATGAAACCAAAACCCAAAAAATTCTGAAAATGTTTTGTTTTTGTATATATGTGTCCAATTCATTTGGTGGCAAATTGTGATCTGAACTGACACCCATCGTAATGTTTATTTACTTAGAATGACTACCATACTGGGAAAATATTAATGTGTTTGATTACAATTACTTCCCAGATCTACTGGGGAGTTTACATAATAAATATTACATATACCATGTAACCTATCTAATAGCTGAATAATTCTGAATTCTACAATACATCCTACCCCAAAGATTTCAGGTTTTCCAGTTCTTAGGAATTCTTAGGAATATGCTGTGGAAAATTGTGTTTTCCAAAGCTGTCCTCAACAAGATTTCCCATTACACACGTTCTTTTAGAACCTTGCCACTCTTCCATCCAGAGGTGGAGTCTAATTCCTTTCCCTTGAATTTTGGCATATTTAGCAACATTTTTTTATAACCAATGGAATGTGGCATTGGTGATGCTATGTGATTTCTGAAACTAGATTTGAAAATGCCACAAAATTCCCTTGCTCTTATGGGATACTCACCCTTGGAATCCAAACATCATACTTTAAAGAAGCCCCAAAAATGTATTAAAAGGTTTACTCTGAGATCCCGGTTCCACAGTCTTAGTTGTGTTTTCAGCCAATAAACTGTACTAATGTGTCAGCCACATGAGCAAGACATCTTAAAAGTGAACTCTCCAATTTCTAATTAAATGACTAGGTGACACTATGCTTAGTCCTGCTCAAATTTCAGACCATGAAATTTGAAAGCATTCATAAGCAAATAAATATTTTTTGTTGTTTTAAGCCACTTGGGGTAGTTAGTTATGTAGCAATAACACTAGAACCCTAACCTGCCTTACAAGCAATTCAGTTGTCCTGGGAAGACCATGCAATAAAGAAGCCCAAACTATCCCATGTGGAGATCTCATGGACAAGCTCTGGGACAATGTTTAGAAAAAAGATCCTTGGTCAGTCACCTGGTCCTGCTCCAGCCAACATTTGACTGCAGCCACGTGAGACACCCGAGTTAGAACCTCGTATTCAATATCTTCTTGAGTTCCTGATCCACAGAAATTGTGATTGGGAATACAACAATTGTTGTTTTGAGCTACTAAGTCTTGGAGTTATTTGTTACATAGTGATAGACAACCAGAACATCTGCACATAATTTTTAGAAACCAAAAAAGGAAAACCATGAACTTTAAGAAATAGAAGAGGCAGCAGTTTGAAAACCATTTGTAGGGAAGACCATGCTGACTCTGATAGTCCCTGTAGTCATGGGTTCTGGGGATCTCACTCTTATCGCTCTCAAAGAGGATAGACCTTAACAGAGCATGTACCAGTATGTACGTATGTATGGGACCACAAAGAGGAAGGGATTAATTCTACTCTGCAGAATTTGTAAACACTTTGCAGGACAAATTATATTTAAACTGGATCTTGATGGGTGGTTATGAGTTTTCTGCAGATTTCAAAGTGTGTGTTGACATGTGCTGTGGCTACATGGCCAGAGAGAAAAAGAAAAAGAGAAACAATTGTGAGAATAGTTACTTAGAGTTCCAGCGGCTTATTATTGGTTTCTGTGCTTCTTGATGCCCAATTAAACTTTCCTTAAAAAATTTCCTTGAGAAAGATATTTAAAATAGTTGAACTTTTTTTTAAAAACTTGCCATCAAAAGAGTCTTGACTAAGACAACTCATCTTTTTAGTGGTTTCTGTATTCTAGATTTTATGATATTCATATTGCATATACACCTGTTTAATTTTTGCAACTGCTTTTTGAAATGAATATCATGATTCACATTTTGAAAATAGGGAAGTTGAGACTAAATAACCTGTTATAAAGTGAATATCCTGGATTTCAAATCTGGACTTTTGCTCTTCACTGTGTAATGGCTCTATTATATGATCTTATTACCTTTATAGCTCACCTCGTGTGTGTGTGTGTGTGTGTGTGTGTGTGTGTGTGTGAGAGAGAGAGAGTATGTATCAGGTGAGCCATAAAGATTATATACACACACATTTGTATATCAGGTGAGCTATATATATATATATATATATGTCTGTGTATATATTATATCAATGTGTGTATATTTATTTGTGGTGTCCATACTTTTTATGTGTAGACATGTTTTACCCGTAAATTTAGAGTAAGGCAGAATTTGTATTTATTTTTCTTTTCTTTTAGAACTGGCATTGTGTTTTGTCTAGTGTAGATGCTCTGAATGTTTAATTGACTCAATCTATAAAAATAATAAAAAATTGGAAAATAAAAGTTTTAGATGATGTTAAGACTTGGATGAAAATGAGAAATGGACATGTTTCTTCTGTTTCTTTCCTTGGGAGGGAGGAAAGAAGTCTGTGACCTCTGGTTTGTTGAATTTTCAGGGTATCTATACGAGGCCAGAGGTCTGGAAGGCCCTGCTGGAACAGCTACTTATCTTTGTTTTTTAGCTGTTCTCTAAGATAAAATAGACATTTGAAAACAATTCTTGAATTCTTTGTAGATGACTGAATTTAATATTATTGTCTTTAAAAAGCTCTTGCCTTTGTACGGCAAGATTTTCCTCAAATACTACAAAAGCTTTTGTTTCTACATTGGTATTATTTATACTCTTCTCTTGCCTCAGATACTTCTATTCCTTTCTTGTCATTGTGATAAATAGTGACAATAACAAATCTAATATTTAATTGACTAGCATCTTTTGGAATATGGATAAATGAGATATATGCATATAGATTCTATGATATAATTTCAATTCATTCAATTTTTCTTAAATCTTTATCTCCATAACATCTCTCAGGTTAGACTAATATATTAAATAACTTTTCAAGTTGAATCATAGGATCATAGAATTTGGTACTTGGAAATGAAAAGGTATGAAAAGTGAGATCTGGGCTTTAAAAAAAAACAAACGAAGGCAAAAACCTCTCCAGGTGACCCCAAAGCCAAGCCAGGACTGAAAACAAGCATTCAATTCCTTCATTTTACCGATGAAATAATTAGGTTATAGGGAGTGTTGGTAGAATGGCACATTTTATACCAAGTTCTCATGTGCTACCATTCCTCTTCATTGTTGAACTTTATCCTCTTTCATTGCAAGACGAATTTATCCACATACCGGTAGCAAATGCGGTTGCCAATGATTTCCATATTTGACACCTCATTATTTTGAAGGCACTGAGAAGAGAATGACCTCAAGCTTTCCTTAGGGGTGAGTTAAGATATCCTAGAAAGGGATTCAACATGAATTGGGCACAAACCCTAAATCAAGTTGGACCAGGGGACAGGGTTACACCGTATTGAAAGAAGCACTTCCATATAAATCAGGTTGATAGTGGAAGAGGCAGTTTTTAGAAAAGGAATACTTAGCAAATCATCTCAGGTACCTACTAAAAGAACTTAATAAGTTACTTAATTTTAAAAATACATTACAGATATTTTAATATTTTACTGAAAAATCTTTACATGAAGTACGATATAGTGTTTTCTTGGGAAATATTTAGTTTCTTCAGAGTAGAATCTTCCAATCCCCTGGGCAGTGGGGTAGCCTGAGAACCTTTCGGCTCAACAGACGGACTTTTACTTACTCTCCTTGCATTTAGTCCTTCATTTCATTTCTGTATTTGGGTCTGCAGCTTAAAACATCCTAATTCAGTTTTGTCTAGTCTAATTTCACCTCTCTTTATCTGGCAAATGAGTAGGGGAGGGATTCTTTTAGTAAAGGTTCAGAATGGGACTGTGCAGAAGAGTTAACACAGCCGACTTGAGGTTAGAAGGTCTGTAGAAGGGTCTGCTTGCATGGTTGGCCCTTGGCCAGCATCTGGTAACTTGGCTTTCAAAATGTTCACTTTGTCACTAGCTGATAAGGTAGTTTTTCTGTTCCTAGATTGTGCAAACACTGTGATTTATAATGAAGACTTGCTTTCCTTCTGAAAGTCAGGAATTTTTGTAGTTGCTAGCCAAAAGGTACTTACTGAGCTGCCCCCAATACAAATTCTAAATTATTAGTCTCAAGCAGGCTCCCCTAAGCAGAAATATAACACAGAATGTTGCTGCATTTTCCCTGATGGAGGGAATATGTGCTCTATATGACAAAGAAGGAAGATAGAATACGAAGCCTGAACATTCATTTTTTCAGAATCCACTGTGTCTTTTCTCTTACTGATTTTTATTCTATCGCTGTAATAAATCTTTGCCATTAGTAAAATTATCTGCTGAGTCCTGTGATTCCTTCTAGTGAATCACTGAAAGTGTGAGTGGTCATGGGACACTTTGTTTCCCACCCCCCTTCCAAAGTTATCTTTGGTCTGAAACTGCAGAGTTGGCTTTGGGAATATTCTTTTCCACTTCTCAAACAACCCATCCTCACCTTCACATCTAACAGCTGTCAGTTAAGAAGTAAAGTTAGAGGAGAAGTAATAGTAACAGATAATGTTAATATGTAAGCTCCTGGCGTCTCTTCTAGTTTCACCTCCACAGATGACCTGTGGATATGGGGCGATGTATAGAAATTTCCTATCTTTTCCCTCTCTAATCTCCAGTGCTTGTGCCCACATGCTGGGGAATGTTAGTGGAACACTTCCAAGGTCATCCTTCATTTTGGACTAAATTATATCTTTCTTAAATTCTTTGATGCATCTTGTATGAATTGTGAGATGTTCCCCCATTTGAGAATAGATACATTTCCTTCTGTATTATTTCTCATTTTATTTCAGCAATTCTGAAAGTGTTTTCAATGTACAACAAAAATACCAGAAGGCTTTAAAATAACAAACTGCTCAGATTGATATTATATGAAATTACTAGCCTTAATGGAAACTTTTGGGTGGGTTTAGCTAAAATAAAATGATCCAAAAGATAGGGCTTCTTTGCCATCACATACAGTGACTTAGAAAAGGTACCCTCTCTACACTGATAAGTTGGAAAAAAGATTCTGCCTCTGGCTTCACAGAGTGCGAGTGAAACAGCAACGCTTGGTAGGTGAAACAAGAAAGATTTTGATCATCACTCAAGCTTCTTGGCTGGCTATAAATTGCATGATCATAGCAAGAAGTCCTACATAAAAGCACATAGATGTCTAATAAAATCAGCAGTGTTTACTTTCTTTTTTTCTTTTTCTTTCTCTCTTTCTTTTTTTTTTTTTTTTTGAGACGAGTCTCGCTCTGTTGCCCTGGCTGGAGTGCAGTGGTGCGATCTTGGCTCATTGCAAGCTCCGACTCCTGGGTTCAGGCAATTCTCCTGCCTCAGCCTCCTGAGTAGCTGAGACTACAGGTGCGTGCCACCACGCCCCGCTGTTTTTTTGTATTTTTAGTAGAGACAGGGTTTCATCGTGTTAGCCAGGATGGTCTCGATCTCCTGACCGCGTGATCTGCCCACCTTGGCCTCCCAAAGTACTGAGAATACAGGCATGAGCCACCATGCCCGGCCTAGCAGTGCTTACTTTCTGTGCAAAAGAAATCAATTTTTTTTTCTTTGGTCATACTAGTTTTGTAGTTTTAGTTATCTGTGTATTTAACTATATTTCATTATTGTCATCATGCCTTTTAAATAATCTACAGATAAGATGGGGAAAATGCATTTCAGTGACTATCTTACCTCATGTTCAGTTTACAAAAAGCTGTGAGCAATGGTAGAACTTGCTGATTTTATTTTATTTTTTATTTTTTTAAATTATACTTTAAGTTCTCGGGTACATGTGCACAACATGCAGCTTTGTTACATATGTATACATGTGCCATGCTGGTGTGCTGCATCCATTAACTCATCATTTACATTAAATATATCTGCTAATGCTATCCCTCCCCCTCCCCCCACCCCACGACAGGCCCTGGTGTGTGGTGTTCCCCACCCTGTGTCCAAGTGTTCTCATTGTTCAATTCTGACCTATGAGTGAGAACATGTGGTGTTTGGTTTTCTGTCCTGGTGATAGTTTGCTCAGAATGATGGTTTCCAGCTTCATCCATGTCCCTACAAAGGACATGACCTCATCCTTTTTCATGGCTGCATAGTATTCCATGGTGTACATGTGCCACATTTTCTTAATCCAGTCTATCATTGATGGACATTTGAGTTGGTTCCCAGTCTTTGCTATTGTGAATGGTGCCGCAATAAACATACATGTGCATGTGTCTTTATAGCAGCATGATTTATAATTCTTTGGGTATATACCCAGTAATGGGATTGCTGGGTCAAATGATATTTCTAGTTATAGATCCTTGAGGAATCGCCACACTGTCGTCCACAATGGTTGAACCAGTTTACGGTCCCACCAACAGTGTAAAAGTGTTCCTATTTCTCCACATCCTCTCCAGCACCTGTTGTTTCCTGACTTTTCAATCATCACCATTCTAACTGGTGTGAGATGGTATCTCATTGTGGTTTTGATTTGCATTTCTCTGATGGCCAGTGATGATGAGCATTTTTTCATGTGTCTTTTGGCTGCATAAATGTCTTCTTTTGAGAAGTGTCTGTTCATATCCTTTGCCCACTTTTTGATGGGGTTGTTTGATTTTTTCTTGTAAATTTGTTTAAAGAACATGCTGATTTTAGGACCTATGCTGCTATTTTGTATAATTTCATACAGATGATAATTTTAAAACTTTATAAATTTAGGCTATAAGAAAAATGAAAACTGCAAATTACTTAACATATTATTAATGTAATAACATTCTGCTACTTGAAAAATTTAAAAAAGTGAATCCCATGAAGACAGAGAGTAGACTGATGAAATAGAATGATAAAGATGGTAAATCATAGGCATATATTTTATCTCAATAAAAACAAAGAAATCTGTACTTTACTATCAAGAATTTTTATTGGCTGGGCATGGTGGCTCATGCCTGTAATCCCAGCATTTTGGGAGGCCGAGGCAGGTGGATCACAAGGTCAGGAGATCAAGACCATCCTGACTAACACAGTGAAATCCCATCTCTACTAAAAACACAAAAAATTAGCCAGGTGTAGTGGCATGCACCTGTAGTCTCAGCTACTTGGGAGGCTGAGGCAGGAGAATAGCTTGAACCTGGGAGGCAGAGGTTGCAGTGAGCCAAGATCATGCCACTGCACTCCAGCCTTGGCAACAGAGCATGACTTTGTCTCAAAAACAAACAAACAACAAAAAACAAAATTTTTATTAGGCAAATTAACTACAGCATATTTTCTGTACATTCTCATGCTCTGAGTTTAGTCTGGAACCTATTCACCATCCACTTATTGTTTTTAGCAGCTTCTAATGCAATCACAACATAGAGTAATTGCTAAATTTCTTTGGCAGCAGAACTGACATTCAAGTGGATAAAATAAGATTAAAGTACTTAAAAAAACCCCAAAAACTTAGTTTGTCATGTACAGTTTTCTGTTAGCACCAGGAGTTGCAGATGGTCTTGTCACCAAATGGATCTACAGTATGTGTTATGGGATTATGAAGTTGAATTTTTAAAGCTCTGACAGCATTCTCTGGTTGTTCCCACTCACAATATTTTTAAGTTGTTTACTTCATTTTCTAAACATATTAGTTCTAGGTTTCTGCTGCCATAAAAGAAGATAAATGAGAGGCAATTGTAGCAACTGTAGACACACAGAAGATGAAATTTTGCAAATTATTTCAAAAACCTTAGTTGAGGCTGGGCACAATGAATGGCTCATGCCTGTAATCCCAGCACTTTGGATGGCTGAAGCTGGTGGATCTCTTGAGGTCAGGAGTTTGAGACCAACCTGGCCAATGTGGTGAAATCCCATCTCTATTAAAAAATACAAGAAAATTAGCCAGATGTGGTGGTGCAGGTCTGTAATGCCAGCTACTCCAGAGGCTGAGGCAGGAGAATGGCTTGAACCCAGAGGCAGAGGCTGCAGTGAGCTGATATCGTGCCAGTGCACTCCAGCCAGGGCAATAAAGTGAGATTTCATCTCAAAAAGCAAACAAACAAAAAACAACAAAAAGACCTTAGTTGACAAGTAATATTGAATTATCATCCAGCTGTTTCTTTTGACAACACCTTTAATATTGAGTCCCACAGACACTGAAATATATTTTAAAAAACACAAATAATTTTATTCCTTTGGTTAGAAGTTTAAAGATACTCATTTTGGCCAGGTGTGGTGGCTCATACCTGTAAACCCAGCACTTGGGGAGGCCAAGGCTGGCGGATCATGAGGTCAGGAGATCGAGACCATCCTGGCTAACACGGTGAAACCCCATCTCTACTAAAAACACAGAAAATTAGCCGAGTGTGGTGGTGCATGCCTGTAGTTCCAGCTACTCAGGAGGCGGAGGCAGGAGAATCGCTTGAACCTGAGAGGCGGAGGTTGCAGGGAGCCGAGATCGTGCCACTGCACTCTAGCCTGGGTGACAGAGCTAGACTCCATCTCAAAAAACAAACAAAAAAAAGATACTCGTTTCATGAAAAGTTTTACATATTAAGTGGAATGGGTTATATTTAGAATGTTATTTATAGTAGATATATGGAAATATGATATATGCATATGAATAGAATAAAACAATTGCATGTGTGGATTAAGGTATCTTATTGCCATTCAGCAAGATATCAAGCTTCTCCAATTTTGGTTAAGTAAACACTGTGGGGAACATGATATATTAACTTAAAAAAATTCAAGTATTTAGTTCATAGATCTTGGTTACCCTTTCCTTTTTATTTTGGCATAGATCTATTTGGTCTACAAAGATCTGAAGTTACATCAACACATTTAGTATACAAACTATCATTATAATGTCTTTTTTTCATGAATGGTTTGTGAAAATATGATACCCTATAACTTGAGGTGTGAGAAGTTTCACACCCTAATTTACACTTTCAGATTTTCTATTGAGACTTAGAGTATGACTTCATCTATTTTTAGAAAGGAACATTGTGGAATCCACATATAATTTATTAAAATGTTTTGACCAAAACCAGGTAACCTATCCCTGCATAAACTCATCTGCCTCATTTCCAGGCATCATAGCTCCATTTGGATTAAGAAATCAGGAGCTGTCCCAAGGAGGGTGAATGAGACAGGCAATTGGCTAACACCACATCATAATGAAAGATGGGGCATAAACATCTATCACAAAAGAAAAATGCTATTGAATTATCAAATGCAAGCAAATAGGCCCAGCAGATAGAATAGTGTCAATATCAATTAGTGGGGGGAGTTATTGGGTTATAAGGTTTTCTTGTAACATGAAGAAACTTGTTAGGTAAGCAAGGACTCTGGATTAATATCCTTTGTGAAAAAGAATTCTTATAGACAAGACAGAAAGCTGCAATTGGTCTAAACTCTGAGTTAAAGTTTATACTCTGATTGATTCAGCTTATATAACAAAAATTAAGTTAAAATACCCCAGATATCAAATATTTTCCTGGACAGAAGTGGGAAGATAAGAACTTGGTTATTACCCAATTGGTAATTTAATATGTCTAAGAGTTATACATCAATCAATGAAAGAGGTGTTTTACTCATTTAATAACAAAAACAACCTTGATGTGAATGTATAATTATCTGATCTGGGGGATTCTGAGAGTCAGATAAATTAAGGAATTTAAGTGTTACCCAACTTATAAATGCACATGAATAGAATGTTGTTCAATCTCAAATGTTCATCAAATTCTGGTGATACTACAGATAAAAGCAAACAAAATTAATTTATAAAATATATGAAAGGAGTATTATTTAAAATTTCTGTCTCTGAACTTGATTTTAGACTTGATATAAAATTCTCTTATAGCCCTGCTCACAGCAAATTAATACAAGTGTCTGACAGTAGGGAAGCATAACCTCAGCTTTAAAGTTACTGAGAATACCTTTAGCAGACTCAATTTTAATTAAGCCCTTAGTAAGTCACATGTTGCTAAGAAAACAGGTAGTTCTTAACTATGCCTATTAAGGAGGCTATTAAGATTCCCATAGTATTTCGGGGTGACATTTGCTTAAATCATCCAGTACTTGTCATTCAGCCATGTGATGCAGTTGAAATAACAGATATTTATAAACCCTAAGAACCATTCGACCTGTGGACAGATAGAATTGTCTTAATTATCCTTAGTTATTAAGAATAATTTTGTCATCATAGATGTGGGTACAGGTTAATAGAAATATAAAGAACAAAAATATATATATTTTTCATGTATATTAAATTTCAAGTTGTTAACTCACTTCTCCCATGCATTTCCAAAAAGTTTTAGAGAGAAATTTGCCAGACAGTACACACACACACATTATTTTAAAAAGACAATAATACATTTAAGAGGAGAAAAACAAATATGCCCAATATAAAACTCAACGTAATTGTTCTGAAAACATACATTCTGAAAACAGAGAACCAATGCAAAAAAGATGATGTTTTAAATTAATGTAATTTTCATTTTCAGAGAAGAGAAAACAAGCTGGCTGTTTACAAAGAAAATTCTTTTCTTAATGACCAAACTTAGCAAAAATAGACAACAGTAGTTTCTCAGTAAATCTAGAATCAAAACTCAAAGGCCTGCTTCCAATATTACCTTGATAAACTGAGGATTAAAATAAAAATGTAAGTCTGTGACCAACATCCTGCAAGGAGTTAATATAACAAGATCCAAGGTATCAGTTTGGTAGAGTGGACTTTGAGATAGACCTTCAATGACTCACTTGATTAAAGAGCATACTTTTTTTTTTTTTCCTGATGAAGTCTCGCTCTGTCACCCAGGCTGGAGTGTTGTGGTGCAATCTTGGCTCACTGCAACCTCTGCCTCCTGGGTTCAAATGATTCTCCTGCCTCAGCCTCCCAAGTAACTAAGATTACAGGCATGCGTGCACCACCATGCTCGGCTAATTTTTGTATTTTTAGTAGAGATGGCATTTCATCATGTTGGCCAGGCTGGTGTCAAACTCCTGACATAAAGGGATCTGCCTGCCTTGAACTCCCAAAGTGCTGGGATTAGATTCAAAAGTATACTTATAATTTTAAAAGGAATGCATACAAAGCATATATTTTAAATCATCTTCTATTCTGTAAATATCTCACATCACTTAATGACAACAGTGCATTAAGTTTGAGAAATTAGAGGAGCAGGTGGAACGATTATTTGGTGTTAGTGAAAACCTAAAAGACTGCCAGCGTTCTCCCCTGGATGAAAAGACCCTCTGCTTCCATAATGAGCTGGAAAGACGATCTCTAGTACCTGCCTCGTAAGCATGTATGTTCCAATATTTGCAGTCATGAATGTTGAGATTTATGATTGTTATGGGTTGGATTGTGTCCTCTTTCCTATGCTGAAGTCCTAACCTCCAGTACCTCAATAGTCTTTACCAAGTTAAAGATGAGGTAATTAGGGTGGGCTTAATTCAATATGACTAGCATCATTTTAAAAAGGAGGAATTTGGAGATAGACTCACATATAGGGTGAAGACCACATGAGCATGAAGATGGCTACGCATAATCCAAGGAGTGTGCCCTGGAACAGATCCTTTCTCAGATCCCTTGGAAAAAATCTGACCCTTCTAATACCTTAACCTCAGATCACTAGCCTCAGAACTATGAGACAATAAATTTGTTACTTAAGCCACACAGGTTATGGTATTTTGTTATCATAGCCCTAGGAAACTAATACCATGGTGATGACACAAATTCTAGATTTAGAAATCTTGAATATGCATCAGAATAAATCCACAAATTAAAATAAGTGAAAGGTAAAATATAGCTGCCTTCCTTTCTATTAGTCTTCATACTTAGTTGCCATTTTCCACTGAATATAACTGTGGTAGTCTCAACCAATACGTACCTCTAAGCTGTTAACCAGACACAAATTGTTGCAGTTAAGAGAATTATCAAATGTGAGAAAATTTTGTGCTCATAACTTAGTATTTATTGAATAAAAATAGCCTGATTTTTATTGCAATATTTTATAAAGACTAATAATATTTTTTCAAGCTTGTTTGCTCATTCTTTTGAATTTCTACTTTTTTCTCGTTAAAAAAATCCTTTGCTAAAACATCTTGTTCTATGGGGTATTTTATACCATCATAAGGTAAGGATGCTGAAATGTGATTACATTTACTCTGATTTACTTGGAATTTTCCAAACACCAAAGGAGAATAAAATGGTTTAATGAATTTATGGTAGACTTTTAAACTCAGTGAATTTGCTGACCTTTCTCATAATAAAAATACTTATAAATTTGCCTTTGAAACCTTTTAATAGACCCCAAACAACATTCTGAAACTGAATAAAAAATGTAATAATAACTTAAGGGTTACATTTAAATATACCTATTAAAATAGTTATGGAAAGTTGAAGCACAAAATTCTTATTGAAATTATTGTTTTTAACCAAAGTATGAGCTGAAATTCTGAACCAAGACTAAACAGCTTAAAGTAAGTTTTTCTCTTTTTCTTTGACTTAGTGAATCTGTTGCTATTTGATAGCTTATACCTCTGTAATCAGAGTAGGCTTATAAACTGAATTCATACTGTAACCAGAATGTGTCTTCTTCAACTTTTGTATCCAGTAATATGGACTCTTCATGAACTTATTCTACAAATGTATTTTCATGTGGAGAGGAAAAATGTGCTTTTTGTTTGCCAGCCCCAACTTCTACTCCAGATGCCTGCTCTCTGGCCTTGGTAATGTTGTTAACATCTCATCTCCTTTGTTAAAGTCAAATCTTGACCTAATGTGATAATAAGTTACAAATTTTACATTTTTAGTTAGTATTTAAGTTATTTTTGCATTTAGAATTCTATTTGCCAAAAGGGGGACACATACAAAAAACAGTATGTCTCCTTTGATTTAATTCTTCGACAGCACTCGTGGGTTTTTAGAATACATATAAATTCTTTCATTTGCCATTTAAGTGAAAACTCAGTGATTTTACCAAATGACTTTTTTAGATTTAAGTGGTTTGATGACACACCTATTAGCAGTAATAGTAACTAAAGCAAACATGTGCAAGCCAGCATACTATCTTAAACTGTCTAGATTTTTCCCCTCTAATTTCTCTACATTTTATGGTATGTCATCTACTGGGAGACCTGTTTTCTTAGGCAGTAGTAATTCCACTTACTAGGTAGCAGAAGGAAATTCTTTTAATAAAGAAAAATTATTGGACCAGTGAGATGACTGGCTTGTCACGAGAACGTATTGGCCACTAAAGTACCAGCTGGCACATTGTACCCTATTCCTATCACACACCTGCATCCTTCAGATCCCTCAGTCACTCTCTGGACTCCTGCTGTCTACTGATGAGTGATTCCATATGAGGCACTTAAATGGTATGACTTAAATGACACCTTAATGATTCTGTATTTTACACTTAAATGACACAAGTCTTTTCTGAGCCTTTTTTATAATTTCAAAAGAAGCATTTTTTATGTTTCTAGACTAAATTCTGCTTACAAATATCTTGAAATTTAATGACAAATCTGGTCCCTTTCATGTGGCAAAACTTCCACCATTAAAATTAGTGCAGAGAATAGTATAATAGCAAATTTTATTTTAATTAGTATGACAACTTCACAAATTGGAATGTAAAGTTGTGTAATGGTGCAAACTTTAAAAGAAATAAACAGCCATGTAAATAGTTGAGATAATCCCACAAAGTTTGTTAGTAAATATTTTCTCTGAAAAATGTGGAAGACACATGTAAATAAAGTTTTTAAAATTCTGAAAAAAACAGGGGAAGCTATTTACATAATTTCCAGTAATAGAACAAATTCCTAAGGAAAGTATGCTTACTGTTAACATATTTTATTAAACTGTTTCACATTCAGAGACACAATTTTATAATCTGTGGGGAGGGACTGTTAAGATTACATATTCTCCAGGTGCAAATGATTTTCTGACCTATTTTTAGTGTGTTTTAAAAATATAGATTGCAACACATAGGGATGCCTTCTCTTTGAAGAACATTTGTTAACTACAGTGTGATATTTAGATTTACAGAGCTGGTTCTTTTGCCTTGCAATGTTATGTCTTGGTTATAAAGTCATGCTTTTATTTTCAAGTGAAATTGAAAGAAAACTAAATCTTTGTGTCTTTGTCTAACTCCAGCTTTCGACTTTCCCAGACTTTCGCCCTGAGCATAAATATAATTGATAAGGCACATACACATGTGTAATCACAGGATAGTTAGTTAAATGGTTATTGTCCACTATGGACTGAATTGTTTTTCCACAAGTTCATATGTTGAAGTTCTCATCCCTAACATGTCTATATTTAAAATAAGGCCTTTGAGGTTAAGTGAGGTCATAAAGGTGTTGCCCTAATTAAATAGGACTGGTGTCCTTAAAAGAAGAGCAGGAGACACCAGAGATAGCTCTTTTCTCTGTGCATGCACAGGGGAAAGGCCACATGAGGACACAGCAAGAAGGGGACTCAGCAAGCAAGGCAGGAAGGCATCACAAGAAACCCAACTCTGCTGGCATCTTGATCTTGGACTTCTAGCCTCCAGGGCTGTGAGAGAATACATTTATTTCTGTTGTTTAAGCCACTCAGTTTTTTATATTTTTTCCTGGCAGCCTGAGCAGGGTAATACATTGTCTAAGCTGCTCTAGTGTCCATGGCATACTGGCTTTTGTTCCTTGGCTTGTCTTATTATGGTTGCAAAATGGTCACTCAAGCTCAGACATCACCTTTCTCACTGCCTCCTACAGAGGCAGAATGTGGAGTTTCTCCTTATAACATTCTTTTTCTCAGGAAGGAAAAATTTTCCCACAAGCCCCCAGGTATACCTCCTCTCAAATTCTGTTGACCCAAATTGAGTCACATGCCCATGGCCATAATTCAGAGGAATCTGGGAAAGTTAGTTATTGGCATTTCTAGCCTTAAAGTGTCAGGTGAGCTCTTCTAGCCAGTAAGAAGGTTTAGGGAATGATTGTTAGATAGACAACCAATATTGTCCATGTGTATATGTGTATAAATACTTTTGTAAATGAAAATATTCTATACAATAATACTTGCTTTCCAACAAACTATATATTATGAATATTTTCCCTGCCATCAGATGCGACCTGCATGTTTTAAATACATATATAGATATACATCCCTGTTTCTCCCCCCGCCCACCCCCAAGCATGCCATACAACTAGTAAGAAAGTCAGGGATGGAATCGGAACCCATGCTTTTAAAACCAATATAATGCTATTCTTTAAGTAATCTTCCTCTTTTGGATAGTTAGGTTGTTTCCAAGTGTTTGCTATTATAATATATGCTTCGAGGAGTATCCTTATAATATCTTTGTATATATATATCTAATTACTTTTTTGAGTTAAATTCCTAAGAATTAAATTGCTAGATTGACAGGTATACATATAACAAGGTTTTAACATGTACTGTCATATTACCTTCTAGAAATGTGATATGTATTTACACTTCTACTAGCAGTTTTTGAAAAGCACCTGTTTTTCTATATTCTCCTTAAAACTAGGCATGATTACTAATTTACTAATTTTATTCTTTAACATTTCATTAAATAATTATCACATGACCTAATTTTAAAAATTCTTAAGTTTCTCCTTAATGATATCAATAGATTTATATATTAGCCATTTGTATTTTTCTTTTGTATATTATATGTTTATTTGCTTAATTCATTTTTTTTATTCAGATATTTTTGCCTTGTTCATTTGTAGGACAGACTCTAGGTATGAAGGTGTGTCAATGAAAGTTCTCTTTCCCTTAGCAAGGTGGGGAACATAGTCTGGGTGGTTGAGTGAGGCTGGTACAGGTTACTGCTCCCCTCCCATCTGTAATATATTAACCTAATTTATTTAACTGATTTTCCCTACTAGACCATAAATCTCTCAAGAGCAACCTTTATGTTTTTCAAGTATCTGGTATTTATCAAGTACTTAATGCATTTTGAAGAAGTAAGAAATAATTTACTTGCTTTCAAAAATTAGTACAATGTCATGTTTTACTTAAATGACATTATAGACAAAACAACATTGTGTTGAGCAGCTCTGAAATTATCCGTTTGATAATGGAAACCAGTTATAAATTTGCAATAAACACTTATTTTGTTACTTAAAAACCTCTTCGATATGTGAGGATTGTCCCAAAGTGTATATTTAAATAATGTTTTATATTGTTATGTTTCCAAATCTGCTAATAATAAGAAGTGCTACAATTCCCGAGAAGTGTGTCAGGAAGAATCCTGTACACATGTTTTGAAGAGCTATGAGGACACTGATGTGTGGCAGATCCAGACCACAGGCATTCTGTCAACACTAAAACAGATTTGCCAAGGGGAATTTCCCAATTTCTGTTTTTCAGAGCATATGTGCTCAGTAACATTCAGTTTTGTTTACTAATTTGTCCTTTTAAATAGATCACTGTGCTAGTCACTGTAAAGAATTATAAAGAAAATCAGACTTCCAGACTTCATATTGAAGATATACTATCACTGAATCTGCTACTATTGACACAAAGGATGTTGTGTCTTGCAAGAGGCCATCAGAACACAAGTCTCATCATCTCTCCCACACTTAATCTAAAACCTGTCTTATGTTGTCTTTTGTCTAAAACACCATCTATGGAAGCACCTCTGGTGCAGAGATTCCTCTGCCTCTCTTGTAAACTCCCATGGAGGATATAGTGTTCGATGTCTCTAGCTCTTCTAGGAAAGTGGTGGTGGTGAGGTATCCAGAGACCCACACTGGTGACTGTCATCAGTAGCAAAGGCATCATCCTGTGGGGTGTGCGTGTGTGTGTGTGTGTGTGTGTTTGGGGCAGGGAAGGGAGCTTCCTGCCCCTGCTCTCCTACTACATGTAATCCTGGCACCACATCTTGGTACTGTAAACACATATCCAAAAGGCAGTCATCACACATTAAAATTTACTGTCACAACTGATTTGTTAAAATGTAACTTCAACTTTCCCATGAGTGTCAAACTTCTGCTCACTGGAAAACACTCAATATCACTACTTCTAAGTAACATCGGTTCAAAACAGTTGCTTTCAGGAAATTAGGTAGTTTAGTATCCAAAAACAAAAACAAAAACAACACAAAACCCTTCCCAAGTGGTTTCCCCTATCTAGGGGCTTACAAGGGGAAGTATACGTGACTCCATTGTGTAGGGATCTCAATGACCTCTCTCGGCAATTAACACCCTCCCCCTTGTTTCTACTAGTGATGTCGGTCCTTTCAGTCTTGACGATGCTTCTCATCTTTTCCTTGGAATATCCAGATCCCCACTATAGGGTTGGCGGATTTAGCAAATAAAAATGTAGGATGCTCTTGGAGTTACAAAATGGAGTGTGTTCAGTGCTGTTAACTCCAGTGGTCTTCGGGGAGGCAGACAGCTCTCCTCCTCACTCTCCAACATAGAGAGATGAGGCCCATGGGGGACATGGTGTTAGAAACTCCTGGTTTGCTAACTACGAAGCACTTCATGTGGGAAGTACATCGAAAGCATACCAGAAGTGACCCACCCACTTATCCAGAAACTAGTAGCTCCCTGTGCACCCGGGCTTCACAATCCATCAAGTACTGTGGTAGCCACCATGGAAGTTCAAAAAAAATGGCCAAAAGATTGCTGAGAAGGAATTGACAGATAGGAATTGGAATCAAGAAGATGAAGCAGAAGAGCTGAGAACGTTCTCAGTGGCCAACGAGGAAGTTTTGAAGAATAGAGTAAAAAAAAAAAAAGCAACACGTAGAAATGTTGGGTTTGAATCTGATCAGATAGGGGATGGGCTTTCAAAGATTTCAAAGGATTGGTTGTATATTCTGAAAGGAGAAGCATTTTCTGAATTTGGTAATGGTAGTGGAGTAAGCCTTCACAAGGACTGCCAAATGGAAACAACAATAACTACTGCCCTTTTCTTCACCAGTCCAAAGGCAGCCAGGAAACCAAGGCAACATTTCATTCTATTACTGTAATTGAGGAAAAAATATTTCAAATCTTCAATCTAATAGCGACAGTCAGTAGCCTCACACTTCTGTTTTTACTATGAGTAAATCATGCCGTGGTAATCCCTGTACAAGGCAGTTAGCTGCTTTAAACTGTCTGTTCATGACTGGATAGTTAAACACTTGAATGCAAGCCCACTCTATGATCTGAAATCTATTTTTAAGAACTCTAATAAATATTTAGCAAATATTGAACAGCAACATGGGAACAATGACCTTAGTAATTCTGAAAATGAAGCTAATAAAACATTAGCTGAAACGTAGTCTCCTTACCTATTTATTTCAACAAAATTATAGCAAGAATCAACATTTTGGTTTTATAGCAGCAGAACTGAGAATACATCTGTGAGGAAGACGGAGGCTGAGTCTGAAAAAAAAAATGGACCCATCAGTAGGAGCAATAAGTGCCTTCACAAGAAAATTGATTGCTGTGTTTTAGTTAGGCTTGTTTATCTCTGGATCCCTGATTGGATTTTCATTTTCCCCTGGAAACTCCAGTTTATTTGGCAAATATATTACCCAGAGTAGTCCAGGGTTTTGTTGTTGTCGTTGTAGTTGGTTTTAACCATTTTCCAATAAAACATTGCAGAGTCAAGCAAAAGGTGGCAGTAATGAATGTAAAGATGGAGACAAAGGAAGAGAATGATGAGCCAACTAGAGTAATAGTTACTGAAGTAAAAGCAGAACTTTTTATTCTGAAGAGTATAATTTTTTTTACAAGAAAGATGACAAGTTTAAAGAGAAGGATGTAGGTACCCTTTTCTTAAAATCTGTAGCAAATCAGAAGCACAGCTTTTACTAGGAGCAGACACCAATTTAGGCAATGTACTGCTGAATATTCTGATTCCACCCAATTGTTGTGTACTTGAATAGCAAAAACAATGTACTTATTTTCTGTGTTTCAGATCTACCAATTTATGAGAAAAATGCCATGATCTCAGTTAAGATATTAATTTGGTTAAATCTAAGTGATTATGTAGATGAGTTGCACAAAATTTTACTAAGGAAAAAGAATGCCTGAAAACAATCAACTGAGAAATCATGGCCAAGTTGCTGTTTCCCTTGCTACTGCTTTAAACTTAGTCAGCTTTTCTTCTCTTCTACTTTAACATTGTGAGAGCTTACAGATAACTTAAAAACTTTTGTGAAGAAAATTACCATGACCAAGGAAAATTTAAAATTTAATGGGCAAGAAAAATATATAGGCTGTATATATTTTGAATATATATATGAATATATATGAATATAAATTTGAATTTCGAATAAATAATTAAATATTTGAAACATACTTATGCTAAAAAGTTGTTCATTCTTTATCTGAAATTCAAATTTAACCGTGTCCTGTATTTTGTCTGGCAATTCCATCTGCTGTCTTCTATATCATGTCACCAAATCACGTGCATATTCTCCTGCTTTTGTTAGAAAGGAAAAGAGAAAAGAAAAAAAAGAGAAGGAAAGAAAAAAGATAGATGAATAGAAGAAGGGAATTTAAACCCTAAATTAAATAATTATCTTGAAAGTAACTGTTTTCTTTCTTTTTTATTATGATTATTTTAGAGTCAAGGGGGTGCCTGTATAGGTTTATTGTACGGGTATATTGCATAATGCTGGAGTTTAGGCTTCTACTGAATCCACCGCCCTAATATTGAACATAGTACCCAATGTGTAGCTTTTCAACACTTGATCTCCTTCCTCCTTCCCCTGTTTTGGGGTCCCCAGTCTCTATTATTTCCATCTTTATGTCCGTGTGTACGGCATTAGCTCCCACTTATGAGTGAGAACCACAATATTTCTGTTTCTGCATTAATTCACTCAGGATAATGGCCTCCAGCAGCATCCATGTTGCTGCAAAGGACACAATTTTATTCTTCTTTATGGATGAGTAGTATTTCTTGGTGTATATGTAGCACATTTTCTTTCTCCAATCCACTGTTGATGGGCACTTAGGTTGATTCTATAAGAAAGTAACTATTTCAATCAGTGTTATCTAGAATATAACCTGATTAGTCTCAAACTTTAAAATTCTGTGAGTGGGCATAAGACCTAACAAACACCTCACCAGAAAAGCTATATAGATGGCAAATAAGCATGCAAGAAGATGCTGCACATCATATGTCATTAGGGAAATGCAAATTAAAATAACAAAATACTACTATACACCTATTAGGATGCCCCAAATCCAGAAAACTGACACCACCAAATACTGGTGAGCATATGGAACAACAGGAACTCTCATTTATTACTGGTGAGAATCCAAAATGGTACAGACATCGTGGAAGACAGTTTGGCAGCTTCACACAAAACTAAACATATTCTTAACATATGATCCAGAAATCATACTCCCTGGTGTTTACCCAAAATGAGTTGAAAACACACCCTCACAAAAACCTGCACATGGATGTTCATAGCAGATTTATTAATAGTTGCTCAAACTTGGAATCAACCAAAATGCTCTTCCATAGGCAAATGGATAAATAAACTCCAGTACATCCAGACAATGGGTTATTATCCAGTGCTAAAAAGAAATATGCTATCAAGACATTTTAAAAGTGAGACACTTTAAAACTTAAATGCATATTGCTAAGTGAAAGAAGCCAATCTTAAGAGGTTACACACTGTATAATTCCAACTATATGACATTCTAGAAAAGGCAAAACTGTGGAGACAGTAAAATGATCAATGGTTGCTAGGGGTTAGAGGGGGGATAAAATGGTGAATAGAGAGAGCATAGATTTTTTGGCAGTAAAACTATCATGTATGATACTATAATGGTGGATACATGTAGTCATAACTTTGTTAAAATACATAGAATATCTAATGCAACCCTAATGTAAATTATAGACTTTGAGTACTTTCTGTTCAATTTTCCTGTCAACCTAAATTGCTCCAATAAATAAAGACTATTTAAAATAAGGGAAAAATCTGTGACAATATATTAGGTCACATTAGCATTTAATATTCAAAATTTTCTGTACCTCAGTATTGCTTCAAATTCTTTCCAGGTATATCTGGAAGTCCCCAAGTTTGTCTCACAGGTGGTCAGGAAATGTTTATTTATATTCTTTGGCTAAGGCTGCTTATGTGAGGTCCACCATGCCAACAACTCGAGAAACATCCCCACTGCCATCAGCACTGCTGCTGGAGCTTATGGAGAGAATGCTGCTTTTCAGGGGAAGGTGTTCTGTGGTCCATCTTTTTTCTGTCCAGCAAAACAGAGCATGGTGGTATTCTATGGTGACTACCTTGAGTGGTCAGGTGGTGAGCTGATCACCCATACCCAAGTAATGAGGAATTGACCCTCTGTAACTCTGTGTTGCACTTTGTTATATAGAGGCTCAAAGCTGCAGAGTTCTATGTTTGGGCCCCAGTATCTTAGATGAAAAAATTCTTTCTTTTATGTCATGGCTTTAGTCTTTTTCTCCTTAGAGCTTCCTAAAGAGATGAGACTGTTGTGGGTATGGGAAGGCTTAGGAGCCATCCCCTTTATTTTCTTCTTTCCTTCACTCATTGGAATTAGAAAGTAAAATAACTGAAATAAAAAATTAAATTTATTGGAGGTGTACAACAGCACTATTGGGGAGACAGCTTAAAGGAGATTGGGGAACAGAGTTATATTTAAATGAAGTTTTTGTATTTCTATGAAATTAAATTGGTATTAACCTGAACTAGATTGTCATAAATTAAGGTGATAATGACAACCCCCAATGCAACTACTAAGAAAATGACAATAATATACAGTAAAAATGAGCAAATTAAACCTATAAGGGAAAAAATAGCTACTTAATGAAAAAGAAGTCAGTAATAGAGGAAATGGGGAACTAAATGACATACGCACATGGAAAACAAATAGCAAAATGACAGACAAGTCTTTTCTTATCAGTTAATGAATCAAATTTATTAAATTCTTTGATGAAAAGGCAGAGATTGACAGACTTGGAAAAAAGTACACATGATCCAATTATATGCTTTATATAAGAGCCAACATTTTAGATCCAAAGACCAAATAGGCCAAAAAAAAGAAAAAAGAATCTATATGCCATGAAATTGGTAAGCCAAAGAGAATTGAATTGGCTATTTTAATATCAGACAAAGTAGTAATACAAAAATGGTTACTAGAAACAACAACAAAAAAAACACTGTGTAATCATAAAAGGCCATTCCACCAAGAAGATATAACAATTATAAACCTACATGCACCTCACATTAGGGCCCCAAAATACATGATAAAAAGCTGAAAGAATTGAAATAAACACATCAATAGTAATAGTTGATTACTATTATGCCCCATTGTAAATGAATAGAACAACTACGCATTATCAGCAAGAGAATAAAATACTTGAACAATGCATAAACCAACTAGACCTAATAGATATCTAGAAAGCACTTCACTGAAGAGCAGCAATCTATACATTCTTACGTGCATATGGAACATTCTGCAGTACAGATAATACGCAAAGCCCTAAAACAAGCCTCAAAAAACTTAAAATGATTAAAATCTTACAAAGTATTTTCTACAAGTATAATGAACTGAAATTAAAAATAGCAGAAGAATATTTTGGAAATTCACAAATATATGGAAATTGAACGATGCATTCCTATATAACCATTGGGTCAAAAAATCAAAATGGGAATTAGAAAATAAGATAAATGAAAATAAAAATTCAACATACCCAAATTTAGGGGATTTAGGACAAACAGTGCTCAAATGGGGAATTTATGTCTTTAAATGCCTGCAACAAAACAAAACAAATCTTAAATCTATTACATGATCTTCCTTTTTAAGAAAGTAGAAAAAGACAAATGAAACTGAGAGCAAGAAGAAAGAAAGAATAAAGGTTAGAGTAGAAATAAATGAAATAAAAAAGGTAAAAAGGGGAGAAAATTGGCGAAAGTAAAAGTTGGTTGTGGGAAAGGACAACAAATTTGGCAAATCATTAGTTAGACTGACCAAGAGAAAAAGAAAAAATTATTTATTTGAATTCAATTTATTAAAACTAGGAATGAAAGAGGAGAGATTACTACTGATCTTACAGAAATCAAGGATTATGTGAGAACACAGTGAACAATTGTATGCCAACAAATTAGATGACTTACATAAAATGAACAAATTTCTAGAAAGACGTAACTACAAAAATGAAAAAAAGTATCGGATTAGATTAGATTTACCCCATGTAAAGATATTGTTTTAGTAATCAGAAAACTTAGCACAGAGAAAATCCCAGGACCCGAGGGCTTCACTGATGAATTCTAACAAATATTTAAAGAATTAACACCAAACCCTTCCAAAAAATAGGAGAGAAGGGAACATTTCTTGCCTTTTTTTTGAAGCCAGTCTTACCCAGATAGCGAAATCAGACCATAATATCATAAAAAAAGAATAATATAGGCCAATACTCCTTATGAATACGAACCCTAAATTCTCAACAAAATACTGGCATACCGAAACAAGCATCATATAAAAAGGATCAAATACCATGTCTAAGTGGGATTTATCACAGGAATACAAGTTTGGTTTGACATATAAAAATCAATCAATGTAATACACCATATTATTAGAATAAAGTTTTTTGAAAAAACACACAGTCATCTCAGTAAACGCAGAAAAAACATCTGACAAAATCTAACATCACTTTATGACAAAAACACTCAACAAACAATGACTAGAAAGGAACCTTCTAAACATGATAAATTACATCTTTGCAAAACCCACAGCTAACATTACACTTAAAAGTGAAACTGAAGGATTCCTCCTAAAATCAGGAACAAGACAAACATATTAACAATTTTCACTACTATTCAAATTTTGCTACAGGATATAGTCAAGACAATTAAGTAGGAAAAATGAATAAATGTGTCCAGATTGGAAAGGAAGAACGAATACTATACTTGAAGGAGTAATACTATATATAAAAATTTATATATAGAAAACCTTTAAGAATTCATTCAAAAAACTATTACTTGCTAATAGATAAGTATAGCAAGGTTGAAGTATACAAGATCAACACGCAAAATTATTTGTATTTTTACATACTAACAATGAATAATCCTAAAATAGAATTGACAAAACAATTATTTACAATAACATTAAAATATTTAGCAATAAATTTAACAAATAAAAATACAGGGCATGTACACCAAAAATGAAATGTTGAGAGAAATAAAAGAAAATCTAAATAAATGGAAAAACATCCCTCATTCATGAATTGAAAGGCTTAATATTATTAAGATAGTAATACTCTCCAAATTTATCTACACATGCATGAAAATTCCTATGAAAAGAACAACTGCTGTTTGTTTTTACAGAAAAGACAAACTGATCCAAAAATTTATATAAATAGTAAAAAAAGTTAGAAAGAAGAACAAAGTGGGGAAACCCACTTCTTGATTCAAAACATACTACAAAGCTACAGAAATCAAGATTCTGTGGTGCTCAGATAAAGATATGCGTATAGATTAACAAAGTAGAAGAACTGATAATCCAGATATCTACCATATACTTACATTCAGTTAATTTTGGGCAGTGATGCCAAGTACAGAAGATTACTCTTTTCCACAAATAGTGCGGAGACAGCCTGATATGCGTATGCAAAATAATAAGTGTGCACCTATATTTTGTATCATATACCGTAATGAACCCAAATATGGACCAAAGACCTAACTAAGACCTGAAACTATAAAAACCATAGGAGAAATCATAGATGTAAATTTTCATGATCTTGCATTAGGCAATGATTTAGCTATGACACTGAAAGCAAAAGCAACCAGTGAAAAAGCAGATAAATAGTACTTAACCAATTTTTTAAAAATGTGCTTCAAAAGATACCACAGAGAAAGTGAAAAAAACCTACAGAGTGGGAGAAAATATATGTAAATCATATATTAGATAAGGGTCTAGTATCCATAATATGTAAAGAATTCTTACAACTGAAAAGTAAAAAATCTAAATAACCAAATTTTAAAAATGGGCTAAGGATATGAATATATATTTCTCTAAAGAAGATGTACAAATAACTGATTAGCCCCTAAAAAGCTAATCAACATAATCAGCCATTAGATAACTTAAAATGGAAACCGCACTGAGACATTACTCAGTTGGATCTTCACATCCACTGGGATTGTTATAATAAAAATGGTGGACAATAACAAGTGCTTTCAAGGATGTGAAAAATTTGGAACTCTAATACATTGTTAATGGAAATGTAAAGGGTGCAACTGCTGTGAAAAAGTTTTCCAGTTCCTCAGAAAGTTAATATAGAGTTACAGTATTGTCCAGTAATTTTACCTTTAAGTATATATGCAAGAGAAATAAAACATCTTCACACACAAACTTGTATAGGAATGTTAATAGCAGCATTTATCATAATGATAAAAAGTAGAAACAATCCATATGTCCATCAACTGTTGGAATAAATAATAGTGGTGTATATATATATATAAATATATATATATATAAAACAGAGTATTATTCCACTGTAAGATGAAGTTCTGATGTATGTTACAACATGGAATGAAACTGGGAAACATTCCTGTGAAAGAAGCCTGACAAAATAGACTGTGAAAGAAGCCTGAAAAAACATCATATAACATAAATCATATTATATGATTCCATTTAGATTAAATGTCTAGAAAAGAAAATACCGGAGGCAGACAGTAGAATATTGATTGCCAGGAAATGAGGGGTGGGACAGAAATAAAAGTGACTGCTAACAGCCCAAGGTTTCTCTTTAGAGTGATGTAAACAGTTTTGAATTAGATAGTGGTGATGGTTGCATAATCTTGTGAATATACTAAAAACTACTGAGTTGTACATCTTAAAAGGTGAGCTTCATGGTATGTGAATTATGTCTGAAATTAAAAAATGAAAGATTGAAGGAGGACTTGAGTTACCAACAAATGCCCTTATCACATTAATTCGGGCAAGTAAATGCATAGGAGTTCAAAGGGCTTACATACAATGTTATACTCAGTTTGAAATCATATACATTTATAAATTTATTTTGACAGAGGGT
The DNA here is from genome assembly GCF_000001405.40 of Homo sapiens. Lineage (NCBI taxonomy): Eukaryota > Metazoa > Chordata > Mammalia > Primates > Hominidae > Homo > Homo sapiens. The sequence continues at coordinate 74,842,085 of NC_000006.12, read as the reverse complement.
TCAAGACATATTACATTTCTTTCTCTCTCCCTCCTTTCTCTTTAGAAACATAAGAAAGCTCTGTGGGTCTTATGGTGCATGTAACATTCTGGAGAAGCTTTTGGGTCCTCATTCCATGTTGGCTACCACTGCTAAGGTAATGTTTCATAAGCTTGTAGGTGGATGGCTTGGGTGCGTTCATTCTGATCTTGGTCAGAGCATGTCTTCCCACAGCTTCTCAGGCATGGTTCTTAATTTTAAGTGCCTTGAGTACCCCTTAGTTTTCCCCAACAGAATTCCATCATCTCTTGTGATATATCTGCAACATAAATCCCCTAAAATATGATTTCACTAATTTCTTGGGATAAATAAAAAAATATATCCACAGCAGAGATAAAAAAACACTTAAAAATTATCTTGCCTTATAAGTGGAGGAAAAAAATGCCTGGAATGATTTATACCAAAATGTGTTGAGTGCTTGTCTTTGGATAATGGGAAAAATGATTTTAAATTTCTTCCATGTGCTTCTTGCAGCCATAAAAAAAATTGTTTAGTAATTTTTAAAATCCTGATTATAAAATTCAGTTTAACTAGTAGACTAATGATTAATTACAGCCATACATTGCTAATATATATCAAGTAGTTTGGAAAGTAATAGAGAAGTGTGATCCACATACAAATACGTTTGTGTGACTATCACATACAAAGCACTTAGTATAATGCCAGGCATTTAATAATATTCAATAATATGACATGGCCAGAAATAACACTAAAATTATTTATTACTTTCAAATGGAAATTTGCAAAGAAGAATCGCTTCTAATTTCTATAGATTCTATTTTTGTCTCACAGCTATTTTTGACTTACCCTTTTTAGTCATGGCTGGTGCTCGAGTGGCTGGGATGCAGGGAACCATGTCCAGGGAGCCATGTCCTGAGTATGGGCAGGACAGCAGGGCCCTGGGCCTGGCACACAAAACCATTCTGTCTTCCTTGGCCTCAGGGCCTGTGATGGGAGGGGCTGTGTCTTAGATCTCTGAAATGCCTTCAAGGCCTTTTTCTCGTCTTGGATTTTAGCACTTGCATTTTTAATTATTAAAATTTCTCTAGTAAGTAGTTGCTCAGCAGCCACTTGAATTCTTCTTCTGAAAATGGGCTTTTCTTTTCTACCAATGACCAGCCTCCAAATTTTCCGAACTTCTATGCTCTGCTTCCCTTTTAAATACAAGTTCCAGCTTTAAGTAATTTCTTTGCTCCTGCCTATGAGCATAGGTTGTTAGAAGCAGTCAGGTCAAATCTACAACACTTTGCTGCTTAGAAATTTCTTCAGCTAGATACCCTAAATCATCACTCTCAAGTTCTAAGTTCCACTGATGCATAGGGCAGAAGCACAATGCAGCTGAGTTCTCTGCTAAGGTACAACAAAAGTGACCTTTGCTCCAGTTCCCAATAAGTTTCTCATTTCCATGTGAGACCTCCTCAGCCTGGATTTTATCATTCATATCACTATTAGCATTTTGGTCACAACTATTTAATCAGTCTCTAAAATGTTTCAAACTTTCCCTCATCTTCCTGTGTTCTTCTGAGTTCTCCAACCTCTTCCAGCCTCTGCCTGTTACCCAATTTCAAAGGTGTTTCAACATTTTCAGATTTCTGCATTTTCTTTATAACAATGGCCCACTCCTTGGTAACAATTTTCTGTATTGGGCCATTCTTGCAATGGTATAAAGAAATACTTGAGACTGGGTAATAAAGAAAAGAGATTTAATTAGCTCATGGTTCTGCTGGCTGTATAGGGAGCATGAGGCTGGTATCTGTTCAGCTTCTGGGAAGGCCTCAGAAAACTTACAATTATGGTGGAAGGTGAATGGGGATTAGGCATGTCACATGGTGAAAGCAAGAGCAGGAGAGTGAGGGGTGAGGTGCTACACATTTTTCAACAACCAGCTCTCACAAGAACTCACTCACTACCACAATGGGGGGTGATGATAAGACATTAACGAAAAATCTTCCCCCATGATTCAATCACCTCCCACCAGTGCCCACCTCCAACACTAGGAATTACATTTCAATATAATTCAGATTTGAGTGGGGAGACACATCAAGACTATACACACAGCATATCACTGTGTAATATTAGCACTTCCATGATAGGTATATTCGTGTGATTATCACATATAAAGCACTCAGTAAAATGCCAGGCATTTAATAAACATAAAATAAAAAGGAAATTTGGGAGTGATCATGTAGACAAGTTTAGTATAACCATTTGGTGTAGGCAACCCCCATAGACAATGTTTATTGATAGAAATAGGTTTGTCCTTTCCATATGTATATATATATATATACACACACACACAGACACACATATACACACACACATACATGCATACTAAAGTGTTTAGAAATTCAGAAGCAAAGGCTGTATAAGCTGATTTTTAAAAACACTTCTAACACTAAAGTTCTCAATTTAAATAATTTGGGGAAGTAAGTGGTTCTTGGGAAATAAGTGGTTCTTGAAGAAGAGAGCTGCTTTTGTAACCTCTAATCAGAATTGAGACTTTTACATTCTAATAATTAAATTAGTTCTAATGATTCTAATTATCAAAATAAACTTGTTATAGAGAAACAGAGCCCAGTGCAGACTTGGAACGAAGTATTAGCAGTGGTGTAAGTGGTCATGGATGTGCCTGTTGTCTGTGGTTAGTATTTTGATCAAATCCATATTTCTAAAAATATATAATTTTACTCAAGTTAATGCCAGTTGGGTTGAGGCTTAAGAGTATGGATTTCTTTTCTATTCTGACAATATGATGCCATTTAGTTGGGATGCACATACTATTGTTTACTCCTGGAATTGCTAGACTGTGGCAACGTTTGCCAAGTTTTCCATCTATGCATGTGTGGCTCTGGGTCAAATCTGTTTTTCCTTAACGTTCTATTTCCTTAGAAAGACAGTTCTGGCCTCCAGAAATCTCCCATGCAATTTTCTTTGTGAAAAATAGAATTTAAAATAATTATCTATCCAACTCTACGGTACACCTGGGGTTTATTTCCATTGCTAATTTTTTTTTCGTTATTCACATTGCAAGAGAAACTTGTTTATATTCTATTAAATAATCATAGAATAATTTTAATAGATTGATAAATGACTGTGAAATTGATATCAATTTTCAAGGATATTAAAATTAATGCAAATTTTCATTTTTAAAAGGTAAGATTTATTTAAAAAATTTATATTAAAAATAGCAATAGCATCTTTTCATACTTAAGGCTTAATGAAAACAATATGGATATAAGGAGAAATAAGTTATTAATTTGTAGTTAATGCAAAAGGCTATTTCACTTTGAAAATTGATGTGAGTGCCATAGAAACTTAATGCATCAGATATTCCAGAATGTTCTCTTACTTTGTCAGGAATAAAATGGATTGTTATTTTCTTCAACAGAGATATAGAGTTTTCCAGGGACATTTTCACTGAATATCAGGGACATGATGAGAGGCTAAATTTTGACTGGAACAAAATAACAGGAATCATTACAGTGGTCATGGATATGCCTGACATGTGTGGTTAAGTATTCTTATTAAGTACATACTCTGAAACTTTATTGTTTTACTCAATATGATATTTTATGTAAAAGCCTAGACATTCTCAATGTGCAAATTTTTCTCTTCTTCTATGATAAGCTAGACCTTTTAATTCATACCTATATATTCAACACCTTTGTAACCAATATTCCACTCTCAGTTTATCTTTATTTTAATATCAATATCATATTAATCCTTCAATGTGATGCTACTCCATTCCATAAAAATTATGAATGACTCTCTATTGTTTTTAGGAAAAACATACTATCCTTAACTTGAAATTTGAATCTATTCACAATCTAGCTCAATATATCTTTCCAGCTTAATCTCCTAAAATTTGCCTTTTTATACTCTTACTTTGTCCCAAACTTGTCTATGTGATCACTCCCAAAGTTTCTTTTTCTTTTTTCTTTTTTTTTTTTTGAGACAATTTTGCTCTTGTAGCCCAGGCTGGAGTGCAGTGGCATGATCTTGGCTCACTGCAACCTCCGCCTCCCGGGTTCAAGCAATTCTCCTGCCTCAACCTCCCGAGTAGCTGGGATTACAGGCACTCGCCACCACGCCTGGCTAATTTTTGTATTTTTAGTAGAGACAAGGTTTCACCACGTTGGTCAGGCTAGCCTTGAATTCCTGGCCTCAGGTTATCCGCCTGCCCCAGCCTCCCAAAGTGCTGGGATTACAAGCGTGGGCCACCGTGCCTGGCCCTAAATTTCTTTATGGTTTCTTTTCTTAAAGTTTGCAAGTTGCTTGGACCCCATATATCCGAATTGCAGTGAGTGAATGTGTTTGTGTGATATAATTGTTTGTTAAAAATTCAAGTTTCTCAGTCACGCTTCAGACCAATTGAATCAAATATCGTGATGCAGGCCCCCCAAATATTTTGATAAACATCTACATTATTCTTATTCATGCTAAGCATTTGTATTCACCTTTTCAGCCACCTGTAATATTATTCTTTCTTTCAGACTTCTGTTTAAATCTCACTTCCTTCAAAAAGTTCTTTCTGTTTCCCCAAGATATTTTAAAAATTTTATTTACTTTCATGTTGCTTATTGTTAAGATTCATCACATAAAACTTATATGCTCTGTGTCTATAGCAGCATGACTTATAATCCTTTGGGTATATACCCAGTAATGGGATGGCTGGGTCAAATGGTATTTCTAGTTCTAGATCCCTGAGGAATCGCCAAATCTAAATCGACAGTTTATAGTCCCACCAACAGTGTAAAAGTGTTCCTATTTCTCCACATCCTCTCCAGCACCTGTTGTTTCCTGACTTTTTAATGATCGCCATTCTAACTGGTGTGAGATGGTATCTCATTGTGGTTTTGATTTGCATTTCTCTGATGGCCAGTGATGATGAGCATTTTTTCATGTGTCTGTTGGCTGCATAAATGTCTTCTTTTGAGAAGTGTCTGTTCATATCCTTCGCCCACTTGTTGATGGGGTTGTTTGTTTTTTTTCTTGTAAATTTGTTTGAGTTCATTGTAGATTCTGGATATTAGCCCTTTGTCAGAAGAGTAGATTGCAAAAATTTTCTCCCATTCTGTAGGTTGCCTGTTCACTCTGATGGTAGTTTCTTTTGCTGTGCAGAAGCTCTTTAGTTGAATTAGATCCCATTTGTCAATTTTGGCTTTTGTTGCCATTGCTTTTGGTGACTTAGAAGTCCTTGCCCATGCCTATGTCCTGAATTGTATTGCCTAGGTTTTCTTCTAGGGTTTTTATGGTTTTAGGTCTAACATTTAAGTCTTTAATCTATCTTGAATTAATTTTTGTATAAGGTGTAAGGAAGGGATCCAGTTTTAGCTTTCTACATATGGCTAGCCAGTTTTCCCAGCACCATTTGTTAAATAGGGAATCCTTTCCTCATTTCTTGTTTTTGTCAGGTTTGCCAAAGATCAGATGGTTGTAGAAGTGTGGTATTATTTCTGAGGTCTGTGTTCTGTTCCATTGGTCTATATCTCTGTTTTGGTACCAGTACCATGCTGTTTTGGCTACTGTAGCCTTGTAGTATGGTTTGAAGTCAGGTAGCATGATACCTCCAGCTTTGTTCTTTTGGCTTAGGATTGACTTGGCAATGTGGGCTCTTTTCTGGTTCCATATGGACTTATAAAGTAGTTTTTTCAATTCTGTGAAGAAAGTCATTGGTAGCTTGATGGGGATGGCATTGAATCTATAAATTACCTTGGGCAGTATGGCCATTTTCATGATATTGATTCTTCCTATCCATGAGCATGGAATGTTCTTCCATTTGTTTGTATCCTCTTTTATTTCGTTGAGCAGTGGTTTGTAGTTCTCCTTGAAGAGGTCCTTCATATCCCATGTAAGTTGGATTCCTAGGTATTTTATTCTCTTTGAAGCAATTGTGAATGGGAGTTCACTCATGATTTGGCTCTCTGTTTGTCTGTTACTGGTGTATAAGAATGCTTGTGATATTTGCACATCGATTTTGTATCCTGAGACTTTGCTGAAGTTGCTTATCAGCTTAAGGAGATTTTGGGCTGAGACAAGCACGTGTATGTTTATTGCGGCACTATTCACAATAGCAAAGACTTGGCACGAACCCAAATGTCCATCAATGTTAGACTGGATTAAGAAAATGTGTCACATATACACCATGGAATAATATACAGCCATAAAAAATGATGAGTTTATGTCCTTTGTAGGGGCATGGATGAAGCTGGAAACCATCATTCTCAGCAAACTATTGCAAGGACAAGAAACCAAACAGCGCATGTTCTCACTCATAGGTCGGAATTGAACTATGAGAACACTTGGACACAGGAAGGGGAACATCACACACTGGGGCCTGTTGTGGGGTGGGGGGAGCGGGGAGGGATAGCATTAGGAGATATACCTAATGTAAATGATGAGTTAATGGGTGCCGCACACCAACATGGCACATGTATACATATGTAACAAACCTGCACGTTGTGCGCATTTGCCCTAGAACTTAAAGTGTAAAAAAAAAAAGTAAAACATAAAAAATAAAAAATAAAACTTATATGCTCTGGTCCTGTGACATCACTGGACAATCCCTTAGAGCAGATCATTTTAATATTTTTTCTTGACTCATGTGTAACGTATTTTACACCAGGGTTTAATGTGTGTGCATGTGCGTGCACACACCACACGTGCGCACATGCACATACACACACATCCTGAAACTTAAAAGAATTCAAAAAAACAATATTAATTCTTATTTCATCAAATACATTTTGGTTATTCCTATTCTGTTCTGTTTTATTCTATTTCATTAACAGATGCTTGTAGAGACCTATTTCAAAATATTATGGCTCACTCATAGGTCACTCTAAATGGTTTGAAAAACATAGACTTAAAGGGCTAGTTTGAGGCCAGCAAAACATGTTGTAATATTTTCCTAAGTGTTTAACTCCTGGAGAAATCGTTAGTTTTGGTAATAGAAAACAGATTATTTTAAAATGATAAGATTGTGGTTTGGCTGAAATTGAATATTCAAATGCAATATGTTTAACTAATTACATGATAATTTTGCTTTGAGCTGGTTTTTGCCAGAAATACTTGCCTGGGCAAATAATTTAAAAGGCTTGAAGAAATTGCTTCATCAAAAGATTATATGATCATATTCTAAATACAAAAGAGTGGATGAATTTTTCTGCAGGCTGAGATACGGCATCTGTCTCTTAGAGTTAGTTTAGCCCTTACATTTTTATAAAACAGTCTCTTGTACCTAATTAAACCAAGGAAGTTTCCTTTAAAGAGTTTGAGCATATCTACTAAGGATGTTGAGGTCCCTCAAGGACTATAACAGGTAGACGTTGTAATTTTCCATCCGAGAACCTAGCACAGTGCTCTTTACCTACTAAATGCTCAATAAATCTGCTTGTCAGGTACTATGCTTATTACCTGGGTGACAAAATAATCTACACGAAACCCCCATGACCCGTAGTTTGTAACAAACCTCAAATGTACCCATAAACCTAAAATAAAAGATAAAAAAGAAACCCAGAAATAGATTTCTGCATATTAGTAAAATAACCTTTAAGATCAGTTTTAAATTTTATTTTTTTGGTCTACAACAAAAAATGCGTATATGATTATGACTGATGATGTATATCATTTTGTGATCTGGCAATGACAAAAAGTAGTCTACATCAATATTCCTGGATTTTACTTTCATTCATGGTCATTCATTTATTTGAATAGAAATGCAATATCTTATTACATTTCTATTTAAATAAAGATATTAATGTGAGTTTTAGAAATATAGGCACAGGAAAAATGTGAAGTTACTTTCTATATGATCATGATTGTATATCAATGAGATTTTAACACTAAACCATAAAAATTTTATTATTATAAAAAAAAGAAACTATAGTTCAACACCCTCGAGTCTTCCTTAGCTGACTCAATAAAGCTATAATTGAACACTTCATTAATTTCATCTTAAGCCCTTGAAACCCACACTAGATTTTTAAAAATTTTATTTTAAAATAATCTTAGATAGATAGAAAAGTTGTTGGAATAATAGAGTTCTCACATATTTTTTACTTAGTTTTCCCTAATGTCAGCCTTTTATATAACCATGGTGCTTTTGTCCATACTAAGAATTAGCATTGGTACATTGCTATTAATAACTCATTCATAAGTTTTATTTTTATTTTTTATTTTATTTATTTATTTTTGAGATGGAGTCTCGCTTTGTCGCCCAGGCTGGAGTGCGGTGGCGCGATCTCTGCTCACTGCAAGCTCGCCTCCCAGGTTCACGCCATTATCCTGCCTCAGCCTCCCGAGTAGCTGGCACTACAGGTGCCTGCCACCACGCCCAGCTAATTTTTTTTTTTTTTTTTTTTGTATTTTTAGTAGAGACGGTGTTTCACAGTGGTAGCCAGGATGGTCTCGATCTCCTGACCTCGTGATCCGCCGTCCTCGGCCTCCCAAAGTCCTGGGATTACAGGCATGAGCCACTGCGCTTGGCCTATTTTTTATTTTTTTACTAATGTCCAGAACTGAATCCAAGATATCATGTTTCACTGGGTAGTAGTGATGTCTCCTTAGTTTCCTCCAGTTTGTCAGGACTGCTTTGTTTTTCATGACTTTGACACTTTTGAAGAATACTAGTTAGGTACTTTGTAGAATGTCTTCATTTTGGCTTTGTCTAATGTTTCTGTCATGATTAGACTGGGTTCATGGGTTCTGAAAGAATATAACAGAAGAAAAGTACTCTTCTCATCACACATATATCAAGAGTAGTACACAATATCAACATTGTATTGATAATACTAACCTTGATAACTTGGTTAAGGTACTGTTTACCAGGTTTCTCCACTGCAAAGTTACTATTTTTCCCTTTCTATATTCTTTGACAGTGAGTCACTAAGACCATTTTACACTCAAGGGGATGGGTATTAAGCTAACCGCCTGAAGAAAGTAGTATATATACATGTAGTATTAGGAGTTCTCTTGTAAGAAAAATGCGTTCCTTCTCTTCCAGCATTTATTTATTAAAATAATTTATTCATATTAGTATGGACTTATGTACATTTATATTTTTAGTTGTTACATAAAACTTTTCTTTCTCAAGTCATTTCAGCTTTTACTGCTCAAAGTTCGTTCAGATTGGCTCCTGTGTCAATTTGACATGACCCACAGTTTATTTATTTGAGTACTTCCTTACTTTCTGGCACTACAAGATGCTTCAGGCTCATCTTGTATTTTGACTATTCCAGGCTTAGAAACAGCTATATATTCATGTAACCATTATATACAATAATAATGTAAACAACTTAAATTCTAAATGATAGAGAACAATAAAGCAGCAGAAATTAGTAAAGACAAAAGAAAAAGTTAATGAATTAGAAAGCAGAAAAATTATAGAACTTATAAATAAATCTAAAAGCCAGTACTTTGAAAAATATCTTTTGTTGGTTGAAATTCCTTGTTGAAAGAAAATTCTCTTTGAAAAACTACCAACAAAATAAACCACTGACTAATCTAGCAATATAAAAAGAAGAAAGCACAAATAGACGAAATTAGAAATGACAAGAGGAAAATAACCATCAAAATAGAAAATTCTTAAATGATGACACTAATTTACACAATCTTTGCAAATAAATTTGAAGGCTCAGATGAAATGGCTAATTTCCTAAAAAAATACAACTTAACAAAATTGATATCAGCAGAGACAGAAAATCTAAACAGACCCATTATTATATAAAAAATAGAGAAAGAAAGTCTCCCACCTAGTAAACACAAAATACACCAGGTCTAGATGGTTTCATAGGGGAATTCTACGAATCCATTAATGATCAGGTATTTCCAACACTATTTAGTGATTACAAATCATAGTTAAAAAATCCAAATTATGTCAAACACCTGAAGTAGATGATATATATTATGCACATTATGTTGCAACTCATGTTAGTGATTTAACAGTATTTATTGGACATCCCATGGTTAGGGTGTGTGAGCCCTAAATTATAATTTTAATGACTAGTTTCTATACTTAGTAGAGAGATATAATAATTTATTCAGTCATTCCCATATTGATGGTCATTCAAGTTGTTTTCAGTTTATTTCTCTTGCAAACAGATACAGAGTTACAGCTAGAAGTGTAGAATAAGTTTCAGTGTTCTGTAGCACTGTAGGATGAATTATTTTTAAAAAGTTAAAAGGGCCTATTTTGAATGTTTAAAACACAAATAATAAATGTTCAAGGTAATGCATATGCTAATTATTCTAATTTGATAATTACAGTTATCAAAATATCACTCTGTATGTACAATGATTATGTGTCTATTAAAAATAAAAGGGGAAAAATCCTGTGCACATATTCCTGGGGGCCAGAGCTTTTGTTTTGGTAAAACTAAGAGGCCAGTCAAGGTGATAAGAACCAAATTATTTCAGGAAATAAATATAACACAAGCTGAGTTTAAGAACAAGTGTGGTTAGTTCCTAGAAAATCAGTTATTTATTCATACTATTAAAAATACATAGTTCGTCATCTATATTAGGTATTTCTTCAATGCTACCCCTCCTGTAGTCCCCCATCCCCTGACAGGCCCTGATGTGTGGTGTTCCCCTCCCTGTGTCCATATGTTCTCATTGTTCAAGTCTCACTTATGAGTGAGACATGCAGTGTTTGGTACTCTGTTCTTGTGTAAGTTTGCTGAGAATGATGGTTTCCAGCTTCACCCATGTCCCTGCAATGGACATGAGCTCATCCTTTTTTATGGCTGCATAGTATTCCGTGGTGTATATGTGCCACATTTTCTTTCTCCAGTCTGTCATTGATGGGCATTTGGGTTGGTTCCAAGTCTTTGCTATTGTGAACAGTGCTGCAATAAACATGTATGACCTGCACATTCTGCACATGTACCCCAGAACTTAAAGTATAATAAGAAAAATAAAAATACATAGTTGATATAGGTAAGTGAATATTATCAACATTTGTCTAAATTTTTAAAATCAGAATTTCAAGTAAGTTCAACAATGCAATCAGTGTGCTTCCTCAATGCCGTGTGATATGGTTTGGCTGTGTCCCCACCCAAATCTCATCTTGAATTGTAGCTCTCATAATTCCTACATGTCATGGGAGGGATGTGGTGGGAGGTAATTTAATCGTGGAGGTGGGTCTTTCTCATGTGCTGTTCTCGTGATGGTGAATAGGTCTCACAAGATCTGATGGTTTTATAAAGTGGAGTTCCCCTGTACACACTCTCTTGTCTGCTGCCATGTAAGATGTAGCTTTGCTCCTCCTTGCCTCCTACCATGATTGTGAGGCCTCCCCAGCCACGTGGAACTGTGGGCCCATTAAACCTCTTTTTCTTTATAAATTACCCAGTCTTAGGTATGTCTTTATCTGGAGCATGAGAATGGGCTAATACACCATGTCTTTCAATAAGGTATTCTTTTACAGAGAAACATTAATGATCACATTTCTGAAGAACACCAGCCGTGCACATCTTTCACTTAAATTATTTCAGTCAATTAAATTTAAACCAAGAGAAGAAACACTTCAAGATATATCTAAAATGGGAGTGATTTAGAGATAGTATAAGACTCTTAGTTAATAATCATTTTGCTACCTGAGTAATATTCCAAAATGACCCTTTTCCATTATTATTTGGACTAAGCGTTTAAACCATTGCAGTTTCATGGTATTAAGTTGCTTTATTTTGGTATATTCATATTAATAATAAAAAAGTTACCTGTTAAATGAAAAATACTTTGAATCTGACAAATTATATATCCTGTTTTACTTAGTAATTCATAATACTTAATGCAATTTATTTATTTTTTCTTTATTATTATTATTTTTAGAGACAGAGTCTCACTGCGTTGCCCAAGCTGGAGTGCAGTGGTGTGATCTCAGCTCACTGCAACCTTCATCTCCCAGGTTCAAGCAATTCTCCTGCCTCAGCCTCCAGAGTAGTTGGGATTACAGGCACACACCACCACACTCAGCTAATTTTTGTATTTTTAGTAGAGACGGGGTTTCACCATGTTGGCCAGGCTGGTCTAGAACTCCTGACCTCAAGTGGTCTGCCTACCTCAGCCTCCCAAAGTGCTGGGATTGCAGGCGTGGGCCACTGCATCCAGCCACTCAATGTAATTTATATCTGTGTGTATATATGTATATTATGTATATAAGTGTACATGTGTTTACTACAATTCATACATGCAAAGGAAAATGTACATTATTTGATTTAGAGCTAATTTCTGCTTCATCAGTTCTCACATATTGTTTAGCTGAAAAAATATAAACTTATTGTACATTATGGTTTTAGACTTGGTCTGAACTGATATTTTCAGTGGTCGCCTTGGTAATATTCTGTCTCTTAATATCATCTTCCTTCCTCTGCCTCTTTTCTTAAATAGTTTTGGAATATAAGTAAACAAGGGGTGAGGGCTTGCATGCCTTAGTGGTATGGGTGGGAAATGGCAGTGGTCTCTTATCTCTTATCTTCAGCCCTGAATACAGGCTGCCTAGGGTCCACTGGTTTCTGGAGTGATAACATTTGCCACTAGCAGATGGTTTCTAGGCCTTCCAGAGTCTATAGCTGGTGAAACTGAGGTCTCTTATTCCTGAGAAACAGTAGGCCACCTGCTGTTCACTGATTCCTATTCTTCTCACTTCCTCCTGGATCTGCCACATACTCCATACTGTCTGTCAGTCTGGTAAGCAATTCCAGACCCTTTGGGACCTTGGCAGCCCTGTTGACTCTTCTGTTAGGCTCCAAACTACCAAGGAAGTGAGAAAGGCTCAGGAATACCAATCAGATTCTTTCTCTGTCTCACCATGCTTCTGCACTCTCCTAATTAGACTAGGCTGAGATGTATTGGCACCTGGTTCTCTACGTAGTAATTTCCTGATACCCAGATTGGGCAGTTGAACATTAGCTTCTGTTCTCTCCGTGCCTATCCTCTGCTTCAGTTTATCTAACACACACTCAGAAATAGAAAATAAGAATGCATATTGTATCACTTCATCCATTTATTTCCTCTTGTTTGTCAATATCTTGGACCAATCAGATTGTAAACATCAAAAACACTGGAAGGCAAAGGGAAGAACACAAACAATATTTTTATTGTAACTTGTGGCATATACATGAATATAAAGTGATATTTCCTCCTAATTCTTTTTAACTTCCTTCTAACCAGAGAAATAAATCTAGTTGAAACCAGTTCAGCAATTAAAAATAATATAAATCACTACATTGGGGAAGTATTAATTCTGATTTTTTTTCTGTGCTCTTACATACTTCTGAGATTTGGTAAAAATAAAAGATGATTTCCACATTTTTCTTTAGTTATTGAAGCTGAACAACTCTTATTTTTATAAGACATAAGTGTTTATTATAATGTTCAATGAAAACGTCATTGTTTATATTAATTATATTCAGTATAAAGACAAAGCTAACCAAACTTGAATTCACATGATGTCAAACATTTGGATGAAAACTTCACATAATCAGCTAAATGTTTCAAAAGATGTAATCCTCGACACTGTGTAGAAAGATTCAGATGACTAGCTGAAGTTCGTAATATTTATTTAAATATTTTTATATACTATGCACTCAAGCTTTTACTAGCACCCTAGTACTTAAAAGTATGTAGTTTTAAGAATATTCTTAAAATATTGGAGTACAAATCAAAATCTTCTATTTTATGGCTTGGACTCTCAAATCAACAAGTTTATTCACATCTTGTAGCATTTAAACACCAAGAGTTTTGCTAAACCAAGCATGTAAGATGCATGACAGAAATAAGAAGTGCCAACAAAATTTTCAAGAATTTGAGTTCTGTCATTAAATTGTGTTATCACAATTTAATCCCATAAAAGCCTAGTATATAATGCTTATTTTGTTTTCTGATTAGTTTGGTAGTGTCAAGTCATGGCATTATGAAATCTAGGAATAAAACAAAGGAAACTCATATTAACTATTCATAATGTAATGATAAAAGTGTCTGAAAAAATGATTATATAGTGAACTTTATGTATTCTTTCTTTTAGACTTAGCTCTTTAAAATTGTATAATGTATGTTTGTGCAATTAAAAACAGTAGAAATGTTAGGAGGTAAACTTATTTTTATTTATTGTATTTAAAAAATTTAATGTGCACACTATACATGAAAAACACAGTGGCAAATATATTGAGAGAAAAAATAAAGACATGCAGAATGCAGCCAAAATTATAGAAATGCTATAATAACCATAAACTTATGAAATAATTATTGTAACCACCTTGAGGGCATATTGATAAATTCCAAAAGTATTTTAAGATAAAAAAATTAGGTATGGATTTCACAGCACATGGTGTTTTTAAAAAACTGTATAGCTGGCCGGGCGCGGTGGCTCACGCCTGTAATCCCAGCACTTTGGGAGGCCGAGGCAGGCGGATCACGAGGTCAGGAGATCGAGACCATCCTGGTTAACACGGTGAAACCCCGTCTCTACTAAAAATACAAAAAATTAGCTGGGCGTGGTGGCGGGCGCCTGTAGTCCCAGCTACTTGGGAGGCTGAGGCAGGAGAATGGCGTGAACCCGGGGGGGTGGAGCCTGCAGTGAGCCGAGATTGTGCCACTGCACTCCAGCCTGGGCGACAGAGCAAGACTCCATCTCAAGAACAAAAAAACAAAATTGTATAGCTGTGACTAGAAAGAAAGCTTAACTATAAGAGACTTTTTTTAAAATAGAGGAAGAGTTATGCTAAAATGGAGTAAAATTTATAAAATAAAAGATTTCTAGTAACACTTTAATTATGTGGTCAATAAGCTAGCATAGGTCTTAAGATTTGTTATGCCTCACACCTCTTCTCTCTATCTATGCTCATTCATTGACATTATGTTGAAAGAAAGAAAAAAACACGGTTGAAAGAAAGCAGTTGGATTATTGGATCATTGGTAATCGATGACAGTCTTTCTTTCTGTAAAACTAGGGTTATTTATATTTCTTAAGCCTCCTTTCCCACCCCAAAATGAAGAGTTGGACTACATTATCTCCGAGCTTTCTCGCAGGTTCAAATATTTTTTTTTTTTTTTTTTGAGAAGGAGTCTCGCTCTGTCCCCCAGGCTGGAGTCGAGGGGCGCGATCTCCGCTCACTGCAAGCTCCGCCTCCCGGGTTCAAGCCATTCTCCTGCCTCAGCCTCCCGAGTAGCTGGGACTACAGGCACCCCCCACTACGCTGGGCTAATTTTTTGTATTTTTTTTTTTAGTAGAGATGGGGTTTCACAATGTTAGCCAGGATGGTCTCGATCTCCTGACCTTGTGATCTGCCCGCCTCGGCCTCCCAAAGTGCTGGGATTACAGGCGTGAGCCACCGTGCCCCAGCCCTCGCAGGTTCAAATATTATGACTGTATTTAATAATCTGTGAACAACAACAAAAAATGTTTCCAAAATTTCAATGTGCAAATGACAGAAAAAGGAAGTGGTGGATAGGAAAGTATAAAAAGATCACGTACTTCCCTTCTTGTAATTCACGCCCAGGTCAATAAGGGGCGGATAATACAGACAACCACATTTCCAGATGGGAGGAAGGAAACGGTGCCAGAAAACATTAAGAAAAGATTTTTCTGCTTTTAAAGTAGTCAGAACATAGGTTAAGGATCAGAGAAGCCAAATAAGCCAGGAGGCTTCGAAGTGAGCCTCTCAGCATCCTGTTGTGATCCCAAGGAAAAAAATATTTTTACTGACTTCTTCCAGTGTCTCCTGTATGTAAGTAGAAACATGTAATATCAGAAATGGTATGCCTACGGCTACTCACACTAAACTCAGAAGTAAATAAATCTACTAGAAGACTTCCAGTTTCATCCCAGAGATGTATACAGCTGGAAAGCATCATTTCCATCCCACAACAAAATATAAGCCCGAGCAAATGAAATATTAACAATTTTTCTTGCACTCTTCAGAAAACTACAGTTGCAAGGCAGACAGCTTACTGAAATCTGTAGAGAGACAGGAACTTGAAGGGAGAAACAGGACCTATGCATCTGCTTATTTGGATTGATGCCACCAAATGCCATACAAATCAGTAGGAAGATTAAAATAATAATTTTTAATGAACTAATAAAGGCTGAATTTAGGTGAGTGTGGAAAGCTAGAGTGGCTATATTAATTTCAGATAAAGGAGACTTCAGAATAAGAAGTATTATTGCGAACCAACAGGACACATTATAAATTCTCCAAGAAGACATGGAAATCCTAAATGTATGTATGTACCTAAAAACAGAGCTTCAAAATTAAGTGAAAATAGATTTGAAAGAAGAAATAGACAAGTCCACTATTATAGTTGGAGACGTTATTATTCCTCTCTTAGTAATTGATAGAATAAATAGGCGGAAAATCATTAAGGACATAGGAGACCCAAACTATAAGTATGTAACTATGATCAACCCTATATAGTATCAGTCAACGTACTTTTTTTTTTTTTTTTTTTGAGACGGAGTCTCGCTCTGTTGCCCAGGCTGGAGTCCTGGGGCGCGATCTCGGCTCACTGCAAGCTCCGCCTCCCGGGTTCACGCCATTCTCCTGCCTCAGCCTCCCGAGTAGCTGGGACTACAGGCGCCCGCCACCACGCCCGGCTAATTGTTTGTATTTTTAGTAGAGACGGGGTTTCACTGTGTTAGCCAGGATGGTCCCGATCTCCTGATCTGGTGATCCGCCCGCCTCGGCCTCCCAAAGTACTGGGATTACAGGCGTGAGACACTGCGCCCGGTCCAGTCAATGTACTTAATAGAGTTAATGCTATGAAATCTCCTCTGATAATTTTTATTAGTGTCTGATATATTCTAATACATCAGATTTCACTTTTTCTTTTTTTTTTTTTTTAGAAAGTCTATAATTTTGGTCCATGTATCTCCTCTCAGACTGAAGATTTTTACTTGTGAGCTTTTTAAATTAATAGGAATGATACTTTTTGCTTTCTTTCTTTTCTTTTTTTTTTTTACAGTTTTATTAGGCATGCTGGAACCAGACCTCCCATCCTCACACTGTGGTGTCAGGGACTTCTGCCTCATGTGTCTTTTCAAATAATAACAATATGCTGTACCCAAAGTATATGGTACCAGTTTAGAGTCTTGAATTTTAAAAACCTGAATATGGAAAGAACCTGCCCATCCACTTTGGAATGCCCCTGTTAAGCTCACCTTACAGCATCAGAAGTGGACTCAGCAGCCACCTATTAGATCCAATATGAAATGCCCTAAATACTCCCCTTACGTGGTGCCTGGAGGACCTCAGTCTTAAGCTTCTCCTTTGAACTGAGGGCCTGACAAGGCCTGTATAGGGCAGGCTGAGCCAAGCCCTGGCTTGGATTAGGGGTATCATCCAGGAATGGAATGAGCGAATGGCTTCTCCTTAAGGAAACGTTGTAAATGAAATGAACAATGACCTTCTTTTTCTTTTTCTTTTCTTTTCTTTTCTTTTTTTTTTTTACTAGTTCAATCATTGTGGAAGAAAGTGTGGCGATTCCTCAGGGATCTAGAACTAGAAATACCATTTGACCCAGCCATCCCATTACTGGGTATATACCCAAAAGATTAGCTGTTATAAAGACACATGCATACATATGCTTATTGCGGCACTATTCACAATAGCAATGACTTGGAACCAACCCAAATGTCCATCAATGATAGACTGGATTAAGAAAATGTGGCACATATACACCATGGAATACTATGCAGCCATAAAAAAGGATGAGTTCCTGTCCTTTGTAGGGACATGGATGAAGATGGAAACCATCATTCTCAGCAAACTATCGCAAGGACAAAAAACCAAACACTGCATGTTCTCCCTCGTAGGTGGGAATTGAACAATGAGAACACCTGGACACAGGGAGGGGAACATCACACACCGGGGCCTGTGGTGGGGTGGTGGAGGGTGGAGGGGTAGCATTGGTAGATATACCTAATGTAAATGACAAGTTAATGGGTGCAGCACACCAACATGGTGCAGGTGTACATATGTAACAAACCTGCACGTTGTGCACATGTGTCCTAGAATTTAAAGTATTAAAAAAAAGGATACTTTTTGCATTCTAATGCTGTTTTTATAATTTATGTTTTGAAAGTCTATCGAGGTTAACTTGTGGTCTAAAATATACTCCTTTTTTTTGGCAAATGTTCCATGTATACCTACAAAGAGGATATACTCTGTACTATCAAGATTTAGATTTACTTTACTGATTATGTCGCATAGGTCTTATTAATGTTTTATTGACTTCATCACAGCTGGATCAGCAAGGTTTATTAAAATATTCTACTATTATTGTGTTTCTGTCTATCTTGGAAACTCACGTAATTTCTGCCCTATGAAAGCTGTGTCTTTCTCACTGGGTGAATAAATACATATCAATAATTATACTTTTTGTGAAATTTAGCACTAGAAAGTATCAATTTTTGCCTTTTAAATATTCTGATTGCTATGTCTTCAGATATTAAAATTTCCAAATTTACTTTCTTTATATTTCTATGCTTGTATATTTATCCTATTATTTTATCATTCTGATTTTTTTGTTGTAGGTGTGTCCTTAGTATATACCATAGCATTTATTTTTGCTTTGTTGACCCATTTGAACATTTTTTCTTTTAGTATATATGTTTTGCACTTTTTAATTTATTGTTAAGATTAACATGTTTGCCTTCAGTTCTGCAATATTGTATTTCATTATATATGGATATATTATCTATGTATTAACATAAATATAGATGTAGATGTAGTCTACTATGTAATTTGATTTGTTTTTTATTTTTTGTTTTATTATATTTCAAAATGTTTGTTTTCTCGTTCTAATGGTTACCTGCATATTAAATTCATTTATACAATACTTTTAATGCCCATCCACTTTTTGGAGGCTACCAGTTTATTCAGTACTCTTAGAAGAAAAATTAACTTGTACTGTCTTCCAGTCCCTAATCTTCTTCATCCTCAGCAATCTAAATTTAAACAATATACTTGGTATTAGTGAGCTTGTTCTACTTTTCATTTATACCTCCAATTCATGAATGATTGTTGTAGTTATACTGTTTCTATTTTGTAGGAGAATGTAACTATCATATACTATATTATCTTTTAAGAAATGATTATTTAGTTTTATTTCAATAGGTAAATATAAATTTTATGCCCATAACTAGTCTTTATGCCAGTGAATCTCTGGTCATTTTAATATTTTGAAGCTTATTTTCTAGTAGATTATTTAGGAAATTCTCATGGCAACAATATTTCATATTCCTCACAGTTTATTTATAAAAGAAAGTCAATTTGACTAGATAAGTATTTGTGAATAACAATGTTTTTTTCCTTGAAATATTACATATGTTGCTCCATTGTATTCTGGCATAAAACACTCACCTGAAAAGGTCTTGAGTCAATCTATATTTTTTCCATTGTAAGTGACCTGGTTTTTGTGTCTGGACTCTTAAGATATTTTTTCTTCAGGTTTCAATTCAATATTTTTACTACAATATATTGTAATTTTGTCCATTCTGGGTTGATTTCCCCCCGGTATGTGATATAGTTTTTTGTTTTCATTTTTTTTGCTTTTGTTATTTTTAATTGACAATAATAGTTGTACATATTTATGAAGCAGAGTGTGATATTTTGATATATATATATTCAATGTATAATGATCAAATCAGGGCAATTAACATATCTATTGCCTGAAACATTTATCATTTCTTTTTATTGGTAACATTAAAAATCTGCTCTTCTAGCTATTTGAAAATATAGGGTAAGTTGTTAATTATAGTCACCCTATAGTGCTGTAAAACACTAGAATTTATTCCTCCTATCTAGCTGTAATTTTGTATCTGTTAACCAGCCTCTCAGGATCATCCCCCCATCTTCTCAGCCTCTGGTAACCACAATGCTACTCTCTACTTCTATGTCATCAACTTTTTTCACTTCCACATATGAGTGAAAGCATTAGGAATTTATCTTTCTGTGCCAGGCTTATTTCGCTTAACATAATGTCCTACAAGCTCCTCCATGTTGCCTCAAATGACAGCATGTCATTCTTTTATCTGGCTGAATAATATTCTACTGTGTATATATACCACATTTTCTTTTTCTGTTCATCCACTGATGGACATTTAGGTTGATTCCATATCTTTGCTATTGTGAATAGTGCTGCAATAAACACAAAACTCTCTTGTCATACTCATTTCCTTTCCTTTGGATAAATGTCAAAGAGTGGGATTAGTGGGTCATATGATAGTTTTTTAGTTTTTTGAGAAATCTCCATACTGTTTTTCATAATAGCTGTTCTAATTTACATTCCCACTACCAGTGTAGAAGAGTTCCCCTTTTTCCTCATCCTCTCCAGCATTTGTCATTTTTGTCTTTTTGATGATATCCTTTCACTGGGGTGAACTGATATCTCATTGTGGTTTCAATTTGCATTTCCCTGATGATTAGTTACTAAGTATATTTTTCATATACCTGTTGGCCATATTTATGTTTTTTTATGAAAGATGTCTGTTTAGCTCATTCCTCATTTCTTAATTGGATTTTTTTGTTTGTTTTTGGCTTTTATTGTATATTCTGGACATTAATCTCTTGTCAGATGAATAGTTTGCAAATATAATTTCTTCCATTTTGCAGGTTATCTATTCATTCTGTTGATTTTTTCCTTTGCTTTGGAGAGTTTTTAGTTTAATAATATCTCACTTGCTTATTTTTTCTTCTGTTGCCTGTGCTTTTGAGTTCTTAATAAAATCTTTGCTCAGACCAATGTCCTGAAGCATTTCCCCTATGTTGTTTTCTAGTAGTTTTATACTTTCAAGCCTTACAACTAAGTATTTAATCCATTTTGTGTTTATTTTTGTATATGGTGAGAGAGAAGGGTCTAGTTTCATTCTTCTGCATATGAAATCCAGTTTTTCCAACACCATTTATTGCAGATTGCAGAGACCGTTCTTTCCTCAGTGAATATTCTTGGTACCTTTGGTGAAACTCAGTTGGCTGTAAATACATGGATTTATTTCTGGGCTTTCTATTCTCTTCCGTTGGTGTATATATCTGTTTTTATGCCAATACCATGCTGTATTGGTTACTATAGCTTTGTAATATATTTTGAAGTCAGGTAGTCTGATTTCTCCAGCTTTGTTCTTTTCACTCAGGAACGCTATGGCTATTTGAGGTCTTTTGTGGTTTGATATACATTTTAGTATTGTTTTTTCTATTTCTGTGAAGAATCTCATTGATATTTTGATAGGGATTGCACTGAATCTGTAGACTTCTTTAGATAGTATGGTCATTTTCACTATATTCTTCCTTTCAATGAACATGGAATATCTTTCCATTGTTATGTGTCCTTGATTTTTTTCATCTGTGTTTTATGGTTTTCTCTGTAGAGATCTTTCACCTTTTTGGTTAAATTTGGAATAAATTTGGTTAAATTTATTCCTAGGCACTTTTCTTGGTAGCTATTTTTAAGGTGATTGCTTTCTTGATTTCTCTTTCATTGGCTCATTACTGGTGGAGCTTTCAGGTTTTCTATATATAATATAATGTTGTTAGCAAAGAAAGACAATTTGACTTTCTCCCAATTTGGATGCCCTTTATTTATTTCTCTTTTTAAGTTTCTCTGTCTAGGACTTACAGTACCATGTTGAATAAGAGTGGTCACAGTGGGCATTCTTGTCTTGCTCCAGTTCTTACAGAGAAAACTTCCAGCTTTCATGTTGAGGTATGTTCCTTCTATACTTGAGAGTTTTTAATCATGAAGGAATGTTAATTTTTGTGAAATGCTTTTCCTGCCTCTAATGAGATGATCATATGGGTTTTATGCTTAATTCTGTTGATGTGATATACACATTTATTAATTTGCATATGCCAAATCACCTTTGCATCCCTGGGATAAATCCCCAGTTTGTCATGGTATATGATCTTTTTAATGTGCTAGTAAATTCAGTTTTCTAGTATTTTTTGAGGATTTTGAATCTATGTTTATTAGTGATGTTGATCTAAAGTCTTTGTTGTTGTTTCCTTCTCTGGTTTTTGTATCAGGATAATGTTGGCTTTGTAGAATGAGTTTGGAAGAATTCTCTTCAATTTTTTGAAGAGTTTGAGTAGAATTTGTACTAGTTCTTTAAATATTTGGTAGAATTTAATGGTGAATCCATGAAGTTCTGTGATTTTATTTGATGGGAGATTTTTTATTACTAATACAATCCTGTTACTCACAATTGGTCTGTTTAGGGGTTCCATTTCTTCATGATTCTGTCTTGGTAGGTCGTATCTGTACAAAAATTTATTCATTTTTTTTCTAAGTTTTCCAAGTTGTTTATGTATGCTTGTTCCTAATAGTTTCTAATGATCCTTTTTATTTCAAGGTTATCTGTTGTAATGTCTGTTTTTGTTTCTGATTTTGTTTATTTGCATCTTTTCTATTTTTTGGTTATTCTGGCTAGAGGTTTGTTGATTATCTTTCAAAAAACTAATTTTTCATTTTTTGATTTTTCTTTGTTTTTAAAGTCTCAATTATGTTTATTTCTGCTCTGATCCTAATTATTTCTTTCCTACTAATTTTAGTTTATTCCTTGAGATGCATCATTAAGTTGTTTATTTAAAATCTTTTTGCTTTTTTGATGTAGGCCTTTATTGCTTTTAAACTTTTCTAAATAGCACTTTTCCTGTATCCCATGGGTTTTGCCATGTTATGTTTCTATTTTCATTCGTTTCAAGATAGTTTTTAATCTGGTCTCATTAACCCAGGAAAAGACATCTTTGCCAAACCCCCAAAACAAAAAGCCTTAATCCAATTCAACCAGAGCCCAAATTTTTATCTTTCGGCTGTATGCATTTTTAACAGTCACCCCTCAACTAATACACCTTTTTCCATTTTAGTCTCACTTCACTAATTCTCCAAATTTAGGTATCCTTTTAAAGCCACCCCATTCATTTCCACCCCATTTTTAATTTCCTCATTTTCCCATTGGTCATTTAGGAGCATGTTGTTTAATTTCCATGTATTTGTACAGTTTTGAAAGTTTTTCATGTTGTTGATTTCCCGTTCTATTCCACTGTGGTCAGAAAAGATACTTAAATAGCTGGGAGCAGTGGTTCACACCTGTAATCTCAGCACTTTGAGTGGCCATGGTGGTAGGATTGCTTGAGTTCAGGAGTTCAAGACTAGCCTGGGTAACACAGTGAGACCTCATCTCTACTAAGGATTTTTAAAAAATCACCTGAGCATGATGGCATGTACCTGTAGTCCCATCTACTCAGGAAACTGAGGTGAAACGATCTCTTGAGCCTGGGAGACAGAGATTACAGTGATCCAAGATTGTGCTACTGCACTCCAGCCTGGGCAACAAGAAAAAAAAGAATACTTGATATAATTTCAAATTTAAAAATTTTGAGATGTTTTGTGTTCTAACATATGGTCTATCCTGAAGAATGTTCCATGTGATGATGAAATGAATGTGTATTCTGCAGCTGTTGATAAAATGTTTAGTAAATGTTTGGCCAGTTGCAGTGGCTCACATCTGTAATCCCAATACTTTAGGAGACCAAGGCGGGTGGATCACCTAAGGTCAGGAGTTTGAGACCAGCCTGGCCAACATGGTGAAACGCCGTCTCTACTAAAAATACAAAAATTAGCTGGGTGTGGTGGCAGGCACCTGTAATCCCAGCTACTTGGGAGGCCGAGGCAGGAGAATTGCTTGAGCCTGGGAGGCGGAGGTTGCAGTGAGCCAAGATCGCAAGATCCTGCCATTGCACTCCAGCCTGGTTGACAAGAAAGAAACTCTGCCTCAAAAAAAAAAAAAAAAATAGAAAATGTCTGTTAGTTCCATTTGATCTAAAGTCCCATTTAAATTTATCGTTTCTTTGTTGATTTATTTTTCTGTCTGGATGATCTGTTCAATTCTCAGAGTGGGGTGTTGAAGTCCTCATCTATTATTGTGTTGGAGTCTATGTCTCCCTTTATATCTAATAATATTTGCTTTATATATCTGCATGCTCCAATGTTGGCTACATATATATATATTGACATTTGTTATATTCTCTTGCTGAATTGATCCTATTACCACTAAATAGTGGATTTTCAGCCCCTTTTTTACAATTTTTGATTTCTGTCTGTCTTACATGACATAAATATTGCTACTCCTGCTCAATTTTGGCTTCTGTTTGTATGGACTGCCTTTTTCCAACTCTTCATTTTCAGTGTATCGGTGTCTCTTGAGGTGAAATGAGTTTCTTATGGGTGGGCTATGTTTGAATTTTTTTAAAAAATTATTCATTCAGCCAGTCTATATCTTTTGATTGAGATATTTAATCTTCTTACATTCAAGATTGTTATTGATAAGTGAGGACTTACTCTTATGTTGTCAATTGTCTTTTGGTTATTTTGTATATCTTTTGTTCTTTTATTTCTGTTTTTCTTGGAGGTTTGGTGGTTTTCTGTGGTGATAAGGTTTTATTCCTTTTCCTTTCTCCTCTGTATCTGTTCTAGCAATGAGTTTTATATTTTTGTGTGTTTTCATGATGATAGTTATGACCTTTTGCTTCCAGATGTAAGACTTCCTTGAACATTTCTTGTAATGCTAACTAGTGGTGTTGATTTTTTTAGTTTTTCTTGTCTGGGAAAGACTACTTCTCCTTTGTCTCTGAATTATAACTTTGCTAGGCATAGTATTCTTGGTTAGCACTTTTTTTTTCCTCAGCACTTTGGATGGATAATCCCAATCTCTCATGGTCTATGAGGTTTCACCTGAGAAACTTGCTGTTGGTCTGATGGAGATTCCCTTATATGTGACTTGTTACTTTTTCTTGCAGTTTTTAGAATTATCTTTCTATCTTTGTGTTTTGACAATTTGTCTATGATGTTCCTCGGAGGGTACATTTTGAATTAAATATATTTGGGACTCTTTGAGCTTCCTGGATCTGGATGTTCATACCTTTCCCAAGACTTGGGAATTTTTCAGCTATTATTTTAGTCAATAGATTTTCGGTGCTTTTTCTAGTCATTTGCCTTCTGGTAATCCCATAAGGGAAAATTTTGTGCACTTAATGTCATCTCATAAGTCCTGTAGGCTTTCTTTACTCTTTTTCATTCTTATTTATTTATTTTTCTCTGATTTTACAATTTCAAATGACTTATCTTCAAGTTCAGAGGCTTTTTCTCTTCTGCTTGATCAAGCCTGCTGTTGAAGCTATTATATTCTTTATTTCATTAATTGAATGTTTAGCTATACAATTTCTTTTTGGTTCTTTTGTATGATATCCATCTATTTATTAAATTTCTCATGCCCATCATGAATTGGTTTTTTGTTTTTGTTGAAATGCCTTTCTGTATTCTCTTGCATCTCCCTGAGTTTCCTTAAGATTATTATTTTTAATTCATTTTATGAAAATTCATAGGCTTTCTTTTCTCTGTGGTGTGTTACTGGAGAGTTATTGTGTTCTTTTGGTGCTGTCATATATCCTTGCTTTTCCATGTGTTTTGTGTCCCTGCATTAATGTTTGTGCATTGGTAGAGCAACTACCTCTTTCACATTTTTGCAAAGTGGCTTTCATAGAAGAAGACTTTCACTTGAAGATGGGTCTTTGTGTCAATTGAGAAGAGTGTGGTGACTTTGGTTCCAAGTAGGTGCAGTGATATAGTATCCATGAAACTTCCTCTGCTGCTGTCAACATCAGTGATTAGTGTGGGTGTCTCAGTGACCTAGGATATGGGAGTTTGTGGCAGCAGTGGTGGTGCCATTATTAGTTGTTAAGTTTCTTGGTGTTGAGGGCTTTTGAGGTCCTCCATTATTCTCATTTTCTCCACAGTGAGGAACTAAGCCAAAGGAATCTCTCATCCTGTTGGTTTTGATATGGTCTACAATCAGCTGCAGCCTCCTGTCCCTTTGGATAGCAGGAGTGGCCTTTACTGTACTGTTTTCCCAAGTATCAGAGTACCACTTTAGCTCATGCACAGGAGGATGTGGCTGTTCTGGGAGGCCAGAACACCTCTTCCTTGGGATGCCAGGTGTTGCTTTAGCCCCAGCAAAGGAAGATAGGGTACCACAGGAACTGGAAGGAGTATATTGCATGGCTTTACCAAAGTACCCCTTCCCTAAAAGGCTGTATGTAGCTTTACTTTGAGTCCCATTGATAGGGACAGGAGGTAGGGAAATTCTGAGCGGAAGAGGGTGGGTCCCTAGCAAAGACCCCAGCCTCAAGCCTGGAACCACCGCCCGAAGTGAGAACATACATCTCTGTTTTCTTGCTCAAATATTGCCTTTTCCAAAACCACCCATGGCCCACCTCCCGCCAATCCTGTGCCCATAAAATCCCCAGGCTCCACCAGTAAAGAGAGAAGAGGAGAAGCAGCTGGACATTCGAGACTATGGTTGGATGTTAGAGAGAAGCAGCTTGACTTCAGAAGGATGGGTTGATGGCGTAGCTTTGGAGAGGAGTCTGGTCAGGTACGGCCGGGCTTTGAGGGAAGATTACATTTCTGCTTCATCTCCTTTTCAGCTCCCCTTCATTCAGCTGACAGTCACTTTCATCAGCAATAAAATCCCCCACATTTACTATCTCCAGTTTGTTTGTGTGACCTCATTCCTCCTGGATACTAGACAAGAACTCAGGTGCAGGTGCAAAAGGTTGTCACACTGACCCTCCACTGAGCTCTGAACACTTAAGCCATCTGCGGATGGCAAAGCTAAAAGATCACTGATTATAATACTCCTTCTGGGGCTTCAGGAGTCAGGGGAACCCTGCTAGATGCTGCTGTGGAGTCAATACAGAGTTTGTTCCTACCAGAACCCAAAAGTGCTCACCCCCAGCTCCTGCAATTGCTCACCAGTGTGCTCCCTCCTGTGAAGGTTTGAGCACCGTGGGTTCAAGTGATTGAAGTTCACCCCTGCTGGTGCCTATGCACTCCAGTTCCCACCCATGAAGGAGTCAGGGAAAACCGTGGAGCCAGGTAAAGCTACAACTTGGAGGGGTTTTTGGAGCATTTCTGCCAAAGCACCATTTCCGTAGGAGGCAGTGTTCATCTTCAGCTCTGGCTCCTATATGCAGGGCACAGCAGCAACTGGAAGGGGTAGATGGAGCATCTCCACCGAAGGACTATTTTCCTAGGAAGGAGTGCACAGCTTTAGCTCTATCCAAGGGTGCAGGGCACAGCTGTGACTGGGAGAGACAGATAAAGTGGCTTTGTTAAGGTACTGTTTTCTTGAAAGGCTATGGGCAGCTTCACCTCAGATTCCTAGGGGCAGGGTGCAGCACCCATTGGGATGGATAGATGTAGCAGCTCTGCCAAGGCATCGTTTCCTTAGGCGGCAGTATCTGGCTTTTAGCTCCAGCCTGAGTGGGCTGTGGTGCAGCTGTGACTAAGCTGAGTAGGCGAAGTGGCTCCGTTGCCACCTAGACCCACAAGGAAGAGTGTAACAGCTGCTCACAGCTCTGTTGTGCCCCTCTGGTGCCACTTGCACCAGAAGCAAGACACACTCTTGCAGCAGTTTCACTTCCAAGATGACATAGTGCAGTAGCCATGTGGGCTGCAGGGGCAGGACACAGTGTTAATTCTTTCTCTAGGGAGAGCATACAGGTGTGGACTCCAGGCACCTCTCTCAGCTGGGTTTAGTCCCTGTGAAGCTGCAGGGTGAAGATTCTAGGTGTCCAAGGTGTTGGGAACTGCTGAGATCTTCTGATTGACCATTTCCCCTCCAGCAGAAGTTTCTCCTGCATCCTAGCTGATTCTGGCTCAGGGATAGGGTGATGGAGGCTAGGTGTTTCCTTCTGTTCTCTATCAGAACTATCCTGAGCTTCTGTGCTCACCAGTTTCTGCTAATTCTTTGATGTGATCTATGCTCTCCTTTACTTATTTCTCTCAAAATGTAGTTGTTTCTTGGTTGTTTTGGTTGTCTCTGTTTGGGGGGTGGCAAGGATGAGTGCTAGGGGTCTCTAGTTGGCCATCTCGCTGACATCAGACTCACAAGATCTTCTAATATATAGTTTCAAGCCTTTTTGAAATTTTAGAAATAGTTTTCTTTGGTTGTAATGTTTAATATGTATTCTGTCCTATTGCTTTGGATTTCATCTTCAGTGACTTTTGTTATGTATATATTGAGTCTTTTTTGCAAGTCATCTGACTAGCACTTTCTCTCAAATACTTTTAATCACTTTCATTATTTATTTTTCAATCATGTTCTTTCCATATCTCTTTCTCTTTGTCACTTTGTTATTTTTATTTGCTTTAGTGTTATTTTCAATTTGGTCTTCAATTGTGAAGTAACTTTTTAATTCTTTTATTATCTTCCTCTTCAAATCTTTCTTGTCTCCTTTGTTCTCATTGATGAGTTTTTCTAATTCTGCTTTATGCCAATCCTATTTTCTTTATTGCTCTGCTATGTCTTCAATTTCTTTTAGCTTGTTTTGAAATTTTCTTTATTTTTTATTTCCTTATTTATTTTACTTTTATTTTAAGTTCAGGGTACATGTACAGGTTTTTATGTAGGTAAACTTGTGTCATGGGGGTTTGTTGTACAGGTTATTTCAGCACCTGGGTATTGAGAATAGTACTCATTAGTTATCTTTCCTGATTCTCTCCCTCCTCCCACCCTTCACCTTCTGATATGCCCCAGTATGTGTGGTTCCCCTCTGTGTCCATGTGTTCTCATTTAGCTCCCACTTGTAAGTGAGAATATGTAGTATTGGTTTTCACTTCCTGCGTTAGTTTGCTAAGGTTAATGGCCTGTAGTTCCATCTGTGTTCCTGCAGACAACATGATCTTATTCTTTTTATGGCTGCATGGTATTTCATGGTGTATATGTACCACATTTTCTTTATCCAGTCTATTATCAATGGGAACTTAGGTTGGTTCCATGTCTTTGCTATTGTGAATAGTGCTGCAATGAAAATATGCATGCATGTGTCTTCATAATGGAAAGATTTATATTACTTTGGGTATATACCCGGTAATGGGATTGCTGGATTGAATGGTATTTCTATTTTTAGGTCTTTGAGGAATTGCTACACTGTCTTCCACAATGGTTGAATTAATTTACACTTGCAGCAACAGTGTATAAGCATTTCTTTTTCTCCACAACCTTGCCAGCGTCTTTTGTTTTTTCACCTTTTAATAATAGCCATTCTGACTGTTGTGTGATGGTATCACATTGTGGTTTTGATTTGCATTTCACTAATAATCAGTGATGTTGAGCTTATTTTAATATTATTGTTGGCTGCATGTATGTCTTCTTTTGAAAAGTTTTTGTACATGTCCTTGTCCTTCTTTTTAATGGGGTTGTTTTTTTTTTCTTGTAAATTTGTTTAAGTTCCTTATAGATGCTGGATATTAGACCTTTGTCGGATGCAGTTTGCAATAATTTTCTCCCATACTGCAGGTTGTCTGTTTACTCTGTTGATAGTTTCCTTTGCTGTGCAGAAGCTCTAGTTTAATTAGATACCATTTGTCAATTCTGGCTTTTGTTGCAATTGCCTTTGGGATCTTCATCATGAAATCTTTGTCCATTCCTATGTCCTGAATGGTATTGCCTTTTTGCTATTCGCTTTCTATATGTCTTAATGTCTTTTGGTTCTTCTCTTTCTCCATTACTGCTGTATTTTGTCTTAAATATATATTTGTTATTGTACCATTTTAATTCTCTTGTCATTTTTTGTACTATATATATTTTTAGTTATTGTCTTAGTGGTTGTCTTAGGGATTACAATTAACATCTTAATTTATACAAATCCAGTTTGGTTTAATATTAACTAATTTCAATAGTATACAAAACTACTCTTAGATAGCTCAGTCCCCCACATCCTTTATGCTGTTATTGTCACAGATTGCATCTTTATACATTGTGTGCCTGCTAACTTAGATCTAGAATTGTTTCATCATGCTGTTGTTTTTTAAATAATATAGAAAAATAATGAATTGCAAACAAAAATACACGTATACTGTCTTCTATATTTATTCGTTAGTTATTTAGATGTCTTTAAATACCTTGAACCAAAAAGTCTCTCAGTTTTTGAAATGGGGCTCTGTATGCATTTTGAGTATACTTCAACACTCAGCCAGACAGCTGACAACTCAACCTTATCCTTCACTTCCTGATTGCATAGAGCCCCAATGTCAGTCTGAAGTTAGAGCTTAGAGCATTCTTAGGTATTTCCTAAAAATGCACATAGCACTCGTCATGAGCATATCACTACACTCATGTGGCCTAGTCTAGATTTTCAGGAATACATCAAAGCTTTTCAGATCTCTCCTATGGCCATCTCATTCCTCTGCTTTTCTTTTTAAAACAGTTTGGTTGTTCTAAGATTTCCCCCAGTGCCTGTCCACAAAGGTAACCACAAGGTAAATAGTTGCCTGTAATTGATTTTGATAACACCACTACAGGGAAAGGCTTTTGGGCAGGAAGGGAGAAAGGGAAGGATTTTCATACTGGCTGAACTCTGAGTCAGGTCAAATGCAGATAGCCTTGCAAGTAAGATATTTTAGGGAATGACCAGATAAGTAAAATAATGACAATTCTTTGGGAATTGGAGGCTATTTAAGATTTTGAAAGAGCTCTGGTCTCCTTCTTTATGTGACTTTCAGGCTGCTGGTTTTCACTGAGTGTGAGTTGTTGTCTGAAGAATAAGGATGGGACTTGGGCAGGTTAAAATGACACAAAGCTTGCTGTTCTTACTGAGATAGAGCTTCTTCTTTCCTTCTTTCCCCCCCTTCCTTCCTTCCCCCCTCCTTTATTCTTTCACACCCTCCTTTTATTTTTTCCTCCCTTCCTTCCTTCCTTCCCTCCCTCCCTCCCTCTCTGTCTTCTTTCTCTCTCTCTCCCACTTTCCTTCTTTCCTCCCTCGCTCTCTCCTTCCTTCCTCCCCCGCTCCTTTCTTTCTTTCCCTCCTTCCGTCTTTTCCTTCCTTCCTTCTTCCCTCCCTCCCTCCCTCCCTTCCTTCCTGTCTTCCTTGCTTCCTTCCTTCTCTGTCTTCCTTCTCTCTCTCTCTTTCTTTTCCAAAAGCCCCCTGGGTTGCTGCAAACTTTTGGTTAATTTCCAGAGTTCTGAAATAGTCAATTTTGGCCATTTTTGCCAGTTTTCTCATTGTTTTTATGGAGGAGAGAATTTTCAGAAGTCCTTATCCAGCCATTGTACTGACATCCAGAGCCACTGGACTTTAAGCTATGGAGTGAACTTGTCTAATGAGCTTATTGGCAGTGATTTGGATGGACCAAAACCAAAGAGGTTTTCCTGTAATGATTACTTTGCTTTAGATTCTAGGACCTTCCTACATATATGGGATAGATTTGGAAAAGATGCCCAACAACAATGATTGAGACTAAATTTAGTATTAAGTTAGATACTCTGGGAGACTTAAAGTGAGATTTAGTTGAGTCAAAGAAATTAAAGTTACTTGGCATTTCCTGCACATTTGATTTTGAGGTGGCAAATTAATATCTGTTACACTAGCCTCTAGCTGCTTTTCTTTCTTTCTTTCTCTTTCTTTCTTTCTTCCTCCTTTCTTTCTCTCTCTTTTCTTTTCTTTTTCTTTCTTTCTTCCTTCCTTCTTTCTTTTCTTTTCTCTTTTCTTTTCTTCTTTTACCTTAAGTCTCTTTGTCTTCAAATCTGTTTCACACACTCATGATTGGTGAGGCTTCTAAACACTCACTGTCATCCAAAGACTCCTTTGTGATTTCCCAATTAATTACAGCAATTTAAAAAAATAACTGAGAGCTTCTGGGGCACCAAGAGCTCCCTACACAACACACGCGCATGCACACACACACACATCATGCAAATAGGGCTTTTGTTTTATATGCTAAGTTTCAACATATGATGGTTGATTGCTAAGAAAAATGTTTAAAACTGATTACTCGATAGTATTTTTTCTCAAACACAAATGAACTGGTGAACTTGATAAAGCCAGATCCCCTGCCTTCACCTTCAGAGATACTTAAATATAGTAGGTTTATATGGTGAGTATAATAACAGGTCGTTTTCAGACAACCACTCAGAAAAAGCAAAAAGCAAAGTACAAGAGTATGAAAAAGGCAGCATTCAAAATGTCTCATAAATTGGTAAAGCCTACTTTTGCAAACTTGAAAGAGGCTGCTATCCCAAGATCATCTGTTATATGTATTTTGCTCATGCTGTGCCTTGGCCGAATTATTTACTTCTATCTGACATGCATTATTTGTCTTTTGTGCTTGACTTCATTCTACCCTTCCTTAAGGTTTAGCTGAAATTTCACCTTCTCCAGTTTATTGACCCTACCTAATTTAGCCTACAATGATCAGAAGGACAAATTGGGCTAAATGCTACTGTTTCTCCAAGAACAGCAACGATTGCTTAGTTTAAAATTTTCTGATTCCATCACCTTAGGGTTTAAATATGACTTGCTTTTCTCTCCCTGGTTAGCTGGAAACTCTTGCTGGGCCTGTCAGCCAAACCTGGCCTGAGACCACAGGGCAGGGAGACAATCCTGATCCAAAGATGTGTCTAGGAACAATATGGAAACGAAAAGCCAGGTGAATAGCTCCTCTCAAATGGCAATCTGACAGGACAGAGAGGCAAAACCCAGATGGAAGCCACTGAATAGAAATAAGGAGGCCCAGATGAGAGCAAGTTCTGAGTAAGGGCAAGGATCCAGTACCAGTATTTGTACTGTGAGCTTCATTTTTGCACAGGCTGGCAGAATGGGCATGGGTGGAGACATCATTGGATGCACTGACAGAGAGATGGAATCATAAATTACAAATTACATTTTTATTGCTCTTAAAAGGATAAAAAAAACACAATAAACTAATCCTAAAGGGCCACAACTTGCTTAACTCACTCCTAGAGAGACTATCTTTGGCCTTAGGTTTGGTTTTTTACTATTTTCCTTCAGTCTCAATATTAAGAGTTCCTCCAGGTGCTAAAGGATAGAGGGAAAAAATATGAAATAATCTTATGGTATGTTGATGGTAACAGAAGCAAGATAAATGTTTATCGCTTCCATTTCAAATTTGAAATACTGATAATTAAAGAGGGCTACCAATTGTACTGTATTAAATCAGCATTAAAATATATTTAATAATGTTGTAATTAATATAAAGAACACTTTTATATAAGAAAAGTAGCTGATTTATTTTTTCTCCCACAAAACTACTTTCAGTGTCATTTAAAATTATTTAGGCTGCTGTGGTGGGTCGTGCCTATAATCCTAGCACTTTGGGAGGCCGAGGTGGGTGGATCACTTGAGGCCAGGAGTTCCAGACCAGCCTGGCCAACATGGTGAAACCCTATCTCTACTAAAAATACAAAAATTAGCCAAATGTGGTGACACGTGCTGCTATAGTCCCAGCTACTCAGGAGGCTGAGGCATGAGAATCGCTTGAGACTAGGAGGCACAGGTTTCAGTGAGCCGAGATCACAGCACTGCTGGGTAACAGAGCGAGACCTCTTGTCTCAAAAATACCTCTGACTTGTTACCAAAAATGTTAATATAGTATATTCTTAAATCACTCTATGCCATTTGATGATGCTTTCATACAATTTTCATGGTCAGTATACATACATGCATATACATATACATATATATGTATTATGTGTGTGTGTTTATATATCCACATATATATGTTTATTTATCTGCAAGTATAAGCACAGTAAGACAGAATAGAAATGTTACTGTGTATGTCCCTTTTCTCTTGTACTCTTCATTTCAACCTTTGCTTTTAATCTTATTCTTTCTTAATCTCTAAGTCTCCTTGATTGGCACAGTGTAATATTTCTTTACTGTCATTGACATATTAAATAATTGTAGAAATGATACATATAATATACAATGGTATTCTCTTTTCTGGGGGAGGATGACCCCTACTGAATGCCTGAAACCATGGATAGTGCTGAATCCTACATATATTATGTTTTTTTTTTCCATTAATACATACCTAAAATAAAGTTTAATGTATAAATTAGGCACAGTAAATAATAAAAAACTAATAAAATAATAGTAACTAATAATAAAATAGGAAAATGTGAACAATATACTGTGCTAAACATTATGTGAATGTGGCGTCTCTCTCTCTCTCAAAATATCTTCCTGTGCTGCCCTTAGCCTTCTTCCTGTGATGATGTGAGATGATACAATGCCTACGTGAGGAAGTGAGATAAATGGCAGCATTGTGATGAAGCATTAGGCTACTGTTGACCTTCTGTAGTCCTGAATCTGTATAACCATCCTTTGTCCTTTACTTGCAGTAAATGGCTTGGTGTCACTCAGTGTAGTGGATCCTTTGCTGAAGTCTTCATTCAGCTTAGCCTCAATGCTTTCTGATGCAATATGTTGCCATTAATCAGAACACATTTTCTGTTCATGTCTCCCACCCACAAATTCAATGCCTTTTCCATCTTAACTAATCACTTATCACACCCTGTGCCTATAACTTGCAGTTTGAGGTACAGCAACAAAACTAGCACAACTTTCTTTTTTCTTTTTTTCATAATTTTGTGGATAGAAGATTGGTTCTTAACATAGATCTTTGCAATCTCAGCATATAATTTTTTTCTTTCTTTACTGAGAAATTTCATCTTTTCACTTAAAGGAAGTACTTTTTAGCTTCTCTTTGTCATATCTGAATTGTCAGCATCACTACTCTTGTGCT
The DNA here is from genome assembly GCF_000001405.40 of Homo sapiens. Lineage (NCBI taxonomy): Eukaryota > Metazoa > Chordata > Mammalia > Primates > Hominidae > Homo > Homo sapiens. The sequence goes on along the minus strand of NC_000006.12, from coordinate 74,807,447 downwards.
TTGGGTCCATGATTAAGTTTCTTGAACACAAGTACTGTGATACCTTAACAGTTGATCTGGTAACCATGATGGCTACTAAGTCACTTAACAGGCGGGATGCGTCCATAGCACAGATAGGCTGATTCACGTCCTGAGTGGGATGTACAAAATTTCATCATGCTATGCAGAACATCAATCAATTAAAGCTTATGAATATTTATTTCTATAATTTTCCATTTAATATTTTCAGAGTATGGTTGACTTCAGTAACTGAAACTGTGAAAAGCAAAATTGCAGATAAAATGGAGTACTGTATAGTTAAATCCTTGAATAAAAAAGAGACATTTATAGAAAGTGAATAATTTTTATAGTAAATTAAAGGGTATTAAATATAAGTAACTATAGGTAGAAAAATCTTATCTTAGGTTAGATATGTTTTATAAATTTATTTAAAAGCCGTATTTATATAAACACATGCACAGAACACCTCAAGGTGATTGGTTACTCCTTAGACTTTCAGACAATATATTGAGTTTCAGGTTGAGAGAGAGGTTGTTTGATTTTTTCATTTTTCATTCATTTATTTATTTGTCGAGCCCACACTACATGCCAAATAAGCAACATAGGCAGTCTTTATTCTCATGGAGCTGCTATTCCAGTGAGGGAAGGCAGAAAGAAAGCAGGTAGACAGGTATTAAAAATGATGACATTTCAAATAGCTTTCAGAGTTATCACAAAAATAAAGATGAGGAGTGGAATATGGGGAAAGAATGACTGGAGGAGGCAGTGCTTTAAATGTAATGATAGGAAAGTTACCCTTGAGGAGATCTATCTAATCCAAAGCCTAAAATATGAAAAGCAGTTAGGCTGCTGAAAATATGAGAGAAACTGCTCTTAAGCAGAGTGTGAACACCCGGAGGCAGGAACACCCAGCGTAAACACCCAGAGGTGGAGTCAAGATTGGAAATGTGTGGGAGAGGAAGAAAACTAGGGCATTTGAGGTCTAATGAAACAGGCTGTAAGAAAGAGATGATGTAGAAGTAGTCAGGAGCTGGATGGTGTAGAGTCCTGTGGACTATGGTAAGGGATTTGCTTTATTCTAAAATTTATGAGAAACAAAAAGATTTCAGACATGAGAGTAAGATAATCTGATGATGAACAACATGGGCTACAAAGCAGGCGGGGGACCATCTGGTTTGGCTTTAATAGGTGTGTCAGATCAGTCATCCTAATTCTGTTCCTCTTTATCTTGTTTTAACTGCATCCAGAGCAAAGCAGGGGACTGTGAAGGGGCTAACCTCTTTTGAAGAACACAGCGGTTTAAAGGAATCTTTTGGAGAGTACTGAAGACCATAAAATGTTTGAATATTGGTAGATTGCCCGTGAAAGAACAATTGCCAGAGGGATTTTAAAATGCATATCAGGAACAAAATGTTCCCTTATTCATGGAATACAGAGTAGAAACAGTGTAATTTCTCTCTCTTTCTCTCCCTCATTATAACTTCCTACATTTCTCTTTTTTAGCTAGTATATTGTTTAATCAGTAGTGTTTGATATCATTGTAAAAAATACATTTAATAACACAGATTTTTTTCTCAAGTATTTTATAATAAAGGCCAATACAAAAGAGAGAGACCTAATATAAGGTTATTTCCTTCTACTTCAATTTTCTTCTCTTTCAATAGATGATAAATTTTCTTCTTTTGCTAGAGGCTCATAAGGAGGCACAATTGATAGGGCAATCAATTATATTTTATTTGGAAGGAATACAATTTCAATTAAAATATTATTTATTACAATCATGTTACTATTCCATATTGCAAATAATACTCTATTCTTTTTTATCATTATACTTTAAGTTCTAGGATACATTTTCAAAACATACAGGTTTGTTACATAGGTATACACATGCCATGATGGATTGCTGCACCCCTCAACCTGTCATCTACATTAGGTATTTCTCCTAATGCTATCCTCTCCAGCCCTCCCGCCCTTACAACAGGCCCCAGTGTGTGATGTTCCCCTCCCTGTGTCCCCGTGTTCTCATTGTTCAACTCACACTTATGAGTGAGTACATGTGGTGTTTGGTTTTCTGTTCTTGTGTTACTTTGCTGAGAATGATGGTTTCCAGCTTCATCCATGTCCCTGCAAAGGACATGAACTAATCCTTTTTTATGGCTGCATAGTATTTCATGGTGTATATGAGAACTACAAACCACTGCTCAAGGAAATAAAATAGGACACAAAGAAATGGAAAAACATTCCATACTCATGGATAGAAAGAATCAATATCATGAAATGGCCATAATGCCCAAAGTAATTTATATATTCAATGCTATCCCCATCAAGCTACCACTGACTTTCTTCACAGAATTGGAAAAAACAATTTTAAATTTCATATGGAACCCAAAAAGAGCCTGCATAGCCAAGACAATCCTAAGCAAAAAGAACAAAGCTGGAGGCATCACGCTACCTGACTTCAAACTACACTACAAGGCTATAGTAACCAAAACAGCCTGGTACTGGTACCAAAACAGATATATAGACCCAGGGAACAGAACAGAGGCCTCAGAAATAACACCACACATCTACAATCATCTGATATTTGACAAACCTGATTAAAAACAAGCAACGGGGAAAGGAATCCCTATTTAATAAATGGTGCTAGGAAAAATGGCTAGCCATATGCAGAAAGCTGAAAGTGGATCCCTTCCTTACACCTTATACAAAAATTAATTCAAGGTGGATTAAAGACTTAAATGTAAAACCTAAAACCCTAGAAGAAAACCTAGGCAATACCATTCAGGACATAGGCATGGGCAAACACTTTATGACTAAAACACCAAAAGCAATGGTAACAAAAGCCAAAATAGACAAATGGGATCTACTTAAACTAAAGAGCTTCTGCACAGCAAAAGAAACTATCATCAGAGTGAACAGGCAACCTACAGAATGGGAGAAAATTTTTGCAATCTATCAATCTTACAAAGGGCTAATATTCAGAATCTACAAAGAACTTAAACAAATTTACAAGAAAAAACAACCCCATCAAAAAGTGGGTAAAGGATATGAAAAAACAATTTTTAATTTAATTTTATTTCTTGAAACAGGGCCTCTCTCTGTTGCTATAGCTGGAGCATAGCAGCATGATCGTAGCTCACTGCAGCCTTAAATTCCTGGGCTCAAGAGATCCTCACACCTCAGACTCCTGAGTAGCGGGGACTACAGGCATGCATCATCACACCTAGATAATTTATTTATTTATTATTATTTTTGGTAGAGATAGGGTCTTGCTATGTTACCAGGGCTGGTTTGAACTCCTGGATTCCAGCAATCCTCCCAACTAAGGCTCCCAAACTGCTGGGATTACTTTGGGTGTGAGCCACCATGCCAAGCCAATAAATACTTTTTTATATTTCCAAATAATTAGGTAATATTTAAAAAAATATTGTCAAACCAGTTAGAAAGAATAAAAATACTTATAAAATTCTTTAAGTAAAAAGCATTTGGCTTTTAAAAAGAGGTATTTGGGCCCTGTGTGGTGGCTCACACCTGTAATGCCAGCACTTTGGGAGGCCGAGGGTGGTGGATCACCTGAGGTCAGGAGTTGGAGACCAGCCTGGCCAACATGGTGAAACCCCATCTCTACTAAAAAACACAAAAATTAGCTGGGTGTGGTGGTACACACCTATAATCCCAGCTGTTCTAGAAGCTGAGGCAGGAGAATTGCTTGAACTTGGGGGACAGGGGTTGCATTCAGCCAAGAAGGCATCACTGCAATCCAGCCTGGGCAACAGAGCAAGACTCCTTCTCAAAAAAAAAAAAAAAAAAAAAAAGAGATGTTTCATCTGATTGTCTACAAAATCCAAACCACCAATATCTCCAACGATCTCCTAATTATTTTCAAAAAAATTATGTTCCTTTTTTTTAATTGGCCCAGTAAGGGATTCTATCTTAAGTGTTCAAAGAGCAGAGGTCTTTCTGGAAGTAGGCTTGGAGTTAACGAGCAGCCTGGCTCATACACCTTTGTAGCAGCCGCTCTATGCCCTCATCATTTCCTTGCATGCCAAGACCCCCGGGAAGTCCCAGGGCAGACAACAAACAGCTCTAGGTGGCCTGGAGCTGGCCAAAGACCTTTGTGTATCCTGTAGGCCTTCTGAGACCACCTCCAGATATATTTTGGCTTTACTATTTTATGAAAATGATATGTTTGTGATAAATATCCAAGAAATATTTCTGTCTATATATATATAGATAGATATTAGATATGATGTATAACAAATAACACATCATATAAAATATAATATATACTTTAAGGAAAACAGAATCACAAGATACATTCCTTTTCAATAAAAAAAAATGCTGATTTAAAAAAATTTAACCAAAGAAAGCTAGTAAAGGAATTGCTAAACTTCAAATAATTTTTTCCTTTCAACAAAAGGTAATTAATCTCAGAGGATTCTTCCAAAACTAATTGAAAACATTATGAAAAACTTAAAGGTTGGTGACTATTTTAAAGCTATAAATTTCAGCAAGACAAAATTGGTTGATTACCATCTTGTAAAGATGAGGAAGTACCTCATTTAAGCTTCCTCTGGTTTTCCCTAATAATCAGAATACACTCTGATTTTGATATATTTTAAATTTTACAATTCTAAGACATGTAGAATTTATAGTCTCTGTGTAGCTACCATTTCTACAATTGTTTTGTACTAACCTAAAATACACCATGAATCCATTTTACTATGGCTTCTCCATTTTAGAGTTCCTCGTTGGATTTATCTTTTGTTTGATTCCCTTTGATTGTCATTTTTATTTATTTGTTTGCTTGCTTGCTTTCATGTTCCAAAGGAGTACTACTCAGGAAAAGTGCTGCTTTTCCTGAGTTCTTGAATGCTCTGAATATTTTTCTGATATCTTCATATTTGAAGAAAACAGTTGCATTTAATGGTTGATTCGCATTTGCTTCCATGACTAATTTATTCAACATTATTAATTGACTTTTTATTATGTGCCAGGGACTGAGGATCCAGGGTAAACAGCATAGACAACACTGTTGCTGTTGTAAAATGTACCATCCATTATTGGTAGAAAGACAGATAAATGCATCGGTTTTACATAGTGATATGTGTTGCAAAGAAGAAAAATAGGTTAATGGATAAGTTGGCTGTGAGCCATTTTAAGTGTGAAGGCTAGATAGTGCCTTCTTGGAGATGACTTTTGAGCTGAGTTAGTAATGACTGTAAAAGAAAGCCAGTTAAGTGGAGTTGGTTAAAAAAGCATTCCAAGCAAAAGAAACAGCAGAAAAACAAGTGCACAGGCCTTATAATAGAAAGGAAAAAAAGTTTTTTGAAGATTTGGAGAGGCAGAGATAACATAGTTTTTGCTGAAAAGTAGTAAATGAAAGTGGGAGTGGGTGTTGTATTAGTCTCTTCTCATACTGCCATAAAGATACTACCTGAGACTGGGTAATTCATAAAGAAAACAGGTTTAATTGACTTACTGTTCTGCATGGTTGGTAAGGCCGCAGGAAACTTGCAATCATGTTGTAAGGTGAAGGGGAAGCAAGGCACATATTCACAAGGCAGCAGAAGACAGCAAGAAAGTACAGGTGAAACTGCCACTTTTAAAACCATCAGATCTCATGCAACCACATCCACTATCATGAGAACAGCATGGAGGAAACCACCCCCATAATCCAATCACCTCTCACAAGGTCTCTCCCTTTACACATGGGGATTACAATTCGAGATGAGATTTGGGTAGGGACACAGCCAAACCATGTCATTCTGCCTGACCCCTCCAAAATCTTATGTACTTTTCACATTTCAAAGCCAATCATGCCTTCCCAACAGTCTTCCAAATTCTTAACTCATTCCAGCATTAAGCCAAAAGTACAAGTCCAAAGTCTCATCTGAGACAAGGCAAGTCCTTCTGCCTATGAACCTGTAAAAGCAAAAGCAAGTTAGTCACTTCCAAGATATAATAGGGGTATGGGAATTGGTAAATGTTCTAATTCCAAATGGGAGAAATTGGCCAAAACAAAGGGGCCACAGCCCACATGCAAGTCTGAAATCCAGCTGGGCAGCCATTAAATATTAAAGCTCCGAAATTTCCTTTGACTCCATGTCTCACATCCAGGGCATGCTAATACAAGGAGTAGGCTCCCAAGGCCTTAGGCAGCTCCACCCCTGTGGCTCTGCAGGGTTCAGCCCCCTGGCTGCTTTCACAGGCTGTTGTTGAGTGCCTGCAACTTTTTGAGGTGCATGGTGGAAGATGTTGGTGTATCTATTTTTCTGGGGTCTGGAGGATAGTGGCCCTACTAGGCAGTGCCCCAGTGGCAACTGTGTGGGGGTTCCAACCCCATATTTCCATATTTCCCTTTCACACTGCCCTAACAGAGGTTCTCCATGAGGGCTCTGGCCCTGCACCCTGCAGCAGACTTCTGCCTGGACATCAAGGTATTTTCTTTTCTTTTTTTTTTTTGACAGAGTCTTGCTCTGTTGCCCAGGCTGGAATAAGTGGTATGATCTCAGCTCACTGCAACCTCCGCCTCCCAGGTTCAAGTGATTCTCCTGCCTCAGCCTTCTGATTAGCTGGGATTATAGGTGCCCACCACCACACCAGACTAATTTTTGTATTTTTACTAGAGATGGGGTTTCTCCATGTTGGCTAGGCTGATCTCAAACTCCTGACCTCAGGTTATCCACCCACCTCGCCCTCCCAAAGTGCTGAGATTGCAGGCGTGAGTCACCACACCCAGCCCATCCAGCTATTTTCATACATCCTCTGAAATCTAGGGGGGAGGTTCCAAAACCTCAATTATTAACTTCTGTGCACCTGCTGACCCAACACCACATGGAAGTCACCAAGGCCTGGGGCTTGCACCCTTTGAAGTAACAGCCTGCAGTACATTGGCCCATTTTAACCATGGCCAGAGCTGGAGTGACAGGGACACAGGACACCAAGTCCTGAGGCTGCACAGAGCAGCTGGGCCCTGGACCTGACTCACAAAATTATTTTTCCCTTCTCAGCCTCTAGGCCTGTGATGGGAGAGGCTGCTGTGAAGGTCTCTGACATGCCCTGGAAACCCCATGATCTTGGCTATTAACATTCAGCTCCTTGTTACTTAGGCAAATTTCTGCAGCAGGCTTGAATTCTTCCCCAGAAAATGGGTTTTTCTTTTCTACCACATGGTCAGGCTGCAAGTTTTCCAAACCTTTATGCTCTGTTTCCCTTTTATACATACGTTCCAATTTCAAGCCATCTATTTGTGAACAAATATAACTGAATGCTTTCAGAATAAGCCAGGTCACCTCTTGAATGTTTTTCTGCTTAGAAATTTCTTCTGCCAGATACCCTAAATCATCTCTCTCAAGTTCAAAGTTCCACAGATCTCTGGGGCAGGGGCAAAATGCCACCAGTCTCTTTGCTAAAGCATAGCATGAGTAACCTTTGCTCCAGTTCCCAACAAGTTCCTCATCTCCATCTGAGACCACCTAAGCCTAGATTTTATCATCCATATCACTATTATCATTTTGGTCAAAACCATTCAACAAGTCCCTTGGAAGTTTCAGACTTTTGCACATCTTCTTGTCTTTTTCTGAGCCCTCCACAGTGTTCCAACCTCTGCCTGCTACCTAGTTCCAAAGTCACTTCCACATTTTCAGTTTATAGCAGTTCCCCACTCCCTACCAATTCTCTGTGTTAGTCCATTGTCATACTGCTATAAATATACTACCTGAGACTGGGTAATTTCTACACAGAAGAGGTTTAATTGACTCATAGTTTGGCATGGCTTGGGAGGCCTCAGGAAACTTACAATCATGGTTTAAGGTGAGGGGGAAGCAAGGTGTGTCTTATATGGCAGCAGGAGACAGGGAGAGAGGAAGTGCCACACTTTTTTTTTTTTTTTTGAGATGGAGTCTCGCTGTCGCCCAGGCTGGAGTGCAGTGGCACGATCTCGGCTCACTGCAAGCTCTGCCTCCCGGGTTCACACCATTCTCCTGCCTCAGCCTCCCAAGTAGCTGGGACTACAGGCAGCTGGCACCACGCCCAGCTGATTTTTTTTTTTTTTTTTTTTTTTTGAGACAGAGTCTCGCTCTGTCGCCCAGGCTGGAGTGCAGTGGCGGGATCTCGGCTCACTGCAAGCTCCGCCTCCCGGGTTCACGCCATTCTCCTGCCTCAGCCTCCCAAGTAGCTGGGACTACAGGCACCCGCCACTACGCCCGGCTAATTTTTTGTACTTTTAGTAGAGACGGGGTTTCACCGTTTTAGCCAGGATGGTCTCGATCTCCTGACCTTGTGATCTGCCCGCCTCGGCCTCCCAAAGTGCTGGGATTACAGGCGTGAGCCACCGCACCCGGCCCCAGCTGATTTTTTGTATTTTTCAGTAGAGACGGGGTTTCACCATGTTAGCCAGGATGGTCTCGATCTCCTGACCTTGTGATTCGCCCGCCTCAGCCTCCGAAAGTGCTGGGATTACAGGCGTGAGCCACCACGCCCGGCCTGGAAGTGCCACACTTTTAAAACCATCAGATTTTGTGAGAACTCACTATCATGAAAACAGCATGGAGGAAGCCTCTTCCATGATCTAATTACCTCCCAGCAGGTCTCTCCATCAACACATGGGGATTACAGTTTGCGATAAGATTTGGGTTGGGACACAGAGACAAATGATACCAGGACTGTAGACCATGTAAGGCCTGATAGGCCATTGGAAGAGATTTGGGATTTTTGTAATTGCAACGGGAATTCCACCTGCTACTCTAGGCACTGTCCTTTTTGCCCCCAATTTCTCATCTGATATTATTTTATCTGTCCCTTTCAGACTTCTGTCATCACCACTCTAAGACCTCATTGACAAGAGTAGAAATAGCAATAAGTTTGCCTCATTAGGAGACATTTCTCTGCTCTTAACTTTCCTGATCTTTTAGTAGCATTTTATCAGCTGACCACTTCCTCTTTTTTCCATTGGCATGTATGACACAACCTTTTATGGTTTTCTCCCACCTGAGACGACTTCTCAGTCTCTTTCTTTTATGTATCTACTGCATATTTCTGAATAATTGTATACAGTCCTATGACTATGGTATCATCTGTGTAGCAGCATCTGCCAAATATCATTGTCCTAGTCCTCCCCAGAACTCCAGTTTGATATATGAACTGCCACTTGACCTTTTCACTTAGATCTTTAATATACATCTGAAAAATAACATGGCTAAAATCAAACTCTTCTTTGGCCATCTTAAACTAGTGCTCTGACAGACTACACCATCTCAGTCACTGGCTCCCCTTTCCACTCAACTGCTCAGCATTATTCTTGATTATTCTCCTTTGATTTTACCCTAATATAATTAATTCATTAGAAAGTACTGTCACTTTATGTCTAAAATACCCCTTTGGTCAGAACAATTTGCTCCATCTCTAAGATAAGCAGCCTCACCCTAGCTGCCATTATTGCTTTCTTACGCTGATTCAATAAGATTCTAGACAATCTGATTGGTTCTAATCTTACCCCTACAAATTCACTGTTTTCCAAATAACCAAAGTGATTTTCTTAGAAGGTGAATTAGGACATGTCACTCCACTACTTAAGTTTTTCTAGTGCCTTCACATCACACTTATAAAAAATGTTTCTAAAATGCTTATCTTAGATTCCAATTGCTACCTGCCCTTTTATGCTTACCTTGGCTCACTCTCCTCATTTAATAATTTGTAGGTTAAGTGGAAATCTTCAAAATTGTCAAATATATTGAGTTCATTTCCTCACACTTTTCCAAAATTTTAGTCAATGTGTGTTAGAAATCCATCAAAGGGTTAGTTTCCACCACAACTATTTATTTTGAAAAAGTAAAAAATCAGGACAATAAACACCCTTATGTCCTTAATTGCACCAATTATTAACATGCCACATTTACACATGCTGTCTTTCTTATATCCCTTAACACTTCAACATATATATATATATATATATATATATATATATATATGTTGGCATATATATATATATGTTGGCATATATATATGTTGGCATATATATATGTAGGCATATATATATATGGCATATATATATGTAGGCATATATATATATGGCATATATATGTATATATAGGGGCATTCTCCAATCACAATATTATTATCCTATACAAAAATTAAAAGTAATTCAATATTATCTACTATCCAGTCCATATTCAAATTTCTCCAGTTGTCTAAAAAATGTCCTTTAAAGCTCTCTCAACTAGGATAAAAATAAAATTGTTTAAGTATTTTAAACAAATATATATCTTAAAAAGAACTTTAACAGGAAAACAATCTTATACCCAGATATTAGCCATTTCTGATGTTCTTTTATTTGTGAAGAGCTTGGTTTCCCTCTGGTATTACTTGTCTTCATCCTGAAGATGTCCTTTGGTTTTTCTTATAGAGTAGATCTGTTGGTGATTAATTCTCTTAATTTTTCTTTATCTTAACTATCTTTATTTTGCCTTTATTCATAAAGGATATTGTCACTGGAAATGAAATTTTATTTTCCTTCAGCAACTTATTGAGATGTTGTTCTATTGTTTTATAGCCTCTGTGGTTTCTGATGAGAGATCTGAGAAATACAAATTGTTGTTCCCTTGTGTGTTATGTGTTGCTTTTCTGTAGCTACTTTCAGGACTTTTTCTTCAGCTTTGAATTTCAGTAGTTTGATTATGGTGTTTCCAGACAATAAAAATAATTAATTTTATTTAAAGTTTGCTAATCTTCTTAGTCTGTAAATGTCTTTCATAGGATTTGGGAATTTGTTGCCTATTTAAAATATTTGTCTTCTGGACGGGCGCGGTGGCTCACGCCTGTAATCCCAGCACTTTGGGAGGCCGAGACGGGCAGATCACGAGGTCAGGAGATCGAGACCATCCTGGCTAACACGGTGAAACCCCGTCTCTACTGAAAATACAAAAATTAGCCGGGCATGGTGGCGCGCGCCTGTAGTCCCAGCTACACGGGAGGCTGAGGCAGGAGAATGGTGTGAACCCGGGAGGCGGAGCTTGCAGTGAGTCGAGATCGTGCCACTGCACTCCAGCCTGGGTGACAGAGCGAAACTCCGTCTCAAAAAAAAAAAAAAAAAAATTGTCTTCTTCAATCTCTTCTTGACTTCTGGCATTCTAACTACATGCATGTTAGATTTTTTAATATTGTCCTACAGGTCTCTTAGGCTCTATTCATTTAAAAACTTTTCTTCTGTCTGTTCTTCTGGGTAATTTCTATTTAATCTGCAAGTTCATGAGTTTATTGCTACCTTATCTGCACTCTGTTATTCAGGTTATCTAATTCATTTCATTCATTCAGATATTAATTTTTTAGCTCTAAAATTTCCTTTTGTTGTTTTACATAATTTTTATTTCTCCACTAAGATTTCCTGTTTTCCTTTATTTCTAGTGTGTTTTTTTCTTTTTTTAATTTCTTGGAGCATAGTTCCCATAATACCATTTATAAAAAAATTTTGATTTCCATAGGTTTTTGGAAAACAGGTGGTATTTGGTTACATGAGTAAGTTCTTTAGTGGTGATTTGTGAGATTTTGGTGCACCCATCTCCCAAGCAGTATACACTGAACCCAATTTGTAGTCTTTTATCCCTTACCCCCTTCTCACCCTTTCCCCCTGAGTCCCCAAAATCCATTGTATCATTTTTATGCCCGTGTTTCCTCATAGCTTAGCTCCCACTTATGAGCGAGAACATACAATGTTTGGTTTTCCATTCCTGAGTTACTTCACTTAGAATAATTGTCTCCAATTCCATCCAGGTTGCTGTGAATGCCATTAATTCATTCCTTTTTATGGCTGAGTAGTATTCCATCATATATATATATATATATATATATATATATATATATACACACACACACACATATATATCCACTTGATTGATGGGCATTTGGGTTGGTTCCATATTTTTGCAATTGCAAATTGTGCTGCTATAAACATGTGTGAACAAGTATCTCCTTTGTATAATGACTTAATTTTCCTCTGGTTAGATACCCAGTAGTGGAATTGCTGGGTCAAATGGTAGTTCTACTTTTAGTTCTTTAAGGAATTTCTACACTGTTTTCCATAGTGGTTTTACTGGTTTACATTCCCACCAGCCACGTAGAAGTGTTCCCTTTTCTCTGTGTCCCCGCCAACATCTATTATTTTCCAATTTTTTGATGATGGACATTCTTGGAGGAGTAAGGTCGTATCGCATTGTGGTTTTGCTTTGCATGTCCCTGATCCTTAGTGATGTTAAGCATTTTTTCATATGTTTGTTTGCCATTTGTACACTGCTTTTGAAAACGTCTATTCCTATCCTTAGTCCACTTTTGATGGGATTGTTTGTTTTTTTCTTGCTAAATTTTTTGTGTTTGTTGTAGACTCTGGATATTAGTCCTTTGTCAGATAAATAAATTGTGAAGATTTTCTCCCACTCTGTGGGTTGTCTGTTTACTCTGTGGACTGTTCCTTTTGCCATGCAAAAGCTCTTTAGTTTTATTAAGTCCTAGCTATTTATCTTTGTTTTTCTTGCATTTGCTTTTGGGTTCTTGGTCAGGAAATCCTTGCTTAAGCCAATGTCTTGAAGGGTTTTTTTTTTTTTTCGATGTTATCTTCTATAATTTTTATAGTTTTAGGTCTCAGGTGTCATATTGAAGTCCTTGAGTTGATTTTTGTATAAGGTGAGAGATGAAGATCCAGTTTCATTCTCCTACATGTGCCTTGCCAATTATCCCAGAACCATTTGTTGAATAGGGTGTCCTTTCCCCACTTTAGGTTTTTGTTTGCTTTTTCAATGATCAGTTGGCTGTAAGTATTTGGGTTTATTTCTGGGTTCTCTCTTGTGTTCCATTGGTCTATGTGCCTATTTTTATACCAGCTGGAGTTTTTCTTCTTCCTGCCGTCTTTTCCCAGTACTTCTTGTAGCCTTCCCCAAGGGCTACCAGACCTTGGTAGGACCCCAAGGACCCCTATGAGACAAGGCAGAAATGGCTTCCCAGGGAACCCAGAGAGTCCACGGGGCTTTTCCCACTGTTTCCTCTGCACCTGTATTTCTCTTGGCTCTCTAAATTGACTCAGGTCCAGGTAAGCTCAGAATCTTCTCCCATGATCTACTCCTTCATGTTCCTCATTGGGGATGTGTGTTTAGGGACGGACGATCCCCCTTTCCCACTTGCACAGCTTGGGCGCTCGCAGTATTTAGAGTTTCTCCTGGATCCTGCAGGGGCAATCTGCTTCTTTCAGAGGGTCTGTGGGTTCTCTCATCTTTCCTGCTTTATTCCTGAAGTAGTTCTGGGGCACAAGTTTATGATGTGAGTGAGTCTCCACACACTGCTGTGTCCATCCACATGGGAGCTGCAATCTAGTCCTGCCTGCCATTCAGCATGATCCCTCGGTCTTCAGTTATCATAACACCTTTAAAGACTTTGTCTAATAACCCCAATAAATGTGTTACCCTGATGTCCTTCCCTTGAGAGTGTGTCACATTTTCCTGATTCCTTGTATGTCAAGTAACTTGGACTATATCTGGCCAATATGACAGTGAATGTCATATTGTAGATTATGGGCTTTGCTACAATATTTTAGAGTATATCAGTGTTCTTGTTTTAACAAATAATCAACACAGTTAGGATCCAGTTGCAATTGCTATTTCACCTTCTATATGTGGTGATTCAAATTCTAATTCCCTGTGTTTCGCTTTGCATTTAAAGCGGTCAGTCTTAAGCATGCATACTTCAGGGGTAGGACTGAGACTTGTAAGTGTTTATATTCAAAATTAAAGAAAATTCAGGGAAAGAGCTCTTCCTCTGACAAGATTTTTCCCTCATATTTGTCCCTTTCTAATAATTACTCTGGCCATTAATATGGCAGGGGTTTCCACTGGAGTTTTAGGCACTGTTCCACCACACACACACAAAAAATAAAGGCAGGAAACTCACCCCGTGCTGGTTACTTCACACTGAGTCCCCTTCATAATCTACCTACTTTTGTTTACCTTTCACATTTATCTAGTAGTTTTTTTTCTTTTTTTTTTTTTGTCCAGAGTTTATAGTTGTAATCAGTGGGAGACATGGGCTGCCATAAAAGGACCAAATCTTCTAATCCAGCTACATTTCCATCAAAGCTCAGAATTTTCTATCAAAATTTTCTGAATTTTAGAGTTCATGCAGAGACATCAGGTGCTTCACTCTTATCCATCTTCTTCTATGTATAGATTTTTATTCAATGTTTTATAATTAATAGCAATTATTATTATTTTTGATGCTCAAATTTCCCCAAATTTGGCTAGTAAGAGCCTATTCAGATGTTCCGGTCTCACTTTATACTTTTTTAGTGCCAAGACTTCAATTAGCCAGCTTTTTTTGTTTGTTTGTTTTCATTTTTTCAAAGGAGTCTTGATCCCTTTTGGTGGAAAATGCTTTCTGGTTTTATGCTTGCATTTCCCAGTCAAAATGCAATTCCTGATCAAGCCTAGCTAATGAATTTCTTTAAAATTTTGATAATTAAATAATTCAATGAATAAAAAATCAGATAAATCTAGAAGATTAAGCATTATGCAAAGTAACTGGGCTATATTCATTTAAAAAATGTAATATCTTCAGGAAAAGAGGGAGAGAAGGATAGTTTATTTTCTACAGATTGAAAGGGGTTAAGAAATATAACTACCAAATGTAATCTGTGGATCTCAGCTGAATCCTGAAATAAAAATTTGAATAGCAATGGCAGAAGAGTATTTAACACTATTCCCAAAATTGATAGACATTTGTTCTCATCATTAAACATAATTCATAAAATTCATTCTTCATGACATATACTTCAAGGATATGATCATTCTTAAAATTTAATAGGATTTGTTTTTCTCTCATTATCAAAGGTATTGCTAAATTTTCTGGAGCTAATACTAATTAAAATAAAAATTTCATGCTGAATTTCAAAATAGATTTTCCTCAGACATAATTCTATGCTGTCCTAACAGTCTTAATCTTTTTTTTAGAATTTAAATTATGAAGTGTAATAAAAAAAATACCACCAGTGAACTGCTTATAACCTTGCTTTTTCAAAGTTAATTTTTTCCTTTGAATTTATGAACTTTGACAGAGTTTATTGCTGTAATTCATGACATCCTTGCAATTTTAGTTTTTTCCCAGGTACTCAAAACTGACTGTAATTAAACTTCTTTTTTTCCCCTTTATTTGAGGTAACCATCTTTAAGCAAATATATACAGATAATAATAATGTTTTATAAGTAATGAAAATGGACATTTTCTAATTTGTACAAAGTTAAAGTTTTTAACATGAGGGGATGTACAATTTACAATGTTATTGAAAGACTTTTCTCTATCAAAATAATCATGTGATTTCTGTCTTTAGTTCTGTTTATATGATGAGTCACATTTTTTTGGTTTGCATTTGTTGAACCAACCATGCATCCCAGGTGTAAAGCCTACTTGATTGTTGTGGATTAGCTTTTTGATGTGCTGCTGAATTTTGTTTTCTAGTATTTTGTTGAGGATTTTTGCATCCATGTTCATCAAGGATATTGGCCTGAAGTCTTAGTTTTTTTTGTTGTGTCTCTGCCAGGTTTTTTGTATCAGGATGATGCTGGCCTCATAGAATGAATTGGAGAGACTTCCCTCCTCAATCATGGGGAATAGTTTCAGTAGAAATGGTACCAGTTCTTCTTTGTACATCTGGCAGAATTTGGCTGTGAATCTGTCTGGTCCTGGGCTTTTATTGGTTGGTAGGTGATTTATTACTGATTCAATTTTGGAGATTGTTATTGGTGCATTCAGGAATTCAGTTTCTTCCTGGTTTAGTCTTAGAAGGGTACACATGTCCAGGAATTCATCCATTTCTTCTAGTTTTCTAGCCTGTGTGCATAGAGGTGTTCATAGTAGTCTCTGATGGTTATTTGTATTTCTGTGGGGTTGGTGGTAACATCCCCCTTTTCATTTCTAATTGTGTGTTTTTTTTTTGGATCTTCTCCCTTTTCTTCTTTGTCTAGATAATGGTTTATCTTATTAATTAAAAAAATGTCCTACATATCCTTGTTAACCTTGTGTCTCGTTGATCTAATATTGACAGTGGGGTGTTAAAGTCTCCCATTATTATTGTGTGTGAGTCTAAGTCCCTTTGTAGGTCTCTAAGGACTTGCTTTATGAATCTGGGTGCTCCTGTATTGGATTGGATGCATATGTATTCAGGATAGTTAGCTCTTCTTGTTGAATTGATCCCTTTACCATTATGTAGTGGCCTTCTTTGTCTCTTTTGATCTTTGTTGGTTTAAAGTCTATTTTATCAGAAACTAGGATTACAACCCCTGCTTTTTTTTTTTTTTTTTTTTTTTTTTGCTTTCCATTTGCTTGGTAGATCTTTCTCCATCCCTTTATTTTGAGCCTATGTACGTCTTTGCACATGGAATGGGTCTCCTGAATAAAGCACACTGATGGATCTTGACTCTTTATCCAATATGCCAGTCTGTGTCTTTTAATTGGGGTATTTAGCCCATTTACACTTAAGGTTAATACTGTTATGTTTGAATTTGATCCTGTCATTATGATGTTAGCTGGTTATTTTGACCATTAATTGACGCAGTTTCTTCATAGCGTTGATGGTCTTTACAATTTGGCATGTATTTGCAGTGGTTGGTACTGGTTGTTCTTTCCATGTTTAGTGCTTTCTTCAGGAGCTCTTGTAAAGCAGGCCTGGCAGAGACAAAATCTCTCATCATTTGCTTGTTTGTAAAGGATTTTATTTCTCCTTCACTTATGAAGCTTAGTTTGGCTGGATATGAGATTCTGGGTTGAAAATTCTTTTCTTTTTATATATATATATATATTTATTATACTTTAATTTCTAGGGTACATGTGCACAACGTGCAGGTTTGTTACATATGTATACATGTGCCGTGTTGGTGTGCTGCATCCATTAACTCGTCATTTACATTAGGTATATCTCCTAATGCCATCCTTCCCCCCTCCCCTGACCACACAACAGGCCCTGGTGTGTGATGTTCCTCTTCCTGTGTCCAAGTGTTCTCATTGTTCAATTCCCACCTATGAGTGAGAACATGCAGTGTTTGGTTTTTTGTCCTTGTGATGGTTTGCTGAGAATGATGGTTTCTAGCTTCATCCATGTCTTTTCTTTAAGAATATTGAATATTGGACCCCACTGTCTTCTGGCTTATAGGGTTTCTGCTGAGAGATCTGCTGTTAGTCTGATGGGCATGGGCTTCCCTTTGTGGGTAACCTGACCTTTCTCTCTGGCTGCCCTTAATATTTTTTCCTTCATTTCAACCTTGGTGAATCTGACAATGATGTGTCTTGGGGTTGCTCTTCTCGAGGAGTATCTTTGTGGTGTTCTCTGTATTTCCTGAATTTGAATGTTGGTCTGCCTTGCTAGGTTAGGGAAGTTCTCCTGGATAATATCCTGAAGAGTGTTTTCTAACTTGCTTCTATTCTCCCCATCACTTTCTAGTACACCAATCAAATATATATTTGGTCTTTTCACATAGTCCCATATTTCTTGGAGGCTTTGTTTGTTTCTTTTTACTCTTTTTTCTCTAATCTTGTCTTCTTGCTGAATTTCATTAATTTGATCTTCAATCACTGATATCCTTTGTTCCACTTGATCAAATCAGCTATTGAAGCTTGTGCATGTGTCACAAAGTTCTCATGCTGTGGTTTTCAGCTCCATCAGGTCATTTAAGGTATTTTCTACACTGTTTATTCTGGTTAGCCATTCCTCTAACCTTTTTTTCCAGGTTTTTAGCTTCCTTGCCATGGGTTAGAACATGCTCCTTTAGCTTGGAGAAGTTTGTTATCACCGACATTCTGAAGCCTACTTCTGTCAACTCGTCAGACTCATTCTCCATCCTGTTTTGTTCCCCTGCTGGCTAGGAGCTGCGATCCTTTGGAGGAGAAGAGGCACTCTGGTTTTTGGAATTTTCAGCTTTTCTGCCCTGGTTTCTCCCCATCTTTGTGGTTTTATCTACCTTTAGTCTTAGATGTTGGTGACCTACAAATGGGGTTTTGGTGCGGATGTCCTTTTTGTTGATGTTTATGCTATTCATTTCTGTTTGTTAGTTTTCCTTCTAACAGTCAGGACCCTGAGCTGCAGGTCTATTGGGGTTTGCTGGAGGTCCACTCCAGACCCTGTTTGCCTGGGTATCACCAGCAGAGGCTTCAGAACAGCAGATATTGCTGCCTGATCCTTCCTCTGGAAGCTTCATCCCAGAGGCACATCCACCTGTTTGAGGTGTCTGTCCACCCCTACTGGGAGGCATCTCCCAGTCAGGCTGCAAAGGGGTCAGGGGCCCGCTTGAGGAGGCTGTCAGTACGTTCTCAGAACTCGAACCGACAAGAGAAAGCAGGAAAGATCTAAAATCGACGCTCTAACATCACAATGAAAAGAACTAGAGAAGCAAGAGCAAATGAATTCAAAAGCTAGCAGAAGGTGAAAAATAACAGATCAGAACAGAATTGAAGGAGATAGAGACACAAAAAACCCTTCAAAAAATCAATGAATCTAGGAGCTAGTTTTTTGAAAAGATCAACAAAATTGATAGACCACTAGCAAGACTAATAAAGAAGAAAAAAGAGAAGAATCAAATAGACACAATAAAAAATGATAAAGGGGATATCACCACTGATGCCACAGAAATACAAACTACCATCAGATGATACTATAAGCACCTCTATGCAAATAAACTAAAAAATTTAGAAGAAATGGATAAATTCCTGGACACATACACCCTCCCGAGACTAAACCAGGAAGAAGTTGAATCTCTGAATAGACCAATAACAGGTTCTAAAATTGAGGCGATAATTAATAGTCTACCAACCAAAAAAAGTCCAGGACCAGATGGATTCATAGCTGAATTCTACCAGAGGTACAAAGAGGAGCTGGTACCATTCCTTCTGAAACTATTCCAATCAATAGAAAAAGAGGGACTCCTCCCTAACTCATTTTATGAGACCAGCATCATCCTGATACCAAAGGCTGGCAGAGATACAAAAAAAAAAAAAAAAAAGAGAATTATACGCCAATATCCCTGATGAACATTGATGTAAAAATCCTCAATAAAATACTGGCAAACCTAATCCAGTAGCACATCAAAAAGCTTATCCACTACGATCAAGTCAGCTTCATCCTGGGATGCAAGGCTGGTTCAACGTAAACAAATCAATAAAGGTAATCCATCACTTAAACAGAACCAACGACAAAAACCACATTGTTATCTCAATAGATAAAGAAAAAGCCTGTGACAAAATTCAACAGCACTTCATGTTAAAACTCTCAACAAACTAGGTATTGATGGAACATATCTCAAAATAATAAGAGCTAGGAACATATCTCAAAATAATAAGAGCTATTTATGACAAACCCACAGCCAATAACATACTGAATGGGCAAGAACTGGAAGCATTCCTTTTGAAAACCGGCACAAGACAAGGATGCCCTCTCTCACCACTCCTATTCAACACAGTATTGGAAGTTCTGGCTAGGGCAATCAGGCAAGAGAAAGAAATAAAGGGTATTCAGTTAGGAAAAGAGGAAGAAGAGGAAGTCAAATGGTCTCTGTTTGCAGATGACATGATTGTATATTTAGAAAATCCCATCATCTAAGCCCAAAATCTCCTTAAGCTGATAAGCAACTTCAGCAAAGTCTCAGGATACAAAATCAATGTGCAAAAATCACAAGCATTCCTATGCACCAATAATAGTCAAACAGAGTCAAATCATGAGTGAACTCCCATTCACAATTATTACAAAGAGAATAAAATACCTAGGAATGCAACTTACAAGGGATGTGAAGGACCTCTTCAAGCAGAACTACAAACCACTGCTCAACAAAATAAAAGAGGTCACAAACAAATAGAAGAACATTCCATGCTCATGGATAGGAAGAATCAATATCATGAAAATGGTCATACTGCCCAAGGTAATTTATAGATTCAATGCTATTCCCATCAAGCTACCACTGACTTTCTTCACAGAATTGGAAAAAGCTACTTTAAAGTTCATATGGAACCAAAAAAGAGCCAATGTAGCCAAGACAATCCTAAACCAAAAGAACAAAGCTGGAGGCATCATGCTACCTGACTTCAAACTGTATTACAAGGCTACAGTAACCAAAACAGTACTGGTACCAAAACAGAGATATAGACCAATGGAACAGAACAGAGGCCTCAGAAATAACACCACACATCTACAACCATCTGATCTTTGACAAACCTGACAAAAACAAGAAATGGGGAAAGGATTCCCTATTTAATAAATGGTGCTGGGAAAACTGGCTAGCCGTATGCAGAAAGCTGAAAGTGGATCCCTTCCTTACACCATAAACAAAAATTAAATCAAGATGGATTAAAGATTTAAATGTAAGACCTAACACCATAAAAACCCTAGAAGAAAACCGAGGCAATACCATTCAGGACATAGGCATGGGCGAAGACTTCATGACTAAAACACCAAAAGCAATGGCAACAAAAGCCAAAATAGACAATGGGAACTAATTAAAGAGATTCTGCGCAGCAAAAGAAACTACCATCAGAGTGAACAGGCAACCTACAGAATGGGAGAAAATTTTTGCAATCTACCCATCTGGCAAAGGGCTAATATCCAGAATCTACAAAGAACTTAAACAAATTTACAAGAAAAAAACAACCCCAACAAAAAGTGGGCAAAAGATATGAACAGACACGTCTGAAAAGATGACATCGATGCCACCAAAAGATGTATTAAAAAATGCTCATCATCACTGGCCATCAGAGAAATGCAAATCAAAACTGCAATGCGATACAATCTCAGGCCAGTTAGAATGGTGATCATTAAAAAGTCAGGAAACAACTGGTGCTGGAGAGGATGTGGAGAAGTAGGAACAGTTTTACACTGTGGGTAGGAGTGTAAATTAGTTCAAGCATTGTGGAAGACAGTGTGGTGATTCCTCAAGGATCTAGAAGTAGAAATACCATTTGACCCAGTGATCCCATTACTGGGTATATACCCAAAGGATGATAAATCATTCTACTATAAAGACACATGCACACATTTGTTTATTGCGGCACTATTCACAATAGCAAAGACTTGGAACCAACCCAAATGTCCATCATTGATAGACTGAATAAAGAAAATGTTGCACATATACACCATGGAATACCATGCAGCTATAAAAAAGGATGAATTCATCTCCTTTGCAGGGACATGGATGAAGCTGGAAACCATCATTCTAAGCAAACTATCACCAGAACAGAAAACCAAACACTGCATGTTCTCACTCATAGGTGGGAATTGAACAACGAGAACACATGGACACAGGGTGGGGAACATCACACACCGGGACCTGTTGGGGAGTGGGGGTCTGGGGGAGGGATAGCATTAGGAGAAGTACCTAATGTAAATGACAAGTTGATGGGTGCAGCAAACTAACATGGGACATGTATACCTGTGTAACAAACCTGCATCTTGTGTACATGTATGCTAAAACTTAAAGCATAACCAAAAACAAAAACAAAAAAACTCCTCCTGGATTGGTTGGTCTTTTTAATTTTTTTGATGTCTCAATCTTCTTCAGTTAAGTTCTGATTTTGGTTATTTTTTGTCTTCGGCTAGCTTTAGGGTTGATTTTCTCCTGCTTATCTAGTTCCGTTTGTTGTGCTGTTAGGTTGCTAATTTGAGATCTTTATAACCTTTTGATGTGGGTGTTTAGTGTTATAAATTTTGCTCTTAACACAGCCTTAGCCATGTCCCAGGGATTCTGGTATGTTGTGTTTTTGTTCTCTTTACTTTCAAAGAACTTCTTGATTTCTTTCTCCATTACATTATTTACCCAAAAGTCATTCAGGAAGAGCTTTGTAAATTTCTATGTAATTGTATGTTTTTGAGTGAGTTTCTTAGTCTTGATTTCTATTTTTACTGCACTGTGATTTGAGAATCTCTCTTTTTTTCTTAGTTAGTCTGGCTAAAGTTTTGTCAATTTTGTTGAGCTTTTCAAAAAAAGCTTCTGGCTGGGCATGGTGACTCATGCCTGTAATTCCAGCATTTCAGAGGCCAAGGTGGGTGGATCACTTGAGGCCAGGAGCTCGAGACCAGCCTGGCCAACATGATGAAATCCTGTCTCTACTAAAAATACAAAAATTTACCGGGCATGGTAGTGGGCAACTTAATCCCAGCTACTCAGGAGGCCGAGGCAGGGGAATTGCTTGGACCCAGGAGGCTGAGGCTGCCATGAAGCAAGATTGCATCACTGAACTCCAGCCTGGGAGACAGAGTGAGACCCAGTCTCAAAAAAGAAAAAACAACAAAAAACAAAAAACTAACTTCTGTTTTATTGATCTTTTGTATTGTTTTCTTCATTTCAAATTCATTTATTGCTGCTCTGTTTTTTATTATTTCTTTATTCTACTAATTTGGGGTTTGGTTATTCTTATAGTTCTTTAAGATTCATCATTAAGTTGTTAATTTGAAGTTTTTCTTTCTTTGATGAACTCATTTCTAGCTATAAACTTACCTCTTAATGCTTCTTTCTCTGTATCCCATAGGTTTTGGTATGTTGTGTTTCCATTATCATATGTTTCAATACATTTTTAACTTTTTTCCTCAATTTCTTAATTGAACCACTGGTCGTTCAGGAGGATATTGTTTAATTTCCATGTGTTGGAATGTATAGTGTCCAAACTTCCTTTTGCTTTTGATTTCTAGTTTCAGTCCATTGTGGTCATAGGTGCTTGATAATATTTCAGTTTTTTTTAATGTTTTAAGACTTGTTTTGTGACCTAATACATGGTCTATCCTCGAGGATGATCCATGTGCTGATGATAAGAATGTGTATTCTGCAGCCATTCAATGAAATGTTCTATAAATATCTATCAGGTTCTATAGTGCAGATTAAGGCTCTTGTTTCTTTGTTGTGTTTCTGTCTAGAAGATCCCACAAATGCTGAAAGTGAGGTGTTCAAGTCTCCAGCTGTTATTGTATATGGGACCATCTCTCTTTTTAGCCATAATAATATTAGCTTCCTATACTTGGATATTAATATTTTTCTCTAGGTTTGAGAAGTTCTGTGTTATAAGCATGGGTCCTCCAGTGTTGGGTACAAATATATTTAAAATTGTGATATCCTCTTGCTGAAATGACACCTTTATCATTATATAATGACCTTCTTTGTCTCTTCAAATAATTTTTGTGTTGAAGTCTATCTTGTTTGATATAAGTGCGGCTACTCCTGCTCTTTTTTTGGTTTCCATTGACATGGAATATCTTTTTCAGTTTATCTGTGTTTTTCTAGGTGAAGTGTGTTTCTTATAGGAAACAGATCACTGGGTCTTTTTTTAAATTCATTAAGCCATTTTTGGTGTCTTTTTTTGGGAGAATTTAGTCCATTTACATTCAAAGTTATTATTAATAATTAAGGAGTTACTCCTGTTATTTTGTTATTTGTTTTCTGGTTATTTTGCGGTCCTCTCTTCTTTTCTTCCTTCCTGTCTTTCTTTCAGTGAAGGTAATTTTTCTGATGGTAAGATTTAATCTCTCCTTTTTATTTTTTTGTGCACCAGTTACATGTTTTTTAATTTGAAGTCACTACAAGGCTTGCAGATCCTATCTTATAGCCCTTTATTTAAGCTGATAACAACTTAACAGTGTTTGCACAAACAAACAAAAAGAAAACTAATAAAAACTCTATACCTTAAATTTGCCCCTTACTTTTTAACTTTTGTTGTTTTTATTTTTATCTTACCCTAATGTTTATGTATTGAAGAGTTATTTTTTTATTGGTTTATCATTTAGTCTTTCTACTTAAGAGTAGTTTACACACAACAGTCACAGTGTTATAATATTCTGTGTTTTCCTGTGAACTTACTATTACCAGTGAGTTTTGTACCTTAAAATGATTTCTCTTTGCTTGTTAACATATTTTTCTTTGTGATAGAAGTACTCCCTTCACCATTTATTGTAGGAGAGATCTGCTGTTGATAAAATCCCTCAGCTTTTGTTTGCTTGGGAAACATCTTCATATGTTTCTACTTCATATTTGAAGGATATTTTTTTCAGATTTTCTATTCTAGGGTGTACATGTTTTTTCTTTCAGCACTTTAAATATGTCATGCCACTTTCTCCCGGTCTGTAAGGTCTCCACTGAAAAGGCTGCTGCCAGGCATATTAGAGCTCCATTGTATGTTATTGTTTTCTTTTTCTCTTGCTGTTTTTAGGATCCTTTGTTTATCCTTGACCTTTGGAGTTTGATTATTAAATGCCTTGAAGTAGCTCTCTTTGGATTTAATCTGCTTGGTGTTCTATAATCTTCATATACTTGGATATTAATATTTTTCTCTAGGTTTGAGAAGTTCTATGTTATAACCATGGTATACTTGGATGTTGATTTTTTTCTCTAGGTTTTGGAAGTTCTCTGTTATTATCCCTTTGAATAATATTTCTACCTCTGTCTCTTTCTCTAACTACTGTTTAAGGCCAATAACTTCTAGGTTTGCCATTTTGAGGCTACTTTCTAGTTCCTGTAGGCATGTTTCATTGTTTTTTATTCTTTTTTGTTTTGTCTCCTGTGACTGTATTTTCAAATAGCTTGTCTTCAAGCTCACTAGATCTTTTGTCTACTTAATCAATTTTGGTATTAAAATGCTCTGGTGCATTTTTTCAGTATGCCAATTGCGTTTTTCAACTCTATAGTCTCAGCTTGATTAATTTTAATTATTTCAGTCTCTTTGTTAAATTAATCTGATAGAATTCTGAATTCCTTCTCTGCATTATCTTAAATTTCTTTGAATTCCCTCAAAACAGCTATTTTGAATTCTCTGTCTGAAAGGTCACATATCTGTGTTTCTCCAGGATTAGTCCCTGTTGCCTTATTTAGTTTGTTTGGTGAGGTCATATTTTCCTGGATCGTCTTAATGCTTTTGGATGTTTGTCTGTGTCTGGGCATCAAAAAATTAAGTATTTACTGTAGTCTTTGCAGTGTAGATTTGTTAGTGCTTGTCCTTCTTGGGAAGGCTTTCTAGGTGTTTGAAAGGATTTTGGTTTCATGGTATAAGCTGCATCTGCTTTAGGGGACAGCCTAAGCCAGTAACACTGTGGTTTTTGCAGACTTGTAGAGTTTACTCTCTTGGTGGCCTTGGATAAAATCCAAAATAATTCTGTGGATTACCAGGTGGAGACTCTTGTTCTCCTCCCTTACTTTCTCCCAAATGGAATTTCTCTCACTGTTCAGAGCTGCCTGGTACTGGGGGTGAAGTGACACAAGCACCCCTGTGGCCACCATTACTGGAACTGCGCTAGGTCAGACCTGAATACAGTATAGCACTGGGTCTTGCCTGTGGCCCACTATAGCTACTACCTGGCTAATGCCTATTTGTACTCAAGGCCATGGGGTTTTACAATCAGCAGTTGGTGAAACTAGCCAGGCTTGTATACTTCCCTTCAGGGTGGTGAGTCCCCCCAGGCCCCAGATGGGTCCAGCAGTGCCACCTGAAGTCAGAGACTAGAATCAAAAACCCTAGAAGTCAACCTTGTGTTCTATTGTACTGTGGCAGGACTGTCACTGAAGCCACAAGACACTGTCCTTCCCATTCTTTCTTCTCCTTTCCTTAGGCAGGGAGCCTTGCTCTGTAGCCACTGCCATATTAGGCCTACAGGGAGTACAACCAGGCTATCGTCGATGTTCCCTTAAGCCCCAAGGGCTCTTAAGTCAGCTTGTGGTAAATGCTGCCTAACCTGGGACTCACCCTTCAGGGAAGTGGGCTCCCCTCTCACCCAAGGAAGGTCCAGAAGATGCTATCCAAGATTGAAGGCCTGGAATCAGGGATCTCAAGAACCCACTTGGAGCTCTACACTTCTGTGTCTGAGCTGGCAACCAACATGCAAGACAAAGTCCCCTTTACTTTTCCTGCCACTTTTCTCAAGAAAAGGATTTTCTCCCCATAGCCATTATAGCTGGGAACATGCTGAGTCTCACCTGAAGCCAGATATTCTCAGTCTCACCCAAGGCCAATGGCATAGTATTTGTGTATTGCTGCTGGTTAGTCAGAGCCCAAGGGCTCTTTATTCAGAAGGTGATGGGTCTGGATGGATCTAGCTTCTTTCCTTCAAGGCAGTGAGTTCCCCTCTGGCCCACGGTGTGTCTAGAAATGTTATTTGGGATCTAGGGCTTGGAATGGGGAACTTATGACTCTGACTGGTGACCTGTCCTGATGTGGTTGAGCTAATATCCAAGATGCATGACAAAGTCCTCTTACTCTTCCCACTTCTCTCCTCAAGCAGAAGGAAGGGGTCTCTTTTGGAGCTGTGAGTTGTGCAGCCTGATGCTGGATAAAGGGTGACAGAAGAACTCCCTTAGTTGCCTGGGCTAATGTATCACTAGGTTGTGTGCTTCTCATGTTCACTGGCTCTGAGCCCAGTTCAGCATTAGGACCTTCAAGTTTATTTAGAGCTCCAGATCACTTTAGTCCATGATAACAGGGCTTGCCTGAACTCAGGCTTTGACTGCTGGAATGGGTGATTCTCCTCTGTCTAGGGCTGGCTTAAATACTCTCCATAGGTGAGTGTGAGCTCATTTCAGCCTGGTTTTTCTTTCTGCTATGACAGAGTAGCACTGATTTCAATGTAACATATCACAATCCCTGTGCTCACCTTCTCCCAAGCACACAGATTCTCTTTCTGCACATGCAGTTATGCTGGGGGATGGGGAAGGCATGGGCTTGGTAATTCAAGACTGTCTTTCCTACCTTTTTTTAGTGACTCTTTCAGCAATATGAATTTAAAACCAGGTACTGTGAGTGCTCACTTGATGCTTAGATCTTATGAAAGTGCTTTTCTTGTGTGTAGATAGTTGTTAAATTGGTATTCTTGTAAGGGGGTTGATGATTGGTGGAGCCTCCTGTTTGTTCGTCTTGCTCTACCCCTCCTCACCTATAAACAGTTTTATAATCTGTAAATCTACATTTTATAATCTACCATACACGAATTGGTGAAGGTTTAGATTATATAGATCTGAAAAGTTTTAGGAACATAAAAGTTGGAAAATTAATTTTAGTTAGTTTAGCCATTTGAAATTGCATTTAGTTACTTGTAACAGCCAGTTATAGTAGCTTAAATAATCAAGTTGTTTACTCTCTTGTGATAAAATATCTAAAAGTAGGCTCACCAGTGAGCCATAAAGTCATCAATGTCCTAGGTTTCTTCTGATTATCTGCCTTGCCCTTTTTTAATGTGCTCCATCCTTGAGGTTGCTCCATGACTACAACAAGGCTTCTAGAACTCCAGCCATCTTATCCACTTTCCAGGAAGAAAGTAGGGGAAGAGAAGGGGGCAAAAAGAAACTTTCCCTAGTTGCATAATCTTCTTGGAAATCTCTTTTAAAAGAATTTCAGAAGTCTTGCCCATTGACTTCCATTTTCATAGTATCCATCATACCTAAATGCAAAGGAGCTCATTGCCACTTTGAATAAAAACAGATCTGTGTTACTAAAGATGAGAAGAGTGGGTATTGGATAAACTGATAGCAATCTCTGCCAGAGGTTCTTTCCCTTCTCATTCTGCAAAGCATACCTTTTTCCTCCATTTGATATGTAAAAATAATTTTCCAACAGCTAACTAGGAAGGTGGAAGATATCTATAAATCACTGCTCAAAGAAATCAGAGATGATACAAACAAATGAAAAAACATTCTATGCTCATGGATAGGAAGAATCAATATCATTAAAATGGCCATAATTTCCAAAACAATTTATAGACTCAATGCTATTCCTGTTAAACTACCATTGGGATTCTTCACAGAACCAGAAAAAACTATTTAAATTTCATGTGGAACCAAGAAGGAGCCCAAATAGCCAAGGCAATCCTAAGCAAAAATAACAAAGCTGGACATACGCTACCCAACTTCAAACTGTACTACGGGTCTACAGTAACCAACACAGCATGGTACTAGTACAAAAGCAGACACATAGACCAATGAAATAGAATAAGGAACCCAGAAATAAGATTGTACACCTACAACAATCTGATCTTAGACAACCTTGACAACAAAAAGCAATGGAGAGGGGATTCCCTATTCAATAAATGGTGCTGGGAGAACTGGCTTGCCATGTGCAGAAGATTGAAATGGGACCCTTTCCTAAAATCATATACAAAAATAAACTCAAGGTGAATTAAAGACTTCAATGTAAATCGCAAAACTATAAAAACCTTATAAAAAAGGAAGACAGTATCATTCAGGACATAGGCATGAACAAAGATTTCATGATGGAGATGCCAAAAGCAATTGCAACAAAAGCAAAAATTGACAAATGGGATCTAATGAAACATAAGAGCTTCTGCACAGAAAAGGAAATATCAACAGAGTAAACAGACAACCTACAGAATGGGAGACAATTTTTGAAAACTATGCATCCGACAAAGGTCTAATATCTAGCATCTATAAAGAACTTACACAAATTTACAAGAAAAAACATTAAAAAGTGGAGAAAGGACACAAACAGACACTTTTCAAAAGAAGACCTACATATGGCCATAGGCATATAAAAAATTACTAACCATTGAAGGAGAGCAAATCAAAACCACAATGTGATACCATCTCACACTAATCTGAATGGCTATTATTAAAAAGTCAAAACAAAACAAAACAGATGCTGGTGAGGTTGTGGAGAAAAAGGAATGCTTGAACGCTTTTTGTAGGAGTGTAAATTAGTTCAACCACTATGGAAGACAGTGTGGCAATTCCTCAAAGACCAAAGACACAAATACCATTTGATCCAGCAATCGCATTACTGCATATATACACAAAGGAATATAAATTATTCTATTATAAAGACACATACTCTCACATGTTCATTGCAGCACACTATTCACAATAACAAGACCATGGAATCAACCTAAATGCCCACTGATGATAGATTGGGTAAATGGTATGTATACCATAAAGAAAATATGGTACATATACATTGTGAATACTATGCAGTTATAAAAAATGAGATCATGTCCTTTGCAGGGACATGAATAGAGCTGGAGGTCATATTCTTAGCAAACTGACACAGGAACAGAAAACCAAATACTGCATGTTCTCACTTATAAGTAGGAGCTAAATAATGAGAACATATGGACACAGAGAGGGGAACAACACACACTGGGGCCCATTGTAAGGTGAAGGATGGGAGGAGGGAGAGGATCAGGAAAAATAACTAATGCGGGCGATGAAATAATCTTAAAACAAACCCCCATGACACAAGTTTACCTGTGTAACAAACCTATGCATGTGTCCCTGAACTTAAAATAAAACTTTAAAAAATGGTATTAATCTCTAAAAAAAATTCCAGGAAAATATTTTAATATAAAAATATGTCTTTAAAAAATTAAAACACTGTTGTTTAGGCACTTATTTCCATTTGTTTGCTAATTAATATTATAACATCATAAAGTTTTAACCCTGAAGAAACATTAACAATTACTGTTTCCATGTGAGCTATTCAAAGCATGGTTCAGATTAGTGCCAACTAATGGACTATTTCTTTTCTTCACTTAAGTATAAAAATTAAGAGTAAGAGTAAATGTTTCAATACCTTTATAGAAATTTGACTGATTAATCATATACATATATAATTTAATAATTAAGATGATATATTTTGTCTTTATTTCTCTAGTAGTCACTTTGATTGTATTTTACCAAATTATTAATTCATGACACATTGGAAATTTAAAAATAGATAGAAATGGTTATTTTCACTTGTAACCTTTTCAGTTTTTAGACAATAGTGGTAAAGTATATAAGGCTGAGATATGATCCTGTAAATCCAATGCAATAATTATAGAATCCATTTCGCTAGATTAACTGTGTAATAATAATATTGTTATAAATTCAAAATTTCAAACTAGCAATCTCTTAATACCTAAGCATTGCAACATAATATCTTGGCAAAAGTTTCACCACATTATAATTATTTATTCATTAAATTGTAGTGGAAAAGTGTAACCAAATGACTGCTGAAAGTTGGAGTCTCAGAATTGACATTTTGGAGGGATGAGGTAGGATAACTTGGGCTAGATAATTTTGCTATAAAATTCTTGCACAAAAACTATTTCTCTGTAAATTGAAGAATATGTGGTTTATTTGTTCCACAATAACGTTAACATATAATGAAGAATTGTTTTTACTGTCATTCATTATCTTCTTACATTTCTATTGAAGCCCATTGATTAGCATGGGCATAGCAAATTTTCAAAAAGTGCAGAATAGTAACTTTGCACTAAACTTTAAGGGATGTATAATATAATTTAAAGTCAAGAACAAATTTTCCGTTCTAAATTTAAAATCTGATGATACAGGAATGAAAAATACAACTATTAATTATTCTTAATATGTTCAATTTAAATTAAATCATTTATAAACAATATCTTCTAATTCTTCTATCTCCTTTGTTTTAGGACTTTTGAATTGGTAGTATGTTGGGGCCAGAGATATTATTTATAACAAAAACTTCTGCTTGAGTTTGGAGTTATCTGTGCTCTGAGGTTAACATGCAAAATAGCAGCCCCTTCCACATGATTTGTAATTTGTGGCACAACATTTGCTTACTTGCCAATAGTATCTTTAGTATCCTTTGCAGTCTCGAGAAATCTGTTTCTGAGGAATCATAAAAGAAGTACCAGGTATCCCAATCATGATCTGAGCAATATTCTTGGGAAAACACAGAAGGCAGGAAGCAGCAAGCAAGAAGCCAGACCAGACTCAGAGAAGAAGTATGAGGAGTAAGAATATTTACTATACAAAGGCACAGATACAATCCATCCATTACTTACCATGCTTAGAATTATTGTAGACCCTCAACATATGTCTGCAAATAAACTAGAATAAAAAAGTCAAAGACAGAGTTCTGGCATGGATGGTGGAAGAGCTTCAATAATAAAGTCTAAGAGGAAGCAATTTTCCTTACTGTACTACAAATTCACTGAGATCATACACAACATCAATTCATTTTTATATCTATGAGATCTACCACATAGAAGTTATAATCAATGTGTGCAATGAATGAACACATGATTTATGATGGCTTCAATGAAAAGAAACAGAGAAACAGTATGAAACAGTACGGTCTAAGTGAAATTGAAGTGGATTTACAGATAAAACAGAAGTGAGAACATGGATAAAATTTCAACATATGAGGACCCAAGAAGAAATGAAGAGTGAGGACAGTAGGGACAGATGGAGGCAGGGATAGAGACAGATATATGTAAAGTGGTATGTGTGTATGGGTATTTATAGGTGTTGATGGAAACAGTCAGGGTATAGGGAAAGGTTGAAAACATAAGGGTGAGGCCACCAAATGAGTAAGGACTACAAATTTTATAAAATTATATATTCTTAGTTTCTTTTTCAAATTAGAACAGGAATGTTAACAAAACAATGAAACAGCTTGAAATTGTATTATCTAATAATATATGAAGAGATGATTAAAATGCATAGCATACAACTTGGCTACTTGATGCTCTTCAAACCTGTAATTTTGTAAGAACAGAAGGAAGTGAGAGATTGCATCCAGAGAAAAATATTTATGTGCAATAAGTTAAACTAACCAATAATCAAGGCTTCTGAGTTTCCCAACCAAACTCCTTGGAATTATGGACAATAAATTGCAATCAGGTTATCAGAATTCATTTTATAAAGACATGCCATTAAACTTGATAAAATTCAATTGAGTTTTGTAACTTTCCATCCTTAGTAATGAGCCAAGGATAAAGTGGCTAGATCTGTCATTTTGCCTGACGAATTTTTTTTAGGATTAAGGTGGGTATATGTCTAAATGTTATACCTACAAACATAAACATTGATTCTCAGTGTCAATCAATGCTAGTTCAGCATTTAGAGTGCTTCATTTACTCTCATCTGAAGTGTTCTTTGACTACTCATTATTTGTTGATGAAGGTCTCCTTTATTCCTTTACTCATGAACCTAAGGGATATCAAAATGCTATCAAGACAGGCACAAGTCTCAACAAAGCAAAGTTACACAGTTAGGACTTGTTAATTTCTCCAATTTAAGATACCTCCAGCTACACTTCCCACTTAGAGTGTGCTGTACAACCTGCCTAGCTGACACTTTTCTAATCAATTATTCTTTTTTATAACCAATATTCTTTTATATTTTTTTCTCAAATCTCCTCTGTGACAACTTCAACATATATACAATCCTGTTTTCAAAAACACAGGTCATAATAACTCACAGATCTTTCTGAATGCCCCCTTTTTAGGTAGGCTTATCTAAGAGACCTCTTATTGTGCCTCAACTCAAGATAATACCCAATCATGTTTTATCTCCACTCCAACTCATACTATTACTAATACTGATATTAACTACTACTACTTCTATTACCACTACCACCATCACCAATACCACCACCTACTAGTGCTGCTAACTCCTGCTACTGCTGCCACTGCCATTGTTATGGATTTATCAAAACTCTGTTGTAAGCCAGGCGTGGTGCCAAACTCTTTACTCAGTATAGTCCTGTAAGACAGACATGTTATTCATTCGTATTTTACAGATGATACTCTCAAAGCTGAAATGAGATTATGTAAACTGCTAGTAAATGTCAGAGTCTGGATTCAAACAAGGTCTCCTTGGTGCCAAAGCTTGGATTGTTTCTATTCCATCAAATGATAAAAGGACAAAAAGAACAAAAGGACTGGATTTACCCAGGAATTGGCCAAGACATCAAAGATTTCTGGATTTAGAATCTGGAAAAACATAAGTGTACATGCTGGAATTGACTTGGCCAGCTGGAAAGCAAGAAGGAATGACTTTCTTGGTACAAGATGTTCTGTTTTTTTGTAACACTCCAGTTTACCTGTGGATTATTTAAAATGTAAATATCTCTTTGGGGATGAGATGTTTGGTACATACTGCTCTCTAAGTACTGTAGAAATTACGAGATGGAAAAGTTCACTGAGCCTTACGAAACTCATCACAATCCATGTAGAATTATGCGGTTTAACAAAGACAAGACTTTACCGAAGTTTCAAAGGACATTAATTAATGAAAAGAGATTGTACACTTTATGTCTACTTTATTTAATTATATCAAAAATGTAAGAATTTGAAGTTCATTGTGCCAGTTACCCATGAATCTGTGAAGTACTGCATTATAAAAAAACAACTTCACTTATAGTTTGAGATTATAGAGATGGGAAGAAAGAGATAGGGTAGAACCTCATATTTCTTACCTTATCCAACACAGTCCCTAGTAAAGAAAAGAAAGAAAACATTAAAATTAGAAGGTGCACAGTGAAAGGCCTTAAAATATATTTCTTTTTAAAAAATTAATAAAATCAAATAAAAATAAGCACTTATTTGGTGTAGGCAAATACTATATATAGTACGTGTTTGAAAAATATTTGTTAAATAAATACTTTTCACTTGCAAATATATTTTAGCTTTCTGGAAAGATAGAAAGTCCTGTTTAGCCATTTTAGACCTCTCATATACAATTTTATAATTTTTGAGTATGGTTTATAACTTTGAAAGTCACCATGTCAGTAAGTGTTAGAAAGCCTGAACAGACCAATAACAAATAAAGAGATTGACGTAGAAATTAAAAATCTCTCAACAAAGAAAAGTCCAGGATCAGATGCTTTCATGGCTGAATTCTACCAAACATTCAAAGAAGAATTATTACCAATTCTTTGTAAGCTTTTCCAAAAAAAAGAACTAGAGGGAATTCTTCCAAACTCATTTTATGAGGTTAGCATCACTCCGATACCAAAGCCAGACAAAGACACCACAAGAAAAAAAAAATGCAAGGCAATATCTCTGATGAATATAAATGGAAGGGTCCTTAATAAAATGCTAGAAAACTAATTCAACAACACATCAAAAAGATTATACATTATGACGAATTGGGATTTATCACTGGAATGTTGATTTTGTTTAATATATGCTAATCAATCAATGTGATGCATTATATCAACAGAATGAAAGATTAAAACCACATGATCATCTCAACTGATATATAAAAAGCTTTTGGCAAAGTTCAACTTTTTTTGATTAAAAAGTCTCAACTATTTGAGCATAAATGGAAATTTTCTCAACATAATAAAGGTCATTTATTAGAGGCTCACAGCTAATACCATAATCCATGGGAAAAAAACTGAAAGTTTTCTTCTAAGATTTGGTCTACGGGAAAGATGCCCACTCTCACCACTTCTATTTAACATAGCACTGAAGTACTATAGCAACGGAAATCACACACAAAAAGAAACAAAAGACATTCAAATTGGAAAGATATAAAGTTATCTCTATCTGCAGGTGACATGGTCTCATATGTAGAAAACCCTAAAGACCCTACACATACAAATTATCTTTGAACTAATAAATGAATTCAATAAAGTTGCAAAATACAAAAGAACTTTCAAAATCAGTTGCATTTGTGTACATCAATAATGACCTATCCAAAAAAAATTAAAGAGAATCTCGTTTATGATATATCAAAAGAATAAAATAATAGAAATAAATTTAACTAAGGAGATGAATGTTCTGCACACTTAAGACTATAAAACTATATAAGACTATAAAACTCTGATGAAATAATTTGAAGAAGATACTAATAAATGGAAAAATATTCCATGTTCATAGATCAGAAGTAATATTGTTAAAATGTCTATACTACCAAAAACTATGTAAAGACTCAATGAAATCTGTATCAAAATTCCAAAGCGTTCTTCACAGAAATAGAGAATAGAATTCTAAAATTTGTATGGAACCACCAAAAACCCCAAATAGCCAACGCAACCTTGAGAAAATAATTGGAGATATCACACGTGCTGATTTCAAATTATATTACAAAGTAATCAAAACTGTATGGTACTGGAATAAAAACAGACACAGAGACTAATGATACAGAATAGAGTGCCCAGAAATAAACCTGAGCATATATGGTAAACTAATTTTTGACAAAACTCCGAGAATACACCATGGAGAACGAATAGTCTCTTCAATAACTGGTTTCGGGAAAACTAAATATCCATATGCAAAAGAATAAAATTGGACCCTTATCTCACAGCAGGCACAAAAACAAACTCAAAATGGATGAAAGACCTAAACATAAAACCTGAAATCATAAAACTTCTGGAAAAAAACTTAGGGAAAAAGCTCTTTGACACAGGCTTTGGTAAAGATTTTTTTGGCCACCACACCAAAAGCTCAAGCAACAAAAGCAAAAATAACTATATAAGAAACAAGTCTATAGGAAAACCAGACAACTCAATGGCATAAATAAATAAATAATAAATAAATAAAATGAACGACCTAATTAAAAATGGTCAAAGGGCTTGAATAGACATTTCTCCAAACAAGACATTAAAAAAATGGCCAACAGGTATATGAAAAGGTGCTCAATATTACTAATCATCAGGAAAATGCAAATTAAACCACAATGAGATATCATCTTACGCTTGTTAGGATGGCTATTATCGAAAAGAGAAGATATAACATATATTTTGGTGAGGGTGTGGAGAAAGGTAGCCCTTGTACACTGTTAGTGGAAATGTAAATGGGTACAGCTAATGATGGTAAACAGTATGAAGGTTTCTCAAAATATTAAAAATAGAACTACATGTGCCCCAGCAATCCCACTGCTGAATATATACCCAAAAGAAATGAAATGAGCAACTTGCAGAGATAGCTGTACATGAGAATGTTCATTTCAGAATTATTCATCAGTCAAGACAAGTAAAAAACGTAAATGTCTATTGATGGATGAATGAATAAAGAAATATATAATGGAATATTATTTAGCCTTAAAAAAGATGAAGACCCTACCATTTGTAAGATGGATATACCTGGAAGATATTATGCTAAGTGAAATAAGCCAGATACAGAAAGAAAAATACTGCATAGTCTTGCTTATGTGTGGAATCTTAAAAAAATCCGAATACATAGAAAACAGTGGTTGACAGGGGTGGGGGAAAAGGGGAAATAGGGAGATGTATGTTGAAGGGTACAAAGTTGCAGATATGTAGGATGACTAGATCTAGGGTTCTAAGGCACAACATAAAAACTATAGGTATAATAGTGTATTGTATGCTGAAGTTTGCTAGAAGAGTAGATTTTAGGTGCTCTTCCAACACACACACACACACACACACACACACACACACACACACACACACACGCACACACACGCAGGCACGCATGGTAACCATGTGAGGTGTTGAGTATGTTAATTTGATTGACTATAGTAAACATTTCACTATGTATATCAAGACATTATATTGTATAACTTAAATATATACAATTACAAAAGAAAAAGTCAGTGAATATAGATGACCCTAATGTAAAATTAGGCTAAGTCTTAAAAGATGAGTATAAATTAATAAAGGAAAAAGATTGATTAAGTATTTAATTTCATATATTAAATCTGTTTCTGCTCAAAATATATTGAGTTAAACCTGACAGGTATTGCAATGTGTCTATGAAATGCTGTGACTAAAAGGTGGAAATATTAATTTAAAAAAATAAAGATGAAAACTTGTAAAAGAAATTCACCATGTGGTAAAATTCCTTTAAAAAATCCTTTGGAATGGTTTACTAAATCCAAATGTGTTTATTCTTCTTTTTAAAGGGATATTTATTATTCAATAACAGATACACATTTGTTAGTAGACATCACTTTTTTAAAAAAGAGATCTTATTGAAATGTGATCTTTTAAAGCTTCAGAAAAATCTTCTTTTATCTCAGAAATTATAGTGCTATGCACTTCAATAAAAAAGAAAATAGTCATTTAAAAATAAGCAGGAAAAATGTTAAATATGTAAACAAATGCATGAATTAATATGTAATTTTGTATATTCTCAACAGATCACAATAATCTCCTCTATTATGTTCCAGAAATGTTAAATGAATATGATTACAAATATTACTATTTCTTTTGGGGAAATATTGTATAATTCTTGAAAATAAGGTCACCATAATCTCTCGCCTTCTTTCCCTGCCTGACCCCACTGCCTTTTAAACTGTCTTTCAGCCCCTGCCATTGCTGCCATAGGTGATTCTATAGGAAATACTTTGAACTTTTAGATAATTTGAAGGTTCTAAAGGTGAATATAAACTTTGAAAAGCTGCAACATTTTTATAAATGTCATAATGGGAAGTCTCCACTGGCATTTAGCCAGTGGACCTAAATGATGCCAGTTCAGCATTTAATAAGTATGTTTCTTTCTAAAACCTGATACTTGCTCTATTTACATAACTGCTTAAAGTTTAACCAATTCATTTGAGTTATAAATACTAATACTCCTGGGAGATATATGGGACATTTGATAAATTTGTTCAAGCAGATTGGTTTCCTGCTAGGAACTGAAATCAAATTGTATTCAGGGAATGAATGTTGGTACAGAAAGTAATTCTGGACATAAGTGGAGTGGCACCATATAGGGTTTCCCTCAGAAAGAAGCCATGGAACACCAGAAGGAAATGTTTTAAGGCTCTGCAGTAAGGAAGGGGAGTGGAAACCTATGGGAAGTTTAAAAGGGATCTCTCCTGAGCCTAGGAAAGGAATGGTAGAAACAGAAGCCTAGTTGTCAAGGTTTCAAGAGGAATAGGAATAGAGGCAGTTAAGGCACCAGTGATGCCCAATGAATTCGTAAAGAAAAAAAAACTTGAAAGGTAGCTGGAAAATCAAACAATAAAGGTAGTGAAACTAAACCTTATTTTTTTACTCCTAAATTACTCATTTCCTGTTCTCAAAAATTAAACATTTTTTGCCTTATTCCACATGTTCTAATAAAGTGAAATATTTTATAGTAATGGTCTGATTATAATTCTAATGTTTTAATGGTAAATAAGCCTTTCATTGAGCAGATCAAGAACCTAACCTAAGTATTAATATGTGCTTTACAAATTCCAAATGATGCTCTCTTTAGAGTTCACAAGAGAAAATATCTTAGAGTGGCAAATAAGGAAATAAGGTACTTTTTGATCTAACCTTATTTTTGGATAAATCTTCATTCTCTCACTAGAGTTAATCAGATCAGATGTTTGCAGCTCTGGGAACAAATAAGAGAGTTTCATGTCTTTGGGCACCTGCTCAAATCTTCCACCCTCTGCCCTCACTCCTACCCATAGCTTTACCCCAGTGTGGAATAAATTTTCTAGACAAGGTGATTCAGAAACATAGGTTCATTTTTTAATACAACAGTTTGTTAGGTTACCTAATTTTTCAGTTTTTTATGACTCCCCAGGAATAACTTACTATTCTCTTCATCACACCTCCAGATATTCTGTTTCTTCTAACTATCTAAAATATTTCATTGTTCTTTCTTGTTTTCATCTTTTTTCTTCTATTAGAGGGTACATCTTTTAGAACCAAGGACTGTGGTGTGCTTGTCTTTGTGTTCTCAGTGCTGAGCATAGTAGATTCTCCCCAGGAAACATGAATGAGTGAATAAGTATGTAAATTCATAAATGAATGAAGCATTAAGCAGCTGGCTTGAAATCCCCTTTTGGAATGTCACCTAATCATCAATTAGAGCTGCCTACCTGTCAGGAATTACTCAGAACTATGGTTTTGTCTCCCTTTACTGCTTTCCTTTTCTCATAGACTAAGATAATTTTAAATAGCCAGATATGAAGATTATCTGCAATCTGAAGGGACAATGGATTTTTTTATATTTGAATTTTTGTGATGATTAGAAATTTCAGCTATGAGCTACCATATCATGTAAATATAACTAACCTGATTTGTAGACTAGAAAATAATACAATAAAACCCTGTCTTTTCTGGCTATATGGCTACACTTACAGTAGGGAAATAAAGTAGGAGGAGGTTTCACAAGCCAAGAATGATGTACTTTTTAACAAAATAATTTTGGAAACTGTTAGAGGTTTTGGAACAACATAAAGTAAGAGCTTGCGTCTGGATTGTTATTAGCCACATCACCTTCTCTAGATCATTTGAAAATTACCAATGAAAAGTAGTTGAAACTCAGAGTTTGTGCAGTGTGCTCTTTCTCTCCAGAGCTGTTGTTTCTGCAGAAATAAAGGAAAAATTTGACCTTGACTGAGTTCCTGGAGGCCATGCCTAAACTAATTTATTCCCAGTGGAGCTGCGCAAGGAGGAGTTGGTGAGTCTGCTAGCCAGACCTATCACTGCGATACTTTCTTCAGAATGTTTTGCCATCTGGAAAATGCATGATTCAACTGCGCTGGCACAAGTACCTCATTTGTAGGAAATAGAAGAACAATAATATTAATTGAACAAACTTCAAAATAAATACAGAATATTTGCATAGGAATGCTAACCAGTTGGTGAAATGTGAATAGGTCTAAATGGCTTTCATCTCGAATGATCTGGACACTCTGTTTCAGTCTGTTTTATTTTTGGAGTAGAAATGCTTATTTTTCAATGTAGTGAATATAAAGAAAAAGAACGAAAATGTAGAATGTATCAAAAAGAAGGGAACCCTAAAATATGGGAATTTTGGACTGGAAGATAGATTTTTTTTCCATGAAGAATTTTGCCCATAAAAATTCTGCCACAAGCAACTGAAAAACAGTGGTAATAGGCTCCTATTTTTAGTGTTAGCACTGACAATGAAATGTTTAACTTGTGTGGCATCAGAACAGTAAACTTTAGTGAGATTATTAATATTCTGAAAAATAGGTTGCTATCAGAAGATATGAAATGAAAATTTTTATCAGGTCACACCTCAGACCACTGACTTTCTTGCTCATTTTGTATACATCTTTTTTTTTTTTTAGCACTTCCATGAATACAGCTATCAGATGTTCATTCCCAAATACATAAACACACACTTCATCAAGTACAAGGATACATTTCCCAACTAGTATTCATCATCTTCATCATCATCATAATCACCATCATCATTGATAACAATGATAAGACTATTTACTAAGCACTACCAAAAGTTAATAGATTCAAAGATGCACATTTTTTCATATTTTAACATTTCTGATGTCAAAATGTGTCTTTCAGTTAATATTGTTTTACAGTTATTATCAGCCAGGAGGTGGACATGACATAGTTGTTTAACTGACATTTATGGAAAGATCAAGAAAGGACCAACATGAAAATATATACAATGAATGCCATCACCTTGAACTATTATCCTGGAGACAACCGTGAAGTTTTTTTTTTTTTTTTTTTTTGTCAGAGTCTCGCTCTGTCGCCCAGGCTGGAGAGCTGTGGCATGATCTTGGCTCACTGCGAACTCTGCCTCCTGGGTTCATGGCATTCTCCTGCCTCAGCCTCCCAAGTAGCTGGTACTACAAGCGCCCACCACCACCCCTGGCTAATTATTTGTATTATTAGTAGAGACGGGGTTTCACAGTGTTAACCAGGATGGTCTTGATCTCCTGACCTCGTGATCCACCAGCCTCGGCCTCCCACAGTGCAAGGATTACAGGCGTGAGCCACCGCGCCAGGCCGGTGAAGTCTTTTAAGAAATGCTGTGTGACCAATGATCATGATGAAATTGAAAAGAATTACTTCGTGGAAAAATATCAAAATCAATGAATTTTATTCTAGAAGTGTTCAGAATGTTCTAAGTACTTTAATCAAATAATTTTATTTGTGTTTTCTTTTTATTTATGTAGAGTGATGCAGAATAAAAAATATACTGTATAGGTCTAAAAGCATAAAACAATTATTTTAATAGTATACTAGTCAGAATTCTCCAAAGAAACAGAACCAACAGGATATATATCTATATCTGTATCTATATCTATATCTATATCTATTTCTATAGATATCTGTGTGTGTGTGTGTGTGTGCACACAAACACTCTAGCTTTGGTTATGAGATCCATGTTAGATTCTCATAGCTTACAGTAGAGAAAAATAAAAACTGGAGCAATTTCACTCTCAGACATGTAGCAGTGGAATCATATAAAGAAAACAGACACCGAGTTCTCAGCCAGACTAAGAATGCATTAAGATGGGAATACAAAGAAATTTCATTTCAATCACTTCTACCTTCTACATTAGGTAGCAGGAAAGCCTTCTAATAAGTAGAATGGGAGGTAAGAAAGAAAAGTAGTTGGAAATTTAAGAGGAAATAAAAATTTCAGAAAAGGGAAGATGTTGTGGAGACACAAATATAAAATAACAAGTAGCAGTAAATGCCTATAGTGAAACAGAGATGAGAAATCCTGTTTCTGGGACATCTGGGAATCCTTTTATGAAGGACCTTGGCCTCCCTAACCATTTTCCAGCAGGATTTTTCATGACCACTGATATGGTTTGGCTGTGTCCCCGCCCAAATCTCATACTGATTTGTAGTTCCCATAATCCCCACATGTTGTGGGAGGGACCCGTTGGGAGGTAATTGAATCATGGGGCAGTTACCCCCATGCTCTTCTCATGATAATGAGTGAGTTATCGCAAGGTCTGATGGTTTTATAAAGGGCTTTCCCCTCTTTTGCTCGGCACTTCTCCCTCCTACCACCATGTGAAGAAGGATGTGTTTGCTTCCCCTTCTGCCAAGATTGTAAATTTCCTGAGGCCTCCCCAGCCCTGCAGAACTGTGAATCAATTAAACCTCTTTCCTTTATAAATCACCCAATCTCAGGCAGGTCTTTATGGCAGCATAAGAACGGACTAATACAACCATCTAGAGAGCTTCTGAAAAGGCAGATCGCAGGACTTCCTTTACAGAGACTCAGATCTGGTACACCTGCATTAGGGACAAGAAATCTCTATGTTGAACAAATACTGCAGGTGGTGCTGATGCTAAACTTTTACAAACATTGGTTATACAATTAATCAACAGTTATTTGATGATTCAGCACACAAATAACTCTTTGCAACCAGGTTTACGTTACTGGGAACAAACTAACTAGGTTTCCCCAGGTGTGGAGAGCTTTCACACAATATACCCTAACTTACATAAACAAAATTACCCAGGTAAATATTTACTAAACAGTTTTAACATAAATGATAGTGATACACAAATTTGAGTAATAATTCAAGAAAATAAGTGCACAATTAGGCTGTTAACTGCTGTTTATCTGTTTAATGTGAAATACCCACTAGCTTCCCTCCACCCTTTACCCTAACTCCCATAAAATCCTCCAACCAAGCCACCAACATATACCCACCATACTTGCCACTCTGTCCTCAAACTCCTGTTTGGGCATTTGCTCCTGGTTCTTGAAACTTCATTCTGACAAAGCTGAATAAAATTACCTCCTTAGAAAACAGTCTGTTCATGATTAAATAACTAATAAATAGTTGAGCCAGAATCTGAACGCAAGCCTATCAAAAGCCTGAGTGAATTGAGGCAGTTCAACTGGATCTTGTTCTGTCACAGTTATAAATCCATACACTTTTTCTATGGTAGGCAGAAAGCTTAATTTTTGCTTGTCTCCAGAATTCTATTGAAGAGATATGAATGGACTCTGTAAAAATTCTGGACATAGAGAAGTTCAGCAAAAGGCATTGTCAGCCTTCAGCATCACTTTGATTATTTTCCCAATTCCTTGGTCTTTAAGGACTTTATCTAAGGACATCACTGCCAGTGGCTTCCACCACCAAGGCCTAAAGGCAAAGGAAGCCAAAGTGTCTTATATAGCTAGAGGTAATAAAAAGCACAAGTTCGTCTGAGTGTTTCAATTACCTAATGCTGTAAAATAAATTACTCAAAAAACTTTGTGACTTACATCAAAATCAGTTTACTATTTCTCACAGTGTCTGTGAGTCAAGAAATTGGACTGAGCTTAGCTATGTGGTTTTGGATTGAGGTTCATCAAACTATTGCAGTCAGATGAGATGGTGAGTGGAGCTGGAATAGTGTGTGGTATCGGCTGGGAGCTCACCAACCATCTCTCTCTCTCATCATAAGATCTCTTGCATACACTAATTTGGGATTCTTCATAGCATGGCAGACTCAGGGCTGTTTGACTGCTTACATAGTAGCTGGCTTTCCTGTAAGTGAGTGTCCCAAGAGAGTCAGGCAGAAGACACATTATCTTTTATTATCTGACCTCACAGAGTATCACTCCTACCATTTCTACTGATTGATGGGAAGAGTGTCAAAACCTTTATGAACATGATTTTAAAACACAACATTCAGCCACTTACAAAATATCTTCTGTTTATGAGCTATTCTGAGTGTCCATAGCAGGAAAGGGAAAGGACAAAAATACACGGCATGTGATGTACAAGGTGGCTTATATGTACACAGTGTCTATAATGACATATCTCAGGGATTATATGGATATAAATATTTAAATCCAGAAAGTCATATAGAGTTGTTACTTCCAAAGTGTTTGAGGGTCTCTTAGGGTAAGCGTACATGTATTATGACTCATACTACAAGACATGCATAAGTGTCCTGCTTGAGTGATGAAACCACTCTATATTTCTATTTATTTAAATGGCTTGAAAATACTCAAAGATAAAAGACATGGTGCCTTTAAAAATTGAAAGCAGATCCTTGGTAGATGTTAAATTTTTAAGTGGCAAAATAAATAAATCCACTTGATGATTAGGCATTGCTTATGAAGGAGAGTGGGGTTGAGTGAGTGAGTTGAATTCATTGCCAGAAAAATTATTTCCTTTATAGAAGTAAAATTTCACAGGTTTTTAAAACACAGATTTCATCCCGCTTATGTGTAGCATCTGAGGAGACAGATTCATGTCTTTCA
The DNA here is from genome assembly GCF_000001405.40 of Homo sapiens. Classification (NCBI taxonomy): domain Eukaryota; kingdom Metazoa; phylum Chordata; class Mammalia; order Primates; family Hominidae; genus Homo; species Homo sapiens. The sequence continues at coordinate 74,763,793 of NC_000006.12, read as the reverse complement.
GATTAAATTAAGCCTTATGTAGTTTAAAGGTTACTGAGGTAGATTCTACAGATCCAAGAAAAGTTATGGAAGAAATGAAAGTAAGAAGAAAACACTTAAGGTCTTTCTATAACTAGTTTTGAGTATTTAAAGGGTGGAGCCATCTCCCACAAATAATTCTATCCCCAAACAACTCAGAGGAATTGCTGCAAGGTCAAGACAAAACAAGGTCCCAAGATAGGGCTCAGTATATGTAGGGTTTTCTCTACCTCTCATGGTTCCTGGGATTGCTGGAAAGTTTACTGTCATCAAACATCTTCCCATAAATATTCTTTATTACTAACTACCCAAGCAGCAGCCATGACTTGACGTTATGATCCCTTCCCACCCAATTTCCAGCCAACTAGGCTCAATTTCTTACTTCTTCCCAATTAGAAAATAAGTATATCTTACAATCTGGGATGTCATTTTCTATGCTCCATTTAGAAATAAAAATGTGGATTTGAATCCTCTCATCACTGCCCTTCACACAGAGTATCTTCATGATTCTCAGTACTTGAGATGATTTTTATTGGAGTAAGTTTAGTAAAAAAAAAAAAAAAAAATTCGTATCATCAATTTGGCTTGGGATATATGCCACAGCCTGGTAAGATTTCAGCATTTAGAATGATATTCTACTGTCTTTTTTCCCTTATTCTTCTGCCTTGTTAATAACACTTAGATCCTTGAGAAAGCTTTCTCATCAAATTTGAAGTGCTAAAACTCTGTCACAATTTGGCTCAGTTCCTTCTTTTCTCTTAATGCAGGTTTTAAATTTTCTCAACGTTTTGCATTGCATATATTTGAGTCTTCTTTTCATCTTTTTAGCTGTTCTGGTAATGAGGTATTTCATACTCAGTGTTAAATATGCTCCTCAGAAATTTCTACCAGGAAACCAGAATTTGCAATTTAGTGAATTTCTGTTCTTCCTGGCTCTACTTAGGGTTGCCTTAATACCAATTCAGATTAAGTGATATGTCTCCTGTCCCTGAAAAATTTCTCCTCTGTGAAGGTGCTATACAAAACCTTGAATTTCATCTCTAGATAGTCACTCTCAAACTTACTTCTTGCTTACTTACTTCTTCATAAGCATTACCTGGGAAACTTGTTGAACATGGAGTCCCTGCCTCACCCCAAATCTCTTTAATGAGGATCTATAGACAGGGAACGAGACTTTGTATATAATACATGCTTCTCTATATATATCACAAGTACTAAGATAAGTACAAATATTTTTTTCTATATGTAACACAAGCCCACAGAGCATTTTATTCCAAGGTTTACATAAGCTTGAGTTGTAATTGGAATTACAGCTATTATTTCTACTTTTACCTAGTAAGATCTTCAGTGGTAGTGACCTTTCTTAATAAGGTATAAAGTTCACAACCAAGCAGTGATTGCATAGGTAACAAGAATTGTGATCACCGACATTGCTGATAATAGAATTTGTGTGTGTATGTGGTCTAAAATTTTCTCCGTATCTTCTTTTTTTTACTTTTTTTTTCTTTCTTTCTTTCTTTTTTTTTTTTTTTTTGAGACAAAGTCTTGCTCTGTCGCCCAGGCTGGAGTGCAGTGGTGCGATCTCGGCTCACTGCAACCTCTGCCTCCCAGGTTCACGGCATTCTCCTGCCTCAGGCTCCCGAGTAGCTGGGACAACAGGCGCCCACCACCATGCCCGGCTAATGTTTTTGTGTTCTTAATAGAGACGGGGTTTCACCGTGTTAGCCAGGATGGTCTCGATCTCCTGACGTCGTGATCTACCCGCCTCGGCCTCCCAAAGTGCGGGGATTACAGGTGTGAGCCACCGCGCCCAGCCTCCCTATCTTCTTAAACTCACTGGGTCCTTTGGTAGATGTGTTTGTTGAGGCATGGTGAGACTTAGGTTATTTGTCAAGAGACTTTTAAAATTTAATTTAAAGATAGAGGAGACAATTCACAACATAAAATGAAAATAAATAATACTCAAAGATATTTTTATCAGGAAAAGGGAGAAAATTAGAAATTATCCGCTTCAAGAAGCAGCTCTCAGTTTTAATCCATGTTTATATTTGACTGGACAGAATAAATGAAGGTCTTTTGCCTTAAATGTTGACTTAAAACCATGACATAGAATTTAAATACTGTCCTCATTAATCCAATAGGAAAGCCAACATCTTGTGGCTTGGACTATCCTTGTGTTTGGCAAAGACATTGGAGACACCCCGGATTGACTCAGTTGGTGTGGCACATGAGCATCACTGGGTAATTTATTTCCAGATGGAAGCATATACTAATAAACTATAGTTCTAAGAGGAAGCAATAATAAAGATTTTTTTTCCAAAATTAGGGAAGGTCATGGTGTCTGACTTAAAATGAAGCCATCAGAAAACAAGTTTATATAGCAAAAATAAAATTAAAGCCACCTTAGTAGTTATCCTCTACAAACGTTTTACTTTCCCCTTTTAATTATTAAAGACAAAGGAGTCAGTTTTTGTAAAACTGAGTAGTAATGACAACGTCTTGTAAAAAATTTTACTTTTTTTTTCAGTAGAGAAAATTCAATGCTTCAAATGTCAGACTATTGGAAAGTGTAGACAAACATTTTCCTTTAAAGCAATAAAAAACTAGATTGCTTCAAGAATGCATAAACATTAAATGCCACAGTGTACATTATAAATATATTTTTAAAAAGCACTTGGGGAAAGTTAAAGTAAGTTGTCACATGAGGAAGGGAAAATAACATATTCTCCTGATTGAAACCAATACACATTTGGCTTTATACTGTAATTATTTGTGTAAATATACTATTCTTAAACCTGAAGAGGACCAGTTGGATAGGTTGAACATTGCACTGTTGCCTAGATTGCCTCTTCCAGTATCAACATAGTTCATTCTTAAAAAATGGTTAAAATGAATTTAAATCTATAAATCCACAGCTATTTGAAGAAATCATAAATGAAGCAATATTATCCTAGGTTAATTTCTCCTACATGCATAGAAGAAAGGTATTCTGATACGTTCTCATATTATTTGGGAAGACTGAGCTTATAAAAGTATGACTCAATTAACAATAATATAAAAAACATGGGGTGAAGATAAGACAATAATTCTGACTCTCATTATCAAGCCTGGCACAGTATCATGTGGTATATGGACTGACATATACTATGTGATGTGAAGCATCAGAAGAGAGCATCCACTCAGAAATATGGGTATTGTCAAGTAAGAAATAAAAGGTCAGTATATTTCAAATCTTTTGCATGCCACCTGCAGCCCAAAGTATGTCTGCTCTAACCCTTAGTGGGAGAAAAGTCACAGACCCCTTCTCCCTAGTATAACTGATTCATTTTGACAAAGTACCCTCACAGCGTCCATTGTTCCTATACTTTTCAAAGTGATCTGCACCAATGGCTTCCTGAAGTTGTACCCCTTGCATTCCTGAAACCCTCAGATTGGTCCTTGATGTCACTTCTATTGTTATATTGAAGAGCCAAGTCAAGGCAGCTTGCAGAGGTACCACTGTCCTAACAAGTCATTCTAAATTTGCTCCCATAGCTCTACTGTCATATGTGGCTTCAAATGAGGTCTTTGCTGTCACCCTTTTCAACACCTCTGAGTAATCTGCTCTTCCTTCTCCATAACCACTGTAACTGCTATAATCCAAAATGGGATTGGAGCTTCACCACTGCTAATGGTTCTTCAGCACTTTGAGGGCTCTTAATCCTCACCCTGGGCTAAAGATTTGGCCGACCATTAAGTAGCCATCCGAAGATGCTGTCTTTGTGGACACTTAGAGGGATGTCTGCTTCAGACAAAAAGGGTTTGCTCTGGTAAACACCCAGACTTGGGAATTAATTAGGATAGACAGACCATTTAGTTAATAACATTTTTTGACCCTAAGCCTTAGGACCCAGTTCCCACTTTGGGAAACACTGGCCAGACTTCCTATATGTCTGACTGAGCAAAAGTTCACAATATATTGATATCAATAAGCTTTTTATTTGTTCTGTTAATTTCAGAGATATTTTAATAAATAAAAAATTGTAACTAGATTTTTTTTTTGGCTTTGCCTGACTCCAGTCATCTGTCATATCTCCCTGCTACTGTTTCTGAGTATTGATACAATGGAGTTGGGGATAAATGTGTTTTCAGGTTTCTCAATAAAGAGTGGAAAGCTTGAGTTTATCACTTTTCAATTAATAGCTTAGGATCACATTTACCATCCTAGCTAGAGAAGGACACATGCACCCCAAGAATACATTTTCTATAAGGGCCCTAGTTCTTTAACTTTATTTGGTCTGTGTGTCTGTATTAGTCTGTTCTCACACTGTTATAAAAAATACCTGAGACTGGGTAATTTATAAAGAAAATAGGTTTAATTGGCTCATGGTTCTGCAGGCTGTATAGGAAGCTTAGTGACTTCTGCTTCTGGGGAGGCCTCAGTAAACTTAGAATCATTGCAGAAGACTAAGGGAAACCAGGTACATTTTACATGGCTGGAGCAGGAGAAAGAGAGGGAGAGCGAGAAAGTGCTACACACTTTTAAAAGACCAGATCTCATAAGAACCCTATAACTAGTCAGTACCAAGGGGAGAGTGCTAAACCATTCATGAAAACTCTGCCCCCATGATCCAATTACCTCCCACCAGGCCCCACCTCCAACACTGGGTATTACAATTTGACATGAGATTTGGTGGAGATATAGATCCAAACCATATCAGTGTCTATATTCTAGCTCTCCTCAGGATGATATATTTCTACATCTCTATACAGAAATCATGATGGAACAATTGCATTTATTATAAGCTGTGTAAATTTAATTAAACACAAAGTCTCACCCTCCTGAATTCCCATATTCAATTAGAAATATTTTTCACTTCCAAAAAAAAAAAAACCAAAGAAAGCATTGGAGAAACAAATCCATAAAGTATTTTAAACTCTATCCTGTAAGTAGGGTGTCCATCACTGTGCCATCATTTACTCCTTGTAAGCACCTTCATTATTACTCCCCTGGCAGCTTTTTTAAATTGATTTTTGATTGATTTGATTTACTAAACTGTCTGGTAGAAATCTGGTTTGACTCTTCCTAGGCTATGGCATTTTTCTCCTATTTGACATTGACTTCATGACTCTTTAATTTCCTTCCTTCCTTTCTTCCTTCCTTCCTTCCTTCCTCTTTCTTTCTTTCTTTCTTTCTTTCTTTCTTTCTTTCTTTCTTTCTTTCTTTCTTCCTTTCTTTCTTCCTTTCTTTCTTCCTTAACAGTGACAGAGCCACTTCTAGTTGCAACCCAAGGGGAATGTCACTAGTGTCATCAGTTGTAGAGTTTTTCTTTATAGTGACTTTCTCTGTTATGGCATCATTGTCTTCCTAGGGAAACATCCATGGCCAAGAATATGTGTTTCATATTTTATGCCTTTTACATGAATATCCTACAGGATGATAAAGAAACTAACTGACATATTTAAGTTCATTTAAATAATTGACCACTTTTTGTTGATTATCTGTATGGTTCATAATCTGTGTAAGAGACTCAAATTCAATAAGAATTTCATAGCACTGTTTTTAAAAAATTAAGTAAACTTCTCTTTTCTTACACTGGATTTAAGAAATTTTGGAAAAGCAAAGAGAAAAACTCCTGAAATAAACAGCTATATTTTGCCAAGGAGACTTCAAATTGGAATTCTCAACTAAGCACAGGCATGTGGTATTAAATCTCCACTGGCATGAGCTAGTGAATTTTGCAGAAAATAGTACATGTGAAAATCAGCAAACTCAAGCTTTAGGGTAGTTCAGCAAGGGAATTGAATGACAGCACATCTTGAGTCTAATGGTTTTGGCATGTTTAGTGTTTGTCTTAGGACAAGTTTAAATATTGACTTCTGTTTGTCAGAATGAATGTAATCGTAACAATTATGAAAAATTTCTTTCCTATATTAAAGATTCTGAGTGTAGCTGAATTAAAAAGTTCATAGGAATATTTAAGAGAAAAGACTCATGGATCCTCCTTTGTTAACTTAGTTTTTCTCTATCACTCAATGGAATAAAACAGAGAACATCTGACATTCTTTTAAATTAAAGGAAGAAAAAATTTCCAGGGAATCCCATTCCATTTAAACTCTTCTGGAGTTTAACAGAAGTGTCATTTCTGACTCTGAACAGAAGTGTCATTGCTATTCGATGTGACAAGTTATAGTTTAAATTATTCTGCCCAAAACAAAATGAATATATAAATAAATAGGTTTTCAGCCAACATCTTGATGATTTTAGCAATATATCCACAACGAGGATGATCTCTTTTGTTCTGTGACTTAGCACTGACCTTATTAGACAACACAAGCTTCACTATAACCTTGTTAGGTATTGGTATGCTGTAGACAAGCAAAAAAACAAGGCAAAATAATCTTATTTTGCAGATATTCTTTTCCAAACATTAATTTTAATATAAATAAAATCAAGTCAATATTTTTGTGTGGTTAATCAAATACACACTATCATTAAAGGACTTTTGACATTTTAATGATCTTTGGATCATATTGCTATTTCACATCCTACCAAGGGTTTCTTCCAGTTTAATTATGTAACAGTAGACAAAATGTTCCAGTAGTATATGAACTGGCATCCAGCTACAAACATGAAACACATGTGTTCGCAATTTAAGTCAGAGAGGGCACTTTGGTTAAGACTCAGGAGGAATCTGTGTTGCAACTGGAAAGGCAACTCCACTGGAGTTGGGTCCACTGAACTGTGAGGCGGGGTGAGAGGCTGGGCACCAAATACACTTCACTCCTCATAGTGTTCCATCATGTGGTAGTCACTCAGCTTCTCTATTTTTTTGTTTGCTCACCTACAAAATGGGGAAATATTTATCAGCTAAATATATTTAGGGATCCCCAAAACATTACAAAAAACTCAAAAATCAAATGAATGTATCTAGCCCAACATGAGAAATATAATTGCCTGTCCATTTACCTTAAAATTCAAACTTAACTCCTGGGGAATTCTAAATATGAATTGTTGAAAACTGGTTTAAAAGATGGTATTTATTAAATTACATTTTTGAGTGTAAAATCTGTGATGTTAAGGGCTCTGCTTCTGCTGCTTCTGCTTGTTGGCATTTACAATCTTGATATTGGGAGCATAGTCATATATATAATTCGGCACTTACAGTATCATAAATGTACTCATTAAGTCGGTGCAAAATGAAAAACTCACACTCATGCTAATAATAACATTTATATAGCACTCTATTATGTACTAATTGTCACTACATAAATCATTTGTTTTATTTTTGCAATAATGCCTTCACAATAGGAAGGCCAAATGTTGTATTACACTCCCCTTACTGAAGAGGGAAGTGAGGCTCAGAGAAGTTGTGACCTGTCTAAAGCAAACAGCTAATATGTGAGAGAGAGAAAATTTCAGCATATCTTTCTTTGTGGCTATAATATCAAGTTAGCCCAGGTTAAAGGCCATAGAAAAATTACATTAAACATAAAGCAATTATATTGCAGAAAATCAGACATTAAATTTTTATTAAGGCTGTTTGACCCTTGTATTTTTCACATTTTAATTGTTATGTATAATTTGCTCATATTATTGATAAAAATGAGACAGACTTGAAATGGTGGATTAAATTCTACAAAGCAAGTATGTCACTGAGTTTATAGCATACATGAATTTACCCAGAGAATTTTTCCAGAAACCCTCACTATCTTGGTTGAAGATTAGCCCTGTCATCACGGGTGGTACAAATTCTGAGAAGTTCTTAAGAAGTGATTCAGAAAAAGATGACAAGTGACAGAATAAATGGTTTTATTTCCAGGTTTTCCTCTCACTGATGGCAGCATTGTGGGAAGCAAGTACATGCTTCACAGATGGGGTTGAACAAATAATAGCATGTGACAAAGTGAAGAAACACTAAGGCTAAGAAGGAATCAAAGAAAGAAAAATTCTTGGCACCTCACTTTTATCTTTGGCATACACAGGAGCACACATTTAGAAACGAAGGAAATATTGCCTTATGTTGTCATATACCTTAATGGGTTCAGGAATCGTGTGGCAAGAAAGTATATTCTAACTGATATATTCTTCGCTAGAGGTAGTTTTTCTCACAAACTTAAGTGCTTTATCAAAACAGAACTTTAGGTTTTTTGGTCAAATTGTTATGGGATCCTTGGGGCTGTTGCTTTTCTAGCCAGAAACCTCTGTGGCCGGTGGCGCCTTTTCCTGAGTTTTGCTCGGGCCTGCTGGGCCCACTTGGCCTAGCAGGCTGCATTTGGCTTGCACTACCGGCCTGGATCCCACGTCTCTGAGGAGACTGGAGCATAGTGGCAAGGGGTGTGTGAGTGAGCAATCCTGTAGTCTGGCCACGGCACACAGTCAGGCACGCTGGCTGCTGCAGCGGGGTGGGCAGCTCCACATGCCAACACAGGTGCCAGTTCCCTGTGAGGCTGCAGCTGGCCCAGTCGCACTGCAAGCAGCTTTCATGGCTGCCACCAGGGAATGCGGTGGTACCTGAAAGCTTGGAGACTCCAGGAACTGCAGGGCCCCAAATGAGGAGTCACAGCCCTGGCTTGGGGAGCTCCCAGGTCTGGGCCCCCTGAAGCGCCCCAGCTCTTATCTCCTTTTCTCTTATCTCCTTCTCTCTTCTCTCCCTCTTGTCGCCTGAAAGGTGGCAAGCAAGGGGCATGTTTCAGCCCTGTTTGTATTACAGCTTTTTTAGCCCCACCATTGGGTGGGTGCTGAGTTCTTGTCCTGCATACAGGAAGAATGACATATGCAGACAAGTGGAGGGTGAGTGAGATGAAGAGGAGCTTTATTGAACCATCAAACAGCTCAGAGGAGACCAGCAGAGGGTAGCTCCTCTCTGTAGCCTGGGTGTCCTAATGAGTGTTCAGCTCTCAGCAGAGAGGATAGATCCTCTCTGCAGGCAGGTTGTCCCAATTACAAAGGCAAGACTCCAATGATCTGTTCATCAAGGAAGAAAAAATTATGGGTGAGCCATGAAAAATGTGGTGATGAACTAATTTGTAATTTTTATCGTTTGGTATCAATTTGTAATTTTTATCATTTAATGCCATTCTCAAAAGAAAAAGAAAGATTGTGAGAGAGAAAATATTAATAAGGTTCAGCTGCAACCATGATTGCACTAAAAAGTACACAAAAAGCAACAAGAAATTCCCAACAGAACACATGCCAGGGCACAGCTTCTTTTGTTCTCGTTACTTTGACAATAAATTTTAATATTTTCCAGAGATTTGGATGGATATGATAAGCAACTATGTTTATAGTAATTTGATTACATCTGTTAAATTAAAAACAGCTAAGAAGTTCATGTATTCTTTGCTATTTGGAGAATAATGAGCAACTAAAGAGACTGGCATCTATGGAAATTCCAAACAAATTTGGTCCCATTTAGTTCTTACAATAATTGAAATGAGGGCAAGATTACATATTCTATGAGATCATCTTGCCTGAACTATCTTACTCAATTATTCTCTTCCTGATATTGAGTTAGTTCTATTGCATCATTAAAACTTTTTATGATGCTACATTAGTTATGTACTTTATCCACATCTTGAAATTTATTTGTTTTTTTGTGGACTATACAATTTGAGTTCCTGCAATTCTACGTGCATCATCAGTATTCATAGCTGTAAAGCATGCATTTCTTTCTAAGTGACTTTTCAATAAAATAAATAAGAAAGTACAATGCCACTGGGAACATGTTGACTCTAGTTCAGCTTGTTTCCTGGAAGTAAAAATATTACAGGCAACCTCTAGCAATCCTGTTTTATACAATATTATCATACTAGTCTAACTCACAAAATTATAACCATTTTGGTGGTGGAACAAATCTTGCCAAGCAAGATCCAGGTTAATGGGTTTAGACATATTAAAATAAAGATAGCATGTGGTACAAATACTTCTATTAATTGCTAGTTGACCAGGCACACATTCTCTTGGAAAACCAGCAAGGCTAATCCCTTGATTAAATTTATTTGATGAAACACAAAGAGTAAAACTTTAGTTATCTGAAAACCATTTGGAGATTAGTTTAAGACAATACCATTAAAATATTATAGGGCTTACTATCTGCTAGACATAATGCTAGTACTGGAGAAAATAAGATGGATCTCTCCCTGAAGGAGACCATAGTTATGCTGACAAATGATGCCAGAACATTGTGGTAGATTCAACAATGGATACAGGGCACAGTGATGGAGGGCATAGGAATAGAATGGGTACATTCTGGGGAACAACTGCATGAGGTTACAGAGAGATGGGGGACTGAACAATGAGAAAGGAGATGTGAGAAACAAAAAGGTAAGGGAAACGAAGACGAGAAGAACTATTCCAGTCAGAGGAAAGAGAGGCTCACAAAGCACTGAGAAGAGCAGTGTTATAATAAGATATTTGAAGAATTGCAAATATGTCACATTTACAGGGAAGAGAAGTTTGAGACTATACTGAGCAAGAATCAAAGTCACATACGTATGGAGGAATGACTTACACAGCATGTAAGAACCTTGGAGTTTTGCATGTATACCAGTGATATCCAAACACATAATTAGCAAAATAAAATAAATTTTAAAAAGAGCATTCCTTTGATATATGTGTGTTCACTTATTTATGTAATTGTATGTAAACTTCATTAGATAAGTTTTTTTTAAAAAAACAAAAACCTATTGTATTTAATGATATCTTTCTATTGTCTATAACAGTACCTGGAAAGGGGAGTCTTAATAATTAGCTATTGAGTGAATGATATACCTTACTAAACACAAATAAAAACAAATTCCAAGGGGATGTGCTAAAGATGAAAAAAATGTAGTTTTAAGAGTTCTTCTAATTGGGATGGGTTTATATTGTTATTAGCTGATATCCAAAGTTCAATATATACTTTGAGGTTCATCCATCATGAAAGCAGATATAAATTAGTATTTCTAGTAGTCTTCTTAATAATGTTAAACATTTTTGCCTAGCGTCTTATCAAATCTTATTAGATCATCCTTTTCTTTACCTTGAGTTGGCACTGGGTGTTAAGGGAAGAAGGTGTTTCCGTTCTACAAGTTTTAACTTGCTCTTTTGTGCTTATATTCTTAGTATTATCTTCAGTCAGTGATTTTTTGGATGAATATTTTTAACCACTCATTCATTTTCTGAAATTTTGTCTAGTAAAGACTAAGTGATGTAATTAATGATATAGTTTGGCTCTGTGTCCTCACTCAAATCTCATGTCAAATTGTAATCCCTATAATCCCCATGTGTTGAGGGAGACACCTGGTGGGAGGTGATTGGATCGTGGGGGCAGTTTCCCCCAGGCTGTTCTTGTGATAGTGAGTGAGTTCTCCTGGGGTCAGATGGTTTTATAAGGGCCTCTTCCCACTTCACCCTTTACTGTTCTCTCCCCTGCTACCATGTGAAGAAGGTCCTTGCTTCTGCTTCGCCTTTTGCCATGACTGTAAGTTTTCGGAGGCCTCCTTAGCCATGTGGAACTGTGAGTCAGTTAAACCTCTTTCCTCTATAAATTATCCACCTTGGGTAGTATCTTTATAGCAGTGTGAAAATGGACTAATATAATTAATAAATGTACTTGCTGATACATAGAGTGAGAGTATCACCATCAAACTTTTCACTGAGGCACCCCATCTCTTACCTCTGAATTCTTATTATTTCCTGTGTGACCACATATCAGTGGAACTGAGGCAAAGTACCAGAGCCTACCTACAATACAACTCAGTGCACTTCTTTTTAAAGATAAAAAATGTGGTGCAATAAATGTAAATGTTTTAACATTTGTTTCTTATACTGTAAAGGATTGTCTTTTCCCTCTGAAGGGCATACATCACCATTTGGAGACTGTGATTATGAAAACTGAAAACAATGGAAAAGTATTAAAAACAGAGTGACATATTTAGACTTCAATTAAAAGAATTGGTCTGTAACTAAGTTTCTTAGACAGCTTTAAGTATGTGTTTTAATTTTGTCATTTTGGCTGAATAGGAAACTCTCTAATATGTAGTTTAGATTTATTTAATTTATTAATTGCTATTATAACAGTATTTATCTTTTTCAACACTATTAGAATGTGCAGCAATACAGAGAGCTCTTTAGAGTCTATTACAGTTTTAAAAAACATGTGTCGGCTGGGCGCTGTGGCTCATGTCTGTAATCCCAGCACTTTGGGAGGCCAAGGTGGGCGGATCACTTGAGGTTGGGAGTTCGAGACCAGCCTGACCAACATGGAGAAACTTCATCTATACTAAAAATATAAAATTTGCTGGGTGTGTTGATGCATGCCTGTAATCCTAGCTACTTGGGGGGCTGAGGCAGGAGAATCGCTTGAACCCGGGAGGCAGAGGTTGTGGTGAGCCAAGATTGCGCCACTGCACTCCAGCCTGGGCAACAAGAGTGAAACTCCATCTCCAAACAAACAAACAAACAAAAACATGTGTCTCTATATTGTGGCCCCATATTATTATTCTTTTAAAATCCCTATTGTTGATTTTCAGAAAGCTTTAGCCTCTTCTCCTATATCTAGCTATTATTATTATTATCATTTCCTTCTTGACTCATCCAATTTAATATATATTTAGAGAACATGAAAACAAGATTACAGGGCTTAGAAAAATTATATCTAAAATAAGGCAAAATGTTTCTGAGTTAGGGCCTGAGGGATATTCCTCTATGCAAACTGAGTATGTGGCTGATTATGTGGACTCAATAATTCTAGTCTTTTTGGAAGCCTTTTTGGCTCAATTTTTGAGTGTAGGATAAATTCCAGATAAATATAAATACTACTAGACCTCTGAGTTCTGGACAAAGAAAGCATGACTCTATGTTTTACACATAGTGTTGATGGTTGCTCTTTATAAAGACTGGTTAACATTTCTTTTCATTTGTTAGGACATTTGGACTTCTAAACTTGCTGAATGGAGGGGACTTGAGTAGATACAAACAGGGAAAACTTAATCCTGGCATGCAAATTGACTACTGAAAGCAGGATCAAGAAAGAGGAAGAAAAGAGTAAGGAGGATAAATGCATACAAAATCTAGAACTTACTGTGAGCAGGAGCCCTTTCAAACTGCAAGTGAACCCTGCATAAAGTCACAGTTTAGAGATATAAGAAGGGGTACCTGTGCTGATGGTCAGAGAGAGGCCACGACCACTTGGGTGTGACACAGTAATGATACCTTGGCAATGAGCACTGCCAGGCAAACAATACTCAATGGGTGCCTAAGAGGAATTTAGGCTGAGCTGACCTCCAAATAAATCAACTTATGATAAACAAAACTGCCTCCTTCATATGTTATTGGATGCCCAATGAATCAAGATTGTATTTATTCCACTGACTATGGGCTATTCACCCATCTTTTATAAAAATATTCATAAATATAGAAAAGCTCTAAAGGCAATATAAGAACACATATACATCTTTTCAGAATTATCCTATTTGCCTCAGGCTTGTTTAAAGGAATGAAGTGTTAAAGATGCAGTTTAACTTCTTTTTAAATCCCTTCCCAGCCTGAGAATTGAGAGAGTGTGCCTACTACTACTAAGGGCAATTTTGGAGTTTGATAAATTAACTGGGAAAAAATGAATATGTGATTTTATTTTTGTCTCAAATTCTGGGTTATGCTGCACATAAAGTAAAGGGAAGTATTACACATTCTTTTTCTACAGATTTGTTTTTCTTTTTCATCATGTAATAGTGCGTCAAATGTCTTATCAGATATTCATTAGGTCTGCTTGACGGACAGCAGTACATTTGTTTTGGCACATACATTGTGGGTAAGGAGTTTCTAAAGTCATGTTTAATGAAGTTACATAGCTTTAATACCTGACGAGGGAGTGCCCCGACTAAGCAACCACAAGGGAAATAAAATGATTAAAACATCCTAGCTGCTGTTCTTTTTCACTTAGGAAACACAGACTACCAGATGCAGATATTTTGGGTGCAAGGTTTGCCTGTGGACAAATTATTCATCTTTCCCATATTATATTTTCTTCTGGATCATAAGATAGGAAAGATTGTTACAGGTTGCATTCCCAGGAAGCAGACACAGATTTGGGGGTTTGCATGCAAGGGTTTTTATTGTGTAATGCCTTGGGAACACTCCTTAAGAGAGTGAGGGAGGCAGGCTTTTGCAGAGGGAAAAGTTGAACTGTGATGCAAATACAACACAGGACTTAGCTGATCCCATGGAGCTCTTGAAAGCAGGGTGGCCCTTCTCAGTTGTCCCCATTTGAGGCAAGAATGAAAAGGCTTGCTTCTGTGGAGGGAGCGATAGCCGTCAGTGAGGCAGTTCCTCATGGTCTAAGGCAATTTCAGGAGAGAGCCTTAAGTGCGCAACATCAGCAGGAAACGCTACCAGCATCAAGAGAAATGAGTGCTGCAGTCCTGAAGGGGGAATCCCCAGGGTTCGCCATAGCACTCAGCCTGTACATGCAGTGTATTTAAAATAGCACAAAGCAGATACAGGGGCGTGTATATTGTTAATAGTCAAATCATATGTTGTTAATAGTCAAAACATATGTTACTAATAGCCAAATAATCATTCAGTTTCATCAGGGCAGCTATCCAAATTAATGTAATTTGATTTTTCTGCAAATATATATTTTATTCTTAGTAGTAAAATTATAAAACTATATGAATTTTTTTGTATCTTTAAACAATTAAACCATTAAAATACCTATTTAAGAACTATTTCATGAAGATGATCTCAAGCAATCAGACAGTAAGGGGATGTGCAAAAGTAAGAAAAGCCATGTTCATTCTAAGGAAACAGCAATATAATTTGACAGATTAAATATACAGATGAGAAGAGTCATGTAACCACACATAAGAAAGTGCATAATAATGTCATAGAATGAAGGTGCTAACACAATATAGATTGTGGAAGCTGCCAGAGTATGTTGGTGTCTGTGCTGGTGAAGAAATATCATTAATAAAAGGAAGAGTTGAAGTTTTTCCTTTTACATTTCTCCAAAGGTACTGCTTTTAGCAGGTTAAAGGTAATTATTGCCTCATTATTCTTTTTGTAAATACCTAGGTTATCAAAAGTTATCAAAGGAAAAATGGAACAGATACATGTTAGTTTCCAAAATTGTTTAGTCCAGTGAAACTTAATTTAAATGATGTTGCAATTGTATGACTTTGGTTACAATCTGGATTAAGTAATTTCCCCGAGTAGTTCTCTGTATACCTATAATGGAAAAGACATAGAACGTAAGTATTATTCTTGTGTTCATAAGAGCAGAGTTGTGGTCCTGATCTATCAGAAGTCAGAATTCTGGTGAAAATGCATTTACCATGTTGTTAACCATATCTCTGAGATATACAGCTATTGTCCTCTATATGATAGCCTATGATGTTAACCATTCCTTACATTTAGAAAGAAAACAACTACATTTAGAAGTACTAATCCTGTAGTTCCATAGGATTCTGGAAGAAATCTGACTACTGAGGCTGATTGATTGATTGGAATGATATGATGTTTGAGTATAATGTCTGAATATAAGAATTATATAGAATAATCAGGGCCCAGGCTAGACTAGGTTTTGTTCTGAAAGCTTCCTTGAAAGTTGAAAGTTTGGAGTTCATGGGAAAATTTACCCAGTAAGTATCATTTTCCTTGAAATAAAGTTACAAATGAGAGGTAGTCCTAGGCTAGTTCTCAGATGTTTAACAAAACTTGATTTTATTAGATCTAACTTTGTGTCAAGGTTTCACTAAGTATGGATCCCTTGGTGAGTTGTGAGCTCCAGAGGTGACATGGAACTCTGGTGGCAGAAGGGGTCCCCAGGGAGGGGAGAATGAAGGAAGCAGAGCCTCCAACAACTTGTATCTCATCATGGAGAGAAAAAGTGAGCTGAGCAGTAAGGGAAGAATGTCTGTTGAATAAATTAATGCCATTTTGACCTACAAGTTGTTTTCATGTTAGGGATTGTTTTAGATGATATTTTAGGATAATGCTTTAAATAAATAACTCAGTTTGATAGTTTTAATTCAAATTCATTTTGATATTTGATTCAAATTTATTTCACTTTGATAATTTTCCACTTGCTTGTGGTAGTTTTAAAATATGTCTTTACTTTTTGGTCTTAATTTTTACTTTCTCTTGAATTGTATTTATTGCCTAAGTAACATCATAGTAACAATACAATAAATCAAATAGAAGAAAAATTTACTCACCGTCTCCTCATGCTGACGTATCAGCTGCTTTCATTTTTCTATTTTCTTGTCTAGTGTTTCCACACATAAACATTATAACCAAAACAGAGACACTTCTGTGCTCTGCTCTTTTTCAGTTGGCATTGTATCATGTTTTATGAGTCTTCATCCTTTCCCCTCTACCACTCCTAAAAACAAGAAACCCTTGGCCTTCCACATTCCATGTTGGAGGCCCAGGCTTATAAACCTCTGCCCTGGGCATTGATTTTTATGCATCTTCCTTTCATGATGGGGCTGTATGTTCCACCTATGAGAACATGCATCTCTGTGGATGTCTTCTCCAATTAGAAGGGAATGAGAAGGGAGTGACTTTCCATTCTCCTCTTAAAAGTGCAAAGAAACTGTACCTTCTCAGACAGCACTTTGGGGATGCATATTGTTTTCAGTGTCATTTGAATTTAAAGGTAATTTCAAGTTTTATAGTTGAAACACTTCTCAACTGGTTCCCTTGGTGTGGTGCCTGGCATGTAGTAGGCATGCAATAAGTGTTTATTGAATGAAGGATATTTTCATACAGGATTGCAATCAATTACATTAGCAGAAGAAAATTTCTCATAATGTATTTCCAAAAGAAAATTTGTTTGCCTACCAGAATAATTATGAAAAATAAACAAACAAAACCTAAAACAAAAATCATAATGCATTAAAACATACATTTTGAAGAATAATGCTAGCCATTGTCCTATTTGCTTATAGAAGTTTTAGACTCTTTTAAGCTTCACAACAACAACAACGTGTGATACTTTTATTTATACTCCTGTCTTGTAGATGAATAAGATGCAGAGAAGTTAAAGTTGCCCAATTAACAAGCAAGTGTTGGAGCTAAGATTTGGACACTGCCCTTTTGATTGCCAAGTCTGTGTTCTTATATCTTTGTAGCACCCACAGTATGCTTGTAGGTTTTAGATAGCATAAAGATCAGAAGGCTGTAGAAAGAGGCTTCTAGGTGTCCCTTTAAGTATGATGAGTTGGTGCTTTGGAGTGGGAATGTCAGCAGCTGTGATTTGCTGTGGGGATGTCCCTGATTCCATCCTAGTGGCTAAGAGCAGTTAACCTCTGGATTTTCTGAATTGTCTATAGGTGTAGATTTGAACTTTTCAGGACCTTCAGTCATTTAAAAGTGCTCATGCCTGGTACAGGTTACCTAACTGCTTAGGAAACTATAGAGAAGATGATACTTCCATATTATACTTGCATATGAAGTGTTTGGGGTTGGCAGGGGAATGCTACAGGTTCTGCCATAGAAATTTCTAAAAATTACAAGTTTGAAATTTAATATAATCAACCAAAAGGAAATAAAATGAAGTGAAATAAATTACTACATCTTTTAACAAGAAAAAGGATTCAATGTAATACTTGATTATATGTAGAGATGTGTTTTGTGAAATTATCTCGCATTTTAAAAGCTTATAAATGCTAGAATGAATATCTAATGTTTTGTAAAATTCTATAAACATATTTTACTTTTATTTATTTTGAATAAATTGTAATATGAAACTCTGTGTATCAATAAATACAACCTTAAGATAAAAATAAATATGTCATAGAATTTCAATGAAAATATTGGCTATGAGTACTTGTAATTTAACCTTTTAAATATTAGAACTAGTAGTAATAATGGAAGTTTTTTTTTAAAAAAATGTCGTATTTGGACCAAGCATCCACTAAGTAACTGTTGCCCTCTTCAGTTCACTGGGGAATTTTAAAAGACATAGCTAAACATTCCTAAAAATACTTCTGAGAAATACAACTCCACTTCATAGATATAGTAAGTCAGTCAAAAACATTAAATGTCTGAGCACAATAGCAACATTCTATTTTAGTGTCAGGAATTAATTTTAGGAAATATGAGCTTTATTCACAATGTGATACTATAATTGTAGGTTATGGAAATATGCTGGGAAGATAACACCATAAGTGTCAAAGTGAGGCAATTTAAAATGAAACTTAGTTTTTTTTAATGATTGAATTAGTGTCCTTTATGTTATTCAAAATACTTAGTTTTCAGAATGAGGCAAGGATGTTACAACTAGTAACTTAGAATCAGAATGTGGATCCATGTTTGTATAATATATATCTCATGAACTGTGCTTCTGACCTGCCAATATTTCTCAAGATTTTTACTAGAAAGGTAGTACAAATTTGAAACACAAATCAACAAAATTAAAACTACAAATGCACTAAAAACTATAATTTTGAGTTTTGAAAAAATTATCCATCTGCTTAAGTGATGAAGTCATGACTAGCAACTAAACCGAAGACAAAAGATACACTGATTAAAAATGTATGATCTATAATGCTTTTACATATCTGTCCGAGAGTCTCAACTTTTGTATTTGAATGGCCTTCCTTAGTTATTAGTGCTTCTTAATATTTATGCCAAAATGAAAATGTGTTTGAGGCATATATAATAAATCTACCAGAATTCACTTTTCTCACTTATATCTGGAACAATATTAGCTCAGTTAATTTTATCACTAGCTTATTTGTGTGAATTGCATTTAACAAAACAAAGAGTTATTATTGACAGTATTAAAGAAAAACATTCGGCGAGTGTTGGCCATAGCCAGGTATTCACTTTGAGCTTTACGCTCTTTATCTCATGTAATCTTCAAACAACCCTGTGAGATGGAAATATTATTATCTCTATTCTATAGATAGAATTTCTATAAAATTATAGACAATTTTGTTTTCAAATATACTAATGTTTCTTCCTTGCTATGTCTAAGGTATAAAGAATCCATCCTTTGTATAGAACTAACATAATAGTCTAACTTGATACAATTGAAGAAAGCTATCTTTGTAGGCTTTCAGATAGTCTATTTCAGCTGCATTTTACTACCATCCTTAAATAAAGGATTTGTTTTGTACCAACAACTTTGGAAAATATACTTTTGGGCTACTAGAAAATTTACTAACTTCATTGTCGGGGTTAAAGTTAGATGCTTACTGAAAGAAATTCATCAAGATCTGCCATTAACACTACAGTTATGTCCCTCAGTACATACAGGAAGTTGGTTCTAGTACACCTGCATATACTAAAATCTGCACATACTCAAGGCCAGTTGTCAGCCCTGAGGAAACTGAGTACACAAAAAGTTGGTCCTTCCAATATGCCTGCTTTGTATCCTAAGAACACTGTATTTTTCAATCCATGTTTGGTTAACAAAAATCTGCCTATAAGTGGACCCTTGCAGTTCAAACCCATGTTGTTTGATGGTAAACTATATTTGTAAATAATTAGTGAGTAGGAATTAACCACGTGGCAAGGTTTTTTTATTGCAATGTAAAAAATGTTCAGCACACTTTTATAAAATAGCTTAATATTGTAGCTGTACATCTAAAGGGAAACTGATAAGCACAGATATCACTATAGTTGTGAATCGAACTGAATAATGATTAGAAGAACAAACATTAGAGTGAATAAACTCAGCAGAAAGGACATGTTCTTTCATTTCTCTTGTGTAACTATCTAGATTTGGACAAGCTGAGCCATATGGCAGGTATATGTTTACTTTTTGAAAAATCCCCAAACTGTTTTCCAAAGGAATTGTTCCATTGTACATTAAGATCAACAATTTGTGAGTGTTCCAGTTCCTTTACATCCTTGCTAGCACTTGGAGCGTTAGTCATTCTAATCAGTATGTACTGGTACCTAATTATGATTTGAATTTGCATTGCCTCATAACTAATGATGCTGAGCTACTTTTTCTGAGTTTATTTGCTATCTTCACATTTTCTTTGGTGAAATATTTCTTAAAATCTTTTGCCCATTGTTTTTATTGGGATATCTGTTTTCTTATTTTTGAGTTTTGAGAGTTATTTATATATTCAGGATGCAATTTATATATTCAAGATGCAAGTTTTCTGATGGACATATGATTTGTAAATATTTTCTCCCAGTGTATAGCTTGTCTTTTCATTCTCTTAAGAGGATATCTTAAAGATTTGGACATAAATGTTCATATAAGCTTTATCTGTAATAGCCAAAATATGGAAACAACCTGAATATACACCCACAGGTGAGAAGATAAACAAATGGTGGTATCTAATCCATGGAAAACTATGCAGCAAAATAAAGCAAAGAATTGTTGATGCATAACATGTCAGCTGAAGAATCATGAGGTTCATAAACTTAGAGTAGGGAATTCTATGTTTTATAAAGGGTTGCTACTGGGGAAATGTAGCCTCTGATAGAAACCAGAAGCAGATATTCATAGAGAAGAGTGACATAGAAATTTATGCTGAATGAGTCATCTAAGTACGCGTATTTAACAGGTTATATGAGAAGTTATAACTATTCACAAAGGGGGCATGTATACATGCATAGTAAGCAAACTTACATGTTACATATGTCCCATGTTCACTTTCAATGCATGAAAATTAGGCTGTGTGCATCAAGAGGTGAAATGGAAGAAGCAAAGGCATTTTGTGTGCAGCCTCTGTAAACTGACCAAAAGCAGTCTATTATTGGTGGTCCTTTGTCAGAAAGAAATACAGGTCAGTTGTGTAGATCAGCAGCAAAGCACAGCTTTCAAAAGGGCTGGTTTCTGTTTAACATATGGGGCTGGTTTCTATTTAACTCATAGCCTAATGGCGATTACTGAAGGAGGAGGTATAAGGAGGTGTGTTCAACCTCCTATCTTGTCATGGCCCAAATTCAGTTTTTAAGTTTCTCTGGGGTGCCCTAGCCAAGAGAGGGTTTGTTCAGTCAGTTGGGGGGCTTAGGATTTTATTTTTATTTCTCAGACAACATGGGTTGTTCTCAAAATAATTATGCTGAGTGAAAGAAGCCAGACCCAAAAAGAGTACACACTTTATAATTACATTTATATAAAATTCTAGAAAATGCAAACTAATTTATAGTGACAAAACATGATAAGTGGCTGCATGGAAATAGAGTGGGAAGTGGGAAGGATTACATTAAGGCATGAGGAAATTTTTGGAGGTGATGAGTACATTCATTATACTGCTTTCAGTGATGATTTCATGGGTTTATTCATGTGTTCAAACTTGATTTGTATACTTTAAATATGTACAGTTTGTTGTATGTCAATTGTACCTCAAAAAAGCTGTTTTTAAAATCAGCAGAAATTTTGCATTATACTCCTTTTATTTGTGCTCTTAATTGAATTACCAAAAAAGGAAAAAAAGTATAGTACTCTACCTAAAGTTATACTGCATTTCATTCCTATTGTTGTAACACCATTTGGCTCATTCTAAGGTAAAACATTAACATTGCAAAGGGATAAAATACTTGCCCTTCTCTTTTAAAGTTTAAGATGAAGAAGTTTCATTCTAAAAGTTCAGTTTAGAAAATAATGCATCATAAAATTCTCAGTATTTATATTGACTGTGAGAAGAACATATTAAAAAACTGGTTTTCATAGAAAACATAATAAATTCTGTCCTTGGCAAGACATGTAATTAAAAGCTTAAAAAAATACCACCAGCAGGCATTAATTTCATATGTCAGATCATGCAATAGGAAGTAATTGATTTTTTTTAAGTTGGATGATTGAAATAGGATATTTAGAAAGAGCAGCATGAAATAAAGCAGGTCAACAGAATCATTTGGGGAAGGGTTATAAATTTCACTGAGCATTATTGACATATTTTCTGGCTTTCCTGTTTTATGGCTCTTGAAATATATAGCACAGTTCTTAATACTGAGTTAAACAAGACTGAGTTCCAGCAGAAGGCCGGAGGCAGGTTCCATGGGATCTGCTGGGAGTAGCAACAGTTTACAGCTCACCACCCACAGGCAGCAGCTGGCCCAGGACTGTTCTCCTCATTTCCACTCCCAATTGCTGCCCTTCCTTATGTGCCTCAGAGGAAGAAAAGGGCTTACTCTTCTGCTACATTAGCCCTTGTTTCTTCTATTTTTCCCCCTAGATAATAGATTATCTTTTCATTTTATTCATGCTTCTTAGCCATGTCCTATTAATGAAAATAAATATTTTCATCCTGAATTAGCATTTAGTCTACCTTAATTCTTCCTGTTTTTTGCCTCCGTGTATACATTTCCTTAATTTACTGTTTCAAATCTGCTTATAGTACTGGACATCCTATTAAAGTTGTTACAACTACAGAGGATAGAGAGAAAGAAATTTCAGAGGACTGCTCCCTTCATTTAAAAGTTGCGAGTATCATTTACTTCTTGCTTTAATTATTTTGCAACATACCTCCTTGACTTTATAGATAATTATAGGTATTAATTAATGATAACAATTTTAATAATTTTTAATAACAGTGGAACTCTTCAAATGAGAATTTTGAAGAATTTGTGCATGTCATGTAATGAAAGTATAAATGTAAATTACTTCTTAAGAAATTCTTGCAACATGATTAAAGGAGACATTTTCATTTGGGATAAGAGCAAAAATATAAAAACGTCTTTTTGCTTTCATAAATGTCTTACTTAGAATGGCTTTAGATTTATAGGAAACTATTTTTTTTTTTTTTGAGATGGAGTTTTGCTCTTGTTGCCCAGGCTGGTGTGCAGTGGCGTGATTCTTGGCTCACTGTAACCTCCGTCTCCCGGGTTCAAGTGATTCTCCTGCCTCAGCCTCCTGAGTAGTGGGATTACAGGTGCCTGCCACCACGCCCAGGAAATTTTTTGTATTTTTAGTAGAGACAGGGGTTTCACCATGTTGGTCAGGCTGGTCTCGAAGTCCTGACTTCAAGTGATCCGCCTGCCTTGGCTTCCCAAAGTGCTGGGATTACAGGCATAAGCCAATGCACCTGGCCATATTTATAGGAGATTTTTGAGGATACTACAGTCACCACATACTCTGTACCCAGTTTCCCCTATAGTTAACTTCTGTAGATATTATGATACTTTGTTACAACTAATGAACCAATATTGAACCATTATTATTAACTAACTTTTATAATCTATTTGGATTTTGTTAGTTTTTACTTAATATTCTTATTCCATTCCAGAATCCCATCCAGAATACCACATTACATTGAGTCATCTTGTCTTCCTAGGCTCCTCTTGGCCATGACAGTTTCTGAGGCTTTCCTTGCTTTTGATTACCTAGAAAGCTCTGAAGAATACTCAGAGGTATTTTGTAGTGCCCCTCAATTTGGTGATGTTTCACTCATAGATTGGTTAGATTGGGGTATATAGGCTTTGAGGAGGACAGTCACAGAGGTCAAGGTCATTTTCATCACATAATATCAAAGGTGCATGCTATCAACATGATTTTTCCCTGATCATGTAAACATAGATCACCTCATTGAGTAGTGTTTGTCAAATTTCTTCATTATAATCTCCTCCCCCTTCTACTTCCCCCTCCTGAATGTCTATACTGTGCTCTTTGAAAGGAAGACACTAAGTGTAGCCCCACTCAAGTGGAGAGGGAGTTAAACTACACCTTTTTGAGGGGGAAGATATACACAAATTATTTGGAGCTTTTCTGTACACATTTCTCTTCTCCCTCATTTACGTATGTCTGTATATATTTAATTATTTAAGCATTCATTTATATCAGTATGAACTCATAAATATTTACCTTGTGCTTTGGGATACAAATACTACTTCATTTATTTTGTTGCTCATATTCCTTCAGCTTTGGCCATTGGGAGCATTCAAGCTGGCACCTTTGTCACTACCCCATGATTTTGTGTTTTGAGCACTTCCTTCCTCTCTGACACTACAATATGCTCCAGGCTTGTCTTGTATTTTTCCTATATTAATCCTAGAAGTCACTTCTTTAAGGGTATCTGTTTCTTTTTATTGGAGAATGTTATTAGAAACTATAATCTGAATACCAGGTATGCTCTTGCTACTTGGCATGTTATTGCTTCTGGGCACTCTTAGTTGACAAAACTAGGAAATATGTATACATGTAATAACCCTTGGATGTACACGCATCTATAATCATTCATCTGTTAGCATTTTGCATGTTTTAAAAGCTAAAAAACACTACCATACTCCTTGTAACATTATACAACTTCCTGGTCTCAAAGTATTTTAAAGATGCTAAAATTTATCCATTTTAAAGATCTATCCATTTTGTCTATTACTTTATCTTATTAATAATCCACAATTTATGTATTTATTCCTTTTTTGATGACAATTTAAGTTTTTTAAAATTTGTTATTACAAATGATATTATTTACAATTTAGGCCATAAAAGTATTTTTATTTATTTTTGAACATGTGTCTCGTAAAGTTTCTCCAGAGTATACCAATAAGTGAACTTGCTGGATCATAGGGTATTTATATATTGATTGCATTATATATTGCTAAGTTGCTACCCAAAATGATTGTTTCAATTTATATTCCCAACAAATGTAAGAAAATCTTTGTTCCTACATATTCTCACCAGAAATTTATACTGTCTAATTTATTGATTTGTATGAATCTTATATTTTCAAAATAGTAGCTCACTATGGCTTTAATTGGCTTTTTCTTGGTACTTGTGAGGTTGCATATCTTTTTTTAGAATTATCAACCACTGGGTTTGCCTCATCTTTGTCCATGGTATCTTTTATTGTTCAGAAGTTTATCTTACTGTAATTTAGTGTAAAATTAACTGAACGTTTCCTTTATGCTACGTACTTTTTGTGTGTGTATAGGTTTATTTTCATAATTGTTCTCTATCCCCAAGTCATAAAGGTATTTACATTTTTAAAAAATGTTTTTTGAGTTTTGGTTTCATGGTTATATTTTTAATCAATCTCGGCATTTATTTTTTGCAAACTGTGAGGTAAGTTTCCAATTTTATTCTTTTCCTCATGGCTGGTCAATTCTCCCACAAAGTTTATGGGATTCTCTATCCTTGCTGTGTTAGTTGAGTGACACATCTGTCACAATTCAAAATTCTTTTTATACATGATTTATTTCTGTGCTCTCTGTTCAGATTTGTATTTTTTGTTATCTTTGGTTTATGCATTTTATTTATAAAGTTGTAAAATGCTGGAGTAATTTCCATTTAACAATATAGTAACTTAGATTATTACAATTTGAATAGAGATTATTTTAAGTGTAGCTATCTCATTTAAGTGTGTCAAATTGGCAATAGGTTTTCATGATAAGAGTTTAATTATATTCATATTTAAAGTTATGTATGACTAGTATTTTAGAGATCTTACTAGGGATACACAGAAGAAAAAAGAAAACTTAGACTTGAAGATAGTAGAAGTGAATCTATTATAGGATATAGTTAAAATTTCCAGTCTTTCACCTCCTAATTATCTTACTTGTACTGGGGTTGATGCAAGTTTTAGACTCACAAACTCACATTTCCCAGTAATATGAGTCCATTCTGCTTGTCCCTTCTATAATACATGGTCATGAAAATTTAATGAAGCATTGAGCAACTCTTACTCATTGAATGAAAACCTACCTAAAAACTTTTTTGAGAGGCAACCCAGGCAGTCCTTCTCCAAATGAATTTATTTATTAGAATATGTAACTAACAATTGTAAAGCAAATATGGGGAGGAAAAAATAAATAAAGTCAAAGAATAGACAGAAGTAGAATGATGGTGAAGAAAAATGTATTGGAACTAATTAAGAAGAGAAAGGTCAGAATGAGCCAGGTGCTGTTTTTTCATTTATTATAAGGTTGAATTCCATTTTTAAAAGTTAAAATTTAGGATAAATTTGACTATTACATATCAGTCATTAAAGAGGATGAACTATGAGATAAAAATAATTACATATAAAAAGTGTAACCACATAAAATATAGCAATTAAAATTTCTGGAAAGAAGTGAAGGTTAAAGAAGAATGCTTATGATTGAAATATATTGCAACACAAATAGTTCTAATTATGCTGTATTGAGAAATTCAACAAACAGGTTAACATGTAAAAATCCAACACGAGAATTGTTTTAGTGAAGGATTTGTAAAAATATATAATAATGAAGACATCAGTATTCCATATTGATATTACTCTCCATTCATTATTTTACTTCATAACTTTTTTTAAATCTGAAAGTAAAATGAGAAAACCTGAAGAACCTGTACTTGTAGCTTTGAATGAAGTAACAGGGACCAGGTTTAACCCTGTTGTCATAAACGACTGAAAAAACCATATTCCCACCCCCTGCCACCCAAAAAAGTAGCACCACTCTTTAGCATTGAACTACAGACATCAGGACCATGATTACTGAGAAAAGGAAACCTAATAAGGTGAGGTGAGTGCCACAATTCCCTCAGTTTACTGACTAGAGGCAGTTCCCAAGATGTAGTGAGCTGAGAAGAAACTCAAACAGAACCCCAAAGTCTCACTGAGTTGTAGAGACAGAGATTGGGAATTTGGGAATCCAAGACAGCCACAATCTGTGGGACAGAGAGGAGGGAGTTGCATAGAATAAGAACTTCAGAGATCTGTGGGCAGGGATGTGGTGTGCTGGGGGAGCTCATCACTGGCTGAGTACTTACCTACGGCATGTACTAGAGGAAATTACCCAGGTGTGGGAAAACAAAAATAAAACAAAACAAAATAAAAATAATGCAAAGCAGTAATCCAAGCATATAAGAAAATAGTTCGTATTCCTACAAATGACAGTGGAAAAATCTCATAATACCTGCAGCACTGGGTTGAATCCTCACAAGAAAGTTGTGTTGGTAATGGAGTTAAGTTAGCCTTAACCTAAAAATCCACTCTAACGGAGCTCTGGATCCACTCTAACTGAGCTTAAAAGAAAGTCACAAAAGGCCAAACAAGCTCTAATACTCTTTAACAGAATACAACAAAATCCAGCAATGAACAAAATGAAATTACATAGTACACATTGCCCACCATTTGGTCATGTTTTCCTGCTTCTATGAATGCAGGGAAATTCAAAGAATGTAAGAATTCAAAAAAGCATGAAAATGTGACCCATAATCAGGAAAAACAAAACCAATATAAAAAGTTAGGAAATGGCAGGTTTTTCTTTTTTAAAAAATTAATTGATTGACTTTTCTCCTTGCCTCAAGTATTATAAAGTCTTTCTCTTCTTGTTGGTGGAATTCTCACACATTGCTAGTGGGAATGAAAAATGCCATAGCCACCTTGGAAAATATTTTGGAGTTTCTTTATAAAGTTATGTGTATGCTTACCGTGAGATTCAACATTCTTACTTTTAGGTACCCAAGAGAAATTAAAACGTATATTCTCACATATGTTTGTATATAAATGTTCATAATATTCCAAACCTTGATAGTATCCAAATATCCATCAACATTTCAATGAGTAAACAGATTGTGATATATCTATAGAATGGAATTCTACTCACTAACAAAAGGAACAAACTAGTGATACATACAACACGAATGAATCTCAAAATCATTGCTAAGTGAAAGAAGCGAAATACAAATGTTTAGAAGATACGGCTAGAAAAATCAAAATGTTGGTGATGAAAAGCAAATCTGGGGTTGCCAGAGGCTGGAGCTGGGGAGAGAAGATTGACTATAAGTGGCATGAGGAAATATGTAAATATGAATGCATACATTTTTCAAAACTCATTGAGTTGTACACTTAAAATTGGTGAATTTTATTGTATGTAAACTTTACCTGGATGAACTGAGTAAAAGTAAGTGGAATCAATTTTGGGGTAGAGCAAGTTTCTAAGACCTAAGACAGCTTGACTAATTTTTAAGTTTACTAGTCTTAAAAGAGAAAGAGTTTAGTAGTAAAAATCAATAGGAAATAATTGCCTGTGGTAAAATAAAGCTTCTTGAATTAATGTCAAACAAAGAAAAGTATGTCCACATTCAAAGAAAGCCTTGAAATAGTCCAAAGTAAACTGACATGCACTAAAATAGTCAGAAATAAACACTACATCCGAGTATTAGTAAAGCTAAGATTTTTGCAAGATTTAAGGTATTTTTAAAAATCAAATATATGGCCTTGAGTTCATTGCTGAAATGGTTAAGGTTTTTTCCCTCCTTTGATTTTTATAGTATCAGACACTTGTAATGAAAATAAAATTTAAAGAACAAGAACTGCATACAATCAATGACATGACTCATAGCTCTTCTCAGAGTTGGCATACTCCTTGTGGAAAAAGACAGTCATCATTCTGATTTTGAAACACTCGGGTGGGCAGCTCCTCCTCATTTTGGACAACCAAAGTATTTGCTCAGAAGGGTTTTCTTAAGAATTGTTTATTGCTTTTTCACGGTAACTGATGCAGTTAGGAAAATATGTTACTTTCAACATCATCATTCTTTATGCTGATTGCATCCTTGTTAATATGAAAAACTTGTAGCAGCAATTTCACCCACAATTAAATGGCTGGTCCTTCACTCAAGATATGTTCATTCATTTGTTCTTTTTTCTTCAATTAATTTACTCAAGATTGATTGTACATCTCATTTAATGATGCTGGGGGAGAGCCATTATCATCCAAAATTTTAACAAAACCTTAAAGGTAAAAATATAGTGAGACTGTCAGGGGCCAGTTACTCTGTATGGTTTTGTGGAATCTGAGTAGATTTCACATACTAATCTGACCGAACACAGAAATCATGTTTCTTTTTAACCGGAGGCTCTGTGAGAGGAAAGTTTCTTAGTTTATCTTTCATTGTTCCCAGTGTATTAGTCCTGAGAAGCCAAAACTTTCGAATCTTTGAAAATAATTTAAAACCCTAGAGAAAATTTGGGCCTTTTAAAATAAAAACTTTACAAGATCTCAGATGTTTGTGAAGGATACTTTTTATTTATCATTGAAGGCTAGAATTGTTTAAATCAAATATGCTTGATTTTTCTTTAATGGAAGGCTACCAAAGGTCATGGAAGTTCTGTTAAATCAAATCCTGAAATTTTCTTGGGCTTCTAGACTGTTGAAGCTGGACACAGTTATGTTTATTAAATCCATCTTTGTATTTTTGGCAATTAGTTTCTCACACCTTGACTTTAGAAATCTGGGAATCATTGACATGTCCAGCCTTCAAAGTATCTGAGGCTAATTTTTCATAGACCAACATTCCTAATTAGTGGTAATACTTTTGGAAATGCTTCCATTACTGATCCTCCAGGGATTCACACATGGCAAATGCATTTAAAACACCATCTATCATCTAGACCCCTACTTTCAAGCCCTCAAGAAAATGTTTTTGTAAACAATTGGCCCTTGAATATATCCTTTGAGCCAAGAAGTTTGTGTTTCATCAGACCAAAAGAAGAAGCACATTCCAGAGAGGAGGATTCTCTGAGGACAAAACATTGTGTCAAGATCTGGCGCATTCTGTCATTTCTGAGCTTGCTGCAAGTGATGTCATAAATTCAAGGTCAAGAAGAACCATTACATGCCACCTCCAAAGACCCACTTTTACAGCTTCCAGCATGTGTTGTGAAACATTTCTTCTAATTTCTAAAATTGAAACAATTACTATGATCTACAAAATTTGAAGAACAACTATGAATCAATAATTTACTGCTATAATCAACAAAGGATAAATTAACTTCATCTGACACATGCTGAATAATCTACATAAATATGATTGCAAGTCATGGCAAGTATTCGTAAGTGGTAAGTAACAATGATAGTGATATTTACACAGCCAATTTGAGCATTTATAAGGGTCACTTGGAAATGTGAGGGTAGGCTTGGCTAAAAATGAAACTGCCTAGAATTTCTACTTAAGACACTGTAACAAGAAACACCTGAAGTGCATGTTAAAAACATTATTCTTAATCATTACCAGTAAAGATGCCAGATAAAATACAGGATATCAGCAGATTTGAATTCCATATAAACAATAAATAATTGTAGTTCTGTGTATTTTATTTCAGATAAATAATTAATAATTATACTTCCATATTTTATTGCTCAATGGGGCAATATGCAGGAATGAACCTTCAGGTGATTAGAATCTCAGGTGATTCTTATTATCAAGAGAGTTAGAAAAACATGGCTAGAGGTGACTGCTGCCATTTTCTTTCTCCGGCAAAGAACTTCTAATTCTTAGTTAGACTTGGTAGGACTTACTCACTTTTCTTGAGGAATTAAGATTGGCAAGGTAGCCTGAGTCCTTCTCCAGGCAGGAAGGGAGAAGCAGAAGGACAGAACCTTTGGTCCAGCTACAGTAGGGAGCAGGTGGTGCCAGATTACCTGTCAGGTAAACTCGTTTTCTTTTTCCCTTTTCTACAGTGGTTCTGTAGGAAGAAATACCTAAATTAGATAATATTGTGTGTGTGTGTGTGTGTGTATGTGTGTGTGTGTGTGTTTGAAATGGTATAATATAGGAGTTCTGTTTAGAATAATTTATGTTGGAATTGATGGCTAGAGATGTAAATAAAAGAAGATTGGTCAATAATGGATAATTATTGAAATCGTATGTTATATATTTGCGTGTCTGATATTATTCTATGTTGGTATATTTTTGAAATCTTCTGTAACAAAAAAATTGAAAAATTTCAAAAAAGATCTTTGTTAACTGCATCTTGTGTGGTTAGAGTTAATGCAAGACAACTGCAGCAAAACCAAATAATTTAAGATAATTAAGTTAATTATCTCACTAGCATATTTCCATTGCAATCTTTCTTTATAATTCTTTGTCTAATATGTCATGCTTAGAACCTTACAATGACATCCCTACAAGCCTCTATTTGTTAATGTCAACTTTGTAGTGAAAATGTGGCATTTTAGCTTTTTATTCTGTTTAACAATAAGAGTTCGAATCTGAAAACCTGGTTTCAAATTCACTTTCTGGCTGTGTGAATCTAGAAAGGCATTTATAGTATAGTAGATTCTTTGACTCTGAACTTTAAAAACTTGGCCCTATCACTTTGAAATAGTCTGACACTGGTGAGCTACCTAACCTGTCTAAGCCTTGCTGTCATCTCTGTAATTGAAGGTTGTCTTAGTCCATTTGGGCTGATATAACAAAAGCACTATAGACTAGGTGGCTTTTAAACAACAGCACTTGTGTTTCTCACAATTCTGAAGGCTGGGAAATCTAAGATCAAGGGCTGGCAGATTTGGTGGCTGGTGGTGGCCCACTTCCTGGGTCATAGACAATTGTCTTTCTCACTGGGTCCTCACATGGCAGAAGGGTCAAGAGAGCTGTCTGGGGTCCATTTTGTAAGCGCACTAGTCCTGTTCATGAAAGCTTTGCCCTCCTGACCTAAGTACCTTCCAAAGGCCCCACCTCCAAATACCATCACACTGGGGATTAACTTTCAACATACACATTTTGGGGAGACACAAACTTTCAATCTGTAGCAGAGGTGATGGTTGGCATGAGAATTAAATTAAGTAGCATATAATAGATGGTGAGGAGAATGTCTGTGACCTCGTAGGCATTCAGTGAATGGGGGATTTTATTAGTTTTCCCAGAGCTGTCGTAACGAATTACCACAAGCTGAGTGGCTTAAAATAACAGAAATTTATTCTCTCACAGTTGAGGCTAGAAGTTTGAAGTTGTCAGTAAGGCCAGGCTTCTGCTGAAGGCTCTAGGGAAGACTACTTCCTCGCCTTTTCTTAGCCTCTGGTGGTTGCTGGCAATTCTTGGCATTCCTCAGCTCTAACTTCATTACTCCAATCTCTGTCTACAACTTCATGTGGCTGTTTTCCCTTTGTGTGCATCTGATTGTCTCCAAATCTTTTTTCCTTAGGAAGATAGAAATCACTGGATATGGGGGCCTGCCATAATTCAGTATAACCTCATCTAATCTTGATTATACCTTTACAGACCTTATTTTCAAATGAGATCACATTCACAGTACCACGGGTTTAATACTTCAATACATCTTTTGAAGGGATGCAATTTAACCCGTAACAGTGGACTCATTATAACTTAAGTAACTCAATCTTGTTTCCTCTTCCCCAAAATAAAGCAGCTAATATCTGTTAGCTGCTTTATGGTTATGAGACTTAAATGAGGTATTTCATGTGAAAAACCTGACACAACCAACACACAAACTCAATCTGAATTATCCCTTTTCTGTTTAATCACATCCAGCCATTCAATTTTTAAAGTTTTATATGTTATTTTTAAATACAAGAGCCAGCTCTGTCACAGCTTAAAGTGCTATAGAGTTTTGCCCACTTTAGAAGTTCAAGTATAGGTGTAGCAGCTGGGTAAACACAGTTTCTGTCATCTATATTCACAGAGTGGACTTGTCTGATTTGATGACTAATGGGTCAGGCAACTATACATGTAACTCTGCACCAAAACGTTTCCTTTAGCTCACAGGGTCTGTTTGTGCTTTGCTTTAGGGAAGGAGTGGGAGAAAAGGGAACCAGGGGAAACAGTCTTGCTATTGTGTGCCTGAGTGACCTACATAAATGGCTTCATTGGAAAGATGTGCATAGTTCTTCCCACACACGAAAAAGGAAGTAAGTGCCTTTTCTGGGCTAGACCAAGAGATGTTTTTCTCCCAAATTTGGAGAGGAGGACAGGAGTGTTAATCACTGTCATGAACCAAAACCTCCAAGTCCTAAAGAACCTTGAGTCTTGCCCCTGGGGAGGAAATGACAACAGAAAAAATAAATTTGAGGGGATCCTAAAGCAAGAATACCTTGGCCTATGCTTCCAGGTGTAGCCCAGGATCCCATCGGCCTTGCAAAGAAGCCCTGCACCCTAAATGATGCACAGCTGTAAGACAGCAAGCATAGAGTAGGCAGTCAGGCCTAAAGGAAGACTCACAGGATACCAGGGAAGTGTGGAAGAAGGCAGCCAGAGACTGCAAAAGGCTTTGGAGTTCAAGTAGGGAAGGAGACTTCTGTTACTGTAATTTGGACAACAGGCACCATAGTAAACCTAGGGACCTTAGCATTAATAGCACATGGTGAAAATGACCAAATATAAAGTGTTGTATCTCGGTGGAGGCTAGTTTTAAGAGATGGTCAAGGACCAGATTCCCTTTGCCACCAATTCCATGAATGACTGCCTGCTTCCAGAGCCTCCGTAGTGAGAAGGAAGAAGTTCTAAATTAACATTCTGTCTCCTCAACTAACTGAGTTTAAATCCTAAACTTATGAAATTTAAAATCAGCATAGAGCAAAGTAATGTCTGCTAAGTTTAGGTAGTGACTAGGTAATATTTTCTAATATCAGTACAGAGAGGAGCCCACAATGGAAATTACATTTGCTTGTGGAAATATGAAGAAAGCCATATTCTTGCACATTGAGTTTTGTTTGATCAGACACACAAATAAACATGACTCCTTCCATCCATCTGGGGGCATTTGATTTCATTTTCTGTTGCTCTCTGTACCTCTGGTTTCTTTTTTTGCCAAATAATTTGTTTACTCTGCTATTTGTGCCCATATGTCAAACCTGGCTACATCAAAATGATGCTCTTGGTCCATGGATCAACTTCATCTCAATGTGACAGCAGAGACTAGTATTTTAAATTCCAAATATTAGAATCCTCAGAAAAACATGATTGTCCCACTGGAAATGTATCCACAGTTAATGAAATCATTGATTGTTTGGGTGTTGGGATTGAGATCATGTAATACTAACCTGGTTTTATACCCATAAAAGAGATAAAGGGAGAAAAGAGAAGAGAGGAAAAAAATTCACTGAGATGATGTCTCACTATGAGTAAAAATTAAAACTACAAAGTCTTACAACATACTTTGCTGAAGAAGTTATGGTAAAACAGCACTCTTACATTGTTAGTGAAATTGCAAATGACACAAACGCTATAATGAGACATTTCAAAATATCTAGATAGATCGCATATCCATTTATCTCTTGACTTAGAAATGGTATTTCTAGAAACTTATCTCAAGCATATATCACCAAAAATATGTACTTTGTTTGCATAAAGCTATTCAAAGAACTATTTGTAATATCAAAAACTGGAAGAAACCTAGGTACCTATCTACAGGGGACTAGTAGGATAAATGTTAATATCCCCATCCAAAGGAGAAAAAATTCCAGGCAAAAAGAAAGGTTGTGCAGTTTGCTATTGTTTAGTTAAAAAAAAGATATATATCTGTTAATATTAAAAATAAAAATAATATTAAAAATAAAACATATATATCTGTTAATATTAAAAATAAAATATTAAAAATATTGAAAAGCTAGCTTTCTCAAAATATAGCTTTGCTTAATTTGGGGACTATGGAAATATTTTACATAATTAAATAAAAGGATAATCCTTAAGAATAAAAATTTAAAAATGAACCTAAACATGTTTTGTCGGTGGTATAATCACATGAGAAGATAAAATTCCAAGCGATTTCAAAATAGGGTAATTTTAATATACACGTTTTGTGGGATATATCCTAATGATAAAATAACTTAAAAATATTAAATTCATCTAATCATGGACTTTAGATCTCATTTCTCACTAAAATCAATAGGGCTTCTGGAAAAAATGACTAAACTCTCTGGCTTTAAATTCATTTTTCTATGCTTAGAAAAATGGGGTTAAAATAGTTCCTATCTTATAGGGTACTTCTCAGGAATAAATGAATTATCATATATTATGCTTGGAGAAATAGTGTCTGGTTATATGGCAGGTATTTAATTAATGTATGGCATTCCTTTTATTCTCTTTTAATCTCCTTAAAGTATCATTTGCCAGGAATATATAGACTACTTTGAATTATATATATATTTGACTCTTCAGCCAGAGCTTTGGTGGAGAACTCCATACTTTAAAGATGGCAAAACCAACTTTTTGAGCAGGATCACATAGAGATTAGCATTGGTTACCTACTTCCTGCTTTACCTTGTTTGAAATGATAATCAAAATAACCACGTAAAGTGTTTTTTTTTTTAAATTAAGAAATAAGGAAACTGAGGCTTAGAAAAATGTTGAAGCCCTGTTCTTGTTTCAGGATTAGTAAGTGGCTCAGCCACCAGTCAAGTCAAGCCTGTCTGACATTGAGTTCTTTCTGCCAAATCACTGCTTTTCTAAGGAAGACCTCCCATGTCTTGTTGACTGATGCCTGAAGTCCTGCTGTTAGATGTATTCCTATGGCTTACCTCATTTCCTCTGTTAAAATGCAGATGCCCTTGCAATAACTGGTTATTGCTATCTTGGATACAGAGAAAAATATATTTATATTTGGAAATATTAAACTTTAATTTTGCACCATAATTGGTGTTTTCTGGATCATTCTTAGAATCAAGAAGCCGTCTTTTCTTTTTCCCAATAAGTCTTTAGCTTGTTGCAGAATTTGAATGGGAAAAAACATTTTTATAATGCCTGGTTGCAGAAATAGTACAGAACTGCTCTAGTGAAAATTATACCTTGCTCAACAGCCTGGAGAAAGGGTCCTCCAGAAAAATAAAAATCCACCAGATTATGTTCTTTAATTTCATAGCACCTTATTCTTGTATCTTTCTGAAATTCAATTTTAGATCTGAGATTGTATAAGACACTTGTTTCAGACTCATATGTTTTCAAATGAGATAGTTAAGAATTTGGGTCTTATGTTTTGGTTGTAAAATTAAACCTAATTTCAGAATAATTAGTAAAAAATTGGCAAGGTAACTGAGTATTTTAAGACACAGCCAAATTTTATCATTTTCTGTTCTCAATTTTGAACTCAGGAAAATTAGATTTGATAAGTTGATTCATGTTTTTAAAATTATGTAAACATACTTTTCTCATACAAAAATTATGCATCTGGTAAAATGTCAAATGGATGAAGTCGAGGGTGCAAAAATGAACTAAATGCAAGAAAAAAGTAAACGCCATGTAGATGTTACCAAATGGTACATATTCTAGGAATTGCTTTTGTATGCTTGGAAATGGCTCCTGTAGGAATAACTGATTATTCTAAAAACATTTGGAATAGTTGAAAAAATGTTGCTTGTATGAGTTATCCATGTTTGCAAAAGTTTTAGGATAAATTAACAGGGTTGTTTATAAAAACAGATCAGTTAAATTTAAAACATCCTGAAAGCTCTGGTATAAAATTACAGTCACACTTTTTTCCACTGTTAGTATTTTATAGGCATTTTAATTCACATCATTCTAATTTCTTGAGAGAAAAATAAATAAATGAATAAAATATAGCAGATATAGATATACATACATATCTATGTATATATGCAAATTTAATTTAATTTTCCTGTTATGCTTTTATTTTCAAAGTCTCATTGTTGATAATGAGTATACATTCACACATACAAAAATCTTAAAAGGATTAGGTTAAGAACAACTTTCTTTAGGAGACAGAAATGGATAAACTTTTAAAATAATAAGTGATTTTGTGATTGATTTCATTGAAAGCACTAGTTGATTAATAGAAACAAAGGGGAAGAAGAAGGAAAATATAAATTATTAAAATCCCTTTATTTAACTTTAGAAAAGTTCCCCACACCACTGCCACCCTTCCACCACCCCACCCACACATAAAAGAATTTCTTGATATTATGTTGAAAAATGCATTTCAAGTGAAACTCTTTGAAACAGACAAAACCATGACTGTTTCCTTCATAGTCTTTATGTCCTGAAGACTCCAGAACTTTAAAATTTGCTTCCAGATCATTTTTATAATCTCTGAGTCAATTTTCAGTATGATAATTTAGAAAGTGATTAATTTTACTTACAAGTTAAATTATTCTCTGCAGAAATCATTTGGGAAAAAATATTTATTTCAGTAGGACCATATTTTTGTAGTCCTTCCTTTAACCATAACTTCAATAATTAGCTGACATATAACACAGAAATAGAACACACAGTTTTCATTTTATGATTTTCACTATGGATATAAATACCCATTCCTGAGAAAGAAAGATTTGGAATTACAGTTTTATTGAGGTTAGAATACAATTGGATGGATGGCATAAACCTTTCAGGATCTGAAATTCCTAATGTAGGTGAACTGTTTCTTAATTCACAAGGTTCACAAGGTTCACCCAGATAAGCTGTGGCATTGTCTGTGTTTAAAATTCATGGCCCTGGATTCATTGATTTTTTGAAGGGTTTTTTGTGTCTCTATCTCCTTCAGTTCTGGTCTGATCTTAGTTATTTCTTGCCTTCTGCTAGCTTTTGAATGTGTTTGCTCTTGCTTCTCTAGTTCATTTAATTGTGATGTTAGGGTGTCAATTTTAGATGTTTCCTGCTTTCTCTTATGGGCATTTAGTGCTATAAATTTCCCTCTATCCAACATGATCAAGTGGGCTTCATCCTCGGGATGCAAGGCTGGTTCAACATACGCATATCAATAAACATAATCCAGCATATAAACAGAACCAAAGACAAAAACCACATGATTATCTCAATAGATGCAGAAAAGGCCTTTGACAAAATTCAACAGCACTTCATGCTAAAAACTCTCAATAAATTAGGTATTGATGGGAAGTATCTCAAAATAATAAGAGCTAGTTATGACAAACCCACAGCCAATATCATACTGTATGGACAAAAACTGGAAGCATTCCCTTTGAAAACTGGCACAAGACAGGGATGCCCTCTCTCACCACTCCTATTCAACATAGTCTTGGAAGTTCTGGCTAGGGGATTCAGGCAGGAGAAAGAAATGAAGGGTATTCAATTAGGAAAAGAGGGAGTCAAATTGTCCCTGTTTGCAGATGACATGATTGTATATTTAGAATACCCCATCATCTCAGCCCAAAATCTTCTTAAGCTGATAAGCAACTTCAGCAAAGTCTCAGGATACAAAGTCAATGTGCAAAAATCACCAGCATTCTTATACACCAATAACAGACAAACAGAGAGCCAAATCATGAGTGAAGTCCCATTCACAATTGCTTCAAAGAGAATAAAATACCTAGGAATCCAACTTACAAGGGATGTGAAGGACCTCTTCAAGGAGAACTACAAACTACTGCTCAACGAAATAAAAGAGGACACAAACAAATGGAAGAACATTCCATGCTCATGGGTAGGAAGAATCAATTTCATGAAAATGGCCATACTGCCTAAGGTAATTTATAGATTCAATGTCAGCCCCATCAAGCTACCAATGACTTTCTTCACAGAATTGGAAAAAATTAAAGTTCATATGGAACCAAAAAAGAGCCGACATTGCCAAGTCAATCTTAAGCCAAAAGAACAAAGCTGGAGGCATCACGCTACCTGACTTCAAACTATCCTACAAGGCTACAATAACCAAAACAGCATGGTACTGGTACCAAAACAGAGATATAGAGCAATGGAACAGAACAGAGCCCTCAGAAATAATACAACACATCTGCAACCATCTGATCTTTGACAAACCTGACAAAAACAAGAAATGGAGAAAGGCTTCCCTATTTAATAAATGGTGCTGTGAAAACTGGCTAGCCATATCTAGAAAGCTGAAACTGGATCCCTTCCTTACACCTTATACAAAAATTAATTCAAGATGGATTAAAGACTTAAATGTTAGACCTAAAACCATAAAAACCCTAGAAGAAAACCTAGACAATACCATTCAGGACATAAGAATGGGCAAGGACTTCATGTCTAAAACACCAAAAGCAATGGCAACAAAAGCCAAAATTGACAAAAGGGATCTAATTAAACTAAAGAGCTTCTGCACAGCAAAAGAAACTACCATCAGAGTGAACAGGCAACCTACAAAATGGGAGAAAATTTTTGCAATCTACTCATCTGACAAAGGGCTAATATCCAGAATGTACAATGAACTCAAACAAATTTACAAGAAAAAAACAAACAACCCCATCAACAAGTGGGCGAAGGATATGAACAGACACCTCTCAAAAGAAGACATTTATGCAGCCAAAAGACACATGAAAAAATGCTCATCATCACTGGCCATCAGAAATGCAAGTCACAACCACAATGAGATACCATCTCACACCAGTTAGAATAGCAATCATTAAAAAGTCAGGAAACAACAGGTGCTGGAGAGGATGTGGAGAAATAGGAACACTTTGACACTGTTGGTGGGACTGTAAACTAGTTCAACCATTGTGGAAGACAGTGTGGCAATTCCTCAAGGGTCTAGAACTAGAAACACCATTTGACCCAGCCATCCCATTACTGGGTATATGCCCAAAGGATTATAAATCATGCTGCTATAAAGACATATGCACATGTGTGTTTATTGTGGCACTATTCACAATAGCAAAGACTTGGAACCAACCCAAATGTCCATCAATGATAGACTGGATTAAGAAAATGTGGCACATATACACCGTGAAATACTATGCAGCCATAAAAAAGGATGAGTTCCTGTCCTTTGCAGGGACATGGATGAAACTGGGAACCATCATTCTGAGCAAACTATCGCAAGGACAAAAAATCAAACACTGCATGTTGTCACTCATAGGTGGGAATTGAACAATGAGAACACTTGGATACAGGGTGGGGAACATCACACACCAGGGCCTGTCATAGGGCAAGGGGAGGAGGGAGGGATAGCATTAGGAGATATACCTAATGTAAATGATGAGTTAATGGGTGCAGCACACCAACATGGCACATGTATACATATGTAACAAACCTGCACGTTGTGCACATGTACCCTAGAACTTTAATAAAAAATAAAAATAAAAAAATAAAATTCATGGCCCATCATTACACTCTTAGTGCTCTTGGAACCTCCATCGTAATTTGTAGGAATTTAGTGACTCTCATCATCTTTTGGGGTCCAAGAGCTGCCCATATGAATTCTCAGCCAGCCTGTTCCTTTATAGGAACATGGGTCTAAATAAAATCTTTTCTACATTTTATAGTACATTCATTTCTATCTTGTAGCCATGAACTCAATTTATGCAATATAATAATTAATTTTTATGTACTTTCCAGTAACTTCTTAATTTTCTTCTCCCATACAATAAATAATTTCACTATTGTCTCAACCAGTTTAGATACCGCAAGACATTATTACACAGGATAAAACTTGGCTGCAATGTATATATTTCTGCTAAACTGAAGACCATGTGACAGTTTGGGCTGGGCCCAAGTAACCTTTTAAACAATGGCAGGGATGGGCCATTTCAGTGATATAAGAATAGTACCCAAAGCTGAGTGGGAGAGAGGTACACCTGAGGCTCACTCGAAGTCTATTAGGGAATCTTGTAAACTGTGAGAGCAGAGCCTTTCTAAGAACTCCATTAGGATCAGCTCCTGCCTGTGGTCTTCCAAGAGATTTTCTATATCTATTTTGTCACATGCTTCCCTGTCCTATCACACTTTGCCCTGTACCTTACCCTCTAGACTAATAAAAGTAACTCGCCATTATTCACTTTTCCAAGCTTTTGACTCGTCTCACCATTGTACGTGCTCCACAATCTTAGATCTACTTCCTCAACTTACACCTGCCTCCTTTCTATCTACCACCTCTCTTTCACACTATAAGGTGTCTTAGATCAGGTTGCAGATAAGCTGACTTTGAGATGGGAATTTGAACGCAGAAGGTTTACTGGAGACTTCTCCCTGGAACAAGTATAAAGGAAATAAAGAAGCCAGATTAAGCAGAATGAGAAGTGGGACCTCAGTGCATTTCCAAGAGAGGTTCCAACAAATCTCACAAGGTGCTCTGGAGTTGGCATAGTCTTCAGTTTGTTGTCTTCTTTAAGGTAAAAGGCTGAGTTTTTGTATTCTAGCCC
The DNA here is from genome assembly GCF_000001405.40 of Homo sapiens. Taxonomy (NCBI): domain Eukaryota; kingdom Metazoa; phylum Chordata; class Mammalia; order Primates; family Hominidae; genus Homo; species Homo sapiens. The sequence continues at coordinate 74,723,115 of NC_000006.12, read as the reverse complement.
ATCCCTTGCATCAATCAGGCATTGGATGGTGTTGGTAGGAGGAAGGAAAGTCGTAATCCATAACCCGGGGCAAAAGCTTTTTTCTGCCTAGGCCAATTCTCAGGAGGGACTCACCTTCCAATTATTTTATTCTTCAGACGTAATCACTAAGGCCAGCCCATACTTGAGGATAAAGTTTCATCTCCTGGAAGAGTTAGTAACTACTTATTCAGAATTCTTCTATAAGAAAGATTTAAGTGTCCCATTTTCAGCAAAGGATCACAAAGCATACACAGAAAAAGAAAGGAACAGTAAGCCCTTACTAAACATTGTTGATAGGTTCTTTTAAACTGCAATTTTAAATAAAACATGATCTAACAAAAACTATTTTTCTCATACATGTTATTACAAAATGATGTTGCAGGCTGGAGTGCAGTGGCACAATCTAGGCTCACTGCAACCTCTGCCTCGTGGGTTCAAGCGATTCTCCTACCTAAGCTTCCCGAGTAGCTGGGACTACAGTCGTGCACCACGATGCCCAGCTAATTTTTGTATTTTTAACAGAGACAAGGTTTCACCATGTTGGCTAGGATGGTGTCTATCTCTTGACCTCATGATCCACCAGCCTTGGCCTCCCAAAGTGCTTGGATTACAGGCATGTGCCACCGTGCCTGGCCCCATTATTTCTTTTAGACCTAAAACCATAAAAACCCTAGAAGAAAACCTAGGCAATACTATTCAGGACATAGGAATGGGCAAGGGCTTCATGTCTAAAACACCAAAAGCAATGGCAACAAAAGCCAAAATTGACAAATGGGATCTAATTCAACTAAAGAGCTTCTGCACAGCAAAGGAAACTACCATCAGAGTGAACAGGCAACCAACAGAATGGGAGAAAATTTTTGCAATCTACCCATCTGACAAAGGGCTAATATCCAGAATCTACAATGAACTCCAACAAATTTACAAGAAAAAACAAACAACCCCATCAACAAGTGGGCGAAGGATATGAACAGACACTTCTCAAAAGAAGACATTTATGCAGCCAACAGACACATGAAAAAATGCTCATCATCACTGGCCATCAGAGAAATGCAAATCAAAACCACAGTGAGATATCATCTCACACCAGTTAGAATGGCGATGATTAAAAATTCAGGAAACAACAGGTGCTGGAGAGGATGTGGAGAAATAGGAGCACTTAAACTCTTATTTTCTAAGAACTTATCAGTGATGTTAAGCGAGGACTTACTGTATAACTCATTTAAAGGAAAAAATGAATAAACTGGATATGTTTTTAATGTTTTGTGATAAGCATTTTTTTTTAAATAAAAATCCTCAGAAGATTCTAGGAAGATTTGATGAAAGATCAGACAAAAACTTTAAAACAACTCTCTTAAGGGTGCTCTAAGAACTAAAGACGTGGAGAAAGTAAAAAAAAAAAATCCAAAAAAATAGAAATATCAGTGAAGAGCTAGAAAATCTAAAAAGAAATAAAAAACAAATTTTGGAGCTGAAAAATACAATAACTGAAATAAAATCACTAGAGGAATTTAAAGCTGCATTTGAACAGGCAGAAGAAAGAATAAGTGAACTTGAAAATAAGACAATGGAAATTATTAAGTCTGAGGAACAGAAGGAAAACAGATTAAAGAAAAGTAAATAGAGCCTAAAGAACCAGTGGAACACTGTTTAGAAGATCAACATATACATTGTAAGACTCTCAGAAGTTGAAGAGAGGGGGAGAGAGAAAAGGGGTGTGCACAGAGAGAAAGGAAATAGCATTATTTTATGAAATAATGGCTGAAAACTCCCCATATTTGATAAAAGATATGGATATAAAACTCAAGAAGCTCAAACTCCAAGTAAAATGAACTCAAAGAGACCCACACTGAGAAATATTATAATCAAACTTTTAAAACACAATGAAAGAATTTTGAAAGCAATGAGAAGGAAGTGACTAATTACATACAAATATCCTTAATAAAATTACCCGCATATTTCTCAACAGAAACTCTAGAGGCCACAAGGCTATGGTCTGTGTATTAGTTCATTCTTATACTGCTATAAAGAAATGCCTGAGACTGGGTGATTTATAAAGAAAAGAGGTATAATTGGCTCACAGTTCCACAAGCTGTACAGGAAGCATGGCAACCTCTGCATGGCTTGTGGGAAGCCCTCAGGAAATTTTTAATCATGGCAGAAGGCTAAGGGAAAGCAAGGCATCTCACATGGCTAGCACAGGAGGGTGGCACCATATACTTTTAAACAATCAGATCTTCTGAGAACTCTATCATGAGAACAGCAATAGGGGAATGGTGCAAAACCATTAGAAACCTGCCCCCATGATTCAATCACCTCCCACCATGCCCCACCTCCAACTTTGGGAATTACAATTGAACATAAGATTTGGGTGAGGACGCAAATCCAAATCATAGCAGTCTGATATATTCAAAGTACTATCTGTCAACCAAGAATCCTACATCTGGCAAATCTTTCCTTCAAAATAAAATAAAGACAGTTCCAGATAAACAAAAGCTGAAATAGTTTGTTACCCCTTAACTTTCCCTGCAACAAATGTTCAAGGAAGTTATACAAGGTGAAATAAAAGGATGACTGGACCATAACTCAAAACTATTTTAAAAAGATCTTAATAAAAGTAAATACATGGGTAATTATAAAAGCTAGCATTAATATAACAATGGTTTATAACTCTACTTTGTAATTTCTAAATAAGAAATTAATACATTTAAATTATTAATCTAAAAGTTAGTATTATTGTAACTTTGGTTTGTAATTTCAAATTTTGTTTTCTATATAATTTAAAAGACAATGCATTTAAAAGAATTATTAGTTTATGTTTTGGGAAACACAAATATAAAGATGTAATTTTTTTGACATCAACAACCAAAATGATGAGGGGACAATGCTGTAAAGGAGCAAAGTTTTTTATGCTATTGAAGTTAAACTGATATAGATTAAAATTAGAGTAGTATAACTTTAGGATGTTAAGTGTAATCCAATGGTAACCACAAAGAAAATACCTATAGAAGACACCCAAAGGAAATGAAAATAAAATATAAACATGTAACTACAAAAAAAATCAACGAACCAGGCATGGTGGCTGACACCTGTAATCCCAGCACTTTGGGAGGCTAAAGTGGGAGTTTTGCTTGAGCTCAGGAGTTTGAGACCAGCCTGGGTAACAGAGCAAGACCCCATGCCTACAAAAAATTAAACAATTAGCTGGGCATGGTGGAACATACCTGTGGTTCCAGTTACTCCAGAGGCTAAGGTGGGAGGATTGCTTGAGCTCAGGAGGTTGAGGCTGCAGGGACCTGTGATCACACCACTGCACTACAGCCTGAGTGACAGAGCAAGACCTTGTCTCCAAAAAAAGAAAATAATCAACAAAACACAAAAGAAGACAGTAATGCAGGAAATGAGGGACTAAAAAGACAAATAGCATACAGAAGACAAATAGCAAAGTGACAGTAGTACTTCCTTATTGGTAATTACTTTACTTGTAAATAAACTCTTGAATCAAAAAACAGATTAGCAAAATGGATTAAAATAAAACACATTTTCCAACTATATGCTGTCTACAGAAGACTCACTTTAGATCCCAAAACAAATAAATTGAGAGAATGAAAAAGTTACTCCATGCAAATAGTAACCAAAAGAGAGCAGGGATGGGTATACTATTATCAGACATAGTAGACTTTGAATCAGAAAAGTTTACAGAAGATGAAGAAGAACAGCATACATTGATAAATATTTCAACGGAGCATAAAGGTAAACAAAGTATGAAGATTCACACATGTAATAAACAGACCATCAAAATCTGGGAAGAAAAACTGACAGAATTAAAGAACAAAAGAGACAGTTCTACAATAATATTTGAAGATTTCAATATAGCACTCTCAATAATGGATAGACTAGCCAGATGGAAGATAAGTAATAAGAAGTAGAAGAAAACACAATGAACCAACCAGATTTAATAGACATATACAAAACACTCTACTCCAAACAACAACGTCTTCATTCTTCTTAAGTTTACATGGGACGTTTTCCAGGATAGACCATGTGTTGAGTCACAAATTGAGTATCAATAAATTTAAAAAGGTAGATCTCATACAAAGTATGTTCACCGACCATAATGGGATGAAGTTAGTAATCAATAAGATAAATAAAACAGAAAAATTTATAAAATTGTGGAAATTAAATAATACACTCTTAAACAACAAATGAGTCAAAGTAGAAATCACAAAGAAAATTAGAATATACTTAGTGATAAATAAAAATGAAAATACAATATACCAAAATTATGGAATGCAGCAAAAGCAGCTATGAAGTGGAAATTTATAGCTATAAATGCTTACAATAAAAACAAGAAAGATCTCTAGTCAGCAACCTAACTTTTAAAGAACTAGAAAAGAAATTAACTAAATGCAAAGCTAGCAAAGGGAAGAAAATAATAAAAATTACAGCAGAGATCAATGAAATAGAGACTAGATAAACAATAGAGAAAATGAATGAAACCAAAAGTTGATTCTTTGAAAAGGTCAATATAATTGATAAACCTTTACCTAGATAGACTAAGAAAAAAAATACAGAATACATAAATTACTGATATCAGAAGTGAAAGTGGGGGCATTATTACTGATTCTACAGAAATAAAAAGGATTATAATAGAGTGCTGTGAACAAGTGTATACCGAAAAAATTGGATAACCTAAATGAAATTAACAAATTCACAGAAACACAAAACCTACCAAGACTAAGTAGCAAATAAATAGAAAATCTGATTAGACTTTTAATTAGTAAGGGAATTAAATCAATAATGAAAAAATCTCCTGACAAGGAAATGCCCTGGACCTGATTACTTCACTGGTAAATTCTACCATTTTAAAAAAGAATTAACACAAATCTTTCTCAAACTTTTCCAGAAATTCAAGAGTAGCAAATATTTTCTAACCCATTCTATAGGGCTAGTATTGATCTAATACCAAAGCCAGACAGAGACACTACCAGAAAGACAAACTACAGAACAACATCCCTTGTAAATATTGATACAAATTCCTCAACAGAATGCTAACAATTTTAACAGCATATTTAAAAAATACCCACCATGACCAAGTAGGCTTTATTTACTAGAATGAAAGGATTCCTTAACATATGAAATTGAGTTAAGGTAATATACCACATTAACAAAATAAAAAACCCACATGATCATTGAAACTGATGTACCATATGACAAAATTCAACACCCTTCCATAATAAAAACACTCAGTGAAATGAGACTAGAAGGAAACAACTACAACATAATAAGAGCCATATGTGAAAAACCCACAGTGAACATCATACTCAATGGTGAAAGACTAAAAGCTTTTCTTCTCAGACTAGGAACAAGGCAAGGATATTCACTTTTGCAACTTATATTCAAGATAGTAATAGAAGTATTAACTAGATGAATTAGTCAAGAAAAAGAAGTAAAAGTTATCTCTGTTTAGAGATGATATAACTTTATATGTAAAAACTCAAAGATTCCACAATTTTTGGAATAAATGAATTCAGTAGAATATCAGGATGCAAAATCAACACAAAAATTAGTTGCATTTCTATATACTAGTGCTGAATAATGTGACAAGGAAATTAGGAAAATTTCCATTTATAATATCAAGAATGAAATAGGAATTATTTATAAGTTAGCTAAGTGACATGAAAGACTTGTCCCAAGAAAATTGTAAAACATTGCTGAAATTAATTAAAGAGAACATAAATAAATGGAAACACATTGCATATTTATGGATTTGAGGATTTAATATTGTTAAGATAACAATACTACCCAAAGTGATCTATAAATTCAATGCAATCCTAATCAAAATCCCAATGGTGTTTTGTTGTAGAAATAGAAAAACTCATCTTAAAATTTATATGGAATCCCAAAGGACCTCAAATAGGCAAAATATTCTTCAAAAAGAGTAACAAAGTTGGAAGACTCACACTTTCTGATTTCAAAACTTTCTACAAAGCTACCATAATCCAAACAGTATGGTACTGGCATAATGACAGACATGTAGACCAGTAGAATATAATAACAAGCCCAGAAATAAATCCTGGCATATACAGTCAAATGATTTTTGACAAGGATGCCAAGACTATTCAAATGGGAAAAGTCAGTCTTTTCAATAAATAGTATGAAAAAACTGGATATCCACATGAGGAAAAATGAAACTGTACCCTTACCAAATACCATATACAAAAATTAACTCAAAATAAAACAAGTGCCTAAATTTAAGACCTAAAACAATAACAATTATAGAAGAAAACCTAGGATAAAATCTTCACCACTTTAGATTTGACAATAATTTCTTAGATATGACATCAAAGGTACAGGCAACAAAAGAAAAATGGACAAATTGGACTTCATGAAAATTAAAAATGTTTGTGCATCAACAGAGTAAAAAGAATAGAAAAGAGGATTTGCATACCACATATCTAAGAGGTTAATATATAGAATATACAGAAAAATCCTAAAACTAAAAAGAAGTTAAACAATCCAATTCAAACATGGACAAAATTCTTAAATAACCATTTCTCCAGTGATGATGTTTAATGGCCAATAAGGACATGAAAAGATGCTCAGTATAATGAATTATTAGGGAAATGCAAATCAAACCTACAATGAAATGTCACTTCACACCCATTAGAATGGCTACCATCAACAATCCAGAAAATGACAGGTGTTGGTGAGGATGTGGAAAAACTGGAACCCTTGAGCATTGTTGGTGGAAAATATAAAATGGTCCAACTGCTATGGAATCCAGTATGGTGGTTTCTCAAAAAATTGAAGATAGAATTCACATTTCATACAGCAATTCCACTTCTGGTTATATACTCAAAGAATTAAAAGTGGGATCTCAAAGAAATATTTGTATGTCCATGTTTGTACGTTTGTAGCAGCATTATTCCCAATACTAAAATGTGGAAACAACCCAAGTATTCATCGATGGATCAATAGATAAGCAAAATGTGGTATATTCATACAATGGAATATTAGTCTCAAAAAGGAAAAGAATCCTAATATATGCTACAACACGAATGAACCTTGAGAACATAATGCTAAGTGAAATAAACCAGTCACAAAAAGGCAAATACTGTATGAATCCACTTATACCATGTACTTAGAGTAGTTAAAATCACAGAGAGGAAGAATGGTAGTTATCAGGGGAGAAGAGGCAGGAATGAGGAGTTACTGTTTAAAGGGTATAGAGTTTCAATTTTGCAAGATGAGTCATGGAGATGGTGATGGTTTCACAACATTATATTTAACACTACAGAAGTGTACACTTAAGTATAGCTAAGATGGTAAACTTTATGTTCTGTGTATTTTACCACAATGAAAAATTAAAAAATCTTTAGTATTAATGTCAAAATTCATGGTACAATATTTAATTTTTTGAAGTGAAAATAAGCCATTGATTTTCAGGATGTGGGGATACCTCATATAATGCAAGAATAAAAATGCATTCAATTCTGAGACTGGACATGAATTGTTAAGCAGGCAGCTCTTCTTGTTTATCTTGGGGACTGTACAGGATGTAATTCTCTTTTTCTCTGCATTTTGCCACACTCTTTCTTGGAGCTTAGCTTTCTCTATTTGGGGAGGACACATGTAATCAACTAGGAAGAAGGTAAAAAACAAAAGGTGCCAGAAAAACATATTAGTATATTGAAATATGCTAATATCAAGACTATTCAAAGAAATATGTTATATATGTACATATGACGTTAGTATATTGAAATTAGCATATTTCAGTATTAAATTTATAATATGCTAATTTCAATATACTAACGTCATATGTACATGTATGCATATGAATTTTAATTTTACATACTCATTTAAAGTTTAGTGTTAAAAATAATGTAGGTAAATTTAAAACAAATGGAAGAGGGAAACTTTTATTAATAATAATATAAATGTATGTTCAATTTGATAGGAATATTTTAAATTTCTTTTAAGTCTTTCATAAACTTTTTATTGAAATAATGTGCCAGAATTCAGTGTATTGCTGACTATTGGTTTCAAAAATACTGTATCTCTATATCTATGCTTATGTCTATGCCTATGTCTTTGTCTACCTATAAGCTAACCTTTGTAACTCTATTAGTATTTCCTAAAGAAAAAATCCCAGTACCTAGCTAAAGAGGAATTTTGTTTTACCATCGTTTGGATACAAATAGAAGATAAAAATAAAGAATTTTTTTTTCTAGAAAAACTCTGTGTAGCAGTGAACACAGTACCATATCCGTGAGTCCCTTGATTCTGAATGTATGGAAACCGTAATTAATATCTTAGGAAACTCATGAAGCACCTGAGATAGATGAAGAAAATAGTCCCTGATTATTTTTCAGGAAACTGGAAAATAACTTACATCCATTTGTCCCAGTGAAAAGGAAGCTAAAAGCAGAAGTTTGGAAACCTCTGAGACAAAATAAAATACATAACTATTAGAGCCATTTAGGGTTTTATTTTCCCCCCTCAGAGGAAGAGGCAGAGTTAATGGAATGGAGAATGTTACAATAGAAATTGTCCACATAAACATACAGGGCGAAGATTGCTGGGAGAACAAGGGGTGGGTAAAAGAGGAGAGAAAGCAGGCAGCAGCATTTTCTGAACATTATTTTTAATGTAAATTGGCTTCACCGGGGAAATGACAATTTTGTAAAGATTAATAAGGAACACCTTTCTGTGAGATTTAATATCTGCAGAGAAAATAAAGATTAAGAATATAATGATATAAATATGTAATTCTTCCTTAAGTTTTATGATTTTGTTAATGAAAAGTTGAGGGTTTTATGCATTTTACACACAGCATTTTACAAAAAATCATCCAATTAGTAGCTTCTTTTTTTTATTGTTTCACTTCCACCTGGACACAATAGCATTTTTGGCCTTGCATTCACATTCCTTCACTCCCACATTTCTGGAATGAATGAGCCACATCAGTTCAAGCCCCACTGACTGTAAATCTTTCACCTTTAAAAATAAAATAGGGTATAACTCTCAGTTCCTCATCATAAATCCAAAACTTCATTATTTCTGGCAGTCACAAATATTAGTTTTAATTGCAGTGGCCAAAAGCAATAGTTTCCAGTAATATGGATGAACCCAGTTAAATTTTGCTGTTTCTCTTAGTTATTTTATTTTTTTAAATGTCTCAAAAAAAAAAAACTGGAAAGGATCAAATAGCTATATATTAATGAGTCTTTCATATTTACATCATTCGATTTGTAACAAAAAAAGATGATAGAATAGATAATAAATGACGTGTCATACAGAAATACATTATAAATATAAGTGAACTATACTATATTTATTTTTTGGTTTGGGTGTAATTAATTTATTGTTGCAATGAATTGCTTGTAATTTGATCGAATGTAGATCAAAATTTTTCAAAACTTCTGGTGCTTTCTAGTGATGTAAACATTAGGAGACTAGGTTGGTGAACAAAAAATATTTTTATTTTGCAAAATGCTTAGTCACTAAAATTGGTTTCTAATTCCATTTGCCATAATTTGAACAGTGATGATATAATATGTTAATTAGTCTGATTTGTTCATTCCACAATGTGAGCTATACTATATTTTAAAGAGAGTCTAAGTAAAGTTAAATTTTATGAATATAATTTCTAACCTTTTGGAGTTTATGTATTTTGAGAGAAAGAGCATACAAGTTTTAAATATAACAATGACAGATATAAAGTAAGCATATTGAGAACTTATACTAATTAATTTTTTAGATTTCTTTAAATTTCAAGTTATTTCATATTTGCTGTCAGCCAGCATTCTCTTCTAACTTAAATATTTTATTTAATTTATTTTTTATATTTAATTTTATTTTAATTTCCGGGATACACGAGCAAGACATGCAGGTTTGCTACACAGGTAAACTTGTGCGATGGTGGCTTGCTGCACCTATCAACCCATCACCTAGGTATTAGGCCACACATGAATTACCTATTTATCCTGATGCTTTCCCTCTCCCTGCTCCCCCACAGGCCCCAGTGTGTGTTGTTCCCCTCCCTGTGTCCATGTGTTCTTGGTTGTTCAGCTCCCACTTATGACTGAGAACATGCATTGTTTGGTTTTCTGTTCCTGTATTAGTTTGCTGAGGATAATGGCTTCCAACTCCACCCATGTCCCTGCAAAGGACATCATCTTGTTCCTTTTTATGGCTGCAAAGTATTCCATAGTGTATATGTACCACATTTTCTTTATCTAGTCTATCTTTGATGGGCATTTGGGTTGATTCCCTGTCTTTCTATTGTGAATAGTGCTGCAATAAACATATTTGTGCATGTGTCTTTATAGTAGAATGATTTATATTCCTTTGGGTATATACCCAGTAATGGGATTGCTGGGTCAAAGAGTATTTCTGTTTCTAGATCCTTGAGGAATCGCTACACTGTCTTCCACAATTGATGAACTAATTTACATTCCCACCAACAATGTAAAAGCATTCCTATTTCTCCCTAGCCTCACCAGCATCTGTTTTTTCTTGACTTTTAATAATCACCATTCTGACTAGTGTGAGATGGTATCTCATTGTGGTTTTTATTTTCATGTCTCTAATGATCAGTGCTGACCTTTTTTCATATGTTTGTTGGCTGCGTAAATGTCTTCTTTTGAGAAGTGTCTGTTCGCGTCTTTGCCCATTTTTTTTATGGGATTGTTGGTTTTTTTCTTGTAAATTTGTTTAAGTTCCTTGTAGATTCTGGATATTAAACCCTTGTCAGATGGATAGATTGCAAAAATTTTCTCCCATTCTGTAAGTTATCTGTTCACTCTAATTATAGTTTCTTTTGCTGTGCAGAAGCTCTTTAGTTTAATTAGGTCCCATTTGTCAATTTTTGCTTTTGTTGCAATTGCTTTTGATATTTTTGTCATGAAATCTTTTCCCCTGCCTATGTTCTGAGTGGTATTGCCTAAATTTTCTTCTGGGTTTTTTATAGTTTTGGGTTTTACACTTGTAACTTAAATATTTTAATAGATAGAAATGTCAGTATTAATTCAATATAGTTAAAGTAACTCAATAAACATTTAACAAATATTCTCTAGCTGATCCAATGAGGGCTTTATATTCAGGAACAAGATATCAAGTGATGTGGAAGATTTGCATCTTCCACTAATACTGTCTCCTCAATTAGAAGTTTAAGTTTTCTGATCATAGAATTGTTTCATTGTCATCTGGCAAATTTTTTAATGTTAATACAAGTTTTTCTAAGATTTATATTGTTTCAGTCAAGAGCTGACCAAAAGGAAGGGTAGAAATAGAATCTAAATAAATTCATAAAAAATGAGGAGAAAGAGACTATGGTATCCATCATCACATGGATGTGGAAGGTTGGTTTGGCTGACAAAACTTGTCAGACGGCTTATCCTTCCTTCCTCAGCCCTACTATGTCCTTCTAAAATCTGAGCAAGTGTATGATGCTTTCAGTAATTAAAAAAAAAGGCAGACTTTGATCAGGGGAATAAAAGTAACTGGTGCAATTTACTACAATTTTAAAGTAAGAATTAGACCTCTGACTGTAATTTGTTACAAGCATAATTTTATTATATTAACACATCATATATTTTAGGAGTTATGGGGTTGATTAATTCTAAATTGAAGTTTTGTGCTGAATTTAAAAGTCAAAAAGGTATTTGGGTCAGATGTATTTGTTTTCAATAATTATCCTATTTAACATAAATTTTCTCCAATGCGTACTTCTCATCACTTATTCTACTTCATGACAGGAAGGCCTACTGATATAAACCAAACCAAATAATGCAATTGTAATTGCATTATTATTTTATCTAAATTAATTGTTTGGAACTTGTTATAGAGGAATCTAGTTGTCATCCACATTATACTTTCTCCCCCTCCTTAGTAACAGAATACTGATTTTTAGCAGGTCACACTACTTCCCTAGCTGAAAAAATACAGTATTTCTTGAAAGTAGGTATGCCCTATAACTAGATTCCGGACAATGAGAACTAAAAGTAACTATTAGAAGACAAAATCTCACTGAAATTATAATGAGAATAGATGATACACGAAGTTTAATAATGGAATTGGAAGATGACCGTGGAACAAGTTTCCTAGAAAGAAAAAAGAAAGATGAGAAGAGAGAAAATGGGGATTAAAAATATGGACTTAGCAGATCAGTCCAAGAGGCTCAAAATACATTTAAGAGTAACTTCAGTTAGGAGACAAAATGGTGAAGAAGAAATTATTAAGAAATAATACAAGTCCCACTGCATCACTTGGATAGCCTAAAAAACAAACAAACAAAGACATTTCCCCAAAAGAAAGAACATGAGTCTCAAGTTTAAAAGACCCACTGCATCTCCAGCCCAATGAATGAAAGAAGACACACAGCAAGCATATTAGCACTATTAGCATGGTATTTATTTTTCTTTCTTTTCTTTTTTTTTTGACAGAGACTCACTGTCGCCCAGGCTGGAGTGCAGTGGCATGGTCTCGGCTCATTGCAACCTCCATCTCCTGGGTTCAAGTGATTCTCTGGCCTCAGCCTCCTGAGTAGCTGGGGTCACAGGCCTGGGCCACCATGCCAAACTAATTTTTGTATTTTTAGTAGAGATGGGGTTTCATCATGTTGATCAGGCTGGTTGAATTCTTGGCCTCAGGGATCTGCCCACCTTGGCCTCCCAATGTACTGGGATTATAGGTATGAGCCATCGTGTGGCGTTTAATACAATATTTCTAATGAAGACAAAAATCACAAAAGTCTCCAGAGAGGAAAAAGCCTCCTCATACAGGAATAGCAACACTAGGTTACACTAGGTTAGACCAGCACTTCTCCAATGTTAATGTGCTTACAGCCTACAGATCTGGTTAAAAATGCAGATTCCAATCCAGTAGGTTTGAGGTGGAACCAGAGATCTTTTTTGACAAGATTAGAGATGACGTTGGTGCTGGCGGTTCGTTGACTCCATGTCAAGTTAAAAATTACTGGCAGATACAAGTAATGCCTTCAAATTTTAAGAGAAAATATCTTGAAATCTCGAATTCTGCATCTGGTAAATTGACTTGTCAAATAAAATAGTAGAATAAAGCCATTTTCAGGTATGAGAACCTCAAATGCTATCTCCTATATCCAAAGCTAGCAAAATGAAAGGAGAACCAAGAAGGGAGAAGACATGGAATCTGGGAAAAAGGAATCTAGTAGCATAAAGTGGTGACTTTGGTCACACATATAGTGAGCAATCTGATGGGAAAATGAAATAATGTGTAAGAGAGTAATAGAGCAATGAATAATTCCAGGAAAATTAATATAAGTTGTACAAGAGATGATTTATAATCATGGTATAACACTTGGCTCAGGAGTGATCTGTGTTATATTTATATTACAAAGAAATATGCTGACAAAAATTAAAATAAGCAAAAATCATATGTATATGTCTATATTTTTACATATTTATATGTATATATTAATGCATATATTTTAATATATAATTTGTATTGTATTCTGTAATCAGAAACAACTACAGAGGAAAAACCTGTAAGAGTTAAAAGTTTTTGTTACTGGAAAGCAGGAGGATAGAAAGTGAGATCATTTAAGGGTGAGAGACTGCTTAAATTGTTTGCAAAATTTTTAGTATTATTTAATTTTTATACGATAAGCAAATATTACATTGACAAAATGAGAATAAAATACAAAAATAAAACAGTGTGTATAGATCTAATTTTTAATACACTCACATTTTAAATGCCACTGTGAAGCCAAAAAAAAACCTCTACATTTGATTTTATTAGTGTAGTGACATAAAAGTGGTTCATTTTCTTTGATAAACATCTGACCTGGAATATACAAAATTACATTAATTAATTTACAGTAAGACGATGTTGCTAATAGTAGCAACTTTAAATCTTAGGCTATGAAACTCATTTTATATATATTGCATTTTACAGTTGATGCTACAACTGAAGGGATGATTTTAGTTTACTATTTAAAAGTTACCAAATTTTATTTTTGCTATGTGAAAGGATCTAGAGCAAAAAACTAAAACACATAGGGGAAGCTTATCAGTTTGTTGTTACAGCATAGAAAGTACCAATTTTAATTATTACAAATAGAGAAAGATAATTTTTGATAGAGCTTTGTTCCTGATTTTGAAAAGTCCTGTTTTAAATGCTATTTAATGATTTTATAATTCATGAAATGCATTTTCTTCATTCCATAATAATAAGATATTCTCATAGTATAATAAATTTTTAAATAGAAGTGTGCTATTTATAGATTATAAAACTTTTTGTTATATAATAAGACATTAATAATATTAATATTATATTATTATCTGACTTCCCCGTTACCTGACTTCTGCCATTGGAGACAGACAGACTGTAGTTAATAATATGTAATGTACCTTTCAAATGTTTTACAAAACATGTAAAATATTACATTAATAACTGTATAATGTACCTTTCAAAAAGAGAGGATTTCTCACCACAAAGAAATAATAAATATTTGAAATGATAGATATGCTAATTAACCTCATTTGATCATTCCACTGTATATGTATCAAAACATTACATTAAACTCCAAAAATACACAATTAAAAATAAAACCAAATTTTTAAAAATTTCCAGATTTCAGGAAGATAATTATTGGCAGATATCATATTTGACCTAATATCTCTACTAATTTATGGAGTAGAATTTTATAATTAACCTTATTCTTATTTATATCTAAATTGTATAAATATTTATTTTGCAAGGGCAAATGGATACTATTTAGAGCCTCAAGTTCTTGTTAATTTTGCTTCTAACTGAATTTAGATAATTTCAAGTATTGTCAGCATATTGGTTAGGAAAATTTTTCTGTTTTTAGAACTATTTGGATTTTGGAATGTGGATGAGGAACTGTGGACTTGAGTGTTAAGAACTGAAAATAAAATACTTGTCATCAGAAAGTTGCAGAAAATAATTCTTAAAGGGCTTTGTTTGTTTTTCATGATCCGTACAATTTGTCTACTTGCCCAGATATTATCTTTGCTTTAAAATCTAGTCTTTGAACCAAAATATCCTTGTCAAGATTATTTCTGAGAAAGTTATTAATGTAGTGCATGCATATGCTCTATTTTTAAAAAGCGGTGTGCCAATACTCCCATAGTATGTGTGAAGCAGAAAGGAGAGTGAATAAGACTTTTTACTTAAGATACTTCTGATATATTTTCCTGCTTTTAAAAATTTAAGTAACTGCTACAAAGATTCATATGGATTTAAATTTCTGAGATAATCTAGAAATATTTGTTTAAATATTGATGGAAAATTTATATATATATATGTCTTCCTTATTGACCTTTAATAAAGATCAAAAGGTTATTGTTATAATAATAGTAAAAATAATAGCCTGCATTTAAAGTGCAATTACTCTGATACAAAGAGTTTAATAGAAACGTTGTATATTTTATCCCATTAGTTCTTACAAATTTATAAGGTAGGTATAGTTCTCATTTAATAGATTACAGATTAAGGGATATTAGTTTGTCCAAACCTTCACAGCTAACAGTATTAACCAGAGTTTGGAATCAAAATCTCTTTATTGAACATGATATACTCAGAATCAAAATACAATGAGAATTGAGTTATTTTAAATGCTTATCTATATAAATAATCAAAATTATACAGTTTTCAATTCAACAGCCAAACAGAATGTATCATATTGCAGTGAACACTAAAAATAGTGGGCCACAGTTTGGTTGGAAACATCACAGCAGGCTTTCTATTTGTTTTTCACTGTAGACAGTGATTGTCACATAGCAAATACTCAGAACTATCGGTTAAAGATTGGCCTGTAAAAAATGTATAGGATACAGTCCTTGCCCTCAAGTAAAGCCCTTGCCACACCACAAAAGTTTTATTGTCAGTTGGAATCATGTTAGGAGGGAGACTAGATTTCAGGTTTTTATCAGAGATATGTACATTGAGGGGGATGGGCAGACTTGGTTTCAACAACAGTACTATGTAAATAGCATTTTCTCTTAAAAATTGCTGCATGACACACCTATATTTTTTACATTTCAGTTAGGAAGTAATGATATAATAGTATTTTCATATTTATAAAGCATGATTCAAAACCTATCAGAACACTACACAAGAAAATTATAAAACATTTTTAAAAAGAAAGTATTCAAAATGAAATTATAACACAAAATTTTAAAACATTATTTTATTGGTGAGTGAGCAGAGAAGTATTTTCTCAGTCTTCTTCACTTCTCTGTATTTTATTTTCTGCAATGATAAGGTAAGGATGCTAGAATAAAAAAACCTATAACAAACTGTGTTTAAAACATGACAATAATGAAAATAATACATTAGAATAGAGACTCAAAAGTTAAAATCCTACTTAAATTAAATCAAGGTTTTTAGGAAGTAAAAGGGTATGATCAAAACATTTATGTTCCTAAAACATTTCACTTACGTAAAAATATTTATTTCAGAAGCCAAAAGGTAGGATTCATACATATAATGAAATTCTTAACTATAAGGTGGTGAAGGCTCAAACATTAAAACAGTACAAATGGAAAAAATTATATTGAATTTAAATTTCAGCATTATTAAATATTTTATTAAAACATATAGTTAAAAAAACTCTTATAGTTTGTTACATGATTTTGCTTGAAAAGTAACATTCTTTAATAACATCAGCATTTCTTTATCCTTTAGACATATGGGTTAGACAGAGTAACATGAAATGCCATTGGGAAAATCAAATATCTTCAGAGGTTTGAATATTCACTATTCTGATTTTCCTGTGTTGTTCATAGGAAAAAGTATGATCTCATGTCGTCCCCATTATATATTTTCCAATTTATATCCCAATAAAAAAAGTACAAATTATAGTTTTTATTGCTTTGTTTTAATCACAGCTTTTGAACTATAGCGCTTAGCTTCACTGTGAATGTCACAGGTCAGGAAGTCTATAGAGTATCATTTGTTAGAGAAACAGAGTGTTTAAACACAACACATAATATATTCAAGACTATCACAGACATGGCAATAATTACCAAATGGTTTTAAATCAACACATCTTCATGTAAAAAGTCCGTTTCTCCATCCTAGATGCTGTAGTGGTGCTAACACAAATTATTTATACTCAAGACATGTTTGATAAAAGTTAACTAACTTCTTGAAATGAGTGGTTAAATTTCTGTATGGGAGAGAAATTAATTTTAACTAGAGGAACAAAGCAAAGGGCTTTGATCTTCTTTCCTGAGTGACTAACTTAAGATTTGGTGAAACAAACAGTGACAGTTAACATATATTGAATGTTCACTAAGAGCCATGCACTAACCTAGGAAATTTATGTTACTTCATTTAATTATCACAGTTTCTATCAATGTTTTAATATGAGGAAACAGTGGCTCAGAGAAATTAACCACCCCAGAGTTATGTAGCTACTAAAGAATGAAGAGTGATTCACTATCTTTGAATACTGCATCATGGGAAAGGGAATCTGACTTTGGCTTCTAGAGAAGTTTCAATTCTATTATAGAGGTCATAGGTGGGCATATCCACCCGAAGTCAGGTCATCTCTCTCCCATCAGGAGTTAAGGGTGAATTGTACACTGGGACTGAGACATTTAGCATGGGGTAAGGGGGTTGCTACAGAAATCCATTCCTCCTCACCTCACAACACTAACAGCCTGGCCACTGCTCTCTATTTTGAGCCCACTAGACCAAGACTCATTCTGCCCCCCTTTTTAAATTGTCAGGCTTCATGATAAGCCCTAGCTCTTAGAGATCCCCCTCTGTCCATGTTCTATTCGGTGTCTTTTTCTCTCCTCTCTCCAACTCCTGAAACTCTCTGTGTTCTCTGGATTTCTCAGTTCATCTTGAGCAAGAATCTGCTATTTTCTTATCCTCTTCTCTGAACTTACCCTTCACCTTCTTGCCATTGTGGAAACCTGGCTCTCTCTAGAATACCCTGCGACTCCTACAGCTCTGTAAGTAGTGGGTCATTTTTTTTTGTCTGTTTGTTTTGTTTTTCCCATATAGCGCTTATACTACCTAAATAAATATGCCTAAATATTGGCTGGGCATCTTTTTTGTCTATTCAAGATCATTCCCTGGGCCGGGCGCGGTGGCTCACACCTGTAATCCCAGCACTTTGGGAGGCCAAGGCGGGTGGATCATGAGGTCAGGAGATTGAGACCATCCTGGCTAGCACAGTGAAACCCCATCTCTACTAAAAATATAAAAAATTAGCTGGGCGTGGTGGTACGTGACTTTTAGTCCCAGCTACTCGGGAGACTGAGGCAGGAGAGTCACTTGAACCTGGTAGGCGGAGGTAGCAGTGAGCCAAGATGACGTCACTGCACTCCAGCCTGGGTGACAGAGTGAGACTCCTTCTCAAAAAAAAAAAAAATTCCCTAAGTTTCACATGATTGGATTAATACCCTTTCACTGCCATTTCACCCTCCCGTAATTGCCTTTCATTTCCTGATGATTTTAGTTCTGATACTATTCTTGTCTTTATTATATAAGTAGATGATTTTTTTCTAGCACTTTTCCTCTCCTCTTTTCCCAGACTCTGCACTTCCTCAGCTTCTTTCTTCATGACAATTACCTAGACTTTGTCATTATCAATGACTGCAACACTTGCACAATTTTTACTATGCATACTAATACCTTTGCTCTTTTAAGCTCACTCCTTCCAGAACCCCCATGCCAACAATTCAGCAGCTCTCCTGGAATGTCCAATACACTGATGCTCTCAACATTCACTGTCCCTTAACCCCTTGATGTCCTTTTACCTTTATTACTTAGATTAAAATTTAAGTTTGGTCCTTACACAGCTTCTGCCTTAGCTGTAGTATGGAACCAACTTTTTCTGCTTTCTTATATCTACTGAGTATTAAATAAATTCATAAAAATAGGGAATCCTCATTGTAAGTATAAGGTGTGTACTACACAAATATTTAAGTACTACATTGGGTGTGAAGGGGTATACAAGGAAGTATTGGTTAAGGTTTGAAGGTAAAGCTTGAGTATTCCAAAGGTACTATCATTAATTTTCCTTCACTTTTGTGGTTTTTAACTAAGGGAAGATGGTGCACAAATAATAAAAGTTGTGCATGAAACAAAACAACAATTTGATCAGTATCTGGGAAAGTGTTTTATATGACAAAGCAAAGCTGTAGAAAAGATTGGATATTTTAGTGTGGCTTCAGTATCATGCCAAACTGGGGCTTTCTACTGAATATTTTGAATCTGTATATTGGAACCCACAGGCTCACACATGCCTATGGAAAGAGAGAGTGATATGACTATGATTATGGGGAAGATCTCAAGTCTACCCAACCAGCCACACATTCTTAGAGTTGGTTCATAAAGAGAAAGGGATAGACTTCTCACAGCAAAAAGAAGTCCTGTCCAGGTAAAAAAAGAAGAGATCCTGATGCATTGATAGTGGAAGAAGAAGTGGGAAAGTTTGTTACCTGTAAGGTATAGTTAACTGATACATCACTGAATGTGGTTTAACTAATGTTTCACATTCTTTTTTTTTTATTATTATACTTTAAGTTTTAGGGTACATGTGCACAATGTGCAGGTTTGTTACATATGTATACATGTGCCATGTTGGTGTGCTGCACCCATTAACTCATCATTTAGCATTAAGTATATCTCCTAATGCTATCCCTCACCCCTCCCCACACCCCACAACAGTCCCCAGAGTGTGATGTTCCCCTTCCTGTGTCCATGTGTTCTCATTGTTCAATTCCCACCTATGAGTGAGAATATGCGGTGTTTGGTTTTTTATTCTAGCGATAGTTTACTGAGAATGATGATTTCCAATTTCATCCATGTCCCTATGAAGGACATGAACTCATCATTTTTTATGGCTGCATAGTATTCCATGGTGTATATGTGCCACATTTTCTTAATCCAGTCTATCATTGTTGGACATTTGGGTTGGTTCCAAGTCTTTGCTATTGTGTATAGTGCCGCAATAAACATACGCGTGCATGTGTCTTTATAGCAGCATGATTTGGGTATATACCCAGTATATAGCAGCAGTCCTTTGGGTATATACCCAGTAATGGGATGGCTGGGTCAAATGGTATTTCTACTTCTAGATCCCTGAGGAATCGCCACACTGACTTCCACAATGGTTGAACGAGTTTACAGTCCCACCAACAGTGTAAAAGTGTTCCTATTTCTCCACAGCCTCTCCAGCACCTGTTGTTTCCTGACTTTTTAATGATTGCCATTCTAACTGGTGTGAGATGGTATCTGATTGTGGTTTTGATTTGCATTTCTCTGATGGCCAGTGATGGTGAGCATTTTTTCATGTGTTTTTTGGCTGCATAAATGTCTTCTTTTGAGAAGTGTCTGTTCATGTCCTTTGCCCACTTTTTGATGGGGTTGTTTGTTTTTTTCTTGTAGATTTGTTTGAGTTCATTGTAGATTCTGGATATTAGCCCTTTGTCAGATGAGTAGGTTGCGAAAATTTTCTCCCATTTTGTAGGTTGCCTGTTCACTCTGATGGTAGTTTCTTTTGCTGTGCAGAAGCTCTTTAGTTTAATTAGATCCCATTTGTCAATTTTGTCTTTTGTTGCCATTGCTTTTGGTGTTTTAGACCTGAAGTCGTTGCCCATGCCTATGTCCTGAATGGTAATGCCTAGGATTTCTTCTAGGGTTTTTATGGTTTTAGGTCTAACGTTTAAGTCTTTAATCCATCTTGAATTAATTTTTGTATAAGGTTTAAGGAAGGGATCCAGTTTCAGCTTCCTACATATGGCTAGCCAGTTTTCCCAGCACCATTTGAAAACTGGCACAAGACAGGGATGCCCTCTCTCACCACTCCTATTCAACATAGTGTTGGAAGTTCTGGCCAGGGCAATTAGGCAGGAGAAGGAAATAAAGGGTATTCAGTTAGGAAAAGAGGAAGTCAAATTGTCCCTGTTTGCAGACGACATGATTGTATATCTAGAAAACCCCATTGTCTCAGCCCAAAATCTCCTTAAACTGATAAGCAACTTCAGCAAAGTCTCAGGATACAAAATCAATGTACAAAATTCACAAGCATTCTTATACACCAATAACAGACAAACAGAGAGCCAAATCATGAGTGAACTCCCATTCACAATTGCTTCAAAGAGAATAAAATACCTAGGAATCCAACTTACAAGGAACGTGAAGGACCTCTTC
Organism: Homo sapiens; assembly: GCF_000001405.40. Classification (NCBI taxonomy): domain Eukaryota; kingdom Metazoa; phylum Chordata; class Mammalia; order Primates; family Hominidae; genus Homo; species Homo sapiens. The sequence continues at coordinate 74,701,908 of NC_000006.12, read as the reverse complement.
AAGGAGAACTACAAACCACTGCTCAATGAAATAAAAGAGGATACAAACAAATGGAAGAACATTCCATGCTCATGGGTAGGAAGAATCAATATCGTAAAAATGGCCATACTGCCCAAGATAATTTATAGATTCAATGTCATCCCCATCAAGCTACCAATGACTTTCTTCACAGAATTGGAAAAAACTACTTTAAATTTCATATGGAATCAAAAAAGAGCCCGCATCACCAAGTGAATCCTAAGCCAAAAGAACAAAGCTGGAGGCATCATGCTACCTGACTTCAAACTATACTACAAGGCTACAGTAACCAAAGCAACATGGTACTGGTACCAAAACATAGATATAGAATAGATCAATGGAACAGAACAGAGCCCTCAGAAATAACGCCGCATATCTACAACTATCTGATCTTTGACAAACCTGAGAAAAACAAGCAACGGGGAAAGGATTCCCTATTTAATAAATGTTTCACATTCTTAGCAATTGGAGTAGCAACTCCTTTTCTAGAAAGAAGTTGGAAAATAGGAAAATTCTTGACAGGGGAAGAGTTTGATTGAGAAGGATCAGAAGTACTCATTTGTTTATTCAGTACATTAATTTAATAATATATATGCTGCACGGTACAGAAGATGCATTGATGAATCAATAGGGTCCCTATCCTTGAGGAAAGCTCATTTTAGAAAGAACCGAAAGGCTGAGATGCTAAAGTACTTTATCTTGAGAGTTGTAGGTCATGATATATTAGGCATCTATCATGCCTAAATAAGCATGATAGATGCTTATTTAGTATCTCTTTATCAGGTAAAAATTCTAATTGGAAAGAAATAAAACAGATCTCAGAGGTGTAGACTTCAATTGCTTAAGAGCAGTTAGAGTTAGACCTTATAATAAATATAGTTTTAAACAATTGGCATTGAATATAAAAAATAGCTTTTTAAAACAACTGACATAACCATAGAAATCAGTTTCTATATGTTTACATGGCAACAGCACAATAAACACTTCAAACACTTTCTGGAGAGAAAGCTGCGTGTGTTTGTGTGTGCATCTGCATGATCTTGCAGACATGTGTATGTACATGCCTATTCATATTTTAATCTACTTTCTACATGATGTTCTGGGCTCTTAGTACCCTATGACTCCATGTTTTGGAATCTATTAGAAATTTCTTGTTTTCTGAGAAAACTTTCCTTTGAAGAGGGAATGTTGAGTCAATGAGAATCAAATATACAATCAAATAGAAACTTTTGGTTCAGATTGGTTATGTTTTATCTGACCTTTAATTGGTAATTTACTGGGGTAAAAATTACCTTGAAGTGATAGAAGTTTAGTAAATGTGATTTGGTTAAGTAGGGTTTCCTTTTTGTGTCTGGAAAGGTCTTTTATTTTCAAAATACTCCAAATTTAGAAAAAATAATAAAATATATACACCTCATTTCATGCAGCATCATAATACTTTCCACAGAGAAGTTAAAACACTAAACAGAAGAAGATAAGAGCCTTGAGAGAAATACTTTTCTTCATTTTTTGTCATTATCTTGAGAAGCCTTATCAAATGGAAAAACCCACGATCACTTTTTGTTCCCAACTTCTCCCTTACCACCTTATTTAACTTCTTTCTTCCTTTGTTTTTCTTCATATTCTTTGCTTCATTCTTTTTTTTCCCCTTCTCTATTGGCATTTTTCAGACTTGCCTGAAATAATGACCCCCTAAGCTCTACTTCTTACCAGGGGTGTGGCCTGGGTTGACTTCCTAATCTTTTTTCAGCTTTGACTTCTTCCTCCACAAAATGAGGATGGCAATTAATAAAAAGAGAGTTAAAGCAGACCATGTATAGGAGTGCTTAGTGCAGCCCTGGAACATAGTTAAAGTTTAAAATAAGCATTATAGTAAGTAATAAGGGTATAAATACTACTAATAAATGTATAAAAATAAATAATAGAACGATAAATTATTAATCACAAAGCTTTGAACTGGACATATTTGAAACCAGATTAAATGAGAAAAACATGGTCTAGGCTTAATATAAGTGGTAAAACATGTATTCAAAACATTAAAAATAGATCACAGTTGTTCCTTTTAATTATTTTTCTTTCTATATTTTGCCCTAGTATCCAGCAAATAATAAATCACATTTGCCACTAAAATCTATAGAAGGAAAAATGTTTTCAAGTCCTGTGCTGAATGAAAGATTACTATGCAGAAAGTAAGAAAAGCCACAGCTGCACTTTCCATTTCACTAAAATACTGCTGCACCAATCAACAGAAATAGAATGTAAGAACCTTTTGAAGAAAGTCTTGTTAAAAGCCTTTTTCCTTTTAGTGACCCAATTCCATGGCAGTCTTTACTGAAAAAAGGGTTTGGCTTTGTAGTGAGCACTGGTGCCTGTTGCAATGTCTGAAAATGGATGAAGAACAAAGTGTTGAATTTTTCATTGAAATTGAAGTTTACATTTTTAGAACTCACTTCTGTAATGGACTACAATAAACAAACTCCAGTTCCCGGTGTCTTAAAAAAGTGGATAAAGTGCTGCTGCCGCTCATTAGATGGGGAGACTTTAGATTAATTGACAATTCTTATAAAAGTTATAAGAATATAAATAATTCTTATAAAAATTAAACCATTATTTAACATTTTGTTGAAAAATATATTATTTACTGTATTATTGATATTATTGATATTATTTGCTTTCCTAGGTGAGCTTCCTAAACTTGTTTTCTACATTTTAATCCCCTAGTTCTGAAATTTATCAATGGCTAAAAATGGATTGAGATCCATGAGAATATGAAGATTTCTGGGTCCCATTTCTAGAGAGACTTCAATTCATGGTTCTGGAGTAGCAATGTACAGTTGAGTAGGCAACCTATATTAGGGGTCAGGAAAGTAGGCCTGTGACCCATGGGCAAAATCCAGCCAATGGCCTACCTTTGTAAGCCCTGCCTAAGTAGTTTTTACATTTTTAATCAGAAAAGAAAGAAAGAAAGAAAGAAAGAAAGAAAGAAAGAAAGAAAGAAAGAAAGAAAGGAAGAAAAGAAAGAAAGAAAAAAAGAAAGAAAGAAAGAAAGGAAAGAAGGAAGGAAGAAATTAAAAAGACACAAAGCTGAACTATTTATTATCTGGCCCTTTACAGAAAAAGTTTGCAGACCTCTGCCCTAGATGATCCTGATTCATTCCCTCTACAAATATTTGATGATAGCTTATTTCATCTTGGATGTACTCCTTGGCCTGATAATAGGGAACAGAGAGACCAAGAGATGAAAAGTGTCTAGTCTCTTGGGGGTTACATCCCAGCGGTGACACAGGATGCAACATGTGATTATCATTTGTGAGCTCAGAAATACATCAACAAGCTAACTTCAAACAGCAATGGGTTATGAAGAAAATATAACAAGAAAATGTTTTCCCCAAAACATTTGAACTAAGACCTTAATGTTCAGCTTGGACATGGTGTGATTTGAGGAGAACCTGGTAGGCAGAGGGAAGAGCCAGGAGAGAGTCAGGAATGAGCTTACAGTGTTCAGAGAGGCCAGTGTGGCTAGAGAGTAGCAAGCAGAGGGAAAGCTTGAGGAGCTGTATCAGAGAGCAAATCTCACAAACCTGGGCAGGTCATCAGGAGGAGTTTTATATTTTATTCTAAGTGCAGTGGTACCCATAGCCTGTAAACTCCATTTCAGACACATGCCTTAGAAATGAACTAAACGTATGTCACTACTCTAAGTTATAGTAATTCAAATTAAATAATTAAGTTAAAAAAAGAGAGATGTACCTAAACAACACTAGTAATGTTTATATTGCAGGTCAAATTTGATACTTTTTCTCTTTGTGTTCATGCATAATCTTAACGGATATAGAATTCAGTATTAATTCTAGACTAATGTGTTAAAATATATATTTAATTTAAGCAGTATTTAAAGAAGTTGAAAGCTTTAAAAATATTGTAAAATTTCTTAGAAAAGTATACGTACACAACTCTGTGTTCATTAAAGATAATATTTTATTTAAAGTTATAATATAATTTTATTAAGTAACAATCTTTTGTCCCTTATACCAGGAAGGTTATAACACATATATGACATATAAAGAAACTTTAAAAAGAGTTATAAATATTGGTTTTAGGTTAACATTTTCTATGGTAACTATGATATATTATGATGACTTAACCACAAATGCAAGTGTGAGAATCCAATGAATAATTCGTGCTGTCTGACCCTAACTTCATACATTAATTCCATTAGACATCAGTTTAAGCTTTCAATGGAAAAATCCATTTAAAAATAAACTGAATGGCGCCAAACACAAATAGTAACAAGGACTCTAAGATACCATATGGTAAACCACAGAATTTATTATTTTAAAAAGTTAATTTTGTTTTACCAAGGAAGAATATAAATAATGCATAATGTACAACTTATACTCCCAACACATTTCTAAATAGAAACATGCTAAATAGATTTTATTTTATTTTTTATAAATCACGTCATATCCATCTGGCACTGAACTTAATTTGTTTGAAGGAACAGTCTGTGGGACTAAGGATATAGTAGTACAAGTTGAGAAAATAGTGATTTCTCAAACTAGCAGTTTCTCAGTTGTCCAGCAAATCATTAATTATCCTCATGGCCTGTCACTGTATTTGTCTCCCAGAGAAAATTGTAAGCTTATGATGGTCACATTCACCTGTTAGGACCCCATATTTGTAAGTGATACATACATGTTTGCTGAAATAATGAATTAATTTTCTCTGGGTGCAAAATATCAAAGAAAATATAAATAATGCTAAACTATGCACAAAGGAAAGACATATAATCAATACATGTGATCAATAGCACAGAGCTGATATTGGTGCCTTTACACAACACATTTCTCTGGGTGCCAGAGAAAAATCTGAAATGTATTTCCTCAGGAATGGGAGTGACTTTTACTGGGTGGCTCTGTATGTTGATGAATATAGTCCTATGCAAATGAAACAGGATTAACCTGAAATGACACCTTCAGACCTGCGGCTGTTTGGTCTAATGCTGTCACTGACCTCCCTTATTTGTTCTCTTCCCTTGTTCCTTTAGAAATAAATTTTTAGAAAGATGATGTTATTACTTTATAAAAATGATGCATGCTTATTACAACAACTTTACTCAATACAGAAAAGAAAAAAAAAACTAATACCACCTGGAAAGACATTAATACTAGATGTACATAATTCAAGGCATCTATGCCTATATACATATATATAAACTGAAAGATAAATATATTTGTAAAAATAGTATTATACTGTACATACTATTTTAAAAACATAAATTGTTACCTTTAAGTTTATATTTAATAGGGAATGAAAGTAATAGTGGAACTTCAAATAAATGTTTCTGCATAAGAGATATTAATCTCTGAGAGCCCATCCAAGTTTTTTAAAATTATAAACATGTAAAAAATTAGAGACATATTTTTTAAAGACACACTTTACTTTTGAATAGTAACAATTGGCTCCCAGTTTTCAATATGAGGAAATTATTGCATTTCCACTTTGACACTGTGTAATAAACGTAAATTTTGTTATTCAGAAATTTTTAAGTTGATAAAAACATAGTAGCGCTTACATTCTGTTATGTATTAATGATTTCCATTGTATTTAGTCTTCCTGTGGCTTTTCCACTTCTGATCTCAGTTTAAATAATCTTCTGATTGAATCTAACCATCTTTTGTTGAAGAGAACTTCAACATTCCCTGAGTCTTTATAGACTCGAGAACATTTGCTAGTTGCCTTAATAATACATTAATATGGCCAAATACAGAATTTGATCGCACTTTTTTTTCTCTTGGAGTTTTATACACATTGCTTCATGGTCTTATGATACTGAGTGAACATGACTGTCACCAAGACTTTCCCATTCATGACTTTGTTGGCTTGATTTCTTTGCATGGTGCTTTTCTTTTTTCCAACTAGGGCTCAAGAGTGCTTTAGTCCCTGAATTCTTTAAAATTTGAAAGTGTCTACTTGCCTTTATACTGAATGCCAGCATGACAATAATATGCATTACTTTGGGGTCTTTCCACACCCTTAGCTCCACTGTGAAGCAAATCACTCATATCTACCTCTTCAAACCTCAACAGTATGAGATAGGAAATGTATTACTCTGGGTAGAAACAAGTCTCAGACCAAGTGTTGAAAAGTGCCCCCCTCACAATGTTTTCCCCAGCCTCTAGGCAGCCCCAATGATGAATATCTGGCCTGTGTCTGGTTGTTTGTTCAGGTAGATGTCCTCTCATCTCTCTAAGATGTTAACTGAAGGCTTAAATCGAAGTGTAAGTTAACATAGTTTAGACATGATTCTCCCAAATGGTGTTACTAAGAAATACTAACTAGTATTTCTTCTGTGAGTCAGTCAACAGACACATCTGAGCAAATATTTATTGAGCATCTTCACATGCCAGGTACCATTATCTGTGACAGGGAAATGATATTGAATAAGATAGAAAAAACTGCTCTTGTGGAGCTTAAATTCTAGTGAGATCCTTGAGAAAACTGCAATGAGTAGTATAGTTCTAGTGAGCTCTTTGTTGGTATTTGTTGAATGAATACATGTAGGCATGCATTATTGAATGGTGGTTAGTCCACTGGACTGCTAAACACACTCTGAAGGGGTCTGTTAAAAATATAGCATTGGGGAGGCCGAGGTGGGTGGATCACCTGAGGTCAAGAGTTCGAAACCAGCCTGGCCAACATGGTGAAACCTTGTCTTTACTAAAAATACAAAAATTAGCTGGGTGTGGTGGCAGGCACCTGTTATCCCATATACCCGGGAGACTGAGGCAGGAGATTGCTTGAACCCAAGAGGCGGAGGTTGCAGTGAGTGGAGATCGCACCACTGTACTCCAGCCTGGCGACAGAGTGAGACTCCATCTAAAAAAGTAGCTCAAGACCGGGCTTATACTTGCCTAGTGGAAAATAAAATTGTGTTCTAAAGCTTCACATTGCTCCACTGTGTTGTCGTTAAATGTGCCTGGGACAAAGTCTGAAGCTAGCCTAATTTTTCTTCCTCTTGTCTGATAAATGAGTTGCTTTTTTACTTGGATGCCTGAAGAATTATTATAAATATCTCGGGAGTAGCATAACTCACCCAGGATATGCCTGACAGTTTATTCATTGCTTCATATTAATTTTTCTTGTAGTAGAGTATGCTTTTTCCTCTGCAGATGCAATTCTTCCTTCATTTCAGGAATCTTTTCTTCATAGGCATTATTTTTTCCTCTGAATACACTGTGGTAATCTTGATGCTTCTCTCTAGAAGCAGTTTCAGTTCAACTGTATTATGTTCATTGCTATTTCTAATTTATTTAGAAGTTGATCATCAGTTTTGAGTGATGTTCTGGTCTTTAGAGTTTTTCCACTGCAATTGTGGCTCATCGTTTTGTGGTTTTATTTCTTCTTGTGTTATTGTAGTCATATGATTATTATATTTTCTTTTAAAAAACTATGTGGAAAATTTTATTTTTTAGATTATGTTCCTTTATTAAGTTTTAGATGGTTTCTATATTGCTATAGTCCTTTTAATTTATCTTTTCAGACATAAAAGTTCTGGCTAAATCATAAAATATCATCAGTTGTTATTGTTATTGCTTTTAGTATGTTGTCTAGGTCAACTAATGGTATCCGGTATCCTTCATATATATAGATATGAAGGATATATATGTATCAATAAGGAAACACTTATAATCAATAGTGATAATTTTCTCATAAATCTCTTTAGAATATATTTTAGTCTCTTTAGTGGTTGCATGTGAGTTTAAGTTAGAAAAGAATAGTGGTCACATGGAATATTGTGAAGAATTTCTCTAGTTATAACTAGTTTTTCTCAGTGGTATTGATGTTTGCATCTTCCAACCAAATATCTCTACTACAGTTAGGGAAAGCATGAGAACTGTCAAATTTTTTGACATATGGGTAAATGACATGTTTCACCCAATGTTTCTATTTATTTTTCTTAGCACTTACTGCATGTGAATTACTCAAACACCATCTTGAAAGGGTCATGTCTAAACTATGTCACTGACACTCCAACTTAAGCTTTCAGTTAACATCTTATATGAGATGCAGTGAGTAGAGATTGCACCACTGTACTCCAGTCTGGGCAACAGAGTGAGACTCCATCTAAAAAAGTAGCTTTAGTGCTTTAGATGAGATGGACATCATCTACCCGAACAAGTAACCAGACTCAGGCCAGATACTGCCTATAGGCTGGGGAAGACATTTTGAGGGGGGCACTTTTCAACACTTGGTCTGAGACTGGTTTTTACCACTAGTAACACATTTTCTAGCTTATACTGTTGAAGTTTAAAGAGATAGATATGAGTGATTTGGGATCATCAGAAGTCTAGTATTTATAAAATTTAGCATTAAAAATATCATAAGTACTAATTTAGTCACCTGTTCTATAGACAAAGAAAAAACAGAAATCAGGAGAACCTTCCTTCCAGAAATGTGGTTTTCTGATAATTACCCAATGAGAAAACTCTAGGAAATTGCATTTCTTAATTTATTGGCACAAACCTTTGCTGTAGTAAACTTCACTTTTGTTATGGTTATAAATAAATTATATTTTTATGAGGCTTACTACCTTAATAGTTACAGATATAATTTACTGAGAATTTACTTTTATTCTAGCCAATGTTATACATTTTATAACATTTTTCTAAAATGTATACTATGTTATGCATTTTATACTTTTTCCATATTCAATTTTTATAAGAACTATGTGCATCTTATTTCCGATTCATAGATAAGGTAGTGTATGTATAGAGGATTTAAGATATTTGACAAGATCACAGATATGGCAAGCCTCAGAGCTACGGTTTTAATCTAGTTATCATCCAACCCTAAAACACTAGTAGTATTTCTTCGGTGCATCAGTCAAGAGACAAACATTTATTGAGCATCGTCCACATGCCAGGCACCATTTTCTATGACAGAGAGATGACATTGAATACAGTAGACAAAAACTCTGCTATTATGAAGCTTAAATTCTAGTGAGGCCTTTGAAAAAACTGCAATGACTGGTGCAGCTCTAGTGAGTTCTTGGTGGGTGTGTATTGAATGAATACATGTAGGCATGCATGTTTGAATGGTGGCTAGTCCATTGATCTATCAAACACTCTGAAGAGGTCTGTTGAAAATGTAGCATTATTCAGATAAATGCAAACCAAAACTACACTGACATCATCTCACCCCCGTTAAAATGACTTATATCCAAAAGACAGGTAATAAAAATTTCTGGTGAGGATGTGGAGAAAGGGAACACTTGTAAACTGTTGGTGGAACTAATTTACACTCCCACCAATAGTGTATAAGCCTTCCTTTTTCTCCACAACCTTGCCAGTAACTGTTATTTTTTTACTTTTTTATTATACTTTAAGTTCTAGGGTACAAATGCACAACGTGCAGGTTTGTTACATATGTATACCATGTTAGTGGGCTGCACCCATTAACTCGTCATTTACATTAGGTATATCTCGTAATGCTATAGTTGGAAGTAAAGCACTTCTCAGCAAATGTAAAAGAACAGAAATTATAACAAACTGTCTCTCAGACCACAGTGCAATCAAACTAGAACTCAGGATTAAGAAACTCACTCAAAACTGATCAACTACATGGAAACTGAATAACCTGCTCCTGAATGACTACTGGTACATAACGAAACGAAGGCAGAAATAAAGATGGTGGAAGACAGTGTGGCAATTCCTCAAAGACCTAAAGACAGAAAAACCATTTGACCCAGCAATCCCATTGCTGGGTATATACCCAAAGGAACATAAATCATTATATTATAAAGACACATACACACATATGTTCACTGCAGCACTATTTACAATCTCAAAGACATGAAATCAATATAAATGCCCATCAATGATAGACTGGATAAAGAAAATGTGGTATATATACACCATGGACTACCATGCAGCCATAAAAAAAATGAGATCATGTCCTTTGCAGGAACATGGTTGGAGCTGGAGGCCATTATCCCTAGCAAACTGACAGAAACAGAAAACCAAACACTGCATGCTCTCACTTATAAGTGGGAGCTAAATGATGAGAACATATGGACCCATAGAGGAGAATAACACACACTGGGGCCTATTGAAGAGTGAAGGATAGGAGGAGAGAGAAGATCAGAAAAAAATAACTAATGGGTACTAAGCTTAATACCTGAGTGATTAAATGATATGCACAAGAAACCCCCATGACACATGTTTATCTATGTAACAAACTTGCACTTGTACCCCTGAACTTAAAAGTTAAAAAAATTAAATATCTGAAGTTTTTTTTAGACAGTAGGCTATATCAGCAACAAGGACAAAGATCTCTGAATTTTTGAAGCTTACATTCCAGTAGGAAACACAGTTAGTAAAAGAAAGAAATAAATACATATATTACATAAAATATTAAAAAGTTGTATTATGGGAAAATTAAAAGGAATAGTTGGGCAAGAGAGTGCAGAGTGCTGAATGTGGAAGGTAGGTAAAATACAGAAAATATCCAGCAGAATAAATCTTTTACTCTATTAGGATAGGTGGAAATATTTGTTTCATATTATCACCTTTTCCACCTCCTGCAGGTGGGATAACATTTTTTCACTCTGCTGTCCCTTCCAATAATTTGCAATACACTTTGGTTTGTTAATTGGTGTGTTTAAAAATATGTTTCTATTCTTTGTTTAAATTCATTTATTAAAAAATGTAAGGCTGAGTGCACTGGCTCGCACCTGTAATCCCGACACTTTGGGAGGCCAAACCAAAGTGTTGTGGGGATAGCTTGAGCCCAGGAGTTCGAGACCAGCCTGGGCAACAAAGTGAGACCCCCATATCTACAAAAAATTAAAAGGTAGCTGGGCATGGTGGTGCCCACCTGTGGTCTTAGCTACACAGGAGGCTGAGGTGGGAGGATTGCTTGGGCCCAGGATGTTGAGGCTGTAGTGAACCATGTTCACACCACCATGATCTAGTGTGGGTGACATAAACAAACACACAAATGAATGAACAAAAAATGTAACTAAGGAATATGATGTCACACAAATTTTGATATGTCTTTATTCAGTATATGGAGACTTATTTTCTTCTTTAAATATTGCAGAGTGCTGAATGTGGAAAGTGAAATATGGCAAATATTCAACAGAATAAATCTTTCACTCTGTTAAGATAGGTGAAAATACTGATTTCCATACTTTATTTTGGTTGTATTTATAATTGTATAATTGACATAAGTTGTTTTGGCACTCTCCATTCATTTACCCTTCTCCTGTTGCAAATATCCCAAATACTTCTGCCTCACTCTGAGTCATGCGGTTTTGAAGAGGCTTTGGAGCGTCATGTGACCTAAATTCTGCCTCAATTGGTAAATTCATCACTGTAGCATTGATGATTTTTCAGGGATAAGTACAAGCTTAATTCTGGCCAGGAAAAGTCAGACTCAAGATTTTAGTTTGAAATTGTTTGAAGAAAAAGAGATTCTCTTTTCCTTTTCACTTGAACTTAAGATGATGCTGAAGCTGGAGCCGCTAGAGTCATCTGCTACATTGGGAAACCTGAGAATAGAGTCAATAGAGAGAAAATACTGGTGAAAGATGAAGAGAAAAACTAGTTATTGTTGATATTGTTGTGGCTGTTTCAGTAACATGAACCAAAAATACTCCCCTTTAAACTCCAGCCACTGAAGTTAGGAGGTTTCATACTTAAAATGTAAAGACCACTTCTCAGCTGTTGTTAGGAGCGGCTGAATCACTGTTTGAGCCAGGAGATCTCAGTTCCCCTTAACTCTGCCTTTGATTATCTGCACGGCTTTGGGTCAATCACTTTATTCTCCAGTCCTGGCTGCCAAACGTGGGAGTTAGGTGAGACATTCTCTCTGATACCTTCTAGTTCGATCATTCTGTAAAGCAGGTTAATGTGAGCATGTGACTAAAAACACCATGACATGCCTTGAAGTTCTCCCAGACGAGAACACTTGAATTCTGTCTTCTATCAGCTGTTCACAGAGGAGGATCCAGAACTCATTTGCACAAGTGCCTGGCTTAACTCTGTTAAAGTGTTGGTACCTTCTGCTAAAACAATCATCAAGTGGCTCTGGGACATATGCTGGAGCCTGCCCAGTCTCTGATGCATGGTCCAGCACTGAGCCAAAATATGTTTCCAGGAGAAACATGGTCATATGGACTGCTTAATTTCTATTCCTTGAAAATGTCACAGTTTTTTTCCTATGTTAGAAAATTGCTGTGGAATGACTTTTGAAAAATTCCCAGTAGTGAATTAAATGAAACCTTTGAGAAATGTTGACTGTGGTTGTAAAAAATTAAGTTAAACAAGCCTAAGAGACACATATTCCCATGCATTTTGCCATGTTTAGAGGCCATTCGCTTCAATAGAAATGTGTGGGGAGCCTACTGTCTCCGTATATGGCCTCTAAAGTCAGACTTGCCATTTTATCTTAGCTTTGTGGCTTGACCTCTTACCAGCTGGGTGAATTTGGTCAAGTCACTTAACCTTTCTAGGCTTCAGTGGTCTCTCCTATTAAATGAAGATAGTAATATTATATATCTCTTAGGATTCTTGAGGATAAAAATTCTTGAGGAAAAATACAATACTGAGTAGAGTGCCCAGCATTTAGGAAATATTCATTAGCACATTCAAGAAAGACACCTGGTTATAATATTATATTATAAATATTTACATATGCATACACATATATATCACATTTGTCATGTACACATACACATATATGTATTTTACATGTATTATATGCTATCTTTATTGAGTAGTGAATGTGTTACCATTGTATTTTTTTCTTGTTATTTCACATATATATCTCTATAAAAGTAAAAATTCAGAAGTAGCCTGTTTTATGGCTTGTAATATAAATTATCTTATTGTCCATCTAAATGGATTATAACAACTGAATAACTTCCAATTTAAACACCTCATTGTCTACCATGAGGAAAAATCATATAAATTTAGCTCTAAACATTGGCTTGCCTATATAACACCTGACTTGAAGTTTCAGGGATCATGGCAAATACAACAGCAAATGATGTGTTATAGGATGCACAACTCTGCCAACACCAATTGCATATATTTTTCCATTGTGTCTTTAAATGCCAATAAGATTTTTTTGTTTGCTAAAATATCATTCTGTTACTGTGAGAAGTGAAAACAAAACACTGTCTTCTGAGGCATCATTACTTATTGAGAAACAAGAGTTTTATATAACCATTTAACTCATCTATCCTGTGGAGATCTAAAGATCACGTTTAACTAGTTTTCCACTTCTGACTTTCTGCCTCAATTTTAATAAACTATTGAGTATGGGCTAGCCTCCAAGTCTTAAATTCACACATAGTAGTGAACAGTTATATAATTGTCATTTTACTAACAACTCAATAACAAGAACTTTTATATGTTTCCATAGATATTACCTAAAGAATTTGAGATCTATTTTTATATTTTCTGTTGATTACAAAGTTTCAAATAGGCAGATCGAAATCTTTGTTCAGTTCTATTTTATAATGGTTAACATTTTTAGAAACAAACACAAAAAGTGGTATAAAACTTTAGAACTTACTAATTCCAATAATTTACTAAAATTATTCACTAAGCTCTGGTTTAAAAATTTAAAGAAAAACATTGAAAATTTGTATTATTTTAAAAAATTCTATTGTTTAGTGTTTGTCTCTAGTTAGACACACATTATACAAGAGAAATAAATTTTGGCACCCCTGGTAAAGCACTACTCAGGGAAAAAAATAGGAATTTATTCTTTTTCCTACCTTTCATGATTAGAATTCATCGCCCTTTCTTCCATACAGTCCTGACTTCCCAGGGTTTCACATATTTATGGAGGACCTTTTGAATAGCAGCCATCAGTTTTAGGTGCTAAATTTACAAAGAGAAATTATATATGACCTCTTTGCCCTGTTTTTCATCCTTTTCTATCGGAAGAACTATTCATCCTTCAACTCTTAGGTGGAAGATTCTCTCCTTCAAGAAGCATTCTCTCTTTAGGCAGCCTTGATAGTGCTACGTCTCCCTTGAACTCTCAATATATTCTGTACAAAGAGCTACGTAATCTATAGCACTTTAGAGCCTTGATTTGCTTACATGCCTGTATTCCCCTGATAAGCTTCAGGTCTCTAGGAAGTGATGACTTTGTTTTACTTGACTTTGACTTTCCCACCTAGCATTATGTTTTTCAAAAAGCAGTTACATTATTTATTTGAATGCATGATAGAATAACTGAGCTTACAGCCTAATCTAGTTCTACACGGTGATACTGTCTCCTGGGATGATTCCATCTTTCCGAAATGTAAGACCTCCTAAATCCCAGAAAAAGGAAAAAATATATTAAATCTCTTCACTCTGAGCGTATTTTCAAAAGTTAGTTAATTTATTACTATGTTGACAGATGATGCAGATTTTGCTTAAATTTTATTATATGAAACTGATTGTAAATTCACAGAGGGTTGTAAAGATACTATAGAGAAGTTCTGTGCCTCAGTTCATCCAGTTTCCTGTAATGATTACATCTAATACTGCAATAACGCAGTATAAAAACCAAGAAATTAGCATTGGTACAACATATGTATATAGTTCTATGCCATTTTATTGCTTGCAGATTTGTGTAAACACTATCACTATTAAGGTAAAAAATTATTCTAACAGTAACATACCTCTCTATATCCCTCTATAGTCACACCCATCCTTTCCTGCAACTATCCCTAACAATTGGTAAACAACATTTTGCTCTCTGTCTCCATAATTTTGTAATTTCAAGATCATAATCTAAGTGGAATCATATGTATCATACCATCATCACATTGTTCACATACAATTTATCACAGTCAATTGTTGCAACACTTTTTAAGTTGAAGTGTAGCAACCTTACCTGCCTTTATACTCCTTTAACATCCCTTATTTATAATATGAATGTTTTGAATATTTTCCCTACATACATTTAGAAGATCAGATGGTGATTTAATTATTACTTCAACTGTCAAATATAATTTAGAAAACTCAAGAATAAAAGAAATGTCTATTATATTTACCTATAGTCTTACTTTTTCTATTTTTCTTTCTTGCTTTCTGATGTTCTAAAATTCTTTTATAATTTGTTTAGCAAATTTTCTTTAGCCATTTCATTACAGTAGGTCTGCTAGTGAAAAATTACAGTAGTCTTTCTTCATCTGAGAATGTCTTGATTTCCTCTTCATTAATGAAGGATATGTCAGTGGATATAGGATCTTAAGCTGACAGTTATTTTCTTCCAGTACTTGAAAAGTATTGTGTCACTTCCTTTTCACCTCCACAATTTTTGATGAGAAATCTGCTGTCATTCAAAATGTTTTTCCCCCATAGGTAAGATTTTTTTCCTACTGCCTTCAAGATTTATATTTGTTTTTAGTTTTTAGAAATTTCATTATGATGTGTTTTGGCATGGATTTCTTGGGTGTATCCTGTTTGGGGCTTACTCAGCTTCTTGAATCAGGTAGATTTACATATTTTCTACCATTTCAACCATTATTTTTAAAAATACTTTTTCAGCTCCTCTGTGTTTCTCCTGTTCCTCCAGAATTCTGTTAACATGAATTTAGAGCTATTGTTATAGCCTTCCAGGTCCCTAAGGCTTTGTTTATTTTTTTAACAGTCCACTTTCTTCTGTTGTTCAGGTTGAGTAATTTCTATTATTTTATCTTCAAGATCACCAATCCATTCCTCTGCCTCCACCATTCTGCAGTTAGGTTCATCTATTGAGATTTTATTTTGGTTATTATATTTTTTATTTCTATTTAGTTATTTTCTAAAAACTTTAATTTTAGGTTCAGGGGTACATAAGCAGGTTTGTTATATAGATAAACTCATATCACTGGGGTTTGATATACATATTTTCACTGAGGCACTAAACCTGGAACCCAATGGTTATTTTTTCTGCTCTTCTCCCTTCTCTCATCTTCCACCCTCTGGTAAGTCCCAGTGTCTGTTGCTCCCTTCTTTGTGTCCATGTATTCTCATAATTCAGATCCCACTTATAAGAACATAAAATATGTGGTTTTCTGTTCTTGCATTAGTTTGTTAAGAATAAAGGCCTTTGGTTTCATCCACGTTCCTGCAAAGGACAGGATATTTTTCTTTTTATGGCTTCATAGTATTCCATGGTGTATATGTACCATGTTTTCCTTATCCAGTCTACCACTGATGGACATTTAGGTTGATTCCATATTTTTGCTATTGTGAACAATGCTGCAATGAACATATGTGTGCGTGTGTCTTTAAAGTAGAATGAGTTATATTCTTTTGGGTATATACCCAGTAATGGGACTGCTAGAACAAATGGTAGTTCTGTTTTTAGCTTTTTGAGGAATCGCCACACTGCTTTCTACAATGATTGAACTAATTTACACTCCCACCAACAGTGTATAAATGTTCCCTTTTCTCTGCAACCTCACCAGCATCTGTTGTTTTTTGACTTCTTTATAATAGCCATTCTGACTGCTGTGAGATAGTCAAATGTGGTTTGCCAGCACAGGAGCTATGATGCAGCCCCCCAGGAAGTATTTGGGATGTAGCCCCAGGAAGTATCTGGGGCTACACTGCAAGCAGATGTGTCTAAGCAGGATGAGAATGAAAATCTAGACTCCTTACTCAACCTTCTGACACTACCCCAGAAGAGGCCAGCAGACTAAGGTGTGCTCGTTGGACTGGCCTGGTCTCATGGGCAAAGCCACCCTGAAGTTTTGGTCAGACAGCTCCCTTATGGCTAAAGTATCCTATGAGAGCAAGTTGAGCCCAGCGGGATGGGTGTCCCTGGGCATGCACCACTACAGATGCTCCCACATCAAGCTCTCTGTGATTGCCCTGGCTGGAGAACTGACTTGAGTTCTGCCTCTACCACTTCTCTAAGCAGCTTTCCCTGAAAACTCGGGTGTTTGTGGTGGTAGAGAGGTCTCCACCTGCTGGGATTCCAGAGGCCCATGGCTAGAGTGGGTTGTTCCTTGCCTGTTCAACTCATCCCCTCTGCAAGAGTCATTGGGAGCCAGGAATGAATCCCAGTTAGCAGTAGACCTGTGCGGGGTTCCCAACTTCCTAGTTATTCTTTACGTCTTCTGTTTCTTTGCTGATTTTTTTTGGATTTGTGTCAAACATGTTCATAATTTCTTTGAAGCATTTTTGTCATGACTATTTTAAGATTCTTGTCAGATCATTTAATATCTGTTTCATCTTGGCATTTGTATCTGCTGATTGTCTTTTTTTATTTTTTATTGTTTGAGACAGGGTCTCACTCTGTCACCAAGGATGGAGTATAGTGGCATGATCATGGCTCACTGCAGCCTCATACTCCTAGGCTCAAGCAGTCCTCCCACCTCAGCCTCCAACAATGCTGGGTTTATGGGCTGATTGTCTTTTTTTTAATTGTAGGAACACTTAACATGATATCCATCCTCTTAACAAATTTTAAAATGTGAAATAAAGTACTGTTAACTATAGGCACAATGTTGTACAGCAGATCACTAGAATTTATTCATCTTGTTTAACTGAAATTTTGTGCCCATTGATTAGTAGCTTACCACTTCTCCCTCCCTACTAGACTCTGGAAATCACCATTCCACTATTTAATTCTATGAATTTGCCTATTTTAGGTACTTTATATAAGTGGAAACATATAGGAGTTGTTCTTTTGTATCTGGTTTATTTTGCTTAGTTTAATGACTTCAAGAATTAACCCACTTTCTCACATACTGCAGAATTTTCTTCTTTTTTTAAGACTGAATAATATTCTATTGTATGCCTGCCTTTCCTCTTTCAAGTTGAAATTATCTTTTAATCAAATTGTAAGCAAGACAAGTAATATTTGAATTTGAACATTTGGGGTTTTATGTTATGAGACTTCAAATCTTACTTAAATATTTCTTACCTCCTCTGGAACCATGCACTCTATGGAAGGGGCACTGCCTTTTTACTGCCAGAAGAGGGTGGAAGTTTATGTTCTTCACTCAGCATCTTTTGACACCATGGGAGGGGACAGGCTTTTCATAACCGCTTGACAGGGATGGGAGTTTTAACTTCCCACTAGTTCACCACGGATGCCTACCTGGCTGGGAAGGGTGGGGTGCCTCATTACTTTTTCCCACATGGCCTCCACTGATTCTTTGGGAGAGATGGCCTGGTTACCTCTGGGCAGTGGTAAAAATCCCGACTCTCCACAGGTCTCCACTGACATTACCGTTGTAGTGAAAGGAAGGGAAAGTTGACCTTGTTACCACCTGAGGAGGATGAAAATCTAGACTCCTTACTCAACCTTCTGACACTACCCCAGGTGGGAAGTTGGGGCACCTGGCATGGATAGAAGTCTGGGCTCTGCACCTGCCTTGTGCTGGCTGTTAGTGGAGGCACCACATAGTATTTTCAATAGGTTTGGCTGAAATAAAGAGGTTATTATCTAAAAGTTTTCTGTCTTTCTGGGCTTCCTGTCTTCTGATTCTTGAGCTAGGGAGAAGAAGCTTTTCTTTGTGCTTCTTTTTTGTTTGTGCCTGTTGGTGTTTCACAGTTGTTGGTTTCTCTAACACTCAGTTCAGAATATATGGGCTAAAAAGGCAATCCAGGTAACTCACTGCTGTGTCCTTTCTTAAATTCTGAGGTTTGCAGCCTGTCTACCTTCTTCTTTCTACCTTTCAGCGTCTTCTTATGTTTGTTTTATATATAATGTACAGAGTTTTCAGCTGTACTTAGCAGGAGTAATAGAGAAAGTACCTGAAGGTTTATTAAGATTTTAATATATTTAAAGAATATTATTGTAAAACAACTAACTATAGGAGGCTTTAAAGTTATTTCTTTTCAATTATTTCAAAGAACAACAACTTTAAAAAAGATCTGAATAGCTAAAGAAAACATACTATGCTTTAAGTTTTAGGGTACATGTGCACAATGTGCAGGTTAGTTACATATGTATACATGTGCCATGCTGGTGCGCTGCACCCATTAACTCGTCATCTAGCATTAGGTATATCTCCCAATGCTATCCCTCCCCAACTCCCCCCACCCCACCACAGTCCCCAGAGTGTGATGTTCCCCTTCCTGTGTCCATGTGTTCTCATTGTTCAATTCCCACCAATGAGTGAGAATATGCGGTGTTTGGTTTTTTGTCCTTGTGATAGTTTTCTGAGAATGATGATTTCCAATTTCATCCATGTCCCTACAAAGGACATGAACTCATCATTTTTTATGGCTGCATAGTATTCCATGGTGTATATGTGCCACATTTTCTTAATCCAGTCTATCATTGTTGGACATTTGGGTTGGTTCCAAGTCTTTGCTATTGTGAATAGTGCCACAATAAACATGCATGTGCATGTGTCTTTATAGCAGCATGATTTATAGTCCTTTGGGTATATACCCAGTAATGGGATGGCTGGGTCAAATGGTATTTCTAGTTCTAGATCCCTGAGGAATCGCCACACTGATTTCCACAATGGTGGAACTAGTTTACAGTCCCACCAACAGTGTAAAAGTGTTCCTATTTCTCCACATCCTCTCCAGCACCTGTTGTTTCCTGACTTTTTAATGATCGCCATTCTAACTGGTGTGAGATGGTATCTCACTGTGGTTTTGATTTGCATTTCTCTGATGGCCAGTGATGGTGAGCATTTTTTCATGTGTCTGTTGGCTGCATAAATGTCTTCTTTTGAGAAGTGTCTGTTCATGTCCTTCGCCCACTTTTTGATGGGGTTGTTTGTTTTTTTCTTGTAAATTTGTTTGAGTTCATTGTAGATTCTGGATATTAGCCCTTTGTCAGATGAGAAGGTTGCGAAAATTTTCTCCCATTTTGTAGGTTGCCTGTTCACTCCGATGGTAGTTTCTTTTGCTGTGCAGAAGCTCTTTAGTTGAATTAGATCCCATTTGTCAATTTTGTCTTTTGTTGCCATTGCTTTTGGTGTTTTAGACATGAAGTCCTTGTATACATATGTAACTAACCTGCACATTGTGCACATGTACCCTAAAACTTAAAGTATAATAATAATAATAAAATAAAAATAAAAAAAGAAAACATACTATGATTATGGTTGGATGACTTAATATTATCAAGATGTTAATTCTTGCCAATTTAACTAGTGAATCATTGCAATTCCAATTCTTACTTCAGCACAAATTTTTAAGAAATTTCCTCAAATCCAAGAGCTTAAATAATTTTGGAAAAAAAGTGCAAATGTAGATGAACCCCCATGATAATAATGGTGAAATTTTTAAGTTAGATCATGATTTTTATTTTTTTATTTTTAAAATTTCCATTTATGTTTTACATTCAAAGGGTACATGTAGAGATTTGTTACAAAGCTATATTGTATGATGTTAAGGTTTGGGCTTCTATTGATCCTATAACCTAGATAGTGAACAATAGTACCCAATAGGAAGCTTTTCAGTCATTGTACTCTTCCTTCCCTTCCTCCTTATGAAATCCCCTGTGTCTATTTTTCTCATCTTTATGTCTACATGAGCAAAGATTCAGTTCCCACTTAAAAGTGAGAACATGTAACATTTGGTTTTCAGTTTCTGCATTAATTCGTTTAGTCTAACAGGCTCCAGCTACATCTATGTTACTGCAAAGAACATGATTTTGTTCTTTTCTATGGCTGTGTAGTATTCCATAGGGATATACTTCATTTTCTTCATCCAATCCACCATTGACAAGCAGTTGGGATTCCATGTCTTTTCTATTGTGAATAGTGCTGCATGTGTCTTTTTGTTAGAACAATTTATGTTCCTTTGAGTATATTCTAAGTAATGGGATTGCTGGGTCAAATGGTAGTTCTATTTTTAGTTCTTTGAGAAATCTCCAAACTGCTTTCCACAGGGGCTGAACTAATTTGTATTCCCACCAACAGTGTATAAGTGTTTCCCCTTTTCTCCACAGCCTCAGCAGCATCTGTTGTTTTTGACTTTTAATAATAGCCATTGTGACTGATGTGAGATAGTATCTCAGTGTTTTGCATCTCATTGATTTGCATCTCTTTGATGATTAGTAATGTTGAACATTTTATTCAAATGTTTATTGGCTGTTTGTATATCTTCTTTTGAGAAATGTCTGTCTTTTGCTCACTTTTTAATGAGGTTATTTTTCTTGTTGATTTGTTTGAATTCTTTATAAAATCTAAATATTAGAATCTTTACAGAATCTAAATATTAATGCTTTGTCAGATACATAGTTTGCAAGTATTTTCTCCCATTCTGTAGGCTGGTGGTTTACTCTGTTGATAGTTTATTTTGCTGTGCAGAAGCTGTTTAGTTTAAGTTCCATTTGTCTATTTTTTATTTTGTTGCATTTGCTTTTGGGGTCTTCATCATAAATTCTTTGCCAAGGCCAATGACTAGAAGAGTATTTCCTTGGTTTTCTTCTAGATTTTTTATAGTTTGAGGTCTTACATTTAAGTCTTTAATCCATTTTGAGTTAATTTTTCTATATGGTGAAATGTGGGGGCCCAGTTTAATTCTTCTGCATACAGTTTTTCCAACACCATGATGGTTAATTTTATTTACTTACTTGTCTAGGCTATGATGCCCAGTTGTCTGATAAAACACTAGTCTAGACTGGGCATGGTGGCTCATGCCTGTAATCTCAGCACTTTGGGAGACCAAGGTGGGCAGATCACGAGGTCAGGAGATCAAGACCATCCTGGCTAACATGGTGAAACCCCATCTCTACTAACAATACAAAAAAATTAGTGGGGTGTGGTGGCATGCACCTGTAGTCCCAGCTACTTGGGAGGCTGAGGCTGGAGAATGGCATGAACCCGGGAGTCAGAGGTAGCAATGAGCTGAGATCTTGCCACTGCACTCCAGCCTGGGCAACAGAACAAGACTCCATCTCAAAAAACAAACAAACAAACAAAAAACAAAAACAAAACAAAACAAAAAAACAGTAGTCTAGATATTGCTGTGAGAGTATCTTGTAGATATAACTAATAGCTGCCATTGGTTGACCTGAAGTAAGTGAGATTACTCCTGATAATATAGGGGAGTCTCACTGAGTAACTTGAAGGTTTTGAGAGCAAACACTAAGGTTTTCCAAAGAATAGAGAATTCCGCCTCAAGATTGTAACATAGAAATCCTGTCTGAGTTTATAGTCAGCTGGCCTGTCCTAATGATTTCAGAGTTTTGATTCTTCACACTCACATGAGCCAATTCCTTAATCCTTTGCCCATTTGCCCTGAGAACACAGCACTTTTGCTGCAGTGGTTACCCCGAGATAATTTTGCCATGAAATATCTTGCTTTTATTATTATTTTTGCATTGCTCTAGTATGTCAACTTTGGAAACAAAAGACATCATTCTATTTATAGCATTCTGGTTTTAGTAGTGGTATTTCCATTTACAAAATATAGTAATTCTCGATTGCTGAAAATGTCAAATCCTAGAAAATGTGGAATTCCTATTCATGATGTTAACATCGTTCTTGAACAGCGAGGATTCATTTGATGAATCTGATGTTTCTGAAATAGATGATCCTGATGATTCAGATGATTCTGATGTTAGTGCTGTTTAGAAATAACTCCAAGAACTGTTTTTATTTTATTTTTACATTGAAAATCAGTCAAATTTGCTTCATCCTCAAAAAGTGTGTTTGTTTATGTAGAATAAATGCTGGCAGCAAGCTGCACTTTGTTTTTCTAAATGGGAAAAGGGTTAAAAAACTCTCTTTTTTTCTCTCTAAGATCAATCTATGTATGTAGGTATGTATGTATCTATCACCTATCTATTTATCTATCTATCTACCTGCCTTTCTTATTGGTTCTGTTTCTCTAGAGAACACTGACTGACAAGTTATAATAGATATGCTACAAAACTATGGTGATTGAATTTTTTAAAAGAACAGTGATGAAAATTTTAACAGGAAGGAAGAAGAGGGGAATAGAGGAGAAAAGAAAGAAAGTGAGAAAGAAAAACAGAAGAGAAAGAAGAGGAAGGAAGGACAGACAAGAAAGACAAGTAAGAAAGAGCAAGAAAATAAGTCATTGTGGTAACGGTAGAGGATCATATCAATAGATCAATGGAACCGAATATGACCCAGAAATAGGATTATGGATATATATAGGAACTTTATCATACAGAGGGCACCACAAATCAGCAAACTTGAAAGAGAAAAAAATATAGTTGAATCTCTACATTACAATATCCACAAAGCTAAATACCAAATAGATTAGAGGTATGAATTAATCAATAGAGGTGATATTATTAAAATTGAGTTTTTTCACAAAAATATTAACAGCCTGCTAACAATCTGTCAGAAATCATTCACAATGTCTAAAACTGACAGAGATATTTGATTTAATAGATATAAGAAATAAACATGAAAATAAACAAAACAACATAAAACTGAGAAAACAACAGGCGGTTACCAGAATAGAGAATACAAATGTCCAAGAAAAATAAGGAAAGATGCCCAATATTAGAATTATCACAGGATGATACAGTTTATACTAAAAATACAGGCAAAAGATGCATTTAATACTAGTGGTATTGGCAAAGATTGAGGTAAGATAGTGCAAAATATTGGTGAGAATATGTGGGGTCGGGGATGAGAGCTGAAGTGTATCACCGTAGCGGCGTTCATGAATATATCCTTCCCTGCCAGCATTCTGAATGTAATGTGTAAAATTTTGTTATATATTTTCTTATAACCCAGTGAAACAAGTCTTCAGAAGAGAAACTTTCTCACAAGCCAATCAAGGAATTTGATGGCATTCAACATTACCTTGAGTATGGCAACTGGGACATGGAAATAATTCAGGTGTCCATTTCAAGGAAATGAACAAGGCAATGTGTTGAGTGTATGCTATGTAAAAACTATACCTTCAAAAGAACTGAATGTACATAGCAATGTGAATAAATATTAATAATGTAGTGCTGATAAAAAAAATAAAGCCGTAAAGTGATCTGTGGTATTTTTAAATACCATTTTTGAAAATTAAAAACACAGGTACAGTCAAAACAACCTATAGATTTTACAAAGATGCACAGATATCTAAGAATATGCATTAAACATATTAAGGTAGATGTGCATGGTAGGAAAAGGGAGGGAAGAGTGGAAATTGGAGAAAAGGGAAAAAACTAAATAATCAGAACAGTCCTGTAAAAGGTGGACCATGACCAGACTAGTATAATGATGGCAACCTTGGGCACTCAAGATACTAAAAATAAATAAATAAATAAATAAATAAATAAATAAATAAATAAATATTGTAAAGAAAGGAAATTATTGGACAGACACCCACAGAAGCAGATGATCTGCATATGCTGCATAAAATGTGCATTTTTTAACAAGCTCGCAAGGCCATTCTTACATATATGTAAGTTCAAGTTCAGAATTTGGAATTGGGACTGAAGATACTAGATTTACTTCTAGTTCTGTCAGTAATATGCTCACAGTTTCCTAATTCTCTAGGTTTCCATTTCCTTATTCTTCACTTATTACATAGAATTTATCTTATCTGACTCTTTAGTGAGGAAATTTTTTTTGATGTGAGTATTTTGGAAACATGTCAGTAAAATGATTATTAGATTTAATTAAATTTTATGTACAAACTAAGGAGTTCAGGACTCAGATTTTGTCCAGCCTGTAGAAGGAAACAAAATAGAGACAAATCCTGCAGAATTTGGATGATGGGTATATTTAATTAGGAAAATTGCCAGATCAGTTCTAAAATAGAAGCCAAACATAAAACATGCAAGAAGGCACTGTAGGGTTCTTCCAACAGAGGTGGGAATTTATACGTTGTAGGAGGAATCCACATGGAGAGCCCATGTATTTTAACCACTAGGATTTTAGCATCCAGAGATTTATTTTTACTTTACAGCCTGAAAATATGCAGCTTACAAGAATAAATAACATTTCTTGAAACCATTTTTCTGGAAGACAAAGATTGCTTTCCATTTTGCCCAATCTGGGCAGAAAATGTCATTACTTTTCCCTTTATTTCCCTGCCCAATTATGTACTTACATTTTGGAAAAGGAAAAATGTAATACAAATGTGTAATACTATCCTGAAATCAGACACTATATACAGAGGTTCTTCATTGAAGGGGATTTTTTCCCTCCCTGCCTCACAGATAGCTGGCAATGTCTGGAATCATTTCTGGTTTTCAGAGCTGGAGCGAGTAGGATAGCTATTGGCATCTACTGGGTAGTGGCCGGATCCGCTGATATATATCCTACAATTCACAGGATAGCACACGCAATGAAGAATTATCTCATCCAAATTGTTCACATTGCCACTGATGAGAAACTCTGTTATATAGTATTACTTCATCATTCTATTTACATCATGCTTAATTCTAATGAGCTCTATAGGAAAAATCTAGTAAAATCTCTTACATTTGTTTTACAGACAATATTATAGTATTGAATATATGCTTATGACTGCCCACCATCCATTTAACCATCTATCTGTTTTTCACTCACCGAACTAGTGTGTGTTGGCTGTCTACTATGTGCCAATAATCACGCAAAGCACTCCAAAGCCAAGGAAGAGTAAGACCCAGTCATTGCATTAGAGATAATCTCAGTTCACGTAAAGAAGTGTTATAATACAATCTAATATGGTAAAAAAATCATCACGGTACAACAAGCTAACATAGAGGAGAGAATAATTATATATTGCTATGCTGTATAAATAATAAAATGTAATAAAATCATCACAGCGTTTTAATATGCTAAATACTGTAACATACATATACATATACACACATATATGAAAGTCTAAATACCCAATAAATGTCATTATTTTAATTAATTTTGCATTTTCCTAAGAACTCATCACTCACTTCTGGAGATTTGCCAAATAGAGTTTGAAAGTGCTGTCCTGTCTGTTCACATCAGAGACGATCAATACAATGACACATGCCATATACAGGTAAGATTAGAGAAGTTCTCTGAAAAATCATCATGATGAGGCTTATTTTTTATGCACTAGGCAGCCAAAGTATGAACAATCAGTACATTAAAAATTAAGAGAATCCAGGAAAAAAAAGCATCTTACGTATTAAAGGAGGAGAAAATGGCCCATAATATATTCAATATGTGCCTCTGTGGACTTGGAAAGTCTCTGTAAATAGAGCAGACTCTTTCCCACTTATTTCAAGAGCTACTCATCAAAGTTTTCCTATTGCAAATCTCCTCCATTCTGTTTAATTTCTTTTCAAAATTTTTAGAAATTGAGTATGATATTTGTTACTCATATTTATGAGTAAGGCTATTCATTTTTTTCTAAAAAAATGATTTTGAGATAAATTTGCCACATGAGAAGAGGGAGTCCACCAAGTTTTGTGGTAATAACTTCGACCTAGTCTGGCAGAGCAGGTTTCTTGTAAGGAATTTCTGGGGAAGAAGTGATCCAGGAAGCTGAAGCTCCTGGCCCATAATATATTATGCTGCTTTCTATCAGTCTATGTGATTAGGTGGTCCACATGCTTACTGATACACCAGGCTTGTTGAAACTGATGTCCTTGACTCACAAAGGAAAAAAAAAAAACAATTAAAAGCAGTATAAGTAAATAGACTCCAGGATTGTTCCTGTGTCGTGAACTGATGTGTTTCCTGACATAGCTGACTGGATCAAAAAAATAAAATGTTAGAGATTTTGACATAACAGGGGCATATGGAACAAGTGGTATATGAAGTTACCTTTTTTCTCACTAAGGAAGTTGTAAATGTTCTGTTATAATTTCTTAAAATAGATATACAGAAATTTTGAAAAATTCCAAGCAAGAAAAATATGTCCATGTACCAGAGATATTGCTCTTCTAAGTAAATTTTAAAATATATTATCAATTTCATTTTCAACTTGTTTTCAGAAAATGCTTTTAGTGCCACTATGTTTACTTTTTTTAACTGTATACATCAATGGGTCATTCCACTGAAATATACCCCA
The DNA here is from genome assembly GCF_000001405.40 of Homo sapiens. Lineage (NCBI taxonomy): Eukaryota > Metazoa > Chordata > Mammalia > Primates > Hominidae > Homo > Homo sapiens. The sequence goes on along the minus strand of NC_000006.12, from coordinate 74,674,954 downwards.
TATGAACAAGAGAAATTTATCTGATATACCAAAGGCTTCTATAGAAGATAAGATACAAGCTTAAGCACTCAACATTCTCAAACGTCATATGAATAGAAGGAAAAAGTAAATGTGTGAGAAAACCTCTCAGGCCAAAAAGCAGAAAAATAAAGGAAATAATTTACACATTTTCAATTTAATTTACATGTAGAAACTCCAGGAAGGAAATATAAATATAAATATATATATTTGAACAATCATATACATACATATGTATGTATGTGTATATGTATGTATATATATGTCATGTGCCAATATACTTCATAGAGTTTTTTATGCCTAAGGGAAGTTGTCAGAAATGTCATGAGGAATGACAAGAGTGTATGTATATATATGTCATGTGCCAATGTACTTCATAGAGTTTTTTTTATGCCTAAGGGAAGTTGTCAGAAATGTCATGAGGAATGACAAGAATAATAAAATGCATAATCCAGATGTCCAAGTCATCTACATCTCCATGTAGTCAAGATTCTTAAAAATTGTGGTGGAAACAGCAGAAAGGGAACAGAAAGTGTTCCTGCCCTGGATGAACACTCTCTTAATCATACTGTCAATTTCTTTCTTTTCTTTAAATGTTTACTATTTCTGGTTATAAAAGTGACATATTTGTTGCCAAAATATTAAAAATACACAAATAATCTTTTTAAAAGATATTGTTACCACCCAGAATTTAAAGTATATTCCTCCAAAAACATTTTCATCTTAACATTATGATGAAGAATGATCGGCAGCTGTTAGCACTGATTTTGCAGTCCTACTCAGTGTACCTGGACTATGGGCAACTCATGTCAGCATTCTGCCATCGATAGGGATCTTGAGAAGCCCGCCAACACATCTCAGTCAGTCTTCTTTCTAGAGAGGAGAAGAGAGAGGAAGGAAATAGAAGAGAAATAATTAATAAAATAGAGTAAGATGAAGCTGATAGTATTTGTATTTAGAATATTAGCCCTCAGCAGTGAGGAGAATGGGGTCTTCTGGGAACTAGGAAACTAGGAACCATAGGTGGTTCTACATTTTACCTGCCAAGTATTTTCTAGACTGTGTCTAAGAACAAAGATACTGGAGGTCTTTGCATCATATTTTAAAGAAATACTTCAATCTCGGACATTGGTAAATGGAATAAAGGACACTGTGTGTATGTATGTACCCATTTTTCTTATTTTAATAATCAGTGACTTATATTAACTGTTTCCTATGTGTCATGCACTATGCTGAACTTTACATGCATTATTGCATTATTTTTTTTCATTTCATAGATAAACTGAGTAGAAAAGGAAAGATATAACCAACAGTTACAAAGTGGCAGAGCCTAGGCCCAAATCTATTTAGATCTGATGCCAGGGCCACTATCCTCTACCACAGTTCCCTATCCTTACCAGCCCCAACAACTATGTGGACCATTTTTTAAAAGAACGTCTTTCAAGTTATAAGATTTCCAAAAGAAAATTTTTTAACTATTAATTATTAGAAAATTGTGAGATACTATTTTTAAAATGTACTGTGTGGAAAGCAAGTGAAGACTTTGAAAGAGCCAGCCACTGTTGATTAACATTATCTTTATAAAATAGCATGTTTTTTAATCGTTTAATGGTGATGTATAATGCCATAATCAGTTAAAGAGTTTATCTCATGTCATTACATCATCTTTATATTGTATTTTTTAAAAAACAAACTGTCCTGGAACTGAAATAATAATTCCTGATCCATCAATCTTTCAAACATAGCCATATCATCCTAAAGACACTGATAAAATAGAAACAAAAAATGAACTAGTTGGACTTACATTTTGGAAGTGTTTTAACTCCCTCAAATAAATTGAGCAGGTAGTAAGCAAAAAGCCTTCCACAGTACCTGTTGGTATCTTAGTGGGTTAAAAAATAGAAATTATCTGTTCTGTACTCATAAGCATAATGATTTCTAAAATATTTGAAAACAAAACAGCAGGGAGTTGTTTAATGGATAAAAAGTTTAGTTTTCCAAAATAAAGAGTTCTGGAGAGTGCCTGCATAACAATGTGAATGTACTTAACACTACTCAACTGCACACTTTAAAAAAGGTTAAGATGATAAATTTCATGTTATTTGTATTTTACCAAATAAAATACAAGTAAAAATGAAAACAAAATAGCACTGGTCTCAGGTCAGAATTTTCTCTCCTGGCCTTCTCTTCTGCCCCACTCTGAGTCCTCCTTTAACTGAATAAATTCAGTTTGTGAGCAAAAGAAGAACAATTTTCTATCATAATCATTAGAACTTTTAAAATATGTCAGTGGTTTACCTGCCTATTAATTTGTATGATTTCTCATAGTTACTATAAATATTGAAGAATTACTTGCTTTCAGAGTTGATAGATTAAACAAAGAGATCTCTCACTACAGCTTTCCTTTTCTTACTAGAATTTTTTCTGCATTTCTCTGGGACTTATCACAGGGAATGGCAGCCTTGATCACCACCCTTACTGATTATCTTTTACATAGGTTCCAAAGAAGGGATGACAAAATCTAACGCCTACTGCTTGGCAAGTCCCAAAGAGATTTGTACAGATTCCCTTAGCTCATTAGAAACAGAGTTGGAAGAGTTGTTTCTCATGGACACTTGGGCTGTTTCTTGATACATGTCAGCTCTGTGATGAGGCATACCCCAACCTTCTTGTCAGAAGCCAGTTTTGGCATGTCAAAGATGGAGTCACTTGGCAAACTAATCTTCAGGCAGTTAACCATAGAAGACATGAAGTAGTCTATTCCCAAGAGTCCAGTCCCAAGAGTCCAAGCTAATCCTCTGTACCAGAGATTAAGACCACAGTGGAATTCTAGTATATCAGTGCTGCTTGGAAAATGTACACTTTGCATCTTAATCAAAACCCAGTTTCATTATGGTTCCTCCTACTGGGTACTATTTCTTTTGGCTTTAATCTAAGTAGCAGTTGCCCAAAATAGAATCCCCATTCAGCTATGAGTCAAACTCAATTGCACTGTTTATCCTAGAGTTTGACCAGCTTCGGACATCCAGAGCTGGAAATAAAGGATCAAGGAAAACCAACAACTTTCTCAAAATACAGACTGGAACACACGTGCCTCAGCAACAGCTTTGCTGACCCAGCTTCTCCTTCGAGAATTTGGCTTGACTTTGAGGCATTCGTTTTCAGTGAGGTGAATGAAGAGTTGGCAGTCTGGCTCTCACTTACTGTAATTGAGTCAGACAATTAAATTGCTTCCCAGTTACTGACAATGTAAACCACATACACGTTATGTAGGCCACAGCATTCCAGTGGTGCATGTCCAGTATAGTGACTTAATGCCTGGATATGGAGGACATTTGAGTCAAAGCAGTACAGCACGCTGGCACAGCAGATGCACATGTGTGCACCAAGGGAAACACCAAAGGTCTATAGCTTTGGAAGATATCCTAGAATCAGCGCTCCAGCACATGGATTTATTTAGACAAAACAATGTGTTAGCTTATCATTATGCTATAATTTTTGGATAGCTTTCCTTAAAAATCTTAAAATGAAGTGTGTTTTAAAAATATTTTTCTTTACACAGAACCCGCCCCAAAATTCTCCATTTGTCTTCCCAAAATCAAAGTTGTACTTAAAGATGTAAAATAAACATTTTTGCACTAAGTACTTGAAGGAAGGCTGACCAATGTCTCATTCGAAGGAAGGCTGACCAATGTCTCAATCTCAGTTTGTGACGTTATGTAGACTTTGGAGAAAGCCAACTTAGTGACATTGGCAGAACTGAGGAAAGGGGGTAGACTCTGCATATGTTTAACTTGATATAATATGAATGCCAGTGTGTCAATTGATTATTTTAATATCAGTGGTTATGAGGAAGCAATGTGTTTTATAATCAACCTTACTTTCAGGTTAATAGCTATTTTTTAATATCTTACAATTTTATAATACAAAAAATATTATAATCCTATAATACAAAAAATAGACTATTAAAAGTGTTACTTAAGAAAAAAATATTTGATCTGTATTTGGATTTTCCTTGGCAAATCTTACATCTCAGAGCTGTAACCTCCCACTCTGTAAGTTTTTTGGTATCTGGCTCCATCAGCACATGTCGAATGCTAAAGGAATACTTCTCTAGCCTAGCACAAACAGAATTACCAAGATACATTTGTATACATGTATGTGTTTGTGTATGTGTGTGTGTGCCCCAGCCAGGGATCTTTCCTGGGCAAGCATCTTTACTGATTCTTTTTTCAACCTGTTCCTGTACTTAGCATACCATGTTCATAGAATTATATTAAGAGTTTAATGAGGAAATCCAGTGTATTCCTAGTGGGCTTGCTCTCTAAGTCTCCCCATCTCTATTCTGAGTGTTCTGCTTATGAGATTATCTTCATTAGCATTAACCTTTCTCCAATAGTCTTGGGTTAAAAGATAAAGTCTAAACCTGTGAGTCTGGCTATTATTTTGCTACCAAGCTTTATTGCTTTCATTTTGAGTGCAATAAGATTATACATTTCTCAGTTTCAGAGGAACATATTCATGCTAGTTCCACCTCTTTCAGGCTTTCTCAAACGAACCTTCTTCTTGAAGCTTCTCTCATTCTAAGGACGGAGCCAGGTGATCTATAATAAAGGTATACTTGTCCAATTTCCAAGTGTATGCCTTGACACAGTGATAGAACAAAATAAAACACTAATGGTGAAAAATAGTCATTATACCAAGTCCTGTTCCCATTAATTACTTTTTACATTTTCTAATTCAAGGAATGTATTAATTTATATTTCAAGGAATACATTAATTTCTAGTTCACGGAATGCATTGTGATGTTTAGGGGAAGTAAGGAAATAACATGGTTAGTGTATGTATGTCCTATGCTTTAGATAGGCAGATATTCTCATGCTGCTATGAAGAAATACCCAAGATTGGGTAATTTATAAGGAAAAAAGTTTAATTGACTCACAGTTCTGCAGGGCTGAGGAAGCCTCAGGAAACTTACAATCATGGCAGAAGGGGAAGCAAACATGTCCTTCTTCATATCAAGGCAGGAAGGAGAAGTGCCAAACAAAAGGGGGAAAAGCCCCTTACGAAACCATCAGATCTTGTGAGAACTCACTCACTATCACAAGAACAGCATGAAGGTAACAACTCCCATGGTTCAATTACCTCCCATCAGGTCCTTCCCATGACATGTGGGGATTATGGGAATTATAATTCAATATATTTGGATGGGGACACAACCAAATCATATCATTAACATACACACACAACATATACAATTTTAGAACACGGTATTAAAAATACATTTTAAATTTTAATAAGCATTTATATCAGTTTATAAAATTCTTTGTTCTACAAGTCTTTGTTATACAAAGGTTCTTAAATAGCCAAAATAAACAAAGCATATAAATACAGCAAAAGACAAAATTATGACATATATTACATTATGAAAACTAGTTTAAAAATTCTTTCATAATGAAGAATTATAAAAGATGTCAAAATACCAAATAAATTTTCCCAGAAAAGTTTCCAAGGCACAAAGCATATCATCGCAAATATCACTTATAAATGCGATGAAAAATAACTCTAATTCGCAATAGCAATTAATTTACAAACATCCACGTTTGCCTCTAATAAGAAACATGTAACCAATTTAGAGAAAATACCAACAGAGTATAAGAAAATTTGACAAGAAATAAAATGTTCTTATTTTAAAAGATGTCAATAATTTTCCCCAAATTATAAGATAACACTGACAAACTTGCAATGAAACATTTTAGGCAAAAAATGAAGGAAAAAACTGTAAAATAAATTTCAAAAGCCCAAATTTACTCCCATTAAAAAAATATGTTCAGAGGCTGGTATCATTGTTAAGTTGTGGAGTATGGAGTAAGGAGTGTGCAGATGTTGTTAAAATAGGGGGAAGCCTCACCTCAGGAGGGACAGACACCAAAGGCAGAAAATCAAATAGAATTAGAAAGTGTGATGAAACAAGGTTCAACAAGAGGAAAGCAGACAGAATTGGTGGCCAATTAGAGGGAAGGAGATACAGATTGAATCTACAAAATCTGAAATGCTCCAAAATCCTAAAATTTTGATCACCAACATAGTACTCAAAATGAATACTCTTTGGAGCATTTTGGATTCTGGATTTTTAGGTTTGGGACGTTAAACCTAATACAGATACTCAAAAATCTGAAAAAATAAAAAAAAAAATCTGACATTTCAGTCCTCAGCATTAAAGAAAGGAAGATTTTACCTGTATATATCACGTCTCAAACATCATGCCAGAAATCCCAAAATTCTAGTAGCAAATCTAAGTAGAAATAGTACCTAGAAAAGAGTCTAGACATAAAAGTATGAAAGAGACTCTACTTCTTATCATTGGTGTGACCAGGATGTAGTATGTGAGTGAGTTGGCATGCATATACAAAAATCAACTGGGAAGAATGAGAAAGTTGTGAATAAAAAGAAAATGGGATGACTAGCTCTATCCTTTGTTAAAACATAATGATTTTCTTTTTAAAAAATAACTTTAAAAGCATGACGCAGTAAGACGGAAAGACAGAATCTAATACTAAGCGGTATTATGACAGAACAAAAGAAACATCACAGTTTAGCTTCACCCAAGGCTATTGTTGAGAGAAATAATTAGTAATTTATAAGAAAAATATGTTTAAATCTCACATCTCATCATAATATAAAATACATTTCAATGGGCATATAGAATTAACTATATTTTAAAACAAAAAAGAAAATGAGAATTTACTATTTCATACCTATTTATGGAGTGCCTATGTGTATGTTATTACTCCTATTCTGAGTGAAACAGGTCATCGCTGAAGAGTTTTAAACAGAGGAGTGAGATCATCTTACTTAACATTTAAAAAAAAAGTCCCTGGGCCAGACGCAGTGGTTCATGCCTGTAATCCCAGCACTTTGGGAGGCCGAGGCGGGCAGATCACGAGGTCAGGAGATCGAGACCATCCTGGCTAACACGGTGAAACCCCATCTCTGCTAAAAAGAAAAAAAAAAATACAAAAAATTAGCCGGGCGTGGTGGCAGGCACCTGTAGTCCCAGCTACTCGGGAGGCTGAGGCAGGAGAATGGCGTGAACCCGGGAGGCGGAGCTTGCAGTGAGCAGAGATCGCGCCACTGCACTCCAGCCTGGGCGACAGAGCAAGACTCCGTCTCAAAAAAAAAAAAAAAAAAAAAAAAAAATCCTCTCTCTACTATAGTGAGAATAGACCATGAGGAAGTAAGAGTAGATTCTACTTAGAGTAATGCAGGTAAGAAAGATGGTAGTAAGTTGTATTCAAATTATGAATGCATTTCAAATAAAGAGTAAATGGGATGTGAGAAGAAATTCAATGAGGATTTTGAGAGAAAGAGAGAGCCTAAGATTATTCTAAATTTTTGGCTAGAGCAACTGGAAAGATGTCATTTACTGAGATGGGAAGTCTGTGGGACGATCATTTGGGGACAAGATTAGCAGTTCACTTTTGGACATGTTTGCTTGAGATTCTGATTAGATATCCAAGTAGAGATGTCAGGCTGGGTGGAGTAGGGGGAGTGGGTGGCATGTGATTTAGTCTAGAGTTTGGGAAAGAGGTCTGGGTTGAAGATATAAGTGTATAAGTGTTCAAGTTTTCAGAATATAGATGGTATTTAAAGTTGCAAGATGTGAGTAAAGACTGAGGAAATGGGGAGAAATCAACAAAGGAGACTAAAAAGGAGCAGCCAGTGAAAAGAGGAAAATCAGGAGTGCATTGTCCTGGAAGCCAAGAGGGGGACAAAAGTGTTTCAAGCTGGAGGGAGAGATCAGTTGAGCCAAATGCTCCTGATAGATCAAGAAAGATGACAACAGAGAATTGTATTTTGGATTGAGGATTGGAGGACATGGTGACAGAGTGAAGGGCTGTTTTAGTGAAAGGATTTTAGCAAGAACTTGATTGGAGTGGGATCAAAAAAGGATGGATTAAAGGAATTGAAGATAGTACACATAAATAATTTTGAGAAGTTTTGCAATCAACGGTAACAAAGAAATGAAAGTGTCTGGAGGGAGATATGGATTCAGGAGACAAATTTTTGTTTGGTTGGTTGTTTTTTAAGTGGAGAGAAATTAAAATATGTTTGCCAAATGGGGTTACATAGTGGAGAGGAAAAATTCATAATGCAAGGAAAAGAAGAAAAAATAGGAACCAATGACCTTGAGTAGGTGAAAGTTGAATGAACTCTAATATAAAAGTGGAAGGTGTTGAACTTTGTTAGGTATGGGACCATCCATCAGTAGTAACATGAGGGAGGGTGGACATACGGGCACAGATACAGGTAAGATGGTATATGTGGCAGTAGAGGCATGATACTAATATTTAACTATCTGTTATAGATGGTTTTCAATTACATCTACCAACAGTTACTCTTATCCCGATATTCGTATATGGTTTCTCATATCAACAGGCTGAATCTATTTCCTTCTCTTGAATCCTGGCTTTGTGTGTTGCTTTGACCAATAGAATACAGTAGTGACATTTTGGGATTTCAACCCTCGGCCTTAAGGAATTGGTAACTTCTGCTTCCTCGTTCTTAAAGCCCAGCTTCCATGCTTAGAAAAAGTAGACTACTGAATGCATAGGGGCCACATGTAGAACCATAAAGGATGAAAGGCCCTCTTGGAGATTCTAGCTCAGCAGTGCTCCTGGCTGAGTGACCCTACACACAGTGCAGAAAAACAAAATGCCTCACTGAACCTGAATTCCTGACCCATCAAGAAATAATAAATATTTTTGTAGTTCATTTATTATTATTATTATTATATTTTAAGTTTCAGGGTACATGTGCACAATGTGCAGGTTTGTTACATATGTATACATGTGCCATGTTAGTGTGCTGCACCCATTAACTCGTCATTTAGCATTAGGTATATCTCCTAGTGCTATCCCTCCCCCCTCCCCCCACCCCACAACAGTCCCCAGTGTGTGATGTTCCCCTTCCTGTGTCCATGTGTTCTCATTGTTCAATTCCCACCTATGAGTGAGAACATGTGATGTTTGGTTTTTTGTCCTTGCCATAGTTTCAGAGAATGATGGTTTCCAGCTTCATCCATGTCCCTACAAAGGACATGAACTCATCATTTTTTATGGCTGCATAGTATTCCATGGTGTATATGTGCCACATTTTCTTAATCCAGTCTATCATTGTTGGACATTTGGGTTGGTTCCAAGTCTTTGCTATTGTGAAGAGTGCCACAATAAACATGCGTGTGCATGTGTCTTTATAGCAGCATGATTTATAGTCCTTTGGGTATATACCCAGTAATGGGATGGCTGGGTCAAATGGTATTTCTAGTTCTAGATCCCTGAGGAATCGCCACACTGACATCCACAATGGTTGAACTAGTTTACAGTCCCACCAACAGTGTAAAAGTGTTCCTATTTCTCCACATCCTCTCCAGCACCTGTTGTTTCCTGACTTTTTAATGACTGCCATACTAACTGGTGTGAGATGGTATCTCATTGTGGTTTTGATTTGCATTTCTCTGATGGCCAGTGATGATGAGCATTTTTTCATGTGTTTTTTGGCTGCATAAATGTCTTCTTTTGAGAAGTGTCTGTTCATATCCTTTGCCCACTTGTTGATGGGGTTGTTTGTTTTTTCTTGTAAATTTGTTTGAGTTCATTGTAGATTCTGGATATTAGCGCTTTGTCAGATGAGTAGGTTGCAAAAATTTTCTCCCATTTTGTAGGTTGCCTGTTCACTCTGATGGTAGTTTCCTTTGCTGTGCAGAAGCTCTTTAGTTTAATTAGATCCCATTTGTCAATTTTGGCTTTTGTTGCCATCGCTTTTGGTGTTTTAGACATGAAGTCCTTGCCCATGCCTATGTCCTGAATGGTATTGCCTAGGTTTTCTTCTAGGGTTTTTATGGTTTTAGGTGTAACATGTAAGTCTTTAATCCATCTTGAATTAATTTTTGTGTAAGGTGTAAGGAAGGGATCCAGTTTCAGCTTTCTACATATGGCTAGCCAGTTTTCCCAGCACAATTTCTTAAATAGGGAATCCTTTCCCCATTTCTTGTTTTTATCAGGTTTGTCAAAGATCAGATGGTTGTAGATGTGTGGTATTATATCTGAGGGCTCTGTTCTGTTCCATTGATCTATATCTCTGTTTTGGTACCAGTACCATGCTGTTTTGGTTACTGTAGCCTTGTAGTATAGTTTGAAGTCAGGTAGCATGATGCTTCCAGCTTTGTTCTTTTGGCTTAGGATTGACTTGCCGATGCAGGCTCTTTTTTGGTTCCATATGAACTTTAAAGTAGTTTTTTCCAATTCTATAAAGAAAGTCATTGGTAGCTTGATGGTGATGGCAGTGAAGCTATAAATTACCTTGGGCAGTATGGCCATTTTCACCATATTGATTCTTCCTACCCATGAGCATGGAATGTTCTTCCATTTGTTTGTATCCTCTTTTATTTCATTGAGCAGTGGTTTGTAGTTCTCCTTGAAGAGGTCCTTCACATCCCTTGTAAGTTGGATTCCTAGGTATTTTATTCTCTTTGAAGCAATTGTGAATGGGAGTTCACTCATGATTTGGCTCTCTGTTTGTCTGTTATTGGTGTATAAGAATGCTGGTGCTTTTTGCACATTGATTTTGTATCCTGAGACTTTGCTGAAGTTGCTTATCAGCTTAAGGAGATTTTGGGCTGAGACAATGGGGTTTTCTATATATACAATCATATCATCTGCAAACAGGGACAATTTGACTTCCTCTTTTCCTAATTGAATGCCCTTTATTTCCTTCTCCTGGCTAATTGCCCTGGCCAGAACTTCCAACACTATGTTGAATAGGAGTGGTGAGAGAGGGCATCCCTGTCTTGTGCCAGTTTTCAAAAGGAATGCTTCTAGTTTTTGTCCATTCAGTATGATATTGGCTGTGGGTTTGTCATAGATAGCTCTTATTATTTTGAGATACGTCCCATCAATACCTAATTTATTGAGAGTTTTTAGCATCAAAGGTTGTTGAATTTTGTCAAAGGCCTTTTCTGCATCTATTGAGATAGTCATGTGGTTTTTGTCTTTGCTTCTGTTTATATGCTGGATTACGTTTTTTGATTTGTGTATGTTGAACCAGCTTTGCATCCCAGGGATGAAGCCTACTTGATCATGGTGGATAAGCTTTTTGATGTGTTGCTGGATTCAGTATGCCAGTACTTTATTGAGGATTTTCGCATCTATGTTCATCAAGGATATTGGTCTATAATTCTCTTTTTTTGGTTGTGTCTCTGCCAGGCTTTGATATCAGGATGATGATGGCCTCATAAAATGAGGTAGGGAGGATTCCCTCTTTTTCTGTTGATTGGAATAGTTCCAGAAGGAATGGTACCAGCTCCTCCTTGTACCTCTGGTAGAATTTGGCTATGAATCCATCTGGTCGTGGACTTTTTTTGGTTGGTAAGCTGTTAATTATTGCCTCAATTTCGGAGCCTGTTATCGGTCTATTCAGAGAGTCAACTTCTTCCCGGTTTAGTCTTGGGAGGCTGTATGTGTCAAGGAATTTCTCCATTTCCTCTAGATTTTCTAGTTTATTTGCATAGAGATGTTTACAGCATTCTCTGATGGTAGATTGTATTTCTGTGGGATTGGTGGTGATATCCCCTTTGTCATTTTTTATTGCATCTATTTGATTCTTCTCTCTTTTCTTCTTTATTAGTCTTGCTAGCAGTCTATCAATTTTGTTGATCTTTACAAAAAACCAGCTCCTGGATTCGTTGATTTTTTGAAGGGTTTTTTTGTGTCTCTATCTCCTTCAGTTCTGCTCTGATCTTAGTTATTTCTTGCCTTCTGCTAGCTTTTGAATGTGTTTGCTCTTACTTCTCTAGTTCTTTTAATTGTGATGTTAGGGTGTCAGTTTTAGATGTTTCCTGCTTTCTCTTGTGGGCATTTAGTGCTATAAATTTTCCTCTACACACTGCTTTGAATGTGTCCCAGAGATTCTGGTATGTTGTGTCTTTGTTCTTGTTGGTTTCAAAGAACATCTTTACTTCTGCCTTCATTTCGTTATGTACCCAGTAGTCATTCAGGAGCAGGTTGTTCAGTTTCCATGTAGTTGAGTGGTTTTGATTGAGTTTCTTAATCCTGAGTTCTAGTCTGATTGCACTGTGGTCTGAGAGACAGTTTGTTATAATTTCTGTTCTTTTACATTTGCTGAGGAGTGCTTTACTTCCAACTATGTGGTCAATTTTGGAATAGGTATGGTGTGGTGCTGAAAAGAATGTATATTCTGTTGATTTGGGGTGGAGAGTTCTGTAGATGTCTATTAGGTCTGCTTGGTGCAGAGTTGAGTTCAATTCCTGGATATCCTTGTTAACTTTCTGTCTCGTTGATCTGTCTAATGTTGACAGTGGGGTGTTAAAGTCTCCCATTATTATTGTGTGGTTGTCTAAGTCTCTTTGTAGGTCACTCAGGACTTGCTTTATGAATCTGGGTGCTCCAGTATTGGGTGCATATATATTTAGGATAGTTAGTTCTTCTTGTTGAATTGATCCCTTTACGACTATGTAATGGCCTTCTTTGTCTCTTTTGATCTTTGTTGGTTTAAAGTCTGTTTTATCTGAGACTAGGATTGCAACCCCTGCCTTTTTTTGTTTTCCATTTGCTTGGTAGATCTTCCTCCATCCCTTTATTTTGAGCCTATGTGTGTCTCTGCACGTGAGATGGGTTTCCTGAATACAGCACACTGATGGGTGTTGACTCTTTATCCAATTTGACAGTCTGTGCCTTTTAATTGGAGCATTTAGCCCATTTACATTTAAGGTTAGTATTGTTATGTGTGAATTTGATCCTGTCATTATGATGTTAGCTGGTTATTTTGCTCGTTAGTTGACGCAGTTTCTTCCTAGCCTTGATGGTCTTTACAATTTGGCATGTTTTTGCAGTGGCTGGTACCAGTTGTTCCTTTCCATGTTTAGTGCTTCCTTCAGGAGCTCTTTTAGGGCAGGCCTGGGTGGTGACAAAATCTCTCAGCATTTGCTTCTCTGTAAAGTATTTTATTTCTCCTTCACTTATGAAGCTTAGTTTGGCTGGATATGAAATTCTGGGTTGAAAATTCTTTTCTTTAAGAATGTTGAATATTGGCCCCCACTCTCTTCTGGCTTGTAGAGTTTCTGCCGAGAGATCCTCTGTTAGTCTGATGGGCTTGCCTTTGTGGGTAACCCAACCTTTCTCTCTGGCTGCCCTTAACATTTTTTCCTTCATTTCAACTTTGGTGAATCTGACAATTATGTGTCTTGGAGTTGCTCTTCTCGAGGAGTATCTTTGTGGTGTTCTCTGTATTTCCTGAATTTGAATGTTGGCCTGCCTTGCTAGATTGGGGAAGTTCTCCTGGATAATATCCTGCAGAGTGTTTTCCAACTTGGTTCCATTCTCCCCATCACTTTCAGGTACACTGATAAGACATAGATTTGGTCTTTTCACATAGTCCCATATTTCTTGGAGGCTTTGTTCATTTCTTTTTATTCTTTTTTCTCTAAACTTCTCTTCACAGTTCATTTCATTCATTTCGTCTTCCATCACTGATACCCTTTCTTCCAGTTAATCGCATCAGTTACTGAGGCTTGTGCATTCATCATGTAGTTCTCGTGCCATGGTTTTCAGCTCCATCAGGTCCTTTAAGGACTTCTCTGCATTGGTTATTCTAGTTATCCATTCGTCTAATTTTGTTTCAAAGTTTTTAACTTGTTTGCCATTGGTTTGAACTTCCTCCTTTAGCTTGGAGTAGTTTGATCTTCTCAAGCCTTTCTCTCTCAACTCGTCAAAGTCATTCTTTGTCCAGCTTTGTTCCATTGCTGGTGAGGAGCTGCGTTCCTTTGGAGGAGGAGAGGCACTCTGATTTTTAGAGTTTCTGGTTTTTCTGCTCTGTTTTTTCCCCATCTTTGTGGTTTTATCTACCTTTGGTCTTTGATGATGGTGATGTACAGATGGGTTTTTTGTGTGGATGCCCTTTCTGTTTGTTAGTTTTCCTTCTAACAGTCAGGACCCTCAGCTGCAGGTCTGTTGGAGTTTACTGGAGGTCCACTCCAGATCCTGTTTGCCTGGGTATCAGCAGCGGTGGCTGCAGAACAGCGGATATTGGTGAACCACAAATGCTGCTGCCTGATCCTCTGGAAGTTTTGTCTCAGAGGAGTACCCAGCTGTGTGAGGTGTCAGTCTGCCCCTACTTGGGGGTGCCTCCCAGTTAGGCTACTTGGGAGTCAGGGACTCACTTTAGGAGGCAGTCTGCCTGTTCTCAGATCTCAAGCTGTGTGCTGGGAGAACCACTACTCTCTTCAAAGCTGTCAGAGAGGGACATTTAAGTCTGAGAGGTTATTGTTGTCTTTTGTTTGTCTGTGCCCTGCCCCCAGAGGTGGAGCCTACAGAGGCAGGCAGGCCTTTTTGAGCTGTGGTGGTCTCCACCCAGTTAGAGCTTCCTGGCTGTTTTGTTTACCTACTCAAGCCTGAGCAATGGTGGGCACCCCTCCCTGAGCCTCGCTGCCGCCTTGCAGTTTGATCTCAGACTGCTATGGTACCAGTGAATGAGGCTCTGTGTGCATAGGACCCTCTGAGCCATGTGTGGGATATAATCTCCTGGTGTACCGTTTGTGAAGCCCTTTGGAAAAGCGCAGTATTAGGGTGGGAGTGACCCGATTTTCCAGGTGCCATCTGTCACCCCTTTCTTTGATTAGGAAAGGGAATTCCCTGACCCCTTGCACTTCCTGGGTGAGGCGATGCCTTGCCCTGCTTCGGCTCATGCATGGTGTGCTGCACCCACTGTCCTGCACCCACTGTCCGACACTCCCCAGTGAGATGAACCCGGTACCTCATTTGGAAATGCAGAAATCACCTGCCTTTTGGGTCGCTCACGCTGGGAGCTGTAGACTGGAGCTGTTCCTATTCGGCCATCTTGGCTCCATAGTTCATTTGTTTTACATTATTAAGCTTGGGGATCTTTGTTAGGCAGAAATAGTTAATATCAAATTTTTCAAAAAATAAACATCACCAATATTTGACTTGAAAGGGAAATAAAGAAAGTGTTAGGAGCCTAAGAGAAGAGGAAAATATGACATATCTTTCATACTGTTTTCAAACATTAGGAGATATGGGGGAAAATAGTATGATTGTTGGGAAGCACACAGGTAAATTTAAAGGGAAAATTATCAGTTCATCTGTTGGTTTTTCTCTATCCACATTCAGCTGCACTTCACTGTTCAGGCTTGGAGCTGGAAATGGTTGGATTTCTGCTGGTTTGGATTTTTGACAAGTAAATATGGCAAAATAAATATTAAAGGCATAGAAGGGGGTTTTATAATGAATGGCCATGGTATTTTATCTAACAGGCAAATGAACGTTACATTTTTCAAACTTCTCCACTGCTGGCTTAAAGGCAACAACACATTTTATCAAACCACCTAGAATCTCATCGGGAAAGAATTTTTACCTATATTTCTTTGGCTCCCTTCACAACGATCCTTGTCTTTTTTTTGTAGGAAATCAAGGATGCTAAAAGTAAAACACCTATTATCTACTCTTTGAGAAACACATTCAATTTTACAAATTATCATGATTAGAAGCTATTAGAACAGAAGCCCTGTACATAATTTTTGAAGTCCTTGATAGAGCATAGCATAGGGCTTTGCAAGATAATAAAGAAAAATACTTGAATGAATGAATGAATAAATATGTCTTTTAATTGAATTGGAGGTTTATAAATAATTGCTTAATGGGAAGGAAAAATTGATTAATTGTGAACTACCCTTGTTGTGTGCTCTGGCTAATCAGAATGGTTGGCAGATGCTCAATATAGATTTGTTCAGTTTGTTGATAAATAAATGAATGATCTGTCTGGTAAAGCTCACATTCTCGTTAAATGAAGAAAAAGTAATCCTTACTAAAATTTGTTTTTCTCAATCATTTTCATGTACATTTATAAAACTTCAAATTTAGCAGAGTTTTCCTGATATAGATTAACACTCTGAAATAGCAGCTCCTTTCCAAATCCCATTAAGAGTAAGAAATTGAGTAAAAGTTGCACCTCTAAATTCACACTTTTAATATTCACTGCCATTTATTTGTACTTTATTACTAAAAACATGGGTGTTTGGTTAAACATTTAACAATATATAAGCTACTGTAAGTCATATAATTTCTTTAAAATGTTTTATGTTGTGCAGTAGAAAAGTTTGTCCTATTTTCAAGTATTAAGACATATTGACTTAGAGCATTTTTTTTCTGATGTGAATAGATATAGACTTCACAGTTTCATTCCAGAAAATGAGTAAAAGTCTACTAATGCACCTCTACTTCAGGAAGATTCCAGTTTCATAATCCAGCCAAGAGAGAAGTTAAGATTCCAGTGATAAAAAGTAGCCTCTTAAAGTGTTGGTGGTCTTAATCTGCAGGGTGTAGACAATCATGGAATGTCCAAATTCTGATACTGCACTTTGTTGCCTGTCAATGCTTACTTTCTTCAGAAAATTGCCATTATCAGACTTTTTAGTTATTTTTTTCAGAAGAGAGTGTTACTTACAAACACTCTCTTGTAAGTAAGAGGAGAGAGCTTATTGTATAACTACTGAGATGAAATATAAGTCAGTACAGTGGTTCCTAAAGCTGGTCACATGAGTTACCAACAAAGCTGTTTAAGATAATAATTCTTGGACTCCAACTGCAAAGATTGTAATTCAGGAATATTGGGGAGACACTCAGGTGAATTTGTATATAACAAGTAACTTGGGTGATTCTTCTCTAGCCAGTCTGGCACCAGTTCACTGGCAGGTCTTTAAAAGTCACTGACTTACTCAACTGAAATCTATGGCAGGTGCCTGCTTGTATGACTCTATAAGGGGTGGCAAGGTAATAAAGTACATTCCTTTCTCACACTAAAGTAGATACATTTATGACTGTTGCTGTCACATACAAAAGAATTGATGCCTTTAGTCCAGCACTCACTTTAAAACTGCATATGGCTCCTGGTGCAGCCAGTGGATTTGTATTCGTTTCACATGAGATGAACTTCTTAATGATTCAAGGGTATTATTAATAGTTCTAAATCAAATGTAGCTCAGTTGTATTTCCTTTTTCAATGTCATTCTCTATGGTACATTTTGCTTCTTAAACACCCAGCAAATCTATGATTCTCAATCTGGGGCCATATCATCCATGGGGGTGTATTTTAATCTCTTGAGTGTGGAAAGTACACATGTATACTTTAAAAACCCACATTCAATGTTATACTCTAATTTTATTTTGGGAAAAAAACTTCCTGTATTATTATTGTCATATAATCTACAGAAAGAAAACCTCAACAAAATATTTTATTTTGAGAATACACAGAAAATAATGGATTCCTCTGGGAATCACACTCAGTATGATGTATCAAAATTAATGGGGGTCGTAGAAGCGTTCATGTCCTATATGCATCCAAGGGAACATGCTAAAAAACACTGATCAACATTAGATACATGATATTATTGGTCAGTCTGTTAAAATGGAGGGCACATGGGCTTTAGCATCTTGTACAACTGCTCTCTGTGACTCGCTTCTTTCCTTCCTACCACCATCTCCACATTCCAATAGCCCTTTCTTTTATTGCCACTTCCACCCACATCTTAATGATACACTGCTCTGCCCACAGCACGAAATCCTCAGGATGATTAAGATTAAGCCCAGGAGGAGCTGGCACTTGACTTCTGCATATTGACTTTGAAATCCATGAGATAATTGTACAGCTTTCATTCCACATTCCCTGAATAGTTTGATTGTGTGTTGAAGTAATTTACCCTGAAGCTTAATCCATAAATTTGTTGCAAAAATGAAATAAAGATCCAGTGAATTATGTACAATGTCAAACACCTATTAGATTTGGTATTTGGAAAATGTTAAACCACTGTAAAATAACTGATTTTCACTTGCCAAGCCTTTTCATTGCCATTACCACGATCATTTGTTGAAAACCTTCTCAATTAGGGATATTAACTCTTAAGGAAATAAACATACATGCACACACACTTACTTCGTGTGTATTTGAGTTTCAGCCACCAAAACATTTCTTTTCCTTTTCGATTTCAGCAGCAAAAATAAAAGGTTTTGAATTTTCTGAGAAAAAAAATGTCTAACATATTTCTAAGTCTACATGTTCTCCTACATGTATGTTCTGGTGTATAATGACTTATAAGACACTTTCTTACAGAGAACAAAACCTAAGTAAGGAAATCATAAACCTTCAATAAGCCTATACAGTCAGCTCTCTTCTCAGTTCTCTTCTCTCTTCTGTTATATCCAACAGACAAGGTCAGATATGACTTAATGAAAGAGCTCATGATAGGGGAAGTGGGTAGACCTGGTTGGCAATTGAAGCTAGCATTCAAATTGTTACCACGGTCTCAGTAAAAGGTTAAGAATAGCCCCATATATTTGATTTGTATTTGACTTCATTTCAATTATAATCAAGTCAAATGCCTACAGTAGTTAAGAGAGAATCACAATTTTGGGGGGAATGAAAATATTGCTGATTGTAAATATACACTTTTGAACTGTTTTTATTTAATTAATTAATTAATTTTGAACTCTCATTACTTCTGTAATGATTTGAGATATTAGAATTTCTCTAATATCTTTGATTTTAATTCTGGTAGATCTCACTGTGCTTTTGTGACCTTATTTCCTACAATGGACAACTCTATCTGCAACATGTCCAGGGAAAGGTAAATCTGAATTGCATGTTAGGTTATAATAGTAGATGCACATAAATACAACCTGCCGTTAAATAGGCCCTCATAGCCACAGGGCAGATTCAACTAAGGCAAATGGAAAATATCTGGGGGAAAAACAATAAAAAATAACAATATAACAAAAAACATAATACAAATTTTAAAACCAATATAGTGTAACAAATATTTACACAGCATTTGCATTGTATGAAATACCTGTGCATTACTTATAATACCTAATATAACACAAATGCTATGTGAATATTTGTTATGATATTTGAGATGATTTAAAGTATACAGGAGGATGTGACTAGGTTATAGGCAAACACTGCCATTTTAATTCAGGGACTTGAGCATCGAAAGATTTTGATATTTATGGGGTAGTGGGGGAAGGGATGAGGGTGTGTATTTTGGAACCAATTTCCCTCGGATACTGTGGGCAATTGTACAATAATAAGCTATTGCTATGGTATTTGGGCTGTTGCTTTTTAAACTCAGCAATAAGAGATGAAGATGTGAGTGCCCTTCCATTGGGTTTTGCCCTCCAATTTAATAAACATACTGAATACAGTAACAGCTGAGATTAGACAGGATTCAAAAGTTGGTTCAAATATTTTAATTAAAAATATTCTTAGAATATAAAACTTTTTTACATGTCCTCATTTAGATTGAAAAGAACAAAATATTTCTTTGCAGAGATTAAACCAGGTCCATGTTTTAGTTGTTGCTATTTATAGTTTTCACATTTATAGGACTATTAGGAACCTATGGTATGTTCAAATATATCAAGTTATTATCTGGATAATAACAGCATTTACTAAATTGTTTCTTTTAGTTTAAGCTGTATTTCAGATTTATAGAAATGTAGAACCACCAAAATCCTTTATGGATTGACTAATTCACACTTCCATTTTACTAGCAGGAAAATTAGAGATTAAAAGGTTTGCTCAAAATCACAAAGCAAATAAGCAGAAGATCGACCACTAAAAGCTAGGCTCTGTTTCATTCAGCAAATGTATGCGGGGTCTAGTTTGTGCCAGGCACAAAGGCAAGTTGTACACACTCTCTGTCCTTCAGTTGCTCATTGTCTACTTGAGGGAGTCAAATGGCTTAATGGGTCACTATAAGAGAATAAAGGGACAAAGATTCTTACAGGGTTGAGTTTAAAGGTTAGATTAGGGGTGGCTTCTTGGAGGAGGTGAAATCTCAGGTGGCATTTAAGCCACCTAGAGCGATGGAGAAGTAGAAGGATGTGTCAGGCAGAAGGTAATTCCTCAGACTCAGAGGTGAGAAAATGCATGCTGTTTAAGGGACTGTGGGTCTCTCCCCACACTGGAGTAAAGCTGGAGCTGGCTAAGAGCAGAGAGAGAGGAGATGAGGGTAATGACAAGGGGCCAAGAGCTTTGTCAAATTTTGAAATTTACACTTTATTCTGGAGGCAATTGAGGAGTCTTGGTTGGGATTTTGGCAGAAAAATAACATTATCAAGCTTGCATTTTAGGAATAATTATCAGACTGCAGCATGAATATTGAACTGCAGAAAGGAAGAGTCAAGAAGCCAGGACAGTGCTTCCTCTATCACAACACAAAGGGTCTTTGTAAGAATTAGAAAAAGAACTCCTTCCTACTGGAAAATTGTCATAACATGCAGAAGTTATTAGAACAAGATTCTCTAACACCTTTTGCTGGATAATTACTGGCATTCATATAGAAATCTATGTGATGTGATATGATACTTTTGTGCAATGCACAGCCTCCCCAACTGGTTCTGACCTGCAACTCCTCCTAGAAAACCCATAGAGTAGTTATGACTAATTCTGTCTAGCACTTGAAAATTTACAAGCCCCATTCAGAAACATTATTTCATGTACTGTTCCTGATAATCCTGTGAAGTAGTTACAAAAGGAAGTATTTTTACCCTCATTTTACGGTTGAGAAAATTAAGCCTCAACTAGGCCAAGTGACTTTTCTACCACCACAGTTGGAGACAATGGAGCCCAAATCTCTAAACATTATCCTTCATCAGTTTCATTTCTTTATTGCCTCTATGACTTATAGCAGGTAAAAATATCAAAAATATAAAATATGCTAATTTATTAAAGAAGTTTAGCAAACATCTGGCAATATAGCTAGGGTTTGGTAGAGTGGGTAAAAGACCATAACCCTTCTTTTTTTTGAGGTCAGAAATCAAATTCAGAAATTGTGCCACGGAATACTGATCTACTAGTTAGTCTCTGAGTGTGGGGACAGGAAATTGACTTAGTTCTTTTTTCCTGATTCAGAAATGCACTTCGTTTTTCTAATATTTAAAATCATCCAGGATTTCAAATGTATTGCAATTCATATTTTAATAATTCAATCTGTGTTTCTTATCCTGCACATGTCTTTAATATAGATACACATGAATAAGAAATTAAGTTCTAATTACAAATAAGTATTCCATATTCTGAAATAATTGAGATATACAATGTGTTAATATAGCTGTTAAATACCAAAATGTGTAATGTATTTCACACTTGTCACTTTTCATCTAATTAAGGAAACCTTAATGACTGTTACGAAAAACGTTTGGGGATTACTTTATAACCTTGCCTGCATATTTTTAACTGCTACTTAGAACAAAATATCAAGCATATTTGGTTAGCAGACATTTTAAATGTCACCTAGAGGGAGGGAAATTAGAATCAGGATTAAACATTTCGTAGCCATGCAAGGATGAGTGATGGTTCTTCTGCCGTCATGTCACTGGGGCTGAACAATGGAATTAGTTCTAGAAAACCAAACTCTATCCATAGGATTAGAGTTGCATGGAGGTTTTTGTTTGTTTGTTTGTTTTTTGTTTTTTATTTTGTTATTGTTGTTGTTGTTCCTGAAAAATAGAAGTGAGAAGGTCTAGCAGAATTCTAATGACTTGATGGTCCTCTTTTCAACACAGCCCTCCAGTGCAGAGAGGCAGTGCATGCTGTGGTTAAGAGCAAGAGTCTTAATAGACTGGGTGGCTATACCACTCTGCCACTGAGCAGCCATGAGACACTGGGCAAGGTTCTTAACCTCATTATACTTCATAGAGTGGTAATGAAAATTACATAAATTAATGTATGCAAAAATACCAGAACAATACCTGGCACATAATATGTGCAGTGTAAGCAGTAGTTTTTGTCATTAATAGGATTCGAAGGGGTATCAAATTCCATCGTATCTGCTCAATTGTGAAAATTAGGTTGCTACTGAAAGTTTTACATAAACACTACGGAGTATGTAAAAAAAAAAAAAATAGAGTTAAGGAAAGCTTCCCAAATCTTCATTAGGAAAAGAAAAGGAAATTCTGCAACTTCATGTTTCCTTTCTATGGCCAAGTTCTATTACTATCTTCTCTATCTTCAAAAGGAAAAAAGGTAGATTAGTGAAATTGGAATCCTCATAGATGCTGAAAAGACATACACAAATAAGACTGTGTAAGTTATAATTGACTGGGAGGAAAACTTTAGGTTAAGAAAGCATCAAATAAGCAATTCCTGTCTGAAAGTCTATTTGATTTATACTTAATACAGTGTTTCCAGGCTGATTCCTAATGACGTCCATTACATAGTCGGAAAAAATTCCTCTAAATACCTGATCAGTGCTGTCATTGCTTTCAGATAAAAAGGATGTAAATCCATTTCAATTAACAATCCTTAAAACAAAGATCAAAGCAAACCACTGATTTCAGTGGTTTATGTGTTCATCTTCTCCACTAAAATGTGAGACTCAGAAACAAGAACTATTTAATTTTGAAAATATTTTTACTTAGAAATAAAAAGTAAACTCTAGTTATTGTTTTTAATAAAATGATTACTTCTTAACATTCTCGCTATCTCAAAAGTGAAATAAACATAGGTTTGTTTAAGAGCCTAAATAGCAGACTTCTCAGATTTCTGGTAATTGAAGAATATACAGCTGTGAACTTTATACCATAATTTAAAACAGGCAGGGCAGTACTATAATTTTCCACAGATAGTCATTTAATATTTCCACAGAAATGCCATTCTTCTTAGATTTCAAATGCTTTAAATTTTGTAACGTATCATAGTTTTGCAATAAAATGTTTAAAGAAAGTTTATTTCGAAATTTTCTGCTGTCTGGGGAAAAAAGGACAGGACATTTTTTATAGCTAAGTTGTAATGGTTAGATTTCTTTTGATTATAAGTGAATGAAGATCCAAACCAAACTGGCTTGAACAAAAATAAAATTTATTGCCTCAGCTAACCAATATGTTCAGGAATAAGTCTAGCTTTGGTCAAAGCTTAACCATGGTAAATTATATCATCGGGACCTGCTTTTTCTCTGTAACTCTTGGCTCTGCCTTTTACTTGTTGTAGAGAGGTATTGGTCAAATCTCAGATGAAGTTGACTTTATGGTTATAAGTTGACTGCCAGTACTTTACACTTACAGGTGTGAATAATCCAGCTGAGATAAAAGACCCAGAATGCAGTCTCAGCAGCTCTGATAGGCTGAAATTGAAAAGGACACAAAAAAGTAAGGATATTCCATGAGCCTGAATTAGAAGAATTTAATATTATTAAAATGACAAAACTTCCCAAAGCACTTTACAGATTCAATTCAACCCCTATCAGAATACCAATGATATTATCTACAAAACAGAAAAATAATTCTAAAATTTTATGGAACCACAAAAGACCTCAAACAAACAAACAAACAACAACAACAACAAACAAATCCTGAGCAAAATGAACAAACCTAGAGGAATCACAATACCTGACTTTACGCTAGAAAATTTTAGTAACCAAATCAGCATGGTACTGGCATATAGACCAATGGAACAGGATAGAGAATCCAGATATAACTACACATATATTTACAGCCAACTCATTTCATACACTGGGGAAAGGATGGTTTATTCAATAAATGGTGCTGGGAAAACTGGATAACCATATGCAGAAGAATGAAACTAGACCCCTGCCTCTCACCATATACAAAAAATGAAATCAAAAATGGATTAAAGACTCACACTATGAAAATACTATGACTTCAAAGACCTCAGACTATGAAACTGCTATGAGAAAACTTGGAGAAATGCTTTAGGACATTGGTCTGAACAAATATGTTTGTAAGTCTTCAAAAGCACAGGCAACAAAAATAAAAATAGACGAACGGGATTACATAAGCTTGAAAGTTTGCACAGCAAAGAAAACAATCATAAAATGAAAAGACAACTCAGAGAATGGGACAAAATATTTGTAAACTATTCTGACAAGAGAGTGATACAAGAATGTAAAAGTAGCTCAAACAAATCAATATCCAAAAAGGAGAAAGGAAAAGATGAAGAAAAGTAGACAAAACTGCTGAATAAACATTTCTCGAAAAAGAGAAATGGCCAACAGTTTTATGAAAAAGAGCTCAAAATCACTTATCAGAGAAATGTAAAATGAAAATTACAATGAGATTTCACCTCACTCCAATTAAAATGCCTTTATCAAAAAATAAGGAATGATAGATACTGGTGAGAATGTGGAGAACGGAGAACTTTCTCCAGTGTTGGTACACTGTTGGTGGGAATGTAAATTAGTATAGCTGTTATGGAAAACAGTATGGAGGCTTCTTGAAAAACTAAAAATAGAACTGCCATGTGATACAGCAATCACATTACTGGGTGTTTATCCAAAGGAAAAGAAATGAGTATATCAAAGAAATACCTGCACTCAGATGTTTATTGTAGCATTATTCACAATAGCAAACACATGGAATCAATATCAATGTCTATTAATGGATTAAAGGATAAAGCAAATGTGTTATTGATATACAATGGGATATTATTCAGGCATAAAAAGAATAAAAGTCTGTCATTTGAAGCAACATAAATGGAACCAGAGGTCAATACGTTAAGTGAAATAAGCTAAGCACAGAAAGACAAATATCACATGTTCTCATTCATATGTGAAAGATCAAAAGGAAAATAGAAAGTTGATGGTTGGTTCCTAGAAGAAGGAAGAGTATGGGGAAGGGAGGGATGAAAAGAGGTTGAGTAATGGGTATAAATAAACATTTAGAAGAATTAAGACCTGGTGTTCACTAGACCAGTAGGGTGACTATAGTTAACATTAATTGATTGTACATTTTGAAATAACCAGCAGAGAATAATTTGAATGTTCCTAGCTTAAAGAGAAGACAAATATTTAAGATGATGGATATTCCCATCACCCTGATTTGATTACATGATTGTATCAAATCACACGTAGTACAAAAATATGTACATCTAGTATGTATCAATAAAATTAAAAAAATACTTTTCATTTTGTTGTTTCTTTGTATTGTTATGTAGTCTCCATTTCATTGATTTCTACTCTGATATTTATTTATTTTTCTAATTTTGGGTTTGGTGTGTTCTTGCTTTTTATTTTCCTGAGATGGATCATTAGGCTGTTTATTTGAAATCTTTCAGTTTTTTTAGAAGTAGAAATCTATTGCTCTAAATTTCCCTCTTAGCACTACTTTTTCGGTATCCCGTAGGTTTTGGTATGTTGCGTTTCCATTTTCATTTGTTTCAAGGAATGTTTTGTTTTTCTTCTTTATTTATTGACATAATGGTCATTCAGGAGCAAGGCGTTTGATTTCATATATTTTTACAGTTTCCAAAGTTCCTCTTTTTATATTGATTTATGGTTTTACTTTCTTTTGGTCTGAGAAGATACTTAATACAAAATCAGTTTTTTAACATTTGTTGATACCGTTCTGTTGCCTAATCACATTCTATTCTGGAGACTGTTTTGTGTGTTAATGAGAAAAACGTATATTCTACAGCTGTTGGATGACATATTCTGTAAATGTCTGCTAGGTCCATTTGGTCTATCGGGCAGATTAAGCCGATGCTTCTTTGTTGATTTTCTGCCAGAGTGACTTGTCTATTGCTGAAAGTGGGGTGTTGCTGTCCCCCACTATTATGGTATTCGGTCTATGTCTCTCTTTAGCTTTAATAATATTTGCTTTATATATCTGGGTGCCCTGGTATTGGTACAATTTACAGTTGTTATATCCTTTATCTAGGTTAATTGCATGTCTTTGCGATTGTGAATAATGCTTCAGTGAGCATTCATGTGCATGTGTCTTTATAGTAGAATGATTTATTTTCCTCAGAGTATATACCCAGTAATGGGATTGCTGGTGTGAATGGTAGTTCCGTTTTTATATTCCTCCATGAAGGATAGCCATACTGCTTTCCACAATGGTTGAACTAATTTACATTACCACCGACAGTTGTATAAGTGTTCTCTTCTCAATGCAACCTCGCCAGCATCTGTTATTTTTTGACTTCTAAATACGGCCATTCTAACTGGTGTGAGATGGTATCTAACTGTGGTTTTGATTTGCATTTCTCTAATGATCAGTGACATTGAGCTTTTTTTCATAGCCTTGTTGGCCACATGTATGTCTTCTTTTGAAAAGTGTTTGTTCATGTCTTCTGTCCACTTTTTAATGGGGTTGTTTTTCTCTTGTAAATTTGTTTAAGTTCCTTATAGATGCTGGATGTTAGATTTCTGTCAGATTTCTGTATAGTTTGCAGAAAGTTTCTCCTTTTATTTAGGTTGTCTGTTTACTATTTTGATAATTTTCTTTGCTGTGCAGAAGCCCTTAAGTTTAATTAGATTCCACCTGTCAATTTTTGCTTTTGTTGCAATTGCTTTTGATGTCTTTGTCATAAAATCTTTGCCCATTCCTATGTCCAGGATGGTATTGCCTAGGTTGTCTTCCAGGGTTTTTGTAGTTTTGGGTTTTACATTTAAGTCTTTAATCCATTTTGAGTTGATCTTTGTATATGGTGTAAGGAAGGGTTCCAGCTTCAATCTTCTGCATATTGCTAGCAAAGTATCCTAGCACCATTTATTGAAAAAGGAGTTCTTCTCTCATTGCTTGTATTTGTCAGTTTTATAGAAGATCAGATGGTTGTAGGTGTGCAGCATTATTTCTGGGCTCTCTATTCTGTTCCATTGGTCTATGTGCCTGTTTTTGTACCATACCAAGTTGTTTTGGTAACTGTAGCCTGTAATATAGTTTGAAGTTGGGCAACCTGATGCCTCCAAACTTTGTTCTTTGTGCTTAGGATTGTTTTGGCTCTTTGGGCTCATCTTTAGTTCCATATGAATTTTAAAATAGCTTTTTCTAGTTCTGTGAAGAATGTCATTGGTGGTTCGATAGAAATAGCATTGAATCTGTAGATTCAACGGGCAGTATGGCCATTTTAATGATACTGATTTTTCCCCTCCTTGAGCATGGGTTGTTTTTCCACTTGTTTGTGTCTTCTCTGATTTCTCTGAACTGTGTTTTGTAATTCTCATTGTAGACGTCTTTCAACTTTCTTTTTTCTTTATTTTCTGACTGGGTTATTTCAGAAGCCCTATTTTCAAGTTCAGACTTTTTTTTCTGAAAAATGATCTAGTCAATTGTTGAGGTTCTCAATTGTGTTTTTATTTTATTCATTGAATTATTTATTTCCAAGATTTCTATTTTTAATGATACCTACTTTTTGTTGAATTTCTCATTCAGATCATGAATTGTTTTTCTCATTTCTTTGTGTTGTTCATCTGTGTTCTCTTATATCTCACTAATTTTCTTTAATATTACTTTAAAAATTCTTTTCAGTCATTTTACAGATTTTCTTTCCTTTGGGATCTGTTACTGGAGAATTATGATGTCATGTTTTCTTGCTTTCTCATGTGTCTTGTTTCCTTATTTTAATATCTGCATAACTGGTGTAACAGTCACTGCTTCCCATATTATAGATTGGTTTTTGCAGGTAAAGATTTTTCCTATTGATGTATCTATAGTGTTTATTGGGTAGACTCCTTTGTCTTTAATTCTGGGTGAATGTAGTAGTATAATCTTCATATGATTTCTTTCTTGGCTGTAATCAGCATTAGTGGTATCTATGAGTCCCTCAGTGGTTTAGACTGCAGTTGTTAGTGAAGGTTGTGGTGAGGCTTTGGTAGGACAGGGTGGGCCAGACCTTGGATACCTGTGGTAGTGATGGCAGGCATAGTGTGCCTGGGGTTTTAACAGGTTTATAGTCCTTGGGGTTTTAACAGCATATGCTAGTGCTGGTGGTGGTGGGTTTGGGTGAGCCAGTCTTCAGGCCTATACGCAGCATGCTTAGGTGCCAACAGTGGCACCAGCAGACTGGGTGGGCAGATCCTTGGTTCTAAGTGATGTGTGAAGTTACCTGTGGTAGTAATGGCGGCTTGGGTTGGGTGGTCCCCAGGCCCCTGGGTGAAGTGTGTGGGTGAACACTGGCAGTGGCAGTGGTAGCAGGTTGGACAAAATGTTCCCTAAGTCCCTTAAAGGTGCATGCAGGCTCTCAGTAGGCCAGTGTTTATGATCCTGGATGGTGAACACATGCACCAATGGAGGTGGGCAGGGAAGAACTATCCATAGGCCCACAGACAGTATATGTGAGTCATGGTGGCAGGTGAGATGGGCCTGTCATCAGACCACAGTAGAACTATGTGTGCACTGGCAGTGGCACCAGTGGGCAGGTCAGGCCTCTCCCCAGGACCTTGAATGACATGCACAGGTGCTGGTTGTGGCAATAAAGACACAGTCAGGGTGGCTCAATCCGCAGTCCCCTGAACAGCTTTCTTGAGCACTGGAAGTGGTGGCAGTATGTAGAGTAGGCCTGTCCTCAGGTTCTTGAACTTCAGGCACTGGTGCTGGTGGTAGCAGAAACTTGGATGATGTGCACAGGTGCTGGTAGTGGTGATAATTCTCAGGCCACTGGATGGTACTCTTGGGCACCAGTGGTGGTGGGCATGTCAGGCTGATTTGCAGTTCCTCAGATGATATGCTTAGGTTCTGGCAGCAGCAGCAGGCAAGGCAGGGCTGTCTTTAGGCCTTGTTGGTGTGCATGAGTGCTGGCAGCAGCAACAGGCAGGGTAGACTGTTATGAAATCGCTTGATGAGATGTGGCAGGGGTTCTGGGCAGGCTGCTGTCAGGCTCTGGAGAGCGCATACTTCAGTTCCCTTTGTCTGGGGGCAGCCCCCTTGGTCCACTGTACTGCCTGTTCCATGGGGTACAGGAAACTGTGGGTTAGAATGCTAGGGATCAGGTCACACCAATGATCTAGCTAGCGTCATGACACTGCAGCCTCCTGAGTGGATGTGGGGGGATATCAACAGGGTTCCAGGGATATGAAGGTGCAAAGATGATTGGGTCCTAGGGTAAGATGTAGTTTGCTGGGGGCTCAGCTTTCAAAATAGCTCTACACTGAAGCTGCTTGGGTCACAGGTCGGGAGAGGGTACAGTGGGACCCAGTCCAAACTCCCTCCCTGAAACAATGGTATCATGAGGATGTCAGGCTCAGGGTTATATTAGTCTCAGGGCCTGCAAGGGCTGAAGGGCTCTCCCATGGCTAGGATTGCAAGAGCCTGTTGTGGGAATATGATCTGAGGGAGATCTGTCACTTAACTTTCCCTGCAATACGGAGTTCCTCCTGGCTCTGAGCTGATCCTGGACCTGCCAGCTGCTTTGTTTCCCTCTTGTTCCATGCTTCAGAGTTTCCCGGTCACTTTCTTTCCAGTGTTCTCTCTAAGAAGCTCGAGTCAGTGTTCGGTTACCTACTCACTCTTCTGGTCTTTCTTTGCGAAGGAGGTGAGTGCAGGGTGCCTCTAGTTAGTCATCCTCACCCCTGGAGTTCTCACATTTGTATTTTTGTTATGTCATGTATACTAATCTGGTACTCAGGAAAGATTGTTCAAAAATATGAATTACTGTTCACCTTAGCATCTTTTGCTTTGTAGAAAAAAATTGTTGATTATAAAATCTGTCAAAATTGACTGAAACCTGCAGAAATACCATTTACTCTGTGGCACAGCTCTATTCCTAAGCCTGTAAGCAGTTAGGAATTTCTTTTATTCTATTTAACTTTGCATAATAAGTAACTTAAGTATCTGCTGGTAACCACTGATTACCACCCGCCCCCTACCCCACCACACACACACAAATCTCTAAAGTCTAAGCTACTAAATCTGAACTTATACTGAACCAATGTTTTGTGTACAAAGACTGTTCTTTGTTTGAACTGGGTCTTCATAAGTCAGTGAAAGATTACACAGTACCAAATCTATCATCATTTTCCCCTTGAATTACTAGGATTTCCACTTAAGGAAAATAGGACATATGCGTGAAATATATTTAAATGCAACTTCCACAGTGACATGAAGAAAAATAATTGGAAATGAAGTTATATTCATTTCGTTAGCGGTAGTTTGCTTCCTTGCTTATGAAGCATGTTATTTTAAGTAAAAACATCAAAAAATATGAAGGAATAATATTACTGAAGCCAAATATTACAGGATATATAAATACTTGAGTAAATCCTTATGAGAAGAAGAAATGTTTTCAAATCCTCAGCTTTTCAGAACAGAAACAGTGTTGATTCTGGCACTGAGTGTAAACCACCTACATATCACTTTTCATGAGCTTCCAAAAGATGAAGCCAAAGGACAAAAATCTATACTGAAATTCCCTGTTGAGAATATGGCAAAAAAAGAGAAGCCCAACAATAATGGAAAAACATTAAGTCTGCATATTTAATAATTCTGTACTATGCCAACCAAGGAGTGAGGATTATAAATAGTCATATTTATTTCTTGTGTTTCATCTATTGCCTGTTTTTAAAAACAACAGGCAGCCTAGCCTACATTTTATCTATATGATTGACTATATGAATTTGCTTAAGACCAGCTCTGGGAAAAGAAATTCTTTTATCTGCAGACTTTGTTCCTCTGAACCATGTAACTGGAAAGAAGAGGAAAAAGATTGACACAAATCTCATTGTTTTCTTTCTTGGATATGTATCTTTTAACTCTAAGGTCATAGTCTAACCAGAACATAATGTTATTATAGCATCAATACAAATGGTAAACTTTGATATTTTGAATAAAGGAGACTTTTTATATTTTTTTCTTAATATGTTGTACTTGATTGACCCCTGTGAACTACCTGCTGCTAAAAAATATTGATCTGATTTTTTTTTGGTAGAATACTTTATGAGCTACTTCAATCTAACCAAATATTTAGGTAGCATCCAATTCAGTTGTAATATATAGAGTTATAGCAGGCACATTTGCAAGGAGTTCTCATTGATTTCTTAAAAAATGTTTTGTTGCCTAGGTGTAATATTTTAAGAAAATCATGGTAAATCCACCAACAGAAATATGCAGTCATTGAAAAGTATGTTTAAAAATAATTTTTAATGTAAAATACATCTTTAAAAATAATGCTATTGTCAAATGAAAGGCAGAATATATCATTTTAAATGCAGCATCAGCTTAATTATGTACAAAATATATAAATAGTAAAGGCAAGAAAAATTCAAAATATGAATATTGGTTGCAAGACACATGTGACTATGACAAACTTCTTTCATTATTTTATCCATGCATCCTTAAACCCCTCTTCTCTTCCTCTATTATTATTATTGTCTATGGCTCAACTATCCAATTTTGCCTCTGGTCAGAAGCATGCCATAGGCTTTCCTCTCTTTGAATAATGTCAAATCTAATCAATTGTTTTAACCTAGAAATTCTAATTTTCAAATATTTTCATATCCTGCTTTTTCCATTTCCTGTCCTGCTATTATTGTCCTGTATCAGGCTTGCATCATCTCTTTCCTGGACTGTGCAACAGCCTCTTACCTGTTGTTCTACCTCTACTTTTGCCCCCTAGAGAACCATCCTCCGTGATATACTCTAGGAAATTCATTTCAAGTGATGATATTACCATGTACTTGTCTTTAAATGATGTCCTTTTGCCTATAGAATCAAGTTCCTCAGAGTGACATAAAATAATCCCTCTATGACCTAGCCCTGATCTTTTCTTCAGTCTCATCTTGCCCTCCTCATACTTACTGCATATGCAGAATGTATACATTATGAAATTTTACACTGTATAGATTTGTTCAGACTATTTCTACTGCTCAATATCCCCTAAAGAAAGCTTATTCCTACTATAACTTACAACTAGGGTAGCTTCTCCTTCCTGGAACATTTCCTCTGTTAAGACTAAGTAGCCTGACTATCCCTGACATATCCCTATTGCTTTCCAGTTAGCCCACACTATATAATATTAAATTAACTTACTTAGCAATTTTTTTTTTCACTATAGCAAAAACTTTTGGAGAGCAGAGGCTGCTAATAATTCACAATTCATTCATCCCAGTACTTAGCATGGGTCTGGAATACAGCAGACACTCAATAGAATGAAACTGAACTTACAGTTACATAAAATTAAATTTGGATTCAATGTCTTGCTCTAGGAAGTTAATGCTTAGCTATACTAAGAACCAGTTAAATAGATGTTGGATACTGGAATTGGGCAGTGTTGTTGCTACTTTGGTATACTACAAAAATCTAAAAAAAAACACACACACACACAAAAACTAGTTTATCTTGTGATGTTTCTGTCTCTTGTTACATCCTAAAGAAATTGTATATTGAAATTCCTTAGAGATATGAGGGCAAAGGAAGTGTGTTCTTCTTTAAAGCTTCAGAATAAAAAAGCAGACAAGTATAATATTTCATAAATTAAGTAGGCACAAGGTCAAACATTGTCTCAATTCTATGTAGTTTCTGTGGCTTGGAAGCTTCTTTTAAAGGCGTCGTATTTTTCCTGACACTTACCTAAGAAGACATACCTAAGGTTTGGAAATCAGTAGAGAACATCCATTTCTGAGAAATTTCCTGGGTTTTGTGGTTCTGGTCAAGATGGTCAAAAGCACTGTGCCATGTATCCTCTTGGTCTGGTCTCAGGCTTAGCATAAGAAGATCCTTGAGATTCAGGTTCAAATACTGATTAACCGCAGGCTCTGGGCAAAGCAAATAGATGCTTGGGTTTCAATTTCCTTCTCTGTTATACACCAGCAGTAATACTGCTCAGGAAAATAGGTCAGCCATATCATCCAAGCATGGCCGGACAGTTGCTTTCACCACCCACTACAGTCTCAGAAACTACCTGGCAGAAGCACAGATTGCAGAGCCTTACCTTTTAGCATGTTGTTACTGGTTTTCTAAGATATTGTGAGAAATTAGATCTATTATTTCAAGTTTTGAAGCATGAATAATATTCACAACCCAAAACCATTCCCCACAGGTGCATTGATAGCCTGTGGTTCCCTGTCCTGTGTCCACCGTTTCCTTTGTCTTCTTCATCTTTAGTACAGTTGTGCAATCTATAATGTATATGCTTTATAATGCACTGCCCATTATTCTTTTGATCTGGCCGTTGTTTTAATAATGTCTTTTCCTGGGTTAGAATAAGTTCCCAGGTAAAATGTTTTGGGAAGCTGGTTATATGTTAAGCTTTCACTCCTTCAAATATTTAGGCAATTATTTTTACATACACACACTCTCATTCTAATCTAAGCCATAGAAAACCCTCTTTATTTATGCAGAAAAGCACACATTGCCCACCAGGAAGGGAATTCACTTCTGAAAACAGAACAAACTTTCGCTCTAGTAGTTTTGCTTTTCCTTCACCTTAAGGAAGAAAGCAACAAAATAATCACTTATAAAAGGGGATTAGAAATGGACTGAAACAGAAGTTTGGCATGTTTAGTTCTTCTATTCTAGTTTTATCCACTGATTTCTTCCAGTGATGTTAGTAGTACCTAGTATAGGAACAATGGGCAAGGAAGAATGAAATACAAAAGAGAATAGTAATCTGTAATTAGAAGAAATAGAAGACAGAACAGGGAAAATAGAAAGAGACTTAGTAAAGAAAGCTGATTGCTTACTGTATGTCAGGCAAATAGTCCAGAGCTTTAAATTTTATGAACCATTGAATCTACATTTTACATATTCACTAAGCAAATAATCTTATTATTCCCAATTTACAATTAAAGACATGAGTCTTGCAAGATTAAGTAACTTGGCCAAGATTACATAGTTCAAAGCAGAGCTTCCACTTCAATTTCAACAAATATTTGCCCAGCCTTTGTTAAGCGTCTATGCTGTGAATAATAAAAGACCTGTGACTAACCGGGCGCGGTGGCTCACGCCTGTAATCCCAGCACTTTGGGAGGCCAAGGTGGGCAGATCACGAGGTCAGGAGATCGAGACCATCCTGGCTAACACGGTGAAACCCCGTCTCTACTAAGAATACAAAAAATTAGCCAGGCGTGGTGGCAAGCGCCTGTAGTCCCAGCTACTCGAGAGGCTGAGGCAGGAGAATGGCGGGAACCCAGGAGGCGAAGCTTGCAGTGAGCCGAGATCGTGCCATTATTCCAGCTGGGCAACAGAGCCAGACTCCGTCTCAAAAAAAAAAAAAAAGACCTGTGACTCATCTTCTTTAATTTTCTGAGGAATAATTTTATAGATCATTTTTTTCTTTCTATATGAGCCAAATATTAGATGTTTGTTTCCCACACATATTTTTTAAATATATGATTTTATTCAATATTAACAATTGGAGAAGTGTCTTTGAAACATAATGAAAGCATTTGGATATTCTTCAAAGAATTAGGTTAAATATAATAATTTTATCTTGACACAAAAGTATATTACTTCATGATAAAACATTATTTTTCAAAATTAAGAATCTAATAAAAATGGTTTAATTGTATTTAGCTTGCTGTAATATTATTTTTGATTAAGAGAATCAAATGAGGTTACATTATATTTTAAAGTCAGCATTTTAATGGCATGTGAAATTATGCTATGATAGGTAAAATTGTTGCCAGTGGTTATTTGTGTACAGAAAACATTAAAATGGAAAATATTAGATAGTTATAATCAGTCATGCATATTGTATGCAGATAAATATGGAAGATGAAATGTATTTTAAACAATATAATTCACTCCTATAAATCAGTTATCACTGTTATATATTCGAGAGTTTCAATAAGTATGTAGTATAATTAAATATTTAAATAAGTGCTTACTAAGCTAGCTATAGTAGTCAAATTTTGCCATTTTGCAAATCTATTAGCTATTTATGAATATTTATATTACAGAAATTCTTAGAAGTTTTAGGGGAGGAGAGATATTATAAATTAGGGCTAATAGTCAAAATCATTTAAAACTTATGTAACCTTACCCCTGATGATTTTAGGGAATTAAGAAGCCAAAATGTATTATGTATCAAACTATGTTATAGAATTGTCCTATTCAAAATATGGCATCTAATAGCTAATTGGAGGAAAGTGGTTTTTGTTCTTAGAATGGAAATACCCTAAACATAGGTAAGTGAATTGTGTCACATTATGAGGCTGAAAAAAATCAGGTCATATTCCCAGGGGTCATGTGCTTCTGGCTAGCTGTCATCTCCCCTCCCTATTTTGGGAATAATAAGCTGTGGGGTTTTGTAATGTGAGGTTGTCATGTGCTTGTGGAAGAAAAATTCAGGAACTAGAAGAA
Source organism: Homo sapiens (assembly GCF_000001405.40). NCBI lineage: Eukaryota > Metazoa > Chordata > Mammalia > Primates > Hominidae > Homo > Homo sapiens. The sequence goes on along the minus strand of NC_000006.12, from coordinate 74,639,816 downwards.
GAAATGAAGGAATAATATCTTAGGCAGTTTCCATTATACAGTGAATAGATTCATGAGAAAAATCAGAAAAGAGATAATATGGCACTTTACACCAGGGGTAGGCAAACTTTTCTATAGAGGGACAATTAGTAAATATTTTCAGTTTTGTAGGCCATACTGCCTCCATTATAACCACTCAATCTGTTATTGTACTGTGAAAGGAGACATAGACAATATGTAAATGAGTGAACATAGCTGTATTCTAATATAACTTTATTAACACTGAAATTTGATTTTCGTACAATTTTTATGTGTCACAAAATACTCTTCTTCTTTTGATTTGCTTTCAATCATTTACAAGTGTAATATCAATGATTCTTAGCTCCTAGACCATATAAAAACAGGCAGCAGGCCAGATTTGACCTGTCTTAGATGGATGGATGAATTTTTGTCCGGATGGAAAAACAAGGCTAGGAATCAGAGAATTTGCCTGAGCAGCATCCATATACCACATTGCTCTGCCTGTGGTGAATATGGCCGGAGCTGATCACACCCAGTTCTGCTTGGACTAGCACCCAAAGACACTGTGGGTACAGAATAGTAGTGAGGAGTAAACAAAGCATGTCCTTTGAACTGTTAAGACAGTTTTGGCTTTGGGGTCTTCATGGTTAATGTCTGTCTTCTCCAAAAGCCTGATATTTCAGGGAAGGTAAAGGCTGTGTACAATACCTGGCACATAATAGCAATCTTTACATATTAGATAAACTGAATAGGCCAGTGACTGTTAGACCCCTAGCAAACATATACCCAATCTGTTCAAAATGAATACATTCAATTGCTTTATGATAACAATTCTGAGGTGGGAAGACAAAATAAAATATTATAACATAAGAGGCAGAGCAGAAGCTTTTATTTGTTCAGCTAAAAAATCACATACAATCTTCAAATGAACTTGATAGTTAAATGACCAAAAAGGTGTTACTTAAATGCAACACTATGCATTATGAATAGAACTTCATAAAGTTGTTAAGTCTATATAAAGTTACTATAAACTTTAGCTGATATATAAAGAATAACACGAGAACCGGACCTAATGAAGCATGTCTGCTTCAGCTCAAGTACAGAAGCCCAGCTCATTCTCTGCCACTGAATCAAATTAGGAGCAGATGGTAATTTGGACCAGATGAAGTTTCAAAGGGCAGAGATGCAGGACATTCCGAAGCACACATTGAACTTTTTTCCACAAAGACTAATGTTCATTACTGTGACATTGTAGCCACTGAACTTATACATGGCAACTGAATTACCTTGACAGTAATGCAATTCATTTTTACAGGCTGACATCATTCAGTATTTTGGGAAAATTAATAGGAATCAGTGACTTTATTAGTTACTTTGTCATGTTTTTACATGCTCTGTTCTACAAGTACTGCTTCTTTACACAAAATAAAAGTCCTTTTATATTTTGCTTTGCTTTATTCATATTAAATCATTCAGTTTCAGCCAAAATTAATATTTTATTAAGCCAGCAAAATAAACTTTCTGTGAGTGTATGCAGTGAAGTTCATTTATAGCTATTCTATTACATATTCCATTTTTCTGTCTGTATAATTCCAACATATTCTTTAAACAAAAAGCAAATATTTAAGTTAAAGTGTTTCTGACTTTAGTATAATGCAGAAACACACTTTTTTCAATTTTAGAACACTATTTGGCAACCACTTATCAGAAGGGTTTGTGGGAGGAGCCACATGAAAATGTATTATTATTTTATTTATCCCCAATAGGAGCCCATGAATATTACTCTAGTAGTGGCTCTGACCACGAGTCACCAACCATGACAGGGAGATCATGTCTACTGTGGATAGATCATGCTGTTTAACTTTAAAGGTTAAACAGATCAGCACAAAAAGCAAGTCCTGACTGGAAGTAGTCAGATTGTAATAAGTAGGGGACAGTTTGGAGTAGATAAAAGAGAATACCAATGTGATTACCCTTTTCAAGAAGCTTTCAGCGATACACTGAACACTGTGATCTAGCCCACTGGATTACCTATTTCTTGTTAAACCCACCTCTGCTTTATTTCTTTGTGCTTTTGTGGGAGCACAAAGCTATTTCCTTTCCCTTGAAACTCATATCATACGTCCCTATCTTCTTTAGGACCCTAGAACCCAAGCCTGTGGTATCTCACTCTTCCAAATGTCCATAGCAGTTATTAGTTTAACACAGAGGTTGCAAGCTTAGCTGCATATGGAGGTCAGGATCTTAATGAATGAACTGGGCTGGCTGTAGCAAGATAGTTCCTTACAGAGCCTCAATATTGGATGCAACTTACCCCTTTTGGATAAAGCTGCCTTCCTTCCAAGCCATGCACGTGAATTACATGGGAATATGGGCCTGATGTTGCCATGAGTGATAAGTTTTAAAAAAAAAGTGCAATCTTAATGTGAAAATTTCAAGTGTTGGCAACACTAAATTCTCAAATATCTGCATTCTATATTTTTGCTTGAAAGGAATCAGACCGGTACCCGTTCTTTAACTACTTATTTGGAATCAATTTATATATGATGCTTTGAGTGTTTGACATTTACCATATGAGCATCATAAACATTTATTTAAATAGGTTGTAGTTTTAGAATACATATTAGGGATTTTTTTTCTCTACCCAAATAAAATACAGACTCCATTAGGGGAGATTATATCTTATACAGTTTTATTTCAGAACTACAGGGTGACATATGCATAAAAGTGTTGAATAAATAACAATTTGGTTGATAAACTAATTTTTTAAAAGAATGTAAAAATTATGACAAGGAGGTATAAAAAGTAAAATGGGAAAGAATAATGAAAAATTTTTAATAAAATTTGTATTAAAAGTGATACCTACTTTTGACCCCAAAGAAACCTTTGTTACAAGGCTCAAATGAGACATAGGATGAGAAAAAATCCCTTTGTAAATTGAAAAGGACTATAGATATGTTCAGGGTGTTATTTTAGAAAAAATCAGGGCAGCTTTTGAACTTCTGTAACAAAATAAACAGTGTCCTACAACTTTATTGGCTCATTCATTGATGGTTAATTATTGTATCTATTTGGGGTCTATAGTTGGTAGTTTAATATAAAAAACACCTCTGGGTAAAATTTTCATTCCTTTAGGTTTTCTTCACTATGTATTAATTTCCTTTAAAAATAATCCTGTTTTTTAGATTTGAGAAAGTCCATGCATGGGAGCAGGACAAAGAGAAATAATCTGATCATCCCTAAGAGGTTTCAAGGTAGAGTATATGTACTGTTATTTTACTTTTCTTTGCTTACTCTAGTACGATAGCTCTCTCAAGACAAACATTTTTAACAGAAAGTTGTTGTGAATGAATAACCTCTTTAAGGGAAAGAAGTAAGGTAATTTGGATGAAAATTTAAGTTTTATACTATACTGAAGATGGAAATTATGAAAAAAACTATACCTTCTCTTTGTGTCCTTATTGAAAAGTTTTGTATGCACACATTTGAAAAATAGAAAAATGAAATAAAATGTTATTATTTTTATCTCAAGAAACAAGTTTTCTGACCTACTTGAGATATTAAGGAGGGAAGTCTGTTTGCAGTTAAAAGAGAGAGACCATTTATCAGGTCAACTTCCAGTACACGTTAAGTTTTTAGAGGACATCATTGTGCTCTAATTTTTTTCCCCATTCTCCTGAACTGGGGACCTTCTAATGTTTGAAAGGACTGCCCTTCAAGTGGCCAGAGGTTAACCCAAACCTCCCTTTTCACATTTCTATTCGGGTTCTAAATTTCGGATGCCCTTGGAATCCAGACAAGCCATATCCTGACTGCCAAATCTTAGTGAGAAATGGCAAGCAGATAAAAAGGAAAGTGTCATGAAACCTTCCCATGGGTAACCAGGAGGAGAGTCAACAGTGAAAGTGTGGCTGGGAGCAGGCCTGGTTGGTCAAGAAGGTACTGAGAGACTCAGGGCCTCTTTGATATGTGGTCAGTCATAAGGCTTCATCTGTAAGTCTCACTGTTTTTTTTGGTGGGGGGGCATTTTTCAGTGGATTTAAGACCTGAAAAAATATTTATGAAATGCAAAATGACATTTTGTGTATTTTGTTTTTGATGAACAAGCTTATTTAATCAGTCTGGATTACTTGCATTTTATGTGTGAAACAGATTAAGAAAAGAAAAATGTTCATCCAAAGACCAATGTAGAAGGGAAGTGATCTTTCTGTTTAAGATTCTTCCAGTGAAGACTAGCATGCTTAAGAAAACATTTTTGTTGTTTATTTGCTGATGACATTGAGAACTGCCAATATCTGAGGAATAAGTTTGTCATAACTTTCAGGATGTGAAGAATTTGGGTCCCCTATGTTTTCTGTAACTAATCATGTTACTCTCAAGTTTCCATTCTGGCCCTCTGGCTCACATGATAACTAACTTTTAAGTGCCCCACTGGAATTTTTGAAAGGTGAGAAAGAGTGAGGAAGGGAAAGGGGCATATGGAATGTTCTAGGCAGAGGCAGGCAGGAGAAAATAGTAGGTACAAAGGTCTGCAAGAAGCTGCTTGTACCTAGAGCCTAGAAATAAGAAGGGCCAAGTGAAGAAGGACTTTCTAACCTTATTTTAAAGTGTTTGAACTTTATCTCCAGGGCCATCGAAGGGTTTAGTTCAGAGAAGTACATAATTTTATTTTCATATGCCAGATATTTGATCATCTAGAAAGGCAATTAATATCAAATAGAATACATGACTGTAGCAGAAGGGGGGCCATTCTTTTCCTTTGACTTGACCTCACTCCTATACATACACCTCATATGTCCCTGTGTGATGATCTGCTTCAGATGCAGTAAATACAAATTCCAATCTCCCCTCCCCCAAATCATCCCCTAAAAACCCCCAGGGCTCAGGAGGCAAAACTAAATAATAGGAGGTGAAAGTCCTCCTTATGATAGAGACAACAGAGTGATGACACAAAAGCACAAGCAACACATTTAATTTAATCCAATGTGACAAAAATTTATTGAGCACCTATTTTGTCTCTGACACAGTGAAGGTACTGAGATTAACACAAAATAAAATAGCTAATCTCATTCTGATATGAATATGTTGTTACACAATTACTATTCAATATGATGAGTCAATATCATGCCAAAGGAAGTTATAAAGTCAAAAACTATGTCTAAAGTTATTTTCCAAATACTATGGAAATACAGATGAATGTACTGTTAACTGTTCAGACAAAGAAAAACCACAGCACTTTGGGAGGCCGAGGCGGGAAGATCATGAGGTTAGGAGATCAAGACCATCCTGGCTAACACGGTGAAACCCCGCCTCTACTAAAAATACACACACACAAAAAAAATTAGCCGGGTGTGGTGGTGGGTGCCTGTAGTCCCATCTACTCGGGAGGCTAAGGCAAGAGAATGGTGTGAACCCAGGAGGCAGAGCTCGCAGTGAGCCGAGATTGCGCCACTGCACTCCAGCCTGGGTGACAGAGCGAGACTCTGTCTCAAAAAAAAAAAAAAAAGAAAAAGAAAAACGACATTTATAAAAATGGACAAGAATGGAGGATAGAAAAGAACATACTTTTCTGTATTTATTAAATACCTTTTCATTTCTTAATTCAATCATTTACTCATTTATCAATCAACTCATCAATCAGTTAGGTAGTAAAGACTTATTGAATACCAAACATGCCAGGCATTGCGTTTGGTGCTAACTATACCAGGAAAAATATAACAAGTTCCTAGCCCTTATGGATGCACAGATAAATAAGACCATGCTTGCACTTATGAGGATTAAAATATATACATGACTACAGCAACTTATATGTGTAGAACTTCTCAAAGACAAATTGTTTTAATACACATCACCCAATTCAGTTTTTGTAACAATATTTTTATGAAACTTACCACAGTCTTTTGAATTAACAAAAGTTATATTCAGAATTGTGTCTTAAATCTTGATCATCATCCCAAGGCCCAAGTTCTGCACACCAAACAAGGTTGAATGGACTCAACCTTGACTCAACTCCTCAGAAAGAAGAGAGAGAAAGAGAGAGAGAGACTCAGGGATGTGCCACATTCCAGGCAAAAGAAGCTAGCTATAAGTTTGTGAAGATAAAAGATGGTAGGACTTAAATGACTATAGATCCTGAAATAGGACACTCCAGGATGAAAGTAAGCAAGAGGTGGGATATTAGAAACCACATCTGGGTACGTCTTCCATTTGGTAGGAATATAGGGTTTTTATAGGGTATGGGAAATATGGGAGGAAAGATAGGTAAGGATCAAATTCTCCAGTGTCATAGAAATTATAATCTGTATGGAGCAGGGAACAACTCTCCTCAAATAGCTTAAATAAAAAGAAGGAACATGGACTAGAAAAATTATTAAAGTTCTTTCAGTTCTAACGTTTCATCACTTTTCCATACTATGTCTTCTAAATAGAAAATCTTATCAATAAATAATCCTGGAAATGTTAATAATCTAAGTAAATCTTATTTTCAAATAGTCTGAAATGCCAATTAATTTTTCTATAAAATAGCTTTGGTCATTTTCTCCTAATAGAATATTATCAATTGACCACAGATCAAAATCTGGGACCGCTAGAGCTTTAGTACATTGTTTAATGTTCAATAGATAGTTATTGTATTGATCAACTATTTACGAATTATATAAGCTTTTTGGAGCCTAGATATACTCATTAGTAAAAATAATAAGAAGAGCATATTTGCTGTCTATGGTGCCTTCTGAGTTCTTTGAGTCAAAACATCTCAGGTGAGTAGTGCACAATATAAGTAATCCACATCTAATGTTATTCAAACAGAGTGTTACGTTCTGAGACCAAAAATCACATTATTACAATGGAAAAAGAAAGCTCAAACAGAATATTCCATGTATATTCCTTTGAGGAAGTATTAAACACACAAGGCCATCAGTTGATACTTCTTTTGTTTAAATAAACTTAATAGAGTATTTATTGGGACAGACAGATCTCTCAGCCCTTCCATATTTTCAAAGGCATATATGATAATTTTAACCTTGTGAGCTACAAGCTTGCATAGCCATGCAAGAGATAAAGCAAAGCTTAGCCATAAAAGGTCACAGACTGCCTCAGAGAATTGGAGACTTGCAGAGCTAAAACTGGATGGTCTTTCCTGAAGGTTCAGCCTCTAGAGAGGAGCAGAGCGTAATTTAATCCTGAAATTATGGGTCTGAGCAAAGGACTAAAAATTCAAAGTTTTGCTTTATAAATATAGACTGAAATGTGAATCAGTGAATGAATCTTTGCTAAAATACAGCCCCACCCAGAAGATTATGGATTGCATCTGGGACATTCTGTTTTTAGGCAGCAACAAAGACCACCTTTCACCACAAATATGCACTCTAGATTAAGAGTACTTTTCTACTAAGGAAAAAAATGGAAATCATTTTCAAAATTTCAAAATTTATCCTCAGTACTGGTAAAAGTATTATTGGGATGAATAAGTTAAAGTTTGCTTAAAAGGACAGAACAGAGATTGGTCAACTTTTTTTATAAAGTGTCAGATAGTAAACATTTTAGGCTTTGCAAGCCACACAGTCTGTGACCCAACCATTCAACTCTGTCCTTGGTTGTGAAAGAAATCATAGACTATGGGTAAATGAATGGGAATGGCTGTGTTACAAAATAATTTTATTTACAAAAACAGGTGTTGGATCAGATTTGGCTTCTAGGCCTTAGTTTTCCATATCTCATGATACAAAAATTTTCCAAAACTAGATGATGCTCAAGAACCATCTAGGAAGCTTTTTCAAAAATACAGCTTTCTGGGCTGTCCCTCAAGGGATTCTGATACAGTGGAGGTAGATAGTAGGGAAGTAAACTTTGAGAAACCCCATGATGAACTGTTTTCAAATGCTCATGATGTAAAACAACACTATAATGAAATTAATTTGCACAGACTGTAGTGTAGCCTTGGAGACCAGAAGATAGCAACTGTTTATGTATAACCCCAGACACGCAGGACCTGTGATGTAATATATTCCAGAGACATCTGATCAGCCATCGGCTTGCAGAGAGGTGTCCTATTAACATTTAAGAGCCATCCAACCCTCTCTTAACAAACCTGAGTCATTGTCACAGTGACTATGCAGTTTAATTCCTTGATCTCTGTCCCAGTTAACTCTACTTTGTTGTTATTTCCCCTTTTGAATAATTTCAAACACACAGAATTCCTTATAAATCCATTTTTAATGCTGGAAGTTTTTAATAATGGTCATAAATTTAAAGGTCTTAATCACATATGTAGCATTTTTATAGGATTTATTGAGGTCTATTACTTTCTATTTTCTTTGGTATCTGGTAAGATTTAGTTGGCCTTCCTATCTTGTGGATTTCATAGATATAAAATAAGGAATGTGTGCTGTGTTGCCCAGAGCTATAACTTTTTCATGCAGTCAACAGGAGTAACTCAAAAGAAAAGCTAAAAAATCATTTTTGAATTTTCTGATGTCATAAAATAATTGTGACATAAACTCTCTCGATGTGTAATTCAATCTTGAACTTACTTGAGGATGTAATTAGTGGAAAACCCCAGATAAGCTGGAGTTCACGTATCTCTCGTGGTACACAGACTTTCTAAGAGACAAGTGGAAATGGGGAGTCATAAGGGAATCTATTTCTAAGTTCTCACCTTCTTTAGGTACTCTTTCCTAAAACTGACTTGCCCCTGGAATGTGTATGTTGAAGTCATTCAGTCAGGGCCAGCTTCATGGGCATGTGATCTGTGCAGCAGCACAGGGTCACACCCTGGTTTAATGTTCTCTGTCACCATCTGAAAATTCTTAATAATTTTTTTAATAAAAAGGGCTCTACATTTCTGGTTCACAAATTAAGTAGCTGGTCCTGGATTTAAGTGTCACTCTGGTTCTGCTTTATGACACCTCCTTTTCCCATTTTAGAAAAGATAGTTATAACTCTCATTTATCAATCTTACTAAAATACATTCCCCTGGAAGAAGGGGAAGGCGGGGTGGGGGAGTGGATGATGTAAAAGAGCCTTCTGGATGCAAATAAAGGGACAATTCAAAATATTGATTAAGGCCTGGGCCGGCTATTTTGTCTGTCTCTGTTATATACATATGTCCTTAACGTTAAACTTGATTTTAGAACTTTGAGATTGTGTCATGTGTGTAACTGTTCTGAATTCCCAGAGTAATAAGAATTTTTATTCTTGTACTCATTGATTTCATCCTTGGGCTGCCTTCAAAGAATACAGTGCTCTGGAGGGAGGTTCCCCTGTGGGCAAAGTAAAGGAAACAGTACTGAAGGTAGCAGCACCTCATTCCATCCAGGTCCCCAGTTCTGGGCAAGGTCCTGAGGACATATTGAGCTCCTGAGGATTTATTCATCCTTCTGCTCCATCTCCCTGCCAACCTTACTTAGCTCTTTTAGAATTCCAATTCAAAATTATGATGCTTGCCTTGAGGTTGAGTACTAACACAGTTATTTAAAAAGGAAAGATGAAATCAGACACTTTTGGAAAGAACCTATGTCAGATAGGTTGATAATTGAGGACTGGCCTGGTAATTGTATTTTTATGGGGCTATTTTCCATACATTAAATTAAGTATATGTGAAGTTTCAATGCTTTTTATTTATAAAACCATTTCTGGACACATATTATTTGCCAGCCATTATTCTAGGTGTTTGGGGAGGGAGGGAGGGAGAGAGAGAGAGAGAGAGAGAGAGAGAGAGACAGTGGGGAGAGGCAGAGTGGGGGGATGGAGAGAGAGAGAGAAAGGAAGGAAGGAAGGAAAAAGAAAGAAAGAAAAGAGAAAGAAAGAAGAGGAAGAGGAAGAAGAGAAGGAAGGGAGGGAAGGAGGGAGGAAGGAAGGAAAGGAAGGAAGGAAGGAAAAAGCAAGCAAGCTTACTGACTTCCACATGGAGCTTACATGCTAGTAAGTGAAAACAGACAAGGAAACATAAATACACAAGATAAGTAAATTATGTATGTGTATGTCCTGGGCTTTTTTTTTTGGTTGATAAGCTATTAATTATTGCCTCAATTTCAGAGCTTGTTATTGGTCTATTCAGGGATTCAGCTTCTTCCTGGTTTAGTCTTGGTAGGGTGTATGCGTCCAGGAATTTATCAATTTCTTCTAGATTTTCTAGTTTATTTGCATAGAGGTGTTTATAGTATTCTCTGATGGTAGCTTGTATTTCTGTGGGGTCAGTGGTGATATCCCCTTTATTATTTTTTATTGTGCCTATTTGATTCTCTCTTTTCTTCTTTATTAGTCTAGCTGGTGGTCTATCTATTTTGTTAATTTTTTCAAAAAACAATCTCCTGGATTCACTGATTATTTTGGAGGGTTTTTCTTATCTCTATCTCCTTCAATTCTTCTCTGATCTTAGTTATTTCTTATCTTCTGCTAGTTTTGGATTAGTTTGCTCTTGCCTCTCTAGCTGTTTTAATTGTGATGTTAGATCTTTTTAGCTTTCTGACGTGGGCATTTAGTGCTATAAATTTCCCTCTTAACACTGCTTTAGCTGTGTCCCAGAGATTCTGGTATGCTGTCTCTTTGTTCTCATTGGTTTCAAATAACTTCTTGATTTCTGCCTAAATTTCATTATTTATCCAGGAGTCATTCAGGAGCAGGTTATTCAATTTCTATGTAATTGTGTGGTTTTGAGTGAGCTTCTTAATCCTGGGTTCTAATTTGATTGCATGGTGGTCTGAGAGACTGTTTGTTATGATTTCAGTTCTTTTACATTTGCTGAGGAGTGTTTTACTTCCAATTGTGTGGTCAATTTTAGAATAAGTACCATGTGGCACTGAGAAGATTGTATACTCTATTGATTTGGGGTAGAGGATCTGTAGACATCTACCAGGTCCACTTGATCCAGAACTGAGTTCAAGTCCTGAATATCCTTGTTAATTTTATGTCTCATTGATCTGTCTAATACTGACAGTGGGGTGTTAAAGTATCCCACTATTATTGTGTGGGAGTGTCTGTTTGTAGGTCTCTAAGAACTTGCTTTATGAATCTGGGTGCCCCGGTATTGGGTGCATATATATTTAGGATAGTTAGCTCTTCTTGTTGCATTGATCCCTTTACCATTATGTAATGCCCTTCTTTGTCCTTTTTTATCTTTATTGATTTAAAGTCTATTTTGTCAGAACTAGTATTGCAACCCCTGCTATTTTGTGCTTTCCATTTGCTTGGTAAATTTTCCTCCATCCCTTTTTTTTGAGCCTATGTGTGTCTTTGCACATGAGATGGGTCTCCTGAATACAGCACACCAATGGTTGTTGACTCTTTATCCAATTTGCCAGTCTGTGTCTTTTAATTGTGGGCACTTAGCCCATTTACATTTAAGGTTAGTATTGCTATGTGTGAATTTGATCCTGTCGTCATGATGCTAGCTGGTTATTTTGCACATTATTTGATGCAGTTTCTTCATAGTGTTATCTGTCTTTATATTTTGGTGTGTTTTTGCAGTAGCTGGTACCAGTGTTTCCTTTCCATATTTAGTGCTTCTTTCAGGACCTCTTGCAGGGCAGGCCTGGTGGTAATGAAATCACTCAGAATTTGCTTGTCTGAAAAGGATTTTATTGATCCTCTGCTTATGAAGCTTAGTTTGGCTGTATATGAAATTATGGGTTGAAAATTCTTTAAGAATGTTGAATATTGGCCCTCAATCTCTTCTGGATAGTAGAGTTTCTGCTGAGAGTTTCACGTTAGTCTGATGGGCTTCACTTTGTAGGTGACCTGGCTGTTCTCTCTGGCTGCCTTAACAGTTTTTCCTTCATTTGAACATTGGAGAATCTGATGATTATGTCTTGGGGTTGATCTTCTCATGGAGTATCTTAATGGTGTTGTCTGAATTTCCTGAATTTGCATGTTGGGCTGTCTTGCTAGGTTGGGGAAGTTCTCCTGGATAATATCCTGAAGTGTGTTTTCCAGCTTGTTTCCATTCTCTCTGTCTCCTTCTGGTACCCCAGTCAGTCATAGGTTCAGTCTTTTTATGAAGTCCCACATTTCCTGGAGGTTTTGTTCATTCCTTTTCATTCTTTTTTCTCTAGTCTTGTCTGCATGCCTTATGCCAGAAAAGTGGTCTTCAAACTCTGATATCCTTTCTTCTGCTTTGTCAGTTCAGCTATTGATACTTGTGCATGCTTCACGAAGTTCTCAAGCTGTGTTTTTCAGCTCCATCAGGTAGTTTATGTTCCTCTCTAAACTGGTTATTCTAGTTAGCAATTCCTTTAACCTTTTATAAAAGTTCTTAGCTTGTTTGCATTGGGTTAGAACATGCTCCTTTAGCTCAGCATAGTTTTTTATTACCCATCTTCTAAAGCCTACTTCTGTCAATTTGTCCATCTGATCCTCCATCCAGTTCTGTGCCCTTGATGGAGAGACACTGTGATCATTTGGAGGAGGAGAGGCACTCTGGCCTTTTGGGTTTTCAGCATTTTTTTCCAATTCTTTCTCATCTTCATGAGTTTGTCTAGTTTTGGTCTTCAAGGCTGTTGACCCTTAGATGGGGTTTTTTGGGGGCTTTTGTTGTTGTTGTTATTGTTGATGCTGTAGTTGTTGCTTTCTGCTTGTTTTTCTTTCAATGGTTAGGTTCCTCTTCTGTAGGGCTGCTGTGGTTTGCTGGGGGTTCACTTCAGGCCCTATTCATCTGATTTGCTCCTGCACCTGGAGATGTCACTCAGAGAGGCTGGAGAACAGCAAAAATGGGTGTCTGCCCCTTCTTCTGGGACCACTGACCTCAAGGGGCACCAACCTGATGCCAGGAGGATCACTCCTGTATAAGGTGTCCGACAACCCCTGTTGGAGGGTCTCACCCAGTTGGTGGCACGGGGAATAGGACCCATTTAATGAAGCACTTTGTCCCTTGGTGGAGGGGGTGTGCCTTGCTGTGGGGAAACCCACTTTTCTGGGCTGCCTGGATTCCTCAGAACTACCAGGAGGAAAGGCTAGGTCTGCTGGTTTGCAGAGACTACAGCCACCCCTCCTTCTAGGGGCTCAGGCCCAGGGAGATCCGGGTTCTGTCCCTGAGCCTAAGGCTGGAGTTATTGGAGTTCCTCCTGCAGGAAAGCCCTGCCCAATGATGATGCACGGGTCAGGGTCAGGCCTGAAGGGGCACTCTGGCCACAGACTGCTACGGCCAGTGTATTAGGCTGTGGGGGACAAGTCTTAGGACCAAGCCATCCAGCCTCCCTGGCTCTAGCAGGGTAAAAGTGCAGCCTGTAGCTACAGAGCTGGATGCCACCCTTCCCCTATCCAGGGAGCTTACTGTGTTAGGCAGTTGCCAGTCCCAGTGCTGGCTGCTGCCCCTCCCCCAAGGAGCTCAAACAGCTTAGAAAGCAGGCAGCCACAGCTGCAGATATGGGTCACCCCTTCCCGCAGGTGTTTGGTAGGCTTAAGCAGATTCCAGCTGAGAGGCTTTTGAGAATCTGCACATTCCAGGGTTGGGACAGTTAGGCCTCAGTGACGAGGGTTCAAGAGTGGGATTTTCCAATCTGTGGGTTGCACTCTTCCGTGGAAAAAGCATGGTTTCCCAGGCCAGGTAGCATGCTCACTCATTGCCTCCCTTGGCTGGGAGGAGGGGGCTCCCCTGTGCTGTATGGCTCTCAGGTAGGCCACCACATCACACTGTTCTTCCTTCTCTCTGTGGGTCATGCCAGCCTCCTAGTCAGTTCTGATGAGAGAACCTGGATATCTTGGTTGCTGGTGAAGGATTCACATGCTTATTCTGTTTTGTTTTGTTTTTCTAATGGGAGGCTCTGAACGCCACTGTTTCTGGTTGGCCATCTTGACCCTGCCTCCTCTAATCTGTTTTTATAGTAGATGATGGTGGGTATCAAGTTGCTGTTTTTTATATTCCATTGAGTACATTGAGAAGAGTCATATAACACTATATCAACATCTATAGTATGTTGTAAATTACATTCTCTAAAATTATTTATACCTGTGTTGAATATTTTTAGATGTTAAACATGTGTGAGGGGCCAGAGTTTTTCAAAATTATTTTAGGAGGAATGTCAGTACAAATTTTGTAGACCACCAAACCACTGGTTTGGGCTTTATCTCTGTTCTAAAAATCCTATCCTTCCTTGGGTTCCTTACCATTCCATCATCTGTTTATCTTCCAATATCTCTGACCTTTTCCCTGCCTGTTTGCTTGCTTCTCTTTCCCATATAATTTTCAAACTATAGATAATAGTGTTTTTCCATAGTCTTCTCACTTCTGTGTCACACATTCAGTCTCAGAGTTATCTCATTCACTTTACTATTCAGTTCTGACCTCCTCGCAGAGGATTCTAAACATAATTTGTGGCTGTGTTAACATGGTTGTAAACTGTAATGCCTCGTTGCCAACAGTAGGCTGGTAGTGGTATCTCAAACTCAAAGAGTTCCAACTCCCCCCAAATAAAATAATTTTTTTCTTCTGCATTTACTGCAATTGTTTTATCATTTAATCAGTAACACTAGCTTGAAACTTTAATTTCCTTTCTCTCCTATACTCCATCATTGACTTTTTTATCTTCAAAAATTTCTGAGTATTTATGGTTTAGTGAAAATATACACAGAACAGTGAGAGAATTGACTCAGTAACTGAATATTCCTTCTCTCCTTGATGCCAAAATAATTAATAAGAAACCTCATAACCAGTGAGTGGTTGATACTTTCAGTAATGATTTGTAATGTGGATTTGTTCATTTATTAAAATAGAATTCCTTCTAATTATTGATTCTAAAGTAATATTGATGAATTGGAATTCACATTTTATATCTCAATGTAATTATTTGTTTAAGTTCAAATTTAGGAGATAGTGACAAATAAGAGAGAAAAGACTTATTTAGCAAACAACAAAGTGTTCTTTTAATCCAATCTTTTATACAACCTTCACTATGAAGATGCACAACATGTTTATAAAACTACTGTAGAAAATTTCTAATCATCAATGCATACATTTTCATAAAATATTAATAAAACAGCAAAGTGTGCTGTTTAAGTGACTCCATTTTAAATTAAAAGGTTTACTTTATTAATCATGTATTTACTAGAAAATGAAATTACTTACAATATATCATATCTTTAGTATAATGAACAAGACTTTGTTGGTTTGTTTTCAAATGTAGAGAGAATGATCTGTTTCATACCAAAATTGGTGGCACTTACAACTACTCATAGAAATTATTTTTCCCAAAAATTACATATTTTAAAATTAAGAAGAGTAAATTGTGAGTCAAGGAAAAATACTAAGAATAATAAAATGTTCCTCTAAATTAAAACAGAAGGGATATTGTATTAGTCTGTTCTTACACTGCTGTAAAGAAATACCTGAGACTGGGTAATTTATAAAGGAAAGAGGTTTAATTGACTCACAGTTCAGCATGGCTGGGGAGACCTCAAGAAACTTACAATCATGGTGGAAGGTGAAGGGGAAGCAAGGCAACTTCTTCACAAGGCTGCAGGAAGGAGAAGTGCTGAGTGAAAAAGGAAGAGCCCCTTATAAAACCATCAGATCTCATGAGAACTCACTATCACAAGAGCAGCATGGGGGAATCCACCCCCATGATTCAATTAACTCCACCTGGTCTCTCCCTTGACATGTGGGGATTATGGGGATTACAATTCAAGATAAGATTTGGGTGGGGACACTAAGCCTAACCATATCATTCTTCCCCTGGCACCTCTGAAATCTCATGTCCCCCTCACATTTCAAAACTAGTCATGCCTTTCCAATAGTCCCCCAAAGTCTTAATTCATTCTGGAATTAACCTAAAAGTCTAAGTTCAAAGTCTCATCTGAGACAAGGCAAGTCCCTTCCACCTATGAGCTTTTATAATCAAAAGCAAGTTAGTTACTTCCTAGATACAATGGGGGTACAGGCATTGGATAAACATACCCATTAGAAATGAGAAAAATTGGCCAAAACGAAGGGTGTACAGGCCCCATGCAAGTCCGAAACCCATCAGGGCAGTCAAATTGTAAAGCTCCAAAATGATCTCCTTTGACTCCATGTCTCACATCCAGGTCACACTGATGCAAGAGGTGGGCTCCCACAGCCTTGGGCAGCTCCACCCCTGTGGATTTACAGGGTACAGCCTCCCTCTCAGTTGCTTTTGTGGGTTGACATTTAGTGTCTGTGGCTTTTCCAAACTTATGGTGATGGTACAAGCTGTTGGTGGATCTACTATTTGGGGTCTGAAGGATGGTGGCCCTCTTCTCACAGCTGCAATAGGCAGTGCCACAGTGGGGACTCTGTGTGTGGCTCCAACCCCACATTTCCCTTCTGCACTGCCCTAGCAGAAGTTATCCATGAGGGCTTCATACCTGTAGTAAACTTCTGACTGGACATCCAGGCATTTCCTTAGGTCCTCTGAAATTTAGGTGGAGGTTCCCAAACCTCAATTCTTGACTTCTGTGCAACTGCAAGCCCAATACAATGTGGAAGCCACCAAGGCTTGGGGCTTGCACCCTCTGAAGCAACAGCCTGAGCTCTGTGTTGACCCCTTTTAGCCATGGCTGGGATGCAGGGCATGAAGTCCTCAGACTGCACAAAGCAGCAAGGCCCTGGGCCTGACCCATGAAACCATTTCATCCTCCTAGGCCTCTGGGCCTGTGATGGGAGGGGCCGCCATAAAGACCTCTGATATGTCCTGAAGAACTTTTTCCCATTGCCTTGGCAATTAACATTTGGCTCCTCATTACTTACGCAAATTTCTACAGATAGCTTAAATTTTTCCCCAGATAATGGGTTTTTCTTTTCTATTGCATCATCAGGTTGCAAATTTTCTAAACTTTTATGCTCCGCTTCCCTTTTAAACATAAGTTCCAATTTCAGATTGTCTCTCTCAAGTTCAAAGTTCCACAGATCTCTAGAGCAGGGGCAAAATCCTGCCAGCCTCTTTGCTAAAGCATAGCAAGAGTGACCTTTACTCCAGTTCTCAGTAAGTTCCCTATATCTATCTGAGATCACCTCAGCCTGGACTTCATTGTCCATATCACTATCAGCATTTTGGTCAAAATCATTCAACAAGTCTCTAGGAAGTTCCAAACTTTCCCACATCTTCCTGCCTTCTCTGAGCTCTCCAAACTGTTCCAACCTCTGTCCATTACCCAGTTCCAAAATTGCTTTCACATTTTTGGGTATCTTTAGAGCAGCACCTTACTATATCGGTACCAAGTTACTGTATTAGTCCATTCTCATGCTGCTATAAAGAAGTAATTGAGACTGGTTAATTTATAAAGGAAAGAGGCTTATTTGAGTCACAGTTCAGCATGGCTGGGGAGGCCTCAAGAAATTTACAATCATGGCAGAAAGTGAAGGGAAAGCAAGGCACCTTCTTCACAAGACATCAGGGGAAAAAAGTGCTGAGCAAAGTGGGAAGAGCCCCTTATAAAACCATCATATCTCATGAGAACTCACTCACTATCATGAGAACAGCATGGAAGACACTGCCCCCATGAGTCATTTACCTCCACCTGGTCTCTCCCTTGACATGTGGGGATTAGGGGGATTACAATCCAAGATTAGTTTTGGGTGGGGACACAAAGCTTAACCATATCAAATACCAAATAAAAATAGTAACTTATGTTGTCAAAGATATTGGGTAAACTTAGCAAGAAGACTAGAGAAAACTGTTACTTATTATTAGATACATTCAATTCCTTTACTTTATGGCATCATTTATGCCATAATTTTGACAAAGAATAGATGGAATATAGACTGTTTTTTTCTGAGAAAAATATGTTCTAATAGAGAAAAGAGTAGTAATTAGATAATTTCAATATAACTGAGATTCTATAAAGATGATATAGAACTTTATTAACATGGTTTTTAACTTATGCAAGTAGTTTTTCATTCTAAATACTGTAAAATGTATTAATTTATTAAGTCAGAAAGCCAAGTGATTTTGTGTTTTTTTAAGTTATTAGTTGACTAAATTTGTGTTAGTACCCATAGGGACCAATGTAGTTTGGGCATATAAAAATATACAATAATTTTATTTTAATGACATCGCTAAACTGTTACATATATTTTAAGTAAAAATGTTCTCAGACTTTTATGCTAATAGTTAAATTTTACACTATGTCACTTAATACAATGAAAGAGTAAATGTTTACATATATCAAGATAAAAACTGGTTTACTTCTTTTATAAAGAAAGTAACAAGTAGATACCTAGTAGATTCAACTTCTTTAAAAACACAATTAACTTGATTAAAAAATTCAAAAGATCAGTGTTCTCACCCATTAAAAATTTAGCTGTGATTAAAGACAATATCATTATGCTTTGATTTCTTCAATCTATAAGGATAAGAACTAATACCTTACCTTCACAAAATTATTTAAAAACTTAATTGAAAACTAAATATGCCTTATTAATATACTGCTTACCTGAAAAGGTACATAAATTTTTCAAATGCTGGATAGTTTAATTTTTCAAAATTTAGATCAATTTAAATATAGTTATAAAATTAAGAACTATGAACCAACTATGAGGTGAGTGCTGCCAGTTTTATAGTTTTATTTTGTGCTGGTTCTTTTAATTTATGCTCCACTCCACAATTTTGCAAAAATTTTGCTTTTATTTCTTATAGAATACTTTAGGTCAGATAATAGTAATGCTTGAAAAAAATCAAATTTAATTTAACTATGTTAATTTAAATTGCAGTTATTTTCTATAATAGAATATTTTATAGAATTTAAAATGATGGTTAATCAAAATAAAATCGATTTTATTTGCAGCAAATGGGTCTCATCAAAGATTCTACTAGAGTTCAACATTAGTGTGCTAAAATAGACATCTGTATGAAAAGAACAATATTAAAACTATAGTATTGTAAAGCATAGAATTTTATAAGCTAAATTGAGAATTTTTGAGCTAGATAAAACATTTGGTCAGTACTCAGATAAATTACAACAATGAGATATTCTATAGTGGTTCCTTCTTTTTTGTTTTTTTGTTTTGTTTTGTTTTTGTTTTGTTTTTGTTTTTGTTTTGAGACAGAGCTCACTCTGTCACCCAGGCTAGAGTGCAGTGGTGCAACCTCAGCTCACTGCAAACTCCGCTTCCTGGGTTCAAGTCATTCTCCTGCCTCAGTCTCCCAAGTAGCTGGGATTACAGGTGTGTGCCACCACACATAGCTAATTTTGTATTTTTAGCACAGACAGGGTTTTGCCATATTGGCCAGTCTGGTCTCGAGCTCCTGACCTCAGGTGATCTACCGGCCTCTGCCTCCCAAAGTGCTGGGATTACAGGGGTGAGCCACCACACCTGGCCCTATAACTGTTCCTTTAAACCAAAGTTTCACATTATAAAATGCAGTCAAGGGGAGAAACTGATATACATATCATTTTTTAAATGGCTGCCATAAAACTGTGTAGAGCTCTCTGGTCGTGAAAACTTTGTTAGCAGTGATGTGTTTAGTAGGCCAAAGAAAGCCAAATAGCTAAATAAATCAGACATTATTTGTTTGTCTTTTCTGGCCTATATTTTATATTACCTGCATCTATCCTTAAGCCAATATTTAGTCAAAATTCCAAGTGAAGTTCATTAAAGATAGTATACAATCTTTCTATTTCAATAAGATCTTACATGATGAAAATAACTTCTACATTAAATAAATATATATGCTCCATGTGTCTGGCAACAAAACAAACAAAAAACATATAATTTTAAACATTAGTTTTAGGGTTTAATAAAGTGGTATAAATTATCCCAAAGCAGGAACTAGTTAGTGATTAAATAATTTCCAAGCTAATTTAAAATCAGAAGAGACCTTATGTGTTGGGTTGTCACAGATGTCTTGCATTTCAACAGATGAAGTATACTAATTTTTAGTTTTAATACATGGCCTACTTGGACAGGAAGTGGATTTGTGAAAGAATTCTGTAAAGGAAGCTGTTTTCATGGCAGCTCACTCTGGGCTGTAGAAACTTTGCTCAATGGTTGTGTAGGTCTTACTGGATTCAGACACCACTTTTCACCAGTACCTGAAAACAGGTGTGTGTGTTTGGAAGAGAGGTGATTTTTAATTTAGGATTGAATCGAAGCATTGATAGAGAATAAATGTACTACGTATGACACATTAAGTACTCTACAGATAGACACATGTATACATATACACACATATTTCCAGATAACCATAAAGCTACAAAAATAAGCAGTACAATTTGGATACTAAATCCAAATTTCTGTAAATAGAAAATGTGATGAAATTCTTAGCTTTGGATAAGAAAAAAAAAATGTTTTTATTCTATATTTGTCCAAAGCTTGAATCCAAGTGGTTAGTTGATGCTTATCCGTCTCCACATCAGTTCACGTCTACATTAGAAGCAGCACTTTTTTTTTGTATCAGAGTTAAGAAACAAATTATACAAATTTCTGAGTCAGTCCATAATTATCCAATGTTTATAATTTTAGTCCAAGGGTCTTTGTCACTTTGTTTTGATGGTTCTAGCTGCTACTGTTCATAATTAGATACTACACATATCCTTAAAATGCTGGCACTTAAGCATATTAACATTCCTACAGTGAGTAGTGCAAAATTCCCTTTGACTTCAGACAGCTTGTCTCTCTACATCATTGTTGGGTAGTACATGACTACCTTAGCTGTCCAACCCAAATCAGCATGCATTCTTTGTCTCTGTCTCTTTCTTTCTTGGCTGAAGACCCTTTTTTGGCCCTTTCTGCAGGGCCCTAGGTGTTCTTCTAAATGTAAAGTGTCTGCTTCTAAAACTTTAAAATGACAAATGGGTATTATACCTGGTGATATGGTTTGGCTCTGTGTCTCCACTCAAATATTGTCTTGTAGCTCCCATAATTCCCATGAGTTGTGGGAGGGACCCAGGGGGAGATTATTGAATCATGGGGGTGGGTCTTTGCTGTGCTATTCTTGCTATTCTTGTGACACTGAATAAATCTTATGAGACCTGATGGCTTTATAAGGTGGGATTTCCCTGCACAAGCTCTGTCTTTGCCTGCCACCATCCATGTAAGATGTGACTTGCTCCTTCTTGCCTTTTGTCATGATTATAAAGCTTCCCCAGCCACGTAGAACTGTGAGTTCTCCATTAAACCTCTTTCCTTTGTAAATTGCCCCGTCTCAGGTATGTCTTTATCAGCAGCATGAAAACGAACTAGTACACCTGGGCTGCAGTGTTTAGAGCTTGGGTTGATCTCAGAAGTGGAACTACTCTGGTCAAGAGTTGCAGAGCACAGAGCAAAGGAAGACCAAGAGCTAAAGCCGAATCTGGCCAAGTGGCCTCTTCTGCTGAGGAATCAGTCTGAAGGTCCTGGAAAGTAAAAAAAGAATAGGATGGAAATTGAGGACACTAAGACCACGTGGTTTGGAGTAGAAAGTGGGAGGTGGGCCTAGAGATTCCCTTAGAGGCAGTCTCTAGGCTGTAGCCCTAGGACATTCCACAGGGAGTGTGTAGGTTGGCTCAAAGATAGGAGGGACCTCAAAAGGGTATTAAGCATGCTTAGCCACCAGCTTTAGGCAAGTGATACTTGAAAAAATTCGCTGACTCTATGTCACTTGCCTTGTTAAACTATTAAATATCATGTATACCTGTACCAATTTGGAAACTTCCCACTGAACCATCAACAACAGTGTTCCCCAGCGTTGTATATGTGTTTCAGTGTTATGTGCGTGTATGTATGTGTATGTGATTTTGTGTTCGTGCTTGTCCTATTTCGGACAGCTCATGGTATGCAATCGACCAGTGATGTTCAGGTGCAGTTCAGTGGATAAGAACAATTTTTTAAAGATTATTATCAATGAACCGAAACCAGGGTGGAGGAAATATTCAAAGAATGTTTAAATTCCATGGTTTTAGAAATACAAATTTCATTACAACCCTTATGGGATTTGTAAATTTTTATTTGGGAACTCTAAAGTACAAACTGGAACCTTATTATTTTGCTATTGTCTGATATAGGCAAGGCTACAATATATTTTGTAATTGTTTTACTCATTTTTAATCACCATTTGTTTTCTTTTCTGAGAGGTATGTGATTTTCATGAAACTCCCACCCCCAACTTTACATTCTATTTTACAAAAAGAACTAAAGCTATGAAACATTGATTTGTTCAACAAGTATTTATCAAGGCACTTACTATGTGTCACCATCTGGGTTAGGTGTTAGGGTACAATGATTGGGAGATACAGGTAAACATGCACTTATAATAAATATGAATTAGATATATAGTTTGCAAATATTTTCTCACATTCTGTAGGTTGCCTGTTTACCCTGTTGATAGTTTCTTTTGCTGTGCAGAAGCTCTTTAGTTTAATTTAGTTAGGTCTCATTTGTCAATTTTTGCTTTTGTTGCAATTGCCTGTGGCATTTTTGTTTTGGAATCTTTGCCAGTTCGTATGTCCAAAACGGTATTTTCTAGGTTATCTTCTACGGTTTTTATAGTTTTAGGTTTTACGTTTAGGTCTTCAATCATTTAGTTGATTCTTGTGTATGGTATAAAGAAGGGGTCCAGTTTCAATCTTCTGCATATGGCTAGCCAGTTATCCTAGCACTTATTGAATAGAGTCCTTTCCCTCTTGCTTTTGTCAGCTTTGTCAAAGGTCAGATGGTTGTAGGTGTGTGGCTTTATTTCTTGTCTAATATCCATGATCTACAAGGAACTTAAGCCTACAAGTAAAAAACAAACCCAGTAAAAAGTGGGCAAAGGACATGAATAGACACTTTTCAAAAGAAGACATAAATATGGCCAAGAAGTAAATGAAAAAATGCTCAATAGCCCTAGTCATTAGAGAAATACCATCCAAAATCACAATGAGATACCATTTCCCACCAGTTACAATAGCTATTATTAAAAAGTGAAAAAACAAACAAAAAAACCCCACAGACGCTGGAGAGGTTGCAGAGAAAAGGAAACACTTATACACTGCTGGTGGGAGTATAAATTAGTTCAACCATTCTGGAAAGTGATTCCTCAAAATCTAAAACAGAACTCCTAAAAACAGAACTACTATTCTGGTATATACCCAAAGGAATATAAATTATTCTACCAAAAAGACACATGCACATATACATTCACTGCACTCCTCCTATTCACAATAGCAAAGACATGGAATCAACCTAAATGCCCATCAGTGATATACTAGATAAAGACAATGTGGTATGCATACACCATGGAATACTATGCAGCCATAAAAAAGAACAAGATCATGTCCTTTGCAGGAACATGGATGAAACTGAAGGCCATTATCCTTAACAAACTAATTCAGGAACAAAATCCAAATACCACATGTTCTCATTTATAAGTGGGAGCTAAATGATGAGAACACATGGACAGCAAGAGGGAACAACAGATACTGGGGCCTATCAAAGGATGGAGAGTGGGAGGATGGAGAGTGAGAGGAGGGAGAGGTTTAGAAAAAACAAACAAACAGAAACCTATCAGGTACTAGGCTTGGTACCTTTGTGCCAAAAATAAATAAGTAAATAAATCTGTACACCAAACCCCTGAGTCACAAGTTTACCTATATAACAAACCTGCACATGCACTCCAAACCTAAAATAAAATTAAAAGATTAAAAATAAATTGCTAAATAAAAACTTAATGTAAAACACATGCATTAGTCCTGGCTTCTAATGTAGATGTGAACTGATGTGGAGACAGATAAGCATCAACTAACCACTTAGACATAAAGAGGCTTTTAGTGAGCTTCTGGGAAAGCTGTTCTCCCCTGACAAGAGGCAAGGACACTGCAAAAGGAAAGCTCTAGGAATCCCTTCTCTCTGACCTTGTTTTGGATTCCATTGTTTGAAGTCACATGACTGTGAGGTCAAGATGGTGATCACCTTGCAACCATTAGGGGCAAGCTGGAACATGAAAGACAACATGCTAATATTAGTGAAGCAGAAGAATAGCAAAAGCAGGGATCCTTGTGAATATTTCTGAGATGCTTAACTAATATCAATACTATTTACCTCTGGATATCTCATAGGCAAACATTTAATTTCTTGTGGTTTCAGCCACTGTTAGGCTTTTGATTTTTTACACCTGAAAGCATCCTGACAGAAAATGTCATGGGGGCACTTAGGAAGGGCACCAACTCTATCCTTCTTGGAGAAGAATTGATACTTCCACCATATATATGATGAAACCTGAAGATTTACTACATGACTGACAGTCAAATGAGGGTTAGATGTGAGTAGGAAGGATGTTCCAGGCAAAGGTAGCAGCATATGGAGACACTCAGGAGAGTAAGAATAAGGAAATCCAAGTAGTGTGCCCCTCTCCAAAACATGGATATGAAGAGAGAAGTCCAGAGAGATCATGTCACTGTTCAAATTTCTGCAACTGCTCCCCAATTCCCTCTTAGTACAAGCCAAAATCCTTAGAATGACCTTCAAGATTTCATGGATTCCTGCTCTGACTTCACCTCCTACTTCTCTCCCTTCACTGTGCTCCAGCCACCATGGCCTAATTTATATTCCACGAATATTCTTAACCTGACTTTGTTTCAGGACCTTTGCACTTGATATTTCTCTCTCTGGAATACTTTCTCCATACATATCATCATGGCTTGCTCTCTCTTGCTTTCTTTAGGTCTCTGCTGAAATATCACCTCGCTGATGCTGTGCTGTCTCTGACCACCTTGTATAAAATAGCATGTTCTAACCACCTCTTCCCTAGCACTCTATGTTTCTTTAATCCTGTTTCCTTTCTTTTTTTCACATTACATGCCAGTATGCTATGTTATAGCTTTATGTTTTTATTTGTTGTCATTCTTTCCCCCTTGAGAACAACGATTTGTTTTATTTCACTGATCCATCCCTAGAACCTAAATATACTTTGTTTCACTCCTAGATTCCTAGCCTCCAGCCATTATCAGGAGGCTCACAGAAAGTATTTGTTAATAAAATGAGTAAATCAATAAAGACAAGTAAGTCATTTGGATTCCTGAGTGCCATGGTGTAGACCCATTAATTATATTAACTTGCTTCTTTCTCCTACATTTCAAAACTTAACCAACTCCTCATCCATCCTTTCCTTCTGTCAGCATTGTAGGGGGTGGTGGGCATGCAGCTAGAGACATGGGTTGCTTACAAAGTGTTTTGGGGCCATATGAAAGAGTTCAGGATGTTTACTGAAGTATTTGTAGCAAGACAGTGATGTTTTCCAACTCATCCCCATTAAAAAGTGGGCAAAGGGCATGAACAGACACTTTTCAAAAGAGGACATGCAAGCAGCCAACAAACTATTGAAAAAAGGTCAACATCACTGATCATTAGAGAAATGCAAATCAAAACCACAATGAGATACCATCTAACACCAGTCAGAATGGTGGTTATTAAAAAGTAAAAAATAGCAGATGCTGGTGAGGTTGCAGAGAAAAAGGAATGTTTATACAGTGTTGGAGGGAGTGTAAATTACTTCATCCATTGTGGAAGACAGTGTGACAGTTCCTCCAAGACCTAAAAGCAGAAATATCCTTTGGTTCAGCAATCCCATTGCTGGGTATATATCCAAAGGAATATAAATCATTTTATTATAAATACACACATGCTTGTATGTTCATTGCAACACTATTCAAAATAGCAAAGATATGGAATCAACCCGAATGCTCATCAATGACAGATTATATGAAGAAAATGAGGTACATATACACCATTGAATACTATGCAGCTGCAAAAAAAGAACAAGATTACGTCCTGTGCAAGTGTATCAGTGGAACTGGAGGCCATTATCCTTATCAAACTAATGCAATAACAGAAAACCAAATTCCACATGTTCTCCTTCATAAGTGGGATCTAAATGATGAGAACACATGGACACGTAGAGTGAAACTATATGCACTAGGGCCTATTGGAAGGTGGAGAGAAGAAGGAGGGAGAGGATCTGGAAAATAACTAATGGATACTAGGCTTAATGCCTGAGTGATGAAATAATCTGCACAACTACAACAAAACCCCATGACACAAATTTACCTACATAAAAAAACCTGCACACATATTCCTGAAATTAAGATAAAAGTTAAAAAACGAAAGATAATTTTCCTTAAATGTAGAAAATGGATGTGGAGAGGATGAGAGTGTATGAGATGAGACCTATGAGGAGGCTATTGCAAGAATCCAAGAGAAAAATGATTAGAACATTAACTAAAGAAATGACAGTTGGAATTGAGGGAAGAATGTTGACTGACACCTAATTATGAGGGAAACTCTAAATGAGTTTCAATGCTCCAAGTTTATGTTCCAGGGATCTAGATAGACAGTTTATCAAGAAAAGGTAGGTGCCACCCTGGTCAACATGGCAAAACACTATCTCTACAAAACATACAGAAAATTATCCAGATATGATGGAGCATGCCTGTAGTCTCAGCTACCCAGAAGGCTGAGGTGGGAACATCACCTGAGCCCAGGAGGTCAAAGCTGCAGTGAGCCATGGTTGTGCCACTGCACTCCAGCCTGCGAGACAGAGAAAAACCTTATCTCAAAAAAAAAAAAAAAAAAGAAAAAAAAAAAAACCCAAAAAAAAACAAAAACAAAAAAAAACAAACAAAAAGAAACCCAGGTAGGTGGAAAGGGAAGGTGGAGTCCTGGGAAGTAAATACAGTAAACTTAATTTTGGACATATAGAATTTGTGATACCTATAGAGATATAAGCATTTGGATGTGTGGATGTGTGTTTCACAGAGAAGCAAATATTAATATCTAATGAGGGTGCAGAAGAAAAAATTGCTGAGATGCTAAGAGGAAAGCTTCATAAGATGAGGAGTGGAAACTGAGCAAAGTGCTACAGAGGAACCAAGCAGGATGCACACAAGAATGCTATTACTCTATTTGAAAATCCTGAGAACACTGGTGACATTTGATGGAACCATTTGAATAGACTGAAAAGAAAAGTCAGATTCCACTTAGCCAAAGAATTGTAATAGTTATTTTTTGTGTGTATTTATTAGTGTCAGATACTTTGCTGTATCTTCTTTGAATATAAATGCATTTGATTTTCACAACTGCTCTATGAGGTGGGTGCTACTATCATAATCATCTTCATTTTTCTGATGAGGAAAATAACACAGAGAAGATAACAATTTACCCAACATCAGAGCTTAGGAAAAGTAACAGAATCAGAATGTGTATCACTCCATCTGTGGCCAGAGCCCATATTAACTACCATGCTCTGAGGCTCTCTGATGAATAAGAAATAAGCAAGTGGAGGCAGTAAATGCAGGTGCCTCTTGCAAATATTTAAAGAAAACTGAGACAGAAAATGATAACTAACAAGGGAGGCAGGATAAAAAAAAAATTTAGGTAGAGTAATACTTGAAGATATGTTTAAGATAAAGGCAGAAAACTGATGATGAGAAAAGTTCAAAGATGTAAAGTGAAAAAGGGAAAAGAACTGAGGGTATGCGATTTCAGATGTTACTAAAGAGTAGAGAAGAAAGAGGATAAGTCATGAAAAAATATGAGAATTAACTTACGTATTTTAGATACTGTGCTACACACCTAGACATATTATTTCAACCCTCATAATGACCTTTCTTGCAAAGTAAGTTTTATGTTCCCCATTTTACTAATGAAGAGGGTAGGCAAAGTTACTCTAGCTAGAAAATGTCAAGACCCAGATGTCTGGCTCCATATCTCATGTTTCTGTGGTACTGAAGTATTTTGTTTCACCAGAAAAAAAACAAGTGAAAAGTTAATATTGCATAAAATAACCATTCTTTGATTTCTGACCACCAAATCTCATCCACACTTCAGAAGCCAAAGGAACATATCAGCTTCTCCTTCAACTCTAAAATGATCACAGCAGGAACTCACTTTTTTTTATCTTTATTTATTTGTTTATTTTTATTATTATTATACTTTAAGTTTTAGGGTACATGTGCACAACGTGCAGGTTTGTTACATATGTATACATGTGCCATGTTGGTGTGCTGCACCCATTAACTCGTCATTTAGCATTAGGTATATCTCCTAATGCTATCCCTCCCCACTCCCCCCACCCCCCACCCCACAACAGTCCTCGGTGCGTGATGTTCCCCTTCCTGTGTCCATGTGTTCTCATTGTTCAATTCCCTCCTATTTGTGAGAACATGCGGTGTTTGGTTTTTTGTCCTTGCGATAGTTTGCTGAGAATGATGGTTTCCAGCTTCATCCATGTACCTACAAACTCACTTTTAAAGGAAAAATGATCACTTTCTCTAAATGGCCTTGTGTCTTTCTTAAAAATTTGGCAAAATATACACACATGATATTTATAGTTGCATATAGGTCTGTATCTGCCATTAACAATAAACTCCTTACAGAAAATGTTCCTTGTGTTTTCCATCTTTAAGTGAAATATTTGCAGCATCAATATATAATTCCCTGACATACAGTAAAATTATCAGTAAATGAGTCACAGATAAATGTCAACAGAGGAGCTATACAAGAGGAACTCAATGAAGCAATCCAATTTGTGTGGTGTTCAAAAGCATTTTCTCTAATTAAAGAGCTCTAAATAGAGTGAATGTTAAATAGAGTGAATGTGAGATATTAGATTACATTTGATTATTTACTAGTTAACATATACAACTAGAAGAGGGTTTCTGGTTTATTATTGTTTAAATAACAGATAAAACTAGACACCTAATCACGGCCTGATGTACATATTATGTAAATATCAGCAACTTTTAAAAACTAATCATTTTAAATGACAAATTTTTACTTTTCCTGTTTTCTAGTTGTTAATAGAAAATATTTAATTTTCTATTATCTTTAACTTTTATACCCTGGTTTATTATAAAAATATGTATTCTATAAAATATGTGTCTAGAGATATATTTTAGAGATAGGCTTCAACAGTAGTCTGGATCCAAGCTGCCCTCCCTTCCTTCTGCTTTTTTGTATTTTGGGGCTTGTGGAAGTCAAGCCGTTGAACCAGAGGCTGTATACAAATACCCAGGCATCAAATCAATCACTCAGTGTAGAAATAGACATGACAAATGGTTATTTGGAATCATGTGTGCCCTGAATGGGTACAAAGGGTACCAAGAGATGGGGCTACAGCCACTCATGATCTAATAAGCCTCATGAGCCAGCATGAGTGAGTCGAGTTGCTCTGCCCTGTATAGGCTTAATATAAATTCTACTCAAGGAAACTTTTCTGATACAGATGTCCAAGCTGCCGAGAACAAGCTGAAAGTTGGATACCTAATGTCAGTAGAGTCTTCTGAGGGTTTCCTGGATGAAGGTGGGGCCCAGGCTTTGGTGCTGGTTCTTACATGCCATCCTCCACAGCCTTTCAGCAGATTGACTTGGTGGCTAATGCTGATGTCATAAATGCTGTGAAGAAGTTTGCTTCTGGCCAGAAGTCAATGGCAGTAAGTGGACATTTGGGGCATGTATCTTTTGTTGATGACTGGTAATATTGAAGCATATGTTACAGGAGAGAGCTGAACATTTTGTCAGCCCAGAGCAGCAAACACATGAAAGTCAGAAGTCCCTAATATAACATTTGTCTTCTATTTTTTCAATGAGGTAAAATACCTTAAAGCATAAATGCAGATAATTATTCCCAGCTGACCTAAAGTCAATAAAACATTTTGCTTAAAAAATTCTGCTTCATGTAGATGTTCTGCCTTTTGTGCTCTGGGCTGGACCTGTGCATGTGTTCTTCATCTCTTACAAAGAAAAACCATTCAAAACAGTCCGGGGAGAAAAGGCCAGAAAAGTGAATTATGCCAGGTTTTTTGTTTTTTTTTTTTTCAGACTGGTGCCTCTTTTCACAACTCATTGTTCCTGAGGGAATTCTTTAGGAAAAAAGTTGACAGGAGATGATTCATACTAGATGTAAATATGGGTACAACATGCAGTGGTAGAGAGAGTATAAGATCTGAAATCAGAAAAGGGAACTTCACCATTTGCTTGCACTGTTATTTTTTAAAAAGCTAACCCATATTCAGTGTTTTCACCTATAAAGTGGAGATAATGGAGATAATTACACCAAAACATTAGAAATATTGCAAGGGTTCATTGAAATAAGGAATACTAATAGCCTAATAAGACTCTAGGTATATAGCAGATGCTATGAAAAAAAAATGTGTTCTCTTTCCTAAACAGCCAGCCAAAGTGCTGGTGTCCTGCCAATCACATCAGCAGGTCATTTCACACAGATCTTCATGGCTTGTTCTTCTGCTTGGCCAAGGGCTCATCTAACTCTACTAAAAACATTTCTTTCCTTTAAAAGTCTTTCCCCTCTTGCGGCTGTCTCTCTCATGCCAGCATCTTATCATTCCAGGAAAGCTGAAGGCCCACAGGCTACCCAAATAACTACACGTGTTTGCCTTGAGTGAAAGGCTGGACTGATGACTCCAATTCTTCACTTACTGTGCATCTATACTCTTTGCCATGGTTGGGGTGATGCCCCCTTTACTCTGGTTTGGCAGTGGGGCTGCCTTTGGCCAATGGGATGTTAGCAGAGTTGACACTAGAAGAGGCTTGAAAAGTGCTTATTTGTTACCACCTTTGCCCTCTCATGCCATGATGACCACCATGAGAACAAACACAGGTGAGCCTTCTGAGGATAAAAGGGACATAAAGGAGAGCTGAGTCAGCCCAGGTACCCTAGCTAAGCCCAATCTAAATTGCTAACCTAAAGACCTATAAGCTAGCTAATATTTATTATTCTAAGCTGCTGAGTTTTCTGGGATTTGTCATCCAACACTATTTTGGCTATAAATAACTGGTAAACTCTGTCAAAGATGAGCATGTTGCCAACTGCCACCAGGGTCCTGCAGAAATTATTTCTGCTGAGAGAATTAATTACAACGTTTTAAAATTGAAAACACCTATACACTGTGGGTAGGAGTGCAAATTAGTTCAAATCATTGTGAAAGATAGTGTGGTAATTCCTCAAGGACCTAAAAACAGAAATACCATTTGACCCAGCAATGCCATTACTGGGTATATACCCAAAGTAATATAAATCATTCTGTTATAAAGACACATGCATGTATATGTTCATTGCAGCACTACTCACAATAGCAAAGACATGGAATCAACCTAAATGCCCATCAACAACAGATTATATAAAGAAAATGTGGTACATATACACCATTGAATACTATGCAACCACAAAAAATAACAAGATTATGTCTTTTGCAGGCACATGGATGGAGCTGGAGGCCATTGTCCTTATCAAACTAATGCAGGAATAGAAAAACAAATACCAGTTGTTCTCACTTACAAGTGGGAGCTAAATAATGAGAACACATGGACACATCGAGGGGAACAATACACACTGGGGTCCATCAGAGGCTGGAGGGTGAGAGGAGGGAGAGGAATAGGAAAAATAACTAATAGGTACTAGGCTTAATGCCTGTGTGATGAAATAATCTGTACAACAAACTCCCATGATACATATTTACCTATATAAAAACCCAGCACATGTACCCCTGAACTTAAAATAAAAGTTATAGTTAAAAACAATAACAACAACTCCTAGCTGTGCTCTCTTATGGAAAAAAAGCAGGAACATAGAAAGACTGAAGCACCCTCCTGGGACTCCAACCTTGTATAATAGCTCCCTGATGCTGCAACACTCTTTTCCTTTGTTCCTTTTCCCTTTGAGGAAGAACTAACCGAGCTTAATGGTCATTGGCAAGCATACATTTCAGTCTCTCCCCAGTTGTATGTAGGATGGGAGACCTAAACTCAATTCAAATGCTTTGACAACTTTTTGTGGTAGAATGACAGAACGTAACACAAATCCTCCTGTAGAAACTTTGTTAATCAGCCTCTCCTTAACCCCATACTCTGTAATATAAACAAATGACTAAGCTCTAGAAAGTTCAGGATTTTTATCTCAATTTCTACCTCCATCCTATTTATTTGAGTGCATTTAGTGCCACGAGGTCCTGTTGTCCCCAGGCTTGTCTTTAGGAAAGTATTAGTTGACAACTAAATTCTTTTACTATGGCAATAAAGCCAGTTGATGAAGTTACCTCTCCTTTCCTGACCTTAATCTAAAGTGTTCCAGACATGCAACCATTTAAGGCAGTTGACCTGGAGCTAGTTTCAGCCTTCTGTCTGCTTTGTTACAAGGTAATATTATTTTTATACAAAGAATATCTATTCTAAAGTATGTTGTCTATGCCTAACTATACTGCCTTTGTGAAACTCAAATTGTAGAAATACAAGGTCAGCAATATGTCAGAAAAATAGTCTCAAAAACATTTTGGCCAGTGTGTACAATTCTCAGGCATCTTTTGGGGAGCATGAAACAGCTTGAGAATATGTTTCTGCTTGATCCTATTCATACGATCCTTTACTATTCCTATCTGTGCTATCATACATCCATTTACCATTATTCAATAATTAGCCAAAGTGTAGGTACAAACTGCATACCTTTGTTTCTGGGATGATAGGTCTTTTTGGTGGACTCTGCCATTTAATTAATAGTAGCTTCACTTGATAGGTGAGAAAAAAAATCCTTGATTTTCCCTTAAAAACTCGATTAATATCCCCCAGGTCAGCAGAAAATTTGAGGCCACTATCCTCAATCACCCACACTTGGAGATTGTTTTGGAAAGGAAAGTGGTATTTATTTGTGCGTAATGCCATTGAACACAGTAGGAAAATCCTTAGACTAAATAATAGCACCATATCAAAGACTAAAACTTAAACTTGGAAGCTCACACCTTATCTTCTGGTGTTTCACCCACTGAGTTGTTAGAACCATCCTACAAGAAGGTGAATAATGAATAACCTGTATTCCTTATTTTCTTTATTTTCTTAATCTCTCACAATGCTGATTCCCCCTCTCTTTGCCTCCCTTTATTTTTTCTCTTTTTCTTTCCTCCCCTAAAACAAAGGCATTTCCTCTCAAAGAATTGCTTCTGCTACTGTTGCGGTTACTCTCCTTCTGTTGCTCCTTGGAATGTATTGTGAAATGCCAGACAAGATGACTCAGGGAGAACAGGGGGAAAAATTTTGCAAGTCTTGGTCCCACATAGTGTATGTAATAGACTACTATTAAGGAGAGTTTATTTTGCCAAAGTCATTGGAATAATATGCTGATAATATTTTCCACTATCAAATGCAACACCACGAGGACACGCAAATGATGAATATGAGCAGGAAAATGTCCTTAGTAGCTTAATTTGTGGAAGGAACATGGAAGTGGGGTGTCACAGCCTGGCTAGAAACTCTGTACACATTTAGACAGTGAAAAAAATATGAACTTGGTCTAAGAAATGAAACCAAATGAGGACATATGTACTTAAGAGACCTGTGCTTTTCATTTAGTGAAAATATGCCCCTGAGTTCTGTCAATGTAATTTTAAATGTATTATTTAATATTTGAACTTTGGCCACTGTTGCAAAGAACACTCCAGCATGGAAACTCAACAATTCCAGAAATTCCTTGATCTCAATATCCCCATTTTCATGGTTCAGAAATAGCATTTCCCTCTTGGGTGGAGATACAAAGGGGACTGGGAACAGGGAGAGACAGCAAGGGTTGGGGTTGGAAGAAGGGCCAAAGAAAGATGAAAAGATGAAGAAAATAATTTTTTTACACAGCGCTTGCTTTTACTAGGCTATTAAAAAATGGTTTCACAACTAGAAGCAAACAATTTAACAATTAATGTCAAAATTCCATAATTTTTCTTTTGTCATAAGTACTAAAATTATATTTTTAGAAGGGAGTGGACAGCAGGCTATGACTCATAATATCATCTCAGATTGCATAATGATTTAACTTTTCAGTCATTTTATTGATGATCGTATTTATTCTTTGTAAACCAAATATATTTTCTTAATTTGCATAATTTCCAAACTCAAAAGAAGGACTCCCTAGATGACTAGTAGGTTTACAGAATAGTCCAATGCCTTTCACGGGATGCCTGGAGGGTTCTGCATTGTGTCCATGTGATTGATGCTCCTTGACTGTACAGTTGTGAGTGGAGTCAGGGACAGCCTACCTCTTACATCCTACCTTGGGATGAAGTCCTCAGTTTACTCTTTCACAAATTGAGAGTTAGACTAGATGTCTTTTAAGAATACTTTTCCTTTGAAATTTTAAGGTTTTCATACTAGATTTTCAAACTATAATGAAATATCTTGGAGAGCAGGCGAGGCATACCTGTTTCAGGAGAAAAATAATAAATAGTCTATGGATGGGCAGGTCGGGGTGCGGAAAAAAGTCCTCTGCCAAAAGTCACAGCTGACTGTTTTGCCTGTCTGCTTTGAGTAAAAACTATTTTTTCATAACACTTTGACAGAAGGTCAAACTGGCCAGACAAGACTGAGCATGCAGATATTCTTGTGATAACCCCAAATTCCCATGTATTTTGTTTCTTCTTAAAAGATGAAGAGGTGAAGCTTGACGTATGTTGTTTGCCAAAAGACACTTACTTATTAATAACCAAATTGTGCCTCCCAGTAGTCACTGGCTTATTTGAAAACTTTGAAACAGGTTGTGGCGATCTGAGTACTTAGATTGAATTCTTTATACTTCCAGGAAACTTTAAAAGCTATTTCTCCCTTTCTTCTATATTAAGTATAACTTCACATCCAAGTGTCTAAGACACTTACTAAATCTATTGGCACTATTTCTCTTAGATTCAAATCATGTAAGTTGTCTGGAGAAAGGAAGACCATGGAATTATTGGAGATGAGATGGATTAAGAGGAATAATATGGGTTTTGATTCAGAGTTGAGGCTGGATCCTGGTTCCACTCTTTACATGGGCAAAGCACTTACACTTCCTAAGCTTCTCATTTCTCATATATTTAATGGGAATAGCAATACTTCACAGAACTGAAGTGAGACAAAAGAAGTATGGGAAAGTTTAATACAATGCCTGGTGGATAATAAATGATACGTAGCTCTCATCATGATAAATGTTAAGTCTTGTTTGTATAACAAATAATAAAGACTAAAATAGGGATTGACAAGCTTTTTCTACAAAGAGCAAGACTATAAATATTTTAGGGTTTTCAGATCATACAGTTTCTGTAATAACAACTCAACTTTTTTGTTGTAGCACAAAAGTAGCCGTAGACAATAAGGAATGCATGTGTGTGGCTGTGTTCCAAAAAACTTTATTTACAAAAATGGGAGGTACAGCAGATTTGGCCCAGGAAGTATAGTTTGCCTAACTCTGGGCTAAAGTGGCAGACAAATTATCTTTAAGACAATCAATGTTACAGTATTATATTTCTAATAGTCTCCAAATGAATTATCTCCAAAGAAAAATTGCATAGTAAATTTATCTCCACAGGCAATTCCAAATGTCCTGTTTGGTAGGCAAACTTCATGAATTCTAAATCACGTTCACTCACAAGTTATTCTTTGTGTGAGATGACATTTGCCACTTTATTGTTTAATCCGCTAGTCACTTTTGATGACTAAATTACAAGTGGAATTTACAGCTGTTGAAATCACATGCTAAAGTATATCAGGAAAATCCGGGGTTCAGAAGATCAATTTTCAGGGCATTTCACAGCAAATTGAAATCCACAATGAAGTGCCACACACATTTTCCAGATAAGAGAAATCTTTGATGTTAAGCCTTTCTGACAGTATATAAAATTTGTTAGAGTCTGCCTTTGTTGAAAATATGAAAGCCTCAAATATTTGAATGATGGACTACAATTAACAAAGTTATGTTAATCTGTTTAAGATTTGTACAACTGTTTTAACCATACCATTCTTTTTCTTGGTATTCATTTTATTTTCAGGTCTTATGAGAAGTTTTTGTGTTATCAATTATAGTTTTATGTGATCACATTGAATTCTGTTCAAGCTATGGAGAAACAGGTTTCAATAGAAACTAAATTCAATCATTTTTAAATACACAGCCAAGAAGAACTATGTAAAATTTAAAAAATGAAATGACTATGATTTATCATTCGCTGATTTAAGATCTTTATTAAACTGGTGTCTCATACTCAAATCTAAACCTCATGGAGTGAGAACTGTGGTGCTGAGTCATCTTTATTTTAGGGATTTTACTTTGTTTCTCTACTGCAGAGTGGAATCTGATGGAGTGCAACATTGCTGAGTTTTTTTGCCAGAAGCTATTCTCAAATCAAGGAAAAGAACATATTTTCTGTGATTAATCAAAAGCTTAATTGCTGACTTCAAAACTTCAAAACTTTAATTTGTCTATAAAATCTCCTTTTGCTTTATGCCATGATACAAAAGTTTCATTAGTTTTCTTTGTTATTACCTTTATATTACCACAGGAGTCCAGAGACTTGTGGTAGCTACCTTACTTTCCTCTGTGTAGACATGTTGGGTAGCAGTGACAGTGCAGTACTGTGCTGCTTCCCCTCCCAGTCCTGCTCTCGCCTTACCTCACAAGGGAAATTTATGGACAGCAATTTTTTTTGAAGGGTGGAATAGCATATTTGTCTCAAAGCTATATTTGCATAGCAAGCAGACTTTTTCTTTAGTATGTCTCTTTGAGGTGGCTTGATGGAGACTGGTAGAGATCATGGAGTTTTTATGGTCCCCCAGGCTACTCCTTGTTTTAACCATTATCCTTTCCAGCAGCCTCAATTTTCCCCAAAGTCCTTATATTCTCTACAGTCTTCTTGCACACAGCCATATTATTTATGCCATGCCACACAGGAATTGCTGACATTTTTTTACTTGCTTCTTATTTCCTATCCATGTCAGAACTTCTTGCTTTTTTTTAAAGTAAAGAGGGTGTATGAGGCAAAATTATATCTCACATAAGAGTTTCTCAGGAACCTTGTCTCTACTAAAGATGTACATAACAGCTGTCCAGTTAAGAGCTGTTCCCACAACAGTATTCAGGAATATTTCCTGAGGATGAAGAAGGAGGAATTCATCCTGTAGACTAGTTCACCAGTGCTGTGATTTTAATGAGCTTTGATTGTAAACCTAGATTTTTCCCCAACTATTAAACAATACTGTTGAACTGAATTGATTTAAAAATAATCTTCTTTATAGACATCCCAACTCTTCTTTTTCTACATGTAATGCATAAAGTTTATTTCTATATTATAATAAGAATATTATTCACAAGGTTTAAATTAGCTATCAAGACTTAAAAATCAGTAGATTGCACATAAACATTCTTTTTTATGGCTTTCATAGGAATCTGTTATTTAACATCATTGGGATGGTCTTTCTCCTTGTAAATTTTAAGGGCGAAACTGTTTCAATGTCAAGTTGAAGGGCTGAGGAGGCAGTTGGTTCTGAGGATGGCCCAATTTTTGAGTTCAACTTGTACTATCAAAAAAAAAAGGGGGGGCAGATAAAAATTGATGGTCTTTGAGTAAATTCTGTATAGAACTTTCATAGTTCATGCTGTGAACTGCCTTGATGTCAGCAGTTTTCTTTGGCTGTTTCAGATTGAGGTTTCCTTTTTCCCCATAGACAGGATATTTGTTGGCACATTTGCTGCTTTGGCATCAACAGAGACAGGAGATTCCACCACAGCAAGCAGGAATTGGGGCAGGAAAATGGTGGGTGCTAACCAGTGGCCAAGGACACTACTTGCAGCACATTCATGGAATATATTTGTAGATTCCGCAAACAATGAGCGGCGAATGTAAGAGGTTTTTGTTTCCAAAGGATAATTTTGTAAAAAGACAGATAACTATAAATTATGATTTTTTTTTAAATTTACAGGCTGGTATTACTTTAAAATATGAATTATCTATGTTATGTTTTATATTACCTCATAGATCTCTGATTGAGGGATTTCTTAAAGTCTTCAGAGAAATTATATTGCAAAAGAGTGCCAAATATATGTAGTATAAATGTTATTATCATCATTAATATTTTAGTATTGTTCTTGCATATTCTAAATGAAGAGGGTGTCTTAAACCATCAATCTTCAATTCAATTATTGTATTCAGAATGGTAATAAAAACTAACATCATTATACATTGTAGAGGCTAGATACCAAATTTTATAATAAAAGCTTTTCCTGCTTTTTAGATGACACTTTCAAATCCATATTGCTTTTGGAATACATTCTTACCAAGAGCAACGCTGACTGCTTGGGACTGCTTAGTCAACCTTATACACTTTTTAATATATACAAGGAAGACATCCCAACATCATTCTTATTAAGATATAGTTAGCATCATCATTGCATGAAAGAATTTAGTTGCCAGTGCTATTACTTATGCAGTTTCTGTTCTTAGCACTAGCAGCTTACTGACAGGAAATGTCAAATAAAATTTTCTTTTCCACTTTCCACCCTAGTCAGCTAAATAATATGAAAACTATTTGCCTTGCCACCTAGATCAAACATGAAGTATTTGCAAAATAAATTACCTGTGAGGTTATTTGTAGGCCAAATAAAATCCTGGAAAATGTGTGTATATGGAAAGATAATGCAAGTCAATGAAAAGAATAACTGATATCCAGAGTAAATAATAAGTATTGAAAAATTTTCCAAGTTGGAAAAAATGAATAATTGAAAAGGGATTTGCGTTTTCTTTTCCACTGACTTTATTTTGAAGACAAGAACTCTGTGGAGAAATCTCCAAGTGAAGCTGCTATTTCCTAGTCTCACATTTGATTTTAATGCTCAACTTTTGACAAATAAGAAGGAATAATATTTCTGCTAAGGTCAGATGTTTCTGTGGTTATATCTGGCCCTGAAATATAAATACCCTCAAAAAGAAAGAGTTCATATCATGTTCTTATACACTTAAGGTTGTTAAAAAGTGCGTATGTATGATTGTGC
Organism: Homo sapiens; assembly: GCF_000001405.40. Lineage (NCBI taxonomy): Eukaryota > Metazoa > Chordata > Mammalia > Primates > Hominidae > Homo > Homo sapiens. Next base: position 74,601,129 of record NC_000006.12, on the reverse strand, counting down.
ATATGTGTGTGTGCATATGTGCATGTATGTGCAGAAATTCATTCTGCAAACAGAATTTTTAACGTTGAAATATGAGGCTTTTCCTGTACAAGTTGTACATAATTTCCCCAGAAATTAGTGCAATAAATTTTTGCATGTATGCTTGTGTAAGACAGAGAGACCTTTGGATGCAAGAGAAGTGTTTTATTTGTCTTTGGATCCCAAGCACCAATAGAGTGGACACCTCATAGTAGATATTCAATAGATCTTCCTGATGATTAAATCTTGTGGCCAGAGGCCGGGCGCAGTGGCTCACGCCTGTAATCCCAGCACTTTGGGAGGCCGAGGTGGGCGGATCACGAGGTCAGGAGATCGAGACCATCCTGGCTAACACGGTGAAACCCCTTCTCTACTAAAAATGCAAAAAATTAGCCAGGCGAGGTGGCGGGCGCCTGTAGTTCCAGCTACTTGGGAGGCTGAGGCAGGAGAATGGCGTGAACCCCGGGGGGTGGAGCCTGCAGTGAGCCCAGATTACGCCACTGTACTCCAGCCTGGCCGACAGCGAGACTCCGTCTCAAAAAAAAAAAAAAAAAAAAAATCTTGTGGCCAGAAATTGCCAATGGCATTTGATATTACAAACTAACTGGTTCTAAAAAATATATAATTAGAGGTGGCAATACAATGGAAACATGTATTTGAAGTAAAAAGTAATGAAAATATCTGGATTCAAGAACTGGTTCTCATAAGTTACTACTGTATGGCCTAGATTATTGTGCCTTCAGTGGATAAAAGGAGGAGGGTAAAGAAGTGTAAAAATAGTTAAATAAAAAGGCTACATGGGGATTATTAATTTTTAGGTAATTTTTCAGTCATTCAAAAAATGTATTTTAAGTTCTTACTATGTGTCAGACACTGTTTTTGGGTGATGGAACTATAGAAAGATAGCTTTCTGTTCTCAGGAAGTTTACATTCCAGGGAGAGTATATTATGTTATATTACATGACATTATACTATACATTAAGTACTATATCTTTGCAATTTATGCTATATATTATATAATATATTAAGTAATATTGTGTCGATAGACATTTTAGAAAGTGTATTACTACTATGTTAGTGAGATTATATACATATGTATATGTGTGTGCATATATATATTATATAGACACAAAAATAATTAGTATGAAGAAAAATAAAGCATTGTGAGATTATGGTGTTGACATTCTAGATGAGATGGTCAGAGAGACGACATTAGAGCAGGGCCCTGAAAAAAGTATGTCAGTAAGTTATAGAAGAAATAGGGGTAGAGTATTATAAGCAGAGGGAAACTGAAATGAAGTCTTAAAGAAAGACTCAGCTTTATTTCTTCAAGAAAAAATAAGAACTTCTGTGTGATCAAGCATCGTGAGTCAAGTGAAGCATGGAAGGCCATGATGTTGGAGAGCTGGGCTGAGGCTGGACTGTGAAGGGGCTTTCTATGCTGTGCTAAGTGCTTGGAACTCAGAATAAGTCAGTCATCGATACATAATACATAATCAGTACCTAAATACCAATGAAAGTCAATAGACAGGAAAAATTCCCAATGACTGAACCTAGGGAACTCCTGTATTTAGAATTGTGAAGAATGATGAGGGACCATCTGTGTCAAATATCACTGCAAGATTGAGGAAGACAAGGACTGATAATTGTCCTTTGTATTTGCTGCCCTTCATAGGAACAGTTTAGTGAAGTGCTGGAGACAAAAGCCTGAAATAGGAACTTTGGGACTTGGAATGAAAAATGAAGAAATTGAGCTATTGAAGGAAGGGATGTGGGGGAAATGAAATCTTTCTTCTAAGATGGGAGCTATCATTTCATACTTGTAAGACAACAGGATTGGACAGATGGAGATCGTGATGGGGAGAGTATTCCTGGAAGAGCAAACTTCACTAGCAATGATCACAGGTCTGGCTAATACTGAGGGTAGAGGGGGGAATAAGAGTCATATTGTCTGATCTTATCAAGTTTAGTCTCAAATTTCCAACCCTAAAAGCTACTGAAAGCACTTTGCATTATCAATATTGAGATGGCAATATAAAATAATATTTTTGTACTTTTTCAAAGTTGTACCCTATGTAAACAGTTGATAGTAGAATATAATAGAGCCTAAAGTCAACAAGTAGCTTCAGTTCCTCTTGAATCAGCCTTACAAGTGATGAGTTATGGGTTGTTGGTAAATATGTAACCACAAACTCTCTGGAGAAAAGAAAACACCCTGATTTACAATGACTGCCAATTATTGTAGTGTAAATACTCTTACCATGGATGATTTAGGCTACCAACTATTTAACAAGCAGGTTACAACATTCCTGAGTATTTAACAAGCAGCTCTCATATGTGTAGGAGTCAGCTCCTGCACACCATGGCCAGTTATAATTTCAAAATTACAATCCCTCCTTGAAGACAGAAACTGTGCCTGGTCCATTTCTCTATCTCTTTAAGCACTGAGTATGTCGATTTACCTAATGTAGCCACACACTAAATATTTGGTGAAAGAAGGAAGGATGGCAGGTGCTCTGACTAATATCTGGAATAACATCTGCAACTGCAACTCTGCCTAGAACACGCTTGCCTGATTCTGCCTTACATGACTCACCTTAATTGTCACATTGTTAGAAGGGTCTCTCTACTTATTCTAAACAAGTAGATTCTTCACAATTATTTTATCTCTCTGCACTCTGTTTACTTTATTCATAGTATTCATCATGATTGTTATCATTTTACACCATTTGTTTATTTACTTATCTAACTAACCTACCAGACTATAATTACAAAATAGAGCAGGGACTATTTTATTCCCAGTGCATAAATGGCACTCAGAATAGCACCTAACCCATAATACACAATTAATATACTTTCACTAAGTGTTTTTACATGATTTATCAGTAAAAATCAGGCTATTTAACAAAATATTTAATCTTATTGGTAAATTATTTTGATATCTACAATATCATTATTCTTTATTTTCCATTTTCTTATTAAAATAGAAAGTTCATGTTGTTAATGTTCACCAACTTTGTTTTCTATATATAGATGTCATTGTCATTTTGAAACTGTGTAATACTTTGTTAGTTTTATATTCTAGAATGTTATCCATGTTCTCTGTGCTTATTTTCGAAATTCACATATGCTGTCATACACACATTAAAAACAGAGGCAAACACCAGTAGACAAAGAAAAAGACATTTATCCTACTAACATGCATTAGAAAATGTGAATTTTTATATACAAATAAAATACCAAAGACCTCTTTCCTGATACAGCTACAGAGACCTCCAGCGTAGGATTATACAGCCTTGCTCACCTGTTTTTTTATGATGCCCTTTGCTAACACTGTTTCCTCTGATTGGAATGTCCTTCTCATCAGAGTCTCCACCATCAAAATTCTACTTCTTAACAAATGCCATCTTTACTGTCCAGTTGTGAAATGTTTCTCATTTTCATACATCACTCACTAAAAAAATGAGTATTTACTAAGAAACATCTATGTATGTTTCCGGGACTAAGTAATTACAAGTAATTCAAGATAAATAAGATAATGGCCTGGCTGCAAGGAGCTTACTGTACAGATGGGATTCAGACAAATAAGCCCATGGGCTTCACACAGGGTCAGGTGGGAAGCGCTAATCAAATTTGAGCAGTCAGGAAATGCTAGAAAAGGCAGTGGTTATCCTGAGTCATATCCTCTCCAGATGTGTTTTCCTCTTCATTCAAGTCCTACAAGACATTTATTTTCCTTATGATGTTGGTAAAGTTTTATGCTTATTTAGATATTATAAGTGTATTTTATACATCATGAATATGCTTATTTCTATATGTGTTTTTATTTGTTAACACATCATCTTTATTTCTCATTCATGTCAATTAATTATCTGGCTGGTGGCCTACCAGCTTACTCAGGATCTGGGCTCCTTCCACGTAGTGGTTGCTCCAAATACTCCATTGGCTTCTCTGAGTCTGGCTAGGAGATGAGAGAAGAGAAATATCCTGCAGAGAACCTCAGGAACAATTGCAGGAGTCACCTACCACACTAGATACATTCAAATGGCCATAGGTAGGCACATGTGGCCTCAATTAATTTTACCTATGATTAAACAGTGAACTGAATTATGCAACTAATTTCTAATATAATGGTAATAACCATTAAAGTATATTTATTTATAATACCTTCCCATTCTTTTTATCTGAAAAAAAAAGTTAAAAGTTTAATTGCATACTTTTCAATATTGTTCCTGTCTAGCACTAAGTCCACACATCTGGTAGAGAATTCTCATTAACATTCCATGCTGGGGAGTGAGGTACTCAAAGAGGCACTTCTTCCTTGAGTTAAATATGCAGTCTTGGTCCAGACACAGCTGTGGGTCACCAGGAGGTTTGGCTGTTGAACACAACACTTTCTGTCTTCTGGTTTATAAACACTAATTCAGCAATTTGAAGTGAGAATTTTTTCCAGAATTTTATGAAAATGTGGCATTTTTCAAAGCACTCATCCAAGAAAAGATCTAGCTACAAACTCTATCCATGGACAATACCACCATGTTTCCCAATTTTTCCCTTTAAAAAGTGAATGAATTTGTGTTACAATGCCTTCTAGGTAGAAGTTGTTCCTAGGTACACTCCAGTACCATAGTAAAGGCCAATGACAGCTGTAATAATTTCCTAAATGTTGTATGAACTGAGAATAGGCATAACTGCTAAAGATTGGGTGATCATATAATTTATCTTGTAAGATGATATAAGTTAGCATCAAGTCTGATTATCAACACAGCAAGAATTACATATCATGAAATTGATGTATATGACATAGACATATGAAGCTAAGAAGATCAACATGTGCAATTAAAATATTCCATCATTAGGGTTATAAATTCACTTCTAACAATGCCTGATACAACAGCTGAGCGCCCCCCGATAGAGCTATAATCCATCCTAATTATTTTTAAAATTATGTAACTTTAGCGGTTTATACATACATAGATGCAGAAAGTTTGGAAAATAATGAAAATTATGAAGAATATCTTCCATATACTATAATACCAAAAGATGAGCATTATAAGATTTTGAACAAAAAACCAAACACCGCATATTCTCACTCATAGGTGGGAATTGAACAATGAGATCACATGGACACAGGAAGGGGAATATCACACTCTGGGGACTGTTGTGGGGTGGGGGGAGGGGGGAGGGATAGCATTGGGAGATATACCTAATGCTAGATGACGAGTTAGTGGGTGCAGCGCACCAGCACGGCACATGTATACATATGTAACTAACCTGCACAATGTGCACATGTACCCTAAAACTTAAAGTATAATTTAAAAAAAAATAAATAAAAATTAAAAAAAAAGATTTTGCTATATTTTACGTGTATCTATGTATATATGCATGTCAATATTTGATATAAATGACAATATTTCAAAATATATTTTAAATAAAATTAGGCTTCACATAGTTTTGTGTCCTTATTTTTTTAACTGACTAAGAATTTTCCAACATTGAAAACAAGACTCAGAGTACATCAAATAGAATTCTTCTTTTGCCAGCCACAAATACTGAATTGAACTAATGTAGCAAATATGAAATTAAAGGAAAAATATGAGTGAACACACAAAATCAAAGGGACTTGTTAAGGACAGGAAGCAAGAGTGGAATTGAAAATACCTTGAATGGCATGAAGCACTCTACCTTTCTGAACCAAAGCCAACCACACAGCTGTTGAGCTAGGGATTACCCCTTTATTTATTGGAATAGTGGGTCATGCAGAGGGTACTTGGACAGAGGCTGGGTTAGCTGTGGCAATGAAGGACTCTCAGAGGGCAACAGCTACTTATGAATAAGTTTAGAAATAATTTCATATTTTGAAATTATTTCAAACCAGAAAGGCAGAACAGTGTATCCAGTGGGATGTCAGCCATAGCAGAAATCAGAGAGCCCTGGTGAAACTTATTAGCAAACATTGCTTGAGAGGCTTGTCTAGGCACGAGCAATGAAAGGAAGAAATAAATATTTCATCTTTCCTTTCTGTCCATGGGCAAAATATTCAAACTTCAGGTAAGGACTCCGTTGGCTTACCTTGGGTCAAATGTCTATCCCTTGGCTAAGGGGATACGGGACACCTAATCTCATATCCAGTAGGGGAGAGATTTTTGGAAGTATGATTACCAAAGCAAGGTGGAATGAATACTGCCATTTGTGTGAAGATATCATAGTTTAATTTACCATCTCCTCTTTGTCAGACCTTTGAGGTGTTTCTAATTTTATTAATTATATATATGCTACTATATATATATGTGTGTGTGTGTATATATATGCATATGTATATATAAAATAATACATTTTCCCACTACCTTAATTTTTTAAATTTTTTATTTCATTTTTATTTTAAATAATTTGGTGCATACATAGTAGGTGTATATATTTTTTATATTATGTGTATTATATAACTCCATAAATCTTTGCTCTTAACTCTGATTTTTAAAATTGTTTGTTTTTTGTTCAGAATGAGCAATTGCGTAAAGCTGAGTCCTGGAAGGCTGCCTGTAGGGGGCAGTATGTGGTCTGGCCTTAAGGACAAACGGAATTTTCACCGGAGAAGACTGTGGCGGGGGCTTTTCAGGAGGAATGAATAGGAAGAGTACAGGAGGCTGTATAGCAGCAGGTGGCTTTGTTTGGTTGGAAAACACTCCAAGTGAAAAGGCATTGTGAAGAATGGAAGAGCTACTGAGAAACCAGCCTATGGAGTTTGGCTGTCTCTCCTAGTCACAAATAAGGAGCTGTTACTGGTTTTTGTCAAAAGAACAGGATGATCACATCTGTGCCTTAGGACACTTTAGATGGGGCAGAACAGGTACAGGGGATGTGGTGGGGGAAGAAATGACTCGATTTCAAACAAATCAAATAAATTACTTTGATGTTTAAAAAAAAAAAATAAAATTGTTTGTTTTTATAGAAATAGTGTTACTGGGTAAACAGGTATGAAAATCATTGAACTGAGATATAATGGGAAATTACTTTCTACAAAGATGGTACCAACCTATATTCTGACTAGCAGTGGTTTAAAGTGCTCTCAAGAGTACTTGATAATACATTTAATTTTTTTTTTGTACTTACAATGGGCCAGTAACCATTTCAGTCTCCAGAAATATGGTGGCAAACATACATCTTTGCTACTGTAGAGCTTAAATTCTAAATAGACAAGAGCATTTCACAACTGGTAAGTGCTATAAAGAAAATTAGGGGAAGAAAGTGGAAAGTTATTGCCATCTGAGGCTATAAGCACATTAGATAAAGTGACCAGGAAGATTCCTTTGAGGAAGTGATATTTAAGCTGAGACCTGAATAATGAGAAGGATCTACCCCATGAAGACCAACGGGAAGAATTTTTTTTTTTTTCCCACTACCCTAATTTTTACTTAAAAAAATTTTGTGAGTACGTAATAGGTATACATATTTTGGGGGTACATGAGAAGTTTTGATACCAGCATGGAAAGTGAAATAAGCATATCATGGAGAATGGGGTATCCATACTCTCAAGCATTTATCTTTTGAATTATAAACAATTCAATTACACTCTTACAGTTATTATAAAATGTACAATTAAGTTATTATTGACTATAGTATCCCTTCTGTTGTGTTGAGTAGTAGGTCTTATTCGTTCTTCTAACTATTCTTTTTTGTACACACTAACTGTCCCTATCTCCCATCCAGACTCCCACTACCCTTCCCAGCCTCTGGTAACCAACTATCTACTCTCTATATCCATGAGTTCTACTGTTTGATTTTTAGATCCCACAAATAAGTGAGAACATGTGATGTTTGTCATTCTGTGCCTGGCTTATTTCACTTCACATAATGATCTCCATTTCTATACATTTTGTTGCAAATGACTGGATCTCATTCTTTTTTATGGCTGAATAGTACTCCATTGTGTATCTGTATCACATTTTCTTTATCCATTTATCTGTTAATGGACACTTAGGTTGCTTCCAAATCTTACTTATTGTAAACAGTGCTGCAACAAACATGGGAGTGCAGATAGCTCTCAATATATTGACTTCCTTTCTTTGGGGTATATACCCAGCAGTGGGATTACTGGACCACATGATAGCTCAATTTTTAGTTTTTTTGAGTGTATTAGTCAGGATTCTCTAGAGAGACAGAACTAATAGGATACATGTGTATATAAATGGGAGTTTATTAAGGAGTATTAACTCACATAATCACAAGGCCCCACAAAAGGCTGTCTGCAAGCTGTGGAGCAAGGAAGCCAGTCTGAACCCCAAAACAGAAGAACCTGGAGTCCAATGTTCAAGGGCAGGAAGCATCCAGCATGGGAGAAAGATGTAGCCTAGGAGGTTAGGCCAGTCTAGTGTTTTCACGTTTTTCTGCCTGCTTTTATTCTGGCCATCTGACAGCTGATTAGATGGTGCTCACCCATATTAAGAATGGGTCTGCTTTTCCCAGCCCACTGACTCAAATGTTAATCTCCTTTGGCAACAGCTTCACAGACACACCCAGGAACAATACTTTGTATCCTTTAACCAAATTGACACTCAATATTAACCATTACATTGAAGGACCTTCAAACTGTTCTTTACAGTGGTTGTACTAATTTACATTCCCACCAACAGTGTGTGAGGGTTCCCTTTTCTCCACATCCTCATCAGCATTTTTTATTGCCTGTCTTTTGGATATAAGTCATTTTTACAGGGGTGAGATGATATCTCATTGTAGTTTTGATTTTCATTTCTTTAATGATCAATGATGTTGAGCACCTTTTCATATGCCTGTTTGCCAATTGTATGTCTGCTTTTGAGAAATGTCTATCAAACTTTTGCCCATTTTTTTAATCAAATTATTAGATTTTTTTCCTACAGAGTTGTTTGAGCTCCTTATATACTCTGGTTATTAATCCCTGGTCAGATGGGTAGTTTGCAAATATTTTCTCCCATTGTGTGGGTTGTCTCTTCACTTCGTTGATTGTATCTGTTGCTGTGCAGAAGCTTTTTAACTTAATGTGATCCCATTTGTCCATTTTGGCTTAGGTTGCCTGTGCTTGTAGGGTATTGCTCAAGAAATACTTTGCCCAGACCAATGTCCTGAAGATTTTCCCCAATGTTTTTGTAGTAGTTTTATGGTTTGAGGTCTTAGATTTAAGTCCTTAATCAATTTTGATTTGATTTTTTTTGTTTATGGTGAGAGAGAGGGATATAGTTGCATTATTCTGCATATAGATATCCAGTTTTCCCAGCACCATTTATTGAAGAGACTGTCTTTTTGCCAGTATATGTTCTGGCACCTTTGTTGAAAATGAGTTCCCTGTAGGTGAATTTGTTTGTTGGTTCTCTATTGTGCTCTATTGGTCTATATGTCTGTTTTTATGCCACTACCATGCTGTTTTGGTTATTAAAGCTCTGTAGTATAATTTGAAGTTAGGTAATGAGATAACTCCAGTTTTCTTCATTTTACTTGGGATATCTTTGGCTATTCTGGGTCTTTTATGGTTTCATATAAATTTTAGGAATGTTTTTTCTATTTCTGTTAAGAATGCCATTAATATTTTGATAGGAATTGCATTGAACCTGTAGATTGTTTAGGGTACCATGGACATTGTATCAATTTTGATTTAAGAACATGGAATATTTATTCCTTTTTTGGTGTCTTCAATTTCTTTCATCAGTTCTCACAGTTTTCATTGTAGAGATCTTTCACTTATTTGATTAGGTTAATTCTTTGGTATTACATTTTATTTGTGGCTATTGTAAATAAGATTACATTTTAAATTTCTTTTTCACATTGTTCACTGTTGGCATATGGAAATGTCACTGAATTTTGTATGTTAATTTTGTATCCTGAGTCTTTACTGAATTTGTGTATGAGTTCTAATAGTTTTTGGTATCATCTTTAGGTTTTTCCAAATATAAGATCATATCATCTGCAAACAAAGATAATCTGCCTTCTTCCTTTTGAATTTGGATGCCCTTTATTTGTTTCTCTTGTCTGATTGTTCTAGCTAAGACTTCCAGTAGCGTATTGAATAACAGTGATGACAGTGGGCATTCTTCTTGTGTTCCTGACCTTGGAGGAAAGGCTTTCAGTTTTACCCCATTCAGTATGGTACTAGCTGTGGGTATGTAATATATGGCTTTTATTATGTTGAGGTATGTTCCTCCTGTCCTGAGTTTTTTGAGGATATTTACCATGAAGGGATGTTAAATTTTATCAAAAGCTTTTTAAGCATTAATTGAAATGATCATATGGTTTTTATTCTTTAGTATGTTTATATGATGTATCACATTGATTGATGATTGCATATGTTGAACCATTGTTGCACCCCAGGAATAAATCTCACTTAGCCATGATGAATGATCTTTCTAATGTATTGTCGAATTTGGTTTGTTAGTATTTTGCTGAGAATTTTTGTATCACTATTCATCAGAGATATTAACCTGTAGTTTTATTTTTTTGATGTGTCTTTGGTTTTGGTATTAAGGCAATATTGGCCTCATGAGATGAGTTTTGAAGTATTCCCTTCTCCTCTATTTTTTGGAATTGTTTGAGTAGAACTGGTATTATTTCTTGTTTAAATGTTTGGTAGAACTCAGCAGTGAAGCCATCAGGTCCCAGGCTTTTATTTTTTTATTTTTATTTTTATTTTTTTACTTGGAGCCTTTTTTTTTTACGGCTTTGATCTTGTTACTTGTTATTGGTCTATTCAGTATTTGAATTTCTTCTCGGTTCAATTTTGGTAGGTTGTAAGTATCTCAGAATGTTTCCATTTATTCTAGATTTTCCAGTTTGTTAGCATATATTAATAGTTCCTCATAGTAGCCACTAATGTCCTTTAAATTTCTGCAGTATCAGTTCTATTAACTTGTCATTTCCAATTTTATTTAGATCTTCACTCATGTTTTTTTAGTCTGACTAAAGATTAATTAATTTTGTTTAATTTTTCAATACCTATATAAGGTGATGGATATGTTAATTAGCTGGATTGTGGCAATCATTTCACAATATATATGTATGTCAAAACATATTGTACACCTTCAATATATATGATTTTCATTTGTCAATTATATCCCAATAAAGCCAGAAAAAAAGAATCTCCAAAACAAAAAACAAAACAAAAAACAAAAAAACAGCATTTTGTTCCATTGATCTTTTCTTTTTTTTTTTACATTTCAATTTCATTTATTTCTGCTCTGATCTTTATTATTTCTTTTCTGCTACTAGTTTTTGGTTTGGTTTGCCCTTGCCTTTCTAATTCTTTAAGATGCATCATTAGACTGTTCATTTGATGTTTTTCCTGTATTTTGATGTGGCACTTATAGCTATAAACCTCTGTCTTAGTGCTGTTTTTTGCTGCATTCCATAGGTTTTGGTATGTTGTGTTTCCATTATCATTTGTTTTGAGAAATATTTCAATTTCCTTCCTAATTTCTTCATTCACCCACTGGTCATTCAGAGCATATATGTTTAATTTCTATTTATTTGTATAGTTTCCAAAATTACTCTTGTTAATTTCTAATTTTATTCCACTGTGGTCAGAAAAGATATTTGATATTATTTTAATTTTTTAAAATGTTTTAAGACTTGTTTTATGACCTAACATACAGTCCATCCTTGACAGTAGTTCACGTGATGAGAAAAAGAATGTGTTTTCTGCAGCTCTTGGATGAAATATTCTGTAAATATCTATTAGATTCATTTTGTTTATAGTGCAGATTAAGTCTGATGTTTCTTTGTTGATTTTCTGTCTGGAAGATCTGTCTAATGCTGAAAGTAGTATGTTCAAGTCTCCAGCTGATATTATATTAGGTCTATCTCTCTCTTTAGCTCTAATAATATTTGCTTTATATATCTGGATGCTCCAGAGTTGGGTGCATATATATTGAAAATTATATCCTCTCATTGAATTGACCCCTTTATCATTATGTAGTGACCTTCTTTGTCTCTTCTTACAGTGTTTGTCTGAAAGGTCACATATTTCTGTTTCTTCAGGATTGGTCCCTAGTACCCTATTTAGTTCATTTGGTGAAGTCATGTTTTCCTGGATGTTGTTAATGCTAGTAGATGTTCTTCGGTGTCTGGGCATTAAAGAGTTAAGTATTTATTGTAGTATTCACTATCTGTGCTTATTTGTACTTGTCCTTCTTGGGAAGGCTTTCCAGATATTTGAAAGGACTTGGGTGTTGTGACCTGAGCTGTATCTGCTTTAGAGGGCACCCCAAGCTCAGTAATGCTGTAGTTCTTGAAGACTCATATATGTACTGCTTTTATCATCTTAGACAAGAACCAGGAGAACTATCTGAATTACCAGAGAATTGTTGTAGACTCTTGTTCTCTTCCCTTACTTTCTACCAAACAAACAAAGTCTCACTGTCTGTTTTAAGCCATCTAAAGCTTGTGGGTGAAGTGACACAAGCAACCCTGTGGCCACCACCCCTATGACTGCACTGGGTCAGACTTGAAGACAGCAAAGTGCTAGGTCTTGCCCAAGACCTTTTATAACCACTCCCTAACTACTGCCTATGTTAGCTCAAGTCCCTGGGGCTCTACAATCAGCAGGTAGCAAAGCCAGCTAGGCCTGTGTCCTTCCCTTCAGGGCGGTGAGTTCCCCCAGGTCCCAGTGGGTCCAGAAGTGCTATCTGGGAGTCAGGGACTAGAGTCAAAAACCTTAGAAGTCTACCTGGTATTCTATTGTATTGCAGCTGAGCTGGCACTCAAACCGCAAGTTGTAGTCCTTCCCACTTTTCCCTCAACTTTCCAAAAGCAGAGATACCTCACCCCATAGCCACTGCCACCACAGTCCACAAGGGGTACTGCCAGTCTGTCGCTGACATTCCCTAAAGTTCCAATGTCTCTTAAGTTAGCTTATCGTGAATGTTGCCTGGCCAGGAACTCATTCTTCAGGGCAGTGGGTTCCCTCCTGGCCCAGGGCAGGTCCAGAAATGCTGTCCAAGAGCCCACTTGGTGTTCTGCCCATCTGTGGCCTTTCTGGTACCTACGGTGCAAGTCAAAATCCCCTTTACTTTTCCCTCTGATTTTTATAAGCAGAAAGAGTTTTGCCACATAGCCACCACAGCTGGTAATGTGCTGAGTCTCACCTGAAACCAACAAGTCTGAGAGACCCATCCAAGGCCCTCAATGTAGTACTTGGATATCACTGCTGGTTATTCAAGGCCCAAGGTAGCATCTTCAGGTAGTAGGTGATGAATACTGCCAGGAATGGGACCTTTACTTCAAGGCAGTGGGTTCCCTTCTAGCCCAGGATGTGTCTAGAAATGCCTTGGAGCTGCGGCCTGGAATGGGGGCCTCACAACTGTGACTGGTGCCCTATCTTGCTGTGGCTGAGCAGGTATGCAGGAAGCAAGACAAACACCTCCCCCTTTTTTGCTTTCCTCTCCTAAAGCAGAAGGATAAGATCTCTTTTGGAGCTGTGAGATGTGCAGGCTGTGGCTAGGGGAGGGGTGACGCCAGCACTCCCTCGGCTGCCCCAGCTGGTGTCTCAGTATGTCATGTGCCCTCCCAGTCCACTATCTCTGGGCCTAGTTCAGCACTGGGCCTTGCCTAAGAGATGCAGTCCTTATGGCCTAGACTGTCTTTCAAGTTTCCTTGGAGACACAGAGTGCTATAGCCTGTTGTGGTGAGGCTTGTAGGCACTTAAGTTCCAAATGCTGGGATTGGAGATTCCCTTCTGGCTGGGGCTGGTTTAAGTGCTTCCTCTATGGGTGGGCGTCAGCTGAGTTTGGTCTGGTTTTCCTTTCTACTCTCCTAAGATAGCCCTGAGTTCAATGCCTTACAAATACTATGCTGTCCTTCCCCTAATACCCAGAGATTGTTTCCCAGCACCATGCCACCTCTGCTGAAGGGCAGGAGAGGGGTGACATCAGTGGCTCAGGACTGTTTTTTCCTATCTCTTCAGTGCGTCTTTCAGTGATATGAAGTTAAAACCAAGTACTATGAGTGCCCACCTGATTTTTGGTTCTTATCAAGGTTTTTTTCTGTGTAGATAGTTGTTAGCTTGGTGTCCTTGCTGAGGGGATGATTGGTGGCACCCTTTACTCAGCCATCTTACCCAGGAACAACTTTCTTAACTGGAGGAACAGCAAGTGCTAATGACCTAAGGCAGGAAGGGGCTTAATACGTTTAAGAAAGGAAAACATGCCAGTGCTGCTGAAGATGAATGAACAAAGTGCCGAGTAGGAGAAGATGAGAAGAGCAAGATACGGGAGGGCCAGATAATGCAGTAGCTTCCCCAACAAGGGCAGATATTGAGATTTTATTTAGTTATTGAAGAGTTTTAAACAGGACAAGGATATTATATTCATTTTCTAGGGTTGCCATAGCAAAGCACCAAAGACTTGGTGGCTCATAAAATACAACAGAAATGTATTTCCTCACAGTTCCAGGGGCTTTAAGTCCAAGATCGAGGTGTTCTTAAGATGAAGGTGTTGGCAGGGTTTGCTTCTTCTGAGGCCTTTCTCCTTGGCTTACACATGGCCGTCTTCTTCTGGTGTCTTAGCACAGTCTTCTTTCCATGCCTGCCTGTGTCCTACTCTCCTCTTCTAACAAGGACACCAGCCATATTAGATAGGGTCCACCCACATGGCCTAATTTTTACCTTCTTTAAAAGCTCTGTCTCCAAGATATAGTCACATTCTGAGGTATTGATGGTTAGGCCTTCAACATATGAATCGGGGGAACAAAATTCAGCCATAACAGTTATGATGTGATTTCTTGTTAAAAAGACAATATCAACCCCTCTTTAGTTTTTCTGTGGAGAATGGATTGTAGGGAGGCAGGAGTGGAAGTAAGGAGATACATTAGGAGGTATTTGTAACAATTCAGAAGGAGGTATTTATAACAGTTCGGTTAGAAGATGATAGAGACTTCAACAAGGCTGGTAGCAGAAAATGGAAAGTATTGAACAAATTTGGGATATGTTTAGAGGTTAATGGAACCAGCAGCTCTTCCTGATAATCAGTGTATTAGTTAGAGGGGGCTGAACTCTGGTACCAAATAGCCAGTGTGTGTTTGTGCCTCTGTGTGTATGTATGGACTTAAATAGAACTTTATTCCTCACTGTTGTACCAACCCAGGGAAGATTTTTTAATGTGAATTGGCAGCAGTCCTACAAATGATGATTCAGAGACTCAAATCTTTTCATCTTTTGGCTGACAGATATCCCCAGGAGCCTTATGATCATTTTCTCTAACTTTAAAAAGCAAGAAGAGAATATTGGCTTGAACTTCCAAAACAACTTTGGACAACAATGGTAAAATCTAGAATCCTTGCCATTTTCTTAATTTTAATGAGTATGCATACTGCCTTTTCTGTGGAATATAATTTATATTAATATGTGGTTGAAAAATGAATTCTGTATTCCGTTAGTTTGAAAAATGATGGTTAAACAAAATAGTCTGGTCTCCTCACTGGTAGACTTCTTGGAGCCTTTAAAATGCTATAAATTGTATAACACCAAGAATAGGCTGCCTTATCCAAAATTTTGACCATGTAGCCTCCTTTATTTAAGGAAACAATGTGCAAGATTGGTGTACAAAAAGCCAACAATTTGGGAAACAGTTGTTGAGCTCCATTTTAAGTACAAATCTGGCTATTAGTTTAAGGTAGTTTTTATTATATTAAGTATGGAACTTTCTGTTCCTACTTATTTAAGAGTTTGTTTTATTCAAAAATCAGTATGTATTAAATTTAATCATAAAATGGCATAAAAATCTATTGATATTACCATATGTCTATTTACTTCCAACCTATTGATAATGAGGTATTTAACTAATATTTTTGTAACATCGTACCGTCCTTTAATTCCTAAGATAAATTCTACTTGTTAAAGTGAATAGGTCTTTCTATGAGCTATTGAAATGTGTTAATTAAATATTTACCTAGAATTGTTGCATCACACAAATATAATTGTCTTTAACTTTATTCTTTTTGTGCAATTTTTAGCTTTTAGTATCATTATGAAGCTAATTCAAGCAAATGGTAGTGGCTGTACGTTGTTCTGAATCTTTGGAACGAGTCCATATTATATGAAATTTTAAAGAATGCCCCATAATGGACCTGGAGCTATCTTTATATGTAATTCTTTGAAAAAAAATTTTAGTTGCTTACATGGTTGTCAATCTGCTATTTCCTTTGTGTTTTAATTTTGCTATATATTGACTCATTTTTAATTATTTTTAATATCTATTTCACACATCTTTTTCAAAATTAACGAGCAAAAACTATTACATAGTTTTCTTACACTTTAGCAAATCTCTTTATTGTTGATACTTCCACATTCTCCTTTCTATTTTTGTTTTACTTCTGTTTTCTGTTTTTTGCCTAATTTTATTATACTGCCCCCCCTTTTTAAATTTTACTGCTAGCTTTTTCTAAAATAACCATATTTTAGATTTATTAATCTTTTAATGTTTCTATTTAATTTATTTATTTGTCTTTTGTAAAACATATGAAATCTTTCTTTTTCTCCATTTATTTAAACTTCATTAAGAACCTACATTTATAATAGCCAAATGCCTTTTTTAGGGCATCTTTACAGAAGACTAAATTTTAAAATTCACTTGCTATATTCCTTTCTGATTTTTGCCTTATTAACTATGAGTTAGCCACTTTAATCTTTTCCAAATATAATATATATTTAAATTAAATAAATATTAATAATAAATATTTAAAATGTTTCAGTGTTTGAGAAACAAGCTTTAATCTATATTTTTCTAATTATCAAAATCAAGTATAGTACAACTTTGACTACAATTTATAAATCAATGCTATTTACAACTCTTTTACTTTCCTCATTTCTCTACTTTCTAATAATTTCTAACTATGTGCCCTAAATATTATCCTTGGATTATTTCACTAAATATATTTTAATATGTTTTTAATATATTTAACTGTATTGTCATATTACTGTTGCCAGTGCTATTCCCCTAGCATTTCAATAGTGTCTTTCCTCTCTTGAGTCTTTTCTTATGTTCATCTTTTGGTTAGTTGGCATATTTGTTCAAAAAATGTTTTCCAGAGACATGTAGATGACAATAGGGTTTCTCTTGAGGTGGAGGGGAACTACCTTCCTCCTTCTGATCATTTTTTTCTTGCCCTAGAAGCTTAGGCATAAACAAGGGTCATTTCTTAATCCAGCATATTAATTCTATAGTTAAGATAATTTATCATGTAATTGACAAGTCATCAGTCAATATCCTGCATTTCTAATATTTTGAGATTTATGAATTTTTTGAATGAGTCTTAAACATGGAAAGTTGGAGAATCTAATCTCATCCACAATCAGAATTAAATATTAAAGTTTAGGAAGAAGACAGCATCTCTGAGATTTCTGTGTTTATATTGCAAGGGTCATAAAACTTTTTCTCTAAAAGGCCAAATTGTAAATATTTTAAGCTTTGTGGGATATACAGTCTTTGTCACAATGACTCAACTGTGCAGTTTCTGTGTGAAAGCCGCTATAGACAACATAGAACAAATGGATGTGGTTGTATTCCATCCGACTTTTTCAATGTCAGGTGTCACGCCAGATTTTTGCTCCACTATCAGTGTTTTATTGACTCTTCCTATAGTCCATTGCAATGTCATGATTAAATTGACACCATTCTGTCAAATAGTCTGTTACTGAGTTTCTGTGGCTGGCACAAGGCATTGGGATATTTGTAATGATCCCTGATTTCATGAAGTTTTCAGATTTCAGTCATGCAAATAGCCTAAGACCATAAATTGATTACAACCTTTGTCTTCAGTACAGCTACAATGTATTGATTCACAGCTATTTAGCAGAATGATGACAGACAAGATGTACATGATATTTTCCATGGAATAATATCATCAATGAGTATAGTCAATTTGCCCTAGTTATTACACCTAATTAATTCTTATTCTCAAGGGAATGAATCATGGCTTGAAGGTATGCATTAATAAGGTGAACACTCTGCTGATGCTGACCAATAAGAAGAAAATATTAAGATTAAGTTAAAATTGAGATGAAGTCATAGCCAGTCCAAACATGCTGGTTTGGAGTAACATGTTGGGCTAACATAGCCAGTCAAAACTTTCTATTTGATTAAAAGGTGTACAGACATTCAGGACAGAGCTGTGAGGGCAAGACAAAGATAAAACACCCTAACATTGGAGTTTGAATTGGGCCTCTGAAAGAATTTCCTTACCTACTGAGTAAATGTTTAAAAACATCCATTATTTTCACTATCGCTTTCATTATCCACTATCCATAATCACTATTCATTATCCACACATCCATTATGTTCATTGTGGAAGAATGAAGTTCTCCACCTTTGGTAGTTCAAATCATTTTCCTGAACTTTGAGAAAGACAAGCAGATCAGTGGGCATGTTCCTTGGAGAGGAGCAATGATATAACTCTCATTGATGAAAATACCTCAGGGTATTTTATTTAATTAGTTAATTTATTTATTTTTAAATTTTTATTTTTGGAGGATCATATTAATTTTCAATTGCTGTCATAGTGAAATCATAAACTTACTGTCTTAAAACAACAGAAATTTACTACCTTACAGTTATGCAGGTCAGACATCTAAAATCAAGGTGGTGGCAGGGCTGCATTCTTTCTGTTGGCTCCAGAGGAAATCTGTTTCTTTATCTTTTCTAGCTTCTAGAGGCTGCCTGCATTCCTTGGCTGTGATATGTTCAGGAGGCCAGGAAATACTGGGTAGAAGAGCATGGGGTCCCATGCAAGGGCTCCACCCTCAAGCCTGGGCCCCTGGCCCTAAATGAGAACTTCACATCCCTGTTTTCCCACCCGAATGCTGCTTTTTGGCTTGTCCTCCCCGCTATCCTATGCCCATATAAACCCCAGATCTCAGCTGGCAGAGAGACAAGCTGCTGGATATCAAGAGGAGAAGAAACTACTGAGAGTTGTCAGAGACTATGGATAGACACAGCTTAAATTCAGATGGCACAATTTCAGAGAGGAGGTGTCCAGGCTTTAGGGGAAGATCACCTTCTTCCCACACCATCCCCTTACCAGCGCCCTTCCACCAGAGCCACTTCCATCACTCAACTAAAAACTCTGCATTCATCACCTTGCAAACCGTTCATGTGACCTGATTCTTCCTGGACACCAGACAAGAATTCGGAATGCACTGAGTGCAGGAACACAAAAAGACTGTCACACTGGTCCTTTGCCCTTGCTGGCAGAGGGCAGCCACCCCATGTGATGAGGCAAAAGCCCTGCTGAGTTGGTAACACACCCTTTGGGGCACTGGGGATTGCCGGCACCCCCGCTTCCTGAAAGTCAGCAATAGAAGGCCGAGTACCTCTCATCTCACATTAATCTGACCTTCTCTTCTGTCCCACTTCTTCCACTTTTAAGGTCATTACATTGGATCCACCTGCATAATCCAAGGTAATCTCCATATTTTAATGTCATCTGATTAGCAACGTTACTTCTCTCTGCAAACTTCATTCTCCTTTGTCATATAGCCTAGTATATTTACAGGTTCAAGGAATTAGGATTCAGCCATCTTTGAAGCCATTTTTTCTGTGAAACACAAGGATAAAGTTATGCATAGAGTTAAATAAATTAAATTGAACTTTCCAATAGAGGTATTGATGGGTCCCTAGTCATCCTTACATCTGGTGTACCTGAAGAACGAGGCCAAGCATTTGTTGGAGAATTAGAGTATGCACTCAATTTTATTCTCAAAGCCCTAATTAGGATATCTTATTTACTTAGTGGTTAAAAACATGGGCTCTAAAACTAGAGAGCCAGCACCTCCAGATATAAGGCCTTAAATAGCTGACTTAGCCCTATAATTCAGTTTATTCATCTGTAAAATGGGGATAATAAAAGATCTATTTACCTTGTATAAAGTTGTTGGAATAATCAGAAGAGATAGCATCTAACCTCTTAGAAGGATTTCTGGAACATGGAAAGAGCACATGTACCAAGAGCAAAGGCACAGGTGACTGACTTACTTAAAGGATAATTTATTCCTCCCTTAATATTGTTTGCCTGGAGCACACAGACAAGGAGATAGGGAGTGGGACAGGGTGGGTTTTCTTAACTTTGATCTGGTGTTCATATTATTTTTATTGTGGAAGAATGAAGTTCTCCACCTTTGGTAGTTCAAATTCAAATCATTTTCCTGGACTTTGAGAAAGACAAACAGATCAGTGGGCACGTTCCTTGGAGAGGAGCAACAAGAAAATGCTCCATGAGACTGCTCTTCCTTGAGATGACCTGCATCCCCCATTTGGTGCAGTTTGATATATGAACTGGTAGAATTTGGAATATTGAATTCCACTCATTTTTGTGGTACTCTAGGCCACTCTGATATCCTCTTAACCCCAAATTATGTTTAATTAATAGTAGCTAAAATTCTGCTCTGCCATTATCTTAGTTAACAGAGGTAAACATATAATTAATATCTATATTGATAGGCATAAGTATTTCCATATATTCTGACTAATATGCCTTTATGTTTTACTGCTTTGACACATACAAAAATCTATATCCTAAGCAATATTTCTGAAGAATTCCTGAACCAAAGGTGGTTACAAAATGTTAGAATAAAAAAATAAGGAAACCTCAAATAATTAAAGGATTCTTTCCTAGGCGTCTTTAGGCCGCACTGGCCAGGTTTGAGATTTTGAGATTGAAGATTCAGGACTTATTTTTTTTCCAGCTTTATTGAGGTATAATGGACAAATAAAAATTGTATATATTCAAGATGTATAACATGATTTGCTATACATATACTGTACATTGTGAAATGATTGCCACAATCAAATTAATTAACACCTCCATCACCACACATAGTTATTATTGTGTGTGTCTGAGGGGGTGAGAATACTTAGTATCTACTGTCTTAGCAAATTTCAAGTATGCAATACAGTATCACTAGCTATAGCCATCATGCTCTGCGTTAGATCCCTAGAACCCGTTAGTCTTATAACTGAATGTTTGCACCCTTTGGGTAACATCTCCCCATCTCTGCCTGCCTGGCAACTACCATTCCACTCTCTGGCTCTATGACTTTGACTTTTTTATATTCCACATGTAAGCGAGATCATGCACTATTTGTCTTTCTAGACTGAGAGCCTATTAAGTTACAAAGGTCATTTGCAATACAGCAATCAGCCTTGGCTTCTTTAATACCATGTTTTACACAACTGGGTTCAAGTCACAGTTATTGTGAGAAGATGGCATGCCTGTAGTAATTTTTTTGTACTTTCTAATGAGTATTTATTATTTTGCATGATTTTCTTTTGTAATTTGAATTATATGTACTTATCTGAAAGATGATGACAAACTAATATTAACATTGTTTTGGTGGTATTCTATGCTATTTCCAGCATCCTTGTCAAATGGTTTGTGAACTTTCTGCTCTATTTCCTTAGGCTTGATTAAAACAAACAAAAAGTTTATGTCAGTCATTTTTTGTAGCTAAATAATATATAAAATGCATAAGGAAATAATATTTATTGAGCAGACTATACGCCCCAGACAGCTTAATTTATTTCAAACTCACAACAGTCATTCAAGAGACACATTATTAAGCCTATTACAGTTTAAGAAAATGAGTTGGAGAGGTTAAGCAACTAGCCAAATTCAGACAGCTGGTAAGCAACTGAAGGTAGATTCCTGTGTAAACTCTGAAGTCTCTGACTCCAAGCCCAGGTTCTAGTAACCATATTACTCTGTCTTGTTCAGACCCCGTTTATCAAACTGAATGTGCTAGCCAGAGTGATGCTACCTGATAGTTATGAAGTACTGCAGTCAGTCTTAAATCAGAATTTCCCTGTGGATTTTTAGACCTGTAAATAGCACTCCATTTAACCTGGCGGTACATGAATGGAAAGCCCTGCACTCTGGCACAAGGACATTTCCATTACTCTGCTTTCTGCTGATTCAAAACATTACATGGATTTATATAGTGGGAGTAACTGGATTATATGTGTGTCAAAGAGAGTCAAAAGAATAAAATAAAATATATACTTAGGAAAAAACTATATCCCTACAGAGTTCAGTATTAGAAGTTATATAAAATAATTGATGTTTACTTCAGATCTATTCTTCTAAACAAAACGAAACAAATCTACCAATTTTATTTGTCCAAAATTCATCATCAACAGGCTTACTCACTCAGATACTCCATTGTGTGGACAGACAGACCACTTGCACTCACCAAAAAGGTCTAACACGATATGGAAACATTATAGTTAGCCTATTTCTATTTGAAATTTTATATGCTAACAAAATAAACAATGTCTCTTGCATGATATGATTTCCATTCTACTAAGGTTTTCAAGTCTTTCTGCTATTATCTTATTTTACTAAGCAAGTGTTTATTCATTTCCCTGAGAAAAGAATTTTACTTTTTCCACTTCAATAGTCATACACAATCCTCCCCAGTTACTTACAGTGTAACATCTGGTATTTCTAAATAAAACACCAGAAAACCTCTGAATCATAGTAGGAAGAACTAACTAAAATATCAAGTAGTGTAGAAATGATATACTTCACAGAAGGGGAAAAAAAAAAACCTTCCTGCTTGATATAATTGCTCTTTAGAGATCACAAACAATGCTTACATTCTTGCATCTGTGTGGAACAGATCCTTTATGGCATTAAAGGCCTAACTGTTCATTTGATGCCCATGTGTAATTCCTTTTAGAGAAACTAAAAATAAGCTTCCAACAGGCTTACTCACTCACATACTCCATTGTGTGGACAGACAGCAAACAGGGGCAGAGAGCTAAGCCTTGACCCACTTACCACCCTCAGATGGTTCTGATCAATGTCTAAGAACCTATTAAAACCTTACTATTAGGGGATTAAAGGAAATAACAGATTCATCCTGGTTCCCCAGAGCTTTTGCCTTTTTTGGGACAAAATGGGCAAGGTTTTTTGTTTTTTTTTTTTGTTTTTGTTTTTTTTTCCAGATCTTTCCCTGAAGGTATGCCAATGAAATTATATACTCTCATCCTATAAAATGTAGTCAAACTTGATACAGAAACTAGTTCATGAAGATCCACAGAATTCCTATATTGTTACCTAAGAATTACATTTTAAATTCAAATAATACAAGAACTATTCTTTGTTCATGCAGTATATTTGCTTGCCTACAAAAATAATCAGAGTTCCCTGAGCCCTTGTGTTTCAGCAGTTTACAATATTAAATGGTCAACCCCCCTGAGTCCAGCTATCCACATTGCTTGCCCCCATCCTTCCTCCAGGCCATTCACCTGGTTCTCAGGCCTTCTCAGCTGTTCTTTCTGTTCTGCTTTTTGGCTATCACACACTGTCTCCCTTCCTGTTTCTAATGGGTAGATAATTTATTGCTCTCCCCTTCTTGTTACACAGCCTCACTATGTGAGCCCATAGATTCCTTTGTAGGTGGTATTCCTGTTGTTGGACCTGTGGTCTCTCTGGCTGCAGGAAAGGGGTATTGATGATACCTCTAGAAACCTAAGCCACAGTCCAGGCTCCAGCCCTGAGATGCAGGGTCCAGCCTCAGTTTGGCCTCTCACCCACTTAATATAAAAACAATTATCCAGTGAATGAGCAAAGCTATTCTTGGACTTAGAATATTTCTACTGGGCTTTAAAACTTTCCACCTTTATATTGACACAGTCAATAAGTTGCTCTTATATTAAGGCAACATAAATTTATTTTTAGCAAAATTATGCTGATGCTTGATCATTAGACCAAACTCACAAAAATGAAAAAATAAATTATAAGTATTTAGAACTTAATTATTGGTTTCCAGTTTGATACTGAGCTTAAGGACCTGATAAAAGTGTCTTTACATTTCCATCATTGACTGATCTTTCTACAGACAAGTTTACTCTGTTTCTATTCAAGCTCTGATAATCACTAAACCAAGAGGTTTACTTCACACCTTCTTTTATTTTCCTTGCTTCCCTATTGTACAATAGCAAAAGCCTGGACCGGTGGGTACACCAGAGATATCTTGTCCCTAGCCCTTCCTTAAATATTTCATATCCTCAGGTACTGTTTGCCCTCACTTGCTTTTCTTTCTCTTTCTTTTTGCCCTCACTCAGTTGCTTTTCTTTTTTTTTCTTTCTTTTCTTAGTCTTTTTTTTTTTTTGGTAGTGGCATGATCACGGCACAGTGTAGCCTTGACCTCCTAGGCTCAGGAGATCCTCCTGAGTAGCTGGGATTACAGGCGCCTGCCACCACACCCGAATAATTTTTTGTATTTTTAGTAGAAATGGGGTTTCACCATGTTGGTCAGGCTGGTCTCAAACTCTTGACCTAAGGTGATCCACCAGTCTCGGGCTCCCAAAGTGCTGGGATTACAGACATGAGCTACCGCAGCTGGCCTGAAGTGTATTTTCTAAAATAATCTATAAGTTCTCCATATAAGATCTTATTAAATACTTGAATCAATGACAAAACAATAAAATAATTTGTTTCTGATGCCTAAGAAAAATAAAGCTTTGCTAATAGTTACCATATTTGTAGATACATAGAATTTCAATTTAAAGGTTATGGTAATGGTTGAATTTTTCAACGTATTTCTTGATGGAATTTTTCCATATATAATCTGATTTTTCTGATGAATTATTTAATCTGTTTCAATGTGCTTTAAAATTGGGGGAAAAGGTTATGATAATGTATGGAAGCAGTATGGTGCTGTTGGTGACTCAAATTTAGGTATATTTATTACTTGGGTAGAAATTGAAAGAACTTGTAACATTTGCATTCTTTTGTATATAATTAAATACCACATGTATATATAATTTTAAATTTTTGCTAGCTTTTCACACAATTAACTTATTTGATCCTCTTAACAAATTCATAAGGTAGATGGGGTATATTTATTTTTAATACTATTTTGGAGACAAGTAAACTGGCATTAGAGGGGCTATATGGCTTTGGATTATGGTCTCATAAGTCATGCTCACTGGCACCATTCATTCCTTCATTCAAAAAATAGTCATCCCACTATGTTCCCATCACCCTTCTAAACAATGGGAATATGGTGATGAGCAAGATAAAAAATGTTTCTAAACTGATGTGCTTTAACCTCTGTTTCATCTGATAATAGAGATACCAAAGCTAAATAATTGTTTGAGCCTTGGATATGTTATTAGTACAGCGACCATAGAACTTATTGTCCAAACCAGGATACTTAATTATGAAATGAGGAGCTCTTTAAAAATATGCTGGTTCAAGAGGCATAAACTAGGGACTCTCTTGCAAACCAATCAGACTAATGGTCACCCTATTTATGGAGGCAGTCCCTTGATAAGCAAACCACTAGAGAACACCATCCTACTTATTTTTTAAAAGTTTCAGTCTATGGAATCAACCTAAATACCAAAGACTGGATAAAGGAAATGTGGTACATATATACCATGGAATACTGCACAGCCATAAGAAAGAATGAGATCATGTTCTTTGCAGTAACATCATTGGATCTGGAGGCATTATCCTAAGCAAGCTAATGCAGGAACAGAAAACCAAATATTGCATGTTCTCACTTATAAGTGGGAGCTAAACAATAAGTACACATGTACACAAAGGAGGGAACGATAGACACTGGGCCTACTTGAGGGTGGAAGTTGAGAGGAGGGTGAGGATTGAAAAGCTACCTATCAGGTAGTATACTCATTACATGGTTGATGAAACAATCTGTATGCCAAACCCCCACAACATGCCATTTACCTATATAAAAAACCTGCACATGTACCCCTGAACCTAGAACAAAAGCTAACAATAAAAATTAATAAAAGTTACAGTCTAATAAGAATTTCAAAATCTGACCTTCATTATTTTAGGGACTTCTGAATACACTGCTTTCCTCTATCAATTAAACAGGAAACTGCAGACTGAAGCAATAGGATGTTTTTGGGTGTAAGAAATAGAAAACTCAACTCAAAACTTGCTTATTCAGTTAATAGAATGTAATATCCTAAAATGTCTACAGGTAAAGCTGGCTCAGGTAGAGGCTTTATCTAATGGCCCAGCATCGACACGAAGGACCTGGTTTTGGTCTATCTCCTCGTTTGTTTTGATATAGGCTTCATCACAGGCAGTTACGCCTCAAGACCACCAGATGGCTTCCATAATCTCTCAGTTCTACAAATTCCTATAGTCCCATCAAGTAGGACAGTGTCATTGTCTTAGCAGAAAAAGTTGTTATAAATGTTCATCATTTATAGCGGCTAAGTTTATTTGACTATTTTGAACCATTCTCTGCATCTGGAGGATGAAGTGTGCTGATTGGCTTATCCTAATGTGATGTTTAATACTGAGTGTCAACTTGATTGGATTGAAGGTTGCAAAGTATTGATCCTGGGTATGTCTGTGAAGGTATTGCCAAAGGAGATTAACAGTTGACTCACTTAGATTTACTACCATATTTGGTAATGCAACTTCTTCTGCATGTGTGTGTGTGTGTGTGTGTGTATATATGTGTGTGTGTGTGTGTGTGTATATATATATATAGTTTGTGTGTATATGTATAATATATGACTGCACAAAGAACAAGCCAGTTTCTAAAACATCTTCTACAGCTTCTACTATTGTAACATTTATAAGGAAAAAGCTGTTTTTTGTTGTTATGAATATGTATTTGAAGCCCTCTAAAGGACAGTCACTGGCAAACAAGGAATCAGACAAATATTGAAAAACTTGTGGGTACAACTCAGTCAAAGAGTCGATTCTCCTAATAATTATCCAATTTTTTATAACCAAAATGTGGTTCTAAACTTTCTCAGAGACCCTCTTCTATGAGAGCCAATAATATAGCTAACTGTTAACAACCCCACAATACCAGGTTTACCCTTTAAATACAAGATGGAGTGCATAAACGGATGAAATGCCATGTACCCTAGACAACATGATCCATTTCCCTGGATCAGCAGCCCTCAAAATGCCTTGTCATTAATCCACTTGCAAGGCTCCCCAAACATGACAACAATTCTGGAAACCCCAAACCCCAGTCGACTTGGATAGGATAGCTAGGTCAACCTCTGCATCCATTTTTTATTTTCTCCCTACCATCATAAGTCCACAAAAAATGTCTGGACCTCTTTATGGTACAAGCCTAGAACCATTTCCAAGCTACCCAGAATGGCATTCCGCATGGTAACCGGAGTAGGGTGAAAGAGATGGCAGAGAAATTATTCACGCCTCAAACAAACTAAAGACTTTCCACCCTGCAATTTGGGCTTTCCTCAAGGTCCTACAGAAAGAACTGCATTCAGGAGCTTGGGTGGTCCTGTGTTGGCAGGGGCCAGAGGAGAAGTGAAGCAATGCATGAGGCACTAGAGACAAGCTTACAGAGTTAAATGCAGCTAAGATACTAACTCATCAGTCAACATCCACGCCTTTCTGTTTTGACGCATGCCGTTTTAAATTTAGTGATTTGTTCTTGGACAAAATGCCACATAATACTTTCTTTCATTCTTGAGTTTTCCATTCAGAACACTGTGTTCTAAAAGATACTAGTTTCCACCATGAAAAGCAATCATTGGTATGATTATGTGAATGGAAGATAAATCATTTAAATTTCTTTCCTTCTACTCTTATACTAACAGGATTAAAAGCTATAGAATGAAAGAGTAACAGGACAAGGACAGTCAGTACACAAAGGAAGAAATAAAACAACTCCATTAGTAGCCAAAGGAAAATCAAACTCATCACCACACAGTATTTTTACGTATTATATTGGCAAAAAATGAAAAATAATTGAAAATAAATTAGAAAACATCCAATGTTGTTTAGCATGTAAGGAAACAGACTGTCATTAACTGCTGATAAACATGTAAAGTGTCATACCCTTTCTGGAAAAAGATTTGGAATTGTCAGAGATATTTGATACATGCATAAAGGAATTTATGTGTCAAAGAGTATAATGTATTTGTAAGTGTTTATGCTGAAGTCAGAATATACACAGAGTTGTTTGGTTGGATGTCTATTTCGATTGGACAGCCCCATGCTGTACTAGTTGTAAAATATTTTTATTTTCACCCCCACATATATGCCAGCACTCATTTGAATATATTTCTCACACTAAGCATATTAGTATAATTTTAAATGAATAATTGGTAAGTGGTAAATGACATTTCTCTGATTTAGTTTTTATTTATATAATTGTTGGTAAGATTAAACATATTCCCATGTTTACTCAACATTGTAATTTTTTTGAACATTGCCTATTTATATTGTTTGAGTTCACTTTTCTATTGGAAAGTTTATCTCTCAGTAATTCATTAGAGCTATTCGTACATTATGAATAGTAATATTTTTAATAGCTATCTTTCCCACTTAGTCTTGAGACCAACCATAATTATTTCTTCATTTTATAATTAAAGTATTTTGCAATTTTCTCTGCAGCATAACCATTTCTTCATTATGTTTGTTTTTGTAAAAATACAGAATTTGAATTTTTTCTGTATAGTCAAAAATCACTATTTCTTCTCTCTTAAAGTCCTCCTATTTACTTAGAAAATTCTTCATGCCAAACAAAATAAATACTAACCTACCATTAATTTCAAATATTTATCTCTTTAATACAAGTATACTTTATTTTGTGTGAAGACTTTTTTCTACAGAAAACAACTTTACTCCACTCATGATTTGTGATTTTATATTTGTTATAAAAGAAGTCCTGATATATGTACGAGGGTTTGTTTCCTGGCTTTCTAGTTTGTTCCATTCTTCACTTTACCTATACTTTCACGAGTACTCCTAATTAGAATGATTCTAGCTTTTTCTTATCCTGTAGTATCTTACATGTCATATCCCTGGTTTATTTTTTTCCAGCATTTTTGTTTATACTGACACATTTTTATGTCTACTATACTTATAAAGTACTAAAAATAATAATATAATGTTTTGATTTAACATTAGAAGGAGCAAATTTATCATGATTAGTCTTTTTATCCAGGTCTATGATATGCAACTCCCTTTACTCAAGTCCTTTAAAATGTTTTATTTAAAAAACTTTGGAGTTTTCTTCATATTAGTCTTGGTTAGATGGTCATATTATTCTTAGGTGGGTTTCTTTTATTGTTTTTCATTTTTGTTTTATCTTAGAGTGGTAATTTAGATTTTCTATAATTTTTTATTGATTCTTGCTTAATACATATTTGTTACAACTTACATTGCATTTAGTCATTTTTCTGAACTTTAAAAAAAGGCATTTGTTTCCCATAGACTACTTTAAAATGCTGAGCAGTCAACTATATCTAAAAATTATCACAATTTATCTCTTTCTGATATTTAGGTCTCATGTCTCTGATGAATGCATTATCGCATTGTCTAGAACTTGGAAAACAGTATTAAGCAATAACATTTGATAGTTGGCCTATTTGTCTTATTCATGACTTTAATGAGAAGTTCCTTAATGTTTTACCATTAAGCATAAAACTGGCTGATAATTGAAAAATAATATTCTTTTGCAGGTTTGAAAAGTATTTTCTTATTTAAATTTTTCTAAGAATTTTGAATCATGACTAAATGCAGAATTTCGTTAAGTATATTTATTTTTGCTTTTGATTTGTATAGTAATGTAGTCTCTCTTTAAACTTTCTGATATATTATTATATTTTCTAATAAAAAACTGAAGCCATGTCTCATTGCTGTGTAACAAACCACTCAAAATATATTAACTTAAAACAGCCACCATTTTATTTTCTCACGATTCAATGAATCTGCAGTGTGGGCTGTGTTCTGCTGTTATGTCTGTCCCACCTCAGCCATTTAGGTGGCCTAAGTAAATTGAAATAATCTGGCAACTTACTAGAGCCTTATGGTGATTAATATTAGGTGTCAACTTGATTGAAGGATGTCTAGGTAGCTGGTAAAGTATTGCTTCTGGGTGTGTCTGTGAGGGTGTTGTCAGAGGAGGTTAACATTTGAGTTAGTGGACTGGGATAGGAAGACCCATTCTCAATGTGCGTGGAGACCATCCCATCGGCTGCCAGTATGGCTAGAACAAAGCAGTCGGAAGAAGGTGGGATAAGCTGGATTGCTGAGTCTTCTGGCTTTCATCTTCCTCCCATGCTGAATGTTTCCATCTGTTCCTCTTGCCCTTGAATATCACACTCCAGGTTCTTTTATTTGGCCTTTGGACTCTTGGACTTAAACCAGTGGTTTGCTGGGGGTTCTCAGGCCTTCAGCCACAAACCAAAGGCAGTATGGTAGGCTTCCCTGCTTTTGAGGCTTTTGGACTCGGACTGAGCCACTACTGGCTTCTCTCTTCCCCAGCTTCCCGAAGGCCTATAGTGGGACTTCACCTTGGGAATGTGTAAGCCAATTGTCCCTAATAAACTCCCTTTCATATATACATATATCCTATTAATTCTGTCCCTCTGGAGAACCCTGACTAACACAAGGCTGGATGGATTAAAATGTTTTCACTCACATGGCTGGTCATTGGTGCTGGCTGTCAACTGGCCTGCTTCATTCCTGTCCTCCTCCAAATCATTTTGTAAAACAAATAAACATGTATTTTTCCTGCTTAAAACCTTTCACTAGACCTTTTTCTTAGGATTTAAAGTTTATTCTCTTTAGCAAGATTTATAAAATCCTTCATGATCTGGCCTCTGCCTCTCTCCTGCTCATTGTAGACTAGAAGACTAATTATAGTATTTGAAAAAAGATGAGGTAGTGTCAGTAGGACCAGGAAATGGAAGAAACAGCACTGTATGGTTTGCAAAAGTCCCCTGCCCCAAAATGGTGATGTAATTTACCATCCCAACCAGGACACTTTTGAAAATAAAAAGGGCTTCCTTAATAATTATGCCAGGATAACAGACATGAACCAGTACTGCTCTGACACAGCAGGGTCTGACCCCACCCCTCCCCACACTTACCCATATCTTTACCTTCACACCTATACTCTACCTAACAATGTACAATCATAGCTCTAGAACTTACCCTACTGCATCATGTCACTAATGCTTTCGTATAAATGTTCCCTCTACTTGGAATGTCTTTTATCAACTACAGTCTCCATCAAGTTTCCTCTCAGAAACCTACCTTGAATCCTTATACTGAGCTAACCATCTTTTCTTTTAAACACTATCTCTCTTCCAATATTATACATAATTAACACATAGAATTGGAATCCGGATATTTGTTTTCTATATCCTTTTATGAGGAACTGAGAATTTCTTTCTATAACCCTTTTTTTTTTGGTTAGAGGGAATGTAGCAGATACAACTTTTAGGTTTAAAGAAAAATGAGACTTCCTTTTTTTATTCTTCGGATGTGACAAGCTGCTGAGTGTGCTAAGTAAGGGAACCAAAGCTAATGAACCATTTGCTGCCCAGATAAAGAGTAGTTATGTTCTGGGATATTAAAAAAATGCAAAAATCCAAAAATCATTAGTATGTGGTTTTATAGTATATGTTATTTTTAAAGCAGAAGATTTATCTTTTAATTATTTTGTCATTAGGCTCAAATGAAGAACAGTCTGCAATGACTGAACACATGTCAGCTAATATGGGAAACAGAGTTTGGCCTGGGACTGTGCAGGGAGAAAACACAACAGGAAACTAAAAATTATCTCAGTTAATTCACAAAATAAAATTTGTCCATTTTGAAGATAAAGTGCCATTATTTCATTCTGCAACTTCAGTCTTTTATTCCAATACCAGAATGCAGATTATCATATTTGAAGATTTATATATTCAATAGCTCAATATAGACAATTGACCAGATGACAGTTTCATGGCATAATACGCATTACCAGCTACTAATTGAAAATTAACTCATGGCAAATTCTTATCAGATGTCTGGAAGGAAACTGATTAAGTTTCCTTTAAAGCATCCTTGAGATCAAGCTTCTGGCATGAAAATGAAAAATAAGTTGAAGAATATTAATAAATGTTAATAAAACCTG
Organism: Homo sapiens; assembly: GCF_000001405.40. NCBI lineage: Eukaryota > Metazoa > Chordata > Mammalia > Primates > Hominidae > Homo > Homo sapiens. Next base: position 74,569,214 of record NC_000006.12, on the reverse strand, counting down.
AAAAAGTATTGGAGTATAGAAAAATTACATAGGAAAACTTTTGCTCTGGAAAACAGCTTGAAATGCTTGTCCTTTAAAACTCCATAGACAGTTTCCATATTCACGTCTATATTTGTCATGCCAGAAAAGGATGAAAGGGAGGAAGGAAAGGAATGTCAGCGTCTGGAGAGGAACGGGAAAGCTTATGTGCTTCAGGGATTCAGGCTTTACATCATACATATTTGAGATGTTAACTCACACTAAAGATAGATCAAGTCTTCGCCTTAATTACATATATACGCTATTGCGGGAAAACTTGCAGAATTAAACTTAACTTAGGTTTTTTTTTTTCCCAGTATTATTTCTTCAGGATATTTGACAAATCCACAACTGATGTAAAATTTCAGTTGGAAATATTTCTAAAAGAAATGCCACATTTTCCATCTATTCACTGATTTCTAGCTACTTCGATTTGTGCCCTAATTTCTTAATAATAGCTCAAACAACCAAGAGAGTAATACTTTACAGTGAAAATAATGATTTGGGAATCAAAAATTACTGAACAGCAGAACAGACTTTCGTGTTTACTTGAGGACTTTTTATGAAACAATGATTTTCAAATTAAGTTCTTATCTCCTCTATTATCTGATTCTAATGGGAGAATTGCAGTTGGGAAAGTGGTCTCCTTCTTATGACTAACCTCAGTCCTTCACTGCAGCATACTGCAATCATCAAGGCTCATAAAATCTTTTTTGCAGGGCTGTAAGGAGGTAAATTACAATATCTTCATTGGGGTCTATTTGTCTAAAAGCAGAAGCTGGACTGACTGAACTCATACAATCACAGACTCCAATTAAATTAGTTTATTGAATTGTTATGGTGAACAATCAAATAGCATAAGACTTCCACCCTTTTTCAATATCACCATAAAATCAAGGCTACAAAGAACATTTCAGATTGTGTAAATAAAAATATTATATTTTAAAAGTTAATAGCATGATAAAGCATAAAACCTAGCAAGTACTATTGAGGCAGGATGGGTATTCAAGAAAGTGATTACTACAGTATACCACATTGGCATACTGATAATGTCCTCGGGATGCAGCAACCACGGTGAATGCATGATGACTGCATATTGTCAACCCAGCAAGCCCCAGCATTTGCATCGTATTTCAACTCATTCAAGCAAAGGGAAATACCCTTGTAGAGAGCATGCACATTTTGATTTTACCTGTCCTTAAAGTGACCTTTTACTCATTATTACTATTATAAATAGTAAAAATCACACCGTGGTTGAGATTTAAGATGCTAATGATACGTGACATATAAACAAGCATGTACAACCACTGTGTATGTGCACCAAGAGGACCACCCAGAACATACTTACCAGTAACACCTCTTCCCACCTCCTTATGAATAATTATGTAAGATTCCCATAAATGGAGTGTTCCTAGTTCTAGTCTTTGCGTCTCATTCCTGTAAGCTGCCTGCCCTGAATCCCTTCTCGCTCAGGGTGTACTGGGTATTCTGCATCTAACTTTTAAAATAGTCTTTCTCCTTTGCAATAAATTATGCTGCATCTTCACAAAAGAAAACCTAGCTCGTAATGTCAAGGAATCAAATATGGCATAAACCAACACCGAATTCCTTTTCCTCCTGGACACATAGTTAGGCTGTATTCCCCACTCTCCTTACAGTTATGGTAGCCACATAACTGATTCTTGATCAAGGAAATGTGAGCCACAGAGATGTGCACCACTCCCAAACCCAGGCTACACAAGCCTCTCATGCATAATTTTCTCACTCTTTCCCTACTCTAATATTTAAAGAAGGATGAACTCACAAAGTGGAAGGAGTCTGGGTTTTTGAATGACCACATAGAAGGCGATTCACACGCTGGCTCCAGAAATACCCACACTGGCTCTTGTGTGAGTGATAAATAACACTTATTGTGTTAAGCCACTGAAATTTTTGAGTTTGTTTATTACAACAGTTAGCATTACTTACCATACTAATACAGTAGGGCAGTTCCTTGATTAGAGACAAAAAACATATTCAATTTTCAAGGAAAACCAAATTTGATTATTCTTAATTATTCTTAATTTTGTAGGTAAAAATGAGTACTCCTATCAAAAAATGTGTGAACAACATAAAAAAATGCCAAAATGAAAACTATACATCCAATACTTACAGCAAGCAAGTTTTTGTCAAAGCTTGAAGACAGTAACAGTTCAAACATTATTTGGTCACGATGACTTACTGAAAATCTAATGTAATATGGTCCAAAAGTATAAACTTTTATTTGGTCATCTTTATGAAAAAAACAGGATTTAAACAAGTAAAGGAGAGGATGAGGGCCATCAATTTTCAAACATTTTTCATTTTAATTCACACCAGATAATAGTGACATGTACTAGGTGCAACTTCATCTTTTCCTCTATCAAGAAAGATAATGAGATGCAAGGTTATAAGAACTATATAATCATTAGGTGAATCTTAACTTCATTCTGACTTAATTTTTAACATAAATAATGTCTCAACTTTAAGATTTTCCCAATGTTGAAAAATAAATAGTAACATATTGTAGAAGAACTGACTTTTGCTGTGGTTAGAAAGACTCCGATAGAATTAGTTTTTTGGTCTGTCAGAGAAAGCCAAGACCAGTATCCTAAGGCTTTTTGACAAATAAGCCCATTCTGGTCACTGCTGCCTCAATAGCTTGCTATCTCTGCCATGTCTTCACTGGAACAGATCCCTCCAGATGTCTGCCTCAGCATCTGGAGATGGGATGGCTCTAACTGCTACAGCAAGAGCTCCTGCCTCTTAAGGAACCACAGGGAGGCTGGGAAGGCATGCTGGCCTTGTGCCTCAGTAAGGCAAGAACTCATGGGCTGAAAAAAATTTATGAAAGGAAAAGGGTTCAAAGAATGAGGCAGCCAAAAAGAGTGCAAATAGCTGCTACAGAGCATGTATAGAGTTAAAATAAAAAATAAGACTTTTAACTTTACAGTAGAGAATCCTGGCCCACACATCAGGCAATGAAGGCTAACATAGTCAGTGATAAGCTAGTCATGTTGATATCGTGTACTCCCCAAAAACGTGTGATGAGAATGGAAACTTCATTTCTGTGATCACTCTTCACAAAAACTCATAGTCCTAGTTTGACCACGAAAAAAACATCAGACAAACCCAAATTGAGGGCCAAAACATCTAAACAGCACTGCAACAGTCAAGGTCATCAAAAACAAGCAAAGACAGAACTGTCATGGAGGAGAGAAGGCCAACGGGACATGATGACTAAATATGATGTGGTGTCCAGAATAGCATCCTGGAACAAAAAAAGACATTAGGGAAAAACTAGTGAAATCTGAATAAAATGTGGAGTTTCGTTCATAGTAATGTACTGACATTGGCTCTTTAGTTGTGTCAAATGTACCTCAGAAATGTAATGTCTTAACGATAAGAGAAACTGCCTGAGTAAAGAGTATATGAAACTCTCTGTATGAGTTTTCCAAATTTGCTGTAAATATAAAACTCAATTCTAAAACAAAAATATATTTTTCAAATAACGCTTTTGCCCCAGTTGGCTAGTGTTCATGTGCACACTGGTATGAAAAATACTCTCCAGTTTTTCCCCTTACTTTTGCATAAAACAATAATGACTGGTATAGTTCTTTGAAATAGCAGTCTTACTGATTTTTAAAATTTTATATTAAATGTCATTGTCATTTGTGGCTTTCTTTCATTTTAACCAATATTTGTTGAAAGTATTTAAGGTTTATAATATTCTATTTCTACTGCCTTTCACAAAAATTACAACCAACTATAATTAATGATTTTCTTAGACATTAGATGTGGAAAACATTCCTTGCTGAGGTTATAATATGATCTAGATAGCAAGAGTTGAAAGTTACATATTTTGATAGAGGCTGGGGCTGGGAATGTTCTTGTCCCTATTAAAAGGCAGGATTAAATGGGCCTTTAGTATGCGATTATAAAGATTAAAGAGTTTAATCAGTTATTCTCATTGAATGAAAGGCATCTCTTTGCCATATGGAGGTGAGCTGTGGAGGATTTGCCTCAAGAATTTAATAAACCACTAAAAAATTTGTTCTGAACATTTCTGATAAATATTATGAGTTATAAAACTTGTGTTTCATCAAAATGTTAGGTCCAAGCCTTTTCATTAAAGTTAAATTCATATTCAAGAACATACCTGTGTGTCTGAATTCTTAGCCACCTAGGGGTAACCTTATTTTAAAATGTTATTTAAATCCTGTTGGATGCTGACTCCATCATAATTTCAAAAGAGAAAGAATTGTAAGACTTTTGGGCAGGATATGAGCTTCCTGAGAAGGTTTTTAGCAACCCTGTGTTCATAGGCATGCAGTAAACACTGTGTCTGCCCAGAATGTTATAGTACCTCTCTGCCAAAATTCAAAGGCTAATTTTGATGTTTATAATACATGAAAAGGTTTTTAGTTATAACAACCTTCGTGATACAAGTCTGTTCTTTTAAAGATTCTCATCAAAGGCACTTTTACATAAAAATTATTAAAAGAAGCAAAATGATGTTTCATGGTAACATACACTTATATGACATTGTAGGAGATAAATTTTTATATATTAATGATGAAAATAATCTTTAAGAAATGTACTTTTAAAAACTATATTGATGATTAATTTGATTTATCCAAAGTAGGTCTCTGACAATTTTCTTCCTAGTGAAAGCTACTGAGTAGCTTGTCTGAAAGCAGCATAAAGATTCTTGGAGACTACGTTGCTACCTTATAAATGGACCCAGCCATAGAGGATAGATAACTCTAGACCAGAACTTGATGAACACCATTTAGCACAAAAATTTCCAATGTTAAAATTGCTGATTAATACATGCTAGCTTACTCTACATAGCTAAATATGCCAACTGTTTCTGCATTTTCATAGAATTTGTCAAATTATTGACCACAGATTGATGATTACTTTATTATTTCTGTTATCTTTCTCTCCATTGGTAACATTTTACCCCATCATTTAAGTAAGTAGGATTTCTTCTCTGTACTACTTATATTTCTTGCCATACTCATAGGTGAACTACACATATAGAGGGTCATACATAATTAGCCCAGAGGACTATTTAAAAAGTAATGTGATTTTAAACATTTTGTACATACAATCACTCAAGTTCTGACAGGTGGCTGCAAAGTAAGCATAGCCAAAATGGATATTGCCTATCTGCCTACAATAGGATAAAATCTTCCTATTAAAGGGGCTTGGTTCTAATTATCTTCATGTCTCCAAAATCATTCAAAGCAATGCCTTACACAATTAAAAAACAAATGGGTATGTGTTAATAAATAATCGAGAAATTGTTATAGTTTCAAAATGTGGATTATCTATTTTATATGTATTTCATCAGAGCTGTTCTCACTCTTTTAGCCAGGATAGATTCTGCACACAGGCATATGATGATCAACTACACAGCACAATGTAGGGTGGAAATGTTCAATAGAAAACAGAAGTTCAAGAATCTAGTCCTTTCCTATTGATTCAGCAGCAAATATTAAATTTCCATGTCTATACTTTTACTTTTTAGACTTTTAGCTCCATAGAAATAAAACAGTGACTTACTTCCTGAGTGAATGTGACAGACATTCAATTAGTTTTTGATCAAGACATGATGATAACGGGCAAGAAATAGTCTGAGAGTGATTGGCTTGAAGGGCCATATCATTTAGGATTTTTAGCAAGGACTAAAAAGTAGAAGAGTAATACATACTCTTTGGGGACTATAAAGAGGTAATGAGTTCTCTCAGAAGAAAAATTCCTGAATTCACAATTCTAAAGCTGATTATAGGAGTGATTTTATGGCAAATATAAACATGATTCTTAGCAGGTCCCTTATGCTTTGCTTTCATAAAAATTTTATAGCTCTAATTTGTCTTAGAGAAGTTGTCAGTCTTCTATTTTAGCTTCTACCCTACATTTAGATTCCCTCCCCCCATCAACCAAAAGCTGTAAAACATACTGATAGGTTTACCTATCAAAATTGTTGTAGTCATTATTTTATTGTTTTAGGTGTCAATGGCTGTGGGTTAACTGCTGTCAATCTATTGAATGTCTTTCCATTCCAGAGCTCAAGCTAAAGGGACAGTTCCTATGTGGAAAGAGAAAAGAGTAAGAGAATTACTATAAGTTTAGATGTTTCTTAAAACTTGTGCTTAGACATTGTGTACATCATACCTGTTTATGTTTCATGGTCAGAAAAAGAGGAAGATTAAGTGACCTGGACTCTTAACTGTTTTCTCACTCCCTTGCAATCTCTAACTCCAGTTTTAATGATATAATCTCTTGTCATATTTGATGGCGAATTTTAGTTGTCAACTTTACTGAATTAAGGGATACACAGAGAGCTGGTAAAGCATTATTTCTGAGTGTGTCTGTGAAAGGGTTTCTGGAGGAGATTGGCATTTGAATCAGTAGATTGAGTAAGAAAGAGCTACTCTCAATATGAGTGGGCACCATTCAATTGCTTAGGGCCCAGGTAAAACAAAAAGACAAAAGAAAGGCAAATCATATCTCTTCTGGAGCTAGGACACTCTTCTTCTCCTGTCCTGGGATATCGGAACTTAAGGCATTCCAGCCTTTGGACCCTAGAATGTGCACCAGCTGCCCCCTGGTTTCTCAGGGCTTCAGCCACAGACTGATAGTTACACTGCTTGTTCCCCTCGTTCTAAGGCTTTTGGACTTGGATTAAGACATACCACTGGTTTCCTTGGTTCTCTACCTTGCAGATGATCTATCTTGGGACTTCTTAACCTCCATGACCCCATGAGACAATTATCCTAATAAATCCCCTCTCTATCTGTCTGTCTGTCTGTCTATCAATCTATCTATCTATCTATCAATCATTTACTTACCTACCTACCTACCTGTATTAGTCAGGATTTTCTAGAGGGACAGAACATAGGATAGATGTACAATGAAAGGGAGTTTATTAAAGAGTATTGACTCACATGATCACAAGGTGAAGTCCCACAGTAGGCCGTATGCAAGCTAAGGAGCAAGGAAGCCAGTCCAAGTCCCAAAATATCAAAAGTAGGGAAGCCAACAGTGTAGCCCTCATTCTATGGCCAGAGGCCCAAGAACCCCTGACAAACAACTGGGGTAGGTCCAAGAATCCAAAACTGAAGAACTTGGAGTCTGATGTTCAAGGGCAGGCAGCATCTGGCGCAGGACAAAGATGGAGACAAGAAGATTCAGCAGGTCTGGTCTTTCCATGTTCCTCTGCCTGCTTTTCTCCAAGCTGTGCTGGAAGTTGATTAGATGGTGCCCACTGCCCACCCACATTGAGGGTGGGTCTGCCTCTCCTAGTCCACTGACTCAAATGTTACAGATACCCTCGCAGAGACACCCAGACACTAAAATGTTAATCTCTTTTGGCAACACCCTTGCATCCTTCAATCCAGTTGACACTCAATATTAACCTTCACGAATCTACCCCTTGTCAACTTGAATCCATACACATGTCCTGAAATCAGACATAATCTTCAAATAAAGACAATAATAAGGTCATAATTATGCCTAACAAAATACCACTATCTTTCATACAACCAGAAATGCACCAATGCCCAACCAATATGCTACTACATAAAGTTAACAACATTTAAATGTTGATATAAAGTCAATAAATCTTATGTCACATGATAAAGGAAAAAGAAAAATGAAGATGTTTTCTTAGTATGAGTGTATACATGCACAAACATGTTCTTAACAAAAGGAGGTGGAAATACTCATGACCATCAAAATACTCATTTCTGCAACTGCTCACGTGGTTGTAGCTGGTATTGATGACTACCTTCTGCTACTACCCATTCTGTATTCCCTTTGCTTTCAACAAGCACCTCAGCACGTCATGGGTTTTTACCTGGTGAAGTGACCCAAACCTTCATTTCTGAAGGGTCTGGGCCATTTGTACTCCTGCCTGAATTGGGCTGTTGTAGTTTCACATTGACCTTAATCACATGGACATGGTTATACTAAGAGATGCCCTAAGGGATCTCCTGTATTCCATGCATAGTCTTCCTTACCTCCATTGTGGAGTAGTAGACTGATTTCATCTTGATATTCCAGGTAATCACCCCAGCCAACACTGTAACTCCCTTTTTAGCCTCTTGACTTACAGGTAGCAGGAGCCCAAAGTGGCCAGGTGACATGCTTAACTTCCAGTTTAATGGAGTCATCTTTATGTCACCTGGTGGCAGCATTCCTCCCTCTGGAACTGAGACCTCGAGGCCAGCAGAACAGGAAGCAAAAATTTTACTAGTGGGTCACTAGGGGTGATGGTGAGTGGTGCCACTTCAACTTTCACCCCTTGATTCCTGGACCTGTGACTCCTGGCTATGGGAGAAACACTGCCATATATTGGATGCTGATTCAGAGCATACATAGCCATCTGAAGAATCTTGTCCCAGCACTGCAAAGCATTTGTCACGTAGTTGGCATTGTAATTGTGACTTCAAAAGGCCATTCCAGTGTTCTATTAGTCCAGCTGCTTCAGGATGATGGGGAACATGGTAAAACCAGTGAATTCCATGAGCATGAGCCCACTGCCACATTTGTTTGGCTGTAAAGTGAGTGCCTTGGTCAGAGTCGATGATATGTGGACTATCATGTGTGATGGTTAATAATGAGTGTCAACTTGATTGGATTAAAGGATACAAAGTATTGATCCTGGATGTGTCTATGAGGGTATTGCCAAAGGAGATTAACATTTGAGTCAGTAGACTGAGAAAGGCAGACCCACCCTTAGTATGAGTGGGCACGGTGTAACCATTTGCCAGATTGGCTAGAATATAAGTAGGCAGAAAAATGGGAAGAGACTGCCCTAGCCTCTCAGCCTACATGATTCTCCCATACTGGTTACTTCTTTTCCTCAAACATCTGACTCCAAATTCTTCAGTTTTGGAACTCAGACTGCCTCTCCTTTCTCTCAGCCTACAGACAGCCTATTGTGGGACATTGTGATCGTATGAGTTAATACTTAATAAATTCATATATATAGTAGTGTTTACATCAATTAGTGCATAATTATATATAGTATATATTCCATTTGTTCTCTCTCTCTCTCTCTATATATATATATATATATACAGTTCTGTGCCTCTCTCTCTCTCTCTCCATATATATATATATATATATATACACACATATATATATATATATACACATATATATATATACATATATATATGTGTATATATATATATATATGTATATATATATATGTGTATATATATATATATTCCATTAGCTCTGTCCCTCAAGAGAACCCTGACTAATACAGATTTTGGTACCAGGAGTGGTTTAGAGGAACAGAATATTAAGGATGGAGTTCTTTTGTTGGTTTTGGGGTTTCTGGAGTTGGCTGCTTAATATGATTACACCCAAAAATGCTAAGGACTCTACTTCTAATAGTATGGAGAACACTGATAGTCCTTGGTCCAAACTACTTACAGAGTTATGCAAAATAAATGCATTTGGCACTCCTGATTCATTGCTTGTGAATGGCAAGGAGTTTAGTGACTCTATACACAATACATGTGACCATACGTGGAGGACCAAGGAACATAATGAAGCTGGTTGGTGCTCCTAAGTTCACTGGACAAAGTGATGAAAGAAAATAATGAACTCAGAGATTCTATATCCCAGCTTCAGTAGCAGATACTGAGCCTCAAATCTGCTAACATTGCCCGGAGTGGGAGTCTTATCTCCCATAGAGAAAGGGCTGAAATTGTGGAAAAACAGATACAAGTTCTTATCATGTGAGTGGTAGACCTGTAACTAAAGGTGCATGCATAGCCTTGCCAGGTGTCTACTGTTAAAGTGAGGGCATTGATTGGAAAAGAATGGGACCCTGTAACTTGGAATGGGGACCTGCAGGAGGACCCTGATGAAGCTGGGGACACTGAATTTGTAAACTCTGATGAAAGTTTTTCACCAGAAGAAACAGCTACCCTATCCCCAGTAGTGGAAATATCTCCTCCCCGACCCATGCTGCCATCAGCCTTTCCACATCTGTCTAAGGAGATAAACCCTGTGCTGCCTGAGGCAACAGTGATGGCCTCCCATGAGGCAGTTGCCAGGCAAGATAATGTTGATTCTCCTCAGGAGCCGCCCCAAACATCCCTATTTGCTTCTAGACCTAGAAGTAGACTAAAGTCCCAGCAGGCCCCTAGAAGTGAGGTTGAGAGTGTGACCCATGAGGAGGTGTGCTACACTTGAAAGAGCTGCTTGAGTTTTCTAATGTATATGAACAGAAATCTGGAGAACAGGCATGGGAATGGATATTAAGGGTGTGGGATAATTGTGGAAGGAATACAGAGTTGAAACAGGCAGAATTTATTGATTTGGTCCACTAAGTAGGGATTCTGCTTTTAATGTCACAGCTCGAGGAGTTAAAATAGTTCTAATAGTTTATTTGCTTGGTTAGCTGAAATATAGATTAAAAGATGGCCCACTATGAGCCAGCTGGAAATGCCTGATCTTCCTTGGTTTAATGTAGAGGAAAAGATCCAAAGGCTTAGGGACATTTGGATAGTGGAGTGCATTACTTATTTAGACCTACTCATCCCAGCTGGGAGGGTTCAGAAAATATCCTCTTGACCAGTGCCTTGAGAAATAGATTTGTGAAGGCAGCACCTGCATCTGTGAGTGAAGAGCCCTGTAATTGCTCTTCTCTGTATGTCAGATCTAAGAGTGGAAACGACAGTCACTCGACTACAAAATTTAAATACAATGGGAATTGGATCTTGAGGTGTCAGGAGCCACGTGGCGGCACTCAGCCATCAAAGGCAAGGTGGGCATAGCTACCATAAAGGATAGCAGAGGCAAAATACCAATCATAATAGTCTGACTTCTGTAGAGCTCTGGCCTTTTCTAATTAATCACAGTGTTCCTGGAAGTGAAATTGATAGGAAGCCTACTGCATTCCTACTTAATTTATATAAATAGAAAACTTCTAGGTCAATTGAACAAAAGACTAATTTGAATTATAAAAACAGATAATCAAGGCCCCTCAGTCAGTTTCCAGACTTGAGCCAGTTTACAGACCCAGAACCCCTTGAATGAAGGGAAGACCAGGTCTCTGTGAAGAAGGACCCCACTACATTACCAACAATTGATGCAATGAATCTTTCTCCCATCCTTCCCCAAGGAGACCACTGGCCTTTTAACAGGGTAACTGTGCATTGGGAAAAGGCAAATGATCAGATATTTCAGGGAGTACTGGACACTGGCTCTGAGCTGCCAATGATTCCAGGGGACCCAAAACGTCATTGTGGTCCTCCAGTTAAAGTAGGAGCTTATGGAAGTCAGGGAAATAATATAGTTTTAGCTCAAGTTCAACTTACAGTCGGTCTAGTGGGTCCCCAGACTCATCCTGCGGTCATTTCCCCAGTGCCAGAATGCATAATTGGCCTAGACATACTTAGCAGCTGGCAGAACCCCAACGCTGGCTCCCTGACTGGTAAGATGAGTGCTATTATGGTGGGAAAGGCCAAATGAAAGCCATTAGAGCTGCCTCCTCCTGGAAAAATAGTAAATCAAAACTAATATTGCATCTCTGGAGGGGTTGTGGAGATTGGTGTCACTATCAAGGCCTTAAAAGACACAGGGATGGTGATTTCCACCAAATCCCTATTCAACTTTCCCATTGGCCTGTGTAGAAGACAGATGGATCTTGAAAGATGACAGTGGATTACTGTAAGCTTAACCAAGTGGTGACTCCAATTGCAGCTGCTTTATCAGATGTGGTTTCATTGCTTGAGCAAATGAATGCATCTCCTGGCACCTGGTATGCATCCACTGACTTGGCAAATGCCTTTTTCCCCATTCCTGTCCATAATGCCCATCAGAAGCAATTTGCCTTCAACTGGTAAGGCCAGCAATAACCTATATTGTCCTACCTCAGGGGCAGATCAACATTTGGGTTTGTGTCATAATCTTATACAGAGAAATCTTGATCACTTTTTGCTTCCACAAGATATCACATTGGTCCATTACATTGATGACATTATGCTGATTGGATCCAGCGAGCAAGAAGTAGCAAACACACTGGACTTATTGATGAGACATTTGCATGCCAGAGGATGGGAAATAAATCCAACTAAAATTCAGGGAACTTCTACCTCAGTAAAATTTCTAGGGGTCCAGTGGTGTGGGGCCTGTCGAGATATTCCTTCTAAGGTGAAGGATAAGTTGCTGCATTTGGCCCCTCCTACAATCAAGAAAGAGGTTCAATGCCAAATGGGCCTATTTGGATTTTGGACCCAACATATTCCTCATATGGATATGTTACACCAGCCCATTTATCGAGTGACCTGAAAGGCTGTCAGTTTTGAGTGGGGTCCAGAACAGGAGAAGGCTCTGCAACAGGTCCAGGCTGCTGTGCATGCTGCAGTCCCACTTGGGCCATATGAGTCTGCAGATCCAAGGAGGTGTCAGTGGCAGATAGAGATGCTGTTTGGAGTTTTTGACAGACCCTGAGAGGTGAATCACAGCAGAGGCCTCTAGGATTGTGGAGCAAGGTGCTGCCATCCTCTGAAGATAACTACTCTCCTTTTGAAAGACATCTCTTGGCCTGTTACTGGGCTTTGGTGGAAACTGAACGTTTGACTATGGGTCAACAAGTCACCATGTGACCTGAACTGCCTATCATGGACTGGGTGCTTTCTGACCCATCAAGCCATCAGGTGGGTCGTGCACAGCAGCATTCCATCATCAAATGGAAGTGATATATATGTGATCAGGCTCAAGCAGATCCTGAAGGCACAAGTAAGTGACATGAAGAAGTGACTCAAACGTCCATGGTCTCCACTCCTGCCACCTTGTCTTCTCTCCCCCACCCTACACTGATGGCCTCATGGGGAGTTCCCTATGATCAGTTGGCAGAGGAAGAGAAGACTAGGGCCTGCTTCACAGATGGTTCTGCACAATATGCAGGCATCACCAGAAAGTGGACAGCTGCAGCACTACAACCCCTTTCTAAGACATCCCCAAAGGACAGCGGTGAAGGGAAATCTTTCCAGTGGGCAGAACTTCTAGCAGTGCACCTGTTTGTGCACTTTGCATGGAAGGAGAAATGATCAGATGTGAGATAATATACTGATTTATGAACTCTGGCCAATGGTTTGCCTGGATGGTCAGGGACTTGGAAGAAGCATGATTGGAAAATTGGTGACAGAGATTTGGGGAACAGGTATGCGGATGGGTTTCTCTGAGTGGTCAAAAACTGTGAAGATCTTTGTATCCTATGTTAGTGCTCACCAGTGGGTGACCTCAGCAGAGGAGGATTTTAATAATTGAGTGGATAGGATGACCCTTTCTGTGGACACCACTCAGCCTCTTTCCCCAGGCACCTCTGTCATTGCCCAATGGGCCCATGAACAGTGGTCATGGTGGTAGGGATGGAGGTTACACATGGGCTCAGCAACATGGACTACCACTCACAAAGGGTGACCTGACTACATCCACTGCCGAGGGCCCAATTTGCCAGTAGCAGAGATGAACACTCAGCCCTCGATATGGCACCATTCCTTGGGGTGATCAGCCAGCCACATGGTGGCAGGTTGATTATATTGGACCTCTTCCATCAGAAAGGGCAGAGGTTTGTCTTCACTGGAATAGACACTTCCTCCGGATATAGGTCTCTGTTTTGAGCCACCTAAACCTGACGGTGGTATGACATAAGCCCCCTTCTGGTCACCACCACTATGACTGCACTGGGTCAGACCTGTGGTCAGCATAGTCCTGGGCCTCACCAAGGCCTTCTGTAACTAATCCCTTGCTATTACACATTTTCACTCAACACCCTGACACTCTGCAATCAGCATGTGGCAAAGCCAGTCAGACCTGCATCCTTTCCTCCAGAGCAGCAAGTTCCCCTTAGGCCCGGGGTAAGTCCAGAAGTGCCATCCGGAAGTCAGAAATAAGGCTCAAAAACCTTAGCAGTCTACCTTATGTTCTATTGAACTGCGGTTGAGCTGGAACTCTTACCACAAGATGCAGTCTTTCCCACCATTCCCTCCCCTTTCCAAAGGTAGAGGAGCCTCACCTGCTACCGGCCATGAGAAATATTGCCAGACTACCATAGATATTCCCTTAAGGCCCACCCAAGGGCTCTTAAGTAAGCTTGTGCTGAATGCTGCTTGTCCTGAGACTCACCCTTCAGGGCAGTGGGCTCCCCTCTGGCCCAGGGCAGGTTCAGAGATGCTGTCCAAGAGTCCAGTCCTGCAAATGGGGACCTCGGGAGCCCATTTGGTGTTCTACCCCACTGTGGCCATGCTGGTATCTACAGTGCAAGACAAAGTTCCCTTTACCTTCACTGTAATTGTCTCAAGCAGACTCTTTTTCCTGTAACCATCAGAGCTGGTAATGTGCTGAGTCTCACCTGAAGCGAGCAAGCCTCAGAGATTCACCCAAGGCCCTCTGTGTAGTACATGGGTATCACTGCTGGTTATTCAGGGCTCAAGGTCTCTTCAGTTAGGAGGTGATGAATGCTGGCAGAACTTGGACATTTCCTTCAAGGCAGTGAGTTTCCTTGTGGCCCAAGGCATGTCTAGCAATGTCATCCTGGAGCTAAGGCCTGGAACAGAAACCTTATGACTCTGACTAGTGTCTTATCCTGCTGTGGCTGAGCGGGTATCTTAGATGCAATACAAAGTCCTCCCCACACTTCTCTCTGCTCTATGCAAGTGGGAGAAAGTTGTCTCTTTTGGAGCTGTGAGCTGTGCAGCCTGGGTTTAGGATAGGTGTGATCCCAGTACTTCCTTAGCCACCCCAGCTGGTGTCTTACTAGGTCACATGCTTCCCCGGTCCACTATCTCTGGGCCCAGTTCAGCACTAGCACTTGCCTATGACTTTCAGTCCTTATGGTCTAGACAATCTTTCAAGTTTATGTAGAGATCAGAGCTCTTTAGCCCACGGTGGCAAAGTTGGCATGAAATCAAGTCAGACAGCTGAGATCCATGATTCCCCTCTAGCTAAGAATGATTTAAATGCTTCCTCCATGGGCAGGAGTCAGCTGAGTTTTGTCCAGTTTTCCTTTCTGCTTTAACAGGATAGCCCTAAGTTTACTGCCTCACAATTGCTGTACTCTCTTTCCACTAGTGCCCAGAGATGCTCTCCATACCACACCACTACCACCAGGGAAAAGGTGTGGGGTGGTAGTGGTGATTCAGGAGTGTTTTTTTGAACTGTTCAGTGCTTCTTTCAGCAAAATGAAGATAAAACCAGTTTCTATGAGAGCTTGCCTTATTTTTGGTTCTTATGAAGGCGTTTTTTCTGTGTAGACAGTTGTTAAATTAGTGTTCCTGTTGGGGGATAAATTGTGGAGGTTTTGATTCCGCCATCTTCCCCTGCCTTCCCACCTGCAGCACACTATTACTAACCCATGTTTCTGGTCAATTAGACAAGAGAATTAAAGATAGAAGGAAAGTGACTTCAAAGAAAGAGATTGAAATTTTATTTGAATATTTGAACAATTGTCTGAAGATAACTGGCTTAAGACTCATTGGGTATAAAAAGAAC
This sequence comes from Homo sapiens, assembly GCF_000001405.40. Lineage (NCBI taxonomy): Eukaryota > Metazoa > Chordata > Mammalia > Primates > Hominidae > Homo > Homo sapiens. The sequence goes on along the minus strand of NC_000006.12, from coordinate 74,553,650 downwards.
ATTCTACCAATATCAAAGTGGATCTAGAGAATGTAATTTATCATATGGATCTTTACTTCTATAAATACAAAGTTGCTTCACAAGTTTAATAAGACAATCTCGCTTTCAGAATCTTTGGCACAAAACTTGACTGAAGAATGTGAGAATCTTATCTAGATCAAAAATTATAAAGAAAATGTAAATTTTTTATTTAGTTGAAGCAAAAATGGTATTTTTGTGATAGTCTATTGATTAAAAGACTCCAGTCCCAAATTCAACAGGTTCCAACCTTAATAGATACTATAATCTTAATACAGCTATTGATTGAGAAAGCATGAGCAGGTGGGGAGGTGTAAACTTCTATCACAACCTTGACAATAGACCTTAAAAGGGAGCAGATGTCTACCATCTCTACTTCTATTCAAAGGGAAGTTGCCTTCTATTTCATCAAGACCAAATGTATCCATATTTTACTTTAACTATAAATCTCCAGTGTTGGAGTGTATGTGTGTGTGTATATATGCTGATACATCTTCCCGTGAATGAAACCTCATAATTAACATATCTATTGAAGACAATTATTTCTAGGATTTTATATCCAGATATTATTTACTAAGCTTTCCTACTTTAAGTTCTATTTTTAGATATAACATTCCCCTATGCATTTTACAAAAGGCCTTGGATGTTTTCTAATATTAAATTATAAATATTATTTTAAAATCTTGATAGTTACTATGTATGAAGGAGACCTTTCAAGCAATTGAATATACCTTATGGGAACTTGCAACAGAACTTCATCATTAATAGAAAGTTATATAGTCAGAGGATATAATTCTCTGAACTATGTACCCTACTTGGTATGGTTTGGCTGTATCCCCATCTAAATCTCACCTTGAATTGTAATAACCCCCTCGTGTCAAGGGCAGGGCCAGGTGGAGATAATTGAATCATGGGGGTGGTTTCTCCCATACTGTTCTTGTGGTAGTGAATAAGTCTCATGAGATCTGATGGTTTTATAAATGAGAGTTCCCCTTCACAAGCCCTCTTGCCTGCTGCCATGTAAGATGTGCCTTTGCTTCTCCTTTGCCTTCCATCATGATTGCCATGTGGAACTGTAAGTCCTTAAACCTCTTTTTCTTTATAAATTACCCAGTATTGGGTATGTCCTTATTTGCAGTGTGAAAACAAATTAATATACTACTATTGCCTGTTTGAAATAAATCTTGGAATAAAATAATGGTGAAAACATAGTATGTCCTAGAAAGTGTCAAAGGACAGAAATCACTGAAAATGGGCTTTTCTACTAAGGAAGAGCTAAATTTAGAACTTGTCCTTAAAGTTGGGTTCAAATTTTACCTTCATTTCCAAAAGGCAATTGAATATTTAAAGATGTACACCCAGAGTTAATAGACCATAAGAGCAATTAGATTATGATGCTCTTACAGAAACAGCTTTTGTAATCTTTGGCAACTGACAGTTATGATGAAACACTGCAATTTCAGAAGTTAGTATTACATATTTTTCTTATGGAGTGATAAACATATCCTGATGACCTGTCATCTTGGATTTGTAATGTATTATTGATTGCAAGCCTTTGATTGTGGTTTGAAAGTCTTCTGGCACTAGGAAACCAAATCTGATATTCTTCTCCAAGCTTAGTTGAAATGACCCAATCTGAATGGTTTACCTTATTAGGTAAAGTGGCTAAAAATGTATTCATCCTCAGCATTCCAAATGAATGAAGTTAGACCATTAACTTGCATATAGAGATGTCTTTTTTTGAAAGTAGAGCAAAAGAACACAGGTTTCTCTAAATATAAAATTTGAATATTTAAAAGGTTAATATCACTTAATGTCAATATCTAATTAATTCCCTAAATATAAAATTTGAATATTTAAAAGGTTAATATCACTTAATGTCAATATCTAATTAATTCTGTGGGTACATTTTAAAGGAGAAAAGCACATAAGTTTAGAAATATTTGTTTAAGACTCTTCCGTAAAGAGGCAGGAGTTAATGAACTACAATCTGCAGTTTATACAGGGTAAGATACCAGGTAGCTAGAAATCTGGATAACAATAGTATAATTCTTTAATTTTTGAGAGAAATTTAAAAATAAATTTGTAGAACAGAAATCTATCCCTCTGCAGCTAATTAAGTATTGTCAAATTATCTAGAAGCACACTCATATTAAACCCAAACTATGTCAAGGTAAAGTAAGATCCATTTCATAACACCATACCAGAATCTTCATGATTAAATTAAGAGATCTATGAGAACAATGGTCATGTCTGCCTTAGTTAATAGTGAAGTATATATTTTGAATGAGTAAATAATATAAGCCTGAGCTGTGAAAGATGAATTATAATCGTATATCCTAATAAATGTGATAAAAAATCTGGAATGGGAGGAGGAGCAAGATGGAATAGAAATTTCCACCGATAATTTCCCCAACAAGGACACCAAGTTAACAAATATCTACACACGACAAAACACCTTCATAAAAATAAAAAATCAGGTGGGTACTGATAATACTTGGTTTTAACTTCAGATCACTGAAAATGACACTGAAGAGATAGAAAAAACAGTCCTGAATCCTTGAGGCTACACCCCACCCCACCCCCAACCTGGCAGTGTCAGCATAGTACAGGCAGCATCTGCTGGGGAAGAAGAGCACAGCTATTGTGAGGCAGTGAACTCAGGGCTGTCCTGTTAGAGCAGAAAGGGAAACGGAACTAAACTCAGCGGATACCCACACACAGAGGGACAATTTAAACCAGCCCCAGCCAAAGGGGAATCCTGGATCCCCGTGGTCCAAACTCGGGTGTCTACAAACCTCGCCACTGAGGGCTACAGTACTCTGTGTCTCCAAGGAAACTTGAAAGGCAGTCTAGGCCATAAGGACTGCAACTCTTAGGTGAGTCCTATTGCTGAACTAGGCCCAAAGACAGTGGACTGGAGGGGGCGGGGGTGCGGGGAGGGCAAGCAAACTATTGAAACACCAGCTGGGGCAGCCAAGGGAGTGCTGGTATCACCCCTCTGCTAGCCCCAGGCTCTACATCTCGCAGCTCCAAAAGAGACCCCTTCCTTCTGCTTAGGGAGAGGAGAAGGAAGAGTCAGTCAAGAGGACTTTGTCTTACACCTAGGATATCAGCTCAGCCACAGCAGGATAGGGCGCCAGTCAGAGTTGTGATGCTCCTGTTCCAGGCTGTAGATCCCGGATGACATTTCCAGACATGGCCTGGGCCAGAAGGAAACTCACTGGCTTGAAGAAAAGGACCTAGTCCTGGCAGCATTTATCACCTGCTAACTGAAGCACCCTCGGGCCCTGAATAACTAGTAGCGATATCCAAGTACTATATCGCTGGCCTTAGTGAGCCGCTGAGACTTGCTGGCTTCAGGTGAGACTCAGCACATTACCAGCTGTGGTGGCTACAGGAAAAAATCCTTCTGCATGAGAAAAACAGAGAGAAAAGTAAAGGGGACTTTGTCTTGTACTTTAGGTACCAGCACAGCCACAGAGGGGTAGAGCACCAAGCGGGTTCTTGGGGTCCCCAATTCCAGGACCTGACTTGTATGGCAATTTTTCTAGACATACCCTCGGCCAGAGGGGAACCCATTGCCCTGAAGTCACAGGCCAGACAGCACTCACCACTAGCTGACTTAAAGCCTTTGGGCCTTAAGGGAATATCTGTGGTAGTCTGGCAATACTCCTTATGGACTGTGGGGGCAGTGGGGCTAAGGGGTGAGGCTTCTCTGCCATTGGAAAGGGGTAGGAATAGTGGAAAGGTCAGTGTCTTGTGGTTTGAGTGCCACCTCAGCAGCAATACAGTAGAACAGCAGGTAGATTTCTAAGTTTTTTGACCCTAGTCTCTGATTTCTAAATGGCGTTTCTGGGCCCACCCAGGGCCAAGGGGATCTCACTGCCCTAAAGGAACCTGATGATTGTAGAGCACCAGGGTGATGAGCAAACAGGCAGTAGTGAGGGAGTGGTTACAGCATGCTTTGGGTAAGACCCAGTGCTCTGCTGGCTTCAGCTTTGACCCAGCACAGTCATAGTGGTAGTGGCCACAGGTGGAACTCCCAAAAGTCAAGGATAAAGAGAGGATCCTTAAAGGTAGCAAGAAAAAAGAAAACAAATAACATACAATGGATTTGCAATACCTCTGGAAGCAGAATTTTCAGTGGAAACATTACAGGCCAGGAGTGAGTTGTATGACATATTTATAGTGCTGAAGATAATAGAAAAACTTTGTCCTAGCATAGTATTAATATATCCAGTAAAAAATATCCTTCAAACATGAGGGAGAACCAAAGACTTTCCCAGACAAATGAAAGGTGAGGGATTTGATCAACACCAGCCTTGTTCTACAAGAAATGCTAAAGGGAGATCTTCAATCAGAAAGAAAAGGACATTAATGAGCAATAAACAATCACCTAAAGGTACAAGACTCACTGGTAATAGTAAGTACACAGAAAAACAGAGAATATATTAACCCTGTAACTGTGGTGTGTAAACTACTCTTATCCTAACTAGAAATACTAAACGATGAACCCATTGAAAATAATAACTACATGGCATCATTAATCATTGGAGAATTGCAAATCAAAACTACAATGAGATATCATTTCACTCCAATTAAAATGGCTTATATCCAAAAGAGAATAACAAATACTGGCAAGAACATGGAGAAAAGAGAACCCTGAAACAGTCTTGATGGGAATGTAAATTAATACAACCATTATGGAGAACCATTTGGAGGTTCCTCAAAAAACTAAAAATGGAGCTACCATGTGATCCAGCAATCCCACTAATGGGTATATAACCCCCAAAAAAGGAAATCAGTATATCAAAGAGATATCTGCTCTGTCATGTTTGTTGTAGCACTGTTTACAACAGCTAAGATTTGGAAGCAACCTAAGTGTCCATCAACAAGTAACTGAATAAAAATGTAGTACACATACACAATGGAGTACCATTCAACCATAACAAAGGATGAGATCCTGTTATTTGTAACAACATGGATGGAAATGGAGATCATTATGGTATATGAAATAATCCAGGCACAGAACTACAAACATTGAAACATTGCATGTTCTCACTTATTTATGGGATCTCAAAATCAAGACAATTGAACTTATGGCATAGAGAGTAGAAAGATGGTTACCAGAGGCTAAGAAGGGTAGTGGGAGGCTGGGAGTCGGGAAGGTGGGGATGGTTAATGTGCACAAAAAATTAGTTAAATAATGAATAAGACCTGCTATTAGATAGCACAATTGGGTAACTATAGTCAATAATAACTGTACATTTTAAAATAACTTAAGGCATGTAATTGGAGTGTATTCTTTGTAACTCAAAGGATAAATGTTTGAGGGGAATAGATACCTCACTCTCCATGATGTGTTTATGTCACATTGCATGCCTATATCAAAACATCTCATGTACTCTATAAATATGTACACCTACAAGATACCCACACATTTAAAAAAAATCAGAAATGTGTAGAAATATAGCCTACATGTATGCAAGACAAAATTTTGATGTTATTACACATGAAGTTTTATGACATCTATGTTCCTGCTAACTGGTATTTGACTGAAATAAGGAGAAAACTAAACCCCCTCAGCAATGAACACATACCAAAAAACACAACTTTAATACAACAGTATGTTTATATCACTTTCACTGATGCCTTCGTAATGCCCCAAGCAGGAGAGAAAGGTAATTTCTGGTATAACAACAAATTTATGATCAGGAGGACCCACGTATAAAGACTCTACTGACAGTGAACTTGGAGCAAGTTTATAATTAACTACATAGATATGGCCTTCCACTGCAGGCTATGGAAGAGCATGAAAGCAGGAAGGGGAACATCACACTCTGGGGACTGTTGTGGGGTGGGGGGTAGGGATAGCATTGAGAGATATACCTAATGCTAGATGACGAGTTAGTGGGTGCAGCACACCAGCATGGCACATGTATACGTATGTAACTAACCTGCACAATGTGCACATGTACCCTAAAACTTAAAGTATAATAACAAAAAAATAAATAAATAAATAAAAAAAAAATAAAATAAAATAAAAAATTAAAAATTAAAAAAGAAGAAAAAAAAGAAACTGCATCAACTAATGGACAAAATAAAAAAAATAAAAATAGTTCATTACTAAAAGTTAATAAAAACATTGTTTTCTGAATAAACAAAAGAATGGCGTTCTCTATCTTCACTGTAAAAAAAAAAAAAAAAGAAAGTATAGTTTATGTAAGGAAAAGTGTGAAAATCAAGTTGAGATGCCACAAACAAAATCCACCATGAACACATAGTATTAGAGTACGTGGTGAATAATTTCACATAAAGAAGTTTGGTAGAATATAAAGAACGTAAGAAGAGAAATCTATATAGCACTCAAAAAAGAGACAATAGTCTAAGAGGCTTTCATGAGTTTCTTGTGGGAAGATTTGGAAATATTAATGAATACCAGACGCTCAATTATGATGTTCCATAATAAACTATAGAAACTCTCCTCTCAAAAACTCTAATACTTTCAGTTTATTATAATTCTTACTGAGTTCTATGTAAATAACTACATTAAGTGCTGTTCTTAGGTATATACCAGCAGGCAAATATCACCTCTCAAAATTATAGATGAGATTATGTTTCTAAGTGGAAAAGGCAGGAGAGCAGTACCTTTAATAGAATGGTGACTTATTTAGGCTTACTTCTGATTAAAGACATAAAGATTATTGGAATGATAATAATAATAATTTTTATTCAAAACTTACTAGGTGCCAGTGTTATAAATGTCAAGTATTAATTCATTGAAGTAACAGCAGCCCTAATGAAGTAGTTACTATTATTATTCTCAACCCACTCATGAGTATAGAGACACAGAATGGTTACAAAGCAATGAAAGAGAGGATGTCCTAACCTAGTCTATGAACAAAGATAAATTTCCTTACTATAAAGTTCAGTTGCTAGTTTTCTATAATCTTAGGAAAAATACTTAAAGAATATTATTTTCAGCCAGGTGCAGTGGCTCACATCTGTAATCCCAGCACTTTGGGGGGCCGAGGCGGGCGGATCATGAGGTCAGGAGATCGAGACCATCCTGGCTAACACGGTGAAACCCTATCTCTACTAAAAGTACAAAAAATTAGCTGGGTGTGGTGGTGGGCACCTGTAGTCCCAGCTACTCGGGAGGCTGAGGCAGGAGAATGGCGTGAACCTGGGAGGTGGAGCTTTCAGTGAGCCAAGATCACGCCACTGCACTCCAGCCTGGGTGACAGAGCGAGACTCCATCTCAAAAAAAAAAGAAAAAAAAAAAAAGAATATTATTTTCACTGTCATATGTCAATACCTGGTTAAGAGTAATCAATTGCAATGATTGCTTGGTGTTCTCAATCAGATATAATTTGTTTTTCAAGCCTCACATGATTACACTAAGTTACTAAATAAGAAAGATTCTGATTAAAAGATACACATATGCCAGCAATTTAAGATGTCATAACCTCTCACAGAATAACACAAATGAGTTTATAACAATTTAAAATTCAGTATCTACCCTTCACTCTGTGATATGGTTTGGCTTTCTGTCCTCACCCAAATCTCATCTCATAGCTCCCATAATTCCCACGTGTTGTGTGAGGGAACCCAGTAGGAGATGATTGAATCAAGGGGGCATTTCTTTCCCATGCTGTTCTTGTGACAGTGAGTGAGTCTCATGAGATCTGATGGTTTTAAAAATAGGAGTCTCTCTGCACAAGCCCTTTCTTTGCCTGCTGCCATCTGCTCCTCTTTGCCTTCTGCCATGATCGTGAGGCCTCCCCAGCCATGTAGAACTGTAAGTCCAATAAACCTCTTTCTTTTGTAAATTGCCCAGTCTCAGGCATGTCTTTATCAGCAGTGTGAAAACAGACTACTACTGTAAATTTGTACCAGTAGAGTAGGGTGTTACTGAAAAGATACCCAAAAATCTGGAAGCAACTATGGAACTGGGTAACAGGCAGAGGTTGGAACAGTTTGGAGGGCTCAGAAGAAGATAGAAAAATGTGAGAAAGTTTGGAACCTCCTAGAGACTTACTGAATGGCTTTGACAAAAATGCTGATAGTGATATGAACAATAAGGTCCAAGCTGAGGTGGTCTCAGATGGAGATGAGGAACTTGCTGGGAACTGGAGAAAAGGTGACTCTTGTTATGTTTTAGCAAAGAGATTGGTGGCATTTTCCCCTCCCCTAGAGATTTGTGGAACTTTGAACTTGGGAGAAATGATTTTTTGTATCCAGCAGAAGAAATTTTTAAGCAAAGCATTCAAGAAGTAACTTGGGTGCTGTTAAAGGCATTCAGTTTTATACGGGAAGCAGAGCATAAAAGTTTGGAAAATTTGCAGCCTGACAATGTGATAGAAAAGAAAATCTCATTTTCTAAGGAGAAATTCAAGCTGGCTGCAGAAATTTGCATAAGAAACAAGAAGCCTAATGTTAATCACCAAGACAATGGGGAAAATATCTCCAGGGCATGTCAGAGAACTTTGTGGAAGCCTCTCCCATCACAGACCTAGAGACCTAGGAGGATAAAATGGTTTTGTGGGCTGGGCCCAAGTCCCTCTGTTGTGTGTAATCTAGGGACTTGCCATGGCTAAAAGGGGCCAAGGTACAGCTTGGCTGTTGCTTAAGAGGTTGGAAACCCCGAGCCTTGGCAGCTTCCATGTGGTGTTGAGCCTGCAGGTACATAGAAGTCAAGAACTGAGATCTGAGAACCTCCACCTAGATTTCAGAAGATGTATGAAAATACCTGAATGCCCAGGCAAAATTTTGCAGCAGGGGTGGGGCTCTCATGGAGAACCTCTGCTAGGGCAGTGTGGAAGGGAAACGTGGAGTGGGAGACCCCACACTGAGGCCCCTACTGGGACACCACCTAGAGGAGCTGTGAGAAGAGGGCCACTGTCCTCCAGACCCCAGAATGGTAGATGCACTGACAGCTTGCACCATGTGCCTAGAAAATTTGCAGACACTCAACACTAGCCTATGAAAGCAGCCAGGAGGGGGGCTATACCCTTCAAAGCCACAGAAGCAGAGCTGTCCAAAACCATAGAAATCCACCTCTTGCATCAGCATGACCTGGATGTGAGACATGGAGTCAAAGGAGATCATTTTGGGCTTTAAGATTTGACTGCCTCACTGGATTTTGGACTTGCATGGGGCCTGTAGCCCCTTTGCTTTGGCCAGTTTATCCCAATTGGAATGGCTGTATTTATCCAATGCCTGTGCCTCCATTATATCCAGGAAGTAACTAACTTGCTTTTGATCTTGCAGGCTTATAGGTGGATGGGACTTGCCTTGTCTCGAATGAGACTTTGGACTGTGGATTTTTGAGTTAATGCTAAAATGAGCTGAGACTTTGAGGGACTGCTGGGAAGGCATGGTTGGTTTTGAAAGGTGAAGATATGAGATTTGGAAGGGGACAGGGGCAGAATGATAAGGTTTCGCTCTGTGTCCCCACCCAAATCTCATAGCTCCCATAATTTCCACATGTTGTGGGAGAGACCCAATGGGAGATAACTGAATCATGGGTGTGGGTCTCTCCCATACCGTTCTCGTGATTGATAGCGAATGGGTCTCACTAGATCTGATGGTCTTAAAAATGGAAGTTTCTCTGCACAAGCTCTCTCTTTGCCTGCTGCCATCCATGTAAGTTGTGGCTTGTCTTCCAACAGGCTTGTGAGGCCTCCTCGGCCATTTGAAACTGCAAGTCCAATAAATCTTTCTTTTGTAAATTGCCCAGTCTCGGGTATGTCTTTTTATCAGCATCTTGAAAATGGACTAATACATTCTGTCTCATATACGCCACTGTGTCACTGGCTTAGCATCATTTAAAATTTTTTATTATTTAAGGTACAGTGCAGTGTTTTTCAAGGCTGGCAGTGCATCAGAATCAGGCTGAGAGCATATAACAACCAGGATGTATTAAATCAAAATTTCTATGGATGTCACCAGGAATTAAAAATTTTAGCAAACTCCTTTAGCGGATTCTTATGATTCTTACATTTGTGAACCACTAGTTCACATCATTTAACAGTCCTAGAATGACCTGGGTGTCTGACATATGTACATCAAACCTTGGAAAGGTCCTTAACAAGGTGGTAATAAATACATTTGAAAAATCAAAACAATTCCTGGAAGGCTTATTAATGATGGAAAGATGGAAATAGTACAACTGTTAAATTTTTCAACTCTGCTTAGGCTTGGACCAAAACTGTGAATCCTATATGTGCTAGTTGGGGTTCTCTAGAAGAAGAGAACTAATGTAATATATATATATATATATATATATATATATATATATATATGTATATATATATATATATATATATATATATATATATATATATAATCTCCATCCAACTCCCTTCTTATTCCTGGATTCCATATATATATGTATATATATGGGAGTTTATAAAGTATTAACTCTCACAATCACAAGGTCCCACAATAGACTGTCTGCAGGCTGAGGAGCAAGGAGAGCCAGTTCAAGTTCTAAAACTGAAGAACTTGAAGTCCAATGTTAGAGGGCACGAAGCATCAAGCACAAGAGAAAGATGTAGGCTGGGATGCTAGGCCAGTCTCCCTTTCACATTTTTCTGTCTTCTTATATTCTAGCCACACTGGCAGCTGATTAGATCATGCCCACCCAGATGAAAGGTTGTCTGCCTTTCTCAGCCCACTCACTCAAATGTTAATCTTCTTTGGCAACACTCTCACAGACACACCCAGGAACAATACTTTGCATCCTTCAATTCAATCCAGTTGACACTCAGTATTAACCATCACAAGTTCACCCCTTGTCAACTGGAACCCATATACAACTCCTGCGATCATACATAATCTTCAAATAAAGACAATAATAAGGTCATAATTACACCTAACATAATACAACTATCCTAATACAACTGAAAACACACCAATCCCTAATCCAAATACTATCACATAAAGTTAACAACACTTAAATGCTGATGTAAGTCAATAAATCTTATGTCACATCATAAAGGAGAAAGGATATATAAGATTTTTTTTTAGTACAAGTGTGTACATTCACAAACATGTTCTTAACAAAAGAAGGAGGAAATACTCATGACAATCACAATCCTCATATCTGCAGCTGGTCACATGATTGTAGCTGGTATTGATGACTACCCTTTTCTACTACCCATTCTGTATTTCCTTTGTCTTCAGCAAGTACCTTAGCAGCTCATGGATTTTTTCCTAGTGGAGTGACAAAAACCATCATTCCTGAAGGTTCTGGGTCATTTGCAGTCCTGCCTGGATTGGGTTGTTGTAGTTTCCCATTGACCTTAATCACAGGGCATGGTGATACTAAGAGATGCCCTAATGGATCTCCTGTGTTTTAAGCATGCTCTTCCTTACCTCTGCTATAGAGTAGTAGACTGATTTCTTCTTGATAGTCTGGGTCAGTCACCCCAGCCAACACTTGTAACTCCCTTCTTAGCCTGGTTGACTTAAAGGTAGGGGGAGCCCAAAGTGTCCAGGTGGCAATCTTTACTTCCAGTTCATTGGAATCATTGTTGTGTCTCCTAGTGGCAGCATTTCTCCCTCTGGAACTAAGACCTCTAGGCCAGCAGAATGTAATGTCACAGCAACAGGAAGCAAAAATTTTGCTAGTGGATCACCAGGGATGATAGTGAATGGTGCTTCCACCCCTTGATTCCTGGACCCATGAATCCTGGTTATGGGAGAAATAGTACCATATATTGGATGCTGATTCATAGCATACATGGCCTTCTGGAAAACTTTGCCCCAGCCCTGCAAAGTATTGTCACCTAGTTGGCATTGTAATTGTCACCTCAAATGGCCATTCTACTATTTTATCAATCCAGCTGCTTCAGGATTTTATGGAACATGGTAAGACCAGTGAATTCTATGAGCATAAGCCCACTGCTGCACTTCTCTAGCCACGAAGTGAGTGCCTTGGACAGAGACAATGCTGTGTGGAATACCATGACAGTGGATAAGGCATTCCATGAGTCCACGGATGGTAGTCTTGGAAGAAGCATTGCATGCACAATAGGCAAAGCCATATCCAGTGGAAGTGTCAATTCCAGTGAGGACAAACCACTGCCCATTCCATGATGGAAGAGGTCCAATATAATCAAATTGCCACCAGGTAGCTGGCTGATCACCCGAGGAATTGTACCATATCAAGGGCTCAGTGTTGGTTTCTGCTGCTGGAAACTTGGGCACTCAGCAGTGGCTGTAGCCAGGTCAGCCTTGGTGAGTGGAAGTCCATGTTGCTGAGCCCCTGCATAACCTCTGTCCCTGCCACCATGGCCACATTGCTCGTGGGCTCATTGTGCAATGACAGGGGTGGCTGGGGAAAGAGGCTGAGTGTTGTCCACAGAACAGGTCATCTTATCCACTTGATTATTAAAATCCTTCTCTGCTGAGGTTACCCATTGGTGAGCACTCATATAGGATATAAAGATCTTCAGTTTTCGACCACTCAGAGAAGTCTATCTACATACCTCTTCCCCAAATCTCTTTGTCACCAATTTTCCAATCATGCTTCTTCCAAGTCCCTGACCAGCCAAACCATTGGCTACAGCCCAGAAATCAATATATAATCACACATCTGCAATTATATATCAAATATATACCATTCAAAGTGCACAACCAGGTGCACTGCTTAAAGTTCTGCCCACTGGGAAGATTTCCCTTCAGCACTGTCCTTCAGGGATTTCCTAGAAAGGGACGGTAGTGCAGCAGCTGTCCACTTTTGGGTACTCCCTGAAAATCATGCAGAGCCATCTGTGAACCAGGCTCTAGTCTTCTCTTCTTCTGTCAACGGATCATAGGAAATTCCCCAAGAAGCCATCAGTGCAGGCTGGAGAAGAGAAGGCAGGGTGGCAGGAGTGGAGACCATGGGCATTTGAGCCACTTCCTCATGTCACTTACCTTCAGGATATACCTGCTCAAGCCAGATCACATATATACCACTTCCATTTGATGATGGAATTTGCAGTGCACCACCCACCTGATGGCTAGATGGGTCAGAAAGCACCCAGTTCATGATAGGCAGTTCAGGTCACATGGTGAGTTGATGATCCATAGTCAAACATTCAGTTTCCATCAAAGCCCAGTAACAGGCCAAGAGGTGTCTCTCAAAAGGAGAGTAGTTATCTGCAGAAGATGGCAGCACCTTGCTCCAAAATCCTAGAAGCCTCCGCTGTAATTCACCTATCAGGGCCTGCCAAAGGCTCCAAGCAGCATCCCTATCTGCCACTGACACCACAAACACCATTGGATCTGCTGGCTTATATGGCCCAAGTGGCAGAGCAGCTTGCACAGCAGCTTGGACCTATTGCAGAGCCTTCTCCTGCAGTGAACCCGACTCAAAACTGGCAGGCTTTTGGGTCACTTGACAAATGGGCCAGAGTAACACAAATGAAGAATGTGTTGCCCCCAAATCCAAATAGGTCTACTAGGCATTGTGCCTCTTTCTTGGTTGTAGGAGGCGCCAAATGCAGCAACTTATCCTTCACCTTAGAAGGAATATCTCAACAGGCCCCACACCACTGGGCCCTTAGAAATTTTACTAAGGTAGAAGTTCCCTGAATTTTAGTTGGATTTATTTCCCATCCTCTGGCATGTAAACGTCTCACCAATAAGTGCAGTGTGTTTGGTACTTCTTGAACTGGATCCAAGCAGCATAATGTCATCAATTTAATGGATCAGTGTGATATATTTGGGAAGCCAAAAACAATCAAGGTCTCCCCGAATAAGATTATGACACAAAGCCAGAGAGTTGATATACTCATGAGGTAGGAAATTGAAGGTTATTGCTGGCCTTACCAGCTGAAGGCAAATTGCTTCTGATGGGCCTTATGGACAGGAATGGGGAAAAAGGCATTTGCCATGTCAGTGGATGCATACCAGGTACCAGGAGATGTGTTAATTTGCTCAAGCAATGAAACCACATCTTGTATAGCAGCTGCAATTGGAGTCACCACTTGGTTAAGCTTATGATAATCCACTGTCATTCTCCAAGATCCATCTGTCTTCTGCACAGGCCAAATGGAAGAGTTGAACGAGCACGTGGTGGGAATCACCATCCCTGAATCTTTCAAGTCCTTGATAGTGGCACTAATCTCTGTTATCCCTCCAGGGATGGAATATTGTTTTTGATTTACTATTTTTCCAGGTAGGGGCAGCCCTAATGGCTTTCATTTGGCCTTTCTCACCATAATAGCACTCATCCTACCAGTCGGGTAGCCAATGTTGGGGTTCTGCCAGCTACTAAGTATGTCTATGCCAGTTATGCATTCTGGCACTGGGGAAATGACCACAGGATGAGTCTGGGGACCCACTGGGCCCCATGTAAGTCAGACCTGAGCTAAAACTCCATTAATTACCTGACCTCCTTAAGCCCTGGCTTTAACTGGAGGATCACAATGATGTTTTGGGTCCCCTGGAATCAACATTAGCTCAGAGCCACTGTCCTGTAGACCCCAAAATGTTGGGTCATTTCTTTTTCCCCAGTGCACAGTTACCCTAGTAAAAGACCAGAGGTCTCCTTGAGGAAAGATGGGAGAAATATTCATTACACCAATTGTTGGTAATGTAGTGGGGTCCTTCCTCATGGAGACCTGCCTCACCTTCATTCAAGGGGTTCCGGGTCTGTAAACTGCCTCAAGTCTGGAAATTGACTGAGGGGCTATGATTATCTGTTTTTATAATTCGAATTAGCCTTTTGTCCATTGGACGTAGAAGTTTGTTCTTTATGTTAGTTAAGTAGGAGTGCAGTAGGTTTCCTATCAGTTTCACTTCTAAGAACACTGTAATTAATTAGACAATGCCAGAGCTCTACACGAGTCAGACTATTCTGATTGCCGCTTTGCCTCTGGTGTCTATTCCAGTAGCTGTGACCACCTTGCTTTTGATGGTTGAGTGCTGCCACTTGGTCCCTGCCACCTCAAGATCCAATTATCCCCATTGTATTTAAATTTTGTAGTTGAGTGACTGCAGTTCCCACTGTTAGATCTGACATACACAGAGGAGCAAGTATAAGGCTCTTCAAAGATGCAGGTGCTACCCTCACAAATCTATTTCACAAAGCATTGGTCAAGGGTATATCTTCTGGACCCTCCCAGCTCGGATGAGTAGGTCTAAAGTGAGTAATCCACTCAGCCATACCGATCTTCCTAAACCTTTAGATCCCTTCCTCTACGTTAAACCAAGTGAGATCAGGCATTTCCAGCTCACTTACGGTGGGCCATCTTTTAATCCATATTTCAGCTAACCAAGCAAATAAACTATTAGGACCTTTTTTTTTTAATTCCCCGAACTGCAACATTAAATGCAGAGTCTCTGCTTAGTGGACCCAAATCAATAAATTCAGCCTGATCCAACTCTATGTGCCATCCACCCTTATCGCACACCCTGAATATATTGATTCCCACGCCTGTTGTCCAGATTTCTATTTATAAATATTAGAAAACTCAAGCAGTTTTTTTTTTTTTTTTTTTTAGTGTAGCATACCTCCTCATGGGTCACATTCTCAACCTCACCTCTAGGGGCCCACTGGGACTTTAGTCTTCTTCTAGGTCTAGAAGCAGACAGGGATGTTGGGGGTGGCTCAAGGAGAAAAGGAGAATCAACATTATCCTGCCTGGCAACTGCCTCAGGGGAGGCCACCACTGTTGCCTTAGGCAGCACAGGGTTCATCTTCCCAGACAGAGGTGGAAAGGCTGATGAGTCGGGAGGGGATGTTGCCACTACTGTTGCCTTAGGCAGCGCAGGGTTCATCTTCCTAGACAGAGGTGGAAAGTCTGATGAGTGGGGAGGGGACGTTGCCACTACTGGGGAAGGGGATGCTGTTTCTTCTGACAAAAAAGTTTCATCAGAGTTTATAAACTCAATGTCCCCAGCTTCATCAGGGTCCACCCACAATCCCCATTCCAAGCTGCAGAGTCCCATTATTTTCCAATCAATGCCCTCACTTTAACAGTAGGCATCTGATGAGGCTGTGCATGCACCTTTCATTGTAGGTCAGCCACTAGCATGATAAGGGCTTGTGTCTGTTTTTCCACAATTTCAGGTCTTTCTCTGTAGGAGATAACACTCTCACTCTGGGCAATCTTGGGAGATTTGAGGCTCAGAATCTGTGTCTGAAGCCAGGAGACAGAATCCCTGAGTTCATCATTTTCTTTCATCACTTTGTACACTGAACTTAGGAGCAACCAACCAGCTTTATTATGTTCTTTGGTTCTCCACATATGGTAAAAGGTATTATATAGAGAGAGAGTCACTAAACTCCTTGCCTCTCACAAGCAATGAATCAGGAGTGTCAGATGCATTTATTTTGGATAACTGTCTAAACAGCTCACGCCAAGGGCTATCAGTATTCTCCATACTATTAGAAATAGAGTCTTTAGCATTTTTGGATCTAATCATATTAAGCAGCCAACTCCAGAAACCCCCAAACCAATGAAATATATATATATATATATATATATATATATATATATATATATATATATATGTATGTATATGTTAAATATTAACTGACATGATCACTAGGTCCAACAATTGGCCATCTGCAGGCTGAGGACCAAGGATAGCCAGCCCGAGTTCCAAAACTGAATAACTTGGAGTCCAATGTTCGAGGGCAGGAAGCATCCAGCATGGCAGAAAGATGTAGGCTGGGAGGCTAGGCCAGTCTATCTTTTCATGTTTTTCTGCCTGCTTATATTCTAGCCACGCTGGCAGCTGATTAGATTGTGTCCACCCAGATTAAGGTGGGTCTGCCTTTCCCAGCCCACTGACTCAAATGTTAATCTTCTTTGGCAACATCTTCACAGACACACCAAGGATCAATACTTTATATCCTTCAATCCAATCAAGTTGACACTCAGTATTAAGTATTACATGGTAAAATGAAATTTGTTGTTGTTCATATGCACAAAGTCATACATACAGAAACATGTCATGACTATAGTCAAAGCAACCTTTAAAAACAGACTCAGAACTGGGTTTAGATAAAAATTTATTAGACATAAATTATTTAAGTCCCAGAATTGTAGATCTAAAAGCCGGAACAAAATTTATGAAATGATATAATTTTAGGAGATCATAATTTTAGTAGATCATAAAGAAACAGAAGTTTTATACAGGCATATAACTAGTTATTTTCAAAATAGTAAACAAATACTGAAGATTTTCAGTTTACCCAAAAACATTCATTTTTTTCAAAAGGAAGAAATATATTTTAATTTTCACTGATGCTAAGAAGCCTAATTGACTGAACATAATGTATATCGTACAAATAAATGCGTACTATGGATGAAAAACAATATATTTTTAACTAGTGAGATTTCCTAACCACTTAAAATTATGCACATCAAAAAAAATTAGGTCTATGTAGCATTATTCACAGGGTATATTTCTCTACCAAAAGGCATTCATGGCCAAGTAAGTCTGAAAATTACCGCTTTCTAGTTACCCCGTGTTTGATATATATAGTGTATACTAGTATATTAAAGTCTCTGAGCATTCCTGCCATAATCTGTCCATTTTGTTTAATTCAGTGTTTCCAAAATTAATTTTACTAAAGACTCAGTTTAAAAATTTTTAAATGTCTATTATCCCACATTGAATATGTTCTGGAAAACATTGAGGTAAACAAATCTAAAAATAGAATTCTATGGGGACATTCTTTACCAAGAAAATAACTTCACCAGAATAAAAGGAGTGGCCTTAAAGACTTACACAATATTCTAGTTATGTAGGCAAATTAAAACAAATATACTTAGTGAGTTATGTGGCTTCATAAGGGGGCAAATATTTTAGCTTTATCTTTTCATTTTAGTAAGTTTCCAATTATACATTGAGTTTTCTATGATCATATTTTATTTTATTCTTTTTTAAAAAAATCTTTAAATATGGCTTCATATATGTAACCTCAGCATAACTAGTGAATTCCATAATATAGTAAAATGTATAACAAAATATTTGGGTATGTAGAATAAACAAATGGTTGTAATATGATCCTAATTTTAACTACTAACTTTTGCATCATATAGAGGAAAAGGAGCAAACATAAAATTACAAGCTACATTTATACAGCATCTAAATCAAAACAATTGGTCAGAATTTAAGATGCATTTCAATATATTTGTATTTCATCTAAATAAAATCTATATATTTTAACTTAAATTTTATAATTTACCAATACTTAATAAAAATGCAATTTTGAAAATGAAAAGAATGCTAGAAGACTGTTTCAGATGCCCCATATTACTTGTAAGATTAAAAATGGTCTAAAATGATAATCTTAACCAAAGTCATATAGGACTAAACACTTTCCTGGTAATATTTGTTTCTATTTCCTAACGCAATTTAATTCACCCAACCTTTATTGAACAGTTAATATGAATCAAGCCTGTCTAATTCCAATTACAAATAACAGGCTACTGAGACTGTAGAATGTTGCAATTACTTGGCAATCTTATCGCAAAGGAAGTAAAGGAGACAAGGTGGAGTTCTGTCCAGAAACAAACCACTGAGAAAATATGATTGTAAAGGGTATCTTGAGCAATGGGCCCAGTGTTGCAAAGTATTTACAAATTAAAAGCAAGTTTCTTCTCAGGAGCAATGAATTTCCACAGCAGAATTTCCCTAGTTGTTTTCTGGGACAGTAGCCTGTGGCCTCTATGGAATCTTCCAAGATTTTTGGATGACACTAAAAACATGCTTTGAAACCTAGGAATGAAGGAGAAAACTCTCTTCTTTCTTTTATTTCCTCCTTTATTTGAGAAATTTTGGTAAAATTATGAAGTATTACAAAATTGGGGGCTTGGGTCTTTACAAGCTAAAATTATAGTTTTGCTAACACTGACCCTCTGAGGACATGAGTCCACAAATGCCATTGTGACTGAGCCTCCTGTTTACATAGCTGGTGTTTACATGGACTTTGAACTCAAGGGAACTTGAGAATGTGTGGTGGTATTCATTCCATGCTATACGAAAATTAACCCAGACCTAGCTGCATGTATTGTATGACTAAAAGGAAAGCCCAGATGTCTGGCTATTATTCCTAGGCTTCTCTTGGGGTAAAAAAGGAACTTTATGTTTGGGATTAAAAATATAAAACATACACACTTAAAACACTCTCACTTTCTCCCACACTCAACAAATCTTATAACACGTCTAGATACTTGGTGTCCAAGATTTGTATTATTTAGATTTCACTGAAGGCCATCCATACACATAAGTTTATATATAAACACATTTTTTTCTAATGGTGAGTGGAAATTTTATAGCTTGTTATCTGTTATATATAAAGATATCCCCCCTTCTCCAAACAGTGTTACATCTTAGGGTTTGAATCTGACTGCAAAGATGTATAGTACATTAATTTTGTATGAACAAGTACATTCATTTTGCTGTTTGGGGGCCTACCACTTTTTGTAGTTCATTTCTGTTTGCCTTGTAAGCTGACAGTTATATGAAAAATATCATAATTCTAGTCACATATGAGGTTCACTGGGGCTTAATCATGAAAGACCTAGATGGTATACCTATGACTAGATGGTATACTGGTGTCATGATGGACCTTGAGGCCTCCATGTCTAATCAAAATAGAAAGTAAATCAAATTTTTCCAAAAGTGAAAAAGGTCAATAGTGGGCTGGCACAATCAATGGAAGCCACTAAAAACAGGGCCTCCATTTCAGTGTTGCGCTTCAGTGTTTCTCTTAATGTTTGTGGCCAGAATTGGTTCTTCACACAGGCAAACGAGTGGCTATCTATGCAGCGCAAAAATGAATATGTTTAGAAAAGTCATAATTAAGAAGAACCAGCCATCCCATTACTGGGTATATACCCAAATGTCTATAAATCATGCTGCTGTAAAGACACATGCACACGTATGTTTATTGCGGCATTATTCACAATAGCAAAGACTTGGAACCAACCCAAATGTCCAACAATGATAGACTGGATTAAGAAAATGTGGCACATATACACCATGGAATACTATGCAGCCATAAAAAAGGATGAGTTCATGTCCTTTGTAGGGACATGGATGAAATTGGAAATCATTATTCTCAGTAAACTATCGCAAGAACAAAAAACCAAACGCGGCATATTCTCACTCATAGGTGGGAATTGAACAATGAGATCACATGGACACAGGAAGGGGAATATCACACTCTGGGGACTGTGGTGGGGTGGGGGGAGGGGGGAGGGATAGCATTGGGAGATATACCTAATGCTGGATGACGAGTTAGTGGGTGCAGCGCACCAGCATGGCACATGTATACATATGTAACTAACCTGCACAATGTGCACATGTACCCTAAAACTTAAAGTATAATAAAAAAAAAGAAGTCAGTGTAAAAAATCAATACTATCTCTATACAGTAGCAATAAACATTGGAAATTAATATTTTAAAATAAAAATATTTTAAAATAATTTGTTTTCTCTGGACAAATAAAAATGTTATACAGTCCCTGACTTACAAAGGTTTGACTTTTGATTTTTTGACATTACAATAGAGCAAAAGCAACACTCATTTTGTAGAAATTGTACTTAGAGTACCCATACAACCATTCTGGCTTTATTTTCAGTACAGTATTCAATAAATTACACTAGATATTCAATACTTTATTATAAAGTAGGCTTTGTGATAGATGATTTTGTCCAACTGTAGGCTAATGTAAGTGTCCTGGGCACTTTCCATCTGGGCTAGGGTAAGCTATGATGTTTGGAAGGTTAGGAGTATTAAAGGCACTTTTGTCTTACAATATTTTCAACTTATAATGGATTTATCAGGATGTAACTCCATTGTAATTCAAAGAACATCTATATGTTTATCATATGCAAAATTTGTTTTTATATATGCCTACATTGTGATTGACTAAATCATGCTATTTAACATTTACTTTATATCACATATACTTTTTGTGGTGAGATCACTTAAAATTTTCTCTTGGCAATTTTCAGTGATACAATAGGTTGTCACCAACTATTCACCAACTATTGACACCATGTTATACAATAGATCCCTCACTTGTTCCTCTCAGCTACTTGAAATTTTGTATCCTTTGACCAACAACTCTCCCACCCCCACCCCCAGCTCATGGTAAACACCATTCACTCCCTACCTTTATGAGTTCAACTTTTTAATATTTCACACATAAGTGAGATCATGCAATATTTGTCCTTCTGTGCCTGGCTTATTTCACTTAATACAATGTCCTTCAGGTGCATCCATGTTGCTGCAAATGACAGGATTTCCTTCTTTTTAGAAGCTGAATAGTATTTTGTTGTGTATATATGACATTCTTTATCCATTAATCAGTTCATGGACAATTAGGTTGATTGCATATATTATCTGTAATGAATAATACTCAATGAACATGAGAATATAGATATCTCTTCAACATACTGATCTTATTTCCTTTGGATATATAGCCAGTAGTTGTATTACTGGATCATAAGTTCTACTTTTAATTTTTTGAGGAACTTTCATATTGTTTTCTATAATGGCTGTATCAATTTACATTCCCACCAAAAGTGTGCAAGGAGCAGAAGCTCTTTAGTATAATTAGGTCCCAGTTGTCAATTTTTGGTTTTGTTGCAATTGCTGTTGGTGACTTTATAAAAAATATTTGCCAGGGCCTATGTCCAGAACAGTGTTTCCAAGGTTATCTTCCAGAGTTTTTATAGTTTTACATTTTACATTTAAGTCTTTAATCTGTCTTTTAGTTGATTTTTGTATAAGGGTTCCAGCTTCAATCTTCTGCATATGGCTAGCAACGTTTCATAGCACCATTTATTGAAAAATGGGTCCTTTTCCCATTGCTTGTTTTTATCAACTTTATTGAATATCAGATGGTTGCAGGTGTATTATTACTGGGCTCTCTATTCCATTGGTCTATGCATCTTTTGTTTGTTTTTATTTTTTCACAAGTACCATGCTATTTTGTTACTGTAGCATTGTAGTATGGTTTGAAGTTGGGTAATGTGATGCCTACAGCTTTCTTCTTTTTGGTTAGGATTGCCTTGAATATCCATGCTCTTTTTTGGTACCATATCAATTTTAAAATAGTTATTACTAATTATCTGAAGAATGTCATTTGTAGACTGATAGGAATAGCATTGAATAGCATTGAACTGTAAATTTCTTTGGGTAGTATGGCCATTTTAACAATATTGATCCTTCTTACCTATGAGCATTGAATGTGTTTCCATTTGTTCGTTTCAACTCTAATTTCTTTCAGCAGTGCAAAATTTTGTAATTATCCTTGTGAAGATATTTTACCTCCCTGGTTAGCTGTATTCCCAGGTACTTAATTCTTTTTGTGGCTATTATAAATGGAATTGTATTCTTGATTTGGCTCTCAGCTTGAGTGGTGTTGGTATATAGAAATGTTACTCATTTTTATGCATTAACTGGGTATCCTGAAAGTTTGCTGAAGTTGTTTTTCAGATCTAGGAGCTTTGGGGTGGTGACTATGGGGTTTTCTAGGTATATAATCACAATGTGTAAACATGGATACTTTGACTTCTTCTATTCCTATTTGAATGTCTTTCATTTCTTTCTCTTGCCTGATTGCTCTGGCTAGGACTTCCAGTACTATGCTAAACAGGAGTGGTGAGGATGAGCATCCTTGGCTTGCTCCAGGTCTCAAGAGGAATGCTTCCAGCTTTTGGCCATTCAGTATGATGTTGGCTGTGGGTTTGTTGTAGATGGCTTTTATTATTTTCATTGTCTAGTTTGTTGAGGGCTTTTAACATAAAGGAATGTTGAATTTTATCTGAAGTCTTTTCTGCATCTGTTGAGGTGATCCTGTGGTTTTGTCTTTATACCTGTTTATATGATGAATCACATTTATTGATTGGCATGTTGAACCAAGTTTGCATCCCAGGAATAAAGTCTACTTGATCATGATGGATTAGATTTTTGATGGTTCGCTACTATTTTCTTGAGATTTTTGCACACTGTGTTCATCAAGCATATGGCCTGATGTTTTCTTTTTTGTTGTGTCTCTGACAGGTTTTGGTATCAGGATGATGCTGGCCTCATGGAGTAAGTTAAGGAGTCTCTCCTTTTCAATCTTTTGAAATAGTTTCAGTAAGAATGGTACCCTCTCTTCTTTATATTTCTGGTAGAATTTGACTGTAAATGTATATTTGGCTGGTCCTAAGTTTTTTGTGGTTGGTAGGCTTTTTATTACTGATTTGATTTCAGAACTCATTATTTGTTAGTTCAGGGATTCAATTTCTCCCTTGTTCAGCCTTGGGAAATTGTTTGTTTCTAGGAATTTATTAATTTCTTCTAGATTTTGTCCTTTGTGTGCATAGAGGTGTTCATAGTAGACTCTGAGAGGTGTATATATATATATATATATATATATATATATATATTTTTTTTTTTTTTTTTTGGTGGGGTCAGTGATAATGTCCCCTTCATCATTTCTGATTGTGTTTATTTGGATCTTCTTTCCTTTTTACTTTTAGCCTAACTAGTAGTCTGTCAATATTATTTATTTTTACAAAGTGCAAACTCATGAATGTGTTGATGTTTAGTATGGTTTTAAGTACCTCAATTGCATTCAGTTCAGCTCTGATTTTGGTAATTTTTTGTCTTCTTCCTGCTTTGTGGTTGGTTTGCTCTTGTTTTTCAAGAGCAGGAGGGCAGCAGGTATGCTCCCACCGACAGTGGTGGGGTGGCAGGGTGTGCATGCACTTGCACACTGGCAGGGTCACAGAGGCAAGTTCCACCCACACAAGTGCACCTGCATAGACAAATCTATTTCATACAAATAGGAAGAGGAATAGAGCAGAGGGAGCTATATTAATATCAGATGAAATATACTTTAAGTAAAAAGCTGTAAAAAAAAGACAAAGGTTATTATATATTGGTGAAGGAGCAAATTCATAAGATGATATAAAAATTGTAAATATATATGCACCCAACATCATAGTGCCTGAAGCAAATATGAAGCTAGTATTAATCCATGTGAACGGAGATATAGACTGCAATGAAATAATAGTGGGGAATTTAATACCTCACTTCTAGCAATGCAAATATCATGTAGACAGCAAATCAATAATAATAATTAATAAGGAACTGTATGTCCATGTTGTGTGGAGCGTGTGGGAAAATATCTGCCAGCAAAGCAGAGGGCCAAGCCTGTGGTGGTGGGAAGCTATGGGTAGGCTGGTGCACCTCAGTGGTGGCCGGTCTGCTGAAGCTCTCCAACAGTCAGGCGCAAGCCTTCCAGCAAAGGAATTATGATGAGGGTCCCCAGGAAGCACCCTTGTTTGGCATTGAGGCTACCCTTCAAGAGGGTGCAGTGATGCTGGATCCCAAGGAAAGGCCAGCAGACATGGGGTGCTCAGATCAGACTAGACTCATCACCTGGACAAGACTGCTCTGCTGTGTCCAGGTTTGAAAGTCACTCTAAGGCTACATTATTTTAGAGGAGCATGGCAAGCTGTGGGATACAGGCAGTTCTGCTCATCTCCCATACTCTACTACAGCTGTTCCCTTGCCAAACTCTACAGGCTGGAGTTCTGTGCAGAGTTCCCCGCCACTTCTTTAAGCAACTCTCCATGCCAAGTAAAGTGTCCATTGATGTCATGGGGTCCCCTGCTTTTAGGATTCTGGAGGTCCATGGTGAGAATTGGCTGCTCCTCGCCTGTTTGATTCATCCCTTCCCCAAGAATCGCTAGGGGCCAAGAGTGAGTTCTGGTGCTCAGCAGCCCTGTGCTAGGTTCCCAGCTTCCTCCCCCTTAATCCTAGCGTCTGCATCCTTCCCTATTCACCTTTCAGTTCCTTCCTTCTGAAGATCTGTTCAGAACATACCAGTCTTCCCCATGTCCTGGTCTCTTGGTGGGAGATGTTTCTCCTGGCTGTATCTAGTGGTCCATCTTGGCTCCTCTTTCTTTTTTGATGTAGAATTTTATTGCTGTAAACTCCCCGCTTTGAATCACATTTACTGAATTTCATAAGTTTTGGTATATTGTGTTTCCGTTTTCATATGCTACCAAATATTTTTTTAAATTCCCTTTTTAATTTCTTTTTTGACACTTTGGTTGTTCAGAAGCATGTTATTTACATTTCATGTGGTTGAGAATTTTCTAAAATTCCTCCTAATCATTTTAGTTTAGAACTAGGATGGTCAGAAAAGATACATGATATGATTTCAATCTTCTTAAATTTGTTAATACTTGTTTTGCAGTCTAACATGTGATCTATGTGGAAGAATGTTTCATGAGTTCCTGGGAAGAAGGTGTAGTCTTCTGCTTCTGGATAGAACGTTATGTATATGACTTTCAAGTCCCTTTAGTCTAAAGTGCCTAGACTTTATTCCAATGCTTCCTTATTGATTTGCTGTCTGGATGATATTTCTGTCACTAGAAGTGAGGTATTAAATTTTCCACTATTATTTCATCAGTCTATCTCTCCCTTCAAATAGATTATTATTTGCTTCATATTTGCTTCAGGTGCTCTGCTGTTGGGTGCCTATATATTTATGATTTTTGTATCTTTGTATGAATGCACTCCCTTTTCACAATATGATTATGTTCTTTGACTCTTTTAATAATTTTTTACTTAATGTCTATTTCATCTGATATAGCTTCCTCTGCTCTATTTTTGTTTCTATTTGGATGAATTATCTTTGCCCATGCCTTCTTCTTCAGTCTATGTGTCTTTAAGTGTGAAGAGAATCTTTTGTAGGCAATATATTGTTGTTCTTCTAAAAAATCTATTTAGCCATTCTATGTGTTTTGATTGGAAAATTTAATCCATTTACATTCAAGATTGATAGGTAAGGACTTACTACTGCTATTTTTCAGTTGTTTTATGCTTGTTTGTGATCTTTTATTCTTTCCTTTTTCTCTATTTTATTTTGTGACTGGATGATTGTTTTGATGGTCTTCTTTGATGAGAGGCTATTACGGCTTTGATATCATTACTTGCTATTAGTCTGTTCAGATTTTGGTTTCTTCATGGTTCATTACTTTTTTCTTTGATTAATTACTTTCTTTTTATTGAGATATAGAATCACTTTCTTTTCATTGAGAAAGGGTCTTTCGCTGTCACCCAGACTGGAGTGCAATAGCGTGATTGTATCACTTCAGCCTTGACCTATTGGGCTCAAGTGATCCTCTTATTTCAGCTTTCTGAGTTCCTGGGAGCACAAATGCACACCAATATACCTGGCTAATTTTTTAATAATTTTTTGTAGGGATGGGGGTCTCCCCACATTGCCTTGGCTAGCCTCAAATTCCTGGGCTCAAGCAATCTTTCTGCCTTGGCCTACCAAAGTGCTTGTTACCGGTGTAAGCCACCAAAACTGGCCTGATTCATTACTTTTTATCTTTTGTGTATTCAGTGTCCACCAAGGAATCTTTCAAAAGACAATCACAACATGAGATACACATGCACATTATATCCTATACACTGCTCCTAAAACAAGTATTGTTAAGAGCAGGATAAAAAGCTGAGAGAATTCGTGCTTCTATTAAATAGCTTTCTCACTTGCTCCTGCCTTTGTTTAAGGTTTCTCTTGTAGACCTTAAATGTATCTACAGAAAGAATTCTCTTTCTGGAATCCTTGAGCCTCAGAGAGTCTATGTTCTTATGACAATATAATGCAGGGCTTTACTGTCCTTGCCATTGAATCAAACTACTTAGGTTCATATCCTTGTTTTATAAACTATAACAAATTAGCCAGTGACTTGACTCTGTGACTTAGTTTCCTCATCTGTGAAATGTGGCTAATAACAGCAACTACTTCACAGAGTTGTTATAAAGATTGCATGAATTAATCTATTATAAGGGCTCCAAATTCTGAGTTCTTTTTCAACAAACTCGACTTCAAATGGTAAGCTTTATATATGCAAATAAGTCCTGGACCTAGCTGGAGACTCATAGCAGTAGTGATTCATCCATCTTCTTCTTCTTTTTTTAAATTATTATTATACTTTCAGTGCTAGGGTACATGTGCAAAATGTACAGGTTTGTTACATATGTATACAAGTGCCATGTTGGTGTGCTCCACCCGTTAACTCGTCATTTACATTAGGTATTCTCCTAATGCTATCCCTCCCCTCTCCCCCCACCCCACAACAGGCCCTGGTGTGTGATGTTCCCCACCCTGTGTCCAAGTGTTCTCATTGTTCAATTCCCACCTGTGAATGAGAACATGCAGTGTTTGGCATGATTCTGAGAAAACTATCGCAAGGACAGAAAACCAATCATCCATCTTCTTAATAGAGCATTTAATATTTATTAAGCGATGATTTGGTATGTGACAGACACAGTTTTAAGCCCTTATAAACTCAGTATTATTGATCCATTCTACAGATGCTGCATATGTAAGGTAGTTGTGAGGATTTGATGAGTGACTTTGGGTAAGTCACCTTATATATCACCATCAGTCTAATGGGGTCAGGAGAAGGTATACATTTCTACTTCATCTACTGGAAGAAGGAAAAAAATGTATAATGTGCTATGAGAGATACATATATAATATAAAGTTTTTATCTATTATAGATATTATAGATATAAACATTACAATACTATATATATGTTTAGATGAGCTGAAACTTTGAATTGAGTGTACAGTGAGACTTGTAATAATCTAACCTCACTAAATCTAATAATCTATAGATTTAGCTATATATGATGTTTAATTCACCAGTTGTTTGACAAAAAATAATTGGTTGAGTTAATAAAAAATGATGCTTGTGTGTGCATGTGACTGAGTGTGCATGGGTGTGTGTGTGCATATTACTTTTCAATTAGTAACTGGCTATTTAATGGCATGAGGAATACATAAGAATTGCTTAGTTTATATGACTTTGTTTTATGGGTTTGATATTACCTTCCTAAAATTTAGACTTATTAATTCCCTCATATACAACTGGGAATTGGTTGTTTTCTGGAGACATGCAATAAGTATTGAATTTTCTAGGATTTGGAAATCTATTGAAAATTGTAAAGTGATAAAAATATAATGCAGGAACCCAAGTCCTGGAAATAGCTGAATGAAAAATTAATATTTTCTAATGTACTTAAAATGACATTGTTTATGAAATGGGAAATTATTGTGGATTTTTACACAAGTCTATTATGATTCTGCAATGTTTTCCTTAATGGATTCTTTCTTTTAAAAAGAGAAGTTAATGTCTACATTGTGCCATAGGCAATCAGAGTTTAATATATTTCTTTAATGCATAAAATATTCATCAAGAAATGTTTTCATGTCAATCAATATATAAACCCTTTCTAAAGACACTTGAGAGTGTTAAGAAGAGATCAAGGAAATATATGAGCTTTTCTTTTCCTGGAGAGTTA
Source organism: Homo sapiens (assembly GCF_000001405.40). NCBI lineage: Eukaryota > Metazoa > Chordata > Mammalia > Primates > Hominidae > Homo > Homo sapiens. The sequence goes on along the minus strand of NC_000006.12, from coordinate 74,525,281 downwards.
GTTAGACAAGAAAAGCAGATGAGATATAAAATTTGAAAATACCGAATTTCAGAGTCCAAAATTGAATGTGTCTTTTACACTCTCTTTTTTGCTATTATAAAATATACAAACTGGCCAGGCATGGTGGCTCACGTCTGTTATCCCGGCACTTTGGGAGGCCGAGGCAGGCGGATCACAAGGTCAAGAGATCAAGACCATCCTGGCCAACATGGTGAAACACGGTCTCTACTAAATATACAAAAATTACCTGGGCATGGTGGCACATGCCTGTAGTCCCAGCTACTAGGGAGGCTGAGGCAAGAGAATTGCTTGAACCCAGGAGGCAGAGGTTGCAGTGAGCCAAGATTGTGCCACTGCACTCCAGCCTGGCGACAGAGTGAGGCTCTTCTCATAAATAAATAAATAAACAAACGAACAAGCAGACAAACTAAGCATATCCTTCTTCTAGAGTGGAAGTTCAAAAGACTGTATGAGTCAGTTTGTGATATGTTCTGTATATCTTGCAAGTCCTAATTAAATGCAAGCAAACTATGAAAAATATCTAGCCACAGAATCCTTTCCCCTGTATTCTATGTAAATTAGGTTATTTTAGACTAAATCAAACTAGCATTGCCTACAAAATGTATTTTGATTTGATTTTTAAAAGACTCCAACAAAAATCCTGAAGCAAAAACCAAAATATTATACCACAAGGATCTCTCTGCCTGCCTTCTCCTCAGTTCTCTCAAAGTTTGATTCTGGAATTAAACTATTTTGGTTATAATTATATAGTCATTTTAAATTTATGAGGTAGTCCCATTTTGTTATTGAGGTATACAGATATTGTTAAGTGCAGCATATTATTATTTAGTTATTTGGTCCCTGAAGGAAATTTTTTTAAAACAATGATATCATAAAATAAAAAGAAAGACATGGAGTGGTGAAATAAAGAAATTTTGTAAAAGACCCATTGATTTGTTGCCTAAAAAAAAACAGTTCACCAATAAAGGCACACATAGAATAAAAAGAAACGGTTGGCAAAAGATATTACAGGCAAATGAAAATCAAAAAAGAGCAAGAATAGCTATACTTACAGCAGAAAAAAATGTGTTTCAAGACAAAAACTATAAAAAGAGACAAAGAAGGTTGGTACATAATGCAAGGTTGCCAATTAAACAAGATAATATAATAATTGTAGTTATGACCACAATTTAATACAACTAGGAAATAATAACAGGAATTTTGGAGACCGTCTGAACACATGGAAATTAAGCAATATACTCTTGAATGATCGGAGGGTCAATAAAAAAATTTAAAATAAAATTTAAAAATTTCTTGAAACAAATGATAATGGAAATGCAACATACCAAAACCTATGGGATATAGTGAAGGCTGTAATATAAGGAACATTTTTAACTATAAGTATCTACATCAAAAAAGTAGAAGAAAACTTCAAATAAAAAACCTAACAATATATCTTAAATAGAAAGAAAAGCAAGAGCAGTCTAAATCCAGAAATAATAGAATTAAAGAAATAATAAAGATCAGTGCATAAATAAAATTGAAATGAAGAAAACAACACAAAAGATCAACAAAATGAACAGTTGTGTTTTTTTTTTGAAAAAATAAAATGACAAACCTTTAGCTAGACTAAAGTAAAAAAAAAAAAAAAAAAAAAAAAAAAAAAAAAAAGAAGACCCAAATAAAATTAGAGATGATGGAAAGGAAATATTACAACCAAGACTACAGAAATTCAAAGGGTCATTAGAGGCTATTATGAGCAACTATATGCCAATAAACTGAAAAACCTGGAAGAAATGGATAAATCCCTAGACCCATATAATTTACCAAGATTGAACCATGAAGAAACCAAAATCTGAACAGACCAATAGCAAGTAATGATATCAAAGCCGTAATAGTCTCTCATCAAAGAAAAGCCCAGACCCAATGGCTTCACTGCTGAATTTTACCAAACATTTAAAAAGGAACTAATACCAATCCTATTCAAATTATTCTATAAAGTAGAGGAGAAGGGAATACTCACTCCCAAACTTGTTCTACATGGCCAACATTACCCAAATACCAAATTCAGACAGAAGATACATCAAAAAACAAACTACATGCCAATATCCTTGAACACTGATGCAAAAATTATTAACAAAATACTAGCAAATCAAATTCAACAACGCATTAAAAAGTCATTCATCACAACCAAGTGGGATTTACCCTTGAGATGCAAACATGGTTCAACATATTCAAATCAATCAATGTGATACATCATATCAAGGGAAAGAAGAACAAAAACAATATGATCATTTCAATTGATGCTAAAAAAGCTTTGCTGAAGTTCAACATCCTTTTATGATAAAAACCCCTAAAAAAACTGGGTATAGAAGGAACATACCTCAACATAATAAAAGCCATATATAACAGACCCTCAAATAGTATATACTGAATGGGGGAAAACTGAAGCCTTTCCTCTAACATCTAGAACACAACAAAGATACCCACTTTCACCACTGTTATTCAATATAGTATGGAAGTCCAACTAGAGCAATCAGAAAAGAGAAAGAAATACAGGACATACAAATCGAAATGGCAGAAGTCAAATTATTTTTATTTGCAGATGATATGATCTTACATTTGGAAAAACCTAAAAACTCCAAAAAAACCCAAAAATCTATTAGAACTAATAAACAAATTCAGTAAAGTTGCAGGATACAAAATAAACATACAAAAATTAGTACCATTTATATATGCCAACAGCAAACAATCTAAAAAAGAAATCAAGAAAGTAATTCCATTTAAAATAACTACAAATAAAATCAAATACCTAGGAATTAAATTAACCCCAAAAGTGAAAGATTTCTACAATGAAAACTGTAGAGCACTGCTGACAGAAATTGAAAAGGACACAAAAAAGTTGAAATATATTTTATGTTCATGTTTTGGAAGAATCAACACTGCTAAAATGTCCATACTACACAAAGTCATCTATAGATTCAATGCAATTCCTATTAATATACCAATGACATTCTTCACAGAAACAGCAAAAACAATCCTTAAATTTGACCGGGCAGGGTGGCTCATGCCTGTAACCCCAGCACTTTGGGAGGCCGAGGCAGGTGGATCACCTGAAGTCAGGAGGTCGAGACCAGCCTGAACAACACGGAGAAACCCTGTCGTCTCTACTAAAAATACAAAATTAGCCAGGCATGGTGGTGCATGCCTGTGATCACAGCTACTCAGGAGGCTGAGGCAGGAGGCGGAGGTTGCAGTTAGCCGAGATCGCGCCATTGCACTCCAACCTGGGCAACAAGAGCGAAACTGTCTCAAAAAAAAAAAAAAAAAAAAAAGAAAGAAAATTATATCGAACCACAAAAGACCCAGAATAGCCAAAGCTATCCAAAGCAAAAAGAACTAAACTGGAGGAATCACATTATCTGACTTCAAATTATATTAAAGGGCTACAGTAACCAAAACAGCACGGTACTAGCATAAAAACAGACACATACACCAATGAAACAGAATAGAAAATCCAGAAATAAATTTACACATCTACAGGTAACTCATTTTCAACAAAGATTCCAAGAATGCATGTGGGGGACTTGTCGGGCCAATAAATGGTGCTGGAAAAACTGGATACCCATTCTTCATGCAGAAGAATGAAACTAGGCCCTTATCTTTTGTCTTACACAAAAATCAAACAAAATGCACTAAAGACTTAAGCCTAAGACCTCAAACTATGAAATTACTAAAAGAAAACATTGGGGAAAATCTCCAGGACATTGGACTGGGCAAAGATTTCTTGAGTAATATCCTACAAGAACAGGCAACCAAAGCAAAAATGGACAAATGGGATCACATAAGGTTAAAAAGCTTCTGCACATTGAAGGGAACAATCAACAAATAGACAACCCACAGAATGAAAAAAATATTTCCAAACTACCCCTCTGTAAAGGGATTTTAGCCAGAATATAACGGAGCTCAACCAATTCTATAGGAAAAAAATCTAATAAGTTGATTAAAAAATAAGCAAAACATCTGAATAGACATTTCTCAGAAGAAGACATAAAAATAGCAAACAAGGATACGAAATGGTACTCAACATCATTAATCATCAGATAAATGCAAATCAAAACTACAATTAGATATTATCTAACCCCAGTTAAAATCATTTTTACCCTAAAGGCACATAATAGCAAATGCTGGCAAGGATGTGGAGAAAAAGCTACATGTTTGCACTGTTTGGGGGAATGGAAATTAGTACGACCACTATGGAGAACTGTTTGGAGTTTCCTCAAGAAACTAAAAATATTATCCAGCAATTTCACTGCTAAGCATATATTCCAAAGAAAAGAAATCAGTATATTGAAGAGATATCTGCCCTCCCATGTTTGCTGCAGCACTGTTCACAATAGCCAAGATTTGGAAGCAACCTAAGTGGCCACCAAAAAATGAATAAAGAAAATTTACTACTTGTACACAATAAAAAAGAATAAGATCCTGTTATTTGCAGCAACATGGATGGAATCAGAAGTCATTATGTTAAGTAAAATTAGCCAGGCACAGAAAGTCAAAATTCACATGTTCTCACTTATTCGTGGGAGCTAAAAATGGAAACAACTGAACTCATGGAGATTAGAGAGTAGAATAATGGTTACCAGGGGCTAGAAAGGGTTTTGTTAATGGGTACAAAAATATAGTTATATGGAATGAATGAGATCTAGTATTTGATAGCACAGTAGAGTGACTACAGTTAAAAATAATCTATTGTACATTTTTAAAAGTATAATTAGATTGTTTATAACACAAATACATGATAAATGCTTGAAATAATGGATACTCCATTTATCCTTATGTGATTATTATGCATTGCATGCCTGTATCAAAATATCTCACGTACCCCATAAATCTATATACCTGCTATGTACCAAAAAACATTAAAAATTAAAAAAATTACAAAAAATGATTTCATCAATTACTATGGAGTATATTTTGGCAATCAAATTGTCTACTTACTATCTATCTATCACAAATACACCTATTCTTCTATCCAGAATTTTTACCTTTGGGAATTTATCCTTCATCTGTATTTCAAAAATTTTTCAGAGGTTTATGTATTAAAATAATTACTGAATCATTATTTGTAATAATACAAAATTGAGAAAAATCCAAATGTCCATATATGAGACAATTTAGTAAATGAGGGTAGGAATTGTTAATAGAATGCTAGGCAGAAGTTAAAAACACAAAGGCAGGTCTATTTGTATCAATATGAAATATTCAATGAGCTATATTATTTCGAGAAAAAAGCTAGAATTTATAACACTTTGTAAATTATACACTTGGCTTAAAATTATAAATGCATTCATACACTTATAAACACCTAGAATATCCACAGAAAGATAGATAAAAATTATTAATAAAAACTATGAAGGGGGATTAAATAGATCGACTGGCATACAGAGTGGGTGGGAGACCTAGCTTTCATTTAATTTCTTCCTATTAAACATGTATTTTGTGCAGGGATTATCTATTAATATAAATTAATTATCATAAAAGGTAATATATATCTAAAAATCATTGCTTACACTGAAAATAACAAAGAACGGAAACACACTACTAATGGGAAAAATAAGTAATAGACATGTTGGGAAAATAAAACAGTCAATGAACATAAATGATTTTAAGCTGCTAGTATTTAGTGCTAATACTTAAAAATATTACTGAGAAGATTGCAATGTGGTAAAGATTTATTTACATAAATTGTTGGGTCAAAATAATTGCAAAGAGAACACTTTTCAGCAGCAATTAGAAGAAAAATTAAAAGTAAAATACTGTTAGCTGACAATGTTTGCAAACCACACATGATGAAATAGGCTGTATTCAGAGTGGTAGACTAAAGGAAAACAAAGTTCCTAGAAAGAGGCTGGACTTCTCTTGTATGAGTCAGAAGCATCACCCTGCAACTTTACAATATGTCTAAGACTAAGAGCTAATAAATATAACTCAGGACCTAAAGGAAGGAAGAATACAGTAAAACTTATCCAAGAATATCTCTGCAAGGTGGGGACTAGGTCGGTTGCCAACATCTTTATGAAAGAATAAACTATAATCAGAAGTTTGCCTTTAAAAATTTATTTTGCTGGTTGGAAGGGAAAAATTACTGTTCCTACTTCTAGAACTATAAACTTACAACATATTCAGCCAATTTAACAATTTAGTTAGGATTATATGTGGTTTGTGACTGACTGTTTTTTCTTCTTGTGTCTTAATGCTTTTCAATGTTGTTGCATTATTCTGATTTGATCATATATTTATAAAGTTTGAGTGCAACAAAATCTTAAAGAAAGTAATTATCCTCACCTGCACATAGTGCAGTAAAGTTACAGTTACTTCAGTTATTGGTTATTGTTGACATATAATAACAAAGATAATCCAGAAATTGTTAAAAAAATTATACTTTAAATTGTTAAAAAGATTAGACTATGCCACCAGGCAGGCCCCATTTCCCATATTTGGGATTACAATTCAACATGAGATTTGGGTAGGAACACAGATCTAAACCATATCATTAATTTTACAGTAATATGTTTAAATATATTCAAATATATTTTTTGCAAACCACTGTTTCTTTAAATCAACATTAAATGAATACTAAGCCAAAATAATTCTACTTATATTTAGCTATATGTATGCTACTTATTTTTATTTAATTTTAAAGTATACATTATATAAATATATATAATAGAACAGATACTCATTCCTACCCCACAAGTTTTATAATTTTTGCCTTAATGAAAGAAAGCAAGTTTTTTAGAGCTATCACATTAAACTCCAAGAAACTTACCAGCTTATAACTAATATATTATTAATAATATATAAATAAATAATATTTATTATTTTGGAAGTCAGAAATCTGACATGGGCCTTACTGGACTAAAATCAAGGTGCCAGTAGGGCTGCATTCCTTCTGGAGGCTCTTAAGAGAGAAATTTTCCTTTCCTTTCCCATCCTTTCCTTTTTCCTCGCCTTTTCCCTCTGCCCTTTCATTTCCTTTCCCTTCCCCTTTTCCTTTCTCACTCCCTTTCCCTTTCTGAGACTGCCAACATCCTTGGTTCATGAACTCCTTCCTTCATGTTCAAAGACAGCAATGATAGGTTGAATCTTTCTCACATCACAGCCCTGGGCCTCCTTTTCTGCCCCCTCTTCCACCTTTAAGGACCCCTGTGATTACATTGGGCCCACTTGGGATAATCCAGGATAATATTCCTATCATAAAGTCAGCCAATTAGCAACCTTAATTTCAATTAGCAATCTTAATTTTCCATTGCCATGTAAACTTACATCTTCATAGTTCCAACAATTAGGATTTGGACATCGTTGGGAGACTATTATTCAGCCTACCATATGCTAAACAAAAATTATGGGAGGTCATTGTTTTGGACAGCTCCTGCGCTAAACTCCAGCAGACCAGGCCAAACCAGAAGAGTCACCTGGGCTAAGTGCCACGTAATCAAAGTGAACTTTGAAACAAGCCAGTTTTCAAAACAAAAACAAAGAAAATAAATAAGAAAACAAAAAACAAACCAACAAAATCACAGAAGCATCACAGCAACCAATCAGAAGGCATGCAGTTAACCAAAAGGTTCCTCTATTTTAACTCCATATGGGAAGTAACTTTGAAACAACCAATCTGCCTTTGTTTTATTGTTGTTTTCCAGGATTAATTCTTCATTTATGCTTCCTTTAGCCCTTTTCTGACTATAAAGCCAATCTTCTCTGCTCAGCTCATGGGAGCACTTACTTTATTTTAAAGCATGGGATGCTTCCCCAAGTCATAAAAACATGTATATAAGATTCAGTTCTCTCTTTCCTCACTCCCAAAATATGTTTATGATTTTTAAATATATTCATGAAACATGTTTCTATAGTATTATTTTATGTGTTTTAAATTTTCTATTAACAATATAATATTTATGAGGACTTACATCTTGGTTTGTCCAGGATAGTCTGCTTTATGCTCATTGTTCAACATATGTATTAATAGCACTTCTCAAGTAATATTACTCATATCTTTTTGCAGCTAGCATTTTTCACTCAACATTTTTTAAAAGTTCATGTTACTACTCATAAATCAACATTTAAATGAAATAGGTACATTTTCTGTTTTGTAGTAGTTCAGTAATTCAAAAATTTTAAATATTATGACTCTACATTTGTATTCACATATGACACACACTTCTTATATTATACCTTTGTAGTTAGTCATGAGAATGCTTGGACTTAGACTTGATATGCTTATTTAAAACCGCTTTCTTGGAGACCCCTCTTGATATTATAGTCTTTAAACATCCAGATGTCGCAGATTTTTTATTATGTCTTGGTTTTTCTTCTGTCAAGTGTAAGTTTTTTGGTCATTTACCAATTTAATGAGCTCTTCAGTTTTCATGATCATTGCTTAGACACTCAGTAAGCAATTCGTTGTAATTCCCAGATTCTTCTGTAATTAAACCCTTCTGATTGAATAAGCTAGATTAATAAGCTATATTCCCTCATGGCATAGGCCTATTAGAGCTCTTTTAAAAACTGATCTTATAACTAATACTTTTCAAAACAACACTTGTTTTGGTACCAGCAACATGCTGTTTTGGTTACTGTAGCTTTGTAGTATAGTTTGAAGTCAGGTAGTGGGATGCCTCTAGCTTTGTTCTTTTTTTTAGGATTATCTTGGCTTATACGGGCTCTTTTTTGGTTCCATATGAAATTTAAGGTAGTTTTTCTAATTCTGTGAAGAAAGTCAGTGAGCACTTGATGGGGATAGCATTGAATCTACAAATTACTTTGGGCAGTATGGCCATTTACACTATATTGATTCTTTCTATCCACAAGCATGGAATGTTTTCCATTTGTTTGTGTCCCCTCTTATTTCGTTGAGCAGTGGTTTGTAGTTCTCCTTGAAAAGGTCCTTCACATCCCTTGTAAGTTGGGTTCCTAGGTATTTCATTCTCTTTGAAACAAGTGTAAATGGGAGTTCACTCATGATTTGGCTCTCTGTCTCTTATTGGTGTATAGGAACGCTTGTGATTTTTGCACATGGATTTTGTATCCTCAGATTTTGCTGAAGTTGCTTATCAGCTTAAGGAGATTTTGGGCTGAGACAATGGGGTTTTAAATATAGAATCATGTTATCTGCAAACAGAGACAATTTGACAGATATATAGACCAATGGAACAAAACAAAAGCCTCAGAAATAATGCCATACATCTACAACCATCTGATCTTTGACAAATTTGACAAAACAAGCAATGGGGAAAGGATTCCCTATTTAATAAATGGTGTTGGGAAAGCTGGCTAGCCATATGCAGAAAACTGAAACTGGACCCCTCCCTTACACCTTATACAAAAATTAACTCAAAATGGATTAAAGATGAAATGTAAGACCTAAACCCATAAAAACCCTAGAAGGAAACCTAGGCAATACCACTCAGGACATAGACATGGGCAAAGACTTCATGACTCAAATACCAAAAGCAATGGCAACAAAACCCAAAATTGACAAACAGGATATAATTAAACAAAGAACTTCTGCACAGCAAAAGAAACTATCCATCCAACAAAGGGCTAATATCCAGAATCTACAAGGAACTTAAATTTACAAGAACAAAATCCTATCAAAAAGTAGGCAGAGGATATGAACAGACACTTCTCAAAAGAAGACATTTATGCAGCCAACGAACATTTGAAAAAAAGCTCACCATCATTGGTCATTAGAGAAATGCAAATCAAACCCACAATGAGATAGATACCATCTCACGCCAGTTAGATTGGCAATCATTAAAAAGTCAGGAAACAACAGATGGTGAAGAGGAGAGGATGTGGAGAAATAGAAACGCTTTTACACTGTTGGTGGGAGTGTAAATTAGTTCAACCATTGTGGAAAACAAAGTGGCGATTCCTCAAGGATCTAGAACCAGAAATACCATTTGACCCAGCAATCCCATTACTGGGTATATACCCAAAGGATTGTAAATCATTCTACTGTAAAGACACATGCACATGTATGTTTACTGAGGCAATGTTCACAATAGCAAAGACTTGGAACCAACCCAAATGCCCATCAATGATAGACTGGATAAAAAAATGTGGCACATATACACATGGAATACTATGCAGCCATAAAAAGGATGGGTTCATGTCCTTTGCAGGGACATGGATGAAGCTGGAAACTATCATTCTCAGCAAACTAACACAGGAACAGGAAACCAAACACCGCATGTTCTCACTTATAAGTGGGAGTTGAACACACTGCATGTTCTCACTCATAAATGGGAGTTGAACAATGAGAACACATGGACACAGGGAGGGGAACATCGCACACCACCCTGTTGGGTGGTAGGGGGCTGGGGCTGGGGCTATTCTTCCTATCTAACTGTAACTTTGTACCCACTGAATAACCTCTCCTGGCTTTCCCTTTCCCCAACGCTCCCTATCCCCTGATAACCACCATTCTACTTTCTACTTTTACAATAGTTTCTTTTGCTGTGCAGAAGCTCTTTAGTTTAATTAGATCCCATTTGTCAATTTTGGGTTTTGTTGCCACTGCTTTTGGTGTTTTAGTCATGAAGTCTTTGCCCATGTCTATGTCCTGAGTGGTATTGCCTAGGTTTTCTTCTAGGGTTTTTATGGTTTTAGGTCTTACATTTAATAGCATTAGGAGAAACACCTAATGTAGATGATGGGTTGATGGGTGCAGCAAAACACCATCACATGTATACCTATGTAACACATCTGCACATTCTGCAAATGTATGCCACATGAAGTATGTGTATGTATATATATACATATATATGAAGTATATACATATATATAAAGTATATTTATGTATATATATAACACTTGTATTCTGAAACTGATTCAGTTTTAAACACAGTATTTTTTCATTTAAGCTTTTATGTATAATTAACACATACAAATTGCACATATTTAATTGGGTACCATGTAATGTTTCAGTGCATTATACATAGCATAATGATCAAATTGGTGTAACTGTTATTTGCTATAGTCACCCTACTGTGTAATAGGGAACTAAGACTTATTCTTCCTATCTAACTGTAACTTTGTACCCGCTGAATAACCTCTCCCGGCTTTCCCTTTCCCCAACCCTCCCTATCCCCGGATAACCACCATTCTACTTTCTACTTTTACAAAATCATGTTTTCTAGATTCCACATAAGTGGGGTCATATGACGTTTGTCTTTCTTTGCCTGGCTTATCTCACTTAATGTAATGTCATCCATGTTCATTTATGTTGATGCAAATGACAGAATTGAATTCCTTTTCATGTCTAAATAATGTTCCTTTTTATTTATTTTATTTATTTAATTTTTTAATTTAATTTTTTTTATTATACTTTAAGTTTTAGGGTACATGTGCACATTGTGCAGGTTAGTTACATATGTATACATGTGCCATGCTGGTGCGCTGCACCCACTAACTCGTCATCCAGCATTAGGTATATCTCCCAATACGATCCCTCCCCCCTCCCCCCACCCCACAATAGTCCCCAGAGGGTGATGTTCCCCTTCCTGTGTCCATGTGATCTCATTGTTCACTTCCCACCTATGAGTGAGAATATGCGGCATTTGGTTTTTTGTTCTTGCGATAGTTTACTGAGAATGATGATTTCCAATTTCATCCATGTCCCTACAAAGGACATGAACTCATCCTTTTTTATGGCTGCATAGTATTCCAAGGTGTATATGTGCCACATTTTCTTAATCCAGTCTATCATTGTTGGACATTCGGGTTGGTTCCAAGTCTTTGCTATTGTGAATAATGCCACAATAAACATACATGTGCATGTGTCTTTATAGCAGCATGATTTATAGTCCTTTGGGTATACACCCAGTAATGGGATGGCTGGGTCAAATGGTATTTCTAGTTCTAGATCCCTGAGGAATTGCCACACTGACTTCCACAATGGTTGAACTAGTTTACAGTCCCACCAACAGTGTCAAAGTGTTCCTATTTCTCCACATCCTCTCCAGCACCTGTTGTTTCCTGACTTTTTAATGATTGCCATTCTAACTGGTGTGAGATGGTATCTCCTTGTGGTTTTGATTTGCATTTCTCTGATGGCCAGTGATAATGAGCATTTTTTCATGTGTTTTTTGGCTTCATAAATGTCTTCTTTTGAGAAGTGTCTGTTCATGTCCTTTGCCCACTTTTTGATGGGGTTGTTTGTTGTTTTCTTGTAAATTTGTTTGAGTTCATTGTAGATTCTGGATATTAGCCCTTTGTCAGATGAGTAGGTTGCAAAAATTTTCTCCCATTTTGTACGTTTCCTGTTCACTCTGTTGGTAGTTTCTTTTGCTGTGCAGAAGCTCTTTATTTTAATTAGATCCCATTTGTCAATTTTGTCTTTTGTTGCCATTGCTTTTGGAGTTTTAGACATGAAGTCCTTGCCCATGCCCATGTCCTGAATGGTAATGCCTAGGTTTTCTTCTAGGGTTTTTATGGTTTTAGGTCTAACGTTTAAGTCTTTAATCCATCTTGAATTGATTTTTGTATAAGGTTTAAGGAAGGGATCGAGTTTCAGCTTTCTACATATGGCTAGCCAGTTTTCCCAGCACCATTTATTAAATAGGGAATCCTTTCCCCATTGCTTGTTTTTCTCAGGTTTGTCAAAGATCAGATAGTTGTAGGTATGCGGCGTTATTTCTGAGGGCTCTGTTATGTTCCATTGATCTATATCTCTGTTTTGGTACCAGACCCATGCTGTTTTGGTTACTGTAGCATTGTAGTATAGTTTGAAGTCAGGTAGTGTGATGCCTCCAGCTTTGTTCTTTTGGCTTAGGATTGACTTGGTGATGCGGGCTCTTTATTGGTTCCATATGAACTTTAAAGTAGTTTTTTCCAATTCTGTGAAGAAAGGCATTGGTAGCTTGATGGGGATGGCATTGAATCTGTAAATTACCTTGGGCAGTATGGCCATTTTCACGATATTGATTCTTCCTACCCAGGAGCATGGAATGTTCTTCCATTTGTTTGTATCCTCTTTTATTTCCTTGAGCAGTGGTTTGTAGTTCTCCTTGAAGAGGTCCTTCACGTCCCTTGTAAGTTGGATTCCTAAGTATTTTATTCTCTTTGAAGCAATTGTGAATGGGACTTCACTCATGATTTGGCTCTCTGTTTTTCTGTTGTTGGTGTATAAGAATGCTTGTGATTTTTGTACATTGATTTTGTATCCTGAGACTTTGCTGAAGTTGCTTATCAGCTTAAGGAGATTTTGTGCTGAGACGATGGGGTTTCCTAGATATACAATCACGTCATCTGCAAACAGGGACAATTTGACTTCCTCTTTTCCTGTTTGAATACCCTTTATTTCCTTCTCCTGCCTAATTGCCCTGGCCAGAACTTCCAAGACTATGTTGAATAGGAGTGGTGAGAGAGGGCATCCCTGTCTTGTGCCAGTTTTCAAAGGGAATGCTTCCAGTTTTTGCCCATTCAGTATGATATTGGCTGTAGGTTTGTCATAGATAGCTCTTATTATTTTGAAATACGTCCCATCAATACCTAATTTATTGGGAGTTTTTAGTATGAAGGGTTATTGAATTTTGTCAAAGGCCTTTTCTGCATCTATTGAGATAATCATGTGATTTTTGTCTTTGGCTCTGTTTATATGCTGGATTACATTTATTGATTTGCGTATATTGAACCAGCCTTGCATCCCAGGGATGAAGCCCACTTGATCATGGTGGATAAGCTTTTTGATGTGCTGCTGGATTCGTTTTGCCAGTATTTTATTAAGGATTTTTGCAATAATGTTCCTTTTTATATTTACACATCACATTTAAAAAAATCCATTCCCTTGTAGATGAGCACTTAGGTTGATTCCATATCTCAGCTATTGTGAATAGAGCTGCAATAAATATGGGTGTCCAGATGTACCTTTAGCACACTGGCTTCACTTCCCTTGTATTTCCATAGTGAGATTGCTGGTTCATATGGTATTTATATTTTTAATTTTTAAAGTAACCTTTATATTGTGTTCCATAATGGCTTTACTAATTTACATTTCTGCCAGCAATGTATAAGTATTTCCTTCTCTCCACATCCTCATAAGAATTTATTTTTCCTCCTTATTAACCATAACGCGTATGGTTAATAGGCATTCTGTGACTGGGGTGAGATGATATCTCACTGTGGTTTTGATTTTCATTTTCCTGATGATGACTCATGCTGAGCTTTTCTCATATATCTGTTGGCAATTTGTGTCTTCTTTGAGAAATATCTACTCAGATCTTTTGTCAACCTATTAATTGGGTTACTTGTTTTTTGCTGTTGTGTTGTCTGAGTTCCATGTGTATTCGGAATATTAACCCCTTATCATAATGTAGTTTACAAAACTTTCTCCCATTCTGTAGGTTTTCATTCTATTGATTGTTTCCTTTGATGAGCAAAAGCTTTTTAAATAGATACAATCCCATTTGCCTGTTTTCACTTTTGTTGCCTTTGCTTTTGAGGTTTTATTCAAAAATTCCTTGCCCAATCCAATTTCATGTAGCATTTCTTCTATTTTCTTCTAGTAGTTTTATAATTTCAGGTATTTTTTCCATTTATAGTTTATTTTTGTATATGGTGAGAGATAGGGGTCTAGTTTTACTCTTCTGTATGTAGATATTCAGTTTTCCCAGAAACGTTTACTGAAAAACCTGTCCTTTCCCCAATATGTGTTCTTGAGGCCTCTGTCAAAGATCAGGTGGATCTAAATGCATGTATTTATTTCTGGGTTCTCTATGCTATTCCTTTGGTCTGTGTGTCTGTTTTTATGACATTGTCATGTAGTTTTGGTTACTGTAGTTTTGCAGTATATTCTGAAGTTACATAATTTGGTGCCCCCATTTTGTTATTTTTGTTCTAGATTGCTTCATCAATTTGGGGTCTTTTGCATTTCCATATGAATTTTAAAATTCTTTATTTCTATTTCTGTCAAGAATGTCATTGGCATTTTGATAGGGATTGCATTGAATCTGTGGATTGCTCTGGGTAATATGGGCATTTTAACAAAGTTAATTCTTCTACTCTGTGACCACAGGATATCTTTCTATTGATTTATTTACTCTTCAACTTATTTCATCAGTATTTTACAGTTTTTTTGGTAGAGATCTTTCACCTCCTTGGTTAAGTTTCTTCATAGGTGTTTTGTTCTATTTTATTTTTAGGTATTGTAAGTGGAGTTTCTTTCTTTCTTAGCTTGCTATTGGTGTGTAAAAATTCTACTAATATTTGTATATTAATTTTGTATCCTGCAACTTTACGAAATTCGTTTATTATCACAATTTTTGGGTGAAATCTTTAGGGTTTTCTATATATATCATTTTGTCTGTAAACAGGAACAATTTTACTTTATCTTTTCCAATTTGCATGCCCTTTTTTTTTTCTCTTGCCTAATTGCAGTGGCTGGAGCTTTCCACACTATGTGGAATAAAAGTAGTAAAATTGGACATCACTTTTTGGTTTTAGATCTTAGAGTAAAATATTTCAACTCTAACCAATTTGGTGTGATGTTAGCTGTGGGTTTGTCATATATGATCCCTATTGTGTTGGGCTATGTTTCTTTTATACATGATTTGTTGAGGGTTTTTATTATAAAGGGATGTCGAATTTTCTCAAATGCTTTTTCAGCATCTATTGAAATAATCATATGGTTTTCATCCTTGATTATGTTAATATGATGCATCACTTTTATTGATTTGCATATGTTGAATCATCCTTGCAGCCATGGGATACCACTTGATCATGGTGAATGATCTTTTAATATGTTGTTGAATTCAGTTTGCTAGTATTTTGTTGGAAAATTTTTACATATATGTTCCTTGAGAATATTGATCTGTAATTTTATTTTTGTTGTTATTGTTGCTATGTCCTTGTCTGTTTTTTTTTAACTTTAAACAGGGAGGCTTAATATAAAGAATTATGTAAACTATGATAGGAGAGAACTATAGACAGAAAGAGAACTCTAACGGGTAATCTGAGATTGAAGGAGAGTATCTTAAATAGGACAAACTTAGTAAAAGTCCCTTCCCAAGTTTGGATGTCATGCTTCACTGGAGAAGGTATATTTGGAACCCACTGGATGGGGAAGTCCAGATCTGGTCACTGTAAAAGTAAGAAACATCTCTTCAGGGTACAGGTGGGTTAGGACTAGTGGGCAGAGAACTGTGGAAGAGAACTGCAGCCAGGAACAACTCTCAGGGACTAAGAGATGTGAAGCTAGTGGATAAGTGGACTCATGGATGATACTTCAGGGACAGGATCTAAGATGTTGTTTCCAAATCAGAAGAGCCATGGGAAGGAGGTCATCAGGCCTCAGCTGGAGCTGCGATTCTTCCTAAATGTTTCACAAGGGACTTTTGTGGAAAAGCAACATCCAGCGTTCCCACAGATATACCACTGCTTGTCTGATTTTGGTATCACAAAAAGGCTGGCCTCGCAAAATGAGTGTGGAAGTTTTCCCTCCTCTTCATTTTTAAAAAATAGTTCACTTAAAATTGATAATTAGTTATTTGCGGTTTTTTGTTTATTTGTTTTTTACTGTTTGGTAGAATTTAGCAGTGAAGTGATCAGGTCCTGGGCTTCTCTTTGATCAAAACATTTTTATTATTGCTTTGATCTTATTACTCATTATTGGTCTGTTCAAATTTTCTATTTCTTCATGATTCAATCTTGGCAAGTTGTACTTGCCCAGAAATTTCTCTATTTATTTCTTCTAGGTTTTACAACATGTTGGTGTGTCATTGCTCACAGTAGTCTCATATAATCTTTGTATTTCTGTGGTATCAATTGTAAAACTTCCCTTTTGTTTCTTTTTTTAAATCTAGCTAAAGATTTGGTGATTTTTTTTCAAAAAAACAGCTCTTTTTTGTTGATGATTTATATTTGTTTAGTATCTATTTCAGCTCTTTCTGCTCTGATCTTTATTATTTCTATTTTATACTTATATGGGTTTAGATATTCTTGTTTTTCTAGTTCCCTGAGGTTATTTTAAGATGTTTATTTCAGATTTGGATGTAGGAATTTGTCACTAGAAACTCCACCTTAAATGTGCTTTTGCTGTGTTCCATAGGTATCAGTATGTTGTGATTTCATTTTCATTTGTCTTAAAGAATTTTTTAATTTCCTTTTTAGTTTCTTCATTGACCCATTGTTTGTTCATAAGCATGCTAATTTTTAATGTGTTTAAACAGTTTCCAAAAGATCCACTTATTATTGATTTCTAGTTTTATTGCATTGTGTTCAGGAAAGATACTTGAAGTGATTTAACTTTTTAAAAAATTTTAATACTTGTTTTGTGGCCTAACATATGGTCTATCTTGGAGAATGTTCCATGTGTTATTGAGAAGAATGTGTGCTCTGCAGCTGTTGGGTGGAATGTTCTGCAAATGTCTATTACGTCTATTGGGTCTCAAGTGTGGTTTAACTTTGATGTTTCTTTTTTGACTGCCTGCCTGAATGATCAGTCCAATGTTGAAAATGGGATGTTGAAGTTTTCTATTGTATTACAGTGTGTCTTTCCCTTTAATTCTGTTAATATTTGCTTTATATATTCAAGTAGATCAGTGTTGGGTATGTATGTATTTACAATTTTTATATACTACTGCTATATTGACTCTGTTATCATTATATATGACCTTGTCTTTATAATTTAGACTTAAACTTTATTTTATCTGATATATAAGTATAGCTACTCTTGCTCACTTTAAAAAATTATTTTAAGTTTCAGGATACATGTGCAGGATGTGCAGGTTTATTACATAGGTAAACGTGTGCCATGATGGTTTGCTGCACCCATCAACCCATCACGTAGGTATTAAGCTCCACTTGCATTAGCTATTTATCCTGATGCTCTTCCTCTCCCTACTCCCACCTGTCAGGCCCTAGTATATTGATTATTTAATTTGGATATCTTTTTCCATCCCTCTGCTTTTAGTCTATGTGTGTCTTTATAAATGAAATACAGTTGTTATAGACAGCATATAGTTGGGTCTTGTTTTTTATCCATTCAGCCACTCTATGTCTTCTTAATTGGAGAACTTATATATAATTATGTTGATATTAATATGTAAGGTTTACTAATACCATTTTGTTACTTGTTTTCCAATTGTTTGATCACTACCCTCTTTCTTTCTTCATTTCTCACTGTCTTCCTTTGTGGTTAAGTGATTTTTCTCTGGTTATATGTTTTAATTCTTTGCTTTTTTATTTCTAGTATGTCTATTATAGGTTCTTGCTTTGTGATTACCATGAGACTTAAAAAAAATCTTATAGCTATAACAAGTTACTTTAAACTGATGACAAACTAAGTTTGATTGCAAAGAAAGCAAACAAAAACTAACAAACTTTACATTTTAACTCCATCCCCAAATTTTGACTTTTGGACCTCTCTATTTACATTTTTTATATTGCCTATATCTTAACAAATTGTTGTAGTTATTTTTAAAATATATTTGTGTTTTAGTCTTTATACTAAAGACATGAGTAATTTATACACCTCAATTATGCTATTAGAGTATTCTGAATTTCTCTTTATATAGAGGCTTCTTGAACAAGAGTGCTTGAACTGTGCAGGTCTACTTATACACAATTTTTTTTCCATCTCTGCTACCCTGAGACAGCAAGACCAACCTTTTCTCTTAGTCCTTCTCCTCAGCCTACTCAATGTGAAGATAATGAAGATGAAAGGCTTGATGATGACCCACTTCCACTTAATGCACAGTAAATGTATATTTGCCTTTTGAATGATTTTATTAAATTTTATTTTCTCTAGATTATTTTATGAATACAATATATTGTACATACAAAATACATGTTAAACTGTTCCTGTTATTGGTAAGGCTTCTGGTAAATGGTAGGCTATCAGTAGTTGTGCTTTAAGAGAGTAAAAAGTTATACGTGAATTTTTGACCGCATAAGGTGTTGGTGCCTCTAACTCTCACATTATTCAAAGGTAAACTGTATTTGCTTTTACCAGTGAGTTTTATACCCTCAAATATTTTCTTGTTACATATTAATGCTCTTTTTTTCAGACAGATTGAGGAACTCTCTTTAGATTTTTATGTAAGACAATTTTGGTGGTAGTGAATTTCCTCAAATTTTGTTTGTGAAGGAGCATTTTTATCTCTTGTTCATGTTTGAAAGATACTTTTTCTGGGTACAGTATTCTCAGTTGACAGTTTATTTCTTGTTCCTTCAACACTTTGAATATGTCATCTCACTCACCCCTAGCCTGTAAGGTTTCCATTTAGAAGCTTGGTCCTGGATATACTGGAGCTCCTTTACACATTATTTGTTTGTTTCTTTTCTCTTACTATTTTTAGAATCCTATCTTCTCCTTGATCTTTGAAAGTTAGGTTATTATATGCCTTGGAGTAGTCTTCTTTCAGTTGAATCTGCTTGATGACTTTGACTTTCCTGTACCTAGATATTTATATCTTTCCCTAGTTTGGAAATTTACTGTTATTATCTTTTTGAATAAGCTTTCTACCCCTTTCTCTTTCTCTACACTCTCTTTAAGGCCAACGACTCTTAAATTTGGTCTTTTGATGTAATCCCCTAGATCTCATTAGCATTCTTCATCCCTTTTTATTTTTCTCTCCTGTGACTTTGTATTTTCAAATAGTCTGTTTTTGAGCTCACTGATTCTTCTTTGTAATCAATTCTGCTCTTGAGACTATCTAATGCAATTTTTGGTTCATCTATTATATTTTTCAGCTCCAATTTTTAAAATAATTTCAATCTCTTTGTTAAGTTTTTCTGATAAATTTTTGAATCTGCATATTTGTGTTTTTTAAAAAGTTAACTGAGTTTCCTCTAAACATCTATTTTGAATTCACTGTCTGAGAAGTCACACATATCTATTTCTTCAGTATTGGCCACTGGCACCTTACTTAGTCCATTTGGTGAGGCCATAGTTACCCAAATATTCTTGATGCTTGTGGAAGTTTTTTGATGTCGGGGTACTGAAGAGTTGGGTATTTATTTCATTCTTCGCAGTCTTGGCTTGTTTGTACTTGTCCAGAGGGCCTTCCAGGAATTTAAAGAGGGGGCTGACTGTTGTTGAGTTCCCTAAGCCTGTGGTTACTGCAGCTGTTTCAGCACAAGAGGACATCCTAATCCCAAGTAAACTGTGGCTCTCTTGAATAATCCTAGGTCTCAGCCCTGATTTGCTTGGTGATAATCAGGGAAAGTTCCCTGGGTTCCCTAGTAAAGTCCCTAGCTCACTTCCATCTCTTTCCCCCAAGCAGAAGGAGTCATTCGCTGAGCTATGTTGCCTGGAGTTGGAGGAAGGATGATGCAAACACTGCTGTTTTCACTTCATCTGGAACCACACTTGGTTGGACCACAGCCTCCTAGTTGAGTGCAGCATCAGGGCTCACCAAAGGCCCCTGATTACTACTGTCTGGCTGCTGTTGATATTTATGCAGGGCTCAAGGCAACTTTATTTAGCTAGAGGTAAAGCTGGCTTGGAGTCAGCTTTGTTCCACCTGGCAGCAGATTCCCTACTGGCTTGAGGTGGGTCTAGAAGCATTCTTGGGAGTACCAGCCTGGAATTGGGGTCATGAGGTTCTGTTCATTGCTGTGTTTTACTATACCAGGGCTGGTACTAGATTCCCAGGCAACGTCCCCTAACCTCCTCCCTCTCCTTCCCCAAGGAGAAGTAGTTTTTCTTCTGACTGCACTACCTGGTGTTGGGAGAGGGGTGATGCATGCACTGCTGCAGCCAGCACAACTGATACTGGTTTACACCCATGACCATGGCCTCCCAGTCTAGTACAGCCATAGGGCTCACCCAAGGACTGTGGCTATTATGGCCTGCTTGTCAGTGAAATTTATTCTGAGCCTTAGACCACTTTAGGCAGCTGGTGGTGAAATGGGTCAGGACTCAATTCTTCCCACTGGTGCAGCCAATACCATTCAGTCCCAGAGTGGGTCTAAATGCTCCCTCCATGAGCACCAGCCTATAATCAAGGGCCATGGGTTTCTGCCTGGTGCTATATTTTACTGTGGTGAGTTCTAACATAAAGTCTCATAAACACTTCCTTCTCCCTCCCCCATGCAGATTATCTCTTATGCTGTGCTGCTTGGGGTTTAGGCAGGAGTGCTACATGCCATGAGCGACTAGAGACTGTCCTTCCTACCCTCTTCAATGTGTCTTTTCTTGTTATTATGCTAAAACCAGGTACTGTGATCTCCCACCTGATTTCCTTAGCTCTTGTGACAGTGAGTATTTTCTTGCATAAATAGTTGTTTAATTTGATGTTCCTCTGAGGAAATGATTGCTGGAGTATTCTTATCCAGTATTTTGTTCTACCTCTCTCTCTTTGTTCTTGCTCATCATTGAATACCTTGATCTATCAACCCCTCCCCCAACACCCCCCTCAAAATAAGTGTGCCAAAATTCCCTCTATAACTGAATTTTTTTCTTTTATTTCTGTCAATTATTTCTTTTTTTAAAAAAATGTATTTTAGGGCTATAACATTAAATATGTAAAGATTCATAATTTTTTTTAACCCTCATGGTGAATTACTTCATTATCATTCTTACCAGGTTTTTTTTCTCATTAAAAAACACTAAACATTCACTTTTGGCTAATATTTATGTGGTTATGTTTTCCATCTCATTTTTATAAATCTTTCTTTATCCTTTATATTCAGATGCCACTTATAAATTTTATTTTGTAATTTATTTTTACCATATTTTAACTGGTAAAATTAAATTTCTCTAGATTTAATAAATATAAGCACTGTTATCATGCACTTTGTCCCATATAATGTTATACTTTCTATATATGGCTTTCCTGTTGCTTCTTGAACATGTTTGATTTAGACACAATGACTAACTCCTCTGTCCTCATAAATAATAATGAGAACATTTTAACTCTCATCACCACCTTTCCTTTAATTTACTGCCATCCAGTATTTTAGTTCCACATTGTTTTTATTCTCATTAGTTACTATTATAGACCTTTACATTCTGTGCTGTTTAAGTTAACTCATATAGTTACCAATTTATTTCATTTCTTCTTGATACTTTTAGTTCATTTTTGATTCAATTTCCTGGTGTGTATCTTATAGAAGATCTTTTAATATGGTTTTTTTCATAATCAATTGTCTCAGATTTTGTGTGAATAAAATATTTTATATTGGCTTTTGATAATTCTTTTTAAAATTTTGGGTTACATCTATTATGCTTCTGCCCTTGTGACATATTATATCTTCACAAGCTTGCCACAGAAATATCTCCCATCTCACAAAGTCTTCTACAATGTGACATCACCTCTCCCACATTGAGATATGAAATTTATGCTACATTTCTCCCCACAATAAAACTTTGTAGTTTGTTACTGGCTTTTAACCAATTGATTGTGGCAAATATGCAGCTGCCTATATTTCAATGCAGCCAAAAAGAGTAATGTAATTTTTAACCTTACAGACACACTGACTTATGAGCTCTGAATGACCATTTACTAAGTCTGACTATCATGAGGTCACTTGAGGAAATATAGTCTTCTAAAAAAGACCACATGAGGTTCTGGTCACAGCCTCAATTGAGATCCCAGTTAGCATCCAGAATCAGCCAACACACACATGAGTAAAGACACTTCTAATGACTCCAGTCCCCAGCTGTCAAGTAATCCAGGCTGTCTTATTGTCCCAGTTGAGGATACAGACATCTTGCAGCAGAAGTGAACAATTTCCACTGTGCTGTATCCAAATTCTTGGCCCACAGACTTTGTAAGCATAATCAAAATGATTTTTCATGACATTAATTTTATGGTAATTGATTATGCAATGATATTAACTGGAACAAAAATGAGCCATCTTCTGATCCATTTTTGTTGTTCCAAAAACTTTTTTGTCTCATTCCTTTCTGTACAATTTGTATCATCATTCTAGTTGTGTTTAGATTTTCCTTTTTGTCTTTGAGAAAGAAAAAAACTTGAAAGATAAAGGTAGGGTATAGCATAGAAGTAGATAAATAAATAGATGTCGATATTGTGTTTTAAAATAAAAACACTACCTGTTTCAGGTGTGGGAGAATTGTTTCTCTCACATAATATGTCATTTGAAAACAACTAGAGGACTATTTAAAAAGTTTTTAAAAGTATGTTTGAAAACATTGGAGAACTATCAAGACAGCAAGAATTTGAGGTAGGAAGATCCTGTACAGAAGGGGAATCAGGGGTGAGCCCAACATCTAGTTTTCCCCTCAAAGCCTTTGCTGATTCACGAGCAGAAGAACAGATTTTGAGATGTTGAGGTGAATATTAGGTAGTTTCATAGGAATTTAGCAATCAAAACTAAAGTTTATGGCTTTCTAAGGAGGAGAGCCCTTCAGAATTTCACTTGGAAACTAAAGAACTACAAGTTGGGTGCAATGACAAAGTTAAAACAGCCAAACCTGTTAACAATCAAAGCTTATCTTAAAATCAGTTCAATACCCGGCCAGATCTTATCTTTCTCTATTAACTGTTTGCCAAAATCTAAAAAAATGGCTCTGTAGTCATTAACATCATTCAAAACCTTAAATAATTTCTATAGTTTTTCATCACATCATTTGGCATTCAATAAAAAATTATTTAGAACATCAGGAAGCATAACCAAATTACAAAACAGGAAAGAAACAAAAGAAAAATCATAAAAAATACAATAGACTCACAAATGATGTAGCTATTAAAATATACCAAATATGTAAAATAACTATAACACGTTCAAGAATATAGGAAAAAATAAAGAACCTAAGCAAAAAATGAAATATATACATATGTCTGTATATATATATATTCTGCATATCTATATATATATACACACACATACATATTTGGATTTTACACACACACACATAAACTATAAATCCTACAAACAACAAGAAATAAAATAACTGAAAGTAAGACTGAATACATGATTTTAATGGGAAATGAGACATTGCTAAAGAGAATAATAGTAATCTAGATAAAATAAAGATCAGTAGGAAATAGAGAGACTAAAGAATAGATAGACTAAAGGATGGAAATAGGAAATAGAGAGACTAAAAAGAATAGATAAAGGATGGAAAATGGGAAGTATCATACAAATTACTGGAAGAGAAAATAGTTAAAAGTTAAACATATGTTTAAAATGGCACTCCAGAAGAAGTAAAAGGATATGGGGCAGAAACAATATCTAAGGCTGTAATGGCTGAGAATTTTCCAAAAGCCACGTATTTAAGGTATGTTGTAAAGAACACCACACATATACAAAAATAGTAAACCTGCTGAAATTCAAAGAGAATAGGACCTATTTTAGGCAGCCATAGAATACGACACATGATTTTAAAAGGAGCAACATTATAAATTTCAACACACATTCAAAAGAAAGAAGATATCATAACCAGAAGACAATGGATGATATCTTGAAAGTATAGAAAGAAAAAAAATTGCAGACAACCTAAAATTCTACATCCAACAAAAATATCCTTTCAAAATAACATTGCAGATGACAAAGATCAAGTAAAATAATCACCAAGAAGGCCTGCACAAAAAATAATTAAGAAAGAGAATTCTTTGTACAGAGGGGAAACAATTCCAGAAACAAATATAGGTATAGAGAGAAGAATAAAGAACATCAGAAAAAATAAATGTTTCAGCAAATCTAAAATAATACTAATTGTATTAGTAATAATATCATGTGTGGCTTAAAAAGATATACAGATTTGTACAACAAAAAATTATAAAAGATAGGGTTTATAAATAGAATTAAAGTATTCCAAAGTGTACACATTGTTCAGAAAGCCTTAAAGTACTTATTTGTATTTATTAGATGTTAATGAAAGTAGAATGCAAATTGCAAATTTCAGTTTAATCATCAACAATATTAAAATTCTGTAAGAAGCTAATAGAAAAGGAAAATGGAATAATAAAGACATTTAATATATCCCCAAACATGTAAGAAAGAGGAGGAAAACATGTAAACAAATACAATAGAGAACAAAGCATAAGATGGTATATTTACATCCAAATATGACATTAATTGCATTATATTAAATTGAAATTAAATTATAAGACCAAGAATGTCAAATTCAATTTTTTAGGACAAAAATAAAATATTTTTAGATTTTAAAACAGCCACATGCTACTTATGGCAAAAGGCACAAACTAAAGAAAACTCATATAGATGAATGTAGATATCCATCAAATAGACTTAAGCAATAAACAAAGTGGGATACTTAATAACAAAAGTGTCAATCACAGGAGGACAAATTCTTGATATATGCACAACTAATAATACAGGCTCTAACTTTATAAGGTTAAAATAAAATAGCTACAAATAAAACTTTTTAAAAACACACAATCATATATTTTAATACACCCCTCCTAGTAACTGATAAAACAAGCCAAGAAAAATATCAAAATCAGTAGTACAGTGTATTTAAGCATCATGATTAACAAACTTGATAAAGTTAACATATAGAACACTGAACCTAAGAACAACAGAACTCATTGTATTCAAGTGGATATGAATATTTCTCAAAATTGACCACATGTGGGGTAACAACTATATCTCAATAATTTTTAAAAAATTGAAATCATAGTCTTATTTTTTATTACAGTGAAATCAAGCTAGACATCAATATTTAATTATTTCTAAATCCTAAAATGTTTGGCTATAATGCAATAACATCACTAGCCTCAAGATTAAATAAGATATAGAAATTACAACTATGAAATATTTTTAAATAAAGGACAATGAAAATGTAGTCATTTTAGAAATATATATAAGGAAAAAATTAAAGAATCAATGGAAATTGTTGATCTAAACATTTATGTCAAAAAGTTAGAAATGAAGCAGCAAATTAAACACAAAGTAAAGTAGCAAGTGATAAAAAAGAACAAAAATTAATGTAATGGAAACAAAATATACAGCAAAAGGAATAAAAAAAGCTAAAAGTTGGTTTATTAAAAAAAAAAAACTAAAAATCCCTACTAAAGCTGATCATGTGAAAAATATAGGTGGTACAAATACCCATTTTCAAAAATGAAAAGGTAAACCACTTTAAAATCCTACTGACATTTTAAAAGATATTTTGATGAAATGGACAGGTTCCAAGAAAAACATAGTGATAGAAATTGACAGAAGAAGAATAAATTAAAATCATAATAGTTACATATTAAATAAATTGATTAGATATCTTCCAATAAAGAAAACTCCATCCCCAGAAAACTTATTTGCTAGTAAATTCCTTCAAACTTTTATGGGAAAAAAAGCACCAATCTCACACAACTCTTCTGTAATTACATAATGTGAAAAGAAAAAACACCTCCTGACTGACTCATGAGACAAGGATGACTTTGATTTCAAACCATAACAGCACACTATAAGAAAAATAGAGACCAATAATTTTCATAATTTTAGGTGCAAATTTATAAACAAAATATGAACAAAATAAATCTAGCAATATATAAATAGGATAATACATCACAACTGAGTTGCTTTTCTTCTAGGAATGCCATTTATTTACCGTTAGAAAATCAATGTAATTTCCACATTTTGGAATAAGGGTATCTAATAAACTTGCTAGTCTGGTCAAATAAAGTTTAACCCAACAGGGAAGTCTATGAGCTATTGTAAAACACATACTTTGGAGGTATCTGACACTCCTCTGATAGGGGAAAGGAAATGGAGTTTACAGCAACTTCTATTAGTCATTCATTGACTTCTCCTAGCAATTGTTCCTTCTCTTTAATTCTTGGTTTGCTATTATAGGCAGAAAAGCTCCATGGAGCAGAGAACACTCTCAGCAGTTAAAAAAAAAAAAAAAAAACCTGTGGGTGTTGGCAATTAGAAGTCAGGCTGGTGGTGTGCATTAAGAGGTAAAGGCAAGAGAATCTGGTTGGGTTATCAATAACTGCTACTGAACACCTAAATAAATAGAGAGGTATACTTTTTATAGATTGAAGAACTTAGTATTATAAAAATGTCAATTATTCCCAGAGTGATAATGATTCAATGAAATCACTTTCAAAAATTTTCCATGAAATGAATAGGCTAATTCTAAAATGTACATGGAAATTAAATTTTCCATATAAAATGGAGGGTTGCTGTCCAATGGGCACACAATTTCATTATATAAGATGAATAAGTTCTAGAGATCTACTATGTAACATTCTTCCTACACTTAACACTGTATTGTGCACTTAAAATTTTAAAAGAATAGATCTCAAGTTAAGTCTTATTACCATAATTTTTTTAAAATAATAGCTAAGACAGCCTTGGTGATGAACAAATTGGAGACCATATAACTTATAAAAACAGATATCAAGGCTAATTTTAAACCTATAGTAATGAAGACAATGTAGTATTAGTATAAGAATAGACAAACTGGCAAACATTTAGAAGAATCAGGAAACAGCCCCACATATATATAAACACATGCTTTAACCAAATTTACCATGCACAGAGGAAAATAATGGCTCTCCTAACGAACAGTCCCAGCTCAATTGGTACAAGGAGGAGCTGATACCATTCCTTCTGAAACTATTCCAATCAATAGAAAAAGAGAGAATCCTCCCTAACTCATTTTATGAGGCCAGAATCATCCTGATACCAAAGCCTGGCACAGACACAACAAAAAAAGAGAATTTAGACCAATATCCCTGATGAACATCGATGCAAAAATCCTCAATAAAATATTGGCAAACCGAATACAGCAGCATATCAAAAAGCTTATCCACCATGATCAAATGGGCTTCATCCCTGGGATGCAAGGCTGGTTCAACATACACAAATCACTAAACGTAATCCAGCATATAAACAGAACCAAAGACAAAAATCACATGATTATCTCAATAGATGCAGAAAAGGCCTTTGACAAAATTCAACAACCGTTCATGCTAAAAACTCTCAATAAATTTGGTATTGATGGGACGTATCTCAAAATAATAAGAGCTATCTGTGACAAACCCACAGCCAATATCATACTGAATGGGCAAAAACTGGAAGCATTCCCTTTGAAAACTGGCACAAGACAGGGATGCTCTCTCTCATCACTCTTATTCAACATAGTGTTGGAAGTTCTGGCCAGGGCAATCAGGCAGGAGAAAGAAATAAAGGGTATTCAATTAGGAAAAGAGGAAGTCAAATTGTCCCGGTTTGCAGATAACATGATTGTATATCTAGAAAACCCCATCATCTCAGCCCAAAATCTTCTTAAGCTCATAGGCAACTTCAGCAAAGTCTCAGGATAAAAAATCAATGTGCAAAAATCACATGCATTCTTATACACCAATAACAGACAAACAGAGAGCCAAATCATGAGTGAAGTCCCATTCACAATTGCTTCAAAGAGAATAAAATACCTAGGAATCCAACTTACAAGGGATGTGAAGGACCTCTTCAAGGAGAACTACAAACCACTGCTCAATGAAATGAAAGAGGATACAAACAAGTGGAAGAACATTCCATGCTCATGGGCAGGAAGAATCAGTATCATGAAAATGGCCATACTGCCCAAGGTAATTTATAGATTCAATGCCATCCCCATCAAGCTACCAACGACTTTCTTCACAGAATTGGAAAAAACTACTTTAAAGTTCACATGGAACCAAAAAAGAGCCCACATTGCCAAGTCAATCCTAAGCCAAAAGAACAAAGCTGGAGGCATCATGCTACATGACTTCAAACTATACTACAAGGCTACAGTAACTAAAACAGCATGGTACTGGTAGCAAAACAGCATGGTACTGGTACCAATGGAACAGAACAGAGCCCTCAGAAATAATACCACACATCTACAACCATCTGATCTTTGACAAACCTGAGAAAAACAAGAAATGGGGAAAGGATTCCCTATTTAATAAATGGTGCTGGGAAAACTGGCTAGCCCTATGTAGAAAGCTGAAACTGGATCTCTTCCTTACACCTTATACAAAAAGTAATTCAAGATGGAGTAAGGACTTACATGTTAGACCTAAAACCATAAAAACCCTAGAAGAAAACCTAGGCAATACAATTCAGGACATAGGCATGGGCAAAGACTTCGTGTCTAAAACACCAAAAGCAATGGCAACAAAAGCCAAAATTGACAAATGGGATCTAACTAAACTAAAGAGCTTCTGCATAGCAAAAGAAACTACCATCAGAGTGAACAGGCAACCTACAGAATGGGAGAAAATTTTTGCAATCTACTCATCTGACAAAGGGCTAATATCCAGAATCTACAATGAACTCAAACAAATTTACAAAAAAAAAACAAACAAACAAACAAACAAAAAAAACACCCCATCAAAAAGTGGGCAAAGGGGATGAACAGACACTTCTCAAAAGAAAACATTTATGCAGCCAAAAAACACATGAAAAAATGCTCATGATCACTGGCCATCAGAGAAATGCAATCAAAACTACAATGAGATACCATCTCACACCAGTTAGAATGGCAATCGTTAAAAAGTCCAGAAACAACAGGTGCTGGAGAGGATGTGGAGAAATAGGAACACTTTTACACTGTTGGTGGGACTGTAAACTAGTTCAACCATTGTGGAAGACAGTGTAGTGATTCCTGAAGGATCTATAACTAGAAATACCATTTGACCCAGCCATCCCATTACTGGGTATATACCCAAAGGATTATAAATCATGTTGCTATAAAGACACATGCACACATATGTTTATTGCGGCACTATTCACAATAGCAAAGGCTTGGAACCAACCCAAATGTCCATCAGTGATAGACTGGATTAAGAAAATGTGGCACATATACACCATGGAATACTATGTAGCCATAAAAAGATGAGTTCATGTTCTTTGTAGGGACCTGGATGAAGCTGGAAAGCATCATTCTCAGCAAACTATCACAAGGACAGAAAACCAAACACCGCATGTTCTCACTCATAGGTGGGAATTGAACAGTGAGAACACTCGGACCCAGGAAGGGGAACATCACACACCGGGGCCTGTCATGAGGTGGGGGAGGGGGGAGGGATAGCATTAGGAGATATATATACCTAATGCTAAATGACGAGTTAATGGGTGCAGCACAACATGGCACATATATACATATGTAACAAACCTGCACATTTTGCACATGTACCCTAGAACTTAAAGTATAAAAAACAAAAAAGAAAAATAAATTCTGAGTCCTCATTGCAAACGCAATACCCACTTCCTGGTTAATTGTAGATATTTGTGTGAAAGTTACAACAATATAGCTTGTAGAATATATCTAGAATAATATCTTTATGTCACCGGGATGTGTAAGTATTTAAGCAGACACTAACATCACAAACCATAAAGG
Organism: Homo sapiens; assembly: GCF_000001405.40. NCBI lineage: Eukaryota > Metazoa > Chordata > Mammalia > Primates > Hominidae > Homo > Homo sapiens. The sequence continues at coordinate 74,494,965 of NC_000006.12, read as the reverse complement.
AAATGTCTGCAAAATTAGTCTTCATTAAAATTAAGAATTTCTCTTCATCAAAATCTGTCATTAGTGGGGTAAAATACAAACCAAGATGAAAAATGTAAGCAATCTATGATGAGTTCTTTAGTTATTTTGGATATAACTCATATCCAGAATATCTAAAGAACTTTTACAAATAAATAAGGAAAACATAGTCAATCCAATTTGAAAGGTAGGGAAAATAAATTAAATGGCACTTCACAAATAAGGATACCCAAATAGTTAATAACACAGGTATATTGTATATATCTGTATACATACATATACATCAGTATATATACACTGTTTATATCTGTATGTCTGTATATATGTACAGATAATATATGCATATAGATACAGTATATATACATCTGTATGTATATATTATCTATATGTAGAGAATGTATAGAGTATATACATGTATATGTATATATTCTCTCTATATATACACATATATACATATACACAGACATATATATGTATACACACAAATACACCCAACAGAAACACAGACATAGGTTTATCTAAAGACACATACAGAAATAAAATAGTTTTTAAAAATGTAGTATATTTATATAATAGGATGATATAGATCAATAAAATTAGTACTACACCAGAAGCATGGATTAGTTTCTCAAACACGATATTAGAGAGTATATTATGTGATCCCATTTTACAAATTCTAAAACACGCTACACTAATATTTGGTTTCAATGGCGTTAGAAATGAAATCATGTTACTTTGGGGAGAGAAGAAGATGGCTTCTATGAGACAGCAAGGGAGAAATATTCTGGGACATTACACATTTGTTATTACTTGATCAAGAAAGAGGTAATATGGGCATACTTACCTGTGAAAATGCACTGAGATGTCCACTTACAATTTGTTTTCTATGTATGTGTTCTATATTAACTAAAATATTTATTTAAGGAAAACATTTTAATGTATTAGTTATTTTTCTTCTTAATCTTAGGGAAATTTTACAAAGACAAATATTACATGGTTAAGGAAACTTAAAATATTTTGCCTAGTTCCTTCAGTGGGTTTCTTGTTTTCTATTCATTATATGTTAGATATAATTTAAGTGTCTTAGATAAAAATTGTGGTACTGTACATCTATTTATCTATCATATATTTACTTATGTATCTTTCTATTAAGGTATACAACACATAAGTTTGCATTGAAAGATGAACACAAAATAATACTGTTTAATTTCAGTTGTTTGTTGTATTCCTTTTTTTTACATTAAGTGCTATAATAAGTTTATATGCAAGAGAAATAATTCAATCTCTTAAACAGTTTTTTAAACTATATCTTTTAAATACACTAAACATATCATTTGTCAAAAATCACATTTGGTCATATTTGTAAACTTTGGCTTTGTCAATTTTAAAATTCTTTCTTGACTTTCACTATTCAATAACACTCTAAACTAAAATGCCTTCAAAAGGTTCAAACATTTAAAATATCTTATTCAATTTTTATGTTCAATCATATTTTTTACTATTCTTTTTTTTAACATTTCTGTTGAGTTTCCTTCAAATTTGCATGGATGGTTTTTCAGTGACATTTAAAAAAAAAGAGTGATGGTTTTATCTATCACTATGCTTCCTCAAGAAAGCACCAAAATTAGACACACTTATATCTCTACAGGAAGAGAAAACAAACAGTTAAATAAACATTTTTATTTGCCTTATACCTTTGCACTGGCTTTTACTGCTTACTACTAATTTATCAGTTAAGATGTGAATAACACAATCTTCAACTCATTGTGGGAAGTGTACCATTACAGCATTCTATGCCTGCCACAGCTTTCCATGATTCAGTTGATACTTTACTTAATTGCGTATTTTACTGATTTCAAAGTTATGTACAAACTTCCCGTTTTTAGTTACCAAGCCACATTCCCAACTGAAACCAGAAATTTATCAGGACTACATCTTAAAACTATCAGTGAGCAACAACCCGAAATCACATGCAGAAAGGACTCAGAATTTTTATTTTTAACTCACTAGGGAACTCCAAGCATTAAGCATGATTACAAACATGTTGAGGAAAATAAATTGTGGCTGGAAATTGAACTAATTTGTAGAAGAAAATATATGTGCATGTAACCAGAAGTAAAAATTTGCTGACTTGTTGAGTGACAGGCTTGCTTTTCAGTAATGTGGATGTATAATCCTCCCTGAGGTCAAACCCACAACTGTTTTCTGCTGTCATGGACAAGCCTCTTTTATGTATTTCTGAAGCTTTAAGCATAATTTTTTTTGTTTATCTAATGGTAGATGGATTGACAATGGTAGACAATGTAAACAAAGTAAACAAAATGACTACTTGGCTAGAGTTATGTGGTTCTTCATTTAAAAAAAGTAAATTTTCTAATTACTCCTAGAACATAAAATTTATTTATCTGGACGGTCACAAATAAATATGAAATCAGTGAATATGAACCAGTTTAATTCTACTTATGTTTTCTTCTGAATGAAGCCAATGTAACATTTTAACTATACAAGAACTTAGAGAATTTCTTTTTCTAAACTTTTGTATTACCCCAATATAATTCCACTTACCTGAGGAATATAAGTCTTACAATTTTAGATGTATAAATCCAGGGGGAAATCTATTTTTTTGAGACTCAAGCATCATCCAATTTATTTCAGTTGGGGTTTGAGCCCCAAACTCTTGGTATTACAGAGTGTGAAGAGTGTCTTATGTACTCGTTTTAGAAATGAAGAAGTAACAAAATTCATGCTCCCAGAGTCACTGAGCTTGTCAAACACTTCTAACATGAAAAACCAATAGTGGAGAGTTCCTGTTTCTGGTTCCACATGTAAGGAGCTTGAAAGTCACCATTCTGTCCTAACAGTAAAAAGCTGAACAGACTGAAAATTAATAATTCTTAAATCTGTAGGAGAGGTGAGGACACAGGACAACCACTGTCCCCAAGTTCAGAGAGACAGACAGGTGAACACAGGGAGTCACAGCTTACAGGACCAGATACTCAGGGGTGGAAACAGTCCCAGGGTTCAAAGCGAGGGTAGGAAAACCTGTTTTATAAGTTGACAAATTGCTGGAAGGTCAGTATGGACAAGTTGGACAGTTTAAAAACTCAAGGGGGACCCAGCCATAGGGAGATTCCCACACTTTGGTGAGATTATCCTCCAGGAGCTCCACCGGATGCTCACAGAAAATATCAGAGAAAATCCCTTTGTGCTCTGTCAGAGGGAGAGAAAGAAGAATCATTTAAAAATACACCAGAGTACCCTTTTTTTAAATTTTATTATTATTATTATTTTAACAGGACTTGTTTTCAGGAGAAACTAGTTATTCAGAGCCTGACCTGCTGGGGTGTTATCAGAGCCTAACTAACCTGGGATAAGGGAAAAAAGGGAAATAATACCCAACTCCAGCCCACTGTAGACATCTTGCCCCACCAAAGCAGGGAGGAAAAACTGAGAAACACTTGTGAAGTTTACCGTCCAGAGGCACGGGCTTTCTAAAAGACTGAGACCTAATCGTGAGACTATAGAACTCTTCTCCCACAACATCTTACTACCACATTACCAAAGGCTTATGTACAGCAATTCATTTCACCTGCTACATCATGCCTGGCTATCAAGAAAATATTACATGACATACCAGAAAGCAAAACACAAATTGAAGAGACACAGCAACCATCAGAACCAGACATGGCAGGGATGTTGGAATTATCAGACTGGGAATTTAAAACTATGACTAATATGCTAAATGCTCCAATGGATAAGGTAGTATATAAGAACAGATGAGCAATGTGAGCAGAAAGAGGTAAATCCTAAGAAAGAATTTTTTTAAAGGCTAGAGATTAAAAGCAAAGTAACAGAAATGTAAAAATACCTTTGATAAGCATGTTAGTAGAATGGACATGGCTGACGAAAGAATCTCTGAATTTGAGAATATGCCAATAGAAACCTCCAAAGCTAAAAAGCAAATAGAAAAAAAGACTGAAAATAACAGAATATTCAAGGACAGTATACAAAAGGTATAACATATGCATAACAGAATAGAAGAAGGGAAGAAAGAGGAAAAGAAAAAAAAATTTGAAACAATAATGCTTGAGGATTTTGCCCCCAAATTTTTTTAATTATTATTATTATACTTAAAGTTTTAGGGTACATGTGCACAATGTGCAGGTTAGTTAAATATGTATACATGTGCCATGCTGGTGCACTGCACCCACTAACTCGTCATCTAGCATTAGGTATATCTCCCAGTGCTATCCCTCCCCCCTCCCTCCACCCCACAACAGTCCCCAGAGTGTGATGTCCCCCTTCCTGTGTCCATGTGTTCTCATTGTTCAATTCCCACCTATTAGTGAGAATATGCGGTGTTTGGTTTTTTGTTCTTGCGATAGTTTACTGAGAATGATGATTTCCAATTTCATCCATGTCCCTATAAAGGACATGAACTCATCATTTTTTATGGCTGCATAGTATTCCATGGTGTATATGTGCCACATTTTCTTAATCCAGTCTGTCATTGTTGGACTTTTGGGTTGGTTCCAAGTCTTTGCTATTGTGAATAATGCTGCAATAAACATACGTATGCATGTGTCTTTATAGCAGCATGATTTATAGTCCTTTGGGCATATACCCAGTAATGGGATGGCTGGGTCAAATGGTATTTCTAGTTCTAGATCCTTGAGGAATCGCCACACTGACTTCCACAATGGTTGAACTAGTTTACAGTCCCACCAACAGTGTCAAAGTGTTCCTATTTCTCCACATCCTCTCCAGCACCTGTTGTTTCCTGACTTTTTTAATGATTGCCATTCTAACTGGTGTGAGATGGTATCTCATTGTGGTTTTGATTTGCATTTTTCTGATGGCCAGTGATGGTGAGCATTTTTTTCATGTGTTTTTTGGCTGCATAAATGTCTTCTTTTGAGAAGTGTCTGTTCATGTCCTTTGCCCACTTTTTGATGGGGTTTTTTGTTGTTTTCTTGTAAATTTGTTTGAGTTCATTGTAGATTCTGGATATTAGCCCTTTGTCAGACAAGTAGGTTGCAAAAATTTTCTCCCATTTTGTGGGTTGCCTGTTCACTCTGATGGTAGTTTCTTTTGCTGTGCAGAAGCTCTTTAGTTTAATTAGATCCCATTTGTCAATTTTGGTTTTCGTTGCCATTGCTTTTGGTGTTTTAGACCTGAAGTCCTTGCCCATGCCTATGTCCTGAATGGTAGTGCCTAGGTTTTCTTCTAGGGTTTTTATGGTTTTAGGTCTAATGTTTAAGTCTTTAATCCGTCTTGAATTGATTCTTGTTTAAGGTGTAAGGAAGGGATCCAGTTTCAGCTTTCTACATATGGCTAGCCAGTTTTCCCAGCACCATTTGTTTGTTTTGTTTTGTTTGTTTGTTTTGTTTTGTTTTGTTTTTGTTTGTTTGTTTTCTTATTGATCATTCTTGGGTGTTTCTCGCAGAGGGGGATTTGGCAGCCTCATAGGACAATAGTGGAGGGAAGGTCAGCAGATAAACAAGTGAACAAAGGTCTCTGGTTTTCCTAGGCAGAGGACCCTGCGGCCTTCCGCAGTGTTTGTGTCCCTGGGTACTTGAGATTAGGGAGTGGTGATGACTCTTAAGGAGCATGCTGCCTTCAAGCATCTGTTTAACAAAGCACATCTTGCATCACCCTTAATCCATTTAACCCTGAGTGGACACAGCACATGTTTCAGAGAGCACAGGGTTGGGGGTAAGGTCACAGATCAACAGGATCCCAAGGCAGAAGAATTTTTCTTAGTACAGAACAAAATGAAAAGTCTCCCATGTCTACTTCTTTCTACACAAACATGGCAACCATCCGATTTCTCAATCTTTTCCCCACCTTTCCCCCCTTTCTATTCCACAAAACCACCATTGTCATCATGGCCCGTTCTCAATGAGCTGTTGTGTACACCTCCCAGACAGGGTGGTGGCCGGGCACAGGGGCTCCTCACTTCCCAGTAGGGGTGGCCAGGCAGAGGCACCCCTCACCTCCCGGATGAGGCAGCTGGCCGGGCGGGGGGCTGACCCCCCCACCTCCCTCCCGGACGGGGCAGCTGGCTGGGCAGAGGGGCTCCTCACTTCCCAGTAGGGGCGGCCGGGCAGAGGCGCCCCTCACCTCCTGGATGGGGCGGCTAGCCAGGCGGGGGGCTGACCATTTGTTAAATAGGGAATCCTTTCCCCATTGCTTGTTTTTCTCAGGTTTGTCAAAGATCAGATAGTTGTAGACATGCAGCATTATTTCTGAGGGCTCTGTTCTGTTCCATTGATCTATATCTCTGTTTTGGTACCAGTACCGTGCTGTTTTGGTTACTGTAGACTTGTACTATAATTTGTAGTCAGGTAGCATAATGCCTACAGCTTTGTTCTTTTGGCTTAGGATTGACTTGGAGATGTGGGCTCTTTTTTGGTTCCATATGAACTTTAAAGTAGTTTTATCCAATTCTGTGAAGAAAGTCATTGGTAGCTTGATGGGGATGGCATTGAATCTGTAAATTACCTTGGGCAGTATGGCCATTTTCACGATATTGATTCTTCCTGCCCATGAGCATGGAATGTTCTTCCATTTGTTTGTATCGTCTTTTATTTCATTGAACAGTGGTTTGTAGTTCTCCTTGAAGAGGTCCTTCACATCCCTTGTAAGTTGGATTCCTAGGTATTTTATTCTCTTTGAAGCAATTGTGAATGGAAAATCACTCATGATTTGGCTCTCTGTTTGTCTGTTGTTGGTGTATAAGAATGCTTGTCATTTTTGTACATTGATTTTGTATCCTGAGACTTTGCTGAAGTTGCTTATCAGCTTAAGGAGATTTTGGGCTGAGACAATGGGGTTTTGTAGATATACAATCATGTCGTCTGCAAAGAGGGACAATTTGACTTCCTCTTTTCCTAATTGAATACCTTTTATTTCCTTCTCCTGCCTAATTGCCCTGGCCAGAACTTCCAACACTATGTTGAATAGGAGTGGTGAGAGAGGACATCCCTGTCTTGTGCCAGTTTTCAAAGGGAATGCTTCCAGTTTTTGCCCATTCAGTATGATACTGGCTGTGGGTTTGTCATAGATAGCTCTTATTATTTTGAGATACATCCCATCAATACCGAATTTATTGAGAGTTTTTAGCATGAAGGGTTGTTGAATTTTGTCAAAGGCCTTTTCTGCATCTATTGAGATAATCATGTGGTTTTTGTCTTTGGCTCTGTCTATATGCTGGATTACATTTATTGATTTGCATATATTGAACCAGCCTTGCATCCCAGGGATGAAGCCCACTTGATCATGGTGGATAAGCTTTTTGATGTGCTGCTGGATTCAGTTTGCCAGTATTTTATTGAGGATTTTTGCATCAATGTTCATCAAGGATATTGGTCTAAAATTCTCTTTTTTTGTTGTGTCTGTGCCAGGCTTTGGTATCAGGATGATGCTGGCCTCATAAAATGAGTTAGGGAGGATTCCCTCTTTTTCTATTGGTTGGAATAGTTTCAGAAGGAATGGTACCAGTTCCTCCTTGTACCTCTGGTAGAATTGGGCTGTGAATCAATCTGGTCCTGGACTCTTTTTGGTTGGTAAGATACTGATTATTGCCACAATTTCATCTCCTGTTATTGGTCTATTCAGAGATTCAACTTCTTCCTGGTTTAGTCTTGGGAGAGTGTGTGTGTTGAGGAATTTATCCATTTCTTCTAGATTTTCTAGTTTATTTGAGTAGAGGTGTTTGTAGTATTCTCTGATGGTAGTTTGTATTTCTGTGGGATTGGTGGTGATATCCCCTTTATCATTTTTTATTGCGTCTATTTGATTCTTCTCTCTTTTTTTCTTTATTAGTGTTGCTAGTGGTCTATCAAGTTTGTTGATCCTTTCTAAAAACCAGCTCCTGGATTCATTAATTTTTTGAAGGGTTTTTTGTGTCTCTATTTCCTTCAGTTCTGCTCTGATTTTAGTTACTTCTTGCCTTCTGCTAGCTTTTGAATGTGTTTGCTCTTGCTTTTCTAGTTCTTTTAATTGTGATGTTAGGGTGTCAATTTTGGATCTTCCCTGCTTTCTCTTGTGGGCATTTAGTGCTATAAATTTCCCTCTACACACTGCTTTGAATGCGTCCCAGAGATTCTGGTTTGTTTTGTCTTTGTTCTCGATGGTTTCAAAGAACATCCTTATTTCTGCCTTCATTTCGTTATGTACCCAGTAATCATTCAGGAGCAGGTTATTCAGTTTCCATGTAGTTGAGCGGTTTTGAGTGAGATTCTTAATCCTGAGTTCAAGTTTGATTGCACTGTGGTCTCAGAGAAAGTTTGTTATAATTTCTGTTCTTTTACATTTGCTGAGGAGAGCTTTACTCCCAAGTATGTGGTCAATTTTGGAATAGGTGTGGTGCTGAAAAAAATGTATATTCTGTTGATTTGGGTGGAGAGTTCTGTAGATATCTATTAGGTCCACTTGGTGTAGAGCTGAGTTCAATTCCTGGGTATCCTTGTTGACTTTCTGTCTCGTTGATCTGTCTAATGTTGACAGTGGGGTGTTAAAGTCTCCCATTATTAATGTGTGGGAGTCTAAGTCTCTTTGTAGGTCACTCAGGACTTGCTTTATGAATCTGGGTGCTCCTGTATTGGGTGCATATATATTTAGGATAGTTAGCTCTTCTTCTTGAATTGATCCCTTTACCATTATGTAATGGCCTTCTTTGTCTCTTTTGATCTTTGTTGGTTTAAAGTCTGTTTTATCAGAGACTAGGATTGCAACCCCTGCCTTTTTTTGTTTTCCATTTGCTTGGTAGATCTTCCTCCATCCTTTTATTTTGAGTCTATGTGTGTCTCTGCACGTGAGATGGGTTTCCTGAATACAGCACACTGATGGGTCTTGAATCTTTATCCAATTTGCCAGTCTGTGTATTTTAATTGGAGCATTTAGTCCATTAACATTTCAAGTTAATATTGTTGTGTGTGAATTTGATCCTGTCATTATGATGTTAGCTGGTGATTTTGCTCATTAGTTGATGCAGTTTCTTCCTAGTCTCGATGGTCTTTACATTTTGGCATGATTTTGCAGCGGCTGGTACCGGTTGTTCCTTTCCATGTTTAGCGCTTCCTTCAGGAGCTCTTTTAGGGCAGGCCTGGTGGTGACAAAATCTCTCAGCATTTGCTTGTCTGTAAAGTATTTTATTTCTCCTTCACTTATGTAGCTTAGTTTGGCTGGATATGAAATTCTGGGTTGAAATTTTTTTCTTTAAGAATGTTGAATATTGGCCCCCACTCTCTTCTGGCTTGTAGAGTTTCTGCCAAGAGATCCGCAGTTAGTCTGATGGGCTTCCCTTTGAGGGTAACCCGACCTTTCTCTCTGGCTGCCCTTAACATTTTTTCCTTGATTTCAACTTTGGTGAATTTGACAATTATGTGTCTTGGAGTTGCTCTTCTCGGGGAGTATCTTTGTGGCGTTCTCTGTATTTCCTGACTCTGAATGTTGGCCTGCCTTGCTAGATTGGGGAAGTTCTCCTGGATAATATCCTGCAGGGTGTTTTCCAACTTGGTTCCATTCTCCCCATCACTTTCAGGTACACCAATCAGACGTAGATTTGGTCTTTTTACATAGTCCCATATTTCTTGGAGGCTTTGTTCGTTTCTTTTTATTCTTTTTTCTCTAAACTTCCCTTCTTGCTTCATTTCATTCATTTCATCTTCCATCACTGATACCCTTTCTTCCAGTTGATTGCATGGGCTCCTGAGGCTTCTGCATTCTTCACGTAGTTCTCGAGCCTTGGTTTTCAGTTCCATCAGCTCCTTTAAGCACTTCTCCGTATTGGTTATTCTAGTTATACATTCTTCTAAATTTTTTCCAAAGTTTTCAACTTCTTTGCCTTTGGTTTGAATTCCCTCCTGTAGCTCGGAGTAATTTGATTGTCTGAAGCCTTCTTCTCTCAGCTCATCAAAGTCATTCTCCATCCAGCTTTGCTCCATTGCTGGTGAGGAACTGCATTCTTTTGGAGGAGGAGAGGCACTCTGCTTTTTAGAGTTTCCAGTTTTTCTGCTCTGTTTTTTCCCCACCTTTACGGTTTTATCTACTTTTGGTCTTTGATGATGGTGATGTAGATGGGTTTTTGGTGTGGATGTCCTTTCTGTTTGTTAGTTTTCCTTCTAACAGACAGGACCCTCAGCTGCAGGTCTGTTGGAGTACCCAGCCATGTGAGGTGTCAGTCTGCCCCTGCTGGGGGGTGCCTCCCATTTAGACTGCTCGGGGATCAGGGGTCAGGGACCCACTTGAGTAGTCAGTCTGCCCATTCTCAGATCTCCAGCTGCGTGCCGGGAGAACCACTTCTCTCTTCAAAGCTCAGATGGAAATGCAGAAATCACCCGTCTTCTGCGTTGCTCACGCTGGGAGATGTAGACCGGAGCTGTTCCTATTCGGCCATCTTGGCTCCTCCCCGATTTTGCCCAAATTAATGTCAGATACCAAACCAGTTATTCAGGAAGGTTGGACTACACCAAGAAAAATTGATGCCAAAAAAATCCCCCATACCTAGGTATATTATTTGTAAACCTCAGAAAAGCAAAAGTAAAAAATGTCCTGAAAGAAGACCAAAGAAAAAACACCTTACCAATAGAGAAACAAAGGTAAGAATTAAATCTGTCTTTTCAGAAACCATGCAAGCAAGGAGAGAGTGAAGTGCCAAAATTCATTGAAGAAAAAATAGACTATTGAAATAGGCCTATAGCTATTGAATAGATAATTTCCAAAACAGAAAGCCGTAAGTCCAGATGTGTTTGCTAGTGAATTCTGCCAAACTTTTAAGGAAGAAAGTATACCATTCCTCTATAATTTCTTTCAAAAGATAGAGGAAGAGGGACTAATTTCTAACCCATTCTGTGAAGCCAGTATTACCCAATGCCAAAACCAAAGACACTGCAGAAAAGAAAGCTAAAGACCAATATCTCTCATGAATATAAATGCAAAAGACACATTTATAAAGGACTGTCATTCAAAATGTACAACAAACTCTTCAAACTCAACAATAAAAAATGAACAATGCAATATTAAAATGGGCTCAATACCTGAATAGACACCTCACCAAAGAAGATATACTGATGGCAAATAAACATATGAAAATATGCTCCACCTCATATATCACCAGGGAAATGCAAATTAAAACAATCATATAGGACTACACATCTATCAGAATTTGGAAAATCTGGAACACTGACAATATCTAATGTTGGCAAGGATGTAGAGCAACAGAAACTTTCATTTATTGCTAAATAAACTTTCATTTCTTTCATTTACACCTACCTTGGAAGACAATAAAGTATTATAGCCACTTTGAAATATAGTTTGGAAGTTTCATACAAAACTAAACATTCTCACACCATACAACCCAGTTATTATGCTCCTTGGTATTTACCCAAAAGAGCTGAAAACATGTCAACACAAAAACCTGCACACAGATGCTTATAGCTACTTTATTCATAATTGCCCAAATTTGAAAGCAACCCATATGTCGTTCAGCAGATGAGTGGATAAACTATGTTGCATTCAGACAATGGAATATTAATTAGTGGTAAATGGAAATCAGCCACCAACCATGAAAATACATAGAGGAACATTAAATGTATATCAGTAACTGAAAAAATCCAATCTAAAAAGGCAACATACAGTATGATTCCAGCTATATAACATTCTGGAAATGAAAAACTATGAAGACAGTAATGGATCAGTGGTTGCCAGGATTTGGCCAGGAATATGTAGAGAGGGAGGAAGGAGGTGAAAGGTGGGAGGGAGATGAATAGGCAGAACACAGATTTTTAGGGTGGTGGAACTACTCTATGTGGTACTATAATAATGAATACATGTCATGATACATTTGTCTGAACCCATAGAAGGTACACCACCAAGAGTGAACCATAATGTAATCTATGGACTTTGAGTGATTATGATGTGTCAACATAGGTTCATCAATTACAACAAATGTAACACTCTGGTGGAGAATTTTAATATTGGGGAGTGCATGCGTGTGTTGCGGCTGGGGGTATATGGGAAATCTCTGTACCTTCCAATTTAGCTGTGAACAACTAATCCAAGAGGACTAGTGTCCTTAGAAGACAGAGAGACACCAGAGCTCAATCTTGCTGTCTTTGCACACACAGAAGAAAGGTCACGTGGGGACACAGCAAGAACACAGCCGTCTGCAAGTCAAGGTGAGAGCCCTCACCAGGAACCAACCGTGTTGGTACCTTGAACCTGGACTTCTAGCCTCCAGACTGTGAGAAAATAAATGACTGTTGTTTAAACCAAAAAAAAAAAGAAAAAAAAACTACTCTAAAAGAATCTTTTTAGGATTGTGTTTAATGACAGATTCCTACACTGTGTATGTTTTATTAGATCAAATATATCAATGTGTGAGTAAATAAACATATTTATAATTTAGATTCACTTTGTCTCTTTCAATCTACCACTGCCCCTAACAACAGTGACTTGCATGCAAAATTTAGTTATACTGGCTTCCTTTCAGTTCCTTCCCACCACAGGGAATTTTCGCAAGTGGTTTACTTGTGAATACTCCTTTGTCAGGTATAACACAGACACACACATGTACACACACACACACACACACCCCTCACCTTGCTAGTCAATGTTTACCTTTCAGATCTCAGTTGGAATGTGATATCTATACTAGATTAGGTCCCCTTGATTATATGTCCTTATGGGACTCTGAACCTGACCACAGTCACCTCAAATTGAATAGGGTCCACAATTGTCAACATCATGTTTTCTAATTTTTATGTGGTGCTTCATTATTGTAAAAATGCTTTTCCATTCATTTTTCTTCTACTCATGGAAATAGCATTTCACATCGTATGGAGGTGGCATCAAGTGCATGGGCTCTGGAATGGTACTACCTGGCTAGTAGTTGTAAGACATGACAAGACACTTCTCTGCATCTCTAATGTTTCATCTGTAAATGAGAATAATAATGGCACCTATATTATAGGCGCTGGAACAGTTCCTGACACTTTATAATTATTCAGCAAACATTAGCGTTTATTATTTCCTCCGTCACTTTAGATTAAGGTAAATGGCTTGGTCAAGATAAACGAACAGTGTTTATTCCTTTTTACAAAAGTCATTTTTGGGGCTTTCTTTTTCAAAGCAGATTTATTGGTTTTGCTGTTATCATAAATAAGTTTTAAATTAGCATTTCATTCCAAGATGTTGTGTACATTCTAATAAAGTTAAGCCATCTTGAAGTCCTTGATTTTAGTTTTCTACATAACTAGCTCTTTTTAGATTCATATTTAAGAGAAAACATTTTCAGAATTCTATTTTTAGTTAAATGCACTGATTATTTCCTACAAAAGACATGCTGTACCAATTGAAACCAGCACAAAAAAAGAAAAAGGGAACAAAGGTTATGACATTTAACACTGAATGCCAAGCTTTCTCGACATTAGAAACAGTCTCTTTTTGTTAATTTCTGTATCCAGAAGTTGTGATCTTTGTCTCTTTATTTAGTGATGACTATAGGCTTTTATTATTGGTTTCTACAGTTTCTTCCTGAGCACTTGTTCTTTTTTATTTGTATTTTACTTTCCATTTATACATTATTTTACTTCTATTTAGAAAGGAAAAAATCTGTCTTAACTAACTTTTTTAAAAAATTAACATTGATAATTATTATCTAAAATTAATAAATTGTAGAAATCTAAAGTAACTCAGGACTTCCCACCTTGACAGTACTCTACTATTCCTAAGAATATTTCTCCTCACGCATTAGAGGTGACATGGTATCCCTACCTTGTTTGTGGTTTTCTTGGACTCTTCCACTTAAAGTTACTGAAGAAGCTAAAGTGAATGGAGTCTTTACAGGAATCTTCCAAGTTCCTCATAATTAAAATTATTTTAATATTTGTTTTGTTTCCTAAGTATAATCATACATGTCAACAGTGACTATCAAATTATATACTTTTCCTCAGTGATTTTCGGGTTTGCCTTCATTTCTCAATGGTATTCATGATCCTATACTTAGAGCTCAAATAGTCCATTTTTATGATGTATAGATTTCATATTTGCCAATTTACCTGCTTGCTAAAATTTATTTTTAACCTCAAAATCAATATTCTCAGTGCTTTCACAGTCATTTGCAGACATGTGCAGAGTGGGAAAAGTTGTGAGTCACCCGCCCATACTTTCTCAGCTGAGCTTGAACAAGACGATGCTCTGCTTCTTGTTTTCAGCTTTCATACTATAAACAAGTATGTCCTTTCTTTAGTCTGTTTAGTGCCACATTTTCCTCATTTTTGTGCTTTTTGTCAGTGATTTCTCATTCAAAATGTTTCCCAAGCAGGGTGCTAAGGTGCTTGTCTAGTGTTCCCAAGCACAAGACTGTGAATGTAGCTCATGGAAGTCCGTGTGTGTTAAACAAGTTTTGCTCAGGCATGAGTTACAGTGCTGTAGGTCATGTGTTCAATGTTAATGAAGCAACAATGTATATTAAATAAGGTGTCTTTAAACAGAAACACATATAAAACAAGACTCTGTATCGATTAGTTGACAAAAATATTTTGATGAGAGACTCGCAGAAACCTAACCATATATGTCCCATAAGAGCAATGGTTCAATATTTGCTAACTTAATGTTCATAGCAACTTTACTGAACATAACTACTTTGAATAATGAGAATCAGCAGTACTTTTTCATCGATTCTAAATCTTTGAAATTAGAATCTAAAGAGGGCCAGGGCCTCCCCTAAGCCAGGACGTCTCTGAGGCTCCACCTCCAAGCTCAGGCACGGCACAGCCTTGGGGGGCGGAGAGAGCAGTTGTGCGCCCAACCAAAGTGATTGTGCCCTTGGTTGGGGGCCCGGGGCATGTCACCTATTGGAGTCAAACAGAAGCAGCAACTTCTAACTTTGCTCAAAGCCACTCTCTTTTTAAACAGCAACAATTTAAAACTATGAAGAGAAAAGGAACATTGCGCTTCGATGGCAAGCAAACCATTTCCCTTCGTGTGTTCTGTTTTTCTCCTCCTGGTCCCTCTCCTGCCACCTCTCCAAGACTGTTCCATGGGACACCCACTTCCCTCTGTTACGCAGTACATGACTAAGCATTTACGGGTGTTCTCACTATTATTATTAGACTGAAATGTGCCATGAGGTGCTATGAGGCATAAGAAAATTGGTACAAAAAGTATTTAAAAATTTGACTAAGCATCCCTGACTCCATTGCAGAGTGTTTTGAAACTTAACATCTGGACCTCCCCTTCCCCCGGGAGTCTTTCCCATTAGAATGTTTGGGGTCGCCCAGGTGTCTATCATTAGACTGCCTGGGGTCAGTGGGAGTCTCTCCAATTAGAATGCCTGGGGTCGCCCAGGTGTCTCTATTATTAGAATGCCTGGGGTCAGCCAGGAGTCTCTCTCATTAGAATACCTGGGGTCAATATCGAAGGAAGCTCTTTAGAGAGGGTTATGATACCAGATGCAAATTTTACACAAGAAATAATCAACATAGAAGGCTAAAGTCAAGGTAAACATAAAAGACATATTGTTCTTATTTTTTAATCACTATAACATTTCAACCAGATTTAAAAATAAATTGTTGTATTTATCAATTGGCAACCACATTTAATATATAAGTTAAAGCTACTGTAGATATTTAACAGTTTTCTACCTTTGCCTCTTAAAAGAGAGCAGAAACATTAGCTTTTAATCTTAATTGTGATACCTTCAAGAGCTGCTTTAACATAACTAAAATGCCTGCCAGCATATTAACTTGGACAATTAATGAATTTTTAAAAGAGGAATTAAATAGTTTCATTAAACTGTAAAATCAAGTTACTCATTTAATCTAGTTGTTGTTTTATACCAACATAGTATCAAAATATTTAGTCTGCTATACTAATTCTACACATATTAGTTTTTTAAAAAAAGTCTGCAGTGGTACAATTGAGCTATTTGTATTTTAATTTGTTTTCTGGGTATTATCCAGATTGAGTTTTAGTGTGCTTATTGACAGCATCACATTAAAATATCTTTTCAAAATCCAAATCCTAAAACTGAGCATATAGCCTGAAAGGGATTAATATATTGTAAAATTTAATAACAATATTTTAACAATTAAATTTAAATAAATGTAAAATGATTCACATATGCCTAGATTGTACATGTAGTCTATAAATTAAACAGCAATTGATTCTGAAAAAAAAACATGATTGTGGCTTAGTCCAAATATTAATATATGTATTGAGAACCTGCTATTGTGGACAGTGGAATTATGGCAATAAATAAGATAGACAATGTCCCTACCCTCAAGAAATATAGTCTATGGCATAGAGAGAGACTATCAATAATAACCTTCACAAATAAAGATAGTGATATGTGTAATAAAGACAGTATATTAAAGAGATGTGCTAGAAAGTGATGATAGAAGAGGAAGCTACTTTAGATATTCTGAATAACAAGAAGTCAAGTGAACATTTGGGGATCAGAGCAATCTACACAGAGAGCCTAAAGTAACTTTAATGCTATACACTGCAGATTTTTAAATCCTGACCTCACCCTAAAAACATAACAAGTAAATTAGTCTCAATTCAGTGAGATGATGATGATGGTGACAGTTAGATAAATACAAGATTTGTTGAGGAATTGCTATGGACCCAGCACTGTTCTAAACACAAATATTGCCTTATCAGATCTTCACAACATTTGTAAGAAGAATTCTATTTCCTCTTTGCAGATGAAGAAAACTAAGCCCCAAAGTAACATAGCTGGGAAGTGGTGAAATCAGAATCCATATACCATGGTTCTGCCTCCAGGGCACACATCTTAATCATAACAGTGTATATCCATAAAATGGTTTTATTTTTAGTCCATTATTATACCTAAATGAATTTTCTTTCTTGATTTTCCCAGTCACTTTTGATAAAACTACATCTACTTTAACATTCCAATATCACATCTGACTCTAAATGGAATCTTTACACCACCACCACCACCACTCGCTGGCCAGGATTTGCTTACGTACGAGAACGTAAAAAAGAGGGTGGTCTGACTTTTCATTTGCATGGAAG
Source organism: Homo sapiens (assembly GCF_000001405.40). Taxonomy (NCBI): domain Eukaryota; kingdom Metazoa; phylum Chordata; class Mammalia; order Primates; family Hominidae; genus Homo; species Homo sapiens. The sequence continues at coordinate 74,477,898 of NC_000006.12, read as the reverse complement.
AGGAATTTATCCAGTATACTTCTTGCTCTACCTATTCCTGGTGTTGAAAGAGGGAGGAGGAATACAGTATGAAGGGAGGACTATATTATGTATTTGGTTGGAAGTAAGAAGCCACCTTTGTGTGGTCTGTCTGCTGCTGACCACCTCTACCAGGGTGGTGGTCTCAGGTTTCAGTCCTGAGCAAGCCAGTGGAATAGGTGCTTAACATATATGTTTTCATTCAATAACCCTGTAAGTGAATGGTGATAATCTTCATGTTAATCAGACTCTAAGATCTTAACTAGAGTTAGGTTCAACCACAGGTATTATCATACTAAAAATGTTTCAAGAATGCCATCTACAAAATGGAATGTCGCTGTATATTGTACTGTCTTTGTGATTATAAACAATGGAAAAGCCTTTCGTAAGATGAAAGAGGCTTGAGTTTATTTTAGCTGCTGCTCAGCGACAAGGATTTTCAAAATAAATTTTAACAGTACCAAAGAATATTCTTTCTTTCTTTCTTTGTTATAAATACAAAGCTGGGGGTAATAATATTTCAATTATTTGAAGCACTTTTATAAAAATAAGTTTAAAAATATAAACATATTTAATATGAATAAAGAACAAGGTATAATACAGGGATAACTTCGATTTTATTTTTACAAAAACTATTATAGGCTCTGAAGAAAGCCTGTATATCTTATGTGAATTGAAAGTATTTTGTTCAAGCAGAGTTCATAATTGACATATAGCAAAAAGCATAATCATGTCTTTCAGGATTTATAAACATGCAACATAGAAAGGACTATTTTTTTCTATAATTTTAAGAACCTAAAGACCAGTAAAATAATTCTGTATTGTCTATCATGCATATATTCAATGAGCACCTTTTATTTGGTTAACATTTTCCTAGACACTAGATAGGCAAACATGAATAGAATACCAGTCTCTGACCATACTACATTCTGAGGCACCTAAGGATAACTAAGTGTACATCAATTCTTATGGCACAATAAAATAAATCCATAATAGCTGTGGGATTCAGAAACAAAGTTATTTACAGAAATGTTTTTGATATAAAAAATAAACAGCTAATATGATGAGTTTCTACATCAGTAAAAATAATTTCATTTGAAATTGATTACAGTCTGAGCACATACTACTATGTAAGAGACTCCACTGGGGGCCCTGAGAGATAGAAAGATGGCTTAAATACAATGTTGACACCTTTAGTTATTGATAATTTACTATAACATGGCAGTGTGCCTAGTAGCTGGAACAATGTGGCAAAAACTAATAAATCTGCTGCGTGAGATCCTTAGCAATTACTGTTCCATCTGCCTAGAACTATGCAGCCATATAAAAGTGTATCCCAACATCTTTTTAGTTGCTCCCTTTTAGAATTCCTGTCTTAACTGAAATGTCCCCTCCTCAATAAAATTTTCTCTAATATTTGATCTATGTTAACCCTCTCTCTCAGTTTTCTTCACTGCAAACAACATTTATTATTAATTATAAAGGTCTAGCATTTACTTACTGTTATTGTCTGTCTCTCCTACAAGAATTTAAGCTCTATAAAATCAGGGAATTTTCCTGCCCATCACCTCTGTATTCCCAGTGCCAAGAAGGATTCCTGGAACACAATAGGTACAAAATAAGAAATTTCTAATCACTGAATAAAAGGAAATATGAATAAATACATAACTTGTTTCTTCCTCCCATTCATTTATTCAAGAACCATTTATTAAGTTCCTACCATATGTCAGGAAATTAGACACTGAGTTTACAATGTTGAGTTCCCTAAAAGAATTCACACACAATGTGATCAGAACAATAGACACAGAAATAAACAATGAAGTAAATACAATTAGAGAGAAGGAGTAATGCTGATAAAAATGGGCATATATAGCAACCTATGAGTACCAAGAAGGCTTCATTTGGGAGATAAACTCTGGCCTAATATTTTTTATATTATTTAAAATCTCTTTTTTTAACTTTTAAATTCAGGGGTACAGGTGCAGGTTTGTTAGATAGGTAAACTGGTGTCACAGGGGATTATTGCATAAATTATTTCATCGCTCAGGTAATTAAGCCTAGTACCCATCAGTTATTTATTTTTCCTGATCCTCTCCTTCCCCCACCCCTCTACCGTCTGATAGGCCTCAGCATGTGTTGTTCCCCTCTATGTGTCCATGTGATCTCATCACTTAGCTCCCACTTGTAAGTGAGAACATACAGTATTTGGTTTTCTGTTCCTTAGTTTGCTAAGGATAATGGCCTCCAGCTCCATCCATGTCCCTGCAGAGGACATGGTCTTATTCTTTTATATGGCTGCATAGTAGTTCATGATGTATATGTACCACATACATTTCCTTAATCCAGTCTATCACTGACAGGTATTTAGGTTGATTATATGTTTTTACTATTGTGAATAGTGTAAAGAGCTTCTGCACAGAAGAAACTATCAATAAACAGACAACCTACATAATGAGAGAAAATTTTTGCAAACTATGCATTCAACAAAGGTCTAATATCTAGCATCTAGAAGGAACTTAAACAAATTTACAAGAAAAAAATAAATAACCCCATAAAAATTGGGCAAAGGACATGAACAGACACCTTTCAAAAGAAGACATACATGCAGCCAACAATGATATGAAAAAAGCTCAACATTACTGATCATTAGAGAAATGTAAATGAAAACCATAATGAGATATCATCTCACACCAGTCAGAATGGCTATTATTAAAAAGTAAAAAAAAAAAAAAAAAAAAAAAAAAAGATGCTGACAAGGTTGTGGAGTGAAAGGAATGCTTATATACTGTTGGTGGGAACATAAATTAGTTTATTCATTGTGGATGACAATATGGTGATTCCTCTGGGCTAAATTTTAAAGAGAAAAAGGTGGTCAAGAGAAAAAGAAATAGGCAATAAAAGGAAAACTAAGATAGGCAGAAGCATAAAAAACACAGAGCTCCTGGTTCCGGACAAGATGGAACAAGCACATTCCACTCTATTGCGCCTACTAATTACAACAACAACAAAAAAAACAACAAAATGCATAAAATAACTATGAAAAAATCATTGAAACGTAAAGCAAAAAGTTAAAGACTTCTGACTAGAGATTGAGGGATCTACTAGAGCATCCTGCAATTAGAAACACAAATGGACACATACCAAAAAAGCTCAAGAAAAGCATAAGCCTTTTTTATTTCCTCTACAGCCAAAGGACGAGGAAGTCAGCTCTGCAGATATTAGCTCTGCAATTATGCCCACCTCTCCCACTTCCCACTAGGCTCTGTTGTATCAGGACGAGCTGCAGACAAAACCTCTCAGACACTGAGTTGTAGAACGAAGGGCCTTATTCAGCTGGGAGCATCGGCAAGCTACTGCCTTAAAATCCGACCTCCTTGAATGCACAATTTCTGTCCCTTTTAAGGGCTCACAACGCTAAAGATTTTACATGAAAAGGTCGTGATTGATTCGGGCAAGCGAGGGGTATATGACAGGGGCTGCATGCACCGGTGGTCAGAGAGAAAGAGAACAGGGCAGGGAGTTTCACAATGTTCTTCTATACAATGTCTGGAATCTATGAATAATGTCGGTTTCTAAGTTATGAGTTGATTTTTAACTACTGGGTTTAGGCCAGGCAGGCCCAGGCCTGGTTTCGGGCGTGGCGCCGAGCTGCCTGTCTTTGGTTTTATTTCCTTGTTGTTTTTTCTTAAAACAGGTACTGAGTATAAAACAATATAAAATAATATGAGAGGGTCTTTCTCTTCCTTCATTCCCCCTTTTGAGACTCTCACTTTTTATTAGCGGGAGTTCTCACTCTTATTTTTGTTACTTATATCTTTTTGTGCAATAGATTGATAGTGATTTATATAGTATGCTTGTGCTGAAGCATTTTGGTGAACTAAGGTAGCGACAAAGCTTTTTATCATTTGAAGAAGTACAGGTAGCAAACAAGGGAGCAGTAAGCAGGTTCCTATTACTATTATTACTTTTATTATAGGAGTTTTAAATTTTCCCATTGCTGGAAACCAATTTCTAAACATGGCTCCTGGATTGAGTCCATGCCACACTTGCACGGGTACATGTGCCAGTTGTGTTATATCTTTAACTATATCTTTAGCTACTTGCCCCAATCATCCGTGTGTAGACAACAATTAGTAAGGTTAAATTTTTCACAAACTCCTCTTTCAGCTGCTAGCAAGTAGTCAAGAGCTAGTCTATTTTGATAGATAGCATTTTTCATCAGAGTCTCTTGCCAGGCAAGAACAGTCAAGGCTTGACCGGTTTTATTAGTGGTGATTTTTAAAACAGCTTGCAACTGTATGATTCAGTTGAGTATGTAAATGGGGGTCCGGTATCCCCATGAGCCGTCTTGTGTCTAAGTGGCAGGATTATAGTATTGTATGATTCTTTCAGGGGGCCATTCATTATTTTTTTAATCACCTATGGCTATGCTTCATTTTTTGCAGGAAGCATAGACTGAGAAGCCTAGAAGTTCACCTGTTTTTATGGGCAGTAAGAAGAAAGATGGCTTGATGGTGCCAATTACCCAGCTACCTGTCCACTGATCAGGGAGCTTAACATAAGCTCTGTGTCCACATATCCAGTATAACCTGGTGGGTACTGTCCAGTCCCAGTGGAATTCTGGGTGGGCCCAAACAGTCTGCAACTTTGGAAATTTACTTCTGTGTAATTGGAACTTCACCATGTAACTTTTTGTAGTACCATTATACAGCTTTTGCTCAAGACAACTAAGCCGCGCTACAGGATGAGTGAATCTTTTTCCTTTTCTAGCTATGCAATACTGTCCAATAATTGAGACTTTTAGAATCTAAAAATTGTCAGGCTGGTTCTTTTGGGCTGGGAATTCATCAGGAACTGGATCTGTAGGAACTAATTCTCGGGCTTCCTATGGCCATTGATTTCCTGTTATGGTTTCTCCACAAACATAACATGAGGTGACATTTAGAGACTGGGCTACATGCTTGGCTAATTGCAAAAACAAATTTTTAATTTTTCCTGGAATCTCAGGTACTGGCACATTTAGTTTATCATAGAAAGTCTGAAATACTGGTTCTGGATAGCGTCTTTGAACCTCTCCTTTTATTAGGATGCTTACACTAGGATCTAGTCCTTTTCCATTAATGTCTAATGTTACATCTTTTCCTTTATTTTACTTTGGGTCTGAGGGGTTTGTGATTATCATTTCTAAAAGGTTGCAGCTCACACTCATGCAGGAGGGGCTGACTTTTCTTTTTTGGAGTCAAACAGGATCTTTTTTATCTTCTTTTTAAGTAACCCAAATGACACAAGACCAGTATTGACACATCTCACATAAACATGATTTTTGACAGATGTACTTATTTTCTGCTGTGTAACTTTTTTCCCAATCTAGAGAACCACATCTTATCTCATGCTGTTTACTATTAATAGCGGCACAGGCATCAAATTTTAAGGTTACAGTTTTGGGGACCCCTCATTCTTGTCTTCTATTACTTTACTTGTGTCACTTAGAAAAGGACCAGTCCTTAATTTTATTTTAAAAACTGTGATCATGGGAGGCTTAAAGGGGTCATAGCACACATCGGGCTGGTCACTTCCTGTATTACATACTTTGGATAGAATAGCATTATACAAACAAGTTTCTTTTAGAGTCCTGGTATACTTATAATAACCATAAAATAATAGGACTGTAGCAATCTTTTGTCCTACCTCAGTGACTTGATGTATGTACTGGGAACAGCCCTCAGTCTGAGGAAGGTCAGTTGAAGTCCTTACTGTACAAGTCCAAATTTTAAGGAAAATGAGTCCCGCGATGAGTTTCCTCATGCTTCGGCTGTGCATGGACCAGTCAGCTTCTGGGTGTGACTGGAGCAGGGCTTGTCATCTTCTTTAGAGTCACTTTGCAGGGGTTGGCGAAGCTGCTCCCATCCACGTACAGCTCCCAGTCTACTGATGTTTAAGGATGGTCTCAGAGGTTGGGCCCACTAGAATAAACTGAGTCCAATACTTCTACACAGTTATGTTTAACTGGGCTCTCTGACACTGGGAGCAAGGTGGTGGGGTTTAGGGTGTTGCAAACTTCAGTTCTTATGTGGGGATTTTCACAGAGCAAGCTTTGGTATCTAGTTAGTCTAGCATTCATTAGCTAATGGTGTCCTTTGGTTTTTATTAAAATCACCACAGCATAGGGGGACTTTACGTGTAGGTTTTGGCTAAGAGTTAGCTTATCTGCTTCTTGTGCTAACAGGGCTGTTGCTACCAGGGCCCTTGGACAAGGGGGTCAGCCTTTGGAAACCCCGTCTAGTTGTTTCGAGAGATAGGCCACTGGCCTTGGCCAGGGCCCTATAGTCTGGGTTAAAACTACAACTGCCTTTTTTTTTTTTTTTTTTGACACATAGGGTGTAAAGAGTTTTGTCAGGTCAGGTAGCCTCAGGGCTGGGGCCAACATGAGTTTTTCTTTTTAACTCATGAAAAGCCCATTGCTATTGGTTGTAATAGATATAGTTTATCTAATCTACATTTTATTGACTGTCATCTACCAAAATATTGACTTAAACCTTGTAACTGTTTGATTTGAAGCTTTAAATTGATCTGGTATTCCCTGGGGGCTTCAATTGCATCTAAATAAATGCGAGAGTTGAAAGACCTATAAGGGGCTTCTCTCACTTTACGATGTCTTATTATTATTATTTTTCCTTCCTCTGGTAGATGAAATGACAGGGTGAAAGGGATAGTCAAATGGACTAAAGCACAAGTGCCACTCTAGTTATTTGGCAGAGTGCCCAGTAAAGGTCCCCCACAATACCATCACACATCTGCACAGGGATGAACAAGGGCTGACTGATTGATAAGCTCTTGAAAATTCTTAAGCTCACCGCATCCCTTTAGGTCTCCAAGGAATGCTAAGTTTCCTCCCTGCCGTGAGAGACAGGAAGTGAACTTAGTGTTGGGAGATGGAAGCTGGATGGCCCTCAGGGGCTGACCTTCAGGGACTTCGGGATATAGCAGAGAGAGCTTCACATGACTTACTACTCCAGGATGTAGAATCCTGGAAAAGAGCTACCATGCAGCCCACACCTGGTCGACTGGAGGACCACCTTAGTGGAAGGGAGACAATCTGGGCCTCTGGCCTGCCATGTGCACAAGCATAACAATTGCTTTTGTTTAACATGCAGATGGAATATTTGATCCATTTCAACCAGGCATTTGCATCTTGGTATGTTGTCTTAATTGCCAAAGTTTGTTTTAAGTCTTTAACTTTTATGTTCCTCTAGTAAAATGAATGTTTCCCTTAGCACCAATTTTTATTAGTTTTTAGACCAAAGAAAGCTAAACACCATTTTATATTTAATAATGTTTCTTGTATGATTTTCATACCAGATATGCTAAATTTTACCTTTATATTAGTGTGTTTTTAATATTAAACTTAACTTTAATAAAACCTTGTCGACATATTTCTCCAGTTTTTCATGTTTGACCATAAGGTAAGATTTTATAGGCTTTTTTTAACCTTTTATAATTTTTGTTAAAGAGCAGTTTGATGTTTTATGAAAAAAACCTGTTGCATTTTTACTTTCATGTCCAGTTCACAGAAAAACTGGATGATACCTTTTAACTTTAGCTAATATGTTTACACACAGAATTTTCTTTACAATTAATGTTTTAAAACTTGCTTAAACTTTTAAAACAGTTTTTTTAACCTTTTAATGTAGGTAAAAAATCCACATTCTTATGCCTCCTTATAATCTTTTTACCAAAGGTATATTTTACTTTTTTATACACTTTGCACATAAACTGTTTCTTCAATAGTACTCAGGAGGCCTTATTACTTTTAAATTATACAACATTCTTTGCATAAAAATTTTTATAACATTTTTTCTTTCACGACTTTCCCTGACAATTCTTCAACATGTCTTAACTTTCTGACTTATTACAAACTTTTTTTTCTCTTTAAACCACCAGTTAATTTATTTCAGGACAAGAATTTACCATATAACAGTCTTTTTACATAAATTTTTCCTCCCCCTCTTTTTTTTTGTTTGAAGATAACCATTCCTTTTTTTAAAGAGAACTTTCTTTATATCTTTGGACTAGACTGTTTAAGGCCACAAGATTAGAAGTTACCATAATACATGTTACACTGTTAACTTTTAGCAATCTTCACTTTTGTTGAAAACCTTGTAAGTTTGAGATGTCAATTATCCTTTGCTATTAATAAGACCTTGTTTAGTCTAAACTAACTTAGAATTGGTATAGATGGCCTCTTTTTCTCTCTGCTGGTCTTTCCTTGCCTCTGCCAGCCACTTATGCTGCTGTTCTCTTAACTACTGTAGTGGGAGGAAAGGGGGTCTAAAACCAGCTGTAACTGTCTATGTACGAAAACTGGTCTGGGTACTTTGGCTTACCCAGGTTACCTTGTGCCGTACCTTTGAAACAAGGGACCTGTCCAGGCATCCTTCTGATGGCCAACCCACCTCTAATGCTAGCCAGTCTATTTCACACAAAGTTCTAAGTTTTCCTGGTGTCATAGTAACACCGTAATCTCCCTTAAATTCTTTCTTGAAATTTTTTTTTAACATAGTTCTCAGTGGGGTGGGCTTACTTTGCACCTGACCCATGTTTTTTTGAGATAAAACACCATGCTCACACAACACACACACCACAAACAAAGAAGAGGAAAGAGGGCACACACACACTTTTGCAATTTACACAAAACCAAAATCAAAACCAAAATCAGAGAAATCCAACAAATCCAAGCCAGATCAAAAACCTAAACCAAAGTATCCAGCAATTCAAGTCAAGTCAAAACCAGAACAAAGATGCCAATACAGGCAAACCGTGGGTGATGAGGCCACGCTTCCACTCAGATGGAGTGGGGCAAGTTCAAAAGACTAGTCTTACCAAGTCAAGCCAAGTCAAAACCAGAACAAAGATGCCAGTACAGGCACACTGCGGGTGATCAGGCCATGCTTCCACTCAGGTGGAGTGGGGCAAGTTCAAAAGACTAGTCTTACCAAGTTTCAGATGTCTGGACTCCAAGTGCCAGTTCCTTCCTGGTGTTCAGCCACTGTGTTTATCCTCCGCGGGGGCCTGCCAAGCGCTGCTCTGGTGAGGCATCCCACTGGGGCATTTTCCTACCCAGGAGCGCTGTTTGGATCGCGTCACTCAGGCTGGCTGGAGTCCCCCGCAGAGATGCTCCACAGGGCACGTCTAAGCCGCCTAAGGTGCTGCCTCGGCAGTCCGTCAATTACCTCACTTCCCGGTCAGGGAACCAAGAAATGTAGCAGGACGAGCTGCAGACAAAACTTCTCAGACATCGAGTTGTAGAAGGAAGGGCTTTATTCAGCTGGTAGCATCGGCAAGCTACTGCCTTAAAATCCAAGCTCCCTGAGTGCACAGTTTCTGTCCCATTTAAGGGCTCACAACACTAAAGATTTTACATGAAAGGGTCGTGATTGATTCAGTCAAGCAAGGGGTACGTGACAGGGGCTGCATGCACCGGTGGTCAGAGAGAAACAGAACAGGGCAGGGAGTTTCACAATGTTCTATACAATGTCTGGAATCTATGAATAACATCGGTTTCTAAGTTATGAGTTGATTTTTAACTACTGGGTTTAGGCCAGGCAGGCCCAGGCCTGGTTTTGGGCCTGGCGCCGGGCTGCTTGTCTTTGGTTTTATTTCCTTGCTGTTTTTTCTTAAAACAGGTAGTGAGTATAAAACAATATAAAATAATATGAGAGGGTCTTTCTCTTCCTTCACTGTGAAGATTGTGGGTGATGCTTTGTCAACCATCCCACCCTTCAAATGAGAGTTGAAATAACTCTCCCCACCAGGTGCTTTGAAGCCAGTGGGGTGCAGCACTGTTGACCATACTCACTCTGCAGCACTGCAAGCAGAGGCCGTGCCCTTCCTTCTCCCCACTGGGCTCTGTAGAGATGTGAGTGGAATATTCTCAATCATCCCTGCCTGCATTAAGTGAACAACAACAAATAGATAGCACTCTAGCCCCTTTGAACTAGAGAGTCGGGGCAGAACTATAGAGCACACAATGCTGGAGAAAATGGTTCTCTAAATCTGTGTGTTTAAAGTCCTGGGAAGGTCTCAACCAGCCCCTGCATGGCATTGACCAGAATCAGCACAGCAAATGGTTTGAGAAGAGAATTGTGGTATGTAATGGCACTCAGGTTTCAAATTGGCCTCTGGGTAACACACAAACAAAGCTAACCACAATAGCACAGAAGAGTCTCTGAAAACTAAACTGACATTTGAATCACAATCCACAAAATGGTCCAAGAGTTGCATTCTAAACCTAAATTGGTTGACTTTGACTGTTTGCTAAAATAGAAATTTCAAATGGCACTTAGAGGCTGATAATATAATGTTCAAACTGTCTTTGACACAATCTAAAACTATTCATTCGACCAAAAAGTAGAAAAATATCAAAGAAATGAGAAAAGACAATCAAAAGATACATAGAGGTGGCACAGATGTCAGAATATCTGACAGTGATTTTAAAGCAGCCCCAGAAGGAGGAGTCAACATGGCCAAATAGACACAACTAGGAGGAACATCTCCCACTGAGAGACCGGGATTTTGGGTAGACTGCCACATTTTCGGCAAATCTTCAGAGGGAAGGCATTGAGAGTGAATGGGGGAGGATGCAGACACTGAGGTGAAGTGGAAGGAAGCATGGAACCCTGGTTTTGCTGAGAACCAGGACTTGATTCTTGACTCCCAGACACTAGTGGAGAAGGGGTGAGTTGAACAGGTAAGGACTGGCCCGCTCTTGCCACAGACCTGCAGAATTGTAGTAGCAGGAGATTCCACAACTGCCATGGACACTTGAGTGGGCAAGGAGAGCTGCTTAGAAAAGTGGAAGTGGAAGGACTCCAGCCTGCGCAGATCATAGAGGGTTTGGTGCAGGAATGTCTATAGTGGAGTACAGCTAGCAACATTCATAGCCCAAGGCTTGTCATATTCTTCCAGGGGACTTTAGCTTTAGGGCAACTTTTGGACCTGGACAGAGTAGGGCGGTCTTGCCTGATGGATGGGGCCAGACTGCTGTGAGTGCCCCTCTATCTGCTGGTCTCTTATGGAACCCCAGCATGACCACACCCTCCTGTAGTGCAGCCTCAGATACACGAGAGTGGTTTCTGTGGGCTGTCATTACAGCTACTTTGACAGCAGACCATCACATATTCCCATCAGAAAGCTCCAGCAGACCAGTCCCAGCAATAAGCAGCAGCCTACCTGCAGTGTCCCTTCACCATGGCATAACCCTACTGCTTTGCTGGAATGTACTCTCCCATGCCCATTCCCCAACCACTTTGCTGGCACATGCCAATGGGGAGACCTCACCACTCCTGCCCTGCCAGCACACAGGTGCATGTGCACTGCTCTGCACCACCGTTAGCACTAGTGCACCGCACTGCCCCTATACCTCACTGACTCACAGACATCCTGCTGCACCACCACCACTAGGGCAAATGCATGCACCGATACTGGTATTCCTGTGCCCACCAGTACTCCACCTTCACCAATATCAGTACAAGCATGGGTAGAAATACCATTGCCCCACTCCTGCCAATGCCCTGCCCCAGCTGGTATGCATCACCCTGCTATGCTGCTGCAGATGCTATTACATGCATGCAAGCATGGATCCTGCTGCGACTGATCTGAAGAAGGACTTTGGTTGACACCACCTTTGAGAGTGTTGTGGGAAGTAGGCTGGGAACACCTTGACCCCTCCAGCACAGCAGGTTCCAAACCTTGAGGTGCTAGAGAACAAAGCCAGAGTACCAGCCCCCCAGAGTTAGAGCACACATCCCAGGAGTGCTGAGCCAAGTCTTTTCCTTTCTAAAATCTTCCAGAAATGAAGCCAGTTTACTGAGCCCAACTTACACCAGCAGTAAGCCCCCAAGGGCATCAAAGAAGATAAAAGCAAGAAACCCCATCCGAAGGACAGCAACTTCAAAGACTGAAGGAACATCAGCCCACACAGATGAGAAAGAAACAGTGAAAGATCTCTGGCAACTCAAAGAGCCAGAGTGTCTTCTCCCTTCCATATGACCACACTACTTCATCAGCAAAGTTCTTAACCAGGGTGAACTGGCTGAAATAATAGACATAGAATTCAGAATACTGATAGGAATAAAGATAATCAGGATTAGGGAGAAAGTTAAAACTCAACACGTGGTGTGTAAGGAATATGATAAAACAATACAAGAGGTGAAAGATGAAATAGCCATTTAAGAAAGAATCAAACTGATCTGACAGAGTTAAAAACCTCATGTCAAGAATTTTATGATACAATCACAGGTATTAACAGCAGAATAGATCAAGCTGAGGAAAGAATGTCAGAGCTCAAGAACATGTTCTCCAAAATAACTCAATCGAACCAAAATGAAGAAAAAATAAATAAATAATGAACAAACCCCCTGAAGAATATGGGATTATGTAAAAAGACCAAATCGACCACTAATTGGTGTCCCTGAAAGAGATGAAAAGAAAGCAAGCAACTTTTAAAATATATCTGATGATATTATCCATAAAAATTTTCCCAACCTCTCTAGAGAGGCCAACATTGAAATTCAGGAAATGCAAAGAACCCCTGTGAGATACTATATAAGATGACCATCCTGAAAACACATAGTCATCAGATTCTCCAAGGTCAAAATAAAAGAAAAAAAATATTAAAGACAGCTAGACAGAAGGGGCAGATGATTTATAGAGGAACCCCCAACAGGCTAACAGATATTTCAGCAGAAACCCTAAAATTCAGAAGAGATTGGGGGCCTGTATTTAGCATTCTTAAAAAAAAAAGAAACTTGGCGATTCCTCAGGGATCTAGAACCAGAAATACCATTTGACCCAGCAATCCCATTACTGGTTGTATACCCAAAGGATTATAAATAATTCTACTATAAAGACACATGCACATGTATGTTTATTGCAGCACTGTTCACAATAGCAAAGACTTGGAACCAACCCAAATGCCCATCAATGATAGATTGGTTAAAGAAAATGTGGCCCATATACACCATGGAATACTATGCAGCCATAAAAAGGATGAGTTCATGTCCTTTTCAGGGACATGGATGAAGTTGGAAACCATCATTCTCAGCAAACCGATACAGGAACAGAAAACCAAACACCGCATGTTCTTACTCATAAGTGGGAGTTGAACAATGAGAACACATGGACACAGGCAGGGAAACATGACACACTGGGGCCTGTTGAGGGGTGAGGGGCTAGGGGAGGAATAGCATTAAGATGTAGATGAAGGGGTTGATGGGTGTAGCAAACCACTATGGCACATGTATACCTATGTAACAAACCTGCACATTCTGCACATGTATCCCAGAACTTAAAGTATAATTAAAAATAAATAAATAATTAAGTAATGAAAGAAACCTGTGAGGTAGAGCGAGATGATGGAATAGAAGTTTCCATGAATCATCTCCCAAGAAAGAGCACCAATTTAACAAATAGCTATACCAAATTACCTTCATAAGGACCAACACTCAGGTGAGCAAAAACAGTAACTTGTTTTAACTTCATGTCACTGAAAAGGGCACTGAAGAGATAGGAAAAAAAATCTGAAATTTCTGAAACCACCCTCCCTCATCCTCCTGCAGTGGTGGCATGATGCAGAGAGGATTTCTGTGCACTGGGCAGAGAAGGAACTCAGCAATTGTGAGGCATTAAACTCAATGCTGTCCTGTTACATCAGAAAGCAAAACCAGACAAAAATAATTTGATGCCTGCCCATAGTGGGAGCATTTATACCAACCTTTAAGATCTGAAACATGGCAAGAATGCACACTTACACCACTGTTATTCAACGTGGTACTCAAAGTCTTAGCCAGAGCAATCAGACAAGAGGAAAAATATAAGCGCATCCAATTTGGAACAGAAAAAAATCAAATTATCCTTGTTTGCAGATAATATAATATTATATTTGGAAAAACCTAAAAAGCCTGCCAAAAAACCATTAGAACTGATAAACAAATTCAGTTAAGTTGCAAGATATAAAATCAACATATGAATTCGGTAGCATTTCTATATGCTGTGAAAGGAAAATAAATCTCAGGACCCCGAAATTACTAAGCCAAGGAAAGAGTTAGGCTGAGAACTATATCAGGCAAACCTGCCTCCCATTTGTTCCTAAATAAGATAGCTACAAAGATAAAAAGCTGCATCCCTCCCTCACAAGTTGCCCACAAGGAAATTCTTTGTGGACAAAGGATAGACAGAACTCAAAGTCATCCCTCTGAGGCTCACCTGAGATAAACACATATCTGACTGCTTCTTCTGCCCATTGTTTATGTAAAAATGTAGATTAACTGAGCCAGGTTAAATTTCATATTCATTGGAAGGCTGATCAAAGACTCAAAAGAATGCAAACTTTTGTCTCTTATCTACTTCTAACCTGGAAGCCCCCCCACCCCCTTGCTTTGAACTTTCCCACCTTACTGAACGAAACCATTGCACATATTGATTGATGTCTCATGTCTCCCTAAAATGTGTAAAAGCAAGTTGTACCCTGATCACCTTGGGTACATGTCTTCAGGACTTCCTGATGTTGTGTCATAGGTGCATCCTTAACCTTGGCAAAATAAACTTTCTAAATTCATTGAGACTTTTCTCAGATACTTTTTGGTTTACAACGCCAATACTAAATAATCTAAAAAAGAAATTAAAAATTAATGCCATTTATGATAACTACAAATAAATACCTAGGAATTAACCAAAGAAGTAAAAGATCTTGCTAATGAAAACTATAAAACACTGATGCAAGAAATTGAAGAGGACACCAAAAAAAATGGAAAGATATTTCATGTTCATATATTGGAAGAATCAATATTATTAAACTGTCCATACTACTTGAAGCAATCTACAGATTCAATGCAATCCCCATCAAAATACTAATGACATTCTTCACAGAAATTAAAAAAATACTATCTTAAAACTTATACGGAACCACAAAAAACCCAGAATAGCCAATGTTATCTTGAACAAAAAGAACAAACCTGGAGGAATCACATTACATGACTTCAAATTATACTACAGAGCTGTAGTAACCAAAATGGCATGGTATTGGAAACAAACAAACAGACACAAAACCAGTGGAAGAGAATAGTGAACCCAGAAATAAATCCACACACTGGCAGTGAACTGATTTTCAAAAAAGCTGCCTATAACATCCCTGGGGAAGACAATGTCTTCAATAAATGGTGCTGGGAAAACTGAATATCTATATGGAGAGGAATGAAACTAGACCCTTATCTCTCACCATATAGAAAAATCAAATCAAAATGAATTAAAGACTTAAATCTAAGACTTCAAACTATGACACTACTACAAGAAAACTTTGGGGAACATCTTCAGGACATTGGTGTGGGCAAAAACTTCTTGAGTAGATATACACAAATGGGATCACATTAAGTTAAAAAGCTTCTGCACAGGAAAGGATACAATCAACAAAATGAAGAGACAACGCACAGAATGGGAGAAAATATTTGCAAACTGCCTATCTGACAAGGGATTAATAATCAGAGTATGTAAGGAGCTCAAACAACTCTATAGGGAAAAATCTTATAATTCCTGTTTTTTAAAATGGGCAAAATATTTGAATAGACATTCCTCAAAAGAAAACATAAACATGGAAAATGAGAAGGTGCTCAACATCCCATTGATTGTCAGAGAAATGCAAGTCAAAACTACCATGAGATATCATTGTACCCAAGTTACAATGGCTTTTATCCAAAAGACAGGCAATAACAAATGCTGATGAAAAGGTAAAGAAAAATAGAACCATCACAACCACTGTGAAGAAAAGTTTGGAGGTTCCTTGGAAAACTAATGAATAGACATACCTTGTGATCCAGCAATCCCACTGTTGGATATCTACCCAAAGGAAAGGAAATGAGTATATGGAAAAGATGTATGCATTTGCATGTTTTTTGCAGCACTGTTCACAATGGCTGATATTTGAAAGCAACCTAGGTGTCCATCAGCAGATGAATGGATAAAATGTAGTACTTCTACACAATCAAGTACTATTCAGCCATAAAAAAAGAATGAGATCCTGTTATTCACAATAATATGAAATAAAACTAGAGGCCATTATGTTAAGTGAAATAAGCCAGGCAGAGAAAAACAAATATCACATGTTTTCACTTATTTGTGGGATCTAAAAATCAAAACAATTGAACTCATAGAGATAGAGAGTAGAAAGATAATTACAAGAAGCTGAGCAGCTTCTTGTAGGTGGTGGGAGGGAGGTAGGAATGCTTAATAGGGTACAAAAATGTTAATTATACTCATAGTTATCTTTAAGTGTACAATTAAATTATTATTGACTATAGTCACCCTGTTGTGCTATCAAATATGAGCCCCTGTTCATTTATTCTAAGGCTATAATTGGATTGTTTGTGACACAGAGATAAATACTTCAGGGGATGCATACCCCCTTTGGCATGATGTGATTGTTACTTATTGAATGCTTGTGTGACAGTATCTCATGTACCCCAAAAATATATACACCTACTGTGTCCCCACAAAAATTTCTTTAAAAACTTAAGAAAAGAAATTTCAACCAGGAATTTCATATCCAGCCAAACTAAGCTCCATAAGCAAAGAAAAAATAAGATTCTTTTCAGATAAGCAAATGCTACAGAAATTCAGCAGACCTGCCTTATAAGAGGTCCTTAAAGGAGTTCTACATATGGAAAGAAAAGAGCATTATAAGCCACCACAATAACATACTATGTACATAGACCATTGACACCATGAAGCAACTACAGTCAAGTCTGCTTAACAAGCTAAAAACATGACAGAATCAATTCCACAAACATTAATATTAACCTTGAACATAAATATGTTAAATGCCCCAACTAAAAGGCACAGAGTGGCAAGTTGGATAAAGATGCAGAACCCTTTGGGTATATACCCAGTAATGGGATTGCTGGGTCAAATGGTATTTCTGGTTCTAGATCCTTAAGGAATCGCCACACTGTCTTCCACAATGGTTGAACTAATTTACACTCCCACCAACAATGTAAAAGTGTTCCTATTTCTCCACATCCTCTCCTCTCCAGCATCAGTTGTTTCCTGACTTTTTAAGGATTGCCATTCTAACTGGCATGAGATGGTATCTCATTGTGGTTTTGATTTGCATTTCTCTAGTGACCAGTGGTGATGAGCTTTTCTTCATATGTTTGTTGGCTGCATAAATGTCTTCTTTTGAGAAGTGTCTGTTCATATCCTTCACCCACTTTTTGATGGGGTTGTTATTTTCTTATAAATTTGTTTAAGTTCCTTGTAGATTCTGGATATTAGCCCTTTGTCAGATGGATAAATTGCAAAAATTTTTCCCATTATAAATCATTCTACTTTAAAGACACATGCACACTTATGTTTATTGCAGCACTATTCTCAAGAACAAAGACTTGGAATAACCCAAATGTCCATCAATGATAGACTGGATTAAGAAAATGTGGCACATATACACCATGGAATACTATACAGCCATAAAAAAGATAAGTTCATATCCTTTTCAGGTACATGGATGAAGCTGGAAACCATCATTCTCAGCAAACTAACACAGGAACAGAAAACCAAACACCTCATGTTCTCACTCATAAGTGAGAGTTGAACAATGAGAACACATGGACACAGGGAGGGGAACATCACACACTGAGGTCTGTCGGGGGTTGGGGAGTTAGGGAAGGGATAGCATTAGGAGAAATACCTAATGTAAATGACGGGTTGATGGGTGCAGCAAACCACCATGGCACATGTATAACTATGTAACAATCCTACACGTTCTGCACATGTATCCCAGAACTTAAAATATAATAAATGTAAATATAGGCTGGAAAAAAATAGCCATTTTCTGTGACACCACAGTCACTTCACTTATGTGAACAATGTGGTCTGTCATTTCTATTAATTTCCACATTCCTTTTGTAAGCAATATTGACAAAGATAATTACTTTAAAGAATGGAAACTGCGTTTTGTCAAAAGGAGTGGGATGAAATAGTAGAAAATTTGCATTTTCTCCAAAATGATAATCTTATGAATTCTGGGTGGACTCCAGTTTTGGTTGCTAAAGGTTGTCAGTCTTTCTGGGTAAGAAGTATGACTGGAATTTATTCGAGTCTTTTTTTTAAATATTGAAGACATGGAGTCTAAACATTTTTCAATGTAGAATTCCAAGTTTTTTAATAATAAGGTAACTAGTATTAATTTTACAGTGTCAGTGGTCCTACGCAGTAAGGAAATTCAAATGGGGCCTGGCTTGACCAGCAAATGTAAAATGTCTCAAGTCCAAACAATTTAGCATGCCAAATATCACTGAGATTGCACGCTCTCTTTGGACCTTAACCTTGCTTCGATTCCTTTCGAACCTCAGTATCTCACAGTGTTTACATGTATGAATTCCAGAATCAGTCTGCAGGCATTCAGCTCCCAGCTCTATCATTTGTTAGCTATGGAACGCTGAGCAAGATACTAATCTTGTTTGTACCTCAATTTCCTCCCCTATAAAGTGGGGATAATTATAGGATGGGGACGAGGTTCGTGGGGATGGGGGTCAGTGGGCTCATGCCTGCCAAGGCTCTGACACAATGGTGGTGCAGGTGCACATGCATATTGGCGGGGAAGGGAAGGCAAGGTCAGCCTCTGCACACATGTGCCAGCAAAGAGATGTGGGTTGTGGTCGTGGGCAACTAACTTCGTGCAGGCAAAGACGCATGGGGGAGGTATCATAGAACTAGGGTAAGGCTTAAATGTAAAACATTTAAAACAGTATTTGGAACAGAGTAAATATATATGTAAGTGGTAGTTAACTTTTTCACAGAGTTCATTTCTGTCCATACAACATTAATTAATGTTTGTTTTAGATTAACAAACACTTCAATCTTCTTGTGCTTAATAAAGCATTATCCTCCTTGCTACCAGGTTACTGGCCTTTTTCTAAAAGCATTCTTTTGTTCTCTTGCTCCAATCTGTTTATTTTGGAGATAAATATTTCTCCACAGTTACCATATGCTTTCCATGAGTGGTGGTGCTATCTTTCTAACTAAATCATGGCTCCTCTTTTTTGTACTCAGGCAAACATCTTTGTTTACTGTAGTACTATTAACAGATGGTGGTGCCAGGCATCATTTTACCACAAACGATAAGAATATTTTGTTTGGTTCTAGCTTATCTAAAAAGTTGTTGTAAGAAGCTTAGCAATTATCACCATATCCAGAATCTTGCATGTCTTTTGTTATCCTTAATATACCAGAAACCATAGTTCATAATGTCTAGTACCTTCCTTTAAGAAAAACATCTCAAGGAAAACCTCTAAGATAATGATCTCTTTCAGTTATTTGATTTTCCGCATTGTGTAACTTCTGAAAGTAAAACAGTGTCTGGTCCTTGGATTGCTATTTACTAACAACAGTAGAAAATTGTATAGCACAGATTAATATCAATAACTAGTATGTTCATTGGATTTCTAAAAACCATGGCAAATAATAACAGCATTTTTTGTTATTTCTAAATATTAGAAAATGCTCTGAAATATTACTATGTTTCAGGTATCCTTTCTGAAAAATCTCTTGAAAATATTTACAAGTAAAATATAATTTGAATTCAACATGAATATGCCAATAATTTTAAATACTTCTGATTCCGAATGTAAGATATCTTCAGTGTTTTTTATTTCACGTAATTACGTCTATGTTAAATCTTTTTGTTGCCGGGCGCGGTGGCTCACGCCTGTAATCCCAGCACTTTGGAAGTACAAGGCTGGCAGATCACAAGGTCAGGAGTTCAAGACAAGCTTGGCCAAGATGTTGAAACCCTGTCTGTACTAAAAATACAACAAAAATTAGCTGGGCGTGGTGGCGGGTGCCTGTAATCCCAGCTACTCAGGAGGCTGAGGCAGAGAATTGCTTGAACCTGGGAGGTGGAGGTTGTAGTGAGCCTACATCGCGCCACCGCACTCCAGCCTAGGCGACAAAGACTGCATCTCAAAAGAACATCTTTTTGTTTATCTTTTTATGTTAAATCTTTCCTATGTTAAACTCTGACTCAAATGATTAAGAGTATCAACTTTATTTGAAAATAGGGTGACTAATTTATAAAGAATATAAATAATTTCACCAAGTGGCAAAGACAAGTTATATCAGAAGAGATGCCAATAAGAAAATAAAATTCCTGGACCTTTATTATTGCCTCAGGTGAAATGGATATTATACCCATGCACTCATTAATTAATTTCCCAAACACATACTGAAGGCTTCCTACAGCTTCATGACATCTGGCGTCAATATTTAAAAATGTATTCCTTAATAGACAGTGTTGACTTAGAAGTGTTATCCCAATAAATCTCAGTTAAGAGATAGAGTTTTGAAGCAGGATGTGCTTATTTAGTAATCGTTAAGATAATTTCTAAGTCTGTCAGAATGGCTTCTTTTTTTCTCTGAAATTCTATAAAGTAACTTTTGCAAATATTTTTCTCCCCAGTATATCCGGTTTAAGTTATCTCAAAATTATTAGAATTCTTATTTGAGAAATGAACAGCTTTTATTAGAAGCACAAATGTGTTAGAAGATATAAACTTTTCCAGATTTATAAAAGAAATTTTTTAATAAGATGTACTGTTAATAGTTTCAAACATAAAATCAGTTTTTCCCAAAGCTTTACTTCTCAGCCATTGAGTTGTCTAATCCAAGTGCTTCTGTAATTCCTACCATGTTTAATTACAAGTCATTTTCAGAAAATTTTCCCATTATTTCACTAGCATAATTGTCTACGAGACCTGCCTCGCCATGCTTTGGATCAGAGAAAAACAATGAAAAGCAACTTGCTAAACCTCAAGAAAGGGCTTTTAGTAATACAAATATCAGTAATTTTGGCTTGTCTAAGGAGACTAAACAAAATAAAGTACACGTTAGGAAATAGTCATAAGACTTTCAAGCTTCAGAAATATTTACTTAGGTTGTTTCGAAAGATTGAAACATAGCAAACACGTTCTTAGTTGAGTTCAGATTTCTTTTATTCTGGCTAAATCAAGCCGGAGTTAATAGTGCACAGGAAGTCAAACACTAGTTCTCACCCTTTTTTCCTATCCCCCAAACACATGACCATAACAAAATTTCATTAGTAAAAGAGGTTCATGAAAGCTCTATTCAGTGGGAAAATGGGGGAAGAGATAATCCAGTTAGGCTGTTATACCAATTCTTGCTTTTATTGGAAACATGTCTTTAGTTTGAGCCTTTCAGGTAAATCTGAACAACTTTCCTGTCCACATACATATCCTTACCAGCACTTTTTTAAAATTTATTTAATTTTTTGACACAGAGTCTCGCTCTGTCGTGAGGCTGGAGTGCAGTAGCGCGATCTTGGCTCACTGCAACCTCTGCCTCCCGGGTTCAAACAATTCTCCTGCCTAAGCCTCCCTAGTAGCTTGGACTACAGGCATGTGCCACCACACCCAGCTAATTTTTGTATTTTTAGTAGAGACAGGGTATCACCAGGTTGTCCAGGATGGTCTCGATCTCTTGACCTCGTGATCCGCCCACCTCGGCCTCCCAAAGCACCAGGATTACAGGCGTGAACCACTGCACCTGGCCCCTTACTAGCTCTTAAAAAGACGTTGAACAGGAAACGATTCTCCGCATTTGAACAAGTATCATTCGTTCTTTTTGAAATGAGATGCCCACATAGTACCTAAGTCCAAAAATCAAGTAGGTGGTGTGGTAGGCAGAGAAATGACTTCCAAAGATGTCCATATTTCAATCTTCAGAAATGTGAACACATTACTTTACATGGCAAAAGGGACATTGCAGATTTGATTAAGGCTAATGACATTGCAATGGGGAGATTATCCAGGATTATCCAAGGAGTCCAATCTAATTATAGTTTTTAAAAGCAGAGAATCATTCCCAGCTGTGGTGAGAAAGAGATGTGACAATAAAAGGAGAGGCAGAGACATGCAATGTTGCTCTCTTTGAAGATGGAGGAATGGATGCATGTGCGAAGGAATGAGGGATCCTCTCAAAGATTGAAAAGGCAAGGAATAGATTCTCCCCTGGAGTCTACAGAAAGGAACACAGTCCTACCAAAACCTAAAGATACCTAGATTTTAGCCCAGTGAGACCTGTGTCATACTTCTAATAACGGAACCGTAAGATGATAAGTTTGTGTTGTTTTCAGCCACTAAGTTTATGGTAATTTGTTATAGCATCAATGGAAAACTTATGTAGATGGTAATGAGATTTTGACTTTACTCTTGCTTAAGAAGTGTCAGACAGCTGCTAATCCCCTTTTATTTACTCAACTTGAATTTCAGGATATTACAAACTTACACTCAAACTTATTTGTAAGCAAATAACACCATTCTTTAACAATTATGTGGTTTGAACATTTTCATGGTGCTCAGTTACCAACTTTAAGTTTACTCAAAATTTCCCTAATAAAACAGAAATAATAATTTAGCCACCTGCAAAAAATTAGCATAGTCTCAATTTTTGTTTCCAAAGCAAGATAAGCACGATTTCGTAAGTATTTTTTTCCAAAATTCCCAAAATTACATGTAATATAGTATACCAGAACAATGGATAAAATAAAATTTTTAGTAACATCTGTTTACTAGTTTTTCACAGTCTGGGTCTCCAGAATCTTAAATGTAGTGGTCAAGTTGTGTATGCCCAGTTTATATTTTAAAACATACTTGGAGATATTATTTAATTTATGATTTCCAAATATAAGAAATTTATTTATGAACCATGACTAAAATGAGAATATACCTACATATTGAAAATATAATTAAGAATACATTAAGAATATATATGTATATTACTTGAGAAATATACTCCATAGAAAGCTCACCCCAAAGCAAATGTGCAGTTTCTGTCCTGTACAGTTTCTGTGTCCCCATCCAGGGACAGTTGATGTGATTGGAGACCATGAAGTAGGAGTGATTCACTGCTTCCTCCCTTTGCCTGGTTGCCAATTGAACGAACATTTACATACACAAACACCAAGGTTGAAGTAGCCCTTTTATTAATACAAAATGTATGTTGGTAAAATTGGAGGAGGAAAGAGAAATCATGTATGAAAAATTTTAAAACTCTTTCAAATGATAATCTAGAGTGGATTGTGCTGTTATTTAACATAGTTTTTTGGAAATCTAATAACTTTTCAACCCCAGAAGAGAGATAACAAAAAGTAATCATATGTACCATACACATTTTAATAAGTAGTGAGCCATTATAAGAACCTCTGTTATAATTTCCTTGATATAGGGTTTTAAAGCCTTTTTTCCATAAATATAGAAATAAATAATTAAGAACTTCCTAGTGATAATAATTCCAATAGCACTTTGTGATGTGGAAATTGACACCAATATTGCAGCTTCTATACAATTCATTCATTGTTAGGATTTAGGCAGGAGACAGAAATCATATCAATTATTGAGCAGAGAGAATTTAAATAAAGATTTGTTAACTGAGTATGAAGTTATTAACTAAGTAACTAAGAGGTTAAAAGAAAAGAGCACTAAAAGATCATGAAGGCAGCAACTCTAGGAAGTAGGTAGTACCCTGGGGCTGGAGGAATAAAAGGAAGAAGCTGGACATGTGGCTCCAGGACCCGAGAGCTGGAGTGAAGAGGGAGATCTGCACAGTTGATGATTGTGTGAGCTCAGAGGAGAGCCCCATGTGCCTTTGACCCAGATCCCTGAGGACTGGACACTGGCTAGTTGGTGTCCCTAAGGAGGAAGGATAAGACCAATTCTACAGGTGTTGAGCAAACAGCAAACAGCGTTCTGATATTGCCTCAGAAGGAATTGACACATGCAGACAAGTACAGAGATGCTGCTCACAGAAATGGCAAGTATCCAGAAAGCAAATAGGGAGGAGCAAGTCCCTTTCTCCTCCTCCAGGCTTGGAGTCTCAATCTCACATCCCTTTTGGCAGAATTTAACAGCGAGCTAGCTCCAGCATCGCAAAGCAGGGTAGAGACGGTGAGTTTGAAATTGAGACAATAATTTAATACGTGGCACTGAATTCAATCAAAAGCACCTATTATTGACAATATTTAAAATATTTACACTTTTTAGACTCCAACCAAATGGAAGACCTGTTTTGTTCATGCTGTACCATCAGCCTACAATTCTCTTCCTCTTTGTTTTTACCTGTGCATCTTTCCCATAAATCTAATCCAGCATCATGACACCAGCCTCCATAATCACCCAACAAAAAGCTTTTTCTTCCTTCGGGGGACTCCTATAACATTTTGTTTCCATGTCTTTTGTGATATCACTTTCCATTACGTATTACGGTTGTTTAGAAACATTTTTAGATCTCCTTATAGGAAGGGTCTGTGGCTTATTCTTCTGCTTAGTATAGTGTCTGAAAGCAGTAGGTGTTGACAGAAGAACGGATTCTCCCATGTCCAAGGACCCAGATTACTGTAGATTTACAGGGATTTGGAGTGACTCAGGACCCTCTTTTAATCCCTCAGCATCAAAACCCTGCTTGGAGAGGAAGGAGATTCACTCTCCTTTCTTTCCCACAGAGAAGCACTGTTATAACTTGTATACTGTTATCCTTTTAGAGGAAAATAAATTTGCTCCTAATTCACCCTGTGGAACCACTTTATATTTTGTTTGGAGAGAGAGAAACTTGTAGAAACCCCATTCTAATTTGCATTTTTCCTGGAATCAGGCATAAACAAACACCATGAACACTCAGAACATTATATTTGCTGATGAGATACCTTTATAATACAAAAACCGAAGGGAAAAGATTAGTAGAAAATATTGACAATGCATGTGGAAAACGTAAATGCTATCAAACATTAAACAACATCAGCATTTGGAAGAGAAAAAATATAACAATGATAGTATCAGAATGTCATAAAATGAATCACTGGGTTTTGTAAGTTATAAATTACTACATGTGTTTGCATTTGTTTGTGCTCTAATACTCCTTTTATGCTTATATTTTAAAAATTAATATTTATGTGAGTCATCATAAAAGAGAACTGCTTCTTTTTCATTCACTGATTCCATAAATACTTATTAAGCACTTACTAGTTTTCAGAACATGATTAGGCATTGCAAAGAGAGTTGTCAACACAGAGCTTGTACCTTCACAAAACTTTGATTCTGAGGTAATATTCAAGTTAGCACAATATTCAGAATAATATAACATTCATTATAAAATGTGCAAAAATTAAAGTTATAGGAAACATTAAAGATATACTTCCCTGAGGGTGTACCAAATCTTTGGAGTTGGGAGTAGAAGAGTGAGCGCATCAGATATTACGTGTATTATTTATCAATAAGGAGACAGGGTTTTAAAAGGGTTGTGGAAAAGGTTTCACTTGGTAGACTGAGATGGAAACAGAGGACACTTTTTAACACATAGTAGAGATTTTGAGAATTAGTAAAAATCTTGAGGCATTTTTACATCAATAACTTTCATTACCAGACTTGGAAAAGTTGAAACAGGAGAGTTCCTTGACCCCCCTCACAGAACACACAACAGGGGTGTGGCTTATCTGTTAGGTCTCCCCTACCACTCAAACCCCTTACAGGAGGGGAGCATGCAGACAGGCAAGTGCAGGAGCTGGAGCAAGAGCCCCTGGGCTCCAGCCCCACAGCATCCGGGGGTGGGAGCCTGTGACTCTTAAAGGCCAAATGGCATGTATTACAATGCGTTCTTTCAGTTTTACCATCTGCTGACGGCTTAAGTGTTAACCAGCTCTGTGCCCTCTTGGTACCCAGTTCCTTGTCCGACATTCAGGAGGTGTCAGGTCACACATGGACTTGAAGAATGAATGTGGGGTTTTATTGAGTGGTGGAAGTGGCTCTCAGCAGGATGGATGGGGAGCTGGAAGGAAAATGGAGTGGGAAGATGATCTTCCCCTGGAGTTTGGCCGCCTAGCAGCTGATTTCCTCTTTGACAGTCCTCAGTCAAATTCCCCTTAGCATTCAGATGCTCTTTCTCTTCTCTCTGCTATGCCATTCTACTGTCCTTCTGCTCTTCTGTTCATCTCCTTATCTCTCTCTGGAGCCAGGGGCTTGGGGTTTATATGAGTATGGGATTGCAGGGGGTGCTGTGGTAGGCCAAAAGGCAACTTTAGGGTGCAAAACCAAGAATGCCTGTTCCCATTGAAGGCCATGGGTATCCTGGCTTGAGGGTGGGGGCCTTTGCCAGGGAACCGCCCTCTGCTCAGCAGAGCACTCAACTTGGCATACCTTTTCTTTTCTCCCCAAACTCTTAAGGAAACTTCTTTTTCTTGGCAGCCCAAACATTTTCTACAATGTTAACTAGACATTTACATAAAAAGTTTGTTCTGTTAGAAAAGTAAAAGCAATAGTTTGGATTACGTAATGATCTTTTTTATTCACAAAAAAGTACCTAAGTTAAACTATTTGGCTAAGTTTAAAGATACTTGGTGATTGCCTCTAGAATTGCAGACTCAACATACCTAAAAATAAGAATCAGTCTCCAAAGGTTTTGCCAACTCAGTGCAACCCAGTGATTAAAAGTCTTCAAACAAAAACATACCCTATTTCCTACATTTTAAAAATATGTATTTTTCACATTTTGGCATACCTGATGTTGGAATTTACCTTAAAAATATCTGCCTATGTAATCTATTCTCATTTCATTGGGACATCTTATACCTAATTGTTGCCCAGCATATAAAAAATTATGACACATGACTGAATAAAAACCAAATAATTCTTTTAAAACAGTGATTATTAATAAAAACACATAGCTGCTTATATTTAAGTGATGACATAAGAATAAAAAATATATGGCCAGAAAAATAATAAAGCAAGTGTTCTAAAATTTTAAATCTTTAATGAGTGAGTATGAAAATAAGATTATAACACATACATATCTGCATAATGGACAGTGAGTTTTTCCAGAAAATTAAATTCATTATCCATTTGTATTAAGTAACATTGCTATGAAAAATAAAAGTAATTTGTATAAAACTAAGCAATTTCTTACATCAGCCAAGGATTCCATTACTAGGGACTTAACTAACATTTAAATATTAGACTAAAGAATTGGTGTCACTGTTCTTTAGTGATATGATAGTATAACTAGAAAGCTTAAACACTCATCCAAAAAGCTTCTAGATTTGATAAATGCATTCAGTAAAGTTTCAGGATACAAAATCAATACATACAAATCACTAGCATTGCTGTACACCAACAGCAACCAAGCTGAGAATCAAATCAAGAACTCAACCCCTTTTATAACAGCTGCAAAAAAAAAAAAACAACAACAAAAAAAAAACAGGAATATACCCAACCAAGGAGATAAAAGATATTTACAAGGAAAACTACAAAATACATCTGAAAGAACTCATTGATGACACAAACACATTGAAACACATTCTATGCTTATGGATGTGTAGAATCAATATTGTGAAAATGACCATACTGCCAAAAGCAATTGGTAAATTCAATGCAATCCCCATCAACGTAACCATCATAATTCTTCACAGAACTAGAAAAAACAATCCTAAAATTCATATGGAACCAAAAAAGAGCCTGTACAGTCAAACAAGACTAATCAAAAAGAACAAATCTGGAGGCATCACATGACCTGACTTCAACCTATACTATAAGGCTATAGTTACAAAAACAGCATGGTACCAATATAAAAATAGGCATGTAGAACAACGAAACAGAATAGAGAACCCAGAAATAAAGCCAAATATTTACAGCCAACTGATATTCGACAGAGCAGACAAAAACATAAAGTGGAGAAAGGACACCCTATTCAACAAATAGTACTAGCATAATTGACAAGCCACATGTAGAAGAATTAAGCTGGATTCTCATTTCTCACCTTATATAAAATCAACTCAAAATGGATCAAAGACTTAAATCTAAGACCTGAAACCATAAAAATTCTGTAAGATAAAGCCAGAAGAACCCTTCTAGACATTGGTTTAGGCAAAGAGTTTATGCAACAAAAACAATGATAAATAGATGGTACCTAATTAAACTAAAAAGCTTCTGCACAGTGAATAAATAATCAGCAGATTAAACAGACAATCCACAGAGTGGGAGAAAGTATTTACAAACTATGCATCCAACAAAGGACTAATACTCAGAATCTACAAGGAACTCAAACAAATAGGCAAGGAAAAATCATAATCCCATCAAAAGTGGGCAAAGGACATAGACAATTCTCAAAAAAAGATATACAAATGGCCAAAAAACATCAAAAAATGCCCAACATCACTAATTATCAGGGAAATGCAAATTAAAATCACAATGAGATATTGCCTTACTCCTGCAAGAATAGCAATAATTAAAAAATCAAAAAATAACAGATGTTGGCAGGGATGTGATGAAAAGGGAATACTTTTACACTGCTGGTGAGAATGTAAACTAGCACAACCACTATGGAATATGGTATGGAGATTCCTTAAAGAACTAAAAGTAGAATTACTGTTTGATCTACCAACCCCGTTACTGGGTATCTACCCAGAGGAAAAAAAAATGTCATTATATGAAAAAGACACTGGCACACATTTATAGCAGCACAATTCGCAATTGCAAACATATGGAACCAGCCTAAATGCCCATTAACCAATGAGTGGATACAGAAAATGTCGTATATATATGCTATGGAATACTACTCAACCATAATAAGAAACAAAATAATGGCATTCACAGCAACCTGGATGGAGTTGGAGACAATTGTTCTAACTTAAGTAACTCACAAACGGACAACCAAACATCGTATGTACCCACTTATAAGCGGGAGCTAAGCTATGAGGATGCAAAGGCATAAGAATGATGTAATGGATTTTGAGATCTTGAGAGGAAGGTTGGGAGGAGGTGAAGGATGAAAGAAAAAAATAAAGAATTGATGTCATTGTGCAAATGATATAGTCCACAAGTAAAATCCAAGATTTGTTCTTAATGTCTTTAATAAATCATAAATGGAATACAGAAAACCAGAAATGCCCTTAATTTGTAAAAAATGGGAATCAATGTAACTGATTTGATTTTGCATAAAGTTTTACAATCAAAATATAAAATATTACTTTGATGAAAAACTCTGAATCTTTATATCTGGGGTCAACTCTAGGAAAAACAGCAGATAGTCAATTCAGTCTTTCACTTCACCTCCTACCTCCACCATGAACACCATCCCTGCTTGCTTTTTATAGAGGGAATGTGTTTTTTATTATTAAACCTTAATGAAGAAGAAAATCCTGCCATTTAGTTAACATGGGGGTGAACTTTGCAGACATTATGCTAAGTGAAATAAGTCAGACAGAAAGACAAATACCTGTACTAAATGATCTCAGTTATATATGAAATCTAAAATAATCAAACTCATAGAATCAGAGTTCTGCTGGATTTTGCCAGGGGCTGGAGGGAGGGGGAGACGGAGAGATGCTGGCCAAATGCTACAGACTTTCAGATATCCAGTATGAATAAGTTCTGGGGAGCTGATGTACAACATTGTGACTATAGTTAACAATGTTGTATACTTGAAATTTGTTAAGAGGGTGGATCTTAAGTGTTCTCACCACAAAAAAAATAAATAAATAAATAAAAAAGAAGCCCAAAAGTAGAAAAGAAAATGGATACTATGTGGTATAATGGATATGTTAATTAGCTTGATTGTGGTGATTGTTATTACTGTTATTTATTTTTTATTTAATTTTTTGAGACGGAGTCACACTGTCACCCAGGCTGGAGCACAGTGGGCATCATCTTGGCTCACTGCAACTTCTGCCTCCTGGGTTCAAGCGATTCTCCTGCCTCAGCCTCCCAAGTATTTGGATTACAGGCACCCGTGTCCATGCCCAGCCAATTTTTTGTATTTTTAGTAGAGATGGGGTTTCACTATGTTGGCCAGGCTGGTCTCAAACTCCTCATCTCGTGATCCGTCCACCTCGGCCTCCCATAGTGTTGGGATTACAGGCGTGAGCCACCGCGGCTTGCCTGTGGTGATTATTTCACAATGTTTACATGTATCAAAACATCAAGTTTTGATTGATATGTATATGTATATATATATATATATATATATATATATATATATATATACACACACACAACTTCTATTGGCCAATCATACCTCAATAAAGCTGGGGAAAAAAATGAAAAAAAAAAAAAACAAGATACTTCAGCACAGCCCAGGGAAGAGGAAATATAGTGTGAGACACATAACAGAGAATAATCCAAACTGAAAAAAGAAGTTGCTGTTATTTGAAAAGCAAAACAAAAGTCACCATTATATTAAAACAGGTTTTATCAATTTCAACAGAGGAAAAGTTATACATTTATATCAGAACTCCACTATGTAGTTTTTTAAATGCATTTTGCTATTTGTAATTATGCTTAAAATTCTCTAGTAATTGTTAGTTATAATCCTATAAAATGGATCAATAATTTTTAATAAATGTTTTCTATTATATTTATGAAATCATGTGTTAAATCATTTTTTAGGCATTGCTTTAAATACATCTTCGAACTTGATCATAACTTACAATTTTAGCCAAAACATTATGCCCAGAGCAGGCAGACCTTCAAAATATGGTGCATTCGTAGTATTTCCATAATGCAAACCAGAAATAGTTGCCAGTTGATTATTAATACCAATTTGTTGAGTCACAGAGAAAGTTGTCGCTGTGTCTCTTCCTTTCATAAGCCACAAGTTGTCATAGAAACCGATGACAGAACCTTTTTTAGAGGCTCAGAAGATAAAACAAAAGAGAAATATAGCTTTCTATGGCTGATCTTTCTTAAACGTTTACTATGTGCTGGACATAGATTTAAATCCTCAAAATAACCATATATAATTCTTATTTAAGGGTGAAGAAACAGGCATGGAAGTTTTACATGTTCATCCAGGTTCACATAGTTAGAGAGTGATGAATCAGCTTTAAACCCAAATACCATCAAAATATAGCTTCAAAATTCATTCTTCACAATGTAACCATCGATCCAGAGAATGTAGATTTCATCTTAAATATTCTACAACTAGTTATGTAATAGTGATAATTTTGTAATTCTCCTTATGATTTAAAGTAAATGAATACGTTTATTTCTTCAAAGAATAATAAAACACTGAACACATTTCTAAAAGTCAAAAAAATAAATTCAAAATATTAGTTATAAATAAATGTGTTGTAGAATCTGGCACTAAAATCAGTTGTTGGCCAATCTCTCCTAAAGTTTGTACAGGTGATCAAATAATATTTCAAACATTTATTTATAAATAGAAGACATGTTTATGCAGAAAAGATAATTTAAAAAGCTGTTTGTCTATATGAAGATTTTAAGTATAGGTACAGTGTAAGGGTGAGTTTAAGCAACATAAACTGCAGCTTCCCAATTGCAAGTTACTTTCCTACATAAGCTTCTATTTTCTAGAAATAGCAATAGAATTATTAATTCAGTTTTTGAATTGGACATCTTAACAAGATCAATATATCCCAGTGAAATGCCATCTATTTTTACTGTATTTTCTAAAAATATATTTTTTAGAAGGCTAGAAAAGTTGGTAAGATGGGAAAAGAGTTTTGCTACCTGGAAGGTTTCCAGTCTTTCGGTGGCATAATTTATTAAAAAGGCCACTAACTCAAACATGTTTTAAAAATAGGGGAGTTATTATCTTAACTCTGATGCCAAATAACAGTGTTTGGTAAGCCATCAAATTAGTCTTAGCTTCCATTTCCTCCACAGTGAAACATGTAAAACACTTGTGTTGCTCTTTCCCATCGGGAATACTGGTCCTCACCCTCTTCCCAACTTCTCCTTCGTAAGCTTAGAAAATTACATATAAAGTTTAACTCAAATACCCCCTTTTATTTCTTTAGCATTCATTAGACCTCACTTTTACCATTTTAAACTGGTTTAACGGCTGTATTACAATCCCACTTTATGCATACCACTTTTTTAATACCTATATAATACATACAATATAAAAGGATTTTATTACATTTATCTCCTGATAAATAAAAGCTCCTTGAGGAAAAAAACAAACTTACCATTCTCTCATAGTCTCTAACTTTAAGTATAAAATAAGTTTTAATATCATAGTATTGGTAGTATAATAGTAATAGCAATATCCAGATGCTAAAAAGAATAATTATAAAATTACATAATATAATCATTCCTTTTCCTTTTTCTAGGAGAAATTTGATTTCCTGATTTCCTAAATGTTAGTGACTCTCAGTAGGTCAGTGCCTATACATTACAGCTTCATAGGAAGGTTTTTTTTTTTTAAATGCCATTGTGGGCTCCCAGAACAGCTCTGCTAAATTGCTATGTGCATATATATATATATATATATATATTTTTTTTTTTTAATGAAAGTAGGTGGGGAAGCCAGCTTCAAATGTTTTCAAAGCTTCCCATGTACTGGGAATACACAGCCAGGACTGAAGATGTGATACATGGAAGCACTGAATCACTGCCCTGCATTTATAGAAGGGTTGGAGTGGGGAAGATGAAGTGAAGGGATAGAGACTCACATATGGTTTAATTTTGAGTTAGTTAATTGGGCATGTTTATGAAAACAAAAAGAATAATTCAAATTTTAAATTATTATACCATAATTTATACAATTTTGTTTATGCTTTTAAGAGGACAGGCTATGTAAATCAGTATCCCACTTTTGGAGTTATGTGAGCTTATCCAGTTCACATTCAGTTGAGCTCTTTTCACCGATGAATATTTAACTAAAACATTTTCTCTTCCCACCAATAGTTCCAATAAATGTTGTTTTATAAATGGCAAATTTTACAATAAAAAATAAATATAGAAAAGATATTGCAAAACAAACTTTTAAAATTTCAAATATTTTATTTGTAGTTTCATATGGCAAACACTAGTCTTCCCTCTGCCCTCTGTGCCTTTTGAAATTTGGGTACAATTTGTTTGCAATAAAAAACGAGAACGTGTTCTCCGTACTTGTGTCACCCAGTCTCTTGACCAGGGTATTTCATTAATTAAGTCAGTTTTTAAAATTCCTAGCTTCATTTTTTAAGGGTTAGGCTTCATCTGGACCAACGTTTCTCTTAAGGAATGAAACTACTACATAAAAATCATACACGTTTCCTAGTTTCCCTGAGGCCTGTGACCTGCTGGATCAGAACTGACCATGTTCTTTCCTCTTTGATCTAATAACAACCTTGATAGGCTTTTGTTATCCTACTGACAAGACTTTATTTTTTCACACTTATTTAAGGTGTTGGAGGTGTTTCTCCCTGTATTAACTTCCCAAGGAAAAGCACATATAACTCAGCACATGGCACACACCCTAGCACATAGGATTCAATATCTATTGTACTTGAGACTGCACAAATAAATAAAATTCTGATTATCTGCTTCTTTCTTCTCCCCATGCATCACTCTTCTTGATCTAAATTAATAGATTTTTATTTTTTTCAGTAAAAGTCATCTAACTGTACTATATGTTACATATATATACACACACACACACACAACACACACACACTGTATAATTCTACTTTATATATGTTTTTCCTTTTTGACCTGTCTTTATTTTTTCATATAAAATTCCACAACATTGCATGAGAATAATTTGATTCCTTACCATGGTATTAGGGTTTATAGACTGCAGTGTTTCATTTTTAATCCAATGATTTGCAAAATTTTTATTTCAAGGAAAATAAGAAATATTGACCAGAAAAATAGAAAATGATATTAAAAAACTCTGGTTCACATTTATTCTTTATTACATTAAAAATGAAATTGATATATTAATGGCTATAGAGTTTTGAGTGGAAATGTTATGACCCAAGAATTTTTTTATTTTACCTTGAAATCTTGTTTGTTCGACTTATGAAGAAAAAGAGAATCATTATCAGATATGTAAGGACTCAGGAAATATTCTACCTTTGGGCCCAAGCTGAAAATATTTCTCAAACATGTATTGACAATTTAAAACCCTCTCTATATGTGTCAAAACATCCCTTTGTACCTCCATAAATATGTACAACTATATGTCAATTAAAAATAAAACTTTTTAAAAATTGTATTGACCATTAAAATCACTTAAATATGGAATTAAAACTAAATAGTTGCTGTGTCTATAATGTCAAAATTATATAAATGTTAAAAAATTTGTAAAGAAATGCATAAGTTGCAACACTTAATAATTTTATTAAAAACTATTTTAAACGTAAGACTATACTAACAAGAACAGGAAACACAGGTGATCAATACAAGGAAGATAATATCCTCAGATAATAAGTGAAATAAGAATTAGATAATAAGTAAAAGATTAGTTCAACACATTTTTCAAAACTGTGTGGTTAACAAAGAATGTAAAGAAAACATTAATTTATCCTGCATTACTATTGTAAAATTTTAAAAGAGAAAGAAAAAACTTGAGACAAAAAATACAAAGTACAGAGAAAAAAATGAAAGTACAAAAATAGTGAATGAGTTGACATAAGTAAAAATTGCTAAATCTGTCACTGCAATATATACAAATGATTTTAATCTCCTACCATGGCCAGGTGCAATGGCCTTCACCTGTAATCCCAGCACTTGGGGTAGCCGAGGCAGGCAGATCACTTGGGGTCAGGAGTGCTAGACCAGCCTGTCAACATGGTGGAATATTGTCTCTTCTAAAAATACAAAAACAAGCTGGGTGTGGTGGCGGGCGCCTGTAATCCCATCTACCTTGGGAGGCTGAGGCAGGAGAATGGCTTGAACCCAGGAAGCAGAGGTTGCAGTGAGCTGAGATGGTGCCAATGCACTCCAGCCTGCCAATAGCCCATCTCAAAAAAAAAAAAAAAAAAAAAAAACCTTACCAAAAGACAAGGACTCTTAGCTTGGGTCCACATACAGACATGCACACACACACCCCTACAACCATCTGACCTTTGCCAAACCTGACAGAAATAGCAATGGGGAAAGGATTGCCTATTCAGTAAATGGTGCTGGGAAAACTGGCTAGCTATATGCAGAAAACCGAAACTGGACCACTTCCTTACACCTTATACGAAAATTAACTCAAGATGGATTAAAAACTTAAATGTCAAACCCCAAACCATAAAAACCCTAGAAGAAAACCTAGGCAATACCATTCAGGACATAAGCATGGACAAAGACTTCATGACTAAAACACCAAAAGCAATTGCAGCAAAAGACAAAATTGACAAATGGGATCTAATTAATCTAAAGAGCTTCTGCACAGCAAAACTATCATCAGAGTGAACAGACAACCCATAGAACAGGAGGAATTTTTGCAATCTACCCATCTTACAAAAGTCTAATATCCAGAATTTACAAGGAACTTAAACAAATTCACAAGATAAGAACAACCCCATCAAAAAGTGGGCAAAGGATATGAACAGACACTTCTCAAAAGAAGACATTTATGCAATCAACAAACACATGAAAAAAAGCTCAACATCACTGATCATCAGAGAAATGGAAATTAAAACCACAATGAGATACTATTTCACATCAGTCAGAATGATGATTATTAAAAAGTCAGGAAACAATAGATGCTGGTGAGGCTGTGGAGAAATAGGAACGCTTTTACAATGTTGGTGGGAATGTAAATTAGCTCAACCATTGTGGAAGACAGTATGGAGATTCCTCAAGGATCTAGAAACAGAAATACCACTTGACCCAGCAATCCCATTACTGGGTATATACCCAAAGGAATATAAATCAATCTACTGTAAAGACATATGCACACATATGTTTATTGCAGTACTATTTACAATAGCAAAGACATAGAACTGACCCAAATGCTCATCAATAATGGACTGAATAAGGAAAATGTGGTACATGTACACCATGGAATACTAAGCTGCCATAAAAAGGAATGAGATCACGTCCTTTTCAGGGACACGGATGAAGCTGGAAGCATCATTCTCAGCAAACTAACACAGGAAGAGAAAACCAAACACCACATCTTCTCACTCATAAGTGGGAGTTGAACAATAAGAACACAGGAGAACAACACACACCAGGACCTGTTGAGGGGTAGGTGGGTGAGGGGAGGGAACTTAGAGGACAGGTCAATAGGTGCGGCAAACTACCATGGCACACGTATACCTATGTAACAAGCCTGCACGTTCTGCACATGTATCCTGGTTTTTTTTTTAAGAAGGAAAAAAAAAGACAAGGACTCTTAGCTTGGGTACACACACACACACAGAGACACACACACAAACAGGTTGTGAAAATATGTACGAAGAAAATACACAATAAAATAAAATAGGAATCTTAAAAGGAATAGGTAGTAATGTAGGATTCTGGGGAAATAAGCAAGGAAGAGATTTTTTAAATAAAACATAAATTTGCCTACAACAGTGATTAAGCTTTATAAATAACATAGCAATAAAATTGAACAAAAAGATTTAGATACAAGAAATATCCATAGAAATAATGCTGTAGTACACAGAACAAGTATGTAAAAAGTAAATTCCAATATAAAGGACTATATGGAAATTAAAATTTTTAAAATAAGAATATTTTACCTAAAAGCTTTTGGAGGAAACAGGAAACTATGCTGCAATCATAAGATACTTAGAATTTTTTTTTTTTTTTTTTGAGATGGAGTTTCACTCTTGTCACCCAGGCTGGAGTGCAATGGTGTGTTCTCGGTTCACTGCAACCTCCGCCTCTCCAGTTCAAGTGATTCTCCTGCCTCAGCCTCCAGAGTAGCTGAGATTACAGGCATCCACCACCCTGCCTGGCTAATTTTTTTGTATTTTTAGTAGAGACGGGGTTTCACCATGTTGGCCAGGCTGGTCTCGAACTCCTGACCTCAGATGATCCACCTGCCTTGGCCTTCCAAAGTGTTAGGATTACAGGCATGAGCCAAGTTTTTAAAAAACTTTATATAAAATAAGAATAATGCTCAAAGTATTTCTCAGAATCAAATCTATAGCCATAAAAGTTACTTATTAAATGAAAGAACCTAGATAATAAAATATAGAACAAAAATATAAGGAACGTAAGGAGTAAATAAAAATAACTGAATAAATAAATAACAAAATAGTTGAATATACAAAAATAAACTTGAGAACACAGACTTTGAATAAAAATGGTTTACAGTTATACACACAAGCTTAAAGTAGTATAATCGACAACAGAAAAATAAGATAATAAAACTAAGGGCATGAAATACAGATAATAAGAGTTCAAATTATTGCAAAATAGTATGCATACATATAATATAAATAAAAGTATGTTATTTATTTAATGTATAAATATAGTAAATAAATAAAAATTTTACTGGAGAGGAAGAAAGCAGGAAAACATGAATTTATATATCTGTGCATTGTTTTCTCTAAAATAAGACTCATAGGAATTTTGAATTCATTTATCAAGTAAAGAATTCTGAATATATATATATACGTATATATATCACATTATAAACATATATATACATATATATCGCATTGTAAACTTTTTTTTTTTTTTTAAGAAAGAGAGTCTTGCTATATTGCCCATTGTGGCCTCGAACTTGTGGGCTCCAGATGTCTTCTTGACTGAGTCTTTTTGAGTAGTTGGGACCACAGACACACACCACTATGCACAGTTATATGCATTATTTAAAATCTTTTTCATAAAAATTAAAATTAAAACTAGATTTTTTTTCCTCCTGTTATTTTAATAGCCACCCTAACTCTTATTGTAACAATGTAAGTAATAATGAAAAATAAATCAGAAAGATAGATATTTGAATATTTCAAGTACCCTTGAATAAAAATTTTTCTGGAGAGGAAGGAAACAGAAAAACATAAAATTATGTATCTGTGCATTTTTTTCTTTTCCCTAAAATAAGATTTATAGGAATTTTGAATTCTTTTCTCAAGTAAAGAATTCTGAATATAAATAAAATTTAAAATAGCAAAACTTAATAAACAAAATCAAAATAGTATTATTCTTTAAAAATTGAATATAACCTTAGAAATACTTTTTAATACTATTTTCAATCATAGATGTGATTGACTTTGTCAGAACTTACTCTCAGGTCACCAAACCATGCTATACAATATACTGAATATACTACACATTGAAGTGGGTATTCAACCACAAGTAGATCTGAACTTGGAGAGTTTTATATCTAGTATTTTGCCACTAGAGAGCTGAGATAGCAATAATAAATTGGGTTTTGACCTAATGTGGCAAAAATACAGGACTGTCATATCTAGAAGAGACTTTGGAGGATCAGAAAAAAAAACCTGATCGTTCAGAAACATGTTTTAAAATACACCATAGAACAGGTTTCTATATTAGCTGAAATTTCAAAATGAATTCACTAGCCACTTAAGTACATTGTGTTCTTTCTAAAATATCTGACTTCAAGTTTTCACTTCTAAATTTTAACTTTATGAATACAGAAATATTAAACATCCAGATGCAGACATTCAGAGGTTCCCATCTGTCTCATGTTTTCCATCAAGGAGCCATTTCAGGTTTCCAGGAACTCCATAGTAATATATTATATGTGAGGGGGTAGACAGATGCCAAACCTCTGTCTGCAGAGACAACTGTTTCAGGAGAAAGAAACAGAAACAGAGTTTGCTAGGTTTCCATGCCTGAAAGTCCAAGGAGTTGGGCTGAAATTTGATCTTTGTATAACTAAAACCACTGGGTAATATTTAAAAAGCAAAATGTGGGCTTTAAATGACATTTCATATGCTGACTCTAGAAAACAGAAATAACTTCTGGGTGTCCAGGCAGGACATCTAAAGTCTTTAACAAATGGTAAATCACAAATCAAGTCAAACATGGGATCAAGAATAAAAATACAAGGACACTGTATTATTATGGGGATTAAGTCTTTAATCTCCTAGAAATCTGTTTTTCTGTTGTTGTTAAGAAGCATACACACCATAGACAAAGCATATTATTCAAGATTTTGTCCTCCAAAGTGAAGTCTTTTATGTTCCCAAGACATAAATCGGAGATTTCTCTTTTTTAAAAAAAAATAAAAGGCTTTTAAAAGTCAGGCCACCACAGTGGTTCACACCTGTAATCCCAGCACTTTGGGAGGCTGAGGTAGGCGGATCACTTGAGGTCAGGAGTTTGAGACTAGCCTGGCCAACATGGTGAAACCCCATCTCTACTAAAAACACAAAAATTAGCCGGGCATGGTGGCACAAGCCTGTAATCCTAGCTACTGGGGAGGCTGAGGCAGGAGAATCACTTGAACTTGGGAGATAGATGCTACATGCCACTGCACTCTAGCCTGGGCAACAGAGTAAGACTGTGTCTCAAAAATAAATAAATAAATAAATAAATAAATAAAATAAATAAATAAAAATAAAAAGTCATATTCCACATAAGTATATTTTTCTAAATATAAAAGTAAATATTATCAGCTATCAGAGTGTAGTGTATACAAAGTTCCTGTCTTGCATATAGTCTTACTTTAATTCACCTTCATTAGACTGCCAAAATTTTAAAGACAAAATTTCACAGCCTTAGTATATTTATTATGCTAACAGAAGTTCACCTATGCACTTTTCACTCCTCTTAAATTAAATTTGTACTTAAAGATACAGGGAATTAGAGCTAGAGGCATCCTTGAAATAATCTCTACGACCATTTTATTATTAATTGTCTCTAAATGCTACCAGAAAAGATGTGTCAGGGAAAAATCAAGTAAGGTGATTAAAATATTGATTAAAAACAATTTGATTTTCCTCTTGCTGTAGGAGGCAAGCTGATGCTGCAACCATTTTGGAGAGTTGAGCCTCTTTCTTGTCTCTTTCTGGCTCAAAATGGGAAAAGGTAAATGAGAAGTCTCAGAACTGCAGTTTGGCTTGTTGATTAGCTGGTCACTGTCCTCAGGCAACCAATCCCAATATGATCAAGGGCTGGCCCTGTTAGAGAATCTACCTGCTACAGCCATCACTACTGCAGTCTGTGTGAAAGACACAGCCCTCTACCCTGGGCTCTTGGCCTCACATAAAACTTCTTTACTGGCCTGATTTTCATTTATCTTAATTACAGTCCCCTAGCCCTGGGACTATCACACTCATCCAAAGTAAGTAATTATAAAATGTCGTGAACTGAATGTATATGTCTCCTCAAAATTCACATGTTGAAGCTCTAACACTCATTGTGGTGATATTTGAAGATGGGACTTTGAGAAGTTATTAGGTTTAGATGAGGTCTTGAGGGTGGGCCCCCCAAGATGGGATTAATGGCCTTTTAAGAAGAGAAAGACCATTTAATAAACGGTGCTGGAAAAACTGGCTAGCCATATGTAGAAAGCTGAAACTGCATCCCTTCCTTGCACCATATACAAAAATTAATTCAATATGGATTAAAGACTTAAATGTAAGACCTAACACCATAAAAACCCTAGAGGAAAACCTAGGCAATGCCATTCAGGACATAGGCATGGGCAAGGACTTCATGTCTAAAACACCAAAAGCAATGGCAACAAAACCCGAAATTGACAAATGGGATCTAGTTGAACTAAAGAGCTTCTGCACAGCAAAAGAAACTATCATCAGAGTGAACAGGCAACCAACAGAATGGGAGAAAATTTTTGCAATCTACCCACCTGACAAAGGGCTAATATCCAGAATCTACAAAGAACTTAAACAAATGTACAAGAAAAAAACAAACAACCCCATCCAAAAGTGGGCAAAGGATATGAACAGACACTTCTCAAAAGAAGACATTTATGCAGCCAACAGACATATGCAAAAATGCTCAACATCACTGGTCATCAGAGAAATGCAAATCAAAACCACAATGAGATATCATCTCACACCAGTTAGAATGGCGATCATTAAAAAGTCAGGAAACAACACATGCTAGAGAGGATTGGAGAAATGGGAACACTTTTACACTGTTAGTAGGAGTGTAAATTAGTTCAACTATTGTGGAAGACAGTGTGGTGATTCCTCAAGGATCTAGAACCAGAAATACCATTTGACCCAGCAATCCCATTACTGGGTATCTATCCAAAGGATTATAAATCATTCTACTGTAAAGACACATGCACATGTATGTTTATTGCAGCACTGTTCACAAGAGCAAAGACTTGAAACCAACCCAAATGTCCATCAATGATAGACTGGATTAAGAAAATGTGGCACATATACACCATGGAATACTATGCAGCCATAAAAAAGGATGAGTTCACGTCCTTTGCAGGGACATGGATGAAGGTGGAAGCCATCATTCTCAGCAAACTATCACAAGGACAGAAAACCAAACACTGCATGTTCTCACTTATGAGTACGAGTTGAACAATGAGAACACATGGACACAGTGTGGGGAACATCACACACTGGGGCTGGTCAGGGAGTGGGTGACTGGGGGAGA
The DNA here is from genome assembly GCF_000001405.40 of Homo sapiens. NCBI lineage: Eukaryota > Metazoa > Chordata > Mammalia > Primates > Hominidae > Homo > Homo sapiens. The sequence continues at coordinate 74,436,550 of NC_000006.12, read as the reverse complement.
GATGACATTAGGAGAAATATCTAATGTAAATGACGAGTTGATGGGTGCAGCAAACCAACATGGCACATGTTTACCTATGTAACAAACCTGCACGTCGTGCACATGTACCCTAGAACTTAAATATAATAAAAAAAAAAAAGAAGAGAAAGACCAGAGCATACTCTCCCTCTTTTTTCTTTTTTCTCCCTCTCCTTCTCTCTCTCTCTCCACCTTGTGAGGACACAGCAAGAAGGAACCCAAGTCAAGAGGAAAGCCTTCCCTAGGAGTCAAATCTGCCAGCACCTTGTTATAGCAGCCTGAGCTGAATAAGACATGGAAACCATCATTCTCAGTAAGCTATCGCAAGGACAAAAAGCCAAACACCGTATGTTCTCACTCATAGGTGGGAATTGAACAATGAGAACACTTGGACACAGGAAGGGGAACATCACACACCTGGGCCTGTTGTCGGGTGGGGAAATGGGGGAGGGATAGCATTAGGAGATATACCTAATGTTAAATGACAAGTTAGTGGGTGCAGCACACCAACATGGCACATGTATACATATGTAACAAAACTGCACGTTGTGCACATGTACCCTAGAACTTAAATTATAATAATATGTATATAAAAGACATGGAGCAATTCGACTTCCCTCAATTCCAGCCAAGAGTATTTTTCCTCACCCATTTCAGCACTCTCAAGGTTTCTTTTGATCAGTGTCTTCAGGGCTGCTGAATCACTCCTGTTCTGTCAATGACCATGGAGGGTTGGAGAGAACTGGTTGTCAGCCTCCAAGTATCCAGGTCATTACTCTCCCTCACCAAAATCTTCTAATCAGAAATGCCTGTTAGACATGAATGCACATCTGATATACAAACCACAGTGATGAAAATAAATCTTAAGTTGTTACTTACATTAGTATAGAACATAATCCAATCATGAAGTTACAAAGCTGAGCTGTAACTTGGAAATCAACTTGGCAACACCACTTTTATTAGATAGTTGAGGAAACTGAATCACAAAAATATTAATAGCTTATCCAAATTCACAAAGTCAGGGTGGATGTGGGCACAGAAATAATACTCTGTCAATCTGTATTGTTCAGCTCATTTCATGCTTTAAACAAGCATTTTTATAGCCAAAAAAAAAAAAAAAAGAAAACGGCTAAGATAAAATTTTAAAATTACACACATACATATGCCTCATTCTGTCTTCTAAGGCTTTGGAAACATTGATATCACTATGAATGCTCAATATTTTGCCACATGCTGAGATTACAGCATGGCAAATCAAAGCCATAATAGTAACCATTGCTTCTTGATCATCCAATTTAAACTGTCATCTCCTAAACCAAAAGTCTTCCACATCAATTAAAGTAAAACTTAGACATGCACGTTACGCATTTGAGGATGGAGATAAACAAGACAACTCATGCCTTAAGTAAAGAACAGCCCATTGGGAGAAACTGACAGCTGAACAAGTCAGCTAGTAGGAAATATGCTTGGATCATTTCTATAATGAGAAATGCTGTAATCAGAAGGCAAACTCTTGTAATCTATCAAAGGGGGTAAAACAATTTCTTTTGAAAGAATCAAGGAAAAGTTCATGTAAGAGATTTCACACTGTGAGTAGGATTTAGACAGAAAGAAACAGGAAGATATGGAAAATGAAGGAAATTCTTTGAGCAAGGAAGGGCAGAGAGGTGGGCAAAAGCCAGGACTTTTCCAGTGAACAGCGACTAGGTAAGTGTTGCAGAAGACGATGGAGAATGGATGAGGTGGTAGTTAGGCAGAGCATCAGAAAGGGAGGTCAGAGTCAGCCAGATCATGGATATTGATGCTGATATTTGCATGCTAAGAAGTTCATTTTAACTTAGTAGACAAAGGAGAGCCAAGAAAAATGATCCTTAGAATATAACTCATCAGGTCTCTGAATTACAAAATTACAACACTAAAAACAAATTAATAATAACAATAAAAAGTATCCAGATACTGTATTCTCTTCATTCTTCATTGAGACATTTGGAAACTGAGTATCCAGTTTATCATTATTTACCAGTGAAATCTTACCAACAGAGTTATCCTTTCATTGTAATTTGTTTAATCTTTCCAAAATCTGCTAATGTTTTCACTTGTGGCCTTCTAAGACTCTGGCCCTGGCTCCAGTCATCACTTAACAGCTCCTTGGCTGCCCTTCTCCATTCATCCATCACATGCTTGAAGTCCATCCAAAATTATGCAGTACATTTCACTTTTTCCATTTCTTGTAATCCTCATGTTATAATACATTGGCCTCTTGGACACCTGAAAATTAGGTTCAAGTAATTTCTGGTTCTGATGCCTCAAACACTTCATGCCATTGTTCTTTTAGAGTACCCTTCAAGGCCCAGGTTGCACTCATCTCATTGAAACTGACTTTAGGTAGCTCTCTCTGTCAAGGTTCAGCCTGATTCTGACCAAGAATAAGAAGAATGAGGGTCCTCCTACACTTGTCTGTGAAATTTAGTTGAAGAGTGACAGAGTATTAATTAATCATACATATTATATCTAAAATTGATCTCTGCATTACCTACCTCTTGCTCTGCTACATGTTTTTCATACATTTTAAGCCATCTTATCCAATTGTTTTCTATTCTGATGGTAGCTGCTAAAAATAGCAAAATATTCTAAATTCATAGAAAGATGACATTTCAGTGCAATGTGTAAATCCTTGTTTTGATAGAGAAATCTCTATTTCCATAGATATAACTCTCTCCTGAAACTCATGCATTAGCTCTCTCCCTCCCTCTTCCTATCCCTCTTCTTATTCCTCTTCTCCCTTTCTCTCCTAATTCCCTTATTTTTTTATCATCAAGCACTTATCTCAAATTATCCCCTCAGAAATTCTAGTTCAGCAGTTTTAAAGATTAAAAAGATATTCCTTAGAGAAATATGCTCACTTTAGAGATGAAGACACTGAGATACAGGGAAGATGTGTTTAGGTTTATATGTAAAGGTAGTTACAAGGCTAGCATAGAAACTAAGGACCAATCCTTAGACCACTGAGAAAGTTACAGTCCTGTTTTAAAATTAGTTTGCAAGAGACCAAGATTCTTTGTTCTATCTTGGAAATAATCTTGGCTTCTGACTAAGACATCAATTATATTATATAAATTAACTCAAGAACAGAAAAACCTGTCCAATACCCAGCTGACCCATCACTTGGAATTGGCTCTGGCTTGAGAATTCTTTTGTGTAAATGAGCTAGCATCAGTAGCAACTGCAGAATCGTACCCTTTGCTTAATTATCTTGCTTAAATTCTTCATTTAGCAAATGCTACTTAGGCATGAGATATATCAGTTTTCTGTACTAAGGGAAATAATTTCATTCAGTTTAGAAAAGAATATGTTTGTTGATAAATGCTATTACATATAAACTGATTTTTCCACTGCAATTTACTAGCATTTCCGACAGTTTTTTTCAATACCATTATAAATTTTACCTTAATTTCTGAACATTATAGAATTAACTTTCAAGAATATTGCCATATCTGCATTATAATAATCTGTCATTCATTTTTTAATAGAATTCATCTAAATTTTTGCCATTACTTGTTCTAACAAATCATTGTGTAAGTCATCAAGCACATACTAATAAAAGACTTTATTGTTTACCAAATATAGAAGATAACTTTTTTCATGGGAAAATGTCTGGTTTTGGAACTAGGGAGACTGAAACTTAAATCTTCCCTTGGCCGTTTGTTACTTCTAGGGTTTAGGCAAGTTACTTGATATCTATATGAAATATGGACTACCAATTACAATGGTATTGTAAAAAAAATATTATTACAGTATTAGAAAGTGTCTAGCTCAGGGATGGCTTATAGTACGTGCTCAAAAATATTAGCTCTCTTTCCCCTTTCCCAGAAATGTAAGAATATTGCCTCATCGCAATGATCCTTTAGACCTTATGATTTCACTTGAAGTGGCCATTCTTAGTTTCAATAATTATATAAAATTTAGACAAATTAATGAGGGAAGAATAGAGTGCATTTACTTCTTTCTAATTGCAAAAACATTTTGTCAATTGAAATTTAAAAAGAGAAATGTTTTAACACATGCTATATTTTCCTCAGCCAACTAGTACAGCATTTATGGGGATGTCATCTTGCAAATTTTATTTTACTTAAAATCAAGCGCCAAGTTGTTTTTCTCATTAAATCAAAAATAAGCTGTTGCCTGATTATATGTCTAGCATGTTCTTGAATGAACATTAATGAGCTCATCTCTTTTTTTGGAATGTTTTATGTCATATTTCAAATCTATCTTACAGACTCACCAAAAAGGATAATTTAACATTAAATCTAAAGTTAAACATCAAGATAAATTAATGAAGAAAGACAAGTTATAAGGGAATTGAAAAGAAAAAATACACGCAGTGGGGGGAAGAGTAGAATGAAGACAAGAGAAAAGTGAGTCAGAGGAAATTCACAAAATTTGAAGTATATTAATGTGAATGTGCTCATGACTCCAAGCTGATTCAGTATCTCATTTGAATAACCCAACATAAACCTATGAAAGAAAACAATGTGATTAAGAAAGGTCTGGTACTTTTATAGTTATTCAACTGAATTGATATGAAGCAAATCTCAACCATGTGCAAGTTAGAGTCCCATTCGAAAGGCAGAGTATTATGAGCACTTAAAATGGAGTAAAAGGGCAAAAAGAGTCACCAGAGGGCCATAAAAAGAAGAAAAAAAATCCTGAATACATTTATTTAACAAACTTTTAAAGGTTAGTGTTTTGCCATAACTTTGGCTATGTCATAAAGTAAAAAACGATTTATCTCTGTGTTTACAAGTGCTTGGTCCTGAACTTAAAAACATATTCCTCTTTATAAATTTACTCTCAAAATTGTTACTTGGTAGTTTAGAAAATCTTGATTATGTTGGATGTAGTATGGGAAAGGTGAAATCAGATGCATGTTGGACTAAATGTTCCACACATTTGGGGTTCTATAAACTCTAAGCTTATTTTTTCAGAAAACGTCAAATACTTGTTTATATTGAAAAACACATGAAGCCAGGTTTCCAATCTCTTTCATTTAATTCATAGCATTTTTAAAGAACTACTTATCGTACTAAAAGTCGTGGTTTCTTTACTGAATCTAAGTTTTCTTTAACACAAGAAGAAGAAATTTGAAAAACAATAGGTATAGGTTATTCTTAACATTAATGTTAAGTTAGTTTGAAATCTATAATGTTATTTCTAGAAAGAGAGTAAAAATCTGTATAATTTTTCCAAAGGTGTCCCTCTTCCCTCAAACAGAAGTAATTCTAGGTAAAAGTGCCATTCTAATGGATTCATCTCAAAATTGTAATAAAGAAAAATGTACCATTATGTAACTGTAAAGACACCATCTTTTCATCTGTTAGGTCACTTTTATCTCTAATCAAAAGGGTATAGATTTTGATAATAATATCAAAACTCATGTTATAGTAGTTATAATTTTTCTTTATACATTTATGAATGAACTATATATAATTGACTCAGTATTTCAGAAAATATTTAATGAACAATTTTATGTGTCAAGCATCATTCTGGGTTCTACAACCAGAGTTGACAAGAAAGACAGTTTCTGTGCTTGTGAAGTTGACATTGCAATGGAGGCAGTAGTAAGGTAATGACAGAAGAAAATAAAAGAGCTGATGGAGTACATAGTGATGGTAGGAGGAAATATATTTAGATAAGGCAGTGAGAAAAGCTTTTATGTAATGAGGAGGTGATAATTGAGCTGAGATTTGAAGGAGTCAGCCATAGAAAGATTTGGGAGAAGAATTCCTAAAGGCAGAAACAAGGGTGTCAGGTATATAGCAAAAATGATATTGGAGTACTCTTATGGTGCATTGAAGAAGGTGGCAAATTATTGACAGTTATCATGAGATAGTGTCTATTTGCCCTCACCTTGAATTTGGGCTGGCTTGCAACTTCTTTGACCAATAGAGTGTGTTAGGAGTGAGGCTGTGACAGTTCTGGGCTAATCCCTTAAAGGACTGGCAGCTTTTGCCAGATTTTTTAGATCCCTTAAACAACATAGAAACATTCCTTAACTTTCCTAGAGAGACCACATGGAGAAAGCCTGAGACTCTAAGGAGGGACAAATAGAGAGAGGCTACACTGAGTACAGCTTTTCTGTTAGCCCATCTAGGGCTCCAGACACATGAGTAAAGCTATTTTGGAACCTCCAGTCTGGCAGCCAGTTGAATATGCCACGAACAGCAGGATAGTCATCCAGCCAAGCTCTACCAGAATTCTTCCTTAACTCACAAACTTGAGATAAATTGTTAAGCCATGAAATTTTGGAGAAGCTTATTATGCAGCAAAAGGTAACTGCAACATTGCCCAGCAGAAAAATACCATTATGGTAGAACCAGGATGAACAAAGGACACCACAATCTGGAATAGGGCCAGATATTTTATTCGGCCCCAGAATGTGTGCACATTAATGACAAAATGTGATTCTGACCTGATATGTAGGTATCTTTTATAGACATATATAACGTATTTAGACATATGTTAGGTATGTCTACAAAAGATATCTATATATCAGGTCAGAATCACATTTTGTCGTTTAATTCTGAATCGCCTTTTGTCATTCATCTCTTATCTGCTACTTTTTAGAAAATAGATTTTAGAGAGGTAAGAATATAAGAAGGGAGAACAGTTTTCAAAAGAATATTGTAGTGATATTATCGCATTTAATTTTCATAACACTTGAGTAAGAAAGCAGTCTTTCTTTTATTTTGTAAGTGAATATGCTGAAGAACATGAAAGTTAAATAATTTACCTAGGGTTGTGTAGGTAGTGAAATGTGAAAGTGGAGAGGTTGCTTAATTGTGTCAACTGTTGTTGAACAATCAAGTAGGAAGAGGACAGAGCACAACCACTGAACTTAGAAAGAAGCTATTAGTTACCTTGAAAATGGGTAAATTTGTAGATTTTTTGGTGAAGAAACTCTGATTATAGTAAAATAAAGAAAGAGAAGCAATGGAAGCAAATGGATAAGCAATCTTTTTGATAAGTCTTTTCTTTCTATGAAGTGTAGAGAGATGGTAGAAGGATTTAAAATTAGGTGTGTTTTTTGTCTCAGACAAAAGATACTGGGGAATTTTTATATACCATTAGGAACTGCAGTATAGGGACAAATCAAAGTTGGAAGTGAGGGAGAAAGGGAGAGAAACAGAGAGGGAGGCAGAGACAGAGAGACAGGGAGAGGGAGAGAGAGAAGACATTACATAAGTGAAGTTTTTGAGTATACAAAAGTAGGGAGTTTATTTGACTATGGATAGGATCATTGACTCTTCTTATCTGAAAACGAGGTGAAGCAAAGTATCTTAGCATAGATGAGGGTCAGTCTAATAAGATGATGACATGGGTCTCGTCAGTGTGTTTACAACTTATACTGTCTGAGGTCGTATGTCAGAGTTGGGGGTGATATGAATTGAAGGTACAGAATACATTTCTTAGGACATAGAGGAAAATTCATAGAAAAATGAAGGAGAATTTTTAGCCAGTGTTTGGATACCATCTGGAATTTATGGTCATTATTTGTTGTGCGACTATTAAGCATTATTTTTTCCAATGAGGTGAGTCTAAGGATGGGACTTTTTGGAATTAATTTTATTAAAGTAAGAAAGGAAAAGGAGTGTATAAAGGAAAGTGATTATAGTGACACACCACGGAATCATAGACTTTAAGGTCTGTAAGGAGGAAATTGAACTATATAGGGAATTCTGAGTAGTGAAAATCAGAGTCAAAAGGGGTGGGGTTACTGAAGAGGTTGAAGAATTATGGCTGTATAAGAACTAGAATAAGTAAGCCAAATGAATAGGAGGTGGTGACTGGACACTTGGATTCCTGAAATTGAGATTTTGGAGTTTAGATAGTCATTATTAATTTAGAGTTATATAAAGGACCATGAGAGTGGGAGGCTGAGGGAGTTGGAGAAAAAATTATTGCAGAAGTCATCAAGTATGGAGAAACTAAGATATTACGTATATAACAAACAAGGTAGTTATCACAAAGAATGATGTCAGGAGCAGTGATAAAAAGAAAATCAATAAGCCAGCCCAGAATTGTGTGCGTGCTTGTGTGTAAATATAAAACACATTTAATCTTTCCTTCCAGGTTGTAAGATTCTTGAAGATAAGATCCAGGTCTGCTTAACTTTGGACTTGTCCATTGTGCTAACTATATGGTATTTTTTGGTAATTTTATGTTTTGTAGAAATGTAATTCAATTTATTAATTTTAAGTTTCCTTTTCTTTTTAAAATTTGTGGTTTTTGTAGGTGCATAGTAAATATATATATATTGATGGAATACATGAGATATTCTGATGCAGGCATGCAATACGTAATAATTGCATCATGGAAAATGGGCTATCCAACCCCTCAAGCATTTATTCTTTATGTTACAAGTAACTCAACTATACTCTTATATTTAAAAATGTACATGTAAATTATTTTGACTATAGTCACTCTGCTATACTATAAAATACTAGATCTTATTCATCTTTCTAACTACATTTTTTTGTACCCATTAACTATCCCCACTTCCCCACCACCTCCTACTACTCTTCGTAACCTATGGAAATCATTCTTCTAATCTCTATCTCTGTGAGTTCAAGTGTTTTGATTTTTGCATCCCACAAATAAGTGAGAATATGTGATGTCTCTTTTTCTGTGCCTGGCTTGTTTCACTGAACATAATTACCTCCAGTTCCATCCACGTTGCTGCAAATAACAGGATCTCATTCTTTTTTTATGGCTAAATAGTACATTATTGTGTATAAGTACCACATTTTCTTTATTCATTCATCTGTTGATGGACACTTAGGTTGCTTCCATATCTTGGCTGTTGTGAACAGTGGTGCAACAAACATGGGAGTGCAGATATCTCTTCAACATACTGATTTCTCTTCTTTGGGGTATATACCCAGCAGTGGAATTGCTGGATCATATGGTAGTTCTATTTTCACTTTTTTGAGGAGCCTTAAAACTGTTCTCCATAATAGCTATACTAATTTACATTCCCACCAACAGTGTATGAGGTTCTCCTTTTCTCCACATCCTCACCAACATTTGTTATTGTCTGTCTTTGGATAAAAGCCATTGTAGCTGAGGTGAAATGATATATCATTGCGTTCCTCTGATGATAAATGATGATGAGATCCTTTTCAAATGCCTGTTTCCCACTTGTATGTCTTCTTTGGAGACATGTCTTCAAATTTTCTGCCCATTATTTTACTGAATTATCCATGTTTTTCTTATAGGGTTGTTTGAGCTCCTTATATATTCTGGTTATTAATCCCTTGACAGATGGGTAGTTTGCAAATATTTTCTCCCATCCTGTGGGTTTTCTCTTCACTTTGTTAACTGTTTCCATCACTGTGCAAAATATTTTTCAGTTGATATGATTCCATTTGTCCATTTTTGTTTCTGTTGCCTGCACTTGTAGGATATTACTCAGGGAATTTTTGCCCCAGTGACTGTCCTGGAGAATTTCTCCAATGTTTTCTTGTAGTAATTTCAATAGTTAATCAATTTGGATTTTATTTTTGTATATGGGGAGGTCAAGGGTATTATTTCATTCTTCTGCATATGGATATCCAGTTTTCCCAGCATGGTTTAATGAAGAGAATGTTTTTTCCCAATGTATGTTCTTGGTAACTTTGTCAAAAATGAGTTCACTGTAGGTGTGTGGATTTGTTTCTGGGTTCTCTATTGTGTTCCTTTAGTCCATGTGTCTGTTTTTATGCCAGTACCATGCTGTTTTGGTTATTAATGCTCTGTGGTATAATTTGAAGTCAGGTAATGTGATTCCTCCAGTTTCATTCTTTTTGCTCAAGATAGCTTTGGTTATTCTGGATCTTTCATGGCTCCATATAAATTTTAAGATTTTTTTTTCCATTTCTGTTAAGAATATCATTGATATTTTGATAGGGATTGCACTGAATATTTAGATTGCTTTGGTAGTGTAGACATTTTAACAATATTGATTATTTCAATCTATGAACATGGAATAAATCTTTCCATTTTTTATTTCTTCTTCAATTTCTTGTGTCAGAGTTTTATAGTTTTTAATGTAGAAATCATTCACTTCTTTGGTTAAGTGAATTCCTACGTATTTAATTTCATTTGTGGCTATTGTAAATGGGATTACTTTCTCAATTTCTTTTTCAGATTGTTCACTGTTGGCATATAAAAATGCTGCTGATTTTTGTATGTTGATTTTGTATCTTGTAATGTTACTGAATTTATTTATTATCACTTATGTTTTTTGGTGCAGTCTTTAGGTTTTTCCAAATGTAAGATCATATCTGCAAACAGGGATAATTTAATATCTTCCTTTCTAAATTTCTTGCTCTTTATTTATTTCTTTTCTCTGATTGCTCTAGCTAGGACTCAAAAAATGTTGGATATCAGTTGTGAAAGTGGACATTCTTGTCATGTTCCAAATCTTACAGGAAAGGCGTTCACTTTTTCCCTATTCAGTATGACACTAGCTGTATGTATGTTGTATATGGTGTTTATTATGTTGAAGTATGTTCTTTCTAAATCCAGTTTTTTGAGGATTTTTATCATGAAGGGATGTTTAATTCTATCAAATGGTTTTACACCATCAATTGAAATGATCATATGGTTTTTGTTCTTCATTTGGTTGACATGATGTATTACACTGATCTGCATAAGTTGAACCATCCTTGTGTCCCTGGGATAAATCCTACTTGGTCTTGATGAATGATCTTACTAACATAATGTTGAATTCAATTTGCTAGTATTTTGTTAAGGATTTTTTGCAACAATTTCATCAGAGATATAGGCCTATAGTTTTCTTTTTTTTGATGTGTCTTTGTCTGATTTTGTTATCAGGGTAATACTAGCCTATTGAAACATTTGGAATTATTCCCTCCTCCTCTGTTTTTTTGGAATACTTTGAGTAAAATTGGTATTATTTAAATCATTGATAAAATTCAGCATAGAAGCTAACACATCACAGGCTTTTCTTTGTTAGGAGACTTTTTTATTATGAATTTAGTCTCTTGTTACTGGTATGCTCATTTCTGGATTTCTTCATGATTCAATCTTGGTAGGTTGCATGTATCTAGAAATTTATCCATTTTCTCTAGATTTTCCTATTTATTGGGATGTAGTTTGTCATGTCATTTTTTTTCTGGTCACTAATGATCCTTTGAATTTCGGATGTATCAGTTGTAATGTCCTGCTTTTCATCTCTGATTTTATTTATTTGGGTCTTTCTCTTTTTTTCTTCATTAGTCTGGCAAAAGTTGTTCATTTTTTATTGCTTCAAAAAATCAACTTTGTGTTTTGTTGATCTTTTATACGTTTTCTTCATTTCAAATTCATTTATTTCTGCTGTAATATTTATTACTTTTCCTTTTGCTAATTTTGGATTCAGTTTGTTCTTGCTTTTCTAGTTCTTTAAGATGCATCATTAGGTTATTTATTTGATGTTTTTCTTCTTTTTTGATGTAGGCACTCAGAGCTATACATATAATGTACTACTTCTCCTGTATCCCATACATTTTGGTAAGCATGTTTTCATTATCATTAGTTTCAAGACATTTTTCTACTTCCTAATTTCTTCATCGACTCACTGGTCATTCAGGAGCATGTTGTTTAATTTTCATGTGTTTGCATAGTTTCCAAAATTCCTTCTGTTATTGATTTCTAGTTTTATTTCATTGTTGTCAAAGAAGACGCTTGACATAAATTTCATTTTTTTAATGTTTTAAGACTTGTTTCATAACCTAACATGTAGTCTATCCTTAAAATGATCTATGTGCTTGAGAAGAAGTTTGTGTATTCTGCAGCCTTTTCATGAAATGTTATGTAAGTATCTCCAGTTGGTCTATAGTGCAGATTAAGTCTGATGTTTCTGTGTTAATTTTCAGTCTTGGAGATCTTTCCAATGCTAAAAGTGAGGTGTGAAAGCCTCCAGGTACTATCATATTGAGATCTATCTGTCTCATTAGCTCTAATAATATTTGCTTTATGTATTGTGTGCTCATGTATTGGGTGCATATGTATTTACAATTGTTATATCCTCTTGCTGAATTGACCCCTTTATCATCATATAATGTCCTTCTTTGTCTCTTTTACAGTTTTTGTCTTGAAACCCATTTTGTATAAATACAGCTACTCCTGCTGTTTTTTTGGTTTTCATTTTCAGGTAATATCTTCTTCCATGGCTTTACTTTCAGTTATAGGTGAAATGTGTTTCTTGTAGGCAACAGATCAATGGGCCTTGTTTTTTCATCCATTAAGCCACTCCGTGTCTTTTGATCAGAGAGTTCAGTCCATTTATATTCAATGTTATTATTGATAAGCAGAGATTTACTCCTGCCATTTTGCAATTTTTTTTTCTGGTTGTTTTCTGGTCTTCTCTCCCTTCTTTCCTTCTTCCTTCCTTCCTGCCTTCCTCTTAGTGAAGGTGATTTTCTCTGGTGATATGATTTACTTTCTTAATTTTTATTGTTTGTGCTTTCCTTCTATGTATTTTAAACTGATAACAGGTTAACAGTGATTCCGTAAACAAACAGGCAAAAAGAAAACTACTAAAAACTCTACCCTTTAACTTATTTTTTGAGTTTATTATACTCTATTCAACATGTGTAGTTGAGAAGATCAAGTGACAAGTGTTCAAATAGAGGGCAGGCATTATTCTCAACCTGCACCACTTAGAAATGTTCTATTTTTTTTTTTAATTATTATAGTTTAAGTTCTAGGGTACATGTGCACAACGTGCAGGTTTGTTACATATGTATACATGTGCCATGTTGGTTTGCTGCACCCATCAACTCATCATTTACATTAGGTATATCTCCTAATGCTATCCCTCCACCCTTCCCCCACCCCACAACAGGACCGGGTGTGTGATGTTCCCCTTCCTATGTCCAAGTGTTCTCATTGTTCATTTCCCACCTATGAGTGAGAACATGTGCTGTTTGGTTTTCTGTCCTTGCGATAGTTTGCTGAGAATGATGGTTTCCAGCTTCATCCATGTCCCTGCAAAGGACATGAACTCATCCTTTTTTATGGCTGCATAGTATTCCATGGTGCATATGTGCCACATTTTCTTAATCCAGTCTATCACTGATGAACATATGGGTTGGTTCCAAGTCTTTGCTATTGTGAATAGTGCCGCAATAAACATACGTGTGCATGTGTCTTTATAGCAGCATGATTTATAATCCTTTGCGTATATACCCAGCAATGGGATGGCTGGGTCAAATGGTATTTCTAGTTCTAGATCCTTGAGGAATCGCCACACTGTCTTCCACAATGGTTGAACTAGTTTACAGTCCCACCAACAGTGTAAAAGTGTTCCTATTTCTCCACATCCTCTCCAACATCTGTTGTTTCCTGACTTTTTAATGATTGTCATTCTAACTGGTGTGAGATGGTATCTCATTGTGGTTTTGATTTGCATTTCTCTGATAGCCAGTGATGATGAGCATTTTTTCATGTGTCTGTTGGCTGCATAAATGTCTTATTTTGAAAAGTGTCTGTTCATATCCTTTGCCCACTTTTTGATGGGGTTATTTTTTTTTTCTTGTAAATTTGTTTAAATTCTTTGTAGATTCTGGATATTAGCCCTTTGTCAGATGGGTAGATTACAAAAATTTTCTCCCATTCTGTAGGTTGCATGTTCACTCTAATGGTAGTTTCTTTTGCTATGCAGAAGCTCTTTAGTTTAATTAGATCCCATTTGTCAATTTTGACTTTTGTTGCCATTGCTTTTGGTGTTTTAGACATGAAGTCCTTTCCCATGCCTATGTCCCGAATGGTATTGCCTAGGTTTTTTTTCTAGGGTTTTTATGGTTTTAAGTCTAACACTTAAGTCTTTAATCCATCTTGAATTAATTTTTATAATTCATTCCCCCACTTTGAACATTTTTGTTTTTATCTTTATATCTTATTGTGCTGTTTATGTCTTGAAAAGCTGTTGTAGTTATTATTTTTTATTGGTTTATCATTTAGTCTTTCTACTTATGAATATGTAGCTTACAAACCACAATTACAATGTTATAACATCCTGTGTTTCTTCTGTGTTCTTACTGTTACCAGTGAGTTTCGCACCTTTATATGATTTCTTATTGCCTGTTAACATCCTTTTCTTTCAGACTGAAGAAATCTCTTTAGCATTTTTTGTAGGATACATCTGGTCTTGATGAAATTCTTCAGATTTTGTTTGTCTGTTTATTTCTCCTTCATGCTTGAAGGATATTTTCAAAGGATATACTATTCTAAGGTAAAAGGTCTTTCCCCCTAACTTTCAGTGCTTTAAATATGTCATACCATCCTCTCCTGGCCTGTAAGGTTTCCACTAAAAAGTTGGCTGCCAAATGTATTTAGACTCCACTGTATGCTATTTGTTATTTGTTTTTTGTTTTCTCTTTCTGCTTTTAGGATTTTTAATTTATCCTTGTCCTTTGGGAGTCTGATTATTAGATACCTTAAGGTAGTCTTCTTTGGATTATATCTGTTTCATGTTCCACAACCTTTTTGTATTTGAATGTTGATATCTTTCTCTAGGTTTGGGAAGTTCTCTATTATTATCCCTTTGAATAAACTTGCTATCTCCTAATAATAGAGAACTTTCTCTACTTACTCTGCAAGGTGAATAACTCTTCAATTTGCCCTTTTGAGGCTATTTTCTTGATCTTGTAGGCATGTTTCATTTTTTTTATTCTTTTCTCTTTTGTCTTCTCTGACTGTATATTTTCAAATGGCTTGTTTTCAAGCTCACCAATTCTTTCCTCTGCTTGATCAGCTCTGCTATTATATTACTTTGATGCATCCTTTAGAATGTTAATTGCATTTTTCAACATTAGAATTTCTGCTTGATTCTTTTTTATTATTTCAATCTCTATTATCTGATAGAATTCTGAATTTGTTCTCCATTTCATTTTGAATTTCTCTGAGTTTCCTCAAAACAGCTATTTTGAATTCGCTTTCTGAAAAATCTCATGTCTTTGTTTCTCCTGGAGTGGTCCTTGGTCCTTATTTAGTTTGTTTGGTGCAGTCACGTTTTCCTGACTGATCTTGATGCTTGTAAATATTTGTTAGTGTCTGGGCATTGAAAAGTTAGGTATTTATTGTATTCTTCACAGTCTGGGCTTGTTTGTACCCATCCTTCTTGGGAAGACTTTCCACGTATTTTAAGGAACTTTGACTGGAAGTCAAATATTGCTGTGTTTTTGTTTTTTCCAGACTCTAGAGGTACCACCTTGGTGATCATGGATAAGATCCAGAAGAATTCTCTGGATTACCAGGCAGAAACTCTTGTTCTCTTCCCTTACTTTCCACCAAACAAATAAAGTCTCTCTGTCTGTGCTGAGCCACCTGGAACTGGGGTTGTACTGATGCAGGCACCCCTGTGGCCATTACCACTGCTACAGTGCTGGGTCAGACCTGAAGGCAGCAGAGCACTGGGACTCATCCATAGCCCACTGTAAACACTAGCTGGCTACCTCCTATCTTCACTGAAGGCCCTAGTGCTCTACAATTAGCAGGTGCTGAAACTAGATAGGTTTGTGTCCTTTCCTTTAGGACAGGAAATTCCCCCAGGCCATAGATGGGTCCAGAGATGTCAAGAAGCCAGGAATCAGAGTCAAAAATCCTAGAAATGCACCTGATGTTGTCTTCTACTGCAGCTAATAGGCACTCAAACCACAAGACAAAGTCCTTCCTACTCTTCCCTTACCTTTCCATAGGCAGAAGAGCCTTTCCCTGTGCCCAGCACCACCACCCATGGTGGGGTTTCTGCCAGTCCACAACCAAGATTTACTTAAAGCCAAAAGGCTCTTCAGTCAGCTTATCCTGAATGCTGCCAGGACTGGGACTCACCCTTCAGGGAAGTAGGCTCTGCTCTGGCCCAGGGAAGGTTACAAAATGGTTTCCAAGAGGCTAGGCCTGGACTTAGGAATCCGAAGAGCCTGCTTGTTGCCCTACCCCACTGTGGCTGAACAGTTACCTAAAGTACAAGACAAAATGTCCTTTACATTTCCTACTGCTTTTCTCAAACAGAAGGAGTCTTTCACCATAGGCATGACAGCTGGGAATGTGCTGGGTCACACCTATAGTCAGCATGTCTCAGAGCCCAAAGTCCATGGTATCCTATCTGGGCATCACTTCTGGTTAATCAGTGCTGAAGGGCTTTTTAGTCAACAGGTGATAAATCCTGCAAGGACTGGGTCCTTTAAGGCACCAGGTTCCTTTTTGGCCCATGGTATGTCTAGAAATGTCATCCAGAAACTAGGGCCTAGCATGGGGGCCTCACAAATCGGCCTGGTGCCTTATCCTGCTGAGGCTGAGCTGGTATCCAAGATGCCAAAAAATGGACTACCAAAAAATACCATTTAAACATTTAGTGAATTGCATTTATTGAAAATCAAGCTTGCAATGGTGAAAACATCAAAATTTAATCCAATAAAAACACAAGAGAAATTGTATCAATTAAATGACAACAACTCAAAAGTGCATGAAATTTAAATTTAAATTTAAATTTATGCACTTTTCAAATTTTACAATTTCTCCTTGTAGCATATTGGCATAAGAGAGGAATCTTTTTAATACAGTTTCTATATTCAACTGGATAAATGTATACTCATGATTTTTTAGCATCTAAATTTGACAAAAGTTAAAAGGGGCGTAAATAGAACCAACTAACTTAACTTTGTTTTGTTGAAAATATTTGTTGAATAAAGGGGTAAAATTAAAAACAATATCTGTTAAAATGTTTAGACTAAAGTATTTAAATATTTCAATTTAAAAACCTTTGAAATGAGTATACTCTCTATTTAGTAAGAATTTTCTCAGAACTTTCCAGGTAACTAAGAACCTGCAGAGAAAAAATTTTCTCAATAAAAATAATTTCCAGAGAAGATTCAAATATAAGAAAATGTTCACATGTTTTAACCACAGAATTTAACTTTGAACACAATTTCACACAATTTTATTAAAAATAGCAATAAAGCCATACTGTCATAAAAACTGCATTCTTTGGAAAAATACCCATGACATGATATGATGAAAAAAGACTAATGCCAATTCCATGCTGTTCTGGTTACTGCAGCTTTGTAGTAATATATTGAAGTCTGATTCTATGATGCCTCCATCTTCATTGTTTTTTGCACGGGATTGTTTTGGCTATTCAGGGTCTTTTATGGTTTCACACAAATTTTAAGGGTTTTTTGTTTATTTATGTGAAAAATATCATTGTTATTTTGATAAGGATTGCATTGAATCTGTAGATTGTTTTGGCTAGTATGGTCATCTTTAACAGTATTAATTATTTTGATCCATGCATATAGGAGATAGAAAACCTGAAAATTAACATATCTATAGCCAACTTACTTTCGACAGTGCCAAGAACACTCACTGGGGAAAGAACTACTTCTTCAATAAATGGTGCTGGGAAAACTAGACAACCATATGCAGAAGAATGAAATTAGAGCTCTACCTCTTACCTATACAAAAATCAACTCAAAATAGATTAAAGATCTAAATGTAAGACCCCAAACTATAAAACTACTAGAAGAAAACATAGATGAAAATCTTCAGAACATTGATTTAATAAAATATTTTATGAATAAGACTTCAAAAGCACAGGCAGCAAAAACAAAAGTAAACACCTGGGATTATATGAAACTAAAACTTATGTACAGCAAAGGAAACCATCAA
This sequence comes from Homo sapiens, assembly GCF_000001405.40. NCBI lineage: Eukaryota > Metazoa > Chordata > Mammalia > Primates > Hominidae > Homo > Homo sapiens. The sequence continues at coordinate 74,418,820 of NC_000006.12, read as the reverse complement.
CAGAATGAAAAGAAAACCTACAGTACTTTTATTGAGCTTGTTGTTAAAAAGTTTATTTTTTAAAAAAACTTTTACTAAACAATAAAGTAAATTGTTTTAGATTATATCATATAATAAGTGATGATATCATATAATACGTGATGAAGCAACCAAAGCATTTATATTATTCTATGTCCCATGGGAGAGCTTAGTCTCTATTATTTGCATATGTTTTATAAATATTCACCCTAAAATTACCCTATAGATTCCCACTGACCCCAAAAACTGGTGACCTTAGAAATTTATGCATCTGGAAGGCTATAGTACAAATCTTGGCACACCCGACTGGCATACCAAGTTGAATTCTTTTTCCAACATTACCTGAGATGCAAAGGTATGAGCAGTTCTCAGCCACTTCTGCCCAGTGCACTAGCATTTTATCAGTCAGTACCTTGCAAACTGTCCTGGAAAGTGAGGTGTTAGTTACTCACATCAGAAAATGCTGAGAAGTGAAAGATGGTAGACACAGGTAGTCTTTAAGAACTCTGCATATTTCATGGGTTTCTCACACACAATTAGACAAGAGAGACCTCAGCACAAATTAGAACTATCAAGTGGAGGACAATCAAACTTATTTGAGCTTATTTTAATGGAACTGTAAAAACTTTTTTTTTTTGCAATTTTATAGTTGTTAAAGACATTTTTAAATAAATAGAGAAAACAATCCTACAATTCTTATGGAAATACAAAGGACCACAAATAGCCAAATCATGAAAAAGGAGAACAAAGTTTCAGGCATCACACTTTCGGATTTTAAAATATATTACAAATCTTAGCTATCAAAACACTTGTGGTGCTGGCATAAAGACAGACATATTGACCAATGGGACAGAATAGGGAGCCCAGAAATAAATTCACACATATACAATCAATTGATATTCAATAAGGATGCCAAGAATGGATAAAGGGCAAGGATAATCTTTTCAACAAATAGTGCTGCGAAAATTTGATATTTACATGTAAAAGAACAAAATTGGACACTTTTGTTTTTCTTTGAGACAGAGTTTTGCTCTTGTTGCCCAGGTTGGAGTGCAATGGCATGATCTCGTCTCACTGCAACCTCCGCCTCCTGGTCTCAAGCGATTCTCCTGCCTCATCCTGAATAGCTGGGATTACAGGCATGCGCCACCACGCCCAGCTAATTTTGTATTTTTAGTAGAGACAATGTTTCTCCATGTTGGTCAGGCTGGTCTCGAACTCCCGACCTCAGGTGATCTGCCTGCCTCGGCCTCCCACAGTGCTGGGATTACAGGTGTAAATCACCACACCCGGCCTGGACTCTTATTTTATACCAAACATGAAGATCAAATCAAAATCGATTAAAACGTAAATATAAAACCTGAAATTGTGTGTGATTCTTGAGGATAATCATAGGCAGAACAAATTAAACACATTACAGAATTATATCCTTATAAGGCTAATGTAGAAATTGTATATGCAGGAAATTAGGACAGTTTCTTATACCAACAGAATTGGAGAAAATATTTGCAAACTTCATCTGACGGAGGATTAATATTCGTACTATACAAGGAATTGAAACTTTTCAACAGCAAAAAAAAAATTCAATTATAAAATGGACAAATAATATAAACAGATGTTTATCAAAATAAGACATTAAAATAGTCAAAAATACATTTTAAAAAATGCTCAACATCACGAATCATCAAGGAAATGCAAATTAAAACTATAGTGAGCTATCGTTTCTTTTCAGTTAGGATAAAGATTATCAGAAAGATAAAATATAACACATGATGATGAGGATGTGGAGAAAACAGAGGTCTTATATGCTGTCGGTTGGAACGTAAAATAGTATAATCATTATAGAGAACACTATCATGGTTTCTCAGCAAACTACACATAGAACTAACATATGATCCGGCAATTCCACTACTAGGCTTTTTTCCAAAGGAAAGAGGACCAGTAAATCAAAGACATCTGTACCCACAAGTTTATGGCAGCACTATTCACAATAGCCAAGATATAGAATCAACCTAGTTGTCCAACAACAGATGAATGGAAAAGGAAAATGTGGTATATGTACACAATGGAATACTATTCAGCCATAAAAAGGAATGAAATTCTGTCATTTGCAGCAACGTAGGTGGAACTGGAGGACATTATGTTAAGTGAAATAGGCTAAGAACAGAAAGTTAAACACCACATGTTCTCACTCAGATGTGGAAGCTGAAAAAGTTTTCTCTTGCAGAAGTAAAAAGTGAAACAGAGGATACTAGAGGCTGGGAAGGGTAGAGGGAAGGGGGATAGGGAAAGATTTTTTAAAGGCTACAAAATTACAGCTAGGTAAGAGGAATAAGTTCTACTGTTTTATACCACTGTAGGATGACTACAGTTAACAATAACTAACATTCACTATCTTCCTTCTAGCTGTTTGAAACTATGTATTATTGTTAAAGAAAAGTGTTGGAGGTGATGGATATGCTAATTATACTGATCCGATCACTATATAGTATATATGTATCAAAACATTACTATGTACTCCATATATATGTGCAATTATCGTATGTCAATCTAAAAATAAAAAAACTTTTAAAAAGAGAAATCAAAAAATCATCAAGTGAAACACTGATTAAAATTCTGAATATGGACCAATAATAAGTATTTTATGTTATCTCTAAAGTTAAGCAATACAAATAATGCTTATATTGCCTTCATAAAAATTATTTTCAAATATTTTGTTTTTGAATATAGTTTTTGATGAGAACTATTTTATATGTTCACAAGTATAATAAAACTAATTTGTTAGTAAAGTAACATAGATCTCAAAAGCTTATATATTTTTAAGTGTTATAGCATCACATTTCACTGTCAAAGATACACAGGTTTTATGATAAATTATGGGACTGTCAGATTCACAGTTGTTTCTTTACGGATTACTCTATGAGTCCTTTTTGTTCACAATAAACTCTTGAACAATGTTCTGAAATTCAACTAAATGAATGCCTAACATAGATGTTTTGTGCTGGAGCCTCAGCAAATTTTAGAAATGAGAGAAATATTAAAGATTATGTAATTCAAACTTCATATTTTGTGGTTGAGGATGTTCAACCCAAGTGCGCAAAACTAGAGAGCTAGATGTAGCAGGTGTGGACCTGGAATCCCAACCTCCTAACAATCACTCCAACATTCTTTCTAGCACACAGTGCTTCAGGTACAAGCCTTCTACTAAGGTAGTCCTACAAAGTTATGGTCCAACTAATGTGGATTACATTTCGCTATTAGGCTATTTGATGGTTTTAATTTGCAAATTTACAAGTCAAAATTATATGTTTCTACCAACTTGTTTCTTCCTCAGAATTTTTCCATGTGTTGTCCTGATAAAAAACAATCAAATATAATTTTCAGGGTTTATTTCTATTTATTTTGGTTTAGATCACTATGAATTTTTTTTCTAACTTTAAAATTCTATGAAAATAACAATTTGAGGTCTTAGTATTCAATTTGTGGTTTAAATGCTGACATTAGGGAATGAACAGTTCTTATTTATCTCAAGACTACTATTATGATGCAATTTCCTTTTTACAAAAAATAAAAACCTCAAGCTTTTATTGATTTATAGAGGATGAACTCATGCTTGTATTTCAAGAGGAAAAATAACCACTAATTTAAAAAGCAAATTATCTTCAGTTGTATTATCTTCCAATGAGTCTGGGTAGGGATTCAAAAATAAGCTCCTATTTTCTGCTGGAAAATCTACTTGAGATATTTTTGAATTTCTCTCCCAAGTTATGAGGAGAAAAAAATCTAAACTCTAGAATCCTTTGTGCATTTGTTGATGGGAACTGATACTTTCTGGCTATCCTTTCACTGATCATTTGAAACTTTTTACTTTGATTAAAAAGAGTAAAATATCAGTTTCCAAGAAAAGATGAAAGCTTTCCTTCAGAATATGTGTTTACAACAATCAGTATTACTCTTGGAAAATTATGCAAAGAAGGTGTCAAAACAAAGAGATTTTCCCACCTCTACAAATAAAAAAATTGGATACAATAGCAAAAAATTATATATGCAAATATGTGTATATGTATATACAGTCAATCCGCATTATTCCCAGATTCTATATTTGCTAATTCACTCACTAAAATGTATTTTAACTACAAAATCAATACTACGGGCACTTTTGCAGTCATTCACAGATATGCATAGAGTGGCAAAAAAAAAAAAGTATGTCTCTGAAACATGCACGTTCCCACAAATGTGATATTTTCCCACACATATGTATACGCACACACACACACACACACATACATATATATTAAATAAAGTGACTAAACAGAAAAACTCATAAAACAAAGTTTCATATTATGGATTGGTTGATAAAAATATCACAAGAGGCTTATGGGAACTTAACCCTGTATTTCCCCTAGGAGCAATAGTTCAGTGTTTATTAATTTAGTGTATGTGGCAATTTTGTAAAGCATAACTATCAAAAGTAACAAGAATTGACTGTATACATACATGTATATATATATATATATATATATATATATATATATATATATATGAACACATGTATAAAACAAAACCTACAATTTGGAAGATGAGATTTAGAAAACATTATTTATGATGTATTTCTTGTCTCACTATATTCTCAAACTTTAGTGTTCCATTTAGAACTCATAGCTAGAAATAGGGTGAGAAATTGAAATAGTCATTTTCTTCCTTTCATCCTTTCACCTCTAGTTTCTTGAGAATCCTAGCAAAGAACTCTCCAGAAATACAGTTCCCAAGATCTGAGCCCCATCTGATTTCCCTGTTAAAGCTGAAAGAGGTCAGAGGTTGGCCCACATGGACACCCTTCCCACTTATCAGGCTACAGGACAGATCCTCCAAAAACCAAGAGCCTCGTACAGCCTCATCATAGACATGAACATGCAAAATCCTCTTTATGTTTCCAGAAAGAGAATATAGCCTTGGCACAGTTTGCTTTTGAATAGAAAAGTATTATTCCCAAACTTCAAATTAGAAGATGGCAGCTCCAACTCCATGCCAAAGGAAAAAAAAGTTTTGCTAAGGGCAGAGTGTTTTCTTAATTGTTAAGGGAAAGAAATTGCCAAATCATTTATAGATATTATATCAGAGTCCATCTGGCTAAAGTAAAATCAAATGAAAATACTAAATTTATATTTTCCAAACAGTTAAAATAATCCTACACATTTTGAGCAACAGGTTTGAAAAAAACATGTTTTATTTCACATTCAGGTCCCGGGTGTTTTTAAAACACCCATGTTATGGCTCTGGATGTGTGACAGAGGCTGGTCACCGACACACTATTCAATGAAAACTTGTCTGTCTTGACCTGTCTGTCTTTATGGTACCACTCTGCCTGGCAAAGGTGAACCATCTACAATACAGTCTCACTGGGTCAACAAAACAATTGTTGAAGCACAAGCTCATGTTGACTGTTACATTTCCTGCATATCTTTAATGCACTATAGTATGTATATTTCTATCCTGATGTTGGTATATTCTAACATAAAAATTCTAGAACATAGAAGCTGTTTAACTTTTTAAAAAATACAAATGTAAATGCATGCAAGCTGACAAGTAACAGTTTGCTACAAAAAGGATAATTAATTAGAATTACCACAATATCCTACTCTTCTGCATGAATTCCCACTATACTGGGAATGAAGTCCACAGAATGTTTCATGCCCCCCGGGCTCTATCTAACCTGTCTCCAATTACCTCTCCAGCCACATCTCCTGCCTCTCTCCTCCTACCACTATACTTTAGCCATGTTGTCGTTTATGTTCCTTGAATAGCCAACTTTGTCTCTGCCTTACTCTTTGCACTTTCTCTTCACTCTCCTTGTAATGTTAGTTCCATGGCCTCACATTGCTTATACACTCTTGTCTTTCAGCTCTCAATTCAAAATTCAATTCCTTATTGACTATTCCTTCCAAATTAAATCCAGCATCCTGAAATCCTCTATTACAACACTTCATTTTATGTTCTTCATAGCCTTAACTCTATCTAAAAATCACCCACCATGTATTGGTTCATGTTACATTTTGCCTGTTTATCACCCCGGAATATGAATTGAAGTCTTATTTATTTATTCTCCACTATTTCCCAAACACTATTTCTCTATAAAACTGCCTGGAACACAGCAGAGCTCATTATATTTGCTGGAAAAAAAAACAGTAATTCATAGCATTTATATGCAAAGCATAGACTCTCAGAGGAGATGAAATATAATCACATCTAGATGGTGGGATAAATTGCTGTTGAAAATCTTCAAAATTATTTCCTTTATACGGATGCTTTGTCCATAAAATGTACAAAAGAGATTTATTTTTTGTTTTTGTTTTTGGGGTTTTATTTCCATTAAATTGCCAGTACAAGTCAAACTTCCACAAAGCTTTGCAAGAACTTCCCAGGCCTGAAAAGGCAGCAAAGCTTTCCTCAAAAGAATAGAAACATGCCTCCTTGCATCATCTGTAGGCATAGGCTTGTGCAGGTATAGAAGGCCTAAGTTATGGAATACACTGTTAACTATTGAACTACTAAAACAGGTTAAACTAAAAATAATGGCAAAATTCCCAACTCCCATGGTCAAAGGATCAAAGAGAATTGGAAGTACGGTAGTAAGAGATTACATAAGGACAAGCAGTGTCATATTTTATCTCTTCTTAAATATGCGTCCCATGTTGTAATCTCTGACCTGAAGTCCATCCTATGTTTGAAGATATCTAAGAAACATCCTGTCTAAGATAACATAAGGTCATTTAGGTTTTGGCATGTCTACACTCAGATTTACCCCTCTCCACAAAATGATCCACGCCCTCAGAGACCAGAAAATGTAAAATCATCTTTCATATTTTCTTCTCTTCGTGCCACATGCTCTCATATACCAAATTTCACCCACCCTGCCTCCTTGAAATGTCTTTTGGCTCTAGGCCTTATCTGAGACTAGATTCTTGGAGCCACCAGCTGGCTTAGATCCACATCATCTCACATCAAGACCATGATCTCATCCTCTCCTGAGATGAGCTGATCTCCCCAAAGCCTGACTCTAAACCCTGACTGAGATTTGGAAAGTGGCCTTACCTACTGAACTGTACCATCACCTTTATTCTCAGAATTGTTTATCTGTATAAACAACTTAGAGAAGCAAGCCAAAAGAAAGAATGGTCTAGGGGACTTGTTTTGGTGCTGCACGTGCATAACATTTTAATTAAAATTAAGGGGAGTGTGGAAATCCATTATCCAAATTAAAGAGTAAGATGAAGGGCTGATGAACATTATTGGGGAGATGAGGGCTAAAGCTCACCCAACTCACTCCTTGCTGTCACTGATACTTAGGGCCCATTTTGCTTTGTTTCTATACATACTGGTCGTAGTTTCTTATTTGTGCAATGTATAGCATAGTGTGTGTAGAGCATGAGGGGCTTTAGATTACAAGATTAAGATAAAAACCACAGCTCCTAACTAAATTCCAAACATTTGTTACTACAATACATTTTCTTATTCAAATTTAAACACAAGGACCCATGATGGCATGTATCTCCTTATTTTTCCCAAAATAAAACTAATGTGGCTACCAAATAACCTAGAGTATGACTAAATTATAATTTAAAAATTGTTTTAATTAATAAGCTATTGCCCAATAAAATTTTGTAATAGAAACAATATTTTCAAATGTCCTCAATAAAATAGTTATTTTATTGGTTGAGGAATCTTGATATTTTAAGGAAACATCACAACCAAATTCAAACTTATTATTAATCTCAATGACAAAAATTTGAACCTCAATAAAAGCATTCATTTTAAAGGAAAGTACAAGAGGTTGTTAACAGTTGTGATCAAACCATTCTTAACAGTGGTCCCTCTGATACACTAGCTCAGCTGGCAAGAGTAGAGCCGACCAGCCTGACATTTAAGCTCACCACATGTGGGATAGTTAGTTCCAGTTTGCTTCATGACCACAAATTACATACCTAACTCTTGTCTACCAATTAAAGTGTATGACTTTGGTTGTGAGAATGGCCAAATAAAAGAATGTGGCTGTCTTGTGACAACATCTCTACTGGGAAAAACCACCTCAAACTCTCTGCCTTGTTGATGATGAATCAATAGTGCCATTGATACATAAATAAAGACAGCATTTTAATGCATTATACTAAAGGAGTCTCCAATTGTTTGATGTTAATTTTATAAAGAAAAGAGATGAACACATTTTTGAGAATGCATGAAAATATACATACTAAAATTTAATTTTACTGCTTTCCTAATACATCTCCTTCTTATTTCCAGTGACGATTTCAGATTGATTTCTGTCTATGAGACTAAACAGAGAAATAGAACGGTCCTGTGCATTTGCAAGATGCTGTCTCTTGAGAGTAGTCCCTCAGGATCATTTTTGAGAATATGTTGTATCAGCAAAGCAGAAGTGATCTGCACTCAAAGATTTTATATAATAACTATCAAAACCTTAGATAATGCAGAAACAATGGCAAGATATACTTTCTATCTATATAACTAGATAACATCCCTCCATATTTTAATCTCCTCTGGCACACTAAAAGAAAAAGAGAAAGGTAACAAGGATGGAATTGGAAAGAGAAAGGTAGCAAGGTAACAAAGATGGAATATATCATCTAATCATCTCTTGGTGATTTTTAATTTAATTATTCTTTAATTTATCTACCTCTGAAAAATCCCTGTATTTCAATCACTACTATTGCCACGAGGATGTCATATGTTAGCTTCTGGTAATTATGAGTCTTGCCTATCTGGTGGCACTTAGGATATTCTTTCCTGGAATATTAAGCTTACCCCACTTCATGCTTTCTGCTTGTCTCTATTACATAAACTTTTTAAAATACCATAGTTTGTAGACTTACTATAGATTTTTAAAAGCATGACCAATAACCACAAGCTGGCTACATGTTTTTTGTTTGTGTCCAAATAAACTTCTGTGTAAATATGCATATAAATACTGCATTTAATATCAAGGACAGGTATGAGAAAGAATATTGTACGCAAAGAAAGACTACTAGTCCAGTATTCTAAAAGATCCTTACTCAGAAAGGACCTGGATGAGATGATTCAGTGTTAACAGTCATGCCTGTAATACTAAGGCCTGAATTTCATGACAGCATCATGGACTTTGACTGCTCTCTACTGGATAGAAAATATATGAGGTCTTCTCAAATGGATAAGCATTTCTGAAGAGATTGTTTTTATCTTCTTTCTCTTCTCATATTAAGGTAGGTAAAGATTCCATTTCCTTGCTGTACTTCTTTATATGTAAGCTAACTGTATTATTATGTTATTTTCCACATTCCAAATTTCTGAATATTTTAAGATGATACATATACAATGATATATTTATCATAGCTTTACTTTTAAATGTGCTTTCTCCCAAATTTATTCCCAAGTCACTTCCAGCAAATGACATTTATATTATAATTTCTTTCAACATATATAGCAATCAGTGTTCAACCAACAATGCTCCTATGTTGTTATTATTGAAAAGAAGCCCTCCATCACACACACAGACACACACACACACACACATTCATGAGATACTAACAATGCTTTGATGATCATTTTTGGTTTTAAAACTAACAAAACAATCACAATTTATTTTTGATACTAAAAAGCTAGAGATTAGAGTTTCATAAATGAAATATGAGGCCTATGGGACACTGCCATAATAAGAAGAGGAAAGGTCACGTTGCCTTCCTGATGGAGGCAACTGTTCATTCCAAGCACTGATGTCATAGCTGCACTCCTGTAGGGAGATACTGAGTAGGAAACAGTTTTATTCCTTCATCAGTGTTCTCTGTGCTATTATATGAATAAAAAGTAAAGGCAACTCTGATAGAAAGAAATTTGGTTATGTAAAAAACATAATGAAAACATAATGCAAAATGAAAATTAATACTTAGAGCTTTTCTGAAAATAACACCTAAAATAAGCCTTTTCCAGACATTTCCAAGATATACTTTCTAACTCCTTCTAATATTCAGGATTAAAAAAATCTGTAAAATATTATCTGAATTAAAAGAAGAGTCTTCAAACTGAGATATATGTATTTCTGGGGTACCTGAGGCTTTCTAAGGAATTCCCATGAAAGGATGATATTAAGGAAGTTTATTTCTGGTACCTCAACCTTTGTAAATTCATTTTTCCTACATATTTATCTGTCTGAGACTCTGGGAGCCTCCTTTTATAATGGACTTTTCGCCTATTGTTTTCAACAACCAGATTGGAAAAACCTCATAATTCACGTGGCGACAATACAAAGGTTTTGGCCCTGATAGTTGGGAATTAGCATGATAATAAATGCTGACATACGGTGTTGCTGAACATTGCCTTTCCTCAAAAAAACTGCTGTAAAGGGCTCCAGTTGGTACCAACTCAAGCTGAGAACTCAGGATACACCCTCCTGCCTCACACCTACCCCTGAACAACACTGTGGAGAACCAGCGGTGTTTTGTGTGTGTGTGTGTGTGTGTATATATATATATATATATATATATGTATATATATATATATATATATATATATACTTAGCTTTATTTTAAAAAGTACTTTCTCCCAAATTTATTACCAAGTCACTTCTAGCAAATGGAATATGTGTGAGATACCATATGTGCATATACACACATATATACAAGTATACACAGACACATATGTGTGTGTACATGTATTGAAAGTATATATTTAGAATAAATAATTTGAAATAGAGTGTTTAATTTTACTTTTAGTAGATATTGTCAAATTTGCCTTTTGTAGATGCTGTACCACTTTATATTCTCAACAAAACCAAAGAAATATGTGGAAGATGTTTCTCCCACCTTGTTATTGAAGGTGGAAGAAACATCTTTTTTATAAACCATTAGGTGAAAAATGCAATCCTATCATTAATTTTCATTTCTTCAAATTATAAAATGAAGCATCTTTTCATGCATTTAGGAGCCAGACCAGGTGTGGTGGCTCGTGCCTATAATCCCAGCACTTTGGGAGGCCAAGGCAGGAGGATTGCTTGAGTCCAGTTCAAGACCAGCCTGGGCAACATGGCAAAACTCTGTCTCTACAAAAAAATACAAAAAAAATTAGCCAGGCATGGTGGTGCATGCCTGTAGTTCCAGCTACTTAGGCTGCTGGAGAGCATTACTTAAGCCAGGAGCCCAAGGCTAAGATTCTGCCACTGTATTCCAGCCTGGGCAACAGAGAAAACCCTCTCTCTAAATAAATAAATAAATAAAATTTAAAAATCTATTAAAGAGAGCCAATTCTTTCACGAATTTTTACATTATTTTTCTTATTTTTTTCTACTAAGTTCTATGTTATTCCAAAAATCTGTCTGTCTCCTCATATGCTGTGTCAATTTGTATAGCTTTTTTATTTTATTTTTAATTTTATTTATTTTTTATTTTATTTCCCTGTAGGGCTAGTCTCTCTTCTTTTTCAGAATTTCCTTCAATATTTTTGCATGTTATTTTATTTATTTTTTATTATTATACTTTAAGTTCTAGGGTACATGTACACAACGTGCAGGTGTTTTGCATAGGTATACATGAGGCATGTTGGTATGCTGCACCCATGAACTCTTCTTTTACATTAGGTATATCTCCTAATGCTATCCCTCCCTCCTCCCCCCACCCCATGACAGGCCCCAGTGTGTGAGGTTTCCCACCCTGTGTCCAAGTGTTCTCATTGTTCAATTCCCACCCATGAGTGAGAACATGCGGTGTTTGGTTTTCTGTCCTTGCAATTGTTGGCTCAGAATGATGGTTTCCAGCTTCATCCACGTCCCTACAAAGGACATGAACTCATCCTTTTTTATGGCTGCATAGCATTCTATGGTGTATATGTGCCTCATTTTCTTAATCCAGTCTATCAACGATGCATATTTGGGTTGGTTCCAAGTCTTTACTATTGTGAATAGTGCTGCAATAAACATGCATGTGCATGTGTCTTTGTAGCAGCATGATTTATAATCCTTTGGGTATATACCTAGTAATGGGATGGCTGGGTCAAATGGTATTTCTAGTTCTAGATCCTTGAGGAATTGCCACACTGTCTTCCACAATGGTTGAAGTAGTTTACAGTCCCACCAACAGTGTAAAAGTGTTCCTATTTCTCCACATCCTCTCCAGCACCTGTTGTTTCCTGACTTTTTAGTGATCACCATTCTAACTGGTGTGAGATGGTATCTCATTGTGGTTTTGATTTGCATATCTCTGATGGCCAGTGATGATGAGCATTTTTTTATTTGTCTGTTGGCTACATAAATGTCTTCTTTTGAGAAGTGTCTGTTCATGTCCTTCACCCACTTTGTGATGGGTTTTTTTTTTTCTTGTAAATTTGTTTGAGTTCATTGTAGATTCTGGATATTAGCCCTTAGTCAGATGAGTACATTGCAAAAATTTTCTCCCATTCTGTAGGTTGCCTGTTCATTCTGATGGTAGTTTCTTTTGCTGTGCAGAAGCTCTTTAGTTTAATTAGATCTGATTTGTCTATTTTGGCTTTTGTTGCCATTGCTTTTGGTGTTTTAGACATGAAGTCCTTGCCCACACCGATGTCCTGAATGGTATTGCCTAGGTTTTCTTCTAGGGTTTTTATGGTTTCAGGTCTAACATTTAAGCCTTTAATCCATCTTGAATTAATTTTCGTATAAGGTGTAAAGAAGTGATCCAGTTTCAGCTTTCTACATATGGCTAGCCTGTTTTTCCAGCACCATTTATTAAATAGGGAATCCTTTCCCCATTGCTTGTTTTTGTCAGGTTTGTCAAAGATCAGTTGGTTGTACATGTGTGGTATTATTTCTGAGGGCTCTGTTCTGTTCCGTTGGTCTATGTCTCTGTTTTGGTACCAGTACCATGCTGTTTTGGTTACTGTAGCCTTGTAGTATAGTTTGAAGTCAGGTAGCATGATGTCTCCAGCTTTGTTCTTTTGGCTTAGGATTGTCTTGGCAATGTGGGCCCTTTTTTGGTTCCATATGAACTTTAGTTTTTTCCTATTCTGTGAAGAAAGTCATTGGTAGCTTGATGGGGATGGCATTGAATCTATAAATTACCTTGGGCAGTATGGCCATTTTCATGATATTGATTCTTCCTCTCCATGAGCATGGAATGTTCTTCCATTTGTTTATGTCCTCTTTTATTTCATTGAGCAGTGGTTTGTAGTTCTCCTTGAAGAGGTCCTTCACCTCCCTTGTAAGTTGGATTCCTAGGTATTTTATTCTCTTTATTCACAGCCAAATTCTACCAGAGGTACAAGGAGGAGCTGGTACCATTCTTTCTGAAACTATTCCAATCAATACCTCCCTAACTCATTTTATGAGGCCAGCATCATCCTGATAACAAAGCCTGGCAGAGACACAATAAAAAAAGAGAATTTTAGACCAATATCCCTGATGAACATTGATGCAAAAATTCTCAGTAAAATACTGGCAAACCAAATCCAGCAGTACATCAAAAAGCTTATCCACCATGATCAAGTGGGCTTCATCCCTGGGACGCAAGGCTGGTTAAACATACGCAAATCAATAAATGTAATCCAGCATATAAAAAGAACCAAAGACAAAAACCACATGATTATCTCAATAGATGCAGAAAAGGCCTTCGACAAAATTCAGCAGCCCTTCATGCTAAAAACTCTCAATAAATTAGGTATTGATGGAATGTATCTCAAAATAATAAGAGCCATTTATGACAAACCCACAGCCCATATCATACTGAATGGGCAAAAACTGGAAGCATTCCCTTTGAAAACTGGCACAAGACAGGGATGCCCTCTCTCACCACTCCTATTCAACATAGTGTTGGAAGTTCTGGCCAGGGCAATCAGTCAGGAGAAGGAAATAAAGGGTATTCAATTAGGAAAAAAGGAAGTCAAATTGTCCCTGTTTGCAGATGACATGACTGTATATTTAGAAAACCCCATCATCTCAGCCCGAAATCTCCTTAAGCTGATAAGCAACTTCAGCAAAGTCTCAGGATACAAAATCAATGTGCATGTTATTTTCATATATTAATTTCATAGTTTCCCTCATGGTTTAAAAAAGATTCCATTGGTGTTTAATTCAGTTAGGAAAACTTTGGACTTAAAGTCAAGAAAGCATTTGGGGTGCTTAAATAAAAAGTTGCCTACTTTTCTCTATGTCTGGAAGTACCTAGCAGCTGGCTTTGGTTCAACAGTTCTGAGATGTTAGGCCAAGGTTGCTGTTAGTCTTTTGGCTTGTTCCTCACGCATACAAAATGACGCCACCTCACAGGCATCTTATCCAACTTCCACTTAAATATCATTAGCAGAGAAGTGTCAGATGGCCATATCCAACTTTCAGAAAGGGTAGAAAAGAGATATTTAGCTTTCCCAGCCTCTATAATGAAACAGAAGGCATTTGAGAATGGAGTTGTGTTGATAACCAATGTCCATTTCAGTGTGCAAAATATAATCTTATTTAATGTGTAAGTTTTTAAAGAGAAGTAACATATATATGACATTGAGATATTTATGTCCAACTACCAGATATGACTTCTATTTATTCAGCTCCAATTTTATATCCCTGAGAAAACTTTTCAAATATGTTTTGTATATTTTTGTTAAGTTTGTTCCAGAAGTATTTATATTATTATTGTAAATAGAAGCTTTTGTTATATTTTGTAACTGATTGATGCTTGTAAAGAGAAAATCTGTTAATTTTTCATATATTATTTTTTGCCCGAGCAATTTAGTAAATTGTCTTATTTGTCCAATCTTTCAATGGATTATCCTGGGTTTTCTATGGATATAATCACAAAATTTGCAAATAAGCTAGTTTTACCTCCTTTGTAACTCTTAAACTTTTTTCCTTGTCAGATTATATTGGATAATAACCCCCTAACATTATTAAATAATAGATGCTGTATTAATGAAGTTACAGGCTAAGCTCTGTAAAAGACAGTTACAAAAATACAGTGATTTAAGTAAGAAAGAAATTATTTCTCATCATGTAGAAGTCCAAAGTGAGTGACCTAGGACTGCGTGATTCTCAATGTAAGGCTTCTATCTCTTTTCCCAAAGGGGCTCCTGCCTTTGTCAACATTTCCCAACTAACAGCAAGAGGAAAAAAGAATGCCCAGAACAAGGACCTTTATCTTCTTCAAGGAGATTTTCTGGAGATTGCACACATGACTCCAAATACAACTCATTGTACAAAACTTAAGTCACATGGCCACAGCCACACTTAGCAGTGAAGCTAGAAAATACAGACTAGCTCAGCAACCACTTATTACTAAATGGGAGAAGAAGTCAACAGATACAATATAGTTAGCATAAAGAACACCAATGCCTTCTTCCTCACTTTAATGAGAATGCTTCTAGACTTTCCCATTAGGTTTTGTGGTGGCTATTGTGTTAATAAAGTATTAATTTATTCCTACTTTATTAAAGGTTTTATTTGTAGTAGAAATTAATGTTGAAGTTTATCAAATTTTTCCACATATATGGAGACTGTCATATATTTTTCTTTTTCATCCAGCAATATACTGAATTATATTACATAACATGTATTTTCTAATAGTTTCTAATATTGAAACTATGCTTGTGTTCCTGATATGACTCTTTGCAGATATCCTTCCTTAAAGGGTCAAAAATTTAAAATAATTAAAATCAGATTCTTTAGAAAGATAAATTAAGGTCAAGTAGTCCTGATTGTTTAGGAGACAGGTTTACATGATCCTTTGAGGCTTACATTAAGCAGGAGACAAAATCTCAGATGTTTCCAGAGACTAGATGGGTAATGAATATAGATAAAACATGAGTGATGTCATCTGGGTGGGGTTAGTGTGACTGGGCAAGCCAGGAGAAAAGGGCAGATGCTACTCAGTTGCAAATTTGAGGGAATATTCAATGCTTTTGATGCAATCTATTGTTAATTTTTTCTTTTTTTTCTTTTTTTCTTTTTTTATTATACTTTAAGTTTTAATGTACATGTGCACAACCTGCAGGTTAGTTACATATGTATACATGTGCCATGTTGGTGTGCTGCACCGATTAACTCGTCATTTAACATTACATATATCTCCTAATGCTATCCCTCCCCCCTCCCCCCACCCCAAAACAGGCCCCAGTGTATGATGCTCCCCTTCTTGTGTCCATGTGTTTTCATTGTTCAATTCCCACCTGTGAGTGAGAACATGCAGTGTTTGGTTTTTTGTCCTTGAGATAGTTTGCTGAGAATGATGGTTTCCAGCTTCATCCATGTCCCTAAAAATGACATGAACTCATCATTTTTTATGGCTGCATAGTATTCCATGGTGTATATGTGCCACATTTTCTTAATCCAGTCTATCATTGTTGGACATTTGAGTTGGTTCCAAGTCTTTGCTATAGACTCTGGATATTAACCCTTTGTCAGATGGATAGAATGCAAAAATTTTCTCCCATTCTGTAGGTTGCCTGTTCACTCTGATGGTAGTTTCCTTTGCTGTGCAGAAGCTCTTTAGTTTAATTAGATCCCATTTGTCTATTTTGGCTTTTGTTGCCATTGCTTTTAGACATGAACCCCTTGCCCATGCCTATGTCCTGAATTATATTGCCTAGGTTTTCTTCTAGGGTTTTTATGGTTTTCAGTCTAATATGTAAGTCTTTAATCCATCTTGAATTAATTTTTGTATAAGGTGTAAGGAAGGGATCCAGTTTCAGCTTTCTACATATGGCTAGCCAGTTTTCCCAGCACCATTTATTAAATAGGGAATCCTTTCCCCATTGCTTGTTTTTCTCAGGTTTGTCAAAGATCAGATGGTTGTACATGTGTGGTATTATTTCTGAGGGCTCTGTTCTGTTCCGTTGGTCTATGTCTCTGTTTTGGTACCAGTACCATGCTGTTTTGGTTACCGTAGCCTTGTAGTATAGTTTGAAGTCAGGTAGCGTGATGCCTCCAGCTTTGTTCTTTTGGCTTAGGATTGACTTGGTAATGCGGGCTCTTTTTTGGTTCCATATGAACTTTAAAGTAGTTTTTTCCTATTCTGTGAAGAAAGTCATTGGTAGCTTGATGGGGATGGCATTGAATCTATAAATTACCTTGGGCAGTATGACCATTTTCACAATATTGATTCTTCCTACCCATGAGCATGGAATGTTCTTCCATTTGTTTGTATCCTTTTTTATTTCATTGAGCAGTGGTTTGTAGTTCTCCTTGAAGAGGTCCTTCACGTCCCTTGTAAGTTGGATTCCTAGGTATTTTATTCTCTTTGAAGCAATTGTGAATGGGAGTTCACTCATGATTTGGCTCTCTGTTTGTTATTGGTGTATAAGAATGCATGTGATTTTTGCACATTGATTTTGTATCCTGAGACTTTGCTGAAGTTGCTTATCACCTTAAGGAGATTTTGTGCTGAGACGATGGGGTTTTCTAGATATACAGTCATGTTATCTGCAAACAGGGACAATTTGACTTCCTCTTTTCCTAAATGAATACCCTTTATTTCCTTCTCCTGCCTGACTGCCCTGGCCAGAACTTCCAACACTGTGTTGAATAGGAGTGGTGAGAGAGGACATCCCTGTCTTGTGCCAGTTTTCAAAGGGAATGCTTCCAGTTTTTGCCCATTCAGTATGATATGGGCTGTGGGTTTGTCATGGATAGCTCTTATTATTATTTTGAGATACGTCCCATCAATACCTAGTTTATTGAGGGTTTTTAGCATGAAGCGCTGTTGAATTTTGTCAAAGGCCTTTTCTGCATCTATTGAGATAATCATATGGTTTTTGTCATTGGTTCTTTTTATATGCTGGATTACATTTATTGATTTGTGTATGTTGAACCAGCCTTGCATCCCAGGGATGAAGCCCACTTGATCATGGTGGATAAGCTTTCTGATGTGCTGCTGGATTCAGTTTGCCAGTATTTTATTGAGGAGTTTTGCATTGATGTTCATCAGGGATATTGGTCTAAAATTCTCTTTTTTTGTTATGTCTCTGCCAGGCTTTGGTATCAGGATGATGCTGGCCTCATAAAATGAGTTAGCGAGGATCCCCTCTTTTTCTACTGATTGGAATAGTTTCAGAAAGAATGGTACCAGTTCCTCCTTGTTCCTCTGATAGAATTCGGCTGTGCATCCGTCTGCTCCTGGACTTTTGTTGGTTGGTAGGCTATTAATTATTGCCTGAATTTCAGAGCCTGTTATTGGTCTATTCAGCAATTCAACTTCTTCCTGGTTTGGTCTTGGGAGGGTGAATGTGTACAGGAATGTATCAATTTCTTCTAGATTTTCTAGTTTATTTGCATAGAGATGTTTATAGTATTCTCTGATGGTAGTTTGTATTTCTGTGGGATTGGTGGTGATATCCCCTTTATCAAGTTTTATTGCATCTATTTGATTCTTCTCTCTTTTCTTCTTTATAAGTCTTGTTAGTGTTCTATCAATTTTCTTGATCTTTTCAAAAAACCAGCTCCTGGATTCATTGATTTTTTGAAGGGTTTTTTATGTCTCTATTTCCTTCAGTTCTGCTCTGATCTTAGTTATTTCTTGCCTTCTGCTGGCTTTTGAATGTCTTTGCTCTTGCTTCTCTAGTTCTTTTAATTGTGATGTTAGGGTGTCAATGTTAGATCTTTCCTGCTTTCTCTTGTGGGCATTTAGTGCTATAAATTTCCCTCTATGCACTGCTTTGAATGTTATTGTTAATTTTTTCAAGCAATGTAAATCTCATATTTTTATATGAAATCTCTCAATTTAGGCCAGGCATGGTGGCGTATACCTGTAATCCCAGCGCTTTGGGAGGCCAAGGCCAGTGGATCACGAGGTCAGGAGTTCAAGACCAGCCTGGCCAAGATGGTGAAACCCTGTCTCTACTAAAAATACAAAAATTAGTCGGGCGTGGTGGCACACAACTATAATCACAACTACTCGGAAGGCTGAGGCAGGAGAATCACTTGAGCCTGAGAGGCAGAGGTTGCAGTGAGCTGAGATGGTGCCACTGCATTCCAGCCTGGGTGACAGAGCAGGACTCCATCTCAAACAAAACAAAACAAAACAACCTCTCAATTTATAAACACTGACAGCTAATTTACACACACACACACGCACACACACACACACCAGTACACAGGCCAAAGAAAACACAGCTACAGAATGGATTGGCCTACCATTGGTTACCTCTAGTTTAAAAGATATCTACCAGATCTATAAGGAACTCACACTGAATCAGCAAGAAAAAGACACATAATCCCATCCAAAGGTGGGCAAATGACACAAATAGACATTTCTCAAAAGAAGACATAAAAATGGCGAAGAAACACATGAAAAAAATACTAAGCATCACTAATTATCAAGAAAATGTGAATTAAAACCACTCCTACAAGAATGGCCATTATTAAAAAGTCAAAAAAGCAAGAGATATTGGTGTGGGTGTGGTGAAAGGGGAGAGCTTATTCACTGCTGGTGGGAATATAAATTAGGACAACCTCTCTGGAAAACAGTAAGGAGATTTCTTAAAGAGCTAAAAGTAGATCTGCCATTAGATCCACCAATCTCACTACTGGATATTTACCCAAAAGAAAAGAAGTCATTTATATTTTAAAAAAGGCATATGCACACAAATGTGGATTGCAGCACCCTTCACAATTGCAAACATATGGAACCAACCTAAGTGCTCATAGACCAATGAGTAGATGAAGAAAATGTGGTTTATATACACCATGGAATATTATTCTACCATAAAAAGGAGTGAAAAAATGTATTTTGCAGTAACTTGGATTGAGCCAGAGTACCTTATTCTAAGTGAAGTAACTCAGAAATAGAAAACCCAATGCCTTATGTCCTCACTTATAAGTGGGAGCTAAGCTATGGGTATGCAAAGACATACACAGTGATATAATGGACTTTGAAGACTCAGAAGTGGGGGAATGGGATGAGGGTGTGGGATAAAAATCTATGTATTGGGTAAAACGTACACCACTTGCATGACAGGTGCACTAAAATCTTAAAATTCACCACTATGTAATTCATCCATTTAACCAAAAACCACTTGTACCCCAAAAGCCATTGGAAAAAAAGGTTTTTTAAAAATACATTTATCCCAGCCTAGGGGAAAGTTTAATGGGAAGGGTAGGAGGCAATATAGCTCTGAATTTATGAAGTCGCAGGTAGCAGGACCAGCCCTGGTGGAGATCTCCTGGGCTGACCAACACCACAGAGCTATCTACATGTATGCACTGACAGGAGTGGTGCCTGCTCAAAGAGATCTGCTCAGGGTTTAGGCCATGAGAGTCCCACAGCTTTGGATGATGTTGAGGATTGCCTTCCCCAAAGCATTGCTTTGATAAGCTCCACAGTGGAGTAACAGTCCAAGCAGAGGACCCAGTGTATGGCCTCCTACCCCACCCCCTACTCCAAAGAAGAAAATCTGAGGTATTTTGTATGGCTACTAGTAGCTGAATTAAAAATCAGAAGAAACATGAGATGGTATGATTTTCCCCACGTTATATTCTTCTTGATAGTTATCTCTCAGGTCAATACAGTTTAGCTCACAGTCATAAATTTCTAGAAGAATCATTTCTCTGCAGTTATCCCATCTTCACCTCCTCTTCTATTCCATTTTCCTCATATGTCACAAAGTAAACTATTATACAAGATTATTCCTCTTTACTTCAGACCCATTGGTGCTAACACGTTCTTCAAAATATGGGCAGGCAATGGAATTCAACAAGCTTTTATCAAGTATTTATTATGTAGAGACTAACAGATGATCTTTGAGATGAGATGCCAAAGAGCTTAAATCTAGTCTATAATGTGTGTGCAAATTATCCTAAAATAAGGTAATATGTGACAAGTATCACAGGAGAGTCAAACAAAAATGCTATAGAAGGAAGAAGAGCCCATTTCCATAAAGATGACTGAAGAATGCTTAGTAAATGACTTAGTAATTGTGCTGTCCCTATAGGGTCAATAGGTCTTTGATAGGTGGAGAAAGGAGGCACAGGTAAAGAATACATAAGAAAGAAAGACTAGGAGATGAGAAGGACATTAAATTACAAAGCAGTTTGGTTTATTTGGAGCATGGGGAAACAGCTGAGCTTTAAGTAAGTAAATTTGGTTGTAAAGAGATCAAAGAGATTTGATGGCTCATACAAGGAATTTTGAATCTATTCTTCAAGAAATGGAAAGCAGAAGATTGATGAGCTCTGTAGATTGCAAAAGGGGACTAGAGCCCGAAGCAAAGAATCTCTGAACTCTGAGTGCACGACTGGTAGGAGACCAGATAGACTGCCATATGTCCTCCAGCTACATGGACTATGTTATTCTTCACTTTGGATGTAAAATACACTGGTGCAAATTACATCTTCCCAAAATAAAATAGGAAGTAATTATTAGTACCTCCTCATCTGGGATGGTAAGAGTTAAAAAAGATTAGACATATAAAGCATTTAACACAATAACTGCACATAATAAAATAGTAAGTCCCCAGTAAATGTTAACTATTATTAATATTATTAATTTTAAAATATTTTAAAGATAACAATTAGTTGGGTTTTTGTTGTTATACACAGTGAATTGTAAGCACTCCTCAGATTTTTGCAGCTATCCAGAATAATTATGTCATCTCTTCTGATGGCCCAGCATATAAATATCAAGTAATGTATTGTATGTGTTGATATATGCAAGGGGAAAATTCAGGAGGCCTGTACATGAACCTGCTAATGTGCTAGGAAATATTTTCTCTAGGAGTTGTGATTACAGGAGGCTCTCACATTCTATGACAAACATATGTAAGATGTTTACATTTTTTGACAATTGTTGATGAATTTCATAAAAAGAAAATAATAGTAAAAAATAAAATATATAGCAAAGACAAGTTTGTGCTTTACTTATTCCCCATTTTAGTAACAACAAGTTGTGAGTTCCATATAATGTACGTTCGGGACTATGTTCCTTCTCAGATTTGTGGTTTCTGGGGCATGCAATAATATATGTAGCCTTCTGTTATATGATTCTTCATGCCATCATATTTAGAAATTACAACAGAAAATGGAAGTATTAAAGACAGAGTTTGGAAAATGTTAATAATTTGGCAATATTCTCTGGACTTTTCATACCACAAGAATTCTCAAACAACTATTCAATTGTTTATCTGAAAATAAATATTATCAAGTACATAGGCCTTTTCTCAGTTCCAGTAAATGAGTTAACATTTTTCAATTTTCCAAGGATAATTTCCAAGCTTTCATCCAATGGGTTAGCATTAAAAACTAATTTTGACATTGTGTCTTCATTACTTCTACTATGTGCACATATATTTATTTTAAACAGATATTTTGGTATTTGAACTCAAAAATGCATGGTTGAAGTTCTCTGTTAATGGTTTTATAATTTTTTTATGAACTTCATCAAAATATTTGCAAAATTGCTTCAAAGGCAGTCACGTCAACCGTTTTACAGTAATTTCACCTCCCCACCTTCATCCTAACCTCAAAGAAATCTTTTGGTGCAGGGAAAAAGCTAAACTTCTATAAATTTGATTTGTTTGTACATTGCAAATAACCAGCTAAATATAAAATTTGTTTTCTAAAAAAATTAGAATCTCAAAAATGATATACTCAGAAAGAATTTCTTAAACAATTTAGGCCCAAAGATTTATGTGAATGTCTCTAGGACACACAGCTGTTTCGTGGCGGGGTTTGGGCCAGCACCTGTGTATCTTGATGCTCACTTCCATCCTTTTCTGGTTTTTATGCACAGGAAACTTCCCTGACACTAACTTTAAATCTATTTATTCATACCATATTTATTACCTAGCTTCTATAATGATCAAAGAATGCCGATTTGAACAGGCAATGCATTTGAACAGGAATCTCTTTGAAAGGGGTGCTACAGAAATGGGTAAAAAAAGGTGCAAAATCTTGTTATTGTTTTTATTATTGTTATTTTAACATATATCTCCTCCTAAATTTTCATTATTAACCCTTAGCTGCTATTCTTCTGATATGAAATTCTAAGAGTTTATTGTTACGGTTTTGGTAGATTCTGAAATGTGGCATAGCCAATGAAACAAAAAGTCGTATTGCTTTGTAAGGTCAGATGAGGAAGGAAGTAAAGTGTCCCCTGTGTCTGCCTGATTATTCTTCAAGATCAAGTTCTGCTCAGAATCTGAACCCAGAAAACAAAATGATTGCTTCTATCTGTATGAGTTTGATCAAATTGGAGCTAACACTTTGTTGGTTAAGATTATCATTAACTGTGAAGCAGAATTGCTTCAAGTTAATCTAGCCACTTGTGAAGACAAGCAGGAAAAGAGCATAGTTTTCTTGAGTCACCTGGCTTTTGTTTCATATTTAATCATTATATCATTTAAATTTTAATTTTTTTGCATCTGACTTATACTCAAAATCTGCCATAATACTCATTTTTAATATCTTAACATATCTTATAGTATACAATAAAATTTTTCTTTCCCCCAAATACCAAAACTCTTATAATGTTTGGAGAAAAACCTTTGAGGAACTAAGTTTCCAGAGTCTACAGCAAAATCAAGACAATCTTTAATTATTTTGAGTGTTTCTTATGTATGGAGTTCTAGAAAGTATCTCTGAAAAAAAACTCAGGTATAATTTAATTCACTGGACACAAACCTTTACTAAGAAAAAATTGCTTATAACATACTTCTAATTTAGTTTATAATTTTTCAGAAATTATCTAATTCACAGCTGATATTAAATGAAATACTGTAGAATAAAAAGGTAATGTTCTTTGATAATGTAATTAAGCTAAATACTTTAAATAGCACCAAGTAAAGTATTGCTGAATACACACCTAGTACTCTACATATTACTATGAAATATACATTATTTATTTAACATTATACTAATAAGCTATCTTTCAAACTCCATGAAATTAACTTAGAAGCTAAATGTTTGAAGCATTCCCTTACAAAACTGTATTACTTTATACACGTAAGTTAATTATTTGAAAAGTCTTTCAAAAGAGAAGCCAAGAAAATGTGTTTCTTCCTACATGTATTTAGATATGACAATTTCTGCATTGGGACATTATTGATATAGAATAATTAGATTTATTCTTTAGATCTTCTTGATGATGTGTCTTAACATACATTAAAATTGGCATTCTTGGGAGCCATTTGCAAGGAAAAAGAACAGACAATTTCTCAGAGGAAGGTCTCTTGGCAAAGGATTTTTACCAGTTTTATTAACCACATTCAGAAGTTGTTCTTTCTCGCCATTCAGAACAACATTTTACATGCTGTCCTCGTGAATTATGGCTGTGGCAAATCAAAATAAAGCTGGAGGATGTGTAGCAGCCAAAAATCCAGTAGTTGTTATATTATTTTAAAAATAAAAAAATGAAGTAAAATGAAAGAAAGTGAGAAAAACTTCATAATATATTTAATATCTGTGTTTTTAATGCTAAGGAAATAAAATTATTAATAAAACTACCCAATAGTTTGATCTATGCACACTATATTGCAATGTGTTATTTAGAAATTGTACAATATAAGTTGTATATGCATGTTAACTAAAAATACTACATGTTTGTATCAGTCCGTTCACACACTGCTATAAAGAAATACCTGAGACTGGGTAAATTATAAAGAAAAGATGTTTAATTGGCTCACAGTTCTGCAGTCTGTATGGAAAGCATGGCTCAGGAGGCTTCAGGAAACTCACAATCATGACAGAAGGTGAAGGTGCTACACACTTTTAAACAACCAGATCTCATGAGAATTCACTCACTATCACAAGAACAACAACAGAGAAATCCACCCCCATGATCCAATCACTTCCTACCAGGCCCCTCTCGCAACATTGGGGATTACAATTTGACACGAGATTTGGGTGGGGACACAAATCCAAACCATATCAATGTTTATACAGCATTTTTCTTGGAAGTAAAATAGGGAGAAGATAGCTTTGGATTTTATTCACTGGATATGAAAATGTAAAATGATTAGTTCATGGGCTTGATCTAGATGCTGAGGTAGGACCCTCCAAATTCTTTAGACCAAGGGGAGCACACCCAAGCAATGTGCTTTGTCCCAGTCTAAAGCTAAAAAGGAAAGTCTACTATGGACCTACAGGTAAGCTGATGGCCTGTATCACAGTTATGTCTCAGTGGATTGTCAGTGTTTTGTGTTTTTCTCCATTATTAGCAGTTATCGATTAATGCTAGGTAGGTTGCTCTTTCTTTTTTTCCTTTTCTTTTTCTTTTCTGTTTTTATTTTTTATTTTTTAAGAGATGTGATCTCACTATGTTTCCCAGGCTGGAAGCAATCCTTCCTTCTGTGCCTCCCAAGCAGCTGGGACTAAAAGCATACCCTACCATGGCTGGCTCTGATTATTCTTTTATTATTTTGCCTTGTGTTATTTTCTAGTGTCTTTAATTCTTTGTTATTATCAAGTTATTTTTCACTGCAAAATAGGACCGTGGAAGATCAGCAACTAACAAATTGTGTTCCCTATTGAAATGGGCCATAGTAAAAAAGATTTGAGAACTATTACTGAGACACAATTTCTGGTACACCATAGGCTACCTATCTGTTACCATTTCAGAGAAAATTTCGAACCCAAAGTGTCACCTGCAAGCTCAGATAATAGAATTTCAAGTTTAGAGATATATTGCTCCACATAGAACATGATAATCTAGTAAACACCTGTTTAAATAGAAAAAACCTAAAAGACAAGTACTTTGTGTGTTATTACTTAATTAAGTAAAAATTGCTTTACTATTTTGGCTTCCAAAATAACACCTATCTCTAATCAAAATGGCAGAAGAGACAAGTTTTGAGTTTAAGGGGTGAGTTAAGTGATGACTGGTAATATTCACTCTAAAGATGTTCTTTTGAACCTTAAGTGCAAAAATAAGGTTATGAAGATTGCCAGGTAACAGGATAGCAAGGATGAATACTCCAGGTATAACACATAACATGTGGAAAGAATCTTCAGGGCATTAAGAAGATGGCAGAGCACAAAATAAGCTAAAGAGATAGACAAGGATCAGGAAGGTAAGAACATGCATGCCATGGTGAAAGAGTATAAATTTTACTTTGGACTTAACAGGGAGTCATTGAAGGGATGTAAGCAAAGGAAAGAAATGACTAGAATCTAGTCATAGCCTTGCTTCTCAGTGACTTAAATTCAGGTCAATTTATTTGATGAAATTCCTGTCCAACTGTTTTAGCCAAGGCAAACAGATGAACAAACAAACAAAAAACCTACAAACTTTTTTCAAAAACAAAAGGTATTCAGAACCAACACATACACATACATCAAATAAAACAGAACACTCTGGCTGAAGAGTTGCCTGCTTGGCCCTCTTACTCTTTGCAGCAATCTGAGACTCTTCCACAAAATCCCCAGAGCTCCATGGATTACAGTGTAAAAAACCACTGGCTTTACCTATCTGCTTCCTCACCTGTGCCAAATTCCATAATCTCTAAAAGGCTTAACATACATTTTTTTCTATAGAGCCTTACACAGTTGATTTCCCCCTATAGACATTTTAAAGCACCCTCTTGATCATTTAATTGTGTAAAGTTGTCAAAATTGTACTTCATCTTGCTGCAGGGGAGCTTGCTTTGGTTTAAAAACATCCTTCCAGAGAGTAACTTTAAAAGGGGGGATGTCCAGATATAGTTGTTAGACTAAGTGCAAGAACCTCACTGCATCTTAAACAGTTGTGCATGCTAAGGCCCAAGTAAAAGGATGGGACTATTAACTTGCAGTACTTAAAAGTTTTAAAAATCTCAACTATCAAAATTATGCTTCAAACATAAAAGCAAGTGTGTTATCAGGAAAGACAACTAGTGTGATTTTGTTGCCCTTCAGCTTTATTCATCTCAAACACTGTATTCCAGATATCACCTTTTAAGGAAAGCATTATTTCTATTCATTTGTTCAATATCTAATAAAAGTCTCATGTTGTATAGTTCTTTTAGTTTAGCTAACACTATCCTGGAGAAATACTTTGACTTTTCATTATAAAAGGTAAAAATATACATTTTGAAGAAAAAATTAGGAGACAACAACATCTTTGGGATATGCTGAGGTGTCAAAAGATGTATCTGATCTCCAGTCCCAGTGTACTATATGGCCCTTCCAGCATATAGAGCATCCTGCCTTTCTGTGAAAAAAAAAGGGATGCCAGCAAAATACTAAGAAACAAAAGCAATTCAGGATTTAGCACTTTAGAACAAAAATAATTTAAGTGGGAAAAAAATTAATTTAAAAATTCAAATCCTGTAAGATTCAGCTTGAAATTTATGACCCAAAAATAGGTGCACATGTTATACAGAATAGTGGCCACTCAAATAAGTCCATATCCTAATCAGAAACTGTGAGTATGCTACCTTATATGGTAAAAGGCAGATGTGACTCAGTTAAGGATCTTGAGATGAAGAGATCATCCCGGATTATCCTGATAGGTACCATGTAATCATAAGAACCTTTGTGATTAAGAGAGAGACAGGAAGATTAGAGTTAGAAAAGAAACAGAGATGCCATGATAGAAAGACAGAGTCAAAGCCAGAGATTCCCAGATGCTATGTTTCTAGCTTTGAAGGTGGAGGAAGGCATCACTAGATCGGGAATACAGGTGGCCTCTGGAAGCTAAAAAAAGACAAGGAAACATTCTCTCCTAAAGCCTTCAGAAGAAATGTAGCCTTGCTGACCCATTTTGGATTTCTAACAAACAGCCAGATCATAACCTGTTTTTTTTTTAATAATCCAATGTTTGTCGTAATTTGTTGCCAGAGCAAAAGGGAATTGGTACAGGTTCTGGCACTGTGAGTGGGGTACTGCTGTAACAAATATTTAAATACGTAGACAAGGCTTTGAAACTGGGTAATGGGCTAGGAGAATTCTAAGGAACATGATAGAAAAACTAGGTTGCTTGGAGCATAATGTGGATTAAAGGCACTGCTGGTGAGGGCTCAGAGTGAAGTGAGGAGTATGGTAGAGAAAACCTGTATTAGCCCAGAAAATAATAAAATCATCATAAGCCATCTGTTGGTAAAAATATGAATATTAAAAGCACTGCTGGTGAAGTCTGAGAAGAAAATAAAGAACATGTTATTTGAACCTTGCTATATTGTGGCAGAAAAAAATTAGTCGATTTGTTTCCTACAGTGATGTGGAAAGCAGAACTTGTAGTGGATGAGCATGTATATTTAGTTCAGGAGATTTCCAGGCAAAACGTTGACAGTCCAACCCAGTTTCTCTTTGCTGCAAATATAGTAAAATGTGAGAGGAAAGAGACAGACTGTGAGAAGAACTGTTAAGCACAAGAAAGTTGGACTTAATGATTTGAGAACCTATCAGCCAATCCGGATTGCAAAACATGCTAAAATTGGGAGATTTCTTGTTAGGAAAGTGTTCTCTGAAGAGAAAGTCAAGAGCGTGAAACTTTTTCTAGGTGCCTCAGAAGGACTAAAAGATCAGAATGTTCATTCTCACAGAAGACACTGTGAAAAGATTAGACTCATAAATTGCCACATATCTCAGATATCTTAGCAGAAACAAAGAATATAGATGCGGTTATTCAGGAACAATCAGTGGATGAGCCTTTTGTCTAATAAGTAAGTGCCTGTGATATACACAGGAGACTCACAAGATTCCTGATAATTATATATCAGCAGAAAGAGTGCAACTTGGATTGAAAAGGATGGAGAAAGGACAAAATTTTAAAAGGCTGTAAAACTCCCAATTCTACAGGCAGGAAACAGGTGGATAAAACTACCTATCTGCAAAAAGAAGACGGTGAAGAAGGAGGAGGAGGAGGAAGGGGAAAAAAGAGAGAAAGAGAGAAGGACGGAAGGAAGGAAGGAAGGAAGGAAGGAAGGAAGGAAGGAAGGAAGGAAGGAAGAAAAAGTAAGAAGGAGAAAGAAGACAGAAAAAAGAGGAAGAAGAAACAAGAAGAAGGAAGAAGAGGAAGGAGGAAGAAGGAAGAAGAAAGAAGAAAGGAGGAAGTCAGTGTGGCGATTCCTCAGGGATCTAGAACTAGAAATACCATTTGACCCAGCCATCCCATTACTGGGTATATACCCAAAGGACTATAAATCATGCTGCTATAAAGACACATGCACACGTATGTTTATTGTGGCACTATTCACAATAGCAAAGACTTGGAACCAATCCAAATGTCCAACAATGATAGACTGGATTAAGAAAATGTGGCACATATACACCATGGAATACTATGAAGCCATGAAAAAATGATGAGTTCATGTCCTTTGTAGGGACATGGATGAAATTGGAAATCATCACTCTCAGTAAACTACCGCAAGGACAAAAAACCAAACACCACATGTTCTCACTCATAGATGGGAATTGAACAATGAGAACACATGGACACAGGAAGGGGAACATCACACTCTGGGGACTGTTGTGGGGTGGGGGTAGGGGGTAGGGATAGCATTAGGAGATATACCTAATGCTAAATGACGAGTTAATGGGTGCAGCACACCAGCATGGCGCATGTATACATATGTAACTAACCTGCACATTGTGCATATGTACCCTAAAACTTAAAGTATAATAATAATAAAATAAAAAAAAAGGAGAAGAAGGACCTCAAATGTGGAGCCATGAACCAAATGGGTAGAGCAATGGGCTTAGAGGATGGAGCAATGGGCCACCGGAGATAATTTCCAGGCTTTAATCCTAAGGAAATTTGGCCAGTTGTATTTTGAAATTGCTCAGGACAGTGATTCCATTTATTTCTTTCTATTTTCTTTAATGAAACTTTTCTACTTTTTAAGTAGGAATGTCTATAGTTGTTAACCTATCCCTGTCCCATTATTTTACTTTGGGAGCAGATAATTTGTTTTCTTTTTTCACAGGTCCACAGACAGAGAGGAATTTTTCCCTAGGAAGGATTATGGCTAGAGCCTCAACAATGCCTAATTTAGATGATGAAGATAATGATATTTGGTACTTTAGAAATGATAAGTCTTAAATGAGATCTTGAACTTTATACTATAAAAGAATTGAGATTTTGGGGGACCTTGGGATGGCATAAATGTATTTTCGATGTGAGACAGATGTAAATTTTTGAGAGGCAGAGGGCTGACTATGGTATACACAGTAACTGGCTTCCCAAAGATGTTCATGCCCAGTAATAAGAAACATTAGTTTGGAAGAACCTTCAAAACTGATGCCACGTTTTCCTATCACAGAATAAATAAAAATTCAATAGAGGAAAACTCTACTGCTGAGTTAGATGGAGTAGTTTGCTAAAGATGAACACTCCCAACAAAGAATAACTAAAAGCTAAATAACATACAAAATGTATGTGTTTAAAGCCAACAGGAAGCATGGGAATTACTGAACACCAGAGGAATTAATAATTCAGAGAGGAATGAGACTAGAGGTGATATGTAACCAGACATATCTGATAGCTCTTGCCAGATATCTAATATTTTTACCTCCAGATTCATTCTTCTCACGTCTTCATTCTGCTCTCTTCCTACTGGATTCCAGTGGGGTTTGGCCAATGGGAACCACAGAAAAACAAAATGGAGGAAAAGAGTGGTGACAAGATATTGACTCCCCTAAAATTTTTCCTAAAGAGTCATCTTAGGTTGGCTGCATCCCTTGAATAATTAAGGCTCCTTCCAAGTCAGCCTTTACTGCTAAATTGTCTTTGCTTATAGGTTCTGGTAGCCAATTCTTCCCTCACTTTTAGAGTTTGCTGCTAGCTCTGTGTGTTTGCACTATCACTTTTGGTGTCTGTACATTCACCCACATCTTCGTAATTAGTTTCTGTGTAAATAAACTATCCCTGAAGTACACTAACTTGAGTGTGCCATTTGCTTCTTGTAGGGATTTTATGAATATAGAGCCCTTATGCATCCTTGTGCATCCTACTGTGTTTCATGGAGGCAGAAAAGTGCAGCTTCTTAAGCCACTAAGAGCAGTAGGACATGGCCCATTAGCTCCATTAGTCCTAGTGGCCTTTCACATAGACAGAAATGGGAGTAACAGTAACTGGGCAAAAATCAGATGGGAAGGTAGATTTCTTTGCAGATGCTAGCACCAACAGATGGATACCAACAACCAGATCCCTCATTACCTAATACCCAGCCCCCAAACCCTTAGCATTGCAAAGCCCTCCAGAAGCATAATAGGTCAGAAAGTGTAAATTAAGTTATTATAGAAACAAAATTATTTTATTTTACCTTAACTTATAGACTAAAACAAGCATTTACATTATACAGTTCACATGAAACCTGGAAATTTTGAAGGTATTTTGGACTATCCGCTATCCTTAATTCTTTATCAACTAGTAAACGAGTACTACCATTTTTCTTGCAAAACATCTTTTAGATCTATTTTGTCCTCTGTTTTTATTATTAGCTACACATTTGCTTGGGTGCGTATTCCTCATTCCTGAATTGTTGCAGCAACTTCTTAACATGGATTCCACATTAATCTAGAAAAACTTAGATTGCCCTCAGTCTACTCACTTCTAGCATGAAATCATCATGAGTATATTTGGTAGTGACAAATATACACAAGAATAAGTATTTTTTTAATATTCATGCATCAGGTAATTTATTCCATATCCTCAGTTAGAGAAAGTAAAGACATTGAAAGAAACCAAGAAAATCTCTCTTTGTAGAAATCAGGAGTGAGGGAAAGACATACATCTCTAACCAACATAAAGTTAACTTGTTCTGTTTTCTTATTCTTAAATGGATGTGAAGCATCAGAATTATTCCAGATCAACTTCTGTGGACAGTGAACAAAAATGTATTTTTACAAAACACTATGATCTACAAAGTCGTTTCATATACTTTTTATTTTGTATTTATTTTTATTTATTTATTTATTTTTTATTATTATTATACCTTAAGTTTTAGGGTACATTTGCACAATGTGCAGGTTTGTTACATATGTATACATGTGCCATGCTGGCGTGCTGCACCCATTAACTCGTCATTTAGCATTAGGTATATCTCCTAATGCTATCCCTCCCCTCTCCCCCCAACCCACAACAGTCCCCAGAGTGTGATGTTCCCCTTCCTGTGTCCAAGTGTTCTCATTGTTCAATTCCCATCTATGAGTGAGAACATGCGGTGTTTGGTTTTTTGTTCTTGCGATAGTTTACTGAGAATGATGATTTCCAATTTCATCCATGTCCCTACAAAGGACATGAACTCATCATTTTTTATGGCTGCATAGTATTCCATGGTGTATATGGGCCACATTTTCTTAATCCAGTCTATTGTTGTTGGACATTTGGATTGGTTCCAAGTCTTTGCTATTGTGAATAGTGCCACAATAAACATACGTGTGCATGTGTCTTTATAGCAGCATGATTTATAGTCCTTTGGGTATATACCCAGTAATGGGATGGCTGGGTCAAATGGTATTTCTAGTTCTAGATCCCTGAGGAATCGCCACACTGACTTCCACAATGGTTGAACTAGTTTACAGTCCCACCAACAGTGTAAAAGTGTTCCTGTTTCTCCACATCCTCTCCAGCACCTGTTGTTTCCTGACTTTTTAATGATTGCCATTCTAACTGGTGTGAGATGGTATCTCATTGTGGTTTTGATTTACATTTCTCTGATGGCCAGTGATGATGAGCATTTTTTCATGTGTCTGTTGGCTACATAAATGTCTTCTTTTGAGAAGTGTCTGCTCATGTCTTTCACCCACTTTGTGATGGGGTTGTTTTTTTTTCTTGTAAATTTGTTTGAGTTCATTGTAGATTCTGGATATTAGCTCTTTGTCAGATGAGTAGGTTGCAAAAATTTTCTCCCATTTTGTAGGTTGCCTGTTCACTCTGATGGTAGTTTCTTTTGCTGTGCAGAAGCTCTTTAGTTTAATTAGATCCCATTTGTCAATTTTGGCTTTTCTTGCCATTCCTTTGGTGTTTTAGACATGAAGTCCTTGCCCATGCCTATGTCCTGAGTGGTAATGCCTAGGTTTTCTTCTAGGGTTTTTATGGTTTTAGGTCTAACGTTTAAGTCTTTAATCCATCTTGAATTAATTTTTTATAAGGTGTAAGGAAGGGATCCAGTTTCAGCTTTCTACATATGGCTAGCCAGTTTTCCCAGCACCTTTTATTAAATAGGGAATCCTTTCCCCATTGCTTGTTTTTCTCAGGTTTGTCAAAGATCAGATGGTTGTAGATACGTGGCATTACTTCTGAGGGCTCTGTTCTTTTTCCATTGATCTATATCTCTGTTTTGGTACCAGACCCATGCTGTTTTGGTTACTGTAGCCTTGTAGTATAGTTTGAAGTCAGGTAGTGTGATGCCTCCAGCTTTGTTCTTTTGGCTTAAGATTGACTTGGTGATGTGGGCTCTTTTTTGGTTCCATATGAACTTTAAAGTAGTTTTTTCCAATTCTGTGAAGAAAGTCATTGGTAGCTTGATGGGGATGGCATTGAATCTATAAATTATCTTGGGCATTATGGCCATTTTCACGATATTGATTCTTCCTACCCATGAGCATGGAATGTTCTTCCATTTGTTTGTATCCTCTTTTATTTCATTGAGCAGTGGTTTGTAGCTCTCCTTGAAGAGGTCCTTCACGTCCCTTGTAAGTTGGATTCCTAGGTATTTTATTCTCTTTGAAGCAATTGTGAATGGGAGTTCACTCATGATTTGGCTCTCTGTTTGTCTGTTATTGGTGTATAAGAATGCTTGTGAATTTTGTACATTGATTTTGTATCCTGAGACTTTGCTGAAGTTGCTTATCAGCTTAAGGAGATTTTGGGCTGAGACAATGGGGTTTTCTAGATATACAATCATGTCATCTGCAAGCAGGGATAATTTGAATAAGTATTAATGCCTGGTACAAAAGAAAGAAGAATGTCAGCTTTCGAAATTAGGGCTCCTTCTGTGTACCTGGCATGAACCTTGCTCTCAGCCTTAAGTCTGCCTCACTTATAATATTTCCAAGCTTATAAGAAACAGTATTTTCTTTATTCTCTGACTAAAAAGTAATTATAAAGTAAATAAAGATTTAATTAATTTAATGGTAACCTAATAGTTATTGAATGAGTAGCATATGGTAAGATGTAAAAAAAGAAAGCAATTTTATTGTTTCCTACTACTATCCTTGCAAATGTGCCCCAAGATTTTCACTCACCTTTAGATAAATTTAGGGCAATACTTACTGCTTCTCTGGTCACTACAGTCTCTTTCTGCGGTAATAGCAAGTCTATTCTACATAAAATTCTAAAGTTCATTTAAATAGTCTTCCCATCCTCTGCTCTGGTTGTCTCCCCCTCGGAAGGTTATGGTAGGGCAGAGGGCTTTGGTGTAGACTTTTCCTTCATCAATTTCCCAAATTTCCAGCTGCTTTAGATCTCTAGAAGACTAATCTGAGAAAGAAAAGTTAAGAGGCAGAAATGCTGTGCGTGACTGATTTAGTTATCATCTAGGGCTGTGCCCTCTAGGGGTGATATATTCTACATGCTAATTCTTTCTCATGTAGGGTGCTTATATGCTGAGACCTTTCCCCAAACACAACTGTTGACTATGTTTCCTTTGAAAGACCATTTTTGGCTTTCCTGTTGACCCACCAATATTTCTGCTTAAGGTTTTCAGATTAGGTTGTTCTCTTCCTTGCCCTAATCAAACCTGACTGACAACCCATTATGCAAATCAGCAGATTCTTCCAGGCCTTTTAAAAATGAAAGATTTTAGGTATTAAAAACACATTTGACTCAGCAGCCCCACTCCTATCTACCCAAAAGAAAAGAAATCATATCAAAAAGACACCTGCACTCACATGTTTATTGCAGCACTATTCACAGTAGCAAAGGCATGGAATCAATCTGTGTCCATCAACAGATGACTAGATAAAGAAAATGTGGTACATACACACCATGTAATATTACACAGCCATCAAAAAGAATGAAATCATGTCTTTTTCAGCAACATGGATGGAGCTGAAGGCCATTATCCTAAGTGAAATAACTCAGAAGAAGAAAAGTCAATATTGCACATTATCACTTATAAGTGGGAGCTAAACAATGACTATACATGGGCAATCATAGAGAAAAATAGACACTGGGGACTCCAAAAGGGGAGAGGGTAGGAGAGAGGTGAAGGTTTAAAAACTACCTACTGGATACATTGTTCATTTTAAGGAGGTTGGATACAATAGAAACCCAAGCCCTACCAGTAGGCAATATATCCATGTAACAAACCTGCACAGGTACCCCTTGAATCTATAGAAAAAAAATACGTTCAATGATCACTTACAATGATTTCTAGGAAAATCTATAATGTAGATTAAAAATGATTACTATGTACCAGGAACTTTACAAATGGTATATTTGGTATATTATTTAATCTTCAGAAAATACTTTGGGAAAACTATCTTTATCACCATATTACAAATGAGAATACTGACACTCTGAAGAGTAACTTGCCCTAGATTACATAAGTAGTGAATTGGAAATTGGAATTCCAACCATAGAGATGATTAATTATGAAAATCAAATGAGCTAATATCTGTAAAGAACTTAACTCATATAGTAGACACTAGACAACACTTGTTTAAGTAAGCAAAACTATGTTGTCTCCCGAAGGTCATTTTTAATCTTTCATCTGTCATTCAAAAAGTGCTTGAATGTACTTTATTCATCCACAAAATGTACTGGCAAAGACTACTTGTATAGCATGACTCTCTGCCTTCCTAAAGCCTAACAACTCATTTGAAGATGAGGCATATATACCTGAAACAATTAAGTAATACTGCAAGACAGTATTTCAAGGAATGGTCATTATCAGATTTTGAAAAAAGAAGAGATCAATGAGAATGCAGCATTCAGAAATGAAGAGTTAACATGGAACTCTGGAGGTATGGTCACAAAAGGCAAAGAGTTTAAAAGAAATCCATGCACAAAAGTTAAAACTGGACAAAACACCCACAAATCACTTTTATACCCACCAATAAAGATACAACCCCCAAGTAAATTATGCAAACAGTAACTGTTACCAAGTGTTCTAAAAAATAGGACACATGCTACTTATGGGTGGTGGGGTGTCAGGGGAAAAAGCAACTATGTGTTTAGAGGAGAAAACTTTTATAAAAAATAAAGGAATGTTAATTGTCATGGAAAAAAAATACAGAATACTCAGAATAATATATGTAAATAGACTGATTGTTCTAGCCAATGTGAAAACAATAAGTTTTTAGTCAAGGTCCAAAAATAAAAATAGAAATTTAAAGGGACTATATTTAATGTGTTCTTTGGTTTTATAGCCATGTAGCTCAAATTTAATTATTAGTTGAGTAAATAAGTTTGTCATTGAATATAAATGTAGTGCACATATTTGTAAATTTTTATATTCAAGTATATAAGCTAATAAAATATCAAGATTAAATTAAAAGCATATATAAATTCTGTTTTATGCTTATTTCATTATTTGAGCTTTATCTGTTTTAAATTTTTAAAATTTCTTAAAATTTTTATTTATTGATTGATTTTGAGACAGAGTCTCACTCTGTCACCCAGACTGGAGTGTAGTGGCAAAACCATGGCTCACTGCAGCCTCAATATCCTGGGCTCAAGCAATTCTCTCACCTCAGCATCCCTAGTAGCTGGGACTATGAGCACATATCACCACACCTAGCTAATTAAAAAAAAAATTGTAGAGATGTAGTCTCACTATGAGAAGCTTTGAGCTTCATCTTAAGACTATTTTAGTTCTACTCTTAAAAGAGATTTCAATAAATTATTAACTAATAACTAAATATTGGATGCACAAACACTTTTTAAATGAAGTTTACATTAGTTAATTAACTTTATGTCTCCAAATGCCTTTTAAAGTTTACCTTCTCTGGAGGCATCACACTATCCAACTTCAAACTATATTACAAGGCTACAGTAACCAAAACAGCATGGTACTGGTACAAAAACAGACACATAGACCAATGGAACAGAATAGAGAACTCAGTAATAAGACCACATAACTACAACCATATGATATTTGACAAATATGACAAGCAATGGGAAACAAGCAATGGAAAAAGGATTCTCTATTTAATAAATGCTGCTGGGAGAACTGGCTAGCCATATTGCAGAAAATTGAAATTAGACCCATCCTTACACATTTTATAAAGGTCAACTCAAGAAGGATTAAAGACTTAAATGCAAAACCCAGAACTATAGAAACCCTAGAAGAAAACCTAGGCAATACCATTCAGGACATAGGCATGGACAAAGATTTCATGACAAAAATGCCAAAAGCAATTGCAACGAAAGCCAAAACTGACAAATGGGATCTGATTAAACCAAAGAGATTCTGCACAGCCAAAGAAACTGTCATCAGAGTGAACAGAAAACCTACAGAATGAGAGAAAAATTTTGCAATCTATCCATCTGACAAAGGTCTAATATCCAGAGTCTACAAGGAACTTAAACAAATTTACAAGAAAAAACAGCCCCACTAAAAAGTGAGCAAAGGACAAGAACAAACACTTCTCAAAAGAAGGCATTCATGCGGCCAACAGACATATGAAAAAGCTCAACATCACTGATCATTACAGAAATTCAAATCAAAACCGCAATAAGATACCATCTTATGCCAGTCAGAATGGCAATTATTAAAAAGACAAGAAACTATAGATGTTGGCAATGTTGCAGGAAAAAAAGAATACTTTTACATTGTTGGTGGGAGTGTAAATTAGTTCAACCAGCGTGGAAGACAGTGTGGCAATTCCTCAAAGATCTAGAAGGAGAAATATCATTTGACTCAACAATTCCATTACTGGGTATATACCCAAAGGAATATAAATCATTCTATTATATACATGCATGTGTATGTTCATCGTAGCACTATTCACTATAGCAAAAACATGGAATCAACCCAAATGCCCATCAATCATAGACTGGATAAAGAATATGTGGTACATGTACACCATGGAATACTATGCAGTTAAAAAAAGGAACAAGATCATGTCCTTTGCAGGAACATGGATGAGGCTGGAAGCTGTTATCCTCAGTAAACTAATGCAGGAAGAGAAAACCAATTACCGCATGTTTTCACTTATAAGTGGGAGCTGAACGATGAGAACACAGGGACACGTGAGAGAAACAACACACACTGGAGCCTGTCGAGGGTGGGTGGAGGGGCAGGGAGAGCATCAAGAAAATAGCTAATGGATGCTGGGCTTAATACCTAGGTGATGGGTTGATCTGTGCAGCAAACCACCATGGCACGTGTTTACCTATGTTACAAGCCTATACATCCTGCACATGTACTCCAGAACCTAAAACAAAAGTTGAAGGAAAAAAAAAAGTTTAGCTTCTGACCAAGAATATGTCTTTTCTCAAATCATTATTTTTAAAATATACTTATTCTTAATTAAATTATAACTCCTAATTTTTCTGCCTCATATATTTTCAATTCTATCTGTTAAAAATCAATAGCCTTCTCTGATCAGTGAATGTAGAAACACATAATTAAATAATCTACCTATGAAGAGAAAAATAGTAAATCAAATTATATAATAAACATACATAAAATAAATTCATTGTATTAAGTTCAGAATCAATTAAGTAAATATTTTTAAAATCATCCCAATCTTAATCATTTTGAGATCAAGAAATTTTATTTTTAAATAGGAAACATTTAATATGAATTTATAGAATGAATGAATGAGGCACCCATATTATAACATACAATTGTATTGCTTCCTCAATCATTTTTAGTATAATACACATTGAAATATAATAAAGATTTTAATATTTTACTGTCAAAGAGAACCCTTGTGATCACAGATTTAAGGCTACAATCAATTATTATTCACATTCAGCTTTTATTAATTTAACATTTATACTAAATATACCCAATGTTTTTAAGTGCTTAAAAATATTGATGCTTTAATTTTAACTTTATATAAGAGCCTGTGAGGTAGGTATGATTATTATCTGCATTTCACAGACAGGAAACTGAAGTACAAAGAGTATATAACATGCCCAAGACAGAGCTGGGGTTCAAACCCAAGCAGTCTGGACCTGTAGAGTTCATGACATTAAGTCCTCTACACGTTGTCCCTAATTATGCAGACTTTACATGCCAATCTATTAAACCTTCCTTATATTCATTAAGTAAATTGAGGCCTTAAAATAAAAGCTGTGAAACAGGATCTTCTTATTCATTCCACATTAAACAGAAGTCAGGTACTTACAGAATCAAAGAGCTATTTTGCTTCATCTCAGATATTTTAAGCAATATATCCCATTGATTTAATTCTGAATACTAAGAACTTATATATAGCTCTTTTGAAGGTCAAGATAAAGTAATGACTTTCAGCCAATTTCCTTAAAGAAGAAAAAACTGTAGTAAAAGTATTAAGAAATCAACAACATTGGTCTCTAAGTTCAAGATGTGAGGAGCTACTAGATTAATAGTGCTCTAGTTTTACTATGCCTCAGAAGAACCTGAAAGGCTTGCTAAAACACAGATTTCTGGCCCCCCAACCTGATAGCTTCTGATTGAGGAGATCTAGGGTAGAGTGCAATAATTTACATTTCTTACAATTCCCCAAGTGATGCTGATAGTAAGACGAGACTCTGAGAAACATTTATCTAGACCAAGGTCTCCCAGGTAGAGTTCCATAGGAACTTTTTCTTAGGAAAATACAGGTTTTCTTTGAAAATAAATTTGTGATCAAAAGATTAGGAAATTATATGAACTTGAGGAATCACCAAATATATTAGTATATTATGAGAAGTCTTAGAAATATCTCTCATTTTTGGGGGCGGTTCCAAGATGGCCAAATAGGAACAGCTCCAGTCTACAGCTCCCAGCGTGAGTGACGCAGAAGACGGATGACTTCTGCATTTCCAACTGAGGTACTGGGTTCATCTCACTGGGGATTGTCGGACAGTGGGTGCAGGACAATGGATGCAGTGCACCGAGCGTGAGCAGAAGCAGGGAGAGGCATCACCTCACCCTGGAAGCACAAGGGGTCAGGGAATTCCCTTTCCTAGCCAAGGAAAGGGGTGACAGACGGCACCTGGAAAATCGGGTCACTCCCACCATAATACTGTGCTTTTCTGACGGTCTTAACAAATGGCACACCAGGAGATTATCTCCCGCTCCTGGCTCAGAGGCTCCTATGCCCATGGAGCCTCGCTCATAGCTAGCACAACAGTCTGAGATCAAACTGCAAGGTGGCAGCGAAGCTGGGGGAGGGGTGCCCAACATTGCTGAGGCTTGAGTAGGTAAATAAAGAGGCCGGGAAGCTCGAACTGGGTGGCAGCTTGGAAGACAGTAGTGGTTCTCCCAGCACACAGCTGGAGATCTGAGAACGGACAGACTGCCTCCTCATGTGGGTCCCTGACCCTCGAGTAGCCTAAATGGGAAGCACCCCCAAGTAGGGGCAGACTGACACCTCACATGGTCGCATACTCCTCTGACACAAAACTTCCAGAGGAATGAACAGGCAGCAACATTTGCTGTTTACCAATATTCACTGTTCACCAATATTCATTGTTCTGTAGCCTCCGCTGCTGATACCCAGGCAAACAGGGTCTGGAGTGGACCTCTAGGAAACTCCAACAGACCTGCAGCTGAGGGTCCTGACTGTTAGAAGGAAAACTAACAAACAGAAAGGACAACCACATCAAAACCCCATATGTACGTCACCATCATCAAAGACCAAAGGTAGATAAAACCACAAGGATGGGGAAAAAGCAGAGCAGAAAAACCAAAAATCCTAAAAATCAGAGAGCCTCTCCTCCTCCAAAGGAACGCAGCTCCTCACCAGCAATGGAACAAAGCTGGATGGAGAATGACTTTGACAAGTTGAGAGAAGAAGGCTTCAGATGATCAAACTTCTCTGAGCTAAAGGACAAAGTTCGAACCCATGGCAAAGAAGTTAAAAACCTTGAAAAAAAGATAAGACGAATGGCTAACTAGAATAACCAATGCAGAGAAGTCCTTAAAGGACCTGATGGAGCTGAAAACTAAGGCATGAGAACTACGTGACAAATGCAAAAGCTTCAGTAGCCGATTCAATCAACTGGAAGAGAGGGTATCAGTGATGGAAGATCAAATGAATGAAATGAAGCGAGAAGAGAAGTTTAGAGAAAAAAGAATAAAAAGAAATGAACAAAGCCTCCAAGAAATATGGGACTATGTGAAAAGACCAAATCTACGTCTGATTGGTGTACCTGAAAGTGATGGGGAGAATGGAACCAAGTTGGAAAACACTCTGCAGGATATTATCCAGGAGAACTTCCCCAATCTAGCAAGGCAGGCCAACATGCAAATTCAGGAAATAGAACACCACAAAGATACTCCTCAAGAAGAGCAACCCCAAGACACATAATTGTCAGATTCACCAAAGTTGAAATGAAGGAAAAAATGTTAAGGGCAGCCAGAGAGAAAGGTCAGGTTACCCACAAAGGGAAGCCCATCAGACTAACAGCTGATCTCTCAGCAGAAACTCTACAAGCCAGAAGAGAGTGGGGGCCAATATTCAACATTCTTCAAGAAAAGAATTTTCAACCCAGAATTTCATATCCAGCCAAACTATACTTCATAAGTGAAGGAGAAATAAAATACTTTACAGACAAGCAAATGCTGAGAGATTTTGTCACCACCAGGCCTGCCCTACAAGAGTTCCTGAAGGAAGCACTAAATATGGAAAGGAACAACCGGTACCAGCCACTGCAAAAACATGCCAAATTGTAAAGACCATCAAGGCTAGGAAGAAACTGCATCAACTAACGAGCAAAATAACCAGCTAACATCATAAAGACAAGATCAAATTCACACATAACAATATTAACCTTAAATGTAAATGGGCTAATGTTCCAATTAAAAGACACAGCCTGGCAAACTGGATAAAGAGTCAAGACCCATCAATGTGCTGTATTCAAGAAACCCATCTCACGTGCAGAGACACACATAGGCTCAAAATAAAGGGATGGATGAAGATATACCAAGCAAATGGAAAAAAAAAAGGCAGGGGTTGCAATCCTAGTCTCTGATAAAACAGACTTTAAACCAACAAAGATCAAAAGAGGCAAAGAAGGCCATTACATAATGGTAAAGGGATCAATTCAACAAGAAGAGCTAACTATCCTAAATATATATGCACCCAATACAGGAGCACCCAGATTCATAAAACAAGCCCTTAGAGACCTAGAAAGAGACTTAGACTCCCACGCAATGATAATGGGAGACTTTAACACCCCACTGTCAACATTAGACAGATCAACGAGACAGAAAGTTAACAAGGATATCCAGGAATGGAACTCAGCTCTGCACCAAGCGGACCTAATAGACATCTACAGAACTCTCCACCCCAAATCAACAGAATATACATTCTTCTCAGCACCACACTGCACTTATTCCAATATTGACCACATTGTTGGAAGTAAAGCACTCCTCAGTAAATGTAAAAGAACAGAAATGATAACAAACTGTCTTTCAGACCACAGTGCAATCAAACTAGAACTCAGGATTAAGAAACTCACTCAAAACCACTCAACTACATGGAAACTGAACAACATGCTCCTGAATGACTACTGGGTACATAATGAAATGAAGGCAGAAATGAAGATGTTCTTTGAAACCAATGAGAACAAAGACACAACATACCAGAATCTCTGGGACACATTTAAAGCAGTGTGTAGAAGGAAATTTAGCACTAAATGCCCACAAGAGAAAGCAGGAAAGATCAAAAATTGACACCCTAACATCACAATTAAAAGAACTAGAGAAGCAAAAGCAATCACATTCAAAAGCTAGCAGAAAGCAAGAAATAACTAAGATGAGAGCAGAATGGTAGGAGATAGAGACACAAAAAACCCTTCAAAGAATCAATGAATCCAGGAGCTGGCTTTTTGAAAAGATCAACAATATTGATAGACTGCTAGCAATACTAATAAAGAAGAGAGAATAATCAAATAGATGCAATATAAAACGACAAAGGG
This sequence comes from Homo sapiens, assembly GCF_000001405.40. NCBI lineage: Eukaryota > Metazoa > Chordata > Mammalia > Primates > Hominidae > Homo > Homo sapiens. Next base: position 74,375,891 of record NC_000006.12, on the reverse strand, counting down.
GATATCACCACCGATCCCACAAAAATACAAACTACTATCAGAGAATACTATAAACACCTCTACACAAATAAATTTGAAAATCTAGAAGAAATGGATAAACTCCTCGACACATACACCCTCCCAAGACTAAACTAGGAAGAAGTTGAATCTCTGAATAGACCAATAACAGGCTCCAAAATTAAGGCAATAATTAATAGCTTACCAACCAAAAAAAGTCCAGGACCAGATGGATTCACAGCCGAATTCTACCAGAGGTACAAGGAGGAGCTGGTACCATTCCTTCTGAAACTATTCCAATCAATAGAAAAAGAGGGAATCCTCCCTAACTCATTTTATGAGGCCAGCTTCATCCTGATACCAAAGCCTGGCAGGGACACAACCAAAAAAGAGAACTTTAGACCAATATCCCTGATGAACATCGATGCAAAAATCCTCAATAAAATACTGGCAAACCGAATCTAGCAGCACATCAAAAAGCTTATCCACCGTGATCAAGTGGGCTTCATCCCTTGGATGCAAGGCTGGTTCAACATAGACAAATCAATAAACGTAATCCAGCCTATAAACAGAACCAACGACAAAAACCGCATGATTATTTCAATAGACACAGAAAAGGCCTTTAACAAAATTCAACAACCCTTCATGCTAAAAACTCTCAATAAATTAGGTATTGATGGGACATATCTCAAAATAATAAGAGCTATCTAAGACAAACCCACAGCCAATATCATATTGAATGGGCAAAAACTGGAAGCATTCCCTTTGAAAACTGGCACAAGACAGGGATGCCCTCCCTCACCACTCCTATTCAACATAGTGTTGGAAGTTCTGGCCAGGGCAATTAGGCAGGAGAGGGAAATAAAGGGTATTCAATTAGGAAAACAGGATGTCAAATTGTCCCTCTTTGCAGATAACGTGACTGTATATCCAGAAAAGCCCATCATCTCAGCCCAAAATCTCCTTAAGCTGATAAGCAACTTCAGCAAAGTCTCAGGATACAAAATCAATGTGCAAATATCACATGCATTCTTATACACCAATAACAGACAAACAGAGAGCCAAATCATGAATGAACTCCCATTCACAATTGCTTCAAAGAGAATAAAATACCTAGGAATCCAACTTACAAGGGATGTGAAGGACCTCTTCAAGGAGAACTACAAACCACTGCTCAACGAAGTAAAAGAGGTTACAAACAAATGGAAGAACATTCCATGCTCACGGGTAGGAAGAATCAGTATGGTGAAAATGGCCATACTGCCCAAGGTAAATTATAGATTCAATGCCATCCCCAGCAAGCTACCAATGACTTTCTTCACAGAATAGGAAAAAACTACTTTAAAGTTCATAGGGAACAAAAAAAGAGTCCACATTGCCAAGTCAATCCTAAGCCAAAAGAACAAAGCTGGAGGCATCATGCTACCTGACTTCAAACTGTACTACAAGGCTACAGTAACCAAAACAGCATGGTACTGGTACCAAAACAGAGACATAGACCAATGGAACAGAACAGAGCCCTCAGAAATAATACCACACATGTACACCCATCTGATCTTTGACAAACCTGACAAAAACAAGAAAAGGGGAAATGATTCCCTATTTAATAAATGGTTCTGGGAAAACTGGCTAGCCATATGTAGAAAGCTGAAACTGGATCCCTTCCTTACACCTTATACAAAAATTAATTCAAGATGGATTAAATATTTAAATGTTAGATCTAACACCATAAAAACCCTAGAAGAAAACCTAGGCATTACCATTCAGGACATAGGCATGGGCAAGGACTTCATGTCTAAAACACCAAAAGCCATGGCAACAAAAGCCAAAATTGACAAATGGGATCTAATTAAACTAAAGAGCTTCTGCATAGCAAGAGAAACTACCATCAGAGTGAACAGGCAACCTACAGAATGGGAGAAAATTTTTGCAATCTACTTATCTGATAAAGGGCTGATATCCAGAATCTACAAAAACTCAAACAAATTTACAAGAAAAACACAATCCCATCAACAAGTGGGCAAAGGACATGAACAGACATTTCTCAAAAGAAGACATTTATGCAGCAAAAGACACATGAAAAAATGTCCATCATCACTGGCCATCAGAGAAATGCAAATCAAAACCACAATGAGATACCATCTCACGCCAGTTAGAATGGCGATCACTAAAAAGTCAGGGAACAACAGGTGCTGGAGAGGATTTGGAGAAATAGGAACACTTTTACACTGTTGGTGGGACTGTAAACTAGTTCAACCATTGTGGAAGTCAGTGTGGCGATTCCTCAGGGATCTAGAACTAGAAATACCATTTGACCCAGCCATCCCATTACTGGGTATATACCCAAAGGACTATAAATCATGCTGCTATAAAGACACATGCACATGTATGTTTACTGCAGCACTATTCACAATAGCAAAGACTTGGAACCAACCCAAATGTCCAACAATGATAGACTGGATTAAGAAAATGTGGCACATATACACCATGGAATACTATGCAGCCACAAAAAGATGATGAGTTCATGTCCTTTGTAGGGACATGGATGAAGCTGGAAACCATCTTTCTCAGCAAACTATTGCAAGGACAAAAAACCAAACACCGCATGTTCTCCCTCATAGGTGGCAATTGAACAATGAGAACACACGGACACAGGAAGGGGAGCAACACACACCAGGGCCTGTTACGGGGTGGGGGATGGGGGGAGGGATAGCATTAAGACATATACCTAATGTAAATGATGAGTTTATGGGTGCAGCACACCAACATGGCACATGTATACATATGTAACAAACCTGCACGTTGTACACATGTACCCTAAAATTTAAAGTATAATTTAAAAAAAGAAATATCTCTCATTTTATTTAGCTAAACTTAGATTTTCGCAAAACTCACATGACCACCATTTTTGGCAGAACATCTATTAAGTCACATGGAATTGCTGTTCTGAAAAGCATTGAGGAATGCTTGGCTGATATTCAAAATTAGTAGATACTGCTCCTAAATTAATATACCCAGGTGTTTTTGTTTTCCTCTTTGATTTATACAGCTATCTTATGAATAGCCCCAGAGAAATTCGTTTGTCCCTTGTAATGATTTATTTTTTATCAGTAAGCTATAGTAGAAACATTGCCAATCCTAATATCAGTTCCCTAAAATTATGATGTCAGCTGATGGTGCATAGAATATACTAAAGTTCAAAAGACTGTCAAATTAAGACCAGACATCTAAAAAATGTGCATGCACCTTGGCAATATGCACCATATTCATCTTAAAGTTTGCTAAATCAGCATTAGAAGAAAAAAGATTCTTACCTACGGAGGCAATTAAAAATCATTCTAATATTAAACACGATTAAATTATTTCACTCATCCTTACATCAGTTTGCTGTATGGTAAGAGAAAAAAGGTTATAAAGTTTGAATACATGGAATTTTGTTTTCTAACGTAAGTGTCTCCTGTAGCAATATTCAAGATGATTGTTATTCACTTCAGATAGGCAGATGTTTTCCTGAGCTAAGATAAACAAAAGTGCCTTTCAAAGGAGGTAATCAGTAAATGAAATTTTTTCTCCCAATCACTTTTTATTACAAAAGTACTTTTTAAAGAACATTTTTCAAAGAAAAAGGAAACTTGAGTAGACAGTACAGAAAGTACAGCTTCTCCTATTTTAAATGTCTTATATTAGTATACTACTTTTGTTACAATAAACTGGTATTGACACATAATTAACTGAATTCTGCAGTTTATTTAACTCTTTAACATTTACCTAATGTCCTTTTTCTATTTGAGGATCCCATCCAGGATACCACATCACATTTAGTTGTCATGTCTTCTTAAGCTCCTCTTGGCTGTGACAGTTTCTCAGACTTCCCTTATTTTTGATGACCTTGATAGATTTGAGGAGTAATGGTCAGATACATTGCAGGATGCCCCTTTCATAGAAATCATGCTTTTCTCGTGATTAGATTAGGGTTATGGATTTACTGGAGGAAGACCACAGAGGTAGAGTACCATTTTCATCAAATTATGTCAAGTTTACGCACTATCAACATAATTTGTAACTGTTGATGTTGACCTTGATAACATCATTGCCTGAAGTCTTGCTTTTCTTATTTCTCCACCACAAAGTCACTACTTTTTCCCCTTTCCCATGTTTTACTCTTTATAATAAAGTCATTATGCATACTGCACACTTAAGGAGTGGGAATTTATGCTCCCCCTCCTTTAGGGTAGAGTATATAAACAACTTATTTTTGAAATTCTTCTGGATAGGAGGTGTTTCTCTTCTTCTCTATGTATTAATGTATTCAATGATTTATTTCCATCATTATTAACTCAGGTTATTCATTTCATTCCTTGAGTATAACCTAATATGACTTTACTTATTTTGTTTCTCAAAGTGCTCCAGTGTTGATAGCTCTTTTACTTGGCTCCTGTGTTCCTTTGACATACTTCCATCATTGTGGATTTTTTTCTGTTTTTGTGGGGGGCTGGGGAGACTGCCTGACTTTCTGGCACTATAAGTTGCTACAGGATCATCTTGTATATTTTCTGCCCAGTCCTAGCTCTTTCTCCAGGGAACCTCGGTTCCTTGGTTCCTCGGTTCCTTTTACTGGAAAATGATGTTAGAAACCAAGTTCTGGGTATGAGGTATATTTGTAGCTATTGAAGTGTTATTTCTTTTACGCCTTCTTAGTTGTCAGAGCAAAGAAATATATTTGTGTTTTTATATGACATATATATGTTATACATATATTACATAATTTGTGTGAAGATGGCCATTAAATTAATAATTAAAATATCTATTTATTAAATTAATCATGACTTCTTCTTACAGTAATTGCAATTTTAATCTCCTGTATATGAACATTTTTGTAATGAGAAATTCAACAGGCTCCTAGAGCAGGTCACCTATATAACAGTGACAATGAATAGCGAATTATGAACAATTTACATTCTAGAAGAAAAGTGGAATAAAATGTGGGTACAAATCAAGGACAGCACCATGTCTTAGAGAAGCAATATGAAGAGGTGGAGAAATCAATGTAATTCATTAAGAGAAACAGCCAACAGCTGGGCATGTGGTATACATTACTAGTGCTGCCCAACACCCCTTCTTGCTCTCCTTCAGGCTCCCTATGCTTCCCTTTCCTCTTGGTGAGGTGCAATCATGAGTCTTGTTATACCCATTGGGTTAGGAGAGGAAGCTATGTGTGTCACAGCAAGCCTGATGGACAGCAGTGATAGTTTAGAAACCCAGTATTTTAGTCTACTAGGGCTCCCATAACAAAATACCACAGACTGGGTGGCTAAAACAGCAGGTATTTATTTTCTCACAGTTCTAGCAGCTGGAAGTCTGAGATTAATATGTCTGCAAGTGTGTTTTCTCCTGAGGCCTCCTTCCTTGGCTTGCTGGTGGCCACCTTCTCACCGATTCCTGACATGGTCTTTGTTCCGTGCATGTGTATCTTTGGTGTCACTGGTCATATTGGATTAGGGCCCACTCTTATGACCTCATTTAACTTTACTTATCTCCTTAAAGGCCCTGTCTTATAATACAGTGACATTGGGCACTAGGGCTTCAACATTTGAATTTGGGGAGAAACACAATTAATCATAACACTAATATTATTTACAATACAAAATATGAAACACAGAAATAAAACGTTGTCATGATAACTTACATGTATTGTTACCTAGACTAGGAGGCTAGGACAATGATACAAAATCAACTGGTAATAATGGGAATGGGAAGGGCCAAATATCTACCACTGTTTTTCAGGGTATGGCAGTTCCTAAGATAGTCCCCTCAGATGCTTGCCACATACCTACATACTGTTTGCTTCTTCTAGAACGATAAAAGATAAAATACAAGTTTTAAGTGCAAGCAGAGAATTCATTTAAAAAACATGCTAAAAATTCAAATGCAGTCTTGTGTTGCTTAATGACATGGATACATGCCAAGAAATGTGTCATTATGTGATTTCATGATTGTGTGAACAACATAAAGTGTGCTTATACAAACCTAGATGGTACAGCCTGCTACACATCCAGGCTACATGGCATAGCCTATTGCTCCTAAGCTACAAACTTGCACAGCATGTTACTGTACTGAATACTGAGGGCATTTGTAATATAATGGTATTTGTGTATCTAAACATAGAAAAGGTACAGTAAAAATAAATTGTAAGAGATTAAAACTGGTAAACTTGTATAGAATACTTACTATAAATGGTGCTTGCAAAACTCAGCATTACTCTGGGTGAGTCAGTGAGTGAGTGGGAGTGAATGTGAAGGCCTGGGACATTACTGTACCCTACTGTAGACTTTATAAACACTCTTCACTTAAGCCACACTACATATATAAAAAACGTTTTTCTTTCTTTAATAATTAACCCTAACTTAATGTAATTTTCTTACTTTATAAACTTAAATTTTCCAATATTTTGACTCTTGTTGTAATACTTAGCTTAGAAAACAAATATTGTATGGTTGTACAAAAATGTTTTCTTTATTTATATTTTTACGAGCTTTTTCTATTTAATTTTTTAATGTTTTATACTTCTTTGTTAAAAACTAGGACACAAACACACATATTGGCCTACACTTACACAGGGTCAAGATGATCAATATCACTGTCTTCACCTTCACATCTTGTCCCACCGGAAGGTGTTCAGTGTCAATAACACACACAGAGCTGTCATCTCCTATGATAACAATGGCTTCTTCTGGAATACCCCCTGAAGGATCTGCCTGAGGCTGCTTTACAGTTATTTTCTTTTAATAAGTAGAAGGAGTACACTCTAAAACAATAAAAATTATAGCATAATAAATACAAACACCAATAACATAGTTGTTTATTATTATCAAGTAGTATATACTGTACATAACTGTAGGTGCTACATGACTGGCAGTGCAGGTTTGTTTATACCAGCATCACCACAAACTCTTGAACAGTGCATTGCAATACAATATTACAGTGGCTACTACATCACGCGATAGGAATTTTTCAGCTCTATTATACTCTTATGGGACCACTGTTGTATATGCTGTCCATTGTTGACAGAGATGTTTTGAAGCACATGACTAGATACACAATTAGGTAGAATGTCATACAAAAATATATAAAATTCTTGAGGTAAGATAATAATTACAATAAATCATTGCCATAATGATAGAAAAAAATCTATGAGGATATTCTGGAAAAACAGTTAATACAGATTAAAATGAAAACCTGAAAAAGTACCAAGGCCAAGAAAGGGAGGAAAGCAGGATCATGTGAGGTCATGTCATCTCGATGATTTTTCTTTGGCAAAACACCTATTAAATCATATGTACCTGCTGTTCTGCGGGAATAAGATTTGTTCTAGGAGTAGCTCCTCCCCAAATTGCTACAGAGCATTTCCCCCTTGGACATGTCAGTGCTATCTTAATCCTAGTTTTTTTTTTTTAACTCATTTTTTTCTTTCTCTTCAAACAATTTATGAATTTAATATTTTCTTGAGCTGTGATATACTGCACCATTTTCTATACACTTTCAAAACAAAAATCCTGTTATTTCAAACTCTTCCTTTTTGTCTCTTCTCCTCAAGCCTATCAACCAATAAGTCCTATCCACTCACACCTTCAGAAAACAACTTTCTAAGACCCAATTTGCATGTCAGCAGAGTTCTAGGTATTAGGATACAGTGATAAGCAGTGTGAAAATTCCATATATTCTGTATATATTCCATATTGGATGATAGGCCATAAAATAAATAAATAAGAAATTGAGTGATAAGTCCCCTGATGGAGAACAAGGAGAGAGGGAGTCAATAACAGGAAACCTTGGATTTACACTCATTATTCTGTTCCTGTGACTCTTCTAATATATTCTCATTGTACTTAGAAAAAAATCCAAATTTAATAACATTTTAGCCCACAAGATGCCATCATCTTGCCCATACAAACTCTTCAAAGTCATCTCCTTCATCTAATACAAACTTTAGATTTAAAAACTATTTTCAAATTTTAGCAAATCTTTTTCAAGTCTCATTTCATTTTCTGGCTGCGACTTATAACTGCATTGAAATAAATATATGTTAAGACCCAATTAGTGTATGGTTTATAATTATTCTATGACATGGAAACCTGAATTCTGCATGTCAAATAAGGAGAGTTAATTTACTAAATTTAGAGCCTTCATAAAATATTTATATAGCCTCCTAAAATCCTTTATTGCATGCAGCAAGGTGCATACGTTAATGGGGTAAGCAGAAGAATGTCCTCCAAAGATGTTACCTTACAGGGTTAAAGGAACTCTGAAAATCTAGGTGGAACCAACACAATCACGATTACTTCCTCTATAATCACACCAATACTTGTAGAGGAAGAAAGGAGGCAGAAGGGTCAGAGTAGATGTGACTACTGAAGTCAAGGTTGGAATAAGGCGACTGTTCACTTTTAAGAGGGAAGAGGGTCACAAGTCAAGAAATGAGGATTGCCTCTAGAAGCTAGAAAAGGCAAAGAAACATTCTAACCTAGAACCACAGAAGAAACACAGCCCTGCTGACACCTTGTTTGTAGCCCAGTGATAATTCTGACCTTCAGAACTATAAGATAATGAATTTATCTAATGTAAGCCAGTAAGTGTATGGTAATGTGTTACAGCAACAAGAAATTAATATACTTAATCCAATAAATGTATAGCTATAGTATTTGGACAAATGTATACAAACACCTGAATAGACTGCTCACAAAAATATGTAGAACTGTTACCACCATCTCAGGTTGTTTGTAAAAAATAACAATTGCTGATTTTTCTCCAGGTCAATACCTTTACTGTGATTCAACCAAGGATGTATAATTCATCTAAATTTTGTTTGAAAATATTAAGATGATCTCTAAGTTTTATATATTTACAAGTCTTTATTTTAATTTTAAAGCATCAAGTATCCTCATTGCTACTTAAAGGAAGTCTTTATTACTGTTAAAAAAAGGAAATAAACTGGTATATTTGTCTAAATAGTCTACAACTTTATTCAGATGAATCAACTATGAATCATATCTATTGCCATATGACTAAGAAAGAAATTGAATCATTGTTTCCATGCATGCATGTTACTACAAAATTGGGCTGATGTTTGGGAATTTTAGGTTTTGTTGTTTTTGTTTGGTTTAATTCAATAAACACACATTAAGCATATACTACATAAGAGCTCGCAATACATTCACAGGGACATTCTGCCATTATACAGCTGTTCAAAATGGAAGTTTTATTTCTGTATTTCTAAATTCACTAAGCCAACGATACAAATATCTCAAAAATATTTTGTAATTTTCATTCCTTCAGGTATTGCCAATAAAATCAAATGTGCTGATCATCTGGGTGTAGCATAATACCTAGTTTGGTCCCATATTTTTAGTTAAAAACATACTAACAAAGCAAACACAAATGTTTTGTATCTCAAATAAAAAATCAAACAGCAATTATTTGATATATGCCTAATTAGAGTCCATTAGTTGTTCATGTAACAAGTATTTTTATACACACATATTCAAAGGTTTCTTAAATGGGCGTGTTCCTGTGTAAGTTGGCAATAAAGAAGAATGCAGTTGTAGTGTGGTTATTAGCCAGCATTTTTATTGAAAACAATGGGCTACTTGTTTTTATTTGAAATTTTCATGCAACAATATTTTCTTAGGTAGTTCAGACACTCTAGATTTTCAAACGTTTACAAAGTGCTGATTTTCATTTACTCTGGGAATTTTCTTTCTTTTTCTATTTTTTTTTTTTTTTTGAGACGGAGTCTTGCTCAGTCGCCCAGGCTGGAGTGCAGTGGTGCGATCTCGGCTCACTGCAAGCTCTGCCTCCCACGTTCACGCCATTCTCCTGCCTCAGCCTCCCGAGTAGCTGGGACTACAGGTGCCCGCCACCATGCCCAACTAATATTTTTTGTATTTTTGGTAGAGACGGGGTTTCACCGTGTTAACCAGGATGGTCTCGATCTCCTGACCTCATGATCCATCCACCTCAGCCTCCCAAAGTTCTGGGATTACAGGTGTGAGCCACCGCGCCTGGCCTATCCTGGGAATTTTCTTTTTTTTTTTCTTTTATTATTACACTTTAAGTTTTAGGGTACATGTGCGCATTGTGCAGGTTAGTTACATATGTATACCTGTGCCACGCTGGTGCGCTGCACCCACTAACTCGTCATTAGCATTAGGTATATCTCCCAATGCTATCCCTCCCCGCTCCCCCCACCCCACAACAGTCCCCAGAGTGTGATGTTCCCCTTCCTGTGTCCATGTGATCTCATTGTTCAATTCCCACCTATGAGTGAGAACATGCGGTGTTTGGTTTTTTGTTCTTGCGATAGTTTACTGAGAATGATGATTTCCAATTTCATCCATGTCCCTACAAAGGACATGAACTCATCATTTTTTATGGCTGCATAGTATTCCATGGTGTATATGTGCCACATTTTCTTAATCCAGTCTATCATTGTTGGACATTTGGGTTGGTTCCAAGTCTTTGCTATTGTGAATAGTGCCGCAATAAACATACGTGTGCATGTGTCTTTATAGCAGCATGATTTATAGTCCTTTGGGTATATACCCAGTAATGGGATGGCTAAGTCAAATGGTATTTCTAGTTCTAGATCCCTGAGGAATCGCCACACTGACTTCCACAATGGTTGAACTAGAAAACCTAGGCAATACCATTCAGGACATAGGCATGGGCAAGGACTTCATGTCTAAAACACCAAAAGCAATGGCAACAAAAGACAAAATTGACAAATGGGATCTAATTAAACTAAAGAGCTTCTGCACAGCAAAAGAAACTACCATCAGAGTGAACAGGCAACCTACAAAATGGGAGAAAATTTTTGCAACCTACTCATCTGACAAAGAGCTAATATCCAGAATCTACAATGAACTCAAACGAATTTACAAGAAAAAAACAAACAACCCCATCAAAAAGTGGGCAAAGGACATGAACAGACACTTCTCAAAAGAAGACATTTATGCAGCCAAAAAACACATGAAAAAATGCTCATCATCACTGGCCATCAGAGAAATGCAAATCAAAACCACAATAAGATACCATCTCACACCAGTTAGAATGGCAATCATTAAAAAGTCAGGAAACAACAGGTACTGGAGAGGATGTGGAGAAATAGGAACACTTTTACACTGTTCGTGGGACTGTAAACTAGTCCTACCCTGGGAATTTTCTAATTCAATGCATTAGCAAGTAGAGAAAACACCTGCATGCCAAAAACAAAAGGAAGCAAAACAAACATAAAATCCATGCGCTCCACAAAGAGAAAGATGAGATATATTTTTAAATGATTAACTCATTGATATCTAACAGTTAATTTGTTTTAAAGATTTGGTTTAAAATATATTTGAAGATCATTAAGTAGAACAGCTACATTCTGTGTTTTTCCCAATTTAAGGTAGTGTTTACATACTATAAGTTATATGAAATTGTCAAAGTCACCTAAATTACCCTCTGCCTCATCATAAAATCATTGACTATTAAAGTTAGACTAGAATTTGAGATCATCACCTTTGGCTCTTTCATTTCTCAGATAAGAAAATGAAGCCAAGGAAAAAAAAATGCTTCAATATAGCAAAAAACTTCTACTCCAGAGGTTCCTAAACTTTCTCAGTTCACAGTGCCCTTAGGTTCTCAGTAGCTTTTTTGTGGTGCTCATAGTACAAAAGAAATGCTAATAAGTTCCCCTTATTAAGTAGTTACATCCAAACAATATTTTTGAATTAAATTTATTAAAAATTATTTATATCCTATAATTTAATAGCTACTTAAATAAAATGATACATGTAAACTGAGAGGAAAAAATAGTATCTTTACGTCATTCTTAACCACAATTACTTATTAACAGTCTCCATGCTCCTGCTAGGCATTGCATGATTTGCCAAGCCTTGGAAACGTTGTATACTGCCATCCTCATTTCCTGTTCCATGTTGATTTTCACATACTATTTGCTTTTTATCACAGCAACTGTTGAAAACTCAGCCTCACAAAAATACGACAAAAAGAAAATGTAATGTGATCTAATGTTAAAACTGTGGACTACCATGAGCTAGTAGAGTATGCAGTATCCAATGGATGTCAAGCATCACCTTCAAAAAATATTAGAATACTTCATTGGCTGTCCCCTGTGAGTTTACTGCCATGTCCCAGAGGGCTTTGGTGCAAAATTAGAGAACCACAGGTCTAGCCAAAGATAGAGATGGTGCTGGAGTTCAGAATTCCTGATTCTATGTTCAATGTTCTTTCCACTATATTCAAAATTCAGAGGTAATATATTTTATTTCTAATACCTTCATTTTTCTACTTCAGCAAATTAACTTTCTAATAAAAGAGAGTACCTACCAACACAAAGCATTAAAATAATTTGTTCAAGATTGAATAGCTGCAGATTTTACCATTTCATCTTATCAAGAGTCTTTCTTAATCCTACTGTGAATCATAGTGTTGAAAGTTATATATGAAAATCTTCTCTTAGTGTTGTATGTTGATTAAGATCAAATATCCTGAAGTCTATGGCTTAGGTTCTTATGTCAGTTCTTCCATTTACTTGACTATGGGTATATTACTTAAACTCTCTACTACAAGTTCTTCACTTGTAAGATAGAGATAACAATAATATTTACTTTAGATTAGTGGCGAGAATCAAATTAACTATTTCTAATAAATTACCCGAGTTAGAATAAGATTCTTCCATTATCTTTCAATCTTCATCATCACACACATATCAAGTAGCATTCCAAGTTTACATGTAACAATGTTGCCTACTGTTATTACCCTATAAAACATCTTAGGTCCCATAAATTTTTACCTACGTTAATTTTAAAATATAAATGGCACATTAAATCACATTTAAATACATGGCATTGAAACACAATATCTGATATACATGTTATAAGCTTTTCACATAATAAAATGAAGAGGTATATACTATGAACAGAGAGAAAATGATTCTCACACACGATACAGCTTATAAACACTACAGTTTGGAATGGCATTTTATACTCTATTATTTTTAGAGGAATCCCAAAATATTAGTCCTTTGTGTATTATCCATGCTCAAATTTCCTCTCATTAAAGGATTGGAAGTGTGGAGATTATTGTATCTCCAGCACTCACAAAAAGTTAATTATAAAATATTTTCAAATGTCATAAAATTGAGAATATCTTTTGCTTTTCCCTCCAAGGTCACATCTTTTGTCCATGAGGAAACACAATCTTCTTAGTCATATCTGCAGTGTGCTTGAGTATTGAGCTAATGGAATGACTAATAATAAAGTCCTAATCCAGTACGCTCTAATTAAATAGATAGCTAAGGGATTTGACTCTTCAGAACATTATGTCTCAGAAATAAAAATGTTTTATTTATATTTTGAAAAGATGAATTCATTATGGTGTGTGAGTGCATACAAATAATTCTAACCTTCTTCATTAACTATCAAAAGCACAAAATTTAGAACAGCAGCAACACTCAATGATGACTAATTCCTCAATATTGGATAAGAATCAAGTAGACATCATGAATTCCTCATGTTTTCTGAAACATGTAGGAAATTAGAACAATTTAGTTCAATTTGGTTGATGAGCTAAAATTTATCTTAGAGCTATATATGAATAATTGACTTAAAAATCATGTGTGCACTTAGAATGTATTGTTGTTGTTGTTGTTAACAGTCCAAACAAGTACAGTGTCTTGGTGTGTTTTTTCACCTCCAGTGCCCAGGATGGCATTTCTTGATGGAAGCATGAATGTGGATGTGAGTGGGTAAGTGGAGAGATTGGGTTTTCCTTATCTCCAAGGTGTTTATGTAGGAAATTTTTTTCTGATTCAAACTACTAGGATTTAAGAGTAAATGTAGTCATTAAAACTGTGTTCCTGGTATTAAGAAAATGAAATTTGTGAAGAGAATTTAGGCATTTAGTTTGCAGATAAACATTCAACAATTATATATTTAACTTATCCTCGGTTTTGTTATTTGCTAGATCAGAATGAGCTATGATAAACCACCAATTAGAAACCTCTGGTTTCTACTATCAGGCATCTTGAATAGAAATCTCTAAAATCAAAATCTGCCAAATTGGGGCAGGGCTTCTATACTTTTTTAAACACCAGAGATCACTGTAATGTTCAGGCAAGGTAAGAAATGCTAACATGGAACTTTTAAGGGCTTTAATTTGAACCTGGAGAATGGGTAAGATTTTGTTGTTAAAAAATAAAGGGGAAAGAATTTTAAAAAGAATATAATTAATAATGTGTTCAAAAGTTAACATTATTTACCAACTTCTATGCCTCCTCCAAAGCCGAGGTCAAAATCACCTTCATGAATACTATTTTGATTCCACATGCTTTGTGTTCTAGCCTATGTTAGCCTATTACTTATTTCTGTAGACGTCCATGCTGTAGGTTTGCCTTTGTAGGCTATAGGTGTTTTTGCTCTGCCCTTCCTTTATCTGACAAAATAAGAGGAGAGACTAGATTAAGACTACTCAAAACTAAACAAAACTTACCTACAAATGTGTAAATGCCTTTCGATCACCATTTCAGCAAACATTTTCACATATTCAGCTGAATTAGTCACTCCCATTTCTATCCTCTGATAGAATTTTCTTCATGTCCTTTTTATAGATTTAATTATGTTACATTATGGAGTCAGTTGTGTTTTGTGTTGTATGATGCTCTCCTTAGGTAGAAAAGAAAATAAAGACTTGATGCTCTTTCTAATCCCTAAGAAGTTCGCACAGTGTCTGGCAAACAGATCATAGAAATATTCATAATGCTGAAGCTCCTCTGCTATTCTGTACTTTTTCAATAACACTTATTATAAATCTGTCTTTTATTACATTGTGTGTGGGTGTATTCTTGTGCATGTGTGAGAATGTAATATCTGCTACTTGTCTGGAAGTTCCTTGAAAGAGTGGACTAGGTTTTCTTCTAACCTGAATCCACCTATCCCACATAGAATATAGTAGATACTTTTTTCTTGTTAATTGAATTGGGGATAGCCTAATTGTATTCAAAACTACTGGGACAACAGGTTGCAAAAAATAGATTCGGAAAAACTTTGAATGTTAGGATGAAAGTATTGACTCGATTCAGTAGAGCGTGAACCATCACTATGGTTTCTTGAAGGGATAAAACTAGGTATAATGGGAAAAAGAGATTGCTCTGCTCTTTGTTAGTTGTATATTTTTGATGAATTCTCAGACCTTTTCTACATCTCAGTTTTATCATGTGTGAAATGAGAGGACTGGACAATGCCTGTGGATTCAAAACCTCACTGATAATCAGAATCAACTGGGGAGATATATAAACATACAGATTTGTTTCCATCCAAATAAATCTGAATCTCTATGAGTGGACTCCAAAAGTCTAGATTTTAACACATTCCAAGCTTATTCTGATAATCAAGTATGGTCCATGTTATGGACTGAATGTTTGTGTCTCCTCAAAATTCATATATTGAAACCGTAACCCCAATGTAATGGTATTTGGTGGGGCGAGGACTATGGAAGGTAATTTGGTCAGGAGAAGGAGCCCTCATGGATGGGATTAGTGTCCTTATAAGAAGATGCCAGAGTTCTTTTCCCACCATGTGAGGACACAGCACACAGCAAGACAATGGCTGTCTATAAACCAGGAACAGGGCCCTCAGCAAGAACTCGACCCTGCTGGCACCCTATTTCAGACTCCAACCTCCAGAACTGTGAGACATAAATTTCTGTTATGTACAAGGCACCCAATGCCATTTTTGTTATAGCTGCCCAAACTGACTTAGACAGACCAATAGCATCAGCATCACCTGGAAACTTGTTTAAAATTAAAATTGTCTATTTCCACCCCACACCTACTGAATCAGAAACTTTGGGTGGTGTCCAGCAACCTAAGTTTTAACAATTCATCCAGATAATCCTCACACACACCAAAATTTGAGAGCTACTTGGCTAAAGGATAGATAAAATACCTGTCAACTTTGCTATTCGGTAATTATATGATCAAAGGTAAGCAGGAAGACTATTCAAGAGGAGACTCTAGAGGAAGGAGACCCATATCTAAACAAAATGTATGTATAAATACCTCTTCTTTTTTTTTTTTTTTTTTTTTGAGACAGAGTCTCGCTCTGGGTCTCTGTCACCCAGGCTGGAGTGCGGTGGCGCTATCTCAGCTCACTGCAAGCTCCGCCTCCTGGGTTCATGCCATTCTCCTGCCTCAGCCTCCCGAGTAGCTGGGACTACAGGTGTCGGCCACCGCGCCCAGCTAATTTTTTGTATTTTTAGTAGAGACGGGGTTTCACTGGGGTCTCGATCTCCTGACCTCGTGATCCCCCTGCCTAGGCCTCCCAAAATGCTGGGGTCACAGGCGTGAGCCACCGCGCCCGGCCATAAATAACTCTTCTATAAGGGAAAGATTAACCTGAATTCAGCCTTTAACCATAACACAAATAGTTGTACTTAGCTTTCAAATATCAGATCATGTCACATTTTCTTAGAAGTGTGTTCTTAAATTTATACCCGAACCTCACTAAATCCTTCTCTCTTCTCTCACAACACCCTCTATAAATACTTATTATACGCTTATAATACAATATAACTGTAGTTTATTCTCAACTATTTAAGGAAAAAACTATTTCTTGTTATCTCTATAAACCTACCTTCTAACATAATATCTAGCTCCTCATGGATATTCTGGAATGTTTAATAAATGAGTAAAGTGAGTACCCTAAATAACGAGTGATACAAAAATGTGATTCTAATTAATTCTTTCTTTTTACTTTAGTTAAATTGAGATTATTGAGTGATTTAAATAATTTGTATTTCAAATAAAAATGCTAATTTTTCAGTTGATAGCACTTTCTAATTATTTGTAAATAAATTAAGCTATAAAAAAGGACATGCCCAAAAGATAAACAGGCAAATATCTAGTTGTCAGCTTTTAGTAAATGATCCATAACACTAAGTTACCTAAGAATTTGGCTGGAGACAGTCAATGTTTTTATAAGCTGGCAGCTTAAATTGTCTTTTAAGAAACACCTGAAATGTTACAATAATATAAAAATAAAGCAGATATGTAAATTTGTTAGTGTTGTGAAAACATTTTTCTTCTGTTGCAAATATATAAATACTTGCATATGTTTTAAAGATTGAAGTTCTAAGTCCGTTATTTTAATAGCTAACAGCTGTCTGGTAGGAAAAAAACTGCTTTCTCATTATTTATTTAAGTAGAATTTTACTAAGTATATTAAAAATAGTTTTCAATTAAAAATATGCATAATGGTATGATAGGCCTTATTTGATATTATAAAAATATCAACTATATTTTTCTCCCTATTTCTTTAAAGAATCTAGTGGTATCAAAATAAAAAATATATAACTTGTAATACTATGGATTTTAGCCTATTTCAAGGTCTAACCTTTCCTTTCTTGTGATACGGTATCACTGCTTATTCTAGGGCAATAGAAAATGGAAACTGATACATGTATTCTCAGCTAATTGAGGAAACATCTATTCCATCTACACTTGAACAAAGTACTTTTCATCTATATTTTCTTTCTTTAGGTTATATTTCCTTCTTTTGTACAGAAATTGTCTAATGGCTATCACTATTTCATTTTTCTAAACCCCTTTTTAATCAATTCATAACACTGATAATTTTATTACTTTTGATAGTTATTATATTTAATTATAAATTATACATAGAATGACATCAGCTAAGGCAGATAATTAACTTATAATATGAAGCTATGCATTGGCTGTCTTGCATACCATATGCTAATCCTGCATAGAAATATACTTTCTTAAACTTCCCAAGATCACCTCTCCTTTAGGGCTATTTCTTCAGAGAAATAAATGGGGCAGTGTTGGTTTGGTTCACCAGGCTTTCCAGTGAAATTTCCAATAAATTCTATTACTCTCTGACCCAACATTTGCACATCTTTTTCAAGGGGAAAGTTTCTGGCCCTAGTCTCAAAGCACTATCTTCTTTCAACTAATTCCACCACAGAAACAACTGCTTCAAGGTGATAGCTAGCAGCTGTGTTCTGGGTGCAGAAGGCTGTTCTTTGACAGTTGGATTTCTTAGGAGGTATCTAGTAAACTCTAGAATTTCTGCTATTTTGCTGTGGTTAGTCCTAGCAAAGGATATAGCTAGAACCCATAATTAAAATTAAATGTCTGCATCATCTCTTATGGTAGTTTGCTCATATTATTCAATTATTGAAGATACGGTCTTTCAAGATAAAGATGACACTACCGCTCCCCTCTTAAGAAGATTGTTTTGCAAGTAACTTTAAAGAATGTAGAGTGACTCATACACCCTCATTTTGTTTCCCTTTGTGACCAAAAACAAGTATTTTGGGAGAGTTGGCTGCATTAGAAGTTCAATCTGTGGTCACTGAAAAAGCTGATAGACCGAAGTGCTGAACTCAACAGCACTCTGCCCTTCCTCTTATTTCCCCCTTTATCCCGTCCCAAGAGAAAAGTGAGTAGAAGTTTTGGGTCAATTCTACCAAATTTTTCATATTGATGGTTTTTTACAAACAACAAAAATAACAAAACTGATGTCCTAAATAATCCTAAGTTGAAGATTCATAATTTGAAACAAAATATTGTAGCCTGTATAATAATTCTGAAAAGAATATTTATACAGAACGTCATACATACAAGTGTTTCTATTTTATTCAATCAATGTTAATTTGCTCCATTATTGTCTTCCACTTAGGAAGACAAATATCAGAGAATTTTGTCTTCATAGCTTTGGATTTCTTAAAATCAACTACACTGAGATTCAAAAGTCCATATCCAAAGGAATAGCATGCTTTAGAACAATCTAGGTTTCATTTGTTCTTAAAGAGTTTGAGAGAAACAAATAAAACATCACTCTCAAAGTGATAATAAACCTGGGATAATAGTAACAACAAGAGCATTTGTTTTACTTTGAAAAACAAAAATATTAAATTAAATTACCCTAAGATTTTTCTTCTAGTATTTTAAAGATATGAGTATTGAAACTATTAAATAATTTCATTTTTAAAAAATTTAAAGAAAAGATCCAAAATGTTACAATTATCTGTCAGCTTTTGATTGATTTCTTTTTCCTTTCCTATATTTTCGAAATGTATATAATAAATTTAGATTACCTTGAAAACCAGAACATATAAATTCCATTATATGTTCTCAGAAATTTTAATGTCATTTGCTGTTTTTCAAAATTTTCCGTACATGTCAGTCCTTTGGATGACAAAGTGACTCATCCTTTGTTCCCTCTCTTATTCACATTCCCCAAGGGCAGGAGTCAAGACACTTGCATCTGAGTTCCTCAGACATGACTTTACAAGGTCCTTGGCATAATGTGTTTTTATTTTCAGAAAATAATTTCTGCAAAAAAAATCACAATGAATTTACAGACAGTAAAGAATAATACCTGGAAACAAGTAAAAAAAGATGTCTAGCTCACATGAAACTAAGAGCTTATATTTTAAAATTTACTGCTTAAAAATTATTTGCTCTCCCTCAGTCAAAAAGGTAAGAAAAAAAAATAATACTAAGTTTTCATTAAGCCCTTTCTCCAAACAGACTCAGAGGTGAAGTCAGGAGCAAGAATTCTGACCAAAGATTACACTTGGGACTAACAGAAAAAAAACAGTGAAAAAGAGAGAACATTTTGTTGCCTCTATTCCAGACCCCATTAACACAAACTCTCACTACTGTAGACCATTTTCCACAGAATCCTACCAGAGAATTTATTACACCTAAGAATCAGATAACTCTGGAAAACGTCCTGGTTAAAACATTTATTGCTAGCAAAGTCTTGGGAATTTCTATTCAATCTCTTCTCCCTTATTCTTACCCCCAAAGGTTTATTGCAGTAGTTCCATGAAGTTAGGGACAGTGGGCACCTCCCCCAGAGTGCCATGTGGAAGACTCCATCTTGTAAATAGTTGCCTCACTAAAACATTGTCCCATAAAGCTTAGCAGGTCATACCTTCAGGGAGTGGGGATAAGAAATAATAATATCTCAGTAGCCTCCAATTTCAAGAGCATGAGTGTTAAGGATGAGATTTGAGAGCCCATAATCCAAAAGGAGGAAATGAAAAGAGCAATAATAAAAACTAACATATCCTTGGAAAGCAAGTTAATATTTTTAAGAGAAAACATTTCTCACCAATTATTTTACTTAAAAAAGGAGGAGAAATCTTACTATCTTTGGTTTTATAATCTTTTGAGGAAATATGTATGTAAAATCAGAATCTAAAAGCTGCTATTCTTAACATTTTTGTTGGTAACTTATTTAGGTCCATTGATTAATGATTAAGAATACCTATCCTTTCATAGTTTAGTGATTGATTTTACCACTTGAGAAGCATTTTAGATGTGAGGAAGGATTTTAATGCGTTAATTTCTGTATATTTGAAATTTTGGGTTATCTAGTTTTAAAAAATTGGTTTAGTTCACAGCTGTTACATTACCTAAGAATTTAGTTGTTAAAATGTATGAACTATAATCAATGTAAAATTATTGAATATAAAAAGAAAACTCAAACAATTGCCAGGATGTTTCCAAATATTAGCATTATTAAATTTTATCATTATTTAGAGCCTAGCAATAAGAGGAAATTGTTTATGTCTGCATTGTAGACATTGGCAAATCATTCAAGTCAAGAAAAAATTCCCCAAACTGCTGTATGGCAGAATAGGCGTCTGTGTCTATACAACTCTGCAACAGATTGGAACAAGAGCCATCATTAAGCAACGTGTTTATCAAAACAATGCCCAACAACAAGATGAATATGGCTTTTGTTTTTTGGGTTTTTTTCAATGAATTTACTAGTTGGTTTGGTATCTCATGCACACAGTCTGAAGGACAGGGGAATTGACTGCAAAAATCTGGGAGGACAAACAAAAATATTAAGTCATTCTGGAAAGTATTTAGACATGAAAAATGGATCAGTAGCTTCCTCAAATCAGGCCAGATTAGTGTAGAGATATAAAGCCTTGAATAGGTGATGTTATTGATATACTAGTAAGTTCAACATTAGGGAATTTGATACATTCTTTCTTATTCTTCCCTCCAAGGCACACCAAATTGAGCTTGATGAACAACAAACCTTTCCAGGAAATGCTGGCCTTCCACAATTCTCTTCTTACTTCACAAAATAGCCAGTTCTACTTTCACAAATTTTCTTATTCATCCTAGACATATTACTACAGATAAGTGTATATGCCAAGTTATTTTTTCTTGAAAAACAGATAATATTTGCCATTATCATGGCTTCACAAATTGAACATCAACAGAGACAGAAACTGTGTGAGGTCTGGAAGCTCGAGAAGAATGTAAGAACTTCGATGTGATGTTTCTTCACTGTTACTAAAAGACAAATCCCTGTTCTATGGAATGCTACCCCAAGGAGGCTCTTGACTCTTTAATCATTGTAGAAATAAAAGCAGGTATGTGCTCTGGCTATCCGTTGCCTCATGTCCCTGAACAGAAGAGTCTTTAATGCTGAAAAAAAATTGATGTTTAAAACATTTTCACTTCAGAGATGAATGAAAGTACACATAAATAGTGAAGATGTTCTTGAGTATGACAACATGAACATAAAAATCATGTGGGTTTATGAACACATACAAAAAATGGCCAAAATATAATAGAAACATTAAACCAAAAAGTCACTATTACTCAATATTATGGAATTGTCAACAATATTCTAAACTCTACTGATTGGCATTCATGCATATATGCGTATACAGACAGATTCATAGATTCATGCACACAAGGACTTTCTTTGAAACAAATAATTTGTTTGTAATAAACTTTTTATTTTGGAATAATTTTAGATTTGCAGCAGAGTTCCAAAGATAGTACAGAGTTCTCATATACCCTGGTTTCAGTTTCCCCTACTCTATTGTCTGACTTTACCATTATATATTTTCAAAACTAAGAAAACAACATTGTTACATTACTTTTAACTAAACTCCAGACTCTATTCTTATTTTACCAGTCTTTCCATTTCTGGAAATGTCTGTTCCAGTTCCCAATCCAGGATTCCATATTGTGCTTACTTCTTACATCTGAAGAGCTCCTCTAGCTCCTGACAGTTTCTCAATCTCCCTTTGTTTTCATGACCTTGAAGTTTTGAGAAGTACTGATTAGGTATTTTATAGAATGCCATTCAATTTGGGTTTGTCTAGTGTATTATGATTAAACTGATTTTATAGGTTTTTGGAAAAATTACATTGAATATAAAGTACCCTTCTAAATAAGTAATATCACGGGTAGATGACATGAACATTAGTTGTTACTGGTGATGTTAACTTTGATCATTTTGTTAAGGTGGTGATTACCAGGGTTCTTCACTGTAAAGTTACTATTTTTCCCTTTCCATACACTATTCTTTGGAAGAAAGTCACTAAAATATAAAATATTCAGCAATTGAGTGTGAGTGTTTGGCTCACACTCAAAGGTGGCAAGGTTGTAGGGGGTCATAAAACTTCATCTCCTGGAGAAGGGATTTTATACATGTATTGTTAGGAATTTTATGTAAGGAATATTTATCTCCTTGCCCCAATATATTTATTCAACAAATCATGTTTATCACTATAGACCCATAGATACTTATTTTATATTTTATACTATAATTCAATACTACATTATTCATTTTGTTGCTCAAATTGTTCAGCTTTGGCCATTGGGAGCTCTTTCAAATTGGCTTCCATGTTCCTTGAACACAGCTGCATCCTTTTGTTTCTGGTTTGTTTTGTTTTCACAATTTATTTCCTGGTAATGCAAGATGGTGAGACTCATCTTATACTTTTTCGACCTCAGCTTTAGATTCAGCCATTTCTCCAAGGACTCCTTGTTCATTTTATTGGAGTTGGACAACGAGTAGAAAAAATGAATTTTTAACAGAATCAAGATCAGTGTCTTGAAAGGCCATCAAATATATGCCATTTTTTAATTTTCATAAGCACAAACACAGTATCAAAATTTAAAAAGTACAATGTATAGTAACCTTTTAATCAAAACACTTCCTCACAGGTGGAGGCTAAAAGCCTGCCATTGTTTGTGGTTGCTGTTGTTTAGCAGCTGATACAGGTGTTCTGGTGATGCTACTGTGCTGCTTAGTTACCCTGAACACATTATTTTTTTTTTTACTGAATTAATGGTATGTCATATTTTTCACTATTAAGTGCTTGTATGTGAATAAGTATAAGACAATGATTACTTATCAGTAGCATATAAATCCAGAGTCAGGAACGATGATGATACTAAACACAGATTGTCCACATGGGTGGCTGATACAGTGACACCTTTGTTTTCTGATAGTTCAACGTACACAAATTTGTTTTACACACAAAATTATTTTTAAAAATTTACCTTATTTCACTATCATTGCCCAAGAAAAACATCTGTTACTATTTATTTCACTGTAATTTTGAACCTCCCTATGTTGTTCTGAAGCCATTCAACTTTTGTAAGAAAACCATTAATTTATTTTTATAATTTCACATCTTTCTAAAAGGACTGTCATCTCATCATAACTATTCTGTTTATTAGCCATATGGCCTTGGGAAAATTACTTAACCTCTCTAATCCTGTTCACCTCTCAAGACTCCAGTAAGTTTCCAATGAAATGGCAGACATAGACATACTTCATAAATTATAAAGTACCAGATAATATACATAATGTCTTAGGAAATACAACTATCAATTTTGTAAACAAATATCTTCCTTAGGGTTGACCTATTTGCTAAAACATGTCATTGTACTCCTTTTTCAGTCAGTTATATCCTGTAATTGAGACAAATAAGTGCATAATTTTACATAGTATAAGCAGCCCTAGCCTTCTTACAACTCACACTTACACCGCTTGACAAACTGCTCCCAAGACTGATATTTAACCAGAAACCATTTGTAGGCCCTAACAGTTATTTGTGGTTGGTATTTATTATGACTAGTGATTTATTTCTGTCTTAATGGGCAGCTGCATATTTTCTGATTATAGACAGACATGCCATACTGGTTGCTGAATATTTTATATGTCACCTTGATCACACACATTTATCTCAGACAGATAATACACAAATAACTAGCTCTTCCTTGGCATCCCTACATAAATCTTACTCCAGTCTCTGTTTTCTTCTGGCCTGACAGTCCCATGGGTCTCTGTTCACAATCATGTGGCTTCAAGATTGTACTTAAGTGTCTCCGCTGAAGACAATCAGGTGGCAGTGAGCACAGCCATGAATGAGGAAGAGGTAAACAAAGGGATAGTGGGCTTCATTAAACCATAAGGGCAGCAAGTCTCTTTGGGACCCTTACAACGGATGAGGTAATTCGGTCATATTGATTCTAAAAGACTCCAACTTTCTTAAGTGGCCACTTTAAGGGACAGCAGCATAATTTGGCCAGATGAGCTTCAGTAAATTTAAAGAAAGTTTACCTTTATTATTCATACTTAATATTCATTATTCTAAAATATTCCTTTAAAAAGTACAATCTAATGACTGTAATAGCCCAGAAATACAATGTAACAGGAGGAAACTGTGGCCAAGGCAAAAACACCTACAATTTGTAAAAGAATAGTTGGAGTCAATGAAATAACCTTGTTATAACCTGTTTACATAGTGTTGGCACAGGGCAGTCCTGTAGTAAATGCTTGTTCTTTCATTGCTGCATTAGCAAAATAAATGCTGTTCTATGTTGAAACTCTGAATCACATTAAATTAGCACTAACATGACAATGAAGCTGCAGAATGGTATATGGGTACATCTCAGGAAGGAGCATTTTCCACTAATAAAATGAAGTAGCAGTGAAGTACAAAACTATAACACAAGAATTTATCTTGTGTGTATGGAGAATATATCCATGCCAAAAATGAGTGTTCGTTCTGATTCAAATTTGTGAACTTCAGCAAAAGAAACACTTCAGAGAAATTCATCTTCATGAAAAAGAATTGTTATACGAAAGTTTCATGCTATTTAAAATGGGCTTTGTAAATAATATGACTCATTTATTTTACATATTGTCACTGTGTCTCTACAACAGACAAAGCAAAACACTTGATATTACACAGCTTCTACTCTCAAGCAGCTTACAATCAGAATTCAGAATCTCACCTCCCAACCTGTCCTCTTCAATATCCCCATCTCAGTATATTACCCATTTCTCATATAAGGAAGTTATCTTTAAAATCTCCTGCTCTTATGTCCCATAGCCTATCAAAAATCAAGTCCTGATATTTCTACTTTGCAAATATCTTTCAACTTCTTCTGAGCCTCTCCATCTCCCTTTCTTCAGCCCCAGTTCAAACCACCATCCTCTGTCTTCTGCATCCCTCTGGCTGAGAACTCAGGCAGTGAAGCCAGATTGTCTGAAATGAATTACTGGCTCTGCCACTTAATATATGTGGAACCTTGGTAAAATTGTTTCTCTTCTGCTATAGTTTGAATGTTTTTGTGTTCTAAAATTTATATGTTGAAACTTGTAAACCAAAAATGTATCTGAGATAAGTCTCAATCAATTTAGTGTATTTTGCCAAGGTTAAGGATATGCCTGAGACACAGCCTTAGGAGGTCCTGACAACTTGTGCCCAAGGTGGTCAGGGTACAGCTGCTTGGTTTTAGACATTTTGGGGAGACATGAAACATCAATCAATGCGTGTAAGATGTACCGCAGTTTGGTCTGCAAACACAAAAAAACTCGAAGCAGGAGCTTCCAGGTCACAGATAGATTTAAAGATTTTCTGATTGGCAATTGGTTGAAAGAGTTATTATCTAAAGACCTGGAATCAATAGAAAGGAATGTCTGGGTTACAATAAGGGGTTGTGGGGCCAGGCACGGTGGCTCACGCCTATAATCCCAGCACTTTGGGAGGCCGAGGTGGGCAGATCATGAGGTCAGGAGTTCGAGACCAGCCTGGCCAACATGGCAAAACTCCGTCTCTACTAAAAATACAAAAATTAGCTGGGCATGGTGGTGCACACCTGTAATCCCAGCTACTCAGGAGGCTGAGGCAGTAGAATCCCTTGAACCCGGGAGGTGGAGGTTGCAGTGAGCCGAGATCATGCCACTGCATTCCAGCCTGGGTGACAAGAGCAAGGCTCCATCTCAAAATAAATAAATAAATAAATAAATAAAACAAAATAAGGGGTTGTGGAAACCAAGGTTTTATCATGCAGATGAAGGCTCCAGGTAGCAGGATTTCAGAAAAAATAGACTGTAAATGTTTCTTATCAGATTTAAAGAGTCTGTTCTATCAGGCTTAAGATCTCTGTGTTGATGTTTGTCTGACCCCCATTTCCCAACATGGCCTGAAATAGTTTTTCAGAATAATTTGGAATGCCCTTGGCCAAAGGGAGAGGTGGGCTTAGAATTGGCTTAGAATTTTATTTCTGGTTTACAAACTTAATCACCAATGTGATATTACCATGTGAGGCCTTTGGGAGGAGATGAGATCATGAGAGTGGAGCCCTTCTGAATGGGATTAGTTGCCCTTATAAGAAAAGCCCAAGAGGTCTGCCTTGGCCCTTCCACCAATAAGAACACTGCCAGAAGTCACTACCTGTGTACCAGAAAGTAGACCCTTACCAGACATTAAATCTGCTGGCACCTTGACCTTGGACTTCCCAACCTCCACATCTGTGACAAATACATTTCTATTGTTTACAAGCCACCCACCTTATTGTATTTTGTTATGGAAGCACGAATGGACTAAGACATCTTCCTTGTGCCTCAATTTGCTCATAGTTAATAGGAAAAATAAAATGGCCTACCTCATTATAATGATTTAATTAGCCATTACATTGTGTAAAGTCCTTAGAAGAAAGCCTAGCAACAAGTACTCAATACATTTTAGATAGCCTTCCTTGCTGCAATAACTTACGAACATTCATCTGCATTTTTGCCCATTTGGGGTTATTATATTGTTTTGGTTTTTGGTATGGCCAGAGTGATTTCTCCTCTTCTTAAACAAAATCCTGATTGTGTCAAGACCTGGTTTCAATGACTTCCCATTATTCGTATGTTTAAACAAAATCCTTAATATTGCCTACAGGTTCCTGAATGATCTGGCCTTTTTTTTTATCTTCTTGCTTTTCTTTGTTTCTTTTTTCCATCCTCAATGTCTGTCAGCTTTTGTTAAATTAATACTAATGCTCAACAAACAACTCCCCCAAATCTCATGGCTTAAAATTTCAAGGGGTCATTTTTGCTCACATTACATGCCAAGTCTGGCCAGCTATTCTCTGAGACTCTTCTCTAGCCTGTGAGGGAAATGCAATTTTCACCACTTTCTTCACATTTGGGGATGAAGGTGGAAAGATCCATCCGGATTCAGTGCATTCTGTTCTATCAAGGCAGAGGACAGGAAAGAGGATCCTAGTTAAGCCATGCCATTGCATCGAAAGTACTAGCTCATGTATGAAAAATATTATGTCTATTCATATCTCGATGTCCAAAAAGCAATATAGCCAAGCCCAAAGTCTAGGCAGGGAAGCATCCAAGGGCAGAAAAGGAATAAGTAATTGTGAAAGAATATATAATTCAGCACACTTGGTGAGCTCCACAACATTGGTCTCTGTTTCTTTCCTCATGTGTTAGTGTCTTGCTTTAAGTTCTTGCCACATGCAGTCTGCCTAGAATGTTTTCTTTCCTGCTCTTCATCTTCTACAAATATACACAAATTTCCATCTGTTAGATTTTCCCTCATAGCACTTTTCAGAATGGCAAGTGCAAAAATAATTGATTCACTGATTCTTTAATGTCTTCCTCCCCACCACCAAATCTAAGTTTGAATAAAAGTGAAAGCTGTTTGGGGACAGAAAATGTGTTAAATCTCTTCTGAAAGATCACCATTTAACACATTTAAATGTGTTAAATCTCTTCTGAAAGATTACCAACTCAACTAATATTTGAGTTGCCTAAGGACATGGAGGTTGACATTTTGATTAGCAAATGCCCATCAGATACTTGAGGCAAGCCTATGAATTTAATACAGTTTTCCAGTCTCTACTTTTGACTTCGTGGTGAAGATACAGCCCAAAGGACTTTGGAATTAAGACAACAATAAAAATTGAGATTACATTACAAGCAGTAATAAAAACAAGAAGTTATAGGTACCACAATAACAGGAAATCTGTTTTTGGAACATCAAGGATTTTTAAGAATATCATTATTCCCATTCTGTTTTCTGTCAGGATTCTGGAACTTTTATTTTTCTTGCAGCACAGGGAAAATTAGTTAGAATGAAGCTAAAATCTATTTGTTATTTATAATGTACTTTGTTTTCATATTGAAAACATCAGTGATCTCATCATGCTAGTTTTGCTTTTCCCTTATAATGTATATACTTTTTTTAAAAACAGCTTATTTTCCACTTGCATACAACAATGGGTTGCACATTCCTGAGGTCCTTAGGAATTATTCTAAAATTGACTGCAGTGGGGATTTCCTTTGACACTTAACCATGTCACTTCAAAGACTATTTTTAAGTACGTGCCCAAGAGAAAACACAGTTTCTGGTTTTAATTTATTTATAATCATGAAGCCTAGCAACATCTTAAAAAATAAAAATAAAAACTCTTCCTGGACAAGAAGGGCTATAGTTTCCCACCCCTCTCCCTTTGCAATATAACAATGATGGAATACCAAGAAACAGAATGAACACAACGTACAGCTTGACCTCAATGCAGTCACGTCAAAGAACAGAGGTAATGTAAGAAACTCACTCAGCTTTCAACGTGCTTCTCCTGGGGATTGCATAGCATCATGAAGGGAAGTTCTCTGGGAAGGAAAAAGAGAGCAGAGCTTGCTTTATACTCATATTATATACATCTCTATGTATATTAGTGTATGTGTTTTACACTACATTAAATCTTTTGTTGGCTTTCAGACTCACTCTGAGTGAAAGTGCACAACCAACACCTGCGCTGTCGAAGTTCACTATTTTCCTTCTCATCTAGTTTACGTATTGCTGCTAGAACCCTTTCATCATGTCACTTGAGGACTCTAAAATCTCCGGCAACTTTCCACGGCCTATAACACCAAGTTCAAACACCATAGGTTGTCATCATATTGCATCATTCTCCCTCTGCCAAGGTATCCCCACATTTGCTCCACAGGAGTCTTCTCCTTCATCTAGGCCCAGTACTCATTGACCCTTGAGTGCCCCTGCTCTTTTTCAGCCTTCCTTTCTGTTGTTTCCTATACCCCTTCATTAATTACATGGACCCATCAAGATCCATTTAAGACTACACGTATTTACCATTTCACTGAACTATTGTACCTTCCTTCTTTCTATGACCAATGATGGCATTTCTTCATATACTACATTGCATTGTTACTCAATTGGTTCATAGCCATATATCAGCAGCCTCTGTTAAACTATATTCTCAGATGATGTAAAAGTTCTGATTTTTATCTTTGCTGTACCCATTATACCTATTGATGCTGAACATAATAATATATGCATAACTAAATCTCAAGTATTTTTTAAAGTATATATGTAAGCAAAGTTAAATATGTATAAGTATAGTATAAGAGAGGCTTATAGGTCTGAAATTTCCCTTCTTCCTCTTTCTTAGAAAGGTTTATTTTGGTATATTTCTCAAAGAAGGGTTATAAGTTACCCTATGTGTGATCAATATAAGTGAGAACCAGGATGTGCCTTTGAGTGCATGCCCAAGGCACATGCTAGTTCTCCACCAATAAAGAAAAGAAATAGTACAGGGTTGGTTTCTTAACTCTTCTTGGACAAACTGTGACAAGTATGAAAAATTCATACTCTCTGTAGTCATTCCCTTTGCAGAGGATAGGGACATGGAGGGTAGGAGCAAAGGTAAAATATTATAATCATCATGCTAGATAACTTTCTCCTGGATCTGTTTCCTGCTAGATAAGACCAAAATGAAATTTAGTTTGACCACTCACAAACGAGAGCTCCTCAGGTAGTTTATTTAATGTAGCCCTGTGAACTGAAGTTTGGGGAGCTATTGCAGGAGTAGCTCTTCTCAGGAGACTCTTCAGAGATTCCAGGTACCACTCTGATATAATTCTATTATATTGGCTCTGCAATTCCAGCTGAAGTTAGCATGGAATTTTGCCAATGACAGCAAGCTGCAGTGGTCCTTTTCTTAACACTGGGAACCCTTACTTGGAAAATAGGATGCTGGCAAGAGTTGAGGGTCTTGAGGTGCATGTTGTTGCAGAAGGTTTTCTGCCATCCTTGCTGTGGCAACTGTGAAGGAGGGTGGCACATAAATGAGTCACCTACCAGGTAAATTGCCAGACAAAATACAGGGCACCCAGTAGAATTTGAATTTCAGATAAACCTCAAATCATTTTAACATAATTTGTAGAGCATTTCTCTTGCAATACTTGTGACATTTAATATATTTATAATCATCTGAAATTCAAACTGAGCAACAGTTTATTAAATCTGGCAATCATGTAGACAGACAGTTAAGATGCTTTTATCATGGCAGAAATAAATAACATTTCCCATAGAATTGTTAGATCCCGTATCCAAAACACATCTTTTATGAGCCTATCAACTATTACAGTAGACACTTTCCTTTTAGAAATCAAATAATGTGACATTTGTCTAAAGTATGAACTATACTGGAAGAAGAAAATGCCATTGCTAAAACTTAAAATTCTCTATTTTTGCCATCCCATCTCTCAAGTAGAAATACTTAGTATCTTGATTTAGAGGAAACTCAGTAATGATAAAATAACTGCTATCAAACTCAGCATCAATATGTAGGGGATTGTGACAAGGAGGGTACATCTCATTTTTAAGCAGGTATATGACAATTGTTATTGAAAACCATTTCTAAAAAACCTTCCAGGTTCCAACTAAGTCAG
Organism: Homo sapiens; assembly: GCF_000001405.40. Classification (NCBI taxonomy): domain Eukaryota; kingdom Metazoa; phylum Chordata; class Mammalia; order Primates; family Hominidae; genus Homo; species Homo sapiens. The sequence goes on along the minus strand of NC_000006.12, from coordinate 74,344,992 downwards.
TCAGTCTTATAATGGGCTCCTTCCGTCCTCTCTGACAGTCTTTAGTAACTTGACTGAATTTACCAATCTCAGGATACAGGCTGTGTATCACATACTAGCATCAACAGGTCCAGGAAGCCCTGCCCTGAAGACTCAAATGTATATTTTTGAGTGGATCTTTCTCATTTGCTGTTGTTCTTTCTAAATAACAAAAATCTGTTCCTGACTTCTCAGCATGGTTGTTTATCATCAGTGAATAAAACCCCAAAGAAAACAAAAGACATCACCCAATTTGGATTCTGCTCCGTAAAAATTAATATCTTTGGTGAATACAAGACTGTGAAACTGGCTGTTTTTCCATGACTGTGTCAGGGTAACATCTGGTAAGGCATATTATGTCCTGATCCACATAAAAAGATCTGAGAAGAGCAGCAAGGATGGGGTGACAGTTTAGCCAACGATTTGGAAAGAGCCATGTGCATAGACAAGAAGTATGTGGCCAGCGGAGCTGGACCTATTTTGTTTTACTTGGAAGATTCACACTACCAATCCCATGGTTTTGGATAAAATGTTAAAATGTTTGCCTAAGAATTTTTGACTGGCAAGTTGATGACTGATTTATAAATGAAATCAGGTCAAGAAGACACTTGATTGCTAAGTATGTGCTAGTTGCTGTGCTTATTAAAAGTTAGAGAGACACTCAAAATGAGAGCCGGTTGGAAAGATTAACTACAAATTACAACTTTGTAGAACTTACATCCTGGGGAGCTCAGATTAAACTAGGATTGGCCTTATTTATATAGCCTAAATTTTTCCCAAATTAAACATATTATTTAATCACATATTTTACTTTGAAAGCATCTTAGAATAGTTTAAGGGTATTTTTTTCTATAAATGCTATTCCACTGACTAGAATTCTTTTCCAGAACCGACCCTATTTCTGAAATAAAAGTGGCTTTCCTCAGCATTTAGAATTTCTTTCCAAAGTTCAAAAGGCAGGTGCCACCTGGTGGAAATTTACTAGAATTCATTTTGATTCCTGCTGGGCCATGTAAAAGCTGTACACTTTTCTCTTTTAAAAATGCTTGTGAGAGGGGTGGTTTCAAGACGGCCAAATAGGAAAAGCTCCAATCTACAGCTCCCAGCGTGAGCAACACAGAAGACAGCTGATTTCTGCATTTCCAACTGAGGTACTGGATTCATCTCACTGGGGATTGTCGGAGAGTAGGTGCAGGGCACCGAGCATGAGCTGAAGCAGGGCGAGGCATTGCCTCACCAGGGAAGTGCAAGGGGTCAGGGAATTCCCATTCCTAGCCAAGAAAAGTGGTGACAGACTGCACCTGGAAAATCGGGTCACTCCCACCCTAATACTGTGCTTTTCTGATGGTCTTAGCAAATGGCACACCAGGAGATTATATCCCACGCGTGGCTCAGAGGGTCCTAGGCCCACGGAGCCTCACTCATTGCAAGCACAGCAGTCTGAGATCAAACTGCAAGGCAGCAGCAAGGCTGGGGGAGGGGCACCTGCCATTTCTGAGGGTTGAGCAGGTAAACAAAGCAGCCAGGAAGCTCAAACTTGGTGGAGCCCACCACAGTTCAAGGAGGCCTGCCTGCCTCTGTAGACTCCACCTCTGGGGGCAGGGCATAGCCGAACAAAAGGCAGCAGAAACGTCAGAAGACTTAAATGTCCCTGTCTGACATCTTGGAAGACAGTAGTGGTACTCCCAGCACACAGCTGGAGATCTGAGAACGGACAGACTGCCTCCTCAAGTGGGTCCCTGACCCCCGAGTAGCCTAACTGGGAGGCACCCCCAAGTAGGGGCAGACAGACACCTCACACAGCTGGGTACCCCTCTAAGACAAAACTTCCAGAGGAACGATCAGGCAGTAACATTTGCTATTCACCAATATTCACTGTTTTGCAGCTCCACTGCTGATACCCAGGCAAAGAGGGTCTGGAGTGGACCTCTGGCAAACTCCAACAGACCTGCAGCTGAGGGTCCTGACTGTTAGAAGGAAAACTAACAAACAGAAAGGACAACCATGCCAAAACCCCATCTGTACGTCACCATCATCAAAGACCAAAGGTAGATAAAACCACAAAGATGGGGAAAAAGCAGAGCAGAAAAACCGAAAATTCTAAAAATCAGAGAGCCTCTCTTCCTCCAAAGGAATGCAGCTGCATTCACCAGCAATGGAACAAAGCTGGATGGAGAATGACTTTAACAAGTTGAGAGAAGAAGGCTTCAGATGATCAAATTTCTCTGAGCTAAAGGATGAAGTTCGAACCTATGGCAAAGAAGTTAAAAACCTTGAAAAAAAGATTAGATGAATGGCTAACTAGAAGAACCAATGCAGAGAAGTCCTTAAAGGACCTGATGGAGCTGAAAACCAAGGCATGAGAACTACATAACGAATGCACAAGCTTCAGTAGCCAATTCAATCAACTGGAAGAGAGGGTATCAGTGATGGAAGATCAAATGAATGAAATGAAGCGAGAAGAGAAGTTTAGAGAAAAAAGAATAAAAAGAAATGAACAAAGCCTCCAAGAAATATGGGACTATGTGAAAAGACCAAATCTACGTCTGATTGGTGTACCTGAAAGTGACGGGGAGAATGGAACCAAGTTGGAAAACACTCTGCAGGATATTACCCAGGAGAAACTTCCCCAATCTAGCAAGGCAGGCCAATATCCAAATTCAGGAAATAAAGAGAACGCCACAAAGATACTCCTCGAGAAGAGCAACCCCAAGACACATAATTGTCAGATTCACCAAAGTTGAAATGAAGGAAAAAATGTTAAGGGCAGCCAGAGAGAAAGGTCAGGTTACCCACAAAGGGAAGCCCATCAGACTAACAGTGGATCTCTTGGCAGAAACTCTACAAGCCAGAAGAGAGTGGGGGCCAATATTCAACATTCTTCAAGAAAAGAATTTTCAACCCAGAATTTCATATCCAGTCAAACTAAACTTCATAACTGAAGGAGAAATAAAATACTTTACAGACAAGCAAATGCTGAGAGATTTTGTCACCACCAGGCCTGCCCTACAAGAGTTCCTGAAGGAAGCACTAAACATGGAAAGAAACAACCAGTACCAGCCACTGCAAAAACATGCCAAATTGTAAAGACCATCGAGGCTAGAAGGAACCTGCATCACCTAACGAGCAAACTAACCAGCTGACATCATAATGACAGGATCAAATTCACACATAACAATATAAACTTTAAATGTAAATGGGCTAAATGCTCCAATTAAAAGACACAAACTGGCAAGATGGATAAAGAGTCAAGACCCATCAGTATGCTGTATTCAGGAAACCCATTTCACATACAGACACACACATAGGATCAAAATAAAGAGATGGAGGAAGATCTACCAAGCAAATAGAAAACAAAAAAAGGGAGGGGTTGCAATCCTAGTCTCAGATAAAACAGGCTTTAAACCAACAAAGATCAAAAGAGACAAAGAAGGCCATTACATAATGGTAAAGGGATCAATTCAACAAGAAGAGCTAACTATCCTAAATGTATATGCACCCAATACAGGAGCACCCAGATTCATAAAACAAGCCCTTAGAGACCTAGAAAGAGACTTAGACTCCCACACAATAATAATGGGAGACTTTAACACCCCACTGTCAACATTAGACAGATCAACGAGACAGAAAGTTAACAAGGATATCCAGGAATTGAACTCAGCTCTGCACCAAGCTGACCTAATAGACATCTACAGAACTCCCCACACCAAATCAACAGAATATACATTCTCCTCAGCACCACACCACACTTATTCCAAAATTGACCACATAGTTGTAAGTAAAGCACTCCTCAGTAAATGTAAAAGAACAGAAATTATAACAAACTGTCTCTCAGACCACAGTGCAATCAAACTAGAACTCAGGATTAAGAAACTCACTCAAAACCACTCAACGACATGGAAACTGAACAAACTGCTCCTGAATGACTACTGGGTACATAACGAAATGAAGGCAGAAATAAAGATGTTCTTTGAAACCAATGAGAACAAAGACACAACATACCAGAATCTCTGGGGCACATTTAAAGCAGTGTGTAGAGGGAAATTTATAGCACTAAATGCCCACAAGAGAAAGCAGGAAAGAGATAAAATTGACACCTTAACATCACAATTAAAAGAACTAGAGAAGCAAGAGCAAACACTTTCAAAAGCTAGCAGAAGGCAAGAATTAACTAAGGTCAGAGCAGAACTGAAGGAGATAGAGACACAAAAATCCCTTCAAAAAATCAATGAATCCAGGAGCTGGTTTTTTGAAAAGATCAACAAAATTGATAGACTCCTAGCAAGACTCATAAAGAAGAAAAGAAAGAAGAATCAAATAGACGCAATAAAAAATGATAAAGGGGATATCACCACCAATCCCACGGAAATACAAACTACCATCAGAGTATACTATAAACACCTCTACGCAAATAAACTAGAAAATCTAGAAGAAATGGATAAATTCCTCAACATATACATGCTTTCAAGACTCAACCAGGAAGAAGTTGAATCTCTGAATAGACCAATAACAGGATCTGAAATTGAGGCAATAATTAATAGCTTACCAACCAAAAAAAGTCCAGGACCAGATGGATTCACAGCTGAATTCTACCAGAGGTACAAGGAGGAGCTGTTACCATTCCTTCTGAAACTATTCCAATCAATAGAAAAAGAGGGAATCCTCCCTAACTCATTTTATGAGGCCAGCATCATCCTGATAACAAAACCTGGCAGAGACACAACAAAAAAAGAACTTTAGACCAATATCCCTGATGAACGTCAATGCAAAAATCCTCAATAAAATACTGGCAAACAGAATCCAGCATCACATCAAAAAGCTTATCCACCATGATCAAGTGGGCTTCATCCCTGGGATGCAAGGCTGGTTCAGTATACACAAATCAATAAATGTAATCCAGCATATAAACAGAACCAAAGACAAAAACCACATGATTATCTCAATAGATGCAGAAAAGGCCTTGGACAAATTCAACAGCCCTTCATGCTAAAAACTCTCAATAAATTAGGTATTGATGGGATGTATCTCAAAATAATAAGAGTTGTTTATGACAAACCCACAGCCAATATCATACTGAATGGGCAAAAACTGGAAGCATTCCCTTTGAAAACTGGCACAAGACAGGGATGCCCTCTCTCACCACTCCTATTCAACACAGTGTTGGAACTTCTGGCCAGGGCAATCAGGCAGGAGAAGGAAAAAAAAGGCATTCAATTATGAAAAGAGGAAGTCAAATTGTCCCTGTTTGCAGATGACATGATTGTATATCTAGAAAACCCCATCATCTCAGCCCAAAATCTCCTTAAGCTGATAAGCAACTTCAGCAAAGTCTCAGGATACAAAATCAATGTGCAAAAATCACAAACATTCTTATACACCAATAACAGACAAACAGAGAGCCAAATCATGAGTGAACTCCTATTCACAACTGCTTCAGAGAATAAAATACCCAGGAATCCAACTTACAAGGGATGTGAAAGACCTCTTCAAGAAGAGCTACAAATAAAACTACACTGAGTTTTATTTTCATTGAGAACTACACTGCTCAATGAAATAAAAGAGGATACAAACAAATGGAAGAACATTCCATGCTCATGGGTAGGAAGAATCAATATCATGAAAATGGCCATACTGCCCAAGGTAATTTATAGATTCAATGCCATCCCCATCAAGCTACCAGTGACTTTCTTCACAGAACTGGAAAAAACTACTTTCAAGTTCATATGGAACCAAAAAAGAGCCCACATTGCCAAGTCAATCCTAAGCCAAAAGAACAAAGCTGGAGGCAACATGCTACCTGACTTCAAACTATACTACAAGGCTACAGTAACCAAAACAGCATGGTACTGGTACCAAAACAGACATATAGACCAATGGAACAGAACAGAGCCCTCAGAAATAATGTCACACATCTACAACTATCTGATCTTTGACAAACCTGACAAAAATAAGAAACGGGGAAAGGATTCCTTATTTAATAAATGGTGCTGGGAAAACTGGATAGCCATATGTAGAAAGCTGAAACTGGATCTGTTCCTTACACCTTACACAAAAATTAATTCAAGATGGATTAAAGACTTACATATTAGACCTAAAACCATAAAAACCCTAGAAGAAAACCTAGGCAATACCATTCAGGACATAGGCATGGGCAAGGACTTCATGTCTAAAACACCAAAAGCAATGGCAACAAAAGCCAAAATGGACAAATGTGATCTAATTAAACTAAAGAGCTTCTGCACAGCAAAAGAAACTACCATCAGAGTGAACAGGCAACCTACACTACACAATGGAAGAAAACTTTTGCAATCTACTTATCTGACAAAGGGCTAATATCCAGAATCTACAAAGAACTGAAACAGATTTACAAGAAAAAAACAAACAACCCCATCAACAAGTGGGCGAAGGATATGAACAGAAGCTTCTCAAAAGGAGACATTTATGCAGCCAACAGACACATGAAAAAATGCTCATCATCACTGGTCTTCAGAGAAATGCAAATCAAAACCACAATGAGATACCATCTCACACCAGTTAGAATGGCGATCATTAAAAAGTCAGGAAACAACAGGTGCTGGAGAGGATGTGGAGAAATAGGAACACTTTTACACTGTTGGTGGGACTGTAAACTAGTTCAACCATTGTGGAAGTCAGTGTGGCGATTCCTCAGGGATCTAGAACTAGAAATACCATTTGACCCAGCCATCCCATTACTGGGTATATACCCAAAGGATTATAAATCATACTGCTATAAAGACACATGCACACGTATATTTATTGTGGCACTATTCACAATAGCAAAGACTTGGAACCAACCCAAAAGTCCAACAATGATAGACTGGATTAAGAAAATGTGGCACATATACACCATGGAATACTATGCAGCCATAAAAAATGATGAGTTCTTATCCTTTGTAGGGACATGGATGAAGCTGGAAACCATCATTCTCAGCAAACTATTGCAAGGACGAAAAACCAAACACCGCATGTTCTCCATCATAGTTGGGAATTGAACAATGAGAACACTTGGACACAGGAAGGAGAACATCACACACCGGGACCTGTTGTGGGGTGGGGGGCTGGGGGAGGGATAGCATTAAGAGATATACCTAATATAAATGATGAGTTAATGGGTGCAGCACACCAACATGGCACATGTATACATATGTAACAAACGTGCACGTTGTGCACATGTACCCTAAAACTTAAAGTATAATAAAAAATATAAAAATATAAAAAATAAAAAAATGCATGTATGGAGGCTGAAGCAGGAGAATCTCTTGAACCCAGGCGGCAGAGCTTGCAGCAAGCTGAGATCACCCCACTGCACTCCAGCCTGAGTGACAAAGAGAGATTCCGTCTAAAAAAAAAAAAAAAGAAACAAAAACAAAAAAACACATTTATTTCTTGTCAGTGAACAGAAATTATTCCTGTCACTTCAGAAAAAAAAGTTTATTTTAGTAAATTTTGTAGTTAATTTTCAATGAGATCTGTCATTGAAAAACATAAAGATTTGGAAGGCAGGAAGACAAAGCTGAGAGAACAGTCATGTCATGTCATGTCATAGGGCTCCCTAAGTCAGCAATCATATAGGGAAACTGGTGAGAGGAGTTTACAAGGCTCCATTTGATTACCCTAGGTAATTGCCCATAGCAAGTCTCGCTTCTGCCAGGATTTATGCAGCAGTACAAAATTATATCCTATTTCCTTCCTAAGAAATAGAAAACTAAGAGAAAGTAAAACAAACTTTTAATTAATTATTGCTTAACTTTTAATATTTTTCAAATTACAAATCATACTTAATCATTTAATTAAAGAAGGAACAATTAGTCTGAGTAGCTTCCATTTATGTGTGTCATGTTTAAGTTATTCTCCAAGAGAACATTAGTTAAATAATTAGTGCTGTGGTGCTAAGCAAAGCATTTCAGAAAGAACTATTTACTTCTTGTTAATTCAAAGAATGAAAGAAAAGAGAAAGAAAGAGAGAAAACTATAGCCTGAGAGAAAAAGAGAGAGAGAAGGCATGTGAGAAAATGAACACAAGAGAGAAAATGTGAGGGAACAATGGAAGAAAAAAGGAAAGGAGGGGGGAGGGAGGAATAAACGAGAAGAGGTTGATAATAATTAGGTCATTGCAGTGGTTATTTAAGGACTGTATAACCAATATTCACATCTCTGAGAAATAAAACTGAGGAACTTCTTTCTGAGGACTGTCACTTCCCTACTTGTTAGGTTTTAACAACTTGAGAGACAAATCTTTAGCAAGTTTGAGGTTTTGACTTTAGTGTAAAGAGAATGTCTGAATTCTTGGGGAAAGTGTGTAGTGTCATAACTAATGTCCAAATGTAAGTAGTACTTCTAAAGTAAACAGGTCTAGAGGAAGTTTTCAGAGACTTCGAAGGTTCTATAAATATTCATTTTACCTACCCCTGAACACTGGCTTGAAAGATTGTTTTCTTTTTAACTAGCAAAAGTTAATGAGCCATTTCTGAACTTGCTGTATGGAAGCTAAGGCCAGGAATTTAACTTTATGTCACTGAGCTAATACCTTTTAAAAAGAATTATTATTTTAATAAAATCAGTAACATCCTTTTCATTGCCTCCCTATTACCTTTATAGAGTAGGTCTCAGTTCATAGTTGTTAGCACACAAGAAGCATCTCAAAGAGTTTTCTTCATAGTTCCCAAGTATGAACTGAGAACTCAAGCCCACAAGCTGCTCAGTTGTTAGCAGCTTCTTCTGTGTGAACTATGAGTTGAGAAATCTGAAAAAAATCTTTCAAGCCAGTATTCAGGGGTAGGTAAAAAGAGTGTTTACAGAACCTTCAAGGTCTCTGAAAACTGCTTCTAAATCTGTTTACTTAAGAAGTATTTATATTTGGACATTAGTTATCGCCTTACACACTTTCCCCAAGAATTCAGATACTCTCTTTACACAAGTCAAAACCTTGAACTTGCTGAAGATTGTCACCCAAGTTGTCAAAACTTAACAAGTGGGCAAGTGGCAATCGTCTCAAGAAGGAAGCCCATACCACGGGAAATTACGAGGTTCAGTGCAAAGGATCCATTCCAGTCTTGTGTTACTTTCAACTAAAGTACCCTCACAGACATACAAAAAGTCTACATCTGGAGCAAAGTTTATCAACTCTGCCCACCATCAACATTTGACAAATGTAGTCATTTTAGCCTTAACCATAACCTTGCATATTATAGTAATCTGCTAAGGCATGTGTTATGTGCTTGTGCTTAGATTTGAGGAGGTTTAAGAACAGTAAAAATTAAGAAAATGTGGCACATATACCCCATGGAATACTATGCAGCCATAAAAAATGATGAGTTCATGTCCTTTGCAGGGACATGGATGAAGCTGGAAGCCATCATTCTCAGCAAACTATCGGAAGGACAAAAAAACCAAACACCGCATGTTCTCACTCATAGGTGGGAATTGAACAATGAGAACACATGGACACAGGAAGGAGAACATCACACACCGGGGCCTGTTGTGGGGTGAGGGGAGTGGGGAGGGATAGCATTAGGAGATATACCTAATGTTAAATGACGAGTTAATGGGTGCAGCACACCAACATGGCACATGTATACATATGTAACTAACCTGCACTTTGTGCAAATGTACCCTAAAATTTAAAGTATAATAAAAAAAAGAACAGTAAAAATTATCGTATAGTAGATTATTACCAATGCTTACTAATAGCCTGTTCTCTACTTCTAAGTATACAAAAATTGTGCTTCTCTATCTCTTTGAAGGTAACGGTGGTGATGGGCCTTGATTTCGCACCCCCCCAAAAAAAATGTAAGGGAAAATAATACACATCATTTGCAGAGGAAGCATTTGATTTCAAGTGCTTAACTCCTGCCCCCATTGCCCCAGGAGCTGAAAAACTATGAAGCAACACATCGAAATGGAGCCAGCATAGGATAGTGAGGAGTGGCTTTGTGGAACAGACACCCAACCTCCACAAGTGACCCACAGTGGACATGTAACAGGAGCACCTAAGTAAACTTTGGGTGTGTTAAGCTATTGAGATTTTGGCATTTTTTGTTACTTCAGCATAAATTATCCCAATACATTGTCTTTTCCAATAAAGTGAAAGAGAAATGAGAGGCTTAAAAATGCAAATAAAAAGAGACACATGACTATGCCGAAAATAAAAATTATGCACTTTTAAATAAATGATGAGAAAATGAGAAAAGATTGTACAGACATAGAGAATAAGCATTTCAACTGTAAGAATATTTCTAAATATAGAGAGTAATTTATACCACATGTGAAGAATTCTATTTACAGGTAAGTGATAATATTCAGCAAGAGATGGCTATTCACAAAAGGAGAAACATCCTGTTAACTTAGGAGATATGTAGAACTTTGAGAAATTAAAGTCTAATCAGGTGAAATAACATTGACAAAGTTTATATCACAAGCGTAACTTCTGTCTGGTAACATGGGTTCAGGAGGTATATGTAAGTACTGTTAGTCACAAATTGTATAATACTGACCACTTTTGTATAAACATTCCTAATAAAAAAGACATATTTAGGAAGAGAATATGCAAAGTTGTAAAACTTTGAAGAAATTAGTTACTAGCCTATTGCATACAAATGTATTCTGGACTTGAACCTAACTGAGTCACTTTGACCTTAAGAACAAATAGACCTAACAGTTTTTGAAAGCTAAAATATTTATATTTAAAAAGCATCTGTATGCAGATACACTATTTTAATTATTTATTTAGAAAGAAGAAATACTTATTCATTCTCTTTCATTCTTCTGCATTTTGTCTTCTTTCTTCATCTTCTTTTCATGCTTTGAAGTTCACTTCACCACCTCTTCTCTTCCATACTCAGACTTCATTTGCTAGTCTAACATAGGTCTTTGTTTTAAAAAATTTCAAGGCTAGATCCAGCAAAGGTAAGCAGATTAAGGTACTTTGTGGCAGGATACTTAAGAAAGAGCTACTCTTTCTGACAAGGTTACAATTAGACATAGCCACACAAGACATTACTTTTTAAAATAGAATTATAGACTTCAGGATGGGAGCTATGGCAGGGAAGTGGGGGAGTTTTACTAATAGTTCAACTTTGCCCTTAAGTAAAAATAATCACTGCAAAAATTTCCAATGAGTCTTCATTCCATTTGTAATTAAACTACATTGACCAAGGAGATGTCAATAATTTCTAATGTACACCATTGTGCTTTACACAGATCATTAGAAAATTTTTCTTTAAAAAATTGACACCCAAGGATATTTTATTCAGTGAAATTATCCTTCACAAATGAAGGAAGAAATAAAGTCTTTTATAGATAAGCAAATACCAAGGAAATTCATCACCACTTTACTGGTCCTACAAGAAATGCTCTAGGAAGCCCTAAAATTGAAAGTGAAAGAATCACAGTTACTATCATGAAAACAAAAAATGTATAAAATTCACTGGTAAAGCAAACATAGAAATAAGGAAGAAAAAAGACTCAAATGGTACCTCTATAGAAAACTACCAAACCATAAGAACAAACAGTAAGAAAAGAAAAGGAAAAGAAAGGATTAAGGAATATACAAAATAACCATAAAACTAACAGTATGATAGAAAGGAAACCTCACATACCAATAATTTTAATGTAAACAGATATATTATCCACTGAAAAGACAGAGACTGGCTCAATTAATTAACAAAACATAATCAATTACAGGCTGTCTACAAAAAAAAAAAAAAAAAAAAACACTTTACCTGTAAAAAGACATATTGACTGAAAGTAAAGGGATAAAAAAAAAGATATTCCCCAGCCAGGCATGGTGTCTCATGCCTGTAATCCTAGCACTTTGAGAGGCTTAGGAGGCCTGATTGCTTTAACCCAGAAGTTCAAGACCAGCCTGGGCAACATGGTGAAACCCCATCTCTACAAAAAAATACAAAAATTAATTGGGTGTGTTGGCATGCTCCTGTAGTCTCAGCTACTCAGGAGGCTGAGGTGGGAAGATCACCTGAGCCCTAGGAGGTGTAGGAAGCACTGAGCCATAATCTTGCCTCTGCCTCCAGCCTGGATGACAAAGGGAGACCCCCAACTCAAAAAAAGAAGAGAAAGACAAAAAGAAAAGACAAAGATTTTCCATGCAAACAGAAACCAAAAGTGAGCAGAAGTAGTTATATGTATATCAGATACAACAGACCTTAAGTCAAAAAGAGTTTTAAGAGACAAAGAAAATCATTACATAGTGTTAAAGTGATCAATTCAGCAAGAGGATGCAATAATAATTCTACGTATGTATGCACCTAACACTGGAGCACCTAGATGTATAAAGCAAAATTACTAGATCTAAAGAGAGAGACAGACCCCAATATAATAACAGTGGGCAATTTCAACACCCTCAACTCAGCATTTAAAAAATCATCTACATAAAAAAAATCAACAAAGAAACACTGGATTTAAGCTGGACTTTAGACCGATGGACTTAACAGACATTTTTAGCCAATATCTGCAGAATACACATTCTTCTCATTAGTGCATGGAATATTCTCCAGGATATTTTTTAGACCACAGAATAAGTCTCAATAAATTTTAGAAGACTGAAATCATGTCAAGTATCTTCTCAGACCACATTGGAATAAAACTAGGAGTCAATACCAAGAGGAACTTTGGAAATTATATAAATACATGGAAATTAAACAACATGCTTCTGAATGATCATTGGGTCTATGCAAAAAAATTAAGAGGAAAATTTAAAAATTTATTGAAATAATTAAAAATGAAATTAAACATATCCAAACCTGTGGGATACAACAAAGCTAACAGGAAAGTTTATAGCAATAAACACCTACATCAAAAAAGTAGAAAGATTTCAAATAAACAATCTAAGAATGTACCTCAAAAAAACTAGAAAAGCAAGAATAAACCACACTCAAAATTACTAAAGTGAAAAATATAATAAAGATCACAGCAGAACTAAATGAAATAGAGACAAAAAAAAAATACTAAGAATCAACCAAATGAAAAGTTGGTTTTCCAGTCTGGGAGCAGTAGCTCATGCCTGTAATCCCAGGACTTTGGGAGGCCAAGGCTGGTGGATCACCTGAGGGCCAGAGTTGGAGACCAGCCTGGCCAACATGATGAAACCCCATCTCCATTAAATATATATATATATATTAACCAGGTGTGGTGGTGGGTGCCTGTAATGCCAGCTACTCGGGAGGCTGTGGCAGGAGAATAGTTTGAACCTGGGAGGCAGAGGTTGCAGTGAGCTGAAATTGCACCACTGCACTCCAGCCTGAGTAACAAGAGTGAAACTCCATCTTAAAAAAAAAAAAAAAGAAAAAAAAAGAAAGAAAAAAGAAAAGTCAGTTCTCCAAAAGATAAACAAAATTGATAAACTGCTAGCAAGACTAACCAAGAAAAGAAGAAAGACAAAATATGCAAAAGCATACATGAAAAGGGAAATATTATAACTGATATTACAGAAATACAAAAGATAATGGGGACTATTATGAACAAGCATACACTAACAAACTAGAAAACCTAGAGGAAATGGATAATTCCTGGATATATACAACCTATGAAGACCATATATATGGACAAATACAACCTATGAAGACTGAAAGAATAGAAAACGTGAACAGATCAATAAAAAGTATCCCAATAACAACAATAAAAAAAGCCCAGGATTTAATCAATTCACTGTTGAATTCTACCAAATATGTAAAGAAGAACTAATAACAATCCTCCTCAAACTAGTCCAAAAAATTGAAGAGGAGGGAATTCTCCTGAATGCATTCTATGAAGCCAGCATCACTATGAGACCAAAACTCAACAAGAGCACAACCAAAAAAGAAAACTACAGGCCAATATCCCTGAGACGTAGATGGAAAAGTCCTCAACAAAGTACAGCAGACAAAATCTAACAGCATATCAGAAAGATAATATACCATAATTAAGTCGGATTTATCCCAGGGGTGCAAGAATAGTTCGACATATGCAAATCAATAAACTTCATACTTCACATTGACAAAAGGGAACACAAAAACCATATGATCATCTCAATAGGTACAGAAAAGCATTTGATAAAACTCAACATCCTTTCATGATAAAAAAGGAAGTGAATAATAAAGGCCATATATCAAAAACCCACAGATAACATCATACTGAATGGGAAAAAGTTGAAAGCCTTTTCGCTAAGAATTGGAACAAGACAAGGATGCCCACTTTAATCAGTCCTGTTCAACATAGTACTAGAAGTCCCAGCTACAGCAATTAAGCAAGATAATAAATACAGGACATACAAACTGGAAAAGTGGAAGTCCAATTGTCCCTCTGCTAATGGCATGTTCTTATATTTAGGAAAAAAATAGAAGACTCTGTCAGAAAACTCTTAGAACTGAAAAACACATTCAGTAAAGTTGGTGGATAAAAAAATCAACATACAATAATCAGTAGTACGCAGAAATAACAAAACGATGATAAAGAAATCACGAAGGTGATCCCATTGACAATAGCTACAAAAGATATATATATATATATATATATACATTTATATATATATATATATACATTTATATATATATATATATACACATATATATATATATATATATGAATTCCTAGGAATAAGTTTAACTAAGAAAGTGTAAGATGCCTACTAGGCATCTTCAAAACATTGATTAAAGAAATTGAAGAAGACAAAAACAAAAGCAAAGGCATCCCATGGCCATAGATCAGAAAAATTAATATCTTTAAAATGACCATACTGCTCCCAAGATCTATAGATTCAATGCAATCCCTGTCAAAATACCAATGCTATTTTTCACAGAAATGGAAAAAGCAATCCTAAAATTTGTATGGAACCAAAAAAGAGCCAGAATAGCCAAAGTAATCTTGAGCAAAAGAATAAAGCTAGAGGCATCACATCACCTGACTTCAAAACATATTATAAGGATATAGTAATATCAAAATAGATTGGTATAGGTATAAAAATAGATACATAGACCAATGGAACAGAACAGAGAACCCAGAAATAAAGCTACATATTTATAGTCAAACAATATTTGACAAAGCTGCTAAAAACATACATTGGAGAAAGGAAAACCTCTGCAATAAATGATGCTGGAAAAACTGGATAACCACATGCAGCAGAATGATACTACATCTTTATCTCTCACCTTATACAAAAGTAAACTCAAGGTAGATTAAAGACTTAAATGTAAAAGCCAAAACTTCACTAGAAGTAAAAATAGGGAAAACTCTTCAGGACATTTGTCTAGGCAAATATTTTATGGCTAAGACCTCAAAAGCACAGGCAACAAAAAGAAAAACAGACAAATGTGACTATGTTAAACTAAAAATCTGCACAGCAAGAGAAACAATAAACAGACAACCTCTTAAGTTGGAGAAAATATTTGCAATCTACTTACCTAACAAGAGACTAATATACAGAATATACAAGGAACTCAAACAACTCAACAGTAAAAAAATCAAATACTCCCATAAAAAGTGAGCAAGGAACATGAATTTTTCACTTTCAAAAGAAGACAAAGAAATGGCCAATAGGTATATGAAAAGAATGTTCAATGTCACTAATCATCAAGGTAATGCAAATCAAAACCACAATGAGACTATCATCTTACCCCAGTTAGAATGACTATTATTAAAATAAAGACAAAAGATAACAGGCACTGACAAGTATGTGGATAAATGGGAACTCATTCACTGTTGGTGGGAATGTAAATTTGTACAGTCACTATGGAAAACAGTATGGAGATTTTTTTAAAAAAACTAAACATAAAGCTACCATAAAGTCCAACAATCCCATTACAAGTATTAATCCAAAGGAAAAGAAATCAGTATATAAAGAGGATACATGCACTTGCATGTTTACCGTAGCACTATTCATGACAGCAAAGATATGCAATGAACCTAAGTGTTCATCAATGAATGAATGAATCAATGAAGGAAGAAAATGTGGTATACATAAACAATGGAATACTATTTGGCCATAAAAATAATGAAATCATGTCATGTTCAGCAAGATGGATAGAACTGAGGTTTGTAATGTTGAGGGAAATATGCCAGGCACAGAAAGACAAATACTGCATGTTCTCATCCGTATGTGGGAGCAAAAAGCTTGACCCCATGGACATAGAGAATAGAGTGATAGATACCAGAGACTGGGAAGGGTGGATGAGTGACAATGGGAATGAAGAGAAGTTGGTTAATGGGTACAAACATGCAGTTAGGTAGAATAAGCTCTCATGTTGTACAGCAGAATGGGACGCCTATATTTAGCAGCAGTACTTGGTATATTTTAAAGTAACTAGAAGAGAGAACTTGAAATGATACCAACATGTAGACATTATAAACACTCAAGGTGGTGGATACCCCAAATATACTGACTTGACCATTACACATTTGTGCATGTAACAAACATTGCCATGTACTGCATTAATAAGTAAAACAGTATGCATTAATAAAAGAGAGAAAAAAAGAAAATTCTATTTATATTCAGCCTGCATCTGCCTTGCTTTGGTTTTTATTGGTCAGTATTTCTTGTGTTGGCCAGAAGTACACAAAGCAAAGGAGGTAGCAAGCTACAGTGGTTAAATATTTGTCCTTTGGGGTCAAAATATCCAGGTGCAAATCCTGGCCCCACCATTTAGTATCTGTGTGTCTGCAGGAAAATTACCAAACTTCTTTATGCCTCAATTTCTCCATCTGGAAAATAGAAATGATCTGAGAATATAATCAATTATGTCTGCATCAAAATATTGATTTGCACTTAAATTGGGCAATAATCACATAATTAATGTTACCTGGATTATAACTTCCTCTTCCAAATTACAACCATTCAAATATGTGTTTCTTCTACAAGCTGAGTATCTCCATTTTCTTTATCATTTACTATCTATTCTTTAAAGCTTTAATTTTGTGTAAGGGACAACAGTTTTGATTATGGAGCAGAAAGATGTCCGGAAAGATTTCAGAGGATTTGAGTAAATCATCCAGAAATGGAACAGCAATGTGGCCCTTCTTTGGGCATAAATAAAGGCCTAGAAAATAATCATATTTCAGACATTAGAGAGTACTCCAATTTAATCACTTACAGGCAAAATCATGCAGAAATATTGCTCTTGAGCTCATATTTATCTACTTCAAACAGATAAATGCTGTATCTGGTATTCAGATTATGATCCTTTGATATAATTGCGTTTTACTGTTGTAGTATTCCGTCAGCATATAAAAACGTAGTGTTTTCTGCCTAAATGTTTTATCTTCAAAATGTTTTCTTCCAAAAGGAGTAAGAAGTATATCAAGAAACATTTTAGAGATTTCAAATAAAACTAATTTTTATTCATCGAAATATTGAAAGTTAATTTTTCACCAGCCTAATCCAAAACAGCATCAGCTTGAACTACTTCTGCACCACCCCATCCCACCAGTTACTTCAGCCATTATCTTCTATATCCTTGAGTTAATTCAATATAAGCAAAATTTCTTAAATATAAAATAGGGAGAAATGTATCTTAACATAAAGTTCATCAACTATCAGATAAAGAGAAATGTATCTTAGTGAAAGACCACTGATTCATACAAACTAAAAATTCATGTAAGCTAAATTATGAATTTATGGGTTAAATTCAAGGAATAGTAAGATAAAAAATGAAGGAAGGCCCAGTGCAGAGGCTCACACCTGTAATCCCAGCACTTTGGGAGGCCAAGGCAAGTGGATCACAAGGTCAAGAGATCGAGACCATCCTGGCCAACTAATATGGTGAAACCCTATCTCTACTAAAAATACAAAAATTAGCTGGGTGTGGTGGCATGCACTTGTAGTCCCAGCTACTCAGGAGGCTGAGGAAGGAGAATTGCTTGAACCCGGGAGGTGGAGGTTGCAGTGAGCCAAGTCATGCCACTGCACTCCACACTCCAGTCTGGTGACAGAGAGAGACTCCTCTCAAAAAAAAAAAAAAAAAAAAGGAAAGAAAAAAAGAAAAAGAAATGAAAGAAAATAATTTTACGGAAGCCAAGGGAAGAGTGTTTTAAAAAGGCGGACTGTTAATTAAATTTCTGCTAAGAGAGCAAATGATATTTCCCATACAACCTCAATGGGTAACAGGTATGGGGAAAAAAGAGTTATGGGATGTAGCTCCATACGATTTTCTATAATTGGAGTCATGGGTACTAGATTTCATCTCTCAAAAGAGAAATTCCATTTGGGACACATTTGAAATGTTTTATGGATAATAATACATAGGGTCAACTATCTCTAACATTAACTCCATGACAATGCATTATCCCTCTGATGTTCTCTCCTAGAATTTGGCTCTCGTCTTCCTGTTCATCAAATGGGATGCAGGCAGTCATTGATCTCCTGGGGACACAGTGGGTTGCATAAGTGTGACACTGCTGTGAAAAGAGGGACCTGGTTAAACATAAGTCTTAAATGCACCCTAGGACACACTTGTATTTCTTCTCTCATCTTGGCAGAACCATTTTTTCGTGTCTCCTACTTCTATCTAGCCCTTTCTCTGTGTTTCCATGCACCTGCTTACTGAAAAGGACTATAGAAAGTAACATGCTAACCTCTCTTTCCAACCAATGATAGATTTACTCACTTAGAATTGATTTATTAGAAAAGTAGTGAGCTGGTGCCAAGGAAAGTACTTGCTATTTTTCTTTTTATAAAGCAGCTTGGAAACTTTATACTTGAGGCTTATTGTGATCCAAAATTAATACCTTTCCAAAGTTTAGAATGCTCTTCATGATCTCTTTCTAAATAGTAATCATAAATGTATAAATTCAAATAATATTTCCCCATAAAACATATACTGATTAGTTATGTCTATTCTAACAAGATATTTGTATCTGTGGAAAACTTTTAAATGATTCAAAGAGGAAATTAAATTAAAAATGGAAAAAAACAGATTTTTTAAGATTTAGGAAGTATCATAAATGCATTTACTTGCAAAAAGTAAAACAAGTTTATGGTAGAAGAAATTAATTTTCTTTTTTTCTTTTTTGAGATGGAGCCTCGGCATGTTGCCCAGGCTGGAGTGCAGTGGCACGATCTCGGCTCACCACAACCTCTGCCTCCCGGGTTCAAGCAATTCTCCTGCCTCAACCTCCCAAGTAGCTGGGACTACAGGCGGGTGCCACCACACCTGGCTAATTTTTGTATTTTTAGTAAAGACAGGGTTTTACCATATTGGCCAGGCTGGTATCAAACTCCTGAGCTCAAGCAATCCACCTGTCTCAGCCTCCCAAAGTGCTGGGATTACAGGCGTGAGCCACCACGCCCAGCCAGAAATTAATTTTCTATATGAAAAATGTCTGCTTCATTTGATGCCTACTAAAAATAATGGGGACAATATTAA
Source organism: Homo sapiens (assembly GCF_000001405.40). Classification (NCBI taxonomy): domain Eukaryota; kingdom Metazoa; phylum Chordata; class Mammalia; order Primates; family Hominidae; genus Homo; species Homo sapiens. The sequence continues at coordinate 74,325,604 of NC_000006.12, read as the reverse complement.
GAAAAGAGAAAGGAAATAATAGAAAGGAAGAGGAGGAAGATAGGAAGGGAAAGCAAGGGGAAAAGGAACATGAAGAAGAGACAATGGAATCATAAAATGTAGGAAACAGGGGAAAGGAGTTATAACAAAGATAATCAGTATTGCTTTAAAATAAGGTTAATTTGGGACATACTTATTATTTTTAACTAAAATTATTACCAAGAAACACAATTGTTCATGTGGGTACTAGTTGTAAGAATAAATTCATACTCAGACTTTAGTTCTTTTTGAATTGTTCTCTACTCAAACACTGTGACACTTCTTTCTGAAAAGAAGAAGTTTATTCAGAATAAACTTCTGAATATTTTATTCAGTAAACTATTTTTTTCCTTTTTCAATCTTTATTCTAGAATCAGGGGTACATGTGCAGGTTTGTTACAAAGGCATATTGATTACCTGATGCTGAGGTTTGAAGTATGGTTGAACCTGTCACCCAGTGAGCATAATACCCTATAGGTAGTTTTCCAGCCCTTGCTCCCCTTTCTCTCTTCCCCAACTAGTAGTCCCCAATGTATACTGCTGCTATCTTTATGTCCATGTACATCTAATGGTTAGCTCTTTCTTATAAGTGAGAACATGCAGTATTTTGTTTTCTATTTCTGTGTTAGTTCGCTAAGGATAATGGCCTCCAGCTGTATCCATGTTGCTGCAAAGACATGATTTTGTCCTTTTATGGCTGCATAGTATTCCCTGGTGTATATATGCCACATTTTTTGGACATTATTTGGCACCAATCCACCATTTATGTGCACCTGGATTGATTCCATGTCTTTCCTAATATAAATAAAGCTGTGGTGAGAATATGGGTGCATGTGTCTTTTTGGTAGAATAATTTATTTTCCTTTGAGTATACCCTCAGTAATGGGATTATTGGGTTAAATGGTAGTTCAACTGAGCTATTTGAGAAATCTCCAAACTGGTCTCTACAGTGGCTGAACTAATTTACATTCTCACCAACAATGTATAAGTGTCCCGTTTTCTCTGCAGCCTCACCAACATCTGTTGTTTTTTTGACTTTTTAACAAAAGCCATTCCAACTTGTGTGAAATGTTATCTTATTGTGGTTTTGATTTGCAGTTGTATTTCTCTAATGATTAGAGAGGATGAGCATTTTTTCATATGTTTGTGGGCCACTAGCATGTCTTCCTTTCAGAAGTGTCTGTTCACATCTTTTGTCCACTTTTTAATGCTTTTTGCTTGTTGATCTAAGTTCCTTTTAGATGCTGGACGTTAGACGTTCGTCAAATGCATAGTTTGTGAATATTTTCTCCCATTCTGTAGATTCTCTGTTTAGTCAACTTTGATAGTTTTTGTTGCTGTGCAGAAGCTCTTTAGTTTAATTAGGTCCCACTTGTGGATTTTTGTTTTTGTTGCAATTGCTTTTGAGGACTTAGCCACAAACATTTTGCCAGGAAGTGGTTTGCTTCTGTAATCCCAGCAACTTGAGAGGCTGAGGAGGGAGGATCACTTGAGGCCAGGAGTTCAAGATCAAACTCTTTTAAAAGTACTTACTATGTGCCAGAGGTATAGGCCTGATTAGAGCAACTTATAACTTGTGGGGAAAAAAAAATTTTGTGCTAAAATGGCTGAGATTATAACATTTTTATTATATTATAGAATCATTCTAAGAAAACCCCCATATTGTCCTTGATAAGTATAACCAAAGTTCAAGCATAAATCCAACATTCAAGAAAGGCTAATGCAAGAATAAAAAGACCCATAGTTTGGCCCATCTTAACTACAGCAAATCTTTAAGGTAATAAAAACGTAAGCAAATATGGGAAAAGTATAACCCTTTCTTGAGAGCCCTTGTTTTGCTTTGGTTGTTGTGTTACTTCCAACACTATGATTCTTTGCAGCAAACTGCTATACTCTCAGCTCTTCCCAGTGAAATTCCAGACATTCAGAATTATTGACTTACAAAATCAAAAGTTACTGCCTCTGTCCATAGATCTTTGCAGGCAGGCTTAGTTACTATTCACAGCTCTTTTGATGCTCTTAAATCTGAAAATAAATCTTTGAAGATTATAGGTCATCTCATTTCATAGGCTCACTTCATAAATGAAAAGATGCAGTCATCCAGAGTCTCAGAATTTGTCTAGTAAGAGTCAGACACTTGATTAAAGTAACCAAACCTATAAAGTTCTGAACGGTTATGTGTAGTATCCATGATGATAACAGCAGCCTAGGATAAACTATGGAATCTCTTGTTCTTTCAAAAGTAAACACTATTATAAAAAGAAGTGTCAGGCCGGGCGCGGTGGCTCACGCCTGTAATCCCAGCACTTTGGGAGGCCGAGGCGGGTGGATCATGAGGTCAGGAGATCGAGACCATCCTGGCTAACAAGGTGAAACCCCGTCTCTACTAAAAATAAAAAAAATTAGCCGGGCGCGGTGGCGGGCGCCTGTAGTCCCAGCTACTCGGGAGGCTGAGGCAGGAGAATGGCGTGAACCCGGGAAGCGGAGCTTGCAGTGAGCCGAGATTGCGCCACTGCAGTCCGCAGTCCGGCCTGGGAGACAGAGCGAGACTCCGTCTCAAAAAAAAAAAAAAAAAAAGAAGTGTCAGAATAATTATCCAGTGAAAGATTCTTCCAAGGCTGCCTAGGTATTTCTAAATGATCACCACTCTCTAAAAATGGCAGGTAAAAGATTCTTCATGAAGTAAGCCCTGGTGCTGATTTTATCATCATCACTATCATCATCAATTATTTGTGCTACTTGGCATCGACCATCAGTTAAATCAATATGCAAAATAAACCATTGTAGAGGTTCTGTCTGCGAATTTATTTAATGTCATACTTGCCAGACAACTACATATTCTAATAAATGCTGTTAATTTTAACCAGAGACATTGTATATTGTTATTTCTTTGCAACCTATAAGTATTACTAAAAACGCTGAAAGTAAAATTCCATATGCCATATGTTCAGTACACACATGCAAATACCATTACAAAGTATACACATATACATATTTTGGCTTGTGAACTAAGAGTGCTAAGATGTTAATCAAGATAATGAAAATGTAAATTCTGAGCTTAAAAGATCTTTTCCTTAGTTTTCCTCTTCTCACTCATCCTCCCAGATACTGAGTTTCCTACCCAATTCCCAAATCTATGTTGTTTGCATCCAACCGAAACTTAAAATCCTAAAGTGTAGGAAAGAGTGGAGCGATGGGGAGAGAACATGGTCAATGAACCTAATTGAGGACAGAAGCAGGAGCTCTGGCCCTAAATCAAAAGGCAAATTCACTATAGCGCCCTGCTGCCTTTTCTGCCAACTCCTGTCAAGCCAGAAGAGATTAAGAAGCTTCCAAAAACAATTTGGGGGCAGACTAAAAATGTAGCCAACCAGTAATTCACATGAGTGAGTTATTATAGCTACTCTGTGATCACAAATTCTACTTGTAAGACCAAATGATCAACTTGAAATACAGAGGGCTTATAAATCTATAGGAATTTTGCCACTATTTTCTTGCCCAGTGTTGAAATTCAAGTAAGTTTTATACATGATTTGGCCATAAAAATGAATATTAAACAGTACTGAATGTTCCATTCAAAATAGACATCAAAAACACATTGAATCTCATTAATTTGCAGGGAGTAAACAAGCCCATACCATTTTGAAACAATATATGTAGCAGATTTTAACACAGTATTATCATCATTCTTCTGGGTATTTGTTGTTGTTTATCAAAAATGTGTAGTAATGAATATGGTAATTAGCTCCTTTGAACAATTACATAATGTCTACGTATTTCAAAACATCATGTTGTACATGATAAACATGTATAATTTTTGTCAATTAAAAGATAAAATTAAAATTTGCTTTTCTTTTAAAGGTAGGAGACATTGCAAGATTTTCTGTTTGGGCCCTATAGTTTAAATTTATTTTACAAAAATCTACTGTGGTAGAGATCTTCTGGGTATTGCTCAGAACATAGTCGATTTCTATCAGTAAGATCTGCCCCACACATTAGCAGTGGTCCCTCGGCAAGCCATATCACCCTTCATAACCCCATGTCCTACCCAAGCAGGGTGGACTATATTTAACCCAAGGCAGTAGAAAAGTAGAAACAAGAGACTGAGACTACTACCTGCTCCTGGAATAGTACTTTTGTGGCCTTGCTGATCTTAGATTCTGTGAAATGCCCAGTACTCATTCACAAAAGTCCCTTTGAAAAGTTGCACTGTTTATATGTGTATTTCTATTCATTTCAACTAAGAGGACAGTGACCAAGACATCATAAGTTTTTCCTGTCAGAATGATCTTCAATTTTACTATGTTCACCAATAGTTTGAAAGAACAGATTTAGTCATTTTGGAAAATCAATCTTTGATTTAAAAATATTCATTTAGTTAAGTGAAGAATTGTCAACTGCCATCTTACTTTTTTACCTCATGTGCCTTTTGTTAGTTCAAAATATGGTAAAATATTTCTTCCATAAAGAAGTGTAAAAATAAGTTTACCAAGAATTTAAAGCTGTCAAGTCATATTCTTAAGTTGATTGAAAAAACAAAAAAAGAGAATAGGATTATTCTATTTAAAGTAATATCTGGCATATACTGAGCACTTAGTACCCATCAAACTCTGCTACAAGCATGTTCTACACAGTATCTCATTTCATCATCACAACAACCTAACCCCATGAGTTCACCTCTTTTACAATCACCATTTCACTAATAGTGAAACTAAGACATTGAAAAGTTGCCCAAGATTATATAACAGAAAAGTGCTAAAGCAAGAATTCAAACTCCAGCACAGTGGCCTCAGAAGCCCACTCTTAGCTACCAAGTTGTACATTTTAGACAGACTAACAAGGCACAACCAATCATAAACACATTTAAAAAGTATAATAGTGTTTTGTCCTAGAAAAGAAAAAAAAATTCTCAACAGTAACCTTATTTTTAAAATCCTTGGTCCAAAACAGTTTTTAACCCGTTTGATAAAGATTTTCAATACCTTAATAATAACTTACATCATTGTTTAATATTGTAAAACAGGTTATAAACATGTAAACTTATTTAATCCTCAGAACAACTGAATCAGGAACTGTATCAGGAATAAATATTACAAAAAAGTTTCTCTTTGGAGGGGAAGGGATTAAAACTTTGTCTAAAAAATTTCTCTACTCCTTTCTTTCCTCTGATCTTCCTCTTCATTGCTCTTAAACATCCAAGTATGAAGGTATGAGAGAGTGAAGGACTTAAAGCCAGGCTAAAGAAACTGGCTGGAACAAGTTGCTTATTTACATGTTGATGAATGGTTATGTTAACAACATTCTTCACTGAAAACTTCACTGTTTGTTTTTGCTGAAGTAGATAGTAAATAAGTAGCCAAGACATGGTGGTCTGAAACAAATACCACAAAGACTTTTATTCTTTCTTTGTGGATGTGTCATGGTATACTAGGTCTACAAAAAACAACTTTCTTTATATCTATTTAAATATAGCACCCTGATAGCACTACCAAGAAAAACCAGTCCCAGCCTAAGACTGAAAAGACACAGGGAGAAATCTGCTGCTGTATCACTTAAAATATTTTTGTTTGTCTATTTAGTCATCTATCCCTTTAGAGTTTATCTCTGGAAAATATTACATTCCAAAAAGTCCAAAAATTAATGTCATCCTGACCAAACTGTGAAAGCCTTCTAAATAGTCAAATAATGATTTATAGCTAGTTTGTTTTCTATCTGGAAATATAACAAGTGAACTATTTACACAGTAGCTGCTTTCCATATTCATCTGGTTTGGATCAAATTAATCCACTTTTGGATAAAAGTTATCATCAATTGTATGTTTATGATGCACAGTGGTATTTACCAGACATCTCACGGTTGCATTCATCGGTGTTTTTGCTTAAACCTGCTCCTTTGACATCTAAATAATATAGAACATTTCTGCTCATTGGGAAGAGAATTGCAATTATTTTATTCCAAATAATAAATCAGCAAAGAGATAACGAGTTTCTAAATGGTGGCAGTTGCTTCCTGAGAAGGGCCAATTTGAAAGAATGACTACCAAACAAATGCTCCTCTAGGTGATCTACCCTTCCAAGGAAGGCTCAGTGCCTCAGGCAGCATCATGTGTGCTTAGAGCGGCTCTCAGCTTCCACCTACTTCCACCTGCTTCCTCCCCCCCTACCAAGGATGTTTTCTGGGATTAGATATGAGAAGCCAGAAGATTTAAATTCCTACAGAATTATCTGCAATTATCATTCTTCAAGGTACCTTTTTCAAATCTAATAATAAAATCAAAATAAATGTTTTGAAGAATAAAATTTTAAGCTGGCATTAGAAAGTGATTATCATTCATTAGTGTTACAACAATATATTTATGTACAAAGACATACGTTATGCATGTGGGCTGTGTCCTGCTATCTTCAATCTGAAATTTATAGATATAGATATAGGTTGTAGTGTGTGTTTCAAATATAAATCAATAATGGCTAGGAGCCAAAGTCAATGTTTTGGGAAGATATAATAATGAAATAATTCTTTCCCAAAATATTGAGCTCATTATTTATTAATCCTGTGTAAGGCAAGAAGCCAGGAAAAAAGCATTTGTCACCATCACACTTGGGATCTCTGATAAATATGATCAGTGCTGAGATGCAGCCCAGGCTGGATATGAGCTCAACTTTGTTTTTCTTTTTGTTACTTCCTCCACATCCTGCCTTTCAGCCTGTCCTTACTCCTCCATCAATGAGATTGTGTCAAAGGGAGATGAAATGAGGACAGGGCCAGAATAATATGCAAGTTTCTACTTTGGTTGATCCAATCAGTCTATTTTCAAATATGCCATTTAGTCCCATTAATGCCATTGCTTTAAAATTAGTTAAATTACCTGGTCATGGTTAAAAGAATTACTTCCCTGCAATTGCTCAGTAGTTCCAAAAGTGACTTTTATTAAAGCAAGTGAGCAAACAAAAAAGAACTAGATAGTGTGCTATTTCTCTGAGGGCAAAGAGGTAATCTAAAATTGATTAATTAAGAATAGTATCAGGGACTATGAATGATACAAACAGTTTTCTATTTTCTGTTCTTATTTGTGTTGAAATCAGCATATGAATTTGTTATATTGCTAAAATTCCTTACTTTCAAACCAGTTTTATCCCTTGCCCAAATATTTCTAAAAGTTATTTTGGATAAATTTAGTCTTATTTTCTTTGTAGAAAAACAAATAGAACTTTACCAATTAATAAAGAGAAACAGACATTAATAAAGAGAAATGGGTGTGATCACAAAGTGCATTCTGACCTCCAGCTGCCAGACTGGGTAAAAATATTATTTTCTCTGACCCATGGCACACATACATGCCCAACTTCCAGAATGCCAACACTGTTCTGTTTAGTATTCCTTGGACATTCTCCCTAACAGCCATCTATTCCAAACCGCTAGATTTTTCTTTAGTTCTCTTGATCTTGGTCCCATACGTTTTTCAACTTTGATTACTACCCACTCTCTCAATTCCAAAAAGACCTAGATAACCTATAGTAATAACTGTCTATCTCATGGGATACAAATCACCAATTTTGGAACCAAAGCCCATGTACTAAGCCCTTGCCAAAACTTGGTGGTATTCTGATCGTATACCTGGACTTGGGACCTACAGGTATGCTTATGATAACTTGGGTTACATCATCGAACCACGGATTAACTTGTAGCTTATTTTCCAAGGGCTCATTTAGTCTTCAAGGGTCCAGGATGTTATTGTGGGGCTATGCTGCTAAAGCAGGACCTTCTCTTTGTCTCAGGCTGTGAGGTATATAAGTCTGGCCTAACAATTAGATTTTAAAGTCAATAGTATGTAGGTCATTGCTGAATTCTACTAAGCAGCTCTCCCATGGAGAAGAGATGTGAAGAAAGAATTCTGAATAACATTATTATTTAATAGAGGAGCACAAGAAAAGAAACCAAAAGCTGCCATCAAACATATGAAAAAATATTTAACATCACTAATCAACAGAAAAATGTAAATCAAAACTACAACAAGATACCTTCTCACACCAGTCAGAATGGCTATTATCAAAAAGACAGAAAATAACAGATGCTAGAGATGCTGTGGAGGAAAGGGAATCCTTATACGCTATTGCATACATACAACAGTGAATGTAAATTACTTAAGCCGCTGTGGAAAGCAGTTTGGAGATTTCTCAAAGAACTTAAAATAGAACTACCATTTCACTTTGCAATCTCATTACTGGGTATATACCCAAAGGGAAATAAATTGTTCTACACACACACACAAAAAGATACATGCACTTGTATGTTCATCACAGCACTATTCACAAGAGAAAAGACATATAATCAACCTAGGTGCCCATCAATGGTGGAATGGATAAAAAACATAGTACATATACACAATGGAATACTATGCAGCCATAAAAAGAATGAAATCATGTCCTTTGTAGCAACATGTTGCAGCTAGAAGCCATCATCCCGAGCAAATTACACAGAAACAGAAAACAAAATACTACATGTTCTCACTTATAAGTTGAGAACTAAACATTGGGTACATATGGACAAAAAGATGGCAAAAATAGACACTGGGGATGACTAGAAGAGAGAGAAGGTAAGGCAAAGGGCTGAAAAACTACCTGTATTAGTCCACTTTCATGCTGCTGATAAAGACATACCTGAGATTGGGAAATTTGTAGAGAAAAAGAGGTTTAATTAACTCACAGTTCTGCATGGCTGGGGAGGCCTCACAATCTTGGTGAAGGGCAAAAGGCACATCTTACATGGCAGCAGGCAAGAGATAAAATGAGACCCAAGTGAAAGGGGAAACTCCTTATAAAACCATCAGATCTCGCAAGACTTATTCACAACCACAAGAACAGTATGGAGGAAACCACCTCCATGATTCAATTATCTCCCATCGGGTTCCTCCCACAACATGTGAGAATTATGGGAGCTACAATTCAACATGAGATACAGGTGGGGACACAGGCAAACCATATCACTACCTGTTGGGTACTATGCTCACTCCCTGTGTGGATGGGATCATTCATCTCAGCAATCATGCAATTTACTCATGTAACAAACCTGCACATGTACCCCTTGAATCTAAAATAAAATTTAAAACTATGTTTTAAAACCAAATGAAAGGAAATCAATGAAGAGGATTAGAAAAAAAAACAATAATAAATAAAAATAATCACAACAGGATGTGGCCTTAGCAACCAAGAGAGAAAAATGTTTTAAGAGAAAAGAAGAAAACATGCCTAAACTGTACAATATTAGTAAGAGAGGACATGCAACTCATCCCAAAGGGTGCCATGGAATGTCAAATGGTAGGATCTTTTTCATTAACTTGAATCTTTAACATACAAAGTTTACTCTTTCTCTTCCTGTTCCCTTTCTTTTCCGGGCAATTCAGACCCAAAACCGTTAGGTGATGCCAAGCAAGGCAGGGAAGCATCAGTGCTCTCAAAGTGGTCTCAAAACCTGAGCAGAATGAGATAGCTGTCTGTATTGGAGGGCTGCCCAGTGTGAGCTATTGGGGCACAAGTGTAATGAGGAAAGCGCTCATATAGAGAAAGATAGCAAGGTCTGTGGGGTTAGAGCCCAGAGCAAGATGGAGAGGGTATCTATGCAGGGAAGGGGGCAGCAGTGGCAATGGAAGACTGGTTACATGGAGGGGATTGATCAAATAAGTATATATATTAAGAATAATTGTAGTCAGGATTATTACTGTAGTTGAAAGGAGTTAAAAATTTGGAAAGAGAGAAAACTAGGACGAACCCTGGGATGTCATCTTGGAATTGGGTATATCAGTATGAACTCATGCATTTCAACAAACACATAGATAGACATAAAAATAAATTTAGCTTTGTCCACCAAAATGGTGGACAGCAACACCAACTAGCAAATCTACTCCTCAGATCTTTACTTCTAACTACCTTCCTTCAACAAAAGGAGCCTTCGAGAAGTGGTTAACTTCATGTCTGGGGCAGGGAAAATACAGAATGTTATGCCAGAAGATTTAAGAACAAACATATTGTTGGAGTAGATTAAAAAAAAAATAGGCCTTTCTTTTGTATAAACAGCATTAAATATACACAGTGCAAAATGTTTTCAGGGAATAATGAGCAAATATATTTCCTAATCAGGTAATCAAGACATTTTATCCCCTGGGATATGAAGAGTGAACTAATGAACATATTAGGAAAATAGAGAGATTGACATATTACAACAATCCTATATTTTTAGGAAAGACAATATATATGTTCTTTTGTCAGAGATGATAAGTGGATTATTTGATAAAGCTTCTATTGTTTCTTAGGAACTGTTGATCTGAGGCTAATATAAAGTCTCTTAATTGAAACCTTCAGCTGGCTAAATATTGTTTAAGCAAGGAACTCAGAAATATGAGTTCTCTGATGACTAGGTTGTCCGAAAATGTAAAAGTTAAACAATTGAAAGGTTTATGAATATTTTAAAGGCAAAATATACAAGGCAACATGAAGTGAGAAGTGGCTCTAGCAGAATATTGAAGATATCATCACTTTTAGTAGGACAGTGTACAACTGAAGTAGAGAACGTTAAAAATACAATGTCCTTTATTTGTGTACAGTTTATAATTCCTGGGCTTTCTTTTTAAAACACACATCACTTAGAGATTTTTTCCTTAAGTCTTAGTCTCCTAGAGTCTTATCTGTAGAGAAAGGACAAGATTAAATACAGGTAACTTCCCTAGAACTCTAAGAGCTTAGACACATCTATGATTTGTTGGAAAGGTTAGGAAGGAGAAGGTTGGAGAAGGGAGAAGGGCAATTCTACTTTTGGTTTACTTGGAGCCAGTTTAGCTAGTCTCCAGCTAGCATAGCTAATTTTACTCAGTTCTGAGGCAAAACCAGAACCACTAATTTCGGTCTGGATTCCAGGAAGGCAGGATGATGGCCACGAAAGAAACTAGGCCAAGAGTATAGATGAATCAATGTAAATCCATCATTACTACTCAAAAAACCGCTCTAAGGACATGCCCTGGCACTGCCCAGGGATAGATACTGTCATCTATACATAAGGAAACCAGGAAGAAAACACAAACCCACTGCTTCACAGATTTGGTCAGAGTCAGCTCTAAATAAGCAAGGGGAAAAGTGAAAAATAGAAACTGGAAATTACAGGTGTTTTTTTTAATTACCATTTTGTTTGAGAAATAGGCAAAATACTTGATTAAGAAACTACAAGAAGAACATGGAATTTAAAATATTTTAAATTTTTCTTTGAAATATAGATTAAGGCATGTGCATTATCTATTATCTCAATAGTAATTCAAGAGTCATAAAAACAATAAGCAAAAACTATATTAGTAAAGACAAGAGAATAAGTGATTTGCTTATATGAGATAATTTATTCCTGAGGCATTTGAGCTAAAATATCTAGATGAGAGAAGACTTTCTTAAATTAGCTTCATTTTTTTTCAATGTACATGTAATTACCTCAATGCATAGATTCACTTTTACTGGTCTATATCTACCCATATAGAAAAGAATATATATTACTCCTAAATCCATCTTTATGTTTTAAGAAGCGAAAAATTACCTCACTTCTCAAAGAGATGATACCAAACATTTTTCAGCACTCTATTGCCTAGCATATGTTTTGACTGTTCTTGAAATGATTGTATATAGTTTTGTTATGAAGAATCATACGCTTTTTAACTTCACTTAATTTAGCACAATTGTTTCTTAATACATTTGTGTTATATATGGCATAGGAAGTTTATTTTTCTACATAATATGTCTTAATCGAATTAATAAAATAAAATCCAATATTACATATATATACATACTGTTAAAAATTTAAATAATAACTACAATAAATCAAACATTATGCATTGCACTTTCTAAGTCTCTTATAATTTTCACAGTAGCCTTATGGTATTGCTTTTTATCATTGCCATTTTATAGGTGAGAAATTTGAAACTCAAAGAAATTAAAAACTTTATTACAGAGTTAGTAAATGGTAGACCTGGATTTCATATATTTTGTTAATTCTGGTTGAGCACATTTTTCAGTTAAAATATATCTTTCCAAATTTAGATACCATTATCTTTCCATGATACAAAGATAATCTTTTAACTTACACAATTTTGTCTTATCAAAACATGAGACTCATAAGCAATGACGTAGAAAGCATAGAATATCCTAGTGAAGGTAAATATAGAGTTAGAAGTTTTAGTTTTAAATAATTATCAAATAGTATTTATAACAGATTTTCAGTAAATTAGCTATTTTTCCATTTTGGAACTAAAAGTTTAAGTTTAGTAGAAAAATGAATTGTATGAATTTATGCATTTCCTCTTTTTGTGACTGAAACACAGCATATAAAAATTTCTTACCATTATCTTAAGATGAACAGTTCAGTACACATACTAAAGTGTTACTAGGGAAAGGTTTTGAGCTAGGTGTATTTTTATTAAAATTATTAATAAGGTTTTATTAAAATTATTTTCTTCAGTTTAAAAATGTTCCCATTGTTGAAATACATAATTTTTCATGGTTTCTGATCCTATGGGAGATTGTAATTGATTTTGGTATAATATATCAATTATAGTATTATTTTACAACTTAAATAATTTCCTGTCTTTTGGTTCTAACTCTAGATATTTAAACACTTTCACTAGTTACCTGGAGAAAGCAAAAATATTAGTCATTAGTTACCTAAAGAAGTAAATACTACTCTTCTAAGAGAAACATTTTAATCACTCTTAAAAGAAAGGTCTAAATTTATTCATGTGTTTCTTATATTCTTTTACTTAACAGTATTTGTTTTATGTAGGACAAATAAAATGGAGCAAATAAAAACATCCCCTGAGAACACACATTAGACAGATGACTGTGTATGTCACTGGTAACTTGCTTTAAATATATAAAAATAGCTGTGCTGATTAATTTTTTCTCTTCTTCCACAGAACTCTAGGATATTATTTTGATCTTATTGAAAGTTAAATATTAAAATTTAAAATTAACATTACAACAAAAATATTATTAGTAAAGTGGTGGTGCACTTTAGACTGTACAAAGAGCTATATGTGCAGGGAAAGCTCCTGTGTGGAGGGAGCTCCACATGTATACACAGTATAAGCATACTATTTTCACTTTCTTACAAGACTAGGTATGTGCCAGCAAATGTAAAGGAAATTAGGTCTGCATTTTTATGTGTAACAATAATTGGTACCAATTTTTATGAGATTCTTTTTGGGGAAAGTAAGTATATTAAGTAGGCCAAAAATGTTCTTGTTTTAATTTTGGCTGTGAATCTGTGGGACAGCCATTCAATCTTTAGATTATTTTTTCTTCCTCCTTTTGTTTCTGCAAGACATCATGGGAATGAAGGAGAAGTGAAAATTGATAGCACTTTGGTGAAAGCCTTCAGTGAAGGCAGCCAAAATTTATGAGTGGGAATTCATATATGAATAAATAATTTCCTACGTTCTCAATTGTTATATAGTTACCATTTCTGACACTTGCAATAGAAATATTTTGGAAATAAAGAGATCTTTCAAGGGACTAATATTTCTACAGTTCAGAGTATAAATATTTTTAAATCCTTAACTGTTATTTATTTTATAGCTGAAATATATTTGAGTGATAAAATATTTTACATTTAAATGTCAAATAAAAATTAATAAAACTTACACATAAATTTAAACATGTATTTTAAAATTTTCTTAGAGATATTTATCAGCTCAAGTGAGTACTACTTTCCCTACTCCTCTTTTATCTACCCTTGAACACAAACATGAGTAATGATGTGAACTAAATATGTTTATTTGAATTTTTAAAGAAAGAATAGCATATATTTTAATATATAATATAGCTTCTTCTTCCAGGCAATACTTATAAAATCTACTCTGAGCAATAAAGGAAAAAGGAAGCATTCAGATTGAGTCTGGAAACAGATTTTAATTTGGGTCAGACTCTGGACTTACCTCACTTCTCGTCATTTGGCTAGCCTCAGGAAAGCAGCTTTTGATTTCTCATATTTTAACTAGCTTTATGCTAGCTATGCAACGTTGTGTTTTATTGAAAGTCTAATCATTTCCTAAAACTATTCACCTGTCTACATTAAGTCATTCATTTTTTCATTGTACAGATCTACAAAATACAGATTGTGACTTTTACCAATTAATGTTCTATTAATATCATACTTTAACATATTTCTTTGTACTCCTAAGAAACAAGAGGAATTTGATGATAAAGCATGATTTCTTTGTACTCCTATGAAACAAGAGGAATTTGATAACTTTGTTATGGCTGATATTTACTGTTATCATTCTATTTCTCACAGGGTGTTAGATAGCTATAGCTATCCCCTCTTTGGTAGGAATTCTGTAACTTGAAAATTAATATATTGGTCTCCATTTAAACTTAAGGCTAACTGGTTTCTACATCATTTTAGTAAAATAGAAGTCTTTTTTGAAGGTGAAGAAAAATTTTATTTTGAAAAAAATACATTCAATGTCAATTATAAGATTGAATATTATGTAATAAAAATAGTCATAAATTTTTAAAATTAAAAAAGAAACTGAACAAACAGAAAGCTTCTTTGTTTTCAGAAGTCGATGGAAACTACTTCACTATTTTAATCATTCATACTCAATTTTATACACAGAATCTCAAATTGTACCATTTGGAAGCACTTAATATTTTAATCACTGTTGCGGGAGTCAGGGACCCCAAATGGAGGGACCCACTGAAGCCATGGCAGAAGAATGTGGATTGTGAAGATTTCATGGATATTTATTAGTACCCCAAATTAATACTTTTATAATTTCTTATGCCTGTCTTTACCGCAATCTCTAAACATAAATTATGGAGATTTCATGGACACTTATCACTTCCCCAATCAATACCCTTGTGATTTCCTATGCCTGTCTTTACTTTAATCTCTTAATCCTGTCAGCTGAGGAGGATGTATATCACCTCAGGACCCTGTAATAATTGCATTAACTGCACAAATTGTACGGCATGTGTGTTTGAGCAATATGAAATCTGGGCACCTTGAAAAAAGAACAGGATAACAGCAATTGTTCAGGGAATAAGAGAGATAACCTTAAACTCTGACCGCCGGTGAGCCGGGTGGAACAGAGCCATATTTCTCTTCTTTCAAAAGCAAATGGGAGAAATATCGCTGAATTTTTTTTCTCAGCATGGAACATCCCTGAGAAAGAGAATGCCACCTGGGGGTAGGTCTCTGAACTGGCTCCCCTGGGCGTGGTCATCTCTTATGGTCGAGAGTGCAGAGGTGAAATAGACTCCAGTCTCCCATAGCGCTCCCAGGCTTATTAGGAAGAGGAAATTCCCGCCTAATAAATTTTGGTCAGACCAGTTGATCTCAAAACCTGTCTCCTGATAAGATGCTATCAATAACAATGGTGCCCAAAACTTCATTAGCAATTTTCATTTCCCCTGGGTCCTGTGGTCCTGTGATCTCGCCCTGCCTCCATTTGCCTTGTGATATTCTATTACCTTGTAAAGGACTTGATGTCTGTGACCCACACCTGTTCGCACACTCCCTCCCCTCTTGAAACTCCCTAATAAAAACTTGCTGGTTTTTGCGGCTTGTGTGGCATCACAGAACCTACCGACATGTGATGTCTCCCCCAGATGCCCAGCTTTAAAATTTCTTTCTTTTGTACTCTGTCCCTTTATTTCTCAAGCTGGCTGACACTTAAGGAAAATAGAAAAGAACCTACGTGAATATCAGGGCAGGTGCCCCGATAAATCACCAACTTCTATACATATATACCTTACTATATTTGTATTTAGCCTTTCAGACAATTTTTTTTCTTCAGTGCAAGCACATAGTTCCTACTGGGACTAAAGGCAGTTAGTAATGTTCATCGTATGAAGAATAGGTCCAAATATCTGACAACTTTGTGGAGACAGACAGGAAATACCAAAGAAAGATTTAACTCTAAGGCAGATCCTGATTAACAACAATGTTTTTAGTCTTTTGTCTTCTTTTCCAATTGTCTAAATAATGGAATCTTCCTTTCAAAGGTTGAAGTAAAATTTTATAATTCTTTTTTTTCACTTCTTGCAAACTTCAAGCTAGAAAATAGGAAGTAATGAGAGTCCTAAAAAGTTAAGCTAACTTTTAAATTTTTCTGCGTGTGCATGATAGAACCACCACCAATTGAAAAGTCAATAAAAAATGTGGTTAATCAGCTGAGTATTTTATAAGCAGAAAGAGTACTCTTTTCAAAACACAAATCAACTATGAAACTTTCAATTGCTTCTAATTACTCTTGGAATAAAGACCAAATTTCTAACCAAAAGCTGACAAGGCTTCTCTCACTTCTAACCTTAAATTCCCTAAGCTCCCTCCGCATAGGAGCTTTCCCTGCACAAGTAGATTATCTGCCTGGACCAGACTTCACTGCCCTTTTCATTGTCAGAGTTAACTGGGTCATTATTTCCTCAAGAAAGTCTTTGCTATCCCCATGGATGTGTTCAAACTCTTGTAACATCCTTTAATTCCCCTTCAGAGTTCTTATTACTAGAGCAATGTACATATATATATATAGGTAATTTTTTGCTTAATGCTAATCTCCCTTACTAAACTAAATTCTCCGAAGTCAGGGAGAGTGTTTGGCCTTTGTTAGACATTGGGTCCATAACATCATTTATGGGCCGAACTTTGTACCCAGAATTAATAGGTTGACATACCTCAGAAAGTGACTACATTTGGAGATAGTCTTTAAAAAGGTAATTAAGTTAAAGTCACATCATTAGGGTGGGCTCTAATCCAATATAAATGATGTCCTTAAAAGAAAAGGAGACTAGCACACAGATGTGCACACACAGAGGGAACACCATGGGAAGACATGGCAAGGAGGTGACCTGCATGGAGTACAATCAGTCACCACACCATAGAATGATGGCTCGAGAATGCCATAAGAGTATTTGTAAAAAAAAGAAATAAATAAAGACTGTGGACAATGATTACTATTTCCCTTCTTAACTATCAAAAGAACTCCGGAACAAATTATACCATTGGGAAGATTTTCATGATTCAATTGATTTTCCAAAAATGAAGCTATCTCACCCAACCAGTATGGAGGCAATCTGCTTTTTATTCTGTTGTTACCACTTACCCAAGTGAACTGTGATATGAATACAAGCAACCATTGGCTTGTGAAGGTCCAGGTCTGTTTTGCCATCTTCCAGATAAGATATTTCAGTAAAAAAACTGCCATGCTGAGCTGCCTTATAGAGCTCTTTGAAAATGTTCAAGTTGATGAAGTTCTTTGAGGACAAGTTAGTTCATGATGTTTAAAAATTAACAGTTTGGCTTAACCATCTTCTGAAAGCCTCAGAAGAAACTAACCCAGCTGGCATCTTGATCTCAGACTTCTATTCTCCAGAATTGTGGGAAAATATATTTCTGTTTTTTAAGCTATACAGTCTGTGGCATTTTTCTATGGATACACTAGCAAACTAATACAATATTTAGCTTAAGATTTGGCACATAGTAAATAAACATTTTGGATGAATCAATCAGTAATATAAACCTGGATTTGAATCCTAATTCTATCACATTTATTTTCATGATCTTAATCAAGTTTCTAAAGAAATTATCTTCGCCTCATGACCCTCTTTTGTAAAGCTGGGACAAAACCCACAATTTATAGCATTGTTGAGAAGCTTAACAAGATATGTGTAAACTCTTAGGATAAGTTTGTGGGCATCAACAGGCTGTATTTCTACTCCTTTCACTTCTTCTCGTAAAAAAGAAGAATGAGTTTTGAAAAGTTAGTCTCTTGACAAAGTTTATTAAATAAAATACCAGCCTTTAGTGATAGCATATGGAAATTTACATAGTTTTGCCTTTCAAATCCCAAATATTTAAAACTGATCAAATATTCAAACGGTATAGGTTGTTTTATTCTTGAAATCTTTGAGAACTCAATTTCATGAATCTTCATTGTAGACTGCAATAATCAAACTGTCATCAAAAGTCAGAAAAAAGCCTTCTGAATTTTATCTAGAAATAGGTATATACTTCTTCCTTGCTACTATTCCAAAGTGGTCAGCTCCTCCAAAATCCATGTCCCCACGGCTCTGCTCCATGTCAACACAAGGAATCCAAAAGTGGTTCATAACTAGCACAGGGCTGTGCTTCTTGTTTCTGTGCAGTCGCATATCTTTTTGGGGATTCTTGGGCTGTTGTATTTTGCATTTAATTTGTATGTATGTGATATCAAATTGCTATCTTTTACAATATGGTTTGCTTACATTTATTAGAATCAACTGCCACTAGTTAGAAAAAGAAGTATGGAATTTACTTAAAACCTTTTTGGAAACAGTAAATAGGAAAAAAAAACTTTGAAAAACTAACACTTTTCCCCAATAAGGCCACCAAGGAATATGCTGGATTAGCTAAATATGCCAGCCAGCCAACATGCCAAAAATGTAGACATTAATTAAGATTTTATACAAAAGAAGATTAAGAAAACAAAAACAGGAAAAAAAGATAGCAGCTACTAATCAATAATGGCATCAAACTATCCTGATATAGAAAACTGTACTATTTAGATCTTTATACAGATCCACTTGGATCTGAGAAAATTATAACAAATACTTTCTTTGTCAATCATTGAGTATACTTTGCAGCTATCATCAAACATCTGTATCTTTCTACAGCCATTCCTCTTTTAGGTCTTTACCAAAAGACCAAGCCATTTCTATTGCTATGCTCATCCACTTGAACTTGCCAGCTGTCTTGATATTACATTTGGTCAGTGGTAATAAATATCTGCAATGTTTCAAATTCTAAATTCTCTTTCATTAGGTGAGTGTAATCAATCTAATGGGCTTCACTTTGCTTGTCTCTGAAATGTTCTGACAAATGGCAAGTCAACACCAACTCCTTGGAATTCAGCGCTCTCCAAAATCTGTAAATCCCCTCCCTATTGCAGGCAGACTAGGCTCCTTAATTCCAAAAAAACACGCCTTTGTTCACAATGACCCATGATATCAGTTAGAATTATGCTAGTAACAAATAAATGAACCAACTACAACAGGTAATAGCCCACCACAATAACATGCTTTTTTTTCCCCCGGTATTAGCTTCCTTCTCTTCCCTATATTACTTTCTGCTTGCCCTATTAGTGCTTCCTGGAATTATCTTTTTATCAAATTTTAATCTCCAGGTGTGCTTCTAGGGAAACACAACAAAGACAATGGTGACAGAAAAAGAATCTGTGTGTATTCAATCTTCTTATCACACAGTCTGCTAAAAACTTTTTAACCATATTCTCATTGCATTTGTTGAAATAATTCCTGGATTTAATAGTTTTGGGGTTGCCATTCAGAATTTTATTAAGAAAAAATAAAACTTATAGGTATCAAGTTGAAAGGGGTTTAATATAGGGAATTAGTGGGTCATACCATGAGAAGGGCTGAGGGAGCAAAAGTCAGGGAAACTGCTGATAGAATTCAGGAAATTAAGACGTGCCCACTGTAGCCTCCTTTATAGGAGCTGCCAGAGAACAGCTTCTTCTCTTTCAATTTCCAAATTGAGTCCTACTGCTTCCCACTAGGAGAATTTAACCTGAAACGCTCTTGGTAAGGGAAACTGGGAAATGGTTTCCCAGGCTTTCCCCTTATTTAGTCATGTATATAAGGGAGTGAGGATGAAGCCAAATTGACCTTACAGTGGGACACTATTTATTCTTGAAGGGCAGCAAGCCATTTTTCTGGTTACCCATTTTCTGAAAGTCCCAAGCATCTCCAGAAAGCCAAGCCTATTCCAGCGTCTATTCATAGACAAATCCATTAAATAAGGTTCCTTTGGCAAACACATAAAATGCCAAAGTTTGAATTAATGTCCAACCACCAAGGAAAGCAAAAAAAATTACACAATTTAGATAATTCCTTAGCAATTCTCCAAAAGAAACTTCAATTTCTCTTTAAAAGACCATATCAAGACCTGGTAATTATTTTCAAAATTTCATTGTGAAGGAATACCCATTGTTCTGATAGCTAACAACAAAAGGTTAATTACTGTGTAGATAAGTTTAAAGTAAGTTTACTGTAAGAGGAATTTTGGAATGTCTCTGTTGGTTAGGGAGAAATAAAGAGCAAGAAAAAAGGATGGCATCATTTCAAGGTCTTTGCTCATCTTTATTAAAGATTTGTGTTGTCCAAATATCTATATCCACACCCAACCACACCCCATTCCTTTTACTTTAAAAAAAAAATCAAATCACATTTTTGGCAGAAAAAAATAGTTTAATGGTTATTTTGCCAAAAATTAGATTCAGGAAAAATGGCTGAAAGAGAATTTTTCTCCATGTACACTCAGAATTCTTAATATCCCTCTACACATGTATATACATTAATGACCATTCAATAGAAATTGTGCATAGTTGTGATTTTTAAATATATAAAAGTGTAAAATCATTTTCATATGTCACTATCTTTAGATTATAAACTTTTTTGTGAGTTATTTCATGACAAGTTTATGAGCACAAATAGCAAGCCTGATATAGTAATTCTATAGAAAAATAAATTATGTTAAAGAAGCAGTTTATTTTAGTAAATACTAGAAACATTGAAATAATAGAATATTAAAATGACTTCTAATAATGATTAACTATTTTTGAACATTTATATTAAAACTCCCATTAAAAAAGGGAATTCACATTTAAAATGGTAATTTATTCATACACGATCAATTTTAAAATAAAGCTGCTATAAAATTTTTAAGATTTTCTTCTGTTTTTCTTGCAAGATTCGTTTTTAACAAAAAACAAAGACAAAGTCTGTCCAGGCTAGACTGTCCAAACAACAAAAATTAATGTTAGCCATAATGTGATGTTATGAGGTATCTTATGAACAGTTCACCTAAATAATGCCCTACTCATACATTTTCATCCTCTTATGGAAGTGAGATTACTTTTTTTTCATCAAATTTTATTTCAAGTTTCGAAGGACGGGTGCAGGATGCACAGGTTTGTTACATAGGTAGACGTGTGCCATGGTGGTTTGCTGCACAGATCAACCTATCACCTAGGTATTAAGCTCAGCATCCATTAGATATTCTTCCTAAGGCTCTCCCTCCCCACACTGCCCCCAACAAGCCCCGGTGTGTGTTGTTCCCCTACCTGTGTCCATGTGTTCTCATCATTCAGCTCCCACTTATAAGTGAGAACATGCGGTGTTTAGTTTTCTGTTCCTGTGTTAGTTCACTAAGGATAATGGCCTCCAGCTTCATCTGTGTTCCTGCAAAGGACTTGATCTTCTTACTTTTTATAGTTGCATATATTCCATGGGGTATATGTACCACATTTTCTTTATCCAGTCTATCATTAATGAGCATGTGGGTTGATTCCATGTCTTTGCTATTGTGAATGGTGCTGTGATGAACATATGTGGCATGTATCTTTATAACAGAATGATTTATATTCCTTTGGGTATATACCTAGTAATGGGGTTGCTGGATCAAATGATACTTCTGCTTCTTGATCTTTGAAGAAACACCACACTGTCTTCCAAAATGGTTGAACTAATTTCATTCCCAACAACAGTGTAAAAGCATTCCTTTTTCTCCGCAGCATTGCCGGGATCTGTTATTTCTTGACTTTTTAATAATTGCCATTCTAACTGGTGTGAGGAGCTGGTACCATTTCTAGTGGAACTATTCCAAAAAAATTGAAAAGGAGGGACTACTCCCTAACTCATTTTATGAGACCAGCATCATCCTGATACCAAAACCTGGATGAGATACAACAACAACAAAACTTCAGGCCAATATCCCTAATGAACACTGATGCAAAAATCCTCAATAAAATAGTGGCAATCCGAATCCAGCAGCACATCAAAAAGCTTATTCACCACAATCAAGTTGGCTTCATCCCTGGATGCAAGGTTGGTTCAACATAAGCAGATCAATAATTATAATTAATCACACAAACAGAACTAAGACAGAAACCACATGATTATCTCAAAAAATGGAGAAAAGGCCTCTGATAAAATTCAGTATCCCTTCATGTTAAAAATTCTCAATAAACTAGGTATTGAAGGAATATACTTCAAAATTAATAAGATCCATAGACGACAGCCAATATCATACTGAATGGGCAAAAGCTGGAAGCATTCTCCTTGAAAACCAGTACAAGACAAGGATGCCCTCTCTCACCAGTTTTATTCAATATATTATTGGAAGTTCTGGCCAGGGCAATCAAGCAAGAGAAAGAAATAAAGGGTATTCAAATAGGAAGAGAGGAAGTGAAATTATCTTTGCAGATGACAGGTTCCTATATCTAGAAAACCCCACTGTCTCAGCCCAAAAGCTTAAGGTGATAAGCAACTTCAGCAAAGTCTCAGCATACAAAATCAATGTGCAAAAATTGCTAGCTTTCCTGTTCACCAACAACAGGCATGCAAAGAGCCAAATCATGACTGAACTCCCATTCACAATTGGCTACAAAGAGATTGAAATACCTAGGTACACAGCTAACAAGGGATGTGAAGGATCTATCTCTTCAAGGAGAACTACAAATCACTGCTCAAGGAAATCAGAGAGGACACACACACACACAAAAATGGAAAAACATTCCATGCTAATGGATAGGAAGAATTAATATCGTGAAAATGACCATAATGTCCAAAGTAATTTATAGGTTCAACACTAGTCCCATTAAACTACAATTGGCATTCTTCACAGAATTAGAAAAAACTATGTTAAAATTCACATGGAACCAAAAAAGAGCCCATATAGCTAAGACAATCTTAAGCAAAAAGAACAAAGCTGGAGACATCATGCTACCCAACTTCGAACTACGCTAAAAGATTTTCCTCTTTAAAATACTTCAAGTCAAATTCTGGAAAAAATCAGAATTAAAATTTAAAGTTGCAGTTTCTATTTTAAAGCATTTATATCAAAACTAAAGAAAGTTAAAATTCTATTTTTGTGTTCAAATTACATATATAAATATTTTAATCGAAAAATTCTCATGCATATTCAGTAAAAATAGCAACATTTTACACACCAAAAGTTGCTATTTAAATATATTATAAAAGGAGTTTATTAAATTCATCATACTGTAACCTCTTTTGTTCCTCACATTTATTGAGGCATAATTGGCAAATTTTAAAAATTATATATATTTAAGGTATACAACTTGATGTTTTCACATACATATATTCTGTGAAATAATAATCACAATCAAGCATTGACCAAAAAACCCAAAGTCTGTAAAATATTTGCAGAGGTTTATTCTGAGCCAAATATGAGAACTATGGTTTGTGACCACCTCAGGAGGTCCTGAGAACATGCGCCCAAGGTGGTTGGGTTAAAGCTTGGTTTTATACCTTTTAGGGAGACAGAAGTTACAGGCAAAGGCATAAATCAATACATGTAAGGTATGTAACATTAATTAGCCCCGGAAGGGCAGACATCTCAAACTAAATACTTTCAGGTCATAGGTGGAGTCAGAAATTTCCTGATTGACAATTGGTTGAAAGAATTAAGCTTTGCCTAAAGGGTTAAACTCAGCATAAAGAAATAATTCAGTTAAATAAGGAAAGGAAGTCAATGTTTTTTTTTTTTTGTAGATGAAGCCACCAACAGGCTTCAGAAAGAATAGACGGTAAATGTCTCTTATTGGACCTTAACAGATGTCAGTCTCTCCAGAAAAGACTTTTTAAGAGAAGGAGATTGTCTACAGAATGCAAATTTCCCTGACAAGAGATAGCTTTGCAGGGCCATTTCAAAATATGTCAAAGAAATACATTTAGGGGTAAAATACTTTGATCCTCTGCAGGGCCTATCTGTCATGTGATGCTTCACCAGCATAAGGTTGGAATTTGGTATTTTATTGCTACAAAAAGTGTTTTGTCAGTTTTAAGATCTCTATTTAATGTTAAAGCTGGTCAGTTGTGCCTAAATTCCAAAGGGAAGAGGATATACCAAGGCATGTCAGATGCCCCCTTCCCATCATGGCCTGAACAGATTTCTTTGGGGTCCCTTTGGCCAAGAGGGAGGGTCCATCAGTTGGTTAAGAGGCTTAGAATTTTATTTTTGGTTTACACAAGCTAGTTAACATGTCCATCTTCTCACAGAGTTACCATTTTCTCTTCTATGTCTGTGGTGAAAACATGATACCATCCTAGGAAATTTCAATATTCACATTAGCTCTCCTGAACTTATTCATACTGCATATCTGAAAGTCTATACCCTTTGGCCCACATTTCTAATTTTTTCCCCCTCCTAATCTCTAGCAACCACCATTCTACTCTCTGTTTCTATGAGTTTGACTATTTTAGATTCCAAATCTAAGTGATATGATACAGTATTTGTCTTTCTATGTCTGGCTTATTTCACTTAACATAAAGTCCTTCAGATTCATCCACCTTGTCACAAATGACGAAGTTTCCTTTTTTACGGTGGAATCTTAACCTATTGCATGGATTGTGTGCGTATGCAGTTAGAATACACACACACACACACACACACACACACACACACATTGTTAGAGCAATCTTAGCTCTAGGTATAGATCCAAAACATACAAAATTATTATCTGGAATAGCTAGTTCCACTCTCATGTTCATTAAAGCATTAGTCACAGTAGGCAAGATATAGAAACAACCTAAATGTCCATCAATAGATGAATGGACAACATTTTATAGATACTACTATATATACACATATACACTACATATATACATATACACTGCATTTATATATATATACGTACATATATGTGTAATACACATATATACCTATATACTACATTTATATATGTAGTTTAAATGTGTGTGCATATATATTCTAACTACATGTATATGAAGTGTGTATATATATAGTTACATACATATAGCATGTATATATATTCTAACTACATATATAGTGTGTATATATACACACATATGTATGTGTATATATAGTACATAAACATATATACACATACATATGTGTGTATATATAGTAGTACATATTATATGTAGTCCATTCATTGATTGAAGGACATTTAGGTTCTTTCCATATCTTGGCCAATGTGAATAATGCTTTAATGAACATGAGGATGGAACAAGCTATTCCAGATAATAATTTTATATTTTTTGAAACTATACTTAGAGCTAAGGTAGCTGGATCATAAGGTAGTTCTATTTTTAAATTTTTGAGCAACTTCCATAGTGTTTTTCATAATAGTTGAACTAATTTACATTCATACCAACAGTGCACAAGGGTCCCCTCTTCACATCCTTGCCAACACTTGCTATTTTTCATCATTTTGATAATAATCATTCTAACAAGTTTGAAGTGATATTTCAGTGTGGCTTTGACTTGCATTTTCCTGATGATTGGTGATGTTGGGCACCTTTTCCAACACTTGTTGAACATTTGTATGTCTTCTTTTAAGAAATGTTCACACCCTCTGCTCATTTTTAAAAAGTGTTGCTTTTTTGTCACTGAGTTTCTTATGTATTTTGAATATTAACCCCTTATAAAGTATATGGTTTGCAAATGCTTTCTTCATTCCATAGGTTGTCTTTTACTCTGTAGATTATTTGCTTTGTGCAGAAGTTCAGTTTGACACAATCCAATTTGTCTATTTCATTCCTTCTGTCTGTGATTCTGGTGTCATCCAAAATATAACTGTCCAACATCAATGTCAAGAACCTTTTTCCCTGTGTATTTTTCTAGCAGTTTTTAAGTTTTTTGTCGTATGTTTAAGTCTTTTATTCATTTTGAGTTGGTTTTTGTAGATACTATGAGATAGTAGTACAATTTTATTTCCCTGCATGTGGATATCTAGTTTTCCTAATACCATTTATTGAAGACTATCCTTTCCCTTCATTGTGTGTTCTCAGCAGCATTATCAAAGATCAGGTGGCTACAGATGTGTGCATTTACTTCTATTTCTATTTCATTCATCTATATGTCTGTTTTTATGCCAGTACCATCCTATTTCTATTAGTGTAGTTTTTTTATTTTATTATTATTATACTTTAAATTTTAGGGTACATGTGCACAACGTACAGGTTTGTTACATATGTATATATGTGCCATGTTGGTGTGCTGCACCCATTAACTCATCATTTAGCATTAGGTATATCTCCTAATGCTATCCCTCCCCACTCCCCCCACCCCACAACAGTCCCTGGTGTGTGATGTTCCCCTTCCTGTGTCCATGTGTTCTCATTGTTCAATTCCCACCTATGAGCAAGAACATGTGGTGTTTGGTTTTTTGTCCTTGCGATAGTTTGCTGAGAATGATGGTTTCCAGTTTCATCCATGTCCCTACAAAGGACATGAACTCACCATTTTTTATGGCTGCATAGTATTCCATGGTGTATATGTGTCACATTTAAAAAGTCAGGAAACAACAGGTGCTGGAGAGGATGTGGAGAAATAGGAACACTTTTACACTGTTGGTGGGACCGTAAACTAGTTCAACCATTGTGGAAGTCAGTGTGGCGATTCCTTCAGGGATCTAGAACTAGAAATACCATTTGACCCAGCCATCCCATTACTGGGTATATACCCAAAGGATTATAAATCATGCTGCTATAAGGACACATGCACACATATGTTTATAGGAGCACTATTCACAATAGCAAAGACTTGGAACCAACCTAAATGTCCAACAACGATAGACTGGATTAAGAAAATGTGGCACATATACACTATTAGTGTAGTTTTGGTTACACATTTTGAAATCAGGAAGTATGATGCCTTCAGCTTTTTCTTTCTCAGGACTGAGTTGGCTATTAGAGGTCTATCATGGTTCTATAAAAATTTAGAATTTGTTTTCCTGTTTCTGTAAAGAATGCCACTGGGATTTTGATAAGGGATTGCATTAAATCTGAAGATCACTTTGTATAGGATGGACATTTTGACAGTATTAGTTTTGCCAATCCATGAACACTGGATGTCTTTTCATTTATCTGTGCATTCATTAATTTCCCTCATCAGTGTTTTACAATTATCATTGTACACTTTTCTAACTTCTTTAGTTTAATTTGTATCTTATTTTATTCTTTTTGTTACTATTATAAATGGAATTATTTTATTTATTTCCTTTTTGGGTAGCTCATGGTTTATGTATAAAATCACTACTGATTTTTCTATGTTGGTTTTGTATCCCACAACTTTAGTGACTTCATTTATTTAGTTCTCATAGTTTCTTCTTGAGTCTTTATGGTTTTCTACATATACACTCACGTCATCCGCAAGCATATAATGTTTTACTTTCTTTTTTATTCAGTGACTTTTATTTCTTTCTCTTGTCCAATTATTCTGGCTATAACTTCCAGTACTATGTTGAATGAAGTGGTAAGAGTGGACATCTTTGCTTTGTTTCTAATCTTAAAAAAAAAGCTTTCAGTTTCACTCCATTGATTATGATGCTATATAGCTCTCTGCTTTTCTTATATGGCCTTTATTAGTTTCATGTAGGTTTCTTTTATACATATTTTGTTAAGAGTCTGTGTCATTAACAAATGATGAATTTTGTCAAATGCTTTCTCTGCATTAATTGAAATTATGTGCTTTTTTTGCTATATTAACATGATGTATTACATCAATTAATTTGCATATGTTGAACCATTCTTGAATCCCAGGGCTAAATCTCACTTGATTCATGTGAAATTTATCCCTGGATACAAGAATCATTCAACATATGTGAAGTGCATTATCTTTCTAATGTGTTATTGGATTCAGTTTGCTAGTATTTTGTGGAGAATTTTTGCTTTTATGTCCAGGAATACTGGCCTATGTTTTCTTTGCTTGTGTTCTCTTTTTCTGGCTTTTGTATCAGAATAACGCCAGCCTCATAAAAATATGTTTGGAAGTATTCCCCCCTTCCACTTTTTTGGAAGAGTTTGAAATGAATGAGCATTAATTATTCTTTGAATATTTGGTGGAATTCACCAGTGAAGCTATCTGATCCTGGGCTTTTATTTCTTGGAAGGTTTCTGACTACTGATTCAATCGCCTTATTTATTATTGATCTGTTTAGGTTTCCCATTTATTCTCGATTCAGTTTTGGTAGGTTGTATGTTTTTAAAGATTTATCCATTTCTTCAAGGTTATTTAATTTATTTGAGTATAATTTTTCATAACAGCATCTTATAATTCTTTTATTTATAAGTCATCTCATAATTTCTTCTTTTTTAATTCTATTTGAATCTTCTTTTATATTAGCATAGCTAGGGGTTTATCAATGTTTATCTTTTCAAAAAAAACTCTTAGTTTTTCAAATTTTTTCTATTCTGAATTTTACATATTTCTACTGTCATCTTATTATTTTTTCTGATAAATTTTTTAATTTAAAATATTTTTAAATTTAAATTTTAAATTTTCTACTTTTTAAAATTAGGTGTTTGCCATTATAAACTTTTTTCTTAGTACTGCCTTTGTGCATCCATAAGTTTTCGTAGGTTGTATTCTCATTTATCTTGAGATACTTTTTACATTCCCACTATATTTTCTCTTTTGCCCAATGTTTGTTCAAGAGTGTGTTGTTTAGTTTCCATGTATTTGTGAATTTTCTCATTTTTTTTACTGTTATTGTTTTTAGTTTTATTCTATTGTGGCTGAAAAGTATAACTGGTGTGATTTTAATCTTTTTAAATTGATCAGACCTGTTTTGTGATGTAATGTGATCTATCCTAGAGAACATTCCACGTGCACTTGAAAAACATATATATTCTTCTACTGGTGGATGGAAAGATCTGTATATGTCTGTTAGGTCCACTTGGTACATAGTATTGTTCAAGTTAGCTGTTTCTATATTGATTTTGTATCTGGATGTTCTATCTATTATTAAAAGTACAGCACTGAAGTATCCTACTATTATTGTATTTTTGTCAGTCTCCCTTTGTAACTTTTAGTATTTGCTTTATATATTTAGGTGCTCTGATGTTGGGTATGTGTATATTTGTAATTGTTATAACTTGCTGTTGAACTGACCATTTTATCATCATGTGATAGATTTTTTTTCTTTTACTGCTTTTAATATATCATCCCACTCACTCCTGTTCTGCAAGATTTCTGGTAATAAATTTTCTGATAGTCTCATGGAGGGAGATGAAAAAGAAGCAGTTAAGGACACTTAGAGGGAACAGACAGTGAAGTGGGAGAAGAATCAGGCAATGGGGAGCCCACACAGTGATGATGAAGAGTTTCAAGGAAAAGGGCATGGTCCACTGTGTCAAATGCTACTGCGAGAGGAAATAAGATAAGGCCTGAGACTTGGGGAAAACATATAATAGCAGGATTAAAATAAATCAGTCAAGCACTTTAAAAATGCTCAGAACAGTAACAAACAAAGAAATTAAACTACCACCTAATGATATTGGGAAAGGTAACAAATAGCAATGAGCAGGTACTCAAGATCAAGAAAAATAGAAATTTTTGCTTAAATATTTCTTATTTTAAAAATAGTCTTCAAATTAAAGGTGAGTTCAATAATAAGGAGTAGGAAGGCAAGCCCATGATATTTATAAAAATGGAATTCTGCCATAAATGACTTGCTGCTAGGGCCCCTTCAAGTACCTGCTTGAGTGATGTCAAACTTGTTGACATTTATCACAAGTAGTCACAAAGAATATGAGGGATTCCAAAAGACTATAAATGAACAAATGTGACTTTTACTAAAGTGGAGCAGGAATTTTTGTATTAATATTGATATAATATTTAACAATTTCTATAATTGTTTATTAACAAAATTGCTTTGAGATATTGTTCATCCAGCCATCATTTAACAAAAGCTACTTTTGTTAGAGCACCTACTATGTGCAAACACTATGCTATAAACTGGCGACATCAACATACAAGCTTTTAATATCTTACATATGTATTTTTTTACAGTTACAAAACACTTTACACACAATATCTAGTGTGATAATCACAATATCTAGTGTGATAATCACAACAACCCTATGAGGTAGACAAAATAGATACTACTATCTCCATTTAACAGATGTGAAATATAGAATTCAGATAAATATAGTGACTTTTCCTGGTAATCCAGCTAGAAAATGAAATATTTACGATTACAAGTCTAGTGATCTCTTTGTTATATCATGGTTTTGCAATAATTAGGAGCTATTATCTGAAATAATCTCCACCTTTACAGCATTTTTAGGATATTAGAACAGCATATTCTCATAGTTTAGCAGATTTTGACACTGCTAAGTCATTGGTCAAATCCCTCATGAGCATTTAATCAATGAGATATAGTAATATGGGTTGATGAAAAAATTCAGAAGTTTTAAAAGCAGGTTGAACAATCATCTCAAGAGTCAATATTAATTAAAAATGCTTCTTCTAATGAGGAAGTGCAGGATTCTACTCATAGCTTTGTCCCTCAATATGAAGTAGTGGTACAGACATAAAGCCAGGTATTTCAGGTATTTTTGGTTAAATTAGCCACAGATCTATAATACATATTTGTAACTAATACAATGACAAAATTAAAATTATCTTAATAGGTGAAAATCATACATAATATCTAATGTTATTAAAGTAAATTTAATGTCATACATTTTATTTCAAACAATAGCACACGTAAGGGGAGATTTAAATTAGTACTAGCTTAGATAAAAATGGGTTGGGAAGTTTACATTTATTTTAAAGGGTTAATAACTCCATCAATCTGCTAAAATGTATAGTCATCAGGAAAACACAAATTGAAACCAGAATGAAATACAGATTCAAAACTACTAGAATGGCTATACTTAAATGACTAGCAAGACATGTTGCAACTGGAACTCATTCATTGCTAGTGAGAATGCAAAAGGGTACTATCAATCTGGAAAACTGTTTGGCTGTTTCTAAAGAAGTTAAACATAACTTCTGCCCTAGCAATTTTATTCCTATATACTTACCCAAAAGCAATGAAAACATATGTTCATTAAAGTTTTTACAGAAATGTTCATAACAACCTTACTGTCATAATACATCTATTTATACATATGACATAATACGTACTGTATAAGTCCATTTTTATCACTAAAACTAATCAATGGTGACAGAAGTAAGAAACTGATTGCCTTTATGGGACGAAGAGCAGGAAATTAACTTGAAACAGGAATAGCGATCTTTCTGGAATGAAACTAATGTCCTATATCTTATGTTGGGTAGTAGTCACATAGGTGTACACAATTTTCAACAGTCATCAAACTGAAATCTTAGGACCTCTATATTTTATTCTATTTTAAATAAATGACATCTTAATTTTAAAAACATAAAACATAAAAAACATTGTTTTCCATTGAAAGAATACAAGAAAAATTGGTATAAGTTATAGAAAAAGAAATTTCAGTTCGACATAAAATTTTCTAAACTTAAGAAACTTCAAACATAGAATAAGCTATTTCATTAAACAGTATATTTATTATTTCTAGGCCAGACACAGTGGCTCATGCCTGTAAACCCAGCACTTTCAGAGATAGAGGCAGGTGGATCACCTGAGGTCAGGAGTTCGAGACCAACATGGTGAAATCCCATCTGTACTAAAAATACAAAAATTACCCGGGTGTGGTGGTGGGTGCCTGTAATCCCAGCTAATCAGGAGGCTGAGGCAGGAGAATCGCTTGAACCTGGGAGGTGGAGGTTGCAGTGAGTCAAGATCATGCCATTGCACTCCACCCTGGGTGTCTCAAAACAACAACAACAGCAAAAAGTGTATTTATCATTTCTGAAAATATTCAAACAAAAGGAGAATGATCTACTTTTGGAGACTGTTTAATTCAAACATCCCAGGCAGAAATACTTCCTAGAGCATTTTAAAGCCTTTTCATCAGACTCACTGATATCCTATGTTAATAAAGATTTTCTTTTATCACATTTAGTCCAAATTTAACTTCTCATTTCCTTCTTTTACATCTAATTAAACAGCGTTTAAGAATGCTAAAAGAGTAGAAAAAGCTAGCAGACTTAAACTTATAAGCCACTTCTATAGGTTGATAATGCATACACTACTGTGTATGCCAAACCCACAGGTTAGTAGCAAAGAATATTGTCACTGTTTAGTGATATCTGCCATAAGCCTAAGAGGCAAGAGAATGACAAAAGTACCAGGAGTTTGCCATCACAGAGTTAAATAAAATGTGTAGAGCTGTACATCAGATAAAAATGGTTATTATAGACTGAGGCCTCAATATGTCATAAGCCAATAATCAACAAATTAGTAAAGAAATGAAACAAGGAAGCGAAAAGAAAGTGTGAGGGAAATATTGGTATCTAAATATACATTGCTTTATGGCTGTTTTCTTTCCTGGTTGCCAGATTTAGAGTATCTGGAATCTTTAAACGATGTACTAAATTGATTTGGGCATGATAGCTAAGCATAAACACATTGAAATAGTCTAGGTTTTCTCCTCAACAAAATATTAGCAAACCACATTCAACAATACATTAAAAAGATCATTCATCATGACCAGGTGGGATTTATCCCAGGGCTGCAAGAGTGGTTCAACATATGCAAATTAATCAAGGTGATACTACATATTAATAGAATAAAGGACAAAAAACATATGATCATTTCGATTGATGTCGAAAAAGCATTTGATAAACTTTAACATCTCTTCATAATAGAAAACCTCAAAAAACTTGGTTTAGAAGAAACATAACTCAACATTAAAAAAGCCGTATATGACAGGCCCACAGCTAGTATTACATTGAACAGGGACAAAATCAAAGCCTTTCCTTTTAGATCTGGAACATTACAAGAATGCCCATTTTCACTACTGTTGTT
Source organism: Homo sapiens (assembly GCF_000001405.40). NCBI lineage: Eukaryota > Metazoa > Chordata > Mammalia > Primates > Hominidae > Homo > Homo sapiens. The sequence continues at coordinate 74,292,834 of NC_000006.12, read as the reverse complement.
CAGCATAGTAAGGAAAGTCTTAGCTAGAGCAATCAGACAAGAAAAAAAAATAAGGGGCATCCACATTGGAAATGAAGAATGCAAATTATGTTTCTTTGCAGATAATATGATCTTACATTTGGAGAAAACTAAAGACAACACCAAAAAAACTATTCAAACTGATAAATTCAGTCAAGTTGCAAGATACAAAATCAACATATGAAAATCAGTAGCATTTCTATATAAAAACTGTGAACAATCTGAAAAAGAAATAATGAAAGTACTCCCTTTACAATAGCCACAAATAAAATGAAATAACTAAGAATTAACCATTAAAGTGAAAGATCTCCATAAAGACAACTATAAAATGATAATGAGAGAAATTGAACAAGACACAAAAAATTGGAAAGATATTCTATGTTCATGGACTGGAAGAATCAATATTGTTAAAATGTCCATACTACCCAAAGCAATCCACAGATTTGATGCAATTTTTATAAAAATACAAATGACATTCTTCACAGAAATGGAAAAAGCAATTCTAAAATTTATATGAAACCACAAAAGACCCTGAGTAGCCAAAGCTACCCTGAGCAAAAAGAACAAAACTGGAGGAATGACATTACCTGACTTCAAATTATACTAAAGGACTACAGTAACCAAAACAGCATGGTACTCACATAAAAACAGACACATAGACCAATGGAACAGAATAAAGAACCCAGAAACAAGTCCACACACCTACTGTGAACTCGTTTTTGACACAGGTGCCAAGAATATACACTGGAGAAAAGACAGTCTCTTCAATAAACGGTATGGGGGAAACTGAATATCCACATGGATATCTACTTGCAGAAGAATGAAACTGGATCCCTTTCTCTCACCATATACAAAAATCAAAGCAAAATGGATTAAACACTGAAGTCTAACACCTCAAACTACTATGAAACTACTACAAGAAAACATTGGGGAAACTCTCCAAGATATTGGTCTGGGCAAAAAAAAATCCTTGAGTAATACCCCACAAGCATAGGCAAACAAAGCGAAAACAGACAAATGGGATCACATCAAATTAAAAAGCTTCTGCACGGCAAACAATCAACAAAGTAAACAGATAACACAGAGGCTGTGAGAAAATATTTGCTAACTACTCATCTGACAAGGGATTAATAATTAGAATACATAAGAAGCTCAAACAACTCTAAAATTTCTAGACTTCATAAAACTTAAAAATCTAATAATCTGATTTAAAAATTGGCAAAAGATTTAAATAGACATTTCTCAAAAATAGACATATGAATGGCAAACAGGCATAAGAAAAAGTGCTCAACATTACTGATCATCAGAGATATGCAAATCAAAACTACAATGAGATATCATCTCACTCCAGTTAAAATGACTTTTATCTAAAAGTCAGGCAAGCCAGGCATGGTGGCACATGCCTGTAGTCCCACCTACTCGGGTGGCTGAGGTGGGAGGTCACTTCAGCCCACAGGGTCAAGGCTGAAGTGAGCTGAGATCACACCACTGCACTCCAGCCTGGGTGACAGAGTGATACCCTATCTCAAAAAAAGAAAAGTCAGGCTATATCAAATGCTGGCGAGGATATGGAGAAAAGGGAACCCTTATACACTGTTGGTGGGAAGGTAAATTAGTACAGCCATTATGAAAAACAGTTTGGAGTTTTCTCAAAACAATTAAAAACAGAGGTACCTTACGATCCAGGAATCCTTCTGCTGAGTTTTTACCCAAAAGAAAGGAAACTAGCATATTGAAGAGATATATCTGTACTCCCATGTTTGTCCCAGCGCTGTTCACAATAGTCAAGATTTGGAAGCAACCTAAGTGTCCATCAACAGATGAATGAATAAAGAAAATGTGACACTTATATACAATGGAGTACTATTCAGCCATAAAAGAAAATTAAATCCAATCCTGTCATTCGCAATAACATGGATGGAACTGGAATTCATTACATTAAGTCAAATAAGTCAGGCAGAGAAAAGCAAACATCTCACGTTCTCACTTACTGGTAGCATCTAAAAATCAAATCAGTTAAACTCATAGAGAGAAAGAATGAAAGAATGGTTACCAGAGACTGGGAAGGGTAGTGAGAAGGAGATTGAGACGTTAATAGGTACAAAAAAGATAGAAATAATAAATATGACCTAGTATTTCATAGTACAACAGGGTGATTGTCGTCAAAATAATTTAATTGTACATTTTAAAATAACTCAAGATACAATTTAATTGTTTGTAACAGAAAGGACAAGTGCTTCAGGGGATGGATACCCAATTCTACATGTTATGACTATTATGCTTTGCATGCCTATACCAGAATATTTCATGTACCCCATAAATGTATACACCTATTACGTACCCACAAAAATTAAAAATTAAAAAAATTAAAAAGCCTGGATTTTCAATAAAAGTTAAAATACTGTAATAGTACTCTTCTAAAATCAGACTGAAAGCCCAGACATAATATAAAGATTTGCATAAAGCTAAATCCAGTAGAAACCCACTTTGATTTACAAGATTGTAAATATTTTTAGGAACTTTGTAATGCATAAAATTCTCCTTCCCTGCCTCACAGAGATCTAAAGTGACCAAACATACTAAATATGTAATGTGTAATTTCCAGCTGAAACAAACTTAGCCCAGCCCCTCCTGGCTCAGTTAGAAGGTCATTTCCTCGGAAAGAGCTATACCCCCAATGGTAAATAAAGCTCCAATTGCAGTCGTAAATGTGGTAATACACAAGATGTCTTCATAGCAAGACTAATCACCAGATGGGGAGCTTGCCTAATTGGTTGAGGATGTTTTCTGCTCTGGTCATACCTTGGCAAATAGAACAAAGAGAGGCCAAGAGGCCTAATGGCTAGAACATGAGTATGAGTGTGGAGTTCTGTGATCTGCCCTCTGTTCGTTGTGGGTCTCTGGACAATTCCATTAACCTTGCTATATTTTATTTTACTATAAATATAACTAAGACTCTGCATACTTATCTATTTTCCAGAAAATGTTATAGGCAAAATTATCAAGGTTAAAATAAGAAATAATTCCTCTATATTGAAACATTCTTTTCTGAAGCAAATTAGGTTTATTCTTCTTAATTTCTCTTGGTTCAGCATGTAGAGTCAGTTACATGGCAGCATTTTATTAGGGATGAAAATTTTTATGGGGTAAAGAAACACTGACAGTCAAACACTAGGGGCCAGGACTCCTCCATGGCAAAGAGCAGCTTAAGGTCAAATTTATTCACTCAATGTCTTACTTCTTCCTATTGACCCAAAAGTTAGGGACAAAGTGAGCACCCCCCAGCAGAGGTGCAGCCAGGTGAGAAACCAGCCTTCAGGTAAACAAGTAAGTACCATAATATTTAGGAATAGCCAACACCCAAACTAGACAGAAAAAAAAATTGTTCTCAAATTTTTAAAAAATTTAGGATTACAAGCATGAAGAATTAATGCTAATAATTAATTAATGAGGGTCTGCTATTCCCAGTAGTCTGTAGATTCCTTGTGGGTAGATACTACATCTCTTGTTCCCACAGGTTTGTGTGATAAGATACAGCTAACACAGTGTCATAAGATACAGCTCCAACCATGGCAAAGGTCAAGGTGGGTAGAAATCGTGGCCTGAATTGGGCCAGAGACAAACCAAGGTCTTAAGAGAGAACCAGAGAAAAGAGTTATGTGCCAGAAACTGGGAGGTGTCACTAGACACAGGGGTAGCAGAAAATGCTCACCTTGAGACCAGAACAGAGGAAGACTGAGTGGCTATAGCAGAAATTGAAAGCATAGAATGGGCAACAAATGAATAGGAGAAGATGCTGAGATTGGAGGCAAAAGCACATCTGAGTACCTCACCTCTGAAATCAGAAGGAAAATGCCTTGAGTGGGGAAATGAGTTTTTATAGCAGAAGCTGGATTTTCAGTCCAGTGCTTCTTAAAGGGACCTGGCTTACTTTTGCTATCATGCAACTGGAATAATTTGAGGTAAACAAAAAAAATCTAAAAATTAAAGAAAAAGCAGAAACTGAATGGTCTTTCACAGCTGGGCAGGGTATGGCTGGCCAGGACAAAGCAGGACCAGGCAGCAAGAGGTACCAACACTGAGAGAGCCCTTGATCAAAGGATAGCCTGGCAGGCTCCAAGTTGTTACTGGAAGATCCTGGTACCACGGTCTCACAGGCATTGGCCTCTCCTGAACCTTTGTTTGTTCTGCCTAACAGTGGTAAATCCGTTTTCGAAGTAGCAATAATTGTGTAGTAAACTTATAAGCTATTGTTAGAAATTAGAAAAAATCATTTTTAAAAAACTAGAGAAAATAGTGTTTTATCTCAAAAATGTATAAACATACAGACATATTTAATTTTAGTTAAACTTTCATTTCCTAAGTTTGGAAAAATCACCTAGATTCCTCTAATTGTTCCTGCAGTCAAAAAGTAAATCTACATGTCCCATGCTATATTGAATGAGAAGGGTCTGTTTACTGTGTTCTTGTCTAAATCTCTTGGCCTTTTCCTGTCCAAATAAGTTGGTACTATTAATAATTCAGTCCCCAAAATCAGATAAAATATAAAATTAATTCCCTTTTCCATGAATTTAGATGATATAATTAGGCCATGCTTTTGGCTTATCACTATTTCCATGACTAAAATCACTTGAGAACTGCTTGTTTCCCATCAACATTTGGTCGTAAGAGTGATGGTGGGTGTCTTCTACAGGAGACAGTAGGTCAATGGCCAAAGGCCAATGGAGACAAACAGATGTTGCGGTTAACCAAATTGAGAAGGAATACATAAATTTTATTCCAAAAGCCTCTTGCCAGAAGTGCTATAAAGAGCAAATCCATGCTTGATCCTCTACCTCCCGTTTGATGGAAAATATTCAGATGTATTTGTCTGAATTCTTCAAAGAACCCTGGCAACTTGGTCTTTCCAATAAATATAGGCCAAAAGGGGTATTAATCCCTTTTATAACCCACCAACTTCAGTATGCACATTCTTAGAAAACGTGTGTGAAAAATTGAAGCAAGTTATACATGTAAACAAAATTTTACCTTCTGCTCAAATATGGGGACATTAACAAAAAGGAAAAAAGTACATGTTGCTGAGCAAGTTCATTTCAGAAAATGTCACATATGCGCTTTTCTCAGAAATCTTCCTGGAAACCTTTTCTGGGACTAGATCAAGGGACATACATTATTGTGCATTATAGGAAAAATGGGAAAGGAGCAATTTAGTGAGTATTTGAAACTGTGCCTGAAAATTATTTAAAAAGTGTATTTCTGTATACATTTCTGAGCCAAAAATTGTCTTATAAGTAGGAAATATGGTCACTTTATTTTAAATACTATGAAACCAGAGTGTGTACATTTGCCATAAACATTGAAGTAGTCTCCAGTGTGAGAACAAAGGAGAGAGGAGAAGTTTAAGCCTGGAATATTGGCACCACTAAGCCAAAGATACCCACGAGAGAGTATTGCCTACTTCCCAAAAAGCACATTAGGGCCAGGGGTATGTGAGTAAAATGAAGTAGGAATAGATGGCAATAACCAGACAAGCCAGACCTTCTGACCACTGTTCAGAAGGCAGATTTCCTAGATACAAATAATCCCGCAGACCATAAAGTTACAGTCATTGCTATATATATATATATATATATATATATATATATATATATATATACACACATACATATATATGTGTGTGTGTGTGTGTGTATGTGTGTGTGTCAGGCAAAAGGTAACTCGTTCCCCATGACCCACGCCCTTGTAAAATCTCCTCTCCTTGAATGTGAGCAGAACTTGTAAATATGATGAGATATCACTCCAAAACTATATTACAGGGCAAAAACTGTATTATCGAGGTGGGCCTAACCTGATCACATGATCCCTTTAAAAACCAAGAGTTTTCTCTGGCTGGTTTCAGGAGAGGAAGTCAGAGATTTGACAGCTAGCAGACAATGGGGAGCTCAGTCAATAAGCTTTCAAGGAAATGAATTCTGCCTACAAACAATGAACTTGGAAGAGAATCCCAAATCCCAAATAAGAAGCCCAGCCCTGGACAACACTTTGATTTCAGTCTAAAGAAACCCTGAGAAGAGAATACAGTGACATTGTACCTAGACTTCTGGCCTACACAACTGTAAGATAATAAATACATGTTGTTTTAAGCTGTACAGTCTGTGGTAATTTGTGGCACAGTAAGAGAAAACTAATACAAGCTGGGCGTGGTGGCTCATACCTGTAATCCCAGCACTCTAGGAGACCCAGAAAGGCGGACCACTTGAGCCCAAGTTTTGAGACCAGCCTGGGCAACATGTGAAACGCTGTCTCTACAAAAAATATTAAAAAAAAATCACCCAAGCATGATGGTGTGCACCTATAGTACCAGCTAATTAGGAGACTGAGCTGGGAGGATTGCTTGAGCCCAGGAGGTCAAAGCTACAGAGAGCTGTGATCATGCCACTGCACTGCAGCCTGAGCAACTGAGCAAGACCCTGTCTCCAAAAAAAAGAAAGAAAAGAAAACTAATACAAATTCAAGAATACAAATACAAAGAAGAAACTAACACAAAAAGAACCTAATACAAATACAACACTGTACTTGCTGAGTCAAATATGACTAATCTAAGAATCTGCTAACATAGTGACTATAGACCTTCTAAGAATCTTCTAGCTCTACAATTCTATAATTTTAATAAACTTATATAAAATTTATTAAACAGGGGAAAGGATCTCCTGTTTAGTAAATGGTGCTGAGAAAACTGGCTAGCCATATGCAGAAAACTGAAACTGGACCCCTTCCTTACACCTTACACAAAAATCAACTCAAGATGGATTAAAGGCTTAAATGTCAAACCCCAAACCATAAAAACTCTAGAAGAAAACCTAGGCCATACCATTCAGGACATAGGCATGGGCAAAGACTTCATGACAAAAACACCAAAAGCAATTGCAACAAAAGCCAAAATTGACAAATGGAATCTAATTAAACTAAAGAGCTTCTGCACAGCAAAAGAAACTATCATCAGAACAAACAGGCAACCTACAGAATGGGAGAAATTTTTGCAATCTACCCATCTCACAAAAGTCTAATATCCAGAATTTACAAGGAACTTAAACAAATTTACAAGAAAAAAAACAACCCCAGCAAAAAGTGGGTAAAGGATATCAACAGACACTTCTCAAAAGAAGACATTTATGTCTCCAACAAACATATGAAAAAAAGCTCAACATCACTGATCATCAGAGAAATGCAAATCAAAACCACAATGAGACACCATCTCACGCCTGTCAGAATGGTGATTATTAAGTGAGGAAACAATAGATGCTGGCGAGACTGTGGAGAAATAGGAATGCTTTTACTCTGTTGGTGGGAATGTAAATGAGTTCAACCATTGGGGAAGACAGTATGGAGACTCCTCAAGGTCTAGAACCAGAAATACCATTTGACCCAGCAATCCCATTACTGGGTATATACTCAAAGGAAGATATATATCATTCTACTATAAAGACACATGCAAACGTATGTTTATTGCAGCACTATTTACAATAGCAAAGACATGGAACCAACCCAAATGCCCATCAATGATAGACAGGATAAAGAAAATGTGGTACATATACACCATGGAATACTATGCAGTCATAAAAAGGAATGAGATCATGTCCTTTGCAGGGAGATGGATGAAGCTGGAAGCCATCATCCTCAGCAAACTAACAGAGGAACAGAAAACCAAATACCCCATGTTCTTACTCATAAGTGGGAGTTGAACAATGAGAAAACATGGACATAGGGAGGGGAACAACACACACCAAGGCCCTTTAGGGGGTGGGAGGTGACAGGAGGAGAGGAGGGAACTTAGAGGATGGGTCAATAGGTGCAGCAAACCACCATGGCACACGTATACCTATGTAACAAGCCTGCACGCTCTGCATTTGTATCTAGTTTTTTTAGAATTATTTTAAAAAAGAGAGAGAAAACAAGCTTAAATAAATAAGATAAAAATACAAACTTAAAAAATTGTTTAAAATAAAATATAAAAAAAGATATTTTAGATTTTTTCAGTAAACAAAGTTTCTTTGTATTATTACACTGTAGGAGCTTTGTATAAATTTTAGCAAATTTACAGTATTTTATGGGAAATATTTTGACTTTGGTCATCAAAACCTGTGTGAAAATTGTAGGTTATTCAAATCACATGCTCATTTAATGTTACCTTAGAGTGTTTTCCAACATGAGGATTTGATCCAATGTCCATAATTTCAAAGGATGTAAATCTGGTAACCATAAAATGGTAAGCCAGCACAGCCAAGTATAGAAACCATGTGCAGTGAAGCAAGTATGTTTCCATTTGGTCTCTGTATTCTTTACTCTGGAGAAACCCTATTCCTCCCAAACAAATCTTGTTTTACTTACATCTGTTTTAAATAGCTAGTATGTAGAGCAAACTACCACATATGGTAACAGAGATCATATCATCTAAGAGGCATTTGATAATGATATTAAAGTATTTTTAATTGAAACAAATTAGTCACAAACCCCAATTTAAACAACACCTCTTCTGGGTGAAAAGTATCTCAAATATTTAAAAGAAGTTCTTTATACAAAACTCTTCTAAGAAGAAAGAAAAAGAAAAGACGTATTCTATCTTTTCCCTGATGAATGGCACTTGTTTTATAAACCTAAACAGCAACGTATTTTAGTTTTAGTTTGCATTGCAAGAATGATCATAAATGGCAATTCTAAAAGCCTAGTTTGTAAAAATTGTAGTTAGAAAACATCACATACTTCTAAAAAGTGATATATCATTCTTTAGTAATGAATAAGGCAATCTTTTTTGTGGCGGGGAGGGGGGAATTAAACCTTATTTATTTTTAAAACCAAATTACTAAGAAAATATATCACAGCCTGAAAACAGCAAATGGACAGGCTGTATTATCATTTCAAGTAATAAGTTGGTGAAAATACAATGAGGTTGGTATCAAAATAATAAGGTGCCTTGCCAGTTTTGAAACACTGCAAGTTTCAAAAGCCCCGGGCAAAAATGGTATTTGATAATGGGGACTGGCTGCCTCTCCTTTGCTCTAAGGGAGTCAGCTCATCCTAGCCCGAGTTGTTTACTTTTTTTCCCTTGAATTTCCTGTTGCCAGGGGTTTATCTCAATTGGGCTCTGTTAATTCAGGGAGCTAAGGAAACAACGCTAGGTTTAGGCTTTCATTCCATTCTGTTTTATAAAAACCAGGTTTTTCCAAATCCAGTACTTCATAACTCCCTTATAAGCAAGTAGCCAATTGCTCCTCTTTTACTATTCATTCCTAGATACTAATATATATCACAGTCAAAACCCCCTTCTCTTCAAGGGGAAAGTGTTACTGCAAGATTCGTCCTGTCATTTTGCTACACACAACCTCAGGGCCCATCAGCCAGTAAGAGGGAAGCTCTGCTTCCCACAATTAGTGTGTCGTCACCTCTTATGTTTTTGCACGGTCTCCAGGTTGAAAGACACAGCATGTAATAATATTAAGAAATGTATATTTACATATCGATGACCAGAAATGGGGATCCAAAAGGATCTTCAAAGTTCTTATCCAAACTACTCTCCCTCCCAATTCCACATCTTAAAATCAATTTGTATACCATTGTATAAATTACACAAAATCAAGAAAACTAAGACCCAGAAATTTGTTTTTCCCTTCTAAGTGATTGACCTCTTGGATTTTGTTTCACAGCTTACAGAAAATGGTGTGATGACCCTTCTGGTAAACAGGATGTTGGCAACAAAGAGAAAATATCTCTCCTCAAACTCCATCAGGTCTAACCTTCCAGCCTATTGGTACCTGTGTAGTAAGAAGAGTCTGGTACCTTGGAGGGCTCTGACTTATTACAGGCAACATCCTTACGGCCAGGACAAGCACTAGCCACAGGAACATAAGCTCTAAAACTTCCTGTAATATCTCCGATGCAATTTAGCACCACTTTTTCCTATTTCACTTTTTAGGACTGAAACATGAAAGAACCAGTGTCCGGAGGCAAGTGACATATGCCTTACACTTGTTGCCATCCTTAATTTCTTCATTCATAAACTTTGCTTAAAATACTGAAATTCCCAATTCCTTATTAAAAAATATATTCTTGCCCTCAGTCCCGATGGCCACTGGCAAGGACTTCTATTTCCCAATGGGTAAGAGAGCCTCCTTCTTCTTGGTCATGGTTGGGATGAGGTGCATGTGGTCATCCACACACTTGGTCACACGACAGTCCAGCTACCGCTTCCCCTGAAGCTCCTTACTCCCAGCATCTATTGAATCTTTGGCTTTGTCGTTGCAATGTTTGGTGCACCAGGCCTGGCGGTCATGGAACTTCTCCAACTTACTGGTGACCAAGGCCTGGACTTGAGCCAGAGGTGCATGGCAGCGCTCGATGCACTGGTGCACTTACTGCATGGATGCCTAGCTGTCCTCACAACAGCTGGTGCTGCACGGGAACATAAGACTCTGCATCTTCTGGATGTTCTCTCTCTAGACTCTTCACCATGGAGTCCACCGTCTCCTGCACCCGCAGCTGCTGCAACTCCGCCATGACGACCCTGCCCTGCCCCACGCCGCACCTGGTGCTCACCAATAAGGCAATCTTAACTAGCTAAATTTAAATAGGATGTCTATGGCAGATTACAAATATAAAAATGCTTAATGTCAGGTATATTAAAAATTTGTGAAAATCATTGCCAATGATAGGGCAAGGCAAGTGTATCCAAACAAATGAGTTAATGTATGTAAAACATTTAGAACAATACTGAACTGTTGTATATATTATTATTATTATTTTCACTCAATATTTTCCCTGTGGACATCCTTTGACTTCAGTCCTTTAGTTATGTACAAAAGTGGTTCGCACCAGGCGCAGTGGCTCATGCCTGCAATCCCAGCACTTTGGGAGGCCGAGGCGGGTAGATCACCTGAGACCAGGAGTTTGAGACCAGCCTGGCCAACATGGGGAAACCCTGTCTCTACTAAAAATACAAAAATTAGCCGGGCATGGTGGCACATACCTATAATCCCACCTACCTGGAAGGCTGAGATAGGAGAATTCCTTGAACCCAGGAGGTGGAGGTTACAGTGAGTCAAGATCGCGCCACTGCACTCCAGCCTGGGCAACAAAGCAAGACTCCATCTCAAAAAAAAAAAAGTGGTTGCAGGTGCACTTTCAAATATCATCAGTTTGCAGTAGTCCAACTGAAGAGATTAAAAGATTCCAAATAATTCCCAAATAAATAAAAAATAGCCACAGTGCAATTATTTCTTATGGTGTCTAGAAAAGCATTCAGTGTTGCCTGTTCACTTGTCACCGCCTGTTAAAATGTCTACTCAGGCCAGGCATGTTGGCTCAGGCCTGTAATCCCAGCACTTTGGGAGGCCGAGATGGGCGAATCACGAGGTCAGGAGCTGGAGACCAGCCCAGCCAAAATAGTGAAACCCTGTCTCTACTAAAAATACAAAAATTAGCCAGGTGTGGTGGCAGGCGCCTGTAATCCCAGCTACTAGGGAGGCTGAGGCAGGAGAATTGCTTGAACCCAGGAGGCGGAGGTTGCGGTAAGCCCAGATCATGCCACTGGATTCCAGCCTGGGTGACAGAGCAAGACTCCATCTCAAAAAAAAAAAAAAGAAAAGAAAAAAAAGAAAAAAAAGAAAAAAAATTGTCTACTCAGATCTGCTCATTTCTCTGACCAGGAAGGCAATGTTTGGTACACTCCAGTGTACATGCAGTCTCTCATTGCCAGTACTTGACAATATAGTTACTAGTCCTCTTCCCTCTTGCTCAGTGCCAGCTTATCCTCAGTACTATTTTACATGAGTCTCTCAGTTCATCACTTCACTCCACAGCATTTATAGGATGGGTGAGAATAGAGATAAACTTCTCCCACTTACCATCACTTGATGAACATCTGTGAAGAGATCCAATATGCCACAGGACGTTAACTCGAAAACATTGTACCCAACAAGCTCTTTTGCAACAAATTTATTGAATGGGCCAAAGAGTTTAAGTAGGATTTTTTTTTAATTTTGTTCATATCTGTCCTCAAACCTGTTTTGTCGTATTTTCCTTCCCTTACCTCTTGGCCATATCTTAGATTCCACAGCTTTCTGATTACTTTCAGGCATTAGAATAGTCTCCTTTTCCATCTTCTTTCCAGTTTAATATACAACGAAGCATTCAGTTTTCACTCAATTTTAAGCTTCCACTTCCCAGCCTCACTCAGAACTGATTCTCAGTTTCACAGTAATTGGAAGCAAGGGCGTATCATGATATTTTACTATGTTTCCACCTTTCTCTTCCAACTTCATTCCTGACTCACTACACTGCCTCTAGCTCCCCCTAGACGTGGGTTGGGAACAGGGATGAATGTTAAATTGGAAAAATCTGTTTAAAATTAATGGCATCATTTGTATTTTCTCCTGGTTGTTGGAAATCCTCTGTCACGGAAGATGTCCAAACATTGGCTCTCTCACACAAGGGATGTTTTGGTGGGTTCTCTGGAGACGCTTTCCCACAGAAGCGTTCAACATTACATCATTTACCAGTGAGCAACATTTTTTCTGGATGCCTTCAAGTGGCTTATTCACAGTCCCCATTTCTAATGACACCCCACAGAACCTTCATTTGCTGGGTCACCTTGCCTCACTAGACATCCTCTCTAAAGGGTTCTATTTCACTTCCTTCCACAGTGCCTTCTCTTGCTCCAGTAAGTGTACCCTTGCCCTCCTACTAATGGAGTTATTTGCTCTCACTGCAGCTTTCTCTCCTTACTTGTTCTTTAGCAGTTACTCGAGGTAGCTTTCCTTGTGCACATAGGGATTCAAGCCAGGGTAAACAGATCAGCATCACCCAAGCTCATTTCCACAGCTCAGCCAACAACCACCAGGGGCAATATGGCAGTTTCCCTTCATCATAAGAAGACATCCTCCACCACTTAGCTGAGTTAGAATAAAACAGTCTCCTCTTGAGTAAGCCAACAATCCTTTTCAAAGCATCTTCCTCCTATTTCTCCAAATTTATTATCTCATGTCACATTGGCTAAAGTTTATAAGATCATTTTTATTTCCACTCTTTAGCAAGTCCTTTGGAAATGTCTCTGGTCTTCAGAACAAGAGAGCACTTAAAATATAGTGTTCCCAGCTTTGAAGCCTCTGCTGACATCCTGGGACAGGAGGGTCATATTTAACATTAATACTCCAGAATTAAGGAAAAATAAACATAATTTTGTGGGTTCCGTTTCCCTAGTAATTAGTTTAGACTTTATTAGGAATATACCTATAGCAATTAGATATATATCAATAGCTTCAGAAGCCAAGGTAAGATATTTTCCAGGTAATAGGAGAAACAGAGGAGAAAACTTTCAAAACAAATCTGGATCCTTAGTGGCTCAATTATGTTGGATAGTTTCCTGAGCATTATTTCTCTATCCTTTCAATGCATGTGGTGGTTTTAAAATATATCTGCAAACTCCTTTATATCATACTCCTCACTTCAAGAAGTTGAGTTGAATTCCCCTCTTCTGAAATGTGGGCTGGATTTATAACAATAAACTTCAAACCAATAGATTATGGCAGAATTGATGGAATATGATGAGGCATAAAAGTCATTGAGGGTTCTTGCTCTTTCTCTTAGACCCCTTGCTTTGAAAAAAGTCAGCTGCCATGCTTTCAGGACACTCAACCACCCTATAAAGAGGCCCATGTGACAATGAACTGAGGACTGCTGTAAAGAACCATGTGAGTGAAACATCTTAGAACTGGGTCTGATAGCCCCTGTCAAGCCTTCAGATAACTATAGCCTCAGCCAACAACTGGACTGCAGACGCCTGAGAAACTCTACACCAGAACCTCAGCTAACTTCTCTCCAATCCCTGACTCACAGAAATTGTGATTTAATAAATGTTTGTTATTTTAATTCACTAAGTTTAGGGGTAATTTGTATATAGCAGTAGATAACTAATACAATACGGTATTTTACATATTAAAATAAATTTAAAATCCCATATATTCTTTCCTGAATTCTATATGCCATGTACACCCAAAATATACCAATAATCAAATGCATGCCTTGACCCAAAGTCAGGTACTGTGATAACTTCTTTTTATAACAGTCTAATCATTCAGCTGAGCATGATTACTAATTCACAGACCGATCAGCTGATAACCTCCCCGACTCTTGATGAAATGACTTGTTCTGTCAGGGGTTACTGAGAAGGACATACACACATTAACATAATGTGAATCTGTGTATTAAGGATCATATTTAGATTCATGGTCACATGGGCCAATAGTAAGTAATGAAGAGAAGACTCTATTGTGCAAAATTATTCCTCTGTCACTAACATTTTAAACTCAAATATTATAACATTCCTATTTTTTAGATTAATTCAGTGTTAAAATTCACATGACTTCAGTAGAGGTAGTTCTTTATGTTGTTTGAGGTAAATTATTCTTTTGGATATGAATAAAAAGTGAGATTAGAGTGTGGGCCACCAAGAAGAAAAAAGAGAAATTAATTCAAAAGCTGAGAGTGCTAAGGAAAAGTTCTCTGGCTTTCTAGACATGCTGTGGATGGCCTTGTGCCCTCTTAAGCTCTGTGAATTAGGGATCATCAGCTCCCAGAAGGCAGAGACTAAGTTGTGTGTCTGTTACGAATAGCACCTAAGCAATCCAGTCGGTGGAATACTAAACCACAACAAAATCATTAGGCACCAGATAAAGTCAGATGTCTATCCTAATAAGCAGCTGTTAGACTTGGAACTGTCAGGAATATCGCATGTAATTTCCTGGACATTTTCATTAGGGTCACCTAGAAACCACACCAACAACAAATAGCAAGACAAAAATTTACCCGAGGCACACAACCAGACTCCTGGAATGTTGCCAGTTCCGAAACAAAGCTTGCTGCCACTCAGCTGAGCTGTATTATATATATGTGACAGAGACTGGAGAGTTGAATCTCACAGCAATTTGAGATGATGTAACCACAAACAGGACAGTTGGAAGAAATAGGGCCACTGCGATTAGCTGAGTCAAAGGACATCCATTCCCTATTGGAAAGTAAAAAGCAAAGGACAAGCTATTCTTGGGATCAGAAATCAGAGATGTCTCAGAGTGCAGCTTTGACTATATGCAGAGAAGAGAAACTGTGACCTTGTGAATACAATCCCCTTCAATGTAGGGAAGTCTAACCAAAAAGTCTAGTAAGAATCTTGTTATATACATGTACATGTATGTGATAAACCGCACACGTTGTATCCCACTACTATCAGGAAGCTTCCCTGAATATATACAACAGCCACCTACATCTTTGAACCCACTTTTGGAGAATTTGTTTTCATTTTCTACTGAATTAGATCCTATGGAATAAAAAGGGCTCTCTCTCTCTACATGTCAAAAACTAAAATGTTATATTAGATGATTACTAGTACCCTCATCATTCTGATTATTTGACAAAAAGAATATTTGAGACCATATGAGAACAAAATGTCATCATAAACCAATTCTTTTTAAAAAGAACTTAGATTCTAGTGAAACTATATTTGATGTGAAAACACAAAGTGGTTACAAACATGAGACATTACTTTGACACTTGAGACTTAAAAAAAAACTGCAGATTGAAACTAGACATTATTTTACAGTGGGAAAAGCCATTAGGTTTGATTTTTGTCAACTTTATGTTCAGGCCACAGATGTTAGCATGACACTTAATATTTCTGGTTTATGGGGAAAATTAGAAAAGAATGCTCACAATTTAACTGATGTATAGCCTGTCACCTTGCTTTTTTTCATCTAAAAAATTCGAATGCAATTTTAATAACTGAAAGAATTCCATAATATTTTGATTTAGTAACTTGACAGAAGCACCTATAAAATCGTGGCCTGTTTTATCAAAATTATTCAAATATTTACTTATTGTCTGCAAACCTAAATTATATTTCCAACTTGCTGTTACTTTTCTACATTTATTCTATGTACTTTAATAGATTTCAGAGATGAATAAGGAAGGATATGCTTTGTCATATGTATTATATTTCATAAACATACAGCTAACTTTTAAATTTTGTATTCAGGGTGGCAGTGTGGTATGCAAAATAATTTCTTGGTTTCCTGAAATCACAGGATAAAATGCTTTTGTTACTATAAATTACAGTATCCTCCAATAATTTTGTAGCTAAACTCCAAATTTGCTTCACAAAGACCAAACAGCATGTTAAACCGCTTCATGATATAGAGTTTGTTTTTCAGATATTACACATAAACAAAGCTTTATGACTTGGAGACAGTTATAGAAAGTAGTTTGCTGGTAAAGCAGAAATTCTTCAATGTGATAACTATCTCTTGGGCTTTGTATATTTTATTTCTTTTATAATCATAGGTAGCCCCTCCCATAATACCTCTAGTGTCAGAAATAAACCTCCCACTATACTCTTTAGCCACATTCTTAAATTCACCCCTCTCAAACTACCTCCATTTAGCATCACTATAAATCCAAGGTAAGAATAAATATATATATTTAAATTTCCTCTTAAGCTGCAGGAAAAATCAGAATCAGAAAGTAGCAAGTTACAGTGAATGACTTATGGTCCAATGTGAAAATATTGAGTAAGATATAAGTAAACAAGACAGGTCCATATATGCTAATATGATAAATTGCCTGGAGGTCTTCAAATTCATTATATTCATAGAGAATAATCAGAATATAATGTGTCCTTCTAAAGAAGAATCTTAGTCTGCCTTTCAAAAATCAAAACAGACAAGTTTGCAACGAGTGAATATCTTATAACAACCAAGAACTTCAGCTGGAGGACTGCAAGATTGTCTATTTCAAATCCTATTTTTCAGAGAAGGAAATACAGACTCAGACATTTTTGTAAGTAAACAGACTGTTTGTTAGATGTGTACTTGAGACTTGAGAGTAGGTTGCTAAGGCTTTTTTCCAATGTTCTGTCTTTAAAAATTGCTTTACTTCTCTATGTTACTGGTATCTTTCGATGAACAAAATTCTTAATTTAAGTATTCTTACTAATAAGTATTTACTTATTAAAGCTTATATTTTTTGGTTATCATAAAAATGGTCTTTTAAAATTGAATTATCTAACTGCACATAAAGTGCAATTTGCTTTTATGTATTGATTTTATTTCTCACAACCTTGCTAAACTTTCTAATTAATTGCAGTAGTTCGTCTGATAATTCTCTTGGGTTTTCCATAGGTTTCGTTGTTGTTGTTGTTGTTGTTGTTGTTTTAGTTCTGGAAGCTGGAAAGTCCAAGGTGAAGAGGCTGAATCTGGTAAGAGCCTTCTTTCTGGTGAGAACCCTCTACAGAGTCCCATGGTAGCCCTAGGGCATCACATTGGTGAAGGGGCTGAGTGTGCTAGCTCAGATCTCTATTCCTCTTTTTATAAAGCCACCAGTCCCACTCCTATGATAAATTTCAACATGAGTTTGGAGTTTTTAATCCTTATAGAAAAATTTCTCCTAGAATCTCCAGTACAATACTAAATAGAAGTTTCTATAGTGGGACTCTTGTGTTATTCTTTCTTTAAATGAACACGTGTTAAAAAGTAGTTACAACAAGTGAGCATAACATTTCAAATTGAAATGTGTCAAAACAAAGTATCAATGAACCATGTGATATATCAGAAGGAGTTAATGAGCTGAATTATAAAATGAAAAGCACTCCAGAAAAACGATACTTGATATATAAATCTCTGTGAACAGAGACAGTGTAGTTAATAGAGCTTGAAAATCAAGAGGGAAGGGACACAAGATGAGGCTGGAGAGGCAGGATGATTTCAGACCTTTCATGACCTCATAGGCAAGTGCTATGACTTTAATATGTGTCCTCCAAAACTCATTTTGAAATTTATCCTAGAAGTGGGACTGGTGGCTTTATAAAAAGTGTAAGAGAGACCTGAGATAGCACACTAAGCCCCCTCACCATGTGATACTCTATGCTACTTTGGGACTCTACAGCAGGTCTCCACCAGCAAGAAGGCTCTTATCAGATGCACCCCCTCAACCTTGGACTTCCCAGCCTTCAGAACTACAATAAATAAATTTCACTTCTTATAAACTATTCAGTTTCAAGTATTCTGTTATAAGCAACGATGAACAAACTAAGACAGAAGATTAGTATCAGAAGTGGATGTTGCCAAGAATGAATATCTGAAAATGTGGAAGCAGCTTTGGAACTGGGCAATGGAGAGAGGCTAGAAGAATTTAAAGGATCAGGCTAGAAAAAAAAAAAAAAACAGATTCTGGTGAGAACATAGAAGACAAGAAGATTAGTGAAAGTCTGGAACACCTTAAGCTTGGTTAAGTGGTCATGACCAGAATTCTGATAGAAATATGTACAGTAGAGGCCATTCTGATGAGGTCTTTGATGGAACTGAGGAACAACGTATTGTAATCTGGGGTAAAGGCCATCCTTGTTATAAACTGTCAAAGAACTTGGCTGAGTTGTTTCCATGCCTGAAGGTTTTGTGGAAAGCCAAACTTGAGAATGATAAACTAGGGTATCTGGCGGAAGAAATTTCTAAGGAAAATACAGAAGCTTCCTGGTTACTTTTCACCACTTGTGCTGAGATTTGGGAGCAAAAGAATAATTTAAGGACCGAATTTATAATCCAAAAGGAAAAAGAGTAGAATTCTTTGGAAAACTCTCAGTCTGACACTTAAAGTATAGAGAAGTATGTTCAGGAGAAGAAACCAAGCCCAGCAACCATTTGCCAAAGAGATTAGCATGAATAGAAGGGAGCTAGGTGCTCTACCTCAAGACAATGGGAGAAAGACCTCAAAGACATTTCAGAAAACTTTGAGGTTGCCCCTTTCATCACAGGTCAAGAGGCCTAGGAGAGCAAAATAATTTCCAGAGACTGGACATCACATTCTCCATGAGATCACTGCCCAGGGCCACCTTGGGATTCTAATCCTGTACCACAGTGCAGTGCTTCACAGCTACCCCAGCTGTGGCTAAATAAGTCCCATGTATGCCTTATGCTTCAGCTTCAGAAGGTATAAATTGTAAACCTTGGTAACATCCATGTGGTGCTAATTCTGCAAGCTTGCAGAAAGAAAGAGCTGTGAAGATTTGGCAGCTCCATCCAGATTTCAAAGGATGTTGTTGAACTCCTAGTGGCCCAGGCAGAGACTTGTTTCAGGAGGAAGCCACTGCAGAGAGCCCTCACTGGAATAATTCTGAGTGGCATGTGAGCAGGGCATAGGCTTGGGGGTGGGGCAGGGACAGAATGCTATGATTTGAATACTTGTCCCCTTCAAACTCGTTTAAAATTTATCATGGAAATAGGATTGGTGGCTTTATAAGAAGAGAAAGAAGGATCTGAGCTAGCACATCTAGCCCCACCTCACCATGTAATGTCCTGTGCTGCCTCAGGATTCTGCAGAGGATCCCCACCAACAAGAAAGCTCTTGCCAGATAAACGCTCTCAACCTTGGACTTCCCAGATTCCAGAACTGTAAGAAATAAATTTCATTTTTTATAAATTACCCAGTTTCAAAACAAATCAACAACAATTAATATCCTCCAGTTAAGGACCATTCTTTCCCAAATTTAGGAGCTTAAATACCCTCTGGGTTTAATGGAATACAATAATCTACTCCATTTCCTATACTTTTTCTCAATCGCTCAGTTTCTCATCCAAACCCATATGTACAGTTGTTTCTCAGTTGAAAAACAAAAGATGTCATGCATAGCAATATAAATGGATGGTATGGTAGGTAGAATAATGGCTTCCCAAAGAAATCCAATCCCCAGAACCTGTGAATATGTTACTTTATATGGCAAAGGAGACGTTTTGCTGATGTGATTCAGTTAAAGATAACAAGATAGGAGGATTACTGCATTATCTAGGTGAGCCAAACATAATCACAAGGGTCCCTAATAGAGAAAAGAGGGAGTTGGGAAAGTCAGAATCAGAATAGATGTGAGGATGCATCTCCCTGTCCACAAGCCAAAGAGTAAGGCAGCAGCCAGAAGCTAGAAAAGTCAAGAAGCAATTCTCCCTTACAGCCTCCAGAAGAAATGTAGCCCTGTGGACCCATTTCAGACTTCTGACCTCCAGAACTATATGATAATAAATCTGTGGAGTTTTAAGCTACTAAATGTTTAGCTGTTACAACAGCAATAGGAAACTAATGCAGATGGTAGAGGCTGTGGGGGCTTTGAAGTTCTTATCTTCACTTTCAAAAATTGTTCTAGCCCAATTGGTGAAAACTATCTTGCTAAAAATAAAATGCATTTTTGTTTATTTTTAAGAAATAAAGAATTAATCTATGCCTGTTCAGTTAGATGAAGCAAGCCTTTATTGGATGCTTAGATTCTAATAACCAGGCTCAGGAAATGAGTTTGGTTAAGGACTTTATGATTATTCAATCCAGAGTGTATGCTTTATTAATCTGGTTTACTTCAGGTCAACAAATAGTTATGGACTGTGTAGTATTTGTACTGATTGTATAAAGATTTACAATTTGCCATGGTTCTCACAGAAATAAGAAAGGGAGACAAAAGTTTCCTATAAAAAAGGTGAAGAAAATTCCATGAAATTGGGCTCAACTTTGGTTTGAGTCATGATGGATTCTAACAGGTTGTTTATAAAGCATATCAGCATGGATTTAGTTACATCATTGATAACTATGTAAATGAGAAATCTTATGTAAATCACAATACAAACAAAGCCATGGCATCATTTAAAAATATTTGTCATGGCTCCAAAAATTAAGGACATTCCTAATCAGGAAGACAACATCTAAACAAAATATAAAGAATACAAAATATCATTATAATAAAGTAAGCACTATGAAAGAAATGGTCAGTGAAAATTTTGGCAGAGAATAGAAGTGAAGCATTCCTGAAACAGGTGTTGCCTGAGCTGGAATGAAAACAAAGAAATGCACAAAGACAGAAAACTCAAGGTGCTTGAGGGAGTCACAGGAAATTCAGCATCCATGTAGGATACTAAGTTAAGAAAAGGAAAAAGAAGAGCCAAAAGGATACTTAAAAGATGGACACAGAGAGACAAACAGGGCTACAGAAATTCCAGCATGTCACGTAAATAGATTTTACTTTATCTTGTAGGCAATGGAATGCTTTGAATGATTTTTAAGCAGTGGGTTGACAGCATCTGATTTGCATTTTATATACATTCCTCTGATGTCAGAGTAGAGACATATCTAAGAGAGCAGGACCAGTAACATAGCCAATCAAATGCTACAAGTATCTAGATCAGGCTAGGGCAGTGGCAAGCAGAGATGGGAAGAAGCAGATTTGATAAACGATTACAGAGATAGGTCAGCAGGATTTGGAAAGAAATTAGATTGATAGTGGAGAAAAAGGAAGGGCCTAAGATTATCCCTAGTTTGGCCATTTGATTAGTAGGTTGAGTTATAATTGAAGCAGGAAATGCAGAAAGGGGAAGAGTTTAAATTTTGGTGAAGGCGAATAATGAGTTTCTTGTGGCGCATAGTAAGTCCCAGGAAGAATGTTGCCCCTGGTGTGTGAAGGGATAGAAAGAAAGAACAAGTCCCTAACTGAGCTGTTGTGACCAAAGCCTGTGACCCAGAGTGGTTTTTACCTTCAGAAGTTTTCCTGAGAGATTTTTTTTCTTTTTCCCCTTGTCTCGCCTACTTTTTCTGTTTGCCTTTGCTTTAAAAAAGTTAAGAAGAGGTTTTGAACAGCTTGCCAGTGCAATTCTCTGTATAACTAAATCAAGCATCCAGTGGCTGATAGACAGAAAGGAAACCTGAGTATTGCACATTTACCAAGAAAATATATGGGGCTGGGCACAGTGACTCATGCAGGTAATCCCAGCACTTTGAGAGGCTGAGGCAGGAGGATTGCTTGAGCCCAGGAGTTCGAGATCAACCTGGGCAACATAGCAAGACCCTGTCTCTACAAAAATAACAATAAAAAATTAGGCAGGCATGGTGGTGCACACTTGTAGTCACAGCTACTCAAGAGGCTGAAGCAGGAGGATCAGGAGCCTGGGAGGTTGAGCCTGAAGCGAGCCGTGATCACACCACTGCCCTCCAGCTTGAGCTACAGAGTGAGACAGTCTCAAAAAAGAAAGAAAGAAAATATACATATGTGGTTTATAAATGAAGGAGATGGGAAGTGTTAAATAAATTGTAGAGTGGCTATAAACTTTGCTCTTAGTGTAAGAGTTTATTCTAGAGGATTGAGCTTCTAATCGGCAGTACTTAATTGTTTCCAGCTGAATATCCTGCTATTGTTTAATTGCTTGTTTAGATTCTTCATTTGTATTAGAGTCTCAAAGGTAGTAAAAGACTCTAATTATTTGACATATGCAGCAACAAATATTCGAAAATGTAAAGCTTAATATGAAAACAATCCAAAAAATTATGGCTAGATAAGAATCCAAATGTGAAAATCTGCTTCAGTCTCAGGGATACTAAAGTGTCCTACATAGCATGACATGCTAATTAAGAAATTCTTCAGAAAGCAAACTAAACACCTCACAAATAAAATTTAAAATTTTATAAATTTTAAAGTCTTAAATTAGCAATTTAAATAACTCTTCTAAAAAATTAAAAAACACAGTGTAGTACAGTGATAGAAGCCATATTTTATGGCTCTTTTTTCTATGCAGGATATTAAACCTGGTTTATTTTCAAATAATTTTAGAGAACCCTGTCTCCATCAGTATCCTGTTTCAGTGTTCCATCACAGGAACATCTCCTCAGGTCTTGTTTCTCCTATGTATTTTTCTTAGATTATTTGAACTCTGACATGCTAAATGCATAGAAAATGATCGCTGAGATAATTTTTTATAATTTAATAGTTAGCAAGCCAAAGCTATATCTAAACATTCCCCTTTAGAATAGCTCATTGTAATCTGAATAAAGGCTTTCTATTTTATATAGGATGTAATGTTATTAGAAAGAGATAATTTATTTTTACTATTTTTACACTTAAGTGTCTTTCAGAAACAGAATGGACTCTGTTCCATTATTATGGTTGTATTAAGAGAAAAAAAAAATACCCCCAGAGCAAGTGGCACGAAATAACCTAGCCTCAGCTAGAAAACTTGAAGGCTGAGGTCTGGAATAAAATGAGATCATTTACTCACATGTCCGACACATGATGTTGGCTGTCAGCTGAGAATTTAGCTGCAGCTGTAGCCTGGAAGAGCTATACATGGCCGCTCCATGTTGCCTAGCCTTCCCCACAAATTAGTAGCCAGATCCCAAAGGTAAACATCCCAAGAAAGACCAAGGAAGAAGCCACATCATCTTTTATGATGTAGTCTCAGAAGGCACACAGCATTATTTCTGTCACATTCTATTGGTCCAAGCATTTACAAAACTCCAACCAGATTCAAAGACAGAGACTATCATTCCCAACATAGGTTAGACAATGTCATTTATTGTTGTCACATTGCAAGAAGAGCATGTGGGTGGGATGGGCTATGTATTAGTGCAGCCCTTTCTAGAAAATACAATCAGCCACAGGCTGGATTCCAGCAAGAATGTGTCACACATCAAAGACATCGTTGCCAGAAAATAACAATGTTTAACTAATATCAGTAGGCTTAGATAGAGTAATAATGTAAAGAAGAGAAACATCTTTCTTATTTTAAATTTTATTTATGCAGTATCCACAGCAAAAAAAATACACAATTGTGCAGGATTTTTCATAGATAGTATGTGTATATAAATTTTGAAACATAAATAATTTCAATTTGAAGAGAACATTCCAATAAACCATGTGTATGCAAGCATATAAACAGCTGCCACTATACAGCTTGAAGAGTAAACAGTGAGATCACTAAAGGGATGTGAAAAGATAGAAGCTTCTGTTAACCAATTACAAAAGTGAGGGGGTGCATCTTCAAATGCTGATGAGGATTTTTACAGATTCTTACAGGAAGACACTGCAGAATTTGTTAACAAATAAATTGAACTGCTGTGTTCAAATTGAACTGCTATGTATCCAATCGACTTGGATTGAAAAGATTCCAGTATTTTTTGCTTTCTGAAATTACCAAAATTTATTATGTCATGGAAACGTAATCTCTATTTTGCTCAACTCTATTAAGGCTGGGTACTAAAAATAAGCCACAAAAATTAAAAATTAAAAAAAAAGATGAGAGGATTACTCTTTCTCTTAACTGTGTAAAATGTGTAGTTCATAGTGGGCAATCAGACTCACAATACAGTTTGCTCCTGTGTAATACAAATCATAATTGAGGGCTATTGTTTTATGTACCCAGAATGCCCCTAGTTCCAATGCCTTCTTTTGAGAGCTTCCTCAGCCCTTTCTCCATCTATATATACTTTTTCTGGGAATGATTAAATTCTTAAAAGACTTCAACCTTCTGGCCAAAATTGATTGATACTGAAATGAAATCTGACCTAAGCCATGACAAGGAAACCATTTTTCTGGATTTGGAGACCTGAAATCAAAGAAGTCATCTGGTGGCAGGAGCTCTAATACATAAAACTGGGAGGTGTGAGTTGCCATGTTTTCAACCACAAAAGCTACTCTACTGCAACTAAAGAATGAAGCCAAAGTAGAAAGAAAAGTGGAAATGGAGAGACAGAGTCCTGATTTCACTGGAGTCCTGGATGCTCTTGAGAACTAATCACATAATTGCCCTCAGATTCTGTGATATGCCCCATTGATTAACCAGAAATTATTCATTGGGATACAAAGAACAGAAAACTCAAACAACAGCAGCTTCATTTTTTGTTTGTTTGTTTGCTTTTTCTTTTTTTCAAATTCCGTGATGTCCAGAGCTGAAGTAAGGATGCCATCTAGGACCTAAGTTACCTCCATCTTCCCTGTTCTACCACACTTAGCATAGAAGAGCATTTGTCATAATAAAGAGAATGTTGCACCTCTTAGGTTTGGTGAGACCCTGAAAGGCAATATATCTGATTTTCAGGCAGAACAGAATAAAGAATAGCTAAAGGGCAAAGTGTAAAACCCTTCTCTTTTTGAAATTTTATTTGAGAGAATGGGTCTTCCCAGGGACTCCCACCAGAGCACATGGTCACTCCTAGCTTACCAGAGGCTGAAATTTCTAATTTTCTGGTTTTCTACCTTAAGAATTTGGACCTCATACATTACTAGCACATAGGGAAGATGTTCAACATTTTTGATTGTGCAGAAATGAAAAATATCTACTACCCCCTAGTATACCTTGACTAATCTATCTGTCATTAAGCTTAATTTGAGTTTCTGAAACTTATGGGGCTAATTTCTTTTATTTATTTCTAAAGTTTATAATGGCAACCTCACTGTATCTTGTTTCTCTGTCATCTTGATATCTCAACTCTCACACATAAAAAGCAATAGCTAAAATGAACATCTTAAACACAAGAGTAGTAATATCTTGAGTAAGTATTTTTTGAGTGAGTGAAGGAAGGGGCTTAAATATAGACCCAAATTTTAATAACAAGGTTTCTTGTAAGTCTAGCTTTCACAAGCCCTTCTCCTCTTATAAGACATTACCTTTTCCTCTGAAAGGATGTTATATACCATCTGGTGTTTTTTCTACCACAAGAGAAGAATGCGACATGGTGTGTGGTGCAAGGTGAGCCTCCAACAAATGTTAGCTCTCACTGTTAAATCTGTCTCTGTGCCTGAGCTCTTCTAGCAGCTCCATATTCTTTTCTCCAATTACATCTTGGACATTTTTTGCTTGAACACCACCACCATGCAAACTAAAAACTGTTCATCATCTTTCCACAAAAGGTAGATTTTCTTACAAATTTCTGTGAAACACAATGACCGCAGTCACTAGGCTTGGCATTATGCCCATTGCTGAGGCCTCTTCAGCCTTCTTTCTTTCTTCTCCTCTTACAAACCACTTGTCCTGTGACTTGATTTTAGGCTGCCCATTTTTCTCTGTCCCAATACCTGGAATGCATGCCTTCCTAGGCTAACTAGCTTCTAACTTGAGACTTGGTCTTCGCCATTTTTTTTCATGCATATTTGGACCCTGTTACATGCCTCTGGCCTTCAATACTCCAACACAATAGTTCCAAAAAGATTGCCTGCTCAGAGTAGTCCTCAATCCTATTCTTCCTGAATTGTCTGTAATGTGGGAATTCTAATTTACCACCCTATAGATTTTTACTCTCTGGTCATACAGCCACAACCCTTCATCCTTTCTCATGCTCTTGTTTCATGTCACCTTCATTAATTTCCATATGACCAGCAGAACAAGCTACTTAATTTGTAGGGCCCAGTATAAAATGAAAATGTTGAGTTTTCTATTTAGAAATTATTCAGAATTTAAAGATAGCTACAGCAGAGTATTAAATGAAGTATGGGGCCCTTCTAGTGTGGAATCTTGTGTGACTCCATAGGTCTCAGGCCCATGAAGCCAGCCCTGATTATGAGTCTATTCAAGGGCTTTTTACCACACATTTTTCTCTTACTGAATGTACTTTCTAGCTGGTTTCTCTGACAGTAGCTCTCTAGTTGTCTTATAAATATATATTTTTTTAATTTCAGTGGTTCCCCATCCACTAGTCACTCATCTTTACTCCCTGGTTAAATTACCTATACTTCCTCTGAAGGACCATAGCTTTCATAGTCTGTGCCACATAGGAGACTGTCTTGGCAAAAAAATCTACTGTCTGGCATGTAGTTTTTTTCTATGGGAGATTGTTGGCCTCCTCCATCATAAGATTTGGCTCTATTTTTATCTCCCTAATACTCCTGATATGTAATGCATTTAATACCTGCATTGATTGTCTAAAGGGTTTTGAGTCTAATTACTTTCTGTATACTATACAAAGAAGGCCTTTAACTCCAGACATTTAAATGACTATTTTTCCAGGAAAGGTCTGAGAGGGCACTTCTGCTCATTCTTTGCTTTAGAATAAGACTGACCAAGATGCCCATGTATAGTGTGCAGAGAGAGAGAGAAAGAAAAATAGAAGAAAAAAACTGGACATATTCCCAGTTCCTCCTAAATTGGTAGATATCCTGGCTTTTTAATTTATTAGTAGTGCTTAGGCTTTAGATATATATGAATCTGCCTGTAAACTCAAAATGCATTCCAAGTGAAATGGGCTGGTCAGTTGCATATTAATGAATTTATGGTTTCTATTCTCATCTATTAGTGAAGATAACTATAAGTGGAATTTATAAAATGAACATAAAAAGAAATGAATGAATTAGTAAAAGTCTTATTTCTTCTTATTTATTAGAGAATTGGATAGTGTCTAAAATGTGTATTCAGCAACATTGGGACTTCTATTTATTTATTCACCATGTATTAATTACTATTAGTGGAATTGGAATTTAAAAATTAATAACATATGGTCTCTGATTTCTGCATATCAAGAGAAATAAAATCTTATGTCTTCTAGAAGACATGGGTCCTTTTCTCTGATATCGGAGGTAGTCAGAGTGGTGGCAGCAACAGAAATAAATTATTTTGGAACTGAACAAAAAATAACAAGAGCAAAGGTGATGAAAAGACCTTCCCAGGTGATGGAATACAGCCTTCCTCTACTCCGGGAGAAACTTTTGCTGAGAAACAAGCAACTGCAGCAGCCAAGAGCTGCTAGGTAGAAATTTCAGTGCAGACCCAGAACATCTATTTGGGAGTGTCATCTGCATGGGAGACATTAAAAGCAGGGGAATAAGGACAAGCAGGGCCAGAAAGATGCTAAATTTACCATAAATGTGGAATCCAGGTATTAGGAAACAGAACTGCTTCTGGGAGTTTTCTCAAATTAGGAAAAAATGTAATACTCTCCCAAGTCAATTTCATTTATTTTCTCTTAGAATGAATCGCCAATGCTGTACCCCCTGGGAATCTTTATAAAACTGGCTCATCCTCACAAAGAATCTTATAATCATACAAAAGAGTAAAAGACACAAAATGACTGTTAAGAAGAACGAGCTTTTAATAGGCAAATAGTTGACTATCCCTAAAATGCCATTAGAAGAAATATTATCTCTCATTTTCTCTGCCTCCCCACTTCCTGAACTAAAAAGAAGAATAATAGTGAAGTGGAGGGAGAAGAGGACAATCTCTGCAATTAGAAAGCAAAGGGAGACTTCCTTTTTCCCTCTGCCTCAATCGTAAGTTTGATAAGCTTGCCTTCCATGGCCTTATCTAAGTCATCAATAAACATGTTTAATAAAACAAAGCCATGGGCAAAGCCTCAAGTTACAACACTAGAAATTCTCATTATTCAAGATAATTTGGATTCAGTTGTTCAACCAGGTGAGACTCTAACTATATTTCTGGTCAAAAGTGGATAATTGATAAAAGAGGTGGCCAACCTCTTGATCAGGGTAGCGATTACATGGATGTGATCTTCCTTATTAAGCTGTACCCTTCTTGTAGGTTTGTATAATGTACTTCAATTTAAAACTTAAAAATTAATACCACGGGATTGCAAAATACAAAAAAAAAAAAGAAAGAAAGCAAACACACTGGCACTCTCCTAAAAAGGTCACTGACAAAAATGACACATTCTCCAATAATAGGTGAATATCATCAGTCCCATTAGAATGTTTTCATGAAACATACAACATTAGCCGTTTAACATTTTAAGAAGTGTGGGATGAATTAAAAAGAAGGAAGAATTCCAAGATAAAGGTCAAAGATAACCAGATGTGAATTGGGACCCCCATAAGGCCCAGGGAGGCTGGCATATAATGCATCAAGATTTAAAGGACTGCCTCTGGGAGTCACTCAAATGAAGAAAGTGTTTGAGATGTGGCAATAAGAGTGAGACAGGTACCCTGAATCCAACATCATATTCCCATTCCTTAAAGAGGAGATAATCAAAGAACAGGTTTCATGGAATCTGTGGTGTTAAAGCTCAGACCCCATGTGGGACACCTCTCTTGCCTGAAGGAAGGCAACTGAAGAACTAAGGCTTATAGGAAGGCTTACAGGGTACATTTTAACATGGCTTTCAGAATTGTTTGGGGGGTGGGTGGAAGAAGACGGTTTGCTAATTTTAAAATTTTGTTTTATTTTGCTTTTGGAGAACCGTATAATTTCAGGAGCATTTGTGGCTCTCTGGCCCCAAATGGCCACTGTTGTGTCTGAGTAAAAATACAGTGGAACTTAAGGAGAGTGGAAAGCTCTTATATGTCATTTATTCAACTTTAAAAGCTGGAGAGCAGTTCCAAAGTGTCCGAGAGCCAGCTAACCACAACTTTGCTGCAATTATTGTGGCATGGCAACAGGGAAGAATCTATACTAAAACAAGATCAATAATTAATTTAGCGAGGTTCTAACAAGGGAGGCTTGCTAATTAAATGTCCCTTGTTGCAGAGTTATACCTGTATTTTTCTGACACTGAAAGATACAGACCAACAGAGGTGAAAAAGAGAGGTAAACAGATAAGCTCACTAGGTCAGTTGTCCCATCCTATGTCAAATGTCCCCATGGACCTTTCACTGGGCCACTCTCATTTCCAGAAAATAAATGGCAAAGCCAAGGCTAGAAAGGAAATCCCCTTATTCTAAGGCCCAGTGCTCTTTCCACTGCATCACTATACCTTAATCCGGTCTTGCTAAAATAATAAAACATTTCTGAAAGAGTAAATCGGCCTAAGAAAATATATACAGAATTCATGTCAATACAACAAATTATTACCATTAATTTTATCTAGCACTATACTAACCACCATCCCTCCAATCCTGAACATCTCCTGGACAATTTAATTCCCTAAGATTAAAAACTATGTAAAACTTAGCATTAGTTGTGCACCTTCTATATGCCAGACACAGTGTTATTTGCTTTACGTATCTGATTATCACAGTCAGGTCTTTTATAATCCCAGTTTATAAGCTAAGCCTGCTGAAGTCAAATGACTCTCATAAGAGAATAGTGGAGACAGAGTTAGGTTGCTTGACTGTAGGATCCATGTTGCTAACTAGATCTTTACAGCATCTGTTCTAACCCTCAGTAAGGCCCCTCCATCCTGAATACATTCATTGGTTATACTTCAAAACCAACAGAAGTCACTGGACAAGTGAAATAAAAGTTAAAAACCACTTAAAACATTTAGTTAAAAACACAAATACTGTGCATTAATAAATGTAACTGCATACCTGGAATGCAATCTATAAATACCCAACAATCCATTGTTTTTGCATATAAAACCATGCAGTTGTCAAGCTGGTACCATTTGTACAGGTTTCAATGTTTACCCGTTGCATTTCTCAATGTAAGAATCAAGAAAAAATGTGAGCTAAACAAATCACATGGATTGCAAAAATCAAACATTTGTGAAATGGTATCTCACTGTGGTTTTGATTTGCATTTCTCTGATGGCCAGTGATGATGAGCATGTTTTCATGTGTCTGTTGGACGCATACATGTCTTCTTTTGAGAAGTGTCTGTTCATATCCTTTGCCCACTTTTTGATGGGGTTGTTTGTTTTATTCTTGTAAATTTGTTTGAGTTCTTTGTTGATTCTGGATATTAGCCCTTTGTCAGATGAGTAGATTGCAAAAATTTTCTCCCATTCTGTAGGTTGCCTGTTCACTCTGATGGTAGTTTCTTTTGCTGTGCAGAAGCTGTTTCATTTAATTAGTTAGAATGGCGATCATTAAAAAGTCAGGAAACAACAGGTGCTGGAGAGGATGTGGAGAAATAGGAACACTTTTACACTGCTGGTGGGACTGTAAACTACTTCAACCATTGTGGAAGTCAGTGTGGCAATTCCTCAAGGATCTAGAACTAGAAATACCATTTGACCCAGCCATCCCATTACTGGGTATATACCCAAAGGATTATAAATCATGCTGCTATAAAGGCACATGCACACATATGTTTATTGCAGCACTATTCACAATAGCAAAGACTTGAAACCAGCCCAAATGTCCATCAATGATAGACTGGATTAAGAAAATGTGGCACATATACACCATGGAATACTTTGCAGCTATAAAAAAGGATGAGTTCATGTCCTTTGTAGGGACATGGATGAAGCTGGAAACCATCATTCTCAGCAAATTATTGCAAGGACAAAAAACCAAACACCGCATATTCTCACTCATAGGTTGGAATTGAACAATGAGAACACTTGGACACAGGAAGGGGAACATCACACACCGGGGCCTGTCGTGGGGTAGGGGGAGGGGGGAGGGAAAGCATTAGGAGATATACCTAATGTAAATGACGAGTTAATGGGTGCAGCACACCAACGTGGCACATGTATACATATGTAACAAACCTGCATGTTGTGCACATGTACCCTATAACTTAAATAAAAAATAAATAAATAAATAAATAAAAATCAAACATTTGTGGCAGCATTAAAACCACTGGAATGGATATGCATATCACCTTCCAAGATTATCATTCCTGTCATGACTGGTTTTAATAGCCTATATGTTCTTCTAAATAAATGTTGATTTTTCTAAAACTACAAAATGATTAGTTGATAAATGTTTAAAGAAAAATATATTTGGGCACCATGAAAAAAACAGTCTAGTAATTTTGCATCAGATAAATTTTTCCAAAGCTTTATTTGTTCTCAGATAATACAGAATGTTTTAGATTTTAAATTTCGGACTTGGCATGTCCATACCTCAGTGAGAAACCTATTCTTTTGAAAGGAAAAGCTTTGTTAGCAGAGTGAACCAAAAGCATAACTATATGAAAATTATACTCTCCTTTAGATAGAAATCTATGCCATACATAGCTATCTGCATGGTGTGGTTTGACGCATACCAAAAAAAAAATACAAATTATAACAAAAATCTTTTTTTCACTTTCCTGCCTCAGTGCCAAAACTGTCACTGTCAGTCACTGCTCTGGATTGGATAAAAGACAGTTGTTAATTAGCATTGTTGCCTTTGAGGAAAATAGTAGCTGTTAGCTGTCAATAAGAAATACCTTGCAGATGGTTAAACTACAACATTAGCCCCCATGAGAGTGAGACATAGCATATTTAAATATTGATAAATGGAAGCAAAGTTTGGAAGCATAGAAAATCAATAAAAAGAAGTGAATAAGTGCTACTAGGGAGTCAGAACAGCATTAAAGACACTTTCAACAAGTAATTGCTAATTTACTTTCAGTTGTAATTGTGCTTTTAAATCTTGTCTATAATACAACACACTTTTAGTTATTAATGTTGTTAGGGTACTAGAAAAAACCACTTGTGGGATGATTACTATAATATTTAAGATAAGCAAAAAAACTAGTTTTGATATTAAATATCAGAAGTTTTCAAGTTAACTGAAATATTGAAGTTAATATTAAAATAAAATATAAGACTATTGGAGATCAGAATTTTTGGCAGGAGACACCAATTGATAAACTCTGTAATAGAGATACTGATACTTGGGCTTCTTAGTTCTTGGTCAAACTGTATAAAAGAAATTCAGCTAGACTGCTAGACAATTTTAAAAAAGAATTAAAATAGGTATCCCTCTCAAACTTTTAGTCAGGCTAATAAAACGTGTCGTTGAGGATAAGCTTTAAAACAAATGAGGAAAAACATAAGAAATGGTCAAGCATTTGTCCCTGAACTCCCTATCCCACTATTAGAAATGTATGGCTAACATTTGTTCACAGGTGACTGATTCCAGAACTTACTTCACTCTTGGAAGTCATAAAACATTTTTTCTCATTTTCCTGTAAGAGTTACTTAGAGAATGGTTCTCTTCTGCAATAAGTCAAAAAGAATGCAGATACCCTGCCAAAGAATGTTTCCAAGATGATAGAAAACCAAACTATTGGTTATCAGAACAGGCTTTTTTAGCTTATCTGACATTGTGATTGCTATGTAAGGTCCACTTGGAAGTACTTATCCAATGAAGAATGTAAGCTCTATATCCAGAAATAAAGACAAAGTGGTACCAAAAATCAAATCATAGCAGATGCTGCAGTATCATCACTGGCAGGTAGAATGCGGGGGTGGAAAATGCTTATTAAAGCCTGGTGCCTGTCAGACAAATAAGTTATTTGTTGTTGTATTGTTGTTACTGATTCTAAAACAAGAAGGCTTGAGTCTACATTTTAATATTGCCTAAAAGTCTTTCATATTATAAGTGCATAATATGAGCACCATGAGGAAAAAATACACAATTGTTTATAATGTTCTCATTTATTAATGAGCTAATTAGAAAAATAAATACTTTCCTGGTTCAAGGATTCACAGCAACAAATCTGTGTAAGATGCCAATGACCTATGCACTATTTTCTGAAATGACATGCATTTCCACCCACAGCTTTACAAAAGAAGCACAAGAAAAATTGTATCTCAAAAAATATTAGACCTGTCAGAGACTTTGAAATCATGTAATCTAGTTTTTCACAAAGTACAGGACCCAGACCCTGGTGGTACACTTACAGAGCATTAAATAATTTGGAGTAACATTACAAGAAAATGACTGCCTTGTTTTTTTTTCCTCTGATTAATTCAAGGAAACAAATCTCAATTACTTACCTTCTTTAACAAAGGGAGAGCTGGCCTCAAGTTTAGAACCTTAACTAGGCAATGGCACCAAGCATTGTTTTGATGTATGTGTTCCTTTTTACAGGTGGCTTCTATTATATTTATAGCACTATTGCTCACTTCCCATTTACAGTAGTAACTTGTAGTTTCCTAACTATATAAGTGTACTTTGGAAAAAATAAGTGTTTTTATACTAGATGTGATCATTTAGTTTAAAATGCTTCATTATAAACAGCAGGATGTGTATTTTGAAGTACTTGTTTCTAATCTATATATCAGGAATGATTAATTAATATTTGAAGTACTAATCAGGACTCAACATCTAAGGAGAACTACACTTAAAAGATAGCATGTCCATAATCAAAGCTGTACCAAAGGCTTTGCTAATTAGCATAAGGTATGTTAGAAATAATCTTTATTGGCTTAAATGTGTGTTCTTTAAAATAGGTGAGTTGGGAATACTGTGAAGACTCCACCACCCTTGCATAAACCCTGAGAAGCCAAGTGTAGCACACAAGATCAGGAGCACTTAAGATGAGAGCCAATTCTTCCCCCATTCTTCCATTGCATGGAGAACATTATAGCCTGATCTCATTACAAAGACGGCTGTTTCTGGCATCAGAACTGTGGGATACCCCTCTTGGAGTAAACTTTCTTGCTAGGGCTCGTGTCCTTAGGTCAAAAGTGTAACTTCAAAAGTACTGAATAGAATGGATGATGACATATTTTGGTGCTTAGTTGCTAATATCTTATTTCTTTAATCTTAAAGCACACACTTTTTTCTCACATTTTAACATATCTGGAATTGGATATGTCTTACATTTTCTAATTATGATTTGCAGTGTTTCTTTCACCCTTGCTGTTCCATAATATTATGGTGTATCTTGAAGTAGATGATATCTTAGTTTTGGTGAAATACAGTAAATGTTCATACATTTGACAGAATTTAGTCTGAGACTTTCACTCACTGTAATATATCATCTGATAAAAACAAGTTGTCAGAAAGAGGAAAATATCCTTCACCAACATATAACTACTGGAAGACTACCAATATTTACTGAAGACATGTTTGCTGAATGGCCCAATTAGCTTCAAGTAATTTTTGCATCATAATAAAACTTGAAGAATTCAGTAAATAACACTACAATTTGCAAGTAGGTATAGAAAATATTAATAAATAAATGACTGAAGACTGAGAAGCACTAATCTGGCCAAATCCCACAAGTAAGCAAACTACAAACCAGAGAAGTTAAGTGATTTGATGAACATTGTAGTAAACTGAGTGGCATAGCTTGTGTAATGACCAAAGTCCATTTAATTATTGTATGCTATAACCTAATTACCTATTGTTCCATAACAAATTATTTCAAAGCTCAGTGGTTGAAAATGACAAACATTATGTCACTGTTTCTGTGTGTTGAGAATTCCAGATGTGGCTTAGCTGGATGCCTCCAGCTTGGGGGTCTTTCATAAGGTTACAGTCAAGCAGCTAGCCAAGGCTGAGGCCTCATCTGAAGGCTGGACTGAGGGGGAATCAGCTTCCAAGCTCATTCACATGGTTGTTCGAAGGAGTTTTAAATAATGCAGATATCCCCTGAGCCAATATATTTCTTGATGTCATTTATTCTATATTATTATAGACACTCAGCAACTTTACAGATTATGCTGGCTCTTTCGGATATTCTAAGATTATCATGGCCATAGACAAAACTATTGAATGTATAAAAATTATGTTTAAATGTAGTGCCTGTTATTATATATATTTAGGAAAAACACTAAAAGATTAATAGCATTTTTTGGATAACAAAAGTATGGATGCTTTTGTTTTACTTTATATTTTTCTAGAGTTTTCAGGTTTTCTACAATACATGTAAAATGCAAGTTATTTTAATAAATGAATTTTAATGTTTTAAAACCCTTTAACAATTTAACACAAATTATACTTTCACGTTTCCTTTAAAATGCATTACTTGCTGCATTTAGGATTTTTTCTTGGAAGTTCAGAATTATATATCCTTGGATATATTTTTCCTTGAATAAGTCTAACACCAAAAGAGATTTTAACTCTATTCCAAATCACAATTCATGCCAAGTTGCAGAAGCAGACAAAATGGTAGAAGGAAAGGTCAGGTTCTTTCAGTCTCTTAAACAAGGTGACAAGGTCAGGAAACTTGAGCAAATTTTTTTCTTTTATAAGCTTGGCTTACTAAGCAGGCAGATCAATTCACAGCTTTCATTTCTGTCTTGCCACTTCTCACAGAAAAATATGGGCTGCATAAAGAATCATTGCAAGGGGAAGCCTCTTTGCAGAATCTCCAAGTGTGGACACTTGGATGGCCATCCCCCTTTCTCACCAGGTACAGCCCCGTTTGAAAGTGGTGTTTGGTGTCTAATAGCCCTGAAATGTTTTCTTTCCTCCCTGTGCCCCAGGGTTGGCTAATTATTAATGTGCCAATTATTCTAGAAAACATGTCCTGTCTGCTTGAGAGACAAGATTCAGGTCAAGTGTAAACTTAAAAAAAAATACCTTAAAATGATACTGAGTTAGCCTGAGGAGACATTTTTGGAACGTGAATTATTTATATTTAAACAATAAAAACAACTGCATGACTTTTTGTTTTTGAAGAGAGCACTGAGCTGTGATCTCACACAAAGAACTTCACATTTTTGTCCCTAACACATGATTTATTCTTTTTAAATCAAGATTGTTTACTTTATTAGCAGATCAGAAAGGCTTATTTTGTCTTAAATGTTTCCAGAATGTGATTCTTTCTGAGGATCCCACTGCAGTAATATAAACTTGTACATATGTTTGCTCACAATTATAAGCTTAGAAGAGATCATAATTCCATGACTTCATCACAGTGGCTTTCAGGGCTGGAATAGTAATTACAGCTGTGTTCACTGTACTCATTATGGTCTTCATAAAAAAAATTCTGTACATAAAGTAATAAGCTTCTTCAAATTATTTCAGAAAAAGGGTGGTATATAAATAAATATACTGGAATCTAAATGATTCATATTTATAGTTCAATGTATTATTTTTAGCAATTTGTGACAGCTTCCTTCCTTTAATTTAGCAACTCCAAATAAAAAACAAAATGTTAAAAGATGGCCAGGTAAAAGCAACTTTATGCAATCAAGCACAGCCATGAAGAAATCAGGAAGACTAATTTTTATATTAATTTTAAATAAATAGGAAGGTCAGTAAGAAAATTCCTCGAATTGCTTAATTGTTGGCATTTGTATTATGTATTAGAAACTCCTTCTAAGTCTTTGGATTTATAAAGAGGTTTTTTCAAACTTGAGTACTTCCTCACATGAAAACTCTTACTAAAAATATCAAGAGCCAGTACAATTGAAATATCTATAGATGCTCTCCCTCTCCCTCTCCCTCTCCCCACAGTCTCCCTCTCCTCACGGTCTCCCTCTAATGCCGAGCCGAAGCTGGACTGTACTGCTGCCATCTCGGCTCACTGCAACCTCCCTGCCTGATTCTCCTGCCTCAGCCTGCCAAGTGCCTGCCATTGCAGGCACGTGCCACCACGCCTGACTGGTTTTCATATTTTTTTGGTGGAGACGAGGTTTCGCTGTGTTGGCTGGGCTGGTCTCCAGCTCCTAACCGCGAGTGATCTGCCAGCCTCGGCCTCCCGAGGCGCCGGGATTGCAGACGGAGTCTCGTTCACTCATTGCTCAATGTTGCCCAGGCTGGAGTGCAGTGGCGTGATCTCGGCTAGCTACAACCTCCACCTCCCAGCCGCCTGCGTTAGCCTCCCAAAGTGTCGAGATTGCAGCCTCTGCCCGGCCGCCGCCCCATCTGGGAAGTGAGGAGCGTCTCTGCCTGGCCGCCCATCGTCTGGGATGTGAGGAGACCCTCTGCCCGGCTGCCCAGTCTGGGAAGTGAGGAGCGCCTCTTTCCGGCTGCCATCCCGTCTAGGAAGCGAGGAGCGTCTCTGCCCGGCCGCCCATCGTCTGAGATGTGGGGAGCGCCTCTGCCCTGCCGCCCCGTCTGGGATGTGAGGAGCGCCTCTGCCCGGCCACGACTCCATCTGGGAGGTGAGGAGCATCTCTGCCGGCCACCTCATCTGAGAAGTGAGGAGCCCCTCCGCCCAGCAGCCGCCCAATCTGAGAAGTGAGGAGCCCCTCCGCCCGGCAGCCACCCCGTCTGATAAGTGAGGAGCCCCTCTGCCCGGCAGCCGCCCTGTCTGGGAAGTGAGGAGCGTCTCTGCCCAGCAGCCGCCCCGTCTGGGAGGGAGGTGGGGGGCAGCCCCCGCCCGGCCAGCCGCCCCTGCTGGGAACTGAGGAGCCCCTCTTCCCGGCTGCCACCCCGTCTGGGAGGTGTACCCAGCAGCTCATTGAGAACGGGCCATGATGACGATGGCGGTTTTGTGGAATAGAAAAGGGGGAAATGTGGGGAAAGGATAGAGAAATCAGATTGTTTCTGTGTCTGTGTAGAAAGAAGTAGACATGGGAGACTCCATTTTTGTTCTGTACTAAGAAAGATTCTTCTGCCTTGGGATGCTGTTGATCTATGACCTTGCCCCCAGCCCTATGCTCTCTGAAACATGTGCTGTGTCCACTCAGGGTTAAATGGATTAAGGGCGGTGCAAGATGTGCTTTGTTAAACAGATGCTTGAAGGCAGCATGCTCGTTAAGAGTCATCACCACTCCCTAATCTCAAGTATCCAGGGACACAAACACTGCGGAAGGCCGCAGGGTCCTCTGCCTAGGAAAACCAGAGACCTTTGTTCACTTGTTTATCTGCTGACCTTCCCTCCACTATTGTCCTATGACCCTGCCAAATCCCCCTCTGCCAGAAACACCCAAGAATGATCAACTAAAAAAAAAAAACTCAGCCCAAAATTTGACCAGGTTTCATCACATAAATTAAATAAAAGAAAGAAAACAAAAAAAAAAAAAAAAAGAAAAGAAAAAGGAGAGCTTTACCTCTAGGCAAGAATGCTTCACTCTGATTAATTCCTACCCCCAACCACACCCCTCACCACAAGATAGAATCTTGTCTTTTGTGAGGTCTTAGTCATGTTCCTTTGACCCACTGCAGGCCATAATTCTGCAACTAGAGACATCTCTAATTCTCTCCTTCCACCTTCCCCTAGAGAAATGTCAGGACTGACAGATGGACCCTAGTTTGTGATCTCTATGACCAGAGTGGGTTCTGAGGCAGGACCAACCCTTACGGTTGAGCAGTCTGAGCATCTGACAAAAGGGAATGGTGGGTAGTCTGGTAACCTGCCCCTAACCTGCTCATCAGAGATGGTTTGCTGAACCAGGAGAAAGCTTGGCCCTTTCTAATTATAAAATAAAGCAGAATTTCACTCAAAAAAAAATAAAATAAAATAAATATCTATAGATAAATAAAACCTACCTCTTTTTTCCATATTGCCCCAATGCCATTCTTATGTAATGAAACATTTAATTAATCATGAGTGTCATGATGATCAGTTATTAATAATAGAAAAGAAGTTAGTATATTAAATCCTAATGTTTAATAAATGAGAAAAAGAATAAAGCAGCATATTAATAGAGTAGATACAGAAAGAACAAATGAAGAAATTTTGGTATAATGTTATTTAAAATACACTTTCAAAGGTGCATGTGATATACAGCTATTTCTCAAACTTACTTGCCAGAAGCTCTTCTTCTGTTGTTTATATATATATATATTTATTTTGTCATTTGGCTTCTTGTGGGACTGTATTCTAACAACAGTTCTTTGCTTGGCCAAACTTTAGTCAGGCTTCTGGACTTTCTCCTGGGCCTGTCTGTGCACATCATTCTAAAACCCAGTTTTAGCAAATAATACGGCCAACACAGTTTAGCAAGAATTATTCATCCTTGATATCTGATCACCCTCAGTATCTGATCAAAATTTTTCTCTGCCCACTCCTGTTAGCTGATCACCCTCGCCTGTTTTCAGCAGGAATCCTGTTAGGTTGGTTCTGCCAGAATTTCCCCCAGACTTGGTATCTCTTCTTAAAAATTTTCTGAGCATTTTTTTCATGTGTTTTTTGGCTGCATAAATGTCTTCTTTTGAGAAGTGTCTGTTCATGTCCTTCACCCACTTTTTGATGGGGTTGTTTGTTTTTTTCTTGTAAATTTGTTTGAGTTCATTGTAGATTGTGGATATTAGCCATTTGTCAGATGAGTAGGTTGCGAAAATTTTCTCCCATTTTGTAGGTTGCCTGTTCACTCTGATGGTAGTTTCTTTTGCTGTGCAGAAGCTCTTTAGTTTAATTAGATACATGGATGAAATTGGAAATCATCATTCTCAGTAAACTATCGCAAGGACAAAAAAACCAAACACCGCATATTCTCACTCATAGGTGGGAATTGAACAATGAGAACACATGGACACAGGAAGGGGAATATCACACTCTGGGGACTGTTGTGGGGTGGGGGGAGGGGGGAGGGATAGCATTGGGAAATATACCTAATGCTAGATGATGAGTTAGTGGGTGCAGCGCACCAGCATGGCACTTGTATACATATGTAACTAACCTGCACATTGTGCACATGTACCCTAAAACTTAAAGTATAATAATAATAAATAAATAAATAAATAAATACATAAAAATTTTCTGATCCCTGCTCTTTGGCTATAAATCCCTACTTATCCCTGATGTATTTAGAATGAAGCCCAGTTCTATATGGGGGTCTCTCTTCCCCTATTGCAATAGTCCTGAATAAAATTTCCCTTTACCACTTTAATTTCTGTCTCTGCTTTTTTTTGATAGTCCTAAGAAATGTGTTTGAAAAATATACCAACATTACCTGACAAAATTTATAGGGCAAGTTGGTACATTGTAGCCTGAAATTCTACTCATTCAATAAAATTTAAGGGACTATTATGTGCTCTTCTACAAGTAAGGACTAAGGTGATGTTATAATACACAGGCATTTTCCTTAATGAGTTTCCAATGAAGTGGTCGTTTTAGTTCTTTCAGCAAGAAATTACTATCAGCTCCGTATCTAAAGGGGCTCATGTAGTAAAATAAATTAAACCTGTCTCTGAAGTAAAATGTTAACATAATTCCTCTTCTGTAATTCTTTGTTCTCTTCACATAAGCAACTGTTACTACTCTAGACACAGATAAACTGTTAGATGGAATTCTCCAAGAATAGTTCTTACCAGCTTTACCAGCCCTAAGCATTAAAGCTGCATCTGAAAGGAAACCTAGTAGACATATTTACCTGCAAAGACACCTGGAGGCATTACTAACCCCAGAAATTTATGAAGACAACAGCAGAATTCTCAAGAATCACCATGCACGTTGTAAAGAAAAGCTGCTTCTCTTCACAGTACCATGTTTTTTCATACTACCTGACAGAACTAAATATAAGTCTTCCATTAACCCCAAGGTGTGCAGAATCAGGGGACAAACGAGACATAAAATTCGCAGATTTTCATTTTGAAAGCACAGTCTAGCTGTATCATAGTAATATTTGAAGGAAAATGTGATAACATGGGAATTTTTTATCACCACCTTCTACCCCAAAACTACCTAAAAACACTTAGGTCCTAGAAGGTGGAGGGCACCTTTTAGGTGCCCCAGGCAGATCTCTACTGAAAGATAGATTTAGAGGAGTCCCAGAGTAGAAGAAGTGTACAGTCTGCCTGTCCGGACTGTAAGGGTGGCAACCTTGCCAAAGTTTCTCCTACCTCCCTGGTAAAGTGGGGACAGAATGGCTGCAGGGGAGCCTGGCCAGCTGGCCTGTAGCCCAGAGAATCTTCCACAGTCCCATCTTAAAGTGCCAAGTAAAATAGCAAAGGAGCCTGATACTAGCTAAGAAACAATCTGTAGATCTGGAGAGGCCATGTCACCAGGAGCAGAGCTCAGACAGGCAAACACAGGCATCTGGACAGGTGCCAACATGGATTGATAGTTCTGCCAAAGCTGGAGATCTTAGATGCTTTCTTTTTTTTTTTTTTTTTTTTTTTTTTGAGATGGAGTCTTGCTCTGTCGCCCAGACTGGAGTACAGTGGCCCAATCTTCACTCATTGCAAGCTCCACCTCCCGGGTTCATGCCATTCTCCTGCCTCAGACTCCCGAGTGGCTGGGACTACAGGCATCTGCCACCATGCCCAGCTAATTTTTTGTATTTTTAGTAGAGACAGGGTTTCACCGTGTTAGCCAGGATCGTCTTGATCTCCTGACCTCGTGATCCGCCCACCTCGGCCTCCCAAAGTGCTGGGATTACAGGCGTGAGCCACCGCCCCTAGCCAATCTTAGATGATTTCATGAAGAAAAGGACAGAGAAATGGGAATTAAAAAAAAACACTTGGTGAAACATTGGATGATGTCTAGGCTCACCTGGAATTATCTAGATAAAGTTTCCTACTATCTAGCAGAAAGAGGGCTGGCTAAGTGAGCTCAAATTGATATGCAAGAAAAGGGAAGGAGTTACATTTTTCACATACCCCTGTGAAAATAGTGGCCACTAAACAGTGACCTATGGTATGTTTAGTAAGTTCTGATATTTACCTCTAATTCTTCCTTACCAGAAAACTGGTAATAACTAACCCAGAGTAAGCAAGACAAAGAACCTATTCTTTTCTGGAATCTCTTTGTGACCCTCTTGTCCCCTGCTATCAGCATTGATATGGTTGCTAAAAGATTACTGCATTTCTAAGAAATCATCTTTCACTTGTACATTTTTAAATCATAGTTTTTAAGTGTTGAATTATCAGCGGGTTTCTATAAAAGTTTTGGCTTCCTGCCATTTTACTCAACAAAATACTGCCTGTGTGTATGCAATGCTGCAGCCTTATAATTTAACTAAACTAAATAATTTGTGTTTGTATTTCTGAGGACTGTATTCTCTCTGTTCTAGCAGAAATCTTGTGAATATTAGACAAGGGAAAAGAAATCATGAGTAATTCTAATGGAAAGAGTCAAATACTATTTGTCACTTAAGGAGACTCACTAAGTACCTTCTGGGTTGTGGAAAGAGGGTGAGAAACAATAAATGAATCTGAGCTGAAAAGTAGACCTTCCATTGCATACTTATGTGAACAATGGAATTCTTACATAGCACCGTTAAAAATTACTCCAGAAGTAGCAGCCAAGAAACATCTAATATCAAACAGATCACACCAACTTCTAAAGACAGTTACCACTTTATACTGCAATCACTGATTTCCTTGCCTATTTTCTAAACTAAATTAACAACTCCTTGAAAGCAAGGACAATATCTTCTTCATTATTGTCATTATTAATCTCTACAACAATGCTTAGGACATAATAATTAATATTCATGAAAATAAAAAATTAGTGAAATAAATTTTTAATTATTACAATAGACTTATCCAGCTGTGTGTAAAATATACAACATCAATCGGAACCACAAGTTAATCATTCTTTCTCATATCCTGCTCTATGTTTAAATGAGATCATTTCACCAAAATTTGGAACTTCCTCCAATCATTAAGAAGAAACCACAACATCCATTTAAAGGTAAACAGGAAACCACGTCTAAGGCTGTTTGTGGGCTAGTGAAATATTTTCATTTAAATGGAAATTTTTCCATATATAGGCAGGTTAACCAATTTGAGTTCAGACTTAAGTCAGCAAGTGATGTCACTACCTCTTTTTACATTTTAAGTGTTTTGTGTGTATTTTTGCATATTAACCTGAAAGAGAGGGCATTAAGATTCAAAGTAGTAATCTGCTCCCAGTAGACTAATAAGCCAAGACTTGTTTGCATGTGATTTGTATATTTGGAATTCTTTTCATTCATCTTGTCTAATTTAATCTTCTCAAAGTTTTCATGAATTAGAGAGATTCCTATTTTTCATTTAATAGATGAATAAACAGGTTCAGGGACTGGCTCAAGTTCACATGGCTTTTAAATGGTGAAATCCAGGTCTTCTAACTCCATAGCACACTAACTCTGTTTCCTACACCAACATGCTGTCTTTCCTGGAGAAAAATATGTCATTTTGGACGGTTTTGTCTATAAAAATAAGAAAAAAATTATTTTGTTTCACATAAAGATGCGTTTGGCATTTTTAATTATGATTGTGAATCAGTGACAGTAAAGAAGAAAAACCAAGGGTAACTGCTGTGTGTCTGTTAAAATGTGTAGAGCATAAAGATACAACTTAAAG
The DNA here is from genome assembly GCF_000001405.40 of Homo sapiens. Classification (NCBI taxonomy): domain Eukaryota; kingdom Metazoa; phylum Chordata; class Mammalia; order Primates; family Hominidae; genus Homo; species Homo sapiens. The sequence goes on along the minus strand of NC_000006.12, from coordinate 74,249,243 downwards.
TAATGTATTTTCCTGAGAAGATAAATGAGTTTGTACATGCATTATCTCATTTCCTGTGGCAAAGCTTTCTCATCCTGCTTTAAGCACAGACTGGGACATCGAGCCAGCAGGTAACTCCTGATGGAATCCTGGCAGGAGAATTCTGGCTTTACAATAGCTTTCTATCACCCACAAACACTAAGGGAATATGCAAATATTCCATGGAGATCTAATGACTGCAAAAGTGGAATAAATTATGAATTACCTTTTTTTAAAAAAAAATCACACCACACTGTCTTTTACTTCATACATAACCTTGACTTCTTTCTAATTCATGTAAATAATCTGGCTACTAATTCATGAGGAAAAGAGAGAATTTTTTTTTATTCCTAGCATATTGCCTAGTTTCTGGCACATAGGTGCTTCATAAGGGCAAAAATTCAGTATAAATGTACCTATAAAATATTATTTATTATGAAGAAAACCTCCCACTTTCCCACTTGCCTTCTAAAGAAGTAGATTGTTTGATGATCAGTGTGGTGGGTATGAGGATAAAAAGACAATAAAGAAAAGCATGAGGAAATATAAAGATATAAATATTTGATAAGAATTCCAGGAAGCAGAGAAGGATAAAATGAAACTGGAGAACCTGCAATGATGAGTTTCAACAGAAAAAGCAGACAGAAGCTAAAAAAGAAGTTGGAGAGGGATGGAACAAGAACTTTTAGTGGCTTTGTTTTTGAAGGTTTGCTTTATAACCTATGACACTACATTCTGCATCACCCACAAAATCTTTAGTATAGATGTTATACTCTAACACTGTGAAATTGGACTTGTTTGGGAGACATGTACAGATATTCTAAGTTTACTTCAAGGAGGGCAAAGAAGTTACTTAGATCTGTTTCTACTAGCTTAGCTTAGCTTACAGGATCTTTTCATATGTGTAAATTCATAGACTTTTAGAACAAGAAAGATCCTCAGAATTCCTTATCTAACCTTCTAGCTGTACAGAAGAGGAAGCTGGAACACAGAAAAATTTAACTGACTTTTACTCTGTTTCATCAGATCTAAGTGTCATTATGAGATGCACCATTTTTACTACATCACAAGGAAAGAAAATAGAATACTATTAATTAATTTATACACAGCTTTTTTATTATTTAGAACTTTGTTATAGCAATTCTATTGAAAAAATAAACTTTTTGTAATTAAAAAAGTGGCATTAAGAATAAAATACCGGCGTTACTTCTGAGGGCTCTGTTCTGTTCCATTGCTCTATATCTCTGTTTTGGTACCAGTACCATGCTGTTTTGGCTATTGTAGCCTTGTAGTATAGTTTGAAGTCAGGTAGCGTGATGCCTCCAGCTTTGTTCTTTTGGCTTAGGATTGACTTGGCGATGCGGGCTCTTTTTTGGTTCCATATGAACTTTAAAGTAGTTTTTTCCAATTCTGTGAAGAAAGTCATTGGTAGCTTGATGGGAAAGGCATGGAATCTATAAACTACCATGTGCAGTATGGCCATTTTCACGATATTGATTCTTCCTACCCATGAGCATGGAATGTTCTTCCATTTCTTTGTATCCTCTTTTATTTCATTGAGCAGTGGTTTGTAGTTCTCCTTGAAGAGGTCCTTCACGTCCCTTGTAAGTTGGATTCCTAGGTATTTTATTCTCTTTGAAGCAATTGTGAATGGGAGTTCACTCATGATTTGGCTCTCTGTTTGTCTGTTATTGGTGTATAAGAATGCTTGTGATTTTTGTACATTGATTTTGTATCCCGAGACTTTGCTGAAGTTGCTTATCAGCTTAAGGAGATTTTGGGCTGAGACAATGGGGTTTTCTAGATATACAATCATGTCGTCTGCAAACCGGGACAATTTGACTTCCTCTTCTCCTAATTGAATGCCCTTTATTTCCTTCTCCTGCCTGATTGCCCTGGCCAGAACTTCCAACACTATGTTGGAAGAGGGCATCCCTGTCTTGTGCCAGTTTTCAAAGGGAATGCTTCCAGTTTTTGCCCATTCAGTATGATATTGGCTGTGGGTTTGTCATAGATAGCTCTTATTATTTTGAAATACGTCCCATCAATACCTAATTTATTGAGAGTTTTTAGCATGAAGGGTTGTTGAATTTTGTCAAAGGCTTTTTCTGCATCTATTGAGATAATCATGTGGTTTTTGTCTTTGGCTCTGTTTATATGCTGGATTACATTTATTGATTTGCGTATATTGAACCAGCCTTGCATCCCAGGGATGAAGCCCACTTGATCATGGTGGATAAGCTTTTTGATGTGCTGCTGGATTCGGTTTGCCAGTATTTTATTGAGGATTTTTGCATCAATGTTCATCAAGGATATTGGTTTAAAATTCTCTTTTTTGGTTGTGTCTCTGCCCGGCTTTGGTATCAGAATGATGCTGGCCTCATAAAATGAGTTAGGGAGGATTCCCTCTTTTTCTATTGATTGGAATAGTTTCAGAAGGAATGGTACCAGTTCCTCCTTGTACCTCTGGTAGAATTCGGTTGTGAATCCATCTGGTCCTGGACTCTTTTTGGTTGCTAAGCTATTGATTATTGCCACAATTTCAGAGCCTGTTAATGGTCTATTCAGAGATTCAACTTCTAATGCCGCATATCTACAACTATCTGATCTTTAACAAACCTGAGAAAAATAAGCAATGGGGAAAGGATTCCCTATTTAATAAATGGTGCTGGGAAAACTGGCTAGCCATATGTAGAAAGCTGAAACTGGAACCCTTCCTTACACCTTATACAAAAATTAATTCAAGATGGATTAAAGACTTAAACGTTAGACCTAAAACCATAAAAACCCTAGAAGAAAATCTAGGTATTACTGTTCAGGACATAGGCATGGGCAAAGACTTCATGTCTAAAACACCAAAAGCAATGGCAACATAAGCCAAAATTGACAAATGGGATCTCATTAAACTAAAGAGCTTCTGCACAGCAAAAGAAACCACCATCAGAGTGAACAGGCAACCTACAAAATGGGAGAAAATTTTCGCAACCTACTCATCTGACAAAGGGCTAATATCCAGAATCTACAATGAACTCAAACAAATTTACAAGAAAAAAACAACCCCATTAAAAATGGGCGAAGGACATGAACAGATACTTCTTAAAAGAAGACATTTATGCAGCCAAAAAACACATGAAAAAATGCTCATCATCACTGGCCATCAGAGAAATGCAAATCAAAACCACAATGAGATACCATCTCACACCAGTTGGAATGGCAATCATTAAAGTCAGGAAACAACAAGTGCTGGAGAGGATGTGGAGAAATAGGAACACTTTTACACTGTTGGTGGGACTGTAAACTAGTTCAACCATTGTGGAAGTCAGTGTGGCGATTCCTCAGGGATCTAGAACTAGAAATACCATTTGACCCAGCCATCCCATTACTGGGTATATACCCAAAGGACTATAAATCATGCTGCTATAAGGACACATGCACACGTATGTTTATTGTGGCACTATTCACAATAGCAAAGACTTGGAACCAACTCAAATATCCAACAATGATAGACTGGATTAAGAAAATGTGGCACATATACACCATGGAATACTATGCAGCCATAAAAAATGATGAGTTCATGTCCTTTGTAAGGACATGGATGAAACTGGAAACCATCATTCTCAGCAAACTATCACAAGGATGAAAAACCAAACACTGCATGTTCTCACTCATAGGTGGGAATTGAACAATGAGAACACATGGACACAGGAAGGGGAACATCACACTCTGGGGACTGTTGTGGGGTGGGGGGAGGGGGGAGGGATAGCATTAGGAGATATACCTAATGCTAAATGATGAGTTAATGGGTACGGCACACCAGCATGGCACATGTATACATATGTAACTAACCTGCACATTGTGCACATGTACCCTAAAACTTAAAGTATAATAATAAAAAAAAGAATAAAATACCATAGATTAAAATAAGCTTAAGACATTTTAACCAAATATAGTATGTGAACCTTGTTTAAAACCTGATTCCAACAAATGGATTATAAAAATTAATTTTTTATGCCACTCCCTTTTTAATAAATGGTGCTAACTGACTTGCTACATGCAGAAGATTGAAACTAGACCCCTTCCTTACACCATATACAAAAATCAACTCAAGATGACTTAAAGACTTAAATGTAAAACCTAAATCTATAAAAATTCTTGAAGAAAACCTAGGAAATATCATTCTGAATACAAGTCCTGGCAAAAATTTCATGACAAAGATGCCAGAAGAAGCTGCAACAAAAGCAAAAAGTAAGTGAAACCTAATCAAATTAAAGAGCTTCTGCAGAGCAAATGAAACTATTAACAGAGTAAATAGATAACTTAGAGAATGGGAGAAAATATTTGCAAACCATGCAACCAAATAGATCTAATTTCAAGAATATATAAGGAACTTAAACAAATGAACAATAAAAAAAATAACCTTATTAAAAAGTGGGCAAAGAACATTAACAGATGCTTTTCAAAAGAAGACATATACATGGACAATAAACATATGAAAAAATTGCTCAACGTCACTAATTACTAGAGAAGCACAAATCAAAACCACAGTGGGAGAAGTGGAGCAAGATGGCAGAATAGAAAACTCCACCAATCATCCTCCCACAAGGACACCAAGTTAAAAACTATCTACACAGAAAAAAACACCTTCATAAGAACCAAAAGTCAGATGAGGACTCATGGTCCTGGTTTTAACTTCATATTGCTGAAAGAGGAACTGAAGAGATAGAAAAAACAGGCTTGAATTTATGGATGCTACCCCTTTTCCACCCCTGGCAGAGTCTACATGGTGCAGAGAGCTTCTCTGGGCACGGGGGTAGGAGGAACAAAGCGATTGTGAGGCACTGAACTCAGCGCTGTTCAGTTGGAATAGAAAGGAAAGCCAGACCAAACTCAGCTGATGTCCACCACAGAGGGAGCATTTAAACCAGCCCTAGCGGGAGGGGAATCACTAATCCCAGAGGTCCACAGTTGAGTGCCCACAAACCTCACCACCAAGGGCCAAAGTGCTGTCAGTATCTAAGTAAACTTGAAAAGCAGTCCAGGCCATAAGGACTGCAACTCTTAGACGAGTCCTAGGACTTAACTAGCCCCAGAGACACTGGACTGTGAGGGCACGCAACATACTAAGACACCAACCGGGGTTGCCAATAGAGTATTGGCATCACTTCTCCTCTAACCCCAGGATGCATAGCTTGTGGCTCTAAAAAAAGCCCCTTCCTTCCACTTGAGGAGAAAAGAGGAAAGAGTGGGGAGGACTATGTCTTGCATCATGGATACCTGCTCAGCCACAGGAGGATAGGGCACACGTAAGAGACTTGAGGTCCCTTGTTTCAGGCCCTAGCTCCAAGACGATATTTCTAGACACACCCTGGGTCTGAAGGGAAACTGCTGCCTTGAAGGAAAGGACCCAGCTCTGCCAGCATTCATCATCTGCTTACTGAAGAGCCCTTGGGCTCTGAATAACCAGCACAATACCCAGATACTACATGGAGGGCCTTGGGCGAGCCTCTGAGACTTGCTGACTTCAGGTGAGATTTAGCACATTACCAGCTGCTGTGGCTATGGGGCAAAATGCCTTCTGCTTGAGAAAATCAGAGGGAAAAGGAAAGGGGACTTTGTTGCGGACCTTAAGTACTACTGTGGCCATAGTGTGGTAGAGCACCAAGCTGGGTTTTGGGGTCCCTGATTCCAGGACTTGACTCTTGGATAGCAATTCTAGACCTACCCTGGGCCAGAGGGGAGCCCACTGCCCTGAAGGCTGAGTCCCAGGCCAGGCAGCATTCACTACAAGCTGACTTCAGAGACCCTGGGCCTTAAGGGAATACTGACAGTAGTCTGGCAGCATTCCTCATGGCCTGGGGTAGCGATGGCTATGGGTTAAGGCTCCTCTTACTTTAGAAGGGAGAGGGAAGAATCGGAAGAACTGCATCTTGCGGTTTCAGTGCCAGCTCAGCTGCAATATGATAGAACAACAGGTAGACTTCTAATATTTCTGACCTTAGTCCCTGATTCACTGAAGGCACTTCAGCAGCCACCTGGGGCGTGGGGGACATCACTGTCCTGAAGGGAAGGACACAGGCCTGGTTGGCTTTGCCACCCGCTGATAGTAGAGCCCCAGGGCCATAAGCAACCATAGGAAATAGCCCAGGAGTGGTTATAGCAGGCCTTGGGTGACACACTGCACTGTGCTGGCTTCAGGTATGACCCAGCACAGCCATAGTGGTGGTGGCCACAAGGGTGCTTGTGTCACTCCAACTCCATCTGTGGGTGTCTCAGAACAGAGAGAAAGACTCTGTATGTTTGGGATAAAGTAAGACAAAAGAACGAGAGCCTCTGTCTGGTAATCCACAAATTATCCTGGATCTTTTATCCAAGACTATAAAAGTCGTATCTCTATGAGTCTGAAAGAACCACAGCATTATTGGGCTCGGGGTGCCCTCTAAAACAGATACAGTTTAAATCAAAACACCCAAGTTCATTCAAATATCTGGAAAGTCTTCCCAAGAAATATGGCTACAAGTAAGCCCAGACAGTGAAGACTACAATAAATACGTAACTCTTCAATGCCCAGAGACTGAAGAATATCTACTAGCATCAACGCCACCCAGAAAAACATGACCTCACCAAGTGAACTAAATAAGGCACCAGGGACCAATTCTAGAAAAACAGAGATATGTGAACTTTTAGACAGAGAATTCAAAATAGCAGTGTTGTGCAAACTCAAAGAAATTCAAGAAAATATGAAAAGGAATTCATAATTCTAGCAGATAAATTTAACAAAGAGATAAAATAATCAAAAAGAATCAAACAGAAATTCTGCATCTGAAAATTGCAATAGGCATACTAAAGAATGCATCAGAGACCTTAAAAAGAAAAATTAGATCAAGTGGAAGAAAGAATTAGTGAGCTTGAAGACAGGCTATTTGAAAATACACAGAGGAGACAAAAGAAACAAGAAATAAAAAACAAGCACACCTACAAGATCTATAAAATCTTAAAGAGGAGGTAGAGAAAGAGATAGGGGTAGAAAGTTTATTCAACAAGATCGTAACAGAGAACTTCTGAAACCTAGTAAAGATGGCAATATCCAAGTACAAGAAGGTTATAGAACACCAAGCAAATTTAACCCCCCCCCAGAAAAAAACTTCCTCAAGGCATTTAATAATCAAACTCCCAAAGGTCAAGGATAAAGAAAAGATCCTAAAAGCAGCAAGAGAAAAGAAAAAAAATAACATACAAGGAGCTCCAATATGTCTGGCAACAGACTTTTCAGTGGAAAACTTAAAGGTCAAGAGAGAGTGGCATGATATATTTAAAGTGCCAAAGGAAAATAACTTTTACCCTAGAATAGTATATCTAGCAAAAATATCCTTCAAACATAAGGGAGAAATAAAGACTACCTCAGAAAAACAAAAGCTGAGGGATTTCATCAATACCAGACCTGTCCTACAAGAAATGCAAAAGAGAGTATTTCAATCAGAAAGCAAAGGACATTAATGAGCAATAAATAATCACATGAAGGTACAAAACTCACTGGCAGTAGTTAGTGCACAGAAAAACGTAGAATATTACAACACTGTAACTGGGATGTGTACACTACTGTTATTCTAAATAGAAAGATTAAATTATGAGCCAATCAAAAATAATAACTACAACTTTTCAAGACAAAGTACAATTAAATATAAATATAATAAAAAGTTAAAAAGCTGAGGAATGAAGTTAAGGTGCAGAGTTTTTATTAGTTTTCTTCTTGCTTGTTTCTTGATGCAAACAGTGTTAAGTTGTTATCAGGTTAAAATAATGGATTATAAGGTAGTATTTGCAAGCCTCATGGTAACTTCAAACACAAAACATAAAAAGCAAGAAACTAAATCATATCACCAGAGAAAATCACCTTCACTAGAGGAAGACAGGAAGAAAGGAAAGAAAGAAGAAAGAGAATACCAGAAAACAAATAACAAAATGGCAAGAGTCAGTCTGTACTTATCAATAATAACACTAAATGTAAATGGACTAAACTCTCTGATCAAAAGACATACCATGGCAGAATGATTTTAAAAAATACAAGACCCATTAATCTGTTGTCTGCAAGAAACACACTGCACCTATAAAGACAAATATAGACTGGAAATAAATGGATGGAGAAAGATATTCCATGTAAATGGTAAACAAAAAGAGCAGGAGTTGCTATGCTTATAGCAGACTAAATAGATTGCCACACAAAAACTAGAAAAGACAAAGAAGGTCACTATGTAATGATAAAGGGGTCAAATCAGCAAAAGGATATAACAGTTTAAAATATATATGCACCTGCCACTTGAACACCCAGATATGTAAATGAAATATTATTAAAGCTAAAAAGAGAGATAGGCCCCAATACAATAATAGCTGGAGACTTAAAAACCCTACTTTCAATACCAGACAGATCTTCCAAACAGAAAATCAACACAGAAACATCAAACTTAATCTGCACTATAGACCAAATGAATCTAATAGATATTTACCAAAGATTTCATCCAAAAGCTGCAGAATACCTATTCTTTTCCTTAGCACATGGATCATTTTCAAGGATAAACCATATGTTAGGTCACAAAATCAGTCTTAAAACATTCAAAAAAACTGAAATAATATCAAGCATCTTCTCTGATTACAATGAAATAAACTAAAATTTAATAACAAGAGGAAGTTTGGAAGCTATATATATATGCATGGAAATTGAACAATATGTTCCTCAATGACCAGTGGATAAATGAAGAAATCAAGAAGGAAATAAAAAAAAATCATGAAACACATGATAATGGGAACACAGCATACCAAAACTTAGGGGATACAGCAAAAGCAGTACTAAGAGGGAATTTTATAGTTATAAGTGCCCATATCAAAAAAGAGGAAAAACTTCAAATGAACAATCTGATGGTGCATCATAAGAACTAGAAAAGCAAGAGAAGGCCAAACCCAAAACTAGTAGAAGGAAAGAAATAAAGAATGGAGCAGAAATAAATGAAATGGAAATAAAAAAAAATTCAAAAGATCAATGAAATTAAAAGTTGGTTTATTGAAAGTTCAACAAAACTAACAAACTTTTAGCCAGACTAAGATAGAAAGAGAGAACACACAAATAAATAAAATCAGCAATGAAAAAAGAAGACATTACAACTGATACTGCAGAAATTGAAAGGATCATTAGTGGCTACTATGAGTAACTACATCCCAATAAACTGGAAAATCTAGATAAATGGAAAAATTCCTAGATTCATACAACCTACCAAGATTGAACCAGGAAGAAATCCAAAACCTGAACAGACCAAAAACACATAACAAGATTGCAGCCATGATAAAAAGTCTTCTGGTAAAGAAAATCCCTGGATGTGATGGCTTCATTGCTGAATTCTGCCAAACATTTAAAGAACTAAAACCAATCATATTCAAACTATTCCAAAAAGTAGAGGAACAGGATATACATCCTAACTAATTCTATGAAGCCAGTATTTCCTGATACCCAAATCAGAAAATGACACATCAAAAAAAGAATATTACAGGCCAAGATCACTGATAAATATTGATTCGGAAAACCTCAACAAAATAATACCAAACTGAATTCAACAATACATTAGATCATTCATCACGATCAAGTGGGATTTATCGCTGGGATGCAAGGATGTTTCAACATACGCAAATCAATCAAGGTGATACATTATATCAACAGAAGGAAGAACAAAACTTGTATGATCATTTCAGTTGATGCTGAAAAAGCATTTGATAAAGTTCATCATCTCATCTCTTCATGATAGAAATCGTCAAAAAGTTGGTATAGAAGAAATATAACTCAACATAGTAAAAGTCATATAGGACAGGCCCACAGCTAGTATTACACTGAATAGGGGAAAAATCAGAGCCTTTCCTCTTAGATCTGGAACATGACAAGAATGCCCATTTTCACCACTGTTGTTTAACATAGTACTGAAAGTCTTAGCTAGAGTGACTAGACAAGAGAAAAAAGTGAGGGGCATCCAAATTGGAAATGAAGAATGCAACTTATGTTTCTTTGCAGATAATATGATCTTAGATTTGAAGAAAACTAAAGAAAACACCACAAAACTACTCAAACTGATAAACAAATTCAGTCAAGTTGCAGGATACAAAATCAACACAGGAAAATCAGTAGCATTTCTATATAAAAACTGTGAACAATCTGAAAAAGAAATAATGAAAATACCCTCATTTACAATAGCCACAAATAAAATGAAATAACTAGGAATAAACCAAAAAAGTGAAAGATCTCTATAATGACAACTATAAAACAATGAGAGAAATTGAACAAGACACAAAAAATTGGAAAGATATTCTATGTTCATGAACTGAAAGAATCAATATTGTTAAAATGTCCATACTACTCAAAGCAATCCACATATTCCATGCAATTTTTATAAAAATACAAATGACTTCTTCACAGAAACAGAAAAAGCAATTCTAAAATTTATATGGAACCACAAAAGACCCAGAGTAGCCAAAGCTATCCTGAGCAAAAAGAACAAAACTGGAGGAATGACATTACCTGACTTCAAATTATACTAAAGGGCTACAATAACCAAAACAGCATGGTACTGGCATAAAAACAGACACATAGACCAAAGGAACAGAACAGAGAACCCAGAAACAAGTCCACACACCTACTGTGAACTCATTTTTTGACACAGGTGCCAAGATTATACGCTGGAGAAAAGACAATCTCTTCAATGAATGGTGCTGGGAAAACTGGATATCCATAGGCAAAGACATGAAACTTGACTCCTGTCTCTCATCATATATGAAAATCAAATCAAAATGAATTAAACAATTAAATCTGAGACCTCAAACTATGAAACTACTACAAGAAAACATTGGGGAAACTCTCCAGGACATAGTCTGTGCAAAAATTTCCTGAGCAATACCCTACAAGCACAGGCAACCAAAGCAAAAATAGACAAATGGGATCACATCAAGTCAACAATCTTCTGCACAGCAAAGGATACAATCAACAAAGTGAAGATACAACCCACAGAAAGTGAGAAAAGATTTGCAAACTACGCATCTGAGAAGGTATTAATAATCAGAATATATAAGGAGTTCAAACAACTGTAAAAAAAATGGAACAATCCAATCAAAAAGTAGGCAAAATATTTGAATAGACATTTATCAAGACCTACGAATAGCAATCAGGCATATGAAAATGTGCTCAACATCACTGATCATCAGAAAAATGCAAGTCAAAGCTACAATGAGATATAATCACACACCAGTTAAAATGGCTTATATCCAAAAGACAGGCAATTACAAATGCCAGTGAGGATCTGGAGAAAAGAGAACACTTGTACACCGTTGGTGAGAATGTAAATTAGTACAATCGCTATGGAAAACACTTTGGAATTTCCTTTAAAAGCTAAACATTGAGCTAGCATATGATCCAGCAACACCACTGCTGTGTATATACCTAAAAGAAAGAAAAGCAGTATATTGATGAGATAGCTGCACTGCCATGCTTGTTGAAGCACTGTTAACAATAGTCAAGATTTGGAGGCAACCTGTGCCCATCAACAGATGAATACATAAAGAAAATGTGGTACATACACACAATGGAATACTATTCTGCCATAAAGAAGAATGAGATCCAGTGATGTGCAAGAACATAGATAGAACTGGAGATCATTATGCTACGTGAAATAAGCTAGGCACAGAAAGATAAACATCACGTGTTCTCACTTATTTGTAGGATCTAAAAATTGAAACAATTGAACTCATGGACACAGAGTGTAGAAGGAGGGTTACCAGAGACTGGGAAGGGTAGCAGGAGGCTGGGTGAGTAGAGATGGGGATGGATAATGGGTATTAAAAAATAGAAAAAATGAATAAGACCTACCATTTAATAGCATAATAGGGTACCTATAGTCAATAAGTTAATTGTACATTTTAAAATTACTTAAAGGGTGTAATTCGATTGTTTGTAACTCAAAGGATAAATGCTTGAAGGAATGGACACCATATTTTCCATGATATGCCTATGTCACAATGCATGTCTGTATTAAAACATCTAATGTACCCCATAAATATATATGCCTACAGACCCCCAAAAATAAAAAATAAAAGTAAAATGAGAAAGGAGAATGGAGAAATAACAATCAAGACCACAGAAATACAAAGAATCATCACAGGCTACTATGAACAACTATACCCCAACAAATTTGAAAACCTAGAAGAAATACATAAATTCCTGGACACATACAACCTACCAAGATTAAACCAGAAGAAATGGAAAACCTCAGCAAACCAATAATAAGTTCCAAAACTGAAGCCATAATAAAAAAGTCACCCATCAAAGAAAATCCTAGGACCTGATGCCTTTACTGCTGAATTTTACCAAATATTAAAAGAATAACTAATAGCAATTCTAGTTAAACTTTTAAAAAATGAAGAAGGAATACTTCCCAACTCATTCTATGAGGCCAGCACTACCCAGATACCAAAACCAGAAAAGGACACAATAAAAACAAGAAAACTACAGGCCAATATTCATAATGAACATCGATGTAAAAATCTCAACAAAATATCAGCAAGCCTAATTTAAGTAAGTATTAAAAAGATCACTCATTGTGACTAAGTGGGATTTATCTCAGAGATGCGAGGATAGTTCTACATAAGCAAATCAATAAACATGATACATCACATTAATTGAATCAAAAACAAAAGCCATATAAGCATTTTAACAGATGCTGAAAAGAGATTCAATAAAACTCAAAATCTCTTTATTATAAAAACCTTCAACAAACTGGGTTAGAAGACATTTCAAAATAATAAGGGCCACATATGACAATCTCATAGTTAACATTGCAATGAATGGAAGGAAATCAGTAACTTTTGCTCTAAGATCTGGAACAGGACAAGGGTGCCTGCTTTCATAACTTTTTCAACATAATACTGGCAATCCTAACCAGAGCTTGAATCTGGCTATTTCTTTGTGACCTATGTTCCCGGACATATATTTTCTTTTCAACAATGTCTTGTCTAATCTGCAGGCAATTTATGCCTTGAGTTGTTAAATTACTGTTATCATATTTTTCAGTTCTAGAATTTACATTGGGTATTTCCTAATTGCTTCCACTTCTCTGCCTAATTTTCAGACTTGCCTTTGAATTCTTTGAACATATTAATCATAGTTATGTTTAAATAACTGCCTAATAATATTATCTGAATTATCTGTGAGTCACTTTCTATTTTTATTGTTTTTCTATGGTTTGCTTTATTAATTCCCTGTTTTGTCATCTGTCTAGTTATTTTTTATTGAATGCCAAACATTGTATGTAAAAAACTAGGTAATTTTAGTCTTGAAATTATTTTATTTCTGCCTCAGAGGGTTTACAAGAGACAACGCATGTTAAAAAGGATATGGAGAAAAGGGAACTCTTATACACTATTGCTTAGAATGTGAATTCATACATTTATTATGGAAAACATTTTAGAGTTTCTTCAAAAGATTAAAAATAGAACTACCATGTGATCCGGCAACCTCACAGCAGGGCATATATCCAAAGGAAATAAAATTAGTAAGTTAAAAAGATATCTTCACTACCATGTTCATTGCAGCATTATTCACAATAGCTAAGATAATGAATCAACCTAAGTGTCCATCAACAGATAAATCAACAAAGAAGTTGTGGCACATATATACATTATGGAATACTATTCAACCTTTAAAAAAAAGAAATCTTGTTATTTGTGACAACATAGATAAACCTGGAAGACATCATGTTAAGTGAAATAAGTCTTGCAAAAAAGGACAAATACCAGTGATCTTACTTGCAGAGTATAAAATATGAACACATAGAATCAAAGAGTAGAATAGTTGTTATCAGCGGTAGGAAAAAGCTAAGAGTCTTCTAGAGATATTGGTCAAAGGATACAAAATTTCAGTTAGACAGGAGGAATAAGTTCACAAAATCTTTGTACAACATAGTGACTATAGTTAATAACAATGTATTGTACTCTTGAAACTTGCTAACAGAGAAGATTCTAAGTGTTCTCACCACAAATAATGATAAGTATACAAGGTAATGCATATGCTAAGTAGCTCAACTGAGCCATTCCCCAGTGTATACTTACTTCAGAACATCATTTTGGATATGGTTAATATATACAATTTTCAAAACCAAAAATATTTTTAGTGACTCCAAACTCTTTATTCAGTGGGCTTTCCTCACTGGGCTATACAAAAAACTGTTCCAGAAGACTTAATTATGCGAACATAGCAATTAGGGTACTTCTTATCCTTCAGCAGTATAGAGAACTCCAACATTTGGGGAAAAGGGCATCTTGTACAACCTCCACGGAACAGAAGCTTATCCGAGAGCAGCAGGTTTAATGTTCATTTTTGAAATCTGTTTTCAAAGTAACTTAGAGTTTACTTTAAATAAATATTCTATCTAAAATGGTTTCCAAAATTTGTATTATCCTCATTTGTTTTACACATTGACCAACAATAGCCATAAAATCTGTTACTGAGAAGTACTTCTAGCATAAGAGTTGTGGCAAGTTAAATAATTTTTATATCTAGCTGTTATGTTTTAGCTGCATATTTAATAGATAAATATTACATTGATATATGAATATATTATGTACATATTTGCATATATATGCAAATATACATATATATCCTATATATTCTATTTGTATTTTCTTATCATTTGTTTAAGAATATTTTTTAGATTTTGTCAAACTCTTCCAAAAGCACTTATATTGTTGATAGGCTGGCAGGCATTATTCATGCCTGGAATAGCTCCTCAAACATGAAATACTTTGGTACTGAGCTCTCCTATGTGATATGTTTCTACTTTCAGAAGTTATGCCAGGAAGACTAAGCCTGGCTGTAGGCATGGTATACCTATATGGCCATAGCTACAATTTTTCTCCCTTGGCTCTACTATTCAGAATAAGTACTATATTTATAAAGATTCTGGTTGGTTATAACATCAGATTGGGGGAAAAGGTTCAAACCCAAGTAATGCAGTTAGTTTTTCTCTAACTCATATATATAGCTAGCAGCCCCTAACCCTGGCTAACTTGGATATACCTGGGATCTTGGCATGAGATGTGGCTGAATTATTGTATTAAATTCATTCCCACCACTGTCAGCAAAATATCATAACACATGCCCCACAGACATAGGTTACTGCCATTTTCACATATAAAATAGAACACATTTAAAGTCATCTCTTTTGCTTAAAAAGAACTGGGTGTATAGAGCCCATAATCCCATTTTCATGCTACATCTATTAATTAGTGCCAGTCACCATCCAAGCCCAGTAGCTAGCTGGGAAAACTGATTCTGTGAACTTCTATAATATCACTAAAAAATGTCTTACACAACTAATCAAGGAAAAACTTTTAAGATATCTTAATCTTTGCCATACTACTTCCTCATTTCTTTAATTCTAGAGCTTTAATGATGATAATAGCTTATGATTATTCTAAAAATATCCTAGATTTTTTAAATGTTTAAATTCCAAAATGTTGGAACTGAATTATAGAAACTAATGAAATGTTGTTACTAGCTTTTTAAAAAGTTTCTCCTCTCTGAAAATAGAGAAATTTTCTTAATTAAGTGGGCCTATAGCTTTGTGTATATTTTTAAATGCTAAAGTTAGCAGTGGTAGTACCATCTAAAATTAGCTTGAATTAAGATAAAATGTCTTAGTATCATAAACAGTTAAAATCCAAATTAATGAAAATGATTTTCAATTAAATGAATGACTTTCCAATAAGTTCAGAAAAAAATTAATTTTTCATAATTCTGCTACATTTAAAGAAACTGTTTTATTTTCTATGTGGTTTTCAAAACAATTTATCATTTTATCAATTTATCATTTTATCATCAATAATTATATAGTTTATTATAATCTGTTTTACTGGAAAACCTCTGTTAAAAGTTTCATTATTAATATAATGAAAAATACCTAAATTAAAAATGACTGATGAACAGTATGAAAGAATAAACTAGGTATTATTTACATAAATTAAACTGCTTAACATACATTAAATATACTTGCTAACTTAGACAAAAGTCAAATAGTAACTTATGTTTTTCCTTTTCTGTCATTCAGCATTGATTCAAACCATTCAATATCATTTTGTGTAAGCAGCTGAAGGAACTTAACAGCAATACAAAACAAACTCTTAGCTTTCTTCATGATGAAATTATGAATAAACAAGTAATTAAATGAGTTCTGGGATATACTGGTAATCTGAGAACTCTTAGTCTAACGAAACCAGTTTGGTTAACACTCAGTAACCACATTTTACACCAGCATAATACCCCTTTAGGTATACATGGTTACTGTTCACACAACACATGGATGTAAACTTAAAATTCAAGAATTTCTAAGACAATCATTCTAAAATGTATTACAAAGAAAAATAAGATTGCCTTCCAACTATTCAGAAACAAAAGCCCAAAAGAAGTGAGAGTTATTTTAGAGAGACTACTTAATCATGATGAAAAAAAATCTAGGCTGGGCACGGTGGCACACACCTGTAATCCCAGCACTTTGGGAGGCTGAAGCAGGTGGATCACTTGAGGCCAGAGTTCCAGACCAGACTTGTTGCCAACATGGTGAGACCCCATCTCTACTAAAAATACAAAAATTAACAAGGCATTATGGTGCATGCCTGTAATCCCAACTACTCAGGAGGCTGAGGCACAAGGATCACTTGAACCTGGGAGGCAGAGTTTGCAGTGAGCTGAGATTGCATCACTGCACTCCAGCCTGGGCAACAGAGTGAGACTCCATCAGAACAAAACAAAACAAAAAAAAAGAAAGAGAGAGAGAGAGGAAAGGAGGGAAAGGGAGAGGAGGGGAGAGGAGGGAGAGAGGGATGAAGGAAGGAAGGAAGGAAGGAAGGAAGGAAGGAAGGAAGGAAGGAAGGGAGGGAAGGGAAGGAAGGGAAGGGAAGGAGGGAGGGGGAAGGAAGGAAAGAGAGAGAAAGAGAAAGAAAAGAAAAGAAAAGAAAAAAGAAAAGATGGATGGATGGAAGGAAGGAAAAAGGAAGGAAGGATAAAAGGAAGGAAAGAGGGAGGGAGGGAAGGAAGGAAGAGGAGGAAGGGAGGGAGGAAGGAAAGAGGAAGGGAGGAAGGAAGGAGAGCAAAAGAAAGAGAGAAAAAAGATGGATGGATGGAAGGAAGGAAGGAAGGAAAGGAAGGAAAAAGAGAAGAAAAAAGGACGGAAAGAAACAAAACTTGGGCCAGCTCTGATGGATACCTATAACATAACATTACAGCATCATTTGTATGCTAGATGCCACAAAGGTATTTCCTCTTTGGAAACAGACACGGTTTAAAGCCATATACCAAAAATTTTTAAACGGTTGAAATGTTTTTAATTATGAAAGAGCGGACTAAGATTAAGAAACCAAGAAAGTTAATTCCCAGATTGATTGATGATACGAAGTCAAGTATTTGTCACTGAAATTAAAAGTTGCAAAAGAGTGTAAAGATATTTTAAAAGATTAAAATTTTCAGAAAAAAAAACAACACCCTGAAACTTGTGTAATTGGGAAGTACTGCATGGTGGAAAATTATGCAATCATTAAACCCATGCTCACATAGCAGTATCTTGAATTAGTAGTAAAAAATGCTCACAAAGAATACGTAATGACAAAAATTTTTCATGATATAATAACTAATGTAAAAAATCAAAGTATATAACTATTTTGTAAGATTTCAATCTTAATATAATGGTGAAAATGTATTCTTTGACTACTCAATATCCATCCAGTATTTGGGAAATTTTCTACCTTTTACTTCCTGGTGAGAGGCAAGAGTGACCTTCAAAATTTAGGAACCAATACTCCTTTTCCCAAATTCCTTTACAGTTAAGGCATAGACACGGAAATTAGTCTATGCTATTGTCGAAGACTGGCTCAAGAGCTACTATCCAAAGAGGTAAAATCAGGGAGTATTGTGTCTGGCAGCAGCAAGAAACAGTTCCTCCTACTAAACAGGTTCTGGGTTTGGGCTATTTTCCCTGGCTGCTTAGTAAACCTGACTCTCCTGACTTCTCCAAAATTCTCTAAACTATCCAATATTTACTTAATACATTATTTTCCTATTTAATTAAAACAGAATCAGCTTCTATTGCTTACAATTAAGAACCCTGACTTAGAGTGATATTTACCAAATTGTTAAGGATAATTTATCTGAAAGGTCTTTGAGTTATTTTGGATTTATTCTTTATACTCAAGTTTACTGCCCATGTAAATATAATTTATTTTGTAATTAGAATAAGAAATATTGTTTTTTAAATCAGAGCATTCTTTGGTGTTTAGTGAATTTAATGGAATATGGTTTATGTAGCCAGTGGTGTGGTAGAGCTGACTGGTATCAGATCACAAGAGCCAATTGTACGTAACTCTTCCCAAGAATTTCTAAGACAGTAGTTCTTTCTGTGATGGTACATTAGGAGTTTGAAATCAGACATGGTGGGCGTACTTATTTGATGGAAAGTGGCATGGCTTTCTTTTTTCCCTAGAGACCTTTTTTAAAAAATATCCTGGCCTTTTTGACCCTCACAGAGCTAGCTGTTAAACATTTATCAGCACACTATTGTATTTAGCCCTAAATATCTTTCAACTCTTATTCTATCACCAAATTCCTTAAAAGTTACCAGACTGCTTTTGTTTGTTTGTTTGTTTTTTTGCCAGAGTCTTTTGCTTCTGTAAGCTCAGTGACTCTCAGGATGTTTCAGCTCTGAATAGTCCTCATCAAAATGGCTTAATCCTTTACTACACAATGTATGGCCCATAAAATAGTATCAGAATCACCTAAAAATGTGTTCAAAATATAGGGTCTTGAGTTATTACCCAGCAACACTGAATCCAAATCTTCATTTTAGCAAGATCCTCAAGGGATTCATATTTATATTAATATTTGAGAAACAGTAAGCCCAACAATTATGGTTTTTCTTACGTAGGCAGAAATATGGAGAAAGATGAGAACAGTACTAATTTATTGACTCAAGAATGTTAAGGTCTTGGGATACCTTGTCTACAACTCTTTTGGTCTTCCCTTCAAGGTAACACATGAACCACAGAAACTCTAAGCCTCTCTAAGCAATTGTCACATATCCAAGAGGAAAAGAATTTCTTCATGTATCTGTATCGTTTTATCACCACCTCCAAGATATTGGCCCTCAGCTACTTTTGGCCAGAATTGAATCACATGCACATTTCCAAGGCCAGGCTAGAAAATCAGGTATCTAGCATTATCATTCTATGTTATGGCAGGAAAGTGAGTCCTGCAGGCAATATTAAAGAGAAAGAAAAATTGCTATTGTAGAGGTTACCACAGTATCCACCAAATGAAATGAACTTTTCATTTCCTACACCATAGACAGAACGCTACCAGTCCCTTCACACATATATCCATGGAAAATGCCATTAATCAATCACTTCACTCCTGCCTATGGAGCCTGGAAGCAATTACCCATAATTAATTTCAACACAATAACCCTGGACATAAACTGAGTTAGAAAAAGCAGAAGCAGTGTTATTATCATCAATTAAGAACCTCTATAGTGCTTCTTCCTATTCACTTTATCAGCATATTTCATTTAGTGTCTAATATACATACTATTCTGAGCATCTCTAAGCAATTTTCACATATCCAACACAAAAAGGTTTTTTTTCATATATCTCCATCTTTTTATCACAACCTCCAAGATATTGACCTTCAGCTTCTTTTGGCCACAATTGAATCTATGCACTGGGGGAAAATCATTTACCTGATTTATCATGGTTTAATTTATACACATATGAGAAAAACATATTATTTTATATTTATTATTGCAAAAATGGTATTATTCTTATAAAATAGAAAATACCTGGGATTCTTAATTTTCAAGATCAAAAAGAGTATGACAATTTACCTTTAAATTTGCACAACAAATTAACCTGATGTTAAAACAGAAGTGAAGCCATAAACTAGAAGAGGTATGATGTAAAAATATTTTTGAATACCTAACCTAGACTATGAAAAACAGTCTCAGAGACTGTTATACATTACTATGGAAGTATAATAATGTTCATGTTATTGGAGTCTCAGGGAAGAAGAGAAAAAGGAGCTGAAAGAATTAACAAAGAATTAATGATTGAAAATTTCCCAGATTTGGAAAAAGCCACAAATCTACAGTTTTAAGAAGGTGAATGACTGGAAAAAGAAAAGAAAAGAAAAGGAAAGAAAAGAAAAGAAAAGAAAAGAAAAGAAAAAGAGAAAGAGAGAAAAAGAGAAAGAAAGGGAGAAAGAAAATAAAATAATTCCCTTTTTTTGTTGTGTCTCTGCCAGGCTTTGGTATCAGGATGATGCTGGCCTCATAAAATGAGTTAGGGAGGATTTCCTCTTTTTCTATTGATTGGAATAGTTTCAGAAGGAATGGTACTAGTTCCTCCTTGTACCTCTGGTAGAATTCGGCTGTGAATCCATCCGGTCCTGGACTTTTTTTGGTTGGTAAGCTATTAATTATTGCCTCAATTTCAGAGCCTGTTATTGGTCTATTCAGAGATTCAACTTCTTCCTGGTTTAGTCTTGGGAAAGTGTATGTGTAGACGAATTTATCCGTTTCTTCTAGATTTTCTAGTTTACTTGCGTAGAGGTGTTGACAGTATTCTCTGATGGTAGTTTGTATTTCTGTGGGATTGGTGGTGATATCCCCTTTATCATTTTTTATTGTGTCTATTTGATTCTTCTCTCTTTTCTTCTTTATTAGTCTTGCTAGCAATCTGTCAATTTTGTTGATCTTTTCAAAAAACCAGCTCCTGGATTCATTGATTTTTTGAAGGGATTGTTGTGTCTCTATTTCCTTCAGTTCTGCTCTGATTTTAGTTATTTCTTGCCTTCTGCTAGCTTTTGAAAGTGTTTGTTCTTGCTTTTCTAGTTCTTTTAATTGTGATGTTAGGGTGTCAATTTTAGATGTTTCCTGCTTTCTCTTGTGGGCATTTAGTGCTATAAATTTCCCTCTACACACTGCTTTAAATGTGTCCCAGAGATTCTGGTATGTTGTGTCTTTGTTCTCACTGGTTTCAAAGAACATCTCTATTTCTGCCTTCATTTCGTTATGTACCCGGTAGTCATTCAGGAGCAGGTTGTTCAGTTTCCATGTAGTTGAGCGGTTTTGAGTGAGTTTCTTAATCCTGAGTTCTAGTTTGATTGCACTGTGGTCTGAGAGACAGTTTCTTATAATTTCTGTTCCTTTACATTTGCAGAGGAGTGCTTTACTTAACAACCATGTGGTCAATTTTGGAATAAGTGCAGTGTGGTGCTGCGAAGAATGTATATTCTGTTGATTTGGGGTGGAGAGTTCTGTAGATGTCTATTAGGTCTGCTTGGTGTGAAAAGAAAAGAAAAGAAAAGAAAAGAAATCCGGCTAGATGCAGTGGCTCACACCTGTAATACGAGCACTTTGGAAGGCCAAGGCAGGTCAATCGGTTGAGCCCAGGAGCTTGAGACCAGCCTAGGCAACTTGGCAAAACCATATATCTACAGAAAAATACAAAAATGAGCTGGGTGTGGTGACATGTGCCTGTATTCCCAACTACTTGGGAGGCTGAGGCAGGAGAATTGCTTGAACCCGGGAGGCGGAGGTTGCAGTGAGCCAAGGTAGTGCCACTGTACTCCAGCCTGGGCCACAGAGCAAGACTCTGTCAAAAAAAAAGAAATGAAAAGACAAGAAACATATCCATATCACACTACGTCATATAGAAACGTGCGAAAAAAAAAAAAAAGAAACAAGAAAAAAATCTTGAAAGCAAGGTGAGAGAAATGTCTTACACAACAAAAATAGTAATAATTAAGGCCAGGTGCAGTGGATCACACCTGTAATCCGAGCACTTTGGGAGGCTGAGATGGGCAGATCATGAGCTCAGGAAATCGAGACCATCCTGGCTAACATGGTGAAACCCCGTCTCTACTAAAAATACAAAAAAAAAAAAATTAGCCGGGCATGGTGGCAGGCGCCTGTAGTCCCAGCTACTCAGTAGGCTAAGGCAGGAGAATGGCGTGAACCTGGGAGGCAGAGTTTGCAGTGAGCCGAGATTGCACCACTGCACTCCAGCCTGGGGGACAGAGCGAGACTCTGTCTCAAAAATAATAATAATAATAATAGTAATAATTAAAAAGGCAATTTTCATCAGAAACCATGGAGGCCAGATGAAAGTAACACAGCATTTTTCAAGAGCTGAAAGAAAAGAATAGTCAAACCAGAATCGTATCTCCAGTGAATACAGTACATCCAGTGAATGATGGAGAAATCTAGACATTCTTAGATGAAGAAAAACTAGGAAAATTTGTCATCAGCAGACCTTAATTAAAAGAATGAGTAAAAGAAGTTATCTAAACACAGAGAAAATAATAACAAAGAATTTTGGAACATCAGCAAGGAATAAAAAATCAAAAGAGTAAAAAATATAAGTAAATATATTTCCCTTCTCCTCTTGAGTTTCCTAAATTATGTTTGGCAGTTGAAGCAAAATTACAACACTGTCTTATGTGGTTTCAATTAATGTATAGGAATATTTACATGATTCTATTAAAAATGAGAAAGTAAAGCAACAGAAAGGGAGATGTCTACAATTCACTATAGTTTGTAAAATGATGATACAATAGATAGTGATGTTATGTATATATGGTATAATAACTAAAAACAACTGGAAAAGCTGTAGAAAGAGATACACTGAAATACACTATAGATATCTAAAAATGGAACTCTACAAAATGTTCAGATAACCCAGAAGAAGTCAGAAAAAATAAAACAGACAAATGAAAAACAAAGAGAAATACAACACCAAAATTAAAATGACAGACTAAAGCCTAACATATAATTACCTACATAAATGACTTTTGTATATCAATTAAAAGACAGAGATTGGCAGAGTGAATTGAAAAACATGACCAGTTGTATGTTGTCTATAAGAAATTCACTTTAACATAATGATACTGGCAACTTGAAAGTGAAAAGATGGAAAAGGATATATCATGCAAACATTATTTATATTAAAGCAAGAATAGCTACACTAATATTAAATAAAGTAGATTTCAAAGCAAAGTATCAGAGACGTTATGGTAAAAGAGGCAGTATAACAAGAAGACAAGCAATCCTGCATTTGTATGCTCCAAACAAAAGAGCTGCAAAATAGGTAAAGAAACACTGATATAACTAAAAACAGGAATAGCCAAATCAATAATTGTAGATGGAGACTTCAACACCCTCTCAGAAATTAATGGAACTAGGCAGAAAATCAACAATAATGTAGAAGAACTGAACAACACCATCAACCATAAGAATATAATTGATATTTATAGAAGACTCCACAGAACATATATCAAGATAGACAAAATCCTGGGCCTTAACACAGTTAAAATAATTGAACTCATATAGAGTGTGTACTCCAGCCACAATGTAATCAAACTAGAAATCAGTATCAAAAGGAGATTCCCAAAATCTTGGAAACAAAATTATATACTTCTAATAACCATGTGAGAAAGAGGAAGTCTCAAGGGAAATTTTAAAATTACATTGAATTGAATGAAAAGGAAAAATGCAACGTATCAAATTTTGTGAGACACAGCTAAAGCAATGCTGAGAAGAAAATATATATCACTAAATGCCTACTGGATTACTCTGGTCTGAACTCAGATCATGTAGGACTTTAATCATTGAACAAACAAACCCTAATTCTAAACAAAATTAGAAAATAGAAAACATCTCAAATCAACACTCTAAGTTCCTGCCTCCAAAGATGAAAGAATAAGCAGAAGAAAGACAATAATGAAGAGCAGAAAACACCGAAATTAAAAACAGAAAAAAAGAAAATCAAAGAAAGAAAGAGTTGGTTATTTGAAAATAACAATAAAATTAATCTTCAACAAGACTGACAAAGAAAAAGAGAAGACAGAAATTATCATAATCAGGAATGAAAAAGTACATTATTACAGACTTGGATACATCAAAAGGGTAATAATGAAATACTGTGAACAACTCTAACTCATGAATTTGACAAATTTGTTAAAATAGACCAATTATTTGAAAAACGCAAACTCCACAACTTACCCGATTTAAAAAACAGATACTTTGATTAGTTCTAAAATAATTAAGGAAATTAAATTAATAAGTTTAAAACTCCCCCCAAAAAAGAAATCTCCAGGACAAGATGATTTTGGAAAATCCTACGAACTGTTCAGATAATTAACACCAATTCTACATAATCTCTTCCCGAAAATAGAATAGAAGGGAATATTTCCCAATTCATTTTATGAAGCTAGTATTTCCCTGATACCAAAATCAGACAAAATGCAAAGAAGCAACAAACTATAGAACAATATCACTCATGAATATAGATGCAAAACTCCTTAGCAAAATGCAGGAAATGTAATTCAGCAATATATAAAAAAAAATTACCATGATCGAATGAGATTTACTTGAGCTGGTTCAATACTAAAGAACCAGTTAATGTAATCTACCATACAGGCTAAAGAAGAAAAATAACAGTTAAATAAATTGAAGCAGAAAAGTATTTGACAAAATTCATCACTCATTCATGGTTAAAAACTTTCACATTCCTCAGTTTGACAAATAATATCAACATAAAACTTACAGTGCCATTATATTATACTTAATGATGAAAGACTGAATGCTTTCCCCCTAATACTGGGAACAAAGCAGGGATGCCTGATCCCACTATTTCTTACTCAACATAGTGCTGGAAGTCTTAGCCAGTGTAATAAAGCAACAAAAGGATGTGAAAGACACATAGATCAGTAAACAAGAAAAACAAAAACTCTCCCTTTTTGCAGATGACATGATTGTCTGTGTAGAAAATCCCAAGAAAGCTATCAAAAAAATCTAGAAAAAATGAATTTAGAAGTTTGCAGAATACAAGATAAACATTAAAAATTGATTACATTTCTATGTAATAGCAATGATTACATGGATGCTAAAATTAAACATACAACATAATTTAAAATTAGTCAAAAAATGAAATACTTAGGGGTAAATCTAACAAGACATGTATAGGACATGTAAAAATTACAAAATACTGATACAATAAATCAAAGATCTAAACAAACAGAAAGACACACAGTGTTCATGAATTGGAAGACATCATACAGAATATATGTCAGTTCTCTCCAAATTGACATAAAGGTTTAACACAATTCCTAACAAAGTAACAGCAAGATTTTCTGTAGATGTAGACAAGATAATTCTAAAATTTTTATATAGAAAACTGAAATAGCTAAAATGAGGGAGTGAAACATAGATCAATGGACTAGAATAAACAACACAGAAACAGACCTACACAAATATGCCTTCTTTAATGGAGAAAGAACAGCCTTTTCAACAAATAGTGTTGGAGCAACTGGATATGCATAGGTAAAAAAGTGAAACTTATGTCTCACACCTAAGAAAGAAATTAACTCAAAATGAATCATTCACTTAATCGTAAAATGTACAACTGTAAAACTTGCATTAAAAAAACAGAAGAAAATTTGAGATCTAGGGATTAGCAGGGTTTTCAGCTTTGACACCAAAAGCACTACCCATAGAACAAATTCTGATAAATTGAACTTCTTCAAATTAAGTATTTCTGATCTGCAAAAAGCCCTAGTAAAAGAATGAAAATGAAAACTATAGATAGGGAGAGAATATTTGCAAACCATATATCCAACAAAAGAACAATATCAGAATATAAAATGAACTCCCAGAGTTGCTTCCAAGATGGACAAATAGGAAGAGCTCCAGTCTGCAGCTCCCAGCGAGATCGACACACAAGACCGGTAACTTCTGCATTTCCAACTGAGTTACCTGGTTCATCTCATTGGGACTGGTTGGACAGTGGGCGCAGCCCACAGAGGACAAGTTGAAGCACGGCAGGGCATCACCTCAACCAGGAAGCACAGGGGTTGGGGAATTTCCCTTTCCCAGCCAAGGGAAGCCGTGACAGACTGTACCCAGAGAAACAGCATACTCCTGACTAAATATTGTGCTTTTCCAACAGTCTTAGCAACCAGCAGACCAGGAGATACCCTCCCGTGCCTGGCTCAGCAGGTCCCACGCCCACGGAGCCTTGCTCATTGCTAGCGCAGCAGTCTGAGATCAATCTGTGATGCTGCAGCTTGACTGGGGGAGGGGCATCCGCCACTGCTGAGGCTTGAATACCTCAGAGTGTAAACAAAGAGGCCCAGAAGCACGAACTGGATGGAGCCCACTGCAGCTCAGCAAGGCCCATTGCCTCTATACATTCCACCTCTGGGGGCAGGGCATAGTAGAAAAAAAGTCAGCAGACAGCTTCTTCAGATTTAAATGTCTCTGTCTGATGGCTCAGAAGAGAGCAGTGGTTCTCTCAGCACGGCGTTCGAGTTCCAAGAACAGAAAGACTGCCTCTTCAAGTGGGTCCCTGACCCCCGTGTAGACTGACTGGGAAACACCTCCCAGTAGGGGCCGACAGACACCTCAAACAGGCAGGTGTCCCTCTGGGACGAAGCTTCCAGAAGAAGGATCAGTCAGCAATATTTGCTGTTCCGCAGCCTCCACTGTGATACCCAGGCAAACAGGGTCTGAAGTGGACCTCCAGCAAATGCCAACAGACCTGCAGCTGAGGGGTCTGACTGTTAGAAGGAAAACTAACAAATAGAAAGGAATAGCATCAGCATCAACGAAAAGGACATCCACACCAAAACCCCATCCGTCGGTCACCAACATCAAAACCCAAAGGTAGATAAAACCAAAGATGGGGAGAAACCAGAACAGAAAAGCTGAAAATTGCAAAAAACAGAGCGCCTCTTCTCCTCCAAAGGATCACAGCTCTTTGCCAGCAAGGGAACAAAACTGGACAGAGAATGAGTTTGACAAGTTGACAGAAGTAGGCTTCAGAAGGTCGGTAATTACAAACTTCTCCAAGCTAAAGAAGTATGTTGTAGCCCACTGCAAGGAAACTAAAAACCTTGAAAAAAGGTTAGACGAATGGCTAACTAGAATAAACAGTGTAGAGAAGACCTTAAATGACCTGATGGAGCTGAAAGCCACGACACATGAACTTCATGACGCATGCACAAGCTTCAGTAGCTGATTCAATCAAGTGGAAGAAAGGATATCAGTGACTGAAAATCAAATTAATGAAATAAAGTGAGAAGACAAGATTAGAGAAAAAAGAGTGAAAAAAATGAACAAAGGCTCCAAGAAATATGGGACTATGTGAAAAGACCAAATATATGTTTGATTGGTGTATCAGAAAGTGACAGGGAGAATAGACCCAAGTTAGAAAACACTCTTCAGGATATTATCCAGGAGAACTTCCGTAGCCTAGCAAGGCAGGCCAACATTCAAATTCAGGAAATAAAGAGAACACCACAAAGATACTCCTCGAGAAGAGCAACTCCAAGACACATAATTGTCAGATTCACCAAAGTTGAAATGAAGGAAAAAATGTTTAGGGCAGCCAGAGAGAAAGGTTGGGTTACCCACAAAGCGAAGCCCATCAGACTAACAGAGGATCTCTCGGCAGAAACCCTGCAAGTCAGAAGAGAGTGGGGGCCAATAGTCAAACTTCTTAAAGAAAAGAATTTAAAACCCGGAATCTCATATCCAGCCAAACTAAGCTTCATAAGTGAAAGAGAAATAAAATCCCTTACAGACAAGCAAATGCTGAGAGATTTTATCACCAACAGGCCTGCCTTACAAGAGCTCCTGAAGGAAGCACTAAACATGGAAAGGAACAACCAGTACCAGCCACTGCAAAAACATGCCAAATGGTAAAGAGCATCGAGGCCAGGAAGAAATTGCATCAATTAACAGGCAAATAACCAGCTAACATCATAATGACAGGATCAAGTTCAAACATAACAATGTTAACCTTAAATGTTAACTGGCTAAATGCCCCAATGAAAAGACACAGACTGGCAAATTGGACAAAGAGTCAAGACCCATCAGTGTGCTGTATTCAGGAGACCCATCTCACATGCAAAGACGCACATAGGCTCAAAATAAAGAGAGGAAGGAAGATCTACCAAGCAAATAGAAAGCAAAAAAAAAAAAAAAAAAAAGCAGGGGTTGCAATCCTAGTCTCTGATAAGACAGACTTTAAACCAACAAACATCGAAAGAGACAAAGAAGATCACTACATAATGGTAAAGGGATCAATTCAACAAGAAAAGCTAACTATCCTAAATATATATGCACCCAATACAGGAGCATCCAGATTCATACAGCAAGTCCTTAGAGACATATAAAGAGACTTAGACTCCCACACAATAATAATGGGAGACTTTAATACCCCACTGTCAATATTAGACAGATAAATGAGACAGAAGTTTAACAAGGATCTCCAGCACTTGAACTCAGCTCTGGACCAAGAGGACCTAATAGACATCTACAGAACTCTACATCCCAAATCAAGAGAATATACATTCTTCTCAGCACCACATCATACTTATTCTAAAATCGACCACATAATTGGTAGTAAAACACTCCTCAGCAAATGTAAAAGAACAGAAATCACAACAAACTGCTTCTCAGATCACAGTGCAATCAAATTAGAACTCAGGATTAAGAAACTCACTCAAAACCACACAACTACATGGAAACTGAACAACCTGCTCCTGAATGACTACCGGGTACATAATGAAATGAAGACAGAAATAAAGATGTTCTTTGAAACCAATGAGAACAAAGACACAACATACCAGAATCTCTGGGACTCATTTAAAGCGGTGTGTAGAGGGAAATTTATAGCACTAAATGCCCACAAGAGAAAGCAGGAAAGATCTAAAATTGACACCCTAACATCACAATTAAAAGAACTAGAGAAGGAAGAGCAAACAAATTCAAAAGCTAACAGAAGGTAAGAAATAACTGAAATCAGAGCAGAACTGAAGGAGATAGAGATGCAAAAAACCCTTCAAAAAAGATCAATGAATCCAGGAGCTGGTTTTTTGAAAAGATCAACAAAATTGATAGACTGCCAGCAAGACTAATAAAGAAGAGAAGAATCAAATAGATGCAACAAAAAATGATAAAGGGGATATCACCACCATTCCCACAGAAATACAAACCACTATCAGAGAATACTATAAACACCTCTATGCAAATAAACTAGAAAATCTAGAAGAAACGGCTACATTCCTGGACACATACACTCTCCCAAGACTAAACCAGGAAGAAGTTGAATCTCTGAATAGACCAATAACAGGTTCTGAAATTGAGGCAATAATTAATAGCCTACCAACCAAAAAAAGTCCAGGACCAGAGGGATACACAGCCAAATTCTACCAGAGGTACAAAGAAGAGCTGGTACCATTCCTTCTGAAAATATTTCAATCAATAGCAAAAGAGGGAATCCTCCCTAACTGATTTTATAAGGCTAGCATCATCCTGATACCAAAGCCTGGCAGAAACACAACAAAAAAAAAGAGAATTTTAGGCCAATATCCCTGATGAACATCGATGCAAAAATCCTCAATAAAATACTGGCAAACCAATCCAGCAGCGCATCAAACAGCTTATCTGATGAAGGCGGCTTCATCCCTGGGATGCAAGGCTGGTTTGACATATGCAAATCAATAAACATAATCCATTACATAAACAGAACCAATGACAAAAACCACATGATTATCTCAATACATACAGAAAAGGCCTTTGACAAAATTCAGTAGCCCTTCATGCTAAAAGCTCTCAATAAACTAGGTATTGATGGAACATATCCCAAAATAATAAGAGCTATTTATGACAAACTCACAGCCAATATTATACTGAATGGGCAAAAACTGGAAGCATTCCCTTTGAAAACCAGCACAAGACAAGGATGCTCTCTCTCACCACTCCTATTGGAAGTTCAGGCTAGGGCAATCAGTCAAGAGAAAAAAATAAAGAGTATTCAATAAGGAAAAGAGGAAGTCAAATTGTCTCTGTTTACAGATGACATGATTGTATATTTAGAAAACCCCATCGTCTCAGCCCAAAATCTCCTTAAGCTGATAAGCAACTTCGGCAAAGTTTTAGGATACAAAATCAATGTGCAAAAATCACAAGCATTCTTATACACTAATAATAGACAGCCAAATCATGAGTGAACTCCCATTCACAATTTCTACAAAGACAATAAAATACCTAGGAATCCAACTTACAAGGGATGTGAAGGACCTCTTCAAGGAGAACTACAAACCACTACTCAATGAAATAAAAGAGGACACAAATGGAAGAACATTCCATGCTCATGGATAGGAAGAATCAATATTGTGAAAATGGCCATACTGCCCAAAGTAATTTATAGATTCAATGCCATCCCCATCAAGCTACCAATGACTTTCTGCACAGAATCAGAAAAAACTACTTTAAAGTTCATATGCAACCAAAAAAGAGCCCGCATAGCCAAGACAATCCTGAGCAAAAAGAACAAAGCTGAAGGCATCACACTACCTGACTTCAAACTATGCTACAATGCTACAGTAACCAAAACAGCATGGTAATGATACCAAAACAAATATATAGACCAATGGAACAGAACAGAGCCCTCAGAAATAACACCACACATCTACAACCATCTGATATTTGACAAACATGACAAAAACAAGCAGTGGAGAAAGGATGCCCTGTTTAATAAATGGTGCTGGGAAAACTGGCTAGCCATATGTAGAAAGCTGAAACTGGATCCCTTACTTACACTTTATGCAAAAATTAACTCAAGATGGATTAAAGACTTAAATGTTAGACCTAATACCATAAAAACCCTAGAAGAAAACCTAGGCAATACCATTCAGGATGTAGGCATGGGCAAAGACTTCATGACTAAAACACCAAAAGCAATGACAACAAAAGCCAAAATTGACAAATGGGATCTAATTAAACTAAAGAACTTCTGCACAGCAAAAGAAACTATCACCAAAGTGAACAGGCAACCTACAGAATGGGAGAAAATTTTTGCAATCTACCCATCTGACAAAGGGCTAATATCCAGAATCTACAAAGAACTTAAACAAATTTACAAGAAAAAAAGAAACAACCCCATCAAAAAGTGGGCAGAGGATACGAACAAACACTTCTCAAAAGAACATTTATGCAGCCAACAGACATATGAAAAAATGCTCA
The DNA here is from genome assembly GCF_000001405.40 of Homo sapiens. Lineage (NCBI taxonomy): Eukaryota > Metazoa > Chordata > Mammalia > Primates > Hominidae > Homo > Homo sapiens. The sequence continues at coordinate 74,218,074 of NC_000006.12, read as the reverse complement.
TCATCACTGGTCATTAGAGAAATGCAAATCAAAACCACAATGAGATACCATTTCACACCAGTTAGAATGGTGATCATTAAAAAGTCAGGAAACAACAGATGCTGGAGAGGATGTGGAGAAAAAGGAACACTTTTACACTGTTGGTGGGAGTGTGAATTAGTTCAACCATTGTGGAAGACAGTGTGGCAATTCCTCAAGGATCCAGAACTAGAAATTCCATTTGACCCATCCACCCTGTTACTGGGTATATACCCAAAGGATTATAAATCATGCTACTATAAAGACACATGCACAAGCATGGTTATTGCTGCACTATTCATAATAGCAAAGACTTGGAATAAACCCAAATGTCCATCAATGATTGACTGGATTAAAAAAATATGGCTCATATGCACCATGGAATAGTATGCAACCATAAAAAAGGATGAGTTCATGTCCTTTGCAGGGACATGGATGAAGCTGGAAACCATCATTCTAAGGAAATTATGACAAGGACAGAAAACCAAACACTGCATGTTCTCACTCATAGGTGGGAGTTGAACAACAAGAACACATGGACACAGGGCGGGGAACATCACACACTAGGGCCTGTAGTGGGGTGCGAGGCTGGGGGAGGGATAGCATTAGGAGAAATACCTAATGTAAATGATGAGTTGATGGATGCAGCAAACCAACATGGCACATGTATACTTATGTAACAAACCTGCATGTTGTGCACATGTACCCGAGAACTTAAAGTATACAAAGAAAAAATGAACTCACAAATCTTAGTTTAAAAAACAATCAAATTAGAAATGGGCAAAATACCTAAACAGACATTTCATTGAAGATGATATTCTGATGGGAAATGACCACATGAAAATGTACTCAATATCATAATTCATTAGGGAAATACAAATTAAAGTCATGAGATATCACTACATAACTATCAGAATCACTAAAATAAAAAACAATGAAAACACCCAATATTGGCAAAGATGTGGAGAAATCAGATGTTATACATTGCTGGTGGTAATATAAAATGGTATGACCATTCTGGAAAATACTTTGATATTTCTTTAAAAGTTAAATATGCAACTACCTTATAACCCTATAATTTATCTCAAAGAAATGAAAGCTGATGTCTGCACAAAAACTTATACACAAGTGTTTATAGGGGCTTTATTCATAAGAGATAAATACTAGAAACAACCCACCTATCTTAAAAGGATGAATGGTTAAACAAACTGTTGTGCATGCATATCATAGAATACTACTTAGCAATCAAAAAGAATGGCCTATTGATTCATGCAAGAACATGTGTGAATCTCCAGAGAATTATGCTGAGTCAAAAAAAAAAAGCCAATCCCAATAGGCTACATAGTCTATGATTCCACTTATATGACATCTTCAAACTCAAAATTATAAAAATAGAGAACAGATTAAAGGTTGTCAAAGGTCATGGATGGAGGGAGGTGGGTTTTGATATAAAAGGTTGACAAGAGAAATCCTTGTGGTAATGAAAATGTTCTGCGTCTTGAATGTATCAATATCCATACACTGGTTGCAATATTGAACTGTAATTTTGCAAGATGCTACTATTGGCAGAAGCTAAGTAAAGACACCATGGAATCTCTGTGTTATGTCTTAGGACTGCATATGAATCTACAATTTTCTCAAAGATAGTTTGGTTTAAAAAGAGAATAAGAATAGAATATTGTGAAAAACTGGCCAGGTGCAGTGGCTCATGACTGTAATCCTAGCACTTTGGGAGGCTGAGGCAGGTGGATCACCTTGAGGTCAGGAGTTCGAGACCAGCCTGACCAACATGGCAAAACCCATGTCTACTAAAAATACAAAAAAAGAAAAAAAAATTAGCTGGGTGTGGTGGTGCACTCCTATAGTCCCAGCTACTTGGAAGACTGAGACAAGAGAATTGCTTGAACCTGGAAGGCGAGGTTGCAGTGAGCCAAGATCACGTCACTGCACTCCAGCCTGGGCAACAGAGACTCCATCTCAAAAAAAAATATATATATATATATATGAAAAATTTTATGACAATAAATTTGACAATCAAATAACATGTACAAACTTCCTGGAAGACACATAATAAAATTCACTAAAGAAGAAATACATAACCTCAAAACTCTATAACTATTGAAGAAATTAAATTTGTAGTTAACACTTTTTTTTGTTTCAAAGACATCTCCAGACCTAGATTGCTATAGAGGGGAACTCTCTCAGTCTTTAAGGAAGAAATAATACTAATTCAACACAGTCTCTGAGAAAATTAAAGAGAAGAAAATATTTTCCAATTCATTCTATAAAGCCAGTGTTTATACTGATAACAAAACTAGAGAAAACCATTATAAGAAAAGAAAACTATAGGCAAATATTTCTCATGAATCCAAATGCAATCTTTTTTTTTTGAGACGGAGTCTCGCTCTGTTGCCCAGGCTGGAGTGCAATGGCGCGATGTCGGCTCACTGCAACTTCCACCTCCTGGGTTCAAGTGATTCTCCTGTCTCAGCCTCCTGAGTTGCTGGGATCACAGGCGCCCACTACTACACCTGGCTAATTTTTAGTATTTTTAGTAGTGACGGGGTTTCACCATGTTGTCCAGGCTGGCCTCAAATGCAAAAATTCTTAACACAAATTTTAGCTAATCCAATCTAGCAGTATATATACATAATACAGCATGACCAATTGAGATTTATTGTGGAAATGCAATACTTGTTCAGCATTTAAGAATTAATTGTATAAAAAGAAGAACCATATGATCACCTCAACAGATGCAGAAAAAGCATTTGAAAAAAAATCCAACATTTATTTGTGAAGAAAAGAAAGGAAAAGAAAATTCTCAGCAAACTAGGAATAGAAAGAAACCTCCTCAACACAATAAAGGAGATCTGAGAAAATCTAAAACTGACATCATACTTCATGGTAAAGCTTAGATGATATCCCCTTAAGCTTGCTCTGACCTTTTCTATTAAACATCGCACTGGAGCAATAAAATTAAAAAAAAAAAAACTAAAGTAATACAGATTGAAAAAGAAATAAAACTGTGTTTATCTGTGTGGAAAACCTGACAAAATATACATAATTACTAGACATAATAAATCAATTAATAAGTTTGCAGGATAAAGACCAACATACAAAAAAACTATTTCTACATATTTGTAATGAATAACTAAAATATTTTAAAAATAATTACAATCATATCGAATATTATAAACTATTATTTTAACATCAAATTAAAATATTTTTATCTTTGAAATACATACTTAAGAAAATAAAAAAGATAAGCCATGAACTGGAAAAAATTATTTCAAAACATACATCTGACAAGGGGCTTATACAGAGAGAATATATAAAGAATTCTTACCATGTAATTAGAAGACAATTCAATTACAAAATGGTCACAAGGCTTAAGCAGACAGTTCATGAAAGAATATATACAAATGTAAAAGCAGCATATGAAAAGATGCTCAATATTACTAGCTATCGGGAAAATGTAAATTAAAAATCACAATGACATATCACTACATATTCACTGAAGTGGCTAAAATTTTTAAAGATTGATCACATCAAGCACTGTTGAGACTGTGAAGCCACTGGAACCCTTGCTCATTGTTAGTAAGAAGGGAAAATGATACTGCCACTCTAGGAAATAGTAGGGCAGTACTTTACAAAATTTTACGTACACTTATCATAGACCCAGGAATCATCCAAGACAAATGAAAACACACAAAGATGTACACAAATGTTCAGTGCAACATTAATCATAATAGTCCAAAACTGGCAACCATCCAAATGCCTAAGTAAATGTATAAGCAATGTGAGATATATCCATATAATACTACTACTTACCAATAAAAAAATACTAATGTTCAAAACAACATAGATGATTCACAAAACCATCATGCTAAATCAAACAAGTCTGACTCAATAGACTGCGTACTATTTAATTCCATGTATATGAAACTCTAGAAGAGGAAAACCTGAAGTGGCAGGAAGCAGATCAGTGGCTGCCTACAGCCAAAGGTCAGGGGAGGGGATCGATTGCAGAAGTATAGGAGAAAACTTTTCAGAGGGATCTTGGTGCTGGTTGCACAACTCTGTACCACTAAGAAAATTCAGCGAACTGTTGATTTAAAATAGCTAAGTTTTAATGTATGTAAATTATACCTCAATTAAGCTGAGACAGATGATAGAGAGGGAGAGACAGACAGACAGATAGATTGGGAAAGCCAGCAGCACTCCCCCCAGTGTGCTCTTCAGTCTGCCATAATTTACCAGTTGTAGTGGCTTATTCAAATTTGAGGACTTTTGCAATTCCTTTCCTTGTAATTCTCCATAACTATGGCACCTACTTTGCACATCCAGCTATGAGTTGGTATCTATTCTCAACCTTGCAAACTGCAACTTTTCAAGGATATTTTATTGAATTCAATTAGGATCAGAGAAATCCTGATTCCTAATTGATGGCAAAAGTACCATCAACTGACAGTGTTAAAATGACAGTGTTAAAAAAATGTTAAGAACTTGCTTATTCACTTATGAGTCCTACTGAAGCATAATCATCATTTTATTATTCTAGTACCTTTGTTGAAATCATAAAAATATAGAATACTTTCCATAGATGGGACTCAAATGTGCATCTGGTTTCTTTCTTTGTTTTTTTCTTGTTTTGTTTTTTAAGTCTTTGATGAAATTTGGAACTACTGACTCACAGTTCCTTTGCCAACGCTGATTTTCTTTTTATTCTCTTCATTTTTGTGAGTCTTAAGAATGATTTAATTTCCATGTATATTGCCTTTTACCATATAGATGATTTGTCTAATATTTTGACAGCCATTCTTATGAAGTATTATATTTAACTTACCTGAAAATCTTCTAAGAGAAGAAAACTGAGATTTACTTTACTTTCTAAATGACTGATTTAAGGTCAACATAATTATAATAGTAAATTGCAATTATTAATAAAGTTTTCAAAAATGCAAATATAGATAAAAATAAACAACAGCAAAATTGTTAGCCACATATATTGCAAAAAAGAATACATGGTCCAATAATTAGTTATTATGAGATATTCTATCATAACAGAAAGAGTTTACAAGAGAAAATGTTGATTTCAATCCTCAAGAAGCTTGCAATCTCAATCATGATACAAAGCATAACCATATAAAACTTTTAGTCAACATTTAGTATAATAGTTCTTTTTATACTATGCAATTTTAATTTTCTTTATATAAATCCACTTGGCGAAAAATGTATTCTTTCCCAGAACTTCTTTGAAATAAGTTTTTTTCACCTAGACCAATCTACTAAAACTTGCATAGAAAAATATATGTATAGAAAGTATTTCTAAAAGAATTATTCTCTTGTGATATAAGAAAACATTATACCAAAGGTAGTATAAGATGAATAATAGTGAAGTTTCTTTTATTATAAATCCTTTCAAATTTAAATAAAAGAAAATGATCCCGGCATGGTTGCTTATGCCTGTAATCCCAGTGCTGTGAGAGCCCAAGGCAGGAGGATCAATTGAGGCCAGGAGTATGATGCCAGAAGTGTGAGGCCAGCCTGAGCAATATAGTGAGACCCTGTCTCTGCAAAACATTTAAAAGTTAGCCAGTGTGTGGCACACGCCTATAGTCCTAGTTATTCAGGAGGCTGAGATAGGGGCATTACTTGAGCCCAGGAGTTCAAGGTAACAGTGAGCTATGATCATGCCACTGCACTCTAGCTTGGGTGACAGAATGAAACCTTATCTCACACACACAAAAAAAAAGAAATTATAAATTTCAGAATTCTTAAAATTATTTGAAAAATCCGTGTGTGTGTGTGTGTGTGTGTGTAAGGATGGAATATTATATTTTCTAATTATCCTTTTAGGCTGTAAAATGATTCATTAAGTAAGTCTGTTTTCCTCCCCCAAAGAACATACAAAATAAAAATACCTGTGGTTTAATTGCAGCTCTCACAAATCACTGGCAGTGATTTGAAGAGATTGTGTAAATGAAAACTGCTTTCTAGATACGATATAAACAGAATTTTTAAAGATCTGTGATTACACAGGATTAGAGCCTTTGAAGTTCAACTCTGGGGAAAAAAAATGGATAGGAGGGAAAAAGTCAAGGAATAGATTGAAAATGAATAACAGGAAGAGAGAAGCATACCTACCACACAGATTCAAAATGTTCTATTTATGTGAATTTCACCAGATTACAAAAACCTTAAAAGCAGGTAACATGTCTCACTCATTTTGTATACTCAGCACTGAACATGGCACCTGGTGCTTAATAGGAATGAATAGATAGGTTAATGCATGTATCTCCTTCTTTCTCTTTCTCTCTCTCTCTCTCTCTCTCTCTCTCACACACACACACACACACACACACACACACACATATATATTGGACTCAGAATCCAGAATAGAACAGGGAAACATGTAGTGGTGCATAGGGAAATAAAATATATTTTTAGTTATCTTTAGTTAGAATTTTTGAGTGTCAAAAGTGTTTTATAATAGACCAAGAAGGGCTTTATTTTTGAAGACATAAAGTAAAACATTCAGAAACTAGCAAGTTCTTGGTTTTATAGAAATATAATTAATGGTTGAAATAGTTTGAAAAGGGGTCACATTAACATTTATTACAAATTTATGTGCTAGTATGTTACCCTGAAGAGGCTTGTGCTCCTGAATGACTGAGTCCTGCCAGTGGGATGCATGTGAAAGTAAAATGTGGCCCTTAGGCCTGGCCCAGAAGGGTCTCTCACATGCATGCCCTCTGCCCCCTGGGACTGTTCCTCCTAGCTTTTTCCTTTCGTGGCTAACTGGGACTTAGATGACTACATTCCTTGGAAGTCATGTTTCAAAGATGGCAGAGCCTCTGTCAGCTTTGATTACTGATTGATCTCATGGAGAAATTTCTGTCCCCGCCAATCAGAAACACCACCACAAACAGTGAACAAGAACTAGATGTCTATTGTGTTTGAGACATACATACTTTGCATTCTATTGAAAAAAACACCTTGCATTAGCATAATATACCACTCTTTAAATATACCTTGAATATCTGCCTGGAGTCATTCATTTAACTTTTCATTTGACAGCACTTTTTTCAGTTCCTAATCACTATAGGCACAAAGGATAGAGAAATCAGTAAAACATACTTTTTACCCAAATCCTCAAACTAGTTGGAAAAGAAAATAAGCAGACAAATAATTTTGCTGCAAGTTATCAAAGAGTGCAAGCACACAGAAGAGACCATATCAGATTGGAGTGAGGTAGATGATGGATCAAGAAAAGCTTCCTTGAGAAGGCGATATTTAAGCTACATTTTGAAGGACCAGTAAGAGTTAATGAAGTGAAGAAAGACGGGCAAGGCATTGTAGGCCAAGGGTCCAGCAAGTTTGGTAGCACAGTGGGCTTGTGGAACTACTAGTCATTAGGAAGTCTTGGGACCTGAGGTATGGAAATGGGAGTCCCTGAAGAGGGAGAGAAGGCAGCATTCAGAGTGTAAGGAGAATCCACAGTTGCTGCAATGTCAATAGTTTGTGTCTGACATAGAAAAATGTGAGGTGTGGTAGTGCTTGGAAGCTTTTGGTGCTGACTATAAATAGGTTACCTTGAAAAGGGAAGGGTCCTATATTTTACCATATTTTTTTTTTAATTTTTTTTTTTATTATACTCTAAGTTTTAGGGTACATGTGCACATTGTGCAGGTTAGTTACATATGTATACATGTGCCATGCTGGTGCGCTGCACCCACTAACTCATCATCTAGCATTAGGTATATCTCCCAATGCTATCCCTGCCCCCTCCCCCAACCCCACCACAGTCCCCAGAGTGTGATATTCCCCTTCCTGTGTCCATGTGATCTCATTGTTCAATTCCCACCTATGAGTGAGAATATGCGGTGTTTGGTTTTTTTGTTCTTGCGATAGTTTACTGAGAATGATGGTTTCCAATTTCATCCATGTCCCTACAAAGGACATGAACTCATCATTTTTTATGGCTGCATAGTATTCCATGGTGTATGTGTGCCACATTTTCTTAATCCAGTCTATCATTGTTGGACATTTGGGTTGGTTCCAAGTCTTTGCTATTGTGAATAGTGCCGCAATAAACATACGTGTGCATGTGTCTTTATAACAGCATGATTTATAGTCCTTTGGGTATATACCCAGTAATGGGATGGCTGGAGGCATCACACTACCTGACTTCAAACTATACTACAAGGCTACAGTAACCAAAACAGCATGGTACTGGTACCAAAACAGAGATATAGATCAATGGAACAGAACAGAGCCCTCAGAAATAATGCCACATATATACAACTATCTGATCTTTGACAAACCTGAGAAAAACAAGCAATGGGGAAAGGATTCCCTATTTAATAAATGGTGCTGGGAAAACTGGCTAGCCATATGTAGAAAGCTGAAACTGGATCCCTTCCTTACACCTTATACAAAAATCAATTCAAGATGGATTAAAGATTTAAACGTTAGACCTAAAACCATAAAAACCCTAGAAGAAAACCTAGGCATTACCATTCAGGACATAGGCGTGGGCAAGGACTTCATGTCCAAAACACCAAAAGCAATGGCAACAAAAGACAAAATTGACAAATGGGATCTAATTCAACTAAAGAGCTTCTGCACAGCAAAAGAAACTACCATCAGAGTGAACAGGCAACCTACAACATGGGAGAAAATTTTCGCAACCTACTCATCTGACAAAGGGCTAATATCCAGAATCTACAATGAACTCAAACAAATTTACAAGAAAAAAACAAACAACCCCATCAAAAAGTGGGCGAAGGACATGAACAGACACTTCTCAAAAGAAGACATTTATGCAGCCAAAAAACACATGAAGAAATGCTCATCATCACTGGCCATCAGAGAAATGCAAATCAAAACCACTATGAGATATCATCTCACACCAGTTAGAATGGCAATCATTAAAAAGTCAGGAAACAACAGGTGCTGGAGAGGATGTGGAGAAATAGGAACACTTTTACACTGTTGGTGGGACTGTAAACTAGTTCAACCATTGTGGAAGTCAGTGTGGCAATTCCTCAGGGATCTAGAACTAGAAATACCATTTTACCATATTTTTTAAGGTATCAGTCTACAAACTCACATGATTTCCTATATACCTTCTTGTCTGTCAGGGCTAAAATATAACAAACAGTATAAAGGGTCTCTGTAAAAACAGGTTTTTTTAGCTTTCTGTTTTCTTTTTAATATTTGGATAACATATTGGAGCAAATTATTTTGATCTCTACCTTCATTTGCTAAAAGAGGGGAGTAAAATAAATAAATAAATAGCTTTGCTACCAAATTGATTCCATTGGTAGATATGTGGATGCCAACAAATCAATGTTAAAAATATTTGAAAAGCATATGCAGTGAACAGTGAATACACAGTAAGTAGCATAATAAACATTTACAAACCAGAGGAATGTGTATGTTTACTCTGCTTTAATAATTTGGTGTCCCAGGAGATAACATAAACAGGATGCAACATGCTAAATGCCTATAGTCAACAGACAAAATAATTATCAATATTTAGAAAGAAAAAATCAAACTGCCCTAATTTCTCATTAATATGACATACTGAAAGTCATGAACATTCTTGGTGATGTCATAATTATGAGAGATCAAGAATGAGTCTGTACTGAAATAATCTTCGTTAACTTTTCTATGATCAATCAACCCTAAAAATTTCCAGTATTACTGATGTTTTAAAAACTCTAAGGAGGACAACATCACCAACTCGGCAAAATAGGAAGCTCCTGACTCTTCCTCCACCCACAAATCCATCACATAAACATTTATCCATGGATCAATTCTCTCTGAGAGAGTCAGAGAGCAGTCAGGAGATTCCTACCCACCAGGCAACTGAGAAAACATCCACATTGAATGGATAGAAAAAGCTGAAGCACACTGGGGCACAGACTCACCTTGGGCACTGAGTCATAAAACTGGGAAAGGAATCTCCAACACACAGTTCCTCCCTATAGAGAGTAGGATCTAGACCTCACATATAGGACCCCAACCCTAAGTCTCCCCACATTTTGACTCTTCATTCACCAGCTACAGAGGTGGAGAGGAGTAAACACATGTGTGTCTCTCTAGATCATAGGAAAAAAATTAAAGAGCAGAAGTTTTATATGAGCTGCAAGCACTTTCAGAGACTTCCTCTTCCTAGAAGTGCCACAAAGGGGCTTACAAAACACATCCCCCCGATTCCTCTGGAAGAGGTTTATGAAACATCTCTCCGGCCACTACCTAGCAATCTGACTTCTAATTAACTTGTATTGGGGAGTTAAAGGAAGTCAGTAATTAACCTGCCACCAGACTGGGAGGAATTTGCACTCACATCAAGAGCCCAAACTTTTACAACATCCACCTAAGGGACTGCATCTAAATCTCCTAGCTCTGGGAGCAGAAGGAACTGGCACACATATGTCTCTCTATATCTTAGGATAAATGCAGCATTTTTAAATAGATGTGCAAGCATCTCCAAGAATTTTATCCCCTAGGAACAGTGCAGAGAAGGAGCTTTAAAAATGCAACTCACTGTTTAACCCCAGAAGGGGTCTAGAACACACATCAAGGGCCCCAGTTGTTAAAGCTACATCCTAAATGACTTCATCCTAAACCTCATAGCTCTGAGAACAGAAGTGAATAAGCATATATATACACATATATATGCATATATATGTGTGTATATGTGTGTGTGTGTGTGTGTGTGTATATATATATATATATATATATATGTATAGAGAGAGAGTCTCCCTTCATCTCAGAACAAATAAGTGGTTTTAAACAGGCATCCATACATTTCCAGGGGCTATACCCTCTTGGTGTAGTAAAAAAATGAGGCAGGAATGTGTACTTTTCACTTTCTGCCTGGAAGAAGCTTATAAAATATGCACTCCATGGCTACTTGACAGCCTGGTTTCTAATGAACTTGCATAGAAGAGGTAAAGGGACAAATACACAATAGCTCTTTGGTAGCTAGAGCCGGAGCTCAGCACTTAGAACCCCTAGCTCCCCAGCTCACCCCAGAGATAAATCCAGGCCTATTCATGTTTTTTTCTGAAAGGTGTTAGGCCATTCACTGACAACCACAACTTCATAGCTCCCACCTAACAGACTGTCTCCTAATGACCTAGCCCTGGAAGTCAAGGGGGCTTTATGACCCTGAATAACCCAAGACCACAAAAAATAAACAGGTGGCCAAATAATGGGCCCACTTCCAGAAGCTATCCCTTCTGTATCAGAAGCTGCAGGAATTTGCCAGAGATATTCTTTCCAGTTTAGTTCAGAAAGAATGGTACTCATGCTCAGCCTTCCTGAAAAGATAGAACTAAAATTAACATTTAACACCCCAACCTTTCCAGCTACATCTAAAGAGTCTGGCTTCTATTATACTAATCTCTGGTTACTGACAAGACATGGCACATCCTAAGCTCCAGGGGGCCACCAAAACCATAGATAGAAGACTGGACAAGTGTAAAGATTTGGGAGCCACCTTAAAACCTCTGGCTGGATGGACTGGTGAAAACCTCTCCTACACAAATCTAGTCAAACAAGCTAAAAAGAGGTAGTTATCTTATCTTATGCACAGAAGCCAACACAGAGAATCAAATAAAATGAAAATATATTTTAAATGAAAGAACAAGATAAATCTCCAGGAACTGACCCAAATGAAGTGGAGTTTTATGATTTACCTGAAAAAAAAATCAAAATAATGGTCATGAAGATGATCACGGAGGTAAAGACAGCAGTGCAAGAAAAGCCGGAGAAATTTTAACAAATAGATAGAAAGTATTTTTTGAAAATACAAAACAGAAATCATGGATTTGAAGAATGCTATAACCAAACTAAAAAATTCAGTAGAGGGTATAAATGATGGACTAGATCAAGCAGAAAAAAAGATCAGTGAACTTGAAGGTAGAGCACAGGAAATTATCCAATCTGAGGAGAAATAAATAAATAAATAAAGAGAATGAAAAAGTGAAGATAGCTTAAAAGATTTATGAGACACCATCAAGCAGAACAAATTACACAGTACTAGAATGCCAAAAGGACGAACAACAAAGAAAGGGACAAAAAACATATTCGAAGAAATAATGGCAGAAAACTTCCCAAGTCTGGGAAAGAAATTAGAAAGCCAGATCCAAGAAGCCGATAAGACATCAAATAAGATGAATCCAAAGAGATCCACACCATGACATGTCATAGTCAAATTGTCAACAGTTAAAGAAAAAGAGTGTTAAAAGCATCAAGGAAAAGTCAAATTGCCGCTACTGAGGAACCTCCGTAAGACTATCAGCAGATTTCTTAGCAGAAACCTGAGAAGCTCAGAAGGCAGTCAGATGATATATTCAAAGTATTAAAAGAAAAAGGCTGCCAACCAAGAACCCTGTCTTTGTCAGCAACCCTGTCTTTCAAAAACAAAACAAAGGAGTGATAAAGACTTTCTCAGACAAATGAAAGCTGAGAAACTTTATCAACACTACAACTGTATTACAAGAAAATGTGAAAGGAAGTTCTTCAAGCTGAAAGAAGATATTAATTAGTAATAAAAACATACAAAAGTATAAAACTCATGAGTAAAAGGAATTACATCATCAAATTCAAAACACTCTAATACAGTAATGGTGGTGGGTAAATCAAGTATATCTCTAGTGTAACGGTCAAAATGCAAAACTATTAAAACAATGAAAACTATAATTGCTAAGGAATACATAGTGTTTAAACATCTAAAGTGTGACATCAAAAACATAAAATGCAGGAGGAGGGGCAGTAAAAATGGAGAGTTTGTGTATGTACTCAAAATTAAGCTGTTATCAGCTTAAGTTAATGTGTTATAAGTATAAAATGTTTTATGTATGTCTCAGGATAACCACAAAGAAAAAACCTATAACATATATTTTTAAAAAAGATAAAAAGAATAGAATCAAAGCACAGCACTACAGAAAGCCATCAAACCACAAAGGAAGAAAACAAGAGAGGAAGAAGGAATCAAGGACCTACAAAACAACTAGGAAACAACGAACAAATATGGCAGGAGTAAGTCATACCTATCAAAATAACCTTGAATGTAAATTGATTAAATTGTCTCATGAAAATATATACAGTTACTTAGCCAGGCGTGGTGGCTCATGACTGTAATCCCAGCACTTTGGGAGGCTGAGGCAGGGAGATCTCTTGAGCTCAGGGGTTCAAGACAAGCCTGGGCAGCATAGCAAAACCATGTCTCTGCAAAAAAATACAAAAAATTAGCCAGGCATGGTGTTACACACTGGTAGTCCTAGCTACTTGGGAGGCTGAGGTGAGACAATCACCTGAGCTCAGGAAGTTGAGGCAGCAGTGAGCTGCAATCATACCACTGTACTCCAGCCTGGGCAACAGAGTGAGACTCTGCCTCAAAAAAAAAAAAAATATATATATATATATATATACACACAATATATAATATATATTTTATATATAATATATACACAATATATATTTTATATATAATATTTTTTATATAATATATATGTAATATATATTTTATATATAATATATACATATTTTATATATAATATATGTAATAACTGTGTACGTATATACATACGTCTGTGTATATGTGTATACTTGTGTATATGTATATACATATAACTGTGTGTATATAACATACATATGTACACACAGTTATTATATGGATGAAAAAGCAAGATCAAGCTATATACTGCTTATAAGGGACTTATCTCGGCTGTAAGAACACACATAGATTGAAAGTGAAGAAGTGGAAAAAAGATATTTTATGCAAATTGAAACCAAAGCCAAGCAGGAGTAGCTATACCTATGTCAGATAAGGTAGACCTTAAGTCACGAACTATAAAAAGAGACAAAGAAACTCTCTTTATTTAAATTATAATATTATAGAATAATAAAGGGCTCAATTCAGCAAGAGGATATAACAATTATAAATATATATGCATACAACACCAAAGTACGAAGATACTATAATACAATACAATAATAGTAGAAGACTTCAACACCCTATTTTCAGCAATGGGACAGATCATCCAGACATAAAATCAACAAAGAAACACTGGAGTTAAACTACACTTCAGATCAAATAAAACTAACAGACATTTACAAAACATTTTATCAAACAGCTGCAGAATACACATTTTCTCATGATCACATGAAGCATTCTCCAAGATAGACCATATATTAGAACACAAAACAGCCTCAAAATAATTTTTTAAGTTGAAATTATATCAACTATCTTTCTGATTACAATGGAATAAAACGAGAAATCAATAACAAGAGAAACTTTGAGAACTGTACAAATACACATAAATTAAACAACATGGTTCTAAATAACAAATGAATCAAAGGAGAACTTTAAAAAAGTGATAAAAATTTTTGAAAAAAAGAAAAAAGCAAGCAAAACATACTAAAACCTATGGGATGCAGTAAAAGCAATACAAAGAGGGAAGTTTATAGCAATAAATGCCTGCATCAAAAAAGTACAAAGCTTTCAAACCTAATGATGTACCTCAAGGAACTAGAAAATCAAGTGAAAAACAACCCCAAAATCAGAGCAGAAATACACGATGTTAAGACTAAATAAATGCAAAATATCAACAAAATAAAAAGTTGTTTTTTACGAAAGGTAAACAAATAGACAAATCTTTCGCTAGGCTAAGATAAAAAGAGAGAAAATCCAAATAAATAAAATAAGAAATGAAAAGGGAGACATTATGACTGATAATCACAAAAATACAAAGGATCATGAGAGACTATCATGAAAACTATATGCCAACAAATTGGAAAACCAAGAAATGGATAAATTCTTAGACAAATAAAACTTACAAGATGGAACCATGAAGGAATAGAAAACCTGGACAGACCAATGATTAGTAATGAGATTAAATCGTAATCAAAAGTCTCCCAACAAAGAATAGTCTAGGACTGAATTCACTGCTGAATTGTTGAAACTTTCAAGGAAGAACTAATACAAATTCTTTTCAGGCCGGGCGCAGTGGCTCAGGCCTGTAATCCCAGCACTTTGGGAGGCCGAGGCGGGCGGATCACGAGGTCAGAAGATCCAGACCGTCCTAGCTAACACGGTGAAACCCCGTCTTTACTAAAAATACAAAAAAATTTAGCCAGGCATGGTGGCGGGTAACTGTAGTCCCAGCTACTCGGGAGGCTGAGACAGGAGAATGGCGTGAACCTGGGAGGCGGAGCTTGCAGTGAGCCGAGATCGCGCCACTGCACTCCAGCCTGGGCGACAGAGCAAGACTCCATCTAAAAAATAAAAAAACATTTTTCAAGTTTTCCAAAAACTGAAGAGGAGGGAATTTTTCCAAACTTGTTCTATGAGACCAGCATCACCCTGATTCCAAAAGCACATAAGGACACAACAAAAAAAGAAAAAATCATAATAACTATAGGCCAATACTCCTGATGAACACAAATGGAAAAAATTCTAAACAAAATACTGAAAGCAAACTGAATCCAACAACACATCTAAAAGATTATACATTGTTATCAAGTGGGATTTATCCCAGTGATGACAGAATGTTTCAACATATGCAAATCAATAAACTTAACACATCAACAGAATGGACAGAAAACATATGATTATTTCAATTTTATCAAAAAACATTTGATAAAATTCAACATCCCTTCATGATAAAAAAAAAATCCCAACAAATCAGGTATAGGAAGAATGTACCTCAACTCAATAAAGGCTAAACATGACAATCCCACAGCTAACATCATACTAAACAGGAAAGGTTGAAAGCCTTTCTTCTAAGATCTGGAACAAAAACAAAGACACCCACTTTCATCACTTTTATTCAAAATAATACTGGAAGTCCTAGCCAGAGCAATTATGCCAGAGAAAGAAATTAAGGCCATACAAATTGGAAAAGAGAAAATCAAATTGTCCCTTTTTGCAGATAACATAATCTTATATTTAGAAAAGCCTAAAGACTCTACCAAAAAACTCTTAGAACTGATAAACAAAGTTTAGTAAAGTTTTAGGATACAAAACCTACAAAATTGGTAGCATTTCTATAGGTCAACAGTGAACAATCTAAAGAAGAAATCAAGAAAGTAACCCCTTTACAATAGCTGCAAAAATAAAGAATTAAAATACCTAGGAATATATTTAACCAATAAAGTGAATGACCACTACATTGAAAACTTTAAAAGTTTGATGAAAGAAATTGAAGAGGACACACACAAAAATATGGAATGGTATATCATGCTCATGAATTGGAAGCATTAATATTGTTAAAATGTCCATACTACCCAAAGTGATCTACCAATGACATTTTTCACAAAAACACACAAAAAAATCCATCCTAAAAGTTATATGGAAACAAAAAAGACTGAATAATCAAAGCAATCCTGAGAAGAAAGAACACAGCTGGAGGCATCACACTACAATTTCAAAGCTATTGTAACCAAATCTGTATGGTACTGAGCTAAGAACAGACACATAGATCAATGAAACGGAATAGATAATCCAGAAATTAATCCACATATTTACAGACAACTGATTTTCAACAAAGGTGCCAAGAACATACAATAGGAAAAAGACAGACTCTTCAATAAATGGTGCTGGGAAAACTAGATAACCATATGCAGAAGAAGGAAACTAGACCTCTATCTCCTACCACATACAAAAATCAAAATGGATTAAGACTCACATGTAAGACCTAAAACTATGAAATTACTGGAAGAAAACATAAGGGAAATGCTCATCACATTGGTCTGGGCAAGAATTTTTTGAATTGGACCTGAAAAGTGCAGGCAACAAAAACACAAACAGACAAATGAGATTACATCAAACTGAAACGCTTCTACACAGCAAAGGAAACAATCAACAGAGTGAAGAGACAACCTATACAATGGACTAAAATGTTTGCAAACTATCCACCTGACAAGAAATTAATACCTACAATATTTAAAGTACTCAAACAACTCTAAAGCAAAATACAAATAATCCAACTAAAAATGGACAAATGATCAGAATAGATATTTTTTAAATGAAGACATACACATGGCCAACAGGTATGTGAAAAATGTTCAATATCACTAATCTTGGAGATTCAAATGAAAACCACAATGAGATATCACCTCACCACCGTTAGAGTAACTATGATCAAAAAGACAAAAACTGGCAAAGATGTGAAGAAATGGGAATTCATATACTGTTTGTGTGAATGTAAATTAGCAAGCCATAGTGGAAAACAGTACAGAGATTCCCAAAAAAACTAAAAATAGAAATATCATATGATCCAGCAATCCCACAACTGAATGTATACACAAAGGAAAGGACATCATTATGTAGAAGAGATATCTGAACTTTCATGTTTATCACACTAGTCACAATAGTCAAGATTTGGAAGCAATCTAATTGTCCATCAACAGATTAATGGATGAAAAAATGTGGTATATGTACACAATAGAAAATTATTTAGCCATAAAAAATTAAATACCTTCATTTGCAGCAACATGGATGAGCCTAGAGAACATTTGTGTTAAGTGAAATAAGTCAGGCACAGAGAAATAAATACCACATGTTCTTATACGTGGAAACTTTAAAAAGTTTATCTCATAGAAGTAGAGAGTAGAATACTGGTTACCAGAGGCTGAGAAGGATAAAGGGGTGAGGGAGATAAGAAGAGGTAGATTAACAGGGACAAAACTACAACTAAATAGTAGGAATGAGTCTAGTGTTCTATAGCACAACAAGGTGACTATAGTTTATTGTAAAAATAACTAGAAATGATAATTGAGGTAACGAATATACCAATTACCCTGATTTGACTATTACACATTGGATACATGCATGAAACTATCACATACATCACATAAATATGTACAGTTATCTCATGTTGATTTTAAAAAAAACAGTTATTTAAGGGTCTGTTACTGCTGCTTCTGTTCGTCTTTGGTATTGGCCCTTGTCCTCTCATTTCTGCCTTTGCTTCAATATCCAGTTAGTTTACTTTGGAAGCAGAATGACAGACAGCAATCACCAATAGGTCTTGAAATTGATGCAACACACAGAGGCCTTGTCCAAGAATTAATAAAGACCATATTTAATAAAATAAATTTTTTTTAAAGAAAGGGAAGGAGGAAAGACAAGAAATCTCATTTCCTATTGCTAACTTTTGAAGAGCTTTA
The DNA here is from genome assembly GCF_000001405.40 of Homo sapiens. Lineage (NCBI taxonomy): Eukaryota > Metazoa > Chordata > Mammalia > Primates > Hominidae > Homo > Homo sapiens. Next base: position 74,199,864 of record NC_000006.12, on the reverse strand, counting down.
AGATTCATTAGGCTGGATGGAACTAGTTTAGAAAAGAACAAAAAATAAAATACAACTGGGGATCTCTAGCTTATAACAAAACAATCTGCCAAGGAAGTCTTTCAAATTCATTAGAGGGAAAGCCGCCCTTCATTCTTCAAGATGCAAAATGTGATCTTCTCTAAGGGACAGCTGTAACCCACATGTCTTTTGCTAATCATGCATAGCCTCAAAAAAAAAAAAAAAATCTGAATCTTTTTCCTTGATTTTGTCATGGCTTCCTGGCCACCACCTGCTGTGTTACAGAGGCTCACCCCAGGAATTCTGTGGCCCTATTTCATTCCTTAATAAATTTTTTCTCAGGCCCAGAGATTAAAGAGTCCCTTTTCTTAGTATATGCGGAATGGGAGGTGGGGGGCTCTGCAGCTGCTGCAGGGGCTGCACTTCATGTCTACAATGAAAAAATGAAAGCAGCTGTCGGCCTCTTAGAGGTCTCTTGGCACAGAGTACAAACAGGTCACCCTGGAAAGTGAAAGTTCTCAGTAGGTTAAAATGTTCTGTGTTCCCCATTTGATGCTCACTCACGTTCCACATGCTGCAGTGCTCCACAGTATTAAAACACACACACACAATGGTTGTGTTCACAGGCAGAAAAGCAAGGAGGAAAGAAAAAATTCCCATTAAGGTTCCAAAAATCAACCATTTCAACAACAGAAAAAAATGCAATGTTTTATTGTATTTTACCTCATTGGATGTCTCTATTCCAGAAAGGTATAGTCAACAATTCTACTAATATGGAAATCAATCCATAGATAGCTCTAGGACTGTCACTACCCTAAGAGTGACCTAAATATTACTTCAATCCATAAACTGAATTGTTATGATATTAAAACAAGCTGTAATGGACCAGCATATGTACTACACTAAGAAATTCTGAATATTCTTCTTTGAGCTACCATTATGACTTTCAGAATATCATTTAAATTCTTCATGCTCAGGTCTATAAAGTAAAAGAGTGGTCATGCTCAGTGGTGTCTACAATTTTATTATATGCACATTTTTCCATTTTTACTCAACATTTCATAAATAATCAAGCAGAATAGGCATAATAAAAGGTAAAATTTAAGCCATTTAAACATAACTAAACTTCACTTTCACTGAGTCTCTTGACTATCAGGTTTCACGCATCTAAGAATGTAAAGACCTAGGGATGACATGGAATTCACATACTATACTAGATTCCTAATTGCATATGGAAATAGAGGTTAGATAAAATAATAAAAATATGCAGAATTGCAAGGTCTCGTTCATTTATAATGCCAAGAGCGAGGAAGAAAATCAGATTTCCAGGTAAGAAAAGCTAAAAGAATGAAGAAGAGAAGGAGAAATAACAGCAGAAGAAAGAGGAGGAAAAATAAAACAAATACTCGAGGTTAAAAATAAGTTAAACTGCCATGTCATTTAAATATCCTAAAATAGTAGTTTTCAAAGTATAGTCCCTGAACCAGCATCGTCTAGCAGCTTACTAGAAATGTACATCTTCAGGCCTCACTCCAGAGCTGCAAATCAGAAACCCTGGTTGAAGAGCCAGAAATGTGTGTTTTAACACAACCTCCAGATAATTCTAAGGTACACTTAACTTTTAAGAATTTCTAATCTAGAAAAAAAAAGATTGGATTAAATTAATGAGTGGTAGGTGATTGAACAAGCACATAGAATAGGATAAGGAAACATTCAGGAATGTAAGGAGGATACAAGAAAATAATTTTTTATTTTTCAATATGCTAACTAAATTTATATCCACGGTAACAATGTCTTTTGAACTTGTTAGAACAAGAGCATGGAGACAGAAGAGCTGAAGGGACTCTGATCTACCAAGAGCTTGAATGCCAGGACTACTTGGGGGCTTTTTTCTAGGTTAGACATGCCTCTCTTCTCCTTTGAAAATTTCTTCCATATTGAGCCATTCTATTTATTGGAGTATTTTTACATCCTTCAGATGAGCTGCGGTGGAAAAAATTCTGAAAAGCACTAGAATAAAATATAGCAGCAATAATAATGTAAAAATAGTTGCAAATTGATTTTCTTCATACCAGCACTGTACCGAGAACTTGACAATTTTTAGCATTAATACTCACAACAATCTTTTAAGTTGAGGATTGTCCTCATTTGCAAGATAGTAAACTATAAATTGGAGAGGTAAGTAATTATGCAACACTGCATACTTAGTAGCTGGTATAGCTTGAATTTGAACACAAGATTTTATGAGCCTACCCCACAACTCATGTCCTTTTCTCAGAAATAGTGTTTGTGATTCAGCAGAGCACTTATGACTGGAGATATAAAATTGGTCATCAGTGATACATTGTCAATACAGTCATGTGTTGCTTAACAACAGGTATAGTTTCTTAAAAATGCATTGCTAGATGATTTCATTTTATGAGCATCATAGAGTGTACTTAGACAAACCTAGATGCTATAGCTTCCTATATACCTAGGTAACATGATACAGCCTATTGCTCCTGGCTGCAAACCTGCACAGCATGTTACTGTTCTGAATACTGTAGACAATTGTAACAGAATGGTAAGAAATTGTATATCTAAACATAGGAAAGGCAATGCATTACACTATGATTTTATGACATTACAACAGCTACAACATCACTAAACAATAGGAATTTTCAGCTTCATTATAATTGTGTAGAATCATCATCATATAAGCAGTTCATCAGTGACCAAAACATTTTCATGTGGTACATGACTGTAGTTGAAGCCTCTGCAGAATGCAAAAATTCTTGCTAAGAAAGAGATGAGAACTAAGGTTGGAAGTCTGAGGAATGCCAACATTTAAGGGTTGAATTTAGGTTGATTGACTTTCTTAGTTTGCCCAGGACTGAGGGATTTCCTCAAACAGGGGCTTTTGGTGCTAAACTTGAGACAATCCTTGGCAAACTGGGATAGCTGATTACCCTACATTGGTGGAAAAAGGAGACAGCAGAAGAATGAGAAGGAGTAATTAGAGAGCCAAAGCATGGAGCATGGTCACAAAGACCGGACAGCACAGAACATCCAGAAGAGTTAGTGCTCATGTTTCAAAGGCAAGATTAGAGGAAGACTGTAGTTAGTGTGTTTGCTAAGGACTGGGGAGACATAAGCACATTTTTAAACTGGGAGGAGAGACAATAAAGAAAATAGTTCAAGATGCTGGAGATGGAGATTTATGACTTTAGCTAGATAACAGAAGAGATAAACATGAAAGAAATTCCATACCTTTTATACATACAAAGTATGTCTAGGGTACGAAAAAATGAACAATCATGGTGTGTCTGTTATGGGCCACACTCTGTGACAAGTACATTTATTTCCATTGTCACATTAAACTCCATTGAAAAGCCAACTCATTAATCTCAAGAGAATTTTATTGATAGTAACAATTAAAAGTAAATATATGATTTCTTTTGAACTACAAATAGATCAGAGAAATTTACTGTACAACAAATATTATGACATGTTTCAAATGTTTCTTTGCATTAATTAGCAAAATTATCTTTGATTTTTGCCATGTTCATACAAATAATCATAAGTGGAGTTCTGAAAACTGAGCAGTTTTCCCTTCTTACTCAGTGTTGGAGGTCTAGAAGACTTAATCATATTTGTAAGTGGTTAGCATCCCTTTCTTCTTAATCCACCTCAGTTTAAAGCTAAACAGATTCAGGAAAAGTTAACTTAAAAATTTTATCTGTGGTCTTCTAGTTTTCACATTCTCCAAGTGAAAGAGAGAGAGAGAGAGAGAGAGAGAAAAGAGAGGAAAGAGAGAGGGAAGGAAGGAAGGAAGGAAGGAAGGAAGGAAGGAAGGAAGGAAGGAAGGAAGGAAGGAAGGAAAAGAAAAGAAAAGAAAGAAAACAATAACTTTAAATATAAATATTTAGAAGTATCTTGCTTTACATAAAGTTATTTGGTCAAGTACTAAGACCTGTTTATGGTCTTAAGGTCAGTTTATGATTTATAGCTAAGTTTAAAATGATACTATTTTATTGTATAAAGCAGTAGATATAACTTCAGGACAATGTCTTAGAGTTATAAATCATCTACAAATGCTCACCAAAAATGAATTCAAATAGAAGATTCCATTAAATAAACAAAGAACTCAGTACAATTTCTGACATAAAGCAGGGGCTAAATAAAGTTTAGTTCCTTTCAAAGTAAGGACGCACAGATAAGCTTATGGAGTTTTTCTTAAATACAATCAATAATGTATCTCTGCTCCTAAATTCATCAAAAAGTTAACTCATTTACAATGAAAAAAGTCTATATTAATTTATTTTGGAAGTAATTTTTCCATTTATATTTATTTGTATACCAGCATACCTCATTCTGGCAGGCCAATAGCTTCAAATCTTAAAATATTTAAATATTTTAATTTAAATTTAAAATTTAAAGACTTTTCACGATGGCTGATTAGAAGCAGCTAGTGTGCACCACTCTCACAAAGAGAAACAGAAGGGGCAAGTAAATACAACACCTTCAACTGAAACATCTGGGTCCACACATTGGGATTCATCAAGAAAACAACTCAACCCATGAGGGATAGAGAAAAGCAAGGCAGGACAACCACCCACCCAGGAATGACACAGAGCCAGAGGAACCTCCCCACCCAGGGAAGCAGTCAGTGAGTGGCAACCCATGCTTCTTTCATAGATTTTTGCAACCCTCAGGTCAGGTGATCTTCTTGTGAACCCACTCCACCTGGGACCACAGTCCAACTTGCGGAACTACATGGAGTCTTGGCAGAACAGCCACTCAAGCACATATGGAGCCCCAGGAGCTTTTGATATCTGAGCTTCCGCCCAATAGCAGCTGCAACTCCAGCAAAGTAGGATGTTAGACCCCCACACACACCCCTAGAAAAGGGGCTGAATGCAAGGGGCTGAGCAGCAACACTCTGTAGGCCCCATTTCCACAGCACCTCACAAAATAAGACACACTAGCTTGGAGCTCCAGCCAGCCACTGGTAGCGGTGTTACACCTCCCTGAGGTAGAGCCTTGAGAGGGAGGGGCAGGCTGCCATCTTTGCTTTAGTGCAGGCATAGCCATTATTGCCTTCACTGCAGCTGCCCTGTGGAAGAGCAGCAAGCCTGCTTTTTTTTTATGAGTCCCTAACCCTGCTTCTCTTCACTGGGAAGGACCTCCAGACTGGGGCCACCAGCCACTCTTGCTGGTGTTTTCCAGCTGGCAGTGGTTCCAAGCCTCCTGGGATGGAGATCCCAGGGGGAGGGATGGTCTGCCATCATTCCAGTTTCACAGTCTTAGCCACTGTTGTCTTTGGGCTCCAAGGAGTCTGAGGCAACTAGTGATTGAAACAGTCCACCAGCACAGCACAGCAGCTCTACAAGAAGTGAGTAGACTGCTTTTTTACAGGGGTCCTGGATCCTGTGTCTCTTCACTGGACATAATCTCCCAGCTGAGGTCTACAATCACCTCCACTGGTGTGGAGGCAGTTTTGCTGGCAACAGGTTCGTATCTCCTTGGGACAGAGCTCCCAGACAGAGGGCAAGCCACCATCTTTGCTGTTTTACAGCCTTCACTGTTGATACCTTAAGGTGCCAGAAAATCCAAGATGACCAGGGACTAAAGTGGACCCCCAGCAAACTTCAGCAGCCCTATGGAAAAGTGGCCAGACTGTTTATTACATGGGTCCCCAATCCCATATCTCCTCACTGGGTGGGTTCTCCTGGTCTGGGCCTCCAACTACCCACGGCAGGGACTATCAAGCAAGTAGTGGCTCTGCAACTGCCTGAGACAGATCTCCCAGTAGGGGGGTTGGTTGCCACCTTTGCCGTCTCACAGTCCTTGCCCATGCAGTCTCCAGGCTCTGGAAAGTCCACGGGGACCAGGGGCTGGTTTGGACTACGAGCACAGAGCACCCACCTTGCAGAAAAGTAACCGGACAGTTCTTCATGCAGTCCTGGTTCTCACTTCTCCTCACTTGGTTGGGTGGCCCAACCTGGGACTCCAGCATCGCCACCCTGCCCCCACCTGGCCACTTTAATCAGAGGCCGCCCAGCAGTTAAAAGAACACCCACACACAGAGATGAGAAAGAAACAATGCAGTAACTCTGGCAAGTTAAATCTTCAGAGCCTTACAGCCTCCAAAAGACTGCACTAGTTCTACAAGAAAGCTTCTTGACCAAGCTGTGTTGGCTGAAATGACAGAAATAGAATTCAGAATATGGATAGGAATTCGAGATTTAGAACAGCAAAACCCAATCCAAGGAAACTAAGAATCACAATAAAAAGTATAGGAGCTGACAGATGAAATATCCAGTATAAAAAATTGCCTAACTGGTCTAATAGAGGTGAAAACCACACTACAAGAATTTCACAATGCAGTCACAAATATGAACAGCAAAGTAGACCAAGCTGAGGAAAGAATCCCGAAACTTGAAAACTGGTTCTCTGAAATAAGACAGACATAAATAAAGCAAAAGAATGAAAAGGAACAAACAAAATTGCTGAAATATATGGAATTATCTAAAGAGGCCATATCTATGAATCATTGGCATCCCTGAAAGGGATGGGGAGAAAGCAAACAACTTGGAAAACATATTTCAGAATAGCACTCGTGAAAACTTCCCCAACTCACTAGAGAGGCAAACAGCCAACTTCAGGAAATACAGAGAACCCTGCAAGATTCTACACAAGAAGATCATCCCCAAGACACATAACCATCAGATTTTCCAAAGTCAAAATGAAAGACACAATGGTAAAGGCAACTAGAGAGAAAGGGCAGGTCACCTACAAAGGAAACCCCAATCAAGTTAACAGTGGATATCTCAGCAAAAATCCTACAAGCCAGAAGAAATTGGGGGCCTATATTCAACATTCCTACAGAAAGAAATCTTCAACCAATGATTTTATATCTATCCAAACTAAGCTTTCTCAGCAAAAGAGAAATAATATCCTCTTCAGATAAGCAAATGCTTAGGGAGTTTGTTACCACCAGACCTGCTTTACAAGAGATCCTGAAAGGAGCGCTAAATATGGAAAAGAAAGACCCTTGCCAGCCAATACAAAAACATACTTAAGTACAAAGACCAATGACACTATAAAGCAAAACACAAACAAGCTGGCATAATAACTAGCTAACACCACAATGACAGGTCAAATCTATACATATCAATATGAACCTTGAATGTAAATGGGCTAAAAGCCCCCATTTAAAGGGCACGGAGTGGCAAACTTGATTAAAATGCAACACCCAATTGTATATGATATTCAAGATACCCATCTCACACACAGGGACACTCATAGGCTCAAAATAAAATAATGGAGGAAAATCTACCAAGCAAATTGAAATCAGAAAAAAGCAGGTTTTACAATCCTAATTTCAGACAAAACAGACTTTAAACCAATAAAGATCAAAAAAGACAAAGAAAGGCATTACGTGATGGTAAAGGGTCCAATTCAACAAGAAGATCTAACTGTCCTAAATATATATGCACCCAGAACAGGAGCAACCAGATTCATAAAGCAAGTTCTTAGAGATCTACAAAGAGACAGACTCCCATTCAATAATAGTGGGGGACTTCATCATTCCACTGACAGTATTAAACAGATCATCAAGGCAGAAAATTAATAAAGATATTCAGGACCTGAATTCAACATTGAACCAAATGGATCTGATGGACCTCTACAGAATTCTCCACTCAAATAACAACAGGACATACATTCTTCTCATCACCACATGGCACATACTCTAAAATTGACCACACAATAAAACAAAACAATCTTAAGCAAATGCAAAGGAACCAAAATCATACCAAACACACTCTCAGACCACAGAGCAATAAAAATAGAAATCAACACTAAAATCACTCAAAACCATGCAATTTCATGGAAATTAAATAACCTGATCATGAATGACTATTGGGTAAGTAATGAAGTTAAGGTAAAAATAAAAATGTTCCTTGAAATTAATAAGAACAAAGATATAACAAACAAGAATCACTGGGACACAGCTAAGGTAATTTTAAGAGGATTATTTATAGCACTAAACACCTCCATCAAAAATTTAGAAAGATCTCAAATTAACAACCTAATATCACAACTAAAAGAACTAGAGGAGCAAGGGCAAACCAACCCCTTAAAGCTAACAGAAAACAAAATATCCAAAATCAGAGCTGAGCTGAAGAAGATCAAGAAAAAAAATACCACTCAAAAGATCAACACATCCAAGAGTTAGTTAGGCTGCTAGCTAGACTAAAAAGAAGAAAAAAGAGAGGATACAAATAAGCACAATTAGAAATGACAAAGGGGATGTTATCACTGACTCCACAGAATTACAACCAACCATGAGAGATCAATATAAACACCTTTAGGAAACCTAGAAGAATCAGAAATAAATAGCCTGATTCAATGATTTTGTGATTCAGTAAATGAGACCATAAAAAGCCTAGAACTAAACAGATTCACAGCTGAATTGTACCAGATGTACAAAGAAGAGCTGGTACCATTCCTACTGAAATTATCCCCAAAACATTGAGGAGGAGAGACTCCTCCCCAACTCATTCTAGGAGGCCAGCATCATGCTGATACCAAAACTGGGCAGAGACACAACAAATAAAGAAAACTTCAGGCCAGTATTCCTGATGAATATTAATGGAAAAATCCTCAACAAAATACTAGTAAACTGAATTCAGCAGCACATCAAAAAGCTACTCTACCATGATCAAGTAGGCTTTATCCCTGGGATGGAAAGTTGGTTCAACATATGCAAATCAGTAAACATTATTCATCACATAAACAGAACTAAAGACAAAAACCACCTGATTATCTCAATAGATGCAGAAAAGGCTTTCAATAAAATTCAACAGTCCTTCATGTTAAAAACTCTCAACAAACTCAGTATTGAAGGAACATACCTCAAAACAATAAGAGCCATCTATGAAAAACCGACAGCCAACATCATACTGAATGGGCAAAAGCTGGAAGCATTCCACAAGACAAGTATGCCCTCTTTTCAACCTTCTTATTCAACATAGTGTTGGAAGTCCTGGCCACAGCAGTCAGGCAAGAGAAAGAAATAAAGGGTATCCAAATAGGTCAGAGAGGAAGTCAAACTATTCCTGTTTGCAGCTGACATGATTCTCTATCTAGAAAACACTATAGTTTTAGCCGAAAAGCTTCTTAAGCTGATAAACAACTTCAGTAAAACTTGCACGTTGTGCACATGTACCCTAAAACTTAAAGTATAATAATAATAAAATAAAATTTTTTAAAAATCATCATACAAAAACCACTAGCACTTCTGTACACAAACAGCAGCTAAACCAAGAGCCAAATCAGGAACACAATCCCATTCACAATTGCCACAAAAAGAATACAATACCTAGGAATACAGCTAATCAGGGAGGTGAAAGATCTCTACAATGAGAATTAAAAAACACTGCTCAAAAAAATCAGATAACACAAACAAATGGGAAAAAAAAACATTCTGTGCTCATGGATAGGAAGAATAAATATCATCAAAATAGTCATACTGCTCAAAGCAGTTAACAGATTTAATGTTATTCCTATCAAACCACCAATGACATTCTTCACAGGAAAGGGAAAAACAACTATTGTAAAATTAATTTGGAAGCAAAAAAGAGTCCAAATAACTAAGACAGCCCTAAGAAACAAAAACAAAGCTGGAAGTATAATTTTACCCAACTTCAAACTGTATTAAAGGGCTACAGTAACCAAAAGAGCATGGTACTGGTACAAAAATAGATGCATAGGTCAATGGAACAGAACAAAAAGGCCAGAAGTAAGACAGCACACCTACTACTATCTGATCTTTAACAAAGCTGAAAAAAACAAGCAATTGGAAAATGACTTCTTATTCTATTCAATAACTGGTGCTGGGATAACTGGCTAGCCATATGCAGAAGATTGAAACTGGACCCATTCCTTACACCATATAAAAAAAATCAACTTCAGATGGATTAAAGACTTAAATTTAAAACCCAAAACTATAAAAACCTTGGAAGACAACCTCGGCAATACCATTCTGGACATAGGAACTGACAACCATTTCATGACAAAGATACCAAAAGCGATCACAACAAAAACAAAAATTGACAAATGGGATCTAATTAAATGAAAGAGCTTCTGCACAGCAAAAGAAGGTATCAACAGAGTAAACAGACAACCTACAGACTGGAAGAATATACTTGCAAACTATGCATCTGGCAAAGGTCTAATATCCAGCACCTGTAAGAAATTTAAACAAATTTGCAAGAAAAAAACAACCCATCAAAAAGTGGGCAAGGGACACTTTGCAAAAGAAGACATACATATAGCCAAAAAGCATATTAAAAAAAAAAAACTCTCAAAATCACTGATCATTAGAGAAATACAAATGAAAACCACAATGAGATACCATTTCACACCAGTTAGGATGTTCATTACTAAAAAGTCAAAAAATAACAGATGCTGTTAAATTGCAGAGAAAAGAGAACACTTATACACCGTAGGTGGGAGCGTAAATTAGTTCAACCATTTTGGAAGACAGTGTAACAATTCCTCAAAGACCTAAAGAGAGAAATACCACTCAACCCAGCGATCCTATTACTTGGTATATACCCAAATGATTATAAATCATTCTATCAAAAAGACCCATTCACATGTATGTTCATTGCAGCTCTATTCACAATAGCAAAGACATATAATCAACCTAAATGTCCATTAATGGCAATTTGGATAAAGAAAATGTGGTACGTACACACCATGAAATACCATACAGCTATAAAAAAGAACGAGGTCATGTTATTTGCAGGAACATGGATGGAACTGAATTCTATTATCCATAACAAACTAATGCAGAAACAGAAAACCACATACCACATGTTCTCACTTGTAAGTGGGAGCTAAATGATGAGAACACATTGACCCATAGAGGGGAACAACATACATTGGGGCCTACGTGAGGTTGGAAGGTAGGAGGAAGGAGAGGATTAGAAAAAATATTGAGTACTAGACTTAGTATCTGGGTGACAGAATAATCTGTCCAACAAACCTTCACGACAAGAGTTAATCTGTATAAGAAACCTGCGCATGTTCCCATGAACCTAAAATAAAAGTTTAAAAAAGAAACCCTATAGAAAATATTTCAAGTGGTAGGAGCTGAGAGGGGAAAGAACAGAGATGATAAAAGAGTTCAACTGGGTTAAATACAATAAATTGGGTTTAAAAAATAATAAAAATAACAAAAATAAACTTTATTAAAATATCTAAAGATTGTTTTGTCAATACCATCAGTTTTGAAGATCATAAAAACTACATAGAATAAAAATCATATTTGTTTAAAGCAGTTTGTGTAAATGTCAGCATGTTTATAAAGCTTAGGGATTGTTAATACATATTTTTATAATGACAATGGTAGTGATGTCAACACTAAACAATGCCTTGTGGCTGGGCGCGGTGGCTCATGCCTGTAATCCCAGCACTTTGGGAGGCTGAGACAAGTGGATCACCTGAGGTCAGGAGTTTGAGACCAGCCTGACCAACATGGAGAAACCCCATCTCTACTAAAAATACAAAAAATTAGCCGGGCGTGGTGGCGCATGCCTGTAATCCCAGCTACTCAGGAGGATGAGGCAGGAGAATCGCTTGAACTTGGGAAGCAGAGGTTGCGGTGAGCCAAGATTGCACCATTGCACTCCAGCCTGGGCAATAAGAGCAAAACTCCATCTCAAAAAAAAGAAAAAAAAGAAAAAAAAAAGCCTTGTTATAATAATCATACTGCTAAATCAATATGTATTATGTTATTTCTATGTTCTTCTTAATACAGTAGTTCAAAAGAGCAGAATGTTCTGTACCCAAGAATTCCACAATATTTATCCACTGGATTGTATGAGAAACGAAGATTTTAAAACCACACAGAACTACAAAGGTCAAGTATTTGAATCAACTGATGATTACTTCACCAGTAAAATCAAAGAACAAATTTGAAATTTTTTTACACACTAGATAATTTGACTGATTTAATATTCTAACGGCAAAAACTCAAGATTTTTTACCATTTCAGATCAAAACTAGCATCACTTCGTTTCCTATGAAAACCAAGTTGTCTTACTTGATATGGTATACACAACAATATAAAGTTATAATTACAGTTAAAATGCTATTATTCATCATAAAAATATGAAATCAGAGAAACTGCCGATTCTGGACATTTCAGTCTTACTTTTAGTGGTTTGAGGTACCCCAGTTAACATTGCAACTGTAAGTCTATAAACCCTAAAAAGTATTGTAACTGTGAATCTACAAATAAAAACAATTATATTTCAATTAAACACTATGAGCAACAAATGACTTAAAGAGACTACAATCCAAGTTTATAAAATCTTTTGAAATACTTCATTTTCTAACAGACCAATAGAATCCAGCATATAGTTTTTCTTCTACAATCACTCACATTCACTTATTCAACAAGAATCACTGCTTGCCAGGCACTATGCTCTGTGCTGAGTGGAATAAATAGGTAAGTAATATCATTAGGAAGCCCTGATTGACTGGCATCCCAGAAAATAACAACAATAAGAAAATTGTAACCTTTAGAATAAGAAAGGCAACCTTATTAGAAAAGCCATCTGTATTTATAATTAAATGAATTATTCAGCTAGGAAAATTTATGGTTAGGAATTTTGCTAAACAAACCTTAAAAATAAGTACTATAATCAGAAGCATGTGTGTTATATCCTGTCCTCCAAAAAAGTGTCACACAACATCACAGCTATAAATTTTCATAGGTATTTTTGCTAGAACACTAAATTATTTTAATATTTTGCAACTCCCATCTGTTATAAATCTTAGAAAATATTCACTGGATAATATTTTTTCATTAATGAGTTTCCAAAAGGGTACTAATTCTCAAAATAATATGAATTATTGAAATATTTTAAAATTTGTTTTAAAAAGTGCTCACTTCCCTACCTTTTCCCCAAAATCTCCAGTGAAAAAACCCTAGAAATCAGTTAATACATCACTACAGTGGTAGTAAGACTGAGGTGACTAGAGGATATTCATAAAAACAATTTTAGTCTTTTATAGAAAGAGGTCTGAATTTTGGAAACATTGTATCATAGCTTCTTTCATTAAATAAAAGAGCTTCTTTTTGTTTTGTTTCATTTTGTTTTTCTCTTTTCAACCTTCTCCTCTTGCCATTTCATTGTATCTTATTAGAGAAAGCAATTACTCCTTTTCTTATCCTTGAATCTTTCTTTCTTTAACCATGGTATTCTGCCCCCCTAGTAAGCATTCATGAGTTTCTTAAATAAGAGGTAATGGTTTAAGATTCAAAAAACTTAGTTTATCACCTGGATTTGCCATTTACTTTGTTACCTATTCATTTTCCTTCTCCTTCAGACATATGAAAAGTGGAAAAACTCCTAAAAAGTCCCTGTCGGTCTATCATTAGGATTGAGTCTGTTGTTTTTATTAGACCATAATGTTTTTGCACCCAAATTTGTCAATCCTTTCAAATTTCCCTTAGAGAAATTTTGAGGGGCTCAGCACTGGTCTGAAATTGTCCCTACACCAGACAGTCTGTCCAGAATTGGTGAAGGGCTCTCAGCATCCCACACAGTCAGGAAGAACTTGAGTTCTAAGCAATTCACTACCACGATTTCTTTTCATTGTCTCAAGGGTGCCAGTGTTCTAAGATAGCAAAACAGATGCTAATATATTTAGAATATTCTTTAGTGTGTAGGCTCACTGGCCATCTTCCATCACAGGCTTCCATGATTCTCTGAGGGAGGACAATTCTTTCCTTTGCAGCTGACCTCGAGTTCCTAATGTCACAAATCTTAGCTCTCATGTTATTTAAAAATTCTTCATATATATTTATTCCCCTGGGTTCCAGCCATATCACACTTTGAATCTTTGTCCCCCTTCCCTGCTCCCTACCTGTGAATTCATCACTGTCAAGGATTGGGCAATTTTCCTCCTTTCCTTTTCAATCCTCAATTGCATAGGGTTGTTCTACCTTGCCTGACCTTTTCACTGCACTCAACCTTCAAGTACAGCTACAGAATGTCTTCAAGGGGTCCTACATCTATCTGAAATCCTCTTTGTTGACTCAGGCTGGATTAGATCAACTCTGTAGATCCACCCTGCCCCATCCTACTCTAACTTTCTCCAACATTCTCCAGGAAATTGGACCTTTATGAACCTTATCAACCTGCCTCCTTTTCCTTCTACTTCAGCTGGTGGCCAGTGGGGGTTATGGCAGCCATGAAAATGCATCTTTCAGAATTCCAACTCTCAGTAGTATAATTGATTGACAACCCCAGTTGGGGTATTCTGAAATTCATCAACACATATGTGTCTGAAGGCTACATCCTATGGGCTACTCCCAAGCAATCACTGAACACATCAAAGAAACTAAGGGAGGTTCACTCCCAGAATAGCTGAGACTCCATTAATAGATGGCTTCCATTTTGAAGTTTTATTAGAACAGCATGTCAGCTTTATTAGAACTGCATCAGAGGAAGACAAAATCTTCCTTCCCTCTCGCCACAGACTTTACGTGCCTCCTTGGCTTCCTCCCTATTTTCTCTCATGGGCATTTCCTCAATAAATCTATTGCATGTCTAATTCCATCTTAGTATCTGCTTCTTAGAGTGCCTGACCTAACATATGGTAAGAATAAAAGATGGTGAGGGTATTTATTTCCTTGAGTTCCTTCCTGTTGTGCCACAGGTTGACAGGGGCTAAGTTCCTTTCCCCTATGACCACATTTCCTATTGGGTTACCCTCTCTAACAGGTACAAGTCTTGCTGACCTCCAGTAACTGCTCAGTTAACTTGTTCTTTCAAACACAGAATTGTTAGCAACTCCCTCCTGTTGCCAGTCCTGGGATACTTCATCCTCCCTGTTAATTATCTTTAACTTTGCCCATGTTATAGACACTTTCTTGAATTCTTTTCCAACACTCTTTCTTCTGTATTTTATTTTGATATATTTTTAAATATTTAGAAAATAATTAATATACAGAACTTATCTATATCTTTTCCTCAGATTCCCCAATGTTTAATATCATATACAATCACTCTGCATATGTGTGTAATTATTACTTTTTCTGAATTATTTGAAAGTTTCATGTCTGATGCCCAGTCTAGCAAATTCAATGTGTGTATTTTCCTAAAAACAAGAACTAAAGATATTACCTTGCATATCCATAGCATTATTTGAAAAAAAGAAAAATTAACATTAATGCAATGCTATTATCTGAACTATAGATCTTACTCAAATTCTTCCAATTGACTTAATAATGTCTTCTATCCAAAAATTCTAGTCCAGGGTTGAATGCAGGATCACATATTGCATATTCACCCTCAATGCATGCAGAAACTATTTTCTCCCAGGATCCTAAAAATTATAATAATTGGTACAAAAATAGGCCCTAGGAAACAGACTCTCAGAATTGGATTATGGAATAAGTTTGCTTAAATATTTGATGGTCATATGTATAACTTTCTTCCTTGATGGGGAAGGGGAGAAGATATGATATTCAGTAGCATCATGATCAAATTATCAGTAGTGGCATAAAAGGGAAGAGATAAATTTGATGTGGCATGTAGTTGCTTGGGTGATAATGATGATTATAAAAATTGTGTCATGTGATAGCTGCTTCTTATAATTCTAGAGAACATCATACAAAAAAGGACAAATTGAAAGCTTCAAATGCACAACACAAGGCACAAGTAGAAAATCAGAAAGTGCTATAGCAGCTTTAAAAGAGCCCCTTACTGTCAGTATCCATACAGAAGGTATGGCTAAGGATCAACTAGAGGACTTGAATATAAGGATTTGGGAGTTGCAACACCAAATAAATATGTATACTTGACATGTCTCATGTCAAGGCAAGAGCACTGGGAAAGAAGCAGAGCTGTAAGACAGGAGATAAGGACATTGGGCAGACAAGACAAAGCTGAGAACTTTGAGTCCCCAAATCTCCCTGAACTTTGTCTACCAGCAGAAGCAGCCCCTCCTCTCCTGGCAGAGAAGAACCAACCTTCCCCTGGTATCACCAGGAGTAGTTGACTAATAAGACAAAGGCAATTGCCTATTTCCCTGAGGACCTTTCCTTACCATCCTTCATCATCTCCAGATCCGTAACTAAAGTTGAATCCCAGCATAACCCAGTCAGAGAGGAATAAGGCCTAATCCAGAAGGAGATAGCCTATGTACCTAAAAGAAATGCATGATCTTGGCAATATGAATCAGCAAGAATTTTAGAAGCATGTACATATATGTATGGATTCTAATATTACATTCATGAAAATGGAGCAAATAAACTGATAGGGTATAATCACAGAGGATTTGAGATTTAATGTATACTGTGTTTCCACAGGCAAATGCCAGTAACAGTAACAGTCTACGAGGTAGATTAACTGAAGCTTAGACTCATCCATGGCTTATAATCAGTAATACTGAAATGCTAGAACTTAAATCCCTGATATACTATAGAGAAGGTGATGCAGGATTTTTTTCTCAGCCCCATCACTGGACTCGCAACAGAGGCAAATATTTACTCAGCCTGCTGTGCTCAAACCCTTTCAGGAGGGAGCACGTGAATGAGTGAGTGTGGGTCCCGGCCAGCCACTCCAGGCACTGGCAGGAGCAAGCTCCACATAGAGCACATGGCCAGACAAGGCATGAGTAAACAAGTGTGAATCCAGCCAGCCGCTCTGGGTGCTGGCAGTAGAAAGCTCCATGTGGGGCTTATGGCCAGACCAGCTGTGAGAAAACAAGTGTGGGATCCAGCTGGCCACTCTGATGGTAGGAGCAAGCTCCATGCGGTGGTGCCCAGGTGTTGGGGTGCCTGCCACCCCAAAGCCCCAGAGGGGGTGTTACAGACTCCTATAGTTCTGCTGTCTGCAGACAGCCATGTGTTAACAGCTCAGTTGGCCCCTTGCCTCATCACATGAGGTGGCTGCCCTCCACCAACAAGTGCAAAGGGCCAGTGTGACAGCCTTTTTGGGTACTCACAATCAGTGGGTCCTGAGCTCCTGTCCAGTGTCCAAGAAGGATGAGGTTATGCAGACACCGGAAGGATGGTGAAGGTGGAGAATTTTACTGAGCAGTGGAAATGACTCTCAGCAGAGAGGGGAGCTGGAGAGGGGATGGGAAGGGCAGGTAGTCTTTCCTGAAGTCAGGTGGTCTTCTCCCCAAAGTCCAGCCATCTCTTCCCCTAAATCAAGCTGTCTCTCTTCCCCAAAGTCCCACTTCTCTTTTCTACCAACTGAGTCTGGGGTCTTTATAGGCTCAGGATGGGAGTGGGGCAGGCCATAGGTAGTTTTGGAAATGGCAACATTCAATTGGTAAAAACACATTATTCAGAAAGAACCAATCAGGAGAGAGCAGGAAAACAGGAATAGAAGTTTTCACTTCGGGTCACTGGTTTCAGGCTACCTTGGCTTGAAGGTGGGGTTTCACCAGGGACCTACCCCTGTCTGCCTAGAATTTCTCTGCCTCCTGCCTCTATCAAAAGGAGTTCAAAATCTCATGAAGATGAGAGTACCTGGCTGGATCTATCATACACAGCCTGCCCAGCCATTCCCCTAATCATAATCCCTTGAAGGGCCCAGGGAACACACTTTCAGAAGGACATTAAGAAATGTATTGGCAAAGGAAGCAATGACACTCTTAGAAAGCTCTGTGAAGTCTGTCTTCTATAGAGTATAGATGATGGGGAGAGATACTGCAAAGGAATCAAGCTGTCTGAGTTCAGTGGTGACTGTGGGACCCTGGCATGGTAGAAGCCAGCTAGAAGTGCCTAACCTTTAGAACCACATCAGCTGTAAAGACAGGGTAGAAATCAGAATGTTTTTGAGAGTGACAGGAAGCAGCCAAATGCCTAGGCAGATAGGAGCAGGTCTCCAGTGAAACCCTACCTCCAAGCTGAAGACAGTTTAAAGCCTGAAAGCCAAGCTACAAGTGAAATCCTTGGACCAAATTGAGAACTTGTCTTCCTGTTTGGCATGCTGTCCTCTGATTGATGCCCACCCTTCATCTATTTTACATATACCTACCTTTCCTAATTGGTTTTCTACACTGTCATGCCCACCTTTGAGTGGTGTCTTTACTTCAACCTTATTTTCATACTCACAAACCAATCAGCATGCATACCTCATTCTGAGTCCATAAAAGGCCCTGGACCCAGTTACAGAGAAGGGGCTTTCCAGCCTTCAGGTAAGGGAACCACTCACCCCACATCCTCTCTTTGTTGAGAGCTTTCCTTTCACTTAATAAATTCTAGTCCACTCACTTTCCAGTGTCAGAGCACCTAGTTCTTCCTGAAGATCTCAAACCTAGCTGAGCTAAGGAGCAGAAAGACTGCAACATTTTGACCCACAGAGATCTGTGGCAATGGCTAATGATCATGGGGCACCTAGTGATAAAATCATGGCAGGTGCAGCTTAATATTTATAAATAGGAAAAGTTGAAGTCAAGTAGGCAGCAACCTGACTCATCATTCTGATTAGAATTCTCAGGCTCTTACCTGTTTGCCAAGCTTATACCAGTTCACTAGCCTCTTGGATTCTGGGAACAGGTGCCACAAAGAACCTTGCGTACTGGATGCATACAGCATCCCAGCCAATGGCTTTCAATCTTGGCTATAAATGAGACTCACTTAGGGAACTTTTAAAAATACTCATGTTTGGCCCTATCTCCAGACCTTCTGACTGATACACATGCCATACGAGGAATTGGTGAAAAGAAAAACTAAAAGTGGTTAAAGTTTGAAACAATAAAATGATATCCAAAAGCATCCAAATAAATCAGAAGCAATCAAAACAATATCCATAGAGTAAAATGCTCCAATTTTCTCTACTTTATAAGGAACAATTGGAGTATATCAGTTTGGTAGCAGTTTACAGAAAGAAGAGACATGAAAATGTAAATGAAAGTGTGAAACATTTAACCCAATAGAACAGAACTGAGGAGGAAAGCCAGAAAGGAATTATGGGAATTAATCATATAATTGGTACCTACAATTTTGTACTGAAAAACCATGAGTAAAATGATAAAGGAATTTCCAAAAGTTGCTTAAAAATACCCCAAAATAGAAGGATAAAATCAGAAATGTACTGGCAATTAATAATAACTTTTGGCTACTAATTGCTATAAATCATAAACCAAGATTGACATGCTACTTAAGAAACTGAAGATAAAATCATAAAATGCTAAAATTTTGGCAAAATAAAAAATTATCAAAAATATGATCCAAGCAAATTCAATATAAATAGAAAAACCCCATGCTCAGTTTTGAAATTTTATTTGACTTTAAAATAAATGTTTTAAAATATTACATACACTCATATTAGATAAAAACACCTTCTGATTTTAGCCTTTGGTAAGTTCAAGTTTCTCTAATGCTGCTATAAAACAATTGATCAATCAAATTTTGCAGTAATCATTGCAAGCTGTTAATATCATTCCATAATTCATGTAAACATTTAAAACAGTTTAAAAGAAACAAAATTTTAGTAAATTAAAGAGATTTAGTACATTTTGTGAATTAAAGTTCTTTACATTTATTTTAAGCTAATTGGTTTTTAGCTTATTGGCCTACCTGCTGTTCTAAGACTTTAATACAGAGATTTTATGATCTCCAAAAACCTCAATTTTGCCTTAAACTTATGCTTCTTTAGGCTATGTATATGAGAATAATAACATCTAAATATGTGGTAGGGCATAGTGGCTCATGCCTGTAATCCCAGCACTTTGGGAGGCCAATGCAGGCAGATCACCTGAGGTCAGAAGTTTGAGACAAGCCTGGCCAATGTGAGGAAATCCTGTCTCTACTAAAAATACAAAAATTAGTCGGGCATGGTGGTGCATGCCTATAATCCCAGCTACTCGGGAGGCTGAGGCAAGAGAATCGCTTGAACCTGGGAGGTGGAGGATTCAGTGAGCCAAAATCATGCCACTGCACTCCAGCCTGGGCGACAGAGCAAGACTTAGTCTCAAAAAATAAATAAATAAATCTAGATATGTCATTGCAATAGCTGTATAACTCAGAAAAACGTGTTAATTAATAGCTAAATGTTTAAAAACATATAGAAATTCCACAGACCTACTCAAATGTTTACTTTCACACAGCATAAATTCAGTCAAAAGGCTGAATTTCTAAGTTTTGTTGGTGGGAAACACTAACAGAAAATATGTATGAATGGTGATGTAGAAAAGGAGGAGGAAGAGAAGGAAGGCATGGAGTACAAGAAGAGGAGAATAATTTTTATCTTATTTTAAGTTCTGGGATACATGTACAGAATGTGCAGGCTTGTTACATAGGTAAACATGTGACATGGTCATTTGCTGCACCTATCAACCTATCACCTAGGTATTAAGCCTAGCATGCATTAGCTATTTTTCCTGATGCTCTCCCTCCCCCTGCACCCACCCCGCAACAGGTACCAGTGTGTGTTTTTCCCCTCCCTGTGTCTATGTGTTCACATTGTTCAGCTTCCACTTATAAGTGAGAACGTGTGGTGTTTGGTTTTCTGTTCCCGCACGGGTTTGCTAAGGATAATGGCTTCCAGCTCCATCCATGTCCCTGCAAAGGATATAATCTCATTCTTTTTTGTGGCTGCATAATATTCCATGGTGTACATGTACCATATTTTCTTTATCCAATCTATCATTGATGGGCATTTGGGTTAATTCCATAGCTTTGCTATTGTAAATAGTGCTGCAGTGAACACATGTGTGCATGTATCTTTATAATAGAATAATTTATATTCCTTTTGTTATATTATATACCTAGTAATGGGATTGCTGGGTCAAATGGTATTTCTGGTTCTAGGTCTTTGAGAAATTGTCACAGTGTCTTCCACAAGAGTTGAACTAATTTACATTCTCACCAACAGTATAAAAGCATTCCTATTTCTCCACCGCCTCACCAAAATATGTTGTTTCTTGACTTTTTAATAATCACCACTTTGACTGGCATGAGATGGTATCTCATTGTGGTTTTGTAATTATCAGTGATATTGAGCTTTTTTTCATATGTTTGTTGACCGCATAAATGTCTTCCTTTGAGAAGTATCTGTTCATGTCCTTTGCCCACTTTTTAATGGGGTTGTTTGCTTTTTTCTTGTAAATTTGTTTAAGTTCCTTGTAGTTCCTGAGGCAGGAGAATGGCATGAAACCGGGAGGCAGAGCTTGCAGTGAGCTGACATCTTGCCACTGCACTCCAGCCTAGGGGACAGAGTGAGACTCCGTCTCAAAAAAAAAAAAAAAATGTATGTGTATATATATATATATATATATATATATATATATATAGACTTTTCTTAATTGTTGGGCTATATATTGCTTATTGGTATCCAATTCTCATGGATTGATGTTTATATTAAAACCTCAGTCTTGGCTTTTTACAGGTAACATTCTCAGAACTTTTTACGTTGTTTTCATCGCCCATTGATGAAAGCATAAGGATAACATAGAGTTATTCTTTATTTATTTTTAATAATGCTATCTTTACTAGGCCTAGGAATGAGCTATTTTGCAATAAATGGAAAGGTGGACATGAAAATAATTGTGAAACTTATATTGTAAAATATCTAAACTTGGTTTAGTGTCAGAGAAATCCCCAGTCTCTCAACTCACACTAAATGTTCGTCTCTTATGGTATTTTCTATACTAGACTAGTAAATGTTTTTGCTTCCATCTAGACCTAATTCTGAGCTATGCACTGATGACACTGTCCAGACTATAATGCAGATGGGATTAGAGACAAGGAATGTCTATAATCACATACACAGGCACTCTTACACAAAAGAAGGCCTATAATCCAATATAGTCGTAAGTTATATGCTCCATGTGTGAGTGGGGCCGAGTGTGATATGGGTGTTATCAGAAATTAACATATTTGTTTTTGGAACAGCATGAACTTTACATGCTGTCTGTTAACCATGTATATTTTTGGAATTACATTGTATTGAAAATTTTAGTGGTCATTCTCCTAGACAAAAATACAAGAACATTTTTCATTTTAAAACATAGCCAACAATTTCTGAGTGCTTAATACGTACTGAAGAGGAGAATACTAAGTGCCTATATGGATAACTCATCCAATTCTCAAAATAGCCTGTGATGTTTGTGCTATTATTATCCACCCATTTGGAGATGGGGAAACAGACTTAGGGAGGCCGAGTCACTTGCTCTGGCTGCATATATGGAGCTGGGATTCTGACTTGGCATCTGACTCCAGGGCAGCCCTGGTTGAGATTTCTCCTGAGCTAAACTACCACGTACACGTCCTTTTAGTTGGGTGTTCCAGTGGAATTTTGTAAAAAGGGGTTAGGAAAGGCCATGATATATAATTATAGGGAACACTGAATGTCTAATAATATTTTCTCAAACTCCTATAAGTTCAGGATCATGTAGGAGGTCTCAAAAGGATTTTTTATACCCAACACTGATTCAAGTTAAAAAAAATAAGAAAGGAATGTTGTTTATTATGATAGAAGATATATACTAGGATTGATTTTTAAGGTCTAAATGGTATTTTTTTAAAAAACTTTTGATCAAACCTGGTTTTTAATTCTATCTTTGCCTTCGTCATTTTCTTTAGTCTTTGATAACTTAAATTTATTCTGTTTTGCTTTCCCTGTCTGAAAAATAAGGTTATTACTACCTTAAATTCCTCAGGGAGTTGTTGGAATAACCCAATGTGTGTAACACAATTACTATGAAAACACACATTTAATTATTCTCTTCCTAAAATTTTTGCAATCTATCCACCTGATAAGGGTAATCCCAGCACTTTGGGAGGCCGAGGCAGGCAGATCATGAGGTCAGGAGATCGAGACCATCCTGGCTAACATGGTGAAACCCCGTCTCTACTAAAAATACAAAAAATTAGCTGGGCGTGGTAGTGGGCGCCTGTAGTCTCAGCTACTCGGGAGGCTGAGGCAGGAGAATGGTGTGAACCCGGGAGGCGGAACTTGCAGTGAGCCAAGATCGTGCCACTGCACTCCAGCCTGGGTGACAGAGCAAGACTCCGTCTCAAAAAAAAAAAAGAAATATATATATATATTTTAATGCTTGAAATTCTGTCAGTGGTGTTACTAATCTTTAGCTGTTTCTTAAGCATTGTGGTAAACTTACTATTGTTTACCTCTGCTTCCTAAGTCTATGGAAGAGTACATATCCCAGACTGCTAGTAATTAGGCAGGGCCATGTAACTAGTTCTGGCTGGTAGGCTATGAACTGAAGTAGTATGCTTCGGTTCCTGACCAAAGAATTTAATTGCAAGGGCAAGATCCTCTCACTCTCTAACCTTCTCCATGAGTTTCAGAGGGTACAGCTGCAAGGGAGCCGCTGTCAGCCCAGCTTCATGTGAAGCAGGGTCTCACCAACCCACATGGAGGGCAGCATCAATAAGTTATGTTAAGCCACTTAGACTTGATAATTGTTACTGCAGCACAACCCAAACAATCCTGCCTGATATAAACAGAATCAATATTTTTCTGCCAGATTCCTGAAATAGCTGTGGAATCCTTCTCATTTTACTATTATTAGTGAGAAATGAAATCACCTACGCCCATTCAGCTTACTGTCATCAATAATATGACAGTACTCTTGGACTGTCTTCATCAACATGACTTTATTACTCCAGGAAACTTTTGCTCAAGGGAAAAATAGTTGCAAATGAATGTATTAATGTATTTCATTTTAAAACTTCCCAATAATCCATTTAAATTAACATCAAACTGCTCAACTTTCCAGTTGATACTGTAAAATCACTATTTACTCTCCAAGACATTCTTTGAAACTCTTGTCTGAAAACATTTGTGATGCCCATGATTCCTAAACTATCATAGCACAAACCTTACCCAAACAGAATCTATATCAACACAAGTTTGGAGATAAGCATTTTGATTGAATGTGGCACCCAAATGTTGAAATGTATTTGCTATTCCTGATCTAGAAGAGTCAGGAATTTAAGGATTCTGATACGTCTTAAGACAAAGTGGGGCTAACAATCTTAGGACTGGTTGAAAGTCACAAAGATGCAATCAAAGATCTTGATTATCTCATCTAGTCTAGCAGAGGATTATTCTCTAGAGATTGTGCAAAATGAGGACTATGTATTGAAAATACTGGGAAGAGCTGAAGAACGCATGCTCACTAAATTCAGGTGAATTTAATAAAAGTTAATATTCAGAGCAGGGAGATGTCTAGTTCCCTTCCTTGTACCCAACCCTTTGGCTCCCAGAATGCAAGAGCTAGGGTTATACTCTCAAGGAGTATTAGTGGACTCAACTGAAAGTGCCTACAGAGACTGATACTCAATTATCCCACAATGAAATAAAAAGTTTTCGATCCTATGAATCCCATTAATTTTAGTTCCTCACCATCAAATATGAGTCTACAGAGATCGCCAGATATTTGAGGAAAACCTCCAATATGAAAGCAGCAGTGGCTCCCCGCCAATCCAAACAAAAAAAATACTCCAAGAAAATAAACACTATGCAAAGCAGAAGAAAATTTCAAAAATAACCTCTGAAAGAAAAAATATTGCATTTGTGGGGAGGTAGGGAGCAGAAGACAATAAAGATAAAACAAAATAAAAATAAAAAATATTAAAATTACAAATATAACAGAAGAAAGAAAAATAATTAACAGAAGGACTGAAAAATTAAATTAAATTCCACCAGAGCAGTATTTAAAAGAACAAGAGATTAACAGTAGGAGAGAAGAGATAAACATAAGAGGCTCACTCAGGAATCAATTCGACTAAGTATTACAAAAATAGGTAACAGGGAAAATAAAAGGCAAGAAAGTATCAAATAAATGAGGGAAAATGTTCCAGAACTATAAATAAGTTTCTACATTGAAGTATCAGTAAGTGCTCAACACAATGGATGAAAGAAGACCCAGACCGAGGTGCATCGTTGTGAAATTTTTAAATACCATGAGTAAAGGTAAGAGTCTAACAGCTTCCGGAGAGAAACAATAAAGTCGTATACAAAGTACTGATAATAAGAATAGTGTGAGGGTTTTCAATAGCATAATCAATAATTGGAAGACAGTCACAAATATTTAACTTCTGATTATGGAAATTTCAAGTACATGTAAAGATAATAGTAAAAGGAATCTCAATATACCTACCACCCAGCTTCAAAAATTATTTACTCATGGCCAACCTTTACTACAAACTATTTCTCCCTCATCCATGATATTTAGAAGAAAGTCTTAGCAACATACATCATTTGTAATAATTTTACTACATATCTAAAATCAAGAACATCCCATTTAAAACATAACTATAATACTTTTATCCCACCCTCAGATAATTATTCAAAATTTTTTGTTATCAACCAACTGGGTGTTCACATGACCATGATTATCTTTTAATGTTTTCTTTTCTTTTTTTCAGTTTTGTTTTGTTTTGTTTTGTTCTGTGTTTTGAGAGACTCGCTCTGCCACCCAGGCTGGAGTGCAGTGGCTCGATCTCTGCTCATTGCAGCCTCCGCCTCTTAGCTTCAAGTGGTTCTCCTGCCTCAGCCTCCAGTCCCAGCCTTGAGTAGCTGGGACTACAGGCACATGCCAGCACACCCAGCTAGTTTTTGTAATTTTTTGTAGAGATAGGGTTTCACCAAGTTGACCAGGCTGGTCTCAAACTCCTGACCTTAAGCCATCTACCCGCCTCGGCCTCCCAAAGTGCTGGGATTATAGGTGTTAGGGATCACGCTAGGCCTCTTCTTTTTCCTAACAGTTTGAATCTGGATCTGAGTAAGATATATACATTGCAGTTGTTAATATGTCTGTGATCTCTTTTATTCTATAAGTTCCTTCTCTAATTCTCTTTCATTTCTTGCAAAAATTTTGTTGAAGAAATTGAGTTATTTTTTCCTTTAAAGTTTCCCACTGCTTAGATTCTGCAGATTATCTCTCTGTAGTATCATATAATGTGTTCCTCTCTCCATCGTACTTCCTACAAGTAATCCTGTAGTTAGATCCTGAGGTTTGAACAGATTTATGTTAAAGTAGTTTTTTAGCTCGACAACTTCATAAGCTGTGTTCTGTATTTCAATCAGGAGGCACATGATGATGATGTAAGCAGCCATTGATGATCACTGCCTGAATCCATGCATTCAGTGGTGATTGCAAAATGCTACTCTCATTCTGTCTTTCCTTCTTAATTTATTAACTGGGATACTTACATAAAGAGAAAGAAATGTCATCTTATCAACTATTTAGTTACCTGACATGGTTACCCCTGGAAAAGCAGAATAAATTCTTGATTGTTTTCCCTTATTTATCAATTTTCAAAATGACTTATCTTCCAATGATAATCAATGAAACTTTTGTCTCAAAAGAAGATATTAATTTAAGTATGTTTGATGTATTCATCTGCTTCAATCATTGAGGTTATTATTCTTATTGTTGCTCAGATTGTCCCATCTTTGGCCAGTGTAAGCCTCAGGGGCCCCTGAGTCCTTCTGACATGATCCAGTAGTTTTGATGGCATTCTTGTTTTCTCATATAGTATAATTGCCCCAGGCTTATCTATTATACTTTCTGACCCAGACTTGGAATAAGCCATTTCTCCAATGATCATTGTTTTTAGAGGAAATGTTATTTAAGGAACACAGTCTGAGTGCCAGGTAGTTTCAATGATACCAGGTTGCTTATTGTTTCTAGACTCTAGTTGACAAAGCTATATGTAATATGTACTTTTCAAGACAAAAAGTAGCATGATATAATATTATCAACAATGCATTATTGATTATTCCACTTAAAATGCAATATATGGGTCTTTTACTTAGCCCTATGAATCTTACATCTGTCCTTTCTCTCATAACAATAGCAATGACTTTATTCGCAAGGACACCAATATAATTATTATCTGCTTGATTATATGCATGCAAAACTATACAAGAATAACAATACTAACACTAGCATCAACAATATGAGTAGTATAACAGTTTAAGATATTTTGCAGTTCTTTTGTTCATGGAACTAGGAACATATAGTCAAATTACTGTGTTGTAAAGTAATTTACGATAGTTTATCTTTCTAAGGTTAGGCTGCCAAACTGCCTTGGCATCATCGGAATTTCCTATGGCCCTCTTGCACTCAATTTAAGATTGACAGTTCTCTCCCAGTTTCAGCTACTGTCCATGGAATTGCCTATGAAGCTCTCCAGGGAGAACCTAATTGTGATAGCAGTTTTCTACAGTTCTCTGGATCATCAAAGTCTTACTGTCAACCCTCTTCTTCCTCTTGAATTGCTTCTGGTACTACATGGGTTCTGTAGCTAGTGGTGTTTTTTTGCCTATGCACTCATATTTTGGCATTTACTGGACTTCTTTGTCATCTACTTTTGTTGTGGAGGTTGTTCATTGTATTTAGTTTTCCATCCTGGTTGTTCTGTTTGTTTTATAAGAAAATACAGTGAAATTTTTAAACTGCATAGTTACCTCCATCTTCCAAAACTCCTTGAATAAGTTTCATTGACTAATTTTTCTATTCAAAACATTGAGTAACAAATAATTTTCAATTTACAGTATTGTATCCAGTCAACCTAGCAATCAGGTGTAAGGGAAGAATGCAGACAGATTCACATTTGCCAAATCTTAAAAAAAAAAAAAATTGCCTTGTAGGTGCCCTTTCTCAGAAAACTGCTGAAAGATGTGTTTAAACAAAACAAACAAGAGTACAGAAGGTAGAATACAAATAATTTAGGAAACAAGAGTTCCTGCCTGGGATATTAGCAAAGAAAAGTCAGGAGAAATGTTCCAGGATGCTATCGGGCCCTAGAGAGAAATCAGGCCAATGTGGAATAGGATTTAAAGTTCCCAGAGGAAATTCTTCAGAAATAAAGACACTGATAGATTATCTAATGTCTTCAAGCCTATGAAACACAATGTTGAAAGATTTTACAATTTTATTGGAATATTTGGCAAGTGTAGCAGAAACTTCTAAGTATCCCACAATATTCATTCTCATATTGGAAAAGTAAATCCTTATCTACTTTAATAAGTAGTCAACATATAGTACTTAAAATTGATAAATAGTAAAAGGCAATAGAAGTATATTATTCCAAAATATGTAAATACCAGGAGAAACTGCTAAAAGAGCTGAAGTATTCACTGATAGAGTAACTAGATGATGGGTTAAGTCCAGTGGGAGCTACTGCTTTTTGTTATAAGCCTTCAAGCACCATTTGATTTTTAAACTCTGTGCATTTATATCTTTGATAAAAAATTAAGTAATTTGTAGTTGCTATACTGGGACAGGTGGTTTACCTGGTTTATATGCAGCAAGATGCACTTTAATTAAAAGTAAAATGTCATCTAGCTGATGAGGATAGAGACACAAATATTAGTTCATCACATTCTCTGTAATGACATAGTATCTAGAACATAGTTGACTTCATTGAATATTTGTGTTTAACTATCAAAAAGATACCTCCTCTTCTATCACTTTAGAAAAATAATATATATAACAATCTTTAAAATTCCACAGGGGAAACTGCATAAATATCTTCCTGATGAACTTAGTGTCTTCTATATTACCCTGTAAGACAATTATGTTTGGGCTGGGATGGTGTTTGGTTTATTTCCAATTTTATCTTTAGCTCAGTGTAGGGTATATCAGAGTTGCTCGATTAATATTTAATAATTGAATAAAACCACTTCAGAATCTTCTTCCTATGATCCATATACAATTTTACTTTTCATTGGAACATTTCCTTCCTTATTGACACTCTCAAAGAAATCCTGGGTAGGATTTGGACAAGGGAAGAAGACATTCGAAAAAGAAAGATTGGGAATGTCCAAAACAAAGAAGACATTCAAAAAAGAAAGACTGGTAATGTCCAAAACAAAGAAAGAGTGGGAATGTCCAAAAAAAGTACACAGCATTTGACAAGGCTAAAGGAAAAGGGAAAACAAGGCATCAGTACTGATCCAGCCTCATAAACTTTCAAGCCACCCAGGGTAATAATCTAAAGCTCAGAGAGTTCATTAAATTGACCAGCCCTCTAGTGTCCATAGCAATGGACTAGTGATCTTCCAGCCCTCTAGTGTCCATAGCAATGGACTAGTGATCTTCCAGCCCTCTAGTGTCCATAGCAATGGACTAGTGATCTTCCAGCCCTCTAGTGTCCATAGCAATGGACTAGTGATTTTTCATTATATACATACATAGATTAAAATAAATGTATTTACACATATGTAATTCCACAAAAATGAACCACATAATTGGTCTTCAGATGACCGTGGTTACTAACGACATGAAGTTGTTTTTACATCATTTTATATTATGCTTGTTCAAAGAGTGGTTTTAAGACTAATCTTTTTCTGAAGCTTATTCAAGGCCTTGAAAACTTTAGGGAAAAAAAGGAATAATAATAAACTCAGCAATAAATGGATCAATAAATCAGGGATGTCATGATGTGCTCCTGGTGGAATGCTAGATTAGAGACCAGTTATTTAGAAATCACAGAGCTTGTTTAGGAAATGGGAAGTTTGGACAAGTTCTTACGAGTTCAGTATCCCTTTTCTGCCCAGAAACATGCAAGCAATGCACCCTCCCTTGGCCACAAGCATTCATATGACACGTAGAGGTCTCCCTTATCCACTCTTACCAATAACATTTTAGAAGGGCTGCTTCAATAAAATGGCATGTTTATACACAAGCTTTCTTTTAACAAAATAGGACTTAGTGTTTTGTATTTGGAAAGTAATTTCCAGGCTCTCAAAACTTTTTAAAAGTATCGCGCGGTGTCTCACGCCTGTAATCCCGGCACTTTAGGAGGCCAAGGCGGGTGGATCACGAGGTCAGGAAATCGAGACCATCCTGGCTAACACGGTGAAACCCCGTCCCTACTAAAAATACAAAAAAATTAGCTGGGCATGGTGGCCGCCTCCTGTAGTCCCAGCTACTCCGGAGGCTGAGGCAGCAGAATGGCGTGAACCTGAGAGGTGGAGCTTGCAGTGAGCCGAGATCGCCCACTGCACTCCAGCCTGGACGACAGAGCGAGACTCTGTCTCAACAACAAAAAAAAAGGATAAACCAGTTCCCATAATTCAGAACCAAAAATGAAATGATTATTAATTTTGAGGAACAGGGTTGAAATTATACAAAAGGAGAATTCTTAAATCTATATATAACTTATCTAACTCACTAGAAAATTGCAAGTTATTTAATGTTAAAATTATCAATTTGTCAGTGCTAAAGATGACACTACTTTATCTTTGAAATGGGATTTTCTGATAGTATTGGCTATTGCTTGGAATGACATTCTTTAAAATTCCCTTTCAGTGAATCTAATATTGTCTCTTACAGTTTTACATTATGTAATTATTGATTAAATAATCTTGAAAAATGTACATAGGAATTTTAAGTAGAAAGTAAGAACTGGAAGGGAGCTTGCAACATTTGAGTTCCTTGATCAATCTTACTGGTTTCTAGAAAGTAGAAAGACTTGAGCCATGAAGTCAGAGACCTAGACTCAAATCCTGCAGCCAACCAGACATGTCACTCAGTTTATTTGCTCTAAATCTCAGCTCATCTATAAAAATGGAAGAATAATATCTATCTTATATAGCTGATATGATTAATAAGGAAGACAATATACAAAATTTCCAGTTGAGTATTAGACTGTGTAATCAATGAGTGGTTGTTACTACTTCAATTCTAGCTCCAAATTATATCTAAAATCACTTTTTGCATAGTCTTGTCTTCAATTTCTCTACCCTTTTCCCCAAACATCTCTAATGCCCTGCTCAATCTTTCATCTTGCTATGCTGTTATTTTACCTCAGATTGCTCTTATTTTAAGAAAAATGTTTTCCTTATTTTCACTGACACTTAAAGGGAAAGATCATTAAAAGTAGCAGTAATTAAATCTAAGAGGGATAATAATCTTAAGAGGTATTACAATAAATACCTCTTAAGATTATTATCCCTCTTAGATTTAATTACAATACAGATATTATCTTTCTTTTATGCAAAGATGATCCTACTGGCAGTAGGATCCATGAGTGGACATAATGCGTGATTATGTAAGATAGATATTATTCTTTCTATTTTTATAGATGAGGAGCTGAGATTTAGAGAAAGCAAATAAATCAAGTGACAAAGACCAATGCATGACCTGCAGTCCTTTTCACAATTATAGCTTATAGAAATCAGCCTGTTTTTAAACTCTAGAAAAATCTATTTAATCGATTTACTCTTTACAATACCAAAAACATGTTCTGAATCAGTGGAGTGAGATTCATGTATGTGAATCTGTGGTTGTTTTGTGTTAATTGTTTAACACTCCTCTGTATATTGAGCTTTTTACCCAAAACAAAATAAGATTCAGATGTAGAGAAAGAGCACACTTTGGTTTGGTTTGGTTTGGTTTTGATTTTGATTTTTTGTTTTTTCAGGTTTTTATTTCTTCGGTATGTAGTTCAGAATGTATTTTTTACCATGAGAAAAGAGATGAGCTTTCAGTTATTCTTCTATAGACAATTCTCTACTACTAATAGCTCAGATAGGGGAAAAATAGGAGAGATAATCTTTCAACAGAGAAAACTGCACATCCCAAGAGTTTTGGTTAGCAGCTGCCCCAGAAAAACTGGATCCTGGAAGAGGTCCATTTACAGCGAGCTGTAGAGTTGAAAGAGAAGGAAGGGAATTTCTCAATGTCAAGCAACAAGCAAAACAGACACTACCAAAAATTTTGAGTATTTGCTACTACAACCAAGTTTTGTACTTGCAGCAGCACTTCCCACCCTTTGCTGAATACTCAAGTGAAGTCCCTCAGGAGTGATGTAAAAGGAAAGGATTTATCACAGAGGCCCTGGGGAGGAAGTAGCTTTAATCTGAAAGTCTATATCCTCTCTTGAGGAGGGACTATGCCAAAGATAGATATGAATGCAGGTAAGCATATGGGTTGAGAAAGAATAAGGAAGTGCAGCTAAGAAAGATGCCACCAGACAGCCTCTACTGCAGCAATGCCATATAGGTTTGTACACACATAAAACAAAATGTATCTAAGAGGGTTTGATTCTGAATAGTGACTGCATTTGTTTTCATTACAGAGCTGTTAATGCATGTTTTGGCAGTGCTCTCAAAGCTCCCATTCTCTCTGCCAGTATAAGCAATGAACTGCAGCAATGCCCTCGGCCAGTGTGCACTCTAGCACACTACTACAAGTAAGGGAATCCACAGTGGACCATGCTTAGTCCACTTGGACCTCCCTGCTATTTATTTTGTGATCTGAGGAACCATGTTGATCTGCAGTAACTGATTAAAAGATGTGAATGTGGTAATGCTGGATCCAAGTAAAGAAGAGCATCAACAATATTAAAATTCCAATTTCATGGCATCTCGAAGTACCTTCAAAGATCTGATAAAGATCAAAGGGCATCTAGCAACTGGTGGGAATTCTTTGGCATCATAAAGAGCATTGGCTGAGGCCTGGGGTTATGGATCGAAAACTGCATGAATGGCTGCAGTAAGAAACTGATCAGAGGCTCATCCTGACTCCAGGGCATGTGCAAGGACCATGTATTGAGAAAGACAACTACGTGTACTGTGCTGAGAAAGCAGCCTCTAAACCATGCAAAAACATCCCCATAGAACCTTGGCTCAGCTCCTGCTGCTCCATTCCCAGGAAGGCATTCCCTCACCTCCCCTACCCTTCCTGTCCAAATGTCTTCTCCACACACAGAGACAACTAAATTAGGAGATTTACTTCTAACACCTGGTCCCATATCACACTGATAGACACCTGCTTGTATACACTGCCATAAGAGAATGAGTCATCCTCTACCAAGTAGCCAGAGAACTGGCTGCATAGGGATACAGCAGAGGCTGACTCAGTTTGGGGACTGCAAATGCACGTACATTTCTCTGCATCTCTGTCCAACTCAGTTCTCATTCTGTTGGGGAGGTAGGTAAATGAGAAGCAGAGGAAGAAAGGGAGAGGAAAGAGGAAGGGAGAGGGAGAGACCGAGGGAGAGAGAAAGACCAGGAGGAGAAAAAAAAAAACAGATAATAACATTCTCAACAGATTTTTAACCCTTTTTTAATCAAATAATTTATATGATGTTTCATGCTCCTAAGCCATTTTATGTCTGTTATTTTCACATGTGGATATCTGTAGATAACTGAACATGCTTTCAAATATCTAATGCAATTTTAACCAAATATGTCTACAATTATCGTATTGTATATCATATTGACTAGTTTTATGCTAACTGTGAGTTTAGGTTTTCATAGGTTTCTTCACAACGATTATCCTGGTTAATCAAGAATCAAACTCACCTTATGTTAAAGAAAATAAGTATTTTAAATGACTCTGGTTTTTCAATTGTGTACTGGATTTCTTAAGTCAAGGAACAATGTTTTCTTAAAATGTCCTTTTTTCTCTCTCTCCTGTGGTATCTATGTGGCTTCTTTTACTATTCGTAGAGTGAGAGCAAGAATTGGGGGATGGTGCCCATTTCATAAGGTACAACATCTTTCAAAATGAAGCCCAGTACTGGGTATTCACGTTTCTAACCTTTTTTGATTTTTCTATGAAATTATCTTAATGATGGAAGTCTTTTCAAAGTAGGAACCACCCAAACACAGCTCAACAAGGATAACAGAAAGACTTCAATCTTTCTCTGGCTTCAGCTTATCACAGAAGCCAGAAGAATTTATCACAGAAGAGTTTAACCAACCTTTATAAAAAGCTATGTATGAGCTAAATATTAAACCAGAGTGTACAGTCAAGTGAAGTTTAAGTGCCTTTGCAATTATTTAAAAACTCAATGAGAAAAGGTATACATACATCCTAGTTTTCCTTTTTAAAGCCTAGGTTTATGCACATTATCTTGGCATAATCATTAATAGTGCCTCTTGTCATTCCCCAGTGTTCCAAATAAACTCAAAACTTCAGAGTTTTAAAATAGTAGCTATACCAGACATTTCAAAAGCACATCTTTGGTGTTAAAAGGCAAAATGCACCTGGAAGGAACCTCATTGTCCTTCTGTTCAAATAAATACCTTTCATCTTTCCACCTAAGATATTGTTCAGGCTACGAACCCGGGAGCAGATTGCATGAGAATACCTTGGAGTGCACATGAACTTTCTTAAAATATACTGTCATTTTGTCCCTCATGAGACGTACACTCTCCCTTTTCCACTCTGCATATGGCAAAAGGTATCACAAGCTCTTGTGGAGCTGATCCTTGAGTGTTTCCCAGCCTTCTTTGTGACTGAATTCTGTATAGGCTACTCTGAAGTTCAGAAAAAGGTGTTTCAAAATTCTAAATTCTTAGAACAAAAGTAGTCTTGTGGTGCCACATAATGATTATTTGTTCACACCACAAATATTTCAGAAGATGACTTTTTTCCAAGAAAAATCATTTTAATATGATACACTGTGAGATGGTAGAATAAAAGGGAGTTTTTTTATACATATGGAGTTATATGTAAATTATATATTTATATACATAAGTTATATTTTTATATTTATAATTATGTTGTATCACATTAAGTCATGTGATAAATGTGAAAAATGTTTTTTATTGGGGATTTTTTTTGATGATTTGAGCTTTGGCTTCAGTGGAAACCATTTTTTTCCCTAATTCTAGCAAGTCAAAGTAGAAATCCCAGCTGTTACAAATAATTTAACTACTTTCAATAATATTTCAGACAAAAATCAGATTGAATCTGAAGAATACATTAAGGCTAACATGTTAAAGTGCTTAATTATTTACACTAAATATGCAAATTAACAATTAGATCCTACATGCTTCCACTTAAATTAATTTTTGCCAATAAGATAAGGAAAATTGTCCTCACTCTTTTTTATAGTACCAGTTATTATAAGAGAATAAGAAAGAACAGTACATAAAATAGAGCCACATGATTGAGAAAAAAACTTGTAGTCTTAGAAATAATATATATAAGAATTGCCGTTATCTAAAATATTGATATCCTTGAAGTTCATAATTTATTTGAGAAGTCCCAGAGTTAGTGAAATAATCTTATGAGAACTTACAACAAGTGTGATGACCTATATTTGTAACTAAAAAGTGAAAGGGTTGTTCTTTGTGGTAGCCCTGGCCAGAGCTGACACTGATGTTCAGTCCTCTCCCAGGCCTTGTATTACAAGAGACAATGGATAGGCATATCCATACAGTGGTCAGCATTTCAGAGTTGCAATATACAGGTATATACAGGTTGCATAATTATGAATATTGTCAAGATTTACAATAAAGAATCATTGGCCAGGCATGGTGGCTCAAGCCTGTAATCCCAGCACTTTGGGAGGCCAAGGCGGGCAGATCAACTGAGGTCAGGAGTTTGAGTCCAGCCTGGCCAACGTGGTGAAACCCCATCTCTACTGAAAGTACTAAAATTAGCAGGGCATGGTGGCATACACCTGTCATCCCGGCTACTCAGGAGGCTGAGGCAGGAGAATTGCTTGAACATGGGAGGCACAGTTTGCAGTGAGCCGAGATCTCGCTGCACTCCATCCTGGGCATCAGAGTGAGACTCTGCACCCCCCACAAAAAAAAAAAAAAAAACAGAATCATTATTTAAAAGAGTGCTGTCATAATTATACAACCTGTCAACAAAGTAGCAGAATAACACTGGTGGTATAGTTAAAAAAAAAAAAAAATTGTGCCCTGCACCTGAATGTTTGATCCAGGGACTGTTGATAGCCAAAATCAGGTTTTTTCAACCATGCTATTAGATCACACTATTTTAGGCTGCAGTAATAAACAACCCTCAAATTTCAGTGAATTATAAAAACAAAAATGATTTCACTCCATGTCTGTTATGGATTAAAGGGGAGGCTCTGTACATGATATTCATTCAGGGAGTCCGCTGAGTGACTGAGTCAGCCACCATCTCCAAGGTTACAAGTCAAGACACCAGGAGGAAAAAACTCTAGGTGTTTTGCATCAACAATTAAATGTGCCAGCCCCCACATGATATAGCTCACTTTTGTTCCCAACTCATTGGCTAGAATTTGTCACATGACTTCAGTTGAAATGGGGCTATTTTATGATTGTATAGTACTATATTATTATAATCGTAATTTACATTTCCCTGATGACTAAGGATATTAAATACATTTTCCAATATGTTTATTGGCTCTTTGATAAATCTTCCTTGATGAATTTTCTGTTCCAATTTCTGCCCATTTTTTACTAAGTCATTGTGTTTTTATTACTATGATGTATTATATTATGTATTCTAGATAAGTTATTTATCACATATATATTTTGTAAATACTTTCTCCCAATCTAGTTTGTCTTTTCATTTTCTTAATAGTGTATGTTGATGAGAAGATGCTTATAATTTCAAAAAAAGAATCATTTTTAATTTTATATTATTCTGTATTTATTCTCTAAGAATTATTTGCCAATCCCAGATTACAAAAATAATCTTCTTAATTTTATTTCAAAAATAACAGAAATGTAGCTTTTATATTGAAGTATACTATCCATTCTCCACAGAATTGCTTTTCAGCACCTTTGTCAAACATCAATTGACTGAATATACGTTGATCTATTTCTAGACTTTTTTTTTTTATAAAGCAATGCTATTCAACTAATGTTCTACAACATAAAGGGGAATTGGTTTATTGTGGCTTTTGATGTTTCTAGAAATATTGATTGTGGTATAATGATTCTTTCACTTCTTTTTAAAATAATTTGTCCATAGGTTGTTGGGGGTACAGGTGGTATTTGGTTACATGAGTAGGTTCTTTAGTGGTAATTTGTGAGATTTTGGTGCACCCATCACCCGAGCAGTGGACACTGCACCCTATTTGTAGTCTTTTATCCCTTGCCCCCGCTTCCACCCTTCCAAGTTCCCAAAGTCCATTGTATCATTCTTATGCATTTGTGTCCTCATAGCTTAGCTCCCATATATCAGTGAGAACAAACAATATTTGGCTTTTCATTCCTAAGTTATTTCATATATATATATATATATATATATATATATATATATATATATATATATAAAATTATACTTTAAGTTTTAGGGTACATGTGCACAATGTGCAGGTTAGTTACATAGGTATACATGTGCCATGCTGGTGTGCTGCACCCATTAACTCGTCATTTAGCATTAGGTATATCTCCTAAAGCTATCCCTCCCCCCTCCCCCCACCCCACAACAGTCTCCAGAGTGTGATGTTCCCCTTCCTGTGTCCATGTGTTCTCATTGTTCAATTCCCACCTATGAGTGAGAACATGCAGTGTTTGGTTTTTTGATCTTGCGATAGTTTACTGAGAATGATGATTATTTTTCTCTTAAAAAATTTTTTTCCATAGGTTTTTGGGGAACAGGTGGTACTTGGTTACTTGAGTTAGTTTTTTAGTGGTGATTTGTGAGATTTTGGTGCACCCATCACCCAAGCAATATACACTGAACCCAATTTGTAGTCTTTTATTCCTCACCCACTTCCCATTCATTGTATCCTTCTTATTATGTCTTTGCATCCTCACAGCTTAGCTCCCACTTATGAGTGAGAATATACGATGTTCGGTTTTCCATTCCTGAGTTACTTCATTTTATATTGGGTCTCATTGATCCATTTGTCTATCATTTTGCCAATACTACATTCTCTTGAATAATAATTTTTATTGTATATTTTGAAATAAGGTAATTTAAATCCTCCAATTTTATTACTTCTCAAAATTATTTTGATGATTCCAGGATTTTTTTGTATTTTCACATAAATTTTATAATGAGCCTGATAATTTGAATATAAATTTATATTGGTGTTATGATTGGGATTGCATAAATTAAAAGATTAAGTTAGAAAAAATATCAAGTTAATAAAATTAAATCTTTCAATTCATGAATATAGTATATTTGTCTACATTTCTTTCAGCCTAGTTTTGTGGATTTCAGTACAGAAGACTTTCATATATTTTATTAAATTGATTCCAGAATATTTTAAGTTTTTATGATATTTTAAATGTATTTTTAACTTGTCTTCTATTTACAGCTAGTATATATAGTTTTGATTTTTGTAAATCATTTTTGTAAATCAACCTTGTACATATGAAATCACTGAATTTGCTCATTTCTTGCAGTCACTGAGATTCCTTAGGAATATCCACATAAACAATCATATCCTGTGTGAATAAAGATTGTTTTACACCTTTCATTACAATCTTTATGCTTTTTTGCCTTATTATACTGACTAAAACCTCTAGAACAATTTTGAATAGAAGTAGTGAGTATGAACATGCTTAATTTGCTCCTAATCTGAGGGGGATATTACAGAATATTGCATCATTAACTATGGTGTAAGCTGTAGTTTTTGTTTTATAGATGTTCTTTATTGGACTGAAGAAGTTCTCTCTCAAAATTGCTGAAAGTTTTAATAATAAAAGAATTTAATTTTCAAATAATTTTCTCATTGATGTAATCATATGGTGTTTCCCCTTCATTCTATTAATGTGATTAGTTACCCTGATTTTCAACTGTTAAATTTAACCTGGCATTCCTTGGATAAGTCTTACCTGGTCATGATTTATTACTCTTTTTATACATTACCGGATTTGGTCTGCTATTATTAATAATCTTACATCTATGTTCTTTAGGGACATTAGATAGCAGTTCTTAAATTTTTATTTTTAGATTCATGGGGTACATGTGCATATTTGTGAGAATATTGTGTACTGGTGGGAAATGGGCTTCTAGCATACCTATTACCCAAAAACATTTACCTGACAGGCAATTATTCAACTCTGAACTTCCTTCCATTCTTCCCCCTTTTGGAGTCCCCAGTGCCTATTATATCCATCTTTATGTTTATGTGTACCTAGTATTTAGCTCCCACTTATAAATGAGAATATGTGGTATTTGATTTTCTGTTTCTGAATTAGTTCACATAGGATAGTAGCCTTCAGCTTTATCCATGTTTGGGCAAAGTACGTGATTTCATTCTTTTAGGGGGCTGTATAGTATTCCAATGTGTCTATACACCACATTTTCTTTATCCAGTCAACCACTGATGGACACTTAGGTTGGCTCCATAACTTTGCTATTGTGAGTAGTGTTGCAATGAACATATGAGTGCAGATGTCTTTTTTGTGTGATTTCTTTTACTTTGGATACACACCCAGTAGTGGAATTGCTGACTTGAATTGTAGTTATATTTTTAGTTATTTGAGACATCTTCATACTGTTTTCCATAGAGGTTGAACTACTTTTTATATTCCCACCAACGGTGTATAAGTGTTCCCTTTTCTCCTCATGCATGCCAATATCTGGGGTTTTTATATTTTTTTAATAATATCCATTCTGACTGGTATAAGATGATATTTCATTGTGGTTTTAATTAGCATTTCCTGATGACATCTTTTCAAAAGAAGAAATGCCTGTTCATGTCCTTTGCTCAGTTCTTACTGGGGTTGTTTTCTTCTTGTTCAGTTATTTGATTTCCTTGTAGATTCTGGCTATTAGTCCTTTGTCAGAGGCATAATTTGTAAATATTTTTTCCCATTCTGTGGGTTGTCTATTTACTCTGTTGATGGGTTCTTTTCTGTGCAGAAGACTTTGTTTAATGAAGTCTTATTTATCTATTTTTTTGTTGCATTTGCTTTGCTTTTGGGGTCTTCATCATAAATTATTTGCTTTGGTCACTGTCCATAAGAGTTTTCCCTGGGTCTTCTTCTAGGATTTTTCACAGTTTCGGGTCTTACACTTAAATCTGCAATCCATCTTGGGTTAATTTTTGTATATACTGAGAGACAGCAGTCCAGTTTCATTCTTCTGCATATGCCTAGCCAGTTTGCCCATCACCATTCAATGAATCAGATGTCCTTTCCCCATTGTTTATTTTTATCGACTTTGTCAAAGATCAGTTGATTATAAGCACGTGGCCTTATTTCTTGGTTCTCTATTCTGTTCCATTAATCTATGTGTCTACTTTTGTACTAGTACCATGCTATTTTAGTTGGTGTAGCCATGTAGTATAATTTGAAGTCAGGCAATATGATGCCTCCAGATTTGTTCTTTTTGCTTAGGAATATGTTCACTATTCGGGCTCTTTTTTGGTTTCTTATGAACTTTAGGATTGTTTTTTATAGTTCTGTGAAAAATGACTTTGGTAATTCAATAGACATTGCATTGAATTTGTGGGTTGCTTTGGGCATTGTGGTAATTTTAACTATATTGATTCTTGCAACCCATGATTACTAATTGTTTTTCCATTTTTTTGTGTCATCTATGATTTATTTCAGCAGAGTTCTGTAGCTCTTTGTCTTGCGCTCTCTCTCTCTCTCTCTGTGTGTGTGTGTGTGTGTGTGTGTGTGCGCGCGTGCGCGCACACATCTGTCTCTCCTTTTTGCTTTTTAGTTTTTATAACTCAGTCTTGCTAAGGGTTTATCAAGTTTCATTAATATTTTCAAGGAACCAACATTTTTTTCTTTGTTAATTTTCTCTACTTTTATATGTTTTCTGTTTCATTGACTTTTGCTTTTATATTTTTAAACCATATAATGGTTTGAACCATTTTATTTTCTGATGTAAGTATCTAAAGTCATACATTTCCTTCTAATCACTGCTTTAAATGCATTCCAACAAATTTTTATATATTGTCTTTTTGTTATTTAATTCAAAACATTTCCTGAAATCTCCTGTGATTTTTTTATTTTGCCATGGGTCATTAGAAATGTAGTTTAATTTTTAAGTATTTTGGAATTTTCTAGACCTCTCATTGTTATTGATTTCTAATTTAATTCCATGGTGGTCAGAGAACATTCCCTGTAAGATTTAATATTTTATAATATATTGAGACCTGTTGTATAACAAAGGATCATCTGTCTTGATGAGCATTTTATATGTACTTTAAAAGAGTATGTATCCTGAAGCTGTTGGGTATAATGTTCTATAAATATAAATATCAATTTTTAGTTTAAATATGTGTATGTCTTTTGAATAAATTAAGAGAAGACAAAATTTTTTTACATTTATTCAAATATTTATTATTTCTTGTGCTTCTCAATTTTTTCAATAGATCCAAGTTTCTATTTTGCTTCAGGCCTAAGAACACCCTTTAGCATCTCTTGTAGTGCAGATCTACTATGACTAATTCTCTCAGTTTTATTTTAAGCTTGAAAATATCTTAATTTTGCCTTCACTTTTCACAGCCACTTTCACTGGACATAAAATCCAGATTGATAGGGTTGTTTTTTTTTTTTTCGTTCTTTGTTTTCAGTACTTTAACTACGTAGCTTCATTGTCTGTGGGCCTCCATTTTTTCTTTATAGGTATTACCA
Organism: Homo sapiens; assembly: GCF_000001405.40. Classification (NCBI taxonomy): domain Eukaryota; kingdom Metazoa; phylum Chordata; class Mammalia; order Primates; family Hominidae; genus Homo; species Homo sapiens. The sequence continues at coordinate 74,158,567 of NC_000006.12, read as the reverse complement.
TCAGTAATTACATGCATCATTATTCCCTGTATGTAATGTGTCAATCTTCTCAAGCTGCTCTCAAGATCTTCTCTATATTTTTGAATCTCCACAGTTTGACTATGATATTACTGGGTGTGGCTTTATTTGCATTTATCCTTGCACTATTACTTAGAGTTTTCTGAGTTTCTTGGATTTTCAAGTTCATGTTTTTCACTAATTGGGGAAAAATTTTAGACATAATGTTTTCAAATATTCCTTCTTCCCAATTCTGTCTTTTTCTTTTCTTTCTGGAACTTTAATTACATGGATTTTTAGACTACTTGATATTTTCCCCACAGGTCACTAAGGCTGGTAATGTGGGTTTTTTTTTTTCAGTCTTTTCCTCTGTTTTATTGATCTCTCCTCATGTTAACTGACTTCTTATTTTGCCATTTCTTATCTGATATTAAGCACATCCAGCTCAAATTTTTCAGATAACATATTTTCAACTTTACAGTTTCCATTTGGTTCTCTTTTAAAGTTTCCATTACTCTTCTGAGATTCCTCATCTGTTCATTCATTACAACATATTTTTCTTCTAGCCCATTAAAATACTTACTTTGTTTAAAATACTTAAACAGTAGTGGTCTAGTAATTCAAATATCTGAGTGATTTTCTGGTTGATTTCTATTTACTGATTTTTATCTTATCTGTGAGTCACATTTTCTTGTGTCTTTACATGCTAAGTAATTTTTATTCTCTACTGATCTTTATGATTATGTATTTTAGTATTCTGGATTTTGTTACTTTTTCAATAGAGTATTGGTTTTCTTTTTCTTTTTAGCAGTTGGTTAACTGGGTTGGACTCAAACTTCAAACTCTGGTTCCCCTGTGAGCAGCTGAAATTTCCACTCATTTCTGCTTTCTTTCATATCTGCTTAATTTCCCCATAAATGCGTAGTTCAGGGATCAGTCAAGGACTTAGATAGGGTTTATATGCTGATGTGGGGGACTTCACCTCAACTACCTCCCTGCTTTCCAAGAATCATCCCCTTCTTTTCATCTACCTGGGCAATACTGAACTCTATCTTCTGATTTCTCAAGTCAGTAAGACTACAAGTTCTACTTGAGTTCCAGTCACTCTGAATGAAGAATGCCCTTAAGAAGAAAATTCATAAATGTGAAATTCACTCAGCGAAGTTTCCCTTTTCAGGAGTCTACACTCCTCCAGTTTCTGCCTGCTTTTGGTCACTATACAGTGCCTTCAAATAGTGGTTCTTTTTTATCTAGAATGTATTATTCTTTTCTGCGAGATGGTTAATCCAGCACTAGCTACTCTACTACTACTAGAAGCAAAACTTCCCAATTATGTTTTAAGATAAACTAAGACCTAAATTTTACTTGAGTAGAAAACAGTAATAAGCAAGGCCCCTACTTTCTATTGAAAAATATTTAAAATCTATGCACTTATTCTACAAAGTCAAAGATTTTTAAAATGCAATTATTCTATTGCATGTTTAAATTACCATCTTTCCTTTAAAAATATTCAGAAATTCAATTGTAATAACATTTGCTCTCACTTCAAATGCTTATTCTAAGACAACCATGGATTAGAGAGCAGCAAAAGAGTTTCAAAAGTGAGTCCTTTTCTGAGAAAGCAGAGTCAGAGATTTCTTATTCCTTGCCTCTGCATAGATCAGGAATTCTAAGGTTAGAGTAGTTTAATAACTTGGTTTTCCCATAAAAACCCTAGAAGAAAACCTAGGCATTACCATTCAGGACATAGGCGTGGGCAAGGACTTCATGTCCAAAACACCAAAAGCAATGGCAACAAAAGACAAAATTGACAAATGGGATCTAATTAAACTAAAGAGCTTCTGCACAGCAAAAGAAACTACCATCAGAGTGAACAGGCAACCTACAACATGGGAGAAAATTTTCGCAACCTACTCATCTGACAAAGGGCTAATATCCAGAATCTACAATGAACTCAAACAAATTTACAAGAAAAAAACAAACAACCCCATCAAAAAGTGGGCGAAGGACATGAACAGACACTTCTCAAAAGAAGACATTTATGCAGCCAAAAAACACATGAAGAAATGCTCATCATCACTGGCCATCAGAGAAATGCAAATCAAAACCACTATGAGATATCATCTCACACCAGTTAGAATGGCAATCATTAAAAAGTCAGGAAACAACAGGTGCTGGAGAGGATGCGGAGAAATAGGAACACTTTTACACTGTTGGTGGGACTGTAAACTAGTTCAACCATTGTGGAAGTCAGTGTGGCGATTCCTCAGGGATCTAGAACTAGAAATACCATTTGACCCAGCCATCCCATTACTGGGTATATACCCAAATGAGTATAAATCATGCTGCTATAAAGACACATGCACACGTATGTTTATTGCGGCACTATTCACAATAGCAAAGACTTGGAACCAACCCAAATGTCCAACAATGATAGACTGGATTAAGAAAATGTGGCACATATACACCATGGAATACTATGCAGCCATAAAAAATGATGAGTTCATATCCTTTGTAGGGACATGGATGAAATTGGAAACCATCATTCTCAGTAAACTATCGCAAGAACAAAAAACCAAACACCGCATATTCTCACTCATAGGTGGGAATTGAACAATGAGATCACATGGACACAGGAAGGGGAATATCACACTCTGGGGACTGTGGTGGGGTCGGGGGAGGGGGGAGGGATAGCATTGGGAGATATACCTAATGCTAGATGACACATTAGTGGGTGCAGCGCACCAGCATGGCACATGTATACATATGTAACTAACCTGCACAATGTGCACATGTACCCTAAAACTTAGAGTATAATAAAAAAAAAATAAATAAATAAATAACTTGGTTTTCAATCCTCAGCACTTGGTTGTAGACAACTAAGACACAGATAGATATAGATGTGGATATAGATAAACAAATGTTTGTAAGGTATCTTTAAAAAACTTTGATATTCTGTACTTTTTTTTCAAATTACAAAGATAAGTGAGAGGTTTTAGAGATACTATTTAATGACAATTGTGGATCAAATTTCCTATTTACAAAAGTTTTATTTTCTGTCTCCTGGCCAGACTTACAGTTTAGACATTTAATGAATGGAACCTCAAATAATAAGATTTTCACAAACTAAAGGACTGTGTCTTTAACACACACAAAAAAAAACTATATAAGAAAAAAAGAACTGAATTAGGCACAAATCTCCTATTTTTATTCTTTGCTATACTGTGATCCACATAATAACTGCATTGGCTGAGAATTGAAGATTTGTTGCCTTTCATTTTGTTTTTATGCAAAGGTGAGAATGCCATTCATTCAGGCATCAATCTTGATTAGGCTTCTTAATTTTTACAAAAGGACCATATTCTACCTTTGGACTGGTCATTAATTATAAACTTCTGCTCTTAATAAGTAACCTAACTGTTCCAGATAATAAGGAGTAAACACATCTTTGAAATTTCAGCTGCCCATGCTTACTTACTTGGAGAAAATAATATTTATAGCTGTTAAAAGTAACATGACCACAGGAACTATCATGTCATATTTTAGTCTCTCATACCATTCTTCACCTGAAGAAACAGCTGATTCCAAGACTGGGGTAGGGATGGTACAAGGTGAGTTTGAGATTTGTTCTTGTGACAGGAAGCAAGAAGCTTTCAAAGATTAGTAGGGTTGATCAAAAGCTAATATAAGGGGAAACCCAAAAGCTAATATAAGGGAACAAAAATAATAATGGTTCTAATTAAATAAGCCACATGAATTTCCTGAGACTTCATGGATACAATATAATAGGAAGATAACACCAGAAAATTTAGCTGCTAATATTTGAGGTATTTATTAAGCCAAATTCATATTTTGAAAATTGAATAAATGAGAAATTAACTATTTATCCTGATTTTTCAATAAAAACTGTACTTAAAGATAACCAAATAGGTGACTTAAATTTATGCTTCTATATTCCAGGAGAATGCTAGCAAGTAAATATCACATAACAGACAGCACGTTAATTAAGGATTATCGATTATAATTAAGACCATTAGGTGAACAATTGGTGGAGAACTGACATATATGTAGTGAAAAAGTAACACTCCATTGATTACTTTCATGATTCAATTAGAAGACACATTTGTACAAAGGAGGGACCAGGCTTTTATCACTCTAATTCATGGGTCAGTCTGAACATTACTAAGAATGGGACAACCATATATAATGTGTCTCCTGATTTAACGCAATGTGGTAAACACATATTAATTAGGAAATATAGATGATTTTCCACAAGAGAGAAACCAGATAAAATAGAAAATGAGATATATTGCAGGACGAATAGCAGTCTCTTCAACAAGTCAAGGTCATGATAAAAAAGCACTGTTCTAGATGGACAAATGCTTAACCAACATAAGATTCAATATATAGACCGGGATTGGATTCCAGTTTCAATAAACCAGTTATACAAAGAACATTTGGGAAACAATTGGGGCATATGGAGCATGAAATGGTTATTAGCTGAGATAAAATTTATTGACATGAAAAGTAAATATTTTAACCAAAAATTTAACCAGAAAAAGCAACTTACAAAATAGCATGCATAATGTGACTTTTTTTGCAAAACGCTTACTATGTTTATTTTTTTCTGGGTAGGGATAAAATGGTTTCTTTTTTTTCTTCTTTTTATTTATCTGTATCTGTTGATTTTCTACAATATACATATACAGCTTTTATAACAGCAAAATGTTAGTTTTAATTAGAAAATATTTATGTTCTAAAAATGTGCAGTCCCATTCCTGTATGCTATCACTACTTGTTCTAACTTTTCACTTGAAACAGCCTTATTATTTCAGAGCTAAATATCTAGGTCAAATTATTTATGCTCACCCCCAACACTGGCAACAGAACTGCTTTCACTGAATTATAAGGCTGTATCATGTATTCAGGTTACTCCAAAGGCTATGTTCAAACATTAGAATGTATAACCATATAATTGTGTATTCATTACAGTTTTCCAGAGAAACAGAAACAATAGTACATATATGGATATATAAAAGGGAATCTATTACGGGAATTGGCTCATGTGATTACAAAGACCAAGAAGTCCCACTGAATACTGTCTGCAATCTGGAGAACCAGGAAAGTCATTGGTGTAATTCAGTCTGAGACTGAAGGCCTGAGAACCAGTATTACAGATGGTATAACTCTTAGTCCAGGGTGAAAGGCCTGAGAAACTGTTGGGGGATGGAGGAAAGGTGCAAATGTGCCCTTCTTGCACCTTTTTGCTCTATCTGGGCCCTCAGTGGATTGGATTATGCCTGCTCACCTTGGTGAGGGCATATCTTCTTCACTCACTGTACTGATTGAAATGCTATTTTCTTCCAGTAACCTCACAGACACACCCAGAAATATTTTTTAATCAACTATCTGGGTATCCCTCGATATGGTCAAGTTAATACATAAGATTAACTATCACAAACTGTATCAACTATGAAAGTATCATTAGGGACATTTTTAGGCTGTTTATGAATACCCGTGGAAGAAAAATTCAAGTTTTGATATCAGAAATATCTGTGTTTCTCATGAATCTCTAATTGATTTCTATCTTATGGACGTTGACTATTAAAATTATTTTTTAATTGTTCTTCAGCCCCTAGGCAACTTAAAGCCAAATTCTCAGCCACTTCTAGCTACTCTATAGAGTGGTGTGTTATACATTTCTGGGCATCAGTCTTACTACTGGCTTATTAATTCCTTGCTGTACTTTTCACCTTGCCCAGATTTGTTCAAATATTTATGTTTTTTGAGCTGCATATGTTCATTCTAGTTGTGTTTTACAGAATGAGCTGAGGTGTTGATTAACTAATTAAGACTGACAAAAAATCTAAAAAATATTCTATCTAAATCACTCTGACTCAATAACCTCAGTCCTATTCCCCATCCAATCTGGTCAAGAGAAAATTACTTCCCTGGCCTACATCATGTCAGCTCCCATGGGAATGTATTCAAAACTATATTGTAAATTGATTCCCTAAACACTCATTCAAAGCCGACATTGTGGAAACTCAGCCATATGAAGACATTTTCTGCATGATTGGTAAAGTTGCTGTTGAAGACACTGCCTGTTATGTTCTTCAATAACAAAGGCAGAGAATTCAACATTTTCTTTTCATTGCTACCTAGGGAGTTTCTGTGAGAGTCTACTTCAGAAAAAAAGTTTCCGTCAATTAGAAACGGCTTTTCTCTTGCCAGGAATTATAATACATACATCACCAAAGTTGGATCTAAAGATAAGTGCCTCAGTCCAGTTTCACAAGTCTCAATCTAAACATTCTCTATTTATCATCAGTTTCAACATTGCCACAGAGCAATTTTGGCAGCCTAAGAACATGATCTGGGAATCAAACTAAATTTTTAAAAGAACTAATATGTGGAAAGTTTTACCTTTGCAATAAATGCAGACTTCAAAATGATCATCATACAATGAAACCATAGTACTAGGAGAAATGGTGAATACAACAAAAACTGATTTATAAACCCTTAGCTGAAACTTGGAAGCTCAATGTAACCGGTTGGGTAAATAATGGAGAATGAGGTAATGAAGTTTCTTATTCAGTATGCAAAAAAAAAAAATTAATAAAGCTACTCACATAAAAATCTTGAGAAATCAGGAACTCATAAAATGGAAAAAGACAAAATATAAGTGGTCACTTAATAAACTATTAAGACATACTACCAAATAAACTTCCTTTGTAATCACTACGTAAAAGGTTTAAATTAAATTAATGATGAAGAACCAGTGGGCTTTGGGGATTCAAAGACATGAGCTTGAATGCTGGCTCTGTCATTTACTAACTTTGTGAGCCTGAGCAAATTCCTTAGCCTCTTTTAGCCCAATTTCAGCATCTGGCATGTGGTGTTGATAATACTCCTACCTGGTAGAGTTATTAGAGTGATTGTGTTTCTCTCTGTCTCTCTCTTTTTTTTTTTTTTTTTTTTTTTGAGACAGGGTCTCACTCTGTCACCCAGGCTGGAGTGTGGTGGCACAATCTCAGCTCACTGCCACCTTCACCTCCCAGGCTCAAGTGATCCTCCTACCTCAGCCTCCCCAGTAGCTGGGACTATAAGTGTGTACCACCACACTCATCTAATTTTTTTTTTATTATACTTTAAGTTTTAGGGTACATGTGCACAATGTGCAGGTTAGTTACATATGTATACATGTGCCATGTTGGTGTGCTGAACTCGTTATTTAGCATTAGGTATATCTTCTAATGCTATCTCTCCCCCCTCCCCCTACCTCACAACAGGCCCCAGTGTGTGATGTTCCCCTTCCTGTGTCCATGTGTTCTCATTGTTCAATTCCTACCTATGAGATAGAACATGCGGTGTTTGCTTTTTTGTCCTTGCGATAGTTTGCTGAGAATGATGGTTTCCAGCTTCATCCATGTCCCTACAAAGGACAAGAACTCATCATTTTTTATGGCTGCATAGTATTCCATGGTGTATAGGTGCCACATTTTCTTAATCCAGTTGTACATTTGGCTGTACATTTGGCTTGGTTCCAAGTCTTTGCTATTGTGAATAGTGCCGCAATAAACATACGTGTGCATGTGTCTTTATAGCAGCATGATTTATAATCCTTTGGGTATATACCCAGTAATGGGATGGCTGGGTCAAATGGTATTTCTAGTTCTAGATCCCTGAGGAATCGCCACACTGACTTCCACAATGGTTGAACTAGTTTACAGTCCCACCAACAGTGTCAAAGTGTTCCTATTTCTCCACATCCTTTCCAGCACCTGTTGTTTCCTGACTTTTTAATGATTGCCATTCTAACTGGTGTGAGATGGTATCTCATTGTGGTTTTGATTTGCATTTCTCTGATGGCCAGTGATGATGAGCATTTTTTCATGTGTCTTTTGGCTGCATAAATATCTTCTTTTGAGAAGTGTCTGTTCATATCCTTCGCCCACTTTTTGATGCAAGGCCAGTTCAACATATGCAAATCAATAAACGTAATCCAGCATATAAACAGAACCAATGACAAAAACCATATGATTATCTCAATTGATGCAGAAAAGGCCTTTGACAAAATTCAACAACACTTCATGCTAAAAACTCTCAATAAATTAGGTATTGATGGGACGTATCTCAAAATAATAAGAGCTATCGATGACAAACCCACAGCCGTATCATACTGAATGGGTAAAAACTGGAAGCATTCCCTTTGAAAACTGGCACAAGACAGGGATGCCCTCTCTCACCACTCCTATTCAACACAGTGTTGGAAGTTCTGGCCAGGGCAATCAGGCAGGAGAAGGAAACAAAGGGTATTCAATTAGGAAAAGAGGAAGTCAAATTGTCCCTGTTTGCAGATGACCTGATTGCATATCTAGAAAACCCCATCGTCTCAGCCCAAAATCTCCTTAAGCTGATAAGCAACTTCAGCCAAGTCTCAGGATACAAAATCAATGTGCAAGAATCACAAGCATTCTTATACACCAATAACAGAGAGCCAAATCATGAGTGAACTCCCATTCACGATTGCTTCAAAGAGAATAAAATACCTAGGAATTCAACTTACAAGGGATGTGAAGGACCTCTTCAAGGAGAACTACAAACCACTGTGCAATGAAATAAAAGAGGATACAAACAAATGGAAGAACATTCCATGCTCATGGGGAGGAAGAATCAATATTGTGAAAATGGCCATACTGCTCAAGGTAATTTATAGATTCAATGCCATCCCCATCAAGCTACCAATGACTTTCTTCACAGAATTGGAAAAAAACTACTTTAAAGTTCATATGGAACCAGAAAAGAGCCCACATTGCCAAGTCAATCCTAAGCCAAAAGAACAAAGCTGGAGGCATCACGCTACCTGACTTCAAACTATACTACAAGGCTACAGTAATTTTTTTTTTTTTTTGTATTTTTGGTAGAGACTGGGTTTCTCCATGTTGCCCAGGTTGGTCTCAAACTCCTGAGTTGAGGTGATCCACCCACCTCAGCCTCCCAAAGTGCTAGGATTATAGGCATGAGCCACCACAATTCTTAAATGACAAAATGCATGAAACTGAAAATGGTTTAGTCAAATGTATGAAATGTAGTGTGTATTTCATAAATGGTACTGTGTAGTGTCTATAACGTTCACCAAAAGATCACTGAATTTCTAACATCATTAAATTTCAGAGTATTTATTTTCTCTGTGAAACTGTAACTTCTTCTCTTTGATAACTAGGCCATAACAGAATATTGTATCTATATTTGAAAATCATGAAAACAAGCAAAAACTAGTCATAAAGGCATGAACCAGCAGAATTGAATATTGCAGGAAATAAATAACTGCTTGAGAGAAAAATGTCATAAAAACACCCAGAAGCAATGTTTGAAGTGAAACAAGTGGCAAATATAATCATGAAGACACGGCAGACATTTACCAGTTACTTTGATAGTATAAGGTTGTTTCTTAAGTGTTTGAAAGATAAGTAGGATTCTGTAGTACTACATTAACTGTCTATATAATTTAAAATATTCCTCTAAAATGGAAGTTATGGGGCCAGATTTTCTATTTTTATTCTGTGTGTTACTTTTATTCTAACTTCTAGCTGGCAAACACACCATTGCCAACACACACACACACACACACACACACACACACACACAGAGTAGAGAGTTCTGTATCATGACAGCTCAGCAAGATGCTTTGGGCTGATGGCAAAATTACCTAATCTAAGAAACACTACAATAGTTTTAATATCTCATACCTAGTTATAGTCAAATTTCCTAGATTAAGGACTATAGGAAGCATTGGCAGACCCCTCCAGCTTCAAAGATAATCTTTTGCTGAATAGATGAAGACAATGCCATTTAGTGACAGTATAAAGACTGAGAGGAAGAGGTTCAGAAGTTAATCAAGCATTCTGCTTTTTGCTTTGAACATGTTAATTTGGAGATCCTACTAATCATCCATGTGGAGTTCTTAAGTGGGCAGCCACACGAGTCCAAATCTTAGTGGGTAAGTCTGGGCAGGAGATATACATTTCAGTTTTCAGGATATAATAACAGCTAACCTTTATTGAGTGCTTAGCACAAGCCGCACACTGTTAATATAGTCCTCCTCACTATAATGCTATAACTAAAGTACCATAATTATCCTCATTATATAAAGAAACAGAAACAGGGAGGTCAAGTAATCTGCACAAAGTCACACAAATAGCAAGTGGTGGAGCCAGGACTTGTGTGCAGATAGTCTGGCTCCCCAGGCCATGCTTTTGTCCTCCATTTTATATGAGTATTTATAGACTCAGAATTTCAGGAGATGATCTAAGATCAAGATCTGAATACACAAGAATTTAGCCCAGAAGCATTCCCCAGTATGAAGGATGGGTAGAAGAGAACCTAGACTAAAACCAAGGAGCAGTGGGGTCATATAAGTAAAATAGAAAAAAAACACTTCAAGAAGGGGGAAATGGTTCCACTGGGATGAATGCTACTGTTAGGTTTAGATGAATACCAAACAAAGGCCATTGGATTTGGCTACATGAAGATGTTGACATCATCAAGAGTGACCTTGGTCTCTGCAGAGGTGTGGGATCTGATACTAGATAACAAAGAGGTGGAAGAGAATAGGAGGTGAGGAAGTGGGGACAGTAATTACAGAATGCTATTTTAGTTTCATTATAAATGGGAACAGAAAGAGGGTATTTGGAGGAAGTTGTTTTTGAAACTTTTCCTTTTTTGGTTGGTGATAATGATCCAATGGAAGGGTAGATAACAGGAGGAGCAGGTCCTAAGAGAAAAGAGGAAAGAAGAGGCAAGGAAAAAGTGGGATTGGCTGTTGTTCCCCATCATCCTGAAGCAGCTGGATTGATTTGCAGGGCTGCAGCAAAGTTCTCCAGAAGGCCATGTATGCTCTGAGTCAGTGTCCAGTATATGGTACTGTTTCTCCCATAGCCAGGATTCACAGGTTCAGGAATCAAGCAGTGGAAGTAGAAGTGCCACCACTCACCATCACCTCTGGTGATCCACTAGCAAAATTTTTGCTTCCTGTTCCCGCAACATTATGTTCTGCTGGCCTAGAGGTCTTAGTTCCAGAGAGAGGAATGCTGCCACGAGGAGACACAACAACGATTCCATTAAACTGGAAGTTAAGATTGCCACCTGGACACTTTGGGCTCCTCCTACCTTTAAGTCAACAGGCTTAGAAAGGAGTTAACAGTGTTAGCTGGGGTGATTGACCCAGACTATCAAGATGAAGTCAGTCTACTACTCCACAACAGAGGTTAAGGAAGAATACACATGGAATACAGGAGATCCATTAGAGTGTCTCCTAGTATTACCATCTGTGACTAAGGTCAATGGGAAACTATAACAGCCCAATCCAGGCAGGACTACAAATGACCCAGACCCTTCAGGAATGAAGGTTTGGGTCACTCAACCAGGAAAAAAACCACAACCTGCTGAGGTGCTTGCTGAAGTCAAAGGGAATACAGAATGGGTAGTGGAAGAAGGTAGTCATCAATACCAGCTATGACCAGGTGACCAGCTGCAGATGCGAGGACTGTATTTGTCATGAGTATTTCCTCCTCACTTTGTTAAAAACTTGTTTGTGCATTTATACACTTGTACTAAGAAAATATCTTCATTTTATTTCCTTTTCATTTATCATGTGATGTAAGATTTATTGACTTCATATCAGCATTTAAGTATTGTTAACTTTACGTAATAGTATTTGGGTTGGGGACTGGTGTGTTTCTGGTTGTAGGAAGGATATCTGTATGTTAGGTGTAACTACGACCTTATTATTGTTTTTAATTGAAGAGTATGTATGATCTCAGGAGATGTGTATGGGTTCAAGTTGACAAGGGGTGGATTTGTGATGGTTAATATTGAGTGTCAACTTGATTGGATTGAAGAACACAAAGTATTGATCCTGGGTGTGTCTGTGAGGGTATTGCCAAAAGAGATTAACATTTGAGTCAGTGGACAGGAGAAGGTAAATCCACCCTTAATGTGGTGGGCCCAATCTAATCAGCTGCCAGCGAATATAAAGCAGGGAGAAAAACGTGAAAAAGAGAGACTGGCCTAGCCTCCCAGCCTACATCTTTCTCCCGTGCTGGATGCTTCCTGCCCTTGAACATCGGACTCCAAGTTCTTCAGTTTGGGGACTCAGACTGGCTCTTCTTTCTCCTCAGCTTGCAGACAGCCTATTGTGGGACCTTGTGATCATGTAAGTTAATACTTAATAAACTCATATATATATATATATATCTCCTATTAATTATGTCCCTCTAAGAGAACCCTGACCAATACAGCCATGATCAAAGGAAAATCACTTCCTTCATGGATATAGAAAGGAAGAAAGAGTTGGCACAGATGCCCTAGAGGAAAATGATTTGGTGGTAGGAAGATAGAGTTTCCAAATTAATCTGTATTGTCTTAATTAAGTGTGAGCTGAAATTTCAGCTGAAAGTTAGAGTGAAAGGGTGTGGGGTATAGGAAAAAAGAAGAAAGTATAACAAGTCATCACCTTCAGTGGGAAAGCAAGCTTAATAGAGAACAGGACTGATTACTGGGCAGTGATGAGGGCCAGCTTGAAGGCTATAATCATGAATTCTCATGATTTTTTTTGTAAATTGTACAACTGAAAATCTCAGTTGTACAATTTTCTCAGCAATGTTTATTTGCTTTAGTGCAAGCAGGGGAAAATGAGCATGATGACAATGGTAACAATACTCATTGAGGCCTTAATTTGTGCACTCTCCTAAATGTTTTAAATATAATGAATTTTAAAGAATCCTGGATGTGAAAGTTGCAAATCTAATATTAATCACAGAGGAGAGTTGAACAATGTATACCATCAAGTGACTATAATTGCAGATCAGCAGTGAGAAGGCAGGGCATGATATCAGCAAATAATAACTTCAGAGAAGCTAGAAGAAACAGCTTGGAGACAGCCATGGAACACTGGAAAATAAGGGAAGCATTGTCCCACATCTTGACCCTGGGATACACAATAAGGGAATGCAATGTCCTCAAGGACACCTAGCTTTTCATCTAGCTAATAGGTAGCAAGAGCATTCAGAGGAGATGTTGAGGATGCAGTGGGGTTTGCCCGACACAGGTGGAGCACTCCAGAAGGTACATACACAGGTTTAGAAAAAAAGGGAATGAAAGAAGACTGAATTCAATTTGATTATGGTCAGAGTACCATGGGAAGGAAAGTCTGGGTGATAACATTTGGGAAGGATGTTTAGAACTTTGAGGGTAAGTACATCAAATATGTGTGTGAAGCACAATGGGGCTAGTTCTGAAAGTGTGTCAGAAGACTGGCAGAACTAAGTTCTAAGCATGCTAATATGGAATTCTCAGCCTGATAGCTATATCATAAGTCAGAGTTCAATCAGAAAAATAAGGAACATTTTAGGTATTTTGAGCACAAAAGGATTTAATTCAGGGAATTAGAGAATTTAAAAAATCATGGGAAGGCATGGAAAATAAAGAAACTGCAGGAAGACAGCCCTGATGATTTCAACTGCCTATGGAAAGAAAGGGATGATTCTCAAGACACAAAACTTCAAGCCACCTATTACTTCCCCAGTTGAAATAGTGCCTTTCTTCTGCATATGGCTAGCCAGTTATTGCAGTGCCATTTATTAAACAGTCCTTTCCACATTGCTTATTTTTATTGATTTTGTCAAAGATTAGATGGTTGTAGGTGTTCAGGGTTTATTTTGGGGTTCTCTATTCTGTTCCACTGGTCTATATGTCTGCTTTTGTACAGTACTATGTTGTTCCAATTACTGTAGCCTTATAATATTGTTTGAAGTCAGGTAATGTGATGCCTCTGGCTTTGTTCTTGTTGCTTAGGATTGCTTTGGCTATTCAGGCTCTTTTTTGGTTCCAACTGAAATTTAGAATAGATTTTCCTAATTCTGTGAAAAATGATGTTGGTATTTTGATAGGGTTAGCATTGAAAATATACATTGCTTTGGGCAGTATGGCCCATTTTAACTATATTGATTCTTCTAATCCATGAGCATGGAATATTTTTTAATTTATTTGTGTCATTTCTGATTTTTTTCCACAGTGTTTTGTAGTTCTCCTTGCAGAGATCTTTTAACCCCTTTATCCTAAACTAAAGAACTTCCGCACAGCAAAAGAAATTACCAACAGAGTAAACAGACAGCCCACATAATGGAAGAAAATATTCGCAAACTATGTATCTGACAAAGATCTAATATCCAAAATCTACAAGGAACTTAAACAAATCAACAAGCAAAAAATTAAAAATCCAATTAAATGGGCAAAGGACATGAAAAGATACTTCTCAAAAGAAGACATACACGTGGCCAAGAAACATGAAAAAATGCTCAGCATCACTAAATATTAGAGAAATGCAAATCAAAAACCACAATAAAATACCTTCTCACACCAGTCAGAATGGCTACTGTAAAAAGACAAAATATAAGAGATGCTGGTGATGTTGCAGAGAAAAGGGAATGCTTGTACACTATTGGTGGAAATGCAAACTAGTTTCAACTGCTACGGAAAGCAGATCAGAGATTTCTCGAAGGATTTAAAATAGACCTACCATTTGACCCAGCAATCCCACTACTGGGTATATACCAAAAGGAAAATAATTCTCTCTGTCAAAAAGACACATGCACCCATATGTTCACTGCAGCACTATTCACAATAGCAAAGACACAGAATCAACTTAAGTGCCCATCAATGGTGAACTGGACAAAGAAAATGTTGTACATATATGCCATGGAGTATAATGCAGCCATAAAAAAAGAGTGATGGAGCTAGAGGCCATTATCTTAAGCAATCTAACAGCAAACCAAAGAACAGAAAACCAAATGACACATGATCTCACTTATAAGTGGGAGCTAAACTTTGAGTACACATGAATGTAAAGATTGGAATAATAGACACTGGGATCACTAGATGGGGGAAAGAGGGAGGGGGTAATGGGCTGAAAAACCACCTGTTGGATACTATGCCCTACTGCCTGGGTGATGGAATTGTTGGGACCTCAAGCCTAAGCATCACAGTTTACACATGTAACAAACCTGCATGTGTACCCTTTAATCTATAATAAAAGTTGAAATTTAAAAAAAAAGAAATTGTGCCTTTGCTTCTCCCTGACTCCCAAATCTCATGTCCGTATCTCTCACTGACAGAATTTATATGGAAACCTTGCTAACAGGGATTTTGGAAAATGTATTTCCAGGTTTCCAGTTCCAGTATACAGAGGAGAGAAGTGAAATGGGAAATAATGCTGAGTTACCAAAAAATGAGGCTGGGCGCAGTGGCTCACACCTGTAATCCCAGCACTTAGGGAGGCCAAGGCAGGTCGATCACAAGGTCAGGAGTTTGAGATCAGCCTAGCCAACATGGTGAAACCCTGTCTCTACTAAAAAATACAAAAATTAGCTGGGCATGGTGGCATGCACCTGTAGTCCCAGCTACTTGGGAGACTAAGGCAAGAGAATCACTTGAGCCTGGGAGGTGGAGGTTGCAGTAAGCTGAGATCGTGCCACTGCGCTCCAGCCTGGGTGACAGAGTGAGACTCTGTCTCAAAAGAAAAAAAAAAAAAGATACCCCACGTAACATGCTATGATTCATTGATTCATTCATTCTCTCTTCCCTCTCTCTCCTCTTCCTCCCTGAAATCACAGGGAAATTTGTCTGGCTTGGCCATCACCTTTACCTTTGCATCTCCCCATCCCCATCTAAACAATAACAAACTTTGGTTTGCCACCACACCCTATTCTGGCATTGTGTTTACTCAAGACTCTATCTCACCTGGCCTTCACACTTTCTGTTCTCTCTGACTTCCTCCTCCAACTCAGCACCCTCTTCTGTGCTTATTCCTAGGGTTCCTTCAGGTATCAACTTGCTATTACTTATTCCTGAGATGTTTCCCTTCTGTCCTCTCAAGCAGTTTCAATGCCCCAGTCCTACACTTCCATAATACTTTCCGCATTAGAATTCATATTACAGCGTTATTTAGGTTGCTTGTTATCTCTCCCCTGCACAAGCCCTGGGACTCTGTTAGGAAAGAGACCATATCTTTCTTGTTACTTTCTGTGACCTCAGTGTCTTTTATGCTCTAAGTTCTTAACAATTATTTTTGAAATGAAAGACAGGGAGAGAAAAAAAGGAAGAAAAGAAGGAGAGTTATGAGACTTCCATTTTATTTCTTAATTGGGGTTTCATTGATGTAATATGGTCTGTTTTCAAAACACACACAGCTGGAATACATCATTTACCGAGTTTGTAAGGAATTTCTGATATGTTTATTTATACTGCTTTTGTTTATATTCCCATTGAGGTGAAACTATAAGAAAATACACTGCCTATAACAAGAAAAATTGGCACCTATCTTACCATTTTAAAATAATTTCAAAGACTAGTGAACCCTTAAAAGTTGATATTTCCAACTGGGACAAAGGGTGAAAGTATTACCCTATCCTGAGTCTCCTCTATATGACCCCATCACCCTCCCACCAAAAAATATCAAATTATCAAACATAACAAACCCCCTTCGTTTCAGGCTCAAGTTTAAGTTTTCCAAGAAGAAGCTTTTAAGAATTCATATTAAAATTTTCTGAGACTATGTATTAGTCAGCTCAGGCTGCCATAACTACAGCAATCCCCTCTAATACCCTCTAAGTTTTGCTTTCCACAATTTCTGTTGCCAGCAGTAATGGCAGTCTGAAAATTGATGAGTATAGTACAATAAGATATTTTAAGAGAGACACAGAGAAAAAAGATATATTTACATAAATTTTATTATTACTTTTTTTGAGACGGATTCTCACTCTGTCACCCAAGCTGGAGTGCAGTGGTGCGATCTTGGCTCACTGCAACCTCCGCCTCCTGGGTTCACGCCATTCTCCTGCCTCAGCCTCCAGAGTAGCTGGGACTACAGGTGCCCGCCACCACACCAGGCTAATTTTTTTGTATTTTTAGTAGAGACGGGGTTTCACCATGTTAGCCAGGATTGTCTCGATCTCCTGACCTTGTGATCGGCCTCCCAAAGTGCTGGGATTACAGGCATGAGCCACCGCGCCCAGCCCATTCACATAAATTATAGTATATTGAAATAATGTTTCTATTTTGTTATTATTGTTGTTCATCTCTTACAGGAATCTATAAATTAAACTTCATCATAGGTATCCATGTATAGGAAAAAGCATAGTGTATAGAGAGTTTGGCACTATCCACGGTTTTAGTCATCCACTAGAGGTCTTGAAACATATTGCCCATGGATAAGTGGAAACTATTGTATCATAGACCATGTGGCTTAAACAGCAGAAGTTTTTTTTTTTTTTTTTTTTTTTTTTTTTTACCATTCTGGAGGGTGTACATCCAAGATCAGGGTGCCAGTATAGTCAAGTTCTGGTGAGGGCTCTCTTCCTGGCCTATAGATGGCCACCTGCTCATTGTATCCTAAAATGGGCTTTCCTCAGTGCCTGTCAGCCCTTGCTCTCTTCTTCTTGTAAGGTCACTAATCCCATCATGAGGGCCTCACCCTCAGGATCTCATCTAACCTAATTACCCCTGAAAGGCCACATCTCCAAATATATCACATTGGGGCTTAGGGATTCAACATGAATTTTGAGAGAACACAATTCGGTCCATAGCAAACCAATTTATTATTCTTCTAGGGACGTTAGAAAAAAACAGAACAATCTATATTTGTTCTGTCCAATACAATAGCTACTAACACCATGCAGCTATTTAAAATTAAACTTAAATTAAGAAATTGATGAAATTGAAGATTCATTTCCTCCATCTCAGTAGCAACATTTCAAGTGCCCAACAGTCACATGTACCAGGGGATATCATATTTGGCAGCACAGATACAAAACATTATCATCACAGAAAGTTCTATTAAACAGTGCTGGTCTAGATCAATAGTTTAACACTAAGGAATCTCTCAAGATAGGAATTTTAGACATGTACATAAGTAAAAAAATCTATTGAGGGATAGGCTGAGTACTGGTTTCTCTACTTCTTCTGTTCTACCCTTTAACAAAAAGGTTGGTTTTTATTACACATACCAGGAAATTCAACTCAATCTGACACAAACAATTAAGGATTTCATTTACTCACATAACATGGAAATTCAAAGAGAATTCTGGTATGGTTTATCGGGGCATTTGCTCCATTTTTCTCTAAATCCTTCAAAGTCTTCTATTAACATTTTAAACCTGAGCCTAGTTTCCCTCCATGATTACAAATGGCTGCAGTACTTCCAGTCCTCACATCTATACCCCACATCATTCAGAGAAAGAGATTTTCTTTTCCTCCCACCTTAGAAGGGAAGTTCTTTATTTCACCCTGCTTGGCCCAATCTTAAAAAAAAAAAAAAAATTTCCAGGGAAGTAACATGAATTGACAGTCTTAGGACTAGTCACTGATTCAGTTGTCATGGCAGCTGTGTCAGATTAGGCTGATTTGCTCAGGCCTGTGAGGACTCACTCTGGGAGCTGGGATAAAGGCAATCCCCTGCTTCCCCCCAAAATTGGTCAGTTACTATGCAATAGAGGAAGGTAGTTCTCCAAAACTGTGTGCTGTTGGAAAGGGGAAGAATGATGGATCAGTCCGTTTTCACATCACTATAAAGAAATACCCAAGAGTGGATAACTTATAAAAGAAAGAAGTTTAATTGACTCACAGTTCCACATGACTGGAGAGGCCTCAGGAAACTTACAATCATGGTGGAAATTGGGGAAGCAAGGACTTTCTTCACATGGTGGCAGGAGAAAGACGAGCAAGCAGGGGGGAATGCCAGATGCCTATATAACCATCAGATATCGTGAGAACTTACTATCATGAGAACAGCATGGGGAAACTGCTGCCATGATATAATCATATCCCACAAGTTCCCTCCCTCGACACGTGGGAATTATGGGGATAACAGTTCAAGATGAGATTTAGGTGGGGACACAGAGCCAAACCATATCAAATGGATACTGAGCAGGCACCCAGCCTTGTGTGTACCCCTATACACATCCTCGCAGTCAAAGGACTGGTTCTGGATACAAGTAGCTAGTCATAGTAAAGGTTAAGCAGTCTGTTAACTCCTGACCGAGACAGCTACAGTTTCCCAGTGCTGTGCTCTGACTCCACAATTCTTTTTGCCTCTTGTTCCAGCCAAGAGCCAGAACTGATTCATTTTAAGCTTTCCTCATTATTGTTTTGGGATTTATATGTGCTTTCCTTATATTTCTTAAGATGTTTCTTATTGTATAAGGGGCTTTAAAATTGGGCAATAAAAGAGAGAAGCAGGTTTCAAAATAAATAATCTGAAGTCAATAGCTTTCTGAAATACGAACAACAATCAGAAAATATTATGAAATAAAGGATATATTCAGGACAATGGGAAAACTGCAAATCCAAACTCCATCCTTTAAGTACCTTATGCCCCTAAGTAATTTATTTAAATCATCTACACAACAGTAAAATAGGATCTGTAAATAATAACTAGGATTAATAACATAATTAATATAAATTTTTAAAGTGCCTCATCACAGTGACCATAAAATATGATGATAAAATAATGATGATTATGTGAGATAAATACCTTGAAATCATTTTAACAACAGATGAGTTAGACCTATATGAAGAAATTATAGTTTCCCAATTTACATAAGAAAAAATGTCAATAAATGGTAAAGCATACCATAATACTAAATGGAAAAACTATTTACAATCAAGAGTATTCCAAATCAATGCAAGAAAGAATAGACTATTTAACAAATGTTGTTGGCATAACTGGCTAACTAGGAAGAAATACATTTATATGCTTCAATATTACCTTATACAAAACTAACTTCTGAATAAGTGAAATATTTTTAATGTATAAGCTATAAAATTCTCTAAGAAAATAGGAATAAAATATATATAATTTGGGGGCAGGGAGGGCCAGTCCAAGAGTGGCAGCAACATTTGAAAATTTAAAGAAAAAGACTAACAGATTTTAAAGATAATTTACTGATGCAGAGTGTGGGCTGCCTGGCTTCAAAATCTAGCACCACCAACCCTATAGTTTCTTCATACAGGTCTAACTCACCTGTTGTTAAAATGATTTCAAGGCATTTATCTCACATAATCATCATTTTATCATCATAATATTTATTTTATGATCACTGTGATCATAGAGAAGCAGGTTTTCTCTTGTGAAAGTTTCTTACCTTTTCTCTGCATCGGTGTCCTCTTCTGCTGAATGCCTATTTATATTGGGCATTTGTTTCTACCTTCCCCTGTGATCTGCTCTACACACATACACTTGTTGCAGGAGCAAGAAGTCTAATACTACATTTCCCAGACTTCCTAATAACCAGGATTTGTGATGCAATCTTGATTCTGCCAGTGCAACATATGACCACAAGATTTGGAAGACAAAACACGAGGGAGATGTCATTCTTTTGTGGCTGGAACAATTAACTAGCAATTTCCAACACATGAGTTTTTGTAGTGGTCAGAGTTCACATTCCAGAATGTAGTCACGATCTCCTGGTCACTAGACATTTTAGTATGGGAATGGTGATATCAGAAGCAGCAGCAGCTTCCTAACCTGTGGATTTCCTCCATCTAAATTTGACCTTAAAACAATAGCTTGATTGTGACTCTCATGACTTCCACTCCTCCACCCTTCCAGTGATATTTGTAAGAACTCAGTTCCCTCTACTAAATATTTTCCTCTTTGAAATTCCTGGAATGTTTTCTATTTCCTGGGCTGAACCCTAACTGATACAAACATCTAGTTATTCTTTCCCTTCAAAAATAATTACAAAAGATTATAGGGAAATCAACACAAATTTTCATAAAGTAGACATACTAAGTAAAAGCTAACTTTCAACAGGAAACTGATCAATCTAGCATAAAATACATAGAATACAATGCAGCCATTAAAGTGGTAACATATTCATAAAGTTAGTTCATAATTAAATTATATTATGTGAATAGCCTTATATATAAATACTATAAAATTCAAAATGAGTATAAATGTATATAGTAAAAAATAAGGAAAAAATCTTGTCCACATTTATCTCTCAGTTACCTGGTTATCCTCTCCAGAGGCAATCCAGGTAGCCAAAATTTTCTTTATATTTCAAGAGATATTCTATTCATGTATAAATATATGTTAGTACATTCAAATATATATATTGCTTTTCTCATTGTATAATATTTCTCATAATTTCATAATAGGTACATTTGCCTTATTCTTTTTAATGACAATATAAGATTTTATTGTTCTCATGTACCACTTATTTTACTGATAAATAATTGTACATATTCATGTGGTACATAGTGATGTATTGATACACATAATGCATGGTGATGAAATCAGGGTAATTAGCAAAACCATCATCTCAAACATTTATCAATTCTTTGTATTGGGAGCATTCAATATCTTCCCTCTAGCTATTTGATACTATATATTATTAACTGCATTTTTAACTAAGTCACTCTATAGTGCTGCAGAACAGCAGAACTTATTCCTCCTATATAGCTGTAATTTTATATCCTTTAGAAAATCTCTCCCTATTACTCCCTTTCCCCTATCCTTCCCAGCCTCTAATATCTTCTTTTCTACTTTTCACTTCTATGAGATCAACGTTTTTAGTTTCCACATTTGAGTGAGACCATGCAGTTTTTAACTTTCTGTTGCTGGCTTATTTTACTTAACTTAGTGTCCTCTATTAACATCCATGTTGCCACAAATGACAGGATTTCATTCTTTTTATGGTTGAATAGTGTTCCCTTTAATATACATACCACACTTTCTTTATCCAGTCACCTGTTGTAGGAAATCTAGGTTGATTCCATATCTTGGTTTTTGCAAATAGTGCTACAATAGACACAAGAGGGCAGATGTATAATCAGCATACTAATTTCCTTTCATTTGCATAAATGCCCAGTAGTGGAATTTCTGCAACATATAGTAGTTCTATTTGAGTTTGTTGGGGAATCTCCATATTATTCTTCATAGTGGCTATACTATTTTACGTTCCCAGCAACAGTGTATGAGTTCTCTTTTCTCTCCATCTTAATAGCCATCATAACTGCGGTGAGATGATACTTCATTTCTGATTTGCATGTCTCAGAAGATTAGCAATGCTGAGCATTTTTATATATTTATTGGATAATTGCATATCTTATTTGGAGAAATGTCCATTCAGATAATTTGTCCATTTTTAATCCCATTTTTTTTTTTTGCTGTTGAGATGTTTCCATTCCTTGTATATTCTAGATATTTATCCCTCTCAAATGAGTAGTTTGCAAATATTTTCTTCCACTCTATAGGTAGCCTTTTTTCACTCTATTGATTATTTTGCTGTGCAGCTTTTCAGTTTGATATAATCCCAGTGGTTTATTTTTACTTTTGTTGCCAGTGGTTTTAAACTCTTATTCATAAAATCTTATCCCAGACCAATGTCTTGAAGCATTTCCTCCACATTTTCTTCTAATAGTTTTATTGTACAGTGTGAGAGGTGGGGGTCCAGTTTCATTCTTCTGCATATGGATACCAATTTCCCTGGCACCATTTACTGAAGAGACTCTCCTTTCCCCAGTGAGCGGTCTTGGCACCTTTGTCAAAAATAAATTGGCTATAGATAGGTGGGTTAATTTCTGGGTTCCCTATTCTGTTTCATTGTTTTATGTGTCTGTTTTTATGCCAGTACCATGCTATTTTAGTTAATACAGCTTTGTGATACATTCTGAAATCTAATAGTGTGATGCCTTCTGCTTTGTTCTTTCTGCTCAGGATTTCTTTAGCTATTGGGGTCTTATGTGGTTCCATACATATTTTAAGATTTTTTTTCTATTTCTGTGAAGAATGTCACTGGTATTTTGACAGGGATTGCATTGAATCTGTAGATTTATTTGGGGAGTATTGTTATTTTAACAATATTAATTCTTCTGATCTATGAACATGTGATTTATTTTCATTTGTTTGTATCTTCTTCAATTTCTTTCACCAGTGTTTTGCAGTTTTCCTTGTAGAAGCCTTTCATCTCCTTGGTTAAATTTATTCCTCGGTTTTGTGTGTGTGTGTGTGTGTGTATGGCTGTCATAAGTGGGATTGCCTTCTTGGTTTCTTGTTTTGGTTGTTATTTATTTACAATACTGATTTTGTATAAGTATTGTATCAGAAAAATAATGCTGATTTTGGATACTGATTTTGTATTCTGCTGTAACTTGACTGCATTTGTTTATCTTTTCTAAGAGCTTATTTTGGTAGAGTCTTTAGGTTTTTCTATATATAAAATCCTATTATCTGCAAACACAGACATTTTGACTTCCTCCTTTCTGATTTGGATGTCTTTTATTTCTTTTTCTTGCCTAATTGCTCTGGCTAGGACTTCCAGTGCTATGTTGAATATGAGTGGTGAAAGCGGGCATCCTTTTTTGTGTTCCAGTCCTTAGAAGAAAAGCTTTCACCTCTTCCCCATTCAGATATTTGCTGTGGGTTTGTGATATATTTTTTATTTTGGCTCTAATCTTCATAATTCTTTCCTTCTACTATTTTAGGGTTTGGTTTGTTTCTGGTTCTTTGAAGTGCATCATTAGGTTGTTTATTTGAAATCTTTCTAGTTTTTTGATGTAAGCATTTATTGCTATAAACTTGTCTCTTAATACTGCTTTTGCTGTGTCTCATAGGTTCTGTATGCAGTGTTTCTCTTCTCATTCGTTTCAAATTTTTTATTTCATTCTTAATTTCTTCTCTCACCCATTGGTTTTTAAGAAGGTGTTTAATATCCATGTATTTGTATAGTTTCAAATGTTCCTCTTTTTACTGATGTCAGTTTTATTACATTATGTGCAACATGATGTGTGAATATGTATGTAAAATAAATGTCTAGAGATTTAAAACTATGTAAAAATGTTATGCTCACCTTTACTTTTGAGAAATACATTATGTTCAGAAGTCCCATGAGTTAAAGATATTTATTTTACTTACAAGTTAGTCTGCCATGGTTATGAGTGTGTGTATGTCTGTGCATGCATATGTATATGCATATGTGTATGTATATGTATATGTACTGACAGAAACACCAGACATCTGGACCAGAGAACAAATCATGTATTACAGCAAAAAGAACAGCAAGAGTAATATCTTGCATGAGTTCCCCATGCCCCAATTCCTCACAGGGCAATGCAATGAGGACACAATATCAACCTATATGTGGGGCAGAGTTTGCACCACAGAAGATCCCTGAAATTATGAGACTAATAGTTCATATAGAGTAGCTGGTATATCTGCATGTATCTCCCCTTATGTACACAGAGAAAGAGAGAATGAGAGAAAGAGAGAAATCTGACAACCCTGGAAAGTAACTGACTATTTGTCCATAGGAGGTAAGTTTCTACAACCCTCTGGAGCAATTCACAGTCTCTAGTTTTCA
This sequence comes from Homo sapiens, assembly GCF_000001405.40. Taxonomy (NCBI): domain Eukaryota; kingdom Metazoa; phylum Chordata; class Mammalia; order Primates; family Hominidae; genus Homo; species Homo sapiens. The sequence continues at coordinate 74,134,148 of NC_000006.12, read as the reverse complement.
AGACCTTTGTATGAAAACATGTCCCTTGCTCAGAAATCCCAAATCATGCAGAAATGTGAGAATATTCACAGAGAATTTATTTCCAAAAAGATGATATCAAATTAACCTGCAATGTGATATCTCCACCAAGTTGGAGACTGTTTCCTCAAACATTCACTACAATAAAGTTATCAATTTTAATTTGCTATTCTAATAAGTTAGAATTTTATTTAATTTTTGTTCTAATTTCTATTTGTAATGATTGAAAGTTGTATTTACATTCTTATTTTTGTAAAAGTTATAATTTTTGTTAAACTGCTAGTTTATATAATGTGCCTATTTTTCTAGTGTGCTAGTTGTCTTTTAGTATTGATTTATAGAATTTTTCCCTGAGATCCTCTGAAAGTGCATCTTGAGAAAAAGATTGATGTATGCATGCTATATTGAGGAACATGATCCCAGAAAGCAAGGGTGGGGGACAGCAGTATATGTGGAAGAAGAGAGTCAATACAACAAGTTTTTCCAAGTTGTTATACAACTGTGAAAAACTAACAGACTTTCTAGAAGCCTTATGCAGTGAACCTCAACCTTTTTTGCACCGGTGACTTGTTTCATGGAAGAAAATTTTTCCATCAAAGGGCGTGGTGGGGGGGGATGGTTTCAAGATGAAACTGTTCTACCTCAGACCATCAGGCATTAGTTAGATTCTCATAAGGAGTGCTCAATCTAAATCCCTTGCATGTGCAGTTCACAATAGGTTTCCAGCTCCTATGAGAATCTAATGCCACTGCTGAGCTTACAGGAGGTGGAGCTCAGGTGGTAATGCTTGCTTACCCCCACCTCCTACTGTGTGCCCTCTGCCCCACCTGCTGTGTGGCCCAGTTTCTAACAGGCCACAGACCAGACCAGTACCAGTCCGCAGCCTGGTGGCTAGAGACCCCTGCCTTATAGGACATATCTCATGAAGGAAGATGGAAGCATTTATGTCTAGGCTCCTGTATCCATTGGTCAAGAGCTGGCTGACTTGCTGGGTGTAAACTGTCCCACACTTCCTTGTGGTTGTCCATGCTTGAGTGCCAGGTGATTCCTATGGGACCCCAAACATCAGGGCAAGAAAAGAGGGACTCACAATACATTCCTAGAGTGAGCCTATGTCAGGATACATCTGCTCAAAACTATTCAAAGCCAGTCCAGAACTGGTCATTATAGCCTTGGTCAGACTATAAGATGAGGCTGAGAGGATGTCAATAGTGCATGTGAAGTGTCCAATTGGTACACTTATGTCCCCCTAGATCTCTCAAATCCAGTTTATCACTGAGTCCCCTATAAGGCAGAACTTTTTTCTGGCATTTCTATCAATAAAATGTCTGTTATTTACATTTTTCTTCCCTTACCTAGGACTTAAATTAGGGTAGAAAAAATCCCCCAGTAAATTCCTTGGAATCCACTGCTGAAGTTCTGTCTTAGTGTATTCAGGTTGCTATAACCATAACCAAATACCATAAACTAGGTAGCTAATAAACAACAGAAATTTATTTATCACAGTTCTGGAGAGACAGGGATGTCCAAGATAAGGTATTGGCAGGTTCAGTGTTGGTGAGGGTCATTTCTCATTAATGGCATCTTCCTGCTGCATCTTTTACATGGTGGAATTGGCCAATGAGCTCCTTGGGCTTATTTTATAAGAGCACTAAACCCATTCATGAGGGCTCTACCATGATGGCCTAGCCACCTGTCAAAAGGCCCCACCTCCTGATACCATCACTGTTAGGATGAGGATTTCAACATATGAAGTTTGAACAAATATAAACATTCAGACCATAGCAAGTTCTAAGGATGTTCAATTGGTGTCACTCTGCATTTCTGGCAAAGATTCCAATGGCTCCCATGAAGCATTTCCAAAGGAACATCATTTTATTCAAAACTGCTCTATGTCTTCTGTAGTATCTGGACAATATATTGTACTTATTAGAATCCATTTGAACAAATAACAAATAATTTTGAAAAAACCCAAAGTACTCTCAGGCAGTAATAAAGCCTCATAAATAAATTTAAGAAAAGGTCAAATATGCTGTTTTTACTGTTTGTTTATAAATTGGTTTTAATTTCAAGATTCAAGGAGATGAAACATAAAAATATAATTGTCATTGACAAAAATTATGTGTACTCTTTGTAACTAAGCTCTACTCCAACCCATTTACTATAATAACTCAATCAACTCTTAAAGTTGCCAAGTACCTCACTACCAGATTAAAGATCTGGTCCCTAATTAAATGGATAATACATTTGGAGAAGTAGAATGAAGTCAAACCTGGAGTTGTCCAATTCGTTTTTCTTTCATATAGGCCCTGGGAAATCTTTAAACATTAAATCCAAAAATTTACCTCAAGTAAGGCAGCTTATCTAGGCCTGAATTTAAGAGACATGATCCTTATAGAAACATAATATTTTTCTTATAGAACCAAATTTAACAGGGTTGGTGAAAATCAGTCAGGACCACACTACTTCTGGACTCTGTCATGATTACTTTACATATTTATAACAACCCAAGAAGATATAGTGATTTTGATTGGATTATCTATGCTCTCGCCCTCCTTATAGCGGTACTTGGAATACATTTCATGGGTCTGAATGAGCATTCTGAACTTTTGCAATTGCAACCAAAGCAAAAATTGACAAATGAGATCTAATTAAACTAAAGAGCTTCTGCACAGCAAAAGAAACTACCAACAGAGTGAACAGACAACCTACAAAATGGGAGAAAATGTTTGCAAACTATGCATCTGACCAAGGTCTGATAGTCAGCATATGTAAGGAACTTAAAAAAATTTACACCAAAAAAGCAAACTATCACATTAAAAAGTGGGCAAAGAACATGAACAGACACTTTTCAAAAGAAGATATTCATGTGGCCAAGAAACATAAAAGCTCAACATCACTGATCATTAGAGAAATGCAAATCAAAACCATGAAGAGACATATCATTTCAAAAAAGAAATATTATCTTCAACTAAAGAAGATAACATAATGGTACCTTTTATGTGTGTAATTTTTAATTCATAAAATAAATTTTGCATTCTAAAAATAAAAATGTAAAGAATATACAGCCATAGGCCCCAATTCTTTGCTTCTTCCAGGAACAGCATCTCCTCTTCTGAAGCCCCCTGCCAAAGGTCCACAGAGTTACCAGAAGTGAATATCTGACTCTGCAGGTGGTGATCCTTTCCACTTCCCCTGGAACTTTCAGTTTTTCCATACACTATATTCTGCCTTGACAAAGGACTATTAGGAATAAACACTTTTTAGAAGCAACATCCTATAATAAAATGTATCAGCTCATTTCTACCTTTGGACACCGTCCATGCACTCAACATGAAATGACATCCTGCAAAATCCCCAAGTGGGGCTGGCAGCCTGTGTGGCTCACCATGTGAGGATGAAACCAAATCACCTTCCTCAGGACCACAGAGACTAAATAAATACAAAGCCAAAGTATAAAAAGGGCAGGATAGCGCATTCTCCTCAAACTTTGGGGTAAGCGTTCTTCCTCCACTTTACCTCCTTGATAAAGGGCAGGATAGCACATTCTCCTCAAACTTTGGGGAAAGCGTTCTTCCTTCACTTTCCCTCCTTGATACCTCCACAAGGGGAAAACAGCTGACCTTTTCAGTAGGATGTTCCTTTTATAAATCCCCACCATCCTACTGCAAATTTCTTTAATGCAACGATGAAAATATTAGAGAAGAGAACTTCTCTTGTCATTCTATCATTGTTTTTCTTTTTAAAAACTCTTAAATATGGAGTTTCAAGAAAAAAACATTGTTTCACCTGGGATTAATAGAATAAAAACAGTTAAAGGTAAACTTCAAAGTGAAAATCCTAAGAACTAAATATTTGAATTTTTAGACTTTTCCATTCTGGTTAAATGGAAATTAGAGGAATTTAAATTGTTTCCTCAAAGATTGTCCATTGCCATTTTATCACTCTCCTCTCCTTACTTGAAATATGAGCACTCGATGATGATGATGATGATGATGACGATTTCCCCACAATACTTTCTCTACCCACATAGACCTCTGCAAATCCTTTCTCAGGTTCTATGACACCAATCACATCAAACTAGCCCTGGTCTAAAAATCCCTAGATTTTTAATCATGACCTTTAGGCAATTAATAGAGAAAGTATTTACCATGGCATCTTTTTTCTATAATTCTGTAATGACAGATAGTTGTTCTGGACCAAAATATATATTAAGAAGAAAAGTAATTAAAATCCTTCTGATCTACTATGTAGAAATCATAGTTTTCCTCTACAATTCACAAAAAGACAGTCCATGAAAAAAAAAAAAACTTCTGTACTTTCTTCTATACTTTTCAGCATCTCTAAAATTAGCAACTAATAACTCAGATGACCCTAAGGTTATACAATTCAAGGAATTGTTTTATACTCCCCTCTTTGTGCAAGTACAGTGTTCTCTGCTACTAACAGAAGGTCAGCTGTTGACAGTCAGAGTCATTAAAACATAAGTGATTTTCATTTCAACACTCTTTGAAATTATTTTGCCAAGGAAATGGAGTTGCAGTATCCTCAGTGGTTCGGTGGAAGTACATATAGAGGAAAGTATAAAGAGAAATCAAAAAATCATCCTAATTGTTATAGGTTTATCTCTCTCATATTTAGCCATTCTTCTTGAGGCAAATTTGTATAAATACTCATAGCTGACCTTTTATAAGCCCTAGCTAACTTTACAGTTATTAAAGAATATATGTTAGAGATTATAATTCAAAATACAAAACCTGGGAAAAACTCTTACTTACTAAATTCCAACAGGCAACAAAATAGTATATCGCAGCAATTACTTAACAGCAAACTGCACAAGGAATGTATTTCAAACCAAAGACTCTAATTATACTAATGGATGCAATAATTATATTTGCTTTAAAATTTACCTCAGGGCACTCCTCCATTATTTTAAGCACTTTGCATTATTTGGTTTAGACCACTGATAAGAAATTTTCTGACAATTTGGCAACAGAAATATAAGATTCTGTTATTGTAAAACTAACAAATAACAAGATCTTAGAAATAAACTCTAGATTCCCCGAACATATCAGAGTAACTGAGACAGGATAGGAATATCTTTTACCTGAGTAATATCACTACCCCTGAGTAGGGTTCTCATTAGAACAAAACCACTGTGAGGACAAGGAAATTAGTGCCTAGAGGAAAAATATAAAATATACATATTCTTTAAAATGTTTTCTAGAGCCTGAGTCCATAAATTTTATATTTGCTATTAAAATACAGCAAATTGCCGGCAAGAAAAGAAAATCCAGCAGAGGCTGCCAGCTGTCCAGCAAAAATGAAAATAAGATTCTTCCTTCTTCCACTGTAAAAAAGTTGTAGTTGTGACATCACTGCCCAGCAAGAAACTGAGCTCCCCAGCCCCCATGCTCTAAGTGTAGGCTATGATTAACAGCTTCACCATGGGACTGGAGCATACATTATGTGTTTAACTTGTTTAAGCATAATTCCCTGGCCCCAGATTTCTGTTCTTCTCCCTCTCATCTGGCTCAAGGTCCTCCTCCATTCTTTTAAGCACTGAAGAGCCTTGTGCTAAGGAGCCTTGAATGTGACTTGTTGACAACGGTAATGCCACATTATTAACCTGGCTCCCAAAATACTTACATGGAGGACAGCCTACTACCAACCTCAGAGAAGGTTAGCACTTACCTCAAAGAAGGTTAGAAACAATAAGTCATAGTCTCTCAGCCACTGAACACTTCAATTTCTTTGTTCAAGCACCTTAGGTGCCCCTAACCAAACACAGAAAAAAGTAGGAATTTGGAAATGATGAGAAGAGAACACCATTGAAAGAACGGGAGGAGGCGACTATCTAAAAATATGGCATTACTTAAGAAGTTGCCTAATAAATGTGAGATATAATTCTCAAATCATTTCAATTCATCTGCTGGGCAACAAATAATTACTGACTCTATAACCTTTGCTAGGAACTCTGAGGAAATGAAGATGAAAAAGACAAAATTTTGCCCTTTGGAAACATAATATCTGGAGGTGCTCAATAAAGTAGCTCATGGAAGGAAGCCAATTCCAGAGACACAACAGGCTTCCTTCAGCTACACTTCCCTTCTCTTTGCCTCTCTTCCTCATAGACACAGAATTGTTAATATATGTGACATGGCAGGAAGAAAAGAGAAAGTACAGATTTTTTAGAGATGATGGTGTTAGGTTTTTGTTTCCCATCTTAATGAAGATTTTTAAATATTTGCCGTATTACAACTTTAACTTCTTTTTACAACATAACTGATCTCATGAACTTTTGAAGGTTTGATATCTCTGGGGTTTTCTTAAGAAAAATATTCTCTTCTGAGAAGTTGTTGACAGTATATTTACATTCTTTGTAAATTTGTAAATTGTTATAGATAACTTTCAAGGAAGATGTTTGCACCCATGGTATTGTTTCTCTAAGATTCTCTACCTCCTTGAAAGCAGAAAGCAAGTCTTCTACACTTACTCATTTTGCACCATGCCTGGCGCCCAGCAGGAATTTAAAGAGAATATTAGAACTGTAAGTAGGTAAAACACCTTACCCTCATGAAGCAATGAAGCCTAAGGGCCCATGTCCACAAAGACGATGGCAGAGCTAAGAGAAGACAAGAGTCTTGCCTCAGTGCAGTGGTTTTATAATATTTGCTGGTTGATACATATGACACTCGAATCAAATTACTTAATATTAGCTATCAATCTTATGGTGAATTTTAAAAAGACAATTGCTTCCCTTCTCTGATGTTTGTCTAATTACTTGCATTGACTAGTTCTAGCTTATGGCTGTGTTCAAAAAATTCAACTAGATCTAACATTTTATATATGAAAATGTAATGAAATAAATCAAATAAACCCAGTTGCAGAGTAGTCTCAGGAATACCATAATTTGGTGATTAGTGATTTTTGTCAAGGTAAAAAGAAGAGATACGTCTTGAAGGGAGAAAATAATAATTCTGAGAAAATGTCTTCAAGTGATATATGCCTTTCCTTGATTACAGTATGGTCTCCTGTGTAGTGCTATCCATAACCATTCTCTATATCACTCCTCTCTTCCTCATCCTCCCATCTGAAGTTAAGAATTACTGCCTTTGAGATCTGCAGGGGAAGGAAAAGGCTGAAATCTAGACAGTAGGTGATTGAAAGAGGGAGTTAATGGCAATCAAGGTTTGAAATACATTATCAGAGGGATGTGCATTTTATTCCTCCACTTATTTCCTATTTAATAGCTTGTAGAATTTAAAACAGGGACTATTAGCAGACACATTCGAAAGACTTAAAAGACTCAGTATTTTCCTAATCTAAGAAAGAGAAATAAAACATACATGAATAAAATAAGTGAGAATAAATATAAACATGTTATCTATGCCCATATATATTTTATGTGTATGTTTGTTTGTGTGTATATATACACACACAAACCTGAGTGAACTCAGAGTAAAGGTGGGTGTGGAAATAAGAAAATATATTAGTATAATAAAAATGAAAACGACTTCCAAATAAGGGAAAATATCATAAGAAAGGCTAAAAAAGTGTATTGTATAGAAAACAACTGAGGGATATCGTTGGCCCTGTTCGGAAGTACCAAGAGATGAGGCTGGTTAGATGTTGATTCACGGAAGTAGAAATTAGAGGATCTTGAAGGCCAGGCTTGAGACTTTTATATATGTCATAACTAATAACAAACAAAATCATGCCTTCCTAAGAAAGCAATGTAATAAATGCAGATACCTGCAGGGACCAAAATCCATGAATGCTCCAGTTCCAGATACAAAATGATGTCATACTTGCATATAATATATACACATCCTCCTGTATACTTTAAATAATATTTAGATTACTTATAATACCTAATTCAATATAAAGGCTATGTAAATAGTTGTTACATCATATTGTTTACGGAATAATGAGATGTGATAGGTTTTTCTTGCAATTGTAAGTAAAGGTTTGCAACGCTTGAATTAGAGATGTTGAGACTCAGATAGAAACTTGACAGGAAGCTTGTACTGCGTGCAGAAGCGTGATGCTATAGATATGGATAGAAAGGAATGACTCCTGAATTATTCCAGAGGAAAATCCAGAAATATTTAACATACAGTAGGATTTATGTGCCAAAGAAGAATAAATAGAAATAGTCCTGAGGTTATGAGTCTGGAGAACGTATTTGCATTGCTACGGCATCACAAGAAAACAAATTTATTTTTTCTCTTGATCTCTTTATAGAAAGCTGAAACATTCATAATCACAAATAATTTTTCTGTCATAATTTTTTTCTGTTCTTCATCAAACTGAAATACAGCTGGCTCTCTGTATTTGTGAATTCAACATCTGCGGATTCAACCAATCATGGTTCAAAAACAGTCAAAAATATTGTGTCTGTACTAAACACGTACAGAATTTTCCCTTGCTATTATTCCCTAAACAATACAGTATAACAACTATTTACATAGCACTTACATTGTATTAGGTATTATATGTAGTCTAGATATTATTTAAAATATACAGGAGGATGTCTACAGGCTCTGTGCAAATACTACACCATTTTGTATCTGGAACTGGAGCATTCATGGATTATGGTATCTGCAGGAGGTTCTAGAATCAATCATCCATGGAGACCAAGGGATGACTGTACGGCCAGAAACTTTTTATTTCAGTCACCTTGCCTCATCTTACTATGCACACACCACATGCAATTCCTTAAATAACATATTTTGAGGAGTGACATACGTGGATTTTAAATACAAACATTCAGCAATTATATATGTTATGCAAGATTAACTTATCTTCCCGTCACCATCTCCCATTCCTCAACATCCCCAAACACACTAAGCTCTAGCCTAAGGGACTTGTGCCTTCCTGAATACATTTGTTCATACCTCTCTGTGCCTAGCATATGATTCTAGATGATGATCCTTCCATCAGATATTTATCCTTCCCCTTGTTCACTTGAAAAGAACCTGCTCATTCTTCAAAATCCAGATAACTGATTCCTCCTCTGTGATGCTTTCCTCAAAGTCCTATGCATTCCTCAACAAGCATTTTTTGGCACCACTGAGCTTGATAAAAGACCCTTTAGTACATAAAGATTAAATATAATTTTCATTCACAGGAGTTCACAGTCTAATGGAGTGACAAGCATACAAGCAAGCAATTATAAAACAATAAGATGTTCTATGATAAAGGCAGAGCTTATAAAAGGTAAAATAGAACACATAAGGAAAAAATTATCTAGGTCTCTGTGGAAGGCAAGAAAAGTTTCCTATAATAGCTTGCACACATTCCTGACTATAACAATTATCACGTTTTAAAATAATTGTTGTGTGTGTCTGTGTGTTATCAGCTCAGGAAATCTGAAAGTACATGCCAAGATGAAGTATAAGAAATTTGTTAAGGGTAAAGCTTAAGAAACATAAGAAAAGAAGGAACAAGAATAGCAGGGAAAGCCTTTATTCCATGATGCAGATCTGACACCTGTGAAACAAGAAGAAAGAGAAAAAGGCAGGATTGGGTAGGAAGTGCAGGGCAGCACTAAGAAAGTCTTGGGCAGGACACAGGGGAGTCCAGCACAAGAATTACTAGTGGAGCAGTCCTGCTTTGGGTAAAAAAATGATCAGGCCTGGCATCTTCATTATGTTCAGTAATTGACAGGGAGCTGCCTGGGGAGAGCTTGACTCACCTCAGTTGAACCAAAAACATGAGAATAGTCAGAACTGCATGGAAAAGCAGCTTCTCCCTAAAAGGAAGAACTAAGAAATACACCTTCATGGCTGCACAAGGCTGGCTAAAATGCTGAATTCTTCCAAGCCAGAAACCAAAGTTTAGTCCATTTGTATTTCCAGTCTTTATTATAATGCCTGAAACTCAGTAAGTATACAACCAATGTCTAACAAAATGATATTTTTAAGTGCAATATGGTGAGTTAAGCATTGTGGATGTAAAATGTATTAAAATGTATTATTTATTTGATCCTATAGATCTTAACAAAAATATAGATGATACTGTAACAGAACAAAAGCTGAGTGACAAAGGAAAAGGTACATACAGAAATTGCTACAGGAATATAAATCTTACACACCATGGGCCCACTGGCAGTTCTAAAGGCCTGCCAAATTCCAGATTCCCAGAAACACCTGGATAATAGATTCTTGTCATAGCTCCACAGAAATTAAGTTAGAAATATGTTTGTCCCACGCTGGGATAGCTGGGGACGTTGGGAATGATAGATAAGATGTTCAGGGCTGAGTGTACTGGATGCACAGTGCTCCATACCTTTGCAGTCATACTGTACATTGTGCAACTCTGAAATTTATGAGATCTGCTGTGATCCCTGCTCACTCAAACAACATATGCAACTGTGTTCCACTGGTAGGTCCAGTTTGAGAGTTCCATAAGCGTAGACTTTTACCTGTCATTAAACAATGTTGTGATTTCTCTATTGTGTACTCTTATTGAGCTAATGTCCTTATGTTTATTTTAGATAATTAAACCTAATTTTATTTACCCAAGTGGTATCTGTGTATGGCTCCTTTCAGCAATCTAAGTCTATTATTAACATTTTTCAACATGGTGATTGTGCAGATTGGTAGAAGCCAAGGGATTTATGCAACAACTGTAAGACCTATCATGGCCACGTCTCTGAAAAAAAGTTCTGGAATAATGGAAAGCAGGGGAATGCAACTGTAGTGTAGTGCTTGCTGACCTTCCAGTTTGAGATGACAAAGACCTTAACACAAGTGATACAAGGTAAAATACATCAGCAGAGAATGAATAATATACCACCAACACTCAAAGGTCTGACCCGCTTGATAAAATAAATTAAAAATAAAAATTCATCATGGCCCAGTAATTTCTGGACAAAGTGACAACAGACTCATTAAAACTTCAGAGTGATAGGAAGCAGAGGCACAAGGGCAAAGGTTACAGTCAACATAGAGATTTGTAGCACATGAAGAGTCATAATGGCTTGGGGCAGTAAGAAAAATGCTTGAAGGAGGTGAATTTGAACCGAGTTCTTAAAAGCACAAAGAAGGAGGTGGGCATTGTAGCAGGGCATTGTGACAAAAAAAAAAAAAAAAAAAAAAAACAGTTGGAAAAATAGAAAGGAGCTGACCATATCCTAGGTATGATAAAGAGGCCCTTGTAAATAAATACTGGTAAATCATCTGTTCATTTATGTATGTCTTATCTTGTTCCAAAAAGGATTTCGGGCCTTTTATGGGAATATTAGCTTGGGATCAGATTATATCAGAACTTGAATTTTAGGCTGTAGAATTATCAGAACTGTGATGAATTTCCATCTTTCAGCTGAGTGTAGAACTCAGGTGGATGGATGTGAAGATAGTGTATACATATAAAAGCAGATGCCCAAATACTAATTTATAAAGAGCATCCTGAAGAGAGATGAACATCTTTTCAATCTATACCATGAGTAAAGCAAATATATTTGTGTGCATCTACAGTTCAACTGTTTCCTCTTATACTGTCACTTGTGAGAGTTATAAGTAGCTGCATACAAAAACAAAGACTGGAGAGAACAGGTATAAGTGGATGACAGACCAAGAGCATGATGTCAAACACATGGGCCCACTAGCAGGGCACCCAAGTTGGGCAAAGGGACTTCAGAGAACGACATCAAAGACAACCAAGAGAACACACCTTCCTAAACCACCCTTATGTTTCAGGGTCTTAATTCATTTAGTATTTTCTATATCTTTTGTGCCTTAGAGGCAAGCAGTTGGTATAGGTGTGTAACCTTATAAGTGTCTTTGAATGCTCAGACAGCACACATAAAGAGATGAAATAGAAAACCATTGACATGACCAAGCAAGAGTAAATGTGGAGGAGGCATGGGACATTGGCAATAGGAAAATACAAATACAAAAAATATCATGAAGATGTTCCCCTTCCTGTGTCCAACTGTTCTCAATGTTCAATTCCCACCTATGAGTGAGAACATGTGGTGTTTGGTTTTCTGTCCTTGCGATATTTTGCTGAGAATGACGGTTTCCAGCTTCATCCATGTCCCTACAAAGGACATGAATTCATCTTTTTTATGGCTGCATAGTATTCCATGGTGTATATGTGCCACATTTTCTTCATCCAGTCTATCATTGATGGACATCTGGGTTGGTTCCAAGTCTTTGCTATTGTAAATAGTGCCACAATAAACACACGTGTGCATGTGTCTTTATAGCAGCATGATTTATAATCCTCTGGGTATATACCCAGTAATGGGATGGCTGGGTCAAATGGTATTTCTAATTCTAGATCCCTGAGGAATCACCACACCGACTTCCACAATGGTTGAACTAGTTTACAGTCCCACCAACAGTGTAAAAGTGTTCCTATTTCTCCACATCCTCTGCAGCACCTGTTTTTTCCTGACTTTTTAATGATCGCCATTCTAACTGGTGTGAGATGCTATCTCATTGTGGTTTTGCTTTGCATTCTCTGATGGCCAGTGATGATGAGCATTTTTTTCATGTGTCTGTTGGCTGCATAAATGTCTTCTTTCGAGAAGAGTCTGTTCATATCCTTCGCCCACTTGTTGATGGGGTTGTTTCTTCCTTGTAAATTTGTTTGAGTTCTTTGTAGATTCTGAGTATTAGCCCTTTGTCGAATGAGTAGATTGCAAAAATGTTCTCCCATTCTGTAGGTTGCCTGTTCACTCTGATGGTAGTTTCTTTTGCTGTGCAGAAGCTCTTTAGTTTAATTAGATCCCATTTGTCAATTTTGGCTTTTGTTGCCATTGCTTTTGGTGTTTTAGACATGAAGTCCTTGCCCATGCCTATGTCCTAAATGATATTGCCTAGGTTTTCTTCTAGGGTTTTTATGGTTTTAGGTCTAACATTTAAGTCTTTAATCCATCTTGAATTAATTTTTGTATAAGGTGTATGGAAGGGATCCAGTTTCAGCTTTCTACATATGGCTAGCCAATTTTCCCAGCACCATTTATTAAATAGGGAATCCTTTCCCCATTTCTTGTTTTTGTCAGGTTTGTCAAAGATCAGATGGTTGTAGACGTGAGGTATTATTTCTGAGGGCTCTATTCTGTTCCATTGGTCTATATCTCTGTTTTGGTACCAGTACCATGCTGTTTTGGTTACTGTGGCCTTGTAGTATAGTTTGAAGTCAGGTAGCGTGATGCCTCTGGCTTTGTTCTTTTGGCTTAGGATGGTCTTGGCAATGCGGGCTCTTTTTTGGTTCCATCTGAACTTTAAAGTAGTTTTTTCCAATTCTGTGAAGAAATTCATTGGTAGCTTGATGGGGATGGCATTGAATCTATAAATTACCTTAGGCAGTATGGCCATTTTCACGATATTGATTCTTCCTATCCATGAGCATGGAATGTTCTTCCATTTGTTTGTGTCCTCTTTTATTTCATTGAGCAGTGATTTGTAGCTTTCCTTGAAGAGGCCCTTCACATCCCTCGTAAGTTGGATTTCTAGGTATTTGATTCTCTTTAAAGCAATTGTGAATGGGAGTTCACTCATGATTTGGTTCTCTGTTTGCCTGTTATTGGTGTATAAGAATGCTTGTGATTTTTACACATTGATTTTGTATCCTGAGACTTTGCTGAAGTTGCTTATCAGCTTGAGATTTTGGGCTGAGACAATGGGGTTTTCTAAATATACAATCATGTCATCTGCAAACAGGGACAATTTGACTTCCTCTTTTCCTAATTGAATACCTTTTATTTCTTTCCCCTGCCTTGATTGCCCTGGCCAGAACTTCCAACACTATGTTGAAGAGGAGTGGTGAGAGAGGGCATCCCTGTCTTGTGCCAGTTTTCAAAGGGAATGCTTCCAGTTTTTGCCCATTCAGTATGATATTGGCTGTGGGTTTGTCATAAATAGCTCTTATTATTTTGAGATACGTCCCATCAATACCTAATTTATTAAGAGTTTTTAGCATGAAGTGTTGTTGAATTTTGTCAAAGGCCTTTTCTGCTTCTATTGAGATAATCATGTGGTTTTTGTCTTTGGTTCTGTTTATATGCTGGATTACGTTTATTGATTTGCGTATGTTGAACCAGCCTTGCATCCCAGGGATGAAGCCCACTTGATCACGGTGGATAAGCTTTTTGATGTGCTGTTGGATTCTGTTTGCCAGTATTTTATTGAGGATTTTTGCATCAATGTTCATCAGGGATATTGGTCTAAAATTCTTTTTTTGTTGTGTCTCTGCCAGGCTTTGGTATCAGGATGATGTTGGCCTCATAAAATGAGTTAGGGAGGATTCCCTCTTTTTCTATTGATTGGAATAGTTTCAGAAGGAATGGTGCCAGCTCCTCCTTGTACCTCTGGTAGAATTCAGCTGTGAATCCATCTCTGGTCCTGGACTTTTTTTGGTTGGTAGGCTATTAATTATTGCCTCAATTTCAGAGGCTGTTATTGGTCTATTCAGGGATTCAATTTCTTCCTGTTTTAGTCTTCGGAGGGTGTATGTGTCCAGGAATTTATCCATTTCTTCTAGATTTTCTAGTTTATTTGCATAGAGGGGCCTGTCATGGGGTGGGGGGAGGGTGGAGGGATAGCATTAGGAGATATACCTAATGTAAATGACGAGTTGATGGGTGCAGCACACCAATATAGCACATGTATACATATGTAACGAACCTGCACGTTGTGCACATGTACCCTAGATCTTAAACTAAAAAAAAAAAAGTTAAGAAAATAGAAATATCCTGAAGAGTTTACAGAATCTACCAACTGATTAGAAGTGGGAATTGAGGAAGAAGTCATGATAATAGAATGGCACTAAAAGAATCATATAGCTTTAGAAGATAATCCACTTTTAGGAGTAGGAAGGGGAAATGGAACAATGGTGACACAAAAGGAGCCATCAGAAGATAATAAAATGACCAGCATATGGCAAATCATGGGGTCCAAGGAAGGAGAGAATTTCAAAAGCTAGAGAAGAAAAGTTATAAAAATTATACAGACAATAGAATAAGTACTGAGATACTGAAGACAGTATAGATATAATACACTTTCAAGAATTTTGGAAGTCTAAACAATGTGAGGAGTAGGATTGAAACTTGCAACGAAATCAGGTTCAAGAGAAGGATTTTTCTTTTCTGTGAATAGAGAGGATAAAGCATGTTTGCAGGAAATGACGTGGTCATTAGAAAATGGAAGCATGAAGATAAAATGAGAGAAAAGGAACAGAACAACTTCACAAAGTTGACAAAAGGGAAAGGAATCAAAAATAGTCACAGTTATATGTTAAGGGGAAATAAGACAATGTTGCATCATGAAGGTCAAAGAAAGAGACATTAAAAATAGGTATAGGAGTATTAACAGCTTGAAATGTTTGAAAAAGATGAACGAGGAAATCTTAGAAAGGGTCACTGGTTGTCTATTAAGAGATCAAACCGTGCTTTGGAAGGGAGTGTTTTCAACTGTCTGTTGGGAACAGAAGCAAGATTGCAGAAGGACAAGGGAAAGGTAGGAAGTAGAGGCAGTAAATGTAAACTACTCTTTTGAGAACTTTCCCGAATAAAATGAGATGAATGGGTAATAATTCAAGAGGTGCAGAATCAGAAGATGTATACAAACTCAGGGAGAACTGAGTATGTTTGCAGGGGAGAGGAAGATACCAGCAGAGAGGGAAAGGATAAATGTACTGAAAAGAAAGGGAATAATTGCTGAAGTAAGGCATGAAGAAATTGGGAAAAAACTGAATGCAAAGCATAAGATCAGAAGATGAAGGATTCATCCTGGAAAGAAGATAAACAACTTGCCTCTGAAAAAGAACAAAAAGAAGATTCAGTGAATGCATGTAACAAGATCTTTTGAGAAAGGGAGTAATTTTAAACTTAGTCCAAATTCCTCCAAAGTCTTGATGAATGGTTGTCATTAACGAACCAACCATGTCAAGTACAAATCATGCATAATAATCTTATGTTTCATTTGAATTTTTCATTTAAATGGTTTTGATTGAATTCAGCTTTGGGTCTAGTGTCCTGTCTCTATGCTCTATTTCCATTGGATTGAGAAAGAATATGTTCAATTTTTAAATGAGAGAGTGGATAATGAAGTAAAAAATCACAAGATTTAGTGAATTACCAACTGCTGTAAACAAAACCATAACGAACAAAAGCCCTGTCTGCTTCCTAACAAAAATAAAAGGAAGAGGAATGATGAGGATTCAGAATAGAGAGTAGAATATTTATGTTCATTGGTATAGCACTGCAGACCTGACCTCTATTTTCAGAGACACAAGTGAGCATCCTCTGTGCAGTGCAAGCCCAGGTAGTGAAAGCGCGAAGAGAAGGCTAGGAAGGAGGAAGGTAGCAGACGTGGTAAAGTGTTTGTTCCACATGGAAGCTGCTCTTCTCCTAATCAGCTTTCCACATTCAGCAGAAACTGGAAAGCTAAAAGCTTTATTTCTCAGATCCCTTGCAGCTACTGTTCTGGGTATGCTTGCCAATCAGATGCCTGTGCATGAGACTTATAATTGAAGTAAATGGAGAGAGAGGTAGAAGCACTTGAAATGTAATAAGCCAGTGCTGATTAGCAGCTGCTATGTGGCTCTGAAATCAATAGTTCTGGGAGTGGCTTCCAATTGACCCATCAGATGTAAGATGGTATGTTCCTGGAGCCAGCAGGCCTCCCAGAGGCAGAAAATACTGAAAACTGACTGGAATAAGTAGTCTCCTTGGCAGGCCACTTCTAGCATGTTGATCTGGGGCTCATTCCTGGTGGTCTAGTGTAAAGCCTATTTCTCCAGCTATTCCAGACATTTTGTAAATATTTAAATCCCTGTATTACATCCCTTTCTGCCAGTGGCTTCTGCTTCCTGAAACCAGACTCTGAATAATGCAGTAAGTCAGATGTCAGCAAACTATACCCCTAAACCACAACCGGGCAGCTGTTTTTTACAGCCTGAGAGCTAAGAATGGGTGTCACAGTTTTAAATGATTACATGTTAAATGATTATATAAGTTAGATTTGCTTAATAAAAATACAAGATGCCATGTTAAACTTGAGTTTCAGATAACAATTTTTAAGTATAATTATGTCCCAAACATTGTATGGGACATACTTATATTATTCAATGTTTGATTTAGCAACCCTAATGAAAGTATTATATTCTCTATTTTGCCTGTTGGTCTGCAAAATCTAAAGTATTTATTATCTGATCCTTTAAGAGAAAGACCTTCAAGGGATTTGAGGATGCTTGCAGTAAATAACCCTTCTGCACACATATCCCTCACGGGCCAGGGCTGTTGCGCCAATTCCATCAGTTCAAGCGACATCTAATGAACATCTACTATGTGCAGTGCCTTGGGGAGAAAGTAAGGATTGTGTGTTTTCTTGGGAGTAAACTGGAAAGCCTTGAAGTGACCAGAAAGCTAAGGGAGACCCCTCGGTAAAGAAGAAGCTAAATCCTTCCTAGACAGAAGGATCCTGAAGCTGAGGGAGGTAAGGCCTCAAGTAACAGAACTCAATAACAGAAATAAAGATCCAGAGGAAAGAGAGGGGGCATTTGTCTCCAAGAAGGCAGCCTGGTCCCAACTCCGAGGGAACTAGAAACAAACAGAATAGTCTCTAGCACAAAAACATCCCCAATGTGCTAATTTTTTTTTTTTTTTTGAGACAGAGTCTCACTCTGTCATGAGGCTGGAGTACAGTGGTGTGATCTCGGCTTACTGCAACCTCCGCCTCCCAGGTTCAAGCGATTCTTCTGTCTCAGCCTCCCGAGTAGTTGGACTACAGGTGCATGCCACCATATCCAGATAATTTTTGTATTTTTAGTAGAGATGGGTTTCACCATGTTGGCCAGGATGGTCCCCGATATGCTATCTTATTGCATTCTGCCTCCATCTGGAGAGATGACCCAAGGCTATTCATATTACAAGGGTCCAGAGATATCTATAAATCCACCATAAAAACAAGCAAAACACAGGAG
Source organism: Homo sapiens (assembly GCF_000001405.40). Classification (NCBI taxonomy): domain Eukaryota; kingdom Metazoa; phylum Chordata; class Mammalia; order Primates; family Hominidae; genus Homo; species Homo sapiens. The sequence goes on along the minus strand of NC_000006.12, from coordinate 74,116,190 downwards.
TCGCCCGACTACAAAAAATGGAAAGCAGATCACATGTCGTGCCAGTTATTAAGGTGTTATATTATTGTCCCTCAGCCCCAAACCCACATTTCTTTACTCTGCCTATCACACTGCATTTGGGACTCTACAAACTACATTCGTGCTTTACTGAATCCTTCCTTGTTAGGCTTCTCAAACAGGGGACTCTGCATGGAGACTTCCATACTGAAGAAGGAAAAAGAGATTGGCTCTTTCCCCTGTGTTTCCTGAGGACTTCCTGTCTGTTGCAATTCCTGTGAAGCAATACTTCTTGCCCCTGGCAGCAGCAAGTCCTTCCTTCAACTGTATGAATCTAGTTTGCAAGCTTTCCAGCACTTTCAAAACCAGCTTCGGGATCCCTGCTGAGAAATACCAACGCCTCCTCAAAGGTTGGAGTTTCAGCTCTGTGGGTTTCCTTCTGTAAGTTTCTAAGTTTTCATGATTTCAATCATATGAAGCTCAAATCTTCTTTAAGATAATTGGCTATGGGAAACTTAGTTGACTGACAGCACCAGTCATCTCCACTATGGCCCCATCACCACAACTGAGCTGAAGTCAAAGCCCAACCCACCGACCTCCACCCCTCCCACCAGCCCTTGGTCAATTCCTGCTAATGCCTAGGCACTAGTGGTACCAGTGCCGGCCTTCATTCCTATGGGATGTGGGACTCCTCTGATGGACAGCTTTGTCTAAGGACTTCCCACAGTCATGGTAAAACTTTCTTAGAACAACTCCATGGTCAGAGTTTTCTGCCCTCCCTCCTTTTGCACAGGTGTCAGACCCACACCAAAGCCTGAATAGTCTTCTGTCTAGTCCTTTGCCCTTCTCCTTTATCCCTCACAGGCATTTCCCCCAGTAAATCTCTTTCACAATGAATCTTGTCTTGGTGGTTGCTTCTCCAACGAACTAGCACAGGAGTAATTGCAGTGGTCCAGGTAAAAGATGACACCTGGGGGGTGCTGGAAGTGGATATGGGGAGAAGTAGACAGCTTGAAGGGGGCTGTTGGAAGTGGATATGGGGAGAAATAGACAGCTTGAAGGGGGCTGTTGGAAGTGGATATGGGGAGAAGTAGACAGCTCTACCACATACTGACCCATATTACAATAAAAATAATACACACCTGCCTGCTGTAGGGCAGGTGGGAAGCAAGGATTTACATTATATCAAATGGCATTGAACTACAGTCCCTGGTGACTTTGGATATAAACTGCCTCTTGTGTCCCAAAACAAAGTTCCCTTTGGAATTCACTGAGGTAAATTCTCAAGTTTTAAATCATGATAGATAATGTTGCTAAGGGAAGTTGCATCAGATATCTGGAGGAATTTAATAGCCAGTTACTATACTAATATTTCTCTCACTCACTCTTTATCATGTGTTCTTTCTTCCTGAATTATTTCATCTTCCATTTAGATAAATGGAAGTCCTTTCTCAGGACTCATCTTACTCCCAGCAGCAGTCATCATAGCTGATTGCTCACTATTCTCTTTTTTTGCTTTGAGTTCTTGGCTTGTGGAACACCACACATTCTCAGTTCTCTTCCCACCAAACAGGCCACAACTTCCCGTTTCTATTTCTACTTGCCCCTTCTCCACTTGACCTTTAAATGTCAGAATGTCCCTGAACTCAATCCTCAGCCTTATTCTTGATTTATACTCATACCTCTCACTCTCTATGTTATCTTATGCAGTTCTGCGGTTTCAAATACTATTAATACATTTGGGGCTCCCAAATTTATATATGAAACCCTGACTTTTTCCAGAGCTCCAGGCTTGCTATCCAGCTGCCAACCCAACAACTCCATTTGAATATTTAATAGTCATTTTCAACTTAACATACTCAATACGAACTTTTGATTTCCCAACACTCCCCCTCCCCCCAGCAATTGTTCTCCTCTCCCAGTCTTCCCCAACTCGTAAAGAGGGTTCCCCATTTTCCCAGTGTCTTCCTGTCTTCTGTAACTGCTCTCCTTCCTTCTCTCTGGAATTCTTAACCATCAGCAAATCCTGAAATACCCTGTCAGACTTGACCTCCCCCATCACTCCCTATCTACTTTAAGAGCTTACTTTGTCTTCACAGAATGATTCACTATATGAATATGTGTATATACAGGCATACCTCAGAGATATTGCAGGTTGGGTTCCAGACCACTGCAATAAAGCAAGTCAGACACATTTTTTTGGTTTTTCAGTGTATACAAAATTATGTTTACTCTATACTGTAGTCTATTAAGCGAGCAATTGTATAATGTCTAAAAAACAAAAACTGTGTACATAACTTAATTTAAAATATTGCTCAAAAATACTAACGATCACCTGAGCCTTCAGTGAGTCATCATCTTTTTGCTGGTAGAGGGTCTTGCCTCAGTCTCAATGGCTGTTAACTGATCAGGGTGGTGGTTGCTGAAGATTGAGTGGCTGTGGCGATTTCTTTAAAAAACAAAATGTGAATTTTGCTGTGCCGATTGATTCATAAAAAGTTTCTCTGTAGCATGTAATGATGTTTGATACCGTTTTACACACAGAACACTTTTCAACTATTGGAATGAATCCTCTCCAACTCTGCCACTGCTTTACCAAATAAGTCTATGTAATATTTTAAATATTTTGTTGTTGTTGTCATTTCAACAATGTTCACAGTGTCTTCACCAGGAGTAGATTCCATCTCAAGAAACCACTTTCTTTGCTCATCCATAGAAGCAACTCCTCACACATTCAAGTTTTTTCATGAGATTGTAGCAATTCAGTCACATCTTCAGGCTCTATTTCTGGTTCTCTTGATATTTCTAACATATCTACAGTTACTTCCTCTAATAAAGCCTTGAACTCCTCAAAATCATTCAATCAACTTCTTCCAAATCCTTCTTAATGTTGACATTTTTACCTCCTGTGAATCACGAATGCTCTTACTGGCATTTAGAATGGTGAATCCTTTCCAGAATGTTTTCAGTTTACTTTGCCCAGATCCATCAGAGAAGTCAGTATCTATGGCAACTATAGCCTAATGAAATGTACTTGTTAAATAATAATACTTGAAAGTCAAAATTCTTCTTGATTCCTGGGCTGCAGAATGGATGTTGTGTTAGCAGGCATAAAAACAACAGTAATTTCCTTACACATCTCCATCAGGGTGCTTGGGTGACCAGGTTCATTTTCAATGAGCAGTAATATTTTGAAAGGTATCTTGTTTTCTGAGTAGTGGGTCTCAAGAACAAGCTTAAAAATTTTAGTAAATCATATTGTAAATAGATGTGCTGTCATTAAGGCTTTGCTGTTCCATTTCTGGAGCACAAAGAGTGTCAATTTAGCACAATTCTTAGGGGCCCTAGGATTTTCAGAATGGCAAATGAGAACTGGCATCAACTTTAAGTTACCAGCTGCATTAGCCCCTAAGAAGAGAGACAGCCTGTCTTATAAAGCTTTGAATCCAGGCATTTACTTCTCCTCTATAGCTATGAAAGTCCTAGATGGCACCTTCTTCCAGTAGGAAGCTGTTTCACCTTCATTGAAAATCTGTCGTTTACTGTAGCCACCTTCATCAATGATCTTAGATAAATCTTCTGGATACTTCCTGCAACTTCTCCATCAGCACTTGCTGTTTCACCTTGCACTTTTATGTCCTGGAGATAGCTTCTTTCCTTAAACCTCATGAACCAACCTCTGCTAGCTTCAAACCTTTCTTCTGAAGCTTCCTTGCCTCTCTTAGCCTTAATAGAATTGAAGAGAGATAGAGCCTGCTATGGATTAGGCTTTGGTTTAAGAGAATGTTGTGGCTGGTTTGATCTTCTATTTAGATTATCAAAGCTTTCTCTATATCAGCAATAAGGCTGTTTCACTTTCTTATTATTCTTGTGTTCCCTGGAGTAACACTTTTAATTTCCTTCAATAACTTTTCCTTTCATTCACAATTTGGTTATTTGGCACACAAACCATATCTTTCAGCCTATTTTGGCTTTTAATATGCCTTCCTCACTAAGCGTATTTCCAGCTTTTGATTGAAAGTGAGAGATGTACAGCTCTTCTTTTCACTTGAACACTTAGAGGCCATTGTAGGGTTATTAGTTGGCCTAATTTAATATTATTGTGTCTCAGGGAATAGGGAGCCCAGGGAGAAGGAGAAAGATGAAGGGACGGCTGGTTGGTGAGCAGTCAGAACACACATAGCATTTATCAATGAAGTTCACCTTCTTATGTTGGCACAATTCTGTCACCCCCAAACAATTATAATAGTAACGTCAGAGATCACTAATCGCAGATCACCATAACAGATAAAATAGTAATGAAAAAGTTTGAAATGTGAGAATTACTAAAATGTGATACAGAGACACAAAATGTGCATGTGCTGTTGGGAAAATGGCACCAATAGATTGGCTTGATGCAGGGTTGACACAAACCTTCAATTTGTTAAAAAAAAAAAAAAATACGACATCTGCAAAGCTCAATAAAGTAGAGTGCAATAAAATGAGGTATGCCTATGTATCTTTGGTTTACTTGTGACCAAAAAAAAAAAAAAAGAATGTAATATTGTCTGTTTGTTTATAGCTATTTCTCCAATACTTGGGACTATACCTGGTACACATAGAATAGGCAAGATAAATACTTCTCAGATTAATGAATGCCCGGGGGAATAAATACATGAATTGAGACATCGAGGAAATGCCCCCCTGCTCCCTTTGATGTTACCCAGTTTTAGCCCTTTTGCATTTACGTTCCAAAAATCATCTCCTGCTTCCAAGTAGTAGTCCTCACTAATAGAGTTCCAGATCACTGAAGCTATTAATGTAACAACAGTAATTACTTTTACTAAGATTTTAAAATCATATTTATTATTTTAAACTTCACAGGCATTTTCTGAAAAGGGGTAAGTAAATAGATGCTCCTCCACTTTTCAGGATGTCTAAACATTTACCAAAAGTATTTGTCTCCCAACCAGCATTATCCAGTTTTCAACAAAATGCTAATCCAGAAAAAAAATTGTTTGACTATTTTTTTTTCCTTGCATGGCTCTCAGCTATCTCTTAAAAGCAATTATCTCCACATTTTTTCTTGTTATGATTATTAGATGATTTCTCATCGGTGTCCTAAAACCTTGAACTTTGCTAATGTCATCATTTGTTACCTGACAGAGTGTGTCAATCCTCTTCTCCTAGTTCAAGCCCAAAAGCCCTCAAGTTGTATCCTTTGAAACACTTCTTCTTGTCTGTTTAGTCCAACCAGTGTACTTTCCATTTTTAAAAGCAAAACTATCTTTTCTGGCACCAGTAGTCACCTGAACAGATAAGCCTAACAGCTATGCCATGAACTAATTGTTCCAGGGACATTTTAAGGTTAAGAAGCCTAAAAGCAACATATAGAAAGGTAAGTATGTTTTCCTGGCAAATGGGTTTCCTGAGACAATTTGGTGAAAAAGTCAGTCTTTCAATTCCGTGTTTATGGGAGTTTCTGCAGTAAATAGCCCTTATCAATGAACTGTCCCAAAATCCTAGAACTTCAGGAAGAAGGAACCAGTCCTGTAATATTTAAATTTCACAGGCATTATCTGAAAAGTGAATAAGTGGGCCGGGCGCGGTGGCTCACGCCTGTAATCCCAGCACTTTGGGAGGCCGAGGTGGGCAGATCACCTGAGGTCGGGAGTTCAAGACCAGCCTGACCAAAATGGAGAAACCCCGTCTCTACTAAAAATAGAAAATTAGCTGGGCATGGTGGCACACTCCTGTAATCCCAGCTACTTGGGAGGCTGAGGCAGGAGAATAGCTTGAACCTGGGAGGCGGAGGTTGCAGTGAGCCGAGATCACGCCATTGCACTCCAGCCTGGGCAACAAGAGTGAAACTCCGTCTCAAAAAAAAAAAAAAAAAAAAAAAAGTGAATAAGTGAATAGACTCATCCCCACTTTTCAGGATGTGCAAACACTTGCCTAAAGATGCTATCTCCCAGCCAGCAATCAGCTAGTTTCCAATAAAACTGCTTTTAAAAAATATTTATAGCTCCATCTTTGAAATGGAAAAAAAAAATGTATAATCAAAAAAAAAGCAATTTACATGTTTGGCTTCGCTGAAAATGGTGGGTAAAGATTGGAACTGGATGATTAAGGAACAATTAATTAGCAAGATCTAGTGTTCTAACTACTTGCTGTGAATATAGCTTGCTAAATGAAGAGAAAAATGTATATTTTATAGAAACAGTTTCTCCTGTCTCTCTCATGCTTCCTAAAAATATTAACTCATTTGATGTAAATACATGTCAATACTACAAAAATCAAATAAATTTGAAAGCAACTTGATTCCTCAACAGAACGAAATTAAAGTTTTCTTTCTAAAAAAATCTATATATAGTGTATATTTATATACACTATATATATAGTGTATCGTATATATAGTGTATATATAATATATAAAATATATATACACACAATATATACACACAATTATACACACACACACACACACACACACACACACACACACACACACACAGAGACTGGCATAGCGGCATGATGATTGCTTTAGCCCAGTAGTTCAAGACCAGCCTAGGCAACACAGCCAGATCCCCCATCTCTTAAAAACAAAACCAAATAAAACCATATATTTTTTGAAATATAAATGTAAAAATCAATGTACTTTCCCTAATGTTGTCTGGAGAGGGTTAAAGAGTCCTGGACTGAATCAGAATTTGTCAGGGTCATCCTGAAACAAATTAAAATGTTAATACATCTTGTGTTATACATCTTGTGCGTTACTTTAATTTCAGTTACATATTTGTTACAGGATACTTTACAAAAATATGGGCTGTGTCATTACAGAGTATGATACTTTTTATTTTGGGTAGCTGAGGCCATTTATTTCATGTTTGATTTTATGACAGAATTGTGTATTATAATCTTGCATACTTACTAATTATTGATCTTTGGTTTTCCTCAAATATGTTACATTTCTTTACTGTAGCATTATCCTACTAAGTTTGCCACTTATAATTCCTTCCTTCATTCATTCATTCAACAATCATTGATTAAGATTCTACTATATGCCAGGAGCTACACTGGATATTGGAAATGCATTGTCAATACTAATCAATGGGAATTGATTAGTCCAGTGGTCCGGTTTTATGCTAGAATGCCTAGAATTGAGCATCTTTGAGGAAATTTTTAAAGAGACACATATAGCGTTAATTATTTGCTGCCCTGCTCCTCTCCTCCACCAGACTGGGAACTCTTGAAAAAATAAACCATATAATAGTCTTTCTGGTTCTTTAAAATCTGTTACATTCCCAGATATAGAGTAAGTGCTCAGTAAATATGGACAGCACTTTCTCAGCCTGGACTTAGTCCATTTAACACATCCCAAGAATAGCAGATAAAAGAGAAAGGTAAAAATCAATGTAATTTCCCTAATGTTGTCTGGAGAGGGTTAAAGAGTCCTAGACTGAATCAGAATTTGTCAGGGTCATCCTGAAACAAATTAAAATGTTAAGTGGGATTAGAGCCTGACTTGGCCTGGAATCTTATGTTAGGTTACCCTGAGAGTTACCTGATTGGTCATAAAACCAGGTTTATAGAGATATGCCCATAGATATGTTATGGGTTTTCTAGGATTAGACAGTGGACAATTGTACCTCTGATTGTGAATTTTCAAATCTTTGGCTAAGCATTTACTATAGCATAAGGTCCCCTAATAACCCCCTTTCATTCATGCAGTCAACAAATATTTACTGAGCTTTCTAGGACTAGACAGTTGCCAATTGTACCTCTGATCAAGAATTTCCAAGCCTTTGGCCAAGCATTTACCATAGCATAAGGTCCCATAGTGACCCCCATTCATTCATCTAGTCAACAAATATTTACTGAACACTTACCATGTTCTAGAGAATGGGTTGACTCCTACATTAGATACTGGACACTGTGCTCAGTACTACATATAATTCCAGTAGAAACTTCTACTGCTGAATAGGGTGGCCTATTTGGCCTCTAGAGCACCAATTTTTCTTTTAGCACAGAACTCAGAAAGAAGCAGGCAAGCAAATTGCCCATAATCAAATGCTGGTCTTGTAACTGTAGTTGTTACTCTCCAGTTCTACAGTAGAGACCCAAACAAGAAAGCTGTCCCTAAACCAAAGACTTGAGCCAATGTTAAGTGACTCATTTCAATTCCCACTGGTCTCATCCTGATACTGATCAGGACTTATAAGGGTGAAGTTATCCCCCTCAACTGGGTGTTTCCCTAAAATCTGGTATTTACCCACCAGCATGATGGGAGTGAACAGAGCTAAAGCATTCCCCTCAGCAGAAAGTTTCATAGAAATGTTTTGTTGACAATCTCTTACTCCTCCCACCAAATATTCCTCTCAGTATTTCACTGAGAACTTCATTCTAACCCCTTTTCTGGATAACAGAATAAGAAAAAAAAGGGAGAAAGCTTTGAGATTATACATATCAAAGAGTAGGGCCAACACTATTGTCCCGGTCTTTCCAGTAGTCAAGATCTATGGTGGTCTTAGTCAACTGAGGCTGGGCTATACTGAAATGAAGATATGAAGCATGCTGCCCTTTTTCCCACACACCCATTTCCCATAGAATTCCCTCTTACTGTCACCACAGAGCAAGCCAGGACATTTGCTCTCATCACCGTTTACCTCTTTAATAGGGATTCCATTAAGGGAATGGCAGTTAGGCTACATAGATAATGTGTCTTCATTTTCAAAAAACATAATCATTTTCCACTTTCTCACAACCATACTTTGCAGTTAGCAAAGACAGGGGATCTTGCTGTCTGGTTCTTTCACATACTTCACCATTCTTTCCCCATCTTTTGTCCCCCTAGCCACAATGCCACTAATGATATCAATGTCTTTTAGTCAATGATGGAAAGATGCACTAGGATTGTGTGATTTAGTAGTTCACCATCAAAAAAAAACAATTCCCTTCAGAAAGCCGGCATTCATTTGTTTTCTTCTTCTCTTTAAACTACTTTGTATCTCCACTATTTGGAGCAGAAGATATAAGAAATTTATTTAACCATTTTTTTCTGTCTTGCAGCTCATAATAATTGCCCCTACAGAGATAAAAACTGTTTCACCCATGTCTCTTATCCATCATTTGGCATATTACAGGGACTTCGTGAGTACTATCATGAAGATCTTTTAAAATTTTAGCATTGGAAATCTAATTTATACACATTTGTATAAATTTAGAAATACCCAAATCTTAACAAATTAATCAAGTACTTAAAGTGCATACAAATCTTCAAAGTGTGGATTCTGGTACTTTCTTTGAAAATGCTTCCTCGATATCCATTTTCTTTCAGTAAAGCCTGCCACAAAAATTTGAAATGTTTTTTCCCAGCTTCTACAGAGGTTTCCTCTTCCTTCAAGCAAGTAGGTCTGACACGTAGTCAGTATCCGTAACCTTCCTTAGCCTGTGTTCTTTGTAAACACACAACTATTTCTGACTGGATTCAATCCTAACAAAACCAAATTCTTTTTTTTTTTTTTTTTTTGATGAGCACTGGTAGATTTTAGTTTATTGTCATTTCTTTCAAAGGGACAATAAGCTTGTATATGGTAATTAAATTGATGGTAATTTTAAAAAACATAAAACATATTAATATAAAAAATATTAAGTTAAATATTCATCCAAAACCAAATTTTTAATACCAAAAATCAGAGTAGTTACATAGAGGAAAATTTCATGTAAGATGCTTGTAAATTTTCATACTCTTTTCTCCCCAAAAGATACACATTCTCTTTCATAAAAATTTTCGAAATTGTTTTGAAAGCAGCAATGCATACTTCACAAAAATGCAAGATTATCATGTGTTTTTCAGCAAAACATGCAAATATTCATATTAATTTGAATTTTAAGTGTAGTACTGCAGTCTCTGATCAACACATAAGACACAGTCTAAACTGTTTACATTAAATAGGCTATACTCCAAAACCATTATGGCCATGAATTAATTGTCAAAAATAAAAGCTAATTCCTATTAATAGCACACAACATATAATGCTAACTTTAAGATCTGATTAATTGCTCAGAATTAGGAGTATATTGTAGAATCTCAGGAAGAACTTTTCTTTGTCACCTCCACACACTTGCACTAAATATCTGTCTTTTTCTCTCTTTCTTTCATTTCTCCTTATTCTCTGGAATTACATCTAGTTTAATAGTTTTAGAAATCTAGACAAATAGAAAAATTTTTTTTGTTGAGAGAAAATTTGTTACAGGATTTTTGTGCTTCTGCATGTGGCACTAACTGCCTTTTCTTTCAGAATATCTTATCAAAAATGCATATATAGCAAACAGCCATGTAAGGTAGAGATGGCATCTCTCTTTCTGACCACAGGGCAAGCGTGACTACAGTCCATTATAAAAGATTCAAGTTCTTTAAACTCAGGGTCCCTGTCCTCTACTGCAACTCACTGCATGTGCATGTGTCATCTGACCCTCTTGGTATTGCCCTCAGGACTCAAAGAACTGATGCAAAGATGCTGATGCCCATGCTGCCTGTTGTACCATGAGTAAGAATGTCCTTGGTCTCCGACCTAGGAGGCCTGTGTCTTCTGGCAGCATTCATAACATTATAACAAACTAACTTATTAGCTTGTAAATAGGGTAAACCTCAGACCCTTCAGAGTTCTGGACAATTTTTTAAAAATACTGGCCAGCAAAATTGCCAACTCTTTGTTCCTTAAAAATTTTTTTTCAAATGTTCATAATTAAGGACAGAGAAAAAACATAAACTTGGTCAAGGACCGGTAACCTCTCAGACCAAAGACTTAATTGCAGGAGTTTAGACAACACATCCTACATAGTGTTGCCCTAATTTTAACCTCAAATTGCATGGCCCTAGGGGATAGTGCTTCTGAAAGGAAAGAGGGTTATTAAGTCCGATAGATTTCCTTGCCTAGAATCAAACTGCGCAGCTCTCACAAGACCTTTTCACTTCATGAAGATATATTCCTTTAACAGTGAAGGAAGAAGACATTACGACCACCCAAAGATAGGAAAGACTCTCACTTCCCAATCATAATACTCAGTAGTCTTTGGGATGGCAGATGGAGAGAAAAGGCTGCAGGGAAGGGAACACCTGCGATCTGCTTCGTTTGCCACAGTGGCAGGGCAGGCAGTCATTCCAGGGAGCTGCAATGTCAGGTGGCAAAATTCCTCTGATTTCTGCCAAATCTAACATTTGGTTACAAAGGAACAGCATCTGGAAATACTTTATTCTTCTACTGGATGGTATTCCATATGAACAGTCACTTCAAATGTATATTCAAAAGCTAAAGCTTAAATCTACATCAACATAAAGAAGAAAACTTGGCAGATATTTTTTCCTAAAATAAGCATTCTGTATTCTTTTCTTTTCTTTGTCTCTGAGTCTGCTTTTTTATAATAAGCATTCTATATTCTAAGCCACTAGTAGGAAGTTTGGAACTAGTCTCAGTTTCTCCATCTCACCATACGAATTGAACTAGATTGTCCTTTGGAACCGGCCAAAGAGCTCCTTGAATCAAACTGGTATTCTTCAAATTGTGGCCAATACGGCAAGAAATAAGGCACAGCTTCTGGTGACAGTTCAGATCCACCTTCTTTGTCCTCTGCCTCTATTCATATCATTTATGAAATTCAATTAAAAGGGATTCAAGTCACTAATGGTGAAAAGTAGTAGGGAAAATATCTAATTGTAATCATGATTACCAATAATTAACTTGAAAAAATCTTTTTATTAAAACAGCTAACGAGATTCTGTGGGCACTGTGATATTCATTACTTCTTCTTCTCAGGACATCACATTCCTTTTCTTAATAAATTCTTTTCTTAATAAATAATTCTGAGCCCCATATAAGTGATATTTCCAGAGCTGTAAGGTTCCAGTCTACAGACGACAAATATCCTTTCGGGGATACAGTCTTGCTGCAGAAGTGTTCCTTTCCAGCAACTTGACTCAGTAACTCAATGTAATTGGAGCTCGTGTCTCTGTGCTTAAGAAATCTCTAAGAGGCTGGAAAAGGGACAAAATCTTTAATTTTACTGATGTAAAGAATAAATAAGCTCTACATTCTAAAAATCTTGGCTGTTTAACATGAAGGTAACTTCTTCCTTTAAAGTCTTTTTAACATAAAAAGAATAAAAATGAAAAAGCAGCTTCACTGGGGAAGACTTTCTCTTCAAGGTTGCAAAGTTCTCCAACATGGCTCCAACTCAGAATTCTTGGACATACATTACTTCAATCTTGCCTTTCATTTCATTTATGCCCCCACCTCTTCCATCCTGAAATCCAGGACTGTTCTATCACCATAGGACCTTAATACCTGTTGCCTGCTATGATAGCACCTGAGTGAAGGTCATCTTCTTCTAGAAGTCTTCCCTGATGCCTGGCTTAGGAATGCTCCAGAGAATATTACAGTTTTCCTATCCCACTTTATCAAAATATGTGTGTGTTGTGTGCTGTAACTGCTGACTTTCTTTCCTTAATTTCCTTCTAGATAATGCTCAATGAAGTCAGAGATTCTCCAGAAATTAATACAATGTGTGACATCCTGTTATCACTCAATAAATATTTGCTGAGTCAAAGAAAATAAATCTGCTTGCCCTTAGTTGAATATAGTTCTATTTAGAGCTAAAAAATAAAGTACCACAGTAACCTTGTTATTCTTCAATGAAGAAATACTAGATGGCTCAAAAAGTCATTATTAATCAAAATAAGTAGGTCTATTCTGATTTAATATAGCATATGCTATGTGCTTGCCTAAGTTCAACACAGTATAGGTAAAACAGAAAGGAATTTCCCAGCACAGAATATTCTGTTCTGCAAAAATGTTTATACTGAAGGGAAAAGGAATTTAATTCATATGTAAACACGACTAGTTTTAAATATTTCCATGAAACATCTCCATTAACCGTAAACTCTCCTTTCCAAAATATGAAAAAAAGAAGTATTCACTAGCACTAAAGCAATATATGTAACATCTTTGTATTTTTTTAAGGGACTTACTCTTCAAATAAAAGTATGTCATTAACTAAGTATAGGTTGGTACAAAAGTAATTGCAGTTAATATACATTAAAAGTAATGAAAAAAACTGCAATTTTGCACCACCCTAATTATGTAATGCACTTAAAAGTAAAATTATTTTAAAATTATAATTTTAGGAAAAAAACGCCATCAGCTTTAACCAAAAACGATAAAGCAATCGGAAGCCATAAATTATTTAAGTGGATAATATTTGTCATTATTCTAAAATGTTACTTTTGATAACAGCAATATTCCTCATCATTTATTGTATATTTTGTTTGTAAAAGAAGCCATCAATACAACTGTTGAGCAAGAAATATACTTGAAACAATGACTTACAGTAGAATGTAGCAGTTGTTAAACAATTGGTTCCAATGGGTTCTCTGGAGTGAGTACATTAAGAAAGAACATAAAATCTGAGAAGGCTTCGCAGGGGAGTTGGGACTTCTTCAGCTTCAGTGTGATACAGGCAAATGGAAAGATAGTTCAGGCCGTGGAAGCAGTGTCTATGGTGCACTTGGTGACAAGGGAGAGACCAAACAGGATCCAGGAGGGCTAGAGCGTCCAGAAGTAGAAATGGTAACTGCGCACGCGTGGAGTTGGGTACACCAGGGAGGCTTCCGGGAGGCTTTGTAAATGGGAAGGAGATATACACATGTTTTAGGTGTTCTAAGATGATTAATCGGCCCGTAGTTTACAAAACAGATTGGAGATGGAAAAGACTTGGGAAAGAAAGAGTTTATAAGGAGAGCCGAAATGAAAAAGGAGAGGGCAAATGAAACAGTCATCCCCAAAGATGGCCAACAGGGAGTTAATAACTGAAAATTTGAGACGGCCCCCTCGCTTAGATTTCTACAACAGGCCATTGACCGATGCAGTCATTTCCATCCTTGCCTCACTGAAGCCAGGGGATCTTTTCTCACCAAATAAAATCCTATCCTTCAGCGCCCCGGTTACCCTCATGACAAGGCATAGAAGTCTGACACAACCCTGAATGATCAGGTTCATGCCAGTCTACCCGGCTTCATGTCCCAACTCACGCCTCTACTCACTGCACTCCAGCCACATCTAGGTTCCCTCACATGAGGCATTTTCTGCTTGAAATTTTTCTAACTCATTTTTGCCTTCCAGATATAGCACTATATCTTTCCATCTCTCTCGTATGCAAATAGACACTGGACTTCATTTATTAACTCACACTAATCCTTTGCATCTCAATTTGAATGTCGCTTGCTTACATAAATTATTATCTCTTACCAGACTGGATGAGGTTAGCTGGCTATGTGATTCTAGAACACCTTCAATTTTCTTATACCACCCATCACATTCATAATCACTTGTGCAATATCTTCCTCTCCACTACACTGTAAGTTTCATGAGGGCAGGGACTTTCTCTGACATGTCTAGTGTTATATTCCAGTCCAATGCCTTGAAATGTAATGTGCATTCTAAAAATGTTTATTATATAAATTAGTGAGCTCCCAAAGTACTGAGTGTTAGTGATTGAAATGATCTTCTGGCCCCAACACTTCACCTAAAATTCAGGTCTTGGGAGAGGAAGCCACCAAGCAGAAAACATATAGATAGCTACCAACAGTTTTGCACTGGCTTCTACAGGTAAATAATTACCTCCATTTGTCCTCACCTACCCAGGATTTTAATGCCATTTATTTATAATACATATGAGTAGTCTGCACCCTTGGCTTGTATCACCCAAAGCCAAAGAAAATAACTGTTGGCATCATCTAACCTCTGCTTTATCTCCCATAATTACCCACATACAAAATTATTTTTTAAATTGAGATATGAAACTGTCAAAGCACTCTGCATTTTTAATATGCCAAAAGTTATGTTTAAGAAGACATATTTTCTTTTTCCTATCTTGAGAGGATTTTTCTCATCTGCTATAATTCAACTTATATGCTATTCAAACAACCAAAACAATGATTCAGCTTCTAATGGGACCTGAATTATCCTCCCTCCTAATGTGGAAAAATGCCCAATTTTCTATTTCCATTATCATGGCATTTCCTCTTTTTCATGGGGCATTGCTAGCTTTAGGGAGCATTGGCATAGGAAACAAAACATGGTCTTTCTCTTTCCATTTATTAAACAAGGCTCCAAACATGCTATGAAAACAATGACTGGAATGTAAGCTGGAAGACAGAGCCCATCTCTCACAGTGCCTTGTGCATTATAGAAATTCAATGACTTTAATAACTTTCAAAAAATCTTATTAAATTGCCAATCTCAGCAATTTATAGGACTTAGAACACTATCATATCCTACACCCACCAAATTAATAAAGAACATACAGGACTTTATTAAACAGGGATTATCAAAAGGCAATTAAAGGATTAAAAAGGAAAACTTGGAAGAGAAAGGCTGAAGAAAATGGGATATTTTGACCCAACACTTTGAGATTTAACTCAGAGTTCTGAAGATAATTAACAATATCATATTACTATCATCATCTATGTCTTTCTGTTATAGTTGTTTTATATGCACAGTTTTTTTCCTCTCTCATGACTACTATATCTACTATAAGCCAGGTACGTGATAAACCAATTCTCTTCAAGAAGAAATAAGAATAAACTGAAATATTTATGTTACAGAGGAAGAGCCTACAAGTAAGAATTGTATAATACTATCAAAATCGTTCACAGTCAAAGTCTCTTTATCTGAAGTAGTCAAGAAATGAGTGCCTCTGGCTAAACGCAGTAGCCAAGTATTACAAATTTTCAAAGAATTAGAAAATAATAGTATATGCTATAATGAATAATTATATCTAACATAGTCTAATCTATACTTCATCCCAACTCCCTCAGAATCTTCCCAGGCCCCTGACCAGCATTCAGAATGTCATTTTGATTTCCATTATCATGTCATTTCCTTCCAGCCTTTTCAGGTTGGAAGGATAAGAAGAGACTAAGCTGAGCCCACTCTATAAGACATCGGGAGGGCTTCGCTATAGTTTAATAAATCCCTTATCTTGATAGTAACTTATTTATTTATTTTTCTCTAACTTTGCCTATGACAATTTAATGCCTGTCTCCACTTCAAATTAACTAGTTGTGAAGCCAGGAAATAGAGATTGTTGTCTAGAGTCTGCCACTATCTTTGTGACCTGAAGCAGATCAAAAGACAAATCTCTTTGTAAAATAAGAAGCCAGTTGAAATAATTAATCAAGGTCCTTTCTATAATAAAAATCTATGATGGTAAGAATAATAATTCTTAGAAAGTAATAAATAATTAATCAAGACTCTTTCTACGATAAGAATCTATGATGGTAAGAGTAGTAATTCTTAGAAAGTTCTGTTAAAGAAAATCATCCCACAGAAATACAAACTACCATCAGAGAATACTACAAACACCTCTACGCAAATAAACTAGAAAATCTAGAAGAAATGGATAAATTCCTCGACACATACACTCTCCCAAGACTAAACCAGGAAGAAGTTAAATCTCTGAATAGACCAATAACAGGAGCTGAAATTGTGGCAATAATCAATAGTTTACCAACCAAAAAGAGTCCAGGACCAGATGGATTCACAACCGAATTCTACCAGAGGTACAAGGAGGAACTGGTACCATTCCTTCTGAAACTATTCCAATCAATAGAAAAAGAGGGAATCCTCCCTAACTCATTTTATGAGGCCAGCATCATTCTGATACCAAAGCCGGGCAGAGACACAACCAAAAAAGAGAATTTTAAACCAATATCCTTGATGAACATTGATGCAAAAATCCTCAATAAAATACTGGCAAACTGAATCCAGCAGCACATCAAAAAGCTTATCCACCATGATCAAGTGGGCTTCATCCCTGGGATGCAAGGCTGGTTCAATATACGCAAATCAATAAATGTAATCCAGCATATAAACAGAGCCAAAGACAAAAACCACATGATTATCTCAATAGATGCAGAAAAAGCCTTTGACAAAATTCAACAACCCTTCATGCTAAAAACTCTCAATAAATTAGGTATTGATGGGACGTATTTCAAAATAATAAGAGCTATCTATGACAAACCCACAGCCAATATCATACTGAATGGGCAAAAACTGGAAGCATTCCCTTTGAAAACTGGCACAAGACAGGGATGCCCTCTTCCAACATAGTGTTGGAAGTTCTGGCCAGGGCAATCAGGCAGGAGAAGGAAATAAAGGGTATTCAATTAGGAAAAGAGGAAGTCAAATTGTCCCTGTTTGCAGATGACGTGATTGTTTATCTAGAAAACCCCATCGTCTCAGCCCCAAATCTCCTTAAGCTGATAAGCAACTTCAGCAAAGTCTTAGGATACAAAATCACTGTACAAAAATCACAAGCATTCCTATACACCAACAACAGACAAACAGAGAGCCAAATCATGAGTGAACTCCCATTCACAATTGCTTCAAAGAGAATAAAATACCTAGGAATCCAACTTACAAGGGATGTGAAGGACCTCTTCAAGGAGAACTACAAACCACTGCTCAAGGAAATAAAAGAGGATACAAACAAATGGAAGAACATTCCATGCTCATGGATAGGAAGAATCAATATCGTGAAAATGGCCATACTGCCCAAGGTAATTTACAGATTCAATGCCATCCCCATCAAGCTACCAATGACTTTCTTCACAGAATTGGAAAAAAATACTTTAAAGTTCATATGGAACCAAAAAAGAGCCTGCATCGCCAAGTCAATCCTAAGCCAAAAGAACAAAGCTGGAGGCATCACACTACCTGACTTCAAACTATACTACAAGGCTACAGTAACCAAAACAGCATGGTACTGGTACCAAAACAGAGATATAGATCAATGGAACAGAACAGAGCCCTCAGAAATAACGCCGCATACCTACAACTATCTGATCTTTGACAAACCTGAGAAAAACAAGCAATGGGGAAAGGATTCCCTATTTAATAAATGGTGCTGGGAAAACTGGCTAGCCATATGTAGAAAGCTGAAACTCGATCCCTTCCTTACACCTTATACAAAAATCAATTCAAGATGGATTAAAGATTTAAACGTTAGACCTAAAACCATAAAAACCCTAGAAGAAAACCTAGGCATTACCATTCAGGACATAGGCGTGGGCAAGGACTTCATGTCCAAAACACCAAAAGCAATGGCAACCAAAGCCAAAATTGACAAATGGGATCTAATTAAACTAAAGAGCTTCTGCACAGCAAAAGAAACTACCATCAGAGTGAACAGGCAACCTACAACATGGGAGAACATTTTCGCAACCTACTCATCTGACAAAGGGCTAATATCCAGAATCTACAATGAACTCAAACAAATTTACAAGAAAAAACAAACAACCCCATCAAAAAGTGGGCGAGGGACATGAACAGACACTTCTCAAAAGAAGACATTTATGCAGCCAAAAAACACATGAAAAAATGCTCACCATCACTGGCCATCAGAGAAATGCAAATCAAAACCACTATGATATATCATATCACACCAGTTAGAATGGCGATCATTAAAAAGTCAGGAAACAACAGGTGCTGGAGAGGATGTGGAGAAATAGGAACACTTTTACACTGTTGGTGGGACTGTAAACTCGTTCAACCGTTGTGGAAGTCAGTGTGGCGATTCCTCAGGGATCTAGAACTAGAAATACCATTTGACCCAGCCATCCCATTACTGGGTATATACCCAAATGTCTATAAATCATGCTGCTATAAAGACACATGCACACGTATGTTTATTGCAGCGTTATTCACAATAGCAAAGACTTGGAACCAACCCAAATGTCCAACAATGATAGACTGGATTAAGAAAATGTGGCACATATACACCATGGAATACTATGCAGCCATAAAAAATGATGAGTTCATGTCCTTTGTAGGGACATGGATGAAATTGGAAACCATCATTCTCAGTAAACTATCGCAAGAACAAAAAACCAAACACCGCATATTCTCACTCATAGGTGGGAATTGAACAATGAGAACACATGGACACAGGAAGGGGAATATCTCACTCTGGGGACTGTGGTGGGGAGCGGGGAGGGGGGAGGGATAGCATTGGGAGATATACCTAATGCTAGATGACGAGTTAGTGGGTGCAGCGCACCAGCATGGCACATGTATACATATGTAACTAACCTGCACAATGTGCACATGTACCCTAAAACTTAAAGTATAATTAAAAAAAATAAATAAAAATAATAATAATAGTAATAATAAAAAAAAAGAAAATCATCAATGTAACAATGAAAAACAAGTTTCCCTTTTTATGCCTAGAGAGCATGAAAAGCAATGAATGAACGCAACCATCTCTCTATTATGGGAAAAACCATGAGCTCTAGCAGTGTAGTATTTCTCTCTCCTGGAACATCTCCAAGGAGGAAACTCAGTGTGGTATCTGAAAGTAAGTTAGGCCTTTAGGATGGGCAAAGTCAGGCCTGGAGGAGGGCTTCAGAAAGAGTTCAGGAAAAGGAAGCACCACCTTATAGAATTGGGGAGGATATCTGAGCACCATTGCTAGCTCCCCTGCCTTTTAATTCAAGACCCAGGACAGACCTGACTCTGCCTTCATATTTTTCTTGCTTACAGTTCAGCATTTCTTAGTCACCATCTCCATCCAGATATCTGACACTTAGACACCTTTTACTGAGACTGCAATATCTTACCCAAGCTCATTTGGTTGTTTGACCTTCTGACTTACATTTCTGCTACTTCAGCCATTTTCACTTTCTTATCCCAGGTCAACATTAACAAGGTTTTACCTGCCAACCCCTGCCACTATGTCTCAGACAGGAAAGAAACTGTCCTTTCTTCATCTGACATACTTTTTCATAGAAGTATAGACACTGTTTTATAACACTCTAAATGCCTTCTAATTTAATTTGTTCTTTCAACAAGCAATTCTTAGGAGACTACCGTGTGCCAGCCATCATAAATGAATAAGCAAATAATAGATTAGAACAAATACTAAGATGAAAATGATACGGGGTCGTATAGGAATGTTATAGACTATGTTAGATTGGTTGGTCCAGGAAAGGACTCACTGAAGTGGAGACATTTAAGCTAAGTCCTGATTGAAAAGGAAGAGGCATCCATGCACAGATCTTGGGGGAGGCAGAGGGACACTCACAGCAAAGGAAACTGCTATGGCAAAAGCCTTAGGACAGAAATGAGGTTGGTGAATTTAGGAACAGAGAGATCAATGAGGTCAGAACACAGGGAGCTCATGAAGAGAAGTCAGGATGAAACTGGAGAGTTGAACTGAGGCAAGGAAGGGAGGGATTGTAGACTGGAGTTAAGGAGCTTATGTTTTATTCTAAGAATAGTGGAAGGTTTTAAGCAGTGAAGTGATATAATGTGATATATAAAAAGATGGAAAGGGAGAACAGTAGAATCCAGAAGGTCCATTACATTGCAATGGTCCAGGCAAGACATACTGATAGCTTAGATTAGAGTGGTAACTGTGTAGGTTTTTAAAAGTGGGGATAATTTCAAAATAGATGTGGCAGGACTAGCCAATTAATTAGATTATGCCATGAAGGAAAGAGAAATCAAAGACATCTTCTAGATTTTTGGCACCTAGGTGGACAGTCATACCACTTACTGAAATGAGTAAACCTATTAAAGCAATGATCTGCTAGTAAATGTTTAACAACCAACTCTCAAGAGGAAAAAATCCCTGATTTGTAGTGTTTGGCATATCAAGGGTATAAATACTCCCACCATTGCCTAATTCCATCTGCATACATAATGTCACTGAATGAGAAATGGTCACCAGTTGGCTTTCGGGACCTGGTAGAAATTGGCTCCAGCACATTATTGGTAGTAACAAGCTTTGAGGAAGTCAAGAATTCTACTTTAATGTGAACTAAATTTTAAAACTCGATTGGCTATCCAAGAAACCATAAGTTGCTGTAATTTTTCACAATTGTATACTATTGTATAATTGTATTTACACATGAGAAGTAACTTGTATCTTTGCAGTAAAGGTACCTAGACTAACGGCATTATCTTAACTCCTTATAGAAATATCTTTACTGATTTCTTTTTCCTCTTTTTCTGTCCTCTATACGTATATATAGATATACATCTGTGTGTATTCATTTTCTATTGCTGCTGTAACAAATTACCACAACTTAGTGGCTTAACCCAGATTTATCTTACAGCTTTGTAGGTCAGAAGTCTGACATGGGATCTCATGAGGCTAGAATCAAGGTGTCAGCAAGACTGAGTTCCTTTCCAGAGACTCTAAGAGATAATCTGTCTTCTTGCCTTTTCCAGTTACTGGAGATGTCCCTCATCCTTTGGCTTCTGGTCTTCTTTCTCCACCTTCAAAGGCAGCAGGTTGAGTCCTTCTCATATTGTATGACTCTGACCTCTTCTGCTTCTCTCTTCTAAGAACTCTTGTGATTGCACTGGGCCAACCCAAAAAACCCAGGATAATCTCTCTATTCTAGATTTAAGTTGCTAGCAACCTTAATATGCAAAATAATTCCCCTAACCTAACCCATTAATAAATTCCAGGGAATAGGATGTAGACATCTGGGGGTGGCCATTAGTCTGCCCAACACAATAAATATGAATGCATGTCTGTATGCATACACACACCAGGGCAAATATGTATATATTTCATTTGTGTACCTGCACACATATATCTATTTATGTATATAAGGAGAAATTTATACCTATACCCTCATATATTTCTATAATACAAAAACTTACACATTTCTTCAACTAGAATACTGTTCCAGGAAGAATTCTCTCCCTACAAGAACAACTTGTATACATTCATCTCTCAATATCCATTGGGGATTGGTTCTAGGACATCTCATGGACACCAAAATCCATGGATGCTTATGTGCCTGATAAAAAATGGTATAATGTTTGGATATAACCATTGCACATTCTCCCATATATTTTAAATCATCTCTAGAGTATCTATAATACCTAATATGATGTAAATGCTATATAAATCATTGTCATACTGTTTTGTTTTGGAAATACTGACCCAGAAAAAGTATGCACATGTTTAATACAGACTACAGACACAATCTTTGATTTCCAAATATTTTTGATCTGCATTTGGTTGAATCCACGGATGCAGAACCAGTGGATATGAAGGTCTTACTCTACTTTCTTTTTTTCTCAGTTCAGAAAAACTGTAAACTCCATCAGGTTGACCTTACCATGTTTTCCAAGAAGCTCATAACTAAATTTAAATTTCACTTGTAATAGTTTACTAATCCCATATAATGACTACATCTAGCTATCACCTTTTAATTAAAATATTGGATCTACATGTGAATGTTTATAATTGTACTGTATTATATTTATTTCATATTGAAAACTACTTCAAATGTTTTTTTGAAAATAGAATAGGTTATAAATTATCAACAATGACAGCTCTGACAGAAATCCCAGGAAAGCAAAATGATAGTGTTACACTTTCTTTAGACCACGACATTAAATAACAAATCATGGAAAGCTGAAACCATACAGTAATAAGACTCCAAATCCCTGAGAAAGGAAAGAACATTCACACTAGCTTTCCATTTTCCACAGTTCTGAGCTCTGAGCCATTCCAAGAAAATCAAAATGTGATAATCCCAGTCAGATAGAATATCCAAAAGAAAAAAGAAAGAAAACTTTCCAAGAAGAAATGGAGCCTGAGTGGCTGCATGCTCTCACTACATGGAAAGCTTTGAATTTCCTCAAGCTTTGCCACTCCCTGGACATTCATCCTTTCATAATACTTCACCTCTAGAGCTCAGAGACCCATGGGCATTTTAAAGGATTTCAGATGAGCCACTGGATGTGAAATACATCACACATACTAAAAGGCCCAGCCCAGAGCTGGAGGTAGTCCCAGCAACAGCTATTCCACAGCTAAACCACGGTCCCCATGCCCATTCCTGTCAGCAGTGGTGAGCCTCATTAACTCAACCCCATTTACAAAAGTAGCTCATGGATCACAGTCCTAGATGCCACCTCCAGAGTGGGAGCATAAGCCCTCCTCGACTGGTCCTACCTCCCCCTCCCCTCTCCTCCATGTAGGTGATCTTGCTCTCCATGATGACTTAGACATGCATCAAGGTAAAGCTTATAAGCAAGGTGGGCCAAGAAGGAGGCCTCATGTGTACAGAGAAAGGAAGCTCTGATTGCCCCACTGCCCCACCTGAGAGACTACTAGTCACCTTCTTGAAAATATCTCTGTTTAAGCATAGGTAGCAGAAATGAACTCAAAACCTGGCACCAAGATCTACCCGTATGTGGCCTTCAGCAAGTCACATGCCTAAGAAGCCTTATCTCTAAAACAGGATTAATAATAGTGCTCGCCTTGTAGATTTGCTGTGAGAATGAAATGCCATGATATATATAAACTCCTTAGCGTGCTGTATGATGTAGTAAATGCCATAAATGGTAACTAAAGGAATAGATTAAAAGAATTAAAATTAGTAATGCTCCATCTGGAATGCCAAAAACACATTGCATATTGAGTAGTCCAACAAGATCTATTTGTTTAAATTCTCAAAACACTAGAAAGAAATTTGGTCCATAGAAAACAACAAGGGAAGCATTTAATCTGCAAACAGCCTGCAATAGTAACACCTATCATTTGTTGCAGGTATATTCCATACCTGTTACTGGACTAAGCAATTTTTATATACAATATAATCTTAACAATTACCACTTACTTACTCATTTTAAACATCAAATTACTTATGCATAAGTAAACTGGGGAGCAGAAAAGTTAAGGATTTACCCAAAGCCCCACCCCACAGCTAATGAGTTGCAGCTCTATCCCAAACCTGCTTTGAAGTCAGAGCTGATGCTGTTGATTATACGCGTTTTCATGTTTGTTGCATCCCTGAGAGAAATTGAGATTCCTACCAATGCCAATCTTTTAAGAGTCCATTCATACGGTGACCACACAGTCTCTTTGCAGAATTGGCCTCCCCTCACTAAAGGTCCATTCCCCATACCTTGCTTTGCACACTATGAGCCAAGCTATGTTTTGTAGCCTCCACCAGGACCTCATTCCAAAGAGGTTTTCCTCTGGATATTCTGTCTTTTTGTTTCCCTGAGTTCGGCTGCTGGCAGGCCCCCCAACTTTTGAAATGAGGGGGCAGAATCTTTTCTATTCATTTCCACGATGGCACCATTTTTTGTTCCCTCCCTCCTAGAAAGCAAGAGTACTTTAACATTGGCTAAGAACTTCAGGTCAGAAGTTAGGTAAACTTTGTTTTAAATCCTGGCTCCAGCTTTTACTGAACATGTGACTTTGGGTAAGTTCTTGAGTAACACCAATTTTCTTTATTTGTTGAATGGAGCTAATAGTCGTATTTATCACGCTGTTTTCTTGAAAATATTATACGATTAAATGAAGATTAAATGTACAGCTTTTAGCACAATACCCAGCACAGAGCTAGCTATGCAAGATATTAGTATAACACTCATACAATTTTAAGGCTTGAGGTATATTTTCTGACAGACTCTAAGTGTCATATTCATTATGGTGTCCCTAGTTCCTATCACAGTGTCCGGCCTGTAGCTGTGGCTTGTCACACACTTGCTGATTGATCGAATGAAATGCCGTGAATGAATCCTTTATCAGGATATCACAAACTACTGTCACACTCCCCCTAGTGGTGATCTAATAAATTCCCCTACTTGGAGATTCCTAACCTTTGCCTTTAAATTGGATACTTTGGGGACAAAGAGAGATGTAGAAATAGTTTTTAAGAAGCTTTATACATAAAGTGCTGTGTGAAACCTCTGCACTATTCTCTTTCAAAACACTTAAAGATCAACACTATTTGTCTTGGCTTCTAGCGTCAGACTGCTGTTTCTTTGACAGTGATACAACGCAGACCCTGGGTCACATGGGACTCAGTTATATTCCGATTATATACATGTTCACAGAGCCTCTTTCCAAGGAGGGTTCTCTTCCAAGGAGGGTTCATTATATGCTTGCCTAGCCTTTTTGGTGTGTTGTGGCTAACCACTCTAGTAGGAGAAAATAACTAAACCAGAATGACGGAAAGGCGATGAAAAGAATGGGAAGAGCAGTGTGAACTGCGTTTGGAGAGTGAATTCTAGGGAATTTTGAGAAAGTATCATGGGTGAAACAGTAATGTTTGAGCTATTGTGAGATGGAAAGAAAAAGTATTTTAAGATACTTTCCTGTGTGTGGTAAATGGAATTCACCTTTAAAATTTCTTCACAAGACTTCAGTACACATTTAAATAGCTTTTCCAAGACTTTTGGCACATCTAGTGGTGTTTCTTTTGAAGAGGATACCTTCTTAAGACTGCCCAAAATGGGTCCTGCTTTCTTTCAGCTTTTATACATACTTGGTCAATGAACATTCGTTGCTATAAACTGGGCTATGTAGGTAGACCAGTTTCTCTTTTTTCAATACCCTGAACCATACACATCTTCACATGGATCCCTGTATAATGACTTTCTCCTTTGAAACTGCCTTTTACATCCTTATTTATTTCAGCTGCATTAAAATGGCTACTTGAAGAAGCAAGCAGATTATTTAGCATAATTCCCCCAATGATTAATTCTCTTTCAAGGATAGATTTCCAGTAAAATTGCCTTCCAGCCTCCTTTCCTGTTTTGTTGAATAAATAAGTGGTTGTTGGCCTCCACCAATATCCACAGAACAGTAAGGAGCGTGGTTCTTTAGGCTCCAGTGTTTCTCTACTCTCCCACCTACTACTACCAGTGTGACCTTCATAAAATCACAGACATTCTCTGCGCTGCAGATCTTCCTTGTTTTTTCTCTCATTTTGAAAAATTTGTATTGGATTTTAAATACACGCTTACTGCAAAACTCTCAAATAATATGAAATTATATAAAGTGAAACACTTGCTCTCTCCCCACTTCCCACCCTGATCAATCCTTCTACTTATAGTTGCTATCTTCTTATATTTTTATACAAATAATATGTAAATTAGTATATAATTTCTACTAATAAAAATAGTATTGTATAGTATGCATTATACAATTTGAAATTTTCTTAAAAATTAGATCACACTAGACATAATAACCAAGTTACTTTTTTATGTTTTCAAATGGAAATAATAATAGAAACAGCGATTTTATGAGGCTCAAGTGAAATAATGTATGTGAAAACAATTCAACAGTTATAAGATACCCTGCAAAACTATCATCTTTTTATTATAACTAGGAGCTCTTTGCTCATAGTTTACTCTTCTTGTATGGTACCCGGAATGACCAGCTTTTCTTCTTTCCCCTGGTTTCTTAAAAGTATGCTTATTTTCTCAATTTAAAGATACCCTTTAAAAAATATTTTACCATCTCTGAAACCAAGATACATATTACAATAAATATTGTGTCCTGGTTTAATTTGGTAATATTTTTTCGATCTTACTGATTCATAAAATAATGGTGTATCTTAGAATGATGGCATCTTAGATTTGGTGATATACATTAAGTGTATATCTCTTCTTTCCTTAATCAATTTGCAAAATTGTCACCTTATGTAAACAACTTCATCTCCTTCTGTCTAAGCATCATTGGCCATTAAATGGTGGTAATATTTAGAAGAGTTATCATTTTAAAAGTACCAGAGATAGGAATGCCTTATAGTATAAATTCATTAAGTATGAATTTCATCTTTTCCTGTACCCCTTTAAATTAAATTCTTAATTCTCAGGCTGAAATTTAAAGTCCTGACCACATCATTGCATGTCATATACTCTGTCCTTCAACCAACCTATACCACCTGCTATTCTGCAAAATTACCCCATATTTTCTCAGCCCTGACCCCTGACCAAACAGTTGTCTATCAAAGTCCCACCCACCCAATGTCAGCATGCATAGAATTTTTTTCTGATGTTATTGGAGCAGATGTGATCTCTTTTATATTTGAGCCTCCATAGTACTGTATTTTGTTAAATACATTTTTTGTGTTATCCTCACCTCTGTCTGCTAGAACTTGCTTCAAAACACTCTTTCTCTTCATTGCCTGCATATCCCATTCAACAGCACACTACCTTACATAATGTAAGTTTTCGGTAAATAATTTTTCATAGAAATGTACTTTCAACATTAAAATCTGTGGTTATGAGGCATTGCTTCCAGGAATTGTAACATTTTCAATATTTCAATCCTTACATAGTTCCAACTTGAATTTTTATTAGTCTTAAAATATATTTCAAGGTAGTTTGTAGGCAAATATTCTCTTAATTCCTTGAAATCCTTCTTTTAGAAGAAGGATTTTACAGCCGGGAGCAGTGGTTCAAACCTATAACCCCAGCAATTTGGGAGGCCAAGGTGGGAGGATCACTTGAGTCCAGGAGTTCAAGACCGGCCTGGGCAACATAGGGATACCCTGTCTCTACAAATAAGTTAAAAATTAACTGCCTGTGCTCATTGTGTGTGCCTGTGGTCCCAGCTACTCAGGAGGCAGAAGCAGAAGGATCACCTGAGGCCAGGATGTCAAGGCTGTAGTGAGGTGATATTGTGGCACTGCACTCCCACCTGGGTGACAGAGCTAGAAACCAAGATACATATTACAATAAATATTGTGTCCTGGTTTAATTTGGTAATTTTTTTTTATCTTACTGATTCATAAAATAATGGTGTATCTTAGAATGATGGCATCTTAGATGCCATCTCACAAAAAAAATAAAAAAATATGTATATATGCACACACACACACACACACACACACACACACACACATTCAGGTTATTTTATATTTTAAAGAAAAACATGTAAATTTTCCAAATAAGAAAATTGAGAGAAGGCAAAATCAATTCACCAATTATAGTTGGTGCTTTGTCACATAAATAGAAATAATACTGAAGACAAAGCTATTTGAAGATCCTGAAATGTGGATATTCATCCAATCCCACGCAAGATAATTGCCACAAATTTTGTCCTGTATAAACTGAAACTGTGACTATAACATATAGAAGGCTTATACAGTTTCTAGCTATTGAAAACAGAAATGTAGCTAACTAGCTTCCCTTATTTAATATCAGTGATTTTGTAAGGGAATGGTTCTCTTTACAAATAATGATAAACATGCATCTTGCTAAAATTATACAGAGAAACAGAGACCTCCAGTGGCTGAATAACTTCACATAGCGAGAATGTGAACAGCATAAAACAGATGGGAAAGACATAATGGATTATTCACCCAAAAGGTTCTTCAGTCTAGTCTTTCTTTCATGGCATGTACTCTAGTACTTCCTTAATTCTGGTCTAAGTGTCTGAGGACAACTGTGTTCTCACCGTTATGTCAGGAAAATCATATCCCTATCTAAGAGAAGTTGTTACTAGACAGTTTACCTGGTATTTATTTAAAATTATTTTTAATTAGGTTATATAAATTAATTTAAATTATATCTTCCAATTATTTTCTGTGATGTTTTTTCTATTAATATAGTTTCACTGCTTACAAGCAGCGATACTTAAATTTTTTAAATCCTCAATTGATCTTTGTGAGATAAAGAGCACAGACTACATATATGTAAGAAGAAAGTTATATACATAAATATAACATTTTAATAATTCAAATTAATGAGGTGAATGAAAGAAAACATGACAGTTACAAAATATATTTCTAAAACTAACATAATTCATATTATGTGATTCCACTTAATTCTCATATGTTTCCAAAGCTCAATATATGCTTTAATGAAAGCAAAAGTATAAAAATTGCTTGAATCTAAGCAAAAAGGGTTTTATTAAAGGTCTGAGGATCTTTAAAAACTATAGGTTCTCTGTAGCATGTTAAATATTTCTCCCAAAGGGGAGAAAAAACCATGTAAGTTCATTTTCCTTTGTTCTGTCTCTAATATTAGAGAACCACATAGTTTCATTCATTCAAAGAACAAATAGTTGCTAGATATTGAGGATATAAAGATGACTTGATTAACCTTTTAAATATTCAGTTTTCACTAAACACTAAGGTACAAATTAAGCTTCTATGACTGCTCAATAAAATTGAACAGTATTTATGAAAAGCTTACTAAGACAGCCCAGTTCTAGCTTAGAGGTTATTTCTGTATTTTTA
Organism: Homo sapiens; assembly: GCF_000001405.40. Taxonomy (NCBI): domain Eukaryota; kingdom Metazoa; phylum Chordata; class Mammalia; order Primates; family Hominidae; genus Homo; species Homo sapiens. Next base: position 74,087,146 of record NC_000006.12, on the reverse strand, counting down.
AAATAAGGTTGGATAGAATAATAAAATAATGCCTTCCAAAACAGACTTCTTTCCCAAATATTCACACACATCTCCTTTCCCAAATCTCCATGTTTTGGAGGTTTTCTCTCTAAATACAACTCTGAGGCCAAATGCATACAAGACACAGTAAAGAGAAGTTTGGTTAATATAAGACATTATTACATACATACGGGTTTTTATACTTAAGATCAGGACACCTGAGGTCATAGCTACTATAAATAGGAGCCATGTCTTTGAACTCACAGTACCAGACATTGTATAGTCACTCTTATGTGCTGTCAATGAGTGACTGGGATAAAGTTATAGCATCAATCTTCATCTTTCCTGAACAATCAAGTGGGTAAGTCTGCTATGCCATCTTCAAAGCAATAAAGAAGTGTAATTGTATCAAGTGAAAATTCACATTGTGTAAACCTGAATTGCAGGTGGTATCAGATACATTGGCTGCTTGGTACAGATGAATGCTATCAAAGCATTAGAACAGCTCATTTTTTATTCAGCTATGCTAAGGAGGAGAGAGATTACAGACTTTTAAATCCCCTCTACTTGAGCAATGATTACCAAAACTAGATTACTCTATATTACCTTCTTGGGGATCACTGAAGTTAAGAAAAGAGAAATCAGCATGGTAAAAGAGTGAAAGCGAGGAAGAGAGAGAGGCAGAGGGGGAGGAGAGATCAAGATAATTCATACTCTGTGTAACCTGTTTCTGGATGGATATGAGTATTTGCCCAAGTAACCAACCAGTTTGATAAGCATCCAGTTTGATGTGACAACATAGGTTCATCATTTGCAACAAATGTACTCTTTGGTGATGGATGTTGATTTTTTCAGGGATAGGGAAGCAGAACTTTATTTTTTAAAAATCACCATATGATTCAAATAATTCTCTAGTCATAAAAGTTATAACTAGAGAGTCAATCAAAATGTGGTCTTTCTAAAAATATTTTATTGCTTCTAAAAATGAGAAATGATTTTGCTGCTTCTTTCTCTCTAGAGTTCTTCATAGCATACACATTTGCCGTTTCCTTGGATATTTTGAGCTTACTAGTAATGTTTCGGTTCATCTTTTCTGTGAGCCCAAAGTGCCAGATTTCTGAGCTTTATAAATTGTGAACGAGGACCTGATGTCACATTTCTGAAACATCAGGATTTAAAAAATTGATTTTTTTCCATTAATATTCCATGCGTTATATTAAATCCAAACTCTCTTGGCTATTTCCAGATTTTGGTATTATAAAAACATGATGTATCTGACTTTCATTATTAAATGAATATTTGATTCATATGACATGTATGAGAAAAAATAAGAAAGAGCTAAAAAAGAAATTTGTATTGAAAGAAAATATATATAAACATTATCAAGGAAGCAACTTAACCTTCTATTACAAAACATCTTAACTACAATACTATGCCTACCAATGTCACAAATACACTTTTTTTACAGGTTTTTGGTACTTTTATGTGTGTAAAGGCATACACACAAGCAAAGAAAATAATGTAGACTAGTAGTTAAGGGTTAGGACTAAGAGATGGAGAAACTTGTTCATTGATCAATTATCAGATCGTGGACAAATTACCTAAGCTGGCGGGGAGAAAAAGGAAGGGGGGTAAGGGTTGAAAAATTACCTATTGGGTACAATATTCACTCTTCAGGTGATGGGTGCACTGGAAGCCCAAACTTCACCATTACACAATATATCCATGTAGCAAACTTGCACATGTACCTCCTGAGTCTATAAATATTAGGAAAATCACTTAGCCTCAAAACTATGGCAATCGTAAAATGATCCAGGGGTGGAGCCAAGGGATGAGTAGGTGAAGCACAGAGACTTTTTAGGGCAGTGAAAATAGTCTTTATGATGCTTTAATGATGACTATTTGTCACTATACATTTGTCCAAACCTATAGAATGTACACTACTAAGAGTGAACTCTAAGGTAAAATATGGACTTTGAATGATTATGATGTGACAATGTAGGTTCATCAATTGCAACAAATGTACTCTTTGGTGATGGATGATGATCATGTGGGAGGCTATGCATGTGTGCAGGCAGGAGTGTATGGAAAATCACTGTACTTCCTCTCAATTTTACTGTAAACCTAAAACTGCTCTTAAAAAAATAAAATTAAAAAATAAAAATAATAGGTTGTAGGTTCCAAGATGGCCGAATAGGAAGAGCTCCAGTCTACAGCTCCCAGCGTGAGTGACACAGAAGACGAGTGATTTCTACATTTCCAACTGAGCAAAGAGCACACCAGGAGATTATATCCCGCTCATGGCTTGGAGGGTCCCACACCCACGGAGCCTTGCTCACTGCTAGCACAGCAGTCTGAGATGGAACTGAAAGGTGATGGCAGCCAGGCTGAGGGAGGGGTGCCCACCATTGCTGAGGCTTGAGTAGGTAAACAAAGCAGCCAGGAAGCTCGAACTGGGTGGAGCCCACCGCAGCTCAAGGAGGCCTGCCTGCCTCTATAGACTCAACCTCTGGGGGCAGGGCATAGCTGAACAAAAGGCAGCAGAAAATTCTGCAGACTTAAATGTCCCTGTCTGATAGCTTTGAAGAGAGTAGTGGTTCTCCCAGCACAGAGTTTGAGATCTGAGAAAGGACAAACTGCCTCTTCAAGTGGGTCCCTGACCCCCGAGTAGCCTAAATGGGAGGCACCTCCCAGTAGGGGCCAACTGACACCTCATATAGCCCGGTGCCCCTCTGAGACAAAGCTTCCAGAGGAAGGATCCGACAGCAACATTGGCTGTTCTGCAATATTTGCTGTTCTGCAGCCTCCGCTGGTGATACCCAGGCAAACAGTGTCTGCAGTGGACCTCCAGCAAACTCCAACAGACCTGCAGCTGAGGGTTCTGACTCTTAGAAGGAAAACTAACAAACAGAAAGGACATCCACACAAAAACCCCATCTGCACGTCACCATCATCAAAAACCAAAGGTAGACAAAACCACAAAGATGGGGAGAAACCAGAGCAGAAAAGCTAAAAATTCTAAAAATCAGAGGACCTCTTCTCCTCCAAAGGAACACAGCTCCTCGCCAGCAACAGAACGAAGCTGGATGGAGAATGACTTTGACAAGTTGACAGAAGTAGGCTTCAGACCATCGGTAATAACACACTTCTCCAAGCTAAAGGAGGATGTTTGAGCCCATTGCAAAGAAGCTAAAAACCCTGAAAAACGGTTAGACGAATGGCTAACTAGAATAAACAGCGTAAAGAAGATCTTAAATGACCTGATGGAGCTGAAAACCATGACATTAGAACTACATGATGCATGCACAAGCTCCAGTAGCCAATTCGATCAACTAGAAGACAGGGTATCAGTGACTGAAGATCAAATGAATGAAATGAAGCAAGAAGAGAAGTTTAGAGAAAAAATAGTAAAAATAAATGAAAAAAGCCTCCAAGAAATATGGGACTATGTGAAAAGACCAAATCTACATCTGATTGGTGTACCTGAAAGTGACGGGGAGAATGGAACCAACTTGGAAAACATTCTTCAGGATATTATCCAGGAAAACTTCCACAACCTAGGGAGGCAGGCCAACATTGAAATTCAGGAAATACAGAGAACACCACAAAGATATTCCTAAAGAAGAGCAACTCCAAGACACATAATTGTCAGATTCACCAAAGTTGAAATGAAGGAAAAAATCTTAAGGGCAGCTAGAGAGAAAGGTCGGGTTATCCACAAAGGGCAGCCCATCAGACTAACAGAGGATCTCTCGGCAGAAACCCTACAAGCCAGAAGAGAGTGGGGGCCAATATTCAACATTCTTCAAGAAAAGAATTTTAAACCCAGAATTTCATATCCAGCCAAACTAAGCTTCATAAGTGAAAGAGAAATAAAATCCCTTACAGACAAGCAAATGCTGAGAGATTTTGTCACCACCCAGGCCTGCCCTAAAAGAGCTCCTGAAGGAAGCACTAAACATGGAAAGGAACAACCGGTACCAGCCACTGCAAAAACATGCCAAAGTGTAAAGACCATTGAGGCTAGGAAGAAAATGCGTCAACTAAAGAGCAAAATAACCAGCTAACATTGTAATGACAGGATCAAATTCACACATAACAATATTAATTTTAAATGTAAATGGACAAAATGCTCCAATTAAAAGACACAGACTGGCAAGTTGGATAAAGAGTCAAGACCCATCAGTGTGTTGTATTGAGGAGACCCATCTCACATGCAGAGAAACACATAGGCCCAAAATAAAGGGATGGAGGAAGATCTACCAAAAATGGAAAGCAAAAAAAAAGCAGGGGTTGCAATCCTAGTCTCTGATAAAACAGACTTTAAACCAACAAAGATCAGAAGAGACAAAGAAGGCCATTACATAATGGTAAAGGGATCAATTCAACAAGAAGAGCTAACTATCCTAAATATATATGCACCCAACACAGGAGCACCCAGATTCATAAAGCAAGGCCTGAGAGACCTACAAAGAGACTTAGACTCCTACACAATAATAATGGGAGACTTTAATACCCCACTGTCAACGTTAGACAGATTGAGACAGAAAGTTAACAAGGATATCCAGGAATTGAACTCAGCTCTGTACCAAGCAGACCTAACAGACATCTACAGAACTCTCCACCCCAAATCAACAGAATATACATTCTTCTCAGCACCACACCACACTTATTCCAAAATTGACCCCATAGTTGGAAGTAAAGCACTCCTCAGCAAATGTAAAAGAACAGAAATTATAACAAACTGTCTCTCAGACCACAGTGCAATCAAACTAGAACTCAGGATTAAGAAACTCACTCAAAACCACTCAACTACATGGAAACTGAACAACCTGCTCCTGAATGACTACTGGGTACATAATGAAATGAAGGCAGAAATAAAGATGTTCTTTGAAACCAATGAGAACAAAGACACAACACACCACAATCTCTGGGACACATTTAAAGCAGTGTGTAGAGGAAACTTATAGCACTAAATGCCCACAAGAGAAAGCAGGAAAGATTTAAAATCAACACCCTAACATCACAATTAAAAGAACTAGAGAAGAAGGGCAAACACATTCAAAAGCTAGCAGAAGGCAAGAAATAACAAAGATCAGAGCAGAACTGAAGGAGACAGAGACACAAAAAACCCTTCAAAAAATCAATGAATCCAGGAGCTGGTTTTTTGAAAAGATCAACAAAATTGACAGACCGCTAGCAAGACTAAGAAAGAAGACGAGAAGAATCAAATAAACACACAAAAAAACAAGATAAAGGGCTATCACCACTGATCTCACAGAAATACAAACTACCATCAGAGAATACTATAAACATCTCTATGCAAATAACTAGAAAATCTAGAAGAAATGGATAAATTCCTGGACACATACACCCTCCCAAGACTAAACCAGGAAGAAGTTGAATCTCTGAATAGACCAATAACAGGCTCTGAAATTGAGGCAATAATTAATAGCCTACCAACCAAAAAAAGTCCAAGACCAGATGGATTCACAGCCGAATTCTACCAGAGGTACAAGGAGGAGCTGGTACCATTCCTTCTGAAACTATTCCAATCAATAGAAGAACACGGAATCCTCCTTAACTCATTTTATGAGGCCAGCATCATCCTGATACCAAAGCCTGGCAGAGACACAACAAAAAAAGAGAATTTTAGACCAATATCCCGATGAACATCGATGCAAAAATCCTCAACAAAATAATGGCAAACCGAATCCAGCAGCACATCAAAAAGCTTTTCCACCATGATCAAGTGGGCTTCATCCCTGGGATGCAAGGCTGTTTCAACATACACAAATCAATAAACGTAATCCAGCATATAAACAGAACCAATGAAAAAACCACATGATTATTTCAATAGATGCAGAAAAGGCCTTTGACAAAATTCAACAGTGCTTCATGCTAAAAACTCTCAATAAACTATGTATTGACAGGATGTCTCTAAAAATAATAAGAGCTACTTATGATAAACCCACAGCCAATATCATACTGAATAGGCAAAAACTGGAAGCATTCCCTTTGAAAACTGGCACAAGACAGGGATGCCCGCTCTCGCCACTCCTATTCAACATAGTGTTGGAAGTTCTGGCCAGGGCAATCAGGCAGGAGAAAGAAATAAAGGGTATTCAATTAGGAAAAGAGGAAGTCAAATTGTCCCTGTTTGCAGATGACATGATTGTATATTTAGAAAACCCCATCATCGGGCATGGTGGCGGGCAACTGTAGTCCGAGCTACTCGGGAGGGTGAGGCAGGAGAATGGCGTGAACCCGAGAGGCGGAGCTTGCAGTGAGCCGAGATTGCGACACTGCACTCCAGCCTGGGCGACAGAGCCAGACTCCGTCTCAAAAAAAAAAAAAGAAAGAGAAAACCCCACCTTCTCAGCCCAAAATCTACTTAAGCTGATAAGCAACTTCAGCAAAGTCCCAGGATACAAAATCACTGTGCAAAAATCACAAGCATCCCTATACACCAATAACAGACAGAGAGCAAAATCATGAGTGAACTCCCATTCACAATTGCTTCAAAGAGAATAAAATACCTAGAAATCCAACTTACAAGGGATGTGAAGGACCTCTTCAAGGAAAGCTACAAATCACTGCTCAACGAAATAAAAGAGGACACAAACAAATGGAAGAACATTCCATGCTTATGGAGAGGAAAAATCAATATGGTGAAAATGGCCATACTGCCCAAGGTAATTTATAGATTCAATGCCATCCCCATCAAGCTACCAATGACTTTCTTCACAGAATTGGAAAAAACTTTAAAGTTTTTTAAAGTTTAAAGTTCATATGGAACCAAAAAAGGGCCCGCATTGCCAAGACAATCCTAAGCCAAAAGAACAAAGCTGAAAGCATCACACTACCTGACTTCAAACTATACTACAAGGCTACAGTAACCAAAACAGCATGGTACTGGTACCAAAACAGAGATATAGACCAATGGAACAGAATAGAGCCCTCAGAAATAATACCACATATCTACAACCATCTGATTTTGACAAACCTGACAAAAACAAGAAATGGGGAAAGGATTCCCTATTTAATAAATGGTGCTGGGAAAACTGGCTAGCCATATGTAGAAAGCTGAAACTGGATCCCTTCCTTACATCTTATATAAAAATTAATTCGAGATGGATTAAAGACTTAAATGTTAGACCTAAAACCATAAAAACCCTAGAAGAAAACCTAGGCAATACCATTCGGGACATAGGCATGGGCAAGGACTTCATGTCTAAAACACCAAAAGCAATGGCAACAAAAGCCAGAATTGGCAAATGAGATCTAATTAAACTAAAGAGCTTCTGCACAGCAAAAGAAACCACCATCAGGATGAGCAGGCAACCTACAGAATGGGAGAACATTTTTGCAATCTACCCATCTGACAAAGGGCTAATATCCAAAATCTACAAAGAACTTAAACAAAGTTACAAGAAAAAATCAAACAACCCCATTAAAAAGTGGGCGAAGGATATGAATAGACACTTCTCAAAAGAAGACATTTGTGCAGTCAAAAGACACATGAAAAAATATTCATCATCACTTGCCATCAGAGAAATGCAAATCAAAACTACAATGAGATATCATATCACACCAGTTAGAATGGTGATCATTAAAAAGTCAGGAAACAACAGGTGCTGGAGAGGATGTGGAGAAATAGGAACACTTTTACACTGTTGGTAGGACTGTAAACTAGTTCAACCATTGTGGAAGACAGTGTGGTGATTCCTCAAGGATCTAGAACTAGAAATACCATTTGACCCAGCCATCCCATTACTGGGTATATACCCAAAGGATTATAAATCATGCTGCTATAAAGACACATGCACACGTATGTTTATTGCAGCACTATTCACAATAGCAAAGACTTGGAACCAACCCAAATGTCCATCAATGATAGACTGGATTAAGAAAATGTGGCACATATACACCAGGAAATACTATGCAGCCATAAAAAAGGATGAGTTCATGTCTTTTTTAGGGACATGGATGAAACTGGAAAACATCATTCTGAGCAAACTATCGCAAAGACAAAAAAACAAACACCACATGTTCTCACTCATAGGTGGGAATTGAACAATGAGAACACTTAAGACACAGGACGGTGAACATCACACACCAGGGCCTGTTGTGCGGTGGGGGTGGGGGGAGGGATAGCATTAGGAGATATACCTAAAGTAAATGACAAGTTAATGGGTGCAGCACACCAATATGGCACATGTATACATATGTAACAAACCTGCACGTTGTGCACATGCACCCTAGAACTTAAAGTATAATAATAATAATAAATAATAAAAAAATTAAATCCATAAAATCTTTTTTGAATCTTATAATTTTAACTATTACTTTGATGATAGAAATCTTCCATTTAAGGAAAAAATTATTTTACTGATAATGTAACGTGAATTTAATTAATAAAAAAATTTACTTCAAAAAAAAAGAATCAGGAGTTAAATAGATATATCCCTGGGAAATGCAATTTTAGAGATGTTTATCCATGTCTACATTTCATTAATTATTTATAAAGTAGGGTTTTGAGGCAGAAACAATTTTTCCATCATATCTGTAACCATAAAAGATTAAAGATGCATTCATTTTTTTCCAACTTTTATTTTAAGTTCCAGGGGATGTGTTCATTTTTAATTAAGTGGAAATAATGCTTGAACCATGAATAAAGATACAGATTCATTTGAAAATAAAAATAAACAAAAATAAAAATAATGAAAAAAGAAAATTACTTAGCCTCTTTGTGCTCAGTTTCCTTATCTGTTAAATGTCAGAATAAAGTGACACACCTATTTATGAGAATCAAATAAGAAAATGCATATAAAGAACTTAGTGCATTGCTTGCCCATAAGAAACATTAACATATAGTTATTATTTATTACTGAGGAAGTTGAAAATGAGGCTTTATACAGTATTAACACAACTGTGTCTCTTAGAACAAATTTGAGAGCAAGCTGTCTAGGTTAGGGCAAAGCTAATTTGCAAAAAGAATAATTCAGACCAAAAAGGAAATCTTTCGAATGAAAAATCCAGAGGACTTGAAGCCTAAATGAATGAACACCAAGATTCAATAGTCTTTTCCCTCATTCTCTCATTCTTTCTCTCCTGTTGATTACCTTCTCTTTGTCTTCTTTTCCCTTGGCTTCCAATGAGACATTGTTCTCTGGGTCTCCTCCCAGAACTCTGATGATTTCTCTTTTTCCTTTCTTTCACTCCTGAAATGTATATGATCCAAGTTTTTGCCCTTAACATTTTCACTTCTCTTTCTCAACTACCTTATTCCTTTGAACAATCTATTCAATCCCCTGTCTTCAGTTGACACTTCTAGAGACATGGCCTCCAAACCTGAAATCCAGGCCAAGTTCTCTCTTTTATATTTCAGCTGTGTATTTCCAGTTGCTTCCTGAAGCTGTCCACATATCCCATCTGCCCTTCACACTCAGTATATTTTCCCCCTTCTCCCTTCATCCAGCTCCTCCTCTTGACTTCTCCAGTTTTACTAATAGTGTGGCCATCTTCCAGGGCATCAAGATTTAAAATTCTGGTATCACCTCTGTATTAATCCATTCTCACATTGCTATAAAGAAATGCCTGAGACTGAGTAATTTATAAGAAAAGAAATTTAATTGGCTCATGATTCTGCAGGCTGTACAGAAAGCATGGTGGCAGCTGCTTCTGGGGAGGCCTCAGGGAGCTTTTACTCATGTCAGGAGGCAAAGTGGCAGCAGGTGCTTCACATTGTGAAAGCAGGCGCAAGAGAGAGACAGCAATGTGCCATGTAGTTTTAAACAGCCAGATCTCCCAAGAAGTCCCTATCAAGAGGGCAGCACCAAGAGGATGGGAGCTAAACCATTCATGAGAAATCCATCTCCGTAATCTGATCACCTCCCACCAGGCCCTGCCTCCATTACTGGGGATTACAATTCAACATGAGATTTGAGTAGGGACACATATCCAAACTACATCAAGCCTCTCACTTTTTTCTCTTATCCTCCATCCCCAAGTTTTAGCTAAATTCTATACATTTCAATTCTGCAATATATTTCTAAATAATTCTTATCTCTGTTAACCCTTCCTCTGTCGTTTAGTCCTTATCACCCTTCAACTATGATATTAGAAAGGCCTCCTATAAGTCTCTCTCCCTCAGAATATCCTCCAGTCCTAAACCACTTTACAGTATATTCTTCCTGCTCACAATTCTGAATAAACTACTTGCCTGCTCAAAAACATTCATTAGCTCTTCACTATCTATTATAGAGCCAACCCCCTTTTCTCTACCGTTCTCAAGCTCCTATGACATGGCCAATATCCTATTTTTCCAACTTTTTTTCTGCCTACTCTTCTTAATGACTCCTCTACTCCAGCCCAATTGAATGACTTGCTCATTGCAATCTATACTCTGACATTTTTAACATCACAATTTGTTCACACCTTCTGCTCTCTTGAATTTCTTTCCTCATCTCTGAAGAGAGCTTTATTTCCATCACATGTGCAAGTAACCTCTCATCCCCTCTGACTTTCTCAAACCATCCACAATTCTTTTGCAATACTTTTCATTTTATACTTTCTATTCTAGTCATTTGGGTATGTCTTATCCTACATACGAACTGTAAGTCAATAAGGACAGGATCTATAAATGATGCAATTTTGTATCCACCATTATCACCAGCACAGGGCTTTCCACATACTACCTCATCAACAATTTATGTTGATTGCCAAAATAGTTATGAAAAGCCCTTCTTTGATTCAGTTAGCATAAATTTAATTGGCAGTTCAGGATCCTATTTTCCTAAATGAGAGTACAGCATCACTGAAGTATTGTATGGTCCTTGCACAGCCTACTGAGAATTACTGTAAAATAAGCAGGGAGACATTGCCACAAAAATGCATTCAACAAAACCAATCGACACAAGCACAATCTTGGTGGCAAGATGACACAAGAGTCAAGGAAATCCCACAATTATCCTTGCAAAAATCTCTCCTCACAGCTCTCAGCTCTAAATGCAGCATTAATTGGTAGCATTGACAAAATTAATTTGGCAAATCCCTCTGAAGCTTGTTCATTTAAGCTTTCTGTGATACTGTTGGGTTTTAGCCCTTAATTAAATTTATGTGCTGATATGTTAAATCCTTTTCATTTCTGTTTAACCCCCTATTCACGGAGGTTTTCTTCCAATATCATATGAAAACCTAGCTGAATCAAAAAGCAAAGTTTACAGAAGACTGTAGTTTTTCTGACTTTCTAGTTGCACTTGTAGAATTAGAATTTGAAGTCTATATAAGAAATCCCAAATGGGGAAATTAACATGCAATTTTTCCTAAGCATCTCCCCGTGCCTGAAGGGCTGAACTCCAGTTCCTGTGTTTTGATGAATTACATTACAAATTAGCCCAATCATCTCACTATCAAATTTGCAGGTTTTATTCCTTCTTTGGAACTTACAGAGATTAAAAATAAATTTTAGTTTCTTCCAACATAGTTTCCAAATTTACTGCTCCTCTTTCCTTCACATCTGACACTAAACCAAGCCAAAGGCAGAGTACTCCCTCCCTGGTGATGTCCCTGCTCATCCATCACGCCTTGCTGATGCAATCCAGTTCCATAAGCTGTCTTCGGGGAGCATGGGTGGCCAACAGAAATGAGCCCATGAGTGAATGGAAGAATTGTGTAAGACTCTGTCTTTTGTGTAGGGAAAGTGCCAGGGCATGTTTGCCAGATCTCCCGGATGCTTTGTGTGGATAGTTTTAATCTCCTTTTCAAACAGAAGAAGTCAAGTTCTTCCTTTAAATATTTATTTCCACAGTTTTTCTGTCTTTGTTTTGCACATAAGCTTAATTTATGTGTACCTTTTAAGATCTTGGTTAAAATATTCTCCCGAAAGAATACTAGGTTCATACTAGGGAAGTAGACACATAATGAAAAATTATCCAAAAAGCTTGGTTAACTTCTTTTTCCCAATATACACACTTTCTATTAGCAAAGAAACTAAGCTAGACTGAAAATAGTGTTCAATTTGGTTTACCTAATTATTCAATTTCCATTTTAATTTTCCTAGTAAAAACTTCATCATAATGTGTATTCTGTTGTATTTCTAACACATTAGCACATCTATAAGATATAGATCTATGTAGATTTCACTTTCAAATATCACATTTTGACTATATAAAAACTAAATGATATTTAGAGAGGGTATTTGATAATATAAGGTTTTACTTGCACATTTGGTAAGTGTTAACTTTGTTATTGTTTGAGTTTTCTTTTAATAAGCTGTTAGCTATGCAGCTGGGAGCCCTAGCAGATGCAATTTCTCCTTCAACAGGGACAAAAAGCAGCTAGATGCTCTACACAGGCATTGGAAAGGTCATCCAAAGCATATTTTAAGAGCCTCTATTAGTTTTGCAGGTTTTTGTCATGCTGAACCTTGTGCTTGGAGATAAAAAAATTAGAGATTTTTGTTTTACTGGTCAAAGCATTCACTCCTCTGATACAGACAGCACCAATAAGGGGTGGGTCGATTTGCGTGAGGAGCCAATGATTTTCTATAATAGAAAGGACCACAGTCCTATTACCTGTCACCAACTTCCTCTCCATAAAAGTCAGGGTAGATTTAGATGGCCTCATGAGGCAACGATGAACAACAAGACTCCTAAAATACAGGTAAAACAAGGGTAGAGAGTGAAGGGAGAGAGCAAGTCCTGGACTGAATCAGGGCATCATCTGTGCTTCTGAGTCTCAGGGTGTGGTAGGCATGAGAATACACCTGGTGGGCTTCCAACCACAAAAAGTGTGTTTGACTGAGGCCCCAGCCACCACTCCCTGAAACCTATCCCTGCATTTGTGCCATGGCCACATCTCTCATAGGCTGCTTCCTGCCAATGACCTGTCTCCAGGGGACGTGAGACTTCTTTTTGGCTGACTTGGCTAGAGAACTCCCCTAAAGTTTCCTGAGACGATATAGAAATCTAGGCGGCTTGCAGCCAACCTTCTCTCCCTCTCTCCTTCACTTGAGGTCAGACTAGCATCACATTCTGATGACTGGCTCAACTCTCTTCCTACTTCTTTTACATGCAGGCATTTCCTCCTAATAAAATCCTTGCCTGTTTTGTTCCATCTTAGCATCTGCTTCTTGGAGGACTCAGATTAACATGCACAGTACAAGTGCTGAACCTGTCTTGACCTACTTCGAGTCATTTGTGTCCCAGGAACTATTAGAATGAACCTTATGAAACTGCCAACATCCAACCATTGGTGACTTACAAAAATAACAATTTCATATAGTTCAACCTAATAGTAGTGCAGAATGCTGACAGGGTTGAAACACTGGAGACTCAGTTCTCTAAAGCACAGAGTTTCTTTGAGACTGAAATAAGAATCTACATTCCTTCCCCTGAAAGGGCTGAATCTGGGACAGTTAGCCCAGTGCCTGAGCTCAGGATAGCTTTGACCCAGGAAATCTGATGCTTTCCATTGCCCATGTTTCCCTCAGGATACAGCTTGGCTGCTTAATCAGCCTTACTCACTGGCTTATTTCCACTGGAGCCCAGCTCATCGTCATGACTCACCTGAAAGATGATGGACATCAAAACTTGTCCTGATTCTCTCCTGTAGGCAGCCTTTGCCCCCATGGAAATGCTTTGGCTCAGGAATTGATAGAACTTTGACCTTGAAGGCACTGATAAGTTTGTGGGGAATTCTTTTTAAAATCAGAGGCAGCCTAGAAACTGGGGGAGTCCACCTTTCCAGAAGCAAGCAGGATTGATTCAGAACTCAGAATGACTGCTGCACAGTGGACTCTGCACCACCTTTCTTGTTTCCAACACAGCCCAGGAAGGCAGCTTCTACTCTGGAGACAGGAACCCTCTGCCACAGCTGGCATACTGAACCAGGAATAAATCAGAGAATTCTCTTCCACTTTCCAGACCACTGAAAATAGGGACTCATAAGAGTATAAAAGAAAAATAATTGGACCTTGGAGGGGAATATACTGGACTTCTTGCTCCTATTGGCCATGGTAGTCCAGTCTGGCTTGACTAGGGCACGCAACTTGCCCCTCAAATTCAATACGCCAACTACACATAGTAAAAATGTTAATAGTAAGAATTTACCTTTCAGTGAAGAAATTAATTTTCACAATTATTAAAACTAATTCAAATTGTAATTTAAAGTATGAAGATTTTTCTATTCAAATATCTTTATGTTTCTGAAACTTTAGCTTGTAAAATTAGGTAACCACGTAACTTTTATTCTCAAATGCTATGAGAAAAGTCTTGCTTTTTCCCCAATAATTTCCTTTTTATTAAAGAAGAAAAATAACTTTACATGCAATTAATTTGAGAGCTTTAATATAAAAAATAGCCTTCATTTACTGAGCACTTACTATCTGCTAAAATAAAGCTAGGAACTATTGAATACTAGAGTTCTGCCAGTAGTTCTGACTCAGTGCTATGAAATGAATAGAATAAAATCACTATTCCTTTTATACTTCATATGTTTCTTCTATGCATATTGTATATTTCTTCTATGCAACTTGAAACACTGCCATCATATTTTGTATTGCACTTTACATAAACATCTCTAATTTATCATAAGCCTTTCATAAACATTATTTTTCCATTGTGTGGACATTATGTTTAACCCTTCCTTATGTTTAGACACTCAGATTGTTTCACATTTTTTTTGCCTCAGCTCAACATATAATCATTCTCAAGAGTAGAATTACTGGGTTAAAGATTACAGTAGTCCCCCTCTTATCCACTGGAGATAAGTGGATGGTTGAAACCAGATATAGTACAGAACCCCATATATACTGTTTTTTCCTATACGAACATACATATGATAAAGTTTCATATAAAAATTAGGAACAGTAAAAGATTAACAACTATTAAAAAAAAGAAAAATTATAACAATATGCCAGCATCACTACTTTTGCACTTTGAAGCAATTATTAAGTAAAATAAAGGTTATTTGAACACAAGCACTGAGATATCACAACAGTCAATCTGACACCAAAACGGCTACTAGGTAACTAACAAGTAGTGTCTACAGGGTGGATACACTAGACAAAGGGATTATTCACATCCCAGGTAGGACAGAATGGGATGGCAGAAATTTGATCATGTTCCTCAGAATGGCTTACAATTTAAAACTTATGAATTGTTTATTTCTGGAATTTTCCATTTAATATTTTCAGATTGTGGTTGACCAAGGGTAACTGAAACCACAGAAATTAAAACCTTGGATAAGGAAGGACTACTGCATTAACATTTTTAGACTCAATATGCATCTTCAAATTTATTTTACATTTTTATCAGCAGCATATGAATGTTCCTGTTGGAGACCTTGAATAATGTGGGAGATCATAAGATATTCTTCAGATAAACATCTTTTCTAATGTGAAGTAAAAAATGGTATTTCATTTAAATTTCCATTACCATACCAATAATATTTGACATTTTTCACAACTTTGTTAAATAATGTTTATCTCTATTCTTTAGAGTAACTCCAGAGTTCTTACTTTCAAATGCTCAAAAGTCATCTCTGTAATCCTCTTGAAAATTTTCATCAGTTACTTCAAATAGACAGGCTTAAATAGGACTGTTATCTATTCTATATCACTTAACTCTTTTGCCTCAGTCTAGTTGCTGTAGTGGAATTTACTTTAATAAATGGACCAGGATATTTACATAGTTCTCTCTCTCTCTTTCTGTGCATGTGTGTGTGTGTGTGTATGTGCATGTGTGTGTGTGAGAAAGAGACAGAGAGAGGCTAAACTTTAGTCTTCTCTCAAATCATAGGAATCACTGACTTCTGTCACAATCATAAGTAACTCATAACTAAATTTATTTTCCTTCTCAAATTACATTATCCTTGTTACTTCTCACATTTTCCATTTTATCCTAAAAGTTTCTTACATCATTATCACCAGATATATAGTAAAAATCCCCAATATTAAAAATTAACAAACCATGATTCAAGTTGATTTTTAAATATTTTCTCCCTAATGATGTATGTCTTGGTGAAGAGAATTTGATATGGTAGTTTTTTTTTTCTAAGATTAACTAACTCAATTCATTCTCTCCAGATTGGATTGGAAGTTGGATGAAACACTATAAATCAATGTGGAAAAATAATTTTGCCAAATTTCAATCTCAATCAGTCTCCATGAAAACTTTATCCTTTTGCTGTTTCAATATATTTGTATGGTATTTTTAAGTTGTTAAAAGTTTATTTATTTTAAAGGCTCAATGGGCTTCCTGGATGCCAAATCACTTTTTAAAAACATTTTGATGATACAAACTAAAATGAATTAAAAACACATGGAATCACTGTTCTCTAAAATATATGTGTTTTCAAAGTTTAGAGAAAGAGGGTGGGAAGAGGTGCTTGGCAGCATGTTTGGGTTTTAGAAAATCCGAAATTTTTGAAAAATTGTTCCAGATGTTGATGAACCCCTTGGTTCCCCTAAGTTTCACCCAAACCTGCTATAAATAAAGATAATTATAAACAGCAATAAACTAAGGTTAAGGCAGTATGTAACGGATGCCATAGGAATCATAATTAATTTGAATTAACTCTGAATTGAATTTAGCCACAGATAATACAGATGTGGATGGGTTGTAAATACCATTAAGAAAAGTAAAGTTTTACGTACACTTACATAAATGAAATAGGAAAATAAAAACAGAACTATTTCACACAAAAAACCTGACAGCATCCTGGCATTTCATCCTGGCATTCAGAAGCTCTCATTATCTAGCCCAGTGGTTCTTCAGACAGGATGATAAATATCCCATGGAGGATGTTTGGAAATTTGTGGGACATTTTTGGTTGTCACAATGACTGGAAAGAGCTACTGCCTTTTATTACTCAGTGGCCAAGGATGATTAACATCCTGAAATTCCCATAAAATGAGGAAATATTCACCCAAGTAACCACGGTGTCCCCACCAGTCTCACCAGTCCTCTCTGACCCCTATATTTGTGTCTCACCAACTTTCCTGACATCCCCCACAAATCACAGCCAACCTGCCTTTGTGTTTTTCCTCTACTGTTCCTTTACTTGGAATTTTTTACATCTCCTCTTCAATAAGCCACATCTAGTATTATCTTCCAGCAAGACTCTTTTTCACTTCAGGTCTTTCCTATGGAAGACTGACTTCCATAGTAAATTTTTTATCTTCTCCTGAGGTCTTTCAATAGCCTCATCCTCACTATTTCATATTCCCCAATTACATCTAATACAGGGTAGTTTGTGTACACAAAAACAGCTTAATTAACTACTGCTAAACTTTTTATCAAGATTGTGGACTTGTATAGACTCAGCTATAGTTTAACTTTCTTATTTGACTTTATTGAAAGAACTCTGCCGTGTGTTCACATGCACACATATATGTATGTCTGATGATATAGGTATAAATATAGACAGACACAGATACAGATATAGATTAGATACATTCCTATAAACATACAAACCACTGACCTCTCATTTAAGGATGGCATTGTTTAAGTAGAATTTGTCCTCTTGGTTCTATTCCTTTGATAAGCACTTACCTCTGATTCTCATGGTTTTGCCTCTTACTAGTTACACTACAACAGTAGAAAATCTTTAGAACCTTGAAGGGCAGCCAGGAAGAGTTGACTTGGAAAAATATAATCTAATACCAATGGGAGGAAATAATTCCCACAGACGTTTGCTGGAAGATATGAACTATACATCTGGACTGCAGTAATGCTTTGGAATGACTAAGGAGAGTTTCATCTTTCAAGCCAGTGAGAGCTGTACTAGAAAGTATGCTTTCAAATAGCCCTTCCCTGGTTTCATGGAACAAGACTTAGGGATTCAGATAAAAAATGAATAACTGCTACTTTAATTTAGGGCTGATATCACTTTATGGTGATGTTTAGTACGCGCAGCCTGTGTCTCAAGAACATGTGACTTTTGAATGACCTCATCCCCATCACTGGAGGTTTCCTGCTCCCTGGACCCCTGCCAAGTGCCCCCTTCCACCATAGCAGCTGTCACCAAGAGCGGCCTACAGTCCCTCTCAGCCTCAACCCACCTATAGCCTTAGAGTGGGCACAGAATTGAAAGCTCAAAAGATTCAAGATTTCATTTCAGAATGCAAAAGGGAAGAAGTGTACTTTCTGTGGACAAATAAGTCTACTGGTAACACTTTCTTTATTCTCTATGTGAAATAACAGGCTAATATGAAAACTTATAGCAATATAACAATCTTTTATTAATAAAAATGCCAAAAATAACACCATTAACACCATTGCTTTTTCTGACTATGTAAGTATCACATCTATTATTTTAAAATAAGAAATGCACAAAGATGGCAAAATAATTTGGAAATTATTTCTAATTCTACCATGTATAAATTATCACTGAATATTTTGGTAAACATTCATCCAGAGTTTATATTAATACACACACACACACACATACACATACACACACACACATATGTGAAATCCAAAATAGTATTATAAAGCATATACACGGCCTTCAATTTAGCTTATTACTTATTATATTATGGACGCATTTCCATGCCAAGCACAAAGAAGGTATAACTATATAACAATTTTTTAAAGCTGCTTAGTGTTCCACTGAACTAATGCATCATAATTTGTATTAATATGGCCTTACCATCTGGCATTTAGATTGTTCTCAGTATTTCACTATCTCATTCACCACTGTGATCAACATACTTACACATACATTTTGGACATTTCTCTATTTATTTTTAAGAGATAAATTCCAAGAGTGGAATTACTGACTCTTATTAGAGTAGAAAAATAATTTTGATTTCCATTATCAAGTTCTTCCCTCAAAATGCTATACCAATTTACTCTCCAACCAGAAACATCTTAAGAGGTAATAAATTCTGGGCTTTGAACAATTAATTTACAGGGTTTTTTTTTTTGGAATATAACCCACTTCAAATTTTGAGGGTGCTTGTGTGAATTGTTTAGTGGTTTAAAATTATGCTTTTTAAACTGTATTCTGATTTCTTCTGTCAAGGACCAAAGACCAAGAACCTAGAAGAGGAGGATGTGGGGGATGGGTAGAGAGAGGGGAAGTTAACTTTCCTTTTTTCAGATTTGAACTAAAACAGGGCTTCTGCTTTTAAAGATTTATATAAGCTTCCCTCTGAGCAAGATTGAATACAAATATTCAAAATCTTTAGTTAAAAATGTCTTTCCTCACAGTGCCAAGGAGAAAAGGTAGCTGCTGTTCTAGTTCACTGTCAGAACTGTGGTGGGAATATAAATTAGTCTTGTAACTGTGGAAAGCAGTTTGGAGATTTCTCTAAGAACTTAAAACAGAACTACCATTTAATCTAGCAATCCCATTACTGGGTATAGACCCAAAGGAAAATAAATCATTCTACCATAAACACACATGTACTTATGTTCATCACACCACCATTCACAATAGCAAAGACATGGAATCAATCTATCATACCTAGGTACCAACCTAGGTACCCATCAACAGTGGCTTGGATAAAGAACATGTGGTACATCACCATGGAATACTATGCAGCCGTAAAAAAGAACAAAATCATATCCTTTACAGCAACATGGATGCAGCTGGAGGCTATCATCCTAAGCAAATTAAGACTGGAAGAAAACACCAAATACCACATGTTCTCACTTATAAGTGAGAACTAAACATGGTGTACACATGGAAAAAAGATGAAAGCAATGGACACCGGGGACTGCTGGAGAGGGAAGAGAGCAAGGAGGTGGAGGGCTGAGGTACTGCCTACTGGGTCATGGGATCATCCATACCCCAAACCTCAGCATCACAAAGTCTTCCCATGTGACATACCTGCACATGTACTCACTGAATCTAAAATAGAAGTTGTAATGATTAAAAACAAAAAAACATAAACAGTTCTCAAAAGAGTATCAATTCACCATGACTTTAGGGTAAAATAAAAATTTCTATAAGGGTAACTGGCTGTACCTTTGAACTGTCAATCTTAAATGGGTTGTCATTTGTAGCAATAGTTGGAGCTATTTAAATAAAGGCAAAATCAATAATTTAACTTGTAATTAAATTGTGTCAGGTTGTTAAAAAAGAGCAAAACCCTCTGAATTTATACTAATGCTGAGATTAAGCAAATGAGGTTATTTTACCAATTCTCATTAATGTAGTTCTGATAATATTAACAAGATAACAGGAAATGTGAGATTCAACTGTTTCATTGCAAAGACATAAAATAGTCTATCATAGTGAAGCATTTTAAAGGATAACTTTTGCAGAAATAGAGACAAGAGAAGGATACATTCACTCTCTCAGTGAACGGGAAAGAGCAGGCTGAGTGGTGAGAAGCCTGACTGGAGGGAGAGAACAGGAAAAGCAAGCAGAACTAAATACGTAGGACCCCAAACCACAAGACATGAAGTCATTCCTTGAGGTCTAATAGAGAACCAAGGACTCAGAGTATGTGATACGGCATTAGGAACTAGAACAATCACGCTACCCTTCAATCTGCCATTTGCGTAAGAGCCCAGCAGGCGAATGTCTCTGGCAAAGACCTATGTGTGCACTCTGGGACAAGTATTGACAAGAGAGGAGAACCACATTTTAGGGACCATAACACTCTGCTTCTTGTTTAAGCTCTACTTAATGTTTAATGCCACGAGGAACTTTTTTAGAAAAGGAAAAGAAAGTAGCTCTGTTGTTGGAAAAGCAGGTATTAATTGTTGTGTGAACTCTAGACTGTGAGAACAGCCCCAGAAATGATATTTTATTTGCTTTCAACAATCGAGCATTATAATAGCATGAATCATAATGTGGTAATGTAACATAACACAACAAAACATAACATAGCATAACATAACATGGTAGAGAACCCAAATTCCTGTGTTTGCCAATTAAGACTCTTTTCTAAATGAAAATTATTCAAAAATCAATGAAGACTAAATCATCAGCCCCTACGCAAACTTGGCTCCACAGTCGGGCAATTCTTTACCCTCTTTGGATCTTAATTCTCTTGCCTACAAAACTAGAGAGTCAGACATCTGAGGAATCTTCCAATTCCATAATTGTCCAATTGTATAATCCCTAGAAATATTCAAATAAGGTAAAATTAGAGACCTTTTTTTCCTCACAGAATTACTCAAAGCCCTATGAAAGGAAATGTGTTTTCCTTATAGCTCCTGCAACTAGACTTTGTCCCAGCTCCATCCTCTGCTCCTCAGGCACAGCAGCTGCAAAAGCTGCAGAAAGTGGTCGGGTTCCAAAAAGCTCTTTTCCTTCTAGCACAGGGGTGAGAATATTCAAGAGCATCTGGAAAGTCTGGTTAGTGCTGCAGTTGCTTCCCAGGGTCTCATGCTGCTTCCTCAGAGCAGCTAATGATACCCACAAAATAAGCATCCAAGATGTCTTCCCCCAGTTCACATTCTCTGCTTCATCTGCTCTAAGGGTGTGACAGAGAAATGGTTGCTTTAGGATTTAAGTGGCAGGTGAAAATTAGTACTGCTATTTGCTATGTATATATCTTTAAGCAGCTAAAAACCAATGTCTAACTCTAACTCTGGAAGAAAGTTTCAAGGCTAACATTTCCTTTAAGAAATCAGCAAATATTTGGTTAGCAGTTGGATTATAAACGTGTGTAACGTTATATCTGCATCCTCATATTTAGTGACTTGTAATGTTTAGTCAGGCCAGTCTCTTACAATCTTTGTGTAGACTATTGAAGAGATCCATTTCCCTGAAAATTGAAAGGTGGTTCACTTAGAAATAATATAGTCACTGCGTAGCTGAAGGGAATCAAAAAGCAAGATACTGAAATATTTGAAAAACGTATTTTACTGGTTTGGAAAAAAGTTAGATCAACACTGTCCCACATATTTAAATCTATCCAGGAAAATTAAGGGAAGGCTTAGGTTAAATCCAAAAAGCACTTCCTACTGGCTTTCTCATTATTTCTGCAGAGCTATTTGCTTTCTCCACTAGACTCTACCCATGACAAACCTTATGTTCTTCTCTCATTGGTAAAAAACATAGAAAGGATTTTTTCAATGCATTCACTAAGAGGTAGAAATGGCTAAGTTGCAAATGTCCTGTTCTCATAAGCTATTTGTCTCTCAACACAGAACAAAACCATGACCAAAGGGATGAAAGACAAATCACAAAATGCTAGGCTGCAACCAATCAAAAACAGAGATTTGCGGAGAAGTGAACACTCCCAGGAGTTAACAAATCATGGTGTAAGTAATTGCCTACCTCACCACAGAATAAAATGTCTTTGTTTATGGTATCAATAATATTCTCTTTTCACCACTAAACTAGGAAAACAGGTGACAGTGACAGAACTAACTTTAAAACCTCAAAGTAATATCACTTCACTGCTAATGTTCAAAAAGTTTTGAGCACAGTAGATCTTAAAGTAAAAACGTTAAGAGGAAAAAGAGAAATCTGAGTCTACCTACTATACCAACCATCCAGGGCCATTGAGAAATCTACTGAGTTTAGAAAATTTCCTTAAACTTCCAGAGTATGATAAATATGAAGAATGTAATTATAATTAAATTGCACTAGTCATCTTTAATTGAATATAATGACAAGTTATTTTAGTACAAGTATTTTCAGAATGACCCTTTCAAGTAAACAATTGCCAAGCACCTCAGTATTAAACTGGTGTGAGGTCTGGTTTCCATACAGCAGCAAATAAACAATAAAATGAATACAACTACAAGGTCATATGTCTACAGTTTATTTTCCGAGGAAAATAATTAAATTGAACAATCTGAAGGAAGTAGTTCCATGTTTGTTATTTATAGCTTTCTTTAGGTCATTTAATTTTTCTTAAATCTCATTGGAAGCTTTTAATGCTTTCTTGTGCATTGAAGTTGGAGGGAAATAAAATAATAATTACTTAACTACGTATAAAGAAAGAGAATGTACAAATACCATCATTTTCCTTCACATGCTTTATCTGAATTTTTAATCTTATTTTGTTAACCATTTATACAAATATTTGCCCATTTGCCAACGCTCTCACATCTGAATTTATTCCTTACAAACAATGCTTTTATTACTTACAACCCATACGATAAAGTGACTTATGTTCAAGGCAATGTACTTTATCTTTTTTAAAAAAAAGTCATTAAAAATCGCAGACTTAATTTTTATAAATTGATAGTATTGACTCACATTATCATATTAGAGATGCTTTCCCCCAGGGGAGGAAAAGAGCCTTAGACCCGAGATATCTAAAGACTTTTAGATCAAGAAACACATTTTCTTAAGAATGTGGCAAACCATCATTACTTTATATGAAATAATTTTTCTCACCTAATAACACTGTAATTCCAACACTGTACAACAATTCGGTTAAGTACTAGAAATTTTAATGAATGCTGAGGATGGCTGAGAAAAGAAAAACTGTTTAAACAAAATAGAGCAAACTTCAGGGTTAAAAAATGCTTATTCCCAACAGCTTCCAACATCTATCTTTTTAAAAAAAAAAAAACTTTCTGGCCTTCTTCCCTACAGCTTTACTACAGATGGTAAGGCCATAGGGAAAATAGGTGGCTTTGGATTTGCATTTCAGAGAGATGAGCCCAGGTTAAAATTTCTCTGTCTCTTCTGCTTCAGTACCTACAGTGATCTTGTTTGACCCCAGAATTAATTTATAAGCCCATATGAGGAAAAGTGCTGGGTTTAAAAATTCCTATAAAGTGGACTAGAGAAAATAGTAATAGAGAAGAAGATGGAAACAGCATGGCTGGTAGAAATGAGGATCATTTAACTACTCCCTAACATATCTAATATCTAACGCAACTACTGGATTACTAAAACAATATGGTGACCCTGGCAGAAACTTTATCAGGTGTACAGATTGAATAATTTAATAGATAAATTAAATCCCAGATTGTACTTTTAACAGCTAAAAAAAAGTACATAGTTAAGACATAAAGAAATGCACTTGCGTATTAAGCAAATTTGATCTATTCTGGACATAATTATTCTAATTCTTTTTCATTTCCAAAGCAATTCTAAATCAGCACAATGTCTGAATGAATTAGTTCATTTATCACAAACAAAGACAGGTTAGGCACGGTAGCAGACATTAAACTATTCACTGACTTCTGGTTCCCCTCTGCTTTGTAATTGCATATTCTGCCCTCATTGAAGTTTAGCATGCTATGTGACTAGCTCTGGAAAATCAGTTGTTAAAAGAAGCAACTCTCTAGCTTTTCCCATCTGTTAAGATGGAACCTCTATCAGTATTGGTTCCTAAATGACTAAAATAAGTTTCCCTATTACTGCTATCAAATTGCATTGGACATAGAGCATGGACAAGAAATAAACCTTTGTTGTTCTAAGCTATGGAGATGTGAGGGCTGTTTCTTACTGCAGCAAAACTTTGACCTTTATCAATCACTACAGAAAAAAAAAAATTTTTTTAGGATGGAGTCTCGTTCTGTTGCCCAGGCTGGAATACAGTGGCACAATCTCGGCTCACTACAACCTCCACCTCCCAGGTTCGAGTGATTCTCCTGCCTCAGCCTCCTGAGTAGCTGGGAATACAGGCGCATGCCACCATGGCTGGCTAATTTTTGTATTTTTAGTAGAGACGGAGTTTCACTATGTTGGCCAGGCTGGTCTCGAACTCCTGACCTCGTGATCCACCCGCCTCAGTCTCCCAAAGTGCTGGCATTACAGGCATGAGCCTCCGTGCCTGGCCTTATAAAAAAAAATTTTTAAATCTTTCTTAGATAAGAAAATTTGCTCTGAAGCACATCAATGTAGTACGGTGGTGTAATGGTAGTAGTAATAATTGTTATCTGCTAAGACTAATTCTCTGTTAAAACTAATTGGTACTCTCTGTGCAGAATTTTTGTGACAGAATATTCAGGAATCTATATTTTTTCAATAATAACTTACTTGCACATAGTAGGTGCTCAATAAGTATAGAATAAGTAAATTTAAGAAATGGTCAAACTAAAGGACAATAATATGTATTTTGGCAAATATACTCACGTCCATGGGCATCCTGAATCCTTAAATTATAGCATATAAAGAGTATGACTTTTATTCAAATTGATTTAATCTCTAAGAAAATCAATAATACAATAATACATTTCTATTTTAGCTACAGTAATCAACGCAGGTTTGAACTATTTTCTGCAACAAAGAATCTCTTTCGGAATTGGACGGCCTTCATACAAATCCTGATTTTACCATTTTTTTGTGTATGGCCTTGGGCAATTATCTAACCCAACTGAATCTTGGCTGTCTCTTTTGTGAAATGTTCACCTCAGAAAGATGTAAAAATAAAATTCTTTTAAGTTATATGTGAAGTGTTGAGCCCATTGCCTGACACATACTATACTCTTAACAGTACTAGTTAGATCCTGTTTCACGTGTCAAAAGTAAGATTAGGTTTGGAACTTTCAGTTTATAACTTAAAAAATAATTATGTAAACCTTTATGATTATATTTACAATTACCAAATCCTGTTTATCATTACCACTAATGAAATGCTCTCCAAATGCAGACAAGAAGCAAAATTGATTATTTTTAATAAGAAGAAATTAACTTTTTAGTTTAATAATCTATCACTCAGAGCCACAGAATTATTAATAAAAAAATTATTTGTGTTTGAATTTGTTACCACAGCAAAAATATGGTCTTATTTAACAAGGGGAAGAAAGACATAAAAAATACACTGAAAGTCTACTTGGATGCAGTGTAGTTCTTACAAAAGAGAATTTTGATGACATAGCCAAATGAGTCCAAAACATGTGAATTACATTTCCCTTAAAAAATTACATATGGTTCAAAAATAAATAAATATGGGGAGAAATTATTGGGTACATTCAGCTTGGACTTTATTAAATGTCAAATATTTTTAAATTTGAGACATTTGTAAACTTAAAAGATCACACACTCGTTAAAAAATATTTTCTGATGTTCACATACATGCTTAAATTATTTCATTTTTACCTCAATCTCAATAGTTCCCACTTGGTTTAAACCTTAACCATTATACAAAATAATTTTATAAATGTTTAATTTGCTCATATTTTCAAATTTGGTTCTTTTGCTATGAAATTTAAAACTCAGGGTTTTTCCATTTCAGTAGCTGAAAGTGAGAAAACTCATTACAATACAAAATGCTGCTGAAATAAAACTCAGTGACAACAAACAGAAAGAATGCTTTGGCTTGCAAAGAGTTTTGACTGGATGAAAGAATATAACTGCATAGTCTATAATCATGGCTGATTTTATTGAACCAAAATTTCTTACAGTTAACCCAAGCTTTGCAATGCCCCAATCACCCACCCTCTGGCCATAGCAGTCTTTTAATAATTGACCAGTTTTCCAAACATGAAGCATTTTAGCCACATAATACTGATACTACAAAACCTGACCAGTTATTGCCATGCTCAAACCGATAAACTTGGAAGGTATTGGGCGGGACTATACTTACACAGCTTTTTCAACTTATACTTAATCTGTACAGGGTAAAGTTTCTGTTATGATTTGCAGTCTTTCACTGGTTTTGAGAGAATAAATTCACTTACAATGATTCATATCATTAAAATATAGAATGGGTTAGTATACTGTATAAATAGCTTTGATGACAATTGCTATTCTTTGCTCAGAAATAAATATTAAATCTTTTGCCAGCAAATGTAACAGGATGTTGAGTGAGAGTTTGCTTATTTTTTCTGGAACCAAGACCAAGGCTTATAACTAAGGACAATAAATGGCCACTCCATTTTCTA
The DNA here is from genome assembly GCF_000001405.40 of Homo sapiens. NCBI lineage: Eukaryota > Metazoa > Chordata > Mammalia > Primates > Hominidae > Homo > Homo sapiens. Next base: position 74,060,384 of record NC_000006.12, on the reverse strand, counting down.
GGTTCTACAAACCAATGACCTCCCTATGGGGCTTACAAGTAAAAACATTAAAAGTAATGGCAAAAACCACAATTACTTGTGTACCAACCTAATAATCCAGAAGTCTTGCTTTACAATGAATCCCTACTTCCCACACATACCCACCAAAAAAAATTAAGAAGACTAAGAGGTAATGGAGGTCAGCTTGACAGTTAGGCATCAGGAAGGGAGAAAACTGTGTTTTTGAGACTGTTTATTCTGTCCTGTGATTGAGGAAAGTCAGTGCATCCCTTGTCTAAAGCCAAGGGAAGTAATTCAGATGTGGAGACAGGAGCCCCAGTTGAATATTCGGCCAGAAGTCTTGCAAACAAGAGAAAAACAAGCATGAAAAGACAAAATGATAAAGGACTCTCAGGTGGAATGCAGGCACCTCAAATCTTTGTTCAAAAGAGATATATTAAAGGGATTCCCCGTATGCATACAAGTCTGGCTACTGGCCTAGGAGGGTAGGTGATATTGAAGGCTTCAATCTGTTGAGACCACTGAGTGTAGGGGGCAGAGAGAGATGCATATGGTGACGTTAGCTGGGGACAATACGGAAAACATGAACAAATCTCACCAGGAATCACCAGTGCTTAGGGGTGCTGCTTGGAGGTGCATGTTGAAACCACTACCCATCCGAGCCCACGGGCAACAAATTCAACAGCATCTAACCCAGGGGAAGAGCCAACCTCATAAAGTTAGAAGAATTTTGCCTTTTCCTCTGTCCCTCCTCTAGCTCTCTTCTTCCCTGGCCCCACCCTAGCCTGTCCTAGGTTCAGAAAAAAAAAAAAAAAAATCTTTTAAGTAGACAATTGGGAAGGTTTTAAATAAAGAAATGTGAATAGTAAGCACCAGGTTAAAATTGGCTGAGAAGCTACAGGATCTGGCTTAAGATGTTTTAAGCATGTTTCTAGCCAGTGGAAACGTATATTTAAATAGCACAAAATGGCAGGGGGCTGTTACTGAAAAAAAAGCAGAAATTTTTCACTTCTACCAAATGAATTAGGTTCCTCAGAAAGGTTCAATGCTAATGGATTGGTATTTATTTTCATGATTAACAAATTGAAACTTTACAAAGATTTAACAGGAACTTTCCAATTTTAGGGTGCATTAAAATCACCTGAGTCTGGTATTTAAATCGAAGTTTCATAAGCTCCACTTCAACTTCAGAGATCCAATTCAATTGCTCAGTAGCAAGAACCCAGAATCTGCATTTTTAACAACTCAGTTATTCAAAGCTGTGTATTTCCCTTTAATCACTGCTTTGACTGCATCCCACAGATTTTGAGAAGTTGCACTTTCATTTTCATTTAATTCAAAATAATTTTTAATTTCTCTTGAGATTTTTTTCATTAAACCATGTGTGATTTAGAAATACGTTGTTTAATCTTCAAGTATTTAGGATTTTCCAGCTTTCTGTTATTGACTTCTAGATTAATTTCACTGTGGTCTGAGAGCAGACATTGCATGATTTTGATTCCTTTAAACTTGTTCAGATTTGTTTTATTGCCCACAATGTGGTCTGTCCTAGCAGATATTTCACGAGCTTGAGCCAAATATGTATTCTCTTGTTGCTGGATGAAGTAGTTTATGGATGTCCATTATATCCAGTTGATTGATTGTGCTGTTGAGTTCAACCACATCCTTGCTGATTTTCTGCCTGTTGGATCTATTTCTAATAGAGAGGTGTTGAAGTCTCCAACTATAATAATGGATTCATTTATTTTTCCTTGAAGTTCTGTCAGTTTTTGCCTCATGTATTTTGATGCGCTGCTGTTAGGTGCATACACATTAAGAATTGTTATATCGGCCGGGCGCGGTGGCTCACGCCTGTAATCCCAGTACTTTGGGAGGCCGAGGCAGGCGGATCACGAGGTCAGGAGATCGAGAACATCCTGGCTAACATGGTGGAACCCTGTCTCTACTAAAAATACAAAAACAAAATTAGCTGGGCATAGTGGCAGACACCTGTAGTCCCAGCTACTTGGGAGGCTGAGGTAGGAGAATGGCGTGAACCAGGGAGGCGGAGCTTGCAGTGAGTGGAGATCGCGCTACTACACTCCAGCCTGCGGACACAGCGAGACTCCGTCTCAAAAAAAAAAAAAAAAGGAATTGTTATATCTTCTTGGAGAATTGACCCCTTTATCACTATGTATTCCCATCCTTTATCCTTGATAATTTTTCTTTCTCTGTAATAAAGTCAAAGACAACTTTATTATAATGGAGCTAGTTCAGGTGGCACACTTTGAGAAAACCTCTGTTTTACTTTTTTATGGATGCTCTAACAAATTACCACAAACTTAAAACAACACAAATTTCTTATCTTACAACCAGTGTGTGTCTCACTGGGCTAAAATTACGGTGTTTCTAAGGCTGCATTTCCTTCTGGAGGCTTTAAGGGAGAATCCATTTTCTTCCCTTTCTAGCTTCTACCCTCATCTACAAAAGGACCCATGTGATTAGATTAAGCCCACCTGGATAATGATCTCCCTATCTCAAATTACTTACCTTAATCACATCTGCAAAGTCTCTTTTGCCAAGTAAAGTGATATTTTCACAAGTTTTGGAGATTAGGATATGACCATATTTTACATGCTACACTGGCCTAATTACATTTGCTCTATGATTTAAAAAGAATTTTCAAAAATATCTTAATAACCCTTGACCAATTTTCAGTGTGTGACATCAGGGAACTAGCTTTGATTTCTCATCCAGGGATCGTATTTTTACATGACAGTAGGATATTACAATTTTTATAATGATAACATTATTGGGTTTATTCAGTGTTTCACAGTAACTAGACTCTAGTGATGCATTTTGGCAGGAATACTACAAAAGTGATGTTGGTTCTCCTCAGTGAGTCACTCAGGAGCACATGATGTCAGTCTGGTCCAGCATGGGAGATGTTAATTTTCATCACTTAGTTAAAATGATGTTCACTGTAGAGTTACTATTTCTTCACTCTAAAGTTACTATTTTTCTTTTCGTGTTAATTATTTGACCATGTTTTATTCTAGTACTTGTATGGCTTTATTGATTACATGTAGATCCCTGACCCATTTGTAATTTATTCTTGTATATGGGATGAGGTGTAGATCTAATTAGCTTTTTTTTCAAGTGGCTATTTGTTCCAAGACCATTTTGTTAAAGTTTATTGTATTCCCCAGTAATTCGAGATGTCATCTTAGTGATATGCTCCATTTTCTTTGTGCTTGGGTCTTTTTCTGACTTTCTGTTCTATATTCATGGATCTAGCTATGTACCAGTACCATGCTGTTTTGACTATTGAAGTTCTATGGCATGTCTTAATAACTTATGGGAGTAGTTTCTCCTTGTAGATTTTCTTTTTCAGCATTCTTGCATGTACACTTTTCAATATGAACCTTCGTATAATCTTGTATACCTCCACAAAACAAACTTGTTAGTATTTTTATTGAGCTTATTTTAAATTTATTAACTAGGGAAAACTGGCATCATTATGATATTGAGCAATCCTATGCAACAAGAAGGGATGCGTTTTCAATTGTTCAAGTTTACCTTTGTGATTTTAACATTTAAAAATTGTATTCGTGAAGATTTTATACATCTCTTTTTAAGCTTATTCCTAAGTATTTTTTTATTGTTGTTGCTACTATAAATGGTGTTTTTCTCTACAATTATGTCCTCTAACTAGTTACAATTGGATAGTTAAAGACTATTTACTTCTGGACGTTAATTTTATATCTTGCTAATTTACTGAATGATTTTATTGTTTGGGTTCAGAACCCTTGACTTGCTGGAGTTTTCCAGATATGCCAGATATCACGTACAAACAGAAACATTATCACTTCTTTTTTACCTAATCTTATGCCTCTAATTGATTTCTCCTGTTTAATTGCATTGGCTAAAATCTCACGTATAACACAATAGTAAACATAGGAGACATCCTTGCCTTGTTCCTGACTGCGTGTGTATTATTCTAGCATTAAGTAAGGTGCTGAATTTGGAAGTAAATTCATGTTAATTTTACTTAATTTTTATCATGTTAAAGAAGCACCCCTAGAGTTCCTCTGGAACCTTTTAATTCAAAACCGGTCTCTAATTTTGTCAAGGGCTCCTGTGGCATCAGTGTAGATATGTCCTATGATTTTTCTCCTTAAGTATATTAACAGGGACTCTTTTATTATATTATGATACAGGAGCTATGCTGGCCAGAGATTAATCTTCTCTCTAAGTGATGTATGACTTATTCACTCCTCTCTCAGGCCACATTTTTACTTCTTCCATCTCAGGAACCAAAGCTCCCATCCCACTTTCCAACCAACCAGCGATAGGAGCCAGAAAATTTTTAAATGACTGACAAATGATGTCAGGGACCAAACACAAAGGGGAAAAGATTAGGTGGAAGTTGAGAGAGAAAGCAAAAATAGTTAAAATGGACCAAGTGACAGTGGGAAAGAAATAGAAAATTTAAAAGAACAAACCCAGGGAGGCACTTCTGCCAACATGGATCCAGGCAGGAGCTCCAAGAGCTCCAGAGTAAGGCTCTCTGCTCATAAACTGGTACAAGGGTGAGTTAAATCATCAAGATCAATGGTTGGCAAACTTTTCTGTAAAGGAGCAGATAGTGAATATTTAAGGCTTTGCAGGTCACATACTTCCCCATCTCCTTTTCTTTCTCCTCCTCTTCCTCCTCTACTTCTTCTTTATAACTCTTTAAAAATGTAACTACCATTATTATTATTATTATTATTTTGAGATGGAGTCTTGCTCTGTCACCCAGGCTGGAGTGCGGTAGCGCAATCTTGGCTCACTGCAACCTCCGCCTCCCGGGTTCAAGCGATTCTCCTGCATCAGCCTCCTGAGCAGCTGGAACCACAGGCGTGTGCCACCACGCCCAGCTAATTTTTTGTATTTTTAGTAGAGATGGGGTTTCACTGTGTTGGCCAGGATGGTCTCTTAACTACCATTCTTAAGAGTCATATAAAAACAGACCACAGGCCAACCCAAGAAGCACCATTCCCAAAACACAAAGCCCTATAGACTTGAACCTGAAGTTAAAAACTGCTTTCCTCACTTTGGATATCACATCAGTGATGTGTCTGCCTGAGAGAGGATAGCCACCATTCCCCGCTCCATCACCAGTAGACACCTGGCCTTCTACAGGCAGGAAGATGAGGAGGAGAAGAGACCCTCCCAGAGCATTGGCCACCCAAGTCATAAGACTGTTTATTGTTACTAACTTCCATCCCAAGATAAAGGACAGAGTCCCTGGGGTACACTAGTGGAGACAATTGGCAAAAGAGAGCAATATTAACAAGAAGCTTTGTGTCTAAGCTCCTATTTCTGGGAATGACAAGTAAATTAGAGTTGAAGTAGAAATATGAAAGTTGATATCTGTTACCTTGAGATGGAATGGAAGGTTACATATATGCATAGGTATAGATATAGATATATAATTGTAATGTGTTGATGACAAATCATTTAGCAGCATCTTGGGCCATGAGAGCCACACCAGTGATAGCAAACCCAAGGAGCTAAAATGAGCCTGGGTTTCAGAATTTAGAATATGGTGGAGCTCTGACAGCAGCTACGGCCAGTCTGCTGCCTCTGGACTTTGAGTTAAGGACAACGTAACTGTGTAATGTATGACACACACAGCTGAAACCATCCCTGATTAATACAGTCCTCACAAGCTAGAGTACCCAGCCAAAGAACAAGGCATATTGCCTTCATTCCTAAAAAAATTACTTTGGGGATGTAAATATACTTGTTAACAAGTATTCCTGAGTAATAATAATTTCTTTTAAATATTTACCAAGTTTTTCCAAAGAGTTACTGAATGTTATTATCATATATAACTCATTGAATGCTATAGTAAATGCAATGAGTTAGGAAGTCAGGAAACCTGAGCTTTAATCCAGCTCAGCTTCTTAGTAGCTGTATAAACTTGAGCAGTTTTTTTTTCAAGGTTAGAAGAAACATTCAAGACTGGTTAGTGTAGCAGATTCAGTTATAGAAGAAAAAAAACTGCTCAAGTTTATACAGCTACTAAGAAGCTGAGCTGGATTAAAGCTCAGGTTTCCTGATTATATCATTTGATCATCACAGGGACCTGGAGGCATTTAGCCTGTGCATCCAGGGTAAGCATAGAACACCCTGTGTTCTTTTAAACTGTGCAGTTTAGAAGAATATTCTCAAAGAGATGCCACTTACCTATGTTTTGCTCAATCTAAACACAACATTTTTACTACCATGGCTGATGCACACGGAATCCAGGACTTTATGAAAATGGCAAAATATGAAAAAAAATTTAAGTGCAGCTGAATTCACTCTACAAAATATGAATTGTGTACATTGTGCTATAGAGTAGTTTATTCCCAATTACAATCATTAGTTACAAACTGTGTGCAGTAGATTCTGATATACACTTCCAAACCCCCGTCTGATGAAGGAGAGGAGAGTCTCGCTGCTCCTCCAGGTTTGCTTTGTTCTCATCCCATGGGGCTGCGCTTGTCAGGTCTTTGCTGCCTTAATACTATTTACCCAAAGTCTTCAGTGTGCAGCTACAAATTCTTAACCTTTACTTTAAATACCAAGTGTTTACTAAGTAATTGTTTCCTTGAGTGTAGCCTACATCATGTGAAATACTGCTTTTCTTTGTTAACTGTGAGTGAAGTTTCTGTGTGTATCTCTGCCTCCCTTCTTGTCCCCCAACCTCTTTACCTATGCATCTGTCACCACTAGCACAGTCAGTGTTCTTTGCCACAATCAGTGTCCTCTATCAAGTTTCAGTGATGAAAAGAATTATATTGTCTACTTGTTTTGAGTATAAGCAACCAGCTACTAGTAGTGGTGTAAACTAAAAACTGAACTGCCTTCACTACCCACCACCATAACACTTTCTGTATAACCACAAAGAACATTCCCCTGGGGCAGTGGTACAAAGGACTAAATACTCATGGTAAACATCAGATAGACCCTATGAGTACTGGACAACAAGAATCATTTAACTTTGTTTGCATCCTAAAGCAAATCCTCACACCTAGCTTCTTCCAAATGAGACCCGTTCTCTTCTTCCAAGTAGCAAAAGTCTCATCTTGACAGAAGAAAGAAGAAAAGTCAAGCCACATGTGCCTCACACCAGCCATCTTTTTTCTTCTGTTTCTCTACATAGCTGAATTTCTCCCTGGCCTTATAGTATTAAAGAGTCAAAATTTATATTATAAGCATATCTCATTCTATGGAATCCAAAGTTGAGCTATGACGGCCAAGGTTTTTTCTTCTGAATCACATTTGTAATTCATTCTAAGACTCATTTCACAACAAGAAAAAGATTAATCGTCTCATATTTTTTAAAAGCAACTTATGTAGTAATTTAAAGTGTGTTCTGCATATACAAAAAAAAAACCCCCAGATGTTGAATATGATCTTTCAGGGTAAGTAAACATCAAAAATATTCCTCTACAGTAATTGATAGCTATGGGAATTTCTAAAGTACAGAATGTACTATACTACTCCTAATCAACAGGTGTGCTGAACTATCACCATTTGCCAAATGAAGTATAATTATTTATACCTGATGAGTTCCAACAAAGCATTATGTGCCATCCTGCATTTTCTAGATATTATATAGTTGTAAAATTAGACATTGCCTCTACATCACAGGATGAAATCCAGCTTTTAAAAATTTCTGCAGAGTAGAAATATAAATCTCAACCAGAGTAAGAAAAAGTTACACTGGGTCATTGTGTATTATATATACTTTTTTTTTTCTCATCTAGCCTGCTAAACTTATTATCAGTCAGAAGACAGGTTTACTTAAAATACAGAAAAACAAAACAGTAAAAAAAATTTTTTCATTTGTACTTTGGAACTCTCCTATCTGTTAGATAGGCAATAGTATAATTAACGCATAATATGCAGTGCATGTGTGTTAGCTACATATAAAAAAGTGTGCAGGCATTGCACAAACTTTTGCATGCAGCATCTCCTATTGCCTGAACATTTAAAAAAATATATTGCCTTCAGTTATCCACAAACAGATTAGAATCTTACATATTCAAATTCAGTAAGTAACAAAATTAATTAACAGAATATAATCATAGATGCCACATCTGGGTTCTTAGTGTTTAAGAACAATTTCTCAAATGAATATAATCCAGAAGGTATATTTAGTTTAACACCTTGACAATTTTAATGCCAATTTGGGGTCCTGAAAATGCTTCAATGTCATCCTTCTGAATGCTTATCATTATACAGTACCTTAGAAAACACTGTGATACTATTAACATTTATGTTAAATACCTGACAAATATGAATTTATCACATCACCTCAGAAAGAGTGACCATTTATTCTGATGAAGCATTGAAACTTTTTTTTTTATCTACTCATACCTACGATGTAGGTTTAAGCGAGTCATTCCTTTCCTAACAGTGAGAGAAAGCCAGATACACTGCAAAATCACTTTTCCTGACCCTGTTGGGGAGCTGGCATTGCAGAAGAACCAAGCAACCTAAAATCCCAGGAGGTCCCCTCACCAAGGTGAGATGGGAGCAAGAACAGTCTCACCTGTGACAGCATAGGAGGAAGATGAGGCTTCCATTCAAGTGGGTTAAAAAAAAAAAAAAGTCAGCCAGCATTAGCACAGGCTACCCTAGGAGCAGAGAAAGCTACAAAACCAAGGAAGTTCCCACACATAGTCAGGCTTCTTTTTTATTTTATTTTATTTTTTATTTATCTTTTTTTTTTTGATAGATGCTCACCTGGTGCTCACAAGAAATACTAAAGACAAGACAGGAGACTGGAGACAGACTCCCTCTGTGGTACACACAGTCAAAGAAGAGAAAATCAGCTACCACCATTGGCAGGCATGAAGCCCTGCTCCTCTGCTTGGAACCTTCTCTCAAAAGGCTTAAATTAAGTCTCTGGGGTACAGACAATAAAACCTGCTACCTCCAGCAGGACAGAACCATTCTTTCCTAAAAGAATAGAAGAAAACACCTCTATTTCCAGGAGAGGAGCAAAAAAAAAATAGTCCTGAGCCCTGGATCCTACACCAGTACTATTAAAGGTCTCCTACCACTGAAGTAGGGAAAGAAAATCTGCACAAGACCTGCCATAGATACAGGTGGAGAATTGGGTGCCTGCTACGAGGAGGAGGAAGCTGCACCCAGAGAGGCACAGGCATGAGGCTGGACCAGAACAATAAAGACTAGGCCAGAACAGGCCTTTTGCCCTGCTCCCCACCAGTCTAGTGAATACTGAGTACAAACCACCACAGTCTACCAGTAGGAGGATGCAAGGACCATGGCCCCCTCTCACGTGTAGGCAAAGGACAGGTCAAAGCTGAGGGTTGAAAGCAAACACTGAGATAAACTGTGAGGCACCCAGATCGTCACCCTAAGCACAAGACATTATTAAAGAAATTTAAAGACAGTAGCATACTGAAGATAGTCATAGCAACTGTAAAACCCAAACCCAGTTTCTCACATTAACTCCTATAGGAGTTAAGCTAGGAAATGTGAAAGGAAAATAAAATCTTGGGACCCCAATTCACTGTGCCAAAAGCAGAAAATTAAGCTGAATGCTGAGTCATATAAGAAATTGCCTTTCTTTTTGTTCCTTAACAGTTAAAGATAAAAAGTCAGACATCTCCACAGGTAGCTACTCTATGTTCGTCTTATGTAAACTGCAGATTCCCCTACCTGCTCCTTTTCTCTTGCAACATATGGATTCAGTAACGTAACCATACCCTCCCTCTTTGCTTTCCAGCCTGCTTTTTTCCTTTAAATATTGAAGCCCTCAACATCATCTTTGGAAAAAAGCGTGGACCACAGATTCATTCCTATTGTTTTGTGTTCCCTTTTCTCCAGGCATGTTCTTAACCTTGGCAAAAAAAAAACTTCTAAATTGATTGAAACCTGTCTCAGATACTTTTTGGTTTATAAAACCAATAACAAATATATATATGGAAGACCCCTGAATATGTAGAAATCAAACAACAAATTTCTAAGTAATCCATGGGTCAAAAAGGAAGTTACAAGGGAACCTAGAGAGTGCTTAGTATTGAAAGAAATGAAAACACAACATATCAAAACTTGTGAGATGCTGCTGAAGCAGTGGAGCTAAGAAAGATGAAAGGTTGGCCGATTGCCGTGGCTCACGCCTGTAATCCCAGCACTTTGGGAGACAGAGGCAGGTGTATCACCTGAGGTCAGGAGCTCGAGACCAGTCTGGCCAACATGGCAAAACCCTGTCTCTACTAAAAATACAAAAATTAGCCAGGCATGGTGGCATATGCCTGTAGTCTCAGCTACACAGGAGGCTGAGGTGGGAGAATCACTTGAACCCAGGAGGCGGAGGTTGCAGTGAGCCGAGATCGCACCACTGCACACCACTGCACTCCAGAGTGAGATGCCCTCTCAAAAAAAAAAAAAAAGTAAAGAAAGATGAAAGGTCACAATAAATATCTAAGCATCCACAATAAGAACACTTTTAAAAAGAGCAAATTAAACCTAGAGCAAAAAAGGGAGGAAATAACAAAAATAAGTGGCTGCCAATGAAATTAAGAATGAAAAAACTATACAGAAAATCAATGAAACCAAATTTGGTTTCTCAAAATTTATGAACCTCTGGCCAAGCTGACCAAGTTAAAAAAACAGAAGACATATAACAAAAATCATGAATGAAAGAGGACAAATCACTACAGACCGCACAAACACTAAAATAAGAAATATTGCAAAAAAAAAATTGTATGCCCGTAAACTTAACAAGCTAGATGAAATGGAAAAAATCCTTGAAAGACACCAGCTGCTGGAGTTCACTTAAAAAAAATTAAATAGCCTGTTTAATCCTATACCTGCTAAAGATTTTGAATTCATACATAAAAATTCTCAAAGAAAACTCCAGGCCTAGATACTTTCATTGGCAAATGTTGTCAAACATTTAAGGATTAATGTTAGCAATTATTTTTAAAAGTTCTTTCAGAATACAGAAGAGGAGGAAACACTTATCAACTCATTTTATGAGACCAGCATTACCCCCAATAATACCATCAGAAAAGATATTACCAAAAAAAGACAAAACGGCAGATGGCTATCTCTCATGAGCATAGACAAAAAGATTCTCACCAAAATCCTAGCAAATCAAATCTAGCAATATTATATTTTGAATAAACAAACTTCATGAACAAGTGGGGTTTATCTAAGTATTGCCAGACTGATTCAATATTCAAAAAAATCAAATTGGTCAATATAATTAATCATTTAACTGACTAAAATGATCATATTATCATCTCAGTTGTTATAGGTAAAAAAGCACCTGACGAAACCCAACATCTTTTTCTAATTGGAAAAAAAAAAAAAAAAGCCCCCTCAGCAAACTAAGAACAAAAGGTAACTTTCTTAACATGGTAACAGGCATCTACAAAAATACCTGCTTCAACGTACTCAATAGGGAAAGACAATAGTGTCTCCCTAACATCAGGAACAAGACAAGGATATCTGTCCTCACCAATTATATTCAACATTACCAACCTAAAATAATCCAAATGCTAGGGGTCCAGTTAAAAGAGCTTATTCAACCACAAAGCATGAGGGTGGCCATCTGGGGAGCAGAGCTACACTGATGAATGGTAAGCAGTGCTCCCAATGTGGAGAAAAATGGGGGTCATTTACATAGGCAAAAACAGGTGCTAAACAGAATTACATTTTCCATACAAAAGCTAACACACAGAGCACAGAGGTCTCTATCTCCAACGTTATTTAGCTAGGTTTAAATAAAGAATAGAGAGTCTGGTTAATGTATAACATCTCAACACAAAGGTCAGAAAGTAACCATCATGGACCAAAGAAGAAAAACTGTTATGTGAGTCGGCTTTCAGGGCTTAACTTTTCTCTTGGCATAAATTTGGAAGGTCCTGAAATTTTATTTTAGTTTTATAATATTATACTTGAGGAACTAGACAATGCAAATAAGACAAGAAAAAGAAATAAAAGGCCAACAAATTGGAAAGGAGGAAATAAAACTATTTCTATTCACCAGCTACATGATTATCTACAGACAAAATCCCAAAGAATCCCCAAAAACCATGAAAATTACTAAGTGTGTTTAGAAAAGTTACAGGACATAAGGCCAGTATACAAAATATAAACTGTATATATGTCTACATATTTCAAATGTGTAATATATGCATATTTCTCCTGTTGTGCTTTGTTTATTCTGATTTGTTTTCTTTTAACGAATCTTCCCACATAAAGATTTAATCCCACTTTCCCAGCCTTCCAATGTTTTTATCTTAAAGAATAATTAACATTAAACTTTTTTTAAGTGCCGTTTACAACAGCAACAAAAACAAAAAATACTTAGGCATAAACCTAATAAAATATGAATATGGCACGTATGCTGAAAACTAAAAAACACTGATAAATTAGTGATCTAAATGAATACAGAGATATGCTGGTTTGTGGTTTGGAAGACTCAATCTTGTGAAAATGTCAATTCTCACTAAACTCATCCATAGAGTCAATACAATTCCAGTCAAATCACAGCAGGAGTTCTTTACAAAAATTGACAAGCTGACTTTTAAAAGTGTATGGGAAGACAAATAGATAAAGGAAAGACCTACATATACTGTCAATGAATGGTACTTGAACAATTGAATATCTGTATGAAAAAAGAACCTGACACTCAAAATGAGTATAGACTTAAATGTAAAACCTAAAATAATAAAGCAATAGGAGAAAAAATTTTGGACATTGGACAAAAATTTCTCAGATGCAACACCAAAAGTATGATTCATAAAGAAAAATGATAAATTGGACTTCATCCGAATTAAAAATATCTGCTCTACAAAATAAACCATTAAGAGAGTGAAAATAATAGGAACAGAAAACAGACCAGTGCTTGCCAGGGGCTGAGAGCAGGAAGGGGGACTGACTATAAGGGGCCTAAGGGAACTCTTGAGGTGTTGAAAATGTTCTACATCTTGATTATGGTGGTAGATCCATGGCTGTATGCACTTTTCAAACTTCACAGAACTCTATATCTAAAAAGAGTAAATTTACTGTATGTAAATTATACCTCTGTATATGACATACATTATGACATACTGCATATGTTCATATATATGAATATGTATTTACTGTCTGTAAATTATACCTCAATAAATGTGACATATATAAAATATACATAAAATGTCTATGTATTGTACCACCTGGTGTTTTCTTGAGTTAAATCCATACTCAGTGTACGTTTTTTTCTTTCCAAGAAAATCAACAAGAACAGCATAGCTTTGGCGTAGTTTTACAAAGCAGGCCAATGGAACAGAATAGAAAGTCATGAAAAAGACCAACATAACACTATTTATGTTAAAGGTGGTACAGCAGAGCAGTCGGTACATAAAGCCTTTTGCATGAATTTTATTGTGGCAATCTGACATCTATATGAAAAAAGTAAAATTTAACTCCTACCTTATCCCATAACAATAATCAATTTCATATAGATTATGAATCAACTGAAAAAAATAGCAACAAAGTTTATAGGAGATAATATACGAGATTATTCTTATAACTTTTGGGTAAGAAATAATTTTTTAATCAGGACATAGAACGTGGTCATCATGAAGGAAAACATTGATAAATTGAACAACATGAATATTAGTAAATTTTGCTCATCAACAGGCACCATTAAGACAGTGAAAAAGTAAGGCACAGACTGACAGAGGATCCTCACCACACACACAATTAACAAGGGGCTTCTATCCCTAATATATGAAAAGCTATTATAAAGTAAAAAGAATAAGACAGACAACCTAATAGAAAAATGCACAAGAGGTTTCAAAGGCATTTCACAAAGAGGATATCCAAATGGCCAATAAATGCAAAAACGGTATCCAAGCTCACTAATGGTTTGAGAAACTCAAGTTAAAACCACAGTGAGATACCATCTTATACCTACTACCATGGCTAAAATAAAGTGACTGGAAATACCATCTTTTAATGAAGACATGAAGCATGAGGAAAGCCTAGATACAGGGAGATGCTATAGCAATAATCCCCAGAAAGAAATGCAAGTTAAGGAAAGACTGAACTAACAGGCAGCAGCAGTGGGGATGGAAGAAAAGGAATGTGTATGAGAGGGCAAGTAAAAGAATTGCCAGACATTCTTAACTGATTAGATGCAAGGGCAAAGGAGAAATAAACAAGGCAATAATGTTTCAAGCAAATAAAGAAAACTTAACCATCGCATACTTCAAGGAATTTTTATCTGCTTTCATGATTAAAAAAAAAAAAAAAAAACCGGCCGGGCGCGGTGGCTCATGCCTGTAATCCCAGCACTTTGGAAGGCCGAGGCGGGCGGATCACAAGGTCAGGAGATCGAGACCATCCTGGCTAACATGGTGAAACCCCGTCTCTACTAAAAATATACAAAAAAATTAGCCAGGCATGGTGGCGGGCGCCTGTAGTCCCAGCTACTCGGGAGGCTGAGGCAGGAGAATGGCGTGAACCTGGGAGGCGGAGCTTGCAGTGAGCCGAGATGACACCACTGCACTCCAGCCTGGGCGACAGCTAGACTCCGTCTCAAAAATAAAAATAAAAAATAAAAAACCACCATGAATTACAATAAACACTTTGCCAGGTCTTTATCATACCCAGAAGTATTTCTGTTGTACATGTTAGGCACTGTACCAGGGATGGTGCACATTAGAATCCCTACCTCCCTACATTTATAGTTTATTATTATATAATTATAAGACTAAAATTATAGGCTGGGCATGGTGGCTCACGCCTGTAATCCCAGCACTTTGAGAGGCCAAGGCAGGCGGATCACTTGAGGTTAGGAGTTCAAGACCAGCCTGGCCAACATGGTGAAACCCTGTCTCTACTAAAAATACAAAAACTTAGCCGGGCATTGTGGTATATGCCTGTAATCCCAGCTACCCAGGAGGCTGAAGCAGGAGAATTGCTTGAACCCGGGAGGCGGAGGTTGCAGTGAGCCGAGATTGCACCACTGCACTCCAGCCTGGGCAACAGAGCAAGACTCCATCTCAAAAAAAAAAAAAAGAATAAAATTATATAAATTACATCAAGTCTTCAAGCTCTATTCGCTCTTATAGCATTTTTACATATATTTGCAAATACTGATATTGTCTTATAAATCTTTCAATTTAGTCATCAAAACAATATTCAATTTTTATAAAATTTACTAATTATGTAGACCAGTAAACCACAGCCTTGAATGATCCAACATTGTAGTATTTTTCTCTGTTGGACTGAAATCAATTTCCCAAGACTTTATCAAGGCTAATTAGAAAGGTTATTAGAGTCCATTCACTTAAATATTTCAAGTCTAATTTAAGATGCATCTTATTTATTTTGTGCTAAACCCCGTTTGGCTGTTTATCATTTAAAATTTCCAGGCCACCAAACTCCAAACATAAGATCCAGCTGCTTTATGTCTCAGCTGAATGGTTACTGGTCAAAGGACAGGTCCTAAGAGTCAAAAAGTTGAGTATGAGTCAGGCTGAGTCAGAATTTGGAGACAGCACATTACTCCCACTAAACTTTGTTTTATTCTGATATTTCATTCTGAAGAATCCTCCCATATAAAAATGTAATCTCACTTTTCCATCCTCCTAGTGTCCTTATCTTACTTCAATGTTTCTTCCAGCTTTGCCTTCATCACATTTGCTCTGATGCCACATGCTCTAATGTCTGAATTTTTCTCTCTCCAAAATTAATCAATACCCTCACATTTGTGTTAGGTAACAGATAAGCGGTGTGTTAATGATTGATAATATCTTACTGAACACTACTGAGAACACACTTCCTTAAGAAAAAGAATTCACTAAATTAAAAATCATATAAAGGATGTTCTTGGAAACAAAGACATTAAAATAATCGTGTGTTAACCTTTTGTCCATTTAGTCAATAACAGTTACTGGCAATAATGTTTGTTTTATGGAAAATTTCTAAGTTTAATAATTACCATATAGGAAGGATAAAGAAAAGAAAGAGAAGGAAATAAAAGAAATGTATTTTGAATTGAGGGCATAAGAAAGATTACATAGGAGATTATAGTTGGTATGGTTATAGCCTGAAGATAGTGGACTGAAGAATGTTTATCCTAAAGAAATAAAGTAGAAGGAGGAACACAAAAAGAGAAGATAATAATTTACAAACAGAGGGAAAAAGAAACAGAAAGAAAAACCTGAGAGCTATAGATTTATAATTTCTAGTCAAGAACTCTCTATGTTCTGGAATGGAAATTCAAAAGTAGAACTTCACCCTTATTTAAATTAAAAAATGTAGACATTTAATTAGACATTAAACTACTAAGAAAGCAAATCATTTGGAAATGAAGTGTTTCAAACTTCATCTGATGACAGAAAAAAATGGAGCTGGCCTTTAAGAAAATTTATTTTGTCAGTGACTTTAGAAGCTCCCCTCTAAATAATCTTTATCTCAAAAAAAAACAATACGAGATATGTATTCTGCCATTTTTTTCTTAGTCTTTATGTAACGGTCCATTCCTCTGAGTTCCCCTGATGAAAGAGTACCCATATTATTAAGAAAACAGATGAGCTCAGAGTACAAATGTTTTCTGTTCTTTAACAACACATAGATGTCAATTGAAAATTATAATGAAAATTTTCTTAATCTACTGCAAATAAGTATTCAGAACATTTCTCTAATAAAATAAACCAAAAACTATGTTATCAATAAGGTACTTGAAGTATAATACCAATATTTCTACAGAATAAACACATATGGATTACATTCATAGTGTGAACTTCCTATTCTTCAAGCCCCTGCTGTGGTGAGCAGGCTGTCCGTAGTCCATGCTAGTAGTGGTGACCTGAAGGAAGAAATCCAGCAGACAGGACTGAGCTGAGAACCTCAGATACAGAGTTCTTCTCCCCAAATTCAACTCACAAAAGAAGCTGGCACTTGAGAAAGGTGCACAAAATGTTTGTTGGAAGGAAATCAGTTAACACGGTTTTACTCCTACACTCCAGTCCCTGCAGGAAATGTGTGACCCTTTTTAAGCCTTAAAATTTTTACTCTCTCATTGTCACAATGGGACCAAATGGGGGAAAAAAGACTGTGTTTTGGGCTGTAACTTTTCATTTATTTGACCTATTAGGGGAAAAAGTAATCTCTAAAGTTTCAACTGCACATTAATGCAGGCTCTACTAACCCACACAGGCCTAAAAATATTCAGTAATATATTGAAAAGCACCATTTTCATCTTGTTTTTCTTCAGGGGAGGGACTAGAACTCAGGGATAAAAAATGGAGTTGGTCATGAAGAGGGGTATATGGATGAATATTTGGAGAAAACAATGTCATGCAAATTACAAAGCTCCAATATATTAGCAAATAACCTATCATCAAGTCTGAAGGAAAAACTCAAGTTAGAGGGAAAAAGAATAAATTCCAAAAGTTAACTTAAGGGATGCTTTAAAGTATTACTGAGAAATTTAAACATCATTCATACTAAAAACTAATCTGAATGTGGAGAAAGAAACATAGACTGGGAGATTCCATCAGAAGCTCTAAATCTTCTCACCAGCTTTCCACATACCCTTTTTACCAATGCTACTTTGAATATGTCTGACTTTTGTTAAGGAGTTTAGTGAATGTCAATGTCAGCAATAATACCAGGGACCAGCTCAAGCAAATATGAACTGTACTAAATTATTTCTAATGGAAACATATTCAGATTGTATTTAAAATAGATAAGACCTTCCTGGATTTTTTCTCTACTCTAGCCTTTAAAATTTTTAATCTAGGCAAGCATAAATTGATAGTCACACTCTCAAAGCTGCAAAAAAGCAGAAAAGTCAAAGTCTAGAGAAAAGATAAATAATGATACCATCAATCTAGAGAGTTTGAAAGAGAAAAGGTATTAAGCAAGTAAAGAAGTATATTTCAGGCACAAGAAACATGTGCAAAAAGTCCAGGAGCATCTCTACATTAAAAACAGGACTGCCCAAGAAAATTTATGGACACAAACTATCATAGGAAATTTAAGTTTTTGTTTGAATCATTTACTTTATTGATACTTTGGATTTTAAAAATAAATATTTGTTTTTATATTAGTAAACTATTTCAAAATAGATGAATTATTCATATCAGAAGGGGGAATAAAAAACCGAAAGACATGGATCAAAAAGAAAATATTGTCAGAGGGAATTAAATCCCTCTGTTATGTAAAGTTTCAAATTAGGAAGAAAAAAACTCAACAATACTGTATAAGTATGGCAAAGGCAAAGAAGAAACAAGTAACAATAAGCTCAAGAAATAAATAGGTAATGGGACTTGGTCTGAAGCAAGCGGCGATCAGGGGCTCCCATCAAACTAGAAAAAGCGGCGATCAGGGGATCCCATCAAAAAGATCGAAAACAGTGTGTGAATACTGCACCAGCAACCAAGGTATCCAGATTCTGTCATTAGGACTGACTAGGCGGCTGGATGACACACAGAAGGAAGAGCGGTATGGTGCAACAGCACAACTGAGAGCCATACGGGGTAGGGCCCCCACTCCCAGCCAAGAGACTGTGCTACCCAGCCTGGGAAACTATGCTTTTTCCATGGAACTGTGCAACCCACGGATTGGAAGATCCCACTCGGGAGCCCACACCACTGGGGCCTTGTGCCCCAACCATGGAGCTGCACAGATTCCCAACACCCACTTGGCTAGAATTGGCCTAAGCCTGCTGAGTTCCCAGGGGGAGGGGTGGCCATCACCACTGCTGTGGCTGCCTGCTGTCTAAGCCATCAGGGCTCCTTGGGGGAGGGGCAGCAGCCAACACTGCAGCTGCAGGGACTCCCTGCAGGAATTCCAACTCAAGTCAGGGGCTCAAGGACAGAACTCTGGTCTCTCTGGGCCTGAGCCCCTACAGCGAGGGGTGGCTGTAGACTTTGCAGACCAGCAGACTTGGTCTTTCCTCCTACAAGCTCTGAGAAATCCTGGCAGACCAGACAAGGGGGTTTCCCCCTAATGCAGCACACCCCCTCCACCAAGGAACAGTCAAAATGCCTTGTTAAATGGGTCCTGCTTCCTGTGCCACCCAACTGGGTGAGCACACACCCCAACAAGGAGTGTGCTCAGACATCCTATACAGGAGTGTTCTTACTGGCATCAGGTCAGTGCCCCTCAAGGTCAGAGATCCCAGAGGAAGGAGAAGGCACCCATCTTTTGCTGTTCTCCAGCCTCCTTGAGTGACATCTCCAGGTGCAGGAGCAAACCAGGTGAATAGGGCCTGAAGTGAACTCCCAACAAACCGCATCAGCCCTACAAAGAGGGACGTGACTATTGAAAGAAAAACAAACTAACAGAAAGCAACAACAACATCAACAAAAAAAAAGTCCCCACTAAAACCTCATCCAAGGGTCAGCATCCTCAAAGATTAAAACTAGACAAACTCATGAAGATCATAAAGAATCAATGAAAAAAACACTGCAAACCAAAAAGGCCAGAGTGCTTCTTCTCCTCCAAATAATCACAACACCTCTCCAGCAAGGACACAGAACTGGATGGAGGATGAGACAGACGAATTGACAGAAGTAGGCTTCAGAAGGTGGGTAATAACAAACTTTGCTGAGGTCAAGGAGCATGTTCTAACCCAATGCAAAGAAGCTAAGAACCTTGATAAAAGGTTACAGGAACTGCTAACTAGGATAAACAGTCTAGAGAGGAACATAAATGACCTGATGGAGCTGAAAAACAGCACCAGAACTTTGTTAAGCATACATAGGTATCAATAGCCAAATTGATCAAGCAGAAGAAAGAATATTACAGATATAAGACTATCTTACTGAAATAAGGTAGGCAGACAATATTAGAAAAAAAAAGAGTGAAAAGGAATGAACAACACCTCCAAAAATATGAGACTATGTAAAAAAACCAAACCTACAACTGATTGGAGTACCTGAAAGAGATAGGGAGAATGGAACCAACATGGAAAAAACACTTCAGGATATTATCCAGGAGAATTTCCCCAACCTAGCAATACAGACCAACATTCAAATTCAGGAAATACAGAGAACCCCACTAAAATACTCCATGAAAAGATCAACACCAACACACATAATCATCAGATTCTACAAGATTGAAATGAAGGAAGAAAATGTTAAGGACAGCCAGAAAGAAAGGTCAGGTCACCTACAGAGGGAAGCCCAGCAGACTAACAGTAGATCTCTCAGGAGAAACTCTACAAGCCAGAAGAGAGTAGGGGCCAATATTCAACATTCTTAAATAAAGGAATTTTCAACCCAGAATTTCATATTCAGACAAACTAAGTTTCATAAATAAAGGAGAAATAAAATCCTTTTCAGACAAGTAAATGCCAAGGGAATTTGTCACCACCAGCCCTGCCTTGCAAGAGCTCCTGAAGGAAGCACTAAATATGGAAAGGAAAAACCAGTACCAGCCACTGCAAAACACATGAAAATATAAAGACCAATGACAATATGAAGAAATGGCATTAACTAGTGTGCAAAATAGCTAGCTAGCATCATGATGACAGGGTCAACTCACACATAACAATATTAACCTTAAATGTAAATGGGCTAAATAACCCCAATTAAAAGACACAGAATGGCAAATTGGGTCATTTTGCCCATCAGTCAAGACCCATCAGTTTGCTGCATTAGAGAGACCCATCTCACATGCCAAGACACACATAGGCTCAAAATAAAGGGATGGAGGAAAATTTACCAAGCAAATGGGAAGCAAAAAAAAAAAAAAAAAAAAAAAAAGCAGAGGTTGCAATCCTAGTATCTGGCAAAACAGACTTTAAACCAACTGTATTAGTCCATTTTCACACTGCTGATAAAGACATACATGAGACTGGGCAATTACAGAGGAAAGAGCTTTAATGGAGAGCTCACAGTTCCACACGGCTGGGGAAGCCTCACAATCATGTTGGAAGGCAAGGAGAAGCAAGTCACATCTTACAAGGATGGAAGCAGGCAAAGAGAGAACTTGTGCAGAGAAACTCCCATTTTTAAAACCATCAGGTCTCATGAGACCCATTCACTATCACAAGAACAGCATGGAAAGACCCACCCCCATGATTCAATCATGTCTCACCAGATCTCTTCCACAACAAGTGGAAGTTATGGGAGCTACAAGATGAGATTTTGGTGGGAACACAGAGTGAAACTATTCATTCTGCCCCTGGCCCCTCCCAAATTTTATATCTTCACATTTCAAAATCAATCATACCTTCCAAACAGTCCCCCAAGTCTCAAATCGTTTCAGCATTAACTCAAAGTCCACAGTTCAAAGTCTCATCTGAGACAAGGCAAGCCCCTTCTACCTATGAGCCTGTAAAATCAAAAGCAAGTTAGTTACTTGGGTAAATACAGCCATTCCAAATGGGAGAAATTGGCCAAAACAAAGGGGCTACAGACCCCATGCAAGTCTGAAATCCAGCAGGGCAGTCAAATCTTAAAGCTCCAAAATGATCTCCTTTGACTCCATGTCTCATATCCAGGTCACACTGATGCAAAAGGTAGGTACCTACAGCCTTGGGCAGCTCTGCCCCTGTGGTTTTGCAGGGTACAGCCTCCCTCCCAGCTGTCGTCACAGGCTGGCATTGAGTGTCTGCAGCTTTTCCAGGCACACGGTGCAAGCTGTAAGTGGATCTACCATTCTGGGGTCTGGAGGATGGTAACCCTCTTCTCACAGCTCCACTAGGCAGTGCCCCAGCAGGGACTCTGTATCAGGGCTTGCAGCCCACATTTCCCTTCTCCACTGTCCTAGCAGAGGTTCTTCATGAGGACCCCACCCCTACCACAAACTTCTGCCTGGGCATCAAGGCATTTCCATACATCTTCTGAAATCTAGGTGGAGGTTTCCAAACCTCAATTCTTGACTTCTGTGCACTCACAGGCTCCACACCACATGGTAGCTGCCTCAACACCATGGAAGCTCCCTCTGAAGCCATGGCCAAAGCTCTATGTTGGCCCCTTTCAGATATAGCTGGAGCAGCTGGGACACAGGGCACCAAGTCCTAGGCTGCACACAGCATGGGAACATTGGGCCCAACCCACAAAACCAGTTTTTCCTCCAAGATCTCCCAGCCTGTGATGGGAGGGGCTGCCATGAAGACCTCTGACATGGCCTGGAGAAATTTTCCCTATGGTCATGGGGATTAACATTCAGCTCCTCATTACTTATGCAAATTTCTGCAGCCGGCTTGAATTTCTCCAGAAAATGGGATTTTCTTTTCTATTGCTTTATCAGGCTGCAAATTTTCCAAACATTTATGCTGTTTCCCTTTTTAAACTAAATGCCTTTAACAGCACCTAAGTCAACTCTTGAATGCTTTGTTGCTCAGAAACTTCTTCCACTAGATATCCTAAATCATCTCTCTCAAGTTCAAAGCTCTACAAATCTCTAGGGTAGGGGCAAAATGCTGCCAGTCTCTGCTAAAACATAACAAGAGTTACCTTTGCTCCGGTTCCCAAGAAGTTCCTCACTTCCATCTGAGACCACCTCAGCCTGAACTTTATTTATTGTCCATACCACTATCAGCACTGTGGGCAAAGCCATTCAACAAGTCTACAGGAAGTTCCAAATTTTCCCACATTTTCATGTCTTCTTCTGAGCCCTCCAATCTGTTCCAACCTTTGCCTGTTATCCAGTTCCAAAGTCATTTACACGTTTTCAGGTATCTTTTCGGCAACACCCCAGTCTACTGGTATCAATTTAATGTATTAGTCCATTTTCATGCTGCTGATAATGGGCAATTTGCAAGGAAAGAGGTTTAATGGAGAACTTACAGTTCCATGTGGCTGGGGAAGCCTCACAATCATGGCAGAAGGAAAAGAGGAGAAAGTCACAACTTCGAAGGATGGTGGCAGGCAAAGAAAGAGCTTGTGGAGAGAAACTCCCATTTTGGAATACTATGCAGCCATAAGAAACAATAAGTTTATGTCCTTTGCAAGGACATGGATGAAGCTGGAAGCCATCATCCTTAGCAAACTAACACAGGAACAGAAAACCAAACACTGCATGTTCTCACTCATAAGAGGGAGTTGAAAAATGAGAACACATGGACACAGGGAGGGGAACATCAAACACTAAGGCCTGTCAGCAGGTGGGGGGCAAGGGGAAGGAGAGCATTAGGACAAATACATAATGCATGCGGGGCTTAAAATCTAGATGATGGGTAGATAGGTGCAGCAAATCACCATGGCACATGTATATCTATGTAACAAACCTGCACATTATGCACATGTATCTCAGGACTTAAAGTAAAATTTTTAAAAAGGAAAGAAATGATGTACAATCACTGAAAAAAAAAGAAGATATAACATTAAGAGAGGTATCAGACAGCCAAATAATATAGAGCCAAGTAGGTCTTGGTAAGGACTTTGATTTTTACAAAGCATAAAATGGAAAGCCAATGCAGACTTTAGGTAGAATGATGACTGACTTCATTTCTTTTTCAGAAGGACCACTTTAGCTGCTGTGTGGTAAACTGGCTGCATTAGAACAGGGGTGAAAGCAAGACTCTAGTTTGCAATAATCCAGATGGAGGAGATGCTGGCTTGGACTGGGGTAATCACAGAAGAGGCAATGAGAAGTGGTTGGATTCTGCATGTGTGAACATGCAGAAATTCCATCAGGAATTTCTGATGATTTGGGTATGGGATTTGAAAGAAAGGAATCAATGATGTCTTCTAATTTTTTGGCTTGAGCAAATGGAGAATGGAGTTGTCATACATGGAAGGGGTGGGATGACTGTGAAAATGGCAGGTTTGAGCACGGGTGAGAGTAAGCTATAACTCTGGGGTCTAAGGGAGAAATCAGGAAATAAATAATAAATTTGGAAATGGTCAGTTGAATTTAAAGCCAGGGACTAAATACATTTACCTAGAGAGTAAAGTAAATAAAGAGAAATGATCCAATGACAACCCTTGGACCATCTCTAATCTTTGAAGGTTGCAAAGAAGTAAAAGATCCAACAAATAAGGCTAAGAAGGAACACCTGGTGGAATGAAGCAACCTGGAAAGGAAGGTTCCACTAGAGCATAACTAAGGGTTTCATGGAAAGACTAGCTCTGTCTGATGCTTCTAACAGGAGGGTAAGATGAGAGTTGATATTTACCCTGGAAGATTTGACTACAGGAAAATCACTGACGACCTTGATAAGGGAAATTTGGCTGAAATGGTAGGGACAAAACTCTTAATTGGAATGGGTTCAAAAGAGAATGTAGTTCTCCATATTATCATAAGGTCAGTCTTACCCAAGCCAGAAATTTAGGGTTAATCCCTGACATTGTCCTCTTCACCCTCTACAGTTAATGATTTGGCAAGTTTTATTGATTCTACTTGTAAACATGTATCCATTGACTTCTTTCCATGACTACTGTCACCATCCAAGACTCTTTTCTAAGCCAACATCATCTCTTATCTGCACTTCCTAGGTGACCCCACAGCTACTCTTGGCCCCTTCTACTTCATTCTCCACAAAAAAAAAAAAAAAAAAAAAGTGAATAGAATCCTTTAAAAAAATCAGATCCAACAGGGTCCATTCCAAGATGGCCGAATAGAACAGCTCTGGTCTGCAGCTGCCAGTGTGATCAATGCAGAAGATGGGTGACTTCTGCATTTCCAAATGAGGTACGTGGTTCATCTCATTAGGACTGGTATGAAAGTGGGTGCAGCCCACAGAGGGCAAGCTGAAGCAGGGCAGGGCATCGCTTCACCCAGGAAGGACAAGGGGTCATGGGATTTCCCTTTCCTAGCCAAGGGAAGCCATGACAGACTACACCAGGAAAATTGGGACGTTGCCACCTAAACACTGCACTTTTCCAATGGTCTTAGCAAACGGCACACCAGGAGATTATATCCTGCACCTGGATCAGCAGGTCCCACACCTGCAGAGCGTTGCTCACTGCTAGTGCCAGATGGAACTGCAAGGTGGCAAGCCTGGATGGGGTAAGGGCGTCCACCTTTACTGAGGCTTCAGTAGGTAAACAAAGCAGCCTGGAAGCTCAAACTGGGTGGAGCCCACCACAGTGCAAGGAGGCCCACCTGCCTCTGTAGACTCAACCTCTGGGGGAAGGGCATAGCTGAACAGAAGGCAGCAGAAACTTCTACAGACTTAAACGTCCCTGTCTCATAGCTCTGAAGAGAGCAGTGGTTCTCCCAGCATGGCATCTGAGCTCTGAGAATGGACAGACTGCCTCCTCTACTTGGTCCCTGAACCCCGTGTGGCCTAACTTGGAGATACCTCCCAGCAGGGGCCGACTGACACCTCATACAGCCGGGTGCCCCTCTGAGACAAAGCTTCCAGAGGAAGGATCAGGCAGCAATATTTGCTGTTCTGCAATCTTTGCTGTTCTGCAGACTCCACTGGTGATACCCAGGCAAACAGGTTCTGGAGTGGACCTCCAGCAAACTCCAACAGACCTGTAGCTGAGGGACCTGACTGTTAGAAGGAAAACTAACAAACAGAAAGGAACAGCATCAACATCAATAAAAAGAAAATCCACACCAAAACCCCATCTGTAGGTCACCATCATCAAAGACCAAAGACAGATAAAACCACAAACATGGGGAGAAACCAGAGCAAAAAAGCTGAAAATTTTAAAACCAGAGCACCACTTCTCCTCCAAAGGATCACACCTCCTCACCAGCAACAGAACAAAGCAGGATGGAGAATGACTTTGACAAGTTGACAGAAGTAGGCTTCAGAAGGTCGGTAATAACAAACTTCTCCAAGCTAAAGGAGGATGTTTGAATCCATCGCAAGGAAACTAAAAACCTTGAAAAAAGATTAGACGAATGGCTAATAAGAATAAACAGTGTAGAGAAGACCTTAAATGACCTGATGGAGCAGAAAACAATGGCACGAGAACTACGTGATGCATGCACAAGCTTCACTAGCCTATTCAATCAAGTGGAAGAAAGGATATCACTGATTGAAGATCAAATTAATGAAATGAAGCAAGAAGAGAAGTTTAGAGAAAAAAGAGTGAAAAAAAAATGAACAAAACCTCCAAGAAATATGGGACTATGTGAAAAGACCAAATGTACGTTTGACGGGTGTACGTGAAAGTGACAGGGAGAATGGAACCAAGTTGGAAAGCACTCTTCAGGATATTATCCAGGAGAACTTCCACAACCTAGCAAGGCAGGCCAACACTCAAATTCAGGGAATACAGAGAATGCCACAAAGATACTCCTTCAGAAGAGCAACCCCAAGACACATAATTGTCAGATTCACCAAGGTTGAAACAAAGGAAAAAATGCTAAGGGAAGCCAGAGAGAAAGGTTGGGTTACCCACAAATGGAAGCCCATCAGACTAACAGTGGATCTCTCAGCAGAAACTCGACAAGCCAGAAGAAAGTGGGGGCCGATATTCAACATTCTTCAAGAAAAGAATTTTCAACCCAGAATTTCATATCCAGCCAAACTAAGCTTCATAAGTGAAGGAGAAATAAAATACTTTACAGACAAGCAAATGCTGAGAGATTTTGTCACCACCAGGCCTGCCTTACAAGAGCTCCTGAAGGAAGCACTAAACATGGAAACGAACAACCAGTACCAGCCACTGCAAAAACATGCCAAATTGTAAAGACCATCGATGCTAGGAAGAAACTGCATCAACTAACGAGCAAAATAACCAGCTAACATCATAATGACAGGATCAAATCCACACATAACAATATTAACTTTAAATGTCAATGGGCTAAATGCCCCAATTAAAAGAAACAGACTGGCAAATTGGATAAAAGTCAAGACCCATCAGTGTGCTGTATTCAGGAAACCCATCTCACATGCAGAGACACACATAGGCTCAAAATAAAGGGATGGAGGAAGATCTACCAAGCAAATGGAAAAAAAAAAACAGCAGGGGTTGCAATCCCAGTCTCAGATAAAACAGACTTTAAACCAACAAAGATCAAAAGAGACAAAGAAGGCCATTACATAATGGTAAAGGGATCAATTCAACAAGAAGAGCTAACTTTCCTAAATATATATGCATCCAATACAGGAGCACCCAGATTCATAGAGCAAGTCCGGAGAGACCTACAAAGAGACTTAGACACCCACACAATAATAATGGGATACTTTAACACCCCACTGTCAATATTAGACAGATCAACAAGACAGAAGATTAACAAGAATATCCAGGACTTGAACTCAGCTCTGTACCAAGCAGACCTAATAGACATCTACAGAACTCTGCACCCAAAATCAACAGAATATATACATTGTTCTCAGCACCACATCGCACTTATTCCAAAACTGAACACATAGTTGGAAGTAAAGCACTCCTCAGCAAATGTAAAAGAACAGAAATCACAACAAACTGTCTCTCAGATCACAGTGCAATCAAATTAGAACTCAGGATTAAGAAACTCACTCAAAACCACTCAACTACATGGAAACTGAACAACCTGCTCCTGAATGACTACTGGGTACATAACGAAATGAAGGCAGAAATAAAGATGTTCTTTGAAACCAATGAGAACAAAGACACAACATACCAGAATCTCTGGGACACATTCAAAGCAGTGTGTAGAGGGAAATTTATAGCACTAAAGGCCCACAAGAGAAAGCAGGAAAGATTTAAAATCGACACCCTAACATCAAAATTAAAAGAACTAGAGAAGCAAGAGCAAACACATTCAAAAGCTAGCAGAAGACACGAAATAACAAAGATCAGAACAGAACTGAAGGAGATAGAGACACAAAAAAACCTTTAAAAAATAAATGAATCCAGGAGCTGATTTTTTGGAAAGATCAACAAAATTGATAGACCACTAGCAAGACTAATAAAGAAGAAAAGAGAGAAGAATCAAATAGACACACTAAAAAATGATAAAGGGGATATCAGCACCGATCCCACAGAAATACAAACTACCATCAGAGAGTACTATAAACACCTCTATGCAAATAAAATAGAAAATCTAGAAGAAATGGATAAATTCCTGGACACATACAAGACTAAACCAGGAAGAAGTTGAATCTCTGAATAGACCAATAACAGGCTCCGAAATTGAGGCAATAATTAATAGCCTACCAACCAAAAAAAGTCCAGAACCAGATGGATTCACAGCCGAATTCTACCAGAAGTACAAAGACGAGTTGGTACCATTCCTTCTGAAACTATCCCAATCAATAGAAAGACAGGGAATCCTCCCTAACTCATTTTATGAGGCCAGCATCATCCTGATACCAAAGCCTGGCAGACACACAACCAAAAAAGAGAATTTTAGACCAATATCCCTGATGAACATCGATGCAAAAATCCTCAATAAAATACTGGCAAATCGAATACAGCAGCACATCAAAAACTTATCCATGATGATCAAGTGGGCTTCATCCCTGGGATGCAAGGCTGGTTCAATATATGCAAATCAATAAACGTAATCCATCACATCACCAGAACCAAAGACAAAAAACACGTGATTATCCCAATAGATGCAGAAAAGGCCTTTGGCAAAATTCAACAGCGCTTCATGCTAAAAACTCTCAATAAACTAGGTATTGACAGGATGTGTCTCAAAATAATAAGAGCTACTTGTGACAATCTCACAGCCAATGTCATACTGAATGGGCAAAAACTGGAAGCATTCCCTTTGAAAACTGGCACAAGACAGGGATGCCCTCTCTCACCACTCCTCTTCAACATAGTGTTGGAAGTTCTGGCCAGGGCAATCAGGCAAGAAAAAGAAATAAAGGGTATTCAATTAGGAAAACAGGAAGTCAAATTGTCCCTGTTTGCAGGTGACATGATTGTATATTTAGAAAACCCCATTTTCTCAGCTCAAAATCTCCTTAAGCTGATAAGCAACTTCAGCAAAGTCTCAGGACACAAAATCAATGTACAAAAATCACAAGCATTCCTATACACCAATAACAGACAAACAGAGAGCCAAATCATGAGTGAACTCCTATTCACAATTGCTTCAAAGAGAATAAAATACCTAGGAATCCAACTTACAAGGGACGTGAAGGACCTCTTCAAGGAGAAATACAAACCACCGCTCAATGAAATAAAAAAGGATACAAACAGATGGAAGAACATTCCATGCTCATGGGTAGGAAGAATCAATATTGTGAAAATGGCCATACTGCCCAAGGTAATTTATAGAATCAATGCCATTGCCATCAAGCTACCAATGACTTTCTTCACAGAATAGGAAAAAACTAATTTAAGGTTCATATGGAACCAAAAAAGGGCCTGCATTGCCAAGACAATCATAAGCCAAAAGAACAAAGCTGGAGGCATCATGCTACCTGGCTTCAAACTATACTACAAGGCTACAGTAACCAAAACAGCATGCTACTGGTACCAAAACAGAGATATAGACCAATGGAACAGAACAGAGGTCTCAGAAATAACACCACACATGTACACCCATCTGATCTTTGACAAACCTGACAAAAACAAGCAATGGGGAAAGGATTCCCTATTTAATAAATGGTGCTGGGAAAACTGGCTAGCCATATGTAGAAAGCTGAGACTGGATCTCTTCCTTACACTTTATACAAAAATTAATTCAAAATGGATTAAAGACTTAAATGTGGGGTGGAGCCAAGATGGCCGAATAGGAACAGCTCCTGTCTACAGCTCCCAGTGTGAGCAATGCAGAAGATGGGTGATTTCTGCATTTCCAACTGAGGTACCGGGTTCATCTCACTGGGGAGTGCTGGATAGTGCATACAGGACAGTGGGTGCAGCGCACTGTGAGTGAGCCGAAGTAGGGTGAGGCATTGCCTCACCCGGGAAGCGCAAGGGGTCAGGGAATTCCCTTATCTAGTCAAAGAAAGGGGTGACAGACAGCACCTGGAAAATCGGGTCACTCCCACCCTAATACTGTGCTTTTCCAATGGGCTAAACAAACGGCACACCAGGAGATTATATCCCGCACAAGGCTGGGAGGGTCCTATGCCCACAGAGCCTTGCTCATTGCTAGCACAGCAGTCTGAGATCAAACTGCAAGGTGGCAGCAAGGCTGGGGGAGGGGTGCCCGCCATTGCCCAGGCTTGAGTAGGTAAACAAAGCAGCCAAGAAGCTCAAACTGGGTGGAGCCCACCACAGCTCAAGGAGGCCTGCCTGCCTCTGTAGACTCCACCTCTGGGGGCAGGGCACAGATAAACAAAAGACAGCAATAACCTCTGCAGACATAAATGTCCCTGTCTGACAGCTTTGAAGACAGTAGTGGTTCTCCCAGCAACAGCTTGAGATCTGCAAATGGGCAGACTAACTCAAGTGGGTCCCTGACCCCCAAGTAGCCTAACAGGGAGACACCCCCCAGTAAGGGCAGACTGACACCTCACACGGCCAGGTCCTCCTCTGAGACAAAACTTCCAGAGGAACGATCAGGCAGCAGCATTTGCGGTTCACCAATATCCACTGTTCTGCAGCCACCGCTGCTGATACCCAGGCAAACAGGGTCTGCAGTGGACCTCCAGTAAACTCCAACACACCTGCAGCTGAGGGTCCTGACTGTTAGAAGGAAAACTAACAAACAGAAAGGACATCCACACCAAAAACCCATCTGTATGTCACCATCATCAAAGATCAAAGAGAGATAAAACCACAAAGATGGGGAAAAAAACAGAGCAGAAAAACCAGAAACTCTAAAAATTAGAGCGCCTCTCCTCCTCCAAAGGAATGCAGCTCCTCACCAGCAATGGAACAAAGCTGGACGGAGAACAACTTTCACGAACTGAGAGAGGAAGGCTTCAGAGGATCCAACTACTCCGAGCTAAAGGAGGAAGTTAGAACCAATGGCAAAGAAGTTAAAAACCTTGAAAAAAGAAATGGATAAATTCCTCGACACATACACCCTCCCAAGAACAAACCAGGAAGAAGTTGAATCTCTGAATAGACCAATAACAGGCTCTGAAATTGAGGCAATAATTAATAGCTTACCAACCAAAAAAAGACCAGGACCAGATGGATTCACAGCTGAATTCTACCAGAGGTACAAGGAGGAGCTGGTACCATTCCTTCTGAAACCATTCCAATCAATAGAAACAGAGGAAATCCTCTCTAACTCATTTTATGAGGCCAGCATCATCCTCATACCAAAGCCTGGCAGGGACACAACCAAAAAAGAGAACTTTAGACCAATATCTGTGATGAACATCGATGCAAAAATCCTCAATAAAATACTGGCAAACCGAATCCAGCAGCACATCAAAAAGCTTATCCACCATGATCAAGTGGGCTTCATCCCTGGAATGCGAGGCTGCTTCAACATACGCAGATCAATAAACATCATCCAGCATATAAACAGAACCAAAGACAAAAACCATGTGATTATCTCAATAGATGCAGAAAAGGCCTTTGACAAAATTCAACAATGCTTCATGCTAAAAACTCTCAATAAATTAGGTATTCATGGGACGTATCTCAAAACAGTAAGAGCTATCTATGACAAACCCACAGCCAATATCATACTGAATGGGCAAAAACTGGAAGCATTCCATTTGAAAACTGGCACAATACAGGGATACCCTCTCTCACCACTCCTATTCAACATAGTCTTGGAAGTTCTGGCAAGGGCAATTAGGCAGGAGAAGGAAATAAAGGGTATTCAATTAGGAAAACAGGAAGTCAAATTGTCCCTGTTTGCAAATGACATGATTGTATATCTAGAAAACCCCATTGTCTCAGCCCAAAATCTTCTTAAGCTGATAAGCAACTTCAGCAAAGTCTCAGGACACAAAATCAATGTACAAAAATCCCAAGAATTCTTATACACCAGTAACAGACAAACAGCCAAATCATGAGTGAACTCCTATTCACAATTGCTTCAAAGAGAATAAAATACCTAGGAATCCAACTTACAAGGGATGTGAAGGACCTCTTCAAGGAGAACTACAAACCACTGCTCAACGAAATAAAAGAGGATACAAACAAATGGAAGAACATTCCATGCTCATGGGTAGGAAGAATCAATATTGTGAAAATGGCCATACTGCCCAAGGTAATTTATAGATTCAATGCCATCCCCATCAAGCTACCAATGACTTTCTTCACAGAATTGGAAAAAAATACTTTAAAGTTCTTATGGAACCAAAAAAGAGCCCACATTGCCAAGTCAATCCTCAGCCAAAAGAACAAAGCTGGAGGCATCATGCTACCTGACTTCAAACCATACTACAAGGCTACAGTAACCAAAACAGCATGGTACTGGTACCAAAACAGAGATATAGACCAATGGAACAGAACACAGCCCTCAGAAATAATGCCACATATCTACAACTATCTGATCCTTGACAAACCTGACAAAAACAAGCAATGGGGAAAGGATTCCCTATTTAATAAATGGTGCTGGGAAAACTGGCTAGCCATATGTAGAAAGCTGAAACTGGATCCCTTCCTTACATCTTATACAAAAATTAATTCAAGATGGACTTAAATGTTAGACCTAAAACCATAAAAACCCTAGAAGAAAACCTAGGCAATAACATTCAGGACATAGGTGTGGGCAAGGACTTCATGTCTAAAACACCAAAAGCAATGGCAACAAAAGTCAAAACTGACAAATGGAATCTAATTAAACTAAAGAGCTTCTGCACAGCAAAAGAAACTACCAACAGAGTGAACAGGCAACCTACAGAATGGGAGAAAATTTTTGCAACCTACTCATCTGACAAAGAGCTAATATCCAGAATCTACAATGAACTCAAATAAATTTACAAGAAAAAAACAAACAACCCCCTCAAAAAGTGGGTGAAGGATATGAACAGACACTTCTCAAAAGAAGACATTTATGCAGCCATCACACACACGAAAAAATGCTCATCATCACTGGCCATCAGAGAAATGCAAATCAAAACCACAATGAGATACCATCTCACACCAGTTAGAATGGCGATCATTAAAACGTCAGGAAACAATACGTGCTGGAGAGGATGTGGAGAAATAGGAACACTTTTATACTGTTGGTGGGACTGTAAACTAGTTCAACCATTGTGGAAGTCAGTGTGGCGATTCCTCAGGGATCTAGAACTAGAAATACCATTTGACCCAGCCATCCCATTACTGGGTATATACCCAAAGATTATAAATTATGCTGCTATAAAGACACATGCACACGTATGTTTATTGTGGCATTATTCACAATAGCAAAGACTTGGAACCAACCCAAATGTCCAAAAATGATAGACTGGATTAAGAAAGTGTGGCACATATACACCATGGAATACTACGCAGCCATAAAAAATGATGAGTTCATGTCCTTTGTAGGGACATGGATGAAGCTGGAAATCATCATTCTGAGCAAACTATTGCAACGACAGAAAACCAAACACTGCATGTTCTCACTCATAGATGGAAATTGAACAATGAGAACACTTGGAGGCAAGGCGAGGAACATCACACACTGGGGCCTGTCATGGGATGGGGTGGGGGGAAGGGATACCATTAGGAGATATACCTAATATAAATAACGAGTTAATGGGTGCAGCACACCAATATGGCACATATATACATATGTAACAAAACTGCACGTTGTGCACATGTACCCTAGAACTTAAGAAAAAAAAAGCAGATCCAACCATGTCACTTACCTCCTTAAAACCTCTCAGTGTTTTTCACCAGTCTTAGAATAAAGTTTAAATTCCTAAAACACATACCCATAAGTGTAGCTGTTCAACCTCCAGAATTTTTTCCTATTCTTTATGTCTATTCCATGTGGCCCTGCCTTGAAATGATTCTCCTTCCTGAGAGTTTGAAACTTAAGAAAAGGGCATAGACACCAGCAACTATAGTTAATTCCTGACTCTACTTAACATAAGGGCCCTAGAAAAAGTTCACAAGCAGACCTATTTGTAATACTTGCAGGGCCCAGGGTAAAAAGTACGAATGGAAACCAACATGCAACATGTTGAAATATGTAAAAGTTATAAGCCAAGCTTACAACTCATTAAGTAGAATATATTTTGTCTGCTATCCTTCATAGTAATCTGGAAGCCTAGATTCAAATTTAGAATTTTCAGGTTCCTGAAAATTCTGAACCAGATGATTCAGAATTCTACCTTTTTTTTTTTTTTTTGAGATGGAATCTCACTCTGTCACCCAGGCTGGAGTGCAGTGGTGTGATCTTAGCTCACTGCAACCTCCGCCTGCTGGGTTCAAGCAATTCTCCTGCCTCAGCCTCCCAAGTAGCTGGTACTACAGGCAAGCACCACCATGCCCAGCTAATTTTTTGTATTTTTAGTAGAGACAGGGCTTCACCATGCTGGCCACGCTGGTCTCAAACTCCTGACCTCATGATCCACCCGCCTTGGCCACCCAAAGTGCTGGGATTACAGGCTGTGAATTCTTTTTCTGTCAGGTGTTTCCATATCACTCTTTAAGGGCCTTGTGTGCATGCCAATACATCTGCCCTGACTGAGTCCTGTTTATTCACTGATCAGCAGTGTTTGAGTACCTAAAATGCACCAAACAATGTGGTAGACAATCGATATCACCTTAGCTTTCATGTCCTATCTCCAAACAGAACCCGTCAAATGGATGTTTCCAAGATTTTCACTCGAATGGAAGATTCTATACTGGGGAGTAAGAGATACATACAAACTCCAAAAGTAGGGATGGGAATTTTAGAACAGAGAAAACCAAATTCCAAATACCACGGTGTGATCTAGAGGATGAATGTAGGCTCTGTGTAGGCGTTTACACTTGGCCCTAAGAACCCCTTCCTCCAGGCGGAAGAGTATAGTTAAAGGAAGGACAAAACAGGACCTTCCAAAGGACAGGGCCTAGGAAAAGAATAGCTTGTCATAATGTTTAATGAAAGTACTACCTATATAATATCTTGCAGTCAAGATCCTTGGAGGTGGTCACTATTCTTATATCAGATAAAACAGACTTGAAACCAACAGCAGTAATAAAAGATAAAGAAGGGCATTATGTAATAATAAAAGGATCAATTTAACAAGAAGATTTAACTATCCTAAATATATATACAGCCAACATTGGAGCACCCAGATTCACAAGTACTTCTAGGTCCATGAAAAGACTTGGACAGCCACATAATAGTTGTGGGAAACTTCGATACCCCACTGACAGCATTAGGCAGATCATCAAGGCAGAAAACTAACCAAGAGTTTCTGGGCTTAAACTCACCACTTGACCAGTCAGAACTAATAGACATCTATGGAATACTCCACTCGTCAATCATTGAATATACATTCTTGTCCTCTGCACATGGAACATCTTCCAAGATTGACCATGTGCTTGGCTATAAGCAAGTCTCAATGATTTTTAACAAATCAGAATCATACCAATCATACTCTCAAACCAGAGTGGAACAAAGCTAGAAATCAATACCAAGATCTCTCAAAACCACACAATTATAGGGCAATTAAACAACTTGCTCCTGAATGACTTTTGAGGAAACAATGAAATGAGGTCATAAATTAAAAAATTATTTGAAAGAAATGAAAACAGAGATACCACATATCAAAATCTCTGGGATGCAGCAAAAGCAGTGTTCAGAAGTTTATAGTACTAAACTCCTACATCAAGATAGAAAGATCTCAAATTAATGATCTAACATTACACCTAGAGGAGCTAGAAAAACAAGAAAAACTAACCTTAAAACTGTCAGAAGAAAAGAAATACTAAAATCAGAGCAGAACTGAATAAAATTAAGACCCAAAAATTTATATGAGGTATCAAATAACAGTTGGTTTTTTGAAAAATAAACAAGATTAATAGACTGCTAGCTAAATTAACAAAGAAAAAAGATCCAAATAAGCACAATCAGAAATTACAAATGTGACATTACAACCATTTCTACAGAGATACAAAAGATCCTCAGAGATTATTATGACACCTCTATGCACACAAACTACAAAGTCTAGAGGAAATGGACAAATTCCTGGAAAGGCAACATCCCAAGATTGAGTCAGGAGGAAATTGAAACCCTGATCTGACCAATACTAAGTTATGAAAGTAAGTAAGTTATAAAACTTACCAATCAAAAAAATCCCTGGACCAGATGGACTCACAGCCAAATTCTACCAGATGTACTAAGAAGAGCTGGTATCAATTCTTTTGAAACTATTCCAAAAAAACACAAAGACGATATCCTCCCTAACTCATCTACAAAGCCAGCATCACCCTGAAGCAAAAACCTGGCAAAGACACAATAAAAATGAAAACTACAGGTCAATATCCCTAATGAACATAAATGAAAAAATCCTCAACAAAATACTACCAAACCAAATCCAGCAGCACATAAAAAGTTAATTTACCATAATCACGTAGCCTTCATTCCTGAAATCACACAAGGTTTGTTCCATACAGGCAAATCAATAACTGTGATTAACTACATAAACAGAATTAAAAACAAAAAACATATGATCATCTCAATAGACACAGAAAAAGCTTTTGATAAAAACCCAACACCCCTTCATGACAAAAACTCACCAAAAAGCATCAAAGGAACATACCTCAAAATGATAGGAGCCATCTATGACACACCCACAGCAAACATCATACTAAATGGGCAAAAGCTGGAAGTATTCTCCTTAAGAACTAAAATAAGACAAGGATGCTTACTCTTCCAACTCTTATTCAACATAGTACTGGAAGTCTTAGCAAGAACAATCAGACGAAAGAAAAAAATAAAAGGCATTTCAATAGGAAAAGAAAAAGTCAAATTATTTCTCTTCACTCAAGATATAATTTTATTCATAAAAAATCAAGAAACTCTGCCAAGAGGCTGCTAGAACTGATAAACAATTTCAGTAAAGTTTCAGGATACAAAATCAATGTACAAAAATCAGTAGCATTTCCATATACCAATAGCATTCAAGCTGAGAGACAAGACAAATATGCAATCCCATTTACAATCACCACCAAATCATAAACCACCTATGATCTAACGAAAGAGGTGAAAGATCTCTACAAGGAGAATTATAAAACAACTGCTGAAAGAAATTATAAGTGACATGAACAAATGGAAAAACATTACATGCTTATAGATTGGAAGAGTCAGTACCATTAAAACAACCATAGAGCTCAATGCAATCTACAGATGCAACACTATACCAATCAAACTACCAATGTCATTTAACAGAATTAGAAAAAACTATTCCAGAATTCATGTTGAAGCAAAAAAAGAGCCCAAATAGGAGAGCAATCCTAAGAAAAAAAAATGCCCCAGGTATTACATTACCTGACTTCTTCAAACTACACTATAAGACTACAGTAATCAAAACAGCATTGTACTGACACGAAAACAGATACATATACCAATGGAATAGAATAGAGAACTCAGAAATAAAGTCACAAACTTAACACCATCTGATCTTCAACAAAATTGACAAAAATAAACCATGGGGAAGGGGCTGCCTATTCAATAAAAAGTGCTGGAATAACTGACTAGCCATATGCAGAAGATTGACACTGGATCTCTACCATTTACCATATGAAAAAATTAACTCAAGATGGATAAGGTTTAAATTTAAGACTTCAAACTATAAGAATCCTACAAAAAACCTAGGAAATATCCTTCTCGACATCAGACTAAGCAAAGATCTATGGCTAAGTCCTCAAAAGCAACTGCAATAAAAACAAAAATTGACAAGTGGGACCTAATTAAACCAAAGAGCTTCTGCACAGCAAAAGAAACTATCATCATGGTAAACAGACAACCTACAGAATGGGAGAAAATATTTACAAACTATGCATGCAACAAAGGTCTAGCATTCAGAATTTATGAGAAACTTAAATCAACAAGCATAAAGCAAATAACTTCATTGAAAAGCAGACAAGGGACGTGACACTTCTCAAAAGAAACCACAAGTGGCAAACAAATATACGAAAAAAACACTCATAACTAATTATCAGAGATATGCAAATCAAAACCACAATGAGATACCACCTTAAAGCAGTTAGAATTGCTATTATTAAAAAGTCAAAAAACATCAGATGCTAGTGAGGCTGCAGAGAAAGGGAATGCTTATATACAACCACTGTGGAAAGCAGTTTGGAGATTTCTCTAAGAACTTTAAACAGAACTACTTTTTGACCCAGCAATCCCATTACTGGTATATATCCAAAGGAAAATAAATTATTCTACAAAAAAGACACAAGCATTTGCATGTTCATCGCAGCACTATTCACAATAGCAAATACATAGAATCAGCCTAGGTGCCCAACAGTGGATAGGATAAAGAAAATCTGTACCTACATATTATGGAATACTAGCAACCCATTAAAAAAAAAGAATGAAATCATGTCCTTTGCAGCAATAGGGATGCAACTGGGTGCCATTATCCAAAGTGAGATTAATGCAGGAGCAGAAAAGCAAATATCACACATTCTCACTTATAAGTAGAAGCTAAATATTGGGTACATATGGACACAAAAATGAGAGCAATACCAGCCTAGGCAATGTGGTGAAACCCCATCTCTACAAAAAAATACAAAAATTACCCAGGCATGGTGGCTCGTGCCTATATTCCCAGCAACTTGCGGGACTGAGGTGGGAGGATTGCTTGAGCCCAGCAGGCAGAGGTTGCAGTGAGCTGAGATCGCACCACTGCACTCCAGCCTGGGCGACAGAGAGAGACCCTGTCTCAAAAAAAAAAAAAAACAATAGGAGCAACGAGGCTGGGGACAACTAGATGAGGGAGATAAGAAAGGGAGCAGGGGCTAAAAAAAAAACTACCTATTGGGTACTATGCTCACTACCCAGGTGACAGGGTCATTCATACCCCAAACCCTAGCATCATGCAGACAAACCTGCACATGTACCATCTAAACCTAAAATGAAAGTGGAAATTTAAAATAAATAAATAAGAATAAAAGATCCCTGGATCTACCCAATCTGCCCTACATATTGGTTGTTCTTTCATCTGTAAGCCAACCCAATATCATACTTTCAATAACTCCTCCTTTTCCTATTAAGCCAGACAGAATTGTTTTCTATTACTTTATTTTATTTATTTTATTTATTTATTTATTTATTTATTTTGAGACGGAGACTCGCTCTGTTGCCCAGGCTGGAGTGCAGTGGCGCTATCTCAGCTCACTGCAAGCTCCGCTTCCCGGGTTCATGCTATTCTCTTGCCTCAGCCTCCCGAGTAGCTGGGACTATAGGCGCCCGCCACCTTGCCAGGCTAATTTTTTTTATTTTTAATAGAGACGGGGTTTCACCATGTTAGCCAGGATGGTCTTGATCTCCTGACCTCGTGATCTGCCCACCTCGGATTCCCAGAGTACTGGGATTACAGGCATGAGCCACCACGCCCGGCCAGTTTTCTATTACTTTCAAGCAAAAGAAACTTAATTTATATAATTTTGAAGGAAGCTTTCATGGTTCTGCATAATCTGGTTCCTTCCTAGTCTCTAATTTCTCTTCATTTTACTTTCCACATCACTTACTGGCCATATAGGCTTCTTTCAGTTTGTCACAAGGGTGAGCTACCTGTCCACCTCAGTATCTTTACGCATGATCCTGTCTCTGTCTAAGCAGACCTCCTCTTGACCTAACCAATACTTTCTTTCAGGAATCAGATTAAATATCACTTTAGGAAGCCTCTCTGCTCACACCCCATTCAAGCAACACCACATGCTCATCACAGCATGTCTGTGATGGGCAACGTAAGTGACCATCAACAGAAAAATGGATAAGGAAAATGTGGCACTTATATACAATGGAGTACTATTTAGCCATAAAAAAGAATGAGATCTTGTCGTTTGCAACGACCTAGATGGAACTGCAGGTCATTATGTTAAATGCAATAAGCAGGCACGGAAATACAAACATTGCACGTTCCCACTTATTTGTGGG
Source organism: Homo sapiens (assembly GCF_000001405.40). NCBI lineage: Eukaryota > Metazoa > Chordata > Mammalia > Primates > Hominidae > Homo > Homo sapiens. The sequence goes on along the minus strand of NC_000006.12, from coordinate 74,020,577 downwards.
ATCTAAAAATAAAAACAATTGAACTCATGGAGATAGAGAGTAGAAGAATGTTTACCAGAGGTTGGGAATGGTAGAGTGCATGGGGGGCATGGGGGGCATGGGGAGATGAAGATAGTTAATGGGATGAAAAAAAATAGTTAAAAAGAATAAGATCTAGTATTTGATAGCACAACAGAGTGACTATAGTCCATAATAATTTAATTATACATTTAAAAATAACTGTAGGGGTTCAGTTAGGATGGTGGGAAAAATTGTAAAATTAACAAACCCATTAACTATCTTCATCTTCTCCCCATGCCCCCCATGCCCTCTACCATTCCCAACCTCTGAGGTGAGATGATCATATGCCTGTTTGACATTTGTATGTCTTCTTTCGAGAAATGTCTATTCAAATTTTTTGTCCATTTTTTAATCAGATTAAAGTTTTATCCTATAGAATTGCTTAAGCTCCTTATATATTCTACTGTGAATCTTTTGTCAGATGGGTAGTTTACAAATACCTTCTCCAAGTCTGTGGGTTATCTCTTCACCTTGTTGTTTCCTTTGCTGTGCAGAAGCTTTTTAAGTTGATGTGATCCCATTTGCCCATTTTTGCTTTGGTTGTCTACGCTCGTGGGATATTACTCAGGAAGTTTTTGCCCAGTCCCATGTCCTGGAGTTTCCCCCAATGTTTTCTTATAGTAGTTTTATAGTTTGAGGTCTTAGATTTAAGTATTTTATCCATTTTGATTTGATTTTTGTATATGGTGAGAGGTAGGGGTCTAGTTTCATTCTTCTACATATTGATACTGTTTTCCCAGCACCATTTATTGAAGAGACTGTCTTTTCCCCAGTATATGTTCTTGGCAGCTTGGTCAAAAATAAGTTCACTGTAGGTTTGTGGACTTGTTTCTAGGTTCTCTATTCTGTTCCATTGGCCTATGTGTCTGTTTTTATTCCAGTACCATGCTGTTTTGTTTACTATAGCCCTGCAATATGATTTGAAGTCAGATAATATTATCCCTCCCATTTTGTTCTTTTTGCTCAGGATAATGTTGGCTTTTCTGGATCTTTTGTTGTTTCATATAAATTTTAGGATTATTTTTCTATTTCTGTAAAGAATGTCATTGGTATTTTGATAGGAATTGCATTGAACCTGTAGATTAGTTTTGGGTAGTATGGACTTTTTAACAATATTGATTTTTCCAATCTATGAACATGGAATATCTTTCCATTTGGGGATATCCTCTTCAATTTCTTCCATCAGTGTTTTATCATTTTCATTATAGAGATCTGTCACTTTTTTTTATCAATTCCTAAATATTTAAGGGCCCATAGGCTCTTTAGTCAGCAAGTGATAAATCCTGCCAGGACTGGGTCCTTCTCTTCAAGGTGTCAAGTTCCCTTTCATCCCAGGATGTGTCTGCAAATGTCGTCTGGGATCTACGGCCTAGAATAGGGGCCTCAGCACTCTGCCTGGTGCCCTATGCTACTGTGGCCAAATTGGTATGCAGGATGCAAGACTAAGTCCTCTTTACTGTTTACTTTCTGCTGTCATTTCCTTTAAGCAAAAGGAAGGATTCACTTTCCTTGATGTAAGAGCTGTACTGCCTGGAGTTGGGGGAAGGGTGGCACAAGCACTCCCTTAGCCACCCAGGCCAGTTTCTCCATACGTCACGTGTTACCCTGGTTCTCTGGCTCTGAGTCCAGCCCACCGCTAGGAGTTGCCTGGGAACTGCAGTTTCCTTGTGCCCTAGACTGTCTTTCAAGTTTACCTAAGACCCCAGAGTACTTTGGCCCACAGTGGTGAGGCTTGGAGAAAAACTCAAGTTCCAGCCACTAGGATGGGTGATTCCTCTCTGGCTAGGGCTGGTCCAAATGTTTCCTCCAAGCACAGGCACTGGCTGAGCCCAGCATGGCTCTGCTCTCCACTATGACAGGGCAACATTGAATTCAGAATAAAGTTTCCCAATCGCTGTGCTCTCCCCCTGGCCCCACCCCAGAAGGCACAGATGCCCAGTGAGACATGGCTGCTGCTGGGGGATGGGGAAGGAGTGGTGTTGGCAATTCAGGACTGTCTCTCCAACTCTCTTCACTGCTTCTTCCAGTGATATTAAGTTAAAACCAGGTACTGTTATTGCTCACCCGATTTTTGCTTTCTGTGACAGTGCTTTACTGTGTACAGATAGTTGTTACAATTTGGTATCCCTCCATGGTGGGGGACAAATGGTGTAGGCTTCTATTTCACCATCTTGTTCCACCCTCTAGATGAGAAAGTAAATGAGAAAACAAGTACCTATTGTATTAGTCCATTTTCACACTGCTGATAAAGACATAACTGAGACTGTAAAGAAAAAGAGGTTTAATGGACTTACAGTTCCACATGGCTGAGGAGGTCTCACAATTATGGCAGAAGGCAAGGAGGACCAAGTCACATATTACATGGATGGCAGCAGTCAAAGAGAGCTTGTGTGGGGAAATTCCCATTTTTAAAACCATCAGATCTCGTGAGACTCATTCACTATCACAAGAACAACACAGGAAAGACCCACACCCATAATCTAATCACCTCCCATGGGGTTCCTCCCCGCCATGACATGTGAGAATTGTGGGATAAAATTTGGGTGGGGACACAGCCAAATCATATCACCTACTATGCATCGCACTATGTTAGAGAGATCACAGAAACCAACTAAACCTGCCTCCTTGCTTTCAAGGACTTTGCAGTCTTCACAAGAATGTGAACATTCTGGTCATCACCATAGCTAGGTTTCCCTCCCTACCTTTGTCTTTGTATCACTGAGTTCCCAATACCTGCTGCTATTGGGCCTTCTCAGTCCATACTACCTACACATTCACTTCCACTACACAAAGTGCCTGGAAAATGCTATGTTCTATGAGTGGATAAAATAATGGCACAGCTAAGAGCAATTTTCGACCTCTAGATGGGCTGGTCTCATCACCTGCAGACGTTTTTTCCTCATATCCATAAATAAGACCAGTTATTTTATCTAAACATAGTAGACCACCTTGGATTCCTTTCCCCAGTCTATTTCCATTCATCCTGCTCAACCACTGCCCAGCCGTGGTTCTATCATAAAGGCAGGGAGTGGAAGGGAATCTGCTTACATAAGATGTCTAGATACTTGGATTCTAGACAAATATATGTGTGTTATAAAGATATGTTTGCTAAAATCTAGACAAACAAATACTTGCCATAAATAGAAATTATATTCTTAACATCTTCACCATATGATGACTGCAGTCCACACAGAAAAGTACAAGCGCTTTTTTTAAGGTTCCTATCTTTTAAAATGCAGAAAGAAAGTTAGCACCCAAATACAAAGAGATATTTTGCTAAGGTCATTCCCTTCTATACTACTTTTTTAGAAAGACACACTAGAAGGAAGAATATTTGGTTTTCTGAAAAGATATGCTTTTGAAGATGCTATTAAACAATTGTTTACCTGTAATGGAAATAAACAGCCAAAGGGAGTATCTTTAATGCTTTCTGGCCTCCTTCATTTATGGCTGGTTTCTCTACAAAAACTTAAATATCTTCATTTTTGTACAAAACAAAACATATGTTTAGGGATATTGAGAGGAAAAATAAGTTTTCTAATGTAATATATACAATGTAAAACTTTATTAAAATGAACCCATAACAATTAGAAAGGCATTTATTTTCCCTTTTTTACAATAACATGTCCAGGCTATACTACCTCAAGGTAATAATTTCTTAATTTACTCCACATCATCACAAGGAATTAAGAAGCTTAAGATTCCATTCTCCAAGTAGAATATCAGGCAAATACTTTTAGACCAGTTTAATAATTTTTTTCTAGTTACAAAATATTAATATTGGCCACCCTTCTCAATTTTTCTCCATTCTATTCCACTTACCATACTTTTCTAAGAATGATAGGCTGACATGGGTTAAATTTTTCAAAGAAAAAAATAATGCTTTTAGGATTTATAAATGTCAAAGTATTAATATTATTCTAATTGGAGCAAAAAAAATCTTTAAAATGTTGACAAAATTGCAGTCACTATTTTTGAACAACATGAATATGAGTAGAAAACTACAAATAAGTGTTTTTTTAAAAATTGACTGTAAAGTTTATTTTTTTAAGAAAATAATTTATCCTTTTTGTCTATCACTATAAATTATTTTATATTTGACAAATGGAAGATTGACCAATGGCTATTATAAATAAAACCAGGATAATATATTTCTAAAATTTTAAAGCCATATAAAAATCCTGTGTATCTCTTTGAATAATTCACAGACTAAAATATTGTACTGAAACTAAGAATGGAGTAAGTTGCTCTATGGGGTGGTTTATAGCTCATTGCTATTCGTAGACTATGAATTCTATTTATTTTTCAGGGATTTATCATGAGTTTAGCAAGTGCTTACAGTGGCATCTCTTATTTGTTATTTATTCATAAGAAGTTTAAGAGTTATCTGTTTATTTGGCAACTTTAATCATAATATTCTATTTTGAAGCTTTTAGAGACGCCCCAAAAAGGAAGCCTCTAGCATTCATCACTGATCTTTTCTTCCCCCTTGTCCAATGAATAAAGAATTATTCTCCCCTATGTATCAACTAGGATTATTTTGGTTGCAAATGACAGAAACCCCAATCACAAGTGAGCTAAGTAAAAAGTTAAAATTTTGTCTCCTCTAACAGCAAAGTCCAGGGAAGGACGTGCCTCAGATATGGCTTGATAAAAGGAATAAAGTAATGAAAACAGAACCAATACTCTTTATTTCTAGAACTGGTTCTGCTTACCCATATATGAAAACTTCCTTTTTACACAGGCTGTCCCCTCTGGTCAGCAGGTTGCCAGCAGCAGTTAGGGTTAAATCCTCCCAGGTTCAAACCCAATGGACAAAAGAAAAATCTGTGTTCCAGCATGCCCAAAAAAACTCTGACACATTTCTTTTAAAGTAGCTTAGGTCACATGTCCACGGCTAAGCCAATCACTGTAGCCACAGAACTATAAGGAAATAATTGTCTGAGGCCTCAGGTGGAAGTAGAGAGAGGCACCTAAATGAAACTTGGAGCTGTTGGCAGAAGGAAACAAGGATGCTGGGGTGGCAAACAATCACTAGCACCACTGCCTCCTTGGGCTCACTTTGATATTTCAAATGGCCCATTCATATGCACAAGTCACTTTACTGTGAAAAAAAAAAGTATTTTCAGTCTAGGCAGTAGATAAGTAACAAATTACAAATGCAAAATATAGTCATGAAGAACATCTTAAGATTCTTCTTTGAGGCCCCAGTCTTTAAGGAAAACAAGATCTTTTGTCAGGGTTTCAAGCAAAACATTCATGTTCAAACAAAATTGCTCTCTCCAAAACTACCCAGCATCTGAGGCTCATAGGCCTCTGCGCTGAGCTCTATCATCCTCTCACCTCCCGTCTAAATCCAGTTCCACCAGTTGAATTGTATTGTTTGCCCTAGATGACTTTAAGGTGACTTCGCTAGCTTATCTTTCTCAAAAAATATGAAGACGGCATAGTCTAGACAACTCCAGCACTCTCCTTCAATTGCATTCCTTTTTACACCTATCTTTGACCCATCCTCAGTCAGAGAATGTATACACTCTTCTAAGGTTGGTGCAAAAGTAATTGTGGTTTTGCCTTTTTTAAGTAATGGCAAAAACTGCAATTACTTTTGCATCAACCTAATAATATAAACTTTCCTACTAATCAAGGGAAGTGGTTCAGTGGTTAAGAGTCTGGGCTCTAGAGTGAGATTGCCTGAATTCAGATATTGACTCTCCTTAACTAGCTGTGAAACCTTAGACAAGTGGCTTCATAAAAATCCCAAGCCTCCTCAACTTCTTCATCTGTGAAATTAGAAAAATTTTATTTTCCCCAGCAATCTAATCTAGCTAGTTAGCTACCTATCTCCCATATGGTTAATTGAGATAATATATATAAAATGCTCAACTCAACATCTGCACATAGTCAGCCTTCAAATATACGAATTGCTGTATTTTGATTGATAGTGTATTACCACCTTCCTTTAACCCAATAGTCTCATTTCTCTGCTCCTCTTTATAGCAAACTTAAAAGAGCTGTCCATACTAACTTCATTTCTCAAAGCGTCTTTGTTCACATCTGTGTTCTGTGTGTTTTGACTACAGTGTTGAGTATGAGACCTGTGTGCCCACTACCGAGCTAGCTCACCAGCATATTTCCAACCACTTCATTTGTCCTGCTTTGGTCAGGGGATAAGGCCACCCTAGGATGTCCCAGCTCCCCAGCAATAATAACAACTTTCCTTTCCAAGACTGATCACAGGAAATAAAGAACAGAAGGAAGGGGAGAGAAACAACCAGACACCAGGGAGAGTCCTGGGAACAGGAGCTCACTCAGAGCAGAGTCCACATTCACTCAGCTCCCAGAGTGGTTCTCTTCTGTTCCTCTCCCCAGTTTTGCCCATATTCTTTCCTCTCTTATGAGTAGTTCTTTTGCCTCTCCTTTCTCTCTTCCCCAGCCCAAGTATTACCTAGTTTCTGAGAGCTCAGAGAACCTCTCTGAATCTCCCTGTCATTTTAGCCACTGGCCTCTCTTTAAAAATTTCCTGGTCTTTGGGGCTGCTTCAGATGCAGGTGGCAGTTGTCTACACAACAGTCTAAAAGGAGGGTCTGTCAGGATACTACAGAAGAAATAAATACTCAAAACATGGATTAATACCTTATGATATTATCCAACCACAACTTTTGTTGTTGTAATTCTTTTCATTGTTGTTGTTCCAACTGATGTTAATATTAGCATCTCCAAAACTCACACTTCCAACAACAATGTAGAGCTGAAATTTTATTTTCCAGGAAAAAAAAAGAGAGGTAGGTTTGAAAAAGATCTTTACTCGGGGAGAAATAACTTCAGTTTAGTATTCTCTGTTCAATAACCTACTTATTATCTTTAAAGTAATCAACCACTCGGGGGTAGAGCCAAGATGGCCGAATAGGAACAGCTCCAGTCTACAGCTCCGAGCATGAGCCATGCAGAAGACGGGTGATTTCTGCATTTCCATCTGAGGTACCAGGTTCATCTCACTAGGGAGTGCCAGACAGTGGGTGCAGGACAGTGGGTGCAGCGCGCCATGTGCGAGCCGAAGCAGGGCGAGGCATTGCCTCACTCGGGAAGCGCAAGGGGTCAGGGAGTTCCCTTTCCTAGTCAAAGAAAGGAGTGACAGATGGCACCTGGAAAATCGGGTCACTCCACTCTAATACTGCACTTTTTCAACGGGCTTAAAAAATGGCACACGGCCGGGCGCGGTGGCTCACGCCTGTAATCCCAGCACTTTGGGAGGCCGAGGCGGGCGGATCACGAGGTCAGGAGATCGAGACCATCCTGGCTAACATGGTGAAACCCCGTCTCTACTAAAAAAATACAAAAAATTAGCCGGGCGAGGTGGCGGGTGCCTGTAGTCCCAGCTACTCGGGAGGCTGAGGCAGGAGAATGGCGTGAACCCCAGTGGGCGGAGCCTGCAGTGAGCCGAGATTGCGCCACTGCACTCCAGCCTGGGCGACAGCGAGACTCCGTCTCAAAAAAAAAAAAAAAAAAAAAAATGGCACACCAGGAGATTATATCCCGCACCTCGCTCGGAGGGTCCTACGCCCAGAGTCTCACTGATTGCTAGCACAGCAGTCTGAGATCAAACTGCAAGGCAGCAGCAAGGCTGGGGGAGGGGCACCTGCCATTGCCCAGGCTTGATTAGGTAAACAAAGCAGCCGGGAAGCTCGAACTGGATGGAGCCCACCACAGCTCAGGGAGGCCTCTGTAGGCTCCAACTCTGGGGGCAGAGCACAGACAAACAAAAAGACAGCAGTAACCTCTGCAGACTTAAATGTCCCTGTCTGACAACTTTGAAGAGAGTAGTGGTTCTCCCAGCACGCAGCTGGACATCTGAGAACAGGCAGACTGCCTCCTCAAGTGGGTCTCTGAACCCCGAGCAGCCTAACTGGGAGGCACCCCCCAGTAGGGGCAGACTGACACCTCACACGGCCGGGTACTCCTCTGAGACAACACTTCCAGAGGAACGATCAGGCAGCAGCATTTGCGGTTCACCAAAATGCTCTGTTCTACAGCCACCACTGTTCTGCAGCCACGACTGCCGATACCCAGGCAAACAGGGTCTGGAGTGGACCTCTAGCAAACTCCAACAGACCTGCAGCTGAGAGTCCTGTCTGTTAGAAGGAAACCTAACAAACAGAAAGGACATCTACACCAAAAACCCATCTGTACGTCACCATCATCAAAGACCAAAAGTACATAAAACCACAAAGATGGGGAAAAAACAGCAGAAAAACTGGAAACTCTAAAAAGCAGAGCACCTCTCCTCCTCCAAAGGAATGCAGTTCCTCACCAGCAACAGAACAAAGCTGGACGGAGAATGACTTTGATGAGTTGAGAGAAGAAGGCCTCAGACAATCAAACTACTCTGAGCTACAGGAGAAAATTCAAATCAATGGCAAAGAAGTTAAAAGCTTTGAAAAAAATTAGACAAATGTATAACTAGAATAACCGCAGAGCAGTCCTTAAAGGACTGAGGGAGCTCAAATCCAAGGCTCGAGGACTACGTGAAGAATGCAGAAGCCTCAGGAGCCGATGCGATCAACTGGAAGAAAGGCTATCAGTGATGGAAGATGAAATGAATGAAATGAAGCGAGAAGGGAAGTTTAGAGAAAAAACAATAAAAAGAAACAAACAAAGCCTCCAAGAAATATGGGACTATGTGAAAAGACCAAATTTACGTCTGATTGGTGTACCTGAAAGTGACGGGGAGAATGGAACCAAGTTGGAAAACATGCTGCAGGATATTATCCAGGAGAACTTCCCCAATCTAGCAAGGCAGGCCAACATTCAGATTCAGGAAATACAGAGAACGCCACAAAGATACTCCTTGAGAAGAGCAACTCCAAGACACATAATTGTCAGATTCACCAAAGTTGAAGTGAAGGAAAAAATGTTAAGGGCAGCCAGAGGGAAAGGTCGGGTTACCCACAAAGGGAAGCCCATCAGACTAACAGCAGATCTCTCAGCAGAAACTCTACAAGCCAGAAGAGAGTGGGGGCCAATATTCAACATTCTTCAAGAAAAGAATTTTCAACCCAGAATTTCATATCCAGCCAAACTAAGCTTCATAAGTGAAGGAGAAATAAAATACTTTACAGACAAGCAAATGCTGAGAGATTCTGTCACCACCCAGGCCTGCCCTAAAAGAGCTCCTGAAGGAAGCACTAAACATGGAAAGGAACAACCAGTACCAGCCACTGCAAAAACATGCCAAATTGTAAAGACCATCAAAGCTAGGAAGAAACTGCATCAACTAACAGGCAAAATAACCAGCTAACATCATAATGACAGGATCAAATTCACACATAACAATATTAACTTTAAATGTAAATGGGCTAAATGCTCCAATTAAAAGAAACAGACTGGCAAATTGGATAAAGAGTCAAGACCCATCAGTGTGCTGTATTCAGGAAACCCATCTCATAGGCAGAGACACTCATAGGCTCAAAATAAAGGGATGGAGGAAGATCTACCAAGCAAATGGAAAAAAAAAAAAAAAAGGCAGGGGTTGCAATCCTAGTCTCAGATAAAACAGACTTTAAACCAACAAAGATCAAAAGAGACAAAGAAGGCCATTACATAATGGTAAAGGGATCAATTCAACAAGAAGAGCTAACTATCCTAAATATATATGCACCCAAAACAGGAGCACCCAGATTCATAAAGCAAGTCCTTACAGACCTACAAAGAGACTTAGACTCCCACACAATAATATTGGGAGACTTTAACACCCCACTGTCAACATTAGACAGATCAACGAGACAGAAAATTAACAAGAACACCCAGGAATTGAACTCAGCTCTGCACCAAGCAGACCTAATACACATCTAAAGAACTCTCCACCCCAAATCAACAGAATATACATTTTTTTCAGCACTACACTACACCTATTCCAAAATTGACCACATAGTTGGAAGTAAAGCTCTCCTCAGCAAATGTAAAAGAACAGAAATTATAACAAACTGTCTCTCAGACCACAGTGCAATCAAACTAGAACTCAGGATTAAGAAACTCATTCAAAACCGCTCAACTACATGGAAACTCAACAACCTGCTCCTGAATGACTACTGGGTACATAACAAAATGAAGGCAGAAATAAAGATGTTCTTTGATACCAATGAGAACAAAGACACAACACACCACAATCTCTGGGACACATTCAAAGCAGTGTGCAGAGGGAAATTTATAGCACTAAATGCCCACAAGAGAAAGCAGGAAAGATCCAAAATTGACACCCTAACATCACAATTAAAAGAACTAGAAAAGCAAGAGCAAACACATTCAAAAGCTAGCAGAAGGCAAGAAATAACTAAAATCAGAGCAGAACTGAAGGAAATAGAGACACAAAAAAACCCTTCAAAAAATTAATGAATCCAGGAGCTGGTTTTTTGAAAAGAACAACAAAACTGATAGACTGCTAGCAAGACTAATAAAGAAAAGAGAGAAGAATCAAATAGATGCAATAAAAAATGATAAAGGGGATATCACCACCAATCCCACAGAAATACAAACTACCATCAGAGAATACTACAAACACCTCTACCCAAATAAACTAGAAAATCCAGAAGAAATGGATAAATTCCTCGACACATACACTATCCCAAGACTAAACCAGGAAGAAGTTGAATCTCTGAATAGACCAATAACAGGCTCTGAAATTGTGGCAATAATCAATAGCTTACCAACCAAAAAGAGTCCAGGACCAGATGGATTCACAGCTGAATTCTACCAGAGGTACAAGGAGGAGCTGGTACAATTTCTCATGAAACTATTCCAATCAATAGAAAAAGAGGAAATCCTCCCTAACTCATTTTATGAGGCCAGCATCATCCTGATACCAAACGCTGGCAGAGACACAACCAAAAAAGAGAATTTTAGACCAATATCCTTGATGAACATCGATGCAAAAATCCTCAATAAAATACTGGCAAACTGTATCCAGCAGCACATCAAAAAGCTTATCCAACATGATCAACTGGGCTTCATCCCTGGGATGCAAGGCTGGTTTAACATATGCAAATCAATAAATGTAATCCAGCATTTAAACGGAACCAAAGGGAAAAACCACATGATTATCGCAATAGATGCAGAAAAGGCCTTTGACAAAATTCAACATCCCTTCATGCTAAAAACTCTCAATAATTTAGGTATTGATGGGACTTATCTCAAAATAATAAGAGCTATCTATGACAAACCCACAGCCAATATCATACTGAATGGGCAAAAACTGGAAGCATTCCATTTGAAAACTGGCACAATACAGGGATGCCCTCTCTCACCACTCCTAGTCAACATAGTCTTGGAAGTTCTGGCAAGGGCAATTAGGCAGGAGAAGGAAATAAAGGGTATTCAATTAGGAAAAGAGGAAGTCAAATTGTCCCTGTTCGCAAATGACATGTCTGTATATCTAGAAAACTCTGTTGTCTCAGCCGAAAATCTCCTTAAGCTGATAAGCAACTTCAGCAAAGTCTCAGGATACAAAATCAATGTACAAAAATCACAAGCATTCTTATACACCAATAACAGACAAACAGAGAGCCAAATCATGAGTGAACTCCCATTCACAATTGCTTCAAAGAGAATAAAATACCTAGGAATCCAACTTACAAGGGACATGAAGGAACTCTTCAAGGAGAACTACAAACCACTGCTCAATGAAATAAAAGAGGATACAAAGAAATGGAAGAACATTCCATGCTCATGGGCAGGAAGAATCAATATCGTGAAAATAGCCTAATGCCCAAGATAATTTATAGATTCAATGCCATCCCCATCAAGCTACCAATGACTTTCTTCACAGAATTGGAAAAAAATACTTTAAAGTTCATATGGAACTAAAAAAGAGCCCACATCGCCAAGTCAATCCTAAGCCAATTGAACAAAGCTGGAGGCATCATACTACCTGACTTCAAACTATACTACAAGGCTACAGTAACCAAAACAGCATGCTACTGGTACCAAAACAGAGATATAGATCAATGGAACAGAACAGAGCCCCTCAGAAATAATGCCGCATATCTACAACCATCTGATCTTTGACAAACCTGAGAAAAACAAGCAATGGGGAAAGGATTCCCTATTTAATAAATGGTGCTGGGAAAACTGACTAGCCATATGTAGAAAGCTGAAACTGGATCCCTTCCTTACACCTTATACAAAAATTAATTCAAGATGGATTAAAGACTTAAACATTAGACCTAAAACCCTAAAAACCCTAGAAGAAAACCTAGGCAATACCATTCAGGACATAGGCATGGGCAAGGACTTCATGTCTAAAACACCAAAAGCAATGGCAACAAAAGCCAAAATTGACAAATGGGATCTAATTAAACTAAAGAGCCTCTGCACAGCAAAAGAAACTACCATCAGAGTGAACAGGCAACCTACAAAATGGGAGAAAATTTTCGCAACCTACTCATCTGACAAAGGGCTAATATCCAGAATCTACAATGAACTCAAACAAATTTACAAGAAAAAAACAAACAACCCCATCAAAAAGTGGGCGAAGGACATGAACAGACACTTCTCAAAAGAAGATATTTATGCAGCCAAAAAACACATGAAAAAATGCTCATCATCACTGGCCATCAGAGAAATGCAAATCAAAACCACAATCAGATACCATCTCACACCAGTTAGAATGGCAATCATTAAAAAGTCAGGAAACAACAGGTGCTGGAGAGGATGTGGAGAAATAGGAACACTTTGACACTGTTGGTGGGATTGTAAACTAGTTCAACCATTGTGGAAGACAGTGTGGCGATTCCTCAGGGATCTAGAACTAGAAATACCATTTGACCCAGCCATCCCATTACTGGATATATATCCAAAGGACTATAAATCATGGTGCTATAAAGACACATGCACACGTATGTTTATTGTGGCACTATTCACAATAGCAAAGACTTGGAACCAACCCAAATGTCCAACAACGATAGACTGGATTAAGAAAATGTGCCACATATACACCATGGAATACTATGCAGCCATAAAAAATGATGAGTTCATGTCCTTTGTAGGGACACGGATTAAGCTGGAAACCATCATTCTCACCAAACTATCACAAGGACAAAAAACCAAACACCACACGTTCTCACTCATAGGTGGGAATTGAACAATGAGAACACATGGACACAGGAAGGGGAACATCACACTCTGGGGACTGTTGTGGGGTGGGGGGAGGGGCGAAGAATAGCATTAGTAGATATACCTAATGCTAAATGACGAGTTAATGGGTGCAGCACACCAATATGGCACATGTATACATATGTAACAAACCTGCACATTGTGCACATGTACCCTAAAACTTAAAGTATTATAATAATAAAAAAATAAAAAAATAATCAACCATTCATTGAATAAATTATTGTACATCTCTGCTGTGAAAAGAATGCAGCCATTAAAAGATTGAGGTAGCTCTCTATGTACTGCTATGAAACAATCTTTAAGATATTGCTAAATTTTAAAAAGCAGATTACACAACTGCTTAATCTCATTTGTGGTATGTATTTTTTAAATAATTATATTTTAATTTCTTTTGTATGCCTCTAAATTATGCTTTGGTGTATATGCATACAAAATGTTGAAGACATACATTAGAAACTACTGAAAGGCATTACCTCTGGCAATTGAAACATTAGGTTACAAATAGAATAATCACTTTTAACTTATTTTTTATTGTTTGATTTTTTCCATGTATACAGCATTTTATAATATGAAAATAAATAAAATTTAGTTATTTACTCAACTATACCTGAAGGTCTAGGTTCCTTTAAAGCACACATAAGTTATATCAATAAGGGATACAGATTTATGGTCATAAAAACAAATGAAAACATGGCTTAGTCATGGGAACTTAATTCAAAATTCTGTCCTCAAACTGTCTCTTCTCCATGCAGGGTCTGAGAAGTACATATACATGGAAGGAAATATGTGCACAGAGGGAAATGGCCATCAAGTAAACACCCTACTTCTCTAAGCCTGTGGCCCAGCACTATAAGCTGTGGTAGGCCACCAAGAGACTCCTTATGCCAAGGGGTCAGGAAAGTATATGAAACCTGGAGCCAAAACAACAAAAATGGTCTGCTTTGCCCACTCCCTCCCATACCCTCAACCAAATATGAGGTACTCCCACTCTTAAGAAAGGAAGACTAATACAGAACCAGCCAAAGAGAAAAACAGAGCAATAGTACATTTGCTCATGCCCAGAGCAGAGATAGCTGGTCTAGAATTCTGAGCCCAAAATTGTTCTTGGAAAACAGGCTATCAACTGAGTGGCCATTAAGAGGAGGCTCTCAAGAGAGGTGGACCCCAAGACAGAGAGAAACCACACCCAGCACTTGAGCATTAGTCACCCCCATTGGCCCTGTGCAAGAGCCTTCCCTTTGTGGTGCAGTCAATGCCCTTTCCCAAATCATCACTGGTCAAGGAATAAGGAAGATAATCTACATCTGATAAAAGCCAACTTCATGTTTACATTGTACAGAGTATTTCTTCAAGATACCATCTGATTGGCGAAGTCACTTTCAAAAACGTATTTTCAAATGGTCATTGATGTATTTCCCTTGATTAAATATGTCATCTTTCATTTGAGAATTAATTAGAGTTAAATGTGGCTAGTATTCTAAAAGTTGATGAGTTAATCTGGTAGAGACATTAACACTGAGAAACCAACTGACAAAATGCATCATATCAAATACAACATCAAGGACTACTTCGCTGAAATAACTACAGCATCATCTTTAAGTGTTTTTCCACATAAGACAGCACTTAAAATGCGCAATCCCCAACACTGTCTCACCACAACACACACACACACACACACACACACACACACACACACACACACACAAATACAGTCAGAGGGCCAGGTTATGGGATTTGTTTTAAATGTTCATTGGGGCAATATCCAAAATACTGGTCACAGGTATTTATTCATAACATCTTTAACATCTATATATTCCAGAATATCAAACATAGTAGATCAGCAATAAATATTCATGGAACAAATGAAGAAACACTCAAAAATTAAGAAACTTTAAACCAAAACAATATTTTTTTCTTTTCTGTTAACCCTGTTTATTAACATTTCTATTCAATTTTTCCAATCTTTTCTTGTATCTCTCCTAATAATGTAATAGAATTTTTTTCTTTTTTGAGACAGAGTCTCGTTCTGTCACCCAGGCTGGAGGGCAGTGGCACCATCTCGGCTCACTGCAAGCTCCGCCTCCTGGGTTCACGCCATTCTCCTGCCTCAGCCTCCCAAGTAGCTGGGACTACAGGCACCCAGCACCATGCCTGGCTAATTTTTTTTATTTTTTTAGTAGAGACGGGGTTTCACTGTGTTAGCCAGGGTGGTCTCGATCTCCTGACCTCATGATCTGCCCATCTCAGCCTCCCAAAGTGCTGGGATTACAGGTGTGAGCCACCGCACCCGGCCTTTAATGGATTTTTTTAATCATCTTCAGAACTGAAAATGTTTCTTGGTGAAAATAACAGGTAATGATAAATTTGGGTACTGTCACACTTCAGTCCTCCTCCACCAACTATGTATTTAAGAAACTTAAATAGCTACTACCATTTTGAATTTGCTAAAGAATTTGATGAATATGTTCAATAACGCAGAGTTGAAAATGTCCTTAGGGTCACTTGTCGGACTCTAGTACCCAAAACAGTGAAGCAGGTGAAAAGAAACATGCTTCTCAGGAAGCCTGGACAGCGCAGGAGATAAACTCATAGTAGTTGCCTCTTTAGACTCGTGGTGCAGGCCTTGCAAAATGATCAAGCCTTTCTTGCATTCTCTCTCTGAAAAGTATACCAGAGTGGTGTTCCTTGAGGTAGATATAGATGGCTGTCAGGATGTTACTTCAGAGTGGAAGTCTAATGCATGCCAACTTTCCACTTTTTAAAAACGGAATAAAAGGTGAGTGAATTTTCTGGAGCTAACAAAGGAAAATTTGAAGGCACCATTAATGAATTAATCTAACCATGTATTCTGAAAACATAACCAGCCAATGGATGTTTAAAACACATAATTTTTTTACGTTCAGAAAAGAAAGGTGAAGTATGAAGACTACATACCCAACTGTCATCAATTATAAATGACAAATATTTATGCTACCCTTTAAAAAAGAAGATGTATATTAAAAATTAGCAGTCTGAATTGTTTACACAACCTATACACATGGATACTACATGCCCACTTTCTGATGACAACCCAGTAGGTTAAACATAGACATCTCTGGTTATTAGTTAAGATTTGGGAATTATGATTCAAACTACCTCAGTGCCTATAGAATCAAATATCTGGTCCTAAACCAGGATTAGCTGTAGCAAAGATGTTGGTTTAGTTGAGGGTGTACGATAACAGGGCTGCTGAAGACCATAAATCCCTGTTGGTGGGTAAGCCACTCAGAATGTAATCAGTAAATTATAATGGAGGATGGTTTGAGATGTAGTTGAAAATAATGGTAGAAAGACTGGGGTAGAATTACAGACTGCTGTATACTAGGCTAAATATATTGAACTTTATTCTGTTGCAATGGAAACCCATCAAGAGATTTTCAGTAATGTGGTAACATGACTTTAATCAGGAGTCAGCAAACAATAGTCTGAGGGCCAAATCTGCCATTCTTATAAATAAAGTAGTATTGGAACACAGCCACACTCATTCTTTGTAAGTTATCTGTGTTTGCCTTTGCTCTATAAAGGGAAATAATTGAGTAGTTGCAATAGACACCAGGCCTATATGGCCCATAAAACCTAAAATGTTTACAATCTGGCCCTTTACAGAAAAAGTCTGCTGACCCCTAATTTAGACTCGTGTTTTAGAAAGAACTTTCAGAGCAGAAGACAAATATTAGGCAGAGGGCAGACAGACTACTTCAGAGATTATCACTTGTGAATGTTTTCGGCAGTTCCAGTGAATGAAAGGAGGGACTAGAAAGAAATGGCTTCTGTGAGAATGAAAATCTTCATTCTTACCAATACCTTGCAAGGGCCAAAAGAATTCTGAAACACTACTTGATATGGTTTGGCTGTGTCTCCATCCAAATCTCATCTTGAATTGTAGCTCCCATAATCCCCATGTGTCATGGGAGGGACCCAGTGGGAGGTAACTGAATCACGGGGGCGTGTTTCTCCTGTGCTGTTCTCGTGATAGTGAGTAAGTCTCACAAGATCTGATGGTTTTATAAAAGGCAATTTCCCTGCACACACTCTCTTGCCTGCTGCCATGCCTTTGCTCTTCCTTCACTTTCCGCCATGATTGTGAGGTCTCCCCAGCCATGTGGAACTATGAGTCTATTAAAACTTTTTTTCTATATAATTACCCAGTCTTGGGTATTTCTTCATAGCAGTATGAAAATGGACTAATACATTACTTGTAAATTATCTTCTCAAATTCCATAGTTCTTAGCCATCCAGAAGAATTAAAAGTTCATCAAAATGCCTACCTTTCATATAGTTTCAATAAAAATCCCAAACTCAAACTTCTTTCAAGTACTTATAGTCTGGCCTATTATTTATTTACTTAACCCCTACTAAGTACAAAAGCTGGGAGCATAAATATATAAAGCTACCATCCTTGAAAAATTTGAAGTCTATTAGATGGAATCGTAAAAGGAAATTCCTAATTTCCAAATAAAGTAGTAATGGTGGCCTAAGAATTGAGGAAATTATAATTTCTTACTTTGTAGGAATACCAATATCAATTAACCACCAAATCTTCTCTTTCAACCCAAACTGTGAGTCAAAAAATGTTTACATATCTCAACTACCTTCATGAGAATATGGTTCAATTTCAAAAAAAATGCAAAATTCCATTTACTTCTACAGAAGTAAACATTATAAGTTACCCAAATTCAGTTGGCCATGGAAGTTTTTTGGCCCTTAGCACTTAGTAGCATGACATAATTTTCCATAATCTGGAAAATTGTAGTTTCATAATTCCAAAGAGCAGAATTTAAATTTAACAATTTAGCTAAACAAAGATATATAAGCCGGGCGCGGTAGCTCACTCCTGTAATCCCAGCACTATGGGAGGCCGAGGCGGGCGGATCACCTGACATCAGGAGTTTGAGACCAGCCCGGCTAACATAATGAAACCACATCTCTACTAAAAATACAAAATTAGCTGGGCATGGTGGTACGTGCCTGTAATCCCAGCTACTCAGGAGGCTGAGGCAGGAGAATCACTTGAACCTGGGAGGCAGAGGTTGCAGTGAGCCAGGATTGTGCCACTGTACTCCAGCCTGGGTGACAGAGTGAGACTCCATCTCAAAAAAAAAAAAAGGTATACATTTGCCTATCTGGGTGTCTGATTCATTGTAGCAGCCCAAATATTTAATTATCTGATTATTTTACTGTTTGGTATTGCATAGGCCCAACTGTAATCCTATAGCCTTCACAAAGAAAGAAGCATTTGCCTGTGTTTAAAGAAGCAAATGGCCATATATCAAACAAGCTTGGTTAATTATAGATGAGTTGAAAGAATTTGCTCAAATATAAGATTTTATGAAAAATCTACTTAAAACTTCTGCTCCCTACATCATTTCTTAAACCATCTAAAAACAGTAGTTTCTACTATCTGCCAGGAACACACACACACACACAGGTATAATTTTTTTTTTTTTTTGGAGACACAGTCTTGTTCCATCGCCCAGGCTGGAGTGCAGTGGTGTGATCGCAGTTTACTGCAGCCTCGACCTCCCAGCTCAGTAGATTCTCCTACCTCAGCCTCCCAAGTGTCTGGAATTAACATGCACGCCACCATACCCAGCTAATTTTTTTATTTTTTGTAGTGACAGAGTCTCACTATGTTACCCAGGCTGGCCTCAAACTCCTGGGCTGAAGCTACTCACCTGCCTTGGCTTCCCAAAGTACTAGGATTACAGGTGTGAGCCACTGTTCCCAGCCTACATTGTTAAAATAAATATATTTTTTAAATAAGCAAAAAAAAATTAAACACATTAAATATTTCAAATAAACATATTGATACATACCATATGATCAGAAAAGTACTTAAGTCTTAAGTTTGCCAGTGAATTATCCCAAAATGAACACACTTTCAGAAAATCCATGGAATGTAGGCAATAGCATCCCTCATTAATAGGCAAAGAAATTAAACCTTAGGGAAATTACGTAATTTGCCCAAGGGTACATAGCTGACAAACAGAAGATGCAGGAATTTGGAACAGACCCCCGGAGTTACTTGGAAAAATACTACAAGCCCAACCCTGCCAGAGAAGAAGCACAAAACACCATAAATGACTTGCACATTTGCTGGTTCGATTCTTACTCACAGTTTGCTTGCTTGTGCTATGCCAGATCTGCAAGTTAACTCAACTTCTAAACCTCTCATTCTTTCATTCTTCACCACCCAGGCCTGATTATCCCTCTCCATACAGGTCTGATGTCCTGGCTTCCTGATCTCCATCTTGTTCTTGGCCACAGTCAACTACTGACTCCCTGGTCTTCATTTTCTGGCTCCCAAATCACTGGCTTAATTCAGACCCGGACATCTGTCTGGCTCTTTCCTGACCCCCTGCTGACCCAACCCAATCCTGCTATTGCCCACACAAGTGCATCCAGGGGAGGGGTTGACAGTTCTCACTGAAACCATCTTGATCATTCAGATCATTTGCCAATCAGGCAACTCTTCTGCTGCTGGCTTTCAGGGCCACTCCAGAATTAAGCAATACATTATGTTTACTAGGAGGAGAGGAGTTCCTTTCTACTAGTGGATCACGTGCTAGTGCTGTATTAGCCATGACTACTTTCAGCATGACCTATTCAATTTACTTAATTTAAGACAATATTCAGATGTATGTGGAGAAAAAAATTATTGTATCAATTTCCTTTCTGCCTTCTGCTTTGAATTCTCAACTGACTTTAATTAATTAAATGTGTTAACATCATGAGTTTGGCCTCAGAAGCTACTTAAATGTCTTGAAGCAAAGCAAACTGGACAGGTCTTCTTGCTGTCATTAATCTGTAGAACCATGCAGGTCCTGTGTTCTGGTGCCATTTGAACATTCTTAAGCCTAACACCAAAAACAAAATCAAAATGTACTCAAGGTTCCCCAGACTGCCCATTTCTAAGAAAAAGTCAATAATGAGCCCAGAATACCCATGATGTGAGTCCCTAGAGGGTATCACAGAGCATTAGGATTAATGATTACTGAGCAGAGATGCTATCATTGTCTTGGTCCAGTTTCGTTTCCAATTAACTGTCTGAGATAAACCCACAATCCAATAACCAGTATTAAACATTCAGAATAATATCTAAGATTTAAAACAAAAGATATTCTAACCAGAATAGAAAATATAAAATTTCTATTAAACACAGATAAAAGATGAGATATGAATGATAAACAGGTTTAGTAGAAAAGAGAATATGCCACAGGAAAAACATGATAGATGTGCACTAAGCATGTTTGTCTAGAATTTTTTTAAGGTTTACGGACCATTATTCCATGTTCCAAATAGGTCACTTCATGGTTATTGCCACTGAGTGACCATTCATAACTAGTATCTATTCAAGTACATAATGCATGAAACTATTCACAGTGTACGTATTCATTGTCCCAATTATCTCAGTTTTTGGAATGTGAATCTTCAAACACCAAAGGTGCATTCAGTTAAGGCTATGGTACGGGTATAAATGGTAAGAGTTGAAAGTCAGACAAGACAGAAGACAAGGCACTGTGCCATAAGATAACACAGAATAGGATATATACATCAAGAAGTATGAGTACTAAACTATTTAGAATACATAGTTTTCTTTATGTGGAATGGTTTAGGCTGTTTTTGGTTATATTTTATGGGTTTTCCGTAAGAAGTATGTAAAGCTTTAAATAATTTTTTAAACAGAACAATGGGGAAAGGACTCCTTATTCAATAAATGGTGCTGGGATAACTGGCCATTGAGATGCAGAAAATTGAAACTTTTCCCTTTCCTTTCATTATATTCAAAAATTAATTTAAGATAAATTAAAGACCTAAACATAAAAACTAAAACAATAAAAACCCTAGTAGAAAACCTAGGAAATACTATTCTGGACATCAACGACATCAACCTTGATAAAAGAATTTATGACTAAGTCCCCAAAAGCAACTGCAACCAAAAAAAAATTGACAAGTGGGATTTAATTAAACTAAAGAGCTTCTGTATAGCAAAAGAAACTATCAACAGAGTAAACAGACAACCTACAGAATGAGAGAAAATACTTGCACTCTACGAATCCAACAAAGGTCTACTATCCAAAATAGATGAGGAACTTAAACCAATTAGCAAGCAAAAAAAAAATAACCTCATTAAAAAATGGGCAAGTCAATCCTACGCCAAAAGAACAAAGCTGGAGGCATCATACTACCTGACTTCAAACTATACTACAAGGCTACAGTAACCAAAACAGCATGCTACTGGTACCAAAACAGAGATATAGATCAATGGAACAGAACAGAGCCCTCAGAAATAATGCCACATATCTACAACTATCTGATCTTTGACAAACGTGAGAAAAACAAGCAATGGGGAAAGGATTCCCTATTTAATAAATGGTGCTGGGAAAACTGACTAGCCATATGTAGAAAGCTGAAATTGGATCCCTTCCTTACACCTTATACAAAAATCAATTCAAGATGGATTAAAGACTTAAACGTTAGACCTAAAACCATAAAAACCCTAGAAGAAAACCTAGGCATTACCATTCAGGACATAGGCATGGGCAAGGACTTCATGTCTAAAACACCAAAAGCAATGGCAACAAAAGACAAAATTGACAAATGGGATCTAATTCAACTAAAGAGCTTCTGCACAGCAAAAGAAACTACCATCAGAGTGAACAGGCAGCCTACAAAATGGGAGAAAATTTTCGCAACCTACTCATCTGACAAAGGGCTAATATCCAGAATCTACAATGAACTCAAATAAATTTACAAAAAAAAAAACAAACAACCCCATCAAAAAGTGGGCGAAGGAAATGAACAGACACTTCTCAAAAGAAGACATTTATGCAGCCAAAAAACACATGAAAAAATGCTCATCATCACTGGCCATCAGAGAAATGCAAATCAAAACCACAATCAGATACCATCTCACACCAGTTAGAATGGCAATCATTAAAAAGTCAGGAAACAACAGGTGCTGGAGAGGATGTGGAGAAATAGGAACACTTTGACACTGTTGGTGGGATTGTAAACTAGTTCAACCATTGTGGAAGACAGTGTGGCGATTCCTCAGGGATCTAGAACTAGAAATACCATTTGACCCAGCCATCCCATTACTGGGTATATACCCAAAGGACTATAAATCATGCTGCTATAAAGACACATGCACATGTATGTTTACTGCAGCACTATTCACAATAGCAAAGACTTGGAACTAACCCAAATGTCCAACAATGATAAACTGGATTAAGAAAATGTGGCACATATACACCATGGAATACTATGCAGCCATAAAAAATGATGAGTTCATGTCCTTTGTAGGGACATGGATGAAATTGGAAATCATCATTCTCAGTAAACTATCGCAAAAACAAAAAACCAAACACCGCATATTCTCACTCATAGGTGGGAATTGAACAATGAGAACACATGGACACAGGAAGGGGAACATCACACTCTGAGTACTGTTGTGGGGTGGGGGGAGGGGGGAGGGATAGTATTGGGAGATATACCTAATGCTAGATGACGAGTTAATGGGTGCAGCGCACCAGCATGGCACATGTATACATTGTAACTAACCCGCTCATTGTGCACATGTACCCTAAAACTTAAAATATAATAATAATAAATAAATAAATAAATAAAATTTAAAAAAATAAAAGCTTTGCTTGGCTGGTAAAAAAAAAAAAAGGGCAAAGGACATGAACAGACACTTCGCAAAAGAAGACATATATGTGGCCAACAAATATATGAAAAAAGTTCATCATCACTAATCATCAGAGAAATGCAAATCAAATCCACAAGATACCATCTTACACCTGTCAAAATGGCTATTACTAAAAAGTAAAAAAAAAATAAAAACCTGAAGAGATTGTGGAGAAAAGCAGTCACTGCAGAAAACTGTGGAAATTTCTCAAAGAACATAAAACAGAACTACCATTTGACCCAGAAATCCCACAACTGGGTATATACCCGAAAGAAAATAAATAGTTCTACAAAAAAAAAGACACATGCACTCGTATGTTCACTGCAGCTTCAGAATAGCAAAGACATAGAATCAACCAAGATGCCCATCACTGGTGGGACTGGATTAACGAAATGTGGTACATATGCAACATGGAATACTACACAGCCATAAAAAAGCATGAAATCGTTCCCTTTACAGCAACATGGGTGTAGCTGGAGGCCATTATTCTAAGCAAACTAAAGCAGGAAGAGAAAACCAAATACCACTTATAAGTGGTAGCTAAACATTAAATACAAATGGACACAAAGATGGGAACAATAGACAGTGTAGACTGCTTGAGAGGGTGGGGAGGAAAACGTGGTTTGGAAGACTACCTATTGGGTGCTGTGCTCACTGCCTTGGTGATGGGATCATTTGTACACCAAGCCTCAGTGACACACAATTTACCCATGTAACAAATCAGCACATATATCAGCACATGAACCTAAAATAAAAGTAGAAATTAAAATAAAATAACCTTTTTATAAAAAGATACTTGTCCATTCTCCAATTACTACAACCCAGGCCAGTAGTGATAGACATATTTTAAGAGAAAATGTATTTTCTGTCCTCTCCAATCAAAAATCCAGTATTTATTCTTAGAACAAAGGCAAATTTATCAAGCTAAATGTTTTAAATACTATGTCAACCACTAAAACTCTGTTCCCTAAGATGGTGTGTTAGATTTATTGGTTGGAAACTTCCCCACAACAGCAGTAACTAGTTAATTAATTAATACAAACTATCCTGAGAGTTCCTAGTTCTTTAAAGTTAGACTTCAAAGTATTTTTAGTAAATTACAATCAGCAATTCCCTCTAAATCTTGGGAGCAGAGCTTAACTGCTAAAGAGTGCCAGCATCTGGAGCACTAGCATGAGGTTTTATTTGATGTTCTTTATTATTCAAAAAGAATTTGTTTTTAAAAGGAGAGATCCGAACCATCAGAGGCAACAAACAAATGCTCTGCATGGCTGAGTCTATCAGTTATCAATTCATGATACCTTTAGAAAACTCCTTTGAAGATCCTCAGGCACTGCAAATTTCACTTAGTTCTGCTTTGCTATTTGTGCCAGAAATCAGAGTTTCAGAAATGGAAAATGAAGGAAATGTACTCTAGACTGTTTAAAACACACATGCAACTACATCCATGGGGTGAGCCTGAAATGACAAAAACCATTTCTTTACACTGGTTTGAGAGCTTCATCTCTGTGTTTTAGGTTTATATAGTTTACAATCACCACAGACAGCATAATTGATTTAGAAAACATTAAACAACATGAAATCATAATCACCAGGAGCATGTGTTGGGATAAAACCTCCATAATGTTAATGATAATGTTACCTCTTACATCCCCAACATCTGAAGTACAATTTGTCATTAATTCTTTATTAAGCCTTTTCATTTATAATGTGGCTTCTAATTGTGATTAATTAGAGAATTCAAGCTCCTTCCAAATGAAGCTAAGTGTGTGCGATTTAGAGCCATTAAAGATGGTTTCAACATATTTCAGGGAGAAACATTTTCAAAAACATTCATTGGACAAAGCCTGGCATTTTGAAACCCTCACCAATACTGGGGTTAGCGCTGGTGGCAGGTAGAGTGGCCCAGATGTCCACAAGTCCCTCCCCAAAGGTCATGGCAGCCAGTGGCAGTCATTTCCAAACAGCAGGCTTCTACCCGCTAGTAGTCTGACACTTTCTTCCCAGGAGAAATAAGAGGCCTTTTAATTATCAACAGAAAGCAAAGTGTTTTCATTCTCATGGTCTGCTTAATCTTAATTTCAATGTATCAATTCAGTATACATTACAAAACTTAATACTCTTATAATTATAGAATGCAATGAATCTATTCATCTAGGATAAAAAGAAGCCTCCAAATTATATGTGACTTCCTGGAAGATCTTCCGCTAAAAAATGAAGCTTCCACTTGTTTGGCTCACAAATTAAGTAAATATATATATATACATATATATATAAGAATGAAATCATCTCTATACATTTTAACCCAGAACTTGAGAGCCTTCAAAAACATATGCATATGTTTTTATATATGTTCTTTACATATTTTAGATATGTTCATATATATGTTTCTAAAGGCTCTCAAGTTCTGGGTTAAAATAGCTAACCTTTGCTGATTGTATTATGACAGACTTGCCAACTTCTTTCCCCTGCCTCTTTGCAAGTCCAGATTATAGCCAGTCTCTTTCCTTAAGGTTAGTTTTTTGTTTTTCTCCAGCTCTATCTCTATAATCTTCAGTTCTGAGACTCACACTCCCTGAATATGCCAGCTTTCCTGCTCCCTATTTTCAAACATGCACCCTGGAACCTCATGGAGGTTTCCACCTCATATTTTCTCCCCAGCTTTCACCTCTCTTCTTGCTCATTTCATTGCCCAACCTGCCAGATCTATTGTTTCAGATCCTCCTTTGCCACTGTCCTCAGCCCCTCAATCTCTTGTCCCAACCTCACAGCATGACTTCAATCCTGGGTTTTAGGGACTGAATATTTGTGTTCCCCCCAAATTCATATGTTGAAATCCTAACCCTCAATGTGCTGGTATTAGGAAACGGGGCCTTTGGGAGTTATTTAAGTCATGAGAGTGGAGCCCTCATGAATGGGATTAGTGCCCTTATAAAAGAGACCCTGGGAGAGTTTTCACGTTCTTTCCACCATCTGTAGATACCATGAGAAGTCTGCAGTCTGCAACAAAAAAGAAAGCCTTCACCAGAACCCAACCATTCTGGCACTTTGATCCTGGACTTCCAGCCTCAAAAACTGTGAGAAATAAATATTTGTTGTCTAAGCCCCCCAGTTTATGGTATTCTGTTATAGCAGCGCAAACTCACTAAGATAATTGTTCTGTGAAATAACATTTGAGTTCTGGTAAATATTTCCTCCTTACAAAGTACATCTCAAGTTTCTTGACTACGCATATATTGGTTTAGTTGTTCTACAATTATTCTTCAAGCTTTATCATGTCCATTAGAGATCTCTAAAAGTCATATCTACCTATACAAACTAATAGCATAGTAGAGATCAGCAGCTCATTATGACAGCTTCTGGTTGGGTTAAGATTATTAAAAATTAGTTTCTGCAGATACATCCTTAAAATGGTATCATTTTAAATGAAAATATATAGCCATCACCCAAGAACAGGAATTACCTCAAATCTATAAATTGATCATTAGATACGATAATAAAAATTAATTTCCAACAAATATTTATTCAATACTTACTGTATGCATGATTTGATAGCAATGGAAAATTTAGTCTAGTCAAGGACAAAAGACATACACATATAAAAAGATAATCTATACTTTAAGGTGACAAATAAATTTAAAAGCTGATTACTGACAATTACAGGCACAGGACTGCATAAAAGGGGGCATAACTTTGTGCTAAAGTGGTTGAGAAATATAGTGTCTGAATGGGGCTTTGAAAGTTGGGAACAATATTCAAACACAGGGAGAGAAAGCATGAAGTATTCAACCAAAGGAAATGGTTTTAAAAATTCAAGGAGTACAGACATATTTAGGAGCCTGTAATTAGATCAATTTGGCTTAAATACAGGTTCAATTCAACTTGTAAAAAAGTGCTTACCACACCTACTGCAGCCCAACCCTGTTCCAGGTACTGGGATATCACTGTGAAGAAGTCAAACAGGCTAGAGGGGGCTCCGCTGCTCATGGGGCTTACAATCCAGTGGGTAGAGGCAGACAATCAGTAAGTAAACCAAAAAAAAGAATGTCATATGGTAGTAAGTTCTGCAAAGAACATAAAATAGGAAAATAGAACAGAAGTACACAGAACTCTAGCTTAGATTGGACAATCAGGGATATCTCTGGGGAGATGGCATTTGAGCTGAAATTTAAGTGACTAGAAGGTGCCAGCTACATAATGCTTTGGGGAACCAACACTAATCAGAAGTGATGCGAAAGGCAAAGCCATGGGAGAATAAGCTGACATGGTCTGAATAAAAATAAGACCAGTGTAACTGGAGCACAACAATCAGTGGGGAGGATGGTGGCAGAAGAGGGGAGCCCCGTCACACAGGGCCTTGGGTCTGGTCATCAGTGTAGACTTGGATCTACCTGACATAGGAAGTCATTGGAAGTTTTAAGAAGGGGAGTGATATAATCTGATATATATGTTTTTCAAATTCCTCTTTACTTGTGGAAGTGGCGATTTTAGGAGAAAACATGGAAGCAGTAACGCATTTATGAGGCTAAGCGGACTGAATTTATTTTCCATAGAGGCAGTTCAAACTGTGAACACTAGCAAAAAATTGAGAAACTTTTTCCTGACTGTGCCAACCACCGACCTTTAGGCAAATATGAAGTTCAGATGTTTTCTCATAATTTACGTGGTATATGCTACTGTTTTTCATCCAGTGGACTGTAAACATGACAGTTTCTACATGCACAGCTGATTTCACCATTCTGGTGGTGAAAAATCTGTATGAAACCATCTAACTCTGTCAAAAAATCCATTATCTCCAATCTGTTTTGCCCAGTTTTTACAACTGCCTTGATCAGGGTGTTATGTCCATAAGCATTAGCCAGACCTATGTGAAAGTGGACAGAACAGTCACCCCTGATCCACATTGCCAGGATTGATGCAGTGGCTCTTTCAGGGCAGCTTGATCTTGAGCGAATAGCTGACACTCCAGCACATGCCCTACCCTGCAGTTTACCAGCTTTGAAATTTTTCATCCTTCCCTTCCCTTCCTTCCTGTATTTTCTGTCCATCTTCAAGCTGTAGCCTCTATTGCTCTACATTTCTAAAGTGAGTAGGAAGAGAATACAGAAGATTTCTTTCCAGGGATTCAAAGAATCATACTGGTGGAAAAAAATATATCATAAAATTTTTTCAGTCTTCTGCAAGTAGAACCAAGCTCCAACAGATCCATGTACTTGGTTATTCCTAATAGCTCACAGCAGAAATATTCTGCCGTGAAATCCAATTTAATGCAACTCAACTCTAGGCCAGCGTCACTAGGGCCCAAATAACACAATTTAGTTTTGTTGGATTATTATTTGGAAGGGATTCCAAATAACACAATTTAGTTTTTGTGTATATACATGTTTTGGGCTACCTATACAGATAAATGACCAAATGATAGTCAAAAGAAACAACTTAAGCACTTTTTCCCTAGACTTGTACAAAACTTTTTGATGAAAAAATGTCCTTATAAATTATGCATTAAAATAATCATGAAAACCATATTTCTAGCTGCATTTATTGTAAAATACAGTTATCTCTCTAAATGATACCTCTTTCACCTGTAAAATGACCATATTAATTTCTCCTTTACAGGGCTTTTGAGAATGTTAGCATTTCTATGCTTTGAAAATATTAAAATACCATATAAATATTATTTAATATTATATCATGAAACAGTAAAGGAAAGTAGCCTATTAAATATGTATTTTTCTATATAGCCCCTGTGGGACAAACTACCTTTTAAGTAGAAAGGTAGTTTGTCCTTTTAAGTAGAAAAGTAGTTTGTCCCACAGGGGCTATATCAATTCAAATTATTCAATTAAAACAACTACAGTTAGTTCAACAAAACCTATTGTGTGGATAGCCTCTAAATGGCTCCCAATGATGCCCTGCTCCCGGTTTTCATGTCCTGTGGAGACTTCTCCCCTTGTATATGGGCTGGACCTACTGACTCACTTAAATAAAATATGACAAAGTTGATGGGGTGTCATTTCCAGTATTAGATTTTTAGAAGACCCTGGCTTCTGTCTTTTTCCCCTTCTTTTGCTCTCTCAATTCTTTACTCTGAAGGAAGCCAGCTGCCATGTTGTAAGCTGCCCTATGAAGAGAGGTCCATGTGAAAAGGAACTGAGGAAGGTCTCTGGCCAGTAGCCAGATGGCTAATGCAATCCACAGTTAACTTTGTCCATGGAATAAAATTAGGAGTAATTAAAGATATTTCAAGATCTGCAATTGATGGCTTATAGTTATCAATTTTCAGGTGATTTTGATTGAGAATATATGCTCCATAGAAACAAGAGCAAACAGCTCCATAGAATGGAAAAAGACTGTAAATGGGCCACCTTGTTTTTGTCAAAGAAAATTTATTGCCGTCAAATTATTTTATTTTATTTGTAAATATTCATGGTGAGAGGTGACAGCATGCTGGCAGCCCTCGCAGCCCTCGCTCGCTCTTGGTGCCTCCTCAGCCTTGGCACCCACTTTGGTGGCACTTGAGGAGCCCTTCAGCCCACTGCTGCACTGTGGGAGCCCCTTTCTGGTCTGGCCAAGGCCGGAGCCGACTCCCTCAGCTTTCAGGGAGGTGTGGAGGGAGAGGCGCGGGCAGGAACCGGGGCTGTGCACGGCGCTTGTGGGCCAGCGCGAGTTCCGGGTGGGTGTGGGCTCTGCTGGCCCAGCACTGGGAGCGGCTGGCGGGCCAGCCCGCAAGCCCCGGGCAGTAAGGGGCTTAGCACCTGGGCCAGCAGCTGCTGTGCTGGATTTCTCGCCAGGCCTTAGCTGTCTCCCTGCAGGGCAGGGCTCGGGACCTGCAGCCCGCCATGCCTGAGCCTCCCCTCTCCTCCCGCGGTGGGCTCCTGCGCGGCCGGAGCCTCCCTTACCAGCGCGGCCTCCTGCTCCACAGTGCCTGGTCCCATCCACCGCCCAAGGGCTGAGGAGTGCAGCACATGGTGCGGGACTGGCAGGCAGCTCCACCTGCAGCCCTGGTGCCTGATCCACTGGATGAAGCCAGCTGGGCTCCAGAGTCTGGTGGGGACTTGGAGAACCTTTATGTCTAGTAAGGGATTGTAAATACACCAATCAGCACTCTGTATCTAGCTCAAGGTTTGTAAACACACCAATCAGCACCCTGTGTTTAGCTCAGGGTTTGTGAATGCACCAATCCACACTCTGTATCTAGCTAATCTAGTGGGGAGGTGGAGAACTTTTGTGTCTAGCTCAGAGATTGTAAATGCACCAATCAGCACCCTGTCAAAACAGACCAATCAGCTCCCTGTCAAAACAGACCAATCGGCTCTCTGTAAAGTGGACCAATCAGCAAGATGTGGGTGGGGCCAGATAAGAGAATAAAAGCAGGCTGCCCGCCCCCAGTGGCAACCCCGTGGGGTCCCCTTCCACACTGTGGAAGCTTTGTTCTTTAGCTCTTTGCAATAAATATTGCTACTACTCACTCTTTGGGTCCACACTGCCTTTATAAGCTGTAACACTCACCGCAAAGGTCTGCAGCTTCACTCCTGAAGCCATCGAGACCATGAAACCACGAACCCACCAGGAGGAACGAACAACTCCAGACGCACCGCCTTAAGAGATGTAACACTCACCAGGAAGGTCTGCAGCTTCATTCCTGAGCCAGCGAGACCACGAACCCACCAGAATGAAGAAACTCCGAACACATCCGAACATCAGAAGGAACAAACTCCAGACACGCCACCTTTAAAAACTGTAACACTCACTGCGGGGGTCCGCAGCTTCATTCTTGAAGTCAGTGAGACCAAGAACCCACCAATTCCGGACACAATGGGATACAAGTACAATTTTGCTACATTGATATATTATATTTTGGTGAAGTCAGGGCCTTCAGTGCATCCATCACTGGAGCAACACACATTGTACTCATCAAGCAACCTCCCATCATCTACCCTTCTCCCACTCCCCTCATCCCTTTGAGTCTCTGTGTGCATCACTCCATACACTGCTTCCAAGTGTATGCATTGTTTAGCTCCCACTTAAAAGTGAGAGCATGCAGTATTTGTCTTTCCATGTCTGAGTCATTTCACTTAAGATAATGGCCTCCTGTTCCGTCCATGTTGCTGCAAAAGACATGATTTCATTCACTTAACGTAATGTCCACCAAGCTCATCTATGATCCTGTGAATGACAGAATTTTATTCTTTTTTATGGCTAATAGTATTCCATTGTGTATATACCACATTTTCCTTATCCTCCATTGATGGACACTTAGGTTGAACCCATACCCTTGTTGTTGTGAATAGTGCTGCAATGCAGATGTCTTTTTGGTAAAATGATTTCTTTTCCTTTGTGTAGATACCCAGTTGTACAATTGCTGGATCATATGATAGTTATATTTTTACCACCAATTTATTTTATACATGATAACTCACAAATCTATGCGTTGTTTATAAAACAGTACCTGTAGGGTCTCCCTTTACTTAGAATAGATTCTTCTATAAAACTTTTGCCAGGACTTCTACCAACCTAGTACATATCATCAAGAAGCAGGACCTTTCCAACAAACCAAGGCTGGTTAGTTATTTCTCTCTTGTTTAAATGACACGTTACTTTCTACTAAAAAATAGAAGCTTGTAATCATGATATCTTTATTTACCTTTATGGCTAGGAAATTTAGAGTTTAGGTTAGTATAGAAAAATAATAAAATGTAAACCCTCTGTTCTTTCTACCTCTAAAGTAGAATAAGTACTAGATTATCTGCACCCTATCTAGGACTAAAAAACATAAATTTTTTAACTACCCAGTTGATTACCAAGACGGCATGAAAATATCTTTTACCATCATTCCCTCTTCTGATAATTAGAATTTGTCAGCCGGGCACGGTGGCTCACGCCTGTAATCCCAGCACTTTGGTAGGCTGAGGTGGGTGGATCAGGAGGTCAGGAGATCCACACCTTCCTGGTTAACACGATGAAACCCCGTCTCTACTAAAAATTAAAAAAAATTAGCCGGGCATGGTGGCAGGCACCTGTAGTCCCAGCTACTCAGGAGGCTGAGGCAGGAGAATGGCGTGAACCCAGGAGGCGGAGCTTGCAGTGAGCCGAGATCGCGCCACAGCACTCCAGCCACGGCGACAGAGCGAGACTCCGTCTCAAAAAAAAAAAAAAAAAAAAAAAGAATTTGTCAGAAATGTTTTTGAAACAAGTTATCTTTTCTCTTTAGTACCAAAAAGAGATAATGCTAATCTTTTGTTTCCCGCTTTTAAGGTAAAGGAACTCACTGAAAATGTATCTCAAGATCAAAAGCCAAATTGAGGAGGAAAAAAATATAGTACTGACCATGCTCATGCCTGGGATTTCAATCTGTGGGCAGACCAACATTATTCTCCCAGACTAAAGTTGTCTGGGCATCACAGAGCATCCAGCAAGGTATTTGGAGACCCACATGGTACTAATGCAGAGGTGAATCAAACTGACTGCGGGGGATATAGTGACTACCTGCTTGAGGGAGTATCATAGAGTACTAGACAAATAACATAAACCAAAGCCATAGAATTCCCAAATAATTTCCAAAATATCTAAAATTCCTGGATTTTTCTGGGTAGCATATGTTGATTTAAAGAAAATATTCCCCCACTTAGAAAATAGGGGATATCTAGAGATGACTCTTTTTAATAAGTATTAATGAGGTTCCAGCTGGGACCTAAGTGCTGAAAAAAATGTGCCTTTCACTCTAGGCTTTTCTCTTCACACACCCACATCCTACTCCCTGCTGTATAAATTCTTTTCTAGTTTTCTCAGTATATTTTGGGTTTGGGGTATCTTTGGAGATAGATTTAGATGACAGGTCTTAGTAATATAAAGTGATCACAGTTAATTCCTCTCTTCATTGCTACTATGATCAAAAGCTAAAGTTGTGAATTGACCTATTCTGCGAAGAAAAGTTTAAGATCAAACTTTTCCCCTTGTTTATTTGGTAAATGAGAATTTCTGCACTTCAAATGCTATTTAAAGTCAAAGATAGTTTTACATATCTGTTTGCTAGTTTTATATATCTGTTTGCTTCTGAGGCCAGTTTAAGTTGAGAGACCATAAACATAATCAAATATTAAAGAATGATAAATGGTATTACCCCTGAATGGGTTGCATTCATCCTAATAAATGTATTGCATATCCTAAGTTATACAAAAATTACTATCATTTTGAACAACCCAGTGATATTGACCTTGATGGAGAATACAGTGCATTGGAGGAGGCAGGACTAAGTCACTGCAATTTCCTAACCATCTAGAAAAACCCACATTTTACACATATTTCAATGACCTATCTAATTTCTGTTAGGATTATATTCATTTGCTAGGGCTGTTGTTACAAAGTACCATGCACTGATTGGCTTCAACAACAGAAATCTATTGTCTCACCATTTTGGGAACCAGAAGTCCAAGATCAAGGTGTTGACTGGGTCATGTACCCTCTAAAGGCACTAGAAAAAGGTCTGTCCCAGTCCTCTTCTGGTACTTTTTTTGTTTGTGGCAGCGTAACTCCAGTATTCACATGGCATTCTCTCTGTGTGAAACTCTGTGTCCAAATTTTTTAAAAATAAGGACATCAGTTGTATTTTGTTAGGAACACACCCTACTTCAATATAACTTTATCCTAACAACTTATTACGTCTTCAATGATGCTATTTCCAAATAAAGTCACATTCTGAAGTACTGGGGACTAGGACTTCAACATATGAAGGGGTAGGTGGTGCACAATTTAACCCAATACAAGGATCAATAAACCAAGATCATGAATTACTGATTTTTCCATCCAGTTATGAATGCCATCACTAAGCATTTTTGCAAATAGGCTATTTTGGTAAGCCTTGATGATAGATGACAGTCACTACCTTGAAAGGGTGATGCTGTCAAAAAGCTTCTCTCCTGAAAAAGAAGCCTGACCTGGTAGCCAAGGCAGAAAAAGTTTTATCTACAGAGAGAATATTGATGTACCTCTTTTAAAGCCAGAGGTAAGCAAACCTACAATCAGCGGGGCCTAGGGAAATTGGGCAGAAAAGAAGAGCAAGATGGCTCAGAGATTTTAGAGACAAAATCATAGAAGTACTTAATTTTTAAATTAAGAACACTGAAGGTAGAGGCTGAAGGGTACACAATTGATTAGTGGCAGACCTGGAATTAGATTGAAGATCTGCTGATACTCTTGTCTAGTGAGCTTTTCTCTACATCACCCAGGTTAGAACTCCAAAATGAGTCCAGGACAACTAGGATTAAAAAAAAAAGTACTAACCCAATACATAATTACTTGTCTTTGCATGTCTTAAACTCTAAAAACAGTGCACATCCAAAACATTCAGTACCTTTCATTCCATTTAGCCAGAAACACATAGCTTGATGACTGACTGTTAAGTTGGCACTGCCCTCCAGAGGCCTGTGCTGTCTGCTCAGTTGCCCCATCTGGCTGCCATCACGAAGCCTCTTGCTTGGCAGCCTACTCAGAACATCACTGTCACTAATTAGCCTTTCCTAAGTGGAAGGTATCCAGTCAGACTTTCAGCAGTACATTCTGTGCATAATTAAATGCATGCAGTCACCAAACAAGAAGGCAAAGGCACGTTTTCTTAGCATGTGGGATAGTTATCCCTAACTTCACAGAAACTTTGCATAATTCCTTGGAACTCATTTATCTGGCATCAGTTCCATAACTGACTGAAAACAAAAGCCAACTCATAAATCCAAAGGAATCGTCCATTTTAATTATGCATAAAATTCAAAAGAGGTCAAAGTATCAAATTGGAAACATGAAAAACAAATTACTATAGACCCATCTAAGAGAACAGTAATAAAATGTGAGTAAGATCCCCTTTTATGTTTCTCAGTTTCCTCACCAGAAATCTACATAAAGGCATCTGAGAAAGCAATGTTTTAGCTCTTGTTTCTCTCATTTAGTTCTAATTCTTTCCAGCTTATGATACAAAGAAAATCAAACTGGGACTCAGGAGTCTTGAATTCTGCAAGAATTTCTTCTGCTAAAAAGAAGTGTGACCTTGGTCAACTCCTTTAATCTCCTGTATCTCAATTCCTTCAACTTTAAAACAAGGGCCTGGTTTAAATGATCTCAAAGGGCACTTGCAGACTTAACACTCTATAATTCTCTGAAATCAATTTTGCAAGAACTAAGTCTTGAATTCCAACAAACCTCCATGGTCTGGAATCTCCCTACTTTATACACCATAAAGGGGTCTATATTATCAATGCAGTTGCCTTGGCAATGGGTCAAAGAGCTGGAGCCATTACAAATGATGATGCCCAAATAATTATTTCAAATGCCAAAAAATATTTATTTCTTCTAAATTTATACCATTTGGAATAAGAATAATTTCCATAGGAATTTTCAAACACTCAAAAACATATTTTAATTTTGCCTCATACCTTTTGACGTGACAACTAAGCTGTTAGACATTAACATTTCAATGTAGCAAACTTGCCACGTTCACAGTGAGCAGCTGTGACCACTAATGGGAATCAAAAGCTCCTTCTGGTCAAACTCATAAATACTTTCTCTCAAAATATGAGTACATAAAGCAGAATCACATATCTTTATATCCACTCAACTATTCCCAAATTGTTTCTAAATTAGTAAATTTGTGGTGCTTCTCACCATAGCATCTACAAGCTACAAAATTATAGGCAGTAAATCTAATGTGCAATTCATTTTTGGAGTTATTTCTGGACAAGTGAATTGAGCACACTCAGAAATGACTCCATGTATTATAAACAGGCAATTAATTAATTTCCTCACTAGTTCTGGCAGGGCAATTTGCAATGCAGTTGTTACCTATTAAAGATAAGAAAACTATGTAAGCATTTCTGTTGATGTGGTCAACTCAACTCTAAAATATTTTGCCTCTAGAATGCTTATATCTCAGGTTTCCAGGAGAAATATATGCCAAACAATGAAAACCCTTGGGAGGCTCCACTGCATAATAGCACTCCAAAAACATCAGTAATATGAGAGCTTATTTTCCCATGTGTCAAACTCTATATGGTTAACTGATAGAAATTCTAAGATTTCAATGGTAGTCTATAAGAAAGACTGAACAGAAGGATGAGGCTAGGATCTAACTGAATTATGAATCAAGGGTGATCTGAAGTCCAAATTGCAAAGGAAGAGCACATAAAAACTTTGGGCTCAATTAATACTAATGTCCAGACCCCAGAGATCAATATGGTGAAAGGAAGCCAATAGCAGAAGTCAGCAGGATGCATCTATACTTTTAGTCTAGTGGGTAAAAGCATCAGGGGCACATTGAGGCTTATGTTCTGTGAAATTAAATGTCAGACAGTGACTGAAGGTATGGGGACAAGAAACACCATCTGTTATAGTGTGAGGAGCAGGCAGCTTATAATAGCTAAGTAGAAGGTCAAGGCCTTCTAGTTTGAGTAGAAAACTGGGATACAAGAAACAGAGAAGGAGCCTAGAATTTGAAAGCTGTACCTCAGTATACCCAAAGCCTTCCCAAGACTAGGAGATTCTGCAATTAGTGAGAGTGATTCAGACAAGTATCACATCCTTTCTATTCTCTTTCTCCAATGGTGGAGATAGAGCTCCTGACTGCTATCTGGCTTGGTTCTCAATGTCTCAGGAATCACACAGAGCTGATGCTGGGAGGTAAACCTTTTGACGATAAGCCCCAAGATGGTGCAGGGATAGACAGAAACTGACACTTCTTGTTAATAACCTATTAACAATTTCTTCCTTTGTCTCTAAACTGTGATCTTTCTTTTCCTTCATTCAAGCTCTTCTGATAAGGTGTGGGAGGAGTTTAAGTGGAGAAAGACAAAACAAAGTAGAGATGAAACTCATGATTAATAACTGTTGAATGGCACTAGTAAGATTCCTAGACTGTTTAACTTTAAAAGTTTTAAAAACTAAGGAATCCCAACTATTTGTTTCTAAATGAGGAAACAAATGCACAGAGAGGGAATTGACTCACTCAAATTCACACAGTCTGCTGGTCTCAGAACCATAAGAACCAAGATATCCTGCCTTAATCCAAAATACACCCTACTAAAAGACCTTGTCATCATAACTGATGGCCCCGAATGGAATTCTGAGAATGGTAAACATCCCACGGATCCATCCCATTTCACAACCAACTTATTGGAGCTGACTGTATTCTTTTTCACTTACTGATGTGCCAGAATAACACAGCTTTTTGAAAATAGATCCATATGGGTCAATATATTTCATGAACATAGATGCAAAAAATTCTCAACAAAACACTAGCAAACCAAATTCAACAGCACATTAAAAGGATTATTCACCGTGATGAAGTGGGATTTACCTTTGAGGTGCATGGATGGTTCAACATAGACAAAACAATAAATTTGATACACCACATTAATAGAATGAGGGGCAAAAACCATATGATCATCAATAGATACAGAAAAGCTATTTAACAAAATGTGGCATCTTTGCATGATAAAAACTCAACAACTTAGGTGCAGAAGGAATGTACCTCAAATTAATAAAGGCCATATATGACAAACCCCCAGCTAGCATCATATTCAACAATGAAAAGTTGAAATCTCTTCACCTAAGATCAGGAACAAGACAAGGATACACACTCTCATCACTCCTATTTAACATAGTACTAGAAGTCCCAGGCAGAGCAATTAGGCAAAAAAGAAATAAAAGTCATCCAAATTATTTTTTTAAATGCAAATTGTCCCTGTTTGCAGATGAGATGATCTTATGTATATAGAAAACCTTAATAAATTCACCAAAAAAACTGTTAGAACTAATAAATGTATTCAGTAAAGTTTCAGAGTCAACATATAAAGTTCAGCAGCAGTTCTATTCACTAATGATGAACTATCTGAAAAAGAAATTAAAAAGCCAAACCCATTCACAACAGCTACCCCGAAAATGAAACATGTAAGAATACATTTAACCAAGGAGGTAAAAGACTTGTACACTGAAGACTATAAAATATTGATGAAAGAAATTGAAGAAGATGCAAATAAGTGAAAAGGTATGTTCATGTACTGGAAGAATATTGTTAAAATGTCCGTATTACCCAAAGCTATCTATATATTCATCACAATCCCTGTCAAAACTCCAATAACATGTTTTCACAGACATAGAAGAAACAATCCTACAATTTGTTTGGAGCAACAAAAAGTCCTGAATAATCACAGCAATCTTGAGCAAAAAGAACAAAGCTGGAGGCATTATACTACCTGGCTTCAAAATATCCTACAAAACAGCATGGTACTGGCATAAAAGCACATAAACCAGTGGATCAGAATAGAGAGCTCAGAAATAAACCTATCCATTTACAGTCAGTTGATTTTCAACAGAAGTGCCAAGAACACACACGTAGAAAGGACAGTGTATTCAATAAATGGCATTGAGACAACTGGATATTTACATGCAGAAAAAATAGGCCCTTTTCTCATACTATATAGAAAAATCAACCCAAAATAAATTAGACTTAAGTGTAAGACCTAAAATTGTAGAACTACTAGAAGAAAACATAGATAAAAAGTGCCATGACATTGGTCTGAACTATGATTTTTTGGATATGACCCCAAAAGCACAGGCAACAAAGGCAAAAATAGACAAATGGAATTACATCAAACTAAAAAGCTACTGCAAATCAAGGAAAACAATCAGCAGAGTAAATCAACACACTATAGAATGGGAAAAAATACTTGCAAACCATATATCTGATAAGAGGTTAATATCCAAAATATATAAGA
This sequence comes from Homo sapiens, assembly GCF_000001405.40. Classification (NCBI taxonomy): domain Eukaryota; kingdom Metazoa; phylum Chordata; class Mammalia; order Primates; family Hominidae; genus Homo; species Homo sapiens. The sequence goes on along the minus strand of NC_000006.12, from coordinate 73,981,865 downwards.
AACTCAAACAACTCAATAGCAAGAAAAAAAACAATTTAAAAATAGGCAAAGGATCTGAATAGACAGTTCTCAAAAGAAGATATACAAATGACTAACAGGTGTATGAAAAAATACTGAACATCACAAATCATCAGGAAATTTATAGTTAAAACTATGTGATATCACTTCACACCTGTTAGAATGGCTATTATCAAAAAGATCAATGATAACAAGTGTTGGGGAGGGTGTGGACAAAAGAGAATCCTCGTATGTGGTTGGTGGGAATGTAAATTAGCACAGCCATTATAGAAAACAGTATGGAGGTCCCTCAAAAAATTAAATTTTTTAATTTTTTAATTTTTTTTTAAAACTTAACCTTAAATGTAAATGGAACTATCATATGATCCAGTAATTCCACTACATATCCAAAGGAAATGAAACCAGTAAGTTGAAAAGATATCTGCACTCCCATGCTCAATGCAGCGTTATTCACAATAGCCAAGATATGACATCATGCCTAAGTGTCTATCAGTGGGTAAATGGATAAAGAAAATATGGTGTATGTATGTAATGGAATACTATTTCACCTTTAAAAAAAAAAGGAAATCCTGTCCTTTGTGACAACATGGATGAAACTGGAGGATATCATGTTAAGTGAAATAAGCCAGGCACAGAGAGACAATTCCACATGACATCACTTATAAATGGAATCTTTAAAAGTTGAATCCACAGAAGCAGTGGGTAGAATGGTGGTTACCAGGGTAGGGAGAGGGAGCTGGGTGAGAAGGTGTTGGTCAAAGGATAGAAAATTTCAGTTAGATAAGAGGAATAAGTTCAAGAGATCTATTGAACAACATGACGACTACAGTTAATAACAATGTATTGTATTCTCGAAAATCACTGAGAGATTTTAAGTGTTCTAGTCACAAAAAAAGATAAATATGTGAAGTGATGCACATGTTAACTAGCTTGATTTAGCCATTCCACAAGTATACATATTTCAAAACATTATGTTGTATACAATAAATATATACTATTTGTACTTGTCAATTTTAAAAATTAATTTTTAAAAGAAAATCAGGTCCTAGCTCTGCATTTGGTCTATACTAGCGAAATCTAGAAACAAAAATTATATACATAAATAGCAGATAAATTTGGATCTGATGCCCACAAAACACTCTGAGAGCAAAACGACAGAATCCTAGAATGAGATGGATGGCATGCAGTCAGCCTGAGAAGCCCCAGGAAGCCGTTACTGAGTGTCAGACATGACATGTTGCCAGCCACACCCTTAGAACATGTCTGGAGCTCAAAGGGCAACATGTGAAAAACAGTCATCCAGATGCATTTTTCATATATAGCTGTCATAAAGATTGGTTCTTAGAACAAGCTAACATTTTTCTAATTCCCAAATGTAATGCCAAGACTTGGGGGGGAAAAAGTAGATGGCAGCAACATATGTTGGAATGGACCTAGTATATTCAGATCAATAATGTAGGATGCCAGATGACTCCTCACACAAATTCTAACATAAGTGGTCAGATGAAGGAAAACTTGGTTTCCAGATGAGGCACCAGTTTTAAAAGCCAAAATGACTCTATATCCCAGACAGGATATGGCAGGATGCTATAGGCAGAGGGTGGAAAAACTGTCTGTTTCCCCTTCTCCTGCCAAGTCAAACTGGCTATGTCAGGACACCCACTGCACATTTTTGATAGCTCCCTACTGCCTCTGAGGAGTTTCTATCATGCATCAGCTGCTTGACCACAGCAAGATTTAAGCTAAATGCTATGTGAAATATAAATCAGCAAATGCCAATTAAAAGTTCTTGGCAAAGTGAAATAATGCTAATTCTATTCCCTGGGCTTATTATAGCCCAAGCGCTCTGCAATAATTATGGGAAAACAGCATGTTAGGAACATTGACAACTTGAAGGTAAATGTTAGGTTAAAGCTGCTACACAGGAATTGTTGTTGTTTGTTGTTGCTGTTTTATAGGGATATCTTCCCCTTTAGAAACCTAGATGCCTCATTCACAGAAAAAAAAAAAAAGCAACACCAAATGGATATTTCATAGCTCTACATTGCTGAAATCCTGAAACAGAAGTTTTCATGAATTATTTTCATCTCTACTCTCTGGAACACAGGGCAGCTGTAAGGCAGGCACAGCCACAAATAAAAGTCACATAAATGAAAGACAAATACGGATAGAATTAGTACTCACAACTTGCAACATATGTGGAGTAAGGTCTTTCTCTAACCCTGTGGCCACAGCCTATTCTACATTCCAGTCTAAGAAGTACCCTGACCCTGCCCACATATAGTTTCTGCTCTGATTTATGAAGAGGGTTTTTCGTTTGTTGTTTTTCTTTTTCTTTTTCCTAGCTGCAACTACAACGAGGATTGGGGAATTTAATTTATTCACTGGTTCAGAGATGGCAATCTTTCTCCTTCCACCTCACTCCATTCCTACTAAATCCTGTTTTTAATGGGCACCAAGAAACTTGCTAGAAGAGGTGAAGTTTCTTTTGTTGCTATTTAATGTTCTTCCTATTATCAAAGCACTTGATAGTTGAGTGCAATCAACTATATATATTTTTCTAGACTGGAGATGATTCTCCTAAAATAGTGATTCTCAAATTTTAGATTTTTTCATACTCACCTGACAGGCTTGCTAAGACATAGATATCTGGGTCCCACAACCAGAGTGCTGATCCAGGAGGTCTGTCGTGAAGCTCGAGAATTTACATTTCCAGCAAGTTCCCAGGTGATGGTGATGCTGCTGATCCAGGAACCATACTTTGAGATCTACTATTTTAGAATATCCTACCAAGCTCTGAAGGTCATACAAAACAACTCAAAGGAGTTTAAGTCAAGAGAGTGGGTCATGTGTGATTATTAGTTTCAATCTTATTTTATGCAAGTAATGATTATGGCCTAAGAACTATTATATTTTTTAAATGCAATAATAAACTTGGACTGGGTTCTCTCCTGTATATTGTAATGCATAGAGCATAGCATATATATGTATGCTAGGGACTCATAATGTGAGCTGGCACATCAGATTTCAGAAAAGCACACAACAGAAACCTTGACCGAGGTTAGGACAATCCAGTGGTGCCTCAGGGTATCCTTTGCTAGGAATCTGCAACTATACTGTGGGTTTTACTTTACAACAGAAACCATGCTAAGAGGAAGACACTCAGAGAGGAACGTTGAATAAGGAAAAGACTTAAGGAAGTTGGTATTTGCCTTTAACTGGATAAGATTTCTAAACTGAATGTTTTCCAGATGTGAGGAAACAAGATAAAACCCAGGGGCTTCAACATGAACAGAGAAGGAATTTTGACAGCCTATTTGAGACTAGAATATAGACATTATCTTACAATAAGGGAATAAGGGAATGTGAAGCACAATCCAGCTTATGTAATTACATTTACTTGGATACTTAGAACTAAAAATTGTATTTTGAGGACTTTCTTATTTTTATGAGGTTTGGAACTTTCGTAGTTATTGTTATTTCCTCCCTCCTGGTTTTCCCTTTCTTTGGGTTGTCATTGCTCTTTGTATTCTCTATTAGAAAATGATTCTAGCCTTTTTTGTCTAAGTATAATAGAAGTTAAGGTTTTTTTTTTTCTTATTTAGGGCAAAGACAAAAAAACCACAATTCTGAGAGTCAAGAAGCACAGTGGAAATTAAAATGATAGATGCCACAAGGCAAGAAAAATACACAGAAAGAATGTTGTAAAACACCTGAATCTCACACTTGGGCATTTCTCACCAAAGAATTTTATACAATCCTTGGAGGGTTTTTATATTTTTATATAAGCAACTCACTTGCTTAGACCATAATGGGTGCTGTCAGTTTTTTTGCTCAAGATCAGAGTTTTCTGAGTGATTCCAGCAGAAAAAGGTGCCTCTTATTGCCTCAAAGTCCTAATAAACAAATATTTACTGATCAAACTCTTTGTATAACAGCTACTTGCCCTAAGTGCTGAATATATTAAAGAAGGAAGCATAGATTCCTCTACCCTCTAAAAACTTAAGTCTAGTGGGGGTACATAGACAAGTAAAAGAATACAAGCATATGGAACATCAGGTGAAGCTTTATAAAAGTAGTTCAATGCAGGCTGACATTTGAAAGGTAAATTGAAAAAATCATAACTAGCCACCAAAAGGGTGTTTTGCAGGTAGAAAGAACAGAGCACATGAAGGCTTAGTGGTGAATGATACCACATGAATAAAGGGAACTAAAAGGAAATTGGTATAACTGAAGTGCAGTGGAGTGAGGTCTCATAAGTAGAGTGACCATATAAATTATTAACCAAACAAGGACACTTTGGAACTACAGTGCAGTTGCTATTTATAAACACACTGGAATAATAATGGCTTAAACTGAGATACATGCTCACTCTAATTGTGGCCCATGTTTTGGAGCTTGGACTCTATTTTTTCTTTTTTTTGGCAATTTTTTTTACTTTAAGTTCTGGGATACATGTGCAGAATGTGCAGGCTTGTTACATAGGTATACGTGTGCAATGATGGTTTGCTGCACCTATCAGTCCATCCCAGAATTTCATACCCAGCCAAACTAAGCTTCATAAGCAAAGGAGAAATAAAATCTTTTCCAGACAAGCAAATGCTGAGGGATTTTGTTACTACCAGGCCTACTTTGCAAGAGCTCCTGAAGGAAGCACTAAATATGGAAAGGAAAAACTGGTACCAGCCACTGCAAAAACATACCAAAATATAAAGATCAATGACACACTATGAAGAAACTGCATCAACTAGTGTGCTAAATAACCCAATAGCATCATTCATAATGACAGGATCAAATTCACACATAATATTAACTTTAAATGCATATCGGCTAAATGCCCCAATTAAAAGACACAGATTGGCAAATTGAATAGAGAGTCAAGACCCATCAGTGTGCTGTATTCAGGAGACCCATCTCATGCGCAAAGACACACATAGGCTCAAACTAAAGGGATGGAAGAAAATTTACCGAGGAAATGGAAAGCAAAAAACAAAAACAAAAACAAAAACAAAGGTTGTAATCCTAGTCTCTGAAAAGACAGTCTTTAAACCAAGAAAAATCAAAGACAAAGAGCATTACATAATGATAAAGGGATCAATGCAACAAGAAGAGCTAACTATCCTAAATATATATGCACCCAATACAGGAGTATTCAGATTCATAAAACAAGTTATTAGAGACCTACGAAGAAAGTTAGACTCCCACACAATAATAATGAGAGACTTTAACACCCCACTCTCAGTATTAGATCAACAAGACAGAAAGTTAACAAGGATATTCAGGACATGAACTCAGCTCTGGATCAAGTGGACCTAATAGACATCTACAGAACTTTCCACTCCAAATCAACAGAATATACATTCTTCTCAGTGCCACATGGCATTTATTCTAAAATTGACCACATAATTGGAAGTAAAACACTCTTCAGAAAATGCAAAAGAACTGCAATCATAACAAACAGTCTCTCAGACCACAGTGTAATCAAATTAGAACTCAGGATTAAAAAATTCACTCAAAACTATACAACTACATGGAAATTGAACAACCTGCTCCTGAATGACTCCTGGGTAAATAATGAAATAAGGCAGAAACCAAGAAGTTCTTTGAAACCAATGAGAACAAAGAGACAATATACCAAAATCTCTGGGACACAGCTAAAGCAGTATGAAGAGGGAAATTTACAGCACTAAATATCCACATCAGAAAGCTAGAAAGATCTGAAATCGACACCCTAACATCACAATTAAAAGAACTAGAGAAGCAAGAGCAAACAAATTCAAAAGCTAGCAGAAGAAATAACTAAGATCAGAGCAGAACTGAAGGAGATAGAGACACGAAAAAACCTTCAAAAATCTTTTTTTTTTTTTTTTTTTTGAGACGACGTCTCACTGCAACACCCAGGTTGGAGTGCAATGGCACGATCTCGGCTCACTGCAACCTCCACTTCCCAGGTTCAAGTGATTCTCCGGCCTCAGCCTCCCGAGTAGCTGCGATTACAGGGGTGCTCCACCATGCAGGCTAATTTTTGCATTTTTAGTAGGACAGGGTTTCACCAGGTTGACCAGGCTGGTCTCGAACTCCTGACCTCCAGTGATCTGCCCACCTCAACCTCCCAATGTACTGGGATTACAGGCATGAGCCACCGCACCCAGCCCAAAAAAATCTATTTTAAAGATAAAGGTTAATTCATAGAATTATAAACAAGGACATGGCATATTCACATTTGTATGCTGCTATGATAATTCTGGCATCTGAATAGAGAATAAGTTGGAGGCACCATCCTGGAAGAAGAGAGCAGTTAGACAACTGTTCAGCAAAAGATGATGATTACTAGGGAAGTGCCTGAAGAAATGGAGAGGAGTGAATGAATTCAAGCAAGTATCAGAGGCTCAGTTTGAGTCTACATGGGACTTATAGAAATTGGTAATTAGGCTGGGAAGAGAGTTATCAGGAAGGTTCTTTCCACTTGTTTTGCGTTCAAAATCTGGCAGGCCATTTATAGTCATGCCTTTAATTAAGGAACTTTGATACAAGTTGTGTTTTAAATAAGTGAGAATCAGTCATGTTATATGTTGAAAATAGAAATCATGTATTAGTAACTCCTGAACACTTCCAGAAGTTTAATTGATACCAAAATAAAAATAATACATATATAGACTGGTATAACTAGATGTCCCAATTTTCTAATATCAGTTTTTATTTCATTTAAATTCACCCTAGTCACTCTTGGTTAAAAATCAATTACTCATTCAGGTTAGAGAAAGATTTCTTTGATACAATAACAAAATCATGATTCATATAAGAAAAATTTTATGTTAAACTTTATCAAAATTAAGAACTCTGCTTTCAAAAGACATTATGCTTTCAAAAGAAATGACAAGAAGAGCCACAAACTAGGAGAAATATTTTCATATCGTATATCTGATTAAATGCTTGTGTTGTAAATATATATATTTTTTAATTCTCAAAACTCACTAACAAGAAAACTAACAATCCAATAAAAGATGGGCAATTTGAACAGACATTTCACCAAAGATAATATATGCATTACAAATAGGCACACCAAAAGATGTTCACATCATTAGTTGTTAGGGAAATGCACATTTAAACTACAAATAAAATCACTACACATTTATTACAATGCCTAAAACTTTTGAAAAGATTGACTGGTCCAAGTGTTGACAAGGATATAGAGCAACTAGAACTCTCATACACTTCTGATAAGAGTGCAAACTGGTACAATACCTTGGAAAACTATAACTTTGATCATTTCTTAAAAGTTACACATAAATCTCCAGTACAATCTAGTCAGTCCACTCCTAGGTATTTACCCCAAAGAAATGAAAGCATCTTTCCATGAAAAGGCAGATGCAAAAATGTCCGTAGAGACTTTATTTGTAATAACTGAAAACTGGAAAAAAACACAAATGGTGATAAACAGATGGGTAAACAAATTACGAAATGTCCATACAACAAAATACCACTCAGAAACAATCAGAAGAATCTTTTTGACTCTCCAAGAAGCCAGGCCAAAATAGAAGAGTAAAAGATAACACACTATATGATTCTATTCATATACAATCCTGGAAAACATAAAATAATCTATTGCAACAGAAAGCAGATCAGTGTTGCCTGCAGGTAGGGAGAGAAGAAGAGGGATTACTTTTGAGAGTGATGGATATGTTCATTATCTTGATTGTGATGTTAGTTTCACAGGTATATACATATGTCAAACATTATCGAAATCGAAATGTATAATCTAAATGTGCAGTTTTTGGATGTCAATTCTACTTCAATAAAGCCATTAAAAATAAAAGAAGGAAGAAAAAACCAGTTATCCACAGTGCACAATGTTGAGAATTTCTGATGAGCTGGCAAGAAAAATCAGGTAGTAGGCGGGGCGTGGTGGCTCACGCCTGTAATCGCAGCACTTTGGGAGGCTGAGGAGGGCAGATCACGAGGTCAAGAGATGGAGACCATCCTGGCCAACATGGTGAAACCCGTCTTTACTAAAAATACACAAAATTAGCTGGGCATGGTGGTGCAAGCCTGTAGTCCTAGCTACTCGGGAGGCTGAGGCAGGAAAATTGTTTGAACCTGAGAGGCAGAGGTTGCAGTAAGCCGAGATTGCACCACTGCACTCCAGTCTGGCAACAGAGCGAGACTCCATCTCAAAAAAAAAAAGAAAAAGAAAAATCAGGTAGTTTTTTCTGAGATCATCACCTACCTTGGCACTGGTAATCGAAATTTATTTACTCTCAAATATGAGCAGGAAGTACAAGAATAAGCCAGGCCAAAAGTGGGCTACTAAGTAAGGTGATCATACATACGCTGTCTTCCACAATGGTTGAACTAATTTACACTCCCACCAACAGTGTAATAGTGTTCCTATTTTTCCACATCCTCTCCAGCATCTGTTGTTTCCTGACTTTTTAATGATCGCCATTCTAACTGGCATGAGATGGTATCTCATTGTGGTCTTGATTTGCATTCCTCTAATGACCAGTGATGATTAGCTTTTTTTCATATGTTCATTGGCCGCATAAATGTTTGTTATTACCCACTTTCTGAAGCCTACTTCTCTCAATTCGTCAAACTCATTCTCTGTCCAGTTTTGTTCCTTTGCTAGCGAGGAGTTGTGATCCTTTGGAAGAGAAGAGGCATTCTGGTTTTTTATATTTTCAGCCTTTTTGTGCTGCTTTTTCCTCATCTTCGTGGATTTATCTACCTTTGGGTTTTGATGTTGTTGACCTTTGGATGGGGTTTTTGCGTGGTCCTCCTTTTTGTTGATGTTGATGTTATTGCTTTCTGTTTGCTAGTTTTCCTTCTAACAGTCATGCCCTTCTTCTGCAGGTGTGCTGGAGTTTGCTGGAGGTCCACTACAGACCCTGTTTTCCTCGGTATCACCAGCGGAGGCTGCAGAAAGCAAAGGTTGCTGCCTGCTTCTTCCTCTGGAAGCTTCGTCCCAGAGGGGCACCCACCAGATGCCAGCCGGAGTTGTCCTGTATGAGGTGTCTGTTGACCCCTGCTGGGAGGTGTCTCCCAGTCAGGAGGCACAGGGGTCAGGGACCCACTTGAGCAGGCAGTCTGTCCCTCAGCAGAGCTCAAGTGCTATGTTGGGAGATCCACTGCTCTTTTCAGAGCCAGCTGGCAAGAACGTTTAAGTCTGCTGAAGCTGCGCCCACGGCCGCCCCTTTCCCCAGGTGCTCTGTCCCAGGGAGATGGGAGTTTTATCTATAGGCCCCTGACTGGGGCTGCTGCCTTTCTTTTAGAGATGCCTTTCCCAAAGAGGAGAAATCTAGAGAGGTAGTCTGGCTATAGCGGCTTTGCTGTGCTGTGGTGGGCTCTGCCCCGTGTGAACTTCCTGGTGGCTTTAACACTGAGGGGAAAACCGCTTATTCAAGCCTCCGTAATGGCCGACACCCCTCCCCGTACCAAGCTTGAGCATCCCAGGTCAACTTCAGACTGCTGTGCTTGCAGAGAGAATTTCAAGCCAGTGGATCATAGCTTGCTGGGCTCCATGGGGGTAGGATCCGCTGAACAAGACCACTGGCTCGCTGGCTTCAGCCCCTTTTCCAGGAGAGTGAATGGTTCTATCTCGCTGGCATTCCAGGCACCACTGGGGTATGAAAAAAACTCCTGCAGCTAGCTCAGTGTCTGCCCAAATGGCGGCCCAATTTTGTGCCTGAAACCCAGGGCCCTGGTGGTGTAGGCACCCAAGGGAATCTCCTGGTCTGCAGGTTGCAAAGACCATGGGAAAAGCATAGTATCTGGGCTGGATAGCACAATCCATCACAGCTTCCCCTGGCTAGGGTAAGGAGTTCCCTGACCTCTTGGACTTCCCAGGTGAGGTGACACCCCACCCTGCTTCTGCTTGCCTTCCGTGGGCTGCACCCACTGTCTAACCAGTCCCAATCAGATGAACCGGGTACCTCAGTTGGAAATGCAGAAATCACCTGCCTTCTTCATTGATCTCGCTGGGAGCTGCAGACTGGAGCTGTTCCTATTCAGCCATCTTGCCACTTTTCCAATAGTATTTTTTAATGTACATGGGAGGGTATGAATAGCCCAATTCAGAGATCCTGAGCTTTCATTTCTAGACATCCATTAAAAATCCTTAACAGGCCGGATGCAGTGGCTCATGCCTGTAATCCCAGCACTTTGGGAGGCTGAGGCAGGTGGATCACAAGGTCAAGAGATTGAGACCATCCTGGCCAACATGGTGAAACACCATCTCTACTAAAAACATAAAAATTAGCCGGGCGTGGTGGCATGTGCCTGTAGTCCCAGCTACTCAGGAGGCTGAGGCAGAAGAATTGCTTGAACCTGGGAGGTGGAGGTTGCAGTGAGCCGAGATCACGCCACTGCACTCCAACCTGGCGACAGAGCGAGACTCTGTCTCAGGAAAAAAAAAAAAAAAATCCTTAACATCTGAGAATGGCTAGAGTTTTGGTGCTGCACACTGGCAAGCAGCTCCTTCGACCCCAGGCACTTCACTTCTCATTTCTCTCTCAACAGTCAGCCAGCAAGGATCCTGGAGTCACAGGTGTGAGATGCAGGTGTTGTTCATTTGTCCTCATGATATTCAAATCTGACTAATGAGGAGAGTTTAGTAATTGTCAAAATTTCCTAACTCTCACATTTCAAAATTTCAGAGTTCTTGCTAGAGCCTCATTTTCAATAAACTAAACCAAATAAGGATACAAATGTTGAAGGCAGCAAATATAAAGCTTTTAATAAGCCCGTATGCAATATTGTTTAGTTTTTTTAATGTAACATATATAAATTCCAAGTTATAATTCTGAACACCATAAGTTAATTGGGCAGTGTTCACCTCATCTCATTCATAGTGATAGGGAAATAAGTGATTCTAAAGAAGGTATGGGAACCAGCACAGTTGAATTAATCTCATTCATTTTACCATCCATTTCATCTGTGAATCTTATTAGCATACCTGGAGGAACAACCACATATGAAAAATGTAGCAGAAAATAAGAAAATGCTCATAACTAGGGCAGAGGAAGCCTAGCAACCGCTGAAGCTGCACAAACAGTAGCATCTGACTACTTTGGGAAGTGAGCGCACTGGAGTAGAATAGAGATTTGCTGAGAGGCGTTGCAATCATCTCAAACACTGACAGGAGTGTCAAGTGGAAGCACCGGCATATATGATACAGTGTTCACCAAGCTCTCTCAAAGAGCACTTACACACCTGTAGGCAAAACTGTATTTCACATCATTGTATTAAAAAAAAAAAAATTCTGAAATTTTAAACTGCAGGTTTCATATACATAAAAACTTGTGTGGTTTCTCCATTTCTCTGAAAAAATACATTTTTCCTCATTGTAGTTTATTTTAATTCCCATGTTAGGTCAGGACACTATTTATAGTTTAAGAAAATTAGGGGGAAGAAAAGGTCAGTATAGGGTTCAGTGTGGTAGTGGAAAAATATCTGGCTGGTATATTTTACGGAATGTTTTGCAATCACTTTTAAAATCTCTGGAAAGCTAAAGCTGAAGAACTTTATAGAAATTAAGGAGTTATTGGCAAGGCCTGTTGACTGAGACAGGTCAGTGGAAATATACCAATCACCACCCCCACCCCCGCCAAAAAAAAAAAAATAAATCATAATTCAGGTTCTCCCTTTTCTTTCTCTAACAGTTGCCTGCCATCTAGTGGATGTAATGCAGTCAAGTCAGCAAGTGCTTTCTTTCAAAGCAATCAACGGTGCTTATTGAGTCATGCAATAATGTCATTTGAATAAAAACAAGGCCAGGAGCTTATCCTACAGCACACCCCCAGAATAAAACCATCTCTGGTGAAGACTTAAAGGAACTATGAAAAGACAAAAACCAGATCATTTTTGTGCTTGGCTAATCAAAAACCAATTCCTTTTAAAGCCAAGCACATTAAATAAAAAGGGAATTGCTATTTTTATGCTGTCTTTGCATGTTCTTGTGCTTAGTCTACAAATAACTTTATTTTGCTTCAACATATTATAATTTTAACATGTGCGTTAAAAATCATTTAATCAATAATTATCTACTGAGCACCTCCAATGATAGATACCACAGAAAATACAAAAAAGTAAGAGATATAAGCCCAGCTCTCAGATTTACAACCTAGTGAGGAAGAAAAAAAAATCCAAATGCAACAGCTAGCAACTGTGCTAACTTACGTGGTCCAAAGGAAGCAAAGATCAGTGAGGAGGAGAGAAACCTTCATAGTGACACTTGAGGACTTGAGGTGTATTTTGAGGATAATTAGAGACAAATGACTAAGTCCCTGGGCCTGGAGACAGTGAAGATGCTTTTTACACGAATGGGGAATTTATATCTTAATATAAAGCAAAAGGAAAATGAATCTATAATGAAATAGGCTCACGAGAGTTGTCATTCCAGGTGAACCTGGCCATACTGTAGGCTGACCAAATATCACCTAAGCACCTAATGCAACATCATGAAGATCTTTATGAAAGAGTTAAACTATATTGCAACCACTATCTGAGCTCTTAGATCCCTCATTATTTGCCGACAGTTGAGCAAATACTGCCTAATTGTAAGTGGAAACAAATGCCCTAATTGGACTCTAAGAATACTCTTGCAAGACTTCCTGTTAGCCAAAGAGAAGCTCTGCTTGCCACACTCTTAAAATGTCTGAGAAAGGAAATCGGAGTTTATAGAGCCAGGTGCACTAGTGAACTTCCCACTCATCCTTTCAGGTGTTCCCTTTTGCCAACCGGTGAGGCCAAACAGCCCTTTGGAGGCTTGGGCTGCTTTCTAGGGCCAGTGTGGAGCCCTCACCCTTTTCAGGGGCTGATAACTGTTCTCCTTTCATTTCTCCCAAACCAGCTTTTTATACTTTAAACTACTATTCAGCTCACTTTAATATGAATTTTAAAGTGCTTTAAATTTTAAAGCAATTCTTGGTTCCATAGTTAAATTTTTCTGTTCTCATTTGCCTGTTCTTTGATTTGGGACTCCATCCTATTTATAGGGACTACATAACAATGATTAGAATTATCATTTTTTAATCCACTCTCTACTTAAGTTCTTTTATGTAATCCTGTAAGATGAGTATTGTTATCTCACTTTTACAGACAAGAAAATCGGAGGCTATATAAATTGCCTGACATTACACAGAGAGTAACAAAGTAGGGATTTGATTTTAGATTTTTCTGATTTCAAATCGTGTGTGTGTGTGTTGTTTGTTTTTTACTGAGCCCTGCTGCTTTCTACTAAGGAATACATCTTTTGTCCTTCTGTCACAGCTGTAGTCTTTATATACATTTCCTCATGACTCACAAACCTTGATTTAATCAGATTAATTCAATATGGAAAAGGCCTTTTAGGTCAGGGAGTACAACTTCCTGCCAAGACTAGGATTTTTCTCTATAAAGCATTTATTGTTCCAAACACATTTATAATAAATATTACATTTTTCTATTGCATACCCCCTATGAAGCCATCCCAATATCCAAGATTGCCATGTAAATGCTGTCAAATATTTCCCAACTCCCATTTCCAGCCTCTTACAGTTATAGTTTCCCACCCTCCAACTTTTCTGCTTACCAAATAGAAACATTCTTCCATTTCTACTCAAGGGAGTAATTTTTTCAGTGGCTAAGCTATCACTTAACTGCAATAGAGAGACTAGGTTAACAGACACTTTGTCACTAGCAAAAGACTTTGCAAAGAACAAGGTGACCTGAACCAAAACCTTAGAGAGGCTGGGCATTCTCGGGGGCCCCACTAGTGGTCACATTTGTGGTAAATACTTGCTCCTGAGGTTCTTTAGGAAAGAGAAGTGGGCAAGGACCCATGTGAGTCCCCAGTTCTCAGAGAATTATTAGCTGGCCTATTGAAATAGCATATTCACTGAAGGGTTCCTAGGGAAAAGAAAGTTTTAGTTCCCTTTGAGTGTTTCCCAAACATTAAAAGAACTATTTCACTGGGCCACAACCACATAAATTGCATTAGAAGCAACTTGTACTCTGTCCCAATCAAACTCTACCAAGCTGAGAGGCCTAGAAGCTCAAGGTCCTTATAAAGAACAAAAAACCAAAGTCAGAGTATCAGAATCTTCCATTGGGTTCTCCTAATTAAGCAAGAGATTTACAATAAGGTAGTGAGTATTTAGAAGACTTCATTAAAAGTTGTAGTAATGTTAAATACACACATTAGTTTAAAATTTGAAAGGGATATTAGGTCACCTTGGTGAGGGTTAATTATTTTCATGACTCTGGTCCCCACAAAGACAGCAGAGAAGATCATAGAAAGCCAAAACCAGAATCAGAGACCAGAGGCAATGGCTGCCACGTCTCCATCAGTGCAGGCAAAAGCCAGAAAAGCCAGATGCCCTGTATTAATCCGTTTTCACACTGCTAATAAAGACATACCCGACATTAGGCAAGTTACAAAAGAAAAAGATTTTATTGGACTTACAGTTCCACATGGCTGGGGAGGCCTCACAATCATGGCAGAAGGCAAGGAGGAGCAAGTCACATCTTAAGTGGATGGCGGCAGGCAAAGAAAGCTTGTGTAAGGTAACTCCCCCTTTTTTTTTCTTTTTTTTTAACCATCAGCTCTCCTGAAACTAATTTACTATCACGAGAACAGCTCAGGAAAGACCCGCCTCCATCATTCAATCATCTCCCACTGGGTTCCTCCCGTAACACGTGGGAATTATGGGAGTACGATTCAGGATGAAATTTGACTGGGGACACAGAGCCAAACCATATCATACCCCTTCTACTGGAGATACATTTTACAATGAACAAAAGATAAAAGATTTTTCTGAAACTTAACTGGGGCAGGGGACAGGGGGTTGGGTGGAAACTCACAATTTCTGGGTTCCTGAAAATCTGTAAAGAAACAACTTAACAGTAGCTAAGAAGACAGAATCAGAGAGCCCTGAGTTCAAATCCTACCTTGCTACTTTCCATCTTAGAAAAGTAACTTGACTTCTCAGAACCACACATTCCCTGTTTAAAAATTGGAAGTGTTGTGAGGATAAAATGAAATAATGTCTGGAAGCACTTGGCACACTGTCTAGTACATCCTGTGAATTCAATAAATGGCATTTACCAAAACCGAGGGGGTTTACTAGTGTTGTTGCCATCTCTAATTGTCCATTAACAAAATAGACACTGTATATAAAAATTTTAATCTAGTATGGCAAAACCCTGGTCCATCTTTACCAACCTCACCACCACTTCAGACACACCAGAGGGCTGCTCATCCATTGCCTTCAAAATCGCATCAAATAGGCTATTCAGTACATTCATGCACAAAGTCAACTTTAAATCTATAAAAAGTATAGCAGAGTCTACCAGACCTCCTACTTATATAAGTTATTAAAGTCTGATCTGGCAAAGACCACTGGAGGCAAGCCTGTACTCTGACAAACTCAGATTTATCGATGTAGATGCAGCAAGGGAGGGCACTCCCGGGCAAACACAGAATGCTACTCAGCAGGTAGGAGGAGGGAAGCATCTTTTCAAAAGTTTGTCTTCTGTGAAAGAGTCTGAGGAGTATCTAAGGGAAGCAGGGACAAGGTCTACATTGGTTGCTGTTTCTTGGGGAAAACTAGGAAAAATAAGGACTAACTAGGGACTGGGTGCTGTCTTGAGGCAAGGTTGGTTTAGCAATTGGATGTCTCCAGTAATGGATGGGCAAAGTGGATCTGTATACTGGGTATAAAGGGAACTCTGTGCTATCTCTGCAACTTTTCTGTAAGTCCAAATAGTCATAATAGTCTTTTAAATATTGTTATTTTAACCCTAAAACTCTTCACCAAAGGAAACTGCCACCTCACCACTCTGCTCACTGGTCCTCTGGTCTCACATTGAGTTACCAAGGAATCCCACTGGACAGAACACTCCTGGTGTGGTTTGAAATCCTCAGTTTGGGCCATCCCCCAAGTCACCCTTTCCAGAAGCAGATTGTACTGTTGGCTCATATTGTACTTGTGGAAAACTAAGATCCCTGAAGTTTTTCCTATATAAACTGGTAATAAGCCAGCTGTCCTCTTCACCCTCCTCTCCAAACTGTACTCATGTAGCTTGGTTTTTAAGCCAAGCCTAGAACTTTACTGTTAATGTTTATCTTGTAAATTTCCCCCTCTGTCAGTGCTATGACATAGTAGAAGAGGACTAAGAATCAGAAATTCCAGGTGCAAATTCTAGTTCTCCAACCAGTTGCATAACTTTAAACAGGCCAGTCTATTCCTCTGGGTCTCATTTCTTTGTAAAATAAGCAGGTCGTCACTAGACTCTCTGGAAGATTTCTCCCAGCCCTAACATCCTGTCATCTCTCCTCATGCTTCTATCACACTAGGAGTCAGAATATCGCACTAGACTTTTATCTTTATTTTATCTGCATTTTGTCTTTATTTTACTGATGAATAAAATGATTCCAGTGTGCCAATTACATTGACCAATATATAGCTAGAGGATTCTAACAAGCACTTTCAGGGTCTAAAGTCTCTTTTCCCTACACACAACAGCCTCCCCTTAACCTTGTTGGGTCCTCCTGCATCCTCCATGTTTCCTTTCCCACTGCACACGAAGCTACCAAAAATCTTCTTAGCCTGGAAAAACATTTTCTGCCCCCATGTAACCTTCACTAGCTACTCCATCCTGTTTCTTCTCATGCAACTTCTCGAAGGGGCTGTCTGTAACCCTGTTTGCATATTATCGTTTACTTATTTCTTCATCCCCTGAAAATCAGATTTATTTTCCTACATGCTTCTAAAACTGGTTTCTCAACCAGTAAACCTAGGGGCCTTGTCTCTGTCATTATCTTCACTGACCTTCCTAATACTGCATCTCTGACTCCATTTCCTTCTCCCCAGAGTTTCTCCGAGGCTTCATTTGAATGTTTCTCTTTTTTAGAAAGCTCCAACTATCATCTCTATACAAATGGCTCCCAAGTCTTCCTAACTAGCTCTGAATTTCTTTCATAAGTGACAGGATCATTTTATTGGGATGCCAACTTTGAATGGCCTCTCCCTGCATTTTCCTCTTCCTGCTATTTCAAACAGGCAGCTGAGCCCTTAGAGATTCCTTATGTCAGGGCATTTTTGCTTCATAGAAATCTGAAGGCTCTTCACCTCCCTGCTCAGCTTCTAGCCTCATTTGCTAATACAACCTACTAGATAGAAATTCTGTCCAACTGGTTATGGGCAGGGCTGTGGTAGCTTTTGTCCAAGAGTACTACTAATAACTAAAAGACTATAAAGCAGGTAATAGTCCAGAATGATATTTAGCAGTAGGTCAGAGAGTTAACAGGCATTTTGCCAATCTCTCATAAAAGTACAAAAATGTTCTCTTTTCAGCCAGAGGAAGAACAAGCGATAAAGTTTAAGAGGTGGTCTGGTTACCTAGATGTGTAAATAAATATGGTTTGTTTTAAAGCCGAGAACATTTTTTAAAATCCTTATCCATTTGCATGTCATGGAAACAGTCAAAACAATCCATATGACAACTTTTTAGTGCAAACAAGAATTTGCTGTAGAGATTGCTGAAACAAAACAGAAACACACCAAGAATAAAGTGAGAAGACAGCTAAACTGAGGACTCAACACACTAAAAGAAGGAAGAAGAATCTCTCTTCATTCAAAGGATGTATTTATGAACACTAATTAAATGTCTTTCAATGTTTTGTGAAACATATGGGAACTTTATTTGTTGTAAGGATTTAGAGATAGTATAGAATTGAAGAGCAAAGCTTAAAAACCCAGAAACCCCACCACCATCACTTATTCTGCCCCCCAAAATTAATATTCAATTAAAAAACTAAATTTAGTCACATCTTTTTAAAAGACCACATTATTTAATTTATTAGTATGATAAAAGCTGAAGATTAAAATATTTCTGTAGTTTTTAGACTACATTCTGAGGTTCGTCCTATTTATATTTTCTAAAACAGTGATGCTCGTGGGAAGACAGTAATTTTGAAATTGGTATCACGTGTTGCAATGTAACAGACTTTCTGTTGAGTTAAGTCACTTATGGATTATTTAAGGACAGTTTTATTTTCTATTTCTTCTTGAATTCCTTTTTCCTATGAAAGCATGTCCATGATAACAGTTCAACATTAGTGAAGAATTCCCAATGCCACCTAGCTGGGTTGCAAATCTTACGACCTGAGATGGGCCTGGCTTTTCAATCATGGAGGTTCATTTCAGAACATCAATTTGAGGGAAGGATGTTATGTATATGAAAATATTTTTAAAATAATCAAATAATATCTGACTCTGAGAGAAAATTACAAAATATGGCTCTGACCATCCTGGGGAGAGAAAAAGTATGAGAGGTGGTAAATTCAGATTAGTAATGTGTCATGTATTCAGGAAGACAAACTAAGAAAGAGGACAGGAGGGAACATTAAAGAGTACAAGTTGTCCCTCATCTCTATTTTTCCCCTTATGAAAGGAAAATAAAATCTTGGGACCCAAACTCACTATGCCAAAAGGAAAAGTTAAACTTGGAAACTGAGTCATGCAAAAACAGCTGCCTTTCCTTTTGTTCCTAAACAGATAGCTACAAGATAGAAGTCCACATGTCTCCACAGGGTGCCTCCCTCACCCAGACAAATGTAAATTGACAGCTTATCTTCATGGGTGTGGGACAAGAGGAGACTAGAAATAGTCCCTCTGCCCACCTTGAGATGAATGCACATTGGACATCTTCCTCTACTCTATGTTTACTTTATTTTATGTAAAATATAGATGTACTGAGTGTAAGATGAATACATAATTAAAAATTCCTCTACCCGCTCCTCTTCGCATGCAACATGTGGATTCAGTGAGTGCTACTCAAAGCCTCAAAAGAATGTAACCGCTTGTCTCATTTGTCTCTTTTTTTTTCTCCTTATCCTCCTGCCTGCTTTTTCCCCTTTAAGTATTAAAGCCCTCAAAATTCTCTTTGGAAAAAGTACAGGCCAAAGTGGCTTGTGTCTTCTTTCCTTGGGTGCATCCTCAACCTTGGCAAAATAAACCTCTAAACTGATTGAGAACTATCTTAGACACTTTTTTGGTTTACACCCTTCTTCTATAGTAATCCACTTTTCAGCTACACACCTGGCCACCTGGAATAAGTACTAAATTTCGAAGAACCTAGATGTGGCTATGTGACCTTTAAGCTCTACCCAATGGGATATAAGTAGAAGTTCCTGTAACAGTTTTCAGAAGACTTCCTAAAGGAAAAATTGGTATTAGCCATTGGCCCCGTCTTACCTCTTCATCTATCCAGCTGCTTGGATACAGATGTGATGGCCTGATCTCCATCTCTAACTATGAAGACAAGGAGCACACCTTAGGGATGGCAGAATAAAGGCCAGAGAAGAACTCAGTCCTTGAGGACTTTGAGAAGCATTGCTACCATCCAGCCTTGGATTACTACATTACTTTCCTAGGGCTGCCATAACAAATTACCACAAACTGGCTTGGCGCAGCAGCTCACACCTGTAATCCCAACACTTTGGGAGGCCAAGGTGGGCAGATCACCTGAGGTCAGGAGTTTGAGACCAGCCTGACCGACATGGAGAAACCCCATCTCTACTAAAAATACAAAAGTAGCTGGGCATGGTGGCACATGCCTGTAATCCCAGCTACTCGGGAGGCTGAGGCAGGAGGATCACTTGAACCCAGGAGGCAGAGGTTGCAGTGAGCCGAGATTGTGCCATTGCACTCCAGCCTGAGCAACAAGAGAAAAACTCCATCTCAAAAAATAAATAAATAAATAAAATAAAATAATTTTTTTAAAAATTACCACACACTGTGCGGGTTAAAACAGCAAAAATTTATTCTCTCACAGCTCTAGAGGCTAGAAGTTCAAAATCAACACAAAGCCAAGGCCATGCTCACTCTGAACCCTCTAGGCATGGATCCTTCCTGGCCTCTCCCCATCTCTGGTGGTTGCTGGTGTTGGGAAAACAGAATTAAAAACAAGATATTCACTTAACCCAGAAAACCTTTCAACAAAGCTAGAAGAAAAAGAAAATTGTATTAATCACTAAGCATTAACTAGAATGGGATGTTCATCACAGGCATTTCACAAACAGATTGCAAACCCAGAAGACAAAAATTCACTCTTTTCTACAGACAAGCCTATACAATTCATTCCGTACATGTTCTCAAGATAAACAAATAACTAGTCCTTAAGTAAGAGGACTTGACTGCGCCATTTGTTACACATCCTAGATTCACCTGGCAGCTGGGTGACCATCTGTGTTTGCTAATTGGATTTATCCACAGGAAAAATAAATTTCTCCTATCTTTGTGGCAACAGATAGTTTTAGAGAGAGGTGCCTGCCCAAGTTAGGCTCCTACTCAGAAGAAGAACAGATCAACAAGACAGAAAGTTAAGAAGGATACCCAGGAATTGAACTCAGCTCTGCACCAAGCGGACCTAATAGACATCTACAGAACTCTCCACCCCAAATCAACAGAATATACATTTTTTTCAGCACCATACCACACCTATTCCAAAATTGACCACATAGTTGGAAGTAAAGCACTCCTCAGCAAATGTAAAAGAATAGAAACTATAACAAACTGTCTCTCAGACCACAGTGTAATCAAACTAGAACTCAGGACTAAGAAACTCACTCAAAACTGCTCAACTACATGGAAACTGAACAACCTGCTCCTGAATGACTACTGGGTACATAACAAAATGAAGGCAGAAATAAAGATGTTCTTTGAAACCAACGAGAACAAAGACACAACATACCAGAATCTCTGGGACGCATTCAAAGCAGTGTGTAGAGGGAAATTTATAGCACTAAATGCCCACAAGAGAAAGCAGGAAGGATCCAAAATTGACACCCTAATGTCACAATTAAAAGAACTAGAAAAGCAAGAGCAAACACATTCAAAAGCTAGCAGAAGGCAAGAAATAACTAAAATCAGAGCAGAACTGAAGGAAATAGAGACACAAAAAACCCTTCAAAAAATTAATGAATCCAGGAGCTGGTTTTTTGAAAAGATCAACAAAATCGATAGACTGCTAGCAAGACTAATAAAGAAAAAAAGAAAGAAGAATCAAATAGATGCAATAAAAATTGATAAAGGGGATATCACCACTGATCCCACAGAAATACAAACTACCATCGGAGAATACTACAAACACCTCTACGCAAATAAACTAGAAAATCTAGAAGAAATGGATAAATTCCTCGACACATACACCCTCCCAAGACTAAACCAGGAAGAAGTTGAATCTCTGAATAGACCAATAACAGGCTCTGAAATTGTGGCAATAATCAGTAGCTTATCAACCAAAAAAAGTCCAGGACCAGATGGATTCACAGCCGAATTCTACTAGAGGTACAAGGAGGAGCTGGTACCATTCCTTCTGAAATTATTCCAATCAACAGAAAAACAGGGAATCCTCCCTAACTCATTTTATGAGGCCAGCATCATCCTGATACCAAATGCTGGCAGAGACACAACCAAAAAAGAGAATTTTAGACCAATATCCTTGATGAACATCGATGCAAAAATCCTCAATAAAATACTGGCAAACTGAATCCAGCAGCACATCAAAAAGTTTATCCACCATGATCATGTGGGCTTCATCCCTGGGATGCAAGGCTGGTTCAACATACGCAGCTCAATACATGTAATCCAGCATATAAACAGAACCAAAGACAAAAACCACATGATTATCTCAATAGATGCAGAAAAGGCCTTCGATAAAATTCAACAACCCTTCATGTTAAAAACTCTCAATAGTTTAGGTATTGATGGGACGTATCTCAAAATAATAAGAGCTATCTATGACAAACCCACAGCCAATATCATACTGAATGGGTAAAAACTGGAAGCATTCCCTTTGAAAACTGGCACAAGACAGGGATGCCCTCTCTCACCACTCCTATTCAACATAGTGTTGGAAGTTCTGGCCAGGGAATCAGGCAGGAGAAAGAAATAAAGGGTTATTCAATTAGGAAAAGAGGGAGTCAAATCGTCCCTGTTTGCAGACGACATGATTGTATATCTAGAAAACCCCATCATTTCAGCCCAAAATCTCCTTAAGCTGATAAGCAACTTCAGCAAAGTCTCAGGATACAAAATCAATGTACAAAAATCACAAGCATTCTTATACACCAATAACAGACAAACAGAGAGCCAAATCATGAGTGAACTCCCATTCACAATTGCTTCAAAGAGAATAAAATACCTAGGAATCCAACTTACAAGGGATGTGAAGGACCTCTTCAAGGAGAACTACAAACCACTGCTCAATGAAATAAAAGAGGATACAAACAAATGGAAGAACATTCCATGCTCATGGGTAGGAAGAATCAATATCGTGAAAATGGCCATACTGCCCAAGGTAATTTATAGATTCAATGCCATCCCTATCAAGCTACCAATGACTTTCTTCACAGAATTGGAAAAAACTACTTTAAAGTTCATATGGAACCAAAAAAGAGCCCGCATTACCAAGTCAATCCTAAGCCAAAAGAACAAAGCTGGAGGCATCACGCTACCTGACTTCAAACTATACTACAAGGCTACAGTAACCAAAACAGCATGGTACTGGTACCAAAACAGAGATATAGATCAATGGAACAGAACAGAGCCCTCAGAAATAATGCCGCCTATCTACAACCATCTGATCTTTGACAAACCTGAGAAAAACAAGCAATGGGGAAAGGATTCCCTATTTAATAAATGGTGCTGGGAAAACTGGCTAGCCATATGTAGAAAGCTGAAACTGGATCCCTTCCTTACACCTTATACAAAAATTAATTCAAGATGGATTAAAGACTTAAACGTTAGACCTAAAACCATAAAAACCCTAGAAGAAAACCTAGGCAATACCATTCAGGACATAGGCATGGGGAAGGACTTCATGTCTAAAACACCAAAAGCAATGGCAACAAAAGCCAAAATTGACAAATGGGATCTCATTAAACTAAAGAGCTTCTGCACAGCAAAAGAAACTACCATCAGAGTGAACAGGCAACCTACAAAATGGGAGAAAATTTTCGCAACCTACTCATCTGACAAAGGGCTAATATCCAGAATCTACGATGAACTCAAACAAATTTACAAGAAAAAAACAAACAACCCCATCAAAAAGTGGGCAAAGGACATGAACAGACACTTCTCAAAAGAAGACATTTATGCAGCCAAAAAACACATGAAAAAATGCTCATCATCACTGTCCATCAGAGAAATGCAAATCAAAACTACAATGAGATACCATCTCACACCAGTTAGAATGGCAATCATTAAAAAGTCAGGAAACAACAGGTGCTGGAGAGGATGTGGAGAAATAGGAACACTTTTACACTGTTGGTGGGACTGTAAACTAGTTCAACCCTTGTGGAAGTCAGTGTGGCGATTCCTCAGGGATCTAGAACTAGAAATACCATTTGATCCAGCCATCCCATTACTGGGTATATACCCAAAGGATTATAAATCATGCTGCTATAAAGACACATGCACACGTATGTTTATTGCGGCACTATTCACAATAGCAAAGACTTGGAACCAACCCAAATGTCCAACAACGATAGACTGGATTAAGAAAATGTGGCACATATACACCATGGAATACTATGCAGCCATAAAAAATGAAGAGTTCATGTCCTTTGTAGGGACATGGATGAAACTGGAAACCATCAGTATCAGCAAACTATCGCAAGGACAAAAAACCAAACACCACATGTTCTCACTCATAGGTGGGAATTGAACAATGAGAACACATGGACACAGGAAGGGGAACATCACACTCGTGGGACTGTTGTGGGGTGGGGGGAGGGGGGAGGGATAGCATTAGGAGATATACCTAATGCTAAATGACGAGTTGCTGGGTGCACCACACCAACATGGCACATGTATACATATGTAACAAACCTGCACATTGTGCACATGTACCCTAAAACTTAAAGTATAATAATAATTAAAAAAAAATTTTCAATGCCTATACCAGTCTTTACATATCTTTTACAATTATACATAAGAGATTATGCTAATCACAACATTACCCAGCCTTCTTTTTCATCTATATTATAGGCTGAATTGTGTCTCTCCTAAAATTTATATATTGAAATCCTAACACCCAGTACCTCAAAAAAAGACTCTATTTGGAAATAGGGTCTTTAAAGAAGTAATTAAAATGGGGCCATCAGGTGGGCCCTAATCCAATCTAACTTGTGTCCTTACTAGAAGAGGAAATTAGGATACCCAGAGAGATCCCTGTGTGTCTGCACAGAGGGAGATGTGTGAAGAGCCAGCCAGGGAATGGCCATCTGCAAGCCAATGAGAGCGATCTGGGAGGAAACTAACACTGACAGCACCTTGATCTTGGACTTCCAGCCTCCAGGACTGTGAGAAAATAGATGGCTGTAATTTAAGCCACCCTGTCTGTGTTACTCTGTTATGGCAGCCCTAGCAAACTAACACAACCTATGAGTACATGTTTGTGATATATCCATGTCAGTGCTCATGGACCAACCCCCCTCATTTCATCATATAAATTATTATAATTGATTTCATCTTTGCCCTATTGATTGACATTTACGTTGACTCCAGGTTTTGGTGTTTTATTTACTAATTCAAACAATGCAGCAATAAACATTTGTGCACTGAAAAAAAAAAAAGAAAGAAAGAGAAGAAGACTGGGAAATAGGGCACTATCTTCCTTAATGATTGCATTTCAAAGAGATGGCTCCCAGGTACCGGAGAAAGACATTCCTAAAGAGAAGAAAGCTGGAAAGAAGCTTATTTACCTTTTTAAAAGATTTACATATTTCTAACAGGCAGATAAAGAATTTATAATTAAAAGTTTTCTAAAGTAAATTTTCACAGGGAGAATTAAGCCTCTTATTTTTAATTTGTATTTACCCTTATATAGGCAATCCTTGCCCTATATTTGCATCGTCCCAGTCTCTGCCTCTGTCGTCACAAGGCACAGTCTCTATGTATCTTTCTATCCAAATTTCCCTCTTCTTAATAGGGTACCAGTCATTGGACTAGAGTACATTGTAATCCAGTATAACCTCATCTTAATTTGATGACATCTGCAAAGAGCTTATTCCCATGTAAGGCCACATTCACAGGTAAGGAAGGGAAAGGTATCTTTTTGGGGGGACATATCTTTTGGGGGGACACAATTCAATCCACAACAATTGTCTACTTACAAAATTGTGTGTAGGAGAAAAAATTCTAATTTGGCTAAGCCACCATTATTTGGGGTCCTTGTTACTCACACCCAAATAGTTCTGGGACCTGGCAGAATCTGATGACAAATTAAGAACTCCAGCATCCTTCACTAAACCAGGTAAGCTCCTCTCCCTTGGGGTGGAGGGAACACTCTGGAGAAAATGCCCCGGGCCATCTCTTCTGTCATTAGTCCTTTATTACCCCAACTCCCATCCCAGTTGTAACCCTGAGGTGTTGCCTTCATTTTATCTCCTAGTTGACACCTAAAATTGCTTTAAGAGGAAAAAACAAAACCTTTTAATCATTTAGTTAGAGTTAAAAGTTATAACAGACATATATGCTAGTTGTGGTAACACTTTAAAGTGAATGGGTTCCTGTAAAAATGCAATCAAACTATCAATCAACAGATATAAATTACTGAACTTAAATCCTTGGCTCTTTTTTAGGGAAAAGCACATGGTGAGAGCAGAAACATTTCATTTTTCAAAGATCGTATCCAGAATACTATTAAAATAGAAGCAGTTTTTGAACAGATAAGATGGAAAATGCATTTAAAATCCTAAATATTTAAGTTTGTTAGAATTACTGGATCAACTAGTGAAATCCTGAACATGCCATAACAACAACACAAAAGGCCCCTTTGTTACGGCCCTGTGATAATTCCAAACTGCCTGAGGCAGACAACTTCTCTGTTGCTGATATAAGGTTATAGAGCAAAATGCATGCCAAGACAGAGAAGTAAAGAACCCAAAACGAAAACAGAGGTAAAAGGTATGTACGAGTTGTCCAGAAGGGGACTATTTATGGCAAAAACTGGGAGAGACAGCATTTGAGCTAACCTCTCTATTGCTTAAGGAAAATCTTTTCAAAGGCCCAAAGTTTCAGAGAAAAAGAATGTCAGAATTTTAGATTTGCACTGAGTTGAGCATCACCTGTGTAGGTCCCAGCAGGTCCCTGTCAAGTAATTGAGTTTGACAGTTCCTCCAGAAATCATAAATCCCAAATGCTCAGAAATGAGCATTGAGTCAGTGACTGGTCAACAACCAATAAGCCTTATCACACAGTACAGGGTTTCTGCAGAGATGGTAAAATTAGTTGCACCCCAGGTAATTTCAACTTATCTATACATTTTCCCACTGAAGCCTCCTGAGTTTTCAGGGTTCCCACAACACAAAGCCATTTTCTAGCCAACCACATCAAAAGGTTATCTCAATTTACATAATAGATGAAGTACTAAGAAAATGGGTTAGAATTCTATATTTTAGCAAGCTAAATTCCTTGTTAAATGTATTAAGTTTGTTACTTAAACAATAATATTCTTTCTTTTCTATGTAGATCTGGACAGTCATATTTGCATTTTGCTTAACAAGCAAGGGGCACGTGAGAGCTTCTCCAAAAGAGGAATTTCACATAAAGAGAATTTTTAAAAACTCTTTGTGGCCAAAGTAATGAGATTGTTACCAAGCAATGGGAATTTTAGAATTCTTTAACACTTTCATTTTACTTGATCTAAAATCTGCAAGTGTTTTATTTTAGTAACCCAGAGGGCTGCCATTTTGAAGTGCTATGCTAAAATCTCTGACTATAAAAGGATGGCAGATGGCACTTCAGTGGTTGGAGTGATAGAAAGCAGACAAATGCCTTGTTTACTTAGGATTGCAGTTGTTCTCAACATCCTAGAATCATTCAGGGAGACTGTTGGAAATAGATTCCTGATTCTAACACTCAGAGTTTCTGATTTATAAGGTGCAAAGTAAAGCCTCAGAATCTGCATTTTCATAAGCACCCCAAGTAATCTGCTGCAGGTGATCAACCCATCATACTTTAAGAAACAGTGCCTTACCTGCAGAGCCAAAGCAAGACTAAGCAAAAAGAACAAATCTGAAGGCATCACATTATCCGACTTCGAACTCTACTCCAAGACTATACTTACCAAAAGAGCATGGTATAAAAATAGGCATGTAGACCAATGGAACAGAATAGAGAACCCAGAAATAAAGCCAAATATTATAGCCAACTGACCTTTGACAAAGCAAACAAAAACATAAAGTGTGGAAAGGACACCATATTCAATAAATGGTGCTGGGATAATTGGAAGCCACATGTAAAAGAATGAAACTGGATCATCATCATAAAAATTCTAGAAAATTAGAAAAATTCCTCTAGATATTGGCTTAGGCAAAGAGTTCATGACCAAGAACCTAAAAGCAAATGCAACAAGAACAAAGATAAATAGATGGGACT
The DNA here is from genome assembly GCF_000001405.40 of Homo sapiens. Taxonomy (NCBI): domain Eukaryota; kingdom Metazoa; phylum Chordata; class Mammalia; order Primates; family Hominidae; genus Homo; species Homo sapiens. The sequence continues at coordinate 73,954,419 of NC_000006.12, read as the reverse complement.
TAATTAAACTAAAAAGCTTCTGCATAGCAAAAGAAATAATCAGCAGAGTAAACAGACAACCCACAGAGTGGGAGAAAATATTTGCATACTCTGCATCTGACAAAGGACAAATGTCAAGAATATACAAAGAACTCAAATAAATCAGCAAAAAAAAAAAAACAAATAATCCTATCAAAAAGTGGGCTAGGGACAAGAATAGATAATTCTCAAAAGAAGATATACAAGTGGCCAAGAAACATGAAAAAATGCTCAACTTCACTAATTATCAGGGAAATGCAAATCAAAACCACAATGTGATACCACCTCACTCCAGCAAGAATGGCCATAATCAAAAAACCAAAAAAATAATCGATATTGGCATGGATGTGGTGAAAAGAGAACACTTTTACACTATTGGTGGGAATGTAAACTAGTACAACCGCTATGGAAAACAGTATAGAGACTCCTTAAAGAACTAAAAATAGAACTGCCATTTGATCCAGCAATCCCACTACTGGGTATCTACCCAGAGGAAAAGAAGTCATTATATAAAAAGACACTTGCACACGGATGTTTTTAGCAGCACAATTTGCAATTGCAAAAATGTTGAAACAGCCTAAATGTTCATCAACTAACAAGTGGATAAAAGAAAATGTTGTATATATATATATATATATATATATATATACACATACATATACATACCATGGAATACTACTCAGCCATAAAAAGGAATGAAATAATGGCATTTGCAGCGACCTGGATGGAGCTGGAGACCATTACTCTAGGTGAACTAACTCAGGAATGGAAAAGCAAACATCATATGTCCTCACTTATAAGTTGAAGTTAAGCTATGAGGATACAAAGGCATAAGAATGATACAAAGGCATAAGAATGATACAATGGATTCTGGGGACTCAGGGGGAATGGTGGAAGAGAGGTGAAGGATAAAAGAGTATACATTGGGTAGAGTGTACACAGCTTGCGTGACGGGTGCACTAAAATCTCAGAAATCATCACTAAAGAACTTTTCCATGTAACCAAAAACTGCCTGTTCCCCAAAAACTACTGAAATAATAATAATGATAAAATTAAATTAAACAGTGCTTTAAACTTTAAATTTGAAAGACTACAATTTATTTGTAATATATAACCCTGACAGTATGTCCCACCACCCCTGGAGCCAGACTACCCTTAACTTCTTGCCACCATCATCTCTCCCCTCCCATATATACACATGCCATGATTTCTAGTTTACATGCCAAACCAAACTGATTCTCCCATGTATATAGGGTAATGGGCCATCAAGCAGTAGCAATTACCTGGTGATTTCTTTCCCTTAATACAATCATTGTAAAAACATCCTTGAAATCTAGTCTACTTATTGCAGGGATCTTGATTCAATAATTTAACCAAACAAAGAAGTACCTCTGTGTATAGTAGTAGTTCAAGCAGCAGTGTAATCCACAGAAACCCTTTAGTGACCAAGTACATCAGCACCTAAGTCCCATGAGCATTGAGGCCCACATACTCTCTTTTAAAACCTTGAGCCCTGACCGCAAACTTTAACTATAAATCAATAGTGGAATTATTGTAGGTTTTTTATCTAAAAGGTACCTCAATGATCTGGTAAGTGCAGGAGTTAGAATTGCATTCCCAAACTACCTCTGTGGTACAAAAACGTAAGGTAGAGGTATTGTAGGAAGCTGATGGGAGAAGTTTCCTGGCCAACTTGTTTTAAAACAAAAATTTACTTACCCAATTAGCTACATTGAAAGAGGTTGACAGCAAAATAAAAAATACTACCAACCAAACTAATCCTGGTCCAAATGCCCAGTGTTCATGAAATAAACACTTTTGGCAGCAGAACATGAGAAAAAATAAAACATACCAGAATTCCACAAAGAAATAAGATATATTCAGAGGATTAAATTTATGAATAACCCTCAGCATCAAAATAAACCATCCCAACTAAGCGTTCAAGCTCTTAATTCAATTGAAAAGGATGAAAAAATTGGGTCCCTATGCATTTCTGTTGAGTAAAGTAAATAAGATCATTTTAATCGTCTAATATCGGAGTAGCAAAGTAATAGAATAGCCAGAAATTTAATCTTTGAATCTGTATATTTTACATTGCATTAATCATTGTCAAACATATTAGTTTGACAATGCTGAACATGTTCCTAAAAACACAAAGACATTGCTATAAATGTAAAATAAGAATAAGGAATATAAAATAATAAAATAAATAACTTTTGCATTTTACACTTCTACAACTTGCACAAAGTGTATATGAAGGCACGGGAAACAAATGCTGTCATCTAAAAAACAAAGTGTGTTTTACCAGACAGGATGGACCAAATGACCTTTATTCATGCTATTAAAATGTCTTTTGGCCTTTAGTTTATGGAATATCATTATTGAAAATTATGTTTCTCTAAAGCACCTCTAAAATATGGACGATCATTTCAACAAAAAAAGCTACTAACATTCTATTGGAATGCCTCATGCTGTTTCGATTACTACAAATCTTTAAGTAGATGAAAAAAATCATTATGAGAGACTATAGTTAAAATAGTGAAAGCACTATAGAATATATTTTCATTACAAAAAGAGTAGGTACCATTCTAATCACATGGAATAGTCAAACAGGAAAACGCCTTTGGGCACCTTTCAGTCACAGTCTTCTTCCTGGCCCACAATACTTTAAATATAAACCTAGATTTACCCAGCTTGGAGACCTCACCTTGGTCATATCTAAAGGTATGCTTGTAACTCAAAGCCTTTATGAGAAAATGAAAGGATTGCTTGAGTAGAACAAAACCCACACGAGTAAATGCATTGTGAACACTTTCCAAACATTTGATATTTAAGCAAATACTACAAAAAATAACAAAAGAAATAATTATACATGGTTATTAAAGTCTGTTGTTACTACCAATCCTCAGAACTGGAATATCAGTGAGATTCCCAGAATATAATAAAGTAAGTAAAATTTCTCCTGGGCCATTTCAGACTCTCTTTTCACATCATCCATGCCATTTCCATCCCCAAAGGAAATACATTTGCCAAAGAGAATGAGTCAAATGTCAAAAACTGGAAAAGGAGCCAAAGAAATTGCAAGCTGAGGAACTCAGCCAAGGAGATGCAGAATATCAATAGGAAGTCAAGTTTAATGGAAGCCAACAGTCAGAGAAAGTAAGGCTGAGGGTAAAGACAGGTTGGTGGCACCTCTGTACCTGCCAACTGTCAGATTTGTATGAAGGAGTCAGCAGGTTGTACTGGAATACAACTGCAATATCACTGCAACATCTGCCTCCCAGGTTTAAGTGATTCTCCAGCCTCAGCCTCTCAAGTAGTTGGGACTACAAGCGTGTGCCACTATGCCTGGCTAAAATGATGAAAGCAGTAAACACATGGACAGGGAAATGGAAGATCATAAGCTTAAGCATTGACTCCTTGTTCCATTGAAGCAAGAGCAAGAATTGCCCTCTCAACCACAAAGAGTTAGGCGATGCAGGTATGACACAGAAAATATCTAACCTGGCCAGGTGCGGTGGCTTATGCTTGTAATCCCAGTACTTTGGGAGGCCAAGGTGGGCAGATCACTTGAGGTCAGGAGTTGAAGACCAGCCTGGCCAACATGGTGAAACCCTATCTCTACTAAAAATATAAAAATTAGCCAGGCATGGTGGTGCATGCCTGTAGTCCCAATTACTTGGGAGGCTGAGGCTTGAGAATCACTTAAACCTGGGAGACAGAGGTTGCAGTGAGCCAAGATCGTGCCACTGCACTCCAGCCTGGGCAACAGAGTGAGACTCCATCTCAAAAAACAAAAACAAACAAAAGAAAAGACCTAATCTGGCTGTATTCCCAGTTGCTGCCTTATATTTCCCTACCTTGTTGGCCAGGGTTTAATGCCAAAAAATGATTCATAAAATATATGAATTTTGGATGTGTTGGCCTAGTTTACAGTGTTTTTTAATTATAAGCTTAGGCACAGTAATCAATAATGGTAACAATCTCAAATACCTGAGCCAGAATCACAAGCCTTTTCCATAAGAAATTCTCATAATTTCTGCACATTCACAGCTTTACTTACCTTTTTTTAATCCTTTCTTTGGTGGAAAACAAGGAATGTCACTTGCTTTATTTCATTTGAGAAATAAATAAGTTGGAAGAACGTAAACTTACCTATCACCTCTTGATTACTTATTCATTCAACAAAGATTTATTGAGCACTGATATGTCTCAGTCATTTTGCTATACACTAGAAATTCCAAACACAAATAAGCCATAATCATATGCTTTGCTGGCCTATTGGGGAATAGCTGTCTTTATCTTTTGGGCAACAGGTAAGGATGTATGGCATCTTGGTTTTCATTATCCTGAAGGAATTCAGTGTTCAGATAGGCCCTACATCCTCAGTTTTACCTAACCTCCTCTAATTTCAGAAATTTTATTTCCTTCCTCTTTCCCCCATTCCCTCCCTTGGCCACTGCCTGGCATCCTGTCCTTATTTAGCGATTCCCCAGCCCTGAGGTGTCAAATTTCGGTGGTCTTCTCTCTCATCTCTATCTCTTGTCCACCTTGCTCTCTCATTCTCTTTTTCCTGCTGAGGTTATTCTTCATCCTTGGTATGTCCTCCAGTATGGTTTATTCCTCCACTTTATATTTTTTCTTCCTTATTTACTATGATCATCATTTAAAACATACCTTGACTAAAACCCAAACTCCCTTGCCACTTGCCCCTCTATTTGCTTTTTTAGAAATACACCTCTGAACCAATCCAGCTGTTCTTCTTTGCTCCATATCCAGCTTATTAAATGCCATTGAACAAAAAGATTTTACAAATGAAGTATAAGGTGAGAGAATTTGAACTCCTACATATTTATGACCTAGAACTCCATTATATTTTTAATGCTGGTAAACAGTTTTCTGTGTCTTTGAATGGCTTCTCTTCATATTCCATCTTGAGGCTCTTTCATATCTTCATAAGTCTCTTCAAGTATTTAGTCCTACTACTTCTCCCTGCCCTTCCTAATGGTCATTATCTACTTCACAAAGAAAATAAAGGTCATCGGCACAAGCTTCTGTCAATAAGTTTTCTAACTCTTAGTTGATGCCTATGCCCAAGCAAGAGCAGATTGGAGAAATGTTCTTGTCCTTGGCCTTGCTCTGCCTGGTCAATGTTTGGAATAAGAAAGTTCAAATTCCTCTCTCTACATCTATCCATGCATTTTTCTCTCTCAGTTCCATGCACCGCTGTCTTTTCTTCAATCTGCAGTGAGTCTCTCTGCTCTATTTTGTATCCCAACCCCTTTATTGTCTTAGGGACTCTATCACATCAAGACAATCTTTTACTTCTCCCTTCCTGCTGCCTTCTTTTCTCAGCCTATTCCCATGAGCAAAGCTATTCCACATTTAAGACCCTCCCCTTAACCCCAAATCTCCCTCTAACTATGGCCTATCTGACTGTTTCTTTTCTTAGAAAAGTTTTTTTTTTTTAAGAGTAGCCTGGACTCCAGTAGTTCCAGGACTGAGGTTCAAGAGAAGCACAGGCTGCTGCCCCTGGAGTTTAACACCAGAGGTAAAAGCATGAAGGAGGTGCAGGATGCCACTTTTAGGACTGAGACTCAAGTGAGGCACCATTTAAGAGCCTAACCCAAAAGAATGTGAACCATTCTGGAGCCCAGCGATTCTGGGGCTAAGTTGCAAAAGAAGAGCTGGCTGCTGACCAGGGATCTTAGGTGCAAGCAACTGCACCTGGGGCTGAAGAGCAAGTGGTACACACATTCTGCAGTCACCAGTCTAGAATGCCATTAGTGAAGGCAGTGACTTCCCACCACAGTGGCAGGGCAGCAGCATGAGGGATTGTCCCACCCCTGCCTACCATGCCTACCATGGCCAGTGTCTATACACACCATGAGGGGATTTGAGAACAATCCAGCCCAGCCTGCTTTGCCCCTTGTCCCCATGCTGGAGCACACAGTCTGGGAGCCACAGGATTGTCCAGCCCAGTTCACCAGCATCACCACCTGATCACTCCTCCCAAGGGACTGAGGTTAGCCTACCTAGCCAGCCACTACCACCATATCTGACACCTAGTTGGTGCCACCTGCAGGCCTGGAGACTGGTCTACCGTGCCCATCACAGTCATTGCCAACACCATCACACACTGCTCAGGACCCAGAGGGTCATCCTGCCACTACCATTACCCATGTGACACTGGCTGTCCAGGGGCCTGAGAACTCACCCACCTGCCCAGCTCATGGCTGGCAACATTGGCATCTGAGTAAGCCACCAACACGCCCAAGATCTGGCCTGCGTAGACCCACTAACACCCATGCCAGCATATGTCACCCTGGGACCAAAGGATAGGCATGCTAAGCCCACCACTACACCTACTGAGGCCCAAAGACTGGCCTACTTGGAATCCAGTCTCCAGCAGAACATCACCACAGCCTCAACTAACAACCACACCCTAAGCCACAAAGGAAATCATAGATACCACTGATGCTCTTCACAGACAAAAAAAAAAGTCAGAGACTACACTACTGCACGCACCAAGAATCAAAGCCAAAGTGCTCTACCCAGCCAACACCCTGGATTCATCTTCAGGAAAAAGTAATCACCTATGAAAGCAAATTCAAAAAAGGAGAAGACATGGTGGATACACTAGATGCACAGATATCAACATAAGAACACAGGAAATGTGAAAAAAAAAAAAAAGAATACAACAACTCCAAAGGAACCAAATAATTCTCTGGCAATAGATCCCAATCAAACAGAAATTAACAAAATCCTGGAAAAAAAGAGTTCAAATTATTGATTCTAAAGAAGCTCAGGGAGATAGCAGAGAATTTCAAAAAAATGAATAAATCAGAAAAACAATTCAGGATATGAATGAGAAATTTACCAGAGAGATAGATATCACAGGAAAGAACCAAACAGAAATACTGAAACTGAAGAATTCACTGAATAAACTATAAAACACATTCAATCAGTTCAAAAACAGACTAGATAAAGCAGAAGAATCTCAGAACTTCAAGTTAGGTCTTTTGAAATAACACAGTAAGACAAAAATAAAGACAAAAGCACTTTGAAAGAGTGAACAAAGCCTTCATGATATATGGGACACCCTAAGGCTACCAAATTTATGAATTATTGGTATCCAAGAAGGCAAAGATAAAATGAAAAGTTTCAAAAACCTATTTAATGAAATAACAGCTGAAAACTTACCACATCTAGCAAAGAATTAGACATCTGGGTACAGGAGGCCCAGTGATCCTCAAGAAGATATAATGTAAAAAAGTCTCCACTGTATGTTATAGTCAAAATATCTAAAATCAATGACAAAGAGAGAATTCTAAAAGAAAAAAAAAAAGCATCTAGTCACCTATAAAGGAATCCCTATCAGACTAACAGCAGACTTCTCAGCAGAAGTCTTACAGATCAGAAGAGAAAGAGCATATTCAAAGTGCTGAAAGAAAAAACACTGCCAGCCAAGGATACAGTATCTAGCAAAATTACCCTTCCTGAATGTAGGAGAAAAAAAAAATGTCTTCCCAAGACAAGCAAAAGCTGAGAGAATTCATCACCACTAGACTAGTCCTACATGAAGAGCTCAAGGGAGCCCTGGAAGCAAAAGGACAACATTTACCATTATGAAAAAAGTATAAAGCTCAATAGTAAAGCAAACACACAAGTGAGAAAGAGAAAGAACTCAAATGGTACCGCTACGGATAACAGCCAAACTACAATGAAAAACAATAAGAGAAAAAGAAAGGAACAAAGAATATATTTTTAAAAACAAAAAGAATTAACAATATGAGAAAAACAAAACCTTGCAGATCAATAATAACCTTGAATGTGAATGAGTTAAATTATGCACTTAGAGGTATAGACTAGCTGAATGGATTTTTAAAAAGAAAATACATGATGCAATTATCAGCTGCCTATAAGAAACACACTTTACCTTTTAGGAAATTTATACACTGAAAGGAAAGGAACGGAAAAAGTTCCCATGCAAATGGAAAACAAAAGCTAGTGGGAATGGCTATATTTATATCAGATAAAACAGACAAAACAAAAGCAAAAAAAGACAAAGAAAATTATTATATCATATATATGATATATATGATATATTATATCATGATACAGGGATAGAGAAAATAACAAAGATTTTATGGCTATGCACAGGTAACAAAAAAAAGGCAAATGGGACTATATTAAACTAAAAAGCTTCTGAACAGCAAAGGAAACAATCAACAGAATGAAAAGACAACCTGTTGAATGGTGGAACATATTTGCAAACTATTTATCCAACAAGGGACTAATACCCCGAATATAGAAGGAACTCAAACAACTTCATGGTAAATAATAATAATAATTACCCCATCAAAGAGTGAGGAAATGACATGAACAGACAATTTTCAGAAAAAGATGTAAGAATAGTCAACAGATGTATTAAAAAGGTCTCAACATCACTAATCATCAGAGAAATTCAAATCAAAACTACAATGAGATATCATGTTGCCTCAATTAAAATGCCTGTTATGAAAAAGACTAAAAAATAACAAATGCTGGTGGGGATGCATAAAAAAGGGAATGCTTATACACTATTGGTGGGAATGTAAATTAGTATAGCCAGTATGGAAAATAGTGCATAGATTTCTCATAGAACTAAAACTAGAACTACCATATAATCCTGGAATCCCACTATTGGATATTTATCTGAAGGAAAAGAAATCAGCATATCAAAGGGATACCTGCACTCCCATGTTTATTGCAGCACTATTCACAACAGCAAAGATACTAATTAACCTAAGTGTCAATCAATAGATTAATGGGTAAAGAAAATGTAGTATGTATACACAATGGAATACTATTTCGCCATGAAAAAGAATGAAATCATGTCATTTGCAGTAACATGAATAAAACTGGGTGTCATTCTGTTAAGTGAAATAATGCAGGCACAGAAAGACAAATATTGCATGTTCTCACTCATATGTGCGGAAGCTAAAAAGCTCAATCTCATGGAGGAAGAGAGTATAATACCAGAGGCTGGGAAGGGTGTGTAGGTAGGCAGCGGCATGAAGAGATGTTGGCTAATGAATACAAAGGTACATTTAGATAAAAAGTATAAGTTCTAATGTTTCACAGTAGAGTAGAGCGACTATTTAAAAAGTTGTTCTCATGGAGGTAGACAACAGAAAGACACTAGAGACTAGGAAAGGCATGGAGGACAGAGGGTGGGAGGATGAAGAGATATTGGTCAATGAGTGCAAACATACATTTAGATAGAAGGTACAAGTACTAATGTTCACAACAAAGTAGTGTGACTATAGTTAACAACAATGCATTCCATATTTCAAAGTAGGTAGAGGAGAGGACTTGAGTTGTTCCCAACACAGAAATAATAAATACTCAAGGTGACAGATACCCTAAATACCTGGACTTGATCATAACCTGTTCTATGCATGTAACAATATATCACATATACGCCATAAATATGTAAAATATCATGTATCAATTTTAAAATTAAATAAAAATAAGTAAGTAAATGAAAAATAAGTCATATTTAAATATACTTGACATTTTAGTACCTACCAGGTCTCTACAGATTGATATTAAATAGTTATGATGTTAAAAGAAAATAAAACAAAAAAGAGAGAAAATCAAGGTCGCTGCATATAAAGCAGAAAAGTTCTAATTTTAAGAGAATTTATAGTTTGGAATTTATTCAATTGAAAGTCCCATAATATGAAAATTCCTAAGGTAGAAACCAAGTCAAAATATTACTCATGTGTTAGTCTATTTTTAAGTTTTTTTTGTGGAGGTTAAGTAAATCTACAGTGGGAAAAGAACATTTTCCTAAATGAAGTCTCTTACTCTGTATGTCATACCCCAAGAGAATAGTGTAAGTGCTAGTGCCTGAAAGTTTTTTAATGAACCAAGATTATCACTGGCAAATGCATTGTGGGAACAGCTCTGGCAGTAGGAGGCAGAAAGAAACCAGATGATCTAATGGTTGGTCTTTTTCTTGTCCAAAAATGATGAGTCTGTGAAGTGGGTAAATCATTCTTTAAATGAGCTTTTAAAAATAAGCAAATATGAGGAAAATGAAAATAGCTGTTATGATATTAGAATGAAGCTAAATTTGAAATGTACACGGGGAGGATTATACTCCAATGAAAGGCAAGAGGCTAGAAGTGTGTGTGTGTGTGTGTGTGTGTGTGTGTGTATGTGTGTGTGTGTGTGTGTGTGTGTTGTTTGGGAAAGACAATATTGAACTATCCAAAAGTAGTTCTGGTTTGTATGCTGTCCAAAAATGTTTCAGCTGGGATGGACTTAGCAGGGATGAAAGGTTTGGGAAAGAGCAAACCATGAACAATGTAGGAAACAAACAAAAAGTACTGGAGATATTTCCATTGTCAAGAAATGCCTCCAATAAGTGGATTTAAGAGAAAGTGAAAGTTTTAAAGCATGTTGTGCAAAGAAATACAATATAATAAAGGTAAGCCTTTTTGTATTTAACCTAGTCCATATGAGTATTCATGATTGAACTATTGTAAAGATAACATTCAGCAGTAGAAGCAGCTTTAAGACTGAATAGACGGCTCAGTGGATTCTGCAGCACTTGCCATCTTCAAAATGACCCTAGATCAGGTTTTTTTGTTTTGTTTTTCCACTACTTGCTTCTTTCTTAGAAGTTTTATTCAAGCATGTGTATCAACATGACTCATGAGGCATAATTCCTCTTGAAAGTGTATTCTATCAGGTATTTATTACAGGACTCTAAATCAGCTTCAGCTGTCACCACCCCTCCTACCATGCATGCAGAAACTAACTCTTTTTACTAGCTGTTCCAGCTTGTCCTCCCAGGTCTAAGGAAATAGTCATCCCTTGCTTGAAGATCATGTAATGTCTCATCTGGGACAGATGTCTTTTAAGGACTATGACTTTTCACCAAGATTCACCCCAACTACCGTTTGTTGCCATTAGACCCAATACTAGGGTCCCATCTCATCATGTTCCTGGGGGGAAGGACAAAGTTCAAACTAAGAAGAGATACCTAACATACCAAAATAATTATGAGATCTTACTCATGTATGTAAATATATACCTGAGACCAAAGACAACAGACTAAAACCCTGGATCTGGCTACATTTAGTGACATGGGTAGACTTCCAGAGATTTAGGGTTTAATGTTGCAGTATATGCAACTGGAATTAGTTCCTATAGTTTACTTCAATTTTGGCTAAAACTTTGACTTAACTTTGGCCTACGTTTAATGAAGTTGAGGTGTCAGAACCTCCCTGACATAATGCAGAGCAAGGAAACCAAAAGTTAAGGGAGATAGGAGTGGTAAAGTGGATTTATCATATGTGACTTGCATTCACACTCACTCCTGCTACCTCCCTTGAGAGTTCCCAGAAGACACTCCCCTTACCAAGGCATTAAGAAAGACATTAGTAAGAAGGGTATTAACATTCTTGAAAATCTCTCTTGTTGCTTTCTGTGTAGGCCATGTATCTTGGTAGAAGATGACACCATTGAGATGACTGCCAGATTTCAGTGGAGATGATGAGATCCTGGTGACCTCATCACCAGATGACAAAGCCCAGGTGACAGTGCTTAGCTGTCAGAGACAATGTGGATGAATTCACCACAAGGGGCAGCAGGGCATTGTGGCAATCAGAGTTACTCGACGTATAGGAATCCTTGGCATGGCTAAGTCACAGTGTCCCTGGGAATGAAAGAGATGGAGAGCCTACTAAAATGTTACTATCTTAGAAATGCCAATACCTCAGAAAAATCTCCCAGCTTGGTGACCAGAAACCTGACTTGAGTTATTACAGTGGGGGGTCATGGCTCTCATTCTGTTTTCAGTCCTAAACAAATTAATAAACCTGGTGCCTCTTGATTGAAGGGGAGGCCAGGTCCCCTTGAGGAAGAATCCTTCAGCATTGTCACAAGTATAGACTATACATTTTCCTCCGAATTCTCCCCAGAAGAATCTGTGCCATTTACTAGAGTGACTGCACACTGAAGGAAAAAAAAATACCTGAGACTTTTCAGGAATTACTAGACACTGGAAGATGTCACTGAACAGTAGAGATGGAAGAAACTTACCAATATTATCTTCAGTCATCTCATTTTACAGATAAAGAAATTAAACCAGATAAAGAATAAATTAATTACAGATAAAGAATAAATTATTTGTCCCTGGTCTGTAAGTAGCATAGCTAGAACTAGAATCCAGTGCTCATTTCTTCTACTCTAGATCTCTCTCACAGCTGCTAAAATGAATGCAGTAAGCCATTGCTTTAAGGGATTTTGCACTTTAACAATGATCAAACAGCTGACTCATCTGTTATAGCTTGCAGCTTTTAATTTATGGATTTAACTTTTCATTTCCTTTAGATAAAAACTGTGACAAAATTAGATATAGATCTTTTAAAATATTCTGAATAAAAAAAATTAAACACCAAAAGAGCTCAGTGCCAATCTTTTCATACAATCCCCACCCTGTGCTCATTACTTGCAATTCCTCAAAACAAAATAGCTGAATGGGCTTGGATTGAAAATAAGAAAATGTATTAAGATAAAGACTTAAAAATGATTAATTGATGGACAAAAATATGACTAAACCAAATATATAAACTAGATACCTCTCTTCCTTTCCTTCTCCTCATATAAACTAATTTGCTGTGCTAGAGGAATTGCCATACTCACCACCCATATAAATTAAGTTGCTGAACTATCTAATCTCTACAGGCTTATTTCACATTCACCTTTTGCTCTCAGAAATATTCAGTTTACCATATATATAAACTCTGAAAGCCTATGGGAGATTAAAGCCAAAGGAGACCTGTTTCTTGCCCTCGACATTTTTATCTACAGTCTCATGGAAAAGACAATCAAGGTACCACAAGGACACAGAATTTTTAACTGAATGTTGAGAAAGAGGTCTTTTTAAAAAATGGCAAGTGAGATGACTAGGGAATATTTCAAATAGCAGATATAGGAGAGGATTTTCAGGTTAGATTCCCATTCTGTGACTCCTAAAACCTTGGTTATGCTTATGCCAATGGAAGACTAATTATGCATTTAAAAATGTACATTTTTAAAAGATCATAAAAGTGAAGATATTGGGCAAGGTTCATTTTAATGGAGAAATTAGCCATGAATCAGAAAGCCAAATTCTTTTTATCAAGCACTTAACTCAGGTTTGAAAACAAAATACTATGGTACAATACCAATTATTTTCATTTCATTTCCCTCTTGTAAATGCTTTGGAGGAAAGAGTTTTCCTGAAATTATAGAAAACCTTCTCAGATATGAGATCAAGGTTACCATGGCTGAATTTGATTTTGGAACATCTAACACTGAGGTTAAAATTCATAGCATTTTTTAAGTAATCATAAAAAATACAAGCAAGATTTGTGGAAGAATAGCAAAAATAACACATCACTGTTTGGGCATCACTTCAATCACCCAATGGTAGCTGCTGCCCCAGAGATAGAAGAAAATGGGGAACCAAGAACAATATTTTAAAAGCCACTGAATAAACTCAACTTTAGGCAACCAAACAGAACTTTAATCACATTAATCACCTCTCTTATTTCGGACAAATATTTAAGATGAGCTGATGTGTAATAAAACAGCTTTGAAGTCAAACTGCTTGGGTTTGAATCCCAGACCCAGTGCTATTGCCTGTGTAAACATGGCCACATCATTTAACCTCTCCAAGTTAAATATCCAATGAATGTTGACCATTATTAATAATTAATTACCCAGCCCATGTCACATTAGAAGTAGCACATTTGAAATGAGACCTTTGAGCAGCAGTGGGCATCAACAGCATACTATAAGACAGAAAGAGTGAAAACTAGAAGAACTATAAAATTAGAAGCAAGAAGTCAATAAGCAGGGAAGTCTCAGGATGTTTAGCACTGTGGCCAACAGACGATGATACTTTTGTGCCCCTGATGGCAGGAATAAGCTTAATAAGAAATGTACAGAACATTTTTTAAGAAAATAACAATACATTACCAAAACATAGTTTTTAAAAACATTCTAAAAATTAACAGATATTCTATGTTTCTGAATGAGAAGATTCAATAAAGATGTTAGTGTGTCCTAAATTAACATATATGTTATGCGACTACAACTGAAAGTCTAAACAAGATTATTATTTTATTTTGTAAAGCGATTCTACATATGAAAATAATGAATACATTTTAGAAAAAGAGAGAAGGAAGTAGAAGGACTCATGCTTCTGAATACCATAACATTTTAAAAGAATGTACTGATTTAAATAGTTTAGAAAGGGGGCAAGAGTAAAACAAAACAGAAAGCTCCAAAGTAGACCCTAATATTATAAAAATTTAGGATTTTATAAGAAAACAGAATACATGGGGAAAGGAAAGATCATTTAACAAATAGTTCTGGGACAATTGGCCATATATTTGGAGTTAGGGGTAAGTTGAATTAAACTAAATTCCTACCTCAATGTACTAAAATATATTAAAATTAAATATAAAAATTAAATCCCTACTGTATTAGTTTGCTATGGCTACCCTTACAAAGTACTGCATGCTGAGTAACTTAAACAACAGAAATTTATTTTCTCAGAGTTTTGGGGGCTAGAAGTCCAAGATCAAGGTGTCAGCAGTGTTGGTTTCTTCTGAGGCCCTTACCCTTGGCTTGTAAATGGCCATCTTCTCCCTGTGTCTTCACGTAGTCTTCCCTCTGTGCATGTCTGTGTCCTAATTTCCTCTCCTTATAAGGACATCAGTTATTTAGAATTAGGACCCACTCTAATGACCTCATTTAAATGTAATTACTTCTTTAAAGACCCTATCTCCAAATACAGTCACATTCTGAGATACTTGGGTTTAGGACTTAAATATATGAGTGGGGGATGGGGGATTATTCAGCCCATAACCCTTCCTATTCCTCTTCTTTTTTTTTTCCTTTTTTTCACTTCCCTTGCTGTTTAACTGTTCACTTCTAAAGCCGATGGTTGGGGCAGAATAAGATTAGGTGTCCACATCAAAGACAGAGGAAATGCAGTAATCCAAATTTGGGTGTCAGAGCCTAAGACAAATGAAAAGCACATCCACATTGGGGCAAGGGTGCAATTCCTGGCACGGGGTCTCAGAGTTTGAGCAGGGTGAGCATATTTACTTTGCGAGATGTCAATCAAGCCAAGAATAGAGTGAGGAAGTGTGTGCCCATGGCCACAGGGTATTAGAGCCCAAATGAAGTGAGGAGGTTATTCCCACGAAGGGGCACCCTGACATGGAACGCTGAGTCCACTGGGCTGATGAGAAGCAGTAGCAATGAAAGGTTTAGCAACAAATAATACTAGAGAAGACAGTTACAAAAATGGAAAAAGAGCAAACTAGAATTAACTCCCTAAGATTTGGATGATATAGAGAGATATAAATATATATAATATATTCTGTAGCTCTATCCACTGAAAGGGCCTGGGAGCAATGGCATCCCAATAACAATTAGCACACCAGGTACCCATGTTTTGACTTCTAAAGACCATTTCTGCTAAGAGGAACCAGAGAACCACTCTTCTTGGAGAAATGGTTCATTTCAAGGCTGAGGCAGAATAAGCACAAAATGAGTGTGAAACAAACATCTCGTTGTGTCCAAAAATAAGAAGGTGGTCAAATAATGAAGGGGATATGCCAAAAGGACACATGAATAAACTCTCACTAGCTAAATAAGGAGACATTTGAGCATCAAAATAATTGATAGTAATCATCATAATGCATAAGATAAAATAGAAAATTCTAAGTCCATGTCAATATAAATAAATAAGTGAATGAATTAAAACTTTGTTTGATAAGAAATGGATTCAAAATACCTCCACACAAAATATGTATCACTTACAAAGGGGAAAACAATAACTTTAACACAGAGAAGCCTGGCAGGTACCATCTTAATCAGGTGATCAAAATTTAAATCATTAGTGAAACAAATTGAAATCACATACTGCCTGGTAGGATACAATGAGAAGGATTCAGTGTTGCCTCTGTGATAGTCCTGACAAAAGAAAATGTTTAGCTTCAATCTTGTCATAAGGAAATATAAGATAAAACCAAACTGAGAGACATGCTACTAAAAAACTGGCCTGGAATCTTCAAAAGTATCAAGACACAAAAATTGTTCAAAGGCTAAGGAACTGCTCAAGACTGAAGGAACTTAAAAAAATACATAACTGTGGTTCTAAATTAGATCCACTTAATAGGAAAAATATTATTATGATATTTATCAAAATTTGAGTGAGAATGAAGGATTACATGGGATAAATGTATTAATGTTAATTTCCCAATGTTGATGTTTACATTGTGGTTATGTAGGGGAATGTCCTGGGATTTAGATGAGTTTAACTAATGCACATTAAATATTTTAGGGATGATAAGGCAAAAGATTATCAAGTTACTCTCAAATAGTTCAGGGAATAAGTATTCTCTCTCCTGTTCTTACAACTTTTCTCAGGCTTGTGATTTTAGAAAAAAATTGCTAAAGCTTTAAAATAATTAGATTGAATGAAGAACTTTCTAAGCAAAACAGCAAAGAAAACTATCATACAGAAAAAAACTGATATGTTGTTTCAAATTTTATATAGCCAAGAACAAACAAAATTCAATGGAAATAGCAAACTGAACAAAAGCTTTTGCAACATTTGCGACCAAAGCCGAATTTTGTTCAGAGAAACAGATATCCAGCTGTAGATGCTGTATTGGGCTACCCAGATGCTCCCTTTACAACTGAGGTATTCATTCCTCCAGCTTCCAGGAGTGTTGGCAGTCGCCATTCTCAGCTAAGCCATTCCTAAGAGATTGCCCCCAGCCAAAGAGAGCCACCTTGCCCAAGTTTGCACTCCTCCCCAGCAGCAGTCTTCATCCTCGACTGGTCAGTATAGAAAATAAAGATCCAATCCTCCTCTACTTTAAGTGACCAAACTCTAAAAGTCTACACCATCATCAAAATGGTGGCAGGGATTCAGGGTGATCTTGTTCCAACTACATCTCAATTCAACATTTTCCTCTGCCCAGTACAATTTCCTTTTACTTTCCCAAAGGTAAGTTTCCTGAGGATTTGACACAGTAAAGTTCCTGCATGCAAATACGCATCTCAAAGTCTGTCCCCCTAGAAACTCAATCTGAGACAACAGGCAAAATGTCCCCAGCCAAAGAGGGGTTGGTGCATTTACACCATCTGATCAATGAGTTTCTGGATGGAGCTTCTAGGAAAGAACTTTAAAAATGAAAAAACTCAGTTAGTACATTCCTGTTCTCTTTATCTTCCTCCCTTCTTCCTGCCTAGAATATGGATATAATATACAGAAATAGAGCAGCCGTCTTGGATCCACAAGAATAAAAGCCACCACTAAGGATGGCAGAGCAAAAAGCTAAAAGGAACCTGGGATTCCTATACAGCCCTTGACAGCTTCCCTGCCAATTTGGTATTAGGGAGCTATAAATCAAATCCCAGTCATATCAGCCATTAAGCAGTTAGGTCTTCTGTTACTTAGAGATGAATGCATTTCTAACTGATACATGAATCCACAACAATCTGCCATGGGCTCATGTGATTACATTCTGCCTTGCTCTCCAGTATCACAGTCAAGGTCTGAGTTTAGGACTTCTGCAGGGACAAAATCTAATGACTCTTCTAAATCACTTTTAGACATCAGCAGTTATGCATAGCACCGTGAATGATCTGCTGTTTATCACACAGGATCATGATCTTGACTTTTCACCATCTTTAAGACTGACAATGGAATCTCAAGGTATATGGAAGATATTAACTCCATTTCTTGTTTATTTTTTTTCCTAGTTGACCTCCATGTCAAATGAAGTTAAACAGTCTTTCCTGAAAGTCAGGCAAGTTTTTGACAGAAATGTGTTCATTATATGTACAATAATCTCTTAATTACACAAAAAAAGAGCAAGCTCTCTTAGCTTTGAAAATTGTATGATATACTCTAAGACACCTGACAATTTCTACTACTTCTCATTGCATTGTCTATAGAATGGCATGCATTCTTTGACAGAAACAAACTTTTGTTTTACTGCTATTAATACATAATCATATCATCTTTTTTAATATGCTTTGTGTTACAATTAGTGATCCACATTTAAAACTCAATCACTTGTGAAGATAATAATGACATACTTATACTGAAGTGGTGATTATGTGAACTGATGTTATCTGTGGGTAGCATGGTTTTGCATGTACAATGACACTCACAACTTTCCTAGGCCTGGCAGACAAGTTTTTCCACACCGCCTTCCAATTACAGATATATTAAGAAGAAGGAAATGCACATCTTAGAAATATGGAAACTTGGTATCAATACAAATTTTTTAGCCTAAAGATGATCATATTTCAGCATCATTCTGTAACTTCCTTTCTCCCAACAAAATACATGGAATACTATGCAGCCATAAAAAATGATGAGTTCATGTCCTTTGCAGGGACATGGATGAAGCTGGAAGACATCATTCTCAGCAAACTATCGCAAGGACAAAAAACCAAACACCGCATGTTCTCACTTATAGGTGGGAATTGAACAATGAGAACACATGAACACAGGAAGGGGAACATCACACACCACGGCCTGTTGTGGGGTAGGGGGACGGGGGAGGGATAGCATTAGGTGATATACCTAATGTTAAATGACGAGTTAATGGGCGCAGCACACCAACATGGTGCATGTATACATATGTAACAAACCTGCACGTTGTGCACATGTACCATAAAACTTAAAGTATAATTTAAAAAAGTCATTTTTATCATTATGCATACATCTACACATTCTAAAAGGGCATTTTATAATGAATATATCATATTTACTTAATAATTTCCAAATTTAAGAACATATTAATTCTTGTTTTCTCTAGTTCTATTCGCTGAAAGGGCCTGGGAACAGTG
This sequence comes from Homo sapiens, assembly GCF_000001405.40. Taxonomy (NCBI): domain Eukaryota; kingdom Metazoa; phylum Chordata; class Mammalia; order Primates; family Hominidae; genus Homo; species Homo sapiens. The sequence goes on along the minus strand of NC_000006.12, from coordinate 73,935,471 downwards.
GCATCCCAATAGCAATTTTATTGTTTGTCTCATTTATAAATATTGCTAAAATGACCATCCCTGTACAAATACTGTAGAATAAGTTTCTAGAACTGAAATTACTGATTTCAAGGGCATGTGTGTTTTTAACATAAATTGGTATTGTCAATTTGCCCACTAAAGTTGCTGTATTAATTTACTCTTCCTGCAACAGTTTATGAGAGTATATGCTCCTTCCTATGTTCACCCATACCAGCATTACCAATCTTTAAAATGTTTACTAACTTTATAGTCAAAAAGTATTACCTCATTTTTAAAATTTGCTTTTTTTTTTTTTCTTTAGATGGAGTCTCGCTCTGTCGCCGAGGCTGGAGTGCAGAGGTGCTATCTCGGCTCACTGCAAGCTCCGCCTCCCGGGTTCACACCATTCTCCTGCCTCAGCCTCCAGAGTAGCTGGGACTACAGGCACCCGCCACCACGCCCAGCTAATTTTTTGTATATTTCGTAGAGATGGGGTTTCACCATGTTGGCCAGGATGGTCTCGATCTCTTGACCTCGTGATCCACCCGCCTCGGCCTCCCAAAGTGCTGGGATTACAGGCGTTAGCCACCACGCCCACCCTAAAATTTACATATTTTTAAGATTTTTGGCCACTTGTTTTTCATCTGAATTGCTTGTTTGTATCTTTCACCCATTTTTCTATTACATTGATGGCCTCTTCCTTTATTGATATGTATGTTATCTTTATATTTTTTGCGTAGTAAGCCTTTATTTTACATGTTGCAAATATGTGAACTTATTTCTTAATAGTAACTACAGTGTCATTTGCCATATCAAAGTTTTAAACATTTTATGTAGTTAAATCTTTTTTTTTTTTTTTTTCGCATCTCACACCTGTGACTCCAGGATCCTTGCTGGCTGACTGTTGAGAGAGAAATGAGGAGTGAAGTGCCTGGGGTCAAAGGAGCTGCTTGCCAGTGTGCAGCGCCTAAACTCTAGCCATTCTCAGCTGTTAAGGATTTTTTTTTTTTTTTTTTCCCGAGACGGAGTCTCGCTCTGTCGCCAGGCTGGAGTGCAGTGACGCGATCTCGGCTCACTGCAACCTCTGCCTGCCAGGTTCAAGCAATTATCCTGCCTCAGCCTCCCGAGTAGCTGGGACTACAGGCGAGCGCCACCACACCCAGCTAGTTCTTGTACTTTTAGTAGAGACGGGGTTTCACCATGTTGGCCAGAATGGTCTCGATCTCTTGACCTTGTGATCCGCCCCCAAAGTACTGGGATTACAGGCGTGAGCCACCATGCCCGGCCAATTAAATATTTTAATATTTTTCTCTATGCCTTCCAATTATGTAGTTTTCATAAAATCCAAAATTATAAAGATACTCATTTCTTAATACATGCCTTTAAGACTATTTAGTACTATTTAGGCAGTACCTTATAGAATTTTTATGATATAAGTGGTCTAATGTTTATTCATTTCTAATAGACAATTATTTTAATTTTTTTGACTCAGTGCAAAAGGCTTTTGGAAAAAATATTTTTGAATTTTCAAATGTATAGGTTACATTTTTAATTTTTTGTTAGTTTTGATTTTTTTCCTTTCATGAGTTCAGAAAATGTAGTGTGTATTATTTTTACTTTATGAAAATCACTGAAATTTTTGTGTGACTAACAAACGTGATTACTTTATAAATGTTACATTATAATTTTAATAGAATAAATATTTTTATATGGTAGGCACAAAGAGAGAGAAAAATTGTTAATTTTATTATTCAAATTCCCTACACATCTACTTTTTGTTTTTTATTTAATAGGTTAGATTCTTAGAGATCCATGTTCAAGTCTCACACTATCATTGTGGTTTTGTAAATTTCTTCTGTCATTTCTAAAAAATGTGGTTTTGAATAAAGCAATTCTACATGGTAAATTGAGTTAGGGGAAATGTTGTGCAGAAGTGATTTTAAGATAGATCTTTACAAACAGCAAAGCCAGGTAGAGAAGAAAAGAAAGGGAATTCAAGACTGTTAGGACAACTTCCAAAAAGACACAGAGTACATTAAAGAAATGGCAACCCCATTTCATCCTGGCTGTTAGACCCCTGCTTTTTCAAAACTTAGGCAGCAATACTCTCCAGGGAGGTGAGATCCAGCTCAGGTACATGGGATTAACAAAACTGTGATTTTTTGTCAAGACAGGTTTAAGGATGGACATACTTTTAGCAAATGAGACCTATGGAGAAGTTAGCTGGGGGCCTTCTTGGAAAAGACTTTCCTCTCTGACTTAAAAGAAAAGAAAACCCAGGAAGAAACCTCCTCCTTTTTTTGGATGTGATTGTATGAAGCCTGGCTGGGGAATGAACATAAGGCCACAGCTGACCTGTATGGAATGCAAATTAAACATTAAAATGCTGTGTCCTTGCACAGCTGAATTATCAACACCATCTGTCACTGGGCTTTTTGTTATCCAAATAATATATGTCCTTATTATTTAAGCCATTTTTAGTTCAAGATTGTATTGCTTTCTACTGAAATACTAATACAAAAAAATACAATATACTTTTCAGGAAACATCTAGAAGTCTAATAGGGTTGGCACAGAAAGCAAACTGAAGAATGTAATAGGAGAAAGAAAGGCTGAAATGCATTTTTAAAGAGGTTTAGATGCTGTGCTCCTAAGCTTTTCCGTAAACAATGGTGAATTCTGCATCTGCTTACATGTAGGAAAGAGCATTTGGGAAAGGATAGAGAGAGGCTGAAACTAGAGGCTCAGAAACAGAGATAAAGCTAAGGTTCTGACCTAAAGGTGCTATTCTACCATCACTTTATTTCCAGGGCACTGTAGGAAATCACCTGGTCCTTCCCTTTCTCCCTTATTTTCCTCCTTCCCTATCTCACTCTCTCCCTCTGTCCCTTATGTTCCATGCTTGACAAATGGAAGTTCACTGAAAAGTTATACAAATTTATTTACAGGTTACCTTAGAAATACCATGAGAATGTGTTTTGTAATTTTGACTAGAATAAAGTTGATGTCCTACAGGAAGAGTAACAAATCCATGGCTGAAAATGCAGAATTAGAAATTAAAGAAGTGGTTTAAAAAAAAAAGTGCAGGAAGAAAGAGATTACAGTTTGTAAATAGGTGTATTTCCTAAATTTTTTACTTTTCTCTCCTCTTTCTCCAGATTACACTCTCAGCCTCAAATCAATAGTCTTGTTCTTGCTCGTGAGAACTGCAGACATTAACAAAGTCAATATTCTATCACTTATTTGGAATTTTTTAAGCCTATAACTTCAGAAAGTCTGATAATGCCATACTAAAAAGTTTAGAAGCATATTAAGAAATTTGGGGTACCTATGCATACAATAGATCTCTACTAAAAATACAAAAATTAGCCAGTGTGGTGTCATGCACCTGTAGTCCCAGCTACTCAGGAGGCTGAGGCAGCAGAATCACTTGAACCCAGGAGGCAGAGGTTGCAGTGAGCCATTGCCCTGCAGCCTGGACAACAGAGCGAGACTCTGTCTCAAAAAAATAAAAAATAATAATGAAGAACATCCTTAAGAGCTGATTAAATGTGTCCTCAAAGAAAATGAGCAGAACAATCTAAATAATCCTAGAACATGTAGTTTAGGTGGCATTACTTCCAAATTTCATATTTAGAATGTCCCAAGTTATTAAGAAACATTTCATTTTGCTTTGATTCACATATTCACACCTTTTTAAAATGTAAACAACTAGAGTCTTCACAGAAAAAAATACCTGTCAAAAGAGTAAACAGACAACCTACAGAATGGGAGAAAATATTTGTAAACTCTGCGTCCAACAAAGGACTAATATCCAGAATCTATAAGAAATTTACACAATTCAACAAGGAAAAAACAAATAACCCTACTAAAAAGTGGGTAAAGGACAGGAACAGACAGTTGAAAGAAGACACACACGTGGCCAATAAACGTGAAAAAAATGCTTAATGTCACTAACCATCAGAGCTATGCAAATCAAAACTATAATGAGATACCATCTCACACCAGTCAGAATGACTATTATCAAAAAGTCCAACATTAGAAATTGGCAAGGTTGTGGAAAAAAGGGAACGCTTATACACTATTGGTGGGGATGCAAATTAGTTTAGCCCCTGTGGAAAGCACTTTAAAGATTTTGCAAAGAACTAAAAATAGAATTACCGTTTGACCCAGCAATCCCATTACTGGGTATATACCCAAAGGAAAATAAATTGTTCTACCAAAAAGACCCCTGCACTTGTATGTTCATCATAGCACTAGTCACAACAGCAAAGACATGGAATTAACCCAGGTGTCCATCAATGGTGGATGGAATAAAGAAAATGTGGTATATATACACCATGGAATACTACACAGCCATAAAAAAGAATGAAATCATGTCCTTTGCAGCAATATGGATGCAGCTGCAGGCCATTATTCTACACAAATTGACACAAAAACAGAAAATCAAAACCACATGTTTTCACTTATAAGTGGGAGCCAAACATTGACTACACACAGACACAAAGATAAGAGCAATAAACACTGAGGATCCCAAAAGGAGGAAAAGACAGGGGGAGGCAAGAGTTGAAAAACTACCTGTTGGGTACTACACTCACTACTTGGGCAAAGGAATCATTAGAAGCCTATACTTCAGCATCACACAATATACTTTTGTAACAAACCTGCACATTTACCCCCAAATCTAAATTTAAAAAAAAAACAATTTTATAAACAATAAAACCCTATAATTTTCAAAAAAAAAAATAGAAGAAGAAGAAGATACACAACTGGTACTAGCCTTCTGGAGGTCCATTAAGTAAAAATGCAACCATTTAGCTCTGCAGCACTGCTTCAAAATGTGCAACAAAGTACTCCCAAATTCATAGAAAACTGCAACAACAAAAATTAAAAGAACCTTTATAGAAAGCTGCAATAGTGAAAAGAAACCCTTGAGGGGAAATGGATTTTTTGAGTTAGATTTTGGCCGGAACTCTCCTTTCAAAAGTAATGAATCTTTCTTCAGCAACCAAAGTCTAATAAAGCCAGTGTGGGGTAACTATAATATAACATATAAATCTATATATAGAGATTTATATAAATAGTGAGTTATATATAACCATAATATAAATATAAATCCACAATAATAGCCACAATTTATTAAGCCCTGCTTTCAGATCAGATGTTTTATAGTAATTATTTTGAATCCTCACAACTCTACATAGTAGGTACTATCTTCCTCATTTCACATAACAAAAGAAAGACTCTAGCAGATTATATGCCTAGTCCAAAGTCAAACAGTTAGACAATTATAGAGCAGAAATTTGAACCCAGTTCTTCTAAGTTCAAAACCCATTCACTTTTGACTATACTACACTGTTCCTAAAGGACTTAAAAGGCTAAAATAGATTGCTGAAAGTGGCGATCCACCTAGGGATGACATTCTGATTTCTGCTGGAGAAGCCAAAAATAACCAGAGGGTTAGAAGTTGCTTGAGACCAGCATTATTCACTTTGTATCCCACCTATTTGGTTTGTCCAGTCACCACAACTAACTAGTGACATCAGCAAGATGGCAGACTAGAAGCCCCTAGCACTCATCCCCTCACAAAATAACTGAAGGAGAGCATCACAGTGCATCAGAGAAGTAACAGAAGTCTTGGTGAGCACAGAAACTCAGGATGGCTACACAGAGAATCAGAGGAAATGTCGGGACACCACCATCCCATCCCCCAACTGAGATAAGCTAGAAACCTGTAGGAACTTCTTTCCAAGGTAAGGCAATAAGCAAGTGGATAACAGCAACCCCCGACAACGCCTTGGACACCTACATACCTCAACACTGGAGTCACTTGCAATCTTTACAGCCACTGGCACTAAGCCCAGCTGAGTGAGCTGGCTAGAGTCCACATAGCCATGTTCCCTCCAGAAAAGATGCCAACACTGTGCCCTACCCTCTGTGGCCCACATGGCTATTGCACAAAGCATCTTGGAAGTGGAACTACAGCTGGACTGTGTCTTGCTCTGGAGACAAGTAGCCATGCCTCTCCTTCATCCTGAGGCTAAGCCACCACCAAACCACCCCAGTCAAATGGCCTGACATCCCCAAGCTGAGCTGTCAGCATCTGTTATACTCTTTCCCATGTGGCCAACCAGAGGTTGCCACCTACTTCTCCCCTAATCCCCTTGGGCCAGAGCTGAAGCACCACCCTGCATCCTGAGCAAACAGTACCTTGGAAACTCAGAGCAATCACACCTCTCAGGTGCCTAAATGGAAGCAATGCCCTGCCTCTCAAGAAATAGTGCCTGGTCACCCAGAGTAGTCATGCACCATAGTACCTAAGCCAAAGCTCCAACCTGCATCCCAGGGATAAAGTGCCTGGGCCACCCAGAGTAGTCATGACACCCAGGCCTGAGCCATACTGACAAATGGCACCCTGCAGAATCCGTGCACTGGCTGAGCTGAGCAGCTGAACATCCTAGAGCTGGTTTGACATTGTATCCTCTATCCAAGGGAAACACCACTGGCTGAGCTGAGACACCCCTTGTTGGGTGTGTATATATTTAGGATAGTTAGGTCTTCTTGTTGAATTCAACCCTTTACCACTATCTAATGTCCTTCTTTATCTTTTTGATCATTGTTGGTTTAAAGTCTGTTTTGTCTGAAATTAGAATAGCAACCCTACTTTTTTCCGTTTTTCATTTGCTTGGTAGATTTCCTTCATCCCTTTACTTTGAGTCCATTGGTGTCATTGCATGTGAGATGTGGCTCTTGCACACAGCATATCATTGGGTCTTCCTTCTTTTTTCAATTTGCCACCCTATAACTTTTAATTGGGGCATTTAGCTACTTTACATTTAAGGTTAGTATTGATATGTGTAGATTTGATTCTGTCATCTTGTTGTTATCTGGTTATTATGCAGACTTGTTTGTGTGGTTGCTTTGTAGTGTCACTGGTCTATGTATTTAAGTGTGGTTTTTTAGTGGCCAGTAATGGTTTTTCTTTTCAATATTTAGCACCTCCTTCAGGACCTCTTATAAGGCAGGTCTGGTGGTAACAAATTCTCTTAGCATTCGCTTGTCTGAAAAAGGATCTTATTTCTCCTTCACTTATAAAGTTTAGTTTGGTTATATGTGAAATTCTTGGTTGGAATTCCTTTTCTTTAAGAATGCTGGATATGAGCCCCCAGACTCTTCTAGCTTGTAGGAGTTTTGCTGGAAGGTCTACTGTTAGCCTAATGGAGTTCTCTTTGTAGGTGACCTAACCCTTCTCTCTGGCTGCTCTTAATATCTTTTCTTTCATTTTGACCTCAAAAAAATTGATAACTATGTGTTTTGTGATTGGTCTTCTGTGTGGTATTTCACAGGGGTTCTCTGCAGTTCCTGAATTTGACTGTTGGGCTTACTAACAAGGCTGGGGAAATTTTCATGGATGATATCCTAAAATACGTTTTCCAAGGTGCTTGCTTTCTCTCCCTCTCTTTCAGGGATGCCAATGTGTCATAGATTTGGTCACTTTACAAAATCCTATATTTCTCAGAGGTTATGTTTATCCTCCTTTTGTTGCTTTTCCTTTATTTTTGTCTGAGTTATTTCAGAGATCCAGTCTTCAAGCTCTGGGGTTCTTTTCTCAACTTGGTTGATTCTGCTGTTAATACTTGCAATTGTATTCTGAAATATTAATACTTGTAGTGAATTTATCAGCTCAATCAGATAAGTTTGGTTCTTTCTTATAAGGCCATTTTACCTTTCATCTCCTGTATCATTTTATTGTATTCCTTTGAATCCTTCCATTGGGATTCAACTTTCTCCTAAATTTCAATGACCTTTATTCCTATCTACATTCTGCATTCTATTTCTGTCATTTCAGCCATGTCAGCCTGGTTAAGAACTGCTGCTGGGGAACTAGTGCAGTCATTTCAGATAAGAAGACTCTGGCTTTTTGAGTTGCCAGAATTCTTTCTCATCTTTGTGATCTGATGTTCCTTCAATCTTTGAAATTACTGTCTTTTGGGTGGATTGTTTTTCCTTTGTCCTTTTAATGTCCTTGAAGTTTTGATTGTGGTATAAGGTGGGTTCAGTCAACTGGCTTCATTTCTGGAAGATTTTAGGGGGCCAAAGCTCAGCTCAGGACTTCTGAATTGCATTCTCTAACTCTAGGGGGGACTGGTAACAGGCCCCCAGCTTTGTTCTCTGGGTCTTCAAGGTTAGGAATCTGCTGTACCGGAGGGGTCAGTGTGTTCCCAGAATTCAGGTGGTGCCAGCCAAAGCACTTCATCAGACAGTGGCGGCAGGATCCATACTCATTCACACTTGCCAGCAGCAGCAGCAGCAGCAGTACAGCATGGTGCATGCTTTGTGGCTGAGGTGGGGCACTGGCAGGCACATGGTTGCTAGTCTTTGTGTGGACATTTGCAGCAGTGGCAATGGTAGTGTGGGGGCCCTTGCATTTTATATTAAGTTTATAATCTATGTCATATGACTGTTTTTTGGCTCTCAGGTTAATCATATTCCCATTTCCTATTATGTCCTGTATTTCAGAGAACTACAATTCCCAGGGTGTCTTATCTTCTGCCTTTCTGGAAGATTTGGCAATGACAGGCACTGGCAGAAGATAGCAGTGGAAGAGTACTAAAGCCAGAGTATTTTTCCCTCTCTCTTTTTGCCTTTGGTGGTGCCACTGGCAATGGCTATGTTTCTTCTGTAACACTAGCTCTCAGCTGCAGCCTCTACCATGCTCCTAAATTTTTCCAGGTATTCTAAAATTTTAGGGTCTGAAACATTAGTTTTTCCATTGTTTTTCTTATGTGATGGAGAGAGTAGTGTGTTGCTGTTGCCATTCTCTGTATTGCCTTATTATGCCCTGTTTGGCTGCTGAGCATTTTTATAGTCTGTTTGACCAATTGCCTTTATTAAATTCTCTTTGCTGAAGAACTTACAGTGGTTATACTGTTTCCTAGCTGGACTCTAACTGATACCAAATCTATATACAAAATGAGACTTCCTTGCAAGTTTTGTTCCTCATTATGGGTATATGTAAGTAACTAGGAAAAAAGAGATGTGGCCGGGCATGGTGGCTCACACCTGTAATCCCAGCACTTTTGGAGGCTGAGGCAGGCAGATCACAAGGTCAAGAGATCGAGCCCATCCTGGCCAACATAGTGAAACCCCATCTCTACTTAAAAAAAAAAAAAAAAAAAAAATACAAAAATTAGCTGGGTGTGGTGGCAGGCACCTGTAATCCCATCTACTCTGGAAGCTGAGGCAGGAGAATCACTTGAACCAGGGAGGCGGAGGTTGCAGTGAGCCAAGATTGCACCACTGCACTCCAGCCTGGCAACAGAGCAAGACTCCATCTCAAAAAAAAAAAAAGAAAAGAAAAAGAAAAAAGAGATGCTTAGTAGAAGAGTGAATGAAAACGTATGAACAATATCATAGCAGAGGGAGTGACTTTATCCTCTCACTTATGAATGTCTCACAAATAACTATTAAGAACCTCATATTCCCGTCCGGGAGGTGGGGGGCAGCCCCCGCCTGGCCAGCCGCCCCATCAGGGAGGTGGGGGGCAGCCCCCACCCGGCCGCTGCCCCGTCTGGGAGGTGGGGGGCGCCTCTGCCTGGCCGCCCCGTCTGGGAAGTGAGGAGCCCCTCTGCCCTGCCGCAACCGCGGCTGGGAGGTGTACCCAACAGCTCATTGAGAACGGGCCATGATGACGATGGTGGTTTTGTCGAATAGAAAAGGGGGAAATGTGAGGAAAAGAAAGAGAGATCAGATTGTTACTGTGTCTGTGTAGAAAGAAGTAGACATAGGAGACTCCATTTTGTTCTGTACTAAGAAAAATTATTCTGCCTTGGGATGCTGTTAATCTATAACCTTACCCCCAATCCCATGCTCTCTGAAACATGTGCTGTGTCCACTCAGGGTTAAATGGATTAAGGGCAGTGCAAGATGTGCTTTGTTAAACAGATGCTTGAAGGCAGCATGCTCCTTAAGAGTCATCACCACTCCCTAATCTCAAGTACCCAGGGACACAAACACTGTGGAAGGCGGCAGGGCCCTCTGCCTAGGAAAACCAGAGACCTTTGTTCACATGTTTATCTGCTGACCTTCCCTCCACTGTTGTCCTATGACCCTGCCAAATCCCCCTCTCCGAGAAACACCCAAGAATGATCAATAAATACTAAAAAAATTAACAAAAAAAAAAAAAAAGAACCTCACATTGGGCCAGGCACAGTGGCTCATACCTGTAATCCCAGAACTTTGGGAGGCCAAAGCAGGTGAGCACTTGAGGTCAGGAGTTCAAGACCAGACTGGCCAGCATGGTCAAACCCTGTCTCTATTTTTAAAAATACAAAAATTTGCTGGGCATGCTGGCACACACAAGTAGTCCCAGCTACTTGGGAGGCTGAGGCATGAGAATCACTTGAAACCAGGAGGCAGAGGTTGCAGTGAGTTGAGAACGTGCCACTGCACTCCAGCCTGGGCAACAACAGAGCAAGACTCTGTCTTGGAATAGCTAATCCCACAGGGAACTCAGAGTCTCTTCAAAATTTGAATGTCCAAATATAGAAAAGTATTATTTCTTAAAAAGTTACTTATTTAATGCTTGATAGTTAATTTAAATAGAATTAGAAAAGTACTATACATCCAATCTCCTCTGAAAACTGTACAGTTTTATTCTTAAATAATTTTATTCTTCAAGCCTCTCTGAGACTCAGTTCCTCAAATGTGTAATCTAGGATGGAGAGACTAGATCAGTGGTTTTTAATGGTTTGGGGATATCAACCCATTTGAGAATCTAATGAAATTATAAACTCCTTTTTCAGAAGAAGGAACTTGGTCAGAAATTTTGTGTACTATTTCAGGGGTTCTCAGACCCTTCAAATCTCACCCATGGTCCTGTGAAATCTCCACAGACTGATGATTATTAGACACTGGACTAGATCCCAGACATCTCCAAAGGTTCATTTAATTGTTGCATTTTGGGGGGGTTTCCATATCAGGTAAGGAAGATAAAACACCTGGAAATTGATTTGAGAAGACTGCCACAGTTATCTTCAATGTTGCCCAATAGAATGAACTGACAAAGATTTTCCCGGTCCTAGAACTCATACCTTTCCCAAGTGCCTGACATGAGATCATCTTCTTGGAATTATCAACTTGCTGGCATACACACAGAGCATGAGGGCTGGAGATGCAAGAGCTCCCTGGGACTGATGATAGAACAAGGCTGCTTGCCATTTCCTCTCCAGTCTGAAAAAAGGCAAGTAGAAACCCCTAGAGGAATTACAGAATAGTAACATTTCCAAATTTCATAATAGAAACTGGAAACTTTAATAAAGCTCAGCTTTGATTCAGCTGTTCCAATATTTTTAACTTGAATGGCTCCTTTGCTGTCTCCCACTCCCCCACACTCCTGCCATCTATACACCTCCTGGTCTCCATCTGTTTCTGAATTGCTTTCAGCATTGGTGGACATTGCCAAAATCTAATGATAACACTTTATTCTCATGAAAAGCATGCATAGTAATGAAAAGGATTACTATGGATCAAGAAGGAAATGTAACAATTCTAGAGAGTATTATCCAGATAACAGAAAGATAGATCATCAATTTTATATTTAATTAAAACTTTAAAATCCCAGGCTTTGTTTTGATATAATAAACATATATAATTTTAGATATTTATTTTTAAATGTAAGTTATACAAAATGGTTGACAGAAGCTATATTGGGCTTCAGAATGCCTGAGCTTTAAGATTCATCTCTGCCATTAACTATTTTTCTGACTTTAGATAAAAAAAATTTTTTTTATTTTTTTATTTTTATTTTATTATTATTATACTTTACGTTTTAGGGTACATGTGCACAATGTGCAGGTTTGTTACATATGTATACATGTGCCATGCTGGTGTGCTGCAACCATTAACTCATCATTTAGCATTAGGTATATCTCCTAATGCTATCCCTCCCCCCTCCCCCCACACCACAACAGTCCCCAGAGTGTGATGTTCCCCTTCCTGTGTCCATGTGTTCTCATTGTTCAATTCCCACCTATGAGTGAGAATATGTGGTGTTTGCTTTTTTGTCCTTGTGATAGTTTACTGAGAATGATGATTTCCAATTTCATCCATGTCCCTACAAAGGACATGAACTCATCATTTTTCATGGCTGCATAGTATTCCATGGTGTATATGTGCCACATTTTCTTAATCCAGTCTATCATTGTTGGACATTTGGGTTGGTTCCAAGTCTTTGCTATTGTGAATAATGCCACAATAAACATACGTGTGCATGTGTCTTCATAGCAGAATGATTTACAGTCCTTTGGGTATCTACCCAGTAATGGGATGGCTGGGTCAAATGGTATTTCTACTTCTAGATCCCTGAGGAATCGCCACACTGACTTCCACAAGGGTTGAACTAGTTTACAGTCCCACCAACAGTGTAAAAGTGTTCCTATTTCTCCACATCCTCTCCAGCACCTGTTATTTCCTGACTTTTTAATGATTACCATTCTAACTGGTGTGAGATGGTATCTCATAGTGGTTTTGATTTGCATTTGTCTGATGGCCAGTGATGGTGAGCATTTTTTCATGTGTTTTTTGGCTGCATAAATGTCTTCTTTTGAGAAGTGTCTGTTCATGTCCTTTGCCCACTTTTTGATGGGGTTGTTTGTTTTTTTCTTGTAAATTTGTTTGAGTTCATTGTAGATTCTGGATATTAGCCCTTTGTCAGATGAGTAGGTTGCGAAAATTTTCTCCCATTTTGTAGGTTGCCTGTTCACTCTGATGGTAGTTTCTTTTGCTGTGCAGAAGCTCTTTAGTTTAATTAGATCCCATTTGTCAATTTTGGCTTTTGTTGCCATTGCTTTGGTGTTTTAGACATGAAGCCCTTGCCCATGCCTATGTCCTCAATGGTAATGCCTAGGTTTTCTTCTAGGGTTTTTAGGGTTTTAGGTCTAACGTTTAAGTCTTCAATGCATGTTGAATTAATTTTTGTACAAGGTGTAAGGAAGGGATCCAGTTTCAGCTTTCTACATATGGCTAGCCAGTTTTCCCAGCACCATTTATTAAATAGGGAACCCTTTCCCCATTGCTTGCTTTTCTAAGGTTTGTCAAAGATCAGATAGTTGTAGATATGCAGCGTTATTTCTGAGGGCTCTGTTCTGTTCCATTGATCTATATCTCTGTTTTGGTACCAGTACCATGCTGTTTCGGTTACTGTAGCCTTGTAGTATAGTTTGAAGTCAGGTAGCATGATGCCTCCAGCTTTGTTCTTTTGGCTTAGGATTGACTTGGTGATGTGGGCTCTTTTTTGGTTCCATATGAACTTTAAAGTAGTTTTTTCCAATTCTGTGAAGAAAGTCATTGGTAGCTTGATGGGAATGGCATTGAATCTATAAATTACCTTGGGCAGTATGACCATTTTCATAATATTGATTCTTCCTACCCATGAGCATGGAATGTTCTTCCATTTGTTTGTATCCTCTTTTATTTCATTGAGCAGTGGTTTGTAGCTCTCCTTGAAGAGGTCCTTCACATCCCTTGTAAGTTGGAATCCTAGGTATTTTCTTCTCTTTGAAGCACTTGTGAATGGGAGTTCACTCATGATTTGGCTCTCTGTTTGTCTGTTATTGGTGTATAAGAATGCTTGGGATTTTTGCACATTGATTTGTATCTTGAGACTTTGCTGGAGTTGCTTATCAGCTTAAGGAGATTTTGGGCTGAGACAATGGGGTTTTCTACATATACAATCATGTCATCTGCAAACAGGGTCAATTTGACTTCCTCTTTTCTTAATTGAATACCCTTTATTTCCTTCTCCTGCCTAATTGCCCTGGCCAGAACTTCCAACACTATGTTGAATAGGAGTGGTGAGAGAGGGCATCCCTGTCTTGTACCAGTTTTCAAAGGGAATGCTTCCAGTTTTTGCCCATTCAGTATGATATTGGTTGTGGGTTTGTCATAGATAGCTCTTATTATTTTGAGATATGTCCCATCAATACCTAATTTATTGAGAGTTTTTAGCATGAAGGGTTGTTGAATTTTGTGAAAGGCCTTTCTGCATCTATTGAGATAATCACGTGGTTTTTGTCTTTGGTTCTGTTTATATGCTGGATTACATTTATTGATTTGTGTATGTTGAACCAGCCTTGCATCCCAGGGATGAAGCCCACTTGATCATGGTGGATAAGCTTTTTGATGTGCTGCTGGATTCAGTTTGCCAGTATTTTATTGAGGATTTTTGCACCTATGTTCATCAAGGATATTGGTCTAAAATTCTCTTTTTTTCGTTGTGTCTCTGCCCAGCTTTCATATCAGGATGATGCTGGCCTCATAAAATGAGTTAGGGAGGATTCCCTCTTTTTCTATTGATTGGAATAGTTTCAGAAGGAATGGTACCAGTTCCTCCTTTTACCTCTGGTAGAATTCGGCTGTGAATCCATCTGGTCCTGGACTCTTTTTGGTTGGTGAGCTATTGATTATTGCCACAATTTCTGCTCCTGTTATTGGTCTATTGAGAGACTCAACTTCCTCCTAGTTTAGTCTTGGGATAGCGTATGTGTCGAGGAATTTATCCATTCCTTCTAGATTTTCTAGTTTATTTGCGTAGAGGTATTTGTAATATTCTCCAATGGTAGTTTGTATTTCTGTGGGATCGGTGGTGATATCCCCTTTATCATTTTTTATTGCATCTATTTGATTCTTCTCTCTTTTTTTCTTTATTAGTCTTGCTAGCAGTCTATCAATTTTGTTGATCCTTTCAAAAAACCAGCTCCTGGATTCATTAATTTTTTGAAGGGTTTTTTGTGTCTCTATTTCCTTCAGTTCTGCTCTGATTTTAGTTATTTCTTGCCTTCTGCTAGCTTTTGAATGTGTTTGCTCTTGCTTTTCTAGTTCTTTTAATTGTGATGTTAGGGTGTCAATTTTGGATCTTTCCTGCTTTCTCTTGTGGGCATTTAGTGCTATAAATTTCCCTCTACACACTGCTTTGAATGTGTCCCAGAGATTCTGGTATGTTGTGTCTTTGTTCTCATTGGTTTCAAAGAACATCTTTATTTCTGCCTTCATTTTGTTATGTACCCAGTAGTCATTCAGGAGCAGGTTGTTCAGTTTCCATGTAGTTGAGCAGTTTTGAGTGAGTTTCTTAATCCTGAGTTCTAGTTTGATTGCACTGTGGTCTGAGAGACAGTTTGTTATAATTTCTGTTCTTTTACATTTGCTGAGGAGAGCTTTACTTCCAACTATGTGGTCAATTTTGGAATAGGTGTGTTGTGGTGCTAAAAAAAATGTATATTCTGTTGATTTGGGGTGGAGAGTTCTGTAGATGTCTATTAGGTCCGCTTGGTGCAGAGCTGAGTTCAATTCCTGGGTATCCTTGTTGACTTTCTGTCTCGTTGATCTGTCTAATGTTGACAGTGGGGTGTTAAAGTCTCCCATTATTATTGTGTGGGAGTCTAAGTCTCTTTGTAGGTCACTCAAGACTTGCTTTATGAATCTGGGTGCTCCTGTTTTGGGTGCATATATATTTAGGATAGTTAGCTCTTCTTGTTGAATTGATCCCTTTACCATTATGTAATGGCTTCCTTTGTCTCTTTTGATCTTTGTTGGTTTAAAGTCCATTTTATCAGAGGCTAGGATTGCCACCCCTGCCTTTTTTTTGTTTTCCATTTGCTTGGCAGATCTTCCTCCATCCTTTTATTTTGAGCCTATATGTGTCCCTGCCCGTGAGATGGGTTTCCTGAATACAGCACACTGATGGGTCTTGACTCTTTATCCAACTTGCCAGTCTGTGTCTTTTAATTGGAGCATTTAGTCCATTTACATTTAAAGTTAATATTGTTATGTGTGAATTTGATCCTGTCATTATGATGTTAGCTAGTTATTTTGCTCATTAGTTGATGCAGTTTCTTTCTAGTCTCGATGGTCTTTACATTTTGGCATGACTTTGCAGTGGCTGGTACTGGTTGTTCCTTTCCATGTTTAGCGCTTCCTTCAGGAGCTCTTTTAGGGCAGGCCTGGGTGGTGACAGAATCTCTCAGCATTTGCTTGTCTGTAAAGTATTTTATTTCTCCTTCACTTATGTAGCTTAGTCTGGCTGGATATGAAATTCTGGGTTGAAAATTCTTTTCTTTAAGAATGTTGAATATTCGTCCTCACTCTCTTCTGGCTTGTAGAGTTTCTGCTGAGAGATCCACTATTAGTCTGATGGGCTTCCCTTTGTGGATAACCCAGCCTTTTTCTCTGGCTGCCCTTAACACTTTTTCCTTCATTTCAACTTTGGTGAATCTGACAATTATGTGTCTTGGAGTTGCTCTTCTTGAGGAGTATCTTTGTGGCATTCTCTGTATTTCCTGAACCTGAATGTTGGCCTGCCTTGCTAGATTGGGGAAGTTCTCCTGGATAATATGCTGCAGAGTGTGTTCCAACTTGGTTCCATTCTCCGCATCACTTTCAGGTACACTGATCAGACATAGATTTGCTCTTTTCACATAGTCCCATATTTCTTAGAGGCTTTGTTCATTTCTTTTTATTCTTTTTTTTTCTAAACTTCCCTTCTTGCTTCATTTCATTCATTTCATCTTCCATCACTGATACCCTTTCTTCCAGTTGATCGCATCGGCTCCTGAGGCCTCTGCATTCTTCACGTAGTTCTCAAGCCTTGGCTTTCAGCTCCATCAGCTCCTTTAAGCACTTCTCTGTATTGGTTATTCGTTATAAATTTGTCTAAATTTTTTTCAAAGTTGTTAATTTCTTTGCCTTGGTTTGAATTTCCTCCTGTAGTTCGGAGTAGTTTCATTGTCTGAAGGCTTCTTCCCTCAACTCGTCAAAGTCATTCTCTGTCAAGCTTTGTTCCATTGCTGGTGAGGAACTGCATTCCTTTGGAGGAGGAGAGGCGCTCTAATTTTTAGAGTTTCCAGTTTTTCTGCTCTGTTTTTTCCCCATCTTTTTGGTTTTATCTACCTTTGGTCTTTGATGATGGTGATGTACAGATGGGTTTTTGGTGTGGATGTCCTTTCTGTTTGTTAGTTTTCCTTCTAACAGACAGGACCCTCAGCTGCAGGTCTGTTGGAGTTTGCTACAGGTCCACTCCAGACTCTGTTTGCCTGGGTATCAGCAGCAGTGACTGCAGAACAGCGGATTTTCGTGAACCGCAAATGCTGCTGTCTGATGTTCCTCTGGAAGTTTTGTCTCAGAGGAGTACCTGGCTGTGTGAGGTGTCAGTCTGCCCCTACTGGGGGATGCCTCCCAGTTAGGCTGCTTGGGGGTCAGGGCTCAGGGACCCACTTGAGGAGGCAGTCTGCCTGTTCTCAGATCTCCAGCTGCGTGCTGGGAGAACCACTGCTCTCTTCAAAGCTGTCAGACAGGGACATTTAAGTCTGCAGATGTTACTGCTGTCTTTTTGTTTGTCTGTGCCCTGCCCCTAGAGATGGAGCCTACAGAGGCAGGCAGGCCTCCTTGAGCTGTGGTGGACTCCACCCAGTTCGAGCTCCCTGGCTGCTTTGTTTACCTAAGCAAGCCTGGGCAATGGCGGGCACCCCTCCCCCAGCCTCACTGCTGCCTTGCAGTTTAATCTCAGACTGCTGTGCTAGCAATCAGTGAGACTCCGTGGGCATAGGACCCTCCAAGCCAGGTGCAGGATATAATCTCCTGGTGCGCCATTTTTTAAGCCCATCAGAAAAGCGCAGTATTCGGGTGGGAGTGACCTGATTTTCCAGGTACCGTTTTTCACCCCTTTCTTTGACTAGGAAAGGGAACTCCCTGACCCCTTGTGCTTCCCGGGTGAGGCAATGCCTCGCCCTGCTTTGCCTCTTGCATGGTGCGCTGCACCCACTGACCTGCACCCACTGTCTGGCACTCCCTAATGAGATGAACCTGGTACCTCAGATGGAAATGCAGAAATCACCTGTCTTCTGTGTCGCTCACACTGGGAGCTGTAGACTGGAGCTGTTCCTATTCGGCCATCTTGGCTGTCCCCCTAGATAACAAAATCTTAAGATTAGAATAAGTCATCTCCAAATTGTATTCCAGCTCTAAAAATCTTATTTTGCTAGCATTTCTCAAAGTATATTTTAGGAAACAGAGGTCCTTTGGAAGTTTTTTCCAAAACAAAAATTGTCCATATGCAAAAACTTTAGGAGACCATGCAAATCTATTCACATTTTCATTTTATTCGTTAGAAATTCCCAATACAATGTAAGACCTAAAACCATAAATATCCTAGAAGAATACCTAGGCAATACCATTCAGGACATAGGAATGGGCAAAGACTTCATGTCTAAAACACTAAAAGCAATGGCAACAAAAGCCAGAACTGACAAATGGGATCTAATTAAGCTAAAGAACTTCTGCACAGCCAAAGAAATTATCATCAAAGTAAATAGGCAACCTAGAGAATGGGAGAAAATTTTTGCAATCTATCAATCTGACAAAGAGCTAATATCTAGAATCTACAAAGAACTTAAACAAATTTACAAGAAAAACACAAAAACCTCATCAAAAAGTGGGCAAAGGATATGAACAGATATTTCTCAAAGGAAGACATTTATGCAACCAACAAACATAGGAAAAAATCCTCATCATCACTGGTCATTACAGAAATGCAAATCAAGGCCACAATGAGATACTATCTCACGCCAGTTAGAATGGTGATCATTAAAAAGTCAGGAAACAACAGATGCTAGAGAGGATGTGGAGAAATAGGAACACGTTTACACTGTTGGTGGGAATGTAAATTAGTTCCACCATTGTGGAAGACAGTGTGGTGATTCCTCAAGGATCTAGAGCCAGAAATATCATTTGACCCAACAATCCCGTTACTGCGTATATACCCAAAGGATTATAAATCATTCTACTATAAAGACACATGCACATGTATGTTTATTACTGCACTATTCATAATAGCAATGGCTTGGAACCAACCCAAATGTCCAACAATGATAGACTGGATAAAGAAAATGTGGCACGTATACACCATGGAATACTATGAAGCCATAAAAAAGGATAAGCTCATGTCCTTTGCAGGGACATGGATGAAGCTGGAAACCATCATTCTCAGTAAACTAACACAAGAACAGAAAACCAAACACTACATGTTCTCACTCATAAGCAGAAGTTGAACAATGAGAATGCATGGACACAGGGAGGGGAACATCACATACCAGGGCCTGTTGGGGGGTGGGGGTCAATGGGAGGAGAAATACCTAATGTAGGTGACAGGTTGATGGGTGCAGCAAAGCACCATGGCATGTGTATACCTATGTAACAAAACTGCACGTTCTGCCCATGTACCCCAGAACTTAAAGTATAATTAAAAAAAAAAAAGAACAAAGCTGAAGGCATAATATTACCTGCCTTCAAATTATAC
Source organism: Homo sapiens (assembly GCF_000001405.40). NCBI lineage: Eukaryota > Metazoa > Chordata > Mammalia > Primates > Hominidae > Homo > Homo sapiens. Next base: position 73,916,124 of record NC_000006.12, on the reverse strand, counting down.
AACAAAGCTATAGTAATCAAGACAGCATGGTACTGCCATAAAAAGATACAAATAGATCAATGTAACAGAATAGAGTGTCCAGAAATAAATCCACAGTTTTAAAATCAATTGATTTTTCAATAAAAAGGCCAAAGACAATGGCTTCTTGCAATGGGGAAAGGACAATCTCTTCTTGGTCTTGGGAAAACTGGATATCCATATGCAGAAAAAAGAAATTAGACTGTCATCTCACATCATAAATGAAAATCAACTCAAAACGCATTAAGGACTTAAACATAAGACTTGAAACTGTAAAAAACAAAAAGAAGAAGAAGAGGAGGAGGAGGTGGAGGAGGAGAAGGAAGAAATTCCCAATACAGGCCGGGTGCTTTGGCTCACACCTGCAATTCCAACACTTTGGGAGGCCAATGTGAGTGGATTGCCTGAGGTCAGGAGTTTGAGATCAGCCAGGCCAACATGGTGTAACCCCGTCTCTACTAAAAATACAAAAATTAGCTGGGTGTGGTGGCAGGTGCCTGTAATCCCAATTACTCAGGAGGCTGAGGCAGGAGAATCACTTGACCCCCGGAGGCAGAGGTTGCAGTGAGCTGAGATCGTGCCATTGCACTCCAGCCTGGGTGACAAGAGCAAGACTTTGTCTCAAAAACAGAAGAAAAAAAAGAAATTGCCAATACAAGTGAACATATTGAACGCCATGAGAAATCTTATAAGGAAGGAATGGAGGAAGAAACATGCTTAGTTTTGTTTAATTCACTGTTTTCTAAATGTATCTGGCCTCAGAAAACTCTTATGAAATAGTATCTTTTGAGAGTCCATAAAACACACTTTGAGAAACATTGCTCAATGTTTTGTATTAGCAAAAATGTTGATGTTTGAAAATTACTCTCAAGAATTACTGCTCAGCCTCTTCCCGGCCGCCATCCCATCTAGGAAGTGAGGAGCGTCTCTGCCAGGCCGCCCATCGTCTGAGATGTGGGGAGTGCCCCGTCTGGGATGTGAGGAGCGCCTCTACCCGGCCGCGACCCTGTCTGGGAGGTGAGGAGCATCTCTGCCCGGCTGCCCCATCTGAGAAGTGAGGAGACCCTCCGCCCGGCAGTCGCCCCGTCTGAGAAGTGAGGAGCCCCTCTGCCCAGCAGCCACCCCGTCTGCGAAGTGAGGAGCGTCTCCGCCCGGCAGCCACCCCATCCGGGAGGGAGGTGGGGGGTCAGCCCCCCGCCCAGCCAGCTGCCCCGTCCGGGAGGTGAGGGGCGCCTCTGCCCGGCCGCCCCTACTGGGAAGTGAGGAGCCCCTCTGCCCGGCCACCACCCCATCTGGGAGGTGTACCCAACAGCTCATTGAGAACAGGCCATGATGACAATGGCGGTTTTGTGGAATAGAAAGGGGGAAAGGTGGGGAAAATATTGAGAAATCGAATGGTTGCCATGTCTGTGTAGAAAGAGGTAGACATGGGAGACTTTTCATTTTGTTCTGTACTAAAAAAATTCTTATCCTGTTGATCTGTGACCTTACCCCCAACCCTGTGCTCTCTGAAACATGTGCTGTGTCCACTCAGGGTTAAATGGATTAAGGGCGGTGCAAGATGTGCTTTGTTAAACAGATGCTTGAAGGCAGCATGCTCCTTAAGAGTCATCACCACTCCCTAATCTCAAGTACCCAGGGACACAAACACTGTGGAAGGCGGCAGGGTCCTCTGCCTAGGAAAACCAGAGACCTTTGTTCACTTGTTTATCTGCTGACCTTCCCTCCACTATTGTCCTATGACCCTGCCAAATCCCCCTCTGCGAGAAACACCCAAGAATGATCAATAAAAAATAAAAAATTAAAATTAAAATTAAAATTAAAAAAAAAAAGAATTACTGCTCAAAAATCTCTCAAGAAAGAAAACTTCCTCAAGAAAGCAGAGTTACTAAAAAATTTAAGGGGGTAGAGGTTTCTATAGAATGTGTAAATAAATGAAAAAAGACCTAGCATTTTGTGACCCAAAGTCAATGCTAATCAAGCTAAAGGGTATTAAGCAGATCCCTTGATAAAGTATTAATCAAAGTCACACTCACCTGAAACTAGAAGGATTGGCTGGGAAAGGGCAGGGCAACGGTGACAGTGGGCGGGCAACATTTCCCAAAGATATCTCTGCCACCATTCATTTTGCAGTTAGCAGCTAGCCAAGCTCTGTGGCATGACTGACATCCTGCACATAATACCTTCAGACTACCTACAGCCAGGTGCGAGTGGGTCAGGTTTTTTAATTCAGTGAAAGTACTAGCAGGTATATTAATTTCCTAATATAATAAACAGAAATGTGTTGTCTTACTATTCTGAAAACTAGAAGTCCGAAATCAAGGTGTCACTAGAGCTATGCTTCCTCTAAAACCTGTAAGGGAAAACTTCCTTGCCCCTTCCCTACTTCTGATGGTTTAGTGACAATCTTTGAGGTTTCATGGCTCATAGTTGCATACTTTCAATTGTCTCTCTTCACTCTCCATTCAGTATGATGTTAGCTGTGTGTTTGTCTTATATGACTTTTATTATTTTGAATTATGTTCCTTCTATGCCCAGTTTGTTGAGCATTCTTATCACAAAGTGATATTGAATTTTATCAAGTGCTTTTTCTGTGTCATTGTGATGATCATATGATTTTTCTCCTTACGTCTGTTGATATAATGTGTCACATTTATTGATTTGGGTATGTTAAACTATCCTGACATCCCTGGCATAAATCTCACTTGATCATGGGGTATTATCTTTTTGATATGCTGTTGAATTCAATTTGCTAGTATTTTGTTGAGGGTATTGTGTTTATGTTCATGAAGGATTTTATTTTTCTGTGTACTTGTCTGGTCATACCAGGATTGTGCTAGCCTCATAGAATGAGCTAGAGAGAATCTCCTCCTCTTCAATCTTTGGGAATAGTTTGAGTAGGATTGGTATTAGCCTCTTTATGTGTTTAGAAGAATTCAGCAGTAAATTCATTTGGTCCTGGGCTTTTCTCTCTTGGAAGATATTTTGTTACTGATTCACCTCACTACTCATTATTGAGGTTTTCACTTTAAATCTTGGTGGTTGGATGTTTTCTCCTTCTTTCTCATTCAATCTTGGCAGGTTATATGTTTCCAGGAATTTGTTCATTTATTCTAGGTTTTCTAATTTTTTAGCATATAGTTGTTCATGATACACTGTGATGATGACTTTTTATTTCTGTGATATAAGTTATAATATTCCTTTTTCATTTCTGATATTGTTTATTTGGCTCTTCTCTCTTCTTAATCTAGCTAGCAGTTTATCAATTTTGTATACCTTTTTGAAGCACCAACTTTTTGTTTTTTGATCCTTTGTAATTTTTATTCTCTATTTCATTTAGTTCTACTCTGGTCTTTGTTGTCTTTCCTTCTGCTAATTTTGGATTTGGTTTGTTCTGCCTTTTCTAGTTATTTGAGGTGCATCCCTAGATTGTTTATTTGAAATCCTTCTACTTTTTGATGTAGGCATTTTTTGTTATAAATTTTCCTATTAGAATTGCTTTTGCTGTGTCCCACAGGTCTACATAAGTTGTGTTTCTGCTCTCATTTGTTTCAAGAATTGTTTTTATTTCCATATTAATTACTTTATTGATCAAATAGTGATTCAGGAAAATGTTGTTTAATTTCTATGTATTTATATAGTTTCTAAGGTTCCTCTTGGTATTGATTTTTAGTTCTATTCCATTATTGTTTGAGAAGATGCTGGATACAATTTTGATTTTTTTAATCTGTTGAGATTTGTTTTGTGGGCTAACATATGATTTATCCTGGAGAATGTTTAATGTGCTGATGTGAAGAACATGTATTGTTCAGTTTTTTGATAGAATGGTCTGTAAATGACTGTTAGGCCCATTTGGTCTAAAGTCTAGCTTAAATCCAAGGTTTCTTTGGTGACTTTCTGTCTAGATGATCTGTCTATGCCTGAAAGTTGGGCATTGAAGTATCCCACTATTATATTGCAGTCTATCTCTCTCTTTAGATCTAGTAGTATTGCTTCATGAATCTGGGTGCTCCAGTGTTAAGTGCATATATACTTAGAATTGTATCTTCTTGCTGGATTGATCCCTTTATCATTATATAATGACCTTCTTTGTCGTTTTGTGGGGGTTTAGTCAGGATGGTGGGGAAAATTATAAGCCACAAACCTTGGAAGGCCTGAAGGTTTTTGCAAAAGTCTCAGGATAAGGTTATGGCTGAAGGCAACCTAATCCTTACCTCGAGTAAATAGCTTAAAGTGGGTACAAAGGAAAGTAGAGTAGTTTACCTAACTAGCTTGTTTACTTATGTGGTCTTAAGACTAACTTTTGATCTACTGTGGTTGCTTAATTGCTTTCTACTCAGGAGGTCCACAATGTCAATTACCCTCTAGTGATGTTTACTCACTACCTTTGTCCATTAATCTTTACTGAATAAATGCAAGTCTCACTGACTGATCAAGGCCGTGGCTGCTACTAAGTGGCCTGGACACTCAGCCGAACTGGCAAAGCAGAATATCTGTGTGTCAGCGTATTTTATTCATCTGTTGTTGGGTCAGGGTCTGCAGGACAGACCCCCTCATCTTTTTTGTTGTATTTTACTGATTTTGACTGAAGTCTGTCTTATTTGATATAGGTATACCTACTCCTGCTCATTTTTGGTTTCTGATTATGTGAAATATCATTATTCCATTCATGTCTTTATAGATAAAGTGCATTTCTTGTAGGCACCATATACACTTTTAACCATTCAACCAGTCCATATCTTTTAAGTGTAGAATTTAATCCATTTATAGTCAGTTTCACATATTGCTATGTAAAGTTTTGTTTCTGTCATATTTTTTCATTTTTTCTGGTTGTTTTGCCTATTCTTTGTTCCTTTCTTTTTCTTTTATTGTTTGTATTGTGGTTTGGTAGTGTGTCCAGAATTGGTGGGTTCTTGGTCTTGCTGACTTCAAGAATGAAGCCACAGACCCTCGCAGTGAGTGTTACAGTTCTTAAAGATGGTGCATCTGGAGTTTGTGCCTTCAGATGTTCAGATACGTCCGGAGTTTCTTCCTTCTGGTGGGTTCGTGGTCTTGCTGACCTCAGGAGTGAAGCTGCAGACCTTCACAGTAAGTGCTACAGCTCTTAAAGGTGGCAGATCTGGAGTTGTTTGTTCCTCCTGTCCAGAGCTGTTCATCCCTCCCAGTGGGTTCATGGTCTCGCTCGCTTCAGGAGCGAAGCTGCAGACCTTTGCAGTGAGTGTTACAGCTCATAAAGATGGCATGGACCCAAAGAGTGAGCAGCAGCAAGATTTAGTGTGAAGAGCAAAAGAACAAAGCTTCCACAGCATGAAAGGGGACCCAAGAGGGTTGCCCCTGCTGGCTCAGGCAGCCTGCTTTTATTCTCTTATCTGGCCCCACCCACATCCTGCTGATTGGTCCATTTTACAGAGAGCTGATTGGTCTGTCTTGACAGCGTGCTGATTTGTGCATTTACAAACCTTGAGCTAGATACAGAGTGCTGATTGGTGCATTTACAATCCTTTAGCTAGACACAGAAGTTCTCCAAGTCCCCATTAGATTAGCTAGACACAGAGCACTGATTGGTGTGTTTACAAACCTTGAGCTAGACACAAAGTGCTGATTGTTGCATTTACAAACCTTGAGCTATACATAAAAGTTCTCCAAGTCCCCATCTGACTCGGGAGCCCAGCTGGCTTTGCCTAGTGGATCCTGCACCAGAGCCACAGAAGATGCCCACCAGTCCTGTGCCACACGAAAGCACTCCTTGGGCGGTGGATGGGACCAGGCACTAAGGAGCAGGGGGCAGTGCGGATTGGGGAGGCTTGGGCCATGTGGGAGCCCACCATGGGGTACAGGAGGGCTTGGGCATGGCAGGCTGCAGGTCCCAAGCCCTGCCTCTCAGGGAGGCAGCTGAGGCTTGCCAAGAATTTGAGCATGGTGTGGGCAGGCCGGCAATGCTGGTGAACCCAGTGCACCCTCCGCAGCTGCTGGCCTGGGTGCTAAGCCCCTCACTGCCCAGGGCCGGTGGTGCCAGCTGGCCACTCCCAGTGTGGGGCCCGCTGAGCCTGTGCCCACCCAGAACTCACACTGGCCCTCGAGCACCACATGCAGTCCCAGTTCCCACCCACGTTTCTCCCTCCACACCTCCCTGCAAGTAGAGGGAGCCAGCTCCAGCCTCGGCCAGCACAGAGACGGGCTCCCACAGTGCAGTGGTGGGCTGAAGGGCTCCTCAAGCACAGCCAGAGTGGACGCCAAGGCTGAGGAGGCACTGAGAGCAAGTGAGGGCTGCTAGCACATTGCACATTGTCACCTCTCAATACCCCCTCTAAACAGGACACCCCAACTACTGTTGGGAATTTGGCTGATGACCACTCTAGCTACTTCCTGCTGGATGGGGTGATGAAGGGGCCCTGCAGTTGTAGTGTCCTCCAGAGGGGAGCTCTCTAGGCCAGTGAAAGTCCCAGCAGGTTGGTCCAGGGGTCTTCAGTAGAAGTTGTTAGTTGAACTCATTTGGGGTTCCATTTGTAAGACCATCTGTAGCTTGATGGCCTCGATTCTAGAGGAAACAAATTTAACAAAGAGGTTAAAAATACAGGGACCAAAGGTGAGTAACAGCAAGATGGCTGACACAGAACCTAGAAAGAGGAGAAGCCATGTTGCCAAACTCCAGAGGTTGGTATAAGAATTTGAAAGGCGTTGCCTGATTTCAGAAGCCTTTTCCTATAAATGCCAGGCAGCATCTCTTACTATCCCTGACTGGTTAGTGTAAAAACAACACTCTTCCCCTAAGAAGGTGCAGAGTCCTCCTTTCTCAGCAGTGAGGAGGTCTAGGCCTTGGAGGTTTTGGAGAGTCACTGCTGCCAAAGAGTCTATTTGGGATTGTAGAGTAAGGATAGATTTCATTATTTCATGCAAACTGTCTGAAAAATCCTTTGAGAGTGTGTGGTAGTAGGATAATGAAGTAGATATACTGGCTATTCCAGTTCCTGTAGTAGTAGCCATTCCTAACCCTATAAGTAGGGGTATTAGTTGTATGGCTCTGCATTGACAGACTTGAGCTTTGAGGGGTACTGATAAGATTTGATTTCCTGGGGCAATGTTAATGTTGGGACTTAGAAAGACTAAGGTGTAGGTGCCTGTCTTGTTAGTGGGGAGGCAGATATAGGTTGATATTCCACATAAGAAGCTGGTCCCTGGTGGAAGAGGCTTACTTTCAAGTACGGTTACATCACTAACTATGGCATAACCTGCCCTTCGCATCCCATTCTCCACAAATGAACTTCCATCCCTATGTAGGTTAAGGTCAGGATTAGCTAAGGGGACTTCTAAGAGATCATCTCGGGTGGCATAATTCTGGACTATAATTTGTTGGCAGTCATGCTCAATTGGTTCTTCATCCTCTGGGAGACAAGTGGCAGGGTTGAGGGCCACACACGTATGTATTTGAAGCACTAGCCCCTCAAGGAGTAGCCCTGGTATCTAAGTAGGTGGTTGTCTGATAGCCATAAACTTCCTTTGGCACCTAGTATGCCATTTACATCATGAGTAGTCCAGACAGTGAGATCGTTTCCGTGTATTATTTTGATAGCCTCTGACACTAAGACAGGCACCACTGCAACTATCCATAAACAGTGAGGCCAGCCTTTTGCTACTACATCAATTTCCTTACTTAGGTATGCCACTGGTTGTGAGGTTGTCCCACAAGTCTGAATAAGGACTCCAAGAGCTATCCTGGCTCTCTGTGGCATATAAAGAGAAGTTAAGCCTGTGGGAAGGCTTAAAGCTGGAGCTTGTAATAGGGCCTGCTTTAAGGTTTAGAAGACTGTTTCTGCCTCTGGTTCCCATTCTACTAGATGAGTATTTGCCCTCTGGGTTTCCTTGCTTAGAGTATAGAGGGGCCTGGCTATCTCGCTGTATCCAGATATCCATAGTCAGCAAAAGCTGGTGATTCCAAAGAACCCCTACAACTGTGTTAATGTCTTAGGGCGAGGATAAGCCAGTATAGGTTGTATTCATTCCTTGCTGAGGGCCCTGGTCCCTCTGGCTAATATTAGGCCTAGATATTTGACCTGCTGTAGGCAAAGCTGGGCCTTTGACCTAGACACCTGGTACCCTTGATTAAAGTTCAAGAGATCTAAAGCAGCCTGCTGGCACGAGTCTTCTGAACTGGTAGCCAAAAATAAGTCATCCACATACTGAAAGACCAGAGTGCCTGGACTTGAGAAGTGGCCTAGATCTTGGGCCAGTACCTGATCAAACAGATGAGGACTATCCCTAAACCCTTGGGGCAAGACTGTCCAAGTGAGTTGGGATGTGTTGTCTGTGGGATCCTCAAAGCCAAAGAGAAACTGGGAGTCAGAGTGCAGGGGAATACAGAAGAAGGCACCCTTGAGGTCCAGAACAGTGAACCATTATGCTTCCTCTGGTATTTGAGAGAGCAAGGTATAGGGGTTGGGTACAACTTGATATAGAGGATATATAATGGATACTGCCTCATTGATGAGTCTAAGATCTTGCACTAGTCTCCACTGAGTGTTCAGTTTTTCTACTCCTAGAATTGGGGTGTTGCAGGGACTGCTGCATTTCCTTACTGAGCCTTGAGCTTTTAAATGTTTAACAATATCTTGTAATCCTTTATGAGCTTCAGGCCTTAAGGGATATTGCCTTTGATAAGGAAAAGTGGTGGGGTCTTTTAGCCTGATTTGGACTGGGCAGGCATTTTTTGCCCTTCCAAATTGTCCTTCCAATGCCCAGACTTCAGGGTTGATTCCCTCCTCAAATAGGGGACAACAAATGGGTAACTTGTTCCCCATATTCATGTAGATAATAGCTCCAGCTTTGACTAATATAGTCCTCTCTAATAAGGGTATGGGACTTTCAGGCATAACAAGAAAGGCATGTGAAAAGAGCAAAGTCTCCCAATTACAACTGAGGAGGTGGGAGAAATACCTGGTTACAGTCTGTCCCAGGATTCCTTGGATGGTAATGGACCTTTAGGACAGTCATCCAGGACAGGAGATTAACACTGAGAAGGCCGCACCAGTGTCCAGGAGGAAGTCAATTTCCTGTCCCTCAATGGTTAAGCATACCCAGGGCTCAGTGAGGGAGATGACATGAGCTGGTGCTTGCCCTGGGCACCCTCAGTCCTGTTGTTGGATCATCTGGTTGGGGGCTTCTGACCCAGAGAACCTTTGTCCTCTGGGGCAGTACACCTTCCAGTGATTGCCTTGGCATAGCGGACACGGACAAGGGGTGGCTTGTTTCTTGTTGGACAATCTTTTTTAAAGTGTCCTTGTAAACCACACTGATAACAAGTCCTACCGGGTGATTGGCCTGCTCCATTTTCTGTCCACTCTGAACCACCAAGGTTTGTCTGTCTGAGGGCCATGACTAAGGCTGCGGCCTTTCTCTGATCTCACTTTTCCTTTTGGGCCTGTTCCTCTTGGTCCCTATTACAGAACACCGAGGTTGCCAGGTTTAATAATGCCTCCAAATTTTATTCAGGGCCCAGGGCTTGCTTTTGGAGCTTTATCCTGATATCTGCAGCTGATTGGGTAATAAACTTATCTTTTAGAATCAATTGACCCTCAAGTGATTTGGGTGACAGGGGAGTATATTTTCTTAAGGCGTCCCATAGCCACTCAAGGAAGGCAGAAGGATTTTCTTCCTTTCCCTGAGTTATGGTGGACATCATTGAATAATTCATGTGCTTTTAACTAACTCTCATTAGTCCTTCTAGAACACAAGTCAACAGATATTTACGACTCTCTTCCCCATGATCTGAGTCAAGGTCCCAGCGGGGATCCATACTGGGGATGGCTTGCTGACCAGTAGGGAATTTGTCCCATTCTTCAGCTGTCATTCTATCATTTACTTGACTAAGATACCAGGTAAGCAAAGTTGAAGGTTTGCCCTAGACCCTGTAGGACGTCTATATACCTATCAGGATCATCTGAAAACTTCCCCAGGTCTGCCTTGATCTGCTTTAAATCAGAGAAGCAGAAGGGAACATGTACCCAGGTTGGGCCAAATTCCCCTCCCCCTACAGCTTGAAGGGGACAAAACCAATAGCCTGGGGGTTTTTGTGGTCCTTTGGAGATTTGTTTGCTTATTTCCTTCTGGGCAGGGGAGATTAGAAGAGGTTTATCATTAATAGGAAGGAGAGCTATAGGGAGGCAAGGATATGGGGGTAAGCTGAAAGGTCCTCCTGTGGGATGTAAATTGCAAGCTTTGCATAGTTGTGTATTCTCTTTCAATGAAAAGAAATCTTGGACATAAGGTGTTTCCATTTGCCTTCCCTCTTACAGAAAAGGTCAAGCTGCAGGATACTATTGTAATTTGTACTTCCCTCAGGTGGCCATTTTTCCCCATCAGAGAGAGAATATTGGGGCCAAGCCATAGTGCAGAAAAAAATGAGCCATCTCTTTTTCAGGGTTTGTGGGTCAAATTGGTCCCAATGGCTTAGGATGCATTTCAAGGGTGAGCTTGTTGATGCCTGAGTATTTCCCATCTGTTAGACAAAACTGCCCATGGTTTGGTTTGTTTTGTTTCTCCCCCTGCTCAAGAACCCACAACAGTCCCTGGACCCTGCTGATTGGAATAGTTGCACTCACCAATGAAGCAGCAGAAACAACCCCTGCCCAAGAACCCGCAATAGTCCCTGGGCCCAGCTGATCGGAACAGTTGCACTCACCAATGCAGCAGCAGAAACACTAGTTTTCCTCCCAGACCACAAGGAGGACCAAGGAATGTCAGATTTAGTGGTCCTTACCAATGCATTCTCGAAAATCTGCACCCTTGCCTGTCCTCCTAGACCACAAAGAGGACCAAGAAAAATCGGATTTAGTGGCCCTTACCAATGCATTCTCAAAAACCTGTTAGAGTCCTAAGCATTCTCCTGTTAGTATTGGGACCTTACCCATGTCCTATAAAGATGTTACGCCCCCAAAAATGAAGTGGAGGGCCATACCCTGAGGGAGAGAAGGGATCTCCAGAGTTGGAAGAATGATGCCTTTTGTCCCCACTTATATGAATAGGAAGGATACAATTTCTGAGGCTCCCCATATCCTAGCTTCAGGAATAGCTTTTGTTGGGCCTGCTAGTCTGAGGAGGGATCCTAAAATTCCAGATAGTACCCACTACATTGGGGCTTTGGGCAAAAATTATGTCTTTCTGATTGGTGAGCCCAGGCGCCTAAAGAAGGTAACAGAGTCCTGGAGTTTATACTAGAAATCATTCTTATAGGAGAATCTAGAAAAGCACCAGAGACAGGGAGTGATATTTAGAAGCAGGGCTAGCCTCAGAGAAGAGAGGCGAGAGGAAGTTTGTATGGCAGGCATTAGGATCCAACGGGCAAATGTCAGGGTAGATAGAATAGATGGGTGAGTCTCGCTTGGGTGACATGACTTTGAGAGTTCTGTTCATGGCTGCAAGGTCAACCAACTTGTCGGGACCCCCGGAGCTGAATGACTTTCCTCTCTGCTGACCCTTGGCTCAGCCCAGAAGTACAGGAAATGCGGAAGCTGGTTCCAGGCAAACCAACGCTCCCAACTCCAAAGAGTCAGGGGTTGTTAGAGAGCCCTTTCCCAGAATGCCTGACACTCGTGTCTTTAGTCCAGCAGCCGCACTAGTAGCTTTTAACTGGCCAACAGGTGCCCAGTATTTAGCCCCCGAATTCTAGGAAAAATAGGACAGAATAGCAAGCGAAAGAGGTCCAATGGTACTCACCACTTGGCGATAGGCGATAGTCTCAGCGCTTTGTGATAGGTGATGGTCTCACCACTTGACGATAGTCTCACCACTTGGTGAAAGGCGATAGTCCCATCTGGGTCGCCAAAATGTGTCCAGAATTGGTGGGTTCTTGGTCTCACTGACTTCAAGAATGAAGCCACGGACACTCGCAGTGAGTGTTACAGTTCTTAAAGATGGTGTGTCCAGAGTTTGTGCCTTCAGATGTTCAGATGCCTCTGGAGTCTCTTCCTTCTGGTGGGTTCGTGGTCTTGCTCATTTCAGGAGTGAAGCTGCAGACCTTTGCAGTGAGTGCTACAGCTCATAAAGGTGACACGGACCCAAAGAGTGAGCAGCATCAAGATTTAGTGCGAAGAGTGAAAGAACAAAGCTTCCACATTGTGGAAGGGGACCCGAGCAGGTTGCCGCTGCTGGCTCAGGCAGCCTGCTTTTATTCCCTTATCTGGCCCAACCCACATCCTGCTGATTGGTCCATTTTACAGAGAGCTGATTGGTCCACTTTACAGAGAGCTGATTGGTCTGTTTTGACAGGGTGCTGATTGGTGTATTTACAATCCCTGAGCTAGACACAGAGTGCTAATTGGTGCATTTACAATCCTCTAGCTAGACATAAAAGTTCTCCAAGTCCCCACTAGATTAGCTAGAAACAGAGTGATGACTGGTTCATCAACAGACCCTGAGCTAGACATAGAGTGCTGATTGGTGCATATACAATCCTCCAGCTAGACATAAAAGTTCTCCAAGACCCCACCCAACTCAGAAGCCCAGCTGGCTTCACCTAGTGGATCCGGTACTGGGGCCATGGGCGGCGCTGCCCTCCAGTCCCGTGCCACATGCCTGCACTCCTCAGCCCTTGGGCAGTGGATGGGACTGGGCTCCATGGAGCAGGGGACGGCACCTGTCAGGGAGGCTCAGGCCATGCAGGAGGCCACCGGGGGGGGGGCTCGGGCATGGCGGCTGCAGGTCCCAAGCCCTGCCCCATGGAGAGGCGGCTGAGGCCCGACAAGTATTCAAGTGTGGCACGGGCAGGCCGGCAGTGCTGGGGAACCCACACACCCTCCCCAGCTGCTGGCCTGGATGCTAAGCCCCTCACTGCCCAGGACCAGTGGCACCAGCCAGCTGCTCCGAGTGTGGGGCACTCCAAGCCTGCACCCACCCAGAACTCACGCTGGCCCACGAGTGCCACGAGCAGCCCCAGTTCCCACCCGTGCCTCTCCCTCCACACTTCCCCGCAAGGAGAGGAAGCTGGCTCTGAACTTGCTCTCCCAGAGAGGGGCTCCCACAGTGCAGCAGCCAGCTGAAGGGCTCCTCAGGCATGGCCAGAGTGGACGCCAAGGCCGAGGAGGCGCTGAGAGTGAGCCAGGGCTGCTAGCACGTTGTCACCTCTCAGTAGTTTTCTGTAATGGTACCAATTGAGCCCTTTCTCGTCTTCATTTGTGTGTTTGCTTTACCAGTGAGTTTTTTAACTTTGTTTGTTTTCATGATAGTAAATCTTTTCCTTTCACTTCTACATTTAAGACTCCCTTAAACATTTTTCATAGGGCTGGTCTAGTAGTAGTGAATCCTTCAGCTTTTGTAGTGAATTCCTTCAGCTTGTCTGGGAAAGACTTTTTGGCCTTTATTTATAAAGGATAATTTTACTGGATATAGTTTCCTCGGCTGGCAGAGTTTTTTTTATTTTAGCAATTTGAATATATATTATCCCATTCTTTCCTGACTGGTAAGGTTTGTGCTGAGAAGTTTACAGTTAGTCTGATAGGAGTTCCTTTACAGGTGACTAGATGTTTTTCTCTTGCTGTTTTTTTAATCTCTCTTTGTCTTTGACTTTCGACAGTTTGATTATAATGTGTGATGGAGAAGAACTTTTTGCATTGTATCTTTTTGGGGATCTCTGAGTCTCCTGTATCTCTATGTCTAAATACCTTGCTAGACTTGGGAAGTTTTCAGCTATTATTTTGTCAAGAGGTTTTCTAACCTTTTCATTCTCTCTTCACCTTCTGGTGAAAACCTCTTAATCCCAACAATCTGAATATTTGGTCACTTTATGGTACCCTATATGTCACAAAGGCTTTGCTTATTGCTTTTTTCTTCTTTTTTATTTTTATCTGACTGGATTATTTCAAAAGATTGTCTTCAACTTCTGAGATTCTTTCTTCTGCTTAGCCTAGTCTATTGTTGCAGCTCTCAAATGTATTTTGTATTCATTCAATGAATTCTTCAGTTTCAGAATTTCCATTTGGTTCTTTTGTATAATATCTAGCTCTTTTGTAAATTTCTCATTCATATCCTGAATTGTTTTTCTGATATCTTTTTATTATTTTTCAAAATTATCTAGTATCTCAATGAGCTTCTTTAGAATCAGTAAGTTGAATTCTTTTTCTGGGATTTTGCGAATTTATTTTTGGTTGCAATCTGTTGCTAGAGAATTTTTATGTTCCTTTGGAGATGTCATGTCCCTTGTTTTTTTATGCTTCCAGTGTACTAATATTGATATCTCTTCATCTGGTGTAACCATTGCTTCTTCAAATTTTTTGAATTACTTTCATATGAAGGGACTATTTCCTGGAGATGAATCTATGATGTTGGTTAAGGAGGGCACTTTGGCTTCAATTCTGGGTGCATGCAGGAATGTAGTCTCTGTGTGATTTCTTCAGATAATAACATCAGTGATATCTGTGATTTCCTCAGTGGCTTAGGATGCAGTTATTAGTGGAAGCTGTGGTGAAGTTTTTCTGGGGACTAGGATGCCAGTTGGGCCAGTCTTCAGGCCCCAATGGTGTCAGTGGTGAGCTGAGCTTGCCTGTCCCCAGGACCCAGAAGGGATATGCTGGTACCTGGAGTTAGTGTGTCCAAGCAAGCTGATTCTTGGGCCTCCAGGTGTCTTACTCAGATGCTGGTAGCAGCAGCAGGTTGGAAAGAAGGATAAGTTATTGGGCCACTGGGAGGCTAGCATGGTATGGATGATGGTAAAGGCAGTATTGAGATGACCCTCTGGTTCCTGGGAAGTATGCTGGTGTTGGTGTTGGCTTAGACAGGCTGAGTGTGCCTGTCTCCAGGCCTGCAAGAGGCATGTGCAGGTAAGTGCCAACTGTGATATAGCATCTGGGTGGGGAGGCCCAACCTCACATCCCCAGGAGGATTGTTCTGATGCCAATGGAAGTAGATGAAACTGGGCAATCTCTTAGCCCTTAGACTATGTGCTCTGGCATTGAGAAGCAAAGCTAGGCTGGGCAGGTTTATTCTCAGGCACCCCAGTGGTCTGTGCTGTGGTAGGCAGGGGTAGAAAATCCCCAGGTCATTGGCAGGATGCTCAAGTGAGAGGTGACAGTGACCACACTGCTACCCTTCCACTGGGGAGAGTGGTACTGCCTTCAGTGGCAGGCAGCCTAGGCTGGCTGGTAAGGAACATGTGCACCTCTCATGCCTTAGCCCCAGTGTGTTCATGCCTTAGCCACTGCTTGATATGCAGCACCCCATTAACACCTTAGGCCCAACATTTTTAGCCCATGCATTGGCCATGCCTCAGCCCCTGCTGCAGTAGCCTGCAGTCACTCACATCTAAGCCTTAGGGGCAGCAGCCATGCTTCTCTTGTGCCTCAGCCCTAGTGCTGCTAGGCTTCCAGACAGTATGCAGTCTGCTGTGGGTAGAGCTCTAAATTGGAGGCTTGCTGTAGCTGCTTAGGTCTCAGGGAATGTGTGGGACCCAATATGAGCTCACTCTTTCGACAGTTTTATCCTACAATTTCTTGGTAGCTCTCTGTTAGTTTCAGGACCTGCAAGGGTCGACAGGCTCTCCCATGGCTAGGAATGCAGGAGTTTGTTGAGGAAATGTGTACCACTAAGGGTTCTTCACTTCCCCTTTCCCTGTATTGGGAAGACTCTTGGCTCCCAGATGATCCTGGCTGAGCAGGCTGCCTTGCTTCCTTTTCCTTCCTTGCTTTAGGTATTTCCTGTCACTTTTCTTTTGAATTCTAGTTTTCTCTTTTGGATTATCTATTCAAAGTGTGATTATGTAACTCACAATTTTGGTTCTTAGTAAAGGAGGAAGTTATAAAATGCCTCTAAACAGGGGTCTTCAAGCCTCCTCCCACAGATAATCTTTCTTTTGTCATATAACATATCATGAGAGTAATTTCTCATTATAGTCATAGGTTTCACCCACACTTATATGAGAGGGGATCAGACAAGGGTAAGAGTCATTGGAGGTCATCTTAGAATCTGCCTTCAACATCATTCAAAGTTTCTGTTTTGTGTGTCCTAGACACTTTTATGGCCTTAATAGTACTTTATTTTAAAAGTATGAACAGTGTAAAATTGCATCAGAAGCCATAAATTCCACAAGAGAACTGTTTAAAATGTCCTTTAAAACTAACATGTTTCAGTTGTTCAAAGTTATCTGGAAAACCTATCATTAGGCTGGTGCTTGCTTTGCTGGCCTTTGCCTAAAACACAATACCTGGGAGCGATTTTTCAGATACATTATTTCTATCACTGTGAAGTTAACAAAATCAGAATAAAAACTAGCTTAGAGAGAATATTTTGAAATTTTTTTTAAGTTCAAAAAATACTAAGGTTTAACTTTTGCATATTTGTAAACACAGGAAGGAAACAAATTATCCTGACACTAAGAACATCTGGAGAAATATAAAAAGAGTATTAAGAAAGATAGAAAACAACTCTAATCATATACATACTATCTATATTTTCTTGTACTCAGAAATAAATATTGGTTGTATTCAGTAAGCAACTGAACTGTCTCTTGTTCCATGAAATACACAACTGAAATTCTTAACTCACCAGACTTCCTATTCTAGTTCAAAATTCAATTTTCCAAATTCTAGCTCCCTTCCTCCTATCAAAGGTCTGAACATTCACAAAATTTATGAAGTGCAGTCTTGCCAATCCTAGAACTCAAACTAATGACTTAAAGTGTTGTAGTATGGACTTTGAAACAGATATTCCATGTCAGACTTTGTAAAAACATCAGGAGATATACACCAACTTACAAAAATGTGTCAGGTGAAAATACAATTCCTCTTATTAAAAAAGACTGATATAAACAGTGTGTTTTACTATGTGTTTGAACATTCTATTTGTTTATATCAGCAATTGTATGACAAAAGTAAGGTTTTGAAATGTCATTCTAGTTTGCATTATTTTGAAACAGAGGTTCTAGAACACTGGCCCAACGCATTCTTCAGAAAAGCATGTCTATCTATGCCACAATGGGGTGTCTGGAAGAGAAGTGAAAATATAGTAAAAAAATTAATTCATACATTTGTATTTGTCAGGATTAGCTGATGTTTTATTTGGTATTACTAAAAACATAAAGTCAAGATAGGAATTGGAGAAAATCTCCTTTAATTTAGTTATTAGACAAATTCTATTTCATTTAGGATATATCTGTCCGCAGGTAACAGAATACACAACTAATGATGGCTAAAACCATGAGGGCATTTACTGTTTACAAATAGAGATAGATGGTCCCAAGTGGATTCACTAAGTCAACAATGTTGACTAAGACTCTGGCTCGTTCCTCTCTTCCCATCTACCATCCTCAGCACAACAGTGTCTTCACTCATGACCACAGGGTGGCTGCAACAGATCTGAGAATCATGCTCTCAGCATTCCAAGCAGGAAGGACAAAAGTAGGTAGAAAACGGCTCTCTTCCATAGTGCTTTTCTTATCAGAGAAGATCTGATATTGCCTACTCTAGATCCATCACACAAATGCAAGAATGTTGGCACATTCACTGGGAGCTAATAATTTGAAGTTAATTCTGTTATAGTAGTGCTGGATGTCTAGTCAAAGTCTATTTTTCCTTCTTCCTTACAGATGTTACTCTTTCCTCCATGTGAGTCAGGTAAAGGTAACCCCATTCCCAGATCCTCATTCTTCTATGTCAATCAAGCGTTTTCCTATAAATCAAGTTTTCTGGTGCTTGCCACTGAACGCACCTTAACTAATGCACTAAACTATTTATAAAAGTGGGCTTTGAGCCATTCTAAGTATCCAAGAACAGGAAACTGTACTGTGGAAGAATAAATCATGAAATGGTAAGACATTGGCTATATGCTAAGTTTTAAACCTAAACAGAAAACAATATCATCTCAC